>NC_000007.14:77506779-80006779 GCF_000001405.40 Homo sapiens | reverse complement strand
CAATTCCACATTAATTCTATAATTACATGGAAAAATTAAATCTACTTATGATGATCAGATTTCATTATCATTCACCACCTCTTGTCTTTATTTCTTTTCATACCCAGCTTTAGTTCCATGTTCAATTATAATCTCTTCCTTGTATATACCCTCAACATCCTAGCCTCTGTCTTACATCATAACACTTGGAAAAACAACACCTGCCAAATCTAACTCTTCCCTTATCAGTGCCTACGACCTTGCACCTGAACATGGCTGGAGAGGAACATTCATGTGGAGCAGTCTCATTTTAAATTTCTCATTAAAATCTTTAAGTGACCCCTTACTGCTCTCTAGCATACACTCGCCATTGCCTCAATTCACTCACTGTCCTACAGTCCTATTTCCCACCTTCTTATCTTCAGACCTGGAGCATCCCTTCTCAACTGATGACTTTTATTTCACTGAGAAATTTGAAGTAACCAGAAGGGAAATCCCTTAAGCTTTCATACCATATTTTCTCACCTATCAACATTTTTATCAAAATCTTTCCTTTCTTCCTATTATTAAAGTTGAATTGCATCATCCCACCATCACTTCTATTCATTAATTCACATCAGTATACAAACATGCTATTATGTCCCCCATTAGAAACCAAGCAAAGAAACAAACCTCCCAACTCCTCCAGGTACCACTTCATTTCTCTGCTCCTTTTTTTGAGGTTAGCTCATTAAGAGCATTGTGCTTTTCAAATTCCACACTCTTTAAAACTTCTTCATGTCGCTAAATCCAATGATTGATTTTTAGCCTTCATCTTATCTATCAGCAGCATTTGACCAATTATCTCCTCCCTCCTCCTTCAGGGCAATTTTGAGTTTTTCCTTCAAGGCAACACGTCATTCTGGTTTCTTTCTTTTCTTACTGGTTGTTTTTTTGTCTTCTTTTCCAACTTTTTTTTTTCATATTCTTGAATATCTGAATCTTTGATGTTCTTGTCCAGGTTCATGGATTAAAATATTATCTAAAAATTGGTAAGCACCAAATTTATATCTTTAACTAGCACCTTCCTCTGGGCTCCAGATTCCTACATCCAATTGCTGACTAACCATCCTCATTTGGATGTCCAACAGGCATCTTAAATTTAGCATGTCTGTATTAGTTCATTCTTGCACTGCTATAAAGAAACACCTAGGACTGGGTAATGTATAAAGAAAAGAGGTTTAATTGGCTCATGATTATGCAGACTGTGCAGGAAGCATGGCAGCATCTGTTCAACTTCTGGGGAGGCCTCAAGAAACCTACAGTCATGAAGGAAGGCCAACAGGGAAGCAGGCACATCTTACATGGCTGGAGCAGGAGGAAGAGAGAGAGCAGGGTGGTACCACACACCTTTAAACTAGTAGGTTTCATGAGCACTCATTCACTCACTATCACAAGAACTGCACCAAGTGGGAAATTTTCCCCATGATCGAATCATCTCCCACCAGGCTCCACCTCCAGCACTGGGGATTACAATTTGACATGAGTTTGAGATGTGGGCAGTGACACAGATCCAAACATTATCAATGTCCAAGGCTAAACTCCTCATCTTCCCCAACCAAACATGTTTCTCTCACAAACTTTGCAATTACAGTTAACTGCAACATTAATTTCTTAAGGCCAAAAACCTTGGAGTCATACTTAACTTTCCTCATTTTTCGACTTTACAATGAATTAGTTAGCAAAATACTTTTGATTTTATCTTCAAAACATATCACAGTCTTGCCACTTCATTGCAACCTTCCTGGTCCAAATCAAAGGGTCTCGCATCAAGGTTATTATATGTTGCCCAGATGGGACTGGAACTCTTGGGCTCAAGTGATCCTCCTGCCTCAGCCACTCAGTCCTGCCTCAGCCTTCCCAGTAGCCAGGACTATAGGCATTTGCCACTGCTTGGCTGTCATCAAGCTTATTGAAATAGCCTGCTCACTGGCTTTTCTGCTACTACCATTATCCAATATTCATCTCAACACAGAAGCCAGAGTGATATTAATAAAGCAAGGTCAGATTATTTCTCTTCTCTGCTCAAAACTCTCCAGGTTTCTCATCTTATTCAGAGTAAAAGCAAATTCCTTATGATGTTCTATGAGGTCTATGTGATCTTTCTCCCTTAATGTTCTGACTCCATCTTTCACTACTTCCACCACTGCTCATTTTGCTCCAGCTGTTCTGGATTTTTTGTTGTTCCTTATATAGATGCCTGGTAGATACCTACCTCAGGAAATGTGCCCATGTTATTCCCACTTCCAGGAATGTTATTTCTGCAGATATTCAAGGTTCACTTACTTACAAATCTTTTTTTTTTTTTTTAACATAGTCTTAAGGAAGCTTTCCCCGACCATCCTTTTAAAAAATGCAATGCTAGCCAGGTGTGGTGGCTCACTCCTTTAATCCCAGCACTTTGGGAGGCCGAGGCAGGAGGATCACGAGGTCAGGAGATCGAGACCATCCTGGCTAACACAGTGAAACCCTGTCTCTACTAAAAATACAAAACAAAACAAAACAAAGCAATGCTTACCTCATCCATGCACCCCTATCTTTTTTCCAATTTTATATATATTTTTACAGTCATCCCTTGATAGCTGTGGGGGATTGGTTCCAGGACCCCATGTACAACAAAATCCATGCACACTCAAATCCTGCAGCTGGCCTGTGGAACCTGCAGACAGGAAGAGTTGGTTCTCCATATATGTGATCTTCCAGTCCTCCAATATTGTATTTTCCATCCACGTTTGGTTGCGGATGTGGAACCTTGATCTGGAGGGTCAGTTATATTTACTGAAAAAAAATCCACCCTTAAGTGGACCCACACAGCCAATTCCATGTTGTTCAAGGATCAACTATACTTAGTTTATTGTCTGTTTTCACACTATAATGTAATCTTCACAAGATTAAGATATTTTCTTTCTGATTTGCTGTTCACTGCTCTATTCCCAGAATCTAGAACATTGCCTAACATTTAGTATAGGTGTTCAGTTAATATTTGCTGAATAAATAAATGCATAGAAATTAATGCTTTAAAACTTTATAGTCACTAGGCTGGTAGACATATGTTTTTAAAAACTACATTCTCTTATATATTTTAAATCTGTTCATTGCTTTTGGCTTCCTTTTTCAAGATATACAAATTAGCTGAATATCACTTTTATTATCCACTATGCTTTCAGTAGGGTAACTTTGTGTTTCCTGTGAAAGTTGGATTATGATACCTTCTTATGCAATGAGACATCGCAAATCAGGTCATGGACTAACACTTTTCTTTCCTCAACTCTTAGATTGATCATGTGAGCCAACTTCAGAAAAAGCAAGAATAAAATGATTTCCATGCCAAAGCCAGATAGATCATAAGATCACTTTTAATAAAATACTGTGAAATTTTGCACACAGTGAGGGGATAAAAGTCTTTTATTTTACAAGAAACATTAAAGTAAATGCATTTGGGAAGACTTATTTCAGGCATTTCCAATGGACACTTTTATGAGATACATGCTGTTGATCAAAGTTTCAAAAGTATCACAGTGAGCATTTTCATTTCTGATCACATTTCTTCTTTCAAAAGTAGTAAATAGCTATGACAATTCTTATTTCATCATGCCTGTCACATGTAACAAGGAATAATCCATCTTGTTTTCATTATTAAATACTGGTCCTGAATATTGAAAGACTAGATATAACAACTCTGTCAAAGTCTTGCTGCTGCCGGGCAGTAATTTGTCTGTGAGTAATGGCTGGATCTAAAAGGAATGTGTAATGTTTAAACTCCTGCTTCCACCAGAACCTGCTGTGTTTATTTTTTCTTTTCTCATAACTCTAGTCTTTCCCCAAATGTGATTTGTATTCCTCTGATACCAAGTAAAATGATTTAGGGTAGTACATGGACGGACACATTAAACATTAACTACCATCTTTATTGTAATGAATATAAGAAAATGATAAGTAAATAATAGTAGAAATAGTACTCAGCAAATATTGAGAAAGTGATAACTAAAATGAGTGAAATTTGGACAAAATTCTTGTTTTTGGATTAGATCATCAACTGATACCTGAATATTATTTGGTTACAGAATGATGTTAGTTTACTTAAAGAAAATAGGACACTAGCTCATGTCCACTCTCTAAGAGGAGACGGTGTAGTATCTGGCACCTAATGAATGAATAGAGTGGAAATAACAAACAAGCTAAGCCTTAGAGAGTGCTGCACCCTAAGACATACCATGTTGGCTCAGTTTTACCATTCTAGTCTATTATTTGGAACTGGCTGGTACAGGAATACTGGAGTAATTAGCATTCTTCTCTTCTTAAAAGTTAAATATGTACTCTGAACACCCCTCACTTTATATAGACTGAACAGGAAACAACACTAAAAAGAAAAATTTTGTTATCCTAAATCCAACATCCCTATTTATAAAGTCTAATCACAAAAGTATATTTATAATATCCAAGACAAAAATGTCATTTTCCTGCTTGTCAGCTTATTATTAAATGGTATCTAATATTTTTTCCCTAATCTTCTTTGTGTAGTGGCTGTATTCTAAGTAGAACTGAATTCTCTTGCTTCTTTTGATATTTTCTAATCATACTCTCTGAATTCTAAGATTAGCACACATTCATTTTCTTTATCGTAACATTTAAAATTGCACCATTTTTTCTATTTTGTGCTTAGAACGTTTAACATGATGAAACAGGAAGAAACAAGTGATAGTTGCCAGTTGTGTTTCAGTGTCTCCATCATTTACTAGCTTCTTGATTTTGAGCAAATTATAATATTTCTCAGAAAATTAGTTTTCTCATTTTAATTTAAGAAAAATACTTTATCATGTGTTTGCAGAGAATTAAATTAAATAATATAAAAATATTTTATAAATTGTAAAATCCAATCAAATACTAATAACAAATGATTAGCATGAATTCATTTTGCTAAATAAGGAATGAATTCATTTTGTTAAATTAAAAAACCATCTTCAATGTATTTAAACTTTAGTTTGGACAAAATTTTATGCTTTCATCAATTTTATGAGTGTTTACCTGAACATAATTATTGGGAAAAGTATGTATATTTTAAAATAAACTAGTCAAATATGTGTACTAATTATAAAGACTTGTTTGCCATTTATTCCTGGTTGGAAAAGTTCTAAATTGTTCCAAAGAACAAGCTTCTTTGTTTTTACTTGTGTTGATTTAATAGTTTTGAGAATAGATTAGATAAGCTAATCATAAGGGCATAAAATAAAATTTTATAATTTTGATATGTTTAATTGCCTGCAGAAGCTTTAGCTATTTTTATTTGCATGTAAATATATGGGGGTTTGGGGAAAATGCAGTGCAGGGAATACATCTGACACGTAGTTCTATTATTGGAGTCTCTAAACGCAGTCCTGTGAGTATTACTGGCTTGTATATTAGTTAGAATTTTGAAATGCACACACCTACTAACAAGAACAAGGTGTGATTATCACTTTGATATGGTTTGGCTGTGTCCCCACCAAATCTCATCTTGAACTGTAGCTCCCAAAATTCCCATGTCTTATGGGTAGGACCCAGTGGGAGATAACTGAATCATGGAGGAGGTTTGCCCATACTGTTCTCGTGGCAGTGAATAAGTTTCACTAGATCTGATGCTTTTATAAGGGGTTTCCCCTTTGGCCTGGTTCTCATTATCTCTGCTTTCCACCATGGTGGTGAGGCCTCCCCAGCCACGTGGAACTGTGAGTCCATTAAACCTCTTTTTCTTCATAAATTACCCAGTCTCATGTATGCCTTCATCAGCATTGTAAGAATGAACTAACACACAGTTCAATGTTGTCTTCCATTTTACTTATCTATGTAGTGGGCATAAAAATAGTATGCATCTCAGGGTGTAGTGTTCATAGTTAAAATTATGCCTTTATTACGCAAAGAAACTACAAAACAACTAGAAGAAAATATGGATGAATATCTTTATGGTCTTAGAGTTGGTAGAGGTTTAATGAAAACAAAATGAAGAACCACACCAATCATAAAAGAAAAATAAGTCCAGATTAGATTAGATTAAATTAGATAATGAAATATAATACTAGGTTAAAAGTCAAGCAATCCATTAGAAAAAGTTTACTGGCATATGTAGCAGACAAAGTAATGTCATAAAAAATATATTTTAAAAATTCCACAAATACATTTTTAAAAAGACATTTTTAAATATAAAAGTGAATGATATAAAAAGGAATTTAATGGAAAAAGAAACTCGTAAGGCCAATAAATATGTAGGGGAATGCACAAACTTAGAAAAATAAAAATACAATGAAATAAAATGCTCTAATCACTATATTGACATTAATTGGGTTGATTAATTAATATTAATGTTAATTAGCATTATGTTAATTACTTAAAGTTAATATTAAAAAGTCTGGTATCATTACAGTTTGGAAAGAATGTGAGTAAATATATATTTTCTAGAAATAGTTTTGAGATAACAATTAGTTCAACTATTTTAGAGAGAATTTTGGCAGTAAAATATTAAAATAGTTTATACTTTATGAACTAATTAGTTTCTTCTATATATGTGTTACAATTTTTTTTTTTTGGGGTGGAATCTCACTCTGTTGCCCAGATTGGAGTGCAATGACATGATCTCGGCTCACCGCAACCTCCGCCTCCCGGGTTCAAGCAATTCTCCTGCCTCAGCATCCCAAGTTGCTGGGATTACAGGCATGTGCTACCACGCCTGGCTAATTTTTGCATTTTTAGTAGAGACAGAGTTTCATCCTGTTGGCCAGGCTGGTCTTGAGCTTCTGACCTCAGTTGATCCACCAGCTTTGGCCTCCCAAAGTGCTGGGATTACAGGCATGAACCACCATGAAAATTTCACAATATTAATTGAAGAATTAGTCATAAAATCAAATAATTTCAAACAATCTTCATACATATTGGAAAAGAAATGGATGTACAAGCTGTTACATAATGGCAAATGGAAAACATAAATAATATTCTATTTCTCACATGTATTTCTCACAAAAACATAATGCTGGATTGATAAAAAGTGTTTTATAGAGTGTATAATCTTGTGTATACTTTAAAAAACATGCACACAAAAAATGCTATATTTAAAGGAGAAGTATGAAATGTGTGTTGGAAGGACACATCAAATACAAGATAGTATGTCCATGGGTTGGGAAAGGGACTAGGGCACAGAACAGAGATAAATAAGACAAAAATTAATAATGCCATAGTTGGATAATTACGTACCACTAGTATGGGACTGTGAAATCATATCTATCCAACTATTAAGATTCTATGTGCAGAAAAGAAGAAAGAAAAAACTAATTCAATGAAACTATATATTCAAAACAGTGTTTAGAATATAAAGGACGTACATTTTATTTTATTTCATACCATTTTCTATAAAATTTGGTTGAATTCAATTCTAACCTAACGTTCTTCAGGTTCGTAAGTTAATATTTTCCCTGTTCTACACAGAATGTGCATGTTACACTGATGCTGTAAACTAGTGTAAGTGGGAAATATGGAATGGGAAAGTCTTCACACTTTTGAAGGGTCAGAGTATTTACCTGTGTGAAGAATTTCCCATTCCATTGAAGATCCTTCTAATTTGGTAATCGCAGCTCTCCAGCTTTTGGTTTCTATGACCGTAAGCTTCCTTAGTCAGTCGTCCACCCAGGGTAAGTGAGTGAGATGTGTAAGGGATGGTTATTTGTAAGCATATTGGGCCAGTGTTGGGGAAAAAATACTTCCTTACATCCCTTCTGTGTTTTCATCATTCAGGTTTAATAAGGAATCTCTTTCCTGATTTTTCTTCTATGTTTAATAAAGAATCTCTTGATCTGTTACAGAAATGGCACAGAGACAATTCCTACAGAGTATGAGCATACTCTGAGATACCTGAAAACCTTTTAAGAGACACAGAGAAGAAAATATTAATGCTTTACAGTAAAGAACTTACTATACATTTCACACATTTACACTCTCATACAAAATTGGCTGTGTCCCAATAATACTATATATAGAATTCTAGTATTTTATCCTTTAGACAATTTAGGCAAATGTTTATATTTAACATACGATGAAACCTAAGTCAAGTTAATAAAGATTACATAGCATATCTCTAAGATTTCTGATCCAAGGTCCAGTAATTTTTCCATTTTTTGAACAACATTCCTGACATTTTTGCCAGGAATAGTGTTTGGCTGGGGGATTAAAAAAGCTGAACAGAATATACTACTTTATTGGACAGAACATAATTCTTAATCTAGAAGTCATCATCTTTAGCCCACAATATATATATATAAATATCTACATAGGGAAGTTATTGTTACTCAGAGAACTATCTTCTTTTATCACAAACTTTACTGCTATGCAGACCAGCTGTCCTAGAAACCATTTCCCTTTGGTGATAAAAGAGAAACATAAAAATATTCACATCTCCACTAATTTAAAAAATTTATTGAATTCTCATATTTCAGGCATTGTGCTTGACATTTGGGGGATTATTAATGAATGAGGCACATTAATTTCTATGTTTAAAAACTGCTTATAACTCTGAGAGACTGACATAAAAATATTTTTAATGTAGAAACAAGAAAATTTGATAAATTTTAATTCACTAAAATAAAAAACCAAGCTGCTAATATTTACACGAATAACATGCATGTCAACCAAAATTTCTAGGGAGATAGTACGACCAGGAGTGTCATGACATTCAGGTGAGTGGTGCTGAATTTTAATGTCATTCTTCTCTCACAATTTTGCTTCCCATTAATCCTAAGAAAAATCTTAAGTGTTTCAACACAAAACTAGCTTGGATGTAATGGATTTTTGTATTTGACATACCTGTCTTCATGTTTAAATAAGATTCAGAATATTCTACATTGATATTTCCATATTGAAATATGTAGAGATACATACCCCTATCAAAATTAGAACTAATGAAGCAAGATAAATAAGCACATAATAGATAAATAAATAATGACAAGGTCTTCCATTTTTAGTAACATGATAGATTATATTACACAGTTGTTCCCTCTTATCCACAGCTTCTTTTTCTGTGGCTTCAGTTACTCATGGTCAGCCACAGTCTGAAAATATTAAATGAAAAATTCAGAAATAAATAATTCGTAATTTTAAATTGCATGTTCTAAGTAGCAGGATGAAATCTCCTGTCATCCTGCTCTATCTCACCTGGGCTGTGAAATAATGCCTTTGTCCTGCATATCCATATTGTATATATTATCCACACATTAGTCATTGAATAGTCATCTTGGTAGTTATCTGATTGAAAAATATAGTATATACAGATGGTCCCTAACTTATGATGGTTTGATTTAATAATTTTTGACTTTTTGATTGGTTTATCAGGATGTAGCCTGATGCATTTTGATCAATTATATTTTCAATTTATGATGGCTTCATCAGGACATAATCACATCATAAGTTGAGGAGTATCTGTATAGGGTGTGGTACTATCCACGGTTTCAGGCATTCACAGGGGGTCCTGGAACATATCCCCGTGGATTAGGGGGGCACTACTCTATGAAAATATTTCCAGTAGAAAACACTTAAATGCTGTATAAATTGTAAAACATTGTTGTAAATGAATAGGAGCTTGAAAGAAAGAAATCTTTAGGATCCAAAAACAAAGGGAAACCTGAAGACTAGGCTAGTGATCTCCCTGCTCCGGAGGCATTCACTCATCTTGAGTTAAAAGCGGCTTGTGTTTTGAGTCCATGTGGAGCCAGGAAATAAAGCATTAGGTTTAGGATAGATTGGTGTTTGGACTGAAAACCCTGGATAAAATCGAGGCCCACAAAGGGCCACAGTGAAAAGTTCTGTTAAGAAAAAGTGACCACCAAAAATGGGAGTCTAAGAGAAAACTGATTTGCCTCAACCTGAACCATGGAATGGGGATAAATGTTTTTGAGAGTTTGTGGACACCTTCCTGTTCTCACATCTGATCTTTGTCAAACCTGAAAAAACAAGAAGTGGAGAAAGGATTCCCTATTTAATAAATGGTGCTGGGAAAACTGGCTAGCCATATGTAGAAAGCTGAAACTGGATCCCTTCCTTACACCTTATACAAAAATTAATTCAAGATGGATTAAAGACTTAAACGTTAGACCTAAAACCATAAAAACCCTAGAAGAAAACCTAGGCAATACCATTCAGGACACAGGCATGGGCAAGGACTTCATGTCTAAAACACCAAAAGCAATGGCAACCAAAGCCAAAATTGACAAATGGGATCTAATTAAACTAAAGAGCTTCTGCACAGCAAAAGAAAGTACCATCAGAGTGAACAGGCAACCTACAGAATAGGAGAAAATTTTTGCAATCTACTCATCTGACAAAGGGCTAATATCCAGAATCTACAAGAACTCCAACAAATTTACAAGAAAAAAACAAACAACCCCATCAACGAGTGGGCAAAGGATATGAACAGACACTTCTCTAAAGAAGACATTTATGCAGCCAACAGACACATGAAAAAATGCTCATCATCACTGGCCATCAGAGAAATGCAAATCAAAACCACAATGAGATACCATCTCACACCAGTTAGAATGGCAATCATTAAAAAGTCAGCAAACAACAGGTGCTAGAGAGGATGTGGAGAAATAGGAATACTTTTACACTGTTGGTGGGACTGTAAACTAGTTCAACCATTGGGGAAGTCAGTGTGGAGATTCCTCAGGGATCTAGAACTAGAAATACCATTTGACCAAGCCATCCCATTACTGGGTATATACCCAAAGGATTTTAAATCATGCTGCTATAAAGACACATGCACATTTATGTTTATTGCAGCACTATTCACAATAGCAAATACTTGGAACCAAGCCAAATGTCCAACAATGATAGACTGGATTAAGAAAGTGTGGCACATATACACCACGGAATACTATGCAGTCATAAAAAATGATGAGTTCATGTCCTTTGTAGGGACATGGATGAAGCTGGAGAACATCATTCTCAGCAAACTATCGCAAAGACAAAAAATGAAACACCGCATGTTCTCACTCATAGGTGGGAATTGAACAATGAGAACACATGGACACAGGAAGGGGAACATCACACACTGGGCCCTGTTGTGTGGTAGGGGGAGAGGGAAGGGATAGCATTAGGAGATATACCTAATGTTAAATGATGAGTTAAATAGGTGCAGTACACCAACACGGCACATGTCTACATATGTAACTAACCTGCACGTTGTGCACATGTACCCTAAAACTTAAAGTATAATAATTTAAAAAAAAGATAAAAATTTACATTATTTACATTGGCTGAGGTACCACAAGCTGAGAAATTAATATTAAGTGGTCACATGTAACACATTTGGGTGCATCTACAGGAAAACAAGCTAAGAACACAAAACAGAAAATTACAAAACATCTCAGGATATAAGCCACCATAAGCAAGTGTTAGCAAAAACAATAAAGAGCAGGATAAGAACCCTAAGATTTCAAGCAAATAGAGTTTCAGTCTAGAGACCTACTGCCCAGTAAAAATATGATGTAAAACACATATTTAACTTTACATCTAGTTAGTAGCTGTATTAAGAGTAAAATAAAAAAAAGATTAATTTTAGTAATACAATTTATATCAAATATGAAGAATGTTATTTTAACATATAATCCATAAAAATGTTAAGTAGATATCTTATTCTTCTTTCTCATACTAAGTCTTTGACATTTTCAGTACATTTCAATTCAGACTAGTCGCATTTTAGGGGCTGACAAGCTTGAATGTGACCAGTGGCTACCATACTAAACAGAGCAGATATACACTACAAGTGTTGTTAAAATTATTAAATATGCAAAACATGAAATAAAATATGAAAAAGAAGACAAAAAACAAATAGAAACGTAGAACTTTAAGGCATTACAAATAGAGCCAGGCACAGTGACACAAGCCTGTAATCCCAGCTACTCCAGAAGTGGAGGCAGGAGGATTGTTTGAGCCTAGGTGCTCAAGACCATCCTGAGCCACATAGTGAAATCTTTTTTCCAAAACAAACAAAAAATATACTACAAATATATTAATCAAATTTAAAACCCAGTAACTTTGAAAAACAACAGATTAGACACAGCCAAAGAGGGAAGGGTGAATTAAAAGACTGCATAGAAGGAGGAGAAAAAGAAAAATCTGAAAAAATTACAAGATAAGGAAGATAGAATTAGAAGATCCAAGATACAGCTAATTGGAATCTTAGATGTGGAGAATATTAAGTAAAAGAAAGGGAATACATGGAAAGATCTTGCCTGAGTATTTGCCAGAATTAATGAAAGATGAGAATCCTTAGATTCAGGAATACGATGAGTCTCAAATTGAATAAATAAAATTCTATGCCTATACATATCTAGTGAATCTACAGAACAAGAAAGAGAAAACTAGTAAACTAAGAGATAAAGATAAATTACAGTTATCTTTGTTATTTACAATAGTTATATTCTGTAAAGTTACCGTGAACACTGAATTAACAAATAGGAAACCATTTTTCCTAGGGGAAATACAATGTTAGGTTCTTGTAAGTTTTGGGTCACAATATTTTCACCAATTGATCAATATATAATCTTATTTTCTATGTGTTCTGTTTAAAGCCACACTGTTTAATGTAAATATTTCTTACAAATGACTAACTGCATGATATTACAATGATTTCAAGTCAGAAGCATTGGAGGCCATTTGTGTTATACAGGCTCATTTGCTAACATTCTTATTAAAGATTCCAGTCTCATCAGCATCAAAAACCTGTTTTCCTTATAACCCCTTTTCTGTATTTAAAAAATTATTTCACAGGCTTCTGAGCTGCAGAACATGCCTCACCAGCAATTTTAACATGTTTTACTCCTATTGCCTTTTTTTTTTTTGAGATGGAGTCTTGCTCTCCACCTCCCGTTCACGCCATTCTCCTGCCTCAGCCTCCCGAGTAGCTGGGACTACAGGCGCCCGCCACCACGCCCGGCTAATTTTTCTGTATTTTTAGTAGAGACGGGGCTTCACCGTGTTAGCCAGGATGGTCTCCATCTCCTGACCTCGTGATCCGCCCGCCTTGGCCTCCCAAAGTGCTGGGATTACAGGCGTGAGCCACCGCGCCTGGCCTCCTATTGCCTTTTGAAACGTAAGCTAGACAGGACTAGCTGAGAAGGGTTTTACATTCTCCTGGCCTTTAACAAGACTGGAAACTTCTTTTGCTTTCAGTCTCACAACAATGCTATTCACTATTTTTTTTTAATGTGGGGGATTTAGTCTTACTAGATATTAAAACTTATTTCAAAGTTACTGTAATTATGTAATGTAATATACCAATTATTCAGTGGAGTAGAAAAAGCTCACAATATTTACAGATAATCAGTATATTTAAATTGTATGGGAAAGAATATTTTATTTAATAAACTAATGCTGGCACAATTGACTAACAGGCATCTGGAAAAAAAAGAGTTGAATATTTACATAACACGCAAAAACAAATTACAGATGGATTTAATATATAAATGTACAAAAATAATATTTTAGAATCTTATTAAAGGTAAAACATTATATCTGTAATTTAGAAGTGGGTGAGAATATTGTTATTAAACTCATAAATTGAACTTCCTAGTTCCATATTTACAGACTAGAGAATTTTCAAAGATCAATTCTGGTCTAATGGGGGTTTCTGGTTTAGAGTATTACACTTTATCTCCAACCTCTATCACCTTGCATATACCTAACTGTATTGTAGTTAGACTGTAACCCGTCTCAACTAGCTATCTGAGCATCTCCTGAACAATGTGTGGCTGGTCCAGGGCCCTTATTGTTTAAAATAAAATTATCCTTTTGGGCAGCCTTTTGGGGTAAAGGGTGGTTAAAGATCTGCTCATGCTTTTACAGTATTAAAATGCCTTTGTATTGTTCTTGGTATTACTGGAAAAAGAATAAAAGATGATAGATCTAAAGCTTTAAGACATGACTCTGCCTACTTGCCTCAGGAAACAAGTGTTCAATCTTGGGCAGTAAGTACATGCACCATCTACCTCCACACCTACTGACAGGAGGATATCTGTGCTGATGCTGTCAGGCTTGGAATTAATAAAGAACCCAAAGACTAATGAAGAAAGAAACATAAAGTAGCCAATGTAGACCTGTGGATAACTTTTAAAAATTTGTGCTTTTAAAATGTTTTGATAGAAACAGTTGACTATCAAAAGAGTTTAAATATCTGGAAGAATTGTATATGCAAAAAACATGATTTTATTTTTGGAGAAAGATACAACATGATCGAGTTTTCTAGTTTTTATGCATCAAAGTTCATATTAAGAAGTAATTAATTTCCTAAGAACAGGTAGAAATACATTTCTTTTATTAGGAGCTCCCTTTTAAACAGAGTAATGCTGTTTTCTCATTAAAATACAGTATAGATATAGACATTCAGCCAAAAAAGTTTTGAAAAATTACTCTCAGTAAATTAATACTGAGTGTGATTACTTGAGCTGACAGGAACATAAAGAATGAGTGATGAGAACATCTGATCATTTAGCAGTACTTAATGAAACAGATGCCGGATGCTGCAAAGCTCATCTACAGGAGAACTTTCGTCTTGGCAGAGGAGTCAAAGGAACTTAGTTTTTTTTCTCCCCCAAGCCTCATGACATTTAATTTTCAACATATAAATCCTGGAGTATCATAATTCCAGATACAAATAGTTCTCGTCAAACAATTCTGTAAGGCTTGCTTACCATACGTGCCCATTGAGCACCAGATCCTAATTGGATAGGATTGATCCAGTGTGATTAATTTTAAATAACAAATTCTAATAAGATGTTTTATGAAAGCAATAAATGATTTGATGACAAGGACTGAAAAGATAATGTGAAATTAGAACTATCTGTTTCTGCTATATATGTAAATTAAAGTGTAATTAAATACTCCAGACCAAGGTATTTAAATTTGATATCTTAATCAAGAGGCCATTTAGGGATTAGAATTCTACCTCAGTTTAGGATTTCTGGAAAATAAAACCCACTCCTGGATCCTGAGTTATTGATTCCTCCTTTCAGATATGTAGATTATCTATTATAGATGCCTAAAAAGTGAGTCAGGAATTAATTGGATTTGTTTTCTAGGATAAAAACAGTTTTTATTTCTATGTAACTAAGGTAATGTAATTATAAATTATCAAACAATTCAGAAAATTACATCCATGCTCCCAATATTATGGTGACCGGCCTTGCAAACATTTCATTATGTGTATGTCTTCATCTGTTTCTATTGCTATAAATAAATACCTTTTATAAAGAAAAGACATTTTTAAAACTCATTGTTCTGCAGGCTGTACAAGAAACATGGCACTAGCATCTTCTTCAAGGTACTCAGGCTGCATACACTTATAGTGGAACCCAAACAGGGAGCATGAGTGTGCAGATCATACGGCAAGAGAAAAGAGGCAAGAGACAGGAGGAGGTGTAAGGCTCTTTTCAATAATAAATTCCTGGGGGAACTAACAGGGCGAGAACTCACTCATTGCTACCAGGACAGTACCAAGCCATTCATGAAGGTTCTGTTCCTGTAACCCAAACACCTCTCACTAGGCCCCACCTCCAATACTGGGGATGAAATTTCAACATGAGATTTGGAAGGAACAAATATCCAAACTATATTAGCATATAGGTATATATAGACAAACATAAAATTTTACATGAATGAGAACATTATTTTTGTCTCAACTTTTGTGGGCAACAAAAGTCCCTATACATATATCCTTATCTTCTATTGAGATTTCACGGCCAAGGGATCTGTACAATCTTAATTTTAATAGATGTTACCAGTTTAAATCTCAAAAGTTTGTAACAATTTATCTTTGTATTCACAATATTTGAGATTACATTTTCCTCATATTTTGGGGTACCACTATTTTAAAAGATGAGAAATAATAGCTCAGTAGTTTTATTTTTCACTTTGTATTTACCTAAATATTAGTCAGGTTGTCTTTTAAAGACATGTTCATTGGATATTTGAATTTGCTTGTTTTTAAATTGCCTATTCATAACTTTTGTCATTTTACAATTTTTTGTTCAATTTATAAACTTCATATCTGTTTACCTATCTATTTTAGACATGAATCTTCTATGAGTCATGTACTATGCAAATATTTTACCAATCTATCTTTTAAAATTTATATGTATATCTTCTGCAATTCAAAATTTTAAGATTTTTTACGGAATCAATGTTTTCTGCCTCAGTTAGAATATTCTCAAAAATTCTAAATTATAGACATAATCTTTTACAACTTTAAAAATTGTGCAACTGTGGACGGGTGCCGTGGCTCACGCCTGTAAAACCGGCACTTTGGGAGGCTGAGGAGGGCGGATCACCAGGTCAGGAGATGGAGACCATCCTGCCCAGCATGGTGACACCCCGTCTCTACTAAAATACAAAAATTTAGCTGGGCGTGGTGGCTGGCGCCTGTAGTCCCAGATACTCAGGAGGCTGAGGCAGGGAAATCGCTTGAACCCGGGAGGCAGAGGTTGCAGTGTGCCGAGATTGCGCCACTGGACTCCAGCCTGGCGACAGAGCAAGACTCTGCCTCAAAAATAAATAAATAAATAAAGTAAAAATAAAAGAAAAATGTGCCACTTTTAAACTAGAGTTAAACTATGTGAGCCTTAATCGCTGTATCTGTTAAGTGGAGATGGCATTAATATATAATATCACCTACTTCGGAGGGTTGTCATTGGATTAAATCAAATAAAATATATGACGAAATGCTTATCACTAAAGTTCAGCCGCTATCATTATAACAACAAATTACTTAGTATATTACCCTGATGTAAGTTTGGTTCTCTTCAGTATTTTACCCAGTTTTAATAGTACTTTTGTATTTTGCATTTTCAGTAAATTTTTAAAGGCATACACAAAGAACTATGCTTATTAATGTGGGATATGACTTTCGTGTGACAAAGCAGAGAAATAAAATGCAAACCTCAAAAATGAAAACACAAGTCACCAGTCTATTCAGTTTATGTTATGAATATAACAGGATGTTCTGCACAAATTTCAGGTAAGTTAATAGCTTTTTTCCCCTACAAAATACATCTCTATCATAACCACAATGAGCAGATACAGTACATCTTCTACCCTGCAAACATCCTACTGAATTTGAAAATTCAGATAATATCATTATCCAATGCTTTTTATTCTATACAAGAATGTCAGTGTTGTAATCTCAGGTTTTATTTCAATGTGCTATCTTAATTTTCAAATAATACACAATATTTGGTTTTTCCAGAGGTGAGAGGTTGAAGATTAAAAGGGTATCGGTAAAAAAAAAAAAAAAAAAAGATATGGTATCTGTATTGTTATGAAGGCATTTGCCCTCAAAATTGCTGTATCTACAGCAATTATGTCAGTGTACTGTCCTGCTATTTCCAACATATTATTTTCTTAATTGCCTTGGGATACCTCAAAAATAAAAGCCAATTTTTAAAAAGTAGATAAAGTCACACAGTTATATTTTAAATATCTAAAAGCTAGTTTAAAGTGAACTGTTAGGATATTTACAAGACAAGATTACTTATTTGAAAAATAGGTGATTTTTTTTGGGGGGGGGATTGAAATAAATATGGTTTAGATCCAAGTTTATAATGTTCTATCCTTGTTATTTATTGCAGCTTTTCATATTTACAGGTAGAGTAGTTGAATTACTATATACAGAATATACAGTCATGCACTGCATAATGACATTTTGGTCAATAACAGACTGAATTTATGATGCTGGTCTCATAAGATCATAATGGAGCTGAAAAATTACTATAGCCTAGTGACATTGTAGCTGTTGTAACATTGTAGAGCAATTTTTAAAATCTAAATTTAGACCAGTAGTGTTTATAGTCTACAGTATTGTACTGTAAGGTCTTAAGTACTTCACATTCCCTCACTACTCACTCACTGACTCACCCAGGGCAATTTCCAGTCCTGCAAGCGCCATTCATGGTAAGTGCCCTATATAAATGTACCATTTTTAATCTTTTATGTCATACTTTTACTGTACCTTTTCTATGTTTGGATACATAAATACTTGTTGTTAGGTTACAACTGCCCACAGAATTTAGTACAGTAGCATACTGAACAGGTTTGCAGCCTAAGAACAATAGGCTATACCCTGTGGTCTAGGTGTATAGTAGCCTATACCATCTAGATTTGTGGAAGTAAACTCTATGATATTTGTAGAACCACAAAATTGCCTAACAATGCATTTTTCTGAATGTATCCTTGTCATTAAGTGACATGTAACTGCAATATTCGGCTTCCATACTTCTCACTGTTCTGTTTTCTAGGAGAAAATGCATACGCACCACAGCCAAAAAAGTTAAAGTATGACCTGGTATTAAAAAGCATATGGTATTAGGGTTCTCTAAAGGTACGGAGCTAATAGGGTAGGTGAATATCTGAAGGGGAGTTTACTAGGAGAACTGACACACACGATCACCAAGTGAAGTCCCACAATAGGCCGTGTGCAAGCTGAGGAGCCATGAAGCCAGTCTGAGTCCCAAAACCACAAAAGCCGATAGTTCAGCCTTCAGTCTGTGGCCCAAGGCCTGACAGCCCCTGGCAAATCACTGGTGTAGGTTCAAGAGTCCAAAAGCTGAAGAACCTGGAGTGTGATGTTCAAAGGCAGGAAGCATCTAGCATGGGAGAAAGATGGAGGCCAGAAGACTCGGGCCGGTGTAGTCTTTCCACATTCTTCTGCCTGCTTTTATCCTAGCCACACTGGCAACTGATTAGATGGTGCCCACCTGGATTGAGGGTGGGCCAGCCTCTTCCAGTCCACTGACTCAAATGTTAATCTTATAGGCAACACTCTCAGAGACCCACCCAGGAACAATACTTTGCATTCTTCAATCCAATCAAGTTTATACTCCACATTAACCATCACACATACTAAAAATAGTATAGTATCCTAGAAAAGCTATAAAATGATCAAAATAATTTAGTGTAAGATTTGAAATGGAAACCATGTATTTCTTAAACATAAAATGAGGAAAAGAGTTTGTGTCATTCAGCAGGTTTCATCACACTGGGTTCAGTGATTCAAAGTTAACTACATTTAATATATCATTGTTAACTGGTCTTCTCACAGTGAAAAGTAGTTCAGATTGAAATCACATGTCCCATAATTATGGTTCAGATCATTATTTGGTGCCGAAATATTAATTTACCTGTTCTATTCACAACTAGCACAGTAATCAAGCATCTATCTTCTTAATTTCCAATGCATTTAGAAACTTCAGATATAGAAATAATTAAAATGCTGAGATATTAGATTTGTAAGAATTATAGTTTTTAAAGTGATTTTAAAGCTTATTTGAGTTAAAATGTCACAAAAATGCACTGTTTTTTCTTTGTAATTAGTCCTATTTAAAAAATTCATTTCAATGAATTGGCTCCAGATTTAAATCCTGAGCTAAGTAATAGACTTTTCATCTCAGGTGGCCTTCTTGAACTGCTATGAGCAATCCTTTATGTGTAAAGAGTTCAAATATGTTTCTTCTGAAACAGCAGTTATAGTACATTGTGGTAATTATTTATTTAACTGCCCACGTCCTTCAGGGCAGTACACCTTCTTTTAGAGCAGGTACTATGTCTTTTAGTCTCTCTTTGAATCTCCAGTGGCAACTATAATGTTAGGTGTATACTAGTTGCTCATTTTTCTCAAACCATTTTATTGTATGAATGGCTGAATGGATTCACTCACTTGCACTCACTCTTTTGTAATTGCCTGTTCATGCCCTTTGACTGTTACGCTTTAAACATTTTGCTATAGGTTAAGCTTATCTTTTGCTGAGTGATGACTTTCTTTCAATATTAAAATATTAACAAAATTTTAAGGGTATAGTATGCTCTATTTTTAAATTTTTCTTTTTTATTCTTAGGAAGTATGAGAACATCTAGTTATATAACTATATTTTTATAACTTTTAATTCTTTTTTCCTCAGAAAAGAATTCCAAATTTTGATAAGCATTTGGAATAAAATTCTGTTGCTTTTTCCTTCAGTTTCTCTATATCTTTCCCAAAACTAGTCTCTTTTAACTAGAAAAGTAAAATTTGTGGATCAATTTGGACAAAACTTTGAAAATAAATTTCACCAATTTCGGGAATACCGGAAGAGCTATTTTACTGTTCTGAAGAGATTCTGAATAGCAAGACATTTTCTGAATACAAATATGCTGTTGATTCTCATTTATTTTAATAGTTAATGTAACATACATTTACTCCGTCATTGTTATGTCTATTCATTTGGCACCATTACTTTCTATTCTAATATAATGAGACCTTTCTTGTGCTTTTATTGTTACTTTTTCTATTTTTAGAAATGACTTTACTGATATCTAATATATTTGAACCTAATTATATACATTCAGAACTTCATATAAATTTGGACTGGAGTTGTATACAAATTTATTAAAAAGTACAATTAATTAAAAATGAACTTAATATAAAATATAGTAAAAATAATTTGAGATAAATTAGATTATGCTTATTTTATTAGGTGGTATTAAGTAAACTCATTAATGAACATAGATAAATTTGACTTATCTGTAAACTTCTTACGAATTTGTGACAGAGAATAGCTGATAAGGTTAAGAAACACATTTTATTTTTCTCCTCTGTATACAGCTAAACTACATTCCCAAATCTTTCAAGTTAGGAAACATGTCACTAAGATCTGGCAAATGCTAGTAGGCATGAAATCATGTATGAGTTCTAGACCTGGCAACAAAAATGTCTCATAAAGAGTCTCTGTTCTCCTTTCATGACAAACATCAACTTTCATGTTGATGTTGGTGGTGACATTACATGGAAGAATTCTTTGTGCCTGAATAACTTCATGGAACCAGCTCTCCCCTGACCCAGGCAACCATAACAGTGGATAATAAACTTTAATTGTGTTAAACTGAAATATGGGTATTGTTGCAGCAGATATGCTATCCTGATTTATGTCAGAACTAGGAACAGCAGAGGCAGTATAATAAGTAAGAGTTTGAATTCCAACATCAGAGTATATGGAGTCTGTTTCTTGCTACTTATGACTTTGTGCAAATCACTTTATATTTTCAATTTCCTGAAGATAGTGGGGAGTATATTAATAATGCCCAACTGAATGCAGTTGTTGAATCAAGTAGATTCTCAAAAATATAAGCTATTAATATTATTTCACACTTGTTACTAAATTTCTAAGATATTTAGTCAGTTGTTTCCAGAAATTTTTTTGGATGAACATAGAGCATAAAATCCTAAATCTCCTAAGGAAATACTATTGGTTTACATAGTATATGCTGAAATACATAAGCACACATAAAGGATAATGGAAGTCACTATCTTCTAGTTGAAGAATCATAAAGATAGTTCCTAACTCAGGTTTTATGGAAATAAACATTTAAAAATTAATAAAATGAAATTAATTTTTTCAAGATGATATCATAGTAATATGTGTCTCTAGTCAAAGCTAATTAGATGTTTTGGGTGCCATAGGAATGAATTTTATTAGCATTTTTTTGCAGAGTAAAAAATAACACATTAAAATTTTCAGATTTTTTTGTACAAAGTGTTCAAATGTCATTCTTCATTGTGATTATATATCGTAGGGATGTACTTTAAAATATTTTGTCAGCCTAAAGAGTTGTGGTAAATAAAAAACTTAAAGATGATTTTTCATAGTAAACTAAGAGTTTTAGGGTCTATGTAAAAATCAATATGGTACAAGATTGCTTACAGATATGATATATGGTACACAAGTCTATTTAAGTGCTTTAATGATAATGTTATTCTAAAAAAAGAAAGGCTTTTTAAAAGATGCAATCCTCATAATTTTCAAACAGGCACAGAGGAATTATGCTAAGTAATTGGTTTCTATGTCTGCCAGCACACGAGTAGAAGTCATTTTTTATTATGTTGGGGAAAGCATCATACTGTTGTGACTTTTAAAACTTTAAGGGTTTATAATTTGTTGAGTTTTTATCAGTAAACTCCTAGGATTTTAAGCCTTTAATCATCTTAGTGTGTAACTAGTATGGTTGCTAAGGAGTTATCAATAATATTTTTCAGATGTGCTGTTTCCAATTAAAACTCCAGTAGTTCCAAAGATACTGCTGACAAGATTGGCTAATGTTGGTAACTGTAGAAGTTGGTGATGGGTACATCATTCCATTCTCTGAGTTTGAAAATCTCATTAACAGAAAGTTCAAAAATAATGAATCTGCATATGAATTTTTGCTTCTGTTTGTTTTTTGAATGTGTAAGATGATGGGAAAAAATAGTGAAGAAGAATGCAGATAATGAACACACTCTTGAACTCTAACGTTCTCCAATCCTCTGAATCACTTAGGGATGTTGCATTATTTTTAGGGTATGGTTTATGTGTTTATACCTTTTTTGAGACTTTTTTGAAACAGGTTTTGGAATTTTAAAAATGAGAATGAGTAACAGCTGATTAAGATTTTTTCCATTACCAGTCATATTTAGGTAAAATAGTAGGAAGCTCATTTTCCCTTCGTTAGTCAGCAAGTAGAAAGTATCTCCCCAAAGTATAATTTATTTCATAGGAAATTTATCTAAATTTCTAGAAATTGTCATAATTATCAACACATTATTATCATGTATCTATAATGGAAGTGGTGGAACTATTTTTTCTCTTAAAACATATGGTAAATATTTAGTTATGAAGAAAGCAAGAAAATCATTGTTGATGTTAGCAACCTTTCTGAATTTTCAAATATTTCTGGAATAGAGAACTTCTGCTTACAATGTCTGATGGTGATATTTCCCAAAATTTGTGCTAAGGATAACTAGTTCTGAAGGACATATGAGAAAAAGTGTTTTTTTGTGAACAATAAGTTTGAAAATGACAGTATAAAAGAGACTCTACAGGACGTTTAAAATACATTTTAGAATATTAAGAGTGCCAAGAAGCTCTCCAATAGAGAATTTTCTAAAATTTCTTGAATTTATTTATCCACAGGACCCTTTTATGTCCCAATAATAGATATTAACACCCAATAAAACTAGTTTCTATAGAATAAATTTTGGGAAACTCTGATGTGTAAGGAGAGGTTTATCCACTTTTTAATTGAGTTTTGTTATTGAAGACTTGTCACCTGTTCCAAAGTCAGATATTGGGTACATAATAATTGTCACACTGTTTCGATTCAGCATGCTCCTCTATCAGGAATTTCTGAGGATTCATCCAAAAGTTGGGACATGTCTCAAACCTTTTTTTTTTTTTTTTTTTTTTTTTTTTGAGACGGAGTCTCTCTCTGTAGCCCAGGCTGGAGTGCAGTGGCTCCATCTCGGCTACTGCAAACTCCGCCTCCCGGGTCCATGCCATTCTCTTGCCTCAGCCTCCTGAGTAGCTGGGACTACAGGCGTCTGCCACCATGCCTGGCTAATTTTTTATATTTTTAGTAGAGACGGGGTTTCACCATGTTAGCCAGGATGGTCTCAATCTCCTGACCTCGTGATCCACACGCCTCGTTCTCCCAAAGTGCTGTGATTACAGGTGTGAGCCACCATGCCTGGCCTCTCAAGACTTTTGATAATAATCTATTATATGTATTTTATCTATGAATTTATAATGTTTCTATTATATATAGTAAATATAAGCATGAAATAGTTTCTTTCCCCAAATTTTAGCATCAAAGAGAAAGGATTTATCCTGGCTATTTCTTCATGGTTATTCTAAATAACTTTAGCTCTCAGTCACTGCCTTTGCATGTACGAAAACATTTAGCTTTCTAGTCTATTAATAAAACTGTCCTTCTGTTAATCTTTTTTCTCCACCGTCCTTCATTTCTGCTTTTTTTCTTTCTTCTTTTCTTTCCTTCTTTTTTTTTTTTTTAACAATTCCATTTTCTCTTCTGCAAGGAGTGATGATCAGAACTCCACATAGATTTTTCATGTGCAGATGCATATGTTTGTATGGGGGTGGCAAAATATTTTTTAAAATTTTTTTCCAAAGTCCAAACTATTTCCTAGCAGCAATGCTTTATTGAAAATTTTACATCATATTATCAGTCAATGTCTGATTCATTTCCTGGGTAGTAACAGACAACTCATATTCTATTACATTGGAGTTAAGGTTTAGACTTTTTTCCTGAATGAATCATATGGTATTATTTACATTGAGTTTCATTATCTTTTCAAATTGTTAAATCTATTCGTGATTTTTTTTTTACAAGAGAAATAAAGATCTTGTGATTAAGGGTCCTCTATAGCACTCCCTCATAATACATGTGTAATCATTTAGCCTTATCCTATTTTAATAAATTCGTATGTAGAGTGTCCCTGCATCTGCAAAACATGAATTAAAGGGGAGAAATGTGGAGGCTCAAGTCTTTATGCCTAAGGGCTGGATGACAGGTCTTTGAAATGACCCCTTTAATCAGTAAAGGAAGATGCCAGATGTTTTATTATTCCAGCAGCCACTGCTAATGACAAGAGAAGGTTTTGGTGTTTGTCAGCTGAAGCTTTCTTACTGCTGGTCTGATGAGTTAGAGCAAACCAGCATCTGTTCAGAGAATGTGCAGAGAATCATAGACCTAGAGAATGTGTTTAAGTTTGAAGTCTTGAGTGATTAGGTGTTGAGTTCACTCCCTTTACATTTTCGTAGCATGAGTTTCTTGGAAAGAATGAGGAAAGTATGGAGATTTTCAGAAAGAATCAATTAAGGTAATCAGAAGGGATTTTGTCAATGCTTCTGCAAATTACTTTTTTCACAATGCATCTCTACTCATTCAGAAAGACTTAAGTGGATGGACATTACTGTTACTTGTCTCCTAAATATGTCATTGCTGGATGTAAAAAAATATGCTCACATTTTTTATTTTACTAAAAAAATTTCAGGGAAATATTAAGATTTAAAAGCTACATAAGCTCAAAATAATGACTGCAGTCTCTCTGATTCTTCACGCCTATTTCATTCAGTTTGATGTACTCTTCACAAGATGTGAGAGTGATTTTGCTACCTTGGGGAAATATTTCTGACAGCAAATATGATATTACATTAGTTGCCTTTGGGCCCCAGATATCCCTTCCTCAGTATGTACATTAAGGACCAGGCAGTAACAGAAAGACACGTTATAGAAGGAGTACAAGGAAATATTTGCAAGATTGAAAACATACCAAAAATAAATGGAAACACTTGCTAAATTACAACTTCAAAACAAGAAAACTGAAGCAGAAGGCATAAAGCACTCTGGCATGGTTCTTTATATACGGATGTTGCTCCCTTGTACAGGGAACATATACCTCAGAAATCTTTGAGGCACTTAATAAAAATACAGTATCCTAGGATTCCTATAAAATTTATAGAATCAGAAAGTAGAACCAAGAATTACATGTTTTACCAAATGCCTCATGTGTGGTTTTAATACATACAAAGGCATAAACCACTGATACAGGGTAATAAGAAAGGGCATTTTGAGGGTAAAAATTAAAAAGACATAGTTGATTTTCAAAATTTATATTACAGTCTGTGTGAACTTTTTGCTGTCTCTCCGCATATGAGGGTTTAACAAGTAATAATGTTTTATCATGGTTTCTATGAAATAAATGCTGGATGCATCTAATGTTTTGGACCAAGTATGGGGTAGGTGGGAAGGCTATACTTGATTCACATTGGATCCAGTGAGAGTACAGTGGGCTTTCTTCCAAGCCCTAAATTCTTAGATTTAAGAATAATACTTGATCATGAAAAATTATCAGAAATATCTTTAACAAAGCAGACTTTGATCTGCCACACTTTATTTTATATATGTGTCTGTTGATAAATATTTTCATTAGGCTCATCTTAATTCAACAATTCCTATTCTACAAAACAGAACATTTCCAACATTCTAAATAGTAATTTTCCACAAACTTTACAAAATGAAAAGGGAAAATAACTAGTAGTTTATATTCCAAATACATTCCAACATTTTTTAGGATTTACAATGTATTACCTTCAAACCTGTACTTCCTATATTATTTGTATTAGTTTTATTATTAATGTTTGTTAATGGCATCATTGGTCATTCAGGAGTTTGTATGAGAAAACTCAGAGTTATCTTAAATTTCATTTCCTCTCTCTTCATTCCCTCATAGTCAAGTAGTTGCCAGATTCACCTCATTCCACATATTTCATATCTCTTTGACCTTTCACCTCCTCTAAGTTCCACTGCCAGTACTTTGGTAGATAAAGGCCTCGATGCCCTTGGCTAGATAACTGGACTCTTTTAATTGGCATCTCAGTATTTATTCTGGACACCTTCTAGCACATTCTTTAAATTGATGTCCAAGATGTCTTTTTAAAACAAAGAACTGGAGATGTTGCTTTTCTGATCAAAAAAACATTTTCTGGTTCTTATTTTCATTCAAGATAATGCCCAAACTTCTTAGTATGGCATAAGTCTTTTCACAACTACCCTTGGCATATAATTCCAGTATTTTACAACTCTATCCCACAAAAAGTACACACATCCCTCCTGGATTCTTAATGTATCTGTTTCATTCTCTATCAAAAGGCCTTCTTATTTCCCCAGTCTACACTTATACTTCCCTGTTTTTCTTTCTCATAGCATCTTCTTTATTTAGTTTTTAGTTTTTTTCACTATACCCTTCAGTCTCATCAAGTGGGCTCCACCTTCTATGAATACTGTTTTCCAAAATTGGTCTACAATATTTGTAATCTTTTTATAGCCAATGCCTGAATTTTTTGTAAATTATACAACATGGACATTTCCTTGGTATTTCTAAATTTTCCAAAATGTTTTCTGTGATATAATACTCTTTGGATGCTCTTAAGAATATTTTCATACCCCAATACATTTGGAAATCCTGCATACCATGTTCACTTTTGGGAGATTTACATAATATATATAGAAGCTCATTGAAGGTTCGGTAAAGTCATACTTTTAGAAAATTATTGAACCCTGAGATTAACCTGAAGTTTCTCTAATTACATGACTAATGTTCCATCGTAAAAAATATATTAGTAAGATAAGTACTGGAGCTAAAAGTGATATTCTAAGGAAAGAGACAGCAAACTGTGACATATGAATCAAATGGCACATCCCCCTCCCTGATTTTGTAAATAAAGCTGTGTTGGAGCGCAGTCATACCCATTTGTTTATATATCATCTAAGGCTGTTTCCTGCTACAAAGCAGGGTTAAGTAGTTGCAACAGAGATCATATGGTTTGCAATGCTTAAAATATTTACTTTTTTCTCCTTTACAGAAAAAAAGAAGCTATATAAAAAAACCCTATATTAAAGGAGGGAGAGAACACATACAATGAAGTAGTATAGGGGACAACAAAATGTAACAGAAGTGAAAAACAAGGGTTGCAAAAAGATTTCATTTTAACAAACAAGACCACCAAAACTTTTTTGCCTATTCCTCAGCCACAGGTTAGCTAACTAGATTGCCTGCTGTTCCTTTTTTTTTTTTTAGCAATGTTTAATATTCAAATGCCAATCTATCTTTATTTAGATGAATTAATTGGGTGTAACCAAATCTACAAAACACACCTAAAAGAATCTAACTGTTCCCATCTCACAGATAAGAAAATAACTTTTATCATCATTTTATTAGTTTTCACTTATCTTTCATAACAATTCTATAAATCATATATTTCAGAGTAGGATAGGTTATATATTCCACAATATAGAGGGAAAAGTAAGTTTGAAAAACTAGCCTTTCCAAAAAAAAAAATCACTGTCTCTCAGGTTTAATTTCTTCTAGTCAGGCTTATCTTTTATATCACATATTTGCCAAGAAAATTTCAGTTTATTTTAATGAAATATTCCTTTACAGAGAAAATTGTGATTAGTGTTTTATCCTGAATTCTACCATGGTGATCAATTTAAAATTATCAAACTAATGATACAAATCAAAGCAATTCCTGTATAAGACCTGAGGGTGAGAAATATTATAAAATACCAAGAAATTTGTTTTAGGAAAAGCATCAGCAAATATTTTTGTTTTTTCCTTCTTCAGCCCTATTAATATCTTGATTTTAGCCTTAGTAGATACATTTTTAGATTTCTGATCTCCAGAACTATAAAATATTAAAATCGTTTAAACCACTAAGTTGGTGATAATTTGTTACAGCATCAATAGGAAATGAATACACCTTATTTTCTCTGGCGCCTGACATAAGTTGATGTGCATTGCCTAAGTCATCTCATCCTGTTCTGACTTTCCCCTCACTTCCATACTCCAGCTAAACCTGACTTCATTCAATTCCTCAAGCATATCAAGCTTGTTCTGAAACTGCCTTTGGAAAAAGTATAACTGGGAAAATTATTACAGTGAAAGAGTTCTGACCTAAACGACTCCATCTTCCTTCTAACCTCCAAGCTGTCCTTGTTCATTCCTGGGTATAGGCGGAATTCACTTTGAGAGGAACTTAGTTGATAGTTTAACTTTGAAACTAAACTAAGAGCCCTTTCCTAAAACAAACCCCCTTCCTGCCTGGACTTTGCAGGACTAACGAATTAGCCACAAGATTAGAAATCATGGTTTAGGAGCCAGGCAGCTGGAGGCTGCAAGATTCTGAACCTCCCCAAATTGCTCCTGGGGATAACACTGAGAGGTGACAGCGTGCTGGCAGCCGTCAGAGCCCTCGCTTGCTCTCGGTGCCTCCTCTGCCTGGGTTCCCACTTTGGCGGCACTTGAGGAGTCCTTCGGCTCGCCACTGCACTGTGGGAGCCCCTTTCTGGGCTGGCCAAGGCCAGAGCCGGCTCCCTCAGCTTGCAGGGAGGTGTGGAGGGAGAGGCGCGAGCAGGAACCGGGGCTGCGCGCAGCGCTTGCGGGCCAGCTGGAGTTCTGGGTGGGCCTGGGCTTGGGCTTGGCGGGCCCCGCACTCAGAGCTGCCGGCCGGCCCTGCCGGCCCTGGGCAGTGAGGGGCTTAGCACCCGGGCCAGCGGCTGGGGAGGGTGTACTGGGTCCTCCAGCAGTGCCGGCCCACCGGCTCTGCACTCGATTTCTCACCGGGCCTTAGCTGCCTTCCTGTGGGGCAGGCCTCAGGACTGCAGCCCACCATGCCTGAACCTTCCCCCGCCTCTGTGGGTTCCTGTGCAGCCCGAGCCTCCCCAATGAATGCCGCCCCCTGCTCCATGGCGCCCAGTCCCATCAACCGCCCAAGGGCCGAGGAGTGCAAGCGCATGGCGCGGGACTGGCAGGCAGCTCCACCTGCAGCCCCAGTGCAGGATCCACTGGGTGAAGCCAGCTGGGCTGAGTCTGGTGGGGAGGTGGAGAGTCTTTATATGTAGCTCAGGGATTGTAAACACACCAATCAGCACCCTGTGTCTAGCTCAGGGTTTGTGAGTGCACCAATCGACACTCTGTATCTAGCAGCTCTGGTGGGGCCTTGGAGAACGTTTATGTCTAGCTCAGGGATTGTAAATACACCAATCGGCACTCTATACCTAGCTCAAGGTTTGTAAACACACCAATCAGCACCCTGTGTTTAGCTCAAGGTTTGTGAGTGCACCAATCGACACTCTGTATCTAGCTGCTCTGGTGGGGCCTTGGAGAACCTTTATGTCTAGCTCAGGGATTGTAAATACACCAATCGGCACTCTGTATCTAGCTCAAGGTTTGTAAACACACCAATCAGCGCCCTGTGTTTAGCTCAAGGTTTGTGAATGCACCAATCGACACTCTGTATCTAGCTGCTCTGGTGGGGCCTTGGAGAACCTGTGTGTTGAAACTGTATCTAACTAATCTGATGGGGATGTGGAGAACCTTTGTATCTAGCTCAGGGATTGTAAACGCACCAATCAGCGCCCTGTCAAAACAGGCCACTTGGCTCTAGCAATCAGCAGGATGTGGGTGGGGCCAGATAAGAGAATAAAAGCAGGCTGCCACAGGCCACTCGGCTCTACCAATCAGCAGGATGTGGGTGGGGCCAGATAAGAGAATAAAAGCAGGCTGCTGGAGCCAGCAGTGGCAACCTGCTCGGGTCCCCTTTCACACTGTGGAAGCTTTGTTCTTTGCAATAAATCTTGCTACTGCTCACTCTTTGGGTCCACGTTGCTTTTATGAGCTGTAACACTCCCTGCGAAGATCTGCAGCTTCACTCGTGAGCCCAACGAGACCACGAGCCCACCGGGAAGAACGAACAACTCCAGACGCTCTGCCTTAAGAGCTGTAACACTCACCCCGAAGGTCTGCAGCTTCACTCCTGAGCCAGCGAGACCACGAACCCACCAGAAGGAAGAAACTCTGAACACATCCGAACATCAGAAGAAACAAACTCCAGACGTGCCACCTTAAGAGCTGTAACACTCACCGCGAAGGTCTGCAGCTTCACTCCTGAGCCAGCGAGACCACGAACCCATCAGAAGGAAAAAACAACGAACACATCTGAACATCAGAAGGAACAAACTCCAGACGCCACCTTAGGAGCTGTAACACTCACTGCGAGGGTCCGCGGCTTCCTTCTTGAAGTCAGTGAGACCAAGAACCCACCAATTCTAGACACAACACCACTATTATAAAACTTAAGATCAGTGCTTGAGATATTTTGCAGACCTTGCACGTGACGAATCAGCTAGCACCGCTCAGATGAATAAACTGGCTCAGCTGGTCCTGTGGCCCCCACCTAGGAACCTACTTAGCACAAGAGGACAGCTTCAACTCCTTATGATTTCATCTCCCACCAGACCAATTGGCACTCCCCACTTTCAAACCCCCTACCCACCAAATTACCAGGGAGACTGATTTGAGTAATAATAAAACTCTAGTCTCCCGTACAGCGGGCTCTGTGTGAATTAAACTCTGTATTGCAATTCCCCTGTCTTAATAAATCGGCTCTGATTAGGCAGCAAAGACAGCCCACTGGGCAGTTACAGCTCTGGTTTTGATCCTTCGCGGTAGCTCTTTTCTCATCCAAATAGTTCACAACAACCTTCAGATCTTTATTCAAAGGTGAACCCTATCTGAGGAATTCTTGACCTACCTGTTTAAAATTGCATCTCCTCTTCCCCACCTCCCATTTCTTATCATTTTTACCATGCCTGTTATTCATGTCTGTACTTATAACAATGTAACATATTTTTACATATTAAAAAATGTTTTTGAACATCTCTTAGAAGCTCTATTATGGGATTTTTTTTCTTTTGTACTCACTGTAATATTTTCAGCCCCTACAACAGTGCCTGGCATATAATGTGTTAAATGGCTTGATCAATTATGTTGACTCTATAAACCAGAGAAAATGAGAGGAAAGAATAATTGTCTCAAAATATGTAGAAAGACTATTAAATAGGCCAGGCGCAGTGGCTCACACCTGTAATCCCAGCACTTTAGGAGGCCGAGGAGTGCGGATCACCTGAGGTCAGGAGTTCAAGACCATCCTGGCCAACATGGTGAAACCTCGTCTCTACTAAAAATACAAAAAATTAGCTGAGCGTGGTGTCAGGCACTTGTAATCCCAGCTACTCGGGAGGCTGAGGCAGGAGAATCGCTTGAACCCAGGAGGCGGAGGTTGCAATGAGCCGAGATCACGTCATCGCACTCCAGACTGGGGGACAAGAGCGAGACTTCGTCTCAAAAAAAAACAACAACAAAAAAGAAAGACTATTAAAGAATTGGATGTATTTAAAGTTGGAAAGGAATACATTGTAAATTAGGGAAATCTATTATTGCAGTATTTCAAGCAAAGAGGAGATGTCAGGTTTTCTGCAGAGGGAGTACTGATAGTATTTGGAAGAAACTGATCTTTTTCCTAAACTGTGCTACTATAATTTTCTCCAGTGAAAAGAATTTTATTTCTTGATGTTTTCTATTCAACATCTGTGTTAATAGGAACAGTTGGAAAGAAATTGAGGTCATTGGGAACTATAAGATAAACATTTAGATGACAAATAATTGAGTTTTTTTTCTAAAGTAAAAGTGCTTTTATAAAAAGGTAAATAGAATCCTTCGTGGACAATTTATGGATGAAAAATGTGAAATTGGCTTTTTCTAAGCCATATATTGATTTGATGTTTATAAACACTGTGTCTTGCCGATACAGTATGATCACTGCTCAATCTTTATGAAACTGCAGAAGACTTAACTACCAATTAAATTGAAGTGAAACATTATGTTTGGTATATTAGCATTACAAGATGAGCTTCTTTGTAAAGTTTGAACAAAAATGTCATAGACAGACATTTTCTTGGTGCTTTTTCAGAATAATCTCATCAAAACAAACATATTTTATGTCACAGGAGTTTATCAAATTTTATTATTTGTGTTAATTATAATGAAAATTATATTATGAAAAGGATTTTGACACAATATAAACATTACAATAGTTGCATGGAATCAATAAAAAAGTACTTGACTTTTATGTAAAACTTGCTATATGCCAGGCCCTGTGTTTTAAATAATTAACTAATTTATCAGATAAATTTGATGAGTCATTATCTTTAATTTTATAAGCTCAATACTTAAAAATATTCTCTTAAAATATATATTTTATATTTTTTAAAAAATTACAGAATAAAAAGTTTAAAAACTGTTTGAAAATTAGTCCTTTAAGCCAAACACTAAGAGAAAATCTTTGCAAAATGCCAATCTGATGAAGAACTGGCATCCAAAGTACACAAAGAACAGTTAAAACTCAATAAGAAAATAAACCACCCAATAAAAATATAACCAAAAGATCAAAATATATCTCATCACATAGGATATATAGATGGCATATAAACATATGGAAACCCATGGTTAACATAATATGTCATCAGGAAGTGCAAATTAAAACAATGAAGTACTGCTATACACCTACTAGAATGGCCCAAATCCAGAACACTGACAAAGCCAAATGCTGACAAGGATGTGGAACAACAGGAACTGTCATTCTTTGCTCGTGGGAATGAAAAATGCTACTGCCATGTGGGAAGACAGTTTGGCAGTTTCTTACAAAACTAAACATGCACTTAACATATGATCCAGCAATCACATTCTGTGGTATTTACCTAAAGGAATGGAAAGCATGCCCACACCAAGGCCTGAGCACAGATGTTTATAGCAGCTTTATTCATAACTGCAAAAACTTGAAAGCAAGCAAAATGTTCCTCAGTAGGTGAATAAATAAACTATGGTATATCCAGACAATGGAATATTATTTGGCAATAAAAGGAAATAAGCTATCAAGAGACAAAAAGATATGGAGGAAACTTAAATGCACATTGACACATGAGAAAGGTCAATCTGAAAAAGGTATTTACTGTATGACTCCAACTATACGAGATTTTAGAAAAGGCAAAATTATGAAGATAGTAAAAAGATCAGTAGTTGCTTAAGGCTTGGAGGAGAAGATACAGGGATGAATAAGTGGAACATAGAATTTTTAGAGTAGTGTAACTATTCTGTATGGTATTGCAATGGAGAATATTTATCATTATGTATTTCTTAAACCTATAGAATTTACAACACAAAAAAGTGAACCATTATATAAACTATGGGCTTAAGTTTTTACAAATGGATAAATATTGGATCCTCAATTGTTGATAAATATATCACACTAATGCAAGAGGTTAATGATGGAGAAAACTGTGTATGTACTTGTGTTTTAAGGGGTTGTGGTATATGGAAACTGCAGTTTCTGCTAAATTTTTCTGTAAATCTAAAACTGCTCTAAAAAATAAAGTCTATTCATTTAAAAAATTAGTCCCAAGTTTAGTTAAAGCAGAACTATAATACCTTAATGCTTTTATAACTTAACATTTTCTCTTAGTTAATGAAATGAAACTGGTGATTTCTTCTGAAGTGTGTGACCCTGTTTCATTGCTGCCCACTGCAACTTCTTAGCTACTTGAGAGAAACCTATTACTGTCCATTCTAAATTTTGGAATATCCTAGGCTTGCTTTATTTAAATGCCCCCGAGGCCAACATGACAGAAGAGTGACAGAGACTAAAGTACCAGAACTTTGTAGTTTCTAAAACCAATTCAAAGATGTATATTCAGCATTCCCCTTCAGATCTTTTGCTAGAAGATTCTCTGGAGCTAATTCTTGCAAGAGGAAGAAGCATCAGGCAGGAATGGTTCTTATTTGAATTATCAAGATAGCTTCCCTTTTTAGGGGTTGTGGAAGGAAACCTGCGAGCATATGAATGTTCGACATTTGCTTTTGAGGCAGGTACTTAGCTATATGCTGACCCTCATGACATCCTCTGTCAAGTCCAGCAGAATGATTGATGTTACTGGAGATAAACTAAGAAAACGAAGAAAGTGTGGTGAAAAAAAGCTGAGACCAGATTAATTTCTGAATTATTTAATTCTGAAGATGAGCCTTTTGCTATTCACGGTAAAATTATTAGAGTGAATTGCAATTAATATAAATGTTTAAAGAACTACTAGATCAGGCCTTCTAAAACTAATTGATAATATAATTCACAAACATTTACTTGAATATCTTGGTTCAAAGTATACATTAAAAGAATTTTAGACTGAGGTTTTACAACTTAATTATATACTAATGTATTCCTAAGGCCATAGACTCTTAGATTTAACTAGAAAGTAGAATTTAGGTTCTAATATGCATTTAAATTTCAAATTAAATTTAATATGTTGGAAGCAGGTCTCAGATATGTACAGTGGCAATACATCTTCTATACAGATAATTCCAAGTGAATGATTAGAATTTTCAAGAAAAGATGTTTAATAATAAAATTTGGAATAACAGTGATAAAACATTGGATATCTACTTCCTAATATTTCGAGTATCTTATAAGCATTGCATTATGTTAAAGACATATATACCTAAAAGAAGTATTTAATTACTTTCTTTCCTACTACCCTTAAAAACTGTTCCTCCATCACTGCTCATGACATATACACTGGAAAGATGAAGCAGAACAATTAAAACCTAAGGTTTAAGAAAATAACTTCCAATGTGTATTAAGGTAGAATAACTTTTCTCTAGCAAACAGACATACACTTACAAACAATAAAACTAAAAATCTCAGTGACTGAAATCACATAAGACATTTATTTTTGTTCAGATCAAGGGTCAAATGTTGGTGGGTCAAGAAGCTCTGCTCACCTATTTATCGAAGAACCCAAGGTTCTTTTACCCTAGGACCTTTTAATACTCCGTCGGATCCTCCACACCTTGACAGAATTCAAGAGAAAAGAAACTGCAAGCATGGAGGATCCCATAGAAGTATTTTTAGATACTTATGCTGATCACCAATTTTGCTCAGATTTTACTGACCAGAACTTCGTCCCATGGCTTTACCTGGCTTCAAGGACACTGAGAAATGCAGTCTAACTGTGTACTCAGGGCTTTGGTAAGAGAAAAACATTGTCTCTGTTGCTATTATAGCAGTAAAATTAATTATTTTACCGGACTCTGGTTTCTCTTTAAACTTCATTTTAGTGTTCTTGAGAACATGTAATACGCAACAACTGGAAGATGTCTGCTCTGAATTTTCAATTAGATTTTACTTAATTTCAATTGAATTCACTTTAAACCAACTCAAATTGTATTAAAATTGCATTAAGCACTTATAGTGTGCTAGAAATGTTACTAGACACTGGAGATCCCTGCCCTCAAGGAACTCAGGCTATGAGAAGAGACTCCATTATGAAGGTGGTAAGGGATATAATAAAAATATGAACTATGAAATATGAATATGCGAGAGACACAGGAGAGCACATGGCTAAATCTGCCAGGGAGAGTTGTAGATGCCTTCACTCATCTGAAACATGAGCACGGCATTATCCAGTGGAGAAAGGGAAAGTTTATTCTAAACAGAGAAAGTAGCAAAAGTAAGGGTATGAAAAAATGAGTGATGCAAAAAAAAAAGGGAAAGGAGTGAAATATTGATAAGGAAACACATATAAGGGAGATAAGGCAAGTGAAGTAGGTTGAGGATCCATATAAAATTTGCAGGTGAGAACCAAATATTTAATTCAGTACATACTAGGAACACGATTCCTGCTTCATGCTTTCAGGACTTAAAAATGATGGCTATTATGGTTGTTATCTTAATCTGCACTTGCAGGAAATTTGTGATCTCTGGTGGTAAGAAAAGGTGCAAATGAGGAAGTGCTAAAAAATATTTTAACTGCTCAATGGGTAAGAGAAACATCATGTAGTATTCCTATTCATTGATAAATAGGATAGTATAGAGCAGTATTTCCCATGCTGTGAGACCTATACCACTAGGAGCATTTACTTGATTTTAGGTGAAATGCAAAGTAATTTTCCTTTCATTAGTTATGTTTTAATTTTAATGTGTTTTCAGAAATGTAACTATTAAAGTGAATGAATTTGGAGAAAAATATTAAGTAAATAGTAACAGAGAAGAAATACAGGTATGGCAAAATCTTGAAGGTGGTCCAATACAATTGTTGATGTCCAATAGACAATAACTGTTAATATTTAGACACCATAGATCTCAGGTTGAGATCTATGTCCTTCCTATCTCCTGCTGCCCCTTCTAAAAAATGACATGTTGATAGGAGAGCAAGGTGACAGGAGAGTGTGTCAATGAGAGAGAGAGAAGCAAATATATAATTGCCACCAAAAAGTATGCAGCAGAGGTCCCAGACCACACTACGCTCAGGCTCATGAGTTAGGTCTTGTATCAGAAAGTCAAAGTCATATCATATTCTCTATTTTCTTGATAATTAATCAAAATCAATTTGTCATTTGATTTCTTCTTGACCTGTGGCAACTATTTTGCTATTTACATGAAGAAAATAAATAAGTCCTAGATTTAACTTTAAATTTAGTGCTACACTATTTCTGAAAATGTGTGTCCTATTCCAAATTTAGCATTAAATTCATTTTATTCATCTAAGACAATAAATAAAACATGATTCTAATTGCAATGCAAGAATACTAGACATATACAGAGAATAAAACTACAGAAAGAAATGAAAAAGAGGAGATAATAATTATAAAAAACAACTCTAATTTTGAACCAAATACAGTAAGAACAGAAATTCATGTTCTTTGTATCAATTTCCAAGACATTGGATTGTGTACATTTCTGAGATGAAGATTATTAAAGAACGTATTTCCTCTTTGGAGATTTGTCATTGAGTTTTCAAGGTGAAGATTCACTGTTAGGGCTGGGTATGGTGGCTCACGCCTGTAATCCCAGCTACTCAAGAGGCTGAGGTGGGAGGATCACTTGAGCCCAGGAGGTGGAAGTTCCAGTGAGCCAAGATCGTGCCACCACACTCCTGGGTAACAGAGCCAGCACCTGTCTTAAAAAAAAAGAAAAAAAACAAAAACAAAAAGATTCGATATTGAAGGAAACAATTGATAAAATATTATCTCATATATTTAACTAGCACCAGTTTTCTAATGAAGGAGAAACATGTGATTTGACTGTCTTATACTCCAGAGACTTGCGGAAACATCTACAAATAGGGCTCAGAAAAAAAAAAAAAAAACTAAGGGAAGATTAAATTCTTAATGATACTTTAGATTACTCAAGATTGTTGTATTAGTCTGTTCTCATGCTGCTATAAAGAAATACGTGAGACTGGGTAATTTATAAAGAAAAGAGATTTAATTGACTCACAGTTCTGCATGGCTGAAGAGGCCTCAGAAAACTTAAAATCATGGTGGAAGCAGAAGCAGGCACCTGCTTCACAAGGTGGCAGGAGAGAGATAGTGAGTCCAAGCAGGAGAACTGCCAGACACTAATCAGATCTCATGAGAACTCACTCACTATCATGAGAACGCAGGGGGGGAAGCCATCCTGATGATTCAATTGCCTCAACAAGGCCTCTCCCTTGACACATGGGGATTATGGGATTTATGGGGATTACAATTCAAGATGAGATCTGGATGGGTACACAAAGCCTAACCATATCAATTGTAAAATTAATGAATTATAAAAAGGCTGTCAATTCAGGGAGGAAAACAAGAGTCATTTTGAAATTTTGCAGGTAAAATTATGTTATTCATGGAGCTTGACTTAAAAAAATTTTAAGTTCTGTTGTCTTTGTAAAACCCAAAGTCAAGTTACTTTTCTGATAAATAATAATAGCAATAATAATAATAAATACTATTTACTCTTCTATTTTATGTGTTCTTAACATATTTAAATTTTCTAGTTGCACAAAACAACTAAAAGGACCTACTAGTAGATGAATGTGTGATGATGTAATTCTCTTTCTATTGCTTTTAGTTCACCCACTGGTTGAAGGAGTTTCTGAAATGCTATGTGTTAAGCCTTTATAAAGGCCAAAGGAAAATTCTTATGCAGATTCTCTATGTGCCTCACATGAGAATAGGACTGTATTAGTTATGCATTGCTGCGAAGCAAATTACTCTGAACTTTAGCAGTTTAAAGAAACATAGATTATCTCTCACTGTTTCTTAAAGCCAGGAATCTGGCTGCGGCTCAGCTGTGGTCTGGCTCAGAGTCTCTCATGTGCTATAGTAAGGTACTTGCTGGGGCTGCAGACATTTGAAGGATTGACTGGCAGGACGTTACACTTCCAAAATGGCACACTCCAATGGCTCTTGACAGAATGCCTTGGCTCTTGTCTTGTGGGCCTCTCTCCTGCACTGCCTGAGCATCCTGTGATGTAGAAGCAGGCTTTCCTTGAAATGAATGACTGAGAGCAAGGAAGAAGCCTCTGAAATAGCATATTGGCAATTCTGATGTATTCTAGTGGTGACATCGACCAACCCTCATGCAGTAGGTGAGGGGACTACACAAGGGTGTGCACTCCAGGAAGCAGAGATTATTGCAGGTTAGCTTGGAGGCCAGCTACCACAAGGCTAAATTGATTGTGTTTGAAATAATTTTTGAAATAATTGACCAGTCTTTGGAAATAAGATTTAGTTAATTCAGCACTTATAAATAATAGCCAAAAGCATGTGGCATTGAATGTACACAACTACCTTTTTGTTCACACTTTGTAGCAATACAGTAAAACTTGAAAATGTAAAGGCAAATATAGTTTGTAATTGTAATCTTCTTAGATTCATTTACACAATGGAGGTATTTTTTAGAGAAGATACTTTTTCATTAGGAATGTAATTGAGAACATCTACTCACTTCACACACCAAGGAGTTTACAGATGAAAGTGCATTAAGATCATTGTTAACCCGCACTGTGTAGAAGTTTAGAAGTGACAGGTTTAAATTAAAACCTCTTCCTTTTAGATTTTAAACTTTCTAATTTCACCTGATAAATGTACTCAATCACAGAAAGAAGAAAAGATAACTAACTTCTTCTAGGATCACTCAGCAGCACTTTTACATACTCAAATAAATAGACATTTCCAAAATAAAAGAGAAAATATTAACAATCACCACATTTTGGTAGTGAACAATCATCACAAAAGTCATATTGCGATATTACAGGGTCACAGAAGGAAGCACAGAGTGTAACATTTATTTTACTGTTTTGGGTATGGTATATTCTGGTATTTCAGGGCCCAGTTTCATTAAAACTCTTCCTTTAGGTTGTTATTGATTTCAAAGTCTTACTTAATGGAGGACTTGTGACATTTTACACATGTAGTCTATTTCATATTCAGTAATTTATGGTTCAAATTACTGGCCCTCATAACAAAATTGCTTGACTGAACCCTTCCTTGGCTCAACATCAAAACATAGTTCAAATAAGAGCCTTGGATGAATTTGAAAGCAGCTGTAGGCTCTGGATACTTCAGCATTATATTCCCTGTTCTTATACTCATCATGGTTTGGTAAAACTTACATAATGTTTATCGTGAAAAAGGAAAAGATGAATGTTCTGTACCTTTATGAGCCATGGAAGCTTAAACATTCAAGCTAACTTGGTTTCTTCCCCAATGAAGTTTTTGATAAGAAAATTTGTGTTTAAAATTTTATTAATCTTAAAAACAAGAATAATTGATATTCAAAATTTAGAATATAAGTTTCTTTTATTTCTGCCTTTTTTGTAAGAGAGTAGATGCAGTTACTGTATTATCACCTACTGTTTCCTACCTCAGCACACCTGAGGGTCATGGGCCAAGAAAGATATTAGTGTCATTAAATATTGCACTTTAAATTGGAAACATAAAAAAATACTAAGGATCGTTATGTTGCTCATGATCCATGATAGCTTTTTAGGAATTCTTGCGTAGAATGGAAAAAGCAAACCTCCTAGACTTACGTTATGTCTTGTAACACGTGACTCTTTGAGACGTAGGATTGGTTCTTTCAGGAGTATTTAGAATTGAAATAACTTTCTAGATTGGGAGCTTGACCTGTTTTTCTTTTGTGATTCTTGATTATACAATAGCATTCTCATTGTTCATTCACCAAAGCTGCAAATGCTATTTCTGGAAGAGATGTTGGTCTAAGAAGAAAACTGAGATAAACAAAGGAGTGTACAACTATACTAGTGTCTATTCTACCTAATTTTAGTTCTCAATGTGGAATATTCTAGTGAGAATACTTTTTCTTTCTTCCTTGGAATACATTTTGTGGGATATAAAGCAGAAAACAGCTAAAGCAAGCAGAAAAATCAAGTAGTTTGGTGTTGATTCTGAGTTTGGTGAAGATTTGAGTTAGAGTCCGGGACTCTGCTCTGATCAGCTTTTAGATTAGCTTAAGCCCCCATCCTCTTTAAGCGTATGTTGCTAGGCATTAGCACAGTATTGCAGAATTAGGCTGAAGCCAGACAGCTTAGGTTCAAACCCCAGACTTAGCCTTCTCTTGCTTAATGACCTCGTATGTGAAAAGAGGTTAGCTAGTAGTAGCTGACTTCCAGGGTGTTGGGAAGATTGCATTAATATGTAAGTGCAAAGTGCCAGGGGCTAAACTCTGCAATTATTAATTATTATCGTTATTTCATAGTCTGTAACTTTAGTAACTAACTTTTATATAACTCAAATAATAGAATACACAAAAAGTATTGTTACCATAAAGCACTATTAAAATATGAGAGATGATTATAATATTTAATAGGTGGTATAAACAATGGGATCCATAGATAGGCTGAGGAGCAGTATAAAGTAGAGATTAGAAAGTGAAATGGGGCAAACGACAAAAAACAACGGCAAAAAATTGTGGAATTTATGAAAGAATTTGAGCTACCAAGAAACAGAATTCAGGAACTATGTAATTGTAAGGTGTCTATAGTAAAATTGTTACTTCTATGTTGGATAATCAATAGCGTTTAACTTTTCTTCATGAATAAAATGTAATTGATTCACGTGTTGCACATGTGGTCTAGGTTTCCTCACAGGACAATCCATGGGACATAGCTGCATGGCAATTCCACGGTACCACTTCTCCGCTTCAGAATGCTTTAAGTACATATCTACATGGTTATTGAGAGAGAACACAAAACCTGAAATTCTCAAAAAGAACCATTTCTATTGCCTAGATGGTAAATTTGCTCTTTAAAAAAAGCTTTATTTAATGTTGATGGTATTTAATCAAGATTCTATGCAGATGGGATTGCTAGATAAAATATAGGACACTCAGTTAAATTCAAATTTCAGATAAACAACAAATATATATATATATTTTTCTGAGACTGGATCTTGCTCAGTCATCTAGGCTGATGTGCATGACCATAGGTCACACAACCTCAAACTCCCAGCCTCAATGGATCGTCCAACCTCAGCCATCCAAGTAACTGCAAATACATTTTTAGTATAAGTATACACTGTGGAATATTTGTTATTTAAAATTCAAATTCAAGTAGACATTCCATATTTTTATTTTCTAGTATGGCAACCTTATTCCAAGCCAGCTTTTTTGGGACAGCAACTTGCACATGTCTGTCTACTGAATGTTGCATAACAATGATACTTGTCAAGCATCTACTACGTACAGTGATTCAATCACTGGTTTCAAGTAATGAAGGTCAAGGACATATCAAGGTATTGGAGACTCAAAGTAGTGAAAGAGCTATAGTCCTCTTCCCTTATGTGATTCAAAATAAAAATATCTCCAAGCTGTAAAACGGATGTAAGAAAATTCAATTAGGTTGTGACTTTTTACATTCTGACTCCTGCTTTTTTGAAAAACATCAAATGTCAACTTTTTGCAAAAAAGATTTTTTTTCTCTCTTCTGAGTGTGTTTTCCCTGCCCTAGGTTTGCAGGCATTCCAAACTTGAGTCTCATCTGATTATTAAGTAATTCATGATTGTACACAGTACAGAGTAAGAGCTCAATGATTATCTTTTGAATAAATAAATGAATGGATGAATGAAGATGGGATATAGTAAAGGGAAGATAAAAAGACATATAACTGTGGAACAGGCAGAATATAGATTCCAAATTACAGATACAAACAAAATCCTTGGAGGTCCATGGGAATCATCCAAGGTCATCATAGTGTATGAACGGAATAAAGGGAAACAGGAAGATTTTTGACAGAAACTTATGGGACAGGAAAGTATTACATGACTATGAGTGAAGTATTTTACTAGGATATTATATTATTAAAAAAAGGCTTCTGCTTTCATGTTTGGGTTCCAAAATCTAGCACAGTGCCTGGTTCATTTTTAGTAATAAAAATCTATTTAGAAAGAATATAAGAAGAAAAACATAAAGAAAAGGTAAAAGAAAAAAGAAAAAAGAATGTTAATTAGTAATTGCTGGGAATAGGTGTAGAAATAGGAATTTGCATAACATATTAAAGTAAGATATGTTATGCAAATTCATAATAGGATATATTAAAATGAGTCAAATATAAAAATAGAAATTAAACTGCATCCAGAATATGCAGCACTTTGAAAGCAATGGTAGACAAGAAGATACTTTAAAACTTTTTTGTATGGCATTGTAATACAAAATTTGCATAATTAAGTGTGCTACTGTACAGAGATTGTATTAATATCAAGAGGGTCTTTTTGGTCATCCATTATAAAACAGTAGTTATTGAGGCATTTGGAATATATGCATATTTACTCATCAAGCATATACATATACTACAATAATAACATTATTTTATAATTGACAAATAAATTTGTATATATTCATACAATGTGATGTTTTGAAATATGTATACATGTGGAATGGCTAAAGCAAGCTAATTAACATATGAATTACCATACATATTTAACATTTTTTTTGTGATGAGAACACCTAAAATCTACTCTCTTAGCAAGTTTTAAGAATAAAAAAAATTGTTATTAACTATGGTCACCATGTTGTACAATAGATCTCTGGAACATATTTCTCTTATCTAACTGAAATTTTGTATCCTTTAACCAATATCTCCAGAACCCCCATAACTACAATAATAACATTTGGTACATTTTAAAACACATGCAAAAGTAAAAATTAGGTGTTTTATTTCATCTATTTTAATTTCTACTTTTGTGTGTAGAAGTTTTAATATTTGTCTCTCATGCTCTACTGGCTTATCGTGAGCAGTCATTAGAACGTATGAATTTCGCTTTGGAAATCTCCATAAAGGAGCTAGGAAAATCAATGGCATGATTTGGGAAATAACTAGGACAGAGGTATGAGAACCAGATTTCTATCTGTGATTGAGAAACTGTAAGGTGTAAAATATGGGCAAGAATCATTTCAGAAATAAGAATTTGTAAGTAATTAGATGTAGTGGGTAAGAAAAAGGAAAAAGTTGAGAATGAATGACTTCAGGGTTTATGACAAAAAGAACAATCTAATTGCTAATGAAAACATGAAGATCAAGATTATTTAATGACATTCATTAAATAATCATGTTCTAGGGACTGTGTCAAATCCTTCAGAATTTACTCCTTACAACACAGGATGGGCATAATTACTAGTTCCACCCGTCTTGAAGATGAGAAAACTGAACCCTAGAGAAACTGAGTTAATTTTCTCATGGTCCCAACTGTGGTAAATGTTGGAGCCAGGACTTGAGCCTGGGGTCAGTCTGATTCCAGAGTCTGTGCTCTTAAGCACCAGATTCTTCAAATTAACAGGAAAGGGTGAGGGAAAGAGAGGGTGGATAGAATGAAGGGATAGTAAGTCTGGTTTAGAAATGATGTGTGGTGAAAAATAACTTTAGACTTAGACAAATTTGAATTTAACCCCTCTTATCAACCAAAAAATAACATCTGAAAAGACTCCTCGTTTGAAAAATGGGGATAGTAACAAATATCATGAAATGTTATCAAAAAGATCAAAAGATACAGTGCTAATATAGTGCCTGTGACTAGTTATAGACTGATTGTTAACCCGAGTTACCATAAGCTATTTTTACTATTAGAACAGCTTGCGTAATTAAAAAAACAAAAAACAACCACCCAGAAATCAACTATAAATTGTTCATAGGCTGACACAGAACATAACTAGTGACTGCTATCTGAAGCTTCTAGTACTCAGTCTAAGGCAAATTTGAATAATGTTAATTATGTAGAGCCAAGGAGAATTTCATATTTTTATTATTGTCTAAAAATTAAACACTCGAGAGCTTAAATTTATTAAGTCCAAAGGGTGGTCTCTGAAGTTCAAGTAAGATGTCTATCTATTAATCTATTATTCTATCTATCTTGATGTCTATGAGGTTCTGATTCTAGTCGTGACTGAGAGAAAGCATTTCAAAAAAACCCTCACCAACACTGAGCAGTCCCGGTTACATTCAGGAGGTAGAAAGTAGTCTTAAGATTTGTAAATTATTATGGTGTGACAGTGCACCTTTCCTTTATCTTATTTATTTAATTGGCTTAACTAGGTTCCAGATGCCAGGCAGCTTCACATTAAACCCCCATGTTAGACAGTAGGACATCAAATAATTGGCTATTACAATTGTTCCCTCTTCCAAGCGTCCCCACTTAGTATGTGGAATAAATGGTTGACTCATGAAAGTAAGCTAGGTCGCTAAGCCACAGTCACTACACATCCAGGTATATACCCGATCAACACATGACTTTTCTAGTATAATTGCATTGTACTATCTTTCCCTCTTTTTTTCTAAACTAGTTCTCTAAATACAATCCAGGCCAAGATTAATGCATTTAAGCTGCTAGAACTTTCCCCATACCATTTCCCTATTAAAAATTAAGTGTCCAGCTGAAGTCCATCTAGAAAATGAAACCTTCCTTATGATCTTTGCAGCAAGTGACTTGTCTTCTGAACAACGGAAAAATCTTCTGTATTTAAAAATCCAAATATTTGATACTTAGTGTAAACTATCTTCAATTATGAATTGTAGGCTGGGCGTGCTGGCTCACACCTGTAATCCCAGCACTTTGGGAGGCTGAGGCCGGTGGTGGATCACTTGAGGTGAGGAGTTCGAGACCAGCCTAGCCAACATAGTGAAACCCCATATTTACTAAAAATACAAAAATTAATTGGGCATGTTGGCTGCACCTTCAGACCTACCTACTCTGGAGGCTGAGGCAGGAGAATCGCTTAAATCTGGGAGGTGGAGGTTGCAGTGAGCCGAGATCATGCCACTGCACTCCAGCCTGGACCCATAGCGAGACTCTGTCTCAAAAAAAAATTATGAATTGCATTGTTTTTGTTTTTGTACATGAATATGCCATATCTTTCCAATTAGATTTTATTCTTTTTAGGGCAGAGAATTTTTATACTTTTTTTACAGCCATGGAACAACCAAGTGCTTTATTTTATTGTTTTTCAAATTTTTGTGGATACACAGTAGTTGTATATATTTATGGGGTACATGAGAAACTTTGATATAAGCATAATACTCACACCATGGAAAATGGGATATCAATCCCCTCAAGCATTTATCTTTCATCTTACAATCACAATTAGACTCTTTTAGTTGTTTTTAATTGTACAAATAAATAATTTTGACTATAGTCACCCTGTTGGTTTTATATTTATTTATTTATTTAGAGGCAGAGTCTCGCTCTGTCGCCCAGGCTGAAGTGTGATTGCATAATCAACTCACTGCAACCTCCACCTCCTAGGTTTAAGTGATTCTCATGCCTCAGCCTCCCAAGTAGCTGGGATTACAAGCATTTGCCACCATGCCCAGCTAATTTTTGTATTTTTGGTAGAGATACAGTTTTGCCATGTTGACCAGGCTGGTCTCAAACTCCTGGCCTGAAGTCCTGGCCTGAAGTGATCCACCCACCTCGACCTCCTAAAGTGCTGGGATTACAGGCGTGAGCCACAGTGCCCGGCCTGCAATCAAAGCATCTGTAACTCTTCCGAACAGTTTCTTCGTAGGTGTTTTGGTTGGGGTTCTTCAGTTGAAACAGAAACTGACCCGACTGAAGAAAAAGCTGATGGAAAGACAGGAAGAGTGCAGTCTGACTTATAGATAGGCCCTTCCAGGAAGATTAATCTTAATATTCAGTTTCATCATTTTCTGATCTTGTGCCACTCACTCAAGATTTAAATTTTTATGACCGAGATTTTGATGGACCTATTTTGTGCCATTTGGGTATTCCCTTGATTTCCAGTTCCACAGAGATGACGTTCCCCCAATGAAATCCTTAAAAACAAGGAGTTACCCAGAAAACTGGGGGTAGATGCTGGAGGGGTACGAAGAGCAGGTAAGTCCTACCCCTTATTTCACAAACAGGGATGCTATACTTCTCTACCTGAAGATGATAATTCTGAGTTAAAGAAAAATGCCAATAGCTTACACACACAGCTAGACATGCAAATTTCCTTTGGAAACCAGACAACCAAATCTGGGATCTGAAGTTCCTAGAAGATTAATCACATTGAATATTAATATGCTGCTTTCTTAATCAGAATTAGACCTGTACTTATTTAGAATGAGTAGACCTGTTAAATAACCTTGGACAAGCTATTTAACATTTTTGAATGCAGCTTTGTAATTTTTGAAATAGGGATGATACTAATGTACTTAAATAAGTTGTTATAAAAATTAAATAAATGAATACCCAACGCATAATACAATATGCTAGGCTATAATGATTTTTCAACTATTGTTAGCTACAGCCATTATGAGTTTCAAGGTTGCAGATTCAGTTGATCAGTTCATCCAGTATTTCTTATTTATATCCAAACACCTTTCTAATTGGCTTATTTGCATTCAAATTAAAGACACGCCTAACCAGTGATCACATTTAAATACTGCTCCTCTTGAACATTAAATTACTTTTCTTAAAATCAAAACTTAAGGAATTATAAGTTTAATAAATATTTTTTATACTGCTCAAGGCTTTTTTCATTTTAATGCAGAGAACTACAGAAAAATATTAATTTCAGATAGTTTATTTAAGTGATATTAGAGAAACTAACAATCAGTTAAGGGTCTGAGAGCAGAGAAGACAGTTATGGTCGGATCTAGTTAGAGCTTTATGAAGACCCATCAATGCAAAAAATTAAAAATGTTCTCAACATAAAACTGAAAGATCAGATAAATCGAAATATTTGGAAGGTTATGTTTGTAAATATTTGAGGGACTGAGGGGAGTGGAAAAGAATATACTTACTTTCATAACATATAGATAAGATGGTAGAGATCTGAAGTTATAAAGCCTTAACATTCATGATAGGGAAGTATGCTTCAGTTTGATTTAAGCAAATGCTGAACAAAAAGGTTTAAATTGACCATTTAAGACAATTTAAAGGTTTAAATTGTCTCATATTCTTTCAGGTTATCCTAGAATGGCCAGAAATTTGATTTATTTACTTTATTCCCAAATAATCATATTGGAAAGTTTGCTAAGTTTTATAACTTTGGGATCCTTATAGCTTTCTTTTGGATTGTGGAAATAGGAAATAAAATAGAAAAATAGAAAATAAATAAGAATGTATATTTTTTTCTCTGTTTATATACAATCTACACTATTTAGGATTTCAATATGTGTTCTTGTGTAATGACAAACCTCTTTGGATATAACATGATAGGAAGTTTTGGAGAGATATTGGAGAAACTTATATATACTGGTGCTGAAGCAATCTTTACAAAAGTTTTTTTCTTTTTGACTAGGACGTTATTGCCTAAATCCCAGGGCATGGTGGATGCCAGGTGGTCTCCAAAATGTTTTGAATCTAAATGCCTTGTCATTTCCTAAGATAAATGAAAAATCTAATTAAATTATTCTAAAATTCAAAATTATTCTAAAAATGATTCTAAAGTACATAAAAATTATTCTAAAATTATTCTAAAAAAATTATTCTAAAATACATAAAAGCATCATGGTGAGTCTATTTAAAATGCACCCTCCTGTGGTCCATCTTCAGAGATTCTTATTCAGTAAAACGACAGAGAGTCTCAGGAATCTGGAGCTTTGTAAAGAAACTCAGATGATTTTGATACGGGTTGTTTACAGATTACACTTGGAGAACCAGGGTTTATGGCTTCTCTCTGATATCAGTACCACCTATTTATTATTAATTATTACAAGTTTCCTACTAATAGCTGCTCCTCCAATCAACTTCAACTCCCTGGTGGGGAGAACAGCAATAAAGAAGACCCAAAGGCTTTGTATGTATTATTGAATTGATTTTTGTATTTATATTTGAACGCAAATGTTGATACTTAAGCTGTATCCCCCCAAACCCTAGTTCCATTGCCTGTTAGTAGGTGTTCTACTAGAACAGAATTCCATAGTCAAACAGATTACTGTGTAATAATACTTTGTCTTCTCTTAGAGTTATAGACACATACCTCCATACAACATTATTTAGCTTTGTTTTAACCAGGCTTTCCATGATTCTAACTCTGGAATCTTCCTAGCAGAAGACAGCTTTACATCTTGCAGAAATACTGTTCCTCATTACAGAGAGTCTAAGCTCCGTCTTGCTTTCTTGCGGAACCTGATGTCTTTTTGACAATTCACACTACTGCTTTGATCTAAAAGCTCTTTCTGTGGCTCATTTGAAGCATACATGGAGTAAGATTAGTCAGAGACAGCAGTGTGAACAGAGCAGCAAACAAGGTTTCATCCAAAAGTAAATCTGATTTCATGGACTAAAGGATTCTTTATGTCTAAGGATGTATCTACAGGTAGTATAAGATGCTCCTCCGAACACCTCTTTTTAAAGGATTTGGAAATGGCATCAGGTAGATTTTGTGAGTAGAAAATGACTCAACACTTATTGGATGAAAGCAAAGACATGGAAAATCACATATAGTGACTACTGGTTTGGACCACATTGTGATCAAACAAATTTTATAAATATATTTGAAGGGGGGTTTATTTTTCATCATAGGGACCTGGAAAAAAATGAACAGAACAATAATTGTCAATATGCACAGCATCAGGTAGGAGACAGAATATTTTGACCAAAAACCAGGGGTAATATTGCTTAGGAAGGCTGTGTCTTTCTGGGAGAAGAATGGCCTCAGCTGAGAAGCTGCCTAGGATGATCCAAATTCCTGGTATTGATTCCTTGAATAATATTGTATTTTAGTTTCCATGTAGTTCTGCCTTAGAAAAAGCATATATTCATCATGGCAGTGAGTGCCCTCTGGTCCGAATAAAGTCATAATTCTTATTGTAAATGAATAAATTGGTATTCTGTTTTACATTCTAGTCTCTCATTAATTTAATTTAGAGTAAGTTAGTATCCCTGAGTCTGATCACATCTGAGGAACTACACAATTGATTTTCTGGGCAAAGAACTTTCCAAAAAAATACAGACTGCAACAAAATCACCATTATGATACTACCCTGTGAGGCTTTTGTAGAACATTACATAACACATTCTAGGTAAACCCTTATTTTTCTATTTGTTTCTCCTGAAAATGCAGCATATTGAATATAAAGATTTGTATGAAAACGTGAGCCTTGTTTCTAATGAAGATATTTTTGTTGTTTTGAGAAGAAAGAAGTAAATTTACTCCTCATCACTTGCCGTTGGTGTTGTTTAGCAGGCTCTATAGAAGAAATTATTCGCTTGAGAATTGATGTCTTCCTTTATTGCTTTTTCTCATAATCCTGCAAAACAGAGGAATAAAAGAAAATTACACTGGGCAAATATCTTATATGCTATTCTTAAATCTTGCAAATATAATTCCCAGTTTCTTTCATTTCAAATCATGAGGTTAAACTCAGCTCAGTCATGCAGTTCCAGCTGAAATTTGCTGGGACTTAACCTGCATAGCTAAATGTTCAATTTAAAAGTTCTTCTTGCACCTAATTTTCACCCAGTGAAAAAATATGTAGTTATTATGGGCAATTGTAATGTGAATTAAATTGTGCATAATTTTTAATACTTTCAACTGTGAGGTCTTTGAGGGGGCTTCCTAAATGAAATAATAAGCTTTTTTCTGATATTTACCTCTAACCCAACATTTAAGATTTTATAAAACTTTGAACATTTTTATACATGTTACAAAAACATTAACCCTTCATATTTTCTAGGTTAGAAAAATCTCCTCACATGTAATTGCAGAATCTCAAACTGTTTTTTTTTTAAATTTTTATTTTAGATTCGGTGGTACATGTGCAGATTTGTTATAAGAATATGTTGCATGATGCAAAGTTTGGGTTTCTACTGATTGTGTCACCTAAATAGTGAACATAGTACCCAATAGGAAGTTTTTCAGCCCTTGTCCCCTTCCCACCCTCCCTCCTTTTGGAGTCCCTAGTGTCTGTTGTTCCTGTCCTTACGTTCATGTGCACCCAAGATTTAGCTCCCACTTATAAGTGAGAACATGTGATATTTGCTTTTCTGTTTGTGTTAATTTGCTTAGGATAATGGCCTCCAACTGCATGCATGTTGTTGCAAAAGATACGATTTTTTCATATTTTTGGCTGTATAGCATTCCAATGGTGTATACGTACCACATTTTCTTTATCTAATCCGCTGTTGATGGGCACCTAGGTTGATTCCATGTCTTTGCTATTGTGAATAGTGCTGTGATGAACACATATGTGCATGTGTCTTTATGGCAGAATGATTTATATTCCTCTGGGTATATGCCCAGTAATGGTATTGCTGGGTTGAATGGTAGTTCTACTTTTAGTTCTTTGAGACATCTCCAAACTGCTTTCCACAGTGACTGAACTAATTTGCATTCCCACCAAAAGTGTATAAGTGTTCCTTTTTGTCTGCAGCCTCACCAACATCTTTTATTTTTTGATTTTTAAAAAAATAACAACTATTCTGACTGGTGAGACATGGTATCTCATTGTGGTTTTGATATGCATTTCTCTGATGATTAGTGATATTTAACATTTCATATGTTTGCTGGCTGCTTGTATGTCTTCTTTTGAGAAGTGTCTGTTCATGTCCATTGCCCACTATTTAATGGGTTTTTTTTTTTCTTGTTAATTTTTTTACATTCCTTATAAATTCTGGATATTAGTCTTTTGTTGGATGCTTACTTTGCAAATATTCTCTCCCATTCTGTAGTTTGTCTGTTTACTCTAGCGATAAGTTTCTTTTGCTGTGCAGAAGCTCGTTAGTTTAGTTTCATTAGGGTCCACTTGTCAATTTTTGTTTTTGTTGCAATTGCTTTTGAGAACTTAGTCATAAATTCTTTGTCAAGCTGATGTCCAGAAGCATATTTCCTAGATTGTCTTTCAGGATGTTTATAGTTTGAGGTCTTACATTTAAGTCTTTAATTTATTTGAGTTAAATTTAGTATATGGTAATAGGTAAGGGTCCAGTTCATTCTTTTGCATATGGTTAGCCAATTTTCCCAGCACCATTTATTGAATAGGGAGTCCTTTCCCCATAGCTTATTTTTGTGGACTTTGTCAAAGGTCAGTTTGTTGTAGGTATGCAGCTTTATTTCTGGGTTCCCTATTCTGTACCATTGGTGTATTGGTCTAATTTTTTACCAGTACCATGTTATTGTGGTTACTGTATCCTTGTAGTGTAGTTTGAAGTGCAATGATGTAATGATGTGATACCTGTAGTTTTTTTTTTTTTTTTCTTTTGAAATGGAGTCTCACTCTGTTGCCAGGCTGGAGTGCAGTGGGCAGTGGCATGATCTTGGCTCTTTGCAACCTCCGCCTCCTGGGTTCAGACGACTCTTCTGCCTCAGCCTTCCGAGTACTGGGACTACAGCTGCGTGCCACCATGCCCAGCTAATTTTTGTATTTTTAGTAGAGACGAGGCTTCACCATGTTGGCCAGGATGGTCTCGATCAGCTTTGTTCTTTTTGCCTAGGATTACTTTGGCTATTTGGGCTCTGTTTTGATTCCATATGAATTTTAAAATTGTTTTTTTCTAATTCTGTGAAAAGTGATGTTGATAATTTGATGGGAATAGCATTGAATCTGTAAATTGCTTTGGGCAATGTGAACATTTTAATAATATTGATTCTTCCAATCCATGAGCATGGAGTGTTTTTCCATTTGTTTGCATCATCTCTGATTTCTTTTAGCAGTGTTCAAAACTGTCTTTATCCTCTCACACATTTCAGTTCTAAGACTACTCCACAATTCTTTATTCTTAGTCTATCTTTTCTCAGTATCTTTTCTTTTGCTTTCTTGATATTATTATGTTAAAAAGAGAAATGCCCACCGACTTAATTTCTTCAGCATACATCTGAAAATTGGACAATGGAGACTTTACTCTTCTTCATTTCCTTAGCTGAATTTCTGATATTACTACAACAATACCAGAAGCCCTGGGATATGTCTGTACATCAATTTAAATTAACCATTATCCTGCAAGTTGCTCCAACACTATACTGCAATTAGAAAAGCTTTGTAGTTATACCAGTAAGTAGATATCCTCTTGAGTTCCCCCTGCTGTACTCTGGAAGGATAACTTATTTTTTATTTCATGTCAAAATGCAAATTTATAGCTTTCTTATGATATATTATAAGCAATTAAATTTACATAAAATGAAAAATAATGTTTAATTGAGTAGACACATTTATATATATTCCTTAAAATATTAAAATAAAAATGTATAATCAGGTGAAATGTTTCTCAGTATTATTTATCTGGCTATAACAAAATAAAATACCTGGGATACTTTGCCAATTGATAATTTTCAAATACGATAGTTTTTTTTTTTTGAGATGGAGTCTCTTTCTGTCACCCAGGCTGGAGTGCAACGGTGCGATCTCGGCTCACTGAAACCTCTGCCCCCCAGATTCAAGAGATTTTCCTGCTTCTGCCACCTGAGTAGCTGGGATTACAAGCATGTGCCACCATGCCCAGCTAATTTTTGTATTTTTAGTAGAGACAGGAATTCACCATGATGGCCAAGCTGGTCTCGAACTCCTGACCTCAAGTGATCCACCTGCCTCTGCCTCCCAAAGTACTGGGATTACAGGCGTAAGCCACTGTGCTAGGCCAAAAACGATAGTTTTTAAAGAACTTATTTTCTATTATTTCATTATCATTGCTCAAAATCAGTACACGTCTAAGAGATAAGGGGATACTAAATAAAATAATGGTTAGGCTACACAAGTAATCCATAATTCACTTTGATATGAAGTCAAGGGTACTATCTCTTCAGTCAGTTTTCATATTTTGAAATGTATTTATTGAGTACTTACATTAGGCCAAGGGCTAGGTCTGGGGTTATGGACTAGGGATATATTAGTGGACCATGATCTAATGGTTTTTAAAAACTACTGGAGAAGACAGATAATTGCACAATTATTTACACCATTATTTAATTACAAGGCCCTGGGAAGAAGGATCTGCATCTTTTTAAAATTGACAACGAAGAGCATGATTAGATTATGGTGTATGACGAGGAAATGACCTTCTGTGAGATTTAAGGCTCAGGGAGAGGCAGTCAATTAAAACATTTATACCATGTTAGTAATTCTAGAGTAAACCTCCCAAATAATGCGACGTCATTATAAAAATTTAAGTGTGAGAATAATGCAACCTGATCAGATTTACATATTTCCCCCCACATTTTGTTATGAAAATGTTTTCAAACCACTATTTGAAATTATTGTAAACTTCCACATACCTACCAACTTGATGTTACAGTTGTACATATTTTGCTATATTTGTTTTAGCCCATTCATTTTCTTTTCAACTTTTATTTTAGGTTCAGAGGTACTTGTGCAGGTTTGTCACATAGGTAAACTCATGTCACGGGGGTTTGTTGTACAGATTATTTCATCACCCAAGTACTAAGCCTAGTACCCAGTAGTTATTTTGTCACTCAGGTAATAAGCATAGTAACTAACAGGTAGTTTTTCTATCTTCACCCTCCTCCTACCCTCCACCTGAAAGTATGCCCCAGTGTCTTCTTTTCCCCTGTTTGTGTCCATGAGTCCTCATCATTTAGCTCCCACTTACAAGTGAGAACATGTGGTATTTGGTTTTCTGTTCTTGTGTTAGTTTGCCAAAGATAATGACCTCCAGCTCCATCCATGCTCTTGGAAAGGACGTGACCTCATTCTTTTTTTATGGCTGCATTGTATTTCTTGTTGCATATGTAACACATTTTCTTTATCCAATCTGCCATTGATGTAGCCCATTCATTTATCCATTCAATTAGCCACCTATTAATCTAACTTATTTTAAGAGGGTTTTAATATGAGATGTAACTTACATACAATAAAACTTGCCCTTTCTAGTATATAGTTCCATGCTCTGACAAAGCAGAGTCATGGCAATATCACCACAATCAGGATACATAACAGTTTAATCGTATATGTCTAATGCATTTCAGAGTTTTCTTTAGATATCAGTGCATTTCATATCTAAGCATTTCAACATGCATATAATTCATTAGAGCTCAATATTTGTTTATGATTACTTATATTTTTTGAAGTGAATTTTACATAGAATGAAATACATCATTCATAATCTTTCTATGAGCACTGATAAATGCATAAACCTGACCTGTGCAATGCTGAATCTCTACAAAGATATAGAACATTTTCATCATCCCCTCTAAAATCTCCTTCTGCTCTTTTGCAGTCAATTTCTGGTCCCACTTTCCCCTTCACATTACATTAACAACCAGGGTTCTGATTTTTCTTATATAACCATAGGTTGGTTTTGCCTATTCTAGAATTTCAGATAAATCAAGTCAAAGAGCATATGTTCTTTTGTGTAAGTCTTCTTTAGGTTAACATTATATTTCTGAGATACGAACATGTTGGGTATATCATTAGTTCTGTTTAAATTGCTGAGTACTATCTCGTTGTATAAATAGATCATAGTTTGTCTGTCCATTCTTCTGTTGATTGAAACCTGGGATGTTTTCAGTTTTGGCGATTATGAATAAAGCTATCACTAACATTCTTATACAAAGCTTTTAGTGAAAAAGAAGCACATGTTTTTATTTTTCCCAGATAAATATCTAGAATTGGAATTTATCTGTCATGGAGACATTTGCTTAGCTTAATTTTTTTAAAAGCCAGAATGTTTTACAAACTGGCTCATCAGCATAACAGTTTAAAAAACCATGCTGCCTATAGGATGGATAATGGCTTGGGACTAAGGGAAAGTATATCGGGGAAGATAAATTGTAATGTTTAGACTTAACAGGGGCTAATGGATATAGAGGAGAGTTGATATAATTAAGATATATTTACAGGATAGAATAAATGGGATTAGGTAGGAGATAGGATTTGAGGGGAGGGATATGGATTAGTCAGATTTCAGCGTGAACAAATGCAAGATGGTAGTATGACTTACAGAGATGGAGAGCACTGATGGAAATGGGGAGCCATCAGGTCTAGAGGAAAATGCCTGAGCTCCATTTGGAACATATGCCAGTTGGATGTTCTCTCTTTTGGAATAATAATTAGCTGATTTGTGGCAATTTGTATATTGTTAGAACCAGAAAGAAAAATAAATGCAATCTATTTTGCTATGCACCAAATAGACCTGTGTTTCCTAAATTTAAGCTGCTTTACCCTTCCCCCCTTCCCTTGAAATAAAATACTTTTACTTATAATTTACTCTAAAAAAGAACATACATTTTATTTCTTCATGTTTAAAATTATTATAAATGTTAAAATATAACCTATTAAGTTACATTCATTTCTATACCTTCGAATTTGTGACTCTTGTTTGAAAAAAAATCATAGCACTTTTATTGGACAAGGAGATGATTTATTACATAAGATTTAATTAGGATAAATGAGGGATATTATACGGTACAATATTTTCACAGATGGTTGAAATCACATTGGGAAAAGCTTGGATTCAAGTTCGTCTATTTAAGTTGCTTAAGATAATTTAGATAGAATTTGAAGGAATTAAGTTTACCAGCAGTTTAAAGCATTACATTTATATTAAAGCACAAACAAGAATCATAATCCTTGTTAAAGTTACCACAGAATTAAAACTCCTTAACCAATAAAGTCAAATGAAGTTTTTAAAAAGACTTGTATAAGTCTTTTTAATTTGTGTTTTGCTCAAAAGTAATGCCTGCCTAATGTTAATGAGGATCCTAATCAAACTGATTTGGGACATAATTTTAGCCAGAACACCTTTTCCTATTTAGCTATCCTTGAAACAAGACAATGACATTTTAAATAATTACAGAAGTGCTGTGAGAGATAACAAAAATGAAAATAGGCACTATGTATAAAAAAGGGACCTCTACAAGCCATTTAATGTTTAAATATGCTTTTTATTACATGATTTTTTATAAATGTTGAGAAAAACTATTTAAAATTTGTATTGGCAGTCTCAAATCTCATGTTATATCACCTATCATAGTTATGTAAAATAATGTGCTGTCATTAAAATGTAATTAAATATTCACATTTCATGCCAAGCTGTCAACAAGCCTCATTTTGCTTAATTATCTATAGATTTTCTGGACCACCTGTTTTCAGGAGGGCTTTTCATTTCTAGGAGGTCAATGGAAGGAAAAGAAAATGAAGATTTTTGCCAATCACCTTGTTTAGAATGCATTTGTTCCTGATTGAAGAATGGCTCTAGCCTCCCTTAGTGCTTGGTATTTCACTCTTATCCAGAGGTCACGGGCTTTTAACAAGCAGTTGTAAAGCCTGACCGGAAGCTAAAAACAAAAAGCAGATCTATTTAAACAAACACAGTTTAAATATTGCAAAAGCTGGTAAATAACAGTACATTTGTTTTTTGGTCTATTCAAGTCTTCTGAATGTCCTTAACAAAGTTAAATAAAGGTTTTATTCATTCGCAACTCATTGTTTCCTGCTTGCTAATGCTCATCTGGAATATATGAATTGTAATTTGAAAGATTATATTAATTTTCTAATGAGCTACATGAATATATGAAAATAAAGTTTAAAAATAAAAAAATTAAACAGATTATTGTTTACAAGAATGACATTGAGAGAGGATCCCTAAACTTTGTTTAGCAAACATAAAAAAGTAATCTGTAGTGACTAGTAGGTTTGTTCGCTTTTGTTTCATTTTTTTCCTTTAATACATTTAGAGATTTATTGGCATTTAGAGAGCGAATTTTACAAACCTGTTAAATGACACATCATAGTTTCCTTCACATTTTTTAAACTAGTCTGTCTCTTATAGAATGTAATGTAGGACAGTGGTTAAGACTCGGCCTCTAGAGGCAACCTGCCTAGGTTTGAATCCCAGCATTATCATGTGCTGAAAATGACTTTAGGCAAGTTACTTAATCTCTCTGTGATTTAATTTCCTCATCAATAAAATAAAAGAGAAAAACAGTATTGACTTCCTAAAATTGTTAAAAAGATGAAGGGCATGTAAAGTGGTTGTTTCATATAAGAGATAAAGTCTTGGGCTAGGGTAGTAAAATTGGGCATGAAAGTAATCAGACAGAAGAACAGTATATTTTCCAAGTGAAATTGACAGGCTTTGGTGAGCAATTAATGTCTGGTGACTTTCAGCTGCCAGTTGATGTTAAGGTGATTGCAAAAGCATGAGGGATGTTTTTGGAAGCATGATATCTTCAGTGGTAAACACAGGCCCCGGCAGCAGGTCACAGTGATTGTATTCATCATGCGCATGGGTGGTAAGTGGGAAGGGATCACCTCCAAAGCCTTCTTACCTGGAAATACTTTTTCATGGGTAGCATATCAATGAGTACAGCACATTCAGGCAGGAGAAATGGGGCTCAACTTGCGGATCAAAGAAGAGCTAAGGACAAAAATTTTTAAATGGAATTGGAAGTGTCTCATCCCAGTTATGGGAATCTATCCAGAAGAAAGCATCATTGACTTCCCTTTCACAACTCAGCCCATTTATAACCAGCTTCTGCCATCATTTGTCCACAATAACTGCTATTGCCAAGATCATCCGTGATTTTCCTTTACCAAATTCAATGGAGTCTTATCAATGGCTTTTGACAGGAAAATTTTCATCCAAAGATCTAGTTATCTAATTTAAGTTCTATCTATGTTGGTGATCACATTCATTTTCATGGCTTCATTTATTAATTTTTAACTGGCAGTTAAAAATTGTATATATTTATGGTATACAGCATAATGTTTTGATCCATAGCTTCAAATCCCATTTTATATTTGTAATCCCATACTCTCATTTGGATTTAATATCCATATGTCCTCTGATTAATCAAACAATTCTACTTTGGTGTTTTAAATATAACATATCCAGAATCAAACTTTTTATTTCTATATCCAGACATTTTCCTCCCAAGTCGATTAATTTCCAATAATGACAAGACTGTTTTTGCAATTTGCTAAGCTAGAAACTTGAGATTTACCCTCAATTATTCCACACCATACTCATGCTTGTCCTCCAATTTAATCCACAATTCTTATTAATTTATACCTTCAAAATATATTTCAAATCTGTAGATTCCTGTCCATTTCTATTTCTGCATTCTATTGTAAACCATCATTTCTGACCCATTTTCACTTTTGCCACTTCCTAAATAATTCAATCAATTTCCGTATAAGGACTTTGGGAGGCTGAGGCAGGCAGATCACGAGGTCAGGAGATCAGGACCATCCTGGCTAACACGGTGAAATCCTGTCTCTACTAAAAAATACAAAAAATTAGCCAGGCATAGTGGCGGGTGCCTGTAGCCCCAGCTACTGAGGAGGCTGAGGCAGGAGAATGGCATGAACCCGGGAGGTGGAGCTTGCAGTGAGCCGAGATTGTGCCACTGCACTCCAGCCTGGATGACAGAGTGAGTCTCCATCTCAAAAAAAAAAATAAAAATTTCCATATAAGGGATCACATTGATATTTTTAAAACATAAATTTGATCATTTTATTTTTTGTGTTAAATTTTTCAATAGTTCTCCATTGTATTTAGAATGAACTATACAGTCATTGATGCCTACCAAGTACACCCTGTCCCTCACATCCAACAGAATAAAAGTTTATTTCTCCAATCTCATTCCCATTTTCCCCACTTCCCCAATAACCATGTGTCAGCCACTCTCTTCATTTAGTTCCTAAAACCACCCCTAGACTTTTGCACATGTTCTTAGGCAGGTCACTTTTCCCCACTCATCTCTTAAAGTATCATTAGAATGCATGTATCAGTATAAGTGGCTGTCTTTATTAGTTATATCTAAACTAGTTCTCCTCATATTTTCTATCATAGAAAACTTTGCATTTTTTAAATATCATCTTGCACCATGATTTATAATTATCTTTTCTGTATGTTGTATTTGTTTGTTGTCTGTCTTCTTCGCAAGACTGAATTGCCATGAGGTTTGGGATAGTATCTGCCTCATGCAGTAGTGTCTCTCCCCATACCTACCATAATTTTCAATGCACTGGAGATGCTCAAAAACAGGTATTGGCTGAATGAATGCTTTTGTGAGAAATACACATCTGGGGGGGCGGTTCCAAGATGGCTGAATAGGAACAGCTCCAGTCTACAGCTACCAGCATGAGTGATACAGAAGACAGGTGATTTCTGCATTTCCAACTGAGGTACCGGGTTCAACTCACTGGGGCTTGTCGGACAGTCAGTGCAGGACAGTGGGTGCAGCTCACCAAGCGTGAGTTGAAGCAGGGCAAGGCATCACCTCACCTGGGAAGTGCAAGGGGTCAGGGAATTCCCTTTCCTAGCAAAGGGAAGGGGTGACAGACAGCACCTGGAAAATTGGGTCACTCCCATCCTAATACAGTGCTTTTCCAATGGTCTTAGCAAATGGCACACCAGGAGATTATATCCCATGCCTGGCTCAGATTGTTGCATGCCCACAGAGCCTAGCTCATTGCTAGCACAGCAGTCTGAGATCAAACAGCAAGGTGGCAGAGAGGCTGGGGGAGGGGTGCCCACCATTGCTGAGGCTTGACTAGGTAAACAAAGCGGATGGGAAGCTTGAATTGAACTTGGTGGAGCCCACCGCAGCTCAAGGAGGCCTGCCTGCCTCTGTAGACTCCACCTCTGGGGGCAGGGCATAGCCAAACAAAAGACAGCAGAAACCTCTGCAGACTTAAATGTCCCTGACTGACAGCTTTGAAGAGAGTAGTGGTTCACCCCGCTTGCAACTTGAGATCCGAGAAAGGACAGACTGCCTCCTCAAGTGGGTCCCTGACCCCTGAGTAGCCTAACTGGGAGGCACCCCCCAGTAGGTGCAGACTGACAACTCACATGGCCGGGTACCCCTGTGAGATGAAGCTTCCAGAGGAACGGTCAGGCAGAAACATTTGCTGTTCACCAATATTCGCTGTTCTGCAGCCTCCGCTGGTGATACCCAGGCAAACAGCGTCTGGAGTGGATCTCCAGCAAACTCCAACAGACCTGTAGCTGAGGGTCCTAACTGTTAGAAGGAAAACTAACGAACAGAAAGGACATCCATACTAAAACCCCATCTGCATGTCACCGTCATCAAAGACCAAAGGTAGATAAAACCACAAAGATGGGGAAAAAACAGAGCAGAAAAGCTGAAAACTCTAAAAATCAGAGTGCCTCCCCCCTCCAAAGGAACGCAGATCCTTGCCAGCAATGGAACAAAACTGGATGGAGAATGACTTTGATGAGTTGAGAGAAGGCTCAGATGATCAAACTTCTCCAAGCTAAAGGAGGAAGTTCGAACCCATCACAAAGAAGCTAAAAACCTTGAAAAAAGATTAGACGAATGGCTAACTAGAATAAAAAGTGTAGAGAAGTCCTTAAAGGATGTGATGTAGTTGAAAACCATGGCACAAGAACTACATGATGCATGCACAAGCTTCAGTAGCTGATTTGATCAGCTGGAAGGAAGAGTATCAGTGATTGAAGATCAAATGAATGAAATGAAGTGAGAAGAGAAGTTTAGAGAAAAAAAGTAAAAAGAAATGAACAAAGCCTTCCAGAAATATGGGACTATGTGAAAAGACCAAATCTACGTCTGATTGGTGTACCTGAAAGTGACAGGGAGAATGGAACCAAGCTGGAAAACACTCTGCAGGATATTATCCAGGAGAACTTCCCCAACCTATCAAGGCAGGCCAACATTCAAATTCAGGAAATACAGAGAATGCCACAAAGATACTCCTCGAGAAGAGCAACTCCAAGACACATAATTGTCAGATTCACCAAAGTTGAAATGAAGGAAAAAATGTTAAGGGCAGCCAGAGAGAAAGGTCGGATTACCCACAAAAGGAAGCCCATCAGACTAACAGCTGATCTCTCAGCAGAAACTCTTTAAGCCAGAAGAGAGTGGGGGACAATATTCAACATTCTTAAAGAAAATAATTTTCAACCCAGAATTTCATATCCAGCCAAATTAAGCTTCATAAGTGAAGGAGAAATAAAATCCTTTACAGACAAGCAAATGCTGAGAGATTTTGTCACCACCAGGTCTGCCATACAAGAGCTCCCGAAGGAAGCACTGGACAAGAAAAGGAACAACCGGTACCAGCCACTGCAAAAACATGCCAAATTGTAAAGGCCATCGATGCTAGGAAGAAACTGCATCAACTAACGAGCAAAATAACCAGCTAATATCATAATGACAGGATCAAATTCACACATAACAATATTAACCTTAAATGTAAATGGGCTAAATGCTCCAGTTGAAAGATACAGACTGGAAAATTGGATAAAGAGTCAAGACCCATCAGCGTGCTGTATTCAGGAGACCCATCTCATGTGCAGAGACACATATAGGCTCGAAATAAAGGGATGGAGGAAGATCTACCAAGCAAGTGGAAAACAAAAAAAGTCAGGGGTTGTGATCCTAGTCTCTTTAAAACAGACTTTAAACCAACAAAGATCAAAAGAGACAAACAAGGTCATTACATAATGGTAAAGGGATCATTTCAACAAGAAGAGTTAACTATCCTAAATATATATGCACCCAATACAGGAGCACCCAGATTCATAAAGCAAGCCCTTAGAGACTTACAAAGAGACTTTGACTCCCACACAATAATAATGGCAGATTTTAACACCCCACTGTCAACATTAGACAGATCAACGAGACAGAAAGTTAACAAGGATAACCAGGACTTGAACTCAGCTCTGCACCAAGCAGACCTATTAGACATCTACAGAACTCTCCACCCCAAATCAGCAGCATATACATTCTTCTCAGCACCATATCACACTTATTTCAAAATTGACCACATAGTTGGAAGTAAAGAATCCTCAGCAAATGTAAAAGAACAGAACTCACAACAAACTGTCTCTCAGACCACAGTGCAATCAAACTAGAACTCAGGATTAAGAAACGCACTCAAAACTGCTCAACTACATGGAAACTGAACAACCTGCTCCTGAATGACTACTGGGTACATAAAGAAATGAAGGCAGAAATGAAGATGCTCTTTGAAACCAATGAGAACAAAGACACAACATACCAGAATCTCTGGGACACATTTAAAGTAATGTGTAGAGGGAAATTTATAGCACTAAATGCCCACAAGAGAAAGCAGGAAAGATCTAAAATTGACACCCTAACATCACAATTAAAAGAACTAGAGAAGCAAGAGCAAACACATTCAAAAGCTAGCAGAAGGCAAGAAATAACTAAGATCAGAGCAGAAATGAAGGAGACAGAGACACAAAAAAACCTTCAAAAAATCAATGAATCCAGGAGCTGGTTTTTTGAAAAGATCAACAAAATTGATAGACCACTAGCAAGACTAATAAAGAAGAAAAGAGAGAAGAATCAAATAGATGCAATGAAAAATGATAAAGGGGATATCACCACTGATCCCACAGAAATACAAACTACCATCAGAGAATACTATAAACACCTCTACGCAAATAAACTAGAAAATCTAGAAGAAATGGATAAATTCCTGCACACATACACCCTCCTAAGACTAATCCAGGAAGAAGTTGAATCCCTGAATAGACCAATAACAGGCTCTGAAATTGAGGCAATAATTAATAGCCTACCAACCAAAAAAAGTCCAGGACCAGACGGATTCACAGCCAAATTCTACCAGAGGTACAAGGAGGAGATGATACCATTCCTTCTAAAACTATTCTGATGAATAGAGAAAGAGGGAATCCTCCCTAATTCATTTTATGAGGCCAGCATCATCCTGATACCAAAGCCAGGCAGAGACACAAGAGAAAAAGAGAATTTTAGACCAATATCCCTGATGAACATCGATGCAAAAATCCTCAATAAAATACTGGCAAACCAAATCCAGCAGCACATCAAAAAGCTTATCCACCATGATCAAGTGGGCTTCATCCCTGGGATGCAAGACTGCTTCACCATATGCAAATCAATAAATGTAATCCAGCATATAAACAGAACCAACAACAAAAACCACATGATTATCTCAACAGATGCAGAAAAGGCCTTTGACAAAATTCAACAGCCCTTCATGTTAAAAACTTTCAATAAATTAGGTATTGATGGGACAGATCTCAAAATAATAAGAGCTATTTATGACAAACCCACAGCCAATATCATGCTGAATGGGCAAAAACTGGAAGCATTCCCTTTGAAAACTGGCACAAGACAGGGATGCCCTCTCTCACCACTCCTATTCAACATACAGTTGGAAGTTCTGGCCAGGGCAATCAGGCAGGAGAAAGAAATAAAGGGTATTCAACTAGGAAAAGAGGAAGTCAAATTGTCCCTGTTTGCAGATGACATGATTGTATATTTAGAAAACCCCATTTTCTCAGCCCAATATCTCCTTAAACTGATAATCAACTTCAGCAAAGTCTCAGGATACAAAATCAACGTGCAAAAATCACAAGCATCTTATACACCAATAACAGACAAACAGAGAGACAAATCATGAGTGAACTCCCATTCACAACTGCTTCAAAGAGAATAAAATACCTAGGAATCCAACTTAGAAGGGATGTGAAGGACCTCTTCAAGGAGAACCACAAACCACTGCTCAACGAAATAAAAGAGGACACAAAGAAATGGAAGAACATTCCGTGCTCATGGATAGGAAGAATCAATATTGTGAAAATGGTCACACTGCCCAAGGTAATTTATAGATTCAATGCCATCCCCATCAAGCTACCAATGACTTTCTTTAAATAATTGGAAAAAAAATACTTCAAAATTCATATGGAACCAAAAAAGAGCTCACATTGCCAAGTCAATCCTAAGCCAAAAGAACAAAGCTGGAGGCATCATGCTACCTGACTTCAAACTATACTACAAGGCTACAGTAACCAAAACAGCATGGTACTGGTACCAAAACAGAGATATAGACCAATGGAACAGAACAGAGCCCTCAGAAATAATACCACACATCTACAACCATCTGATCTTTGACAAACCTGACAAAAACAAGAAATGGGGAAAGATTCCCTATTTAATAAATGGTGCTGGGAAAACTGGCTAGCCATATGTAGAAAGCTGAAACTGGATCCCTTCCTTACACCTGATACAAAAATTATTTCAAGATGATTAAAGACTTAAATGTTAGACCTAAAACCATAGAAACCCTAGAAGAAAACCTAGGCAATACCATTCAGGACATAGGCATGGGCAAGGACTTCATGTCTAAAACACCAAAAGCAATGGCAACAAAAGCCAAAGTTGACAAATGGGATCTAATTAAACTAAAGAGCTTCTGCACAGCAAAAGAAACTATCATCAGAGTGAACAGGCAACCTACAGAATGGGAGAAAATTTTTGCAATCTACTCATCTGACAAAGGGCTGATATCCAGAATCTACAAAGAACTCAAACAAATATACAAGAAAAAAAATAAACAACCCCATCAAAAAGTGGGTGAAGGATATGAAGAGACACTTCTTAAAAGGAGACATTTATGCATCCAACAGACACATGAAAAAATGCTCATCATCACTGGCCATCAGAGAAATGCAAATCAAAACCACAATGAGATACCATCTCACACCTGTTAGAATGGCATTCATTAAAAAGTCAGGAAACAACAGGTGTTGGAGAGGATGTGGAGAAATAGGAACACTTTTACACTGTTGGTGGAACTGTAAACTAGTTCAACCATTGTGGAAAACAGTGTGGTGCTTCCTCAAGGATCTAGAACTAGAAATACCATTTCATCCAGCCATCCCATTACTGGGTATATACCCAAAGGATTATAAATCATGCTGCTATAAAGACACATGCACACGTATGTTTATTGAGGCACTATTCACAATAGCAAAGACTTGGAACCAACCCAAATGTCCAACAATGATAGAATGGATTAAGAAAATGTGGCACATATACATCATTGAATATTATGCAGCCATAATAAATGATGAGTTCACATCCTTTGTAGGGACATGGATGAAGCTGGAAATCATCATTCTCAGCAAACTATCACAAGGACAGAAAACCAAACACCGCATGTTCTCACTCATAGGTGGGAATTGAACAATGAGAACACTTGGACACAGGAAGGGGAACATCACACACCAGGGCCTGTCATGGGGTGAGCGGAGCGGGGAGGGATAGCACTAGGAGATATACCTAATGTAAATGACCAGTTAATGGGTGCAGCACACCAACGTGGCACATGTATACATATGTAACAAACCTGCACGTTGTGCACACGTACCCTAGAACTTAAAGTACAATTAAAAAAAAGAGAAATACACGTCTAGCTCTGTGTGGGTGAATGTTGCATATATATGTGTGATCTAAATGGACTCACATTAAAAGGATGTAAGCCTGAATTCAGAATGTTCTTGCTAGTTCTTTGATTGTTTTAAAGAGAAGTTACTGTAAGTCAAGAGATGCCTTTTTCTAAAGTGACTTCTGTCCTTAGTGCTCTTTGAAAATCATGTCTAAGTTTCACTGAGTATATATTACAAAATTATCCTGACTAAATGTAAGTGGGCAAGGAATAGACATAGTCTGGCTGCTGCTTTCCACTAAGAGTCTTAACTATATATTTGAGATCACTTGGGATGCACATTCACAGCCGTAGTTATTCAGTGTTGTTCTGTGGCACTGGTTGAGAATATAAACAATAAAGAGACCCAAATTGTAGTCTCTCCAGAAGGAAACCGGCAACTTCAAGTCTCCTTAGTAAGCACAACACTTGAAAATTGTTCCCCTAGAGAAAGCAGATGCTCAGAAACACAAATTGGTTATCAGAACAGATTTATTGGAAAACACATGTACAGTGCATTTATATACACTTAGATGTATGAGTAATCATAAACCCACTAATAGTTATGTCTGACAATCTATTTTATCAAGTTCTCAACATTTTGATATTCAATGATTGAGATCTTAGCTTTTTTTTGTTTGTGGGCAAGTGTTTCTTTTATCTTGCATGTGGCTGAAGTGGAATTGATTTTTTATAAGTGCTCACAGAAATGAACAGATTCTGAGCAACAATAGGTAACTCATTCGGTCAAAAACATTAAATACATTATTTTGACTTAAAATTTTCTTCTCATTTTTTATTGTATGGCCTGGTGAACAGAGATTAACTGAATGGAAAATCGTTGTCTGCAGCTAGCTTTATGTCTGTTTCTCAACATAAGTGGTGCTCCCAAATTTGTTTTTCTATTATTCACTTGGCCTGAAACTTATCCTAAAAACTTAGAATAAATAAATGTATTGTTTTGCTTAAAGCTTTCCCTAAACTTCAGATCTGAGTTAGGCACTTATTTCTCAGTGTTCCCTAATGTTTTTGCTATACAGTATATAATATCTTGTTATGTTTAATTCTTAATTTATTTCAGAAAACTCAATATTGTAGATATGAATCTATTTTTGCATGTAATTAGTATCACTACAAATGAACTAAACTCATCAGTTAATAATAAAAAATTGTACACAAGATTTTTGAGAAAAACAATCATATGATACATGCAAGAGGGTGATTAAAATAAAAGAAAGCAGAAATGCTGAAGCTAAAATGATGTTTAAAAAAAACCGTGGGACTGTAAACTAGTTCAACCATTGTGGAAGTCAGTGTGGCGATTCCTCAGGGATCTAGAACTAGAAATACCATTTGACCCAGCCATCCCATTACTGGGTATATACCCAAATGACTATAAATCATGCTGCTATAAAGACACATGCACACGTATGTTTATTGCGGCATTATTCACAATAGCAAAGACTTGGAACCAACCCAAATGTCCAACAATGATAGACTGGATTAAGAAAATGTGGCACATATACACCATGGAATACTATGCAGCCATAAAAAAGGATGAGTTCATGTCCTTTGTAGGGACATGGATGAAATTGGAAACCATCATTCTCAGTAAACTATCGCAAGAACAAAAAACCAAACACCGCATATTCTCACTCATAGGTGGGAATTGAACAATGAGATCACATGGTCACAGGAAGGGGAATATCACACTCTGGGGACTGTGGTGGGGTGGGGGGAGGGGGGAGGGGTAGCACTGGGAGATATACCTAATGCTAGATGACGAGTTAGTGGGTGCAGTGCACCAGCATGGCACATGTATACATATGTAACTAACCTGCACAATGTGCACATGTACCCTAAAACTTAAAGTATAATAATAAAAAAAAAACCACCAATTTTATTCGATAAACTAATTTTTGAGGCTTAAGTTATTATGAGAGATAACATAAGGAAGAATAACTGTATTACCAGAAAAATTGTCAGGAAGAATTCCTTTTAATTGTGGTTTCTGCCCTACAAAGCAGATGCCAAATAAAGTTTTTATATATAATGATGGATGAATAATATTTTCATAAAGTGTTTTATTTTTAAAAACTCATTTATATTCTTTATTTTTTCACCAGTGTGCAATAATATATACATTTTTAACTGAACAGTATTTATATATTGGGTGAGAAAATGAAACTAAGAAACTCTCTAAGCATGTGAATAAATAATTTACATAAAAAATTACTGAAGTCTCAAAGTTTATAAAACAAGAACAAAGAAATATAAAACAATAAATACACACATAAATACACATATACACATAAATACATATATATTTATGTGTGTATATAAAACCTATCAGATTGGTAGTTTTTTAAATTAAAAAATGCTAGAAAATATGTAGTAGATACTATTATCAAACTCTGTTGGTAGACATAGATTTTTTCCATCATTTTTAAAACAGAAATTTTGTAATAAAAATTGAGCAGAGATAAGTGCAAAAATTAATGTTCAAGGGTATTAATAGTATTTATTATAGTAAATACTACTTAGTGGGGGAAAATTTTAAATATACAACAGGACATATGATACTCTACAATTAATTTTAAAATGAAGCATATGTAATTATTTGTGTGTGTGTGTGTGCATGTATGTCTAATGTGTCTATTGGTACAATTTCTAAAAAAAATTATATTAAAAAAACTTTCTCATTCAAAATGTCAGAATAATTTTTTCATTTATTATTGTGCCCCCATGACAATTTTAAAATGAAAGTAAAGAAAGTATGAAGTGTAAATTTAAAAGACAAAATGTGAGAAGGAAAGACAATAGACAAAAAATATTGGAACATAGAGGGGTATGAACCCATAGGGTTTGATTGGACAAATTTGAACTTTTGTCAATATGACAGATGAGTTGCTCAGAGGCAACCCTTTGTAATGGAAACAATTATATCCTTGATATGATATAGCCTTTTTTGATAGATTGCTGAATTTCTCCAAAGAGAACCATCCTCCTCTTCTGGGAAAACATATAAACAGACAAACATAGCCAACAAATCAATGATCTGGGGCTGAGGTTGGGAGCAGTAACTAGATTGAAAAAGCAAATATTTCATGAAAGCTGATAGCAGCAGTGAGAGGTAGATGATGGGCCTAGAGCAATGGTGAAATGGTTGAGCTAGACATTTTCCTCCCATAGTGAGGTGGGACCTTTGAGTAGTTGTAGGGTCATCGCAGGCTGGTGGCATTCCCTGGTTCTTGACAGAAGATAACCTTGCCAACTTAAGATCAAGAGAAGCAACCAATACACTGATAATCAAAAAGCACCAATGACATGAAGAGCAAGATGACCACAAGTGAGAGTCAGAAGACAATAAATAACAGATTTAGACACTCACATTCTACTAAGTATATTGGAATTCAGAGCTGTAGAATGTAGAACACATAAGTAAGAAATGTTTAAATAAGTCAAAGACAGAATCTCAAAGGTGAGGAGAAAGGCAGGTATGATCAGATAGTTAAAAAACTAAAAACTAATGGAGTCTCCAGGAATGTAAAACACAACTGGTGATATTGTAATCTTAAAGAATGGGTTAAAAAGGCTGGGTGCGGTGGCTCATGCCTGTAATCCCAGCACTTTGGGAGGCCTAGGCGGGCGGATCGCGAGGTCAGGAGATCGAGACCATCCTGGCTAACACGGTGAAACCCTGTCTCTACTAAAAATACAAAAAATTAGCTGGGCATGGTGGTGGGCGCCTGTAATCCCAGCTACTCGGGAGGCTGAGGCAGGAGAATGGCATGAACCCGGGAGGCGGAGCTTGCAGTGAGCCGAGATAGCGCCACTGCAGTCCGGCCTCGGCTAAAGAGCAAGACTCCGTCTCAAAAAAAAAAAAAAAAAAAAGAATGGGTTAAAAAGCATATTTAATTCTGCCAAAGAAAGAATTCAAGACCTGAAGATATATTTGAATATATAAATCAAAATTTACAAACTGGAGAAACAAGGATATGGAGAATATTAAAGAGAAATTAAGAGACATAAATAATTGAATGAGAAGGTCTAATAGGCATCTATCTAATAAGAATAGACAGAATGTTTACAGTTCTGACAAGGATGGACTGAACCTACTACAACTTTTTTTTTCCAGTCATTATCATGAAAAATTCCGGATAAAATACAAAATGTAACTACCTAGAAACTATGAAAAGTAAACAAAATTTGGCAGATTGTTGAGGAGAATCCAAACTTGGAGAAACCACTTTTGTGGGAGTGAGTTCCTCGTTTGTTTTTCTCTTCTGTAATAGCTTTCCATGAGGGTGGAACTAGGTACGGAGCTAAAAACAACACATATTCATTGTCTCACAATTTTCTATAGATAAGAAATCTAGGAATGGTACAGCTGGATTCTCTCCTCTGGGTTTTGCTGGGCTAAAATCAAGGTGTCAGCCATCCTGGGCTCTTTTCTGGTGGCTCTGGCATAGAATCCACTTCTAGGTTAATTCAGGTAGTTGCAGAATTTACTTCCTTCTGTTGTGATTATAGGACAAATATCCCTGTTTTCTTACTGGCTGTTGGCCAGGGATCATTCTGTTTCTAGAGACTGCCTGCTTGCCTGTACATGACACATGCTCCACTCCTTCTTCAAAGCCAGCAATAGCTCATTGAGTCTTTTTAGCACTTCAAATCTGAAGTCCTCTTCTGCTGCATCTCTCTGCCTTTTTCTTCTGCTGCTTTTTTTTTTTTTTTTTTAGATGGAGTTTTGCTCTTGTTGCCCAGGCTGGAGTGCAATGGCGCAATCTCGGCTAACCACAACATCTGCCTCCAGGGTTCAAGCGATTCTCCCTCCTCAGCCTCCTGAGTACCTGAGATTACAGGCTTGAGCCACCACACCTAGCTAATTTTGTATTTTTAGTAGAGATGGGGTTTCTCCATGTCAGTCAGGCTGGTCTCGAACTCCCGACCTCAGGTGATCCTGCCTTGGCCTCCCAAAGTGCTGGGATCACACCTCCCAAAGAGGTGTGAGTCACTGCGCCGGGCCTCTTCTGCTGCTTTTAAAGGCTCATTTGACTACATGGACCTGTCTAAATAATTCATAATAGTTTTGCTATTTTAAGGTCAATTAACTAGTAAACGTAATTACATTGAACAGCTTTTGGGAATTGCACCATGGGATTTTTGGGAAGCCATCTTAGAATTCAATGTGTCACATTTAATGAAACCGTTAAGAGACAATTCTTCTACTCTCTGAATGGGTTTGTGTAAGATCACAATGAACTGTTTCTTGAATATTTCGTGTAGCTCACCAGTAATAAATTACTAATCTGGTGTTTTCTTCCTGGGAAGACAGAAACTATGAATTAAATTTCTCTAACATTAGTAGGGTTATTCAAGGTTCCTATTTGTTCTTGAATAATTTTGGGAATTTATGCTTTTCTAGGAATTATGCATTTTTTTAGTTTTTCTAATTTGCATAAATATTTTATTATGTTATTGAACTATCCATTTCTGCTGTTACTTGATTCGTTACTAATACATCATTCTATTTATTCATTATTAAAGTATCATGTAATACACTTGTCTTTTCATAATCCATTTTGCAGCTATTTATCAAATGTATTAATCATTTTAAGACGTCACTTATTAGCTTCTTGGCTTATTTTTATTTTATCTTTCTTTCAGAATTAACTATTTTTTTATTTCCTTTCTTCAAATTTCTTTTGATTTATTCTGCTATTCTTTTTCGAACTTCCTAAGATGGATTTCATTTTTTAAAAAATTTCAGCCTCTTTAAAAAACATAATAATATGTGTCTGTTACTTATTTTCCAGGTTTTTTTCTTTCTTTTCTTTTTTTTCTTTTTTTTTTTTTTTTGAGACAGAGTCCCTCTGTTGCCCAGGCTGGAGTGCAGTGGTGTAATCTCAGCTCACTGCAACTTCTGCCTTCTGGATTCAAGTGATTCTCCTGCCTGAGCCTCCCAAGTAGCTGGGATTACAGGTGCCTACCAACACGACAGGGTTTCGCCATGTTGACCAGGCTGGTGCCGAACTCCTGACCTCAAGTGATCCGCCCACTTAGCCCCCCAAAGCGCTGGGATTACAGATGTGAGCCATCATGCCCAGCCCAGCTTTTAATGGGAGCCGGATCCATTCCTCCTCACTGGGTCCTTCCAGCTGGGGCCTCCAGCCACCCTCGTCTGTGTTCTCCTGCCAACAGTGTTCTAATTTCTCCCTGGGATGGAGTGCCGAGGGGGCAGGGCAGGCTGCCACCTTTGATGTTTGGGCATCTCAGCTAGTATAGCCTGTGGGCCTTGGAGAACCCAAACTGATTGCGGGTTGAGGTATCCCCAACACAGCACAGCCGCTCTACCAAAATGCAGCCAGACTCTTTCTGTCTTTTTATTATACTTTAAGTTCTAGGGTGCATGTGCACAATGTGCAGGTTAGTTACATATGTATACATGTGCCATGTTGGTGTGCTGCAACCATTAACTTGTCATTTACATTAGGTACATCTCCTAATGCTATCCCTCTCCCCTCCCCCGACCCCACAACAGGCCCTGGTGTGTGATGTTCCCCACCCTGTGTCCAAGTGTTCTCATTGTTCAGTTCCCACCTATGAGTGAGAACATGCGGTGTTTGGTTTTCTGTCCTTGCGATAGTTTGCTCAGAATGATGATTTCTATCTTCATCCATGTCCCTACAAAGGACATGAACTCATCATTTTTTATGGCTGCAAAGTATTCAATGGTGTATATGTACCATATTTTTTTAATCCAGTCTATCGTTGATGGACATTTGGGTTGCTTCCAAGTCTTTGCTATTGTGAATAGTGCTGCAATAAACATACGTGTGTATGTGTCTTTATAGCAGCATGATTTATAATCCTTTGGGTTTAAACTCAGTAATGGGATGGCTGGGTCAAATTTCTAGTTCTAGATCCTTGAGGAATCGCCACACTGTCTTCCACAATGGTTGAACTAGTTTACAGTCCCACCAACAGTGTAAAAGCATTCCTATTTCTCCACATCCTCTCCAGCACCTGTTGTTTCCTGACTTTTTAATGATCGCCATTCTAACTGGCATGAGATAGTATCTCATTGTGGTTTTCATTTGCATTTCTCTGATGGCCAGTGATGATGAGCATTTTTTCATGTGTCTTTTGGCTGCATAAATGTCTTCTTTTGCGAAGTGCAGCCAGACTATTTCTTTAAGAGAGTCTGTGATTCCATTTCTCCTGACTGAGTGAGACCTCACTACTGGGGTCTCCAGCCACCTCCTACAGGCATGTTCTGGCAGGAAGCAGGTCAGTACCCCTTGGGACAGAGGAAGGAGCAGTCTGCCACCTTTGTTGTTTTGCAGCCTTCACTGGTGCTATCTCCAGATACTAGAAAAAGTGAAGTAACTAGGGTCTAGAAGAGACCCCCAGAAAACTTCTGCAGCCCTGCAGAAGTGTGGCCAGGCTGGTAGAAGAAAAAACAAACAAATAAGAGCAACAACTAAAACCCCATCCAAAGTCAGTAACCTCAAAGATTGAAGGTAGATAAGCCCACAAAGATGAGAAAGAATCAGTGCAAAAATGCAGAAAACTCAAAAAGCCAGAGTGCATCCTTTCCTCCAAATGATTGCAACACCTCTTCGGCAAGCGTTCAGAACTAGGCTGAGGCTGAGATGGCTGAAACAACAGAAATAGGCTTTAGAATGTTCACAAAAAAATAACTTTGCTGAGATAAAGGAGCATGTTGTAACCCAATGCAAAGAAGCTAAGAATCATGATAAAACAATGCAGGGGCTGACAGCCAAAATAGCCAGTATAGAGAGGAACGTAACTGACCTAACAGAGCTGAAAAACACAGAAGAAATTCTGAATGCAGTCAGTAGTATTAATAGCAGAACACCAAGTGGAAAAAGAATCTCAGAGCTTCAAGTCTATCTTTCTGAAATAAGACATGCCAACAAGAATAGACAAAAAAGAATGAAAAGGAATGAACAAAACTTCTGAGAAATATGAGATTATATAAAAAGACTGAATCTACAACTGATTGAGGTAGCTGAAAGAGATGGGGAAAATTAAACCAATTTGGAAAACATATTCAGAATATCATCCAGGAGAACTCTCCCAACCTAGCTGGACAGGCCAACATACACATTCAGAAAATGCAGAGAACCACGGTAAGATACCCCATGAGAAGATCATCCCCAAGACACATAATAATCAGATTCTCCAAGGTCAAAATGAAGAAAAAAATGTTAAGGGCAGCCAGAGAGAAAGGCTAGGTCACCTACAAAGGGAAGCCCATCAGACTAACAGCAGACCTCTCAATGGAAACCCTTCAAGTCAGATGAGATAGGTGGGCCAATATTCAACATTATTAAAAAAATGAATTTCCAACCCAGCCAAACTAAGCTTCATAAGCAAAGGGATATAAGATCCCTTTCAGACAAGCAAATGCTAAGGGAATTTGTTACCACCAGACGTGCTTTGCAAGAACTCCTGAAGGAAACACTAAATATGGAAAAAAAAAAAAAAAACTGATACCAGCCACCACAAAAACACACACCAGTGACAATATGAAGCAACTTCATAAGCAAGTCTGCAAAATAACCAGTTAGCATCATGATTATAGGATCAAATTAACACATAATAGTATTAACCTTAAATGTAAATGGGCTAAATACTGCAATTATAAGACACAGAATGGCAAGCTGGATTAAAAAAAATCAAACCCTATTGTTATGTTGTCTTTAAGAGACCTATACCATGTGCAAAGACACACATAGGTTTAAAATAAAGGGATGGAGGAAAATTTACCAAGCAAATTGAAAACAGAAAAAAACAGGGATTGCAATCCTCGTTTCTGAAAAAAAAGACTCTAAACCAAAAAAAGATAAAAAAAGACAAAGAAGGGCATTACATAATAGTAAAGGGTTCAATTCAACAAGAAGAGCTAACTATCCTAAATATATATGCACCCAATACAGGAGCACCCAGATTAATACAACAGGTTTTAGAGACCTTCAAAGAGGCTTAGACTCCCACACAATATTAGTGAGATACTTTAACACCCCACTGACAAAATTAGATCATTGAGACAGAAAATTAGCAAAGATATTCAGGACCCGAACTCAAGTGGACTTGATAGATATCTACAGAACGCTCCACCTTGGAACAACAGAATATACATTATTCTTATCACCACATGGCACTTACTCTAAAATTGACCATGTAGTTGGAAGTGAAACACTCCTTAGCAAATGCAAAAGAACTGAAATCATAGCAGTCTCTCAGACTACAGCACAATCAAACTAGAACTTGAGATTAAGAAACTCACACAAAACCACACAACTACATGGAAATTGAACAACCTGCTCCTGAATGGCTCTTGGATAAATAATGAAATTAAGGTGGAAATCAAGAAGTTATTTGAAATTAATGAGAACAAAGATAAAAGATGGCAGAATCTCTGGGACACAGTTAAGGCAGCATTAAGAGGGAAATTTCATAGCACTAAATGCACACATTGAAAATTTAGAAATATTTCAAATCAACAACCTAACATTATGGCTAAAAGAACTAGGGAAACAAGAGCAAACAAACCTCAAAGCTAGCAGAAGACAAGAAATAACCAAGATAAGAGGGGAACTGAAAGAGATAGAGACACAAAAATACCTTCAAAAACTCAATGAATCCATGAACTGTTTTTTTGCGAAAACTAATAAAATAGAATGCTAGCTAGACTAATAAAAAAGAAAAGAGAGAAGAACCAAATAGACACAATCAGAAATGATAAGGGGGAGAGCACCAATGACCCACAGAAGTACAAACAACCATCAGAGAATACTATAAACACCTTTAGGCACATAAACTAGAAAATCTAGAAGAAATGGATAAATTCCTGGACACATACACCCTCCCAAGACTGAACCAGGAAGAAATTGAATTCCTGAATAGATCAATAACAAGTTTGAAATTGAGGCAGTAATAAATAGACTACCAACTAAAAAAAGCCCAGGACCAGATGGATTCACAGCTGAATTCTACCAGATGTACAAGGAAGAGCTGGTAGCATTCGTACAGAAACTATTACAACAAAGGAGGGACTCCTACCTAACTCATTCCATGAGGCTTTCATCATCCTTATACCAAAACCTGGCAGAGATACAATAAAAAAAGAAAACTTCATGCCAATATCCTTGATGAACATCAGTGCAAAAATCCTCAATAAAATACTGGCAAACCAAATCCAACAGCACATCGAAAAGCTTATTCACCATGATCAAGTAGGCTTCATCCCCATGATGCAATGCTGGTTGAACATATGCCAGTCAATAAATGTGATTCATCATATGAACAGAACCAGAGACAAAAACCACATGATTATTTCAATAGATGCAGAAAAAGCCTTCGATAAAATTCAACATTGCTGCATGTTAAAACCTCTCAATAAACTAGGTACTGAAGGAACATACCTTAAAATAATAGCTATTTATGACAAACCCACAGCCAATGTCATACTGAATGGGCAAAAGCTGGAAGCATTCCCCTTGAAAAGTGGCCCAAGACAAGTTAGCCCTCTCTTACCACTCCTATTCAACGTAATATTGGAAGTTCTGGCCAGGGCACTCAAACATGAGAAAGAAATAAAGTGTATTCAATATAGGAGGAGAGCAAGTAAAACTATCTTTGTTTGCAGATGACAGGATCCTATCTCTAGAAAACCCTATTGTCCCAGCCCAAAAGCTTTGTAAGCTGATAAGCAACTTCAGCAAAGTCCCAGTACACAAAATCAATGTGCAAAAATTATGAGCCTTCCTATACACCAACAGGCAAGCCAAGAGCCAAAGCACGAAGGAACTCCCATTCATAATTGCCACAAAAATAATAAAATAGCTAGAAATACATCTAACAAGGGAAGTGAAGGTCCTCTTTAAGGGAAACTACAAACCACTGTACAAAGAATTCAGAGAGGACACAAACAAATGGAAAAATATCCCATTCTCATGGATAGGAAGAACAAATATCATGAAAATGCCCATACTGCCCAAGGCTATTTATAGATTTAATGCTATTGCCATTAAACTACCACTGACATTCTTCACAGAATTAGAAAAAGCTATTTTGAAATTCATATGGATCCAAAAAAGAGCCCAAATAGCCAATATAATCCTATGCAAAATGAGCAAAACTGGAGGAATCATGCTACCCAACTTCAAACTATGCCACAGGGCTACAGTAACCAAAACAGCATGGTAGTGGTACAAGAACAGACACATAGACCAGTGGAACAGAACAGAGTACCCAGGATTAAGCCCACACACATACAACCATCTGATCATCTAAAAACCTGACAAAAACAATGGGAAAAGGAATCCCTATTTAATAAATGGTGCCAGGAGAACTGGCTAGCCATATGCATAAAATTGAAACTGGATCTTTTTCTTATACCATATACAAAAATAAACTTAATATGGATTAAAGACTTAAGTGTAAAACTCAAAAGTATAAAAACTCTAGAAATAAACCTAGGCAATACCAATCAGGACATACATACTGGCAAAGATTGCAGGCAACTGCAACAAAAGCCAAAATTGACAAATGGGATCTAATTAAACTAAAGAGCTTCTGCATAGCAAAAGAAACTATCAACAGAGTAAACAGACAACCTACAGAATGGGAGAAAAAATTTGCACACTATCCATCTTACAAAGGTCTAATGTCCAGCATCGATAAGGAGCTTAAACAAATTTACAAAAAATAAACAAACAAAAAGTAGGCCAAGGACATGTACAGACACTTCTCAAAAGAACACATACCTGTGGCCAAGAAACATGAAAAAAAGCTCAATATCACTGGTCATTAGAGAAATGCACATCAAAACCGGAATGAGACACCATCTCACACCAGTCAGAATGACTATTACTAAAAAGTCAAAAAATAATAGATGCTGGTAAGGTTGTGGCGAAAAAGGAATGCTTTTACACTGTTGGTTGGGGGTGTAAATTAGTTCAACCACTGTTGAAGACAGCGTGGCAATTTCTCAAAGACCTAGAAGCAGAAATACAATTTGACCCAGCAATCTCATTACTGGGTATATACTCAAAGGAATATAAGTCATTCTATTATAAAGACACATGGATATGTATTTTCATTGCAGCACTATTCACAATAGCAAAGACATGGAATCAAACTAAATGCTCAATAATGTTAGACTGGATAAAGAAAATGTGGTACATATATATCATGGAATACTATGCAGACATAAAAAGGAATGAGATCATGTCCCTTGCAGGGACATGGATAGAGCTGGAGGCCATCACCCTTAGCAAACTAATGCAGGAAAAGGAAACCAAATACCACATGTTCTCAGTTGTAACTTGGAGCTAAATGATGAGAAGACATGAACACATGGTGGGGAACAGCACACACTGGGGCCTATTGAAGGGCAGCAGGATGGGAGAAGGGAGAGGATCAGGAAGAATAGCTAATGGATGCTGAGCTTAATACCTGGATAATGGTATGATCTGCAGCCAACCACCCTGGCACACATTTACCTATGTAAAACACCTGCACATTCTGCACATGTACCCCTGAATTTAATAGTTGGAAAATTTTTAAAAAGTTAAGAAATGTTCAATTCTGCAATATTATTCAGGCATTTAAGCCTGTGTATATACATTTGAAGGAGTCTAAACATTTTACAAAGAAGATTATTTCCATATCATTGTGTTGTGCTTTTGTCTTTAGTAGCTTCACCCACCTGACCTCTGATATTTTTTTCCAGAGAGGCATAAATTAATGAAAGATGTATTACTGAACATTATTTTATAAATCGATGAGATGATTTGGGTTAAAATGTCTCAAATAGCTACAGAATGGTTCATTTCTAGGTGGTTATTGGAAAACTCTGAATTTAATACAATACCAAGAATTTTGATAAATACAAAATAGTAAATGTTAGCAAAGACTCCAGGTGGCACATTTGTTCTGTAACTTGTATGGACTATATTTTGCTATTTACCCAGAAATATTTCAGCAATTAACAGAATCTTTTTCAGGGAATTTCTACTGAAAACACAAAAGTGTTTTATCTATGAACACTAAGTAATGATTACTTAATGCTAAGGGTATAAGCAAGGATGTACACTTTTAAATGTAGTACGTCAACAAGTTATCCATTCACAGCTTCCTAGATGTTTAAAATAATACTTAATCTGTAATTTTATGAGAAAAGACTGTGAGTATGTGCATATATTCAGGCACATTGCTTTTAAAGAATATGAATAGAAGCAGATTATGTGTCATAAACCTAATACAACCTTTATAAACTTGAAAAGATTATAATCACTGTTTTTGTAGTGTTCTGTGGTGTTTTATAACAGTTGTTTTTCTCAGAAATGAAATAAAATTATATATTAATTTTTAAAAAGACCTACTAAATTCTATTGATATATAAATGAACACTCAAGTCTAGTGTTAGATTGATAGTAATACTTGCTGAGGTTGAATTTTATAGAAATAGAATTTATTTTTTAAAATAGAAACTCTTTTGTGCTTCAGAGTTTTATTTTCAAAGGGAAATCCAACCTAGACCCGGACTGAACATTTGCATAGCACTATTTCATGGGTAATTGCAAAATATGCTTGTTTTCTAATTTTTTAACATCTCTCTAAATGGTCACCTTGGAACCTCATGTTTTCTTTCATAACAATGAGTTTGCAGAACCCTAAGCGTTCCTATACACTGAGACATAGTACAACCTCTTCCTCCCAAACACAGATTCATCCCCTTAATGGTCTAATCTGATACCTACTGCTCTCTCTCCTTCCAAATGCCTCTCCAGAGCTCCTCTGAATAAAGTTGGCTGACATTATTCATACTTTCTTCTCTCTTGCATCAAACTGCAGCTGTGATAGCTATTTGTTCTTATCCGCTTTTCTACAATGTCTCAGAGATAGGTTTCCTTCAATTCATTGACTTAACACATTATATTTCTCATCATAAGTTTTTCTACATTCTAATAGAATAAGTTATTCTATTATCTTACCCTGATATGTTTTGTCTTTCAATGCAATAGATTTCTAGTTATATTAATAACCGATATAGATACATGTAATTCCTTCCCGCCACACCATTTTATTTATAATGCTTGGTAAAGTCCTATTCATCCAAAAAACCAAGCTAAAATATTATTTTGTACTTAGCAACTAAAGATATTAGTAGTTATTTTTTCATGTCTTATAAACATTTATTAATCTTACCTCATTTATTATAAATAAATGGCATTTTTCACATTTCAATTTTATTTATTTTAGTTACAAAAATAACGGCCAGGTATGGTGGCTTATGCCTGTAATCCCAGCACTTTGGGAGGCAGAGGCGGGTGGATCAAGAGGCCAGGAGTTTGAGACCAGACTGGTCAACATGATGAAACCCCATCTCTACTAAAAATACAAAAATTAACCCGGCATGGTGGCAGGGGCCTGTAATCCTACCTACTCAGCAGGCTGAGGGGGGAGAATAGCTTGAACCTAGGAGACGGAGGTTGCAGTGAACTGAGATCATGCCATTGCACTTCAGCCTAGGCGACAGAGCAAGATTCTGTCTTAATAATAATAATAATAATAATAATAATAATAATAACAATAACATAGATCTACTTTTCAAAAAATCAAACACCAAATCAAAAATATCATTTGGAGTTTTCTTTGTTTTGTTTTGTTTTTTTGAGATGGAGTCTTGCTCTGCTGCCCAGGCTGGAGTGCAGTGGCACAATCTCAGCTCACTGCAGCCTTGCCTCTTGGGTTCAAGTCATTCTCTTGCCTCAGCCTCCCGAGTAGATGAAATTACAGGCAACTGCCACCATGCCCAGCTAATTTTTGCATTTTTAGTAGAGATGGGGTTTCACCATGTTGGCCAGGCTTGTCTTGAACTCCTAACCTCAGGTGATCCACCTGCCTCAGGCTCCCAAAGTGCTGGGATTACAGGCGTGAGCCACTGCGCTTGGTCTGGAGTTGTTTCCTTACTGATGCTATGCTTTATAGGACAAGTTCCATATATAGAGACTACCTCATTGGAAAACCACTTTTTTGAAAACAAAGGCCAAAAGGCACATTAGCGAGTCTTTGCGTTGAGGCACTTAAGACATTTTATCCAATATTTTGTGATATATAGATGTAGACTAATAATTTCCTATCCAATACTTATAGTGTGTAAATTCTTAATACTTTGCCTAACTGATAATAGATGTTCAATAAATGTTCAACACTACTCTTAAATCACAGTTTTGTTTTTTAGTTTATTCATTTGATTTTTTAAAGCTTAAACAATACCACAAAACCTTGTTATAATTCAATTGCCTGGTTTCCAGGTGGTCAATTATTTAGATAGCAGCAATCAGCATTATGACCTTAAAAGATACATGCCATCTAGAAATCTGAAGATATTACTATCATCTGGAGGTAAATGTCATTGAGTGACCTCAGATCTTTAGAAGAACTCAGTTTGGTTTTGTAGATAATATTATAGTAGTCAATATTTGGGCATTGTTTTATGACTCATAATGACTGAAAAACATAGATATTTAATTTCAGCAAGAAATAAACTTGGAGAAAAAACAAGGTCTTGTAGGAAATTTGTTTTGTCATTTTAAAGCTGCCAAGAGGAATGCAAAATGATTTGTCTCCTCTAAACAATGTCAATTACTGCTTTGCAAACAGAAATGGCAAAATTCTCAGGAAACAATTGAGACCAGATAATTGCTGGACAATTGCCATCCTTACTTTATAATCTTTATTCTTTCAGGCATTGTGACTGAATGCTTAGTCCTCAAATACTTTCTGATCATTCATCCCTGTGAAAACACGATAGGTTACTGAGTTTCAAAGCTTTCATTTCTGTGACTTTGTTAGGAGTTAGTCTTGCGTGATTATCACAGAATGCATGAGAATATATTACCAGAAAGGCTCTCTAGAATTTTTGAGATCATTATTAAATATCAGACAGATATGAACTTAAGTGGGCCAGTGGTGGGATGGCTGAAAATAGTTTATGATGTGGGAGATCAGAAGTTGGAATTTATTATTGCAGACTTTACTGAAAAATGTTGGTTCCCAAGTCACCACCCATTTGTCTTCTTAAAGAGTTTTTGTCCCTCATTCTTCATCCGTGTGGCTGTTTTGTATCAGGTGAAATTGTCCCTGGGCTCTCAGAATGGGCTTGATTAGTTTAAGGGTAAGTATATCCTCACACCCGCGACCAGTGACTGGCCAAGGAAACAAGGCTAAATGAAACAGTACCTGGCATTCCCTGATGACATGTGACCCAATTTGGGTCAAAAGGATATAAGAAAAATGCTTGAGAGAGACTTCTGAGAAAGGATTTTAGTTCTTTTAAGAGAGAATACCAGAAGAGGTAATATCATCCTTCCTCGCACTGTGCATATGCTCAACATACTTAGGGTTGGGAACTCAACAATGTGAGAATGAGCCTGGACACACAGAATCTGATGCAGCCATGGCTAAGGTCTGTACATACGTGTATGTGAGTGAAGAGAGTTCCACATTGATCACGACGTTTTGAATCAGGTATTCCTGCTGCTTTAGAGGAACAGAAATTTCCTTTGAGTGTAAGGCTGTTTCCTTTTATTTGCTACTTATATTGGGTTCCTCTTATATTAAAACAATTCAGAGTGATGTGGAAATTATTGTTTCTAGTTAAAATTCAGAAATAATTCTCACTTTAGTCTAGCTAATACCTTTACATTTTTCTCATACAATCTCTCTTTTCAAGATCTTTTGACACAATACTATATTTTTGGGTATTGATGTCACTGGGCAAATAAAAATTTGATTTGTTTAGCTATGTGGTGGTAGTATTTATATTGAAACATATCAGTGTTTCTTTTTTTAACTTATGACTAATGATATTCATTTATGTATGAATCATGACCTAAGGAACAAATGAACACATCATCTTGAACTAACTGGGGATTTTCCTCTTTAATATCATATACTCATTACTCGCACCTAAAAGCTTCAGAAAACATAGGTTCAATACCTGTTCAGTACATGTTTGTTTCCCACAGGCCTCCACAGTAGTAGTAGAAATAATTTTTAGAAAGAATTTTTATTTCAATAAACATTTTAGTGAGTGTCTAGTATGGGCTAGATATTATCTTAAAATTGGAGGCAGGTGAACAAGGAAGAAATGTTTCTCCATGCTAGCCATGAAGGATAATATGTTCTAATGTGTGTATGTTTGGAAATAAACAATGAATCAAGAAATAACTCCAACGAATTTCGATTTTGATAAGTGCTATGAGAAAAATAAATAAGGTAATGGGATAGACCTATTCCTCTGGGATATGTCTGTGGAAAGGGAAAGACTGAGATGCGTTAGTGAGAAAGGCTTCTTCGAGAAGAGAGCAGCAATGTGAGTATTCATGGAAGAAGGGGTTTCAGTAGAGACAAGGAAATAAGATGAACCATGATGGTTAAGAGCTTGGCATAGTCAATGAACAACATACCTTTTAAAAAACATTGTATGAGATGAACTGTAAGCGTTAAAGAAGAGCCATATATTTTAACTGCAATGATAAGCCATTGAAGGTATTAGGTGGAAGAGCAATATATTTTATATTAAAGAATATTTTGGCTGCTGCTTTATGGAGAATGATTTGGAGAAGAAAAGACTCAGGAGAGCCACTTAAAAGGCTAAAGTTATGGGATCCTTGGGGTGTCACTTTTCCAGTCGGAAACCGCTGTGGTCAGTGGCACCATTGCCTGAGTTTTGCTTGAGCCCACTGAACTCATTTCACCCACTTGGCCTGGCAGACTGTGCTTGGCTCATGCTATTTGGCCTGGATCCTACATCTGCCAAGGGTGAGCCAGTCATGGAGTGGTGGGGGTGTGTGAGCTAGCAAGCATGGGGTCTGGCTCCTGCGCACAGTTAGACATGCTGGCTGTGGCAGGGCAGGCATCTCCAGGCACCGGCATGGGTGCCGGCTTCCTGTGAGGCTGCGGCTGGACCAGGTGTACCACAAGTAGCTTCTACAGCTGGCACCGGGAAACATGGTGGTGCCTGGAAGTTTGGAGATGCCAGGAATCACAGAGCTGCAAAGAGAGTGTTACAGCCCTCTCTTGGGGAGCTCCTAGGTCTAGGCCTCAGCTCTTCTGTCTTCTCTCCTTCTTGTCACCCGCGATGTGGCTGCAACTCTTCTCTCCTCTCTTCTCTCCTTCTTGTTACCCACAATGTGGCGAGCAAGCGGTGTGTTTCAGCTCTGTTTGTGTTATAGCTCTTTTGGTCCTGCCATTTGGTGGGTCCTGAGTTCTTGTCCCAAGTCCAGGAAGACTAAGGTTTGTGGACAAGTGGAGGGTGAGCAAGGTGAAGAGGTGTTTTACTGAGCGACGGAACAGCTCAGAAGAAACCCACAGTGGGTAGCTCCTCTCTGCAGGCAGACAGTCTTGTTGTCTGCTCCGTTCTCAGCAGAGAGGAGACCCAGAGTGGGTAGATCCTCCCCACAGGCAGGTCTCCTGTCATCTGCTCAGCTCTCAGCAGAGAGGAGACCCACCGTGCGTAGTTACTCTCCACGGGCAGGTCCTCCCATCCTCTGCCTGAGTCTGGCTGAGTGCACAGTTTCTATGGGCTTCAGAGCGAAGGAAGTGCATGCTGATTGGTCCATGGGTGGCCTTGGGAAGGCTAGAAAAAGCATCATAAGTCCACAGAACTGGCAGCCCGTCCTCCAGGCTTCAGGCCATCCCTGGCCCGAGGAGGGGTTTCACCAGGGACCTGCCCCTTTCTTCTCAGGAGCCTATCTGCCTTTTGCCACCATTAACCTTCCATCCATGGTGCCCAAAGTGCCCAGGCTGCTCATGCCGAGGTGTGCCTGCAGGCCCACACCAAACTGCCTCTAGCATTCCCCAGGCTCCCTCTCCTGCTTGTTGGTGCCCAAAGTCTATAGGGGGCTGAGGTGGCAGGGAGCTGGTGTGTCAGCACTGCCCCAAGTGAGCACACACCTGGCCAGGTTGTTACAGTGTGGGGGCTCAGCTACAACTTTGCTCTGAAATCAGAGCGGGCGCCTGGAGCTGGGAGAGGCCAGACAGTGGGAGCAGGCACTTCCAAGCTTGTGGGGGCAAGTAGGCTTCCAAGGCCTCAGAAAGTGCAGAGATTCCTGGGTCTGCAGCCATGGCTGGCAGCTGCAGCTGCACCCGTGTAGGCGGAGATCCTGCCTCTCCAACTTGGAAGGGGATAGGGCTTCCACCTGTTCCTATCTCCCACCGACTCCATGGATTGGGCAGCCGTGGCTGTACCTCCTCCACTTCAGCTGGTGTCATGGCAGTGGCCACTCCAGGTGGGCCACCACTGCTATCACTACCACGAAAATCCAGACAGGAGATGACAATTTAGATTTAGAAACTGGTATTAGAGAAGGAATGCAGTGATGCATTTGAGATATATTTTGAAATTGAAAAGAGGGTTTGCTGATTGAGTAGATTAGAGTATAAGAGAACGGAAGGAATGAAGTTTGGGTATAAGAGGGGTAGGTAACAATTACATTTGCTGTACTTAAGATGTCTAATTTCAGAAAAGAAACAACAACCACTGGTGCTATTTTTATTGAGTTTGTGTTAAATGTTCATATTGAATACGAGAAAATTGATATCTTCATGATGTCGGATTTCCTTCTCCAAGATTGTGGTATGTCTTTCAACTTGTTCAAGTTTTACTTTTGTGTTTTTCAGAAATGGTTCAAGTTATCCCCATCTGTATTTTTATGTTTTGTATAGTTTATCATAAGTACTTAAAAATCTGTTGTAAATAGGTTCTTCTTACCCATACATTGTCTAGCTGGTCATCATTCACAGATAAGTAGGTAATTATTTTGGTATGTCAATTTTATATCCTGTTAGCATGGTAAATTTATTGTTTTGGTTTTCTTGATTCATAATATATCTCATACAAATAGAGTTTTAGTTCTTCCTTTTATATTCTTAAGCCTCTATTTGCTTTCTCTTATATCATTGCATTGGCTAATGCCATTAATACAGTGTTCAAACAGGTGTGAGCCACCACACCCAGCAGGCGATATTGTCTCATTTCTGATTTTGACTATCGCCAGTGCTTCACCGCAAGGTCAGATGCTAACCTTTGAACTGAGAAATATACATTTTTTGTCATTTTCATGATACGTGTATTAATTTCGATTTGTTGCTGGTTTCATTGGTAATAAAAATAGTTTTTTTTTCCAAATGCATTTTTAGCATATCTGAGACACTATCAAGCTATTTATCCTTATATAAATGAATATGAGTAATTATATTAATGGATAATACAATATTGAAGGGTGCTTACACCCCTGGAACAAAACTCTCTTGATTATGATGTATCTTATTTTAATGTTAATGTTTTTATGTTTTGAATATTTATTTAGAACTTTTACGCATAAGTGCTTGCAGGTGTAACTGATTGCCAGTTTTCTTTTGTGTACAATATTTATCACGTTTAACTATTTGCTTTAAGTAATTTGGAGGTGTTACTCCTCATTTACTTTTCTTTTCTTTTTTTAAATTATGGTCTGGAAATGTCCACAATAACATTGGGATTATCTAGTCTTTATAGATTTGAGAAATTCCTCTATGAATCCATCATGATATGTTGTTCCTTATAAAAATAACTCTTTGAGAACTTTTTCTTTTTATAAAATAAAAATTGGTTTATTCTACATGTGTGTGCTCAGTATTAGTTAACTATTTTTTTTGTAAAAAATAATTTATTTCATGTAGTAGATTTTAAAACTTTATTTATTGTCTCAAGATAAAACATTGATTTGGTGGTTTTTGTATCCATGTCATTAATTTCTTATTTTTCTAACATGGTTGTAAGATGTGTGGTGAAATGTCTATTGGGCTTTTTGTTTATTTGTTTGTTTTAGGGACAGGGTTTTACTATGTTGTCCTGGCTGGCCTTAAGCTTCTGGGCTCCAGTGATTCTCCTGCCTTAGGCTCTTTAGTAGCAGCTGGGAATATAGGCACAGAATGCACCACCGCATCTGCTTTGGTATTTATTTATTTATTTATTTATTTATGAGATGGAATTTAACTCTGTTGCCCAGGCTTGAGTACAGAAGTGCAATCTCAGCTCACCACAATCTTCGCCTCCCGGGTTGAAGTGATTCTCCTGCCTCAGCCTCCTGAGTAGCTAGAATTAAATGTATGCACCACCACACCCGGCAAATTTTTGTTTTTTTAGTAGAGGGCATTTTGCCATGTTGGCCAGGCTGGTCTTGAACCCCCGATCTCAGGTGATCCACCCACCTAAGCCTCCCAAAGTTCTGGGATTTCAGGCATGAGCCACCACACCTGGGCCCTTTTTTGGTTCCATATGAACTTTAAAGTAGTTTTTTTCCAATTCTGTGAAGAAAGTCATTGGTAGCTTGATGGGGATGGCATTGAATCTATAAATCACCTTGGGCAGTATGGCCATTTTCATGATATTGATTCTTCCTATCCATGAGCATGGAATGTTCTTCCATTTGTTTGTGTCCTCTTTCATTTCGTTGAGCAGTGGTTTGTAGTTCTCCTTGAAGAGGTCCTTCATATACCTTATAAGTTGGATTCCTAGGTATTTTATTCTCTTTGTAGCCATTGTGAGTGGGAGTTCACTCATGATTTGACTCTCTGTTATTGGTGTATAGGAATGCTTGTGATTTTTGCACATTGATTTTGTATCCTGAGACTTTGCTGAAGTTGCTTATCAGCTTAAGGAGATTTTGGGCTGAGACAATGGGGCTTTCTAAATATACAATCATGTCATCTGCAAACAGGGACAATTTGACTTATTTTCCTAATTGAATATCCTTTATTTCTTTCTCTTGCCTGATTGCCCTAGCCAGAACTTTCAACACTATGTTGAACAGAAGTGGTGAGAGACGGCAGTTTTCAAAAGGAATGCTTCCAGTTTTTGCCCATTCAGTATGATATTGGGTGTGGGTTTGTCATAAATAGCTATTATTATTTTGAGATACGTTCCATCAATACCTAGTTTATTGAGATTTTTTAGCATGAAGGGCCATTGAATTTTGTCAAAAGCCTTTTCTGCATCTATTGAGATATCATGTGGTTTTTGTTGTTGGTTCTATTTACGTGATGGATTATGTTTATTGATTTGCTTATGTTGAACCAGCCTTGCATCCCAGGGATGAAGCCCACTTGATTGTGGTGGATAAGCTTTTTGATGTGCTGCTGGATTTGTTTTGTCAGCATTTTATTGAGGATTTTCGCATTGATGTTCATCAGGGATGTTGGTCTAAAATTCTCTTTTTTTTTGCTGTGTCTCTCTGCCAGGCTTTGGTATCAGGATGATGCTGGCTTCATAAAATGAGTTAGGGAGGATTCCCTCTTTTTCTATTGATTGAAATAGTTTCAGAAGGAATGGTACCAGCTCCTCCTTGTACCTCTGGTAGAATTCAGCTGTGAATCTGTCTGGTCCTGGACTTTTTTTCGTTGGTAGGGTATTAATTATTGCCTCAATTTCAGAGCGTGTTATTGGCCTATTCAGGGATTCAACTTCTTCCTGATTTAGTCTTGGGAGGGTGTATAGGTCCAGGAATTTACCCATTTCTTCTAGATTGTCTAGTTTATTTGCATAAAGCTGTTTATAGTGTTCTCTGTGTTTCTGTGGGATCAGTGGTGATAGGCCCTTTATCATTTTTTATTGTGTCTATTTGATTCTTTTCTGTTTTCTTCTTTATTAGTCTTGCTAGTGGTCTATCAATTTTGTTGATCTTTTCAAAAAACCAGCTCCTGGATTCATTGAATTTTTTGAAGGGTTTTTTGTGTCTCTGTCTCCTTCAGTTCTGCTCTGATATTAGTTATTTCTTGCCTTCTGCTAGCTTTTGAATGTGTTTGCTCTTGCTTCTCTAGTTCTTTTAATTGTGATGTTAGGGTGTTGATTTTAAATAATTCCTGCTTTCTCTTGTGGGCATTTAGTGGTATAAATTTCCCTCTACACACTGCTTTAAATGTGTCCCAGAGGTTCTGGTATGTTGTGTCTTTGTTCTCATTGGTTTCAAAGATCTTTATTTCTGCCTTCATTTCATTATTTACCCACTAGTCATTCAGCAGCAGGTTGTTCAGTTTCCATGTAGTTGTGTGGTTTTGAGTGAGTTTCTGAATTCTGAGTTCTAATTTGATTGCACTGTGGTCTGAGAGACAGTTTGTTGTGAGTTCTGTTCTTTTACATTTGCGGAGGAGTGCTTTACTTCCAACTATGTGGTCAATTTTGGAATAAGTGTGATGTGGTGCTTAGAAGAATGCATATTCTGTTGATTTGGGGTGGAGAGTTCTGTAGATGTCTATTAGGTCTGCTTGGTGCAGAGCTGAGTTCAAGTCCTGGATATCCTTGTTAGCATTCTGTCTCATTGATCTGTCTAATACTGGCAGTGGGGTGTTAAAATCTCCCATTATTATTGTGTGAAAGTCTAAGTCTCTTTGTATGTCTCTAAGGACTTGCTTTATGAATCTGGGTGCTCCTGTATTGGGTGCATATATATTTAGGATAGTTAGCTCTTCTTGTTTAATTGATCCCTTTACCATTATGTAGTGGCCTTGTCTCTTTTGATCGTTGTTGGTTTAAAGTCTGTTTTATCAGAGATTAGAATTGCAACCCCTGCTTTTATTTGCTTTCCATTTGCTTGGTAGATCTTCCTCCATCCCTTTATTTTGAACCTATGTGTGTCTCTGCAAGTGATTGGTCTCCTGCATACAGTACACTGATGGGTCTTGACTCTTTAACAAATTTGCATCTGTGTCTTTTAATTGGGGCATTTAGCCCATTTATATTTAAGGTTAATATTGTTATGTGTGAATTTGATCCTGTCATTTTTATGTCACCTGGTTATTTTGCCCGTTAGTTGATGCAGTTTCTTCCTAGCTTCGATGGTCTTTACAATTTGGCATGTTTTCGCAGTGGCTGGTACCGGTTGTTCCTTTCCATGTTTAGTGCTTCCTTCAGGAGCTTTTGTATGGCAGACCTGGTGGTGACAAAATCTCTCAGCATTTGCTTGTCTGTAAAGGATTTTATTTCTCCTTTATTTCTGAAGCTTAGTTTTGTTGGATATGAGATTCTGGCTTGAAAATTCTTTTATTTAAGAATGTTGAATATTGGCCCCTACTCTCTTCTGGCTTGTAGAGTTTCTGCCGAGAGATCCGCTGTTATTCTGATGGGCTTCCCTTTGTGAGTAACCCGGCCTTTCTCTCTGGTTGTCCTTAACATTTTTTCCTTCATTTCAACTTTTGTGAATCTGACAATTATGTGTCTTGGGGTTGCTCTTCTCGAGGAGTATCTCTGTGGTGTTCTCTGTATTTCTTAAATTTGAATGTTGGCCTGTCTTGCTAGGTTGGGGAAGTTCTCCTGGATAATATCCTGCAGAGTGTTTTCCAACTTGGTTCTATTCTCCCCGTTACTTTCAGGTACACCAATCAAAGGTAGATGTGGTCTTTTCACATAGTCCCATATTTCTTGGAAGCTTTGTTCATTTCTTTTTACTCTTTTTTCTCTGAACTTCTCTTCTCACTTTATTTCATTAATTTGATCTTCAATCACTGATACTCTTTCTTCCACTTGATCAAATCAGCTATTGAAGCTTGTGCATCTGTCATGTAGTTCTTGTGCCATGGTTTTCAGCTCCATCAGGTCATTTAAGGTCTTCTCTACAGTGTTTATTCTAGTTAGCCATTCATTTAATCTTTTTTCGAGGTTTTTCACTTCCTTGCAATGGGTTCTAACATCTTCCTTTAGCTCAGAGAAGTTTTTTATTACCGACATTCTGAAGCCTACTTCTGTCAACTTGTCAAACTCATTCTCTATCCGGCTTTGTTCCGTTGCTGTCAAGGAGCTGCAATCCTTTGGAGGAGAAGAGGTGCTCTAGTTCTTAGAATTTTCAGCTTTTCTGCTCTGGTTTCTCCCCATCTTTGTGGTTTTGTCTACCTTTGGTCTTTGATGATGGTGACCTACAGATAACATTTTGGTGTGGGTGTCCTTTTTGTTGATGTTGATGCTGTTCCTTTCTGTTTGTTAGTTTTCCTTCTAACAATCAGGTCCTTCAGCTGCACGTCTGTTGGAGTTTGCTGGAGGTCCACTCCAGACCCTGTTTGCCTGGGTATCATCATTGGAGGCTGCAGAACAGCAAATATTGAAGAACAGCAAATATTGCTGCCTGATCCCTCCTCTGGAAGCTTCGTCCCAGAGGAGCACCCGCCTGTATGAGGTGTCAGTTGGCCCCTACTGAAAGGTATCTCCCAGTTAGGCTACATGGGGGTCAGGGACCCACTTGAGGAGGCAGTCTGTCCGTTCTCTGAGCTCAAACACCGTACTGGGAGAACCACTGCTCTCTTCAGGGCTGTCAGACAGGGACATTTAAGTCTGCAGAAGTTTCTGCTGCCTTTTGTTCAGCTTCTCCTACCCCCACAGGTAGAGACTACAAAGGCAGCTAGCCTTGCTGAGCTGTGGTGGGCTCCACCCAGTTCAAACTTCCCTGGCTGCTTTGTTTACCTTCTCAAGTCTCAGCAATGGCAGACGCCTCTCCCCCTGCCAGGCTGCTGCCTCACAGGTCGATCTCAGACTGCTGTGCTAGCAGTAAGCAAGGCTCCCTGAGGGTGGGATCCACCCAGCCAGGCATGGGATATAATCTCCTGGTGTGCCTTTTACTAAGACCACTGGAAAAGTGCAGTATTTGGGAGGGAGTGTCCCATTTTTCCAGGTACCATCTGTCATGGCTTCCCTTGGCTAGGAAAGGGAAATTCCCTGACCCCTTGTGCTTCCTGGCTGAGGTAATGCCCTGGCCTGCTTTGGCTCAACCTCCGTGGGATGCACCCAGTGTCCAACCAGTCCCAGTGAGATGAACAAGGTACCTCAGTTGGAAATGCAGAAATCCTCCATCTTCTGTGTCGATCACGCTGGGAGTTTCAGACCGGAGCTCTTCCTATTCGGCCATCTTGGAAGGGAATTGAGCCTGTTTTGTTAAAAAAGAATTATTTGTCACTTTTTTTCTAGTTAATTTTTCCCTTCTTTTATCTTTATGAATTCCTTTCTTCTCTTTCTTTTGGTTTGCCTTTTCTGGCCCCTGACATTTTGAGTGGGATGTTTAATTTACTGTTTTCACTCTTTCATTTTTAAATAAAATGAATATTTTTAGCTATGAATTTTCTTTCAAGTACTGTCTTAACTATATCCCATAAGGTCTTGTTTTATAGAGGGTCATTGAATCTCTATGTAAAAGGTTGTATTTTGGTCAGTGAACATTGTTTCCTTTTCAATTTTGTGTAATCTGTCGAGATATTCTTTATGGTCTATAATTTTTATTTTTCAAAATATTTTCAGGTGCAATTGGTTAGAAACTATATTTTTAATATTGGGGTGAATATCTCAATAAATTATGTAGATATAAATAGATTCTATCTAGATTCTCACATAATCCTTTTACTCTTGACCTAAGACGGTTTTATTGTATTAAATTCTCTTACCTCAGTGTGTTTCTAATGAACCATCTGTAGATTCTGTTTTATAAAAATGGTTTGTATATTATATAACATTTAGGGATTCATATCTGTTTTATCTTTGCTGTGAAGGTATAATATAATAACTCTTATTCTCATTTAATACTTTTTAGCCTTAATTATGTTTGATATGAAGTTGTTATCTTTGCTTTCCTTTTCTTGTTGTTTTGCTTGTTATTTTTTCATCCATTCTTTGATTTGTAGCCTCTCAAACTTTTTTAAGGGATTCTCTTGTCTACAATACAAAGTTGCATTTTGCTGTCATTCTACCTGAAATTTTTTACTTTTAATGAGCTAAGCCTACAAACACATAATAATTAATTATTCACTAAGTAATTACTTTTTTGTTTTCTTTTGTTTTTATCTTTTTAAGTAATAGAAAAGTTTATATTTTGGTTATAATGTTTACTGTTGTGTGAGTATCTCATTCCCCATTTTCCTTAGGAGTATCTGTGGATTTCTACAAGAAACAAATAAAACATTCACTTAGTTCCTCTTCCTTCCTTCTTCTTCACCATTTAATTTTAATCAATCATATTATCTTTCTTACTGCTATATTATTACTCTTAAATGTACACAAGTTTCTTGCATTCAAATGTTATCATTTGATTTCTAATCACTACTTATTAGGGAATCTTCTATAACATTTTATTTCCCCATTTCTCTCTCTCTCTCTTCTGTTCCTAGTTTTCTCTCTCTATTTTGTAAAGCATATATTTGTTATTTAATCTCAGTGACCCCCTTCCTCTCTCCCTCTCTTTCTCCATCCCTCTTCCTCTATCTCTTCTTCTCTCTTTATATATAGAATTTTACTTACTCAATGCTTAATACCAAAATTTTATATACAATCTCTTCAATCAGCTCCTGGTTGTCTAATCATATTTTCTAGGAGATTGCTTAGGAAAGATTCATAAACTTAAATTCTTGCACGTTTAAAACTGTTTTCTTAAAATCTTCATACTTGAAAGAAAGCTTGGCTGGATAAAACATTATTGCCTTACATTTTCTTCCTATGTGTGTCTGGTAAATACGGTGCCATTATCTTCTTGTATTACCGTTCCTCTCAAGAAGTCTGATGTCAATATAATTTTCTTTACTTTGTCAGTGCATTGATGTTTTTGATTGGAGGCCTATAGTTTTTACCTGTTATCTTTAAAATCTTATAATGTTAGGAACATGGTGTTACTGTTTAACATCCTAGGCCAATTTTCTCAGGCACACTGTGCATCTTTTTTACATGCAGATTCAGTTATTTTTAAAAATGAGAGCTTTTTGTATTCTAATTAAAAAAATATTAGATCTGTTTCTTTGCTTGATTATGCTTTGTTCTTTATTGCTTCTTTTGGTACTCTTTTCCCATGGAAATTGTATTTTCTTTGCTGGTTATGTACATTCCATCTTCTTTGTCTTTCTACCTTCTATTTATTCCTCTCTAAGTGTATCATTTGTCCATTTGGTCTCATTTCTATCCTCTTGATGTCATTTACTACACTTTAAGTAGTTTCTATTATCTTTTGGGTATCTTATGTTTAATCTTAATTTACAAGTTAATTTTGATTTTTTTTCTTTCCCAAGCTTTGTTCTTTCCCATTTAACATCGATTACCTGTCTCTTCTTAAAGTTTGTAATTTCCGTTTTTAAATGTTCTTTCACATCTTCAATGTCTTATTTTGTTATATTTTAAATTCTGGCAAGAATCTTACTTCTCAGCAGGTTTTGTCTGTGTCACTTAATGTGCTTTCATTTGTGAACCTGTTTTGATCCTCATCTTCAGTTTTTCATGAATGCCATGATTTTATTTTTCTTATCCATATTTCATTCTCCTAGAATAATGACTAGGAAAATATTTCTTTTATGTGGCTGGTGGGTAGCAGGTGGCTTTTCTGAGTTCTCATATCAAGGATTCTGCTTCTGTAGCAACAGGAAATGGTGGTTTTTAAACGTATGAAATCATTATTTAGTGGAGGTGCAGTTTGATTTTATTTTCATATTATATTCTGTTCCAGTAGGCTGTTTGTCATCAGCTGCTTCTTTTCCTCTATTTAAAACCAGCTGCTGACTCCAAATGCAACTGCTGCTACAGAAGTCACACACTACCAGATAATTGAAAGTCCTCACGGGACCCCACAGGACATAGTTTTGTAAAGCTTTATAAAGGTAAAAGATATGTTACAGCCACAGAGAGAAAGTGCAGACATTCGTAGAGGCACATAACTTATCAGTGCAGCCCTGTAGGGTCCTATCTCACTCACATAGGATGTGGTTCATCTTCGGTTTATGAGCCACCAAGGTAAATACAAGATATTTTGGTTTTGTACTTGCTTCGACAGCACATACTAGAACTGGAATGATACAGAGAAGATTAGCATGGCTTCTACACAAGAATGACATGAAAATTTATGAAGCATTCCAAATTTTTCAGGTTTCAAAATATCACAGTACCCCCAAAATATGTGCAACTATTAGGCATCATTTTTTTCAAAAAAGATACCTGATTTAATCTGTGAGTTAATTAGCTTCACTAATGCCAAGGTACAAATTTGCTAAGTAGTCTTTTACACCACACCTATCACTTAGATAAAACCTAGGCTTTATGACTTATTAAATCATGTATAACTGTCAATCTATACATTTTCACTAAGCAGTACAGATAACAAGCTAGTACAGCATGTCTCCAGGGGAATTTCAGACTTCATGCTGCACATTATACATAGACAGCTAGTTTATTTCATTTCCTTCTTGTTCAAAGATCAGTATTTGACTTCCAGGCTTCCTCAGAGACAAGCTTAAAACTACCCAAACCAGCAGCAAGTCATCCCAATTCGTAACTCTCTTCAAAGATACTTTACCAAGTCTGCCTTTTCAAGTCCCTTCTTTATCTTCCTGTTGACTGTGCTATGTAGTCTTCTAAGCCCAACAATACTGTCGCTAGTTTCTACTCAGGGTGTGGTTCTCTATTTCTGGAGGTGAACTCTTGATAATGTTTCCTGGGTTTCACCACTGTTGCCCACTACTCACACATCGTACAGCTCCCTCCAGACTCACATGCAAGTGTGGGCTCTTGTAGTCTTAGTTGCTTATTCCTTCTTTTACCCATAAACTGGAATGTATATCTTCTGTTCTCTATGTGGCAAATGTAAGTTATTGATGTTTTAAGTTAACTGTTCTTTAAATCTTTATGGTATTTTGGACAAGGTGTGGAAAGATTGTGATCCATAGAAACTTCATTATCCTAAGGTAACTTGGAACTACCAACCTTGGCCTTCAACTATCAGGGCTAATTTGACTTCAATGGCAAGAGAAATATTCTTTTCTGCTTTATTTTTCCTTTTAGGAGTGTTATATATTGTTTTTTTTCTTCTGCTTTCCTCAGGTCTTTTCAAGCTGGTTCAGAAAAATTCAAAATGTAAACTGCTTCCCCAATCGTTTCCTTTTGATCACTGTTCAAGTGGTGCCAATGCTCAGCTGCATCATTTGGTTCTCATTCTTTTTTTTTTCAGGTACTTTAAGTATCTGAAATTAATTTTCCTAAAATGTTCTTCTAGATTGTACATTGGGTTTTTCCCTGGAATGACATAAGAATTCAATAAATTCTGTTCCAACCAAAAGTATCCATTAATTAAACAAATGATGACACTCTCACCTTCCTAAGTGGTATTCCATGCAGATGTTACCTCCCATCAGATCAACATCTAATCCAAACCTGTTCTCAGTGCAGTAGTGACCTCTATGACTTCTGTAATGACTACTCATATCCTTCTTCTGGGAACTTAACATGGTGAATTCTCCAGACCTCTCCCCTTAGAATACTTGCCATATTTATCTATCTTCATGCAGCAGCTCTGTCAATTTAAAACTCAGTGAAAATATTCCATGTCTATTGATGAAGACTTTATTTCTAAAATATGTCCAGATTTTATGAAACTATCTAGTTATTAATCCTAATTTTCCAAGGGAGCTATCCCAGTGGCTTCTCTCTGGTTCACTGGCTTCCTGTTTTCAAACTGCCTCTTAAGTCATCCAAGTGTGGACGCTAAGGTCTTCCTATTTTTATCTTCTTGAAATGGTGGTCTGTTAACCCATCATAATAGCATATCTTTTCCCTGACTCCAACCTTAATAATACATAGGGCTGTGCATATCTCCATTTCTCTTTTATATACATCTAGGCTGTCCCACCAGATAGCAGTATTTATCCTAAGTAAATCCTCATCCTTAGGCATGTCTTTCATTATAATCTTCTTTATTTCTTTTACTACTTCGGTATTAATTATAACAAAAATAATCTGCTTTTAAGATGCTGACCTTGTTCCTCCTTAAGAAATTATAAGTCTTAGAAAAAATATAGGTATAAGCTTTTAAAATTTTCTTCTTAGCATTATAATAATTCCATAGTTTTTTTCCTGTACCTCAACTCAAGAAGATTACTTATCCAATATATAATGAGGACCAAAAGGCCTCTTTAGCTGTTCACTGATTAAAATTTTATCTGTCTTGTGGTTGAACCTATAGTCTCTATGAAATTCACAATGATCAAAATCTATGTGAAGTCAGTTTGAGATAATGAGGAATGTGGGGGAATAACTATAGGAATTGTAGGGCAAACTTCATAATTTAAGAAGTAAAGCAAGTCACATTCACCCCTTGGCCTTGGATACAGTTTAAATCAAGATAAAGAGAAATAAGTTTGGTGTCACATGCTCGTATGGAGCTCTTAAAAATGAAAGACAGTGTAGAAATTCCATTACTCCGTTAATTCCCCAGCCTGTGTCCTGGCCAGGAAATATAGTGATGAGAGCAATGTTCCTTTGACTCACCAAATGAAGGAACCTTGTAATGAAATGCTATCTATTTGGTTGACTTATTTCTGGCTTTGCCATGAGTCTTAACTTTTTACTGTGGGGATCTATAATACCTTGAGAAATGAAATTATTTCTTCTAAAGTACCTTAGAGAGTACCTCCGTACCTTAGGATCTATGAAAGACTGGAAGTCTCAGAAAGTGTAAGTCGGCTTTGATTGCTAAAATCAATCTTTGTTTGTTTGAACTTCAAACGCGGTTTCAGTACCTTACCTGAGGATGCCACCAAAGCCTTGCTTAATTCTTGAAACGTGGCAGACTCTGCCTGCTAAGATTTGTCTTTGAGGCTGCTATTCTTTTGACATTCACTTCTGGTGAAACCATCTGACGTGGCTGCACAGAAGGCTTGGTGTCCCCAGATGTGGTTTTGATCCCTAATTCTTGGGTTCACATTCAAGGTTTCCTAAACCACAAGAATGTAAGGGATTTTTGTCACTGCCATTTCTCAAGCACCTGGAACAGTGACTGGCATATATTAGATGTTCAATGAATAACTAAATTGGGAAGTCAATGGTCATTCATTGTCTCTCTGAAATGAAAATCAACGTGTCCCCTAATAAATTGTTAATTTTCAGTGAATAAAAATACCTTTGTATTGTGATTGAATTTAGCTTGATTATGCCTGGGCTGTATATGAAGAATGACCTTTAACAATAACCTGATGACTCTCAGCCTATCATCATCTCACTAAACAGGTTAGTTTCTTTTCTCATAAGAAAACTTAGTGAGTGGGGTAAAGTACACAAGTAGGGGATAATTCTGTTCCTTTATAGGTAATGGAATATATGTCCTCAGACCTCTATGGAAGATAAAGAATCAAAGAATAAATATGTCCCCTGCAATCAGGACCATAATTAAATTTTCACAAAGGCCTATCACATGCAGTTGTTTGGGGTTTGAAGCATCATTGAGAATTAAGGCAATAAAATAATGAATACTGTGATATTTGACCTCTGCATTTCAGCCGAACAAAAGTAATACAAATTTGATTAAACAGAATTTTTGATAACAGCATTAGAGCACTATTTTCTATTTTTATAAAGGATCACTTAAGACAGGTTATAAACAGCTTTGCAGAAAGCCCCAGATTAGGGTTACGATGGTATATTTTACTATGGTTAATGCTAGAGCTTCAAAGGTTATTAGCTGGAAATTTTAACTTTGGCAAAAACCCCTTAACAACAACAACAACAACAACAACAACAACAACAAAAACAGTACAAAACAAACATGATTTTTCTCATGCTTTTTTTCACAATCGAGGCTACATTGCGAAATGGATAGTTAAGAGAATGTAGTGTGTTGGTGTAACTTAAATCTGTATATAATTTCAAACAACTCTCTTCTTTAAGTAGGGAATATTAACTGGCAAAAAAGAAGACATGCAGGTGAAGGAAAACATCATTGTGACCTACAAATGACCATATATTAAGTCCACTCTTAATTTTTGGTTATGGAAAGTAAATAAAGCATACACAAAGTAATTTGCTCAATCTTAGACAGCCTGTTAGTGTCAAAACAATAGCCTAGAGCACTCGTTTTTTCTGCCTTATGTCTCAGCCCACTCATGGCTCTTCCTTCCTTCCTTCTTTCCTTCTGTTTCAGTCATGATCCATCATTTCATTGATTTTCTTTCCTTTTTCTTTTCTTTCTTTTTTTTTAATAGCATCTGGGGTGCAGGGTGCAATCACTGCTCATTGCAGCCTCGACCTCCGAGGCTCAAGTAATCCACCTACCTCAGCCTTTGGAGTAGCTAGTACTACAGGCATGCACCACCACACTTGGTTAATTTTTTTGTATTTTTTGTAGAGACAGGGTTTCGCCATGTTGCCCAGGCTGGTCTTGAACTCCTGAGCTCAATTGATCCACCTGCCTGGACCTCCCGAAGTTCTGGCATTACTGGCATAAGCCACAGTGCCTGACCATTTCATCCATTTTCTTTACAGTTCCCTTAACTCACTTATCATTATTTTCCTATTCCAACTTCCAAGCAAATTCAATACCCTGAATACATTCATGACATTTTTCTTGGATCTAGTGCTGAGTTCCAAGCTGAGTGATACATTTAGATCATGCAGAAGTTGTCTCCCCTCACTCCTGACACATCTAACCACAAATGATTACTGAGACTTGTCCATTAAAACTTTCAGATCCCACTCAATGGTTTTCACTTCTTTCTATTCCCACCACCACCTCAACATACAGGCCCTAATTAAATTCCAAACTTATAGCAAATTTCAAACATATACAAAATTATAGAGAATGGTGTAGTGAAGCCCCTAGTCGCTGATCTGTCAGCTTCAACAGTTAACATTAATGACTAATGTTTATCTCTATCTTCCATTACGTTAAAGTCAGTACCAGACATTATATAATTTCACCCATAAATATTTCAGAAAATACTTATAAATATTTTTAACTCAAAAAATTATTCGTAATACCATTGTTACGCTTTAAAAATTACCAACAGTCCCTTAATATCATCAACTATTTAATCAGCGATATAGTTTCCCAGTTGTCTAACATATTTGTGTTTGTTTGTTTTGGTTTACAGTTTGGTTGTTTGAAATGGGATCCAAATAGGGGCCATAACTGTAATTGGGTGGTATGATTCTAAAGTGTATTTTAATTCATAGGCTTTTTCCTTTGAATTTTCCTTTCTTACATCTATAGTTCAGTACTGGTTTATATTTTGGGGCAGGGGATGGGACCATAAAGTGATATTCAGTTCCAAGTGTATACTGTAATGAAACCACTGAGAACATTTATGCATTCTCTACTTTGCCTTCTTTTCTCTTTCCTTCCTTTGTTCCTTTTTTTTTTCTTTTTTTTTGAGACGGAGTCTCGCTCTGTCACCCAGGCTGGAGTGCAGTGGCGCGATCTTGGTTCACTGAAAGCTCGGCCTCCCGGGTTCACGCCATTCTCCTGCCTCAGCCTCCCGAGTAGCTGGGACTACAGGCGCCCGCCACCACGCCCGGAGTAATTTTTTGTATTTTTAGTAGAGACGGGGTTTCACCGTGTTAGCTGGGATGGTCTCGATCTCCTGACCTCGTGATTCTTCCGTCTCGGCCTCCCAAAGTGCTGGGATTACAGGCGTGAGCCACTGCGCCCGGCCCCTTTGTTCCTTTCTTAAGCTTTTTAGTTTAGTCATAAAACCTGAATACTGAAAAAACCTTCACTACCATTTTTGCCAAGAGGTTGAGTATTTTAATCTAGTTACAAGCCTAAAATGTGGCTTCCATAAATTCTTTTACAGGGTTTTTCAAATACTAAGTTCAAAGAGCAGAAGTTATTACATCCGTGCACTAGTAACAACACTTTTAAAGTTCTGTGAATCTTAAAATAATCAGGTGAAAATATTACATCACAGTAAAGCAACCGTATTATATGGAAGGTTGTGAGGAGTGAATGTCCAAGAAACCTTAAAAGTGTAGCAAGTCAGTTACATATTTGAAATTAGACAAAACAAGAATTTAAGGACATCAAAAGAAACGCCAAAATCTGTGATGTGTGAGTACATCAAAGGTAAGGGATAAGTGAGTGCCCTTATTGATAAATGTTCTTAGGTCTAAAAGGAAATAAAATCTTTGCTTAAAAAATTAATATTCCACTTTCAAATTGTTAGCATTCAGCAAATATTAACTAGCGTTGATACAAACATATGTTTAGTATGTAATTATCCCAAATATATGATAAGAATGTAGTCTTCTAGAAATTTTGGAAAAAGTTTTGGCTGAAATGCATAAACAAATGGAAAAATGCAAAACTGAGCTAATTAAAAAATTAAAATGATAGCAAAATTGCATTTTAAAAAGGATTAAATTAATAAATACTGGTTTAATCTTAGAGAGAAGAGGGCTTAATCAAGAACCTGTAGTCTGGATCACATATGCCTCTACCATGTAGCTTTCCTCCCCTCTACCAGGAGAGCCACAGTACGTTCACTGAGAGCCACTAGTGCTCAGATATTGGTTTCTAAATGGCATTACCCCTTAAAAAAAGATCAAGATCCTTAGTGAAATGTCTGATTGTAGATCTGAGGCACGAAAACAGGAAAGTGAGTTGGAAGATCTTGTTCTAGAAAATAAGAAATTATTTAAACACTGATGGGACAATGCTAAAAAACACAATTTAGTGACAAATAAAATAGTATTGGGACAAATGCAGACATGTCCCATGTTTCTGGACTAAGGACTCAAACTCATCTATAAATTTTATGTAATTCTTATCAATATACTAAGATAATATTTAAATATAATTTGAAGATGATTTATAGTTTACATGATATAAAAAATGAACATTTTGAAAGACAGACCTATAATATCTTGACCTGACAGGGACCAAAATATATAATAAGACAACAGTATTTTGAATAATTTAGAGCTCATAGAGAAATTAACAAGCAAATGAAACAAAATATCTAGACACAAATGCTACAAATGGGAGTATTTAAATAAAATTATTAAGCAATCAATTATATATGAGGAAAATATTATGTCACATTCCTACTTCATTCCATATAATAAATTCCAGGTAGATTATATATCTACAGGCCTTTCAAGAAAATGTAGAAGAATGTTTTCCAAATATGTTACCAAGAGAGCTTTCTCAGATATAACTATATAACTATTAAATATTTTCATAAGAATAAAACAAAAATATTTTTGATATAAGAAAAGGATTGAGATAAAATATTTGTAGCATATATGTAATACATATAACATATATAACAAAAGCAAATTAATTTTCATAATATATCATGAGCACCTATAACAGGTAAAAAAACAACAGTAGAAAATGGCAAATGAAATCAACGGACAACTAACAGCCAATAATGCAAACTGTTTAATACTAATAATCAGTCATACAAGATTGAATTCTAATGGCTAATGACATTAGATGATTAATCTGGCTAATAAGATTCCTGGTAAGCAATTCAATGACATTTTAAGAAAATTATTTGTGTATGTTTTGATTGACAAATAAAACTATATATTTTTCAGGTATAACATGTTTTGAAATTCCTATACATTGTGGAATGGCTAAATTGAGCTAATAAACATATGCATTACCTAAAATACTTATTTTTTATGGGGAGAACAATTAAAATCTACTCTAAGCAATTTTCAAAAACACAGTACATTGTTATTAACTATAGTCACCATGTTCTACAACATATTTCTTGAACTTATTCCTCCTGCCTAATGAAAATTTTGTATCCTCTGGCCATCTCCCCAACTCCCTGTTCCCACTACTACTCCCATCCCTAAGTGCCACAATTCTATTTTCCACCTCTAGGAGTTCAACGTTTTTAGATTACACTTATAAGTGAGCTCATATCGTGTTTGTTTTTCCATGTCTAGCTTATTTCATTTAATACAATATCCCCTAAGTTTGTCCATGTTGTCACAAATGACAGAATTTCCATCTTTTTAAAGGCTGAATAGTGTTCCACTGTGTACACATATCACATTTTTTTGTCCATTCACTTTTTGATGGACACTTCCTTATGTTGACTTTTGTGAATAATGCTGCAATGAATGTGGCAGTGCAGGTACCTCTTTGGCATACCAATTTCATTTCCTTTGGATATAGACCCAGTAGTGAGATTGCTGGATCATATAGTGGTTCCATTTTTAATATTTTGAGGAATGACCATACTGTTTTTCATAATGGCTGTACAGGCATACCTCAGAGATATTGTGGGCTTGTTCCAAACCATTGCAATAAAGGAAATATTGCAATAAAGTGAGTTAAGCAAATATTTTTTCCCAGTGCACATAAAAGCTATGTTTACAATACACTGTATTATATAAAGTGTGCAATAGCATTATTTCTAAAGACACAATGTACATAACTTAATTTAAAAGTACATTATTGCTATAAAAGCTAACAATCATCTGTATCTTCAGCAAGTTATAATCTTTTTTGCTGGTGGAGGGTCTTGCCTTGATGTTGATGGCTACTAACTAATGACGGTGGTGGGTGCTGAAAGTTGGGGTGGCTGTCACAATGTCTTAAGAAAGTTTGCTGCATTGATTGACTCTTCCTTTCACTTAAGATTTCTCTGTAGCGTGAGATCCTATTTGATAGCATTTTTATCCACAGTAGAACTTCTTTTACAGTTGGAGTTAATTCTCTCAAACCCTGCTGCTGCTCTATCAGCTATGTTTATGTAATATTCTAAATCATTGGTTGTCATGTCAATAACAATTACTGTGTCCTCACCAGGGGTAGATTCCACCTCTAGGAACCACTTTCTTTGCTCAACAATAAGAAACAATTCCTCATTTGTTAAAGTTTTTCATGAGATTGCACCAATTCAGTCAAAACTTCAGACTCCACTCATAATTCTAGTTCTCTTGCTGTTTCTCCCACATCTGCTGTGACATCCACCACTGAAGTCTTGAGCCCCTCCAAGTCATCCATGAGGGTTGCAATTAACTTCTTCCAAAGTCCACTTTTTTTCATATTTTGACTTCCTCCCATGAATCACAAGTGTTCTTAATGGTATCTAGAATATAAAACCCTTTCCAGAAGGTTTTCAATTTACTTTGCCCAGATCCATCAGAGGAATCCCTATCTATGGAAGCTATAGCCTTACAAAATGTATTTCTTACATAATAAGGCCTCAAAATTCAAACTACTCTTTAATCCATGGGCTGCTGAATAGATGTTTTAGCAGGCATGAACATAACATTAATTTCCTTATACATGTTCATCAGAGCTTTTAGGTGTATTGTATTGTCAATGAACAGTGATATTTTAAAAGTTATCTATACATATACATATATATATATATATATATATATATATTTTTTTTTTTTTTTTTCTGAGCAGCAGGTCTCAACAGGGGCTTAAAATATTCATTAAACCATGCTATAAAGAGATGTGCTGTTATCCAGGCTTTTGCTGTTCCTTTTACACAGCACGGCCTGGGTAGCTTTAGCAACATTCGTTAAGAGCTCCAGGATTTCTGGAATGGTAAATTAGCACTGGATCAATCTAAAGTCATCAGCAGGATTAGCCCCAACGAGAGAGTCATTCTGTCTTTTTTTTTGTTGTTGAGACAGGGTCTCCCTCTGTTGCCCAGGCTGGAGTGCAATGGTGTGATCTCGGCTCACTGTAACCTCCGCCTCTCTGGTTCAAGCGATTCTCCTGCTTCAGCCTCCTGAGTAGCTGGGATTACAGGCATGTGCCACCACATCTGGCTAGTTTTTGTATTTTCAGCAGAGACGGGATTTCACCATAGTGGTCAGGCTGCTCTGGAACTCCTGATGTCAGGTGATCTGCCCGCGTGGACCTCCCAAAGTGCTGGGATTACAGGTGTGAGCCACCGCGCCCAGCCAGTCTGTCCTTTGAAGCCCTGCATTGACTTCTACTTTCTAGCTATGAAAGTCCTCGATGGCATTTTCTTCCAATAGAAGAAGGCTGTTTTTTCTGTAGCCACCTTCATCAATGATCATAGCTAGATCTTCTGGATCACTCACTGAAGCTTCTGCATCAGCACTTGCTGCTTCACCTTGCACTTTTATGTTATGGAAACAGTTTTTTTTTTTTTCCTTAAATCTCATAAACCAACCTTTGTGAACTTTCAACTTCTCTTCTGCAGTTTCCTCACCTCTCTCAGCCTTCATAGAATTGAAGAGAATTAGGGCTTTCTTCTGGATTAGGCCTCAGCTCAAGGGAATGTTACGGCTGGTTTGATCTAGCCAGACTACTGAAACTTTCTCCATATCAGCAATAAGGCTGCTTTGTTTCTTATCATGTGTGTGTCTACTAGAGCAGTACTTATAATTTCTTTCAATAAGTTTTCCTTTGCTGTCACAACTTGGCTAATTGTTTGGCACAAGAGGTCCAGCTTTTGAGAAGCCTTTCTCACTAAGCTTAAACATTTCTAGCTTTTGACTTAAAGTGAGAGATGTGTGACTCTTTCTTTCAGTCGAATACTTAGAAGCCATTGTAGGGTTATTAATTGGCCCAATTTCAATATTTTTGTATCTCAGGGAACAGGGAGGCCTGAAGATAGAAAGACAAGGAAGAGCAATCACTGGGGAAGACAGAACACATACAGCATTTATTGATTGAATTCACTGCCTCATATGGGTGTGGTTTTTAGTACTCCAAAACAATTATAATAGTAACATAAAGATCACTCACTGATCACAGATCACCATAACAGATATCATCATAATAAAAAGTTTGAAATATTGTGAGAATTAGCAAAATCTGACACAGAGACACCAAGTGAGCACATACTACTGGAAAAAATGGCAGCAATAGACCTGCTTTATTCAGGGTTGCCACAGTCTTCAATTTGTAAAAAAATTGCAATATCTGTGGAGCACAGAAAGGTAAAGTGCAATAAAATGAGGTATGCCTGTATGAATTTATATTGCCAATGGCAGTGTACAAGGGTTCCCTTTTCTCCACATCCTCTCCAACACTTGTTATCTTTCATCTTTTTTATAGTAGTCATTCTAGTAAGTATGAGGTGACATCTCATTGTGTTTTTGTTGTTGTTGTTGTTGTTTTTTGAGACAGAGTCTTGCTCTGTTGCCCAGGCTGGAGTGCAGTGGCGCGATCTCGGCTCACTGAAAGCTCCACCTCCCGGATTCACACCATTCTCCTGCCTCAGCCTCCAGAGTAGCTGGGACTACAGGCGCCCGCCACCACGCCCAGCTAATTTTTTGTATTTTTAGTAGAGACGGGGTTTCACCATGTTAGCCAGGGTGGTCTTGATCTTCTGACCTAATGATCTGCCCACCTCCACCTCCCAAAGTGCTGGGATTATAGGCGTGAGCCACCACTCCTGGCCTTCATTGTGGTTTTGATCTGATGTTCCCTGATGCTTAGTGATGTTGAGCATTTTTTCATATACCTTTGGTCCTTTATATGTCTTCTTTGCCAAATTTTAGACTGTTTTTTGTTCTCTTGGCTATTGAGTTGTTTAAATTTCTTATATGTTTTGGATATTAACTTCTTATTAGATATATGGTGTGCAAAATTTTTTCACATTATGTAGTCTCTTCCCTTTGTTGATTGTTATTTTGCTATGCAGAGGCTTTTTTAGCTTGATGTAATCCTATTTGTCTATTTTTTGCTTTTGTTGCCTGTGCTTTTGTGGTCATGTCCAAAAAATCATTGCTCTGACCAATGTCATGGAGATTTTCCATATTTTTTTTTTTTTTTTACTGTTTCAGGTATTCTGTTTAAATCTTCAATCCATTGTGAATTGAGTTTAGTATATGGTGTGAGATAAGGGTCTAATTTCTGCATGTGGATATCCAGTTTTCCCACACTATTGAAGAGACTCTTTTTTCCTCATTATGTGTTCTTGGCACCTTTGTCAAAAATAAATTAGCTGTAAATGTATGAATTTATTTCTGAGTTCTCTATGCTGTTTTATTGGTCTATATGTTTTGTTTTGTTTTTAAATGCCAATATCATACTGTTTTGACTGTTGTAGTTTTAGAGTATATTTTGAAGTCAGCTAGTGTGATGCCTCCCCCGCTTTGTTATTTTTGCTCAAGATTGTTTTGTCTACTCAGGGTCTTTTGTTTTTCCATACAAATTTTAGGATTGTTTTTCTAATTCTGTGAAGAATAGTTTAGTGATTATATTATAGAATCTATTTAATAAATGTTTTGCTACTGGTGAATATTACAAATTTGGAAAATGACATGTTTTTAATAAATGAATTGCTAATGTTGATGAGTTAGAAATAACATCAATGAGATACAGTAATATGTAAACAAGAGACGGTCAATGGGTACACCCAATTTAGATTTTTTAATATAATGACTATAAGATTCATTGCTAACCCAAAACACTTAAAGGTAAAATGAGGTGCTATTAATAATTATGTTGGACCAGTAGGCTATAATTCAAATTGTCTCAACCAAACTGGGATGAATGCTTTAGAGTATGGTATCAGGAAAAAAATCATAAAGTTTGGCAATAGACTGACCTAGTGTTAAATTGCTAGATTCATTTCTTTTTGTACAATATTCATTCTGAGATCACTAATTGCTAAACATCTTACTTAGAATATAACATAAATTAAGTAATATTTTAAGAATGACTATGTGTGTGTTAAAAAATAAATTTTTTAATAACTCTCAGATTTAATTTTTGCATTTATAAAACTGGGCTAGTAAAACCTGTAGGCCGAGGCTACATTTTCATAAATGAAATTGGATAATGCATGACGAGGATATACTGACCAGCAATGTAGTTGAGGCTGAACTCACAGTGAATACTAAAACAGGGTATTCCCTTTTATCATCAAGAGAATCTTCCCTCTATCATTTCATTCCCATTAATATATCAGTTTGAGCCAGCAGCTCCTATTTTGAAGATAATTCTTCTCTTGATCCCATATGTTCCATTTCTCTGCTCTCCTTCGTAGAAAAATATCTACATTGAGTTGACTCCTCAACCTGTGTCCAATTCCTTAATTCCCTTTGCCAGTCAGCCACCTGTCTGCAGCCCACACTCCACTTCTCAGGTCTCATATCTATGAATTCTCAGTAGCATCAAGTGATATTGATTATTTTTTTGTATAAGTCTTTTCTCTGCTTGGCTTCAGTGACAATGAATGCTTTTATTTTTTCTTTTATCTCTAGTTCCACATCTCACTTTCCCTTATGGGCTTCTCTGCCTCACTTCTAGATATTGGAGTGTTATAAGCATCTGCTCTGGATGATTTTCTCTTTCTTCCCTTAACATGATATAATTCCAATAGTTGTGGGCTTTTAAATATGTATGTGCTGATAAGTTTCCAAATTATGTCAATAGCCTTGAACTCTCCTTTGAGACACAGTACTCACATATTCAACCAATACTTGACATCTCTCTTTATGTATGCAATAGAAAACTCAAGTATAGAATATTCAAAATAGGACATTTTTCTACATCTTTAATATTTTTTTCTCTTAGTGTTTGCCATTATAAAAACACTACTGTTGCACTTGTGTAAACAGTATCACAATTCAATGAAAAACGTAGGCTGAACGCTTGGGAGTTTTTCTTTATTCCTCACATCAAATCCATCATCAAATTCTAGAGAAACAACCTCCAAACTACAAGCAAATCTTTTTGGTTTTCTCCATATCCATGCCACCAACTGGGTCTAAACTACTCTTATTTCTCCTCTAAGGTAATACAATAATTTTGTAACTGGTGTACTTTCTTTCACTTTATTCTTCCCATGCCTAGCCTCAACTCATTTGACACAGAGAAGCCAGATTGTTCTTCATAAATAAATATGTTCGTATCAGTCCTCAGCTTAAAGTATCCCAAGTCTTCTCTATTGCACATATTCTTAAAATCCAATCCTTACTCTCTGGTAAATGTGTACATAATTTTGCTTCTGTCTACATTTCCAATCTTTTCTTGTAATGCAGTCCTCTTGATAAACATATTCCATTCCTCCTCTCTGCTTCTGTTATTCAAATATGCCAGAATTGTTCCTGGCTTATGGATTTTCCACATTTAACCCGCTGTCAGAAATACTCTTCTACTAGAGTATATGGCCTTCTCCAAATTGTCATTCAGGTCTCAGCTGAAATGTTGGCTCTGACTGTCAATCATTGTCCAATGCCTGTTCCTGACTTCCTGCTTTTTGTTCTGTTAGTCTAGCTGACTTAGAATCAGTGATGTAAATGTAAATATTTAACAACTGATTCTTCAAATAAATAAATACAGGGAAAAAAAGAGAAAAAAGCCATGGTGTAAATATTCTTATGATGGTTAATTGTGCTTATCAACATGACTTTTTAAAATGCAGATTGGGAAGAGATGATCACAAACAGCTTTCACAGAGTGGTGCAAGCTAACTCCAGCACGGCACTGGACTATCTGTTAAGAATTTTGCTAATTTACCATCTCGCTTTTTGTTTCATCCAAGACTAATTGTCAGTTAAAACATAAAGTTTAGGAATCTTTTACCAGATCTATGGTGAGATGAACATGGAAAGGAGGGAATCAGAGGATGTTCTGATTTTGCAAAACCATAATATGGGTTTATAATTCTATAAATTTGTTTTCTAATTTAAAAATTCTACTCACCTATTATGAACTTTGTTTATAAATAGAAACAGCTTTAATGACAACAACAATGATAACAGTCAGTCTATAAGAAAGCACATTTACCTTTTTTCCCCTTTCTGGAGAAATAAATCTCAAATACCTAGGGCAGATCAGAACTATTTCATCATTTCCATCCCATCAGGAAATGAAATTGTTCCTGTGCATGGCTCTTTCTTAAGAAGCATCCTGAAAACACTCTAGGCATCTTGTGTTTGTTTTCAAAAAAATCAACACAAAATTCTCATAGGGACAAGTCATTATATCTCTTTGCCAAGTATTTAACTGTCTTTCTTATTTTCCACATGGCAGTAAAATGAGTTTGTTTTTCAGATAGGGAGAAAATGATTCTCTAACACTTGTCTTTAAACAAAAGCATACCTTATTAAGATGATGTTGGCCATTTATTAGCTAAGCTATAGCAATTTCAATTTGGAAAAATATGCTCAAATTGAATAAGGGAAAATTTTAGTTAACCACCAGGAAAAACTTAAACATCAAGGTAATAAAACACTGAAATTAGATGACTTAAATGTTCTATAGTTCATTCATACAAGAACTATTCTGATAGTACCATCTGTGTGTATAGTGCTGGGGTACATGGTAATCTGTTATGTTGCTTTATAGTTATGCATTGCTCAACAATAGGGGTACATTCTGAAGAATGTGTCACTAGGTGATTTTTTCATTGTGAGCACATTGTAGTGTGTAGTTACACAAACATAGATGATATAGCCTACCACACACCTAGGCTATATGGTATAGGCCTATGCTTCTAGGGCTACAAACCTGTACAGCATGTTACTGTGCTAAATACTGTCGGCAATTGTAACACAATGGTAAATATTTGTGTATCTAAACATGTCTAAACATAAAAAGGTAAAGTAAAAAATGCGGTATTATAATCTTTTGTGACCACTGTTGTATATGCGGTCTATCATTGACCGAAAAGTTGTAATGCAGAGCATGACTGTATTTACATCCTTGTATAATTTACCTGCGTTTACCTCTTCTTAAATCTGAACCTGTTAACTAAGCAATATAATGTGGTAGAAGTTACACTTTGCTAGTTCTGGGGGTTCTGGGTTTTGGCAACATCTGTTTTCACACTTTGAGGGTAGTGTGCCATCATGCAAGTTCAACTACTCTGAGAATAGGATGCTGTAAGAAACCCAGCCTAGCCACATGGAGAGGTCTCATGAAAGAGAACTGAGGGCTTATTCAGCACCTCTAGCTGGGCTTTCACCCAACCGTTAGTATCAACTTCGCCACCATGCAAGTGAGGCCATCTAAGAGTTGAGACTGGCTTTGGTCAAGTCAGGCCAGCTTATGCCGGCTGATGAAGGAGAAATTAACTGTCCCCAATAAGCCCTGCTCAAGTTGCAGAATTGTGAGCAAATAAGTAAAATGATTGTTGTTTTAAGCTGCTAAATTTTGAGGTATTTTGTTACACAGCAATACATGGCTAGAGAAGTTTAAGAGCTGACCCTCAACCTCCAGAATCCTCCTACCTAAAGATCATGAAGGAGAGAATAGACACATAACCAGTACAGATTGTGTACACATTCACTGCTTAAGAGCAGCCAGGCTGAGCTTCATGATTGCTAACCTTTTACCTCCAGGAGTTTGTAGTTGCTAGAACATGGAATACAGTGGAGAAGCGTCCCATTTTAGAGTGAAAATGAAACAATTACTGTACTTTTGTCATATATTAAACTCCATACCCATTTTGCTAAAAAATGGAAGGAAATTTGGTTCATGACCTTCAATTTATATTTCCTTTCGAAATGGAAAATAGTGGTAATACTTCACTGTTGTCCCCAGAGGAGCCATAATCACCAACCTTGTAAGTGTGGTTTATAGTATGATTGGTATGCAATTTCAGGGATTTCAATAAAGAAGTATTACCAGAGATAGCATGGTTGATTTCTTTTGCTTGGTTTTACTATAGAACATTAGAGATTTACTCTGGCTTAAAATCCAGTAATGATAATGAATTCATTGTTTACTGTATTTGCAACTGTCATAAGACAATGGGCTTCATCTTGAACAGGCTCATAATTTGTGTCATACTCCCTGATAGCACATTTAGATTTAACATCCAACTATATTTTCCATCACTTCCACACAGGAGTTTGCTTCAGGAAAAACACATGCATTCAGTTTAGTTTTTAGTGATCTGTGGCCCTGGAAATTTAAATCAAATCAATTTACAGACAACACCAAAAAGTTCCCTGTGAAGTAGATGCTGTTAACTTTTATATATTACAAGATACATTTATACAAAGGACCTTTGGGCACAATTGTTATCTTTTTTATTTTGGTGTGTTGACCTGAGGTTTTATTGGAGTACATATTTATGGAAGATTTTACCTAGCCTCACCAAATATGTGTTTGGCATATGGGGCACTGAGTCTGTTTTTTATTTTAAATAATTTCTTGAAAAGCTCTGACTTCCCAAACCTGTTTATTTAGAAAGAAGTAAAGTTGTTGTTGTCACTTGCCCTGAGATATGGAAAATCTGCCAAGTAGCTTACATAAAGGCTGCTTAAATTTTCTCAACTTTTATTTCCTTTCTGTTTAAAAAATATGTAAGATAAACTTTTTGTTACTAAACTATGACCTGAAATGATACAGTTTTTGGTCTTTGTTCTCCCTTAAGGAAATGACACCCATAGGTTATATTCAAATTTAAACGATATTTTCCATCAATGTCTTATCCCAACATTTGTATTAAAGGTCATAAAACAGAATGTTAAATCTATAAAGAAGCACTAATGTTGAAATGGATCTTTGAAGTCAGTTTTAAAATAAAATAAATACTAAAGACGGCATGTCCCAATGGCAAGAATATCTGAACTGTTGTACAGCATAATTTGGTAGTTTGATAAACTAAAATCTCTCTGTGTTTGCTGTTGGGATACATTGTTCTATGTCTCTAAAAAAATGTCACATATCTCAAGTAGATCTGGAAAGAAAGATCAAGTAGAAATCTTTGACAAGTACCTTAGTTTTGAGGGTTGAAATATTATTCACATAATAGACAACTTACACATAGGTTCTTAGTCTCACCAATAGTAAGTTGGGCAAAAGTTCCAGGCAGAAGCTTCAAGAGAGAGAATATACATCATCAAGATTCAAAGAATGTATTTAAAACCTGCCATTCAATTAAACTTTAAGAAATTAAGGTTCAGAGTTCATACTGATATTAAACATTCATTATGATAGTCATTAGGAATTATGAATTAATGGTGGGAAATATAAGTGTAGATGTAAAGGATGGAGATTTTCTAAGAGATATTTTGTAATGTTTTTCCTTTTAAATACTGCTTTGGAATCTAAGTGCTTTTTCTAGAGAAGGAAAAAGTAGCGTACCACTGGGTTCATACTCATTGAATGAGGTCATGATAGAAAATGTTTCCTAATGCCAAAAATATTAATTCCTTAATCTGTATTTCTCAATAACTTCTGATACTTTTTATCTCCTATATTTGTGTTATGTATAATTTTAAATAGAGTGGGAATATGTTTATTTTTGAATCAGAGATGGGTAACTTTCTAGCTAATGAATTGGAAATAACTATATGTGTAAACATATTAATTTTTATAACAATTTCCAACTTTCCAAAATAATCTTAATCTTATATTACAAGTGATATTTAAAAATTGATTAATGATTTTTCCTGAACTTCTCAAATACAGAATTTACACAGTCATATAAAGAATAAGCACTTCCATTTTCTGCAGCTTCGGACAGTTAAATGACCTCCTGACTAAAAAAAAAAAAATTTCAAGTCCCTTTGAAAATGTGATATTGAGTTACCAAGATAGTAGAGCTCTAATTTATCTGTTGAGTGTTTGCTAGGGTTCTGATCTTGGATTTTACTTTCTAAGATACAGGGAGAAGAAAAGAAAATGCAGAAATCACCCTTTCCACAGTGAAGAACCTAACAGCAGACAGCTCCACTCCTATAAACTGGGACACTAAAAGGTTATGGCTTTATGAAAAAAAAAAATCGAAATAATCCTGCTTCTTTAAGAACCTAAGAGCTGAATGCAGATTTAAAACAAAACAATACTTCCTTGGTAATTCATAACCACAAGGGAGTCCTCTAGTTGGAATAACTTTTTCTGAGTGCTCTTAAAAAACAAACAAAACAGGTAAAATTTTAGCTAAAAGTACTTCCTTCCACTTCATAGTGCCCTACAGAACCTAAAAATAAGCCAGTTCAGAGTCTTTAAGAGAAGCCTGTCTTCAAGTTAGGTTTCAAAGTTTTTCACAGAAAAAAATCCAAGGAATGAAACTTATGAACTTTCAGAAGAAAAACAAGACATTAATTTTTAGAGCCAATGGGGATAACAAAAAATAGCTGAGACAAAATATAAAAATTTATCTAATTGAATATCAAACAAAATACGTATTTGAAAAGAAAAGGAAGAAACACAAAACAGTATTCTCAGATGATATAATTTCTCATATACTAAACACAGAAGAAACTAGAGAGATTAATAAATAGAACTAATGATTTTGTCATTATTGTTAAATACAAAATCATTATTAAAAAAGAAATTGCAGTTTGAAAATTAAGTGTAGTTTCAAAAGAAATATTTGTAAAAATATCAAAATACAGTACAACTAGAAATAAATCTAACCAAAAGTCTTTAAGACGTTTATGAAAAAAAAAATGTTGTTGAAATACACTGAAAAGACAAAAATAATTAGAGAAATATACCATGTTCACTCTTTGGAAGATGCAACATTTTAAGAATGCCAGTTGTCTCTAAATTGATCTATAGATTTAATATCATTAACATTTACAAGATTTTATAAGTTTTAGATTTTTAACAAACTAAATTGTCAAATTCTAAAATTTATGTAAAATGACAGAGGGCCAAGTATAGCTAAGATATTTCTGAGAAAGAACAAGTTGGGGAGCAGCATGAAGTGTCATATTAACAAGCCATGTTAATGTGACAGAAGTGGGTTTGAAGGCAGTGGGGGGAAATGGATATTTAATAAATAGTGACAATTGACTTTCCATGAAATTTGGTCCGTACTTCAAATCACATGCAAATTAATCAATTCTAGGTGAATTATTATTTAAATGTAAATGTCAAAAATATAAAACTTGAGGACAATAGAGAATAACAGTTTTATGAACACGAGATAGTAAAAGATTGCCTATAAAATGTTATAACAATCAGAAATAAGTTTGGGAGGTTGAGAAGGGCGGATCACGAGGTGAGGAGATTGAGACCATCCTGGCTAACAGGATGAAACTCCGTCTCTACTAAAAATACAAAAAATTAGCCGGGCATGGTGGCGGGTGCCTGTAGTCCCAGCTACCTGGGAGGCTGAGGCAGGAGAATTGCTTGAACTCACGAGGCAGAGGTTTCAGTGAGCTGAGATCGTGCCACTGCACTCCAGCGTGGGCTACAGAGAGAGACTCTGTCTCAAAAAAAAAAAAAAAAAAAAAAAAAAAGAGAGAAAGAAATAAGAAGTACTTTGATAAGCATAACCACATTAAGATCTTTTATTTATCAAACAATACAGAGAATATGGAAATAAATACGGCAAGAAATACTGATGAAGATTATTATGAATACATATAAAGAATCCCTACAAATCAATAAGAGAAACCAAGTGACATTTTAGTGGATAGTATTTACTGGCTTATTCAATTTCCACTCCACTCTCTTTTAGTGTTCTTCCTTACACTTAGAGACTATCAAACTAAAAACTGTATATGCCAGATTCCTGAGCAGCAAAGTTTTCTGTATGCCAAATGAGTCCTACCAATGAGAGGAATTCACGTGCAATTTGGATAGCAACAGTCTTCTTAGTATACTTTTTGGCTGTTTTCTGCTGCCAAGACAAATGGATAAAAGTGCACTTATTTTCTACTTTGGCTAGCCCTGGTACTACCTTATTATACATTCATTTTTCACTGTCAGATAGACTTTTTGGTACCTCGGAAGGAGTTACTTATCAAGAGTTGGACCCATTTCATGATCTAATCTAGTTTAGGTCTTAGCCCGTAAATAGTCCTCCTCTTCCCCCTCCTCTTCGTCCTCCTCCTCTTCCTTCCTCCCCCTTCCTCCTCCTTCTCCTCCTTCTCTTCTTCATCTTCCTCCACCTCTCTCTCTCCCTTTCTCTTTCTCTTTGTTTGTCTCTGTCTCTCTTTTTCTCTTCCTCTCCCTTTCCCTCTCCTTCACTATCCTCCACTCCCAGATTCACTGAGTTGTACATTACATGCAATAAAATCCACTCATTTTAACTATGCAATATAATGAGTTTTGGTAATTCTGTGCGGTTTTGTATACACGACCACAGTATATTACAAAACATTTACATTATCTCAAAAGGTCTCCTATGCCCCTTTGCAGTCAATCTCTTCCGCAATTACCAGACCCAAGCAGCACTGATTTGTCCTCTGTCATCATAGCTTTGCTTTTCTAGATTTCATATAAGTAGAACCATACAGGATAGTCTTTTGTGTATGACCTGATTTTGAAATTTACCCATATTGTATCAATAGCTTATTTCTTGTTTTACAGAATGGCATTCCTCTGTTAAGATATACCGCAACTTGCTTAACCATTTAAATGTTGATAGACATTTGAGTTTTTATGATAGTTTTGTGCTATCACAAATAAAGCTTCTATAACCATTTGTTTACAAATCTTTGTTTACACATATGCTTTTATTTCTCTTGGGTAAATACCTAAGGGTGGAATGTCTGGATCACATGAAAGGTATATGTTTAAATGTTTAAGAAACTGACAAGCTGTTTTCCTTAGTGGCTGTAAGTTTTTTTCTTCCCATCACTAATATGTGAGTGTTCAGTTACTCCACATCATTGCCCACACTTGGCATTGCTAATCTTTTTTATTTTAACTATTCTCTTACAATCTTTATGGTAATCACTAACAAAGAATGCAAAAACTATAGCTGAAGTCAATAGGGCTGTCAAAGGAAACAAAAGCCAAGACAGGTAGAGTAAGATCAAGACAGTTATTGTACATCAGGTTGACTATAATCAATAAACATATACAGGTATTCCATACTTGAAATTTGCTAAGACAGTAGATTTTAAGTGTTCTGACCATAAAACAATGATAACTAGGTGAGGTAATACCTGTGTTAAGTCACTTCATCTAGCCATTCCATAATATATACATATATTAAAATATCATGTTGCATAACTTAAATCTATGCAATTTTTATATATCCATTAAAAATAAATATAAAATAATTTTTAGAAGCCAGTGGAGCTTTTAAAGCAAATTTTGTTACAGAAATAGGAAGCCATATGCAAAAAAGAAAAACAAACAAAAACCCCAAATCAACAATTTGACTCACATTTTATATAATTTACAAAATTAACTTAAATCTTAGATGAAAGTGTAAAACAATATTAATAAATTTCTAGATGCAAACGTGTTTGTTACTTTGACTAAGCAAAGATAGTTTAAATATAATTTGAAAAGCATAATTAGTACAAAAAGTGGAACCTAGAGCTATTCCTGTTATGAATATTTGCTAAAATTTGTCACATTTTTACTTTCCTAGCTCCTCCCATGTTTGCGTAATGTTTAATTTCTGTAACGGGTCTCTTCTTTGTTTAGTACCCATGGTAGCTCTGCTTCCATGCCTGATAACTTACTGATTCACCTTTCTGATCAGTTTCTCTTCCGGGATGCACAAGTACACAAGAATAAGCCTTTATTTAACATAGTTCATGATTCCTTAGTATTATTTAGGGCAGATGAGTTTTATTAATAGTAAAATAAAAAGTAACTAACACTTGCTACCTACTATTTATAGTCTTGTTGGCACCACTATATAGAGTCATACATCACTTAATGACAGGGATGTATTCTGAGAAATGCATAACTAGGCGTTTCCGTGGTGTGTACATCATAGAGTGCACTTACACACTCCATACTATACCTAGCCCACTATACATCTAGGCTATATGGTACAGCCTATTGCCCCAGGCTACAAACCTGTATAGCACGTTACTGTACTGAATATTGTAGGCAATTGTAACACAATGGTAAGCATTTGTATTGTAAACATATAAAAGGTACAGTAAAATTAAGTTATTATAATTTTATTAGACCACTGTCATATATATGGCCACTGTTAACTGAAACATAATTATGCAGAGCTTGACTGCATATTCATTCATCTCTTGAACTATATATGTATTTCATTTTTATGGATGAGAAAATGGAGGCTCAACGAGATTTAAAAATTTGTTCAGGAGATTGCACCTAGGAAGCAGTTAAATTTGGATTGATACCCAGTGTGCTCAGACTACAGCGACTAAGCTCTTAATTCTTATGATGTACTCCCATTACCTATTGGGTTATAGTTCCAAATACACCTTCAACTAAAGAATTTCTTAAATGTTATTCAACTTCAAGGACTTTGTCTTCCACACTTGAAAGAACTTTGTCTTCCACACTTGAAATAATTAAAAATCTAAACAAAGTAAATAAATCAATGCATTTTAGACATGGGCATCATAAGGCAACACAGAACAGTGATACCTGGGAGAGAGTAAACAAATAAGATAAGACCCGACATTGCCCCAATTACTTCTTAGAGAGAGTTTCTAGGTTTGGGGCATGGAAGGGGGACCCAGGCAAGGACTCCAATCTTCCTGATTTGAGGAGATGGAACTGGGAGTCCAAGAGACCAAAAAGCTGGATTTCTATGAAGAGACTACCAGAAAAAAGAGACCTGCAGAGGGAGAACAAGAATTCTGGAGATCTGTAGAGGGTCCCTCTCGTGTCTTTAGTTGATCACTGTTAAGGGCATTTGTGTAAGGAAGTCCCCTCCAAAATAATCTAAAGCAGCAGAGGAAACAGTTTCTAGAGGTCACGTAAGGTTTGGAATAATTTGTATTCCCCAAAACCAGGGTGGGAAATGCCCCAGTTTCCAGGACATTGGGTAGAGAATTGTCTCATTACTGGGGCAAAGTCAGCCCATGACTGAACACTACTCTGGCTCCCCCTAAAAAAGGTTAAAAGGAAGACTATATAAAAGCTCAACTGCTTCCAAATAACCTAACTGTTCACAAATAAAACTCAACTATATTTATAGGAACACAAAATTGTTCACAAACCTGTACAGCACACTGTAGGCAATTGTAACACAGTTGTATTTGTGTCTCTGAACATATAAAAGGTACAGTACAAATACAGTATTATAATTTTGTTGGGCAATTGTAACCCAATGGTATTTGTGTCTCTAAACATATAAAAGTTACAGTAAAATATAGTATTATAATTTTGGAGGACCACTGTCATATATGTGGTCCACGATTGACTGAAACATCATTATAAAACTAAACAACAAGTTATAAAATTAAACAACATAAAATTTGTAATGTCAGGCAGCCAAAATATAGGCAGTTGGGTAATATAAATATAATAAGAAAAAAAATCATTCAGTAGAAAGAGACCCCCCCCCCAAAAATGACATGTATGATTGACTTTGTAGTCAAAGATTCCAAGGCAATTATTATATCTATATTATAAGATAGAAGAAAGTTCAAACATGTTAGAGAGATGGATTATATATAAAAGACTCAAATCAAACTTCTTGTAATGAAAGCTATAATTTCTGAGATAAAAATAAATACACTAGGTAGATTTGACAGCAGGTTAGTCACTACAGAAGAAAAGATTCATGGATTTAAAGGTATAGCAATAGAAAATACTCTAAATGAAACAAATTTTAAAAACTGAACAGAGTTTCTATAAGCCATGGGGCAAATTTAAGTGGCTTCGTATAGGTTCATGAAGGAAGATAGAGAGAGAGAAAAATATTTCAAGAAATGAGGGATGAATATTTTCCAAATTTGAAGAATGTTATTAACCCATAGTTTTAGTAGCTTAATAAACTCAAAGCATAAGAAACAAAAAACATTACTACCATTGCTCTTCAAAATCAAATTGCCAAAAACATGTTGTAAAGAGACATCTTAATCACTTAGAGGGGGAAAAAGTCACATGATAGATGGAGGAACAATATCAGAATAATAAAAACTATAAAAAAGACAGCAAAATCTTAAAAAATAAAGGTGGAAAGATCCTTTAGAAATAGAGAAACTGAAAGAGTTTCTCACCAGCAGAACTTTGCTATGGGAAACATTAAAGGAAGTCCTCTAGGTAAAAGCAAAGTGATACCTGCATCTATATGATAGAATAAAGAGCACACTAAATGGTAAGTAAGTAGATAAGCATAAAAGACTTCTTCCCTTATTTAAAAAATTCCTTTAAAAGATCACTGTTTAAAACAAATACAATAACAATATAATGTACATTTATAAAATTACTAAAAGTAAAATATCTGACAACAGCATAAAGGTCAGGCTAGTGAAAATGAAAGTATAACTTAGATGTGTATATGTTATATAGAAAGCACAACGAAGTTATCACTAATAACAAAGGAGATAAAATTATAAAAATTACTTAGATAAACTGAATTATTAAGAATACTCAATCCTAGTTCTAGATCCCTGAGGAATCGCCACACTGACTTCCACAATGGTTGAACTAGTTTACAGTCCCACCAACAGTGTAAAAGTGTTCCTATTTCTCCACATCCTCTCCAGCACCTGTTGTTTCCTGACTTTTTAATGATTGCCATTCTAACTGGTGTGAGATGGTATCTCATTGTGGTTTTGATTTGCATTTCTCTGATGGCCAGTGATGATGAGCATTTTTTCATGTGTTTTTTGGCTGCATAAATGTCTTCTTTTGAGAAGTGTCTGTTCATGTCCTTCTCCCACTTTTTGATGGGGTTGTTTGTTTTTTTCTTGTAAATTTGTTTGAGTTCATTGTAGATTCTGGATATTAGCCCTTTGTCATATGAGTAGGTTGCGAAAATTTTCTCTCATTTTGTAGGTTGCCTGTTCACTCTGATGGTAGTTTCTTTTGCTGTGCAGAAGCTCTTTAGTTTAATTAGATCCCATTTGTCAATTTTGTCTTTTGTTGCCATTGCTTTTGGTGTTTTGGACATGAAGTCCTTGCCCATGCCTATGTCCTGAATGGTAATGCCTAGGTTTTCTTCTAGGGTTTTTATGGTTTTAGGTCTAACGTTTAAATCTTTAATCCATCTTGAATTGATTTTTGTATAAGGTGTAAGGAAGGGATCCAGTTTCAGCTTCCTACATATGGCTAGCCAGTTTTCCCAGCACCATTTATTAAATAGGGAATCCTTTCCCCATTGCTTGTTTTTCTCAGGTTTTTCAAAGATCAGATAGTTGTAGGTATGCAGCGTTATTTCTGAGGGCTCTATTCTGTTCCATTGATCTATATCTCTGTTTTGGTACCAGTACCATGCTGTTTTGGTTACTGTAGCCTTGTAGTATAGTTTGAAGTCAGGTAGTGTGATTGCTCCAGCTTTGTTCTTTTGGCTTAGGATTGACTTGGCAATGCGGGGTCTTTTTTGATTCCATATGAACTTTAAAGTAGTTTTTTCCAATTCTGTGAAGAAAGTCATTGGTAGCTTGATGGGGATGGCATTGAATCTGTAAATGAACTTGGGCAGTATGGCCATTTTCACGATATTGATTCTTCCTACCCATGAACATGGAATGTTCTTCCATTTGTTTGTATCCTCTTTTATTTCCTTGAGCAGTGGTTTGTAGTTCTCCTTGAAGAGGTCCTTCACCTCCCTTGTAAGTTGGATTCCTAGGTATTTTATTCTCTTTGAAGCAATTGTGAATGGGAGTTCACTCATGATTTGGCTCTCTGTTTGTCTGTTGTTGGTGTATAAGAATGCTTGTGATTTTTGTACATTGATTTTGTATCCTGAGACTTTGCTGAAGTTGCTTATCAGCTTAAGGAGATTTTGGGCTGAGACAATGGGGTTTTCTAGATATACAATCATGTCATCTGCAAACAGGGACAATTTGACTTCCTCTTTTCCTAATTGAATACCCTTTATTTCCTTCTCCTGCCTAATTGCCCTGGCCAGAACTTCCAACACTATGTTGAATAGGAGTGGTGAGAGAGGGCATCCCTGTCTTGTGCCAGTTTTCAAAGGGAATGCTTCCAGTTTTTGCCCATTCAGTATGATATTGGCTGTGGGTTTGTCATAGATAGCTATTATTATTTGATCCAGCCATCCCATTACTGGGTATATACCCAAAGGACTATAAATCATGCTGCTATAAAGACACATGCACATGTTTGTTTATTGCGGCATTATTCACAATAGCAAAGACTTGGAACCAACCCAAATGTCCAACAATGATAGACTGGATTAAGAAAATGTGGCATATATACACCATGGAATACTATGCAGCCATAAAAAAGGATGAGTTCATGTCCTTTGTAGGGACATGGATGAAATTGGAAATCATCATTCTCAGTAAACTATCACAAGAACAAAAAACCAAACACCGCATATTCTCACTTATAGGTGGGAATTGAACAATGAGATCATATGGACACAGGAAGGGGAATATCACACTCTGGGGACTGTGGTGGGGTGGGGGGAGGGGGGAGGGATAGCATTGGGAGATATACCTAATGCTAGATGACGAGTTAGTGGGTGCAGCGCACCAGCAAGGCACATGTATACATATGTAACTAACCTGCACAATGTGCACATGTACCCTAAAACTTAAAGTATAATCAAAAAAAAAAAAAAGAATACTCAATCCAAAAGAATGCATAAAAAAGAAGAAAAAGAAAACGAAGAAACAAATGAGACAAAAAACAAATAGCAAATTGTAGGTTTAAACCCAATTATATCAACAATCACTCTACATACAAATATTCTAAACTGTTTTCTAAATGTAACCTGGATAACAATTCCTATTACTCTACTAAATGCTTATTCTAAATAATGTTACAGAAGCACACCTGTGATTATTTAGGATATATTTATAAAAATTTTTCACTAATTATGAATATTTAGAAACCTTCTTGTACACTAATTAATGTGAGAATGGTTACATAAATATCACTGTCTACATTTTCTTTGCTCTTTTTTTCTATAAGAATTAACTTAAATGAGTAAGTGTAGCAAGATCTCAGTTCTGAAGTTTCTGCAAAATACCAGTAAAATAATTATATATCTGTACCTAGTCAATATTAGCTCTCTTTTGTCATATTACAATTTTGATATACTATAATTATATACAGTTATGGGGTACAATTTGACAATTCAATACACATCTATGTTGTCTAATGATTAAATCAGTGTAGTTAGCATATCCATCGCCTCATACATTTATCATTTCTTTGTGGTAAGAACATTCAAATGCCTCTCCTCTAGCTATTCTGCAATATATAATACCTTACTGTTAACCATAGTATTTTCTGCCAGCAATGGAACTTGGAAATCAAAATAAATACAATTTAACAGAGGAACAAAAATATGAAATACCTAGGATAAATTTGGCAAAAGATGCATAAAACCTATACACTAGAAACTGTAAACCATTACTGAGAAAAATTAAAGAATATTTAAATTAAAGGAAGACAAAGCATGTTCTTGGATTGCAATACTCAATATTTTAGAGATACATATCCTCAGCAAATTAGTCTATAAATTAAGTGTAACCCTACTAGAAATACAGTAGGCCTTTTTTTGGTGTGTTAGCATAGAGTAGAATTTGACAAGGTGATTAAAAATTTATTTGAGAATGTAAATGCTCTAGAAGAGCCGAAACAACTTTGCAAAAGCCAAACAAAAATTGTCAGAATACTACTACCTTATTTCAATACTTATTTTAAAGCTACATAGGCAGTGTAGTATTGTAGTTAGGCAAATGGTTCAATGGAACAGAAAAAAGCCTCCAGAAGCAGACATATGCACATGATCACTGCTGACAAAGATGCAATGGCAATTTGGTGGGGGAAGAATTATCTTTTCAAGAAATTATGCTGGAAAAATTGGATATCTATATGCAAAAAAGGAACTTCTATCCATTCCTTGTACCACATATAAAAATTACCTCCAAGTATATCATAGACTTAAATATAAAGCATTAAACTATAAAACATATAGAAGAAAACATAGAAGGAAATGTTTATGTCCTTTGTTAGTCAAAAGATTTCTTAAATGCGATATTAAAAGCATACCCACTTATAAACAGATACATTTTACTTCATCAAAATTAAAATATTCTTTTTCAAACACTATTCTGAAAGTATGCGAAGACAAACCATAGACTGGAAGAAAACAACTGTAAATTACATTCCTTATTATGGTTTTGTATGTATCTAGCATATACAAAATATCTCAAAATTTAATAATAAGAAAATAACTCAAAAATGGGCAAAAAATTTAAACCGTCAGATGGAAATTAAAGCCATAATGAAATGCCATTACATACCTATTAGGACAGTTGAAATGTAAAAGACCAACTAAACCAATATTGGTGAGATTGTGATGCAACTTCATAGAATATTGGTGGGAATGTAAAATGATGCAATCACTTTGTAAAACTTTATGGCAGTTTCTTAAACATATAACCATATATCTCAATATGACCCAGCCACTCAACATCTAGTTATTTACCAAAGAGAAGTGAATGTACAGTTTTTACAAATACTTGTAAGTGAATGTTCACAAAAACTTTATTTTTGTAACGCCCCAAAACTGGGAATAGCCCAGTTCATCAAGTGATGTTAGCCTGTTGAGTGATGAATGGATTAATAAATTGAGGTATATCCACAAAGTTGATTAATAGTAATAAAATGAAATGAAACAATTGTCAAGAACTGTGAGGGATCTGAGATTTTACCTGATTTGCAAGTTAACAAGTTAGTCTGTCACAATTTTATAGACTCTGGCAGAAGACACAGGTCTCCTGGGTCAGAGACAGAACTTTCTCACACACGATAGCGGTAGCCAGAATAATATGGGTTCCCTGAGCCCCAGTTCCAACAGGGCATTATGAAAAGAATGCCGGAAAGGGGTCCCAAGTTTAAACACTCATTTTTTTTTTATACTAGGCAATAAGGCTGCTTAACCTTTGCCCTGAAGGAAGACAATATATTTATCATACTGAACAGTAAATAAACATACTCTTTGCTCTGGAGAGAGACACTATATCTTCAAAGTGTGTTCCCTATACAAACATCCTTGCAAAGACAATCCAGAACAAAGGCAGTTAGTGATTCTGCTCCTAAGACATGCAAAAAATAAGACATACAAATCCACTAGGAGACTGTCTCCAGCTTGTAACAATACGATGAATCTCAGAATAAATATGCTGAGTGAAAGAAGCCAGAATAAAGATATATACTATATGTTTACATTTATATAAAATTACATAAAAGACAAACTAATGTACAGAACCAGAAAGCTGGTCAATAATTGCCAGGGAATGGAGAAGGAGGGGAAGAAGGGACAAAAGAGAGGATACAAAGAGGCACAAGGAAGTCTTTGGGGGTGAAGAATATGATAATTATCTATTTGCTGATGCTTTCATGGGTATATACATATGTCAAAACATAAAATTGTACTCTATAAAATGAGAGGCTTATTGTAAATACATTATACTTCAATAAAACTGTAAAATAATAGAAGAAACCGTTCAAATTCTCTAACTCTTTACATACTTGTAAAATTAAAGAACTCTGGGATTGTATGCAACTCTAAAATTTTTTGAGTATACAGTCAAATTGCATATTGGACTGACACAGGAATCTGCTCATTGCTTGCACATTCAGTAAATTGTCTCTCAGCTCATTTTATTAATACATGGATTTAAAAAATATTTTTATTTATTTATTATTTATTAGTATTATCTTTTTTTGAGACAGAGTCTAGCTCTGTCGTCAGGCTGGAATACAGTGGTGGCGATCTCGGCTCACTGCAACCTCCGTCTCCCAGGTTCAAGCGATTCTCCTGCCTCAGCATCCTGAGTAGCTTGGATTACAGGCATGCACCACCACACCCGGCTAATTTTTGTATTTTTAGTAGCCACAAGGTTTCACCATGTTGGCCAGGATGATCTCGATCTCCTGACCTTGTGATCTGCTCACCTCAGCCTCCCAAAGTGCTGGGATTACAGGCGTGAGCCACCGTGCCCGGCCAATATTTTAATTTTTAGTTAGCAAAGACACTGAGACTTTAGTGAAATTAGAGCTGATAATCCATGACAAAATATCTGAATTTTAATCTGCATTTTCCTAAAACACATCTCTTACCTTTCCTTGTCCCTGTTAGTCTGAAGTCTGTAAACAAGCTTTCGGAAAGTGTAAGAAAAAAAAAAGAGAGAGAGAAGCTGATCTTTAAGGCGGTAAGAGAAGCGTAATTGAGGAAGCATAATTGCATTAAGGTAGGTTTAAATAATTTTAGAATTTGACAGTATTTTAGAGATTAAAACCAAAGTCCTCATTTTATAGTTCAGGAAAGTGAGACCTAGAGAACTTATTATTGCTGAAGCAAAGTAACTTTGGTAGTGACAAATTTCAGAAGTCCTGATTCCTAAGTCAGTATTCTTTCTATTATGCAAAGTTTTTACTCGTAGTGATAATATTTATTTCCTCAGTTTTAGGAAGCCATTCTTCTGTGTTTTTCATTACACTGAGAACAAACTAATTACATAGTTTGAAAAAAAAATCCCTGACTTATTACTTCAGCAAATCAACTCAGGCAAGTGTAAAATACAACTTATTTTTCTATCCAAACAGCAATTAGGGTCAATGTTTTCTCATAGTAGCTTGTTTACCTTCGCGACACTAATTGTGAGCAAAGTAAGCGCAATTAAAGTGGACCTAAAAAGAAGTTAGTTATTAAGTAGTTAACCTGTCTTCCAATCATTTTCTTGAATGTTTTATTAACAATTTTTCAAGAAGCCTCATCGATTTTTTGACCAGCCATGCAATTTCGCTTCTAGAATACATTGTCTAATAATATATGTGCACACACACACAGGAGTTGAAACACATTTGTGTTTTGATGGCTCTACAAATTACCTTACATTTTAAGCAGAAAATCACTTATTGGGAGCCTTTAGTTTGGCATGCTTTTTCTTAAACCAACAAGCACTACAGTGTTAAGTGAACCCTAACAGATGGAGCAGATGGAGCTGCCACAGAAGCAATAAGGGAAAGCAGGAGGGGAAAGCCAAAGAAGTCCTGGAGGCAAGAAACGCTGATGACTGTTTGTTGTTTGGGGCTCTTTATTGTATTTTTGTCAACTTTAATTTACATGTCTTTTAACTGCACTCAGGATTTTGACAACAAAGTATCAACATAATTTAAGAACTCACCTTCATCTTGTCAGGAAAGCCTAATTCTTTTGCAGTCTAATGATAAAAGAGCCCTACACAGGAGTGTTTCACTTATAACAGGTTTTAAGACCAGGTTTTAGGGATCCACACAAAATAGTAGGTTCTTTGTTATTTGGAGTATTCTGAAGCACACCATCTGCTTCTCTCTTTATGGCCATAGGTATTTCTTGTTTGGAACCCATTATTTTATACACTGTCTTATCTTCCTAGCCATTTATTTGTCCTGAAACTCAAGACAGCAGTCTTCGTGTTGGAATAAAAGTCTAGACACACTAATATTTGCTATCATTTAATCTCTTTGGAGAATACCAGGGATAAACAAATGATTCTCAGGTATAAATGAAATTCACAGGGACAGGATTGTTCTGATGTAAAATATGTGCAAATTATTTTGTATTGAATTATTGGAGAACTTAACAAATTACAAAAATTCTTAATCAGAGCATGCAGCATTTTTGGCTTATTTGGGTTTTTATTGTTTCCTTTATTTTTTGGGTGATGAAACAAAAAGAATAAAAAAATGTATTTTAGAAACTGTCTAGCTTGTCCTTCTATGTCCAAAAATCATTACCATGATTCATTTTTAATAAATGATCAAATTGGCATGACCAAGATACACCAGAAATCAGAAACTCTGTTTCCTTACAATGTTGGAATTGATGTTGTTAGGTTGAGCTACACATTTTTATCTGTGCTCAATAGATTATAGTCTTTCTCCATTTTTGCTATGTAGAAATATATTTTGGTTTGATGATACACTACCTATTAAGCATCTTTGACAGTTGAAAAATATAAGATGAGGATAGCAATGTAACCTTTGATAATGGTAACTAACAACAAGAACGGGAAAATTCTAACATTGCAAGGAGGGAATCATCGACTTGTACAATTATGAAAGGCCTCCTTTCTCTATATAGTGTAATTCAAGATTTGTCTAAAGACTGACTGTGGTAAGCAAAAAGCCTATACTATTACTACTACTAAAAATCTCAATATCATCAAGATTTATTGCTCTGAATTAATTTCACGGAATATGGCAATTTAGTAGTGGTTAATTTATCAGGTTATCCATTTAATGATTTATTTATTGTCACATTGCTAAGAATGGAAGGAAGCGAAGGAATGAACAGACCAGGTGAAATTTGAAGCCAGAATCTGTACAGAACTGGCTGGGCATCACAATAGTTGTATCTATATTAAAAATGATGATTTGGGAAGAAGCACAAATAGGGCACAAGAACATATAAAGAGAGGTGTAGGGATACAAAGAACCAAGTTTGTTAGAGTAGGCAATCTTATGGTGTGAAAAGAGCAAAGAATTTAGAATCAGGAGACTTAATTTGAATCCAGCTCTGACACTTATGACATTGAGGAGCTTTGCACTTATGTAAATTAATACAGAGGTATTAACTATTATCATTAATTTTACTTAGAGTCACTGCCTTTTAGTTAATGTAACATATGTATTCTAGATTAAAATAATTGGTTAATGCTGACATGAATTTAATTTGTAAGTCAAAACCTGGTTTCTATTTCTAATCTACTGAAATGATGAAACTTGGTGAGTGGATCAATATTTGAATTTAAGCCAGCAAAGACTGCACAGTAACTTTAGAGTGTCTTGATCATTTTAAGTCATTAAGCAAAATACGACTTCTTCAATATCAGCTTGGACTTGGCATCATTGGAGGGGAGGAACAATTCTATTTTTATATCTTATTCCAATTGGAAAATAATCATTTCAAATAAAGATGCTTCTTTACATGTAGATAAGACATTTCTTTAAAGCCTTGTCCATTAAACATGTCATTTGTAGACACATTTCTACTAGTATAAGCTCTTTAAGTAAAAGATTATCAGATCTTTTGATTTTGTTCAGTTCATTAATCATGGCTAATTTGCCATTTTAACTCTTTTACTTTCTGGAAACAAAAACACATGTTTTCCTATATCAATTTACAGGACAGAAGAGAAGCTTAGATGGCAATGCAGATTCTTCCAAGATTTTCCTGATACACATACCTTAGACATTCTAAAATTACATTCTTCCAGGCCAAGTCACACAATTATGTTACTAAATATGAAAATGAGATTACACTAAGTGCTATAGTGATATTTCAGGGAGAACAAAAATCACATTGTGTCTAGTTTATTATATGCATTAATTCAAGGTTATTTTTTAGACATGGGTTGGTCACTCGGCTTTACCATATGTTCCTGATTTAGTTGTAACACCACACTGACTATGCCAATAGACTCTTTAACAATGCTTTACAAGATTCCAGATAACAAGGCCGCATGTACTACAAATTAGTGAAAGTTACAAATTTTATCACCAAAAGTTACTTTACTCATTAAATAAATATTGAGTGCCTACTTTGCGTCAGCATGTTCTAAGGGCTGGAAGCTGGGTAGTAGAGTTACGAAGAATTAAACACTGACCCTACTCTTAAAGATTTTTGTTTGTTTGTTTTTAGAGGCAAGCGGGTAGGAAATACATCTTTACAATAAAGTTTGATAACAGCAGTGGGAGCGATTTGTACAAGAGTACTGTGGATCACAATAATGGAGTGGCAGATGCTGCCTCTTTAGAGAAGCAGAGTTGAGAAGTTATGCTTGAAACTTAACAGGTACAGATGACTCTAAAACAACTCAAGTTTGAACTGCATGCATCCACTGATAGTGTTTTTTTCAATAAATATGTTGGAAAAATTTTTAGAGATTGGTGACAATTTGAAAAACCTCGAAGGTGAACTCTGCAGTATAGAAACATCAAAAATATTAAGGAAAATGCTAGATATGTCATAAGTGCCTAAGATGTATGCAAATATTAGGCTGGTGCAATTACTTTTGCACCAATCTAAGACTAGTCTATTTTATCACTTACTGCCATAAAGTATATACAAATCTATCATAAAAAGTTAAATTTTATCAAAACTTAGGTATGCACTTAGAGACCCTACATGATGATATTCACAGTTGAGAAATATCCAGACAAATGTAAAGATGCGATATTCAACTATAGTGGATAACATTAACTGTCTTACATACTGTACTACTGTCATAATTTTGTCACCACCACCTGTGATTTTAAGTGCTGTATCTGCTGAAATGCCATGTGACGCTAATCATCTCTGTGTGAGCAGCTCCTCACTCCAGTAAATTGCACAATGCAGTTAAAGTGATCGTTCATGGATCTTGTATATTCTTCACAACATTTGGCGTGCTACCGTAAACTTTGAATAACATCATGAGACCCATACAAAGTGCCACTAGTGATGCTGGACGTGCTCCCAGAAAGGAGAGGAAAGTCATGACATTACAAGAAAAGTTGAATTACTTGATATGTACTGTAGATTGAGGTCTGTAGCTGCGGTTTCCTGCCATTTCAGACAGATGATTCATCTTCTAACAAACATAAACTTGTGGTATCAAATACAGTACAGTACTGAAAATGTACTTTTTCTTTCTTATGGTTTTCTTAAAGACATTTTATTTTCTCTAGCTTATTTTATTGTAAGGATATGGTATATAATATGTGTAACATATTTGAGACCAACCTGGCCAACATGGTGAAACCCCGTCTCTACTAAAAGCAAAAGTTAGTGGGGAATGATGGCCCGTACCTGTAATCCCAGCTACTGGGGAGGCTGAGGCAGGAAAATTGCTTGAACCCGGCAGACGGAGGTTACAGTGAGCCGAGATTTCGCCACTGCACTCGTCTGGGCGACAGAGCTGGACTCCATCTCAAAAAAAAAGTTATACATGAATTTTCAACTGCGTATGGGGCCGGCACCCCACCCCCCACATTGTTCAAGGGTCAACTGTAGTTTAAAAAATATTTACACTTGTCTTTATAGCAGCATGATTTATAATCTTTGGGTATATCCCCAGTAATGGGATGGCTGGGAGAAATGGTATTTCTAGTTCTAGATCCTTGAGGAATCGCCACACTGTTGAACTAGTGGAGTTGAAGTAGTTTACAGTCCCACCAACAGTGTAAAAGTGTTCCTATTTCTCCACATCCTCTCCAGCACCTGTTGTTTCCTGACTTTTTAATGAACGCCATTTTAACTGGTGTGAGATGGTATCTCATTGTGGTTTTGATTTGCATTTCTCTGATGGCCAGTGATGATGAGCATCTTTTCATGTGTCTGTTGGCTGCATAAATGTCTTCTTTTGAGAAGTGTCTGTTCCTTCACCCACTTTTTGATGGGGTTGTTTTTTTCTTGTAAATTTGCTTGAGTTCTTTGTAGATTCTGGAAATTAGCCCTTTGTCAGATGAGTAGATTGCAAAAATTTTCTCCCATTCTGTAGGTTGCCTGTTCACTCTTATAGTAGTTTCTTTTGCTGTGCAGAAGCTCTTTAGTTTAATTAGATCCCATTTGTCAATTTTGGCTTTGGTTGCCATTGCTTTTGGTGTTTTAGACATGAAGTCCTTGCCCATGCCTGTGTCCTGAATGGTATTGCCTAGGGTTTCTTCTAGGGTTTTTATGATTTTACTCTAACATTTAAGTCTTTAATCCATCTTGAATTAATTTTTGTATAAGGGGATTGCAGCACTATTCACAATAGCAAAGACTTGGAACCAACCCAAATGTCCATCAATGATAGACTGGATGAAGAAAATGTGGCACATATACACCATGGTATACTATGCAGCCATAAAAAAGGATGAGTTCATGTCCTTTGTAGGGACATGGATGAAGCTGGAAACCATCATTCTCAGCAAACCATCACAAGGACAGAAAACCAAACACTACATGTTCTCACTCATGGGTGGGAATTGAACAATGAGAACACTTGGACACAGGAAGGGGAACATCACACACTGGGGCCTGTCATGGGGTGGGGGGAGGGAGGAGGGATAGCATTAGGAGATATACCTAATGTAAATGATGAGTTAACGGGTGCAGCACGCCAACATGGCACATGTATACATATGTAACAAACCTGCACGTTGTGCACATGTACCCTATAACTTAAAGTATAATAAAAAAAATTTACAGTTTACAGATGAAGAAACTGAGACAGAGAAATTAAGAAACTTTCTTATGTGTATACAGGTATTAAAGGGCACAGTTCATGTGCAAATCCATTCTGTAAACCCATTTGCAGGTATGTTTTCCTGCTGAATACTTAGCTGTGCCTTTGAGACACCACAAAGATTAATAGTTACCATTTTGAATTGAATCAAAGGAGTGGAGAAGTAGTGGAAAGCATGTTTATAGATTCTTGATGGTTTTGTAATTAGCACACTTGTTCCTCTTTATTACATGAAAAAAATGTAGCAAATGTGCTGAGGTGACAAAATAGAATTGTGACAAAGAGGGGCTGGACTTTTTGTAGGTTTATTTGCTTTTATGTATGCTGCTGCTGCTGTTTTTTTTTTTTAATGTTTCTGTTGATCAAAGAAAAATGGATTTGTCGTCCACAGAGAGATTAAAACTCTAATATAAAACTTAAATGCTAAAACAGACTTTGGTTCCAGCTTACTACTACTCTGTTAAAGTAAACAAAAATTATTCTGAAGTGTTCTAAAAGAATTGTGATACCAATATATTCTCCCAGCACATACAACAGCCAGGTTAGACTTACAAAAATAAAGAAGTGTGGATAATACATTTTATACTAATTTATATGATTTATTAAATGTCATGGGCATTAACATTATTAAGGGAAATAAAAAGTACTGAAATGCAACTCTTTTATTAAAGAAAAGAAATAACTCTTCAAAGTCCAATTTAGAATCCCTATTTATTAAATCAATAAAACAAATGGATAATAAACAGTGGTGTATATTCATTAATTCTACAGAAAAAAATACACATTGTGGTTTATATTAAACTCTGTGGATAAAACTTTTTCTTGTCCTCAGCATAATAGGTTTATTTAAATTATAGATTACTCTTTAATTATATTTAATATTTTTATAATGTTATGGATAGTTCATATATAGTTGAGAGATTTGATACTTTGATACGAGTACATTGAAAACCCACAGTGAAACACTAGTTATCATTAACTAGGCACATAGCACCAAACATAAGAAATATAGGCATGTAGGGATGCATTAGTTCTTCTGCAAAGGTATGGCATCCTGGACTTTTTTTCATGCTATTTTGTCTTGGGATGGTATAAAGTAGCCCTCTCTTAAAGATAGGGCTTGAAATCAGTAGCCCTCTGTTAAAGATAGGGCTTGAAATCTCCACTCTCTTTTGTACACAAACCACTGTAGATTCCAGGATAACATGAAGTATCATCAGTGGGTAAGAAAATAATGTGGGTATTTTATTTTTAAGGTATTATTGCACAACTTAAAACCTACTCCTAAATTTAGACCTATTGGATTAAATTGAGGTCTAATTTTAGGAGTAGGTTTTAAACTGTACGATAATAACTTTAAAAAAACCCACAAACCTGCATTGGTACAGGCTGATGATACTTTCATGTTGCTCAGTCATAAAACTATCGGTAGAAATAGGATTGGATTTGACGTTTTGAGCTTTTTGTCCCAAGATGATTTTCTTGAATTAACTTTTTATTTTATCTCTTATTTATTTTCAGAATATAAACATGTGACATATAAATAAATCACCCAAATAACATAATACATCAATGAGGTCCTAGTGAATTCAAAACTCCTTTGTACATTTCTCATATTTCTATCACACCTGCTTACTATCTAAATAGCATGAGGGGCAGAGGACGTGAATCTCTGGACAATACAAAATAAATAGGATTATTTTTATCTTTACTGAATTTTGACATTAAATAAGATTTGAGAATAATTTTAAAACGTATAATTAAATGCTAAACTGTCTATACTACACTTAAATGGTTAGTACTGAGATCTCTGAGAATATGATACTAATCAGAGTTTGTATTTTCAGAGAAAATTCCTTCAAGTACAGAGCCTCTAAAAGTGTATTTGCTGGACAGCACCATCAATATTACCTGCCACCTGTTAGAAATGCAGGCTCGCAGGTCCCACCTGAGACCTGCTAAATCAGAAACTTTGGGAGATTCTGATGTACACTCAACTCTGAAACCACTGATCATGGGATGAGGTTTGACTAACAATTTTGAGATCATGGAGTAAGGAGCCTCTGGCAGACACCTAAGGCAAAAATTCACCTCTTTAGAGAATAAAAAGTAGATTTCCTTTATTCACTACCAGAACTTAGGATGATAGCTGGAGACACATGCATTTAGAACTTTCAACAATATGCCCTCTAGTAAATATGATTATAAAACAAATTATTTATTTGGGAAGGAATAAAAATATATTTTTAAAAATTTTAATTTCTAATTTAAAAAATTTTCATTTTAAAAATGTTTCTGCTTCTTAAAGTTTTGCCTTGAAAGAATTATTTTCAATTTTAACTATTGTTTTAAGTAGAGATTGTATAAATGTGTAGATCTCAATAAAAACTCAACTATTCTCTCTTCCTTATATTCTAAAATATATACTTGAGAGAGTGGTTCACAAAAATTTTAAAACATATACAAAATAATACACTTATAGAGATACCTGAAGAATACAAAAAATTTGGTATATTTTTCTGCACATTTTGCATAAAACTTAACAGAATTAAGCAGTAACTATTTGTTAACTGCTGATATTTCTGAAACACTAAAAGAACGTCACTTATTTTTGGCGTATTTGCCATAGTACTTTTATTAAGATAAAATAAAGAGTAATATACCTTAGGAAGATTTTCAAATAAGCATTTCAAATTAACCAGAAAATTTAATATACTGGAACACTATGTTAGCTAGGAGGATAGGATTTTATTAAGTAAAAACAGTATGCATTATAAATTTTAATTCTTACTGTTTTTCAATTTACGTTCACATGAATAGCCATGCCACAGTACTTTTAACAGCTGGAGTGTGTAAAACACAATTAGCTCTTAGCAGAGTGAGATGAACCGTATGTTTGAGTTAATTAGTTCTCTTTGTTCCTGAAATGTTTTTTCTAACTCCTTTGTCATAGTTTTGTCACATTTTACTCCTTCTCCCATTCCTTCACTGCCCTTCACACAGCTGAGAAAACATATTTTAATGAAATCCAGCTTAAATATATTAAAAATATATTTAATATATTAAATAAATAAATAAACAAATAAATGAATAAATAAACTTAGCTATTTACAAAATTGTTATCATGTAATTTATTGGTTAAATGTAAAATCGAGAATATTAATAATGATGCAATTGGATTGCTAGCAATATATTTTACAAATTAGTTTGTACATATATGAATTAAAAAGTTTTAAAAGGTGAAAAATGAAAGTATTTATTAAACCAAACCATTTTCTTCTGATGAAATGTTAAGTAATTAAATTATGATCTTTTAATTAAATTCACTGCATATTTTAAAATCACAGAGACGGATTTATAAATCTGGGTTCAGAGTCCTGTTATGTGAGGAAATCTAAGGAGGATCCCAAAGTTCCAGAATTGTCCTGTTTCCTCCACTCTTTTGTTCTGAGACTTTGGGAAAGTTATTCAATATCTAAATTGCAATTTTTTCCTCTGTAAACTGATAGAACAGTTTGAACGGCTATAGTTAATAAATTAGATTATTGTATGGCTATGGTTAATAAATGAGATTATGCCATTAACACACCTAATAGAATGTCTGCCAGTGTGTTTTTCTACAAACGTTAGCCACTGCTTTAATTATCTTAGAATAAAAGTTTAATTTGTGGCCAGGCACGGTGGCTTACACCTGTAATCTCAGCACTTTGGGAGGCCGAGGCAGGTGGATCACAAGGTCAGGAGATCGAGACCATCCTGGCTAACATGGTGAAACCCCGTCTCTACTAAAAATACATAAAATAAGCCAAGTGTGGTGGCACGCGCCTGTAGGCTGAGCTACTTGGCAGGCTGAGGCAGGAGAATCGCTTGAACCCAGGAGGCAGAGGTTGCAGTGAGCCAAGATCATGCCACTGCACTCCAGCCTGGGCGACAGAGGGAGACTCCATCTCCAAAAAAAAAAAAAAAAAAAAAACTGTTACAACTTTAACAAAAGTTTCTCATGATGGGGAGCATTTTGCTGCCACAACTGAGGGTGGGGTTTATTGTTATCCAGTACATAGAGGCCAGCCATGCTGCTAAATTTTCTATAATGAAAAGGGGAGCCCCAGAGCAAAGAATTATTTGGTTCCAAACGTCAATAGGACTGAAATTGAGTAACCCTGTAGCATAACATGAATTGGTACTGCGTTCTACATGGTGTATTTTGTAAGCTCTTTTTGAGTAAAGTAATAAAATGTAATACAATAACCGGTCATTGAATTCCAATAAATAAAATTTTGTTGAACAACTTATTATACATGTATCAGTTATTTGTGATACTTTGTCTAAGTAAAGTGTTGAAGAAAAATCAGTATACCTAATGCCTTAAAGTGGCTCAACCACCATCATTTAACATTTAAACTTTGATTTCCACTGTTAAGGGCACACTTGTGTTTTCATTTGTGTATTTCTGAAAGCGAATTCTCACTTGCCCTTCCGGAAGGTCAGAATTTCATAGCCGAAAGGTGTGTTCATTATAAAAATAATTCTGTTGAATATGTGCATTTTTCTAATGTGAATTTAATAATACAGTAAAAGGAGAAAGGTCACTTAAAGAATCCTTGATACATTTCTTCTTCTCACAGGACATGTCTGATCTGTTAGCAAATGCTGTGGGCTCTATCTCCAGAATTTACTATTTACAACCTTCAACATTCATCTTAGTTCAAGCCGACTTCATTTCTTCCCTCCTAATTAATTACCCAGCATCTACTTTGTTCCCTGGAAAATTTCCCTTAGGGAGATTTTTAAAAATATAAATGTAATTGTTTATATTTTACATAAGGGAAATTAAGTTCCTCCTTTGCTAAAATTCTTGAATTGTATCTTATCTTACCCAAAGCAAAGCAGAGAAATACACAGTGTCTGCAAAAACATATCTCTCTCTGTCTTACATCTCTGACCTTATCCCTGACCACCTCTTCCCTCCTTCTTTCTGCTCCAGCCGTAATGCCTTCTACCTGTTGCTGTTCTTTGTATATTCCGTCCAAAGTACGGGGCAGGAACTTTGCACTTGATATTTGCCCATCACACTCTTCCCCCTGACATTCACATGGCTCCCTCTCTCCCTCCATTGCATATGTGCCACCTTCTCAGCGAGACCTTTCCAAACCACTTATGAAAATCGCAGTTCCAAATGCATCCTCTATCCTGCTTCTCCCCTCCAGCAATCCCAATTCTGATTTGATGCCTTAGTTTTTCCATAGCAATTATCACCATCTAACATACTTTATATTTCACTCGTTAATTTGTTTACTGTCACCTTACATTAGAAGGTAAACTGCTTTAGGGAAGGAATTCTTGTTTGTTTGTTTTTTTCCCCGTCTTTACAGCTTTTTCTCTAGTGTCTGGAAGAATGCTAGACACATAGCAGGAGCAAGCTGGTGATTAAAGAAGAAGTTGATTAATGGGTACAAATATATACTTTGGTAGAAGAAATAAGACCTACTGTTAGAGAGAGCAGTGAGATAACTATAGTGTACAGTAATCCATTATACATCTCAAAATAGCTAGAAAAGAAGAATTTGAATGGTTCTAGCATAAAGAAAAGACAAATATTTAAGGTGATGGATATCTCAAGTATACTGATTTGACCTCTACAAATTATATAAATGTGTTGAATTATCACATGTATGCTGAAACTTTGTACATCTGTTATGCATCAATAAAAACAAAAACATTTAATAAATCACTATAGAGCAATATAATGGGTGATGTCTATAAGGTAGTAATTTTACTGTAAAAAGAGCTACATTATTGAACCTTGTTGAACTCTTTTTTTTTCCTTCCTCTACAGCAGCATTCAATAGAACCACCTATGGCTCAATGGCTTTCTTTTTTCTTTTCTTTTCTTTCTTTTTTTTTTTTTTTTTTTTTGAGACAGAGTCTCACTCTATCGCCCAGGCTGGAGTGCAGTGGTGCAGTCTTGGCTCACTGCAACCTCTGCCTCCCAGGTTCAAGCAATTCTCCTGCCTCAGTCTCGCAAGTAGCTGGGACTACAGGCGTGTGCCACTATGCCTGGCTAATTTTTATATTTTTAGTGGAGATGGAGTTTCTACGTTGGCCAGGCTGGTGTCGAACTCCTGGCCTCAAGTGATCTGCCTACCTTGGCCTCCCAAAGAGCTGGGATTATAGGTGTGAGGAACAGTGACGAAACTGTCACCCCATTGCACAATACAGCTCTAGAACAAGAGAGAAACCTTAGTATTCAATAGGCCTAAGCTTATGTCCACAAGTAGAGGAATATTTCTACATTCTGATGAACTTTAATATGTTTTTGCATAAGTAGAGTAAACGAGTTTTTTATTACTGAGATATATATAGTAGTTTTTATTACCTAGGAAAGTATATGACAGAATTTACACATTTTAACAGATTTTGGAATTGAGGAGTGAGATATTACCTGAAGTTATTTGCTTTAGTTCTATTTCTGAAGAATGGATCCCTTTATTATATTTTATAGACATCACTGAATTATACTTGAAAAACACCACTGAGAGATTGATTTATAAAACCATCTGTCCGTGACAATTGTGGAGACTTTTATAGGTAAGCAAATCCTTTCCTATATGGGGCCCAAATCTAATTTAACATATCTTTATCAGATAGGCCCTGGTAGTTTCCTCTGAAACCACAGAGGGAAGTCTGAATATTTCTCCATATGAAAATTGCTAGAGTATTTTAGTATTGAACATAAAGTCCTAAGTCTTCTCTTTTTCTGTTTAAATGAATTTCATTTTTTAAAACAATTCATTTTTATATTATCTTGTCCCCAAACTTCCCTTTTCTCCTATATGTCCCCTGGATATGCCTGAGTTTAAAGAGTCAATGTGATATTGTTAGCTTTGAAGATGTGGGACCTTCGTGCAAGGACTAGAGAGTGGCTTCTGCAATCTGAGCATGACCCCTAGCCAACAGCTAGCAAGGAAATGGGATCTCAGCCCTGCAACTGCATGGAACTATGTTCTGTCAACAACCCAAGTGAGTAAACAAGCATATTCTTCCCCAGAGCCTTCAGTGTGAGCCCAGCTCAACAGATACTTTCATTTTCAGCCTTGTGAGATCCTTAGCAGAGAACCTGGCCCAAACCTCCCAGACATCTAACCCAAGAAACTGTGAGATAATGTTGTAAGCTGCTAATACATTCGTGATAACTTGTTACACAGAAATAGAAAATTAACATAAAACAAACGGTTTAAAACTGATTAAATAAGAGAAATGAAGTCTAAATTTTGTCAAGATAATGGCAAATTATTTGATCATTCCTCAAATCACTGTAGCTTCCAGGTTCATTTGAATTAATGTCACTGAAGTCATTAACGATCTTGTCATTTCAATGAACCCTCAGTAGACTTTAACTTCCATCATTTTCCATGGCATTTGACATTTTAAAATATACTTTTATTTTAATTAAATATTGGTCAAAAATAATATTATAGGTTAAAATAATATTTTTATATGCATATGAAAAAATTAATGTGCCAAGATATTGCCATAGATAACACTTTTTTGTACTTTTTTACAGTATTTTTTTCCAATGAAATTTTGCCCGATTGAAATTGTGTAAGTAAAGAAAAAGTAAGCATTGGCTTTAGCATTTCTTTTTTCTTTTTTTTCAAGTTATTTCCCTGTTAACTTTTTTTTTAACTTTTATTTTAAGTTCAAAGGTACATGTGTAGGTTTGTTGCCTAGGTAACTTGTGTCACGGGGGTTTGCTGTACAGATTATTTTATCATCCAGGTATTAAGCCTAGTACTCATTAGTTATTTTTCCTGATCCTCTTCTTCCTCCCACCCTCCACCCTCTGACAGGCCTCAGTGTGTGTTGTTGCCCTCTGTGTTTCTATGTGTTCGCATCATTTAGCTTCCACATATAACATACGTTAGAACATACAGTATTTGGTTTTCTGTTCCTGCATTAATTTGCTAGGGGTAATGGCCTCCAGCTCCATCCATGTCTTTGTAAAGAACATGACCTCGTTCTCTTTTTATGGCTGCACAGTATCCATAATAGCAAAGACATAGAATCAACCTAAATGCCCATCAATTATAGACTGGATAAAGAAAATGTGGTATGTATACACCATGGACTACGAGGCATTAGCACTTCTGATAGCCACATTTCATTGCAGACTTTTTGAACTTAACTCTGGTTTCCATATGTGCAATTCTTAATCCATATTATTTATTATTTAAGATTCCATTTATCACTAGGAAATTATACTATATCTAACCTTTTTTATGTACCTTTTCAGCATTTCTTAATCTTAACTTTCATAGCAAAGATAGCATTGTATTTGCTATCTTTTCTACCTTATAACCTAGAAATGTGGTTATGCCAGAGATGCCTTTCTCAAGTTATGAACAATATTGGTGAAAGTTGGTGCTGTTAAAATATCACTACAACTCTTTTGAGATCAAACAACAGACAACTTGGTGGAGTGGAATGGGCAACATTCTATAAGTCGGGGGAGCTGTGAGGATTGCCCCTCTGTCATGACCAGGCTGGACTCTGTCTGTAACTTCAACATCAATATCAGAAACCTAACTACTCATTTCTCCCTCAGTTGCCTGATCCCTGAAGGTACGGAGTGATCAGATAACCTTCCTCTCATGTCTAAAATCTAATAATATATTTAATATTTTGAATCTCCAAATAATATAAAGTTTCAGGAATAACTATCTAGTGATCCAACTTTTGCACTTTTCTCCATTTAAGATAATTTTATCAACAAACCTGTGCCATAAAAATGACAGGGATTTCTCACAATTCCCATATGAAATACTGGTATTTGATAATTATAGTTTTATCATTATTATGTCAATATCAGCAGTTTTAAAGTTACTTTAAATATAGTAGAATATTATTCATTACTACAGGCTCGTTTTGTCCTCTAATGACATTTCAAATGAGCATGTTCACAAAGAAGTGTCTTACTTGAATTAGACTGATATCAATTGCAAGAGGAAGCCTCTTGTTTATTACTGAAGCAATTGGCTTTCTAGGAGCTGATGAAAGTAGAATGATTGCAGATTGCATGGAACTGACAAGTCCCCTGGCTAAAAGGTTCCTCTAGTGAGAATACTGTTAAAATTGTTTTAAAATGAAGAGTAGGTTTTTTTCTAAGCATATTTTCTCTATAAGTGAATTTGTAGTAGTTATGCTTGTTTTGAGTTTTTCATTTAATACTTCCAGTTATTTTCTTCAAAATAGTCCAAGATAAAGAAAACAAGAAAGTTAAAAATAGTAATGTATAATATCATTGTACAAATCAAAGATATACATTATTATGGAAACCATCTATTTAAAATTGTAATAATTTTTGACAATGTACATTGTATATGTTAGTAAGTAGGGTAGAAGATTAAATGAATGAATTTTTAAATATTAAACTCACTTTCATTGAGCATCTATTACTTTCTAGAGACTGTTGATAATGGATTAAATGTTAAAAAGACACAGTTCCTAATGATGCAGTATCTGATTTCTTAATATCTGACAATCTGTAATGGGAGGGCGAAGAAAGTGAATGAGGGATTAACCATGTTGAAGCTGGTGATGAGTACATGGGAACTCTCATTACATTATTTTCCCTACACGTATACATAGATGATTTTTTTTTTTTTTTTTTTTTTTTTGAGACAGAGTCTCGCTCTGTCACCCAGGCTGGAGTGCAGTGACGCGATCTCGGCTCTTAGACTGTAAGCTCTGCCTCCTGGGTTCAGGCCATTCTCCTGCCTCAGCCTCCCGAGTAGCTGGGACTATAGGTGCCCACCACCACACCTGGCTAATTTTTTGTATTTTTAGCAGAGATGGGGTTTCACCATGTTAGTCAGGATGGTCTCAATCTCCTGATCTTGTGATCCGCCCGCCTCAGCCTCCCAAAGTGCTGGGATTACAGGTGTGAGCCACCATGCCCAGCCAATGATTTTTTTTTTTTCAAAACAATGTTTAAGAAAGAGAAGTATGCCTTTCAGTAAGATATTGCTTAAATTTTATGTCTCACTGCCTTACTAAAGAAAATCAAATTTCTAAGCTAACGCTAAAAACACCTTATGTGGACACTATAGCCCTCCATGAATGTTTACCATTATCTTTTGTGATTTTCCCTCCAAGTGAGAGGTGAAGCCAGCTGGACTTTCTGGATTGAGTGGGGACTTGGAGAACTTTTCTGTCTAGCTAGAGGATTGTAAATGCACTGGTCAGCGCTCTGTGTCTAGCTAAAGGATTGTAAATGCCCCAATCAGCACTCTGTAAAAACGCACCAATCAGCACTCTGTGTCTAGCTAGAGGATTATAAATGCACCAAGCAGCACTCTGTAAAAACACACCAATCAGTACTCTGTGTCTAGCTAAAGGATTGTAAATGCACCAATCAGCACTCTGTAAAAACACACCAATCAGCACTCTGTGTCTAGCTAAAGGATTGTAAACACACCAATCAACACTCTGTAAAATGTGCCAATCAGCATTCTATAAAATGGACCAACCAGTGCTCTGTAAAATGGACCAATCAGCAGGATGTGGGTGGGGCCAAACAAGGGAATAAAAGCTGGCCACCCAAGTCAGCAGAGGAAACCTGCTTGGATCCCCTTGCACACTGTGGGAGCTTTGTTCTTTCGCGCTTCACAATAAATCTTGCTTCTGCTCACTCTTTGGGTCGTCACTACCTTTAAGAGCTGTAACACTCACTGCAAAGGTCTGCAGCTTCACTTGTGAAGTCAGCGAGACCACGAACCCACTGGAAGGAAAAAACTCCTGACACATCTGAACATCTGAAGGAACAAAGTCTGGACACACCATCTTCAAGAACTGTAACACTCACTGCGAGGGTCTGTGGCTTCATTCTTGAAGTCAGCTAGACCAATAACCCTTCGGAAGGAACCAATTCTGGACACACAAGCACCACTACTTTATTCTTAAAGTACTATCTTCTAGCCATAAATATATTCTTCCTTGTCACCAGCTGTCTTTGCCTGTATTGTTCCATATACTTGGAAACTCCTTTTTATCCACTGTGAAACTTTTTTTAATCTACTACAGCTTCTGATTTTTTTTAATCCATTAATATCCAGCTCAAAAAAAATTTTCTCCATGAAATATTTTTCATTCTCCCTTAGGATCATTGAATAGTTTTCAGGGTCCATAGACCTTAGTGAGCATTACTATTATAATATATTAGAGTCTACTTAGTGTTAAAGTTATGTGCATGTGTACATTATTTCACCTGCTACACTGTAAGCTTTTCGAAGGTTAGGAACTGTGTCTTTTTAACATTTAATCCATTATCAACAGTCTCTGGAAAGTAATAGATGCTCAATGAAAGTGAGTTAAATTTTTAAAAATTCATTCATTTAATCTTCTACCCTACGTACTAACATATACAATGTACATTGTCAAAAATTATTACAATTTTAAATAGATGGTTTCCATAATAATGTATATCTTTGATTTGTACAATGATATTATACATTACTATTTTTAACTTTCTTGTTTTATCTTGGACTATTTTGAAGAAAATAACTGGAAGTATTAAATGAAAAACTAAAACAAAACAAGCATAACTACTACAAATTCACTTATAGAGGAAATATGCTTAGAAAAAACCTACTCTTCATTTTAAAACTGTAACTATTTTAGTATGTATTTTTAAATGGTAAGGACTCTTAAAGCTGGGTAATTTTATTGCCTTTATCCATGCTTCAATAAACAATGATTCTGTTACTGACAAAGCTGGTCACCCAAAAGGTCGGATCTTTCTCTGTTTGGTGTCTTGAAGTCAATACTCAATCAAATGTGAGCCACAAGCAATGTAGGTTTTATTCAATGTCCACGGAATTGAGAAGTGGAAGCGTGGCTCACAAATCAACTTCTCATCTCAAGAGAGTTGGCAAGCCACAGATATAGGCTTATTTTATATATATATATATATATATGCATATATATATAAAATAGGGCATATTTAATGAAGGGGTTGGGCATTAAAGACAATGGGAGAAACATTCATATCTTTTCTGGGAATGTGTGGAGAACTTCCTAGATCTGTAGAGCACCCTCCTTTTTGTCCTTTTATGCTTTCTTCTGGTCGTTGTCATGGTAATTGTTAATTATCATGGTGCTGGTGGAAGTGTCATTTAGCATGGAAATTAGGTTATTATGAAGTTAGAGGTTCTTCAGAGGTCGTGAGCTGCCATCTGGGATCTCACCAGTCTCAGCCGGTCTGGTTAGGTGGAGAACTGATCATTGCAGGCATTCTGTTTCTTAAAGATTAAGCAAGGGTGGGGTAGAAATTCAACTATGTCATGTAGGCATTACACTGGGCATTATACTGGGTAACAATTCCTTAATGTTAAATAGTCAGTTGTTTTTCACATTTCAGGGATTGTTTCATAGTTTTTATTTTCTTACAGTTTGTTTGAATTAGAATCTATACATTGTGGTTAGTTGAGAGCTGTACCATCCTTCCATCTCTCTTTTTTTTTTTGTCTTTGCAATTTGTTTGTTGAGAACATCTGGTTTATTTGTCTTACAGATTTATTTTCAGTCTGAATTTTGCTGACTCAATATTTACTATCATTTAACATTTTCTTCTCTTTCCTGTGAGTTGATACATCTGGAGTATAGAGGTTTGATTAGCTGAGATCATGCCAGTGCACTCCAGCCTGGGCAACAAAGTGTGAGATTCTGTCTCAAAAAAAAAGTATACAAATAAACGTATTAATTTTTTTTCTACATTATTTTTTCTTACGCCTGTGTTACAATGTCCTACCTATTTGTAATTTAAATGTAAGAAACCAACCATATCTTTTGCCATATTATTATTTCATTATTCCAATATCATTTATTAAGAAGTCCATGTTTTCTTAGACTTAAGATGCTATCTTTATAACATTCTTTTTCCATATTCAACTTTTCTGTATCCAGAATAAAATCTAATTTTATTTTTATTGCTTTGCATTACATTTATACATTACTTTAGGAAGAAAATTTTAAGATGTTCTCCTATCCAAAAATGTCTTTTCATTTTTTCAATTACACTTTGATGTCTTTCAGTAATCTTTGTAAATTTTTCTCATAAGTTTTGGACTTTTTATTAAGCTTATGCTTAGATCTTATTATTGTTATTTTTGTTATTTTTTATCATAAATTGATTGTATTCTTTCATCACAATTTTTCTTGTTTTTATGTATACAAAAGCCACTAATTTTTTTGTATGTTGATTTATAACCTGCTGTTTTACTTTTGTTTGTGATAGTTTTCCATAAATTTTTTGTTTGTTTTCCAGTTATATATTCCCAATCATATTCTAAAAAACAGAACTAGCTTTACTTCTTTACTTTCAATTCTAACATAAAATTCATGCACTTTTCCAACCATAAAAAATGTATTAAATTACAGATAATGGTGAGATCCAGAAAAGTCAATGTTATTATATTAGTTATTTAAAGGTAGAACCATGAGTGGAAGTCAGGTCTCCTAAATGTCCAGCACTCTGTTAATTATTCAAATGTAGTCTCCAAGTAAATATTTGACTAATAAAGTTATGGAAATCAAGAAACATTTTTGTTTATGCACTTATAATATGTATAGTGTGTAACAAATTTTTATATTTTGAGGTGCAGTTGGCTATGGGGCGTGTCAATTTTACTAAGCTAAAACTATATTTTCCAGAATTTCCTTTGCTGTGTAGTCCTGGGTTTGTGTTGACCACAAGAGGAATTTGTGTGAGATTTGGGAGGCAGATGTGAGGCAAGAACCACTATGTTTTGTGGGTCGGTGTAGGGTGCCAGGCACAGTGCAGTGGCAGAGAGTATAGACAGTGTTGCTGATAAAATGGCACACCTTTTTGACATGTGTAGCACCATCAGTTTCCACCAGATGTGCTTTCAAGTTTTCTGAGGCCAGATGCTTACACAACTTGATGGCAAAGAACTTTCTTTTCTGGCAGAATATTCAAGCCATTGGGGTTGGAAACATGGGGGACAGACATGGATTCCATTTGTCATCATGTGTTTCTGTTTGTTCTCATTGTTCCAGTGTATATCTATTCTACTCTTCATATCTATCATACTTTCTTGACAGACCCATAGAGACTTCAGAGCAATACCAGACACAAAGGCAACAGACTTGTATAGACTTCACCAGCTTGCACAATTCAATAAAGCCTTACTTCTGTAATGAAGCTCTTCTTCTATATCACTCATAGTGATTCTGTCTCTCTGATTAGATACAGGAATATCAGACTCTACTAGATGAATATACTAACATGTAAATAGGTTAGTTAACTTGCAAAAGTTCTGCTTTAGTCCATTTTTTGTTGTTATAAAAGAATATCTGAGACTGGGTAATTTATTATTTTTAAAAAAGAAGAGGTTTATTTAGCTCATGGTTCAGTTCTGCAGACTCTGCAAACATGGCACCAGCACTGGCTCAGCTTCTAGTGAGGCCTATATGACAGATGTACCTGATAGTAATAACTTAAGCACACCCTGAGAATGACCCTGTGGTCTAAGAAGAATGTGTGTTCAGAGTTCCAAGCTAAGGAATCCAAGAGTGGCCAACTCAGAGATTTGCTCCTTACCTATGAAGGATATCCAAACCTGTGGCCCATCCCTTGCAAGGCAGGCTGTACAGGGGATCAAGGTCCTTTGTTTTGGGTTAAATGAAGGTTGCTAACAGAAGGTTGCTACATAGAGGTTGCTAAGTGAAAATGCTATATAACCTACATGCTTTTTGCAAATGGGAGCAGTTTTCCTGGCCAGATTGCCACTCCTGGACTGCCCTGTATGTAAGTCCCCAATAAACCCAGTGTCTCATTTGCTGGCTCCAGGTCTCTTCTTTGGCCTCTCAGACGTGGTGCCATGCTTACTGGAGTCAATAGTGTTCCAGCCTCAGATAGCTTTTCTTCATGGCAGAAGGCAAAGGGGGAGCAGGCGTGTCACATAGTGAGAGAGGGAGCAAGAGACAACCAGATCTCACATGAACTAATAGAGTGAGAACTCACTCATCAATGGGGAGGGCACCAAGACATTCATAAGAGATCCACTCCCAAGCCAAACACCTCCCACCAGGCTCCACCTTCAACATTAGGAATCATATTTCAACATGAGATTTGAAGGGGGACAAACATCCAAACTATATCAAGGCCAGACAGTTATGCAATGTTCTCACAAACAAGTCAAAAGTGATATGGGAAAAAGGAGACTCATTATTGAAATAAACAAAGCAAATAAAACTAATATAAAACAAACAAATCTCATATTTAAATGACCAAGATGATAGTTTGACTCAACTTAGCGTTTAAAAGATCATTTCCATTCGCTATTTCTAAATATTTAAAAATATACCTAATTTGTCCCAATATCTTCAGAACCCTCTTTCATGTACTTAGGATTTGAAGACTTCAGAGTAATCAAAGGTAACCTTGCTAAGGTAGCATTGGTTGAATAGATGTACGACTTCTATACACAATCACATCATTTTATAGAGGGGGAAATATAATATTTTTGCTTATATTGTTTGTTTTTGTCAATTTGTTTATTTTGTAAAATGCTGTCTTTACTCAGTTTTGAGACCCAGGCTAGAGGCTGGTCAGTTCCCTTTTTTTAAATTATACTTTAAGATCTGGGGTACATGTGCAGAATGTGCAGGTTTGTTACATAGGTATGCACATGCCATGGTGGTTTGCTGCACCCATCAACCCATCATCTACATTAGGTATTTCTCCTAATGCTCTCGCTCCCCTAGCCCCCCACCCCCGGAAAGGCACTAGTGTGTGATGTTCCCCTCCCTGTGTCCATGTGTTCTCATTGTTCAGCTCCCACTTATGAGCAAGAGCATGTGGTGTTTGGTTTTCTGTTCCTCTGTTAGTTTGCCAAGAATGATGGTTTCTAGTTTCATCCATGTCCCTGCAAAGGATATGAGCTCATCCTTTTTTATGGCTGCATAGTATACCATGGTTTATATGTGCCACATTTTCTTCATCCAGTCTATCATTGATGGGCATTTGGGTTGGTTCCAAGTCTTTGCTATTGTGAGTAGTGCTGCAATAAACATACGTGTGCATGAGTCTGTATAGCAGAATGAGTTATAATCCTTTGGGTATATACCCAGTAAGAGGATTGCTGGGTCAAATGGTATTTCTGGTTCTAGATCCTTGAGGAATTGCCACACTGTCTTCCACAATGGTTGAACTAATTTACACTCCCACCAACAATGTAAAAGCATACCTATTTCCCCAGGAGCTGGTTTTTTTGAAAAGATTAACAAAATAGATAGACTGCTAGCCAGACTAGTAAGGAAGAAAAGGGAGAAGAATCAAATAGGCACAATAAAAAATGATAAAGGGGATATCACCACTGATCCCACAGACCTACAAACTACCATCAGAGAATACTATGAACACCTCTATGCAAACAATCTAGAAAATCTAGAAGAAATGGATAAATTCCTGGACACATACACCCTCCCAAGACTAAACTAGGAAGAAGTCAAATCCCTGAATAGACCAATAACAAGTTCTGAAATTGAGGCAGTTCCCTTTCTTGAGTGGCTGATTAAGTCCACAGACCAGCTATTTCCCTTATAAGGCTCTCACCCTCAGGAATCACCATGCACCAGCCCTAATTGCTCCAGGGCCAGGTACCAGACAACAAGAGAAAGCCCCTATGCCCTGAAGCCAGAGAAATCATTTAAATTAGCCAATTCTGTAAGAGCTAGCAAAACCTAAACCTACCAACTTGCCACACTTTTACTGCTCCCTATATCTCTGGCTTGCTGTTACCCTGTCCCCAGATGCGACCCCCTGTGTGACCCTGTCTGGCAGCCTCTCTTTTGAAGCTTTAAATAACAGAGTGCTGCTCTTTATCTATCTGAGTGTCAATATGTTATGTCTTGACATCAAAAGAATGTTTAAATCTTATAAAACAAGAAAACAACCACATTTTCTGGAATCTAGGTGAATTGCACTTAGTATGTTATCATCATGCTTATTTTTTGTAGTGACTAGTGAAGTTATTTCTGTCCTCTGTTCCTGTAGAGGGGGTATATAATATGCCTATGGTCACACCATTAGTAAGTGGTCAGATTTAATCCCGATTTTATCTAACTATAAAGGCTGTGCTCATTAATTCAAGCTTAGACTTACATGAATTATATATTTTCTTTAACACTTACTATATTGACACACACAAAACTAATTGAATGAGTGATTAAAATATGTGAATTCATGAAAACATTTTAAAAATTTATGTATGACTACTGAATTAAACATCTCATTATTCATGAAGACATCACACACTCTCACAAGTAAACTAAAACATAACCTTTAGTCAAATATTTCTCAGAGAGATTGAGGTCAAAATATCATACATTAATATAACTTGTTCTTGGTAAGTAGGCATCTAAAATATTAAAAGTGTAAGTCCTAAGTATAAGAAATATTATTCTTACTTAAAATGACTATATCATTTAAATGACTTATGTCTATAAGTGTCCATTTTAGCAACTGTATTGGGGCTCAAATTAGAATAAAAAACTTTATAATTATACTCCTGGTAATCCTAAAGATTCCTGGACAATGTCCTATATGTTAAAATACCTTTTGTATCTATATATTACCTAGCAAAGAATTATGAGGAAGGGGAGAAAACAGAGCAAATATGTACAAACTTGTATTTATAGACTTTACAATCTGGTGAAATGGTGATTAATCAAATGAATATTGAATTATAAAATGACAAATTCATGAAAAACTAGGAAAAATGCCTCAAAAACATATGACAAGAGGATGTGATATTGATTTGAGGATCAGGGCAGATTTTTCTGAAGGAAGTGACATTTGGTAAAGGAGCCAAAGTATTAGAAGTACAGCCATGTGTTGTGTATGATGTTTTGGTCAATGGCAGACTGAACATATGAGAATGATCCATAGATTAGCAAACCATCTTTTTACTGCACCTTCTCTATGTTTAAATATTTTTAGATACACAACTACTTACCATTGTGTCACAATTATCTACAGCACTCAGTACAGTAAAATGCCTGTAACATGTTTGCAGCCTAGGAGCAATAGCTATACCTTATGGGCTAAGTGTATAGAAGGCTTTCCTATCTAGGTTTGCATAAGTACACTCTGTGATGTTCAGGCATCAATGAAATTGCCTAACAACACGTTTCTAAGAGTGTATCTCCATCATTAAATGACTTTTGATTGCAGTTAATTAGATGAAGATGGGATTAGAAAGTAAGAGTGAATGGGGGGAATGTTTTAGGCTGAGGGAAGATGACGTGGAAGGCTGTGTTTGGGGAGAGAGCATGGCACAATGCAGGGTGACGTGTCATGTGAAGTGAACAGAATTGCAGGGTGAAAATAACCCTCTAATGAATGGAGAGGGAAGGAGGCAACTATAAATTGGGAGAGCACTTAGAAGGCCACTGCATTTGCTCCTTCCAGAGAAGCCAGTCGCTTGAACAAGGATTGTTATGGTGAACCTGGAAAGGACTAAACGGGTTCAAGAAACATTAAAGATAACATTGACTCAAAAGACTAAAAATAGAACTACAATATGATGCAGCAATCTTACCACTGGCTGTTTATTCAGTAAAAGGAAATCAACATATTGAAGAGATATCTGCAGTCTCATCTTTATTGCAGCACTATTCTCAATAGCCAAGGTATGGAATCAAAGATATGTCCATCAGTGATGAATGGATAAAGAAAATGTGGTTTGTGGTTTGTATACACAATAGAATAGTATTCAGCTATAAAAAGAATGAAGTCCTGTCATTTGCAGCAACATAGATGGAACTGGAAGACTTTATGTTAAATGAAGAAAGCCAGGCACAGAAAAAAAGAAGTCAGATTCTCATTCATATGTGGGAGCTAAAACTATTGATCTTATGGAGGTAGTAAATAGAGTGCTGGTTATCCGAGGATGGGAAGTGTACGGGGAGGAGGGATAAAGAGGGATTCGTTAACCGGAACAAAAATCCAGTTAGATACAAAGACTAAGATCTACTATTCAGTAGCACAATAGAGCAACTGTGGTTAAAAATAATTTATTGTGTATTTCAAAATAACTGGAACAGTAGATCTGAAATATTCTCAAAGAAATAATAGATGTTAGATGTGATTGATATCTCCATTACTCAGATTTGATCATTACACACTATATGCTTGTATCAAAATATTACATGTACCCCATAAATATGTACAACTATTATGTATCCATAAAAATGAAAAAAGTTTTAAAAATTGACAGGACAAGAGAAATGGAGGATGAAGAGAGGATTGCTTCTTGGTGTCAGGACTTCATAACAAGAGGGATAGTGGGGCCAGTCAGTGAATACTTAAGTATGTTTTTCCTTAATAGTCAAATAAAATGTTTTTTATTATGTTGTGTCTCTGTTACCTAAAACTTTATTTTAAAGTCATAAATGAGTGTTGGTTTTATAATCTTTTAGGCATCTACTGAAATCCTCATTTTTTAACTTCTTGTTTTACTGAGGAAATCAATATTACCTTACATGTTAACTATTCTTACTGTGTTAGGAATTATAGTTAGTGCCCAAAATTAAAGGGAAAAGATATCCAGAAACTGCAACAAGCAATGGTTACGCAAATGGTTCATTTTTTTCAGTTGATAAGTCTTACATAATTTATTGCTGGTTTTGATTTGGGTGTTCAAAAGTAATGCCAGGGACCTAGGCTCTTTATATTTTTCAGTTGCACCATTCTTAGCATGCTCTAGTTAATTCTGAAAATTGTTCACTCATATTTACAATATGGTAGCCACATCATAAGCTCTTACTTTTGTTTATCCAGCAAGAATGGGATGAGGAAATTAAGGATGTTCAGCCAAGAGCTAAGAGCTGAGTCCTCTCAGAAACCCTCACAGTATATACTCTTTAGCAGAACTAGGTCGCACAGTCATCCCAACAGGAAAGAAAGCTGGAAGTATTGTTTTTGGAATAAATATTCACTTAACAAGAGAGAAAGATATGTTGCTATTGGCTATATCTAATAAACTTAAGTTTTTAAGATTAAAGCCATCTACTGTAATTTTTCAACTACTTTCATGGTATTTGACCAATATGGATTTTTCAGATCTTTAGTAAAATCCTCTAATTTATTTTTCAATCTATTTCATTTTGATTCCACAATTTGCTTCTCTATGTTTATATTTGTTTTTATTTTATTTGTTTCTAGGACTGATTTGTTTAACTTTTCTAATTTCTGATTGCATTACTTTTTGTTTTTCTTGATTTATTGGAATTTTGTCTAAGTCTTATTAGTCTGCTAGGGTTGCCATAACAAAGTACCGTAAGCTGACTCCCTTAAATAACAAAAATTTATTGTGTCATAGTTCTGGAGTCTGAAAGTTCAAGATTAAGGTCTTGATAGGGTTGGTGTTTTTTGAGGTCTGTGAGGAAAAATTTGTTCCATCCCTCTTTCCTAACTTCTAGTAGTTTGCTGGCAATCTTTGTCATTCCTTGGCATGTAGAAGCATTGCCCAATATCTTCTTCGTCTTCATCTTCACATAATTTTCCCCCTGCATGTTTGTCTGCAAATTCTCCCTTTTGATAAAGACTCCAATCAAATTTGATTAGGGCTCACCCTAATTTAATTGTAACTTGATTACCTCTGTAAAGACCCTGTCTTCAAGTGAGGTCACATTCTGAGGTAATAAGAGTTAGGACTTTAATGCATAAATTTTGGGAGGACACAGTTCAACCCATGGCAATGTCATCTTAGAAAATCTCCTGTGCATTTTGTTTTCAGTGCTATAGTAACTTTTAAAAAAGATTAATTGCCTTAAATTTATCTCTCTCCTATAAGAGAGAGACTATGAATCAAAAAGCTTATTTATAGTCAATGTGGTAGAGAGAATTGGGAAATGTCAACTAACTGATCACCCCAGACAGATAATTCCTTAAGTCCTCCATGGAAATTATGTCTGACTGCCTAAACTTCTCCAATAATAGGCATCTCTCTGAAACTTCTGGAACCCAGGAATAGCTTGTTGTCTCACTTTATTAGTAGAGATAATAAATTTCTGTCCCCACCACTGCATAAGTCAAAGAAGTTCTCTATTATCTCCCAAACTCTGTCTTATTCTGGGTTTCTCCCAATGCAGTCTTACAATAAAAGCATGTGTACAGACAGTTCAATAGAAAAGTGATCAAAAGTTACAAGGATGAAGAATATCAGCCTGAAAGAATAAGAGAAAGCAACTGAGCGGTAAGTCTATTAGGTATTCAGGCTGCTATGAGAAAAACCCACCATAGACTGGGTGGTTTAAGCAAAAAGCATTTATTTCTTATAGTTCTGGAGAGTGGGAAGTCCAAAATCAAGACACTGGCAGATTCAGTGTCTGGCAAGACCTAGCTTCTACTCTTCTTGCTGTGTCTTCGCATGGAGAAAGATGTTAAGGGAGTTCTCTGGGGCCTCTTTTATAGGTGCACTAATCCTGTTCAAGAGGGCTCTACCCTCATAACCTACTCACCGTCCAGAGGTCCTACTTCCAAATACCTTCACATTGGGATTAGATCTCTATATAAGAGCTTTGGAGGGGAACAAATATTCAGTCTATCACAGTTAGCACATTGGACACCACTAGGGGCAACTTGTGTTGATCCCACAGGATTTTCTAAAGGGTGCTATGAGATGTATTTCAAAGTTATCCATCCAGTAGCTCTCACTGCCCACTGATCAAAGATGGCCTCATGCATATTAACTTCACAGCACTTAAGGTTGCATATGCATGAATGGCAAATGGGTTTTCAAGGGCATTTTCTATGTCAAGGAGTCAGAGAAACTACTGTTCAGGAATAAAGATATGTTTTACAGGCCAAAAATGAGGCACTCTCAGGTTGCACCTGGTGAAGTTAGTCAAAGTCTGAATGGAAATTCGATTTATGTCTCAAGAGCAATAGGTGAATCTAGGAGCGTTTGTAGTGGCTCGCAAGCAGTGTCTGACCATCTGTCCTTCTCATATCACATTGGGTCAGCAAAATTCTTAGCATTCTCAACTTCTTCTTAGAACATTTTCTACGACTTCCAGAAAACTGGTGCTCTCTGAGGATATCACTACTCTTACAGATTATTTGAAGACTGGCTGTTTCTCCATAGTCAGTTTTCTCTTCATTTCATAGGGCTTATCCTAAACTATTACTCCCCCTTCATTTTGGAAAAGTAATTGTAAATGAGACTTTGCTGTCAGACTTTAATAATCTCCTAGACTTTAGCAATCTCCTATTCAATTATGACTCCCTGTTCCAACCTCCTAGTCACTCTTCCTTTCTCACAGAAGACTCTAACATCCAGTTCACAGATATCCTATCCATCTCAATTTCTGTGATAGTTTTCAACAAATTCACACATAACCTAGATGGCGCATTTGAGACTACAGGTTTCATTTTCATCTTTTAATGATCAATTAGGTATTCTTTTAGTATGCCTCTGCACAGATTTTGAGCATCAAAGTCAAGTTCTTGACTTAACCAAAAATAGGTCTGTCATACAAACAATGCCACAGTTAACTACAAACTTTTATTTTCTGAGTTTGCTTTTTGTTTAAGTCCCTCATGGAAACAACTTCAATCGTTTTATGATTTTCAATCATTTGACTTCACCATTTCTTGTTGAACAATTTCTTATGGTTTATGTATGCAACCAGCTGTATCTTTTTACCTCTTCACAATTTTATTTCATAGTTTATATTTACAGCCACTGACTTGTAACTCCTCTGATCTATTTTGTACCTTTCCTTTTTGTTGCATTACTTAGCAATTCCAGCAATCTTCCTTCAAGCTTTCTGTAACCATGTTGTCAAACACTGCTGGAGAAAATTATACAGTGGGATTATTTCATATTCACGATTATGACTATCAAATGAGGATTCTACTAACATTCACTAGTGTTAATATGCTTCTCTAGTAAACCTACTTTCCATAACCTGCAACATCTATTTCTCATCTTTTATTGTACTCTTCCACTTCTCTAAAAGCCACATCTTCATTTGATAATATTTCTTCACACTGTTTTGAAAAAGTAGAAATTCTCAGATTAGACATTCTCCTCTTCCCATAGGCAAGTTGTTAATACAATATCTGCTCTATTCTTCTTTTCTCATGTTGGCAGAAGATGTGATAATGTACATATTATTTTCCTTAATAAGAAAGCATAAATAATCAAGTGCATCTATGCTTTTAATACTTGTCCCAGTTTACAATTACATTTATTTCTTGATTTATTTTGTATCGATCTTTCCAGCTATAGATAGGAAACTCTGTAAGGGCAAAAATCTGTTTGCAGATTTTATTCCGTATTCACACATGTATAGCATAGCGCCTTCTATGTTATAGTCACTCTACTAAACAGTTGTTTAGTTAATGAGTATGTGAAAGAATGGAAGGAAAGATAGATGTATAAATGCATGAATTGAGTAACAAATGTGAATGAGCATGAAATCAAATACCCACATAGAAAAAAACTCAAAAAACAATGTGCTTTATTCAAAATAAAAATGAGGGCTGGGCACGGTGGCTCACGCCTGTAACCCCAGCACTTTGGGAGGCCGTGGCAGGCGGATCACAAGGTCAGGGAATCGAGACCATCCTCGCTAACACGGTGAAAACCTGTCTCCACTAAAAATACAAAAAAAAAAAAAAAAAAAAAAAAAAAAAAAAAAAATAGCCGGACATGGTAGCGGGTGCCTGTAGTCCCAGCTACTGGGGAGGCTGAAGCAGGAGAATGGCTTGAACACGGGAGGCGGAGCTTGCAGTGAGCCAATATCCCGCCACTGCACTCCAGCCTGGGCGACAGAGCGAGACTTCATCTCAAAAAAAAAAAAAAAAAAAAAAAAAAAAAAAAAAAAAATTAGGACAACTTGTTCCTCATTGCTGTTTGAGTTTTATTAATGTCTTGAATTAATTCACATGTACAATCCATTTGCCCTCAAAAAAGTATATCAGCCACTATTTTTCTTTCTATAGCCATCTTAAATTTTGGAAAATTGAATTTTACAATGGGAAATAGGTAATTAAAGGTAGAAATTGTATTAATTCAAGACATCAAATGTTTTGTTTCAAAAAATTAACATACCAATAAGAAACAACAGTGTTTGCTGGTATATTTTTATTTAAGTGAAATATTTGAAGCTACATCTAAAAGTTTTAGATATTTTCTTTATTGAAAGAAAGGTCATAGAAATGTTCTGATCAAATTGCTTTTCCATAGATTTGCTTACACTGCTGTTTATTGCTTTTTAAAGTGCACATGTACTTTTGTAATTTTGCAATAGAATTAGAAATGATAGTTTTAGAAATTTATTGTTAGAGAAAGATAATCAGTAATGGCTCAGATAATCATTAATGGCTCTCCAGTAGTATAATTTATACAGACAGATATATTTTAAACTACTATTATGTATCCATGAAATGAATGCCTCCAGTTATAAAAAGATGGAAAATTATACATTCCAATGATTTATGTATTTGTATTTGTATATATGATGATATATGTATTTATGTATACATATTTTAATGATTTTTGTATTTGGTATTTTTCAGCATTGTAATGATAAGTACCTTTAAACAAATATATTAATTTATCTTTATCTGATGAGATTATCATTAGACAGCAAGCCATCACAATTCCTGGAACACATATACTTACTGAATGAATTAAAGAGACATGATTTTCAGAGGAAGAAAAAGTGGAATTACTTGCTTTGTGATCAATACTATGCCAAAAATATAGTTTTTATGCTAATACTTGGGTAGATTAAGTACTCACAAAATATTCCATGATTATTGAACTGCAGAAGTAACTCAGCTTTACTAATCTTTGCCTTTTCTCACAACATGTCACATTGTGTAATTGTATAGTTTTATATTTTGTTATAAAATTAGGTAGAGTTAGTTCCTCATTTTTTCCTTTTCTGAAATCTCTTTAGCTATTCTTACAAATTAATTTTCCACAAGAGCGTTGGAATAAACAACTTGAGATGTAGTTTTAAACCATGTATATATATGCACACACACATATACATGTAAATCTTATTACATTTTTGAATAGAATTACATGGTTTTATAGTTTAATACAAAGATAATTGACCTCTATTTTTATATTGAGGCTTTCTATTTAAGAACATAATCTTTCAATTACTGTGTTTGATCTTCAGTAGACATTTAAAATTTCTTGATAGGATTGTGTTTTGTAGTTATTGCTATTTTCCAGTGCATTTCTAGTACATTATTGTTGATATCTATAGAAAAGACCAATTTTTAAATATTATTTTTCTCTTAACCTGTTTATTATATTTGTATAGTTGCCAAAACAATATTTCTTTGATTACAAAATATTTTCTAGAAATATTTTTACATCTGTTGCAATTTACAAGTCTTACAGTCTTTTCTCCTTAATTTTTTAAATATCACGTTGTTATTTTCCTTTTATTAGGTTCCAGAATTAGGCTGGATAAAAAGAAAGACAGTGTAGGGGAAGTTTTGAAAAACCTCAGTCTTTCTGATTTAGGAATTTGAACCACCTGCTTGTAATGGATTTATCGAATGAGCTAGATTCAGCAGAGTACAAGTCAGAAAGCAAGTTTCTACTTTCTATTTTCCATTCATTTTAAGGAATCAAAGTCTTGTAGGTTATAGTTTCTTTGTTTCTGTTTTTACTTTTGGTGATTGTTTTAGTTTTTATTACTAAAAAGAGTCAAGCCAATCTATTCTTTACAATATCTGTTTTCATATACCCCACAAAATAATGCAAATATCCCCCAAACACTGTCATTCCAGAATCACTCTACTCAATCGATTTTAAAAAGTTCATAAAACATCTTTTCAACCACAAATAAAACCAACTATTAAATATAAAGTAACTTTTAGTCTCTCTGAAGCATGCCAGATCAATGCTGATTTCATCTTAAATCAAGGTGCAACTAAAAATCAAAGGAGAAAAGGAATCATAACAATGTCAAAGAACAAAGACATTTGCTTATCCATGATATCTTATACTGTTAGCAAATAATTTTAAAAAATACTGTAGTAGAGCCACATATTTATTTTTGTATTCTGATCCTAAATCTTAGAGAATGGATCAATAGAACTTGCTGTAATAAAGTATACGTATTATAGAATTATTCTACCCTTCAGATAAACGTTTCAGCTATTATAAATTTATCTATCTTATTCTATATTTTAATAAAACAAGATAAACAAAACTCCTCATAATTTGCAAGAAATTGATATTTTTCTATAACAATTTTATTACAAAGTATTGTCATTGTTAAACCTACCACATAACTGTACATTTCATTATTTTTGTTGCATTATTTCTTTTACAATTTCTGAATATGGAAAAGGAAAATAATTGTTTAGAACTATGTTTGTTCAATGTGATAGACACTATTCCCATGTGGCCATTTAATTTAAATTAAAGTTAAATAAAATTTAAACCTAGTTATCTTATTTCAAGAGCTCAATAGCTACATGGGTCTAGTGTCTGCCATGTGGGACAGCATGGATATAAACATATCTATCATTGCAGAATGTTCAACGGACAGTGGTGGTTTCAAGTATGGCAAAACTAGCATATATTTGTAACTTGCAAAACCATGATATACTCTTAAAATTTTGTAATAGTTTATAACGAGTTTTGTAGTGACTAAATTAGTTGTTTGATATCATGAAGGAAGTAATAGCTACTTTTATTTTAGTCTCTTTTAGAAATTGCAACAGGATTTTCTTGAGTGGAGGCTGTGAAGAACTTCAACATAAGGAAAACATCAGGACTGGGGGGCAGTAGGGGGAGGAAAGAATATCAAAAACTTATAATATCAGAAACAAATTAGAAGCCACATAAAGATCTTTCACATGACATTGTTTCTTAAATTAGTTGGATTTCCTTTTGCTTATTTCTTCATTCATTTCTTCATTAATTCCACAACTATTTATTGAGCCTCTATTAAGTGTCATACATTATTGTAAATCTTGAGGAAACTAGACATAAATGTTATGGTCTGAATGTTTGTGTTCCCTCAAATTCCTGTTTAAATTCTAACACCCAAGGTGATGGTATTAGAGGGGAGCCCTTGGGAGGTAATTAGGTCAGGGAAGTAGAGCCCCTATGATTGGGATGAGTTAGTGCCCTTATAAAAGAGTTTCAAGAGCTGCTTTGCCCCTTCTGCCATGTGAGAACACAGTGAGAAGAGGACTGTATATGAACCAGGAAGTGAGCTCTCACCAGACACTGAATCTGTTGACACCTTGATCTGAGACTTACCTGACTCCAGAATTTTGAGAAATGACTTTCTGTTGTTATAAACCACCCAGTTTACGTCATTTTGTTATAGCATCCTGAACAATAAACATAGAGAAACAATATGTATAGCATATCAGATGGTAATGAATGCTAAAGCATGCCAAAAACAAAAAGCAAAATGAAACAACATAGAAAAAAAACCAAAAACACACTAAGGAAGAAGAACATACTTAGAATTGGGAGGAATTCCTATTTTATTGATCAGATTGATCAAAAAAGTCTGTTTCAGTAAGGTGATATTGAAACGGGAGAGTTCCCTGGTGCCCCCGCGCAGGGCATGCAACAGGAGTGTGGCTCTCTGTTCCTCTACCACCACTCAAACCCCTTATGGGAAAGAGAGCACGCAGATGGGCCTGCCCATGAGCCAGGGCGAGCCCTTCTGGGCTCTGGTTCTATGGCAGCATCTTGGGGTGGATGCCTGTGACTCCTGAAGCCCCAGTGTTACAGTGCTCTTTTAGCTCTGCTGTCCGCAGATGGCCTAAATGTTAACCAGCTCAGTGCCTTCTTGGTCCCTGGGTCCTTGTCTGGTGTCCAGGAAGAATCAGGTCACACATGGACATGAAGAGTGAATGTGGGGGTTTTACTGAGTGGTGAAGGTGGCTCTCAGTGGGATGGATGCAGAGCTGGAAGAGGGATGGAGGAGGAAGGTGATCTTCCCCTGGGGTCAGGCCACCCAGCAGCCCATCTCCTCTCCGATCATCCCAGCCTAACTCCTCTCTCCATTTGGATGCTCCTTCTCTTCTCTCCTTCTCAGCCACCCAATTCTGCCGTTTATCTATCTGCTCGTCTCCTGGAGCCTGGGGTTCGGGATTTAAATGGTTACAGGATAGGGGGTACTGGTGGGCCAAAAGGCAACAATTTGGGTACAAAAACAAAAATGCCTGTTCTCGCACAGGGTCATGGGTTTCCAGGTTTTAGGGTGTGGCCTTTGCTGGGGAACTGCCCTCTTCTACGCAGTATTTCCCTATCTGCTGTCCACATCAATATTTAAGTAGGGACACGAAGAAGAACTTACTATGTTCTTGGCATTGTATTGAACTCAAGACTGTTTTGTTTCGGGCATTATACTAGGCTTTGGAACTACAAAGACGAAAAGAGCTTTTGTCCTATTCTCAGCAAGGACTGAGTAAGAAGATAAGAGGAAGAATAACCCATTACATACAATGTGCTGTGTTCTATTAGAAGTATATGCATACGGTAATGTTTCCTCATTTACTAGTTAGTATTTTTCCCCCAAAAGAATGAGCCGAGATCACGCCACTGCACGCCAGCCCGGGCGACAGAGACTCCGTCTCAAAAAAAAAAAAAAAAAAAAAAAAAAAAAAGAATATTAAGCCTTATGAACTGTACTGAAAATAATAACTCTTTTTTTATTCAAAATTAGTTTTTTAACAGAAAAGAATTAATCTTAAGTGAAGAATTATAAAAAAATTAGCCAAAATTTGGAGCTTGCACTGAGCCGAGATCGCGCCACTGCACTCCAGCCTGGGCGACAGAGCGAGACTCTGTCTCAAAAAAAAAAAAAAAAAAAAAAGTCAAAATTAGTCCTATTCTGCACAGTATGAAAAACTTTTAATGACTTTTCATTTTTCAACATTATACGATCTTCCCTTTCAGATGGATGAGGTTACAGTTGATAAAGGTCATGAACATCAAATTTAAAATGAAAAATAAATGGACAAATAAAATTTGTGTGTCGTCTTTTTTTTGTCATGGATATCTTAATAAATAAATGTGATAAACATGGAGACTTTTAATAGTAAATCTTATCTTACTAACAATGCATTATTTTTATAACTTTTAGAAAAAAATTAATTACAATTTTTCTGATTTTTTTTTCAGGATTAAGTTTTTTTCACATTGATAAAAACCATGAAAAATATTTACATTTTCCCATCTTATAGCACAACATTTCAACGGAATATTTCTTGCCATAAATAATATCTTGCTGATTTGTAGAACTGAAACAACAGTTTATGTTCTTCAAGGTAAGGAAAAATAACATAGTAAATGATTGTTTAAAATTTCTAAATCCAGACATAAACATATGGCTTCATTATTAACATCCTATATAGTCCATTACTAAATTATTTCCATTATCAATTAGCACCCATTTATAAAGATGCATTCTTAATATTGTTTTGGTCAGCTGGAATACACAGACATAAGGCATCTAAAATCTATTTATGCTTTATAGAGAAGCCAGACATTAAAACGTCATGTACTACTTATTTGAAATTACTCTACCTTATCCAAATTATTTAGTTATTAGGTCTTCAAATTATTTAGTTATTAGGATCTTCAACCCAGGTAACAGGAATAATTCTGTGGTTTTATTTTTCTGTAAACAACTGAAAGAACAATTAGATCATATTCTAGTATGGTCTGAAATATCTTTAAGACTGATCATAAAAACTAATTTCTAAGGTGATTTCATCTCCTCATAGCATACATAGAGTTTACTTTGTACACATGTCTGAAGCCAACTACTGTACAAGATGAGGAATCTATTGTAATTTTTTTGCTTTATTTTCATCAGCCAGTGGACTTATTTGAAATTTTCATTTTAGTCAAATTATTTTTTGTGTTAGTTTTTCATGCAAACATGAAAATAGCAATGATTTTAAATTGTCAATATTTCCAGATTACTGGGAAAAATTATTTGAAACAAACTTATGGGTAATAAAGGCTAGTCAGAACCCTATACATAAAGTGTAGTTACCATACAGATTAATATATAGCAATAATGTATGCTTGATATTTCTGCTATTTTTTCTAATCATTTTTTGATAACTCCAAAAATAAAGTATAATATTAGGAAATTCATTTTTTTTGAGTTTGAGTTTTCTAAACTGAAAATCAACAATCTTGAAATCAAAACAGATGCAATTTTTCATGTACTTCATGATGGATGCATGGAAAGATTTACACGGGGAGGAATAAACACATCTATTAGTTATCTCCAATTAACCATGAAAGAAATAAAAGGCAGATAAGTGATTGATTACTAAAGAGCTCCAAGTAATTGGGTAATAAGGCAAAAGTAGTGTTATATGTTCCTACAGTGTAATCTAAGAACATGATTTTGTTTGTATAAATTAATTACAAAGTAGGTGAAATTAACTGACTTAGAGGTAAGGACAAAAATATAAGGAGTTTTGCAGATAGCAACCATTTGAAAATAAAACACTTCAATCACATTATAGGACACCATAAGAGAATGTCTCATTCTACAGTATATAGAGTCCATTCCTTGTTCTGAATGAGACTTATAAACAAAATGTATTTATTTAAAACTTATGTTTTAAGGAAAGCTTTCACTGCAGATTAATTTAGCCAACATTTCAGTTATCTGTAACATTATACAATTTTACTATTATTTCTATAATCCATTAGTTTAAAATGAATTCAATTTATGCTACAGTTGAGTGATTATATAATTTCTGAGGAAATTTTAATTATCATTATGACAGTTTTCTAGATTTGAAATAAAAAGATCTTACACACAAGTTGAAATAAAAAAATAGTTATAAAAACTCTACTTATTGGAAAAGCCAGAATCCCCAATGGAGACAAAATATATTTCTGTTCTAAATATTTTTACCTTCAGATCTCCTGATTCCTAAGTCCCATTTCGATGTTGGAGCAAGAAAGGGGACTTGATGTGTCATCTATCTTACATCTATCATTTTGAACCTTGCCTGCCACAGGGCCTTTGCACAGTGTTGTCTCAGCCTCTTGTACTTTCTCCCTGAATATTCGTGTTTTGCTCACTCATTTGATTTGAGTCCTTGTTAAAATGCTACCTTTTAAGAGAGGACTTTCTTGGCCACCTCTTCGTCTTGCTATTTTTCTTTTTTAAAAATTTAGAAAATATGTAGCATAAATGTAGTATATACATATAATACCTATGGTGTATATATGTGTGTATACATATTATATACTATGTATCTAGTATATATATATATTTATTTATTGAGACAGGATCTCACTCTGTCACCCAGGCGGGAATGCAATGGCATGATCACAGCTCAGTGCATCCCCTCGTCCTCCCCAGGTTCAGGTGATCCTTCCACTTCTGCCTCCTGAGTAGCTGGGGCTACAGGCATGCTGCACCACTCCCGGTTAATTTTTGTATTTTTTTGTAGAGATAGGGTTTCTTCATGTTGCCCAGACTGGTTTCGAACTCGTGGGCTCAAGTGATCCACCCACTTCAGCCCTCCAAAGTGCTGGGATTACAGGTGTGAGCCACTGTGCCTGGCCACTGCTTTGTTTTCCTTTAGAATTACACTTATCAACAACATAATGTTCCATATTTATTTTTGTAATATTCTGTCTCCCTATAACTTCGCCTCCATTAGCATGTGATAGCCACCTGAGTGGGGCATTTATTTTGTTTAAAGTACGTACCCAGTACATGGAAGAGGGTCAGGCAATATAGAAGATGCCTGTGAAATACCTAGGAATGCAGACACAGTCAGATGTTTTTCTATAGACACAACTGATTGAATTTCACTTCAAAACAAATAATAATCACAACCAAAAGCAACTGCCTAGTAAACCAAGTCTCTGTGGTTTCAGTAATCAAATATTGAATTTAGTTGCATTTTGCTTATGGTAAACAATTGATTTGGGATTGTCCACAATCTTAGATAATCATCATGTTATCTGATATCTAGATTATCAAAAAATGTCTTTTGTTTTCCCTTTCAATTTTTTTTAATCTAAGTGTCCAGATTTGTCCAGGCCTTTGAAGATAAACTTCAATATGTTGGTAATTTCTAAATTTGATTATAAGTTAGGATTTTTGTTTGCTAGAGAAATAATTCTTCCTTGCAAGTTAGGATTTGAGTTTAAAGAGTTGCTTCCTAGTGAGTTCTGCAAATATTCACCTACCAGAAAAAGAGTATGCTTTACAAGACAACTTTTGTAATGATGTACACTACATTTACTTTTTTGATAGGAAAGTGCTGCCTTTAGAGTTATGATGATGTCATATTCAAAACGTTGACACTCTCATAGCTGAGTGAAAAAGAAGATATTTAATTAAAATAACTGGACTAAAATCTCAGGTCTTCTATGTTGTAACTTCTGAGTCTCAGTGTCCACATTTATATGAAGTGAGTGAAAGAATACTAAGCACATTCCAGCCTGTGATGAGACAAGGAAAAAAGTCTATGAAAGTTTCTGAAAACATATTCTGCTGCAAAGAAACAGTGATACTTTTAAATTGCTTCTTTTTCTTATCTCCTCCCTTTCTTTAAAAGTGCAACAGAAAAGGAATTTTCTTGTTGTGGTCTTACTGTCTCCTAATTCAAAATCATTCTGGATTTCAAATGAATTAACGACAGGCAATAATTTTATAGTTGATTGCCTTTTAGATCTCTTAGCCTTAGAATAAAACTATTATATTAAATAAATTTACTTATCAAAAACATTTCTTTCCTAACATGAAAAAATATACTAGAAACTGTCACTATAAAACTACATACAAGGTATAGTACTAGTCCTTCAGAAATGATCCTAGTCCACAGAATATGGAAGAGGAGAAAGGAGAGGCCGAGGAGAGAAAATTGACACCAATATCAGATGAATTTTCTATAGATTAATAAGGTAGAGAATATGTAAATGACTTGACTTTTTACAAAGTGTCCTCTTGATTGTCTTTTAAAAAGACATTTTAAACTAACTGTGACTAGCGAGACACATAGCTAATTTTGGGGAAATATACAAACTTCTCCAACATAAGGTTATCATTTTGATATTTGTCAGTGCTAAATAAATAGTCATAAATGTGGAACTTATCTTCCCCTATCAAAATTCTAAGGATAAGTTTTCTCAGTTTTCAATTTAAAGATATGGTCATTGAGCCTTTTTTCTTAAAGGTTCTATTACTAGCCTACAAATTGTTATGAAAGAGAAAGTCAATTAAATATGTGAGCTCAAACATGTTATGTTTAAGGACTAGCCCATTTTTCCCCCCAAAACTGAATTAAGTTGAACATTATGGAGAATATGTTAATATTTATAATATCACATTGTAAAAGTAAGGGTACTTTTACAGGTAAGTAATTTCCCTAAGGTGGAAGAAATTCATTTTTAATGTCAATTTTAAGATAAATGATATATTTCCTTACTTTAGTTTTAGAACTTCTAACATAGCCGAGGAGAGGTATACCACAGCTGTTAAGAGCATTGATGTTGATGTTGTACTATTTCAAAACGACACTTGTGTTTAGCAGGTTACCTGCCTCTGAAGGTACAAGGAATCCTTTAAACTAAGAAAGGTCACATGGAGAATAGACTCCCTCTGATGAGTGCCTCAAACATCAAACCTGTTTATTTAAAGAGACCATGTAAAGTTACATACTCAAATCTGGGTTTTTTTCCTCTTGGAAATCTCCACTTTGTGGATAAAATACTGCTTATGGGTTTATGCAGCCAGACACCTAGTGCATAAAAGAAGGGAACTAGTGTCAGATCTTTTTATATTGGTTGTTTTTTTAATAATGACAATTTCTAGGGCCCCAATCACCAGGAAGAGGAGGATTCAGGATCTCTGAGACAGATTGAGAGAGGCCAAATTCAGAGTCCCCATTAGCTGATTTGCTGAAGGAGAATTTAAGATTTTGAGGCAGTGTTTCTTACACCTGACTACAGAGATAATTAAACAAAAGGCCAGTTTTATCTCCAGACAATTGCAGAGGCTTTGGTAGTGTTGGTTATTGGCTAGTTTCTCAGTCCCTATTATGAGAAGCACCCTGAGCCTTTAATTTAGAATGTCTTTATTTTACACATCTTGCCTACATTAGACCTCTGATCATCTTCACATTTATCATTATTACATGATTTTGGATCTCTTTTGTCTTTTCTCTAGGTATTACCTTACAACTGGACACTATTTATTGGGATTACCTAGGGTGTAAGAGGGTATTTGGATAATTCCTTCCATAAAATTTCAGGCCATGAATCTAAAATGATTCATTAGCTAACATTTTACTAACATCATTCTAAACATTTTTACATATAAAACATCTATATAATTCCAAGACATTAAAAGTCAATACAGTATTTATAAAGCAGTTATATGCATTCATGCGGGTGACTCTATCTTCTATCTAATATCTTTGATCTTATAAAGAAACCAAAATGTGATCATATATTGGATCTACCACTTACTGTTCTTCTTCGGATGAGTTTCTTAAACCTTTATACCTCAACTTCCTCTCTATAGAACATTACAGAGAATATGTTAATATTTATCATACCACATTGTAAAAGTAAGGGAACTTTTACATGTACCCATACTTTTAATGCCAACCTAAGAGATTTTTGTGTTAGGGCTAAATGAAAAACAATATAGAATACTTATCACAGATTCTGGTATTTGATATGTAGTCTATAAACCACTGTTAACAAAGAAAACAAATCCTCAAACTTTCTTTATGTGTATATATAAATATTCATATGTGTGTATATATGTATGTATAAATATGTGTGTGCATAAAACTTCAAAAATGCACTTGGTTTGTCTTACCTTCTGAGTTACTTTCATTGAATGTCTTTGTGTGGGTGTTTCTGTGGGTGAATTCTCTTATAGACTTGTTAAGTATACACATAGAAGAAACCAAACACATCACAGTGACTAAGAGACTTTCCTTTTGAGGACTGGCTCTAAGAAAATCACATGTATATGAGATCCACAAATTATATGCAATATATACACGTGTGTGTCATGCACATTTATGGTTTCTAGAAGTGATATAGAAGTTCTACAATAATAAAGCTCAGCAAAAATTCTTGTAGGAATTTAGAAATGAGATTTCACTTCAAATAAGTGTATCTAACTTATAGAGTGTGAAGTTGATTTTAGGTTGGTTTTTGGTGTAATATTCTTTCAGAAGTACCATCTCATAAAAAATTTCAGAGAACTTGGATGAAAATAATTATACAAAAATTCCCTATGAAATATTCATTTTTAATATGCATTCTGTGTGGATTCAATTTTTAAGAGTTTCTTTAAATATATTCAGCTTTCATATTGCTTTGCTTTATACTGTCAAAACAATAGCAACATTTGCTTTACTGTCAAAGAGATCAATTTCAACAATTCAGTATAAAACACAAATTATACCATTTGCTGACATTAAAAAAAGGATTCATTGAATTTTCCACTTTTTTAGCCAGTTATATAATTGACAATTGTACGTAATTTAAGTTTTTTAAGCACACACATACACAATAAAGAAAAATAACACATTTGCAGGTAAAATGAAATAAACATCAAGAAGAAAAATTACTTGCTGAGAAGTTAAGGTACACATGGGATGTTGCTATAAAACTTTTTTTTTTCATTTATCTATCAGATAAATGTTGGATATGATTCTGTAAGTCATCAATAAATGAACAATACAACTGTGTATTAAACTGGTGAGTCTGATATGATAATCTGTTCTGATCCTGGAATTATAATATCATTGGCATTAGTTGGAGTTAGGCAACATAGGAAAATTACAAGAGATGTTAATATCCTGATGTTGACACATTGCTGCTAAGTTGCCTCTTGAAACAACAAGAAGCAGACAAGGAAATTCACAAGGTAAAGTTACGTCAAGACTTGGTCACACGGTAAGTACCTGGTGGAGCTGGGATTCCTATCTGTGGCTGTATTGGTTAAGAGTTCTTTCAGGACAGGAGAAGGCCTGTCAGTGTGCACATTTAACCTGAAAACATGAATAAAGTTAAATTTCCCATATGAGTGGTTATTTTTATTGGACATTTAATAAGTAAGCTCTATAGATAAACTTCATAATGAAACATTTGACAATTTCAGATCTACAGAAAGGAATATAAATATAGTTACTGATCAAATAGTATGCAATCTGAAAATAAAACTGACGGTAAAACCTTTCAGCAACAAGTGTTTTGGAAACATTTTGACCCTTCCACATATTACCTTGATCCAAATATCTGTGGGGCAGCTGGTAAGGAGGCTGAGTTCATAAGATACTAGGCATTGACTTAGACATACTTCCAAGCAGTGACTTTGGTTTCTTCATTGCCATTTAAAAAAAGTTCAAAACCACAAGATATCATCTTCTACTTATTAGAATGTCTATTACCAAAAAGACAAAAGGTAACAAGAGTTGGGGAGGATGTAGAGAAAAAAGAACACTTGCACCCTATTGGTGGGTGTATAAATTAGTTCAGCTATTACGGAAAAGAGTATGAGGGCCCCTCAAAACAGAACTACCATATGATCTAGCAATCTCACTACTGGGAATATATCAAAGGAAATAAAATCAGTATGTCAAAGAGATATCTGCACTCCAATGTTTATTGAAGCATTATTTACAATAGACAAGATATGGAATTAATCTGTGTCCGTCAACAGATAAATGGATAAAGCTAATGGGGTATATATATACAATAGAATACTATTTGACCTTAAAAAAGAAAAAAATTTTAATGTGGGAATATCCTAACAAGAATTTTCATCAATTGTACACATGCTTAAGGACAAATTTTAAAAATTGAGTTTCTAGCTGTTCATAGTGACTGTATAAATACAAAATCAATTTTATATATTAACATATCCAGCAAACTTGCTGAATGAACTTACATGTTCTAGGAGATTTTTGTTAAGTTTTTTGGGATTTTTCTAGTTACACAATTATGTCATCTGCAAATGAGATAATTTTATTTCTTTCTAATCTAAATCAGAGTGTCTTTCTTTTTCCTTATTGCACAATGGATAGGTCTTCTGGAATGATGTTGAGTAAGAGTTGTAAGACAATAGCCAAGCCTTTTTTTAACACCACAATGTTGCGGGAAAGCATGTGGTGTCTTACAATTAAGTATGATGTTATCTTTATATTTGACACCCTTTATCAGTCAAAGGAGTGTTCTTCTATCCTTAGTTTTCTAATAGTTTTTTAAAATAAAAATCATAAATAAATGTTGATTTATCAATATTTTTGCGTTTGTTAAGATGGTAATGTGGTTTTTCTTTTTTAGTCTGATAATATTGTGAATTATATTGATTTATTATCAAATGTTAAACCACCCTTGCATTCCTGAGATAACCTTCACTTAGTTTTTATATGTTGTTGAATTTAGCTTGCTAATATTTAGCTGAGAATTTTTTTGCATATGATCATGAGAGATATGGTTCTATAGTTTTCGTTCCTTTTAATGTCTTTGATTATTCACAGTATTACCTGATTATTCCTTTCATATCTGTAAGTTCCATGGTGATATCCTTCTTTTATTCCCAACATTAGTAACCTATATGTTCTCTTTTTTATTCTAGATCAAAATGCCTAAAGTTCCTATCAATTTCATTGTATTTCTTAAAGAATCAATTTTGTTTCATTAATTTTCTCTATTGTTTTCTGTTTTCAATTTCATTTCTTTCTGTTCTTCTTTTAAACTTTTTCATACTGACTGAGGTATAAATGACAAATAAAAATTGTGTATATTCAAGGTGTACAATGTGATGTTTTCATATACGTATGCATTGTGAAATGATTGTCACTATTAACCTAATTAACACCTCCATCACCTTACATAGTTACCTTTTTAAACATTATTTTAATTGACAAATCATAATTGTATTGCATTATGTATTACATGTATAGAGTAGAAGCTGCTGCTCTAAAAAACTGACAATGAAAGAAGAGCTGAATCTAGAGCAAGCAGAAGAAAGCAATTATAAAAAGAACACAGTGCAATGTGATGTTTTGATACTTTGTTCTTTTTATAATTCCTTTCTTCTACTTGCTCTAGATTTAATTTTATTTTATTGGTACTTCTTTAAAGTAGCAGCTTAGATAACTGATTTAATACTTTTCTTCTTTACTACTATAAACATTTCATGTTTTTTGACGTTCTCTAAGCACTTCTGTAGCTATATACCGCTAAAGTATTATGTGGTATTTATTTTCATTTGGTTAAAGTATTATTTAATTTACCTTGAGTCATCTTCATTGACCAATGGGCTATTGAATGTGAGTTGTTGATTTTCCAAATATTTGGGGAGAATATTACAGATATCTTTCCATTGCAGATTTCTAATTTAATTTTGTTATGTTATAGATCATGAATATACTTTATATTATTTCTGTTCTCTTAAATTTGTTGAGGTTTATATTATGGCCCAGAATATGGACTGCCATGGTGAATGTTCCATATACACTTTGAAAAAAACGTGTATTCAGCTGTTGTTGGGTAGGATGTTATAAAAATGTCAATTACGTCAAGTTGGTTGATAATGTTTTCAGGTATTCTATATTTTCACTAGTTGTTATGTCAATTACTGCTTGAGGAATGTTGAAGGCTTCAACTGTATTTGGGGATTTAACTATTTCTGTTCTAAGAGTTTTCCCTTCTTGTATGTTGAAGCTCGATTGCTAGATGCACACGTTTGAGACTTATCTCTTGGAAAATTGAGCAATTTTATATTTAAGTAATGTTCCACTTTATTATAATATTCTTTGGTTTAGGTATATTTTGTCTAATAACAGTATTTTGGTTAGTGTGTGCTCCATGGTATAACTTTTGTGCATGGCATATATTTTTATGTCTTTTTATTATTAACCTGTGCCTTTATGTTTAAAATGAATTTCTTTCAGACAGCATATGACTGGGTTGTACCATTATTATTCAATCTTACAGTATCTGTCTCTCAACTGGTATATTTGGATTGTTCAAATTCAGTATGATTGGATTTAAATTTTATTTAATATGGTTGAATTAAAATCTCTTTACCTGTTTTCTATTTGTTCCACCTATTGTTTTATACTTTTTTCTGACTTCTCATGTTGAGCACTTTTATGATTTCATTTTATTTATATTGATTTATTATCTTTTTTAAAAATCAGAATCGGCATTGAAATAATATCCACACTTTACATGTATTGCAAGGAACTTTCAGCAGTCTCCTCCCAATTCCTCTTTTCCATTTTTTGTCCTATTGTTACATACATTTATTTCACATATGCACGATACTTTGATAGTTTTGTATTTTGAGTTATTTAAAGAAATTAAAATAATAAATCAATTTTATTATATTTTCATTTATTTCACTTCTGGGGCTCTTCAATTTTTTTACATAGATTGATGTTTCTCTCTGATATAAAATTATTTTGCCTAAAGAACTTTGTTTAATATTTTGTGTAGACTAGTTTTGCTGCCAATAAATGCCCTCGGATTTTGTTTATCTAAGATAGTCTTTATACTTCTTTCTTTTTTGAAGTATATTTCCCCGTTTATCTGGCTAAAACTAGGGGTTTACACAGCAGGGAGGAAATGTAATAATATGTAAGAAAACAAGAACTAGGGAGGAGCAAGGAAGCAATCGTGATGAATGAGGGGTGGCATCTGCTGTGGTGATCTGGTGAGTTTCAGTTCTTTGATACTTTTTTGAGAGGCCTGTAGGTCCTGTCCTGAGGAAGGAACTCTGATAAAACAAATATAAGTTTCAAGCTCTAAGACTGAAAGAGTCAATTTCTGTGTTTATCAAAAAGAATAGTCTATGGGACTACTGGGTTGGTTTCACTCTTAAATATTTTTTGATCTATAACAGCATAGCAGTTCCCACACACATACAGAGACATTTTTTGTTCAAGCCATAGTTTATTTAAGGAATTGGGCTAACCATCCTGTAGCATATTCCCACAATCTATATTTGGCAGATTGCATTTTATTGCTGTTATTCAATATGTTTCTCTTGTCTTTATATTTCTTGTAATTGAGTCTAAAACTTGCATAGTCACATTCAAATTTTAGCAAGAATGATTTGTAGGTGGCATGGTAGATTTCTTTAATATTGAATCAAGAGCCCATATAGTCTGGTTTTCCTAAGAGAGATCAGTGTTTTCAGTTGTCAGTCCATCTACCCATTATAAGGCTTAGTAGCAACATTTCATGTATTTTTAAAACATCTAGTATGAATTGTTCTCCAGATCCATTGTTAAATTAGGGCTTATAAAATAATGATTTTACATGCTGCTATAAAGACACATGCACACGTATGTTTATTGCAGCATTATTCACAATAGCAAAGACTTGGAACCAAGCCAAATGTCCAACAATGATAGACTGGATTAAGAAAATGTGGCGCATATACACCACGGAATACTATGCAGCCATAAAAAAGGATGAGTTCATGTCCTTTGTCATGGATGAACCTGGAAACCATCATTTTCAGCAAACTATCTCAAGGACAGAAAATCAAGCACCGCATGTTCTCACTCATAGATGGGAATTGAACAATGAGAACACATGGACACAGGAAGGGGAACATCACACACCAGAGCCTGTTGTGGGGTGGGGGGAGGGGGGAGTGATAGCATTAGGAGATATACCTAATGTTAAATGACGAGTTAATGGGTGCAGCACACCAACATAGCACATGTATACATATGTAACTACCCTGCACGTTGTGCACATGTACCCTAAAACTTAGAGTATAATAAAAAACTAAATAAATAAAAAATAAAATAAAATAATAATTTTATAGCTCTATGATTATTTTTGCTTTATGAGTTGAACTACTTCTATAGAAGAAATTACCCTTATCAAATACTTGGCTACCTTGAAACAGTTTTATAAGGTATTATAATTTCTTTTTTATTTTATTTGCCAATTTGCAGAATGAGTTATCACACCAGCACTCTACAATGGTAGGGTAATCATATAACTTAATCTCCAAACTGTGACACTTACGAGTAAAATGAAGTTATATTAATAATTATCCTAAGACAACAATTGTAACCTGGGATTATTCCAGAAAAAGTTATCTAAAGGTGATCTATGCGTATTTTTAAAAGCTGATTATGAACTTATGGATTTTTTTGTATTTTATGTTTCATTTCATTGCAATCATAATTCTCATTAATATCCTAATTGTTTTATATTTGGCTGTTGAGAGCTGCTTCAAGTTGGTTTCTATGTCCTTTTGAGATAATCTCAGTAGTCTTTGATACCTCATGCTCATTTTATATATTTCCTTCCTCCAGATCTGGAAACAGTTATTTCTCAAAGGAACCTGTTTATTTTAGTAAGGAATGGTATGCAGATACCAAAATATTGGTTTTAGAGCTGATTGCTTCTGTGTTACGTTGCTTTTAGACCTTTTCAATGAAGAGAACTAAGAAATGTGATTTTTTTAAAGAAAAATTAATCATGAGTATCTACTGATATTTCTAAATTAAAATAAAGATTACTGGGATTTAATCTTTTATATTTTATGTTTGTGTTTATTTTCTTTTACTCTTCAAATATTGATTACATGATTTTTAATGTTACCAGTATTTTCTACTTTAATATATATATTCACTCAAAACCAGTATTTTTACTAACAATGACTAATTCAATTTCAAATTTCTGTGATGCTAGTTTTATCCTTTAGGCATAAACCACTAACAAGTCCAGTTAAAATCCTGTATTTTAAAATCATTTTAAAAATTTTTGTTTAAATGGTATGCCACCAAATTGATGAATGATTTTGTTTTTAAAAAAATTGTTTTTATAGTTTATGTAAAAAAATCAAAACTATAAAACAAGGTAAAAAGATCTGTAGCTTCTTTGTTACTTAACTCTTCCTACTTTTGTCACTCTCCGAAAGATAGCATTAATGAAACCACATTAAAGTCTCTATATTGAAACTAGTTTGACTATATTTACTGATATATCATCATATTATATTTACTGACATATCGACATACTGAGGTAAGTCTTAATCAAGCCTCTATTATGAAATGGCTGTTTCGGTATCTCTGATTTTATTTTAATCATAAGGATCTTTTTTCCCACTGTCTCTGTTACATATTTATGTATCTTATGCTAGTTCACATAAACTGGTCATTTGCAGTGTCTGTTTTGGTATACTAACTGTACTGAAATCTCAATAGTTGTTCAGAGATCAGCCCTTACATTTAGATTGTTTCATCACATTTCTTGTTGCAACGACTGAATTAAGCAAGCGCATTTTTATTTATTTTGTTGTGTCCTACTCTGACTCTATTACTATTGTGCAGATTTGTAGAAGGCAGCAACTACTAGATATATGACTCTCCTGTGAGATTGGATGAATACTAGGGATGCTGGAAATGCCATTTTTAGAGATGTTTCATGAGAAGGGTCATATACTCTTAAACTAATGTCTCCCAAGAAACCCTTATCTTGAAAGGTTCTGCTGCATACTTCAAAACACCCATCCTTGTCTTCTATGTTTATGGCTACAAATGCCTTCAATGAAACTCCAGAAGTATAAGAAAGTGCCTGTCCCTATGGCATAGCTTAACTTAGCTGTTGAACCTTCATTTTGTAATGTAGTTATTCTAGTTAATTTTAGGTATTAACAGGGGAAATAATGTGACTTTAAAAGTGTTAATACAATACTCATTCATATAGAAACATACAATATCCTGGAAAAGATAGCAAATTTAAGTTCAATACTGCAGTGAAGAAAACTATTAAGCTTTATTTAAACCATAACCCATTAACACTCAGACTTACTTGACCACAGAATTGTTGCTTCCTACATAATGTATTAGAAAGCAGAAGAATTAGTGTTCTATAGAACACACCTGAATTTTGTAAACGCTGCGTTAAATAAAGTTTAACAAATGCATTTACTGTACAATATTTGAGAGTTTTTTATTTGCTACTGTGAATGATGAATACTCAAGGTGGAGGATAGTATATGGAATATTTCTCAAATTTATTTATGTCAGAACTACTTTACTGCATGACACGAACTGAGAATTATTGTTTAGGACCTATAAACTTCCTTATTTTTTACAATATATTTCTCCCTTTCTTACTCAGAGAAGGTCATATAATCTCTATGTCATAAAATGCTAAGAAATGCGATTTCATTACTACTCTTATTACTATTAGTATGTTTACCTTTAATTGATGCATTATATAATAAAGAATCCTGAATGTCATAAATCTAAAGCTCAATGAATTTCAACAAACTGAGCCCAATTGTGTAACCAACATCTAGCTCAAGAAACAGAATATTTTACCTACCTGTAAAGAAAAGGGGAACAAAAATTTCCCCAGACCTTCCAGGACCACCTTATTTTCTTTAAAAGAAAAGGAAGCAGTAAGGTCAGAAGAACAGTCTATAAAAATACTGTCCAAGTACACTAGATGAACTTACTATAGGATGCAGACGTTGTAGTATAGGTTTTGAACACCAGTTATACTGACACACAAACTGAAGATCTATCCCCCTCCTCACAGCTTTAGAGCTTAGCAATTGACCAATAAAAATGTAGAGGGAATTATTTAAGGCAAGTCTGTTTAACTTGTCTTTCAGCAAACATTGCATTGACTAAATCCTCTGTTCTTTGATCTTTTGAACATTGGTGGTAGAGTTAAACATTTAATAAAAAAGCGAATGAGTTTGTCCATAGAAGAGTTAATTGATAAGAGAAAGAGGAATACTGATTGACAGTTACAGACAATATTCATGGACAGTGGTGGAAGCCACAGGCTGGGACAGTTTTCTTTCTGGAATAAAATCTACATCACTGGAAGATGCTGCTACTTAGTTTCTTTTATTTTTTTTTAAGTTAATTTAGCTTAATTTTTAAAAATTGACAGGCCAGGCACTGTGGCTCACACCTGTAATCCCAGCACTTTGGGAGGCCCAGGCGGGCAGATCACCTGAGGTTAGGAGTTCGAGACCAGCCTGACCAACGTGGAGAAACACCCCCTCTCCACTAAAAATACAAAATTAGACGGGCATGGTGGTGCATGCCTGTAATCCCAGGTACTCGGGAGGCTGAGGCAGGAGAATTGCTTGAACCTGGGAGGCAGAGGTTGCAGTAAGCTGAGATCGCACCATTGCATTCCAGCCTGGGCAACAAGAGCAAAACTCCGTCTCAAAAAAAAAAAAAAAAAAGTTGACAGATGAAATTGTATATATTTATTGTGTACAACATGATGTTTTGTTTTATATATATATATCTGTGTGTGTATATACACACACACATACATATATACATATATTTTGGAATGGCTAAATCAAGCTAATTAACACATATATTATCTTAGTTGTTATTTTTGTGGTGAAAACTTGAGATCTACTCTTAGCATTTTTCAAAAATATAATATATTGCTATTAACTATAGTAACCAAGTTGTACAATAGATTTCTTGAACATATTCCTCTTATCTAATTGATATTTTATATCCTTTGACCAATGTCTCCCTAGCCACCTCCTGCCCCGACCATCACCCCAACCCCTGGTAACCACCGTGCTACTCTTTACTTTTATGAGATAAACTTTTTAAAATTCCACATGTGAGTGCGATCATGAGGTATTTGTCTTTCTGTGCCTATTTTACTTAATGTAATATCTGTTGCAAATAACAGGATTTTCTTCTTTTTTATGGCTAAGGAAAAACCAGATTTATATACCAGATTTTCTTTATCCATTCATGTTGATATACACTTAGGTTAATTCATTTTCTTGTCTATTGGGAATAATGCTTTAATAAACATGGGAGTGCAGATATCCCTTTAACATACTGATTTAATTTCGTTTGGATATATACCCAGCAGTGGGATTGCTGGATCATATGGTGGTTCTATTTTTGATTATTTTTAGGATCTCCATACTGTTTTCCATAGTGGCTATCCTAATTTGTATTTGCACCAACAGTGTGTAAGTGTTCCCTTTTCTGCACACCCTGGCCGACGCTTATCTTTTGACTTTCTGATTATAGCCTTACTGCTCCTCAGTTTCTTGTGTTATTTGTAATTGTCTTTTATGGCTGTCTGCTTGGCCATTTAATATTTATTTGGGAAAAGATACTATCTTAACTCACAGCTTCTAATAGATATAAATATGATGCTTATGGCCAGGCACGGTGGCTCATGCCTGTAATCCCAGCACTTTGGGAGGCCGAGGTGGGTGGATCACCCAAGGTCGGGTGTTCAAGACCAGCCTGACCAACAGGGAGAAACCCTGTCTCTACTAAAAATACAAAAAATTAGCCAGGTGTGGTGGCACATGCCTGTAGTCCCAGCTACTCGGGAGGCTGAGGCAGGAGAATAGCGTGAACCTGGGAGGTGGAGGTTACTGTGAGATGAGATCACGCCATTGCACCCCAGCCTGGGCCACAGAGTGAGACTCCATCTCAAAAACATAAATAAATAAAATAAAGATGCTTATGTTTCTACTGCTATACTTATGTTTCAAACTATTAATATATCATCCCTAATTTTCACCTTAACATTGTGAAGTAGCTATTATTAATCATATTTTACTAATAAGTAAAATTAACAGAGAGACTAAGTACTTGCCCTAGGTCACACCAATGTTAAGCAGAGAAAACAAGTTTTAACCTTAGACATCCAGCTCAAAAGCAAAGCGCTTCAGCATACATCCTATCATTTCCTTTAGGTTCTCTGTTCCTGAAAATAACCCTGGGAGATAGATAATGTGTTCTTTTCTCAGAGTGGCAATCACTGAGGGCTGGGGTATGAACCCAGATCAGAAAACTGTGGGTGCATTATTCTTTCCTCTAACCCAATAGAGTATATATATATACATTTTTTTTTTAAACTCAACTTTATAACACTTCTTTCTACTGAGAAGTTCAAAGACTTACTATATCAGAGAAAAGGAAATACACTACTGATTTTTAATAAGAAATGAAAATTTACAGTTTGAAACAGGGAAAGAACACTAACATGTTTCTGATTTTTAAGGTGCAATCCAAAAAATGGCTTCACATTCAAGGATACAGGAGAATTAGGCTGGATTTCCATCACTCATCTTTGTTTATATGACTGAGAACATTGGTATTTCTATGCTGCAGTTGGGTAATGTTTCTTTTTTATATATGAATATTTATTTAGGTTAATATCAAATATAAATACATTAAAATAAACTGATAGAAATCATTACATAACTTGCATCAGTGGGCATTAGGTATTCAAAGATAGATATATTTACAAACAATTGAAACACTTTTAGTGCAATGAGAGGGAGACATTATAAATTATACCACTTTGTGATGGATATGTTCCTTTGCTTGGCTACAGTAATCATTTCACAATGTATATGTAAATCAAAACATTACATTGTATACCTTAAATATACACAATGAAAATAAAATACATCACTTTTGGTTTGTTTTACACTTAATTTTCTCAGACTTCTCTGGAGAATTGGTCCTGTATTTACTTAATTGACTTTACACTTAATAAAATACAACAGAAAAGAAAAACCGTCAAAATGTTACTGATTTTAGACATGAGAAAGTAATGCATAATTGAAGTACATATACAAATAACAATTATCATCTTTCTATGAGGTTACTATTACAGTATGTATTGGTGGACATCTCTTTTTAATAAAACACAGCTTAATTAAAAATTCTACAGACAGAATTGTTAGTCAGTGGTGTTAAATGTTTCACAATTTTATCAACTTTACTCAGGTGTATTTACATTCAAGTAATTGTATAGAGCTAATGTGTGTGATTTGATTCATTGTGATAGATGGGTACAGTGCCAAACCACTGCTCAAATCAACACACAACATTTTTCTCACCTCTCAGGGTTTCTTTAAGCCTCTATGGAGCACATTCCTGCCTCTGCACCCTGCCCCAGATAGTCATTGATATCTTTTTGTTCTCTGTAGATTAGTTAGCATTTTCTAGATTTTAACATAATTAGAATCAACCAAACAATATAAACCCTTTTGCAAAAGGCTCCTCTTAGCACAATGGCTTAAAGAGTCACATATGTTATTGTGTGGATTCATTTTCATTGCTCAGCAGTGTTCAGTTGTAAAGATACCCATATTTTGTTTACCCATGCATTTGTTGATGAATATTTGGGTTATTTGAATTTTGGAGCTACTTTGAAAAAAAGCTTCTATGAATATATGCATATAAATCCTCTGTGTGGATATATATTATCAATTATCTCAGGTAAATACCTGTGGTGGAATAACTAGGTTACTTCTTGGATATATATTGAATTTTTAAAGAAATATCTGTAGAGTTTTCCAAAGTAATTGTAGCATTTCATGTTCCCACAGGCAGTGCATGACAGTTTCAGTTGCTCCACATCTGGACACTTAACATTTTCAGCCGTTACTCTTAGGTCTTCTGATGGGTACACAACAGTAACTTTTATTTCTTTTAATAGTACTTTCTCAGATAAATAACAATGTTGACATCTTTTCATGTGCTTATCTGCCACAAAAATGTTTTTTGTGAGGTATGTGTTGAAATATTTTGCTCAGTTTTTTTACTGGATTTAATTTGAAGGGCAAGACCACCCTGCATAATTCAGGACCAACAGTTCCCCTAAGGCTAAAATCCCCTATGGGAGCAAGTCAACCCTAGGGAAATGGCCAACCCTGGCTGTGCTCCACTACAGACACTGCCACACCAAACCCTCTGGTTCCAGGTTGTTCCTTGCCACCTTAACTCCCCCATTCCTGGGGGCCAGGAACGAGTCCAGGTGCACAGTAGCACTGTGTGAGGTTCCCAGGTATCTCCTGATGTTTCAGTTGTTTTTATATACTGGCTTTCTAACTATAACTGTTTGCATTTTAATGGTTTCTTTAAAGTTATGTCATGTATCCTTAACTTTTCACATTACTTAAGGTTAATATTGTACACATTAATGAAAAGACCTTATAACCATCTAAGTCCATTTACCTCTTGAGATCTGTTATGCTAGAATTTTCATATGTATTATATCAATATACATTATACACTCCAAAAGAAAGCATCATAGTCTTTGATTGAAACAGCCATGTATATTTTAATGAAATGAAGAATAAAAAATAGACTATCTCCAACTACGTATCATTTTGTATTCCCTTCTTGAATGTCTGTTTCCCTCTACTACCACTCACCTTCACCCGGAAGAATTTCCATTAGCATTTCTTGCAATATATGTCTTTTCAAGACAAATTCTCTTAGTTTTCTGTTATCTGAAAACATCTCCACTTTGCTTTTTTATTGAAGAATATTGTCACTGTACATGGAACTCTGGGTTGTTAGTTTTATTTCCATCATTACTTTAATGATGTCATTCCACTTCTTCTGATTCACAGTTTCTGATGGAAGACTACAATCATTTGGAACATTGTTTGACTGTATATAATGTGCCATTATTCTCTGGTTTCTTTCAATATTTTCTTCTTTTCTTTGGGTTTCTGTAATTTGTCTATGATGTGCCCAAGTAAGGTGTACTCATTGTATGTGTTGTTTTGGTTTTACTGAATATATCGCATTTTGAATCAATGTATTTCGCAAAATTTGAAAAGCATTTGAACACTAATTCTTAAAATATTTTTACTGCCGCATTCTCTCCTCTGCTTCTGGGACACTAATTACATGTATGTTTGACCATTTGATGTAATCTAACACTCTCTGAAGTTCTGTTTGCTTTTTCTTTAGTTTGTTTTTTCCTCTGCCTCTTAGGTTGTATAATTTCTATTATATGATTTTCAAGTTCATTTTTTTGTCAGCTCCTTTCTACTATTAATCTGATCAGTTTACATTTTATTTCAAATATTTTGTTTTTAATTTCTTTAATTTCTATTTTCTATTTAAGATTTTTAATTAGTATATCTAGCATTTTCTATTTTTCTGCTGAGATTTTCAATTTTTGTCCTTTCATTCCAAGTGTATTTTCCTTTACCTCATTATAAAAGCTGTTTTATAGTCTTGTCTGACATGATAAAAAACTCTCAACACATTAGGTATCAAAGGAATGTGCCTCAGCATAATAAAGACTATATGTGTCAAGACCACAGCTAACATATTAAATAGTAAACAACTAAAACATATCCTCTAAGACTAGGAATAAGACAAAGGTGCCCACTGTCACTGCTTTTATTCCTCACAGTCCTGAAAGTCGTAGTAAGAGCAATTAGACTACAAAAAGAAATTAAAGCCATTCTAATCAGAAAGGAAAACGTTAGATTGTCTTCTTTGCAGGGGACATGATCTTATATGTAAAAAATCCTATAGACTCCACCAAAACCTCTTAGAGCTAATAGATTCAGCAAAGTTGCAGCATTAAAATCATACAAAAATCAGTTGTGTTTCTATGCATTAATGATGAACTATCTGAAAAAGAAATTCAGGAAACAATTTCATTTAAAATGGCATACAAAGATGATACTGAGGAATAAATGTAACTAAAGAGGTGAAAGATGAGAAAAAGTTGAAAACACAAATAAATAGAAAAATATCTCATGTTCACATATTAGAAGAATTAATATTGTTTAAAATACCTATATTACTCAAAGTGACCTACAGATTCAATGTAATACAAATAAAAACTTCAATAAAGTTTTTCACACACACACACAAATACAATCCTAAAATTAATATGGAACAACAAAAGACCCCAAATAGCCAAAGCAATCTTGAGAAGAATCGAGCTGGAAACATCACACTTAATGATTTCAAACAATATGATAAAGTTATAGTAATCAAAATAGGATAAAACTGGTATAAACACAGATACATAGACCAACGAAATAGAATAGAAAACCCAGAAATAAACTCACACATCAACCAATCTTTGAAAAGGCTGCCAAACATACAAAATGGGGAAATTATAGTCTCTTATAAATAGTGTTGAGATAACTGGATATCCACATGTGAAAGACTGAAATGGAGTCCTTATCTTACACCATACATCAAAATTAATTCACAGTGGATTAAAGACTTTAATGTAAGATGGAAAATTTGAAACTCCAAGAAGAAAACATGGGAAAACTCCTTGACATTGGTCTTGGCAATGACTTTTTAAATATGACACCAAAAGCACAGGCAGCAAAAGCAAAAGTAAACAAATGGGATTACCTAAAACTAAAAATATTCTACACAGCAAAGGAAACAATGAACGAAATGAAAGGACAGCATATGGAATGGGACAGAAAAATTACAAATCAAATATCTGACAGAGGATTAATATCTAAAATATATAAAGAACTCTTTCAAGTCAATAGCAAAAAACTAAATAATCAAATTAAAGAATGGCAGGAGATCTAAACAGACATTTTTCAGAAGAGGGTATACAGATGGCGAACAGGTATACTAAAGCTGCTCAATATCACTAATCATCAAGGAAATGTATATCAAAACCACAATGAGATATCAGTCTACATCTGTTAGAATGGCTATTATCAAAAAGAAAAGAGAATACAAGTATTGGCAAGGGTGTGGAGAAAAGGAAACCCTTGTACACTTTTGGTGAAATATAAATTGGTATGACTATTATGGAAACAAATCTCAGAAAATTAAAAATAGAGCTGCCGTATGATTCAGCAACCCCACTACTGAGTAGTTATCCAAAGGATATAGAATCAACATGTCTAAAAGATATAGATATCTTTAGACTCCCAAGTCCATATGGAATTATTCACAATAGCCAAGATAGGAACTCAACCTAAGTGTTCCTTGTCGGGAGAATGAATAAAAAATTATGGAGTGTGTGTGTGTGTGTGTGTGTGTGTGTGTGTAAAATGAAATGCAACACATCCATAAAAAAGAAGAAAATCTTGATGTTTGCAACAACATGGATTAACTTGGGAGGCATTATGCTAAGTGAAATAAGCCAGATACAGAAAAACAAATACTCTATGACTTCACTTCTATGTGAAATCTAAAAATGTCAAACTCACAGAATCAAGGAGGAGAATAGTGGTTACCAGGGGCTGGAAGGTGGGGGAAATTGGAATATGTTGGTCAAGGGGTACAAGCTTTCAATTATAAGATGAATAAATTCTGGTGATCTAATGTTGAGCGTTATGACATTAATTAATACTGTACTGTATATTTGAAATTTTCTAAGAGTAGATCTTGCGTGCTCTCACCACACAAACACACACACACACACACACACACAGTGGTAACTATATAAGGTGATGAATGAATTAACTTGATTGTGGTAATCAGTTTAACAAAGTACGCATATTAAAATTTTTCACATTTTATACCTTAAGTATTTACAGTATTTATTGGTCAATTATACCTCAATAAATCTGGAAACAAGAGGTTTGTGTTTGACAACCTAACATCTGGATCATCTTGAGTCTAGCCTCTGCTTATTTTATTTTCCTTTAAGAAAGTCGTATATTCTTGGTTCTGTTTATGTGAGTAATTTTCCAATGTATCCGGAACATTGTTACAGTTATATTATTGAGGCTGTACATTTTGTTATATTCCTATAAAGGATGTTTAAATTCTTTTAGAAAACCAAAAACTACCTTGCTTATCCTCAAGCCTCAACATTTTTATTGTGTGTTTAAGGCAGCAACTCAACTCTCAGTTTTTTCCATGTAGCTTTAACTGATAGCTGCTTTGAGTTTTCCCCATGCTTGCATAATTCAGTGGTTAGCCATGGATTTGGACAGAGTTTATATACATAACTTGATGATTTCTTCCATGCTTTCTTTTCCCAGAATTCCCTCATTTTTAGAGCATGATTGGCCCAGGCTCTGTGTTCTGATTCTCTAGGTTAGAAAGAATGTGGGTTTCTACCAGAGTTTAAACTTCCCTGGGCCACAGTGGGACTGTGGTCGGTCTTCAAACTAAATTCATAAAAATGAGAAACACTCCTTGCTATAACCATCTTCAGAGTTTTAACCAACTCCCCCAACCCCACAAAAAATAGTACAGCTTTTTTAAACTTTCAAGTTTTTAAAAATTGTATCCAGATTTTATGGTTGTTTTGAGATGATTCAATTGTTAGGAGATTATTTTGCCATACTTGAAGAGAAACTCCTTAGGGTAGAACAGTGTAATCCTTCTCTCAGAAGACAGAAATATCTCTCCTGGATAGATTCCAAAACATATGTTACTGTGTAAAAAGATTATCTGAGAAATTAGACCCATATCAAACACAAGATTTCCAAAATTCGGCATCCAGAAATACAAAAAATTATGTCAATGAATGAAAAGAGCAGAGGTAGGTAAAATCTCAAAAAAATCCCAAGGAGGCATTGATTTTTTTTCCAATCGAATATACAGTTTTGAACTGGATTTTGTTTTGGTTTTTCCTGTCTTCCTTCCAGATGGCACAATATAAATTGTCTTAGAGATAAGCAAAGAGAGACAGACTGAACACATGGCTCTCAAGAATCAAATTTCACATCACTGATAACATGTACAAACAGAAATTCTCTTCAGTTAACATTGATGTTTATAAATTATTTTTTAAACATTAATTTGTTATTGTTAATACATGCACATCTAGTCCTAAAAATTAAGAACTGAATCAATAAAATATCTTCTTTCAATTACAAAATATTTTCTGTGCTTGTGAACAAATTATTTTATTCTTGCAAAAGAAAAAACTTCATAGGATATATGTTCAGAACTTTAACCCAGTCTTTATTTTCAGAATCAAGAATGGGTAAGTTACAGGGTAAACTCCTTAATGCTTTCTATTGACTAATTTATGTATCTTTTAGTCTATTATTTTTAAAACTAAGAGTATCAACATATTTATTAGCTTACATTTTTAACATTGAAGGTCTACTTGTTGGATAACACTGGCATCTGAGTGTTTCAGGCAATTAATTTTGAATTAGGACTGGTGAGAATGCTAATACTATGAAGCCGCATAGAATGGCTGATGACCAAGACATCCATAGTTAAGCAGCATGCATACTATACATTTGGTTTCCATGTGAAATATTGTAACTTTGAAAAGTTATCTTGTATTTCTGTTCTTTCATTTACTTAATTTACTAAAAATGATATATCTATTAATTAATATCAAGGTTAACTTTTTTGAAATTTAGTGCTTGAATGAAATTCTAACCACATAGTTGTGAGTCCTTTAGCTAATAAATACAAATTTCTAGTCAGTCTTTTATTTAACAGGAGATAAGCAGTTCAAATACTTCTGGTAATAAAATATACTTCAAAGACTGGCTTTCAAAATTATGGATATTATCTACAATATTTTGTCTACTTTGGAAAATTAAAGTGGTATTAAATTTTTTTATGTATAGTAAACGTATTGCTTAATCTTTGTTGATGAATCCTGAGCATCATGAGTATGATATACCAAAGCATAAAGTTACATTTTCCTATTCATGTTTGTATTGTGTAGTAAAGGAAGAAATATTGTTGTATATTGGACTCATAGTTCATTTCATTTCTGACAACAGTTTGAAAAGATGATGTTTTTTGGGAGATTACAATGAAGACATTTATACTGAAATCTTTTGAGCTAATTATTGCTTCAAACACTACCAATTGTTATTCTGTTTTTTCTCTTTATGTTAAGGTTCTAGATGTAATGTAATACTTTAGAAGAAAAATATTTAAAATGATTTGTGAAAAATAATTTTTCCATGACATTATATCCAAAATAATTTGTTTAAAATCTCTCTAATACCTGTAAATGTTTTTTACTTCTATAGAGGATTTTGATTTTCATCAGCAGTCATGACAGCATTAACAGCCAGACAAAGAGAAGGGGGCTTAGATATCGTGGGATAAACAGAACATTTATTTTAATTAAATGTCTAACATTTCAAGCTTATTAATCCAGAAATTTCAGGCAACGCTTCAACAGATTTATGTATCTCTTTATTAATTAAAATGTTTTCCTTGGCCAAGCACGATGGCTCACGCCTGTAATTCCAACACTTTGGGAGGCCAAGGTGGGCGGATCACCTGAGGTCAGGAGTTCAAGACCAGCCTGGCCAACATGGTGAAATCCTGTCTTAAAAATACAAGAATTAGCCAGGCGAGGTGGTGGGCCCCTGTAATCCCAGCTATTCGGGAGGCTGAGGGAAGAGAATCGCTTGAACCTGAGAAGTGGAGGTTGCAGTGAGTCGAGATCGCACCATTGCACTCCAGCCTGGGCAACAGAGAGAGACTCTTAGGCAAAAAACAAAAAAACAAAAAAAACAAAAAAAGTTTTCCTTATAAATTTTTTAATTTATTGTTTATATTTATAAACCTTCAGTTTAAAAGCTTATATTCTTATATATATATATCATTTGCATTGTAGCCTGTTGCGTGTGTTTTGCTGAACATATATGTTTTTCTTCCAACTTTTAGTTTAAAAAATAGTGTGTATTTTTTTTTTATGCTAGAACAGCATTCACTTGAATGGAGTTTTGCAGTCTAATATGCTTTTGAGGTTGCAGTGCTCAGTACTCCCTGCGCAAATCAGAAATGTGAGGAGCATGCTAGAGACAAGCGCCTGGCCAAAGGCCAGGACACTGCCTTTGTCAGCCAGCTCTGCAGAAGGCGGGGCAAGTACTCCTCTCTGAGGCTGGGAAAATGCTTGGAAACCGCCAGAACCAGCTGAATTGTAAAATATTTCAGACGTGTTCGAAGAAAACAATAAATCATCAACATAAACAAGACATCATTAGGGTGCTTGATGGGCATTTCTTGAATGAGAAGATTCTGAGCTATGATTACTGTGTGTTTACCTTTGCCCACAGGACATAAATGAATTCTGTAATTTGGTAAAAAAGAAGAACATTTCTTTACTGTCCGGCTGGTTTCCTGGGGAAAAAATAATAATATTTCAAAGGGGAAATACTTTGTTAAGCATATTCCTTTACAGCAACCTAGCATATTATTCAACACTTAAACTCACACATTGCATTTTATTCTAATACCTTGAGGCTAGTATTTGTGAAAAGGTATTAATAAAAACAGGCTTTCCCTTACATCCTTCTCAATAATAATCTGTCAGTTGGAGCACTTTCCCCATAAGCTTAGTATACTATAACAAAAAAAGTGTTTGGAGGCACATTAAAATTAAACACGCTAATTCAGTTTTCCTAATATATTCTGCTTTTGTTTCCTAGCAAATTAATGACGATCATGGTGTATATTAGAAATAGTAAGTAAATATTTTAAAAATATTTTTAGAATAAAATTACTAACCATATCACCAAAGAAAGAGATAGTTAAAAAGAAACATTGTACAAATTGTGCATTGACACAAAATAGACCGTATTAGCATCCCAGAGACAAGAAACAACTATGAGGAATTAAATTGAAAATCCATGTGAAGGGAATGTATGCATCTGGTTCTTCATGTCTTGCAACTTTTAAAATAGCACTTGAAAGCTAACCAGAAAAAAAGACTTTAAAGACATTATTTCCAAAATTATGCAGAGTTCACAATGAGTGGATCTTAGAGCTTCTGTCTGTGTACCAATTTTTCATGTTTCATACTCATATGGAAAAATACATCAGAAGTTAAGGAGTAATAACACAAATATATATTTGATAGGAAAATTATCATAATCTCAGTGTTCTGGTTTTTTTACATTCCACACTTCATAATGAGGAGAATTTGGGTTTTCTTTCTTTCCATTTTTGAGATTTACATATGAATTCTGTATAATAATTTGAAAAAAATGAAAGAAACTTTTGTGAAAAATATTAAAACTGGAAAAATATATAAAAAGAGTGCAGAGTTTTCCTTTAGTCTTTCTTAAAAACAGTTATTTAAATAAGATTGAAAACAAAAATACAATAATATGTATTGAAATACATTTGAAAAATTTTGAACTTGCATGGATTATTTACATTTATTTGTCGCATTTCTCTTGAAGAATAATATAAACTTGAAAAAAGTAAAACAAATTTTTCACTTTACTCATCTTTGGATCTTTAAATGCTTATCACATGATGGAGAAATCTTATTTAAAAAATAATGTTACTGGTATTAATTTCCATATGTTTTAAGTACTCTAATCAAAATAATATCTTATAGATTCATATAATACAGATGACATCATAAAAAAGATTTTCTTTGCACCTTTGCCACCACTTCATATCTAGCCCAATGTAAGAAACATAATCTAGTAATTATTTCTTTTTTTTTACATTATCTTCATACATATTCTCCATTTCTTGATTTACAGACTGTGTTACCTATTAACTGTCCACTGCGGAAGCTGCAAATTTTGATCACGCAGGGAGTTCTCCACTTCTCATCATTGTCTTCATCAAATATTTTTGATCATTATTTAAATTATTGCTTAGCTGTATATCTCTGTTTAATGTACTTATATATTTATTTTTTCAATTATAATCACCAAATTCCCTTCTATATCATATCTTACTCCTAATCTTTTTTTTTCTTTTCCTTATTATAATTTTTCTATCCTCAGCACATCAGTTTGACATGGACAAAATTAATAAAATTTACAATTGCTCCGTGATCATAAGTAAGTCTGCATTGCAAGATGAGCTAAAAGTGGAAAACCAATGAACCTTATTTTTATTGTTATTATTTTGCAGAGACATTAACTGCAAGTCCAAGTTGTATTTCACAATAATATTTTCTTTTTTAGTGTTTCAATACCATGACCTCTGAATCACTCAAAGTATAACACAGTACACATTAATACATAATTAAATATTATTTTTCATCAGTCTATCAGTTGGTTTAAAATTGTGCCCACATTTTAGTTTGCTTCATATTTGGAAAATAAAATATTTGTGTAGTTTTCAATTTTCCTGGAGTTTCTCATTTCTCCCTCTCCCACTTTTTAAAATGACAGAATAATGTACTTTTAATGTAGCAGTTATGTGATGAATCTTTTCTAAGTCCATGAATTCAAAAAAAGTCATTATTCTACCTTCACACTTAATTTAAGATTTGTCTAGAGACGGCATCCATTCAAAGTCATTTTCCCTAATAACTTTGGAACCACTGTTTGATACTTTTCTGACATCCAAAGCTATTAATGAAAAATCTGATGTTTATATGAATCTTACACAGTTGTAATTATCTGTTTTTGTCTCAAGAAGTTTGTATTTATTTTGTGATTTTTTTTAACTTACTGGTTTAAATCAACCAGAATTTCTTGGATTTTCTATGTAACAGAAATTAAATCAGTATAAATCACTGTTTAGGCTCACTCTGAGTTTCTTTGATTCCTCATGTTTTCTTTGATACTTCATGTTTTCTTTGATAATCATTTTATCTTGCACCCCGTACTTTCCTTCTGTGGTCATTTTCTTTCGCCTTCAAGTTCATATTTTGAAATTACTTCAATGATAGTCTAATGATGCTGAACTATCAGACATTTTATTGCTGTAAAATATTTTACTTCATTTTCCTTTTTATAAAGATAGTTTTGCTAGGATACATTTATTTCCTATATTTGGGTTTTTTTTATCATTTCTGAAAAATCTTTGGTTATTATCTCATTTTCTTCTCTTTATATTTTGAGATCAGGCCATTTTCTTTCAAAACCCATCCAAGGTATAACACTCCTAATTGCTATATTCTGTTGTCTCTGTCTTATTAAAGTATACTCACAATCATTCCTCTTTTCTAATGCCCAATCCACAGTTATTGGGTCAACCTTGTGCTTGGTTTTTTGGTTCTCTAACATTGTATAGAAGACAATGGGGAAAGCAATGTGGTCCAAACACACAACTCGCCGATGGTCTTGTATAATGAAAGGATTAAATTAGCCAGACATGGTGGCTCACGCCTGCAATCCCGGTACTTTGGGAGGCTAAAGGTTCATGGCTTGAGCTCAGAAGTTCAAGACCAGCCTGCGCAACATGACAAAACCCCATCTCTACAAAAAATACAAAAATTAGCCAGGCATGGTGGTGCACACCTGTAGCTCCAGCTACTTGGGATGCTGAGGTGTGAGGATGCCTTGAGCCAGGGAGGTTGATGTTGCAGTGAGCTCAGATCATGTAGCCTGGGTAATAGAATGAGACTCTAACTAAAAAAAGAGAAAAATAAAGAAGGGAAGAAAGGATTAAATTAGTAGAAGTTATGCTCTTAAAGCTCATATAATGGGAGGCAAGACTCCTTCTGGATTCCCTTTGTTATATCCAGGACATATCTATCCCTCTTTTGCAAAAACCTCTACTCCTCTACGTTTGGAACACTCCACCCCTTCTAATTTTTGCCAGTTACTATTGTACAATTTATATAATTTTAACCTTAATTTACTGAATATACTGATATCAAGTTCAAAGTTTTCCCGTTTGCTTCAACTCCTATTGTCAATGTAGCTGATTTCAAAATCCACATAGAAAACTAGCTTTGACTTCACCATCAACAGTGATCTTCAATTCTAGTCCATTTTCCTGATCCACTTTATAGTAAGGCCCTAAGAAGTTACCCTGAAATACTGTATCACTTATACTCTCTGACCACCATCTCCTGTTTCTTGCTTTCTTATTTAATTACTTATGCAATGAGTGGCTGTGAATCACATCAGGACCTCTAGTTTACTGACCTCTCTTTTTTCTCTTCCTCCCTTTTCCCTGTCCTTAGTTTATTCCCTGTTCACTTAGATTCCATGCTCTATCATTTCAATCATTCTCTTGGAAATCTCTTAAACCCCCTTATTATGATATGTTTTAAATGCACGTGTTCTGGAAAAATCTGAATAAAATCACCCATCTGCCTTCTGCATAGTCTCACACATATCACTATATGTGGCAGGAGAAGAGTCGCACGGGGCAGATGAACTGTATAGTCATTATTAACCCAAACTACTCCCTCAATGCCATGTTTCTCTATGACATTTTAAAATTTTCTTCACATTAATTTACTTTTCTTTATCTAAAGGACTTTTTCTGTTTCTAAAGGACTCTCCACATTAACTCATTCTCTAAAAATAATAAATATTTTGAAATGACATTAATTACATTGTAGAATTTAAAAATATCTTACAGTGCTGAGATTTCAGGCCAATTTTTGTTTAAAAGTTTGTAACAGAGGAAAGTACACTCTTAGAGCAAAAAATTTTGAAGATATTGGCCAAGATATTACACTCACATTTTGGTTCATCAGCTGTACTGGAGGGGATCAAAACTCAGGTTCTGCCCAATATGCAGAGTCTTAGACAGAACCTCCCTACATTAGTGGGAAGTAAGGGTTATAGCCTTAGTAAAAGATCAAACCAGATCTAAACATGCCTATTGTCCAAACCCTAGGAGACCATAGGAAAGTCTGCCTGGGACTGAGTAGTGCAGAAGAAGTAAAATAAAAGAGAAAAGAAATATGTTTCTGAGACATTATGACCATAGAACAATGATGCAATGAACTTTCACTCCAGCTATGTAATTTGGTCCATTCAAAGAACTTCAGTCAATGTGACTTCTCAATTCTGGCTCCTTCTGTGTTAAAGTTACTGCCCAAGTAATGTAGGCATGGGATTCCAGTAACTAAATTAGGATGCTGGACTCGCCATCCCTGGGAAACTTGAATATACATTTCCCTGATCGCTGCAGGCCAGATGGAGTAGCTAATGTCTCTTTGTTAGAGGCAGGCAGTCAAAAAGTTATATTTAATTTTGCTGGGAAATATATGGAATTAAAAAACAGTTAAATGTGGTTATATATTTAAAAAGACATCACATAGTCTGGCAGAAGAAATTTAAGTACTGCAACATCACAACCAGCATGCCAGAAATCCACAAAAGGTCTATGTCATGTGAGCTTGACCGTAGTTCTCTGAGGCGGACAGAAATCAAGGTTATGTGCTACTCTTATCTTTAAGTTTTTTCCCCTTCTAATCTTGTACACACACACACACACACACACACACACACACACACACACACAGTCTAAATCTGTAGGAAATAAGTCATATATATCTGAAACTATCTCACCAGAAAAGCTGGTAAGTTCAAGGTCAAGGTCTTCCCTTCTTTCAGGGCTATGTTTAGTCATGTCCAGGAAAGAACAAAGAGTTCATAGTTTTATTTTGTTTTGTTTTCAGAAATTTGTTTGAAAAAAAGAGTAGAAAGGCTAAATGTTATACTGCATGATAGTAGTACATGGAAGGAAGACTAAACCAAGGAGATGATGATGATGTTTACACTTTTTAAAATTCCTAGCAATTCCGTCTGTAACTAACTTTAAGTGAAATATAATTACATGTAAGGGAACAGTCATAAGGGTTTAAATCGATCTTTTGAAACAAACTGATCACCCAAATCAGACTGTAGTCTCTTCTCAATAGAGATTGATTACATTCTAGATTTGGGATTATTGACACAACCAGAATAATTATAAGAGCTATGTGTGATTGTGTTACATGATCAGGTAGAATTCTTTGACCTTGAAGATGTCACTCAAGGTCTTTGGAACCCAGTTTCCCCAAGTATAAAATGATTATTTTGTCAAAATGATTTATAAAATCCTTTCAAGCTCCAATATTTTAGGTTTTTTGAAACTCTGATTCAAAATGTATTTTATTATTAAAATCAAAAAGGAAAGAGCAAGTTGCAACATTATTGTGCAATTATATTTAGAATTAATTTTTATGCTTTTCATGATCTGCACCATAAACTTTAAACTCACTTGAAGTCCCCACATGCTGTAGTTCCAACTCATTTTTGCCTCCTCCAAGCCTCAGGTGGTTATATATTAGAGAATGGTCGCTCTTCATTCTGCAGATGTGGCGGTACCCTACACTGTTTCTTTCTTCAAATTTCTTATTTTCTTTCTCCTTCTTTTGAATGACTTTTATCCCATACTCACGTGAATGTTGAACATCTTTTCTTTAAAGTTTAGGTCAAATGTCAACTGCTTCATGAAACCTGCCCTGGAGACTCAGGCAGAAATGGTGTTTCTTTAATCAGTGCTGAGTGACTACTACCAATCTTCATTTAAAGTGTAACTCATCTTGTTGTCCTGCAGTATTTATATGTTACCCTCTCAACGAAAAAGGAAATTCTCTTAAGAACAATATCATGTGTTAGGCATGTGATATCCCCCCTAACGTCAGTCTTCTCACCCCCTAATGCCTAGGAACTAGAGGACATTCTCCTAGAATTTGACTGGTAGTGATCTTCAGGGAGATAAAGAAAGTTGAGAAAGCTCAATACAGTTTTACCTAATGTACACTTATGAGGTAAATTCCAGGACTAGTTATGGGATGATAGATTTAACTCAATCTTTTACTGGATTGCATGATCAACTCTCAACTGCTTCCAGGTGGTGCCTCACTGGATGACTCATAACTAGCCATTTTTCCAACCCAGAATTATGTCCATATTCCTTTGGGTATCTTCAGAAAGTCACATTTTCAGGTAAACTAATATGACATGCACTTAACCAACCTAAAATAGCTTTGGAAAGAAGAGCAAAGAGCATGCATAAAATAGAATTTGTAGTAAAGGAAATTCTGGCTTCATTAAAGACAAAAGGGAATTCTAAGACATGAATACTCCAAAGCAAGGGCTTTTTAAACTATAAGGGATACATAGTGATATTTTATTTTGTATACTTGCTATTGTCATCCCCTTACAATACAAAATTAACACTTAACACAGGAGTGCATCGAACATAGAAAGAATCAAAAGAGACATGTTAGGATTTATAGTTATTTTCAAAATAACTAAAAAGTTATAGATTGCTTTATAATATTTGGCTAGATAATTATTTGTAACGTAAAAAATTGCAATGCAGAATCCTTTTGTGGGAAAAAATATATCAATTTTTGTTATTTCCTCTTGATGTTAAAAACGAAGATGAATTTTATTTTTTATTCATAGGAGGTTTTCGTTTCAAGTACTAATTCTGTAATTTGCTTGTGACTAATATGAATTATTGAATCATGATCAACGATATATGTCAACTAACAATATGGAGCATTAGTTATAAAGCTAATTTCTACAAAACAGCTGCTTATGTAGATATATTTCTCTGTAGAGTTATTAAATATAGCATTTTTAAATATTGCAATATATCCAAACATCAATTTTATTACACAGCATTATTTTAAATGTAGGCAATGGAAGTTAATGCTACATATAATCATATAATTAGTGTCCTGCCCATTTAAATGTTTAGGTGTTTACATCAAGTGAAATATTTTCTTATATTTGTACCAAGTATATATTTCATTTATACCGAGTGAAATATCTCCTAGCAGAAGAGGCTGAAAGAAAAGGCAGGAAATTCTGGTTTAAAATGTGTGTAACCATCATCTGTAAAATTGTGTACAATTTTGCTGTATGCATAAATGCTATAAAGTAAAATAAATCTCCTATTTAATTTTAAGGACATCTATAAAGACTTATTTTTAGAAATCATTTGGCCCCAGTGGTGTGCAAGATCTCTTCTAGATGCCAGAATACAAGCTAATAAAAGACTTGATATCTAATTAGAAATGGGCTAGCAATTTAAGAAAACCAAAAATAACACAAAATAGTTTTTTAGACACTCTTAATAAAATTATTTTTGCTGCTATTATTATAATAGGTATAAAAAAGATGTTTTAAGAAGTTGGATCTTGAATTAGTCTTTCAGAATGGATTAGATTTGTGTAAACAAACAATAAGTAGAGGGCATTTTTAGCAAGTAAACCATGTTAGCCAGACACAGGAACTAAAATGTGCATAGTGATTCAGAGGATGGGGGGAAAAAAGTATAGTATAGGTGATTAGTGCTAACTAAATTTTGAGGGGAGAGTGTAATACTTTCAAATTTAATCAATGTTACCATCTAATAATATTGAAGTAAGTGTGTTTTTGAAGCCCTTATGAATAGAGCAGTAACATGGTCATGCTGAGTAGAGCTTCTCAGACTTTAATGTGCACACTCATCACTTGGGGATCCTGCTAAAATGCACATGCTGATTCAATTCTCCAGTGAAGCCTGAGATTACACCTTACGAAAATGAATTCCCAGATAATACTATTACTGCTAATTCCCAGACTATACTTTAAATAACAATGCCCAATAGACAGATTCAGCAGCAAAATCTAGAAATAAAGAAGCTAATTTGAAGACTAACGCAGGAATCCTGAGGCAAAGCAAGAAAGGTTATCGTCAGTGAAAAGGGAGATAAAGAATATTTGTCAGAAATGTTACAAGCAATTAATAAGTATGTTTTCTGGATTTGAGAGGATCATTGAAAAAAAAGATAGATCTATTTGTTTTTCTGTTTGCGAAGTTGATAGCACAATGTTAGTTTGGAAATCAATATAAATTCTGAGGTGTGATATGTCTTGGAGGGAACAACTGGTATTCTTTTAGACATTACACTTACATTTATGGTCAGGCATCCGGGTGGAAATGTCCACAGGCCTTGCAAAATGAGGATATGAAGCGCAGAGGAAATCTGAGCGATTAAGCCATGGAAACTGTTAAAATCATCTAGGAAAAGTAGGTAAAAAAGAAATAGAAGAGAAACTAAAGATAATGCCTATTTTTAAGAGGTAGAGAAAGGAAAAGGAACAATGAAAGAGATAAGGGGAAGGTGCAAACAGTAGTATGGACTAAGAATCAACAAATAAAGCAGATAAACTCGGAGAAGAAGAAGCAGTCTGAGATGTAAATAAAAAGTCATGGAGGTTAGGAATGTTGAACTTAAGAACCAGAATGTCATCAGTGAACTGAGATCCTCAGGGCAAATATATTTTAGTAAGGATGAGTTTTAGTAAGGATGAAACTGTGGGCAACCATGAAAGGGCAAAGTTTAATTGAATTTGACTGAGCTATGTTACATAAACATTTTCATTTGCCTACATTTTGTTACTGAGTATAATAGTCCTCTATTTAGTCTTTCTTGCATGACCTACCTGGAGTACTCTCTCCACCTCCTTATATGTAATAATTAAAATCTGCGATATTATCTGTCCCATAACTTGGAACTTGTACAATTCTAGCTCATGATTAGCACATAAAGCTGGTCAAGGGTGAAGTGCTCAACACTATTTCTTTCCTTCTTCTCTTGAGTCTCAGACTTTGGGAATTCCCTCAGAGTTTTACAGCCTTCATTCTCATATAAATTTGAAGTAGTGCCAGGAATAGCTTACATATGTTTTCTCTCATTCTGTGATGATGAACTCAGCTTTTCTTTAAAAATATTAACTTCATAAACGTAGGTACTATAAATCCATTCTCAACTTCAGTTTTTAAAACAATCTTTAGAATCTTTGTGCTTCTTCTCTAACATCTTATTTTACTTTTTACTTTCTTTCTTTTTTTTGGACAGAGTCTCACTGTCGCGCAGGCTGGAGTGTAATGGCGCAATCTCAGCTCACTGCAACCTCTGCCTCCCAAGTTCAAGTGATTCTCCTTCCTCAGGCTCCTTAGTAGCTGTGATTACAGGCATGTGCCACCACACCTGGCTAATTTTTGTATTTGTAGTAGAGACAGGGTTTCGCCATGTTGGTCAGGATGGTCTTGAACTCCTGACCTCAGGTGATAAACTTGCCTCGGCCTCCCAAAGTCCTGGGATTACAGCCGTGAGCCTCCGCATCTGGCCAACATCTTATTTTTCAACTATTCTTCATCATCATATTGATTTGAATGAGTTGTGTTTTTTATTATTCTGAACACTTATATTTTAATTTTGAAGACTAATGTAGGATTAAACCTAACACAGAACAGTGTCCAGGAAGTACAATAAGGCCTTATCCAGATAGATGTAAGGGAATTAAATCACAATTGTATACATTTTTCCTATCTCTATTGTTTTTTAGGGATTATCTGTGTAACCTAAAATTTATACTTTAAGATTTAAACTTTTTTTTGTTGTTTTATTTTTCCAATGATAAAATTCACCCAGTAATGTTGAAATACTCATGGACCAGAAACATTTATGACCAAAAACATGCACATTTCTTTCGGGAAATATTCACAGACTTGTGTAACATTCATCAATATAATATTGCCTTAAAAATTACCAATTCTGCATTACCTAATTAGATATTGATGATGAAGTGATTAGAGATGTTTGGTGATGTTACAATTGCCTTTCCTTCTGAGTCACATTGGTGGTGACTAGTGGGTTTAAACCAGGTTAGTGTCTTCTGAACTGAGATATGAGAATAAAGCAGAGCTGGCTCATGTTAATGGTGCACAAAATCAAATACTATCCCATAGGCAATATTCAGAAGTAAAGAGTCAAAAAGTAAAGAGCTTGTACAAATAAATTGTCAAGAAAACTACTTTCAACCAAAGCAATAACAAGTATGGCAGCTAAGCATTCACTTATCATCTCCAAACAGTAACTTCACTGGCCCCATTTTCATTTTTAACAACTCAATGCAAGAAAGAAATACAAAAAATTCCTATTCACAAAGCAATTCAATAATTAGAAATATAGTATAGTACAATTGCCTGATCTATGAATATGCTCTATGAATCAAGGGGATTGTGACTATCTAAATAAAGAAGTGTTATTGATAAGAAGAAGTATATTATCTCATGCGTCTTAATCCCTAGTAGGGGAGTTTAAATTGGTTTGATTTCCCCCTTTTTACAGTTTTTCAAAAATACACACTTTATTTTTTAAAGACCATTTTTAGGTTCATAACAAAACTTAGCATAAAGTAGAGTTCTCTCATACTTACTGCCCCCACATACTCACACTTTCCCCTCTACTGACATCCCACATCACAGCGGAACAATTACTACACTGGATGAAGCCACACTGATACAACATTATCACCCAAGGTCCAGAGTGTATATTAAGGTTCATTATTGGTGCTGTACATTACACGTGTTTGGACAAATGTATAATGACACTTATTCACCACTATAGTATCATACACAACATTCTTCATACCCTAAAACTCCTCTATGGTCCTCTTATTCATCCCTCTCTCTGACAACCCCTGAAAAACACAGATCTTTTTGCTGTCTCCATAGTTTTGCCTTTTCTAGAATGTCATATAGTTTGAATCATACAGTATGTAGCCTTTTCAGATTGTGACTGATGTTATATTATATGAAATCCATCTATATGCTATCTTCTATGTCTTCTACTATGATGTTAAATCTTTTTAGAATTTGCACACTGTAATCAGCACTGGGATTTTTAATACTTGTAGTAAATTATGACATTATAAGAGTCACTTGCTCTTCCTTCATGATTGCAGTGCCTTTTCAAACATGTTTTATTATTCTAAAATTCTGTAATGAACTATCAAATAAAATCCATAGATATCAATAACCAGAGTATCAAATATTTTTAACAGAAGTTAAGGCAAATGTAGCAGTAACTAAAAATTATTTCTCTGCAGTCTGAGATAAATTATTTAAATTACATTTTAATCATTTACAGAAAAGTTGGCATACTAGCTGGGTATCAACTAGGTAAAACGGAACCATGGAAAATGAATGCAGTATTATCAACAATTCATGGCAAATGACATCTCATTTCATGCTCCCAAGTTAGTCAACAGATTATTCATCATTCACTGATGTTCAAGACAGAATATCCTCATTTTAAACATAGAAACACTTCAAGATGTTGTTAGGTTTTAATACTTCCCTACAAGACAGATAACAGTTTATCTCTGAATCTTTCAGTATGCTTAGAGGAATTAACTCTGTCTGCAAAGTTAAAACAAGAGAGAGAGAATAAAATATAAATGAATGCAAATTCCAGAAGAGATAGGAGAGCAAAAGGGGGCATAATGTGTATAATGGTGAAAAAATGGAAGAAAAAGAAAGGAAAGTGTCAAAGGGGGTTTACTAAAGAAGGAAGTTACAGTATATTTTGAAAGATTAATTTCGATCACACTAATTCATTCATTATTCCTTTATTCATTCCTTCAGTGTATACCGATGCCTATCATGTGCCAGTCATTCCTCCAGGCACTAGAAGTAAAGAAGGAAACAAACACAAAACCCTTGCTCTTATCAAGCTTAAATTCTAATGGAGGGAGGCAAAATAACAAACATGGAATAGGTTGGTTTTTGAGAAGAACGAAATAGCAGGGTTAGAAGACAGAATGAGAGGTGCTACTGTTCTAGAAATCTTGGTCCAGAGTGCCTTCCCCGATGATGGTATTTGAACATACTCTTAGATTCAGACACTGAGGGTAAGAACTTTCCAGGGAAAGGGAATAATGGGGCAAGAAGGGGAGTGCCTAAAATATCCCACAGTTCCAGTGGTTTTGGAGAGAAAGAAAGGGTTAGAGAGTAGAAGGGAATGAGCCAAGATTCAGATCATATTGGTCCCATGATCCAACTGCTTCTCACTCTGAGTGAGATGAGAAGCCATTGGAGGGCATTGATCAGAAAGGCGATTTGATTTGACTTGCTAATAAAAACAATCATGCTTGTTACGTATAGCATACGTATATATATGTATGTTAACATATGTAAAATACAAAATATATATTTTATATATATATATATAGCAGCAGAGAATATATATAAAAGCAGAGACACAAATGTGGGACTTTTATAATACAGGGAAAAGACTATTGTATCATTCTTATGGAAGAACATTTAATATGTCTAACATATGGAAAAAAAGAGGTTAGAAATAAAGGCTGAATGGCTCAGAGAATAAAAACTGGCTGCATTATAGTACACAAAGTAGACTAAATCCAAAGTGGGAAATTTATACAGAGAAGCTGAACCTAGGGTTTCTAACTTGTTGGGCAAGAAAAAAAATTGAGATTTTATTTTTTAATATAAGAACTCTGATATGAACATTTGAAAATGATTCAATGTTAATGTTGAAAGATATGTAGTCATAACTGCTCACCAAGTAGAGAAAAATGCAAATTTCAGGTGCATAAAATGTTCCTTTAGAATGAATGTGGAAGAGAAAGTTATTAGGAGATATAGAACACCATTAATCACTTCTTGTCTTCTGAATCCTCCAAACTGTTTCAACCTCTGCCTACTACCCAGTCCCAAAGCTGCTTCCATATTTTCAGGTATATTTATATCAATGCTCCACTTCTCTGGTACCAATTAGTTTACAGTTCCACAGGCTGTACAGGAAGCATGGCTGGGGAACTTACAATTATGTTGGAAGGTCAAGGGGAAGCCAGGACATCCTACATGACTGCAGCAGGAGGTGGGGGGGGAGGGGGGAGGGAGAGAGAGAGAGAGAGAGAGAGAGAGAGAGAGAGAGAGAGAGGATGGGCAAGTAAAGGGGGAGGTGGTACACACTTTTAAACAACTAGATTTCATGAGGACTCACTCACTATTACAGAACAGCAAGTTCACTTGCATGATCCAATCACCTTCTAAAAGGACCCTCCTCCAACCAACATTGAGGATTACAATCCGACATGAAATTTGGTTGGGGACACAAAGCCAAACAATATCACCTGCCCAATAATACCTCTGTATATTGTATAAGATTCTAAATATATCAAAGATAGCAAACATATTTTTAGATTCCTTTTATGCCATCTAGACCAATTATACAGTGTTCAATATGAATCTAAACTCAATGACTCTTTGTATTAGTTTTACGTGGTTGCTACAACAAATTGTCATTAATTTGGTAGCATAAAATAACAATAATTTATTCTGGAGGCCAGGCGTCCAAAATCAGTGTCACTAGACTGAAATGAAGATATTGGCAGATTCCAGCTCCCTCTGGAGGTTCTAGGGAAGAATGTATTTCTCATCTTTTCCACATCTTTTGAACGTGGAAGAATGTATTTCTCATCTTTTCCACATCTTTTGAACGTGGCTGCATCATCCTAATTGCTGCTTCCATGGAGGCATTGTTTTCTCCTCTTATGTATAGTGAAATCTCCCCCTGCCTCTCTCTTATAAATATGCATTTGAGGATCACATTTAGGGCCCCTCCTGATAATCCGGGATAATCTCCTCATTTCAAGACCCTTAATTTAAATAATCACATCTGTAAAGTCTTTTTTTTTCTTTTTTCTTTTTTTTGCCATGTAAGTTAACGTATTTACAGGTTCATGGATTAGCACATGGGCATCCTTTAGAGGGTGCTGCACATAAAATGTTTTCAAAGTTACAAGACAATTACAACTGCACACTAGAAAATAGAGAAATAATCACTCATTTTTATAGCTCTAAATAGGAAGTAATTTTTTTCTACTCATTAATACGTGTCTAGAAGTATTTTTAAGGCCATACACATATTTCGATAAAAGAGAATACCACACAATCTGAAATAGAAAGCAGAAGTACTTTCTTAATAGCTACTGAGATTTGCGGTATGCTTTTATAGAAACTTGAAACAAAAATTTACTGGAATGTACAAAATATTTATTTTTGTAAACCTCCATATAATTTGAAATGCTGGTTAAAAGAATCAAAATTGTTCATTTTTTTCCTTTTTATAGGTCAAAAAATAAGCAACACATTTTTCTTGCATGTATTTTGGTAGAACACTGCTGTGACAGATAGAAAAAAGAAAAGAAAACAGAATAATTTATAGATTTTTAGTGGTTTACAACCTTTAGATTAGGGAATCTAACAAACACTGGTCTCTTCAATACCTGTATTTAGGATTTAGTTACCTTTTACATCTACTTAGTGTAGAAACTAAGGAATAAATGACGGCAAAAACATCTTTATAGACTAAGGAACTTTTTTCTTCCTTCCCTTTCTAGAAACACAGGTCATACACACATATGTGTTTCTAAATCTGATTGTTAAAAACACAAATTAGAATTAATGGTTTAGTTTACCCTGATAACTTATTTTTAAATTCCCTATGTAGTTTTTCACACATCAATTTCAGACAACTCTCTTAAGCTATTTCTGGCTTCTTTAAATTTCCTAATTCACAAGAAATAAACTTTTCTATTTGTTATTTCCTCTGCTTGAGAGGTCAGAATTTAATCTCTTTTACTATGAACAAAAATTAACTAAATGATGTGTGTCCAGATCTTTGCAATTTAAGTGACAGCTACTGGAATCAGCTGATGTACCACCTTCCTTTGGCAGTACTTTCCATATGGTCAACTTGGTGTAAGGAGGACTCTAGAACGGGTGCAGTGAACTATGATTCAGGGACCAAATCTGATCCCAGCTGTCTTTGTAGATTTTGATGTAACCCAGATATACTCAAACATTTACATATAGTCCATAATTCCCTCACCTCTACAGCGACACATTTAAGAAGATGCAACAGAGGCTATATGGCCCACAGAGTTTAAAATATTTACTTTCTCACTCTCCTTGGCCATATTTGCTGATATTTGCTTTAAAATAAGGAAAATAAAACATAGTCTGTTTATTAAATATACATCAGACAAAGAAATCTGGAACCAGTTGAAACCTAGAGTCAGATTTAAAAAGACATTACTAAAAGGCTAAGGAATAATTTAAAAAGACGGAAATAAAAATTGAATCAGATTTAAAAAGATATTACTAAAAGGCTATTGAGTTTAAAATAACAAGATTAAATAAAAATAATACAAAGTCCTGAATTCAGAGTCCCAAATTTAACTGCACAGAATAAACAAGATTTTGCTTGGCCCTCAACTTCATATGGTTAACCACAGATATAACATGAGACAGTATGATGTGGCTAGCAAAACATATAGGACAATTCTCTGAATTAATGGAAGTATGCTTCTAGAATAATACTACTATTAATAATAACTAACAATTAAGTATGTTCTATGTGGATACACTTTTTGAAGACTAGTTGTACATATGTATGCATATGTATGTGAATTAAATTAATCCCATGACAATTCATTTAGATAGATATAATATCTTATTTTATATATGAGAAAATTGGAGTGCACAGAGTTTCTTGCCTAAGATCACACAGCTAATAAGGTCTGGAGGCAGAATTCATACTTGGTTGTCTGTTACCAGAGCTCCTACTCTTAAGTCCCCTAGCCCAGAGAACAAATTACTTAGAAAGTTATAACAACTACATCCAAATGTTTGAAAGGGTTTCATGTGTAAGAAAACATAAATTTATTGGGAGTTATTTTAGAAGTCAGCATTAAAACAGTAACATCAACAATAGAGTTGATGTTTCTTCAAAATATAAAGAACACTTTTGTTTATAATTAGAATTATTATTATAACTGTAATAGGTTGCATCTCTTTTCTGAACTCATAACCAGCGAATTTCTTCAGGGGTTGTGGGTGATTTTTTTTTAGAAATGGTCTGGTGGAGATTTTTGTATGAAGTGAAAGTATTCTAGACGTGCTCTAAATATTTGATGATAGAGAAGAAGGAAACCAGAGAATCGTGGATATGCTGCGGCATCTTATTCTATCACTATTGCCATATAGGAAGATGACTTGCCTGAAGCAGGATAGAGTCCAGGATTAGCTTAAGAGTAGATTGTAAGAACACTTCACATTCACACGGAGTTTTAACTAGCACCCTAGAGCACAGTTAATGAATTACATTTTTGATCCCTCTGAAATTTTTTCAATTAGGCTTAAACATGAAAGCTATGGAAAGTTAAAACATTTTATTCTATAAAGTTCAAAGTGGCAAAGATGCATTGGAAATGCAAAGTTCCCCATGATATTTTATCAATGTTACTCAACTTTCTTTGGGGGATTAAAGAATAATTCTTATTCTGTGACTAATCTTGAGTCTCATTCTTCACAGATCTAGGCTTCTCCAGGTGTTACTCTGAAATACTTTCTGTGCTTCAGCACAGAAATAGATATTTTAAAATGACTTTCCAATGTTTGGCCATTCAGTTCACTAAGCAGAATCCAAAACCATGACATGAAATCAGGAAATTTCAAGGGAGATGATCATTATAAATTTAACTAAATAAAAGTATAATATTTTGTCTTAAAATTATTAACTTTGGATCCCCCCAAAAGTATAGTAGTCACAGAGATGTGTGTTTAAAATATAGCAACAAGAATGTGTATTAAATAATGTTTATACATAGACACACAAGCAATAGTTCATTATTAAAATCTTTATACAATCTCAGTTACTATTCACTTCTAAAAGAACACATTTCTGGTTTTAACCACCTACTTTGGTTTAAAAAATATTGTGTACTTAGTGACAATACCTCTCTAATTAATTTTAATTATTACATAAAGATCTATTTTAAGAGTCTTTGGTCTCTTGGAAAATTAGTCTACATTTCTGGCACCCTAATGACAATATAGGGTGCCAAATTCCTATTGTTGAAAAAAGCACTTTCCCAACAAGGCAAATTCCTTTACCAGTAATCTTTAAATTCCATGCATGCAAAGATATGCTTTTACAGAGAAACTTTTGATAATAAACAAGGAAGGTAGATTAAAATGCAAAATTCCAGCCCAGCTAGAAACAAAACAAGTAAATACTTGAATGAAAACATTATGAGAAAGAAGACTTCATTCATCTCATTCTCTGTTGTATTATTGGTGTCTCGGAGAGGACAAGACACATAATAGGCACCCAGGGACTGCTAAAGTGAACGAATAAGTGAGTGAACAAAGGTAATGGAATATTGGGGGAACCCGCCAATATTTCAACGTAGGTTCTTTCTATTTTCCCAAAGTGTCAGCCAGCTGAGAAATAAAGAGAAAGAGTACAAAGAGAGGAATTTTACAGCTGGGTCTCCGGGGGTGACATCACATATCGGTAGGACCATGATGCCCACCTGAGCCACAAAATCAGCAGGTTTTTATTAAGGACTTCAAAAGGGGAGGGGGTGTATGAACAGGGAGTAGGTCACAAAGATCACATGCTTCAAAGGGCAAAAGGGAGAACAAAGATCACATGCTTCTGAGGACACAGGGCAAGGACAAGAGCAAAGATCACAAGGCAAAGAGCAAAATTAGAATTACTGATGAGGGTCTATGTTCAGCTGTGCACGTATTGTCTCGATAAACATATTAAACAACAGAAAACAGGGTTTGAGAGCAGAGAACTGGTTCAAATTTACCAGGGTGGGATTTCTTCCCGACCCTAATAAGCCTGAGGGTACTGCAGGAGACCAGGGCGTATTTCAGTCCTTATCTCAACCGTATAAGACAGACACTCCCAGAGCCGCCATTTGTAGATCTCCCCCCAGGAATGCATTCCTTTCCCAGGGTCTTAATTATTAATATTCCTTGCTAGGAAAAGAATTCAGTGATATCTTCCCTATTTGCACATCTGTTTAAAGGCTCTCTGCAAGAAGAAAAATATGGGTCTATTCTGCCCGACCCCGCAGGCAGTCAGATCTTATGGTTGTCTTCCCTTGTTCCCTGAAAATCACTGTTATTTTGTTCTTTTCAAGGTGCACTGATTTCATATTGTTCAAACACACAAGTTTTACAATCAATTTGTACAATAGTGGTCCTGAGGTGACATACATTCTCAGCTTAGGAAGATAACAGGATTAAGAGATTAAAGTAAAGATAGGCAGAAGAAATTATAAGAGTATTATCTGGGAACTGATAAATGTCCACGAAATCTTCACAATTTATGTTCAGAGATTGCAGTAAAGACAGGTGTAAGAAATTATAAAAGTATTAATTTTGGGAACTGATAAATGTCCATGAAATCTTCACAATTTATGTTCCTCTGCAGTGGCTCCAGCCAGTCCCTCTGTTCCGGGTCCCTGACATCCCACAACAATGGAAAATAATTGCTATGGTGTGAATGAGTCTCCCAAAGCGTATGTGTTGGAAACTTAATCCCCAGTGTAGCAGTGTTGGGAGTTGGAGTCTAAGGAGAGGTGATTAGGCAAGGAGGGCTCTGCCCTTATTGGATTAATGTCATAATTTCAGGAGTTGGTTTGTTAATTGTGAGAGTGGGTTCTTTATAAAAGAGCAAGTTTGGCTTTCTCATACTCTCTCCCTTGCTTGCTCTTCTCCCTTCTGCCATGGATGACAGCAAGAAGGCTCTCACAAGATGCTAACACCTTGATCATGGGTATTCCAGCCTTCAGAACCACAAGCCAATAAATTTCTGTTCTTTATAAATTACCCAGTCTGTGATATTCTGTTATAGCAGCATAAAATGGACTGATACAGAAAGCTGGTACCAGTAATGTGGGGTGTTGCTGTAACAAATGTCTAAAAAGGTGGAAGTAGCTTAGGAACTGAGTAATGGCAAAGGCTGAAAGAGTTTGGAGAAGCAGACTAGAAAAACATCTATTGATGGGAATTCTGGAGAGGGCTCAGATGAGAACTGCAGAGAAAGCGCACACTTTCTTCGAGATGATGTAAGTAGTCAGGAACGAAATGTTAGTAAAAATATGGCAAGTAAAGGCCATTCTCATGAGGTCCCAGATGAAAATGAGAAATATTTTACTGGAAACAGGAGTTAAAGGCCATCCATGTCATAAAGTTGTAAAGAACTTGGCAGAATTGTATTTATGTCTTAGGGCTTTATGGAAGACATATTTTAAGACCAATGAACTAGGATATCTGGCAGAATAAATTTCTTTTCTTTTTCTTTTTTCTTTTTTTTTTTTTGAGATGGAGTATAGCTTTGTCACCAGGCTGGAGTGCAGTGGCATGATCTCGGCTCACTACAACCTCCGACTCCTGGTTCAAGCGATTCTCCTGCCTCAGCCTCCCAAGTAGCTGGGATTACAGGCATGCAACACCATGACCAGCTAATTTTTGTGTGAATATATATATATATTTATTTTAAGTAGAGACGGGATTTACCATGTTGGCCAGGATAGTCTTGATCTCCTTACCTCATGATCTGCCCTCCTCAGCCTCCCAAAGTGCTGGGATTATGGGCATAAGCCACCATGCACAGCCAGAATAAATTTCTAAGCAAAATACTGAAGAAGCTGAGGAGTTTCTTGTTTTTTTTCTTTTTTTTTTTTTGAGATGGAGTCTCGCTCTGTGGTCAGGCTGGAGTGCAATGGCGTGATCTCGGCTCACTGCAACCTCCACCTCCTGGATTCAAGTGATTCTCCTGCCTCAGCTTCCCGAGTGGCTGGGACTACAGGTGTGCACCACCACACCAGGCTAACTTTTGAAGCTGAGGGGTTTCTTTTAACTGCATACAGTAAAGTAAGAGAGCAGAAAATGATTTAAAGATGGAATTTATAATTAAAAGCGAAGCAGAATGTAAAGATTTGAAGAATTCACAGCCTGGCCATGTAAAGAATGGAAAAGTGTGCAAGGATGTGGCCAAGCAACTGTTTGATAAGATTAGCATGGATAGAAGGAAGCCAGGTGAAATTCTTCAGGACAATGGAAGAATGACCCCAAAGGCATTTCAGAAATCTTCAAGGCTACCCCTCCAATCTAGGACTTTGAGGACAAGGTTTCTAGAGAGGCATCCACTAGACCTCATGATTCAGTGCTCTGTGATGTCTCAAGTTTCTTCTCCCTGCATTTTAGCACAGGACTCCTTGGCCTCTTCATTTCTAGCTACGTGGCCCTAGGTATGCTTCCAGCCACCACTACAGCTACTACTCTGGAAAGTATAGGCTATAAACTTTGATATAAATCAACATTGTAGTGCTGACTATGCAGATGTGCAGAGTGCATGACCTGTGGAGGTGTAGCTGTCTCCAGCAAGATTTTAAAGGAAGCTGTAGATACCTATTGTAGGAGTGGAGAAGAGTTCCCAGTAGGACAATACCTAATGAGACCTTGATGGTGGAGCACCCCTGAGACCCGAGTACTGTAGAGTCATTAACATGTAGCTTCAGCCCAGAAGTGCTGCAGGCACAAGACTCCAAACTGTGGGAGTTGCTGTGTGAGCTGACTTCAGCAAAACCATAGGAGTGGAGCTGCCTGAGGCTTTGGGGTTCCAAACCCTATCCCAGTATATTCTGAAGGTGACACAGGGAGTCAAATATTATTCTGGAGCATTAAGATTTAATATTGTTGATCATGTTGTCTTTTGGACTTACTTGGAAGTTGTTAACTCCTTTCTTTTTCCCTATCCCTCCCTTTTGGAATGGTACTATTTATCCTATGCATGTTTCACCACTGAATTTTGGAAGTAGGTAGCTTATTTAATTTCACAGCCTCACAGCAGGAGGGAAATTAACCTCATGATAAATCCTGCCTGAGTCTCATCCATATCTGATGATAAGACTCTGGAATTTTGAATTGGTTCTGGAATTTGTTAAGGTCCTGAAACAAATTAAGATTTTGGGGCTATTAGAATGGAATGAATATATTTTGCATATAAAAAAGACTTGAATTGTGTAGCTGTGGATAGAATGCTATGATTTAAATGTGCCCCTCCGAAGAAAGCATGTGTTGGAAAATTAATCCGCAGTTCAATAGTGTGAGGAGGTGGGGCCTAAGGAGAGATTACCAGACCATGAGGGCTCTGCTTTAATAAATAGATTAATGCTAATATTGCAGGAGTGTATTTGTTATCACGGAAGTGGATTTCTTTTAAACAGACAAATCCAGGTCTCTTCTCATATCTCTCTCCATTCTCTCAGTAGCTCTTGCATGCCCTTCCACCTTCTGTCATGGGATAACACAGCAAGAAGGCCCTGATCACATGCTGGCACATTGACCATAGACTTGCCAACCTCTAGAACTGTACACTAATAAATTCTGCTTTTTAAAAAATTACCCAGTCTGTGGTATTTTGTTATCTCTTTGATTTCTGTTCTTTCATTTCCTTCATAGAACTGCTTGCTCAGAGAAATGAAGAATTCAGGAATAATAACACTGTTCATGTTGCATGTGCCACTTTACACGACACATAATTAAAATCATAGTACAATAGGATTTTATAGGGGATTTTCTGAACTGAAACAATAAAAATTTTTATTGAAATTGAAATGGTATTAATTTATTGGTGCTGTTTCAGGTCTTATACAAGGATTTGATATTAGGAGCACATTTGTGAAAAAATAATCTGTGTCAGATTTAGAGAATAATTTTAGAGACTTTTCTATGGTGGAATTCCGTAATTCACTTGTAGCAAAACAAAGCAAAGACAAAAGAAAAATGACTTTCTCCTTTTCCTTGAATAATTTAAGTTTTGCGTTGTCATACATTCCTTTTGAAGCTAACAGTATCAACTTATAATTTATTATAGGAAAGCTGAATTTAGGGTACACCTAAATAGTACTGCTAAATTTTGGAGTTTCTGCACTTTCAGAAAGTATCCTTGATTGAAAAGTGAAACTCTTTGAAATAACACTTTATGAGATAACAGAAACCAAAGCATCGACTCCAAGGTAAACGTGGCGTCATGTGCTCAAAACTGAGTAAAGTATTTTAATAAAATTTCCACTAATTTTAGCTGAGTTTTGTTTAGTGGCTGTAGGGAGAAGAGATTCAGACCAAAGGTTAGAAATAACTCCAATTCAGATGTGAAATTATATTGCTTTTTTAGGAATCAAAATGGAGCTGAAGTAAATAGTCAATGACTGGATATTAACATTTGATTGCACAGTAACAAAAATGGGACAAGAAGCCAAAGGGTTTGGTCTAGAGTTGGCACTAGCTTAACAACAGGCAAACAAATGAGAATAATTAGAAATAAAACAATTGCTTATATCTTAAATAAGCTGAAGAAATACACGCACGTAAGACTTTGTATTTCCAGACTGTCTATCTGATATGGTTAGGCTTTGTGTCCTCACCCAAATATCATCTCGAATTGTAATCACCATAATCTCCACATGTTTAGGGAGATACCTGGTAAGAGATGGTTGGATCAAGGGGGTGGTTTCCCCCATGCTGTTCTCATGATAGTGAGTGAGTTCTCATAAGATCTGACAGTTTTATAAGGGGTTCTTATGCCTTCGCTCCTTACTCTTCTCTCTCCTGCTGCCATGTGAGGTTCAAGCTTGCTTCCCCTTTGGCTTCTACCATGATTGTGTATTTCCTGAGGCCTCCCCAGCCACACAGAATTGGTAGTCAATTAAACCTCTTTCCTTTATAAGTTACCCAGTCTTGGGTTGTATAGCAGTGTGAAAATGGACTAATACACCATCCGATTCCAATTTGCATGAGTACACCTTAGTTGAGACAATGTGAGGGATGTTGCTCTGTTCATTTATGAACTCACTTAACACATGTTTTTATTTTGAAATGAATTAAATTTTAAGAAGTTTTTAAAATAGGAAAGTTTCTCTTCCTCTTAACCCAGCTTTCCACAATGAAAATATCTTTTTTCATAATCCATAATCTATTGCCATAAATAGAAAATTGACATTAATTAATTACTTCAAATACAGGCATTATTTGGATTTTACATGCACTCTTTCTTGTGGTGTATATTTCTATAACATATCATTACATGTATTGATTAAACATCACTACAATCAGGACATGGGACTATTCCAACACTACAAAGAAACTATGTTGTGTTGCCTCTTAATAATGTGTTTCTCCAATCCTAAGCGCCCTGGGAACCACTTATTTGTTCTCTATCCCTAGTTTTGTCACTTTAAGAAGATGATATTAATGTAATCTTGTAGTATGTAACCATTTTTAAGTTTTTTTTTTCTTTTTGGGCCTGTTTTTTGTTTGTTTGCTTGTTTCAATCAACTGTATGTTTTTTGAGATCAGGTCAAGTTGCTACATGGATCAAAAGTTCATTTCCTTTTGTTGCTGAACAGTATTCTGCTCTATAGACGTATCAGAGTTTACTCACCCAGTTGAAAGACATTGTGGTTATTTTTGGACTTAAGTTATTACAAATAAAGCAGCTATGCCCATTCATTTATAATAGAGTTTTTCATTTTTAACTGAGAAACTTCCAAACTGCTTTCCAGAGTGACTGCACCATTTTACACTTGTACCAGCAATGCATGAAGAGTTCCTGTTGCTCTACATCCTCATGCATCAACATGTACTTACAAGCAGGAGACTATGCCAGTATCCAACATTTTAGACAAAGTAGACATGGTGTTGCTGTTTAGATTTTATGACTGAGTAAGGAAGACAAACTTTTTCAAATAGTTTACAAACATGCAGTTATAAATTTATAAATTCTAACAAATGCGGCAAACGGAAAGTACAGGATTCTCTAAGATCATAACATTGGTTGACTCAATCTAGTCTGCAATGTCAAGAATACTTATCTGGGGAAGTGTTAAGCCAAATTAAGGTAAAAACACCTCAAAATTCACACAATGCAGGTATAAAAAAATCTCTCATGAGGAAACATGCAAATGGAAGCTAATCAATACATTTTCTCCCTTAATTCTTGTCAACCTTAAGGTGGGATTGGTTTGTGCTCCAGGAGAAGAAACCGCTCCCTTTCCACGTTATATATGTATGAGTAATTTGGGAAGATTCAGAGAGTACAAAACTGATTGTATTTGTGTTAGGGAAGTTTCTGATTGGAGATATGGCCTTGCTGCAAAAAGGAGCATCCTGAGCTTGACATATAGTTATATTTCAATGTATATTTTAAGAAATTTTTGGTCCCCAAACAAAACACATATGCTTGCTACATTTATAAAATCAATTTAATTAAATTGAACTGCTTGTTAAATGAGAAATGTAGAAATGTCCCCTTTTTTCAAGGTTACAATAATTCCAACATGTAATATGATCCGCAACAAATTATTTGGATATGAGAAATAAACATGAAATCCCAAGCCCCCAACTGACTGAATAGACCCCATCTTGGCCAAGGGGTCCCCAGAGTAACCTTGAAAACAGTTATTGGCAATGATAGGATGAGAGTTTAGACATACCTCATAATATTTCCTTTCTCACTAACTGCCATTGGGTTTTCTTCCGTAAGGGCTAAACAGAAACCAGTCCTTTTAAAAGACTCTATCATTGATATTAACCAACCCCAGAAGCCAACCTTCTTTTTTTGCCTTAAAAGACTACTGAACAGAGAGTGGCTCTGGCCAGCCTAGTAACAGTAAAGGTTTTCATGTCCTCTGCCTCACCTTTTAATGTCAGAGGCCAAAAGCTCTACCCTCAGATCATGCTAACTCTTCCCTTTTTTGAACATGGAAACCATGAAGGGGCATGGAGCTCAACTGAGTATGCACATGTTTCTCCTTTTATGAATATTCATGACTGTTCCTACAGCTTATTAAATATATATATTCAGCCACCCTGCTCAGCATAAATTTCTGTTCACTTTGCCTCTTCAGTCTTCTGGCCAGAGGCGACATTTCCCAGCCTGTTACAATGGCCATTATTCAGGCTGCAATGCTTTATTAGAAATAAAGCTCTCCTTTCCAAGTTTATGAACCTTGTCATTCATTAGTTGACAGTTAGATACTTAAGAAAAATGCTGGGTAAATAATGATTGCAAAGCACTGATTAAATAGAATTCTATCATTTTACAGATGATAAAACTATGGATTAGGGAACTGGTGTCTTCATCACAGTTGTAAAACTAGACATGACAGATATTCGTATTAGAACCCCAGGTATTTTGTCGTTATTTTCATATTTTCTCACTATATTACAGGGCCACTAATACATATTTTTACTATTTTTAAGTGATATACATAACAATATTCCCAGGCTTTAAGAAAATCTGGCATTATACAAACATGCCAATTTACACTGCCAAACAAGGGATAGAATAGGTTAAAATAAAAATTAACACCTATTACAAAGAAAGCAATTAAGAAAATAATATGACAATTTGAATGTTTCCCTTGAAATAAAACAGTATTAAAATATTGAGTGTAAATAGCAATTAAAAAAATAAAATGTAGGCTCAACAGAAGCTTTTCTTTTCCAGGTTGTGAGAAAGTAGAAATAGGAATTAAATGTGTTCAGTTAGTTGGCACTTTATGAACACTCTCTCAAGGAGACTGGGGTCTCTGAATTCACATCTCTCTTTTACAGGTTTCAATGAGTTATTTTACCTTTTCAGTAGTATTTGATTTTAATATTTTAACAATTATTGGTAAATGTAAGAATTGCATCTGACTGAAATCAGTCCATGTTCTCAACAATTAATTCAAGTATAAATGAGACAGCAATATTTCTTAGACAAAAGTAATTGGTTATTATCCTTGAATCATTGTTGGAATATGCTCATTATATTTTTGAAATCTGACAAAATGGAAACATCATCAAATTGTTTATGTTTTGTTTTTGTTTTCCTAAATCCAGACAAATTGATACAAAATATCTTGCAGAGAATTAACTATAAAAATCAGAAATATAAATTTAATATTTGAAATTATGCAAGTAGTAGCAGGAAACATAGGTGAAATCCTTTATAACCTGGATTATAGAGGAATGCTTTCTAGGTAGAGCACAAAATCTGATGCAATTTAAAAAATGATTGATGAAATGTTGTACATAGAAATAATTTTTAGAGTTTTGTATGTAAACAAAACCAAATAAAAACAACAACAAAAACACCATAAACAAAGTCAAAAAATTGATATCAAAGTTGACGAAAATATTGACAAAATATATTCCTTGTTCAGAGTCATATCCTAAATACAAATAGAACTTTTTCAAATTTTAGAATTTCCTAAAATTTTTTGAAAAATGGGGAAAAATAAGCAAACAAGTCACAAAAATAAAGATAGCCATAAATGCATTAAGATATATTTAACTTCATGTATAAAAAGAATTACATAAATTAAAACTGTGTTTACATACCATTTCTCATATACAAATGGCAAAAACTTAGAAACTTGACAATACACTTCACTAATGAGGCTGTGGAGAAACTGTAATTTGTGGGGAGGGGACACAAAATAGCACAACCTCTTTGGAAGGGAATTTGGCAATATTTAGCAGAAATGCCTATGCATTTGTCCTTTGACACAGTCATCTTATATCTGTGAATTTACCATGAAAGTATTTTAATAATACAAAAAATACACATACACGGTTGTTCATTGTAGCGTTATTTGTAATTGCAAAATGTTGGGAACTATGTAAATAACCAACATAGCAAATTGGTGGAATTAACTATTGTATATACACACAATGAAAGACTATGCGGCTGTTTAAAATAATACAAGAATATATAAATTGATATGGAGAAATTTCTAGAATATATCGCTAAATTAAAAAAAAAAAAAGCAAATAGCCGAAGAGTGTATATAGTATGCTATTTCCATGTAAGTCACAAGGGAAAATAAGAAAACATTAAAATATTTGCTAATTTTACAGTAAGGAATACAGCAAGAATATAAAAAGAATAATGATATTAGTTTATCTACAAGTGTGAGTTGAGAAAAGGGTAAAAAAATAATACAGAAAGTAACATTTCAGTGAGTATAACATTTACTACAGTTTTAAATCATATTAATACTGTACATATTCAAAAATAAACAATGCAAAAACAAAAAAAAGAACCAATTATATATCTAATTTCAAAATAACCCATCACTAAAATAGAAAAATAAAATAAAATAAAAAACACTAATCCAATTGATGTTGAAATGCAGTTGTTTGACTACATATCCTTTGGACAAAATAAAAAAAGAACTCCAAACATATCTGAAACTTATCTTAATAGACTTGTTTTTATTTTTTAAAGATTTAACAATTATGACTATTATGTGTATAGTAATTATAGCGCAAATGATTAAATATAATGATATTATTGGGATTCAGTTTTCTCACTGTGGAAATGGAAGCATACAAATATGAATTGGGAAAGGCAAAAATGAATTTTTTTGAGTATCTATTCATCTATCTCTGCCTCCTCACTTCCCTGCCCAACTCCAGCCAGCTGTGTCCTTGAAAGGGCCTCGAAGCAATCAATATTCCATTAGCAATAAGCACATTTAGCATGCAGAAATCTGGATCTTTCTTTATAAATATCATTTCTCACTACAAGACATTAGAGATTCTTGGAGAAATAGCTAATTTTAGTGCTAGAGAAAAAATGGTTAGGATGAACCTGAATCATTTTTGGTGCCGGCAAATTGGGAAGTGAACAAACAGAAATGTTAGTATGCCAAAATATTAGCATACTAAAAATACACAGGGATGAGACTGAAGGGGGGCTCTTTTTGGCCAAATCTGGAACAACTTGTATGTCTAATTAAATACGAACAGTCATGGATTATGATCCATGGACTGAAGTAAAAATCCATGATTTCATACTAACAACACAAATATGTAAATGTGAAGAAAATAATAAAAAATCTTTTTTTTTACAATATAATTCTCACCTATGAACATAAAAGGGATGATAGGGTAAAAAATTATCATTTTGTACCATTATAGTAAAAATTTTGCAGGCAAGAAACAACAGCTGTTAACTTTAGAGGTAAAAATTTTGATGAGGAAGAGAATAATTACATTGCCTCGAATTATCTCTCTCTAAACTAAATATTTAAAGAAAAATAATAACTATATAGGCAATAAACCAGACAACATCTCAACCAAGTAATCAAAATTGCCATGGTCGCTAACAGGGAACAAACATCCTGTGTGTCTGAATATGACATCCTAAGCAGGACACAGCATTACTTACACAGATTTCCACCCCACAAAAAAAGCCTAACCTGAATCTAAACATAAGAAAACACCATCAAAACCTATTTGAAGGAAATTCAACTAAAATAACAAACCTAAGTTCTTAAAAACTAAAAAAAAGTCAATGTACTGTAAGTTAAAGAAAGGCTTAAAACATGTTCTAGATTTAATCTTTAAAGATTAAAAGACAATTTAAGAGATACGTCAAGTAAATGCATACATAATCCTAGATATGTTCAAGGAATGAGAAAAACGGCTAGAAACGTTATTAGGACAGTTGAAGAAACTGGTATGAGAAACATAAATAAAATATTATACTAATGTTAGATTACATGAATTTGATTATTTTACGATGGTTATATAAGAGCATCTTAGTCTTAGAGAACTAACACTGACTTTCAAGTGGGAAATGGGGCACAATGTATGCAATTTCATTTCAAATTGTTCTCTACATCTGTGAGATGTAGAGAAATAATGACACAAGTAGAACAAAATGTTAAAAATTGATGATTCCAGGTAAAGGATATTTGGGAATTATTTACTTTTTTTCTAGGTTTAATTTTTTGGAGGAATAAAATGTATAAGAAATGACATTTTCCAACATTTGAGGAGTTTTATAATTATCCTTCTGAAACTTATTTATTTTATTTATTGTTTACTTTTGTAGAGACAGGGTCTCACAAAAGAGAGATCAGGCTGATCTCAAACTCCTGGGCTCAAGTGATCCTCCCACCCTGGCCTCTCGAAATCCTGGGATTACAAGTGTGAGCCACCAAGCCCGGCCTGCGAAACCGATTTTTATTTAAATTCCATTGTGTTTAGATAACGTACTTTGACTATTTTTAGTTTTTAAAATTTGTTTAGACTTGCTTCAATGTCAATTACACAGTTTACTTTGGCAAAAGATCCAAGGGTATATGAAAATAATGTGTATTTTGCTACTTAATTCTGAATTGAGTCTCCATCTCTGTGTGTGTGTGTAATTTCATGTGTCTGTTAAAATCCAACATTCTTTTCTTTACTTTCTTGAAAATATTAATCACACAGTTTACTTTGGCAAAAGATCCGAGGGTATATGAAAATAATGTGTATTTTGCTACTTAATTCTGAATTGAGTCTCTATCTCTTTGTGTGTGTGTGTAATTTCATGTTTCTGTTAAAATCCAACATTCTTTTCTTTACTTTCTTGAATATATTAATCACACAGTTATATTTAAGCCCTTGTATGACAATTCTAATACCAACTCTAGGTCTTCTATTACCTGCCTTTTTTTTGTTTGTTTTCATTTTTGGTCATTTTGTCCTATGTTTTGATATATTTGGTAATTTTTGACTGAATTCTCAACACATTGGATGAAAAATTATAATAACTCTGGAACACGTTATTTTTCTCCAGGGAGGGTTAGATTTTCTTTGACAGCAAATACTGTATTAGTACTTCCCTTGAGTTTGTTGTGTGCTGATTTCACACATATAGAACTATTCTATATCACTTTCACTGTTACTTTCAGATGGTAGTCCTTGCTCTTAAGCATGTTCCTTATACCTAGGAGGTGGCCTTAGTCCTAGGTTGTGGTTTTTCTGGGGCCTTAACAAAAGACTTGGAGTATTTGAGAAAATATTTGCATCATTCCAGGGTTTGATCTTCAACATCTGCCTCCCTGGTATTATATAACTGATAAAATTTCTGTTTAGTTGTTTCCTTTCAGCTAATATTCATTTCTAGTCTTTTTCTTTTCTTCCTTCCTTCCTTCCCTGCTTCCTTTTTTCCTTCTTTCCTTTTCTTCCTCCCCTCCTTTCCTTCCTCTCTCCCTCCCTCCTTCCCTCCCTCCTTCCCTCCCTCCTTCCGTCCCTCCCTCCTTCCCTCCCTTCCTTCCTTCCTTCCTTCTTCTTCCTTTGTTCATCATTCTTTTTTCAGTTTCATTTTTCATGTGCAAGGATGGGTAATTAATCAAAAACTAGAAGGGGATTTGCCTGTAGATTTTTTTTACTCATTATAGTAGTTTCCTCATTTCAAAGATTTTTGCTTCTTGAGTCTTATCCAATTTGGCAGCTTTAAATTCCAGTCACTGACTTTCAGCCAAGTGAGACGCTGGGTTCTGCTTGGGCTCTGCTCTATGATGCAGTGAATTGAAAAATGTTTTCAAGGAAAAAGATGGATGAATGTGGAAATCATCTTATGCTCTTCCATTCTCTCAAGGATTACAGATCCTTAAATCCTGCCTCAGTTGGTTTATCTCTAATGCTTTCAAATAGTTGTTTCATAGATTTTGTCGTTCATAATTTTTTTTGTAAGAGGATTTGCTCAAAACAAATTACTTTGTTGTAGTCAGAAAAAAAATTTTGGAAGTTATTATTTGAGCTCACATTTACTATCTCTATTTTAGAGACTCTCCCATAATACAAAGCTAATACTGGAAGAAGTATAAGTTAAATTCAGATCCTTTAATGACAAGTCCATTGATCTTTCAGTAATACATTAAGAAGTATACATATTTATTATAAAAATACTTTCAATATGTAGAATCTTCTGTGTACAATTTGTATTAAAACCTATGTTATTTGTGACAGGCTTCCTAATATTCGTATATGCTACATATATGTATGTCAATATGTGTATATATATATTTTTAATTTAAAGCAAAGTAGATATCAGCATATGTAAAACATATTTCCAAGCCTCTTATCCTAAGGTGCTACTATTTTTGTAGGTATGTGTTTAATAGATGTGACTAATACTCTCACTCAGCAGAAGATCTAGGGCAGAAGAGATCTTAAATAGTTAACTCAATAACAAAATTGCTAAGATGAGTCATTAACTTTAATGAAGATCATTTTTCCTTCCTTTTTATATTTTATCCACTCATGTAATAAATAATAGTCATAATAAAACTATAAAAGTGATAATGATGATTTTGCTGGTTGTATAATTTTATACTTCCAAAAGGGCTAAAGCATATCCCATCCATAATCAGTTGTTTAAATTATATGCCTTGAAATGACACTCAATGTTTTAAAAAAGAAAATGTATTTTGGGAGAATTTCATCCTAAAAATAAATCTGCCTCAATTAGAAAGCTTGAGTCCTCATTCTCCTGCTCATTTAGCTTAATGAATGTCATTAGCATGGGCTGTTAATCATAATGGATAAGATATGAGTTGCTTTCTTTCTCCCTTATATTTTCCACCCTAGGAAAAAAAATTCTCCATGCAGGTGGGGTTTTTACAAGCTTAGTCTTTCTTCATCATAAGATAAGGATGCTGAGACAAAAAATGCATTTTGAGGCAATTTTGATAAAACATGGCTAGACTGATGTTCTTGCTTTTCAATGCAATAGCTGTAGAAATTCACGTATATTGAAGAATGTAATGTTAATGTTTTAGGGAGAAGTTTGAAAGATAAAATGATATTTATATAACATATTAAATAATATTTATAATATATAAAATATATGAATTATTATATACCTGCCAAACATATTTATGCATATATACACATATATATATGTGTGTGTGTGTGAGGGTCAGTGTGTGTTTTTAATGCATTTATATATAGATACGAAGATACTATAAACTCAAAGCTTAATCCTTCTTAATCTTTAGAAGGATAAATTTACTTTCGGGAATAAAATAATTTATTTGTGTGAAAGCCCTCTGATTCATCAATAGGGAATATTAAGGAAAATTCATTAATCCATAGCAGCATGTCAATAGAAAAGGGATGCAGAATACCTTCTGGACAATCAAATTAAAAATATATGCACTTTTAGATGGTTTTCTTGTAATATCAGTCTGCTTTTATCATCTAGACCAGAGGAACTAACTTACTGGCAGAAAATTTCAGTTCTGAAAGTTGGTACTGTAGTAACACAGGAATGGTACGTTTTTGTCTCAGAAAAAGACAATCAAAGCAAAGTGCATGTTTCATGTAAACTGTCGCTCAGCATTTTGATATTCTGTTTTTCTGGTACAGAGAACTACTTTAAAAGATGATTCAGAAACCTCACAGAGAAAGAAATGGGAAAATTGTCAGCCTGTTGGCAATGTTAAGAAACCACAAATGGCTGATAAATAATCGCTGTCTATCATGCAGAGCCAAGAAAAAACAGAAAAACAAATGAAGAAAATCACAAAAACAACTGCAAGAAGCCAAAAAGAATGTGAGTCTTAACAGTAAAGAATGAAGTCTTATTGTGGAAGAAAAAAGTGCATGAACAGAAAGGATAGCGTGTAAGAAGATGAAATAAGAAACATAGCAGAATATAGTACAAAACATAGAGGTTACAAAGATCAGGTGAAATAAGGTGTATGACAGAAAGAAATAAACATGCAAGAGTAAAATGTAGCACAGATGCAAAATAATTAAAACAAGGAATATTATACCAACTTCTACTTAGACCCAAAGCTTTGTGAGACTGGCAATAGCAGGATGCTGAGATATTTGCTATCTTCTGAATCTCAGCTGCAACCAGCACAGCTATTTTTCTCAAGTTATGAAACGAATATTCCAGCTGGAGAGATCATTAAAGGCTTGCTGTCATTTTGAATTTACTTGATCCTTCAGTGAACATATCAATTAAGACACTCTGCCTAAATAAAAAAGAGACCCTTTACTTGGGAACTGTCATTACAGCCATGTCTGTGGACCCTAGAGCCAACTCTGTAGTGTCATCGATAATAGCATGAAACTCTAGAGCCATAGTGTCTGGGTTCATATACTACTTTTGCCATTTATTTCCTATGTGACCTTTGACAAGCAGTGATACCTCTTATCACCTCAGAGTTCTCATTTGTGAAAAGGAAGCAATTAGGCTATCTCATGAAGTTATGACAGGGATTAAATGTATTGAGTTATATAAAGTATTGGAATAATGTATGTCACATACTAAGCACTATCTGCTTATTAAAGGAATAACTACAACTGTATATGCCTATTAGTGGTACTCTCTTATTCATTCAATGAATACTTATTGAGCACCTGCTATTTGCATTATTCCAGGAACTTTGGATTCGGTTGTTAATAAAATGGACATAAATCCTTATCTTTTTGGAAATGACATTCATAGGTATATTTTAGTAGAAATATTCTAGGTATAAAGATGATAATAATATCTCATTAGGCTCTGTTCCAATTTCTTTAGATATATTATTGTTATGGACTGAATCTATGTATTCCCCCAAAATTCATATATCGAATATGGCCACCCCTAACCTCCACAGTGGCCATATTGGAGTAAGGAAATAATTAAGGTTAAATGAGTGAAGTGGGGACCTGATCTGATAGAATTCGTTTACTTACAAAACAATACACAAGAGCTTTCTCTATCTCTCTCTCTTTCTGTCTCTCTCATCTCACTCTGTGTGCATGCAAGGCCATGTGAGGATGCAGTGAGAAGGCACCATCTGCAAGCCAGGAAGAGGGTTCTCACCAGAAACTGAACCCTGCCTGAACCGTGATCTTCAACATTCCAGCCTCCAGAACCAAGAGAAAATAAATCTCTGTTGTTTACGACAGCCAGTCTGTGGCGTTTTGTTACGACAGTATGAGCAGACTAAGACAATTATCAACCATGACAAGTAGTTTCTATTCCATATCCCATTCCATAGATAAAGAAAGTGAGTTGCAGAAATATTAGCTAAGATATCAAATACCTGTATGTTTCTAAGTACTTGTCTTTCTTCCCATTTTTAATCTGTTTTTTATTTGGTATTTATTTATTCATCTATTCATTCATTTATTCAACAAACAGCTATGAATATTTTCTGGCAGACCATGAGTTCAAAGCCAGAAATTCTGGCTTCAGAATTCCTCCTCTTAATCAGTTCATTTTGCTGCCTCAATTAACAATTTGCCAAAGCTGGAAAAAATTTCAGCCGTGTTGAGCTTATTACAGACTTCTAATTCCCATTTGTTTTCCAATTCAAGGATAATATCTAGTGTTGGATTACAAAATACTTGAATAAATTAGTATCGTCTGAGTAGTATTCCTCATTCTCTAATACAGTGCACTGAAACAGTCATAATGGCACGAAACTCTACCTTCTAAATATCTCTTGAACACATCATTCCCACCCAGTTTCCATTCCTGTGGCCTTGGTTCGTGTTCTCATTACTGTCAAGTCCAGAGATGTATGTTTCAGTCACATCAATTTCTTAGCCAGCCTTTCTTTCTTTATGCTTGTTTCATAATGTAACTCAAAAGCATGTGTCTGAATGTTTATCTCATACCTATAACCTTTAACTGTTCAGAAGATATTGAATCCCTGACTCATTATAATGGCAAGCAAACCCTTTCATTATTTTCCTCTCACTTAGTTCTCTAACACAGTGCCTGGCTTGGAATGATATCAGTTCTTCAAAATATTACTTAGATGTTAGTTCAGAAAACATTTCCTGCTCAATCCCTCTGAATGTATTACATTTCCCACACCTTGTATATTTTCCCATCCTGTCATTATTACTCAGTATTAAAAATTTACTTGTTTATCTGATACTTCTAATAGATTGAACTTCCTTTGGGCAGGTTTTGTGCCTCATTCATTTTTATATGCCTAGGTTTAGCATAATATTTGGCACAGACTAGTTCAATAAATGATTGTTCAATTAAATAGTATCAGGACAACCCCTGAGGAAATAGACACCCAATAATATAATTGTTCCATTAGCTATTACTAATTTTTACTCATCTGATCATTATTTACAATAAGGAATAAGTTGGTGTCAAAGACAAAAACATTACTATTTCTCTCAAAGGATTTAATTGTTTTGTTTTTTTCAGACTGACATAAAAATGGGTATTTGGTAGATCTTCCTACCTAGCAGTTTTCAGATAAACAATTTGGAAGAATAACCAGCAATCAAAGTCTCATCATCTCTGCCTATCTCATATTCATTTGAAAAATTTAAAAGCCAGTGCCAATGTATGGAATAAATAGTTATTAGGCAAGCACATAAATACAAATATTGTCACCTCTAGGACTTCACATCGGTGAAGAACACAACTGTAAAAATCACTCTTAGATTGTAAACAGCAGGGATTTAATACAAGGAACTGGTTTTGGAGGTAAGGAATGAAAAAGCTGAAATACTAAACAGGAAATCTGTAAGGTTACCCAGAGATTAAGAAGCAATACTACTACAACCCTTAGGACTGAGTGCCAAAGGGAACAAGTAGTGTCACCAGAATTCAGAGATCATAATAATCTAGGGGAAGCTGGAATCAGGGTGGGCTTTTCTAGAGGGAGATAGAGGCTGGGAAGAAGCACAGCTTTTGCCAAAGACACCATTTTAGACAGAAAATAGAGAGAGGAATATATCCTTGACTGACCCTTTCTCTCACTCTCTCACCTCCTGACAATGTCTGTCATTGACTGAACCCAGGTGGAGACCCACTAGCATGGATCCCAGAGAATGCAGAGTTCAGTGACTGTCTTTCCTTTTCCTGTGATACACAACAAAGCATAGAAATTTTGACATTTCTACAAGGAGAACTACAAAACACTGCTGAAAGGAATCAGAGATGACAAAAATAAATGGAAAAACATTCTATGCTCATGGTTTGGAATAATCAATATCATTAAAATGACCATACTGCCCAAGACAATTTACAGATTCAATGCTATTCTTTTCAAACTAACGAGGTCATTCTTCACAGAATTAGAAAAAAAACTATACCAGAATTCATATGAAACCAAAAAAGAGCCCAAATAGCTAAAGCAATGCTAAGTAAAAAGAACAAAGCAAGAGGCATCACACTACCCAACTTTAAACTGCATTATAAAGCTATGGTAACCAAAACAGCACGGCACTGGTACAGAAAAGAGAAATATAGACCAATGGAACAGATTAGAGAGCCCAGAAATAAAGTCGCACACTTAAACAACTATCTGATCTTTGACAAGGCTGACAAAAACAAGCAATGGGGAATGACTCTCTACTGAGTAAATAGTGCTGGGATTGTTTCCTAGCCATATGCAGGAGAATAAAACTGGACCCTTACCTTTTACCACATAAAAAATTAACCAAGATGGATTATAGATTTATACGTAAGACCTTACACTGGAAAAATTCTAGAAGAAAACCTAGGAAATACTCTTCTCTACATCAGCCTTGGAAAAGAATTTTTGAAAAATCCCCAAAGCAACTGCAAAATAACCAAAAATTGGCAAGTGAGACCTAATTAAACTAAAGAGCTTTTGCATAGTGAAATAAACCATTAATAGAGTAAACAGACAACCTACAAAATGGGAGAAAATATTTGCAAACTTTGCATCCAACAATGGTCTAATATCGAGCATCTATAAAGTATTTAAACAAATCAACAAGCAAAAAACAAAAAACTCTATTTAAAAATAGATAAAGGATATGAACAGACACTTCTCAGAAGAAATACAAGCAGCCAGCCAATCAATATTATATATGAAAAATGCTCATCATCACTAATCTTCAGAGAAATGCAAATTAAAACTACAATGAGATACCATCTCACACCAGTGAGATGGTGGTGAGAATGTAAATTAGTTCAGCCACTGTGGAAAGCAGTTTGGAGATTTCTCAAAGAACTTAAAAGACAGCTACCATTTGACTCAGCAATTCCATTACTGGAATACACAAAGCAAAATAGATGATTGTAACAAAAAGACACATTCATTTGTATGTTCATCACTGCACTGTTCACAATAGCAAAGACATTTAATTAATGGAGGTGCCTATCAGTGGTGGACTGGATAAAGAAAATGTGGTATATATACACCATGAAATACTACACAGCCATAGAAAATAACAAAATCATATATTTTGCAGCATCATGGATGCAGCTGGAGGCCATTATCTTAAATGCATTAATGCAGGAACAGAAAACCAAACACCATGTGTTCTCATTTATAAGTGGGAGCTAAACATTGAGCACACATGAACATAAACATGGAAACAATAGATACTGTGGACTATGGTGGAGAGCGTGGGTTGAAAAACTACCTACTGGGGACTATATTTACTACCTGAGTGCAATATACCCATGTAACAAACCTGCACATGTACTCCCTGTATCTAAAATAAAAGTTGGAAGAAAAAACCTTTTGTTGAGAGAGAAATAGATCTGATGGCAAAGCTTTTTAATATAATTGTCTAAGATATATGATACCATCTGTATCTTAGACTTTAAAACTCAGACAATAGGTTATTTGGGGGATGGTAAGTATTGGTTTTTACAGCACCATCATCACTAATCAGAGAAATGCAAATCAAAATATCTTCTACCAGTCAGAGTGGCTATTATTAAAAAGTCAAAAGACAACAGATGTCGGAGAGTCTGCTGAGAAAAGGGAACACTTACACCCTGTTGGTGGGAGTAAATTAGCTCAGCCACTGTGGAAAACAGCTTGGACATTTCTCAAATAACTTAAAACCGAGCTACCATTTGACCCAACATATAAACAGAATATAAAGCCTGAAAATTCTGTTTGAATTAAGGCTTATCAAAATCCCTTATAATAGAGTCACCTACGGTTCTGACCATACAGATGAAGATTTTTTTTTTTCAGTACACTATGATCATCTAAGAGAGTATTAGCTTGTATTCATTTATCTGGCCAATTAATTCACACTTTAGGAACTGATTCTACATAGCAGAGTTTACTTCATTAGGATAAAGTTTGGCAACCACATGTCTAAGTGCGGGGGAAAAGGGTGAAGAAGGAAAGATTATAACAACAATAACAAGAAGGAACGATTAGGATGACATTTTGGTCAGAAACCTGGGAGGCAGCAATACCAGGATAGGAAGACTAGGACAAAAAGGGAAATGAGGACTATTGAAAGCCACCTTATCTACTTCAAAGTGTGGATCAGAGCTGTTCCTGATGTTTCCCAGACATGGTTTCTGTCTGGGCTTAGTAGCTGATTTATCTTTAGGAAGAAAAATATAGCAACAAGAGGTCAAGTGAAAACTAGGGCTTATACTGAACCTATGTTTGCTTAACAAAACGCAGATTCTGTTTATTTTGGCTAGGGGCAAGGAATATGATAGAGACTACACAAGATCAAGAGTTTTCTCCAAGCAAACGCTGGACCCTGCTGTAATCTCTGCTGTTTATTTCTTTGTATGTATAGTGTCAAGTCAACGTCGACATATTTTTCCTCATTTGAATCAAACAGGCTTCTGTTTCTACTCTGTTTCTATTTCTCATATTATCTTGCATATGTTACTCTTTTTCTAAAATAAAAAATAAATTCAACATTGGTTGTCAAATGTCTTCATTAATCATGAATGCCCCAATGCAGTGTAATATAGAAAGCATGGTTTTCTTTTTTTAAGAATGAAATGTAATCTTTAGGGGTGACATTTAAAATATGTTTCTTAGCAAAAGTCTTATGATCTTTCTTTGACATATTCTCACCTGGATAAATTTAATTTTAAATTAGGAATGGTAAAAATTTAAAATCTTTTTATTTAATATGTAATATCTTAATCATGAAGATAAAGTTTAATAGGACTGCATGTTTATGTTTGTATTAATGGTAGGACATGGAGATGTATCAATCAAACCAATAAAACTCCAGTACACATAATATAAATGTCATCTTGCTTTGGTGGGTGAGTAGCATTGTGAACAGGATTTCTTGTCAAGTTGGTGCTGTTATTGAGGATATGAGAAGCAAAGTTCTTGAGTAGGTAATATTCATGCAAAATTTTCTGTTTCTAAATATCTTCTAAATACTCTTTCAATTATAAACATCTTGGAATTAATAAAATGCAAATACCATAGGGGAATATGGAGTTTGGAGTTTAAAAATCATATAATGATTCTTTTACTATAAGTTAGTTGGGTTGAAAGATTTTAACTTTATTTGGAAGCCCCAAGGAATACGAAATTTAGTATAGAAGGCTCCCCTAAATGAAAATCAGAAAATTAGTAACAATCAGCACACAGGAAGAGGCACTCTAAGAAGGAACCCAGGAGGGGCCCCTGGAGATTTATTCTAGCATGTGTCCTCAGTGTGACTTTTTCTTCTAACTCTCCTTTACTACTACATGTTTGTCTTACATTGGACTTCCCATTTTTATCCCTATCTCATAGGGCTATCTATTAAAGTTACTGCTTTCTAATCTTATTCTTATTTAAGGTTTCTTAAAAAATTTGGCCCAGTCACCTCATGTCCTCCTCTCACATTGTTTCAACTTCAGCAATTTCAAACTGTTCCATGCTCTTCTATATTTCTAGACAAAAATAAATCCATATAATTTATCCTTTCTATCCAGGCAATTTGGGCCATGCTTTGGCTTGCCTGCTTTTAGATTAGATAGCCATCTATGGTCCAATCAGTTGTGATCAGAAACCAAATGTTCCAAAGTGAGATGGAAATCACTCTTACAAGCAAGGTTTTATAGCAGTTTTGGGCTGGGCACAATGGCTCACACCTGTAATCCCAGCACTTTGGGAGGCTGAGGTGGGAGGATGGCTTGAGCCCAGGAATTTGAGACCAGCCTGAGTACTGTGGCGAAACCCTGCCTCTACAAAAAACTGGATTAAGAAAATGTGGCACATATACACCATGGAATACTATGCAGCCATAAAAATGGATGAGTTCATATCATTTGCAGGGACATGGATGAAGCTGGAAACCATCATTCTCAGCAAACTATCGCAAGGACAAAAAACCAAACACTGCATGTTCTCACTCATAAGTGAGAATTGAACGATGAGAACACTTGGACACAGGAAGGGGAACATCACACACTGGGGCCTGTCGTGGAGTAGGGGAAGGGGGAAGGGAAAGCATTAGGAGATATACCTAATGTAAATGACGAGTTAATGGGTGCAGCACACCAACATGGCACATGTATACATATGTAACAAACCTAAACGTTGTGCACATGTACCCTATAACTTAAAGTATAACAATAAAAAAGTAGAAAAAAAAAACAAAAAAACCCATAAACACATAACATGTGAACATAAATATTTGTGATTTAAAAACAATCTATATTTTCCAAAATAAAAATACTTAATGAGAAAAAAATAGAAAAAACATTTAAAAATAATTAGCCACAGGTAGTGGCACATGCCTGTAGTCTCAGCTACTCAGGAGGCTGAGGTGAGACAATCACTTGAGCCTGGGAGGTCGGATTCGCAGTCAGCCACGATTGTGCCACTGCACTCTAGCCTGGGCAACACAGCAAAACCCCATCTCCATAAATACATACATAAATAAGTAAATCAGTTTTGGTGGTGGTTGGTTGGAGGGGTGAGGTGGTGGTGGTGGTAGTTAAGTAACAGCGTGATTTCTTAACACAGACAAAATTTTCTATCAGCCCCAGCTCATTTCAGATTCAGTCATGGAAGAAAGAGAAATGGCTTTCGTTTGCTAAAACTTTAATGCCATATATTTTTTGGTCAAGAACAACCTCCAAAATGAGAAAAGTGAGGGCCAGAGAGGATTAGCAACACATGCCCTCTTATACCACTAATTACGGACATTGCTGGGACTAATTTTAACCCAGGAGTTCTGTTTCGTGTAGCACAGGAAGCTGTTTCCAATTCCTTATTCATGTAAGACTGCGCAAGAACAGAAAGGAAATTTTTTTGCCTGTGAATGAGCAATACTTGCACAATGCCTATTTAGCATACTTCTGCAGATTGTGGTTGACCATGGCTTTGGGGAAGACATTAACTGATATGCTTAAAGCCTCTGAACAACTTGTACCCATCCTGGCTTTCAAGGTACTGACACCCACATAGCAGGTTTCTTGCTCAGGGCTTTGTTTTCTTTCTGTATGTAGACTATGAAAACAGAAATAGGAAATTTGGTTAGTGCCAAAAAATATTTGCCACTTTCTCTACCTAAGCCATGTTGCATAACTCGGATGCTGTTTATGAGTTACAATCATAGCAAAGATGCCACTACTTAGAAATGATTCAGAATCATCAGAGGATGAAAAATATTATAGAGAGAGATGATAAGAAAAAACCACTTTTCTGCAAACAAAGTATTTGGATTTTAGAAAATAATTAAATTTGGTGCTAAAAGAGAACAGCTTGATCAGAGTTGTTGATGGTGATCTGGTCAAAATGAGGAACAATGCAAAGGCCAGATAAAGTGTCTGCTGTCTTTCCCACTCCTTCATACACCACTCAAGCGACTATTAAAATGTGTAAATTTGAAACATTTGCCATGTGTGGATTCAGGAGACTCCTGAAAGATGAGATCAAGTAAGAAAAGGAGAACAGGACTTTTAAATGATCAATTAAATACAGAAAGAAGAGAGATGAAAGGAAAATGTCAAATGCAAGAGGTAAGAGAGAGGCAAAGAGGATGGGAAGAAGGCAGGCAAAATTTTGTCTCAGAAAGCTTCAAAAATAGTGAACAAAGATGATGCTGGCCAACTGCAACATGGACATCATGTGCTGCAGTAGCTTTCAACCCATTTTTGGTATGCAGGGTACATTTCTGAGACAATTATAATTGAAGAAAATTAACACAAAAGTTACACATTTCTTGGTACCTAACAGTATAGCTCCTTTATAAATTTATATTGTTATATTTAGAAGTAGTTATGTTCCTGATTCTCTTTGAAAAAGAGGGAAAGAAAATACAAGAGGGGAGAATGTTATTGATCATCTATTTCAAAAGAAAACAGTAACTGCCTGGCTCAGCTAAAGTCTGTACTGATTATTCTTTACAATGTCATGTTTAAACACCATGGGGTAGACATTTCCCACGGAGAAAAAGGAAGAAAAATCATGTTACGATCCTGAGTACCAGCTCTGTAAGACAATGCCCAGTTTCTCTTGAAAATGATACAAGTTAAATACTACAAAGGTTGTAGAGTTATGCTTCTTGTGTTAGAATTGGGATGAAGGCTCTGCAGCTAAAGAATACACATTATAACTAATTGATTTAAGAATTCAGAAAGTAAATCTTTAGAAATCTCCTACCCACAGACTGAAAATTGAGCCCCCTACTAGAGAGTATTACATCTCTGAGCTAAGTTTAGAACATGACCCAAATATCCAAGACACCTATTAAAAAAAAAAAAAAAAGTAAAAGGATCTCCTCACTCTGACTCCTGGCTGGTTTTGTTTTACAGCATTATTTTCTGCAACTCCTTTTCTATACTTCATGGAAAGGAGCCAAAGCCCTAAAATCCATTGTTCATCATTGAAAATGGATGCACTATTCCATCAGGACTGATAGTACGACAGTTCAAAAGGACTTAGATCATCCAACCAAATGTTGATGAAAAATAACTTACTATTGTTTCAAGTAATGTTTTCAAACCCATTTAACTTTGCCGTTTTGCTTCTGTAAGTTACTAATAAGAGAAAAATTAATTTTCTTTGTCATTTATTTTAATATAAAAGTAAAGAAAATTTAAACAATTGGTTAATTTAATAATAATTTAAATCCTTATTTATACAAATTTGGATTAATTTAATAATAATTATGAAATAATATATTCTACATTAGTTTAATTCTTGACAATAAACATACTTCATACTTATTTTATAAATGAATGTATTAATGTCATAGGAATTCGAAATGTTATTCCCCCTCCTTCTTTTCCTATCATACCACCTTCTCTTTCTTTTGCTTTTCCTCCCCTTCCTTTAACTTTACTTTATATTCTGAAGTTCTGCAAATATAAGTTTCTCCATTGCAAACATGCATTATTGACTCATTATTATCCTACCTGATAGTAGATCGTAACACTTTTAGCAGAATGACAAGAAAAAATGTTATTATGAAACTTTTTTTTAATTGTTTTTATTTTAAGACAGGTTCTTGCTCTGTCACTCAGGCTGGAGTGCAGTGGCATGATCACAGCTCACTGCAGCCTGGAACCCCTGGACTCCAGCAATTCTCCCACCTCAGCTTCTCAAGTAGCTGGGACTACAGGCATGAGGCACCACTAGTGCACCTGGCTAATTTATTTTATTTTTTGTAAAGATGGGATCTCACTATGTTGCCCAGACTGATCTCAAACTTCTGGCCTCAAGCAATCCTCCCATTTCTGCCTCCCAAAGCCCTGAGATTACAAGTGTAAGCCACCATGCCCAGCAATATCGTTAACTGATAAATTTCCTTGTTTTTTTGTAGTATTATGATATACACTGGTTTTCATCCATGGTTCCTGGCTTATAACTCCCATAGGCATTGTTACAGCTTTTTGTTACAGTGTTGGTTGTGTTAGGCCTCAGGGCAGGCCTCTGACCTTCTCCTCCCTTCCTTTCACTGTAATGTTTCTCCACCTTTCTTACTGTGGGTCTTAGGACCCTCCCATGAGAGAGTACCACCCTATAAACTGGAGGAAGGAATGTGAATGTCATGAAGCTTCCATAAAAACCCAAGAGGACAGGGTTCAGGGAGCTTCAGGAGCTGATCACGTGGAGGTTCCTAGAGGGTGGCACAGCCAGGGAGGGCATGAAAGCTCCGTGCCCCTTTCCCAATACCTTGCCCTATGCATCTCTTCATCTGTATCAATTGCAGTAACCTTTTTAATAAACTGGTAAATGTGTTTCCCTGAGTTCTTTGAGCCTCTCCAGCAAATTAATCAAACCAAACTTTGATTTGGTTCATGGGAACCCCAGCTTGAAGCTGATTGATCAGAACTTCTGTAGGCCCAGACTTGCGACTGGGTGGGTGTGAGGGAGCAGTCTTGGAGACCGAGCCCTCAGCCTGTGGGATCTGAGACTATCTCTGGGTAGACAGTGTTGGAACTGAGCTAGACGACAACCAGCTGGTGTCTGCTGCTTGGTATGTGGGGGAAAAAACCCTCACACATTTGGTCACAAAAGTTTTCTGTGTTGATGATTGCTGTGGTGTGAGGGTAGAGGAAAAACATGGTGAAAGCAAGTTTTCCCTACACAATTTTATGGATTTTGTTTGTTTTGTTTTGTTTTGAGACAGAGTCTTGCCCTGTCACCCAGGCTGGATTGCAGTGGTGTGATCTCGGCTCACTGCAATCTCTGCCTACTGGGTTCAAGCGATTCTCCCGCCTCAGCCTCCCAAGTAGCTGGGATTACAGACATGCACCACCATGCCTGGCTAAATTTTGTATTTTTAGTAGAGATGGGGTTTCGCCACGTTGGCCAGGCTGGTCTCATACACCTGATCTCAGGGGATCCGCCAGCCTCGGCCTCCCAAAGTGTTGGGATTACAGACATGAGCCACCGTGCCCTACCTGATTTTATTGATTTCGACGCAGGCTACAATTCAAAATCCAACTTTTGGAAGCATTTCTGAAAGAGGACATAAAATGTTGCTAAAGAGTGAACAGCTCATGTATAGATTATTTAAAAACCCATCAAGGGTTAATATTGCAAAAGTAGAGCATCTCAGTCATGTATAATTACTTATCAGTGTTTTAAAAATAAAACTGCATGGCTCTCAAATTTTTGAAAGCCTAGATGAAAATGACTTAAAATTCTGTTTTCATTGTCTCTGGCTGAGGGAATGAACGAGATGCTTTTGTGATTAAAAGCGTTAAGAATTCTGTATAAGTCTTGTATAGACTTCAAGTTTTTTTTTTCCTGTAAATTATCAAAGTCTTTTTCAAATGGAACATTGTGTTTGCCCTTTTAAATTTATGATGGATGTTATACACTTAACATTATCATGACAACTGAAATGTGAAAGCAATGGACCTACAAAATGTAATTTTTATAAAATAATCCTGGCATTTGTCAACCACAAAAGTGGAAAGTATTCTATCTCAGCATCTAAACTTTTTTTTTACCTAACTTAACACATAAATTTATTTTTACTATTAAACAGACTTCTTGTTTCTTATTCAAGGTCTATATAATTACATTATTCTGGATACATTTTTGTTTTCCTTTATGAGAATAAGTTAGAATAACCTCACAAAAACAAATTCAGCAAATATTAGTTATTTACTCTACTTTATATTATTCACCTTAATTTGTGATTATTATTTCCTCCAAAAGTCAATGTTTTATTGAATTACCAATAACCATAGTATTGGGATCAACACTACATGTTAGCATTAGAGTTATTTACATTAACTCTGTATGTTTGTGGAGAAGCTCATAAATAGATTTTATTAAATGCTCTTCTGTATTTGTAAGTGCATATTTGCTTTTGTTTGTTTGTTTAGTACCTTTATATTTTGGAGCATACTGGAATTTTGCTTTTCACCTTTATTTTTCCAAAGTGTTAGAATTTAACTTATTTCCCTTAAAAGTCTAAAAGTTATTTGTGTTGTCAATTAGAATTTGAAATAACGAATCGAGTAATCTTAAATAACAACAATAAAAATTATGTTCAAAGTTTTAGCAGTTTATGGATATTTATGTTTCTGGACAAAAACTTTTTACAGAGATTCTCTCTAATTTCATCCATATTTTGATCATGTAGAGTCTCTGATCACTTTTGATGATATACTTTCTAATTTATATTCAGTAAAATTATGAGATACTTACATAAGTGAATAGAAAAGGTATATGAAGCATGCTTTGGAAGCCACTCATGGTGAGTCAACCTGGAAGAATCTCTAAGCTTGGAGTTAGGCTTTCAGAGTTCCAACTCCAGCTCTTTCTTACCTATTATCTAGCTAACAAATTTGATCCATTTATGGGGCTAATTTTAATATACATTCCTATTCTATATATTTTATACAATTTATGTGATTATAATTTTAAATTATGTCTGCAAGAAAACTTTGCTAATTTAAAAGAGCTATGCCAATATGTAGTCATATTATTATTATTATCTATATTATCAAATAGTGTTTTAAAAAAAGCAAGATAAGCTAGAAATAAGAAGAGCATAATATGTCCAATAAAGTAAATTTCCATGGGGAACACTAAGGAGAAAAACCATGAGTAATCTCTTTATAAGGGCTAAGAGGTATTCTTGACATTATCGGGATACAAATCAAAACATGATGAAGAATTTGGGCCATTTTAAAATTAAGTATAGTCTTACATTAGGAATATCTTTTTCTCTTGTTAAATAAATAATAGTTCTGGTAAGCTGATCTTTTAAAAATATCAGATTTTGCTTTGTAGATGGGAAAGTCTTTCAATGACGGAAGTAAAGGCATATTTCTAAAAGTTTAAGTGATTCCAGCAAATTAACAACATGGATTTCACCTTTCCACATCTGTCAATTTCAACTGTGATTTTACTGTGTTGTTATTTACCTTATGGTAAAGTTTAGCCATCCTTTCAAACTTTTGTGGAAAAGTACCAAATATTAGTTGCCATCTCTCCCATTAATTTAATAGGTTTGAAAACAGAATTAACAAGATTTTCTTGTTTGTATAGACAGATACGCAGATTTTAGGCAAAGGTGAAAAAAAAGTGTTTATTACTCTGTAACCATTCTCAAGCTCATAAACAGTTCCTAGACCATAAGGCTTTCGATGTACTGTTTTAGAAGGCTCTAATCAAACCATGTTACATTATACCTTTTAAATTTTAACAAAGAGAGCACCCATATGTAAAACAAATAAACATACAAAAAAAACCCCACAAAAGGATTAGCAGACAAAACAGAAGTTTTGAAAGTATCCAATTGACAGCACCAGGGTAATAGCACTGGCAGGCTATTTTAAGTCAATTTTTCTATGCTATTGAGTAGCTAGTATTTCATGGTTGGAATATCTATGATAAGCTGTGGGACCTATGGGTAGGTAGTAATACTGATTAATTCACCTGTTTTCATTCTCTGCATGTTGCTAGAAACTGCTTTCTTGTTCTCCTTTCCAGTAAACACTTAATATTAAGACTTACAGTGCTTCATTGTAGAAATAAAGGAAAACTGGCCTTGGGCCACATTTGTAAATCTACGTTCAAGTACGCCATCAATCAAATCTTACCCAAATGCCAATGTGCAGCTGGGTATCACAGATGTTCAGTAGAGCCACTCCTTTCCTTTCCACAAAACAGATCTAGGGAACAAATTTAAAACAAAACAAAAGAAAAAGAAACAGAAGAAATTAATTTTATATTAGGACTCCTTTTTCTATCAACCAAAGCTTCTTGTTGTTGACTGATATATGAGTTTGTGTTATTTACAGATTGACTGTTATTGGTACACATTTAAGCATATTCAGAGTTCTCTTTCTCTACATGTTTCCATTTCATTACTTTTTCCTTTATTCTAAATATTCATGTGACTAACATAGGATAGTTGTTACTTTGAAACACTCTATAGTACCTTTTACATTGCATTTTACTTTGGTGAATGTTTTTTGCTTGAATGGGTTAGAATATTTGGAACACTGGTTTTAATGTATTGGTTTGACATGAAGTGACACTAAAATGATATCCCCGGGGCCTTATGTTCATTCAACCAAGTTAAATAAGATTCTTGTTCTTAAAATGAAGAAAATGTAGATATCTGCAATACTGCAATATTCTTGGAAGCTTATTGAAAATTTGACTATTTTCAATAACGCCTGCATTCTTCAAGCTTTATTCTATACTTTCCTAATAGTTAACATATACAAGTATTTTATAACATTACATTTCAGTTCATGAAAGAATAGTAAATATTTTTATTTGAAAAATATTTTTTAGCCAAGTATTACATTTTGTACATTAGGTGAGCTACATTATAGATTACATTTGCCAATAAGTCTTTCATAAATATATTGTAGGAAATAGCAGAATTGGCTGAGAATATGCACATTTGTAATCTTACATGCATGAATTTTGGAAAGGAACACATGATAAAAATTTATAAATAGTTGAATTATAGTATTAAATTACATGCAGCCACACTTGTTTTAAAAGAAATGATCAATTTCCATACTAAAAGAAGTGAAGAAAAAAAACTGTGGTACTCAAAGAAAATATTTAATGATGAAATATTTCAAAAACTTATTATTCTAACCTTCTTCCATTTTTGGTCAACTCTCTATCTCTCCAGAGATATAATTCATAACACAGTCTAAGGATACATCACTTCTTATAAATAACCTAATTGTACCGAGACATTTTAGAAGCTGGCAACATGAATTGAGAAAAAAAAAGCAAACATTATTCCTAGTCATGTTTTTAAAGTTAATGCTCTTCACTAGGAGTATTTTTCAAATGTAGAGAGTAGAGAATACAAATATAATAAATGCATCCCTATCTGATGAAAAGCAGTGACTATTCAGACAATGTCTTCTACTCAATTGGGTCTACCCAAGTTTCTCATATACACATTTATTTTCATATTTTGTTTTAAATGAAGCAACACTGCTGGCAAGCCCTCAGTTTGATTTCCTAATTAGTATAAAAGCTGGTAGCTGAATGGCAGATTTACCAGCCAGTTTTCCCTTATTTCTACAATGAAACATTGTAGGTCTTAATAATCACGTAGTTTGGCTCTTTTCATTACAGATTTTGATTTTAGAATATTCTAACAAATGTTTTAATTTTAAAAGGTACTTTAAGTTGGGAGCACTCAAATTACATCAAAGAGTTAAAATGTAAGTTCAGACCCCCAAGAGAGTTTATAATTTTACTTGTGTATTAATACCTGAAGGGTTTTATATTTCATCATATCAGATGATTTTTGAAGTCTTCATTGTAAACGGCAAAAACCACAACTACCTTTGCACCAACCTAATATTAAGGCTGTATTAGAAATTCATCATAACAACAATGTAGAGAAGTCAATTGTATGGGACAACTTCAGAAACTGAAACTGTCTTCAGATGAAAGCCTTTTCTTTCATGTTAGTAACCAAATGTACTTGAAAAGGATTTAAGTTAAACTGATGACCCCTCAAATGTTGTTCTTAGGCTATGATTTGTATAAGTATTCAACTTCTTATCATGAAATATTTTTACCAAGAATTCAGTGTTTAATCCAAACTTTCTTTAATCTAAACTTTTTGTATCATTCTTTATTGCGGTGGTTAAATGGCTCTGCGCAAATAGAATAACATCACCTACATAAAACATATTTGTGTCTTTAAAAAATGAGCTCTAAGTCATTTTAAACCAAGGTAAGTTGTAAGTGAAAAATCTAAAATCAAAAATGATTGGTGAGAAAGCTGGCTTCATCTTATAGAAAACAAGTGTATTTAGAAAGTTACTTATTTTCTTTCTTATACATCCTATTTTCATAATAAAATGTAAATATGTGTTTCTCAGTACAAATGTGTAAAATTATATTTAAGTGTATGTTATGATTTTCAAATAAAATAGTATAAATTTATTTCTAATAATATCCAAGTAAAATTAACAGCACTCAATAGCTATAAAAGATATCTGGGTTTATTTGAACATTTGCTTCAAAAGTTGTCAAAGGGAAAATAAATACTGTTTATATGACAGAAAACAAGTATCAAAAATCCTGTCTACAACAGGCTACAATTCAATTTTCTTTTATATTCTGATTATTCCCTAGCACTTTTTTAAAAAACTACCAATAATCTTTTTTGAATAAAAGTAAAAAGGAGATTTAAACACACAAGCCGAAATTGAGGAAGGAGATTCAAAATGTATTCATAGCGAACAAACTGGAACAAGGAAGAAAATACATATAAAATTGTACACATTTTTTTTTCCTGGTGCTCTGCCAAGCATTTTTTAGTTTTTGACCTCTTTTAATCTTCACAGCAGTCTTACACAATAGGCATCATTATCCTCTTTTTATTGGTGAATTCAGACTTGGTCAGAGTGCTAGTAACAGAAAACACACACACACACACACACACTCAATTTAAAGCATAATTTAATCATAAACTCAGTTGCCTTCAAAGATGTGGCTTTTTAATTTTTCTTTTAACCTCAAAATGTTCTGAAATAGCAAATTTTAGCATATCAAGTTTGATCAGCCAACAGTATTTATTAATGCCTCTAGTTTCCTACTGGGTGACTTCAGTCACTTCCTATCACAGCTCCAACCTGCTATATGTGCAATTCCTGATCTGGCTCTTCACAGATACTAATGGCCTAAAAGTGGCAAAGAGATCTGTCTGGGAAAGTGCTCACTCAATTAAGATTACTGGCATACTGCACCAGTTCTAACATGCCAATCAGAAGCCAATGATTGCTATTAAAATTTTGGCCATTTCACATCCCTCTAAGTCTCTCTGATCAAATTAACAGTGAACCAAGGGGAAAAGGTGTGATGGTCTCCCTTTTTTGCTTATGAATTATAGGTGCGCTTAACCTTCAGATTTATATTAACTGCGAAGGTCCTGTTGAAGAACAAAAGTCTACTATGAAATTTAAGAAACTACTGGGCCATGAAACAATACACTATTTAACTTACTTCATTTGCCCAACTCTTTATCACTCTTACGAAGTATCCATAAGGTTCCCTAAGTTTTGCCTGTGGGCCAACTTCACAATGAGCTGCAGGTACAAATTAAAATGCGGATTCCTAGGGCCTCTACAGACGTAATGTATTAGAATCTCTAAGTGTGGTTCCTAGAAATCTGCTTTTTTAAACATGCTTCCTGAATTAGTTTTAAATACACTGGCATTTAAAAGTTGCAAACAAAGCAACCACACTGGTCAGTAAACCCCAGGACCTAAAATTAAGACAAAAGACATTTATGCAGAACAAAGATGATTGGTATCAGTAATTATTTTGTACCTTTAATTAGCTAAGAAACCCTGGGTGAAGGGTTTTCAAGGAATACAACAGGCAGAAAGGACCCAAGGTAATCATTTTCAGGAAGATTGCATACCCAGCAAGAATTTAGTAGATAATTTAATCTCCTTTTTCTTCTGAGCTTTCATATTTTTCTTATTTGTAAAAATAGTACATATATATTCCTATATATGCACAAATTTATTGAAATATCTTACAAATATCATAAACACGAGACAATAAAACAAGTGTCTAACTGGCTTTTTTTGCAACACTCCTTTTATACAATCAGAGTAAAAATGTTAAATGGCTATGTTTACCAAAATATTATAATTTAATCAAAACTCTTTTATTGGCTATATTAGGAAAACTTCTCAAATAGGAGCTCAACTTTGACTCAGGTTAAAACTAGTTTGTTCTAAATAAATGTATTGATGCACACTACGTTTATTTAAACTTTAATTTGTACTCTAGAACAAAATTATAAAATTGTTCATTTAATTGCCAGCATTTGCTTGGGGTCTTTAACACAGACATTTGAGGCTATTCCTTTACAAGAATGGTATCAATTTTAACCACCATTGTGTAGCAGGACAATTTGCTCCAGAGAAAAACCCATTGTGCTTTTTGTTCTCCAATTTGCTATCTATAAAAATGCCTATCAACCGGTCATCTATGTTTTAAGCCCTGCATGCATTAGGTATTTCTCCTAATGCTATCCCTCCCCCTGTCCCCCACCCCACGACAGGCCTTGAGAGGTGACAGTGTGCTGGCAGTCCTCACAGCCCTCACTCGCTCTACGCGCCCCCTCTGCCTGGGCTCCCACTATGGCGGCACTTGAGGCGCCCTTCAACCCACCGCTGCACTGTGGGATCCCCTTTCTGGCCTGGCCAAGGCCAGAGCCGGCTCCCTCAGCTTGCAGGGAGGTGTGGAGGGAGAGGCGGGAGCGGGAACCGGGGCTGCGCGTGGCGCTTGCGGGCCAGCTGGAGTTCTGGGTGGGCGTGGGCTTGGCGGGCCCCGCACTCGGAGCAGCCGGCCGGCCCTGCCGGCCCCAGGCAATGAGGGGCTTAGCACCCGGGCCAGCGGCTGAGGAGGGTGTACTGGGTCCCCCAGAAGTGCCAGCCCACCGGCGCTGCGCTCGATTTCTCACCTGGCCTTAGCTGCCTTCCCGCGGGCAGGTCTCGGGACCTGCAGTCCGCCATGCCTGAGCCTCTCACTCCCTCCATGGGCACCTGTGCGGCCCGAGCCTCCCCAATGAGCGCCGCCCCCTGCTCCACGGCGCCCAGTCCCGTCAACCACCCAAGGGCTGAGGAGTGCGGGCGCACGGCGCGGGACTGACAGGCAGCTCCACCTGCAGCCCCGATGCGGGATTCCACTGGGTGAAGCCAGCTGGGCTCCTGAGTCTGGTGGGGTCGTGGAGAACCTTTATGTCTAGCCCAGGGATTGTAAATATACCAATCAGCACTCTCTATCTAGCTTAAGGTTTGTAAACACACCAATCAGCACTCTGTGTCTAGCTCAGGGTTTGTGAATGCACCAATGGACACTCTGTATCTAGCTAATCTAGTGGGGACATGGAGAACCTTTATGTCTAGCTCAGGGATTATAAACGCACCAATCAGCGCCCTGTCAAAACAGACCACTGGGCTCTACCAATCAGCAGGATGTGGGTGGGGCCAGATAAGAGAATAAAAGCAGGCTGCCCCAGCCAGCAGCGGCAACGTGCTCAGGTCCCCTTACACGTTGTGGAAACTTTGTTCTTTCGCTCTTTGCAATAAATCTTGCTACTGCTCACTCTTTGGGTCTACACTGCTTTTATGAGCTGTAACACTCACCACAAAGGTCTGCAGCTTCAATCCTAAAGCCGGTGAAACCACGAGCCCACTGGGAGGAATGAACAACTCCAGACACCGTGTCTTTAGAGCTGTAACAGTCACCTCGAAGGTCTGCAGCTTCACTCCTGAGCCAGCGAGACCACGAACCCACCAGAAGGAAGAAACTCCGAACACATCTGAACATCAGAAAGAACAAACTCCAGATGTGCCACCTTAAGAGCTGTAACACTCACCGCGAGGGTCCGTGGCTTCATACTTGAAGTCAGTGAGACCAAGAACCCACCAATTCCGGACACAGCCTCAGTGTGTGACGTTCCGCTCCCTGTGTCCACATGTTTTTATTGTTCAACTCCCACTTATGAGTATGAACATACAGTATTTGGTTTTCTGTTCTTGTGTTAGTTTGCTGAGAATGATGGCTTCTAGCTTCATCCATGTCCCTGCAACGGTCCTGCACTTATTCTTTTTCTATGGCTGCATGGTATTCCATGGTGTAGATGAAGTTACAACAGAAGGATGAATCCCTTTATGTAAGGAAAAATGTGATAGTTCTCAATTGGTCACCCTTATTTCTCCTGACCTCAGAGAAATTTTGTTTAGTTTTTGTCTCAAAAAACACAGGTGTGCCTCTTCTCTCTCTGGTTTGATGACCTAGCAAGATAGAACTGAAGGCACAAAGCGCTCATTAGATAAAAGGTGTCACTCTTACTGTTTACTTTTTTTATTAATACGTTCCTAACAGTTGCATCTTAGTATGTCTGCAGTACATATAAGAATTTGAGATGCAGAGAGAAAAGTTATCCTGAGTGGGAACATAATTTTAAAAATATGCCTACTTCAGTAGTATGTTTCTCTTTTACATTTACTGTAGTTAATGAGCCCACTACATTCTCTGTGTAGTATTATTTAAAAGCGTGGATTGAGAATATAAAACCACAGTATTTAAAATCAACTAGAAAGTGTCTTATGCCTCTGGCATATTGTTATACCATGTTTACTGTCACAGGAATATCTAAATAAGTTTTCTCTATTTCACAAGAACTGATTCTATTTAACTTTTATTTCATTAAAAAATTATTGACTGCTGCTTATTTTGTATTTTCCCATTTTTACTGTATATTAGTAAACAATGAAGGTGTCTTCTTTAAATGGTTTAATAATTATAAATCCTATAGGATATGTTATTTCTGATATAGTCTAATTGAGTGCATTCCCTAGAGAAGCTACCGTTTTAGTAGACTTTTCACTGTCGGCATTCCGTGTACACATCTTACGGGGCTTCATTTACTGATGCCTAAATCTTTAACCTGAGAGATAATCATAAAGATAAATACTAATTCAGAACCCTTCACAATGTAAAAATCATTTAAGTCCTTTCATTTACAATGTATTATTTAATTAATCAAGAATGGGTTGCCCATTTAATTTATGAAGAAAAAAAGTGAATGCCTTTGAAATCTTTGCTACAAACTTAGGTGGACTCAAAAACAAAATCTGTGCTACAAGTATATTTCACAGCTTTCTATTAGACGACTTTCATTCCTGTAACCGTTTCAATTTTCTTCACAGTTTAAAGAAAAATATTGGATTTGCCTCTACATAAGACTATATCTGTTCATAAAGTCCACCTAGATTAGCTGAACCAGTAAAATTAATCAAGGATTAAAATTAATACCTACATATAGGCACAATCTAAGTTGGTTGATTACTACTGACATATAAATCTGCATTTGTTCTTGTGACTCGAGTCTTGAGAAAATTTGAGAGCTCTTGGGAGGTTGAAGAAAACTTGTTAAGATTGGTGAAGTTGTGGAGAACACGAAAAAAACAAAAACAAGAGTTCAAATAGCCAAACACTTTATTGGCAACCATTTTTTTGATCTACAGCAGTGAGTGATTTGAAGTGAAGTCTGGTGATGAACTGTTTGGGAACAAACATCTCATCCACCAGAAGTCAGCATGACAAACCAAATTGATGGAAGCAGAAAGGGTCTGAGAGGAATTCAAAATGGTACCACGACTCCCAGCAAATTGGACTGAAGTCCTCTGCTTGGCCTGGAAGTAATGAGAAATGAGACCTGACTGAAAAGACTATTTGAGCACAGTGGCTACAAATATTGAGTGGTAAAATAAGGTCTGAAGGCCAGTTTCCTCATTGTGTGCCCTAAAGACTACAGTTACATAGAAACATTAGGAACAAAGAAACGTCATGTTTGAAAATAGCAAAATTTTAACAGACCTGAATAAGAAGTGAAGAAGAAACTTCCAGGGGAGCCTCCAGTGGCTCAGGATCAGCTCTTCATAAAACACCAGAGTAGTGGGGATTGAAAACTGTTTGTGCTTTTCCAAGATTTTGCAGCATTGAAAGGGTAATGCTTTCCTGGAATAGACGTTCACTTTCTTAAAATTCAAAGCTCGTATAGGGTTCTTCGCTTTGCCGTCTCTTTCAAATCATGCAGAATCACCCAATCCTAGTTATATTATAATGTGTTGGCCAGAAAATTGCTATTGTCCACTAATTTTGTTCAAGTGTCCAGTTGGTTCATCTAGCACTTCTTAAATATTTGATAAGTTTTTTCCAGGAAACTGGCATTTTTTTTTCTGTCTGGATCTGTATCTCCCTCTGTCATTGCACGTAGGTCTAAATATACATGGCCAAATATGTGTATGTTTGTATATATTAATCCCACTACCCAAAGACCATCAGAAACATACCTATTATAGTCAAACACATTTATGTGTATTAATTTGCTACAGTAAGGAAAATCATGCACCATGGAAATTGTGGAGAGGGAATTAAGAGGGACTTATGATAGGATTATTATAAATTCAATCTTATTCGGGATAATTTGAGGGAAAGTTTAAGGAACTATTGGTTTGTTTGGAATTAGGTACTGTCAGGTAGTAGAACCAATTTGTATTAATTTGAATAGGAGGTGGGAGATGCTAAGTTGGGCTGGAATTGTCACTGGAGAAGAAGCAGTAGTCATTCATATTTGCCAGGAGAGAAGGATATTTGTCATTGTGATGTTTGCACTTGTGGTGTGTTGTCTTGTTCCAGTTTGGTGACAGAGTGATCTCATCTGATGCTAACATTCTCTGAAATTGTTAATGCCCAGCAGGGCACACCACAGCATGGTCATGAGCTGCCAAGCTGGCTACAAGCTATCAGCAGCTATACAATTTTTTCTCAGCAGCTATATTTTTTACCGGAAGCACTAGCTAATTAAACTTTAATTTCATAGTAGCTTAATTAAAACCTTCTTAATGTAGAATGGATAAATCTGAGATGAGTCTTATAAGCAAGTAAGAAGAGACTTCATAATCATCTAACAGATCGGTACCTCTATGCTTAGTCAAATAGATAGATATGAACGTACAGTAAGGGATGCTGCAATAATGTTTTGCCACACATTTTGTGAAACATTGAAGTATAATTTTTTAAAGACACAATTTTAAAAGAAAAGAAAAGAAAATTAAAAACACAATATTAGGCTTTGAGGAATTTAGGATCTATTAAAAATTGTAAGTAGCCACTAATTTAAGGTGCAAGATTTTTGAGTAGATCAAGATAATGTGTGAAGAGTGCTTTAAACATTTGATGTGCAAATAGAAGGCATTTTTTCTTTATTAATATTAAATGCAGTCTAGTCTTTAGACTGGGGTTGGGGGAAGACTAATATTATGTAAAGTTGAACTTTTTTTAAGTTTAGAATTCAGTTCTATTTCGATGATTTGGATGAAACTTTAAAAATTTTGTAATTTAAAAGCAAGTCAGTCTGGTAAATTAAAACTATCAGCAACAGGAAAATGTAGATTCCCCACCAAAACTTATACATTTATCTTCTGGGTGAGTTTTATCCATTTCTCCTTACAGAGTTTCATGAAAGCTTTATGTTATAACCATGAAATGGACTTATTAAACCCTAGGATTAGAGTGTATCATATGTCATGCAGATAGCTGCCAAGAAGTACCCAGAGAAAAAAATAATTTGTAGGGCACCTTGTGGTACTATAACTTCAAATATTTCCTTATACTGCCTCCAAAGGTAAAAGTGAAGAGAAATTACTGGAAATTATTGGCAAAAAAAGTAACTTGTTATACTTACAGGATATGCTTGAAAGTTCTGTCTAAAAAGGACAACCATAAAAGTTAGTTTTACAATTTCTTTGGTAATGTCTTAGAACCTCTACTGCAATATGGGTTTTATATGTATGGTAGTTATTTACATTATACTTAAACTACGAGATATATACGTTTGCTGAAACTGGTTTTGAGAAACAATATCTGGCAGAAAAAAAGGAAATCTTTTATGATATTTTTTTTGGTCATGGTTGCTTCCTTGCCATCCTAATTTTGATGAATTTTTGTAAAATTAATTATCCTTATATACTCACATATATGTACATATTGTCAATATGGCATGATACTACGATACCATCTGTTTTAACCTTCTGGCTATGCCAGTAAAATACATATTATGGTCTTATAAGTTCAATGCCCCTGTGAACCTATAACCTTCTAATTTGATCTGCTTCCACTGAAGGTTCATTCAGTCTCTTTTCAAACTCTTAGATTAATGACATTTCTAAACAGAGGGAGTTTAAGGAACCCTAGGTAAAAAGTCAGCAACTTGGCTTCAAACAGAATTTGCAGTGCACCTATCTGATATTCATTTAATCAGAACTTCAACCACCAATTTATGTCTTTTGCTGTGCGATTTCAGCTAGCTGACGGTACCTGGTTCTTCTCAACCATGAAAATTCTCTTGAAGACATCAAGATTGGAAAGAAAAAAATTATCTTTATTTGCAAATGACATGACCTTATGAAAAATTCTAAGGATCCACTAAAATACTATTAGAACTAATGTAGATTTAGCAAAGTTGTGGGGTACAAGATCAATATACAAAAATTAATTATATTTTTATATACAAGTGATCCAAAGTGAAATTTAGAAAACAATTCCATTTAAAAGAGCATCAACAAGAATAAAATGCTTCTGAATATACTAAATGGCTATCCCTGACCCGACCTGGTGGTCTTTCTCTACCCACCCTGGTAGCCAAAGGAAAAGGTCATAATCTTTTGGGAGCTCTATGGCCCTGCCCACCACCTGAGAAAACTGAATACACTTGTCCCTAGGGCAAGTTTGCAACCTCCTTATAAGTCTGCAGCTGATGCACTCTTGAAACCTCCACTTCCTGGCTGGAGGCCAACAAACACAAAACCAGTGCACTAAACAAAAACACAACCAAGGACCCTCACAGAGTCCAATTCACTCCCCTACTACCTCCACCGGAGCAAATGCTGGTATCCATGGCTGCAAGAACTGAAGACAGATAACATCACAGGACTCTGTGCAGATACTCCCCAGCACCAGCCTGGAGCCCAGTAGCTAGATCCAGAAGAGCAAAAACAATTATTAGAGTTTGGCTCTCAGGAAGCCCCATTCCTAGGGGAAGGGGAAGAACACCACACCAAGTGAGCACCCCATGACAAAATAATCTGATTGTGGTGGATAAGCTTTTTGAAATGCTGCTGGATTCAGTTTGCCAGTATTTTACTGAGGTTTTTTGCATCGATGTTCATCAGGGATATTGGCCTGAAGTTTTCTTTTTTTGTTGTGTCTCTGCTAGGTTTTGGTTTCCGGATGATGCTGGTCTCGTAAGATGAGTTAGGGAGGAGACAGTTCTTTTCAATTGTTTGCAATAGTTTCAAAAGGAATGGTACCAGCTCCTTTTTGTGTCTCTGGTAGAATTCAACTGTGAATCCGTCTGGTTCTGGGATTTTTTTCATAGATAGTCTATTAATTGCTGCCTCAATTTCAGAACTTGTTGTTGGTCCATTCAGGGATTTGACTTCTTCCTGGTTTAGCCTTGGGATGGTGTATGTGTCCAGGAATTAATACATTTCTTCTAGATTTTCTAGTTTATTTGTATAGAGGTGTTTATAGTATTCTGTCATGGTAGTTTGTATTTCTGTGGAGTCAGTGGTGATAACCGCTTTATCCCTTTTTATTGTGTCTATTTGATGTTTCTCTCTTTTCTTCTTTATTATTCTAGCTAGCGGTCTATCTATTCTGTTGATTTTTTCAAAAAAAAAAAAAAACAGATCCTGGATTCATTGATTTTCTTGAAGGGTTTTTCGTGTCTCTATCTCCTTCAGTTTTGCTCTGATCTTAGTTATTTCTTGTCTTTTGCTAGCTTTTGGATTTGTCTGCTCTTGCTTCTCTAGCTCTTTTAATTGTGATGTTAGGGCATTGATTTTATATCTTTCTAGCTTTCCGATGTGGGCATTTAGTGCTATAAATTTCCCTCTAAACACTGTTTTAACTGTGTCCCAGAGATTCTGGTATGTTGTGTCTTTGTTCTCATTGATTTCAAAACTTTATTTCTGCCTTAATTTCATTATTTACCCAGGAGTCACTCAGGAACAGGTTGTTCAATTTCCATGTAGTTGTGTGGTTTTGAGTGAGTTTCTTAAGCCCGAGTTATAATTTGATTGCACTGTGGTCTGAGAGACTGTTATGATTTCAGTTCTTTTGCATTTGCTGAGGAGTGTTTGACTTCCAATTATGTGGTAGATTTTAGAATAAGTGCCATGTGGAACTGAGAAGAATGTATATTCTGTCGGTTTGGGGTGGAGAGTTCTGTCCATATCTGTTAAGTCCACTTGATCCAGAGATGAGCTTAAGTCCTGAATAGCCTTGTTAATTTTCTCTCTCATTGATCTGTCTAATATTGACAGTGTGGTATTAAAGTCTCCCACTATTATTGGGTGGCAGTCTAAGTCTCTTTGTAGGTCTCCAAGAAGTTGTTTTATAAATCTGCCTACTCCTGTATTTGGTATATATATATTTAGAATAGTTAGCTCTTCTGGTTGAACTGATCTCTTTACCCTTATGTAATGCCTTTCTTTGTCTTTTTTCATCTTTGCTGGTTTAAAGTCTGTTTTTTCAGAGGCTAGGATTGCAACCTCTGCATTTTTTTTCTTTTGCTTTCCAGTTGCTTGGTAAATTTTCCTCCATCCTTTTATTTTGAGCTTATATGTGTCTTTGCACATGAGATGGGTCTCCTAATACAGCACACCAACGGGTCTCGACCCTTTATCACATTTGCCAGTCTGTGTCTTTTAATGGGGGCTTATAGCCCATTTAAAATTAAGGTTCATATTGTTATGTGTGAATCTGATCCTGTCATCATAATGCAATCTGGTTATTTTGCACACTAGTTGATGCAGTTTCTTCATAGTGTCATTGTTCTTTATATTTTGGTGTGTTTTTGCAGGGCCTGGTACTGGTTTTTCCTTCTCATATTTAGTGCTTCCTTCAACAGCTCTTTCAAGGCAGGCCTGGTAGTAATGAAATCCCTCACTATTTGCTTGTCTGGAAAGGATTTTATTTCTCCTTCATTTATGAAGCTTAGTTTGGCTGGATATGAAATTCTGTGTTGAAAATTCTTTTTTTGAGAATGTTGAATATTGACCTCCACTCTTTCCTGGTTGTAGGGTTTCTGCTGAGAGGTCCACTACTAGTCTGATAGGCTTCCCTGTGTAGGTGACCTGGCCTTTCTTTCTGGCTGCCCTTAACATTTTTTCTTTCATTTCGACCTTTGAGAATCTGATGATTACGTGTCTTGGGGTTAATCCTCTTGTGGAATATCTTAGTGGTGTTCTTTGTAGTTCCTGAGTTTGAATGTTGGCCTGTCTTGCTAGGTTGGGGAAGTACTCCCGCATCATATCCTGAAGTGTGTTTTCCAACTTGGTTCCATTCTCCCCATCTGGTTCAAAATACACAAATCAATAAACATAATACATCACATAAACATAACCAATGACAATAACCACATGATCATCTCAATAGATGCAGAAAAGGCATTTGATAAAATTCAACATCCCTTCATGTTAAGAATTCTCAGTAAACTAGGTATTGATGGAACATATCTCAATAAGAGCTATTTATTACAAACCCACAGCCAATATCATACTGAATGGACAAAAGCTGGAAGCATTCCCTTTGAAAACTGGTGCAAGACAAGGATGCTCTCTCTCACACTCCTATCCAACATAGCATTGGAAGCTATGGCCAGGGCAATTAGGCCAAGAAAAAAAAAGGGTATTCTAATAGGAAGAGAGGAAGTCAGATTGTCTCTATTGGCAGACGACATGCTTCTGTATTTAGAAAACCCCATTATCTCAGCCCCAAAACTCCTTAACCTGATAAGCAACTTCAGCAAAGTCTCAGGATACAAAGTCAATCTGCAAAAATCACAAGCATTTCTATACACCAACAATAGACAAGGAGAGGGCCAAATCATGAGTGAACTCCAATTCACAATTGCTACAAAAAGAATAAAATACCTAGGAATACAGCTAACAAGGGGTGTGAAGGGTCTCTTCAAGAAAAACTACAAACCACTGCTCAAGGAAGTAACAGAGGACACAAACAAATGGAAAAACACTCATTCCTCAAGGATAGGAAGAATCAACATCATGAAAATGGCCATACCCTCCAAAGTAATCTATAGATTGAATTCTATTTCCATCAAACTACCATTGACATTCTTCACAGAATTAGAAAACTACTTTAAATTTCATATGAAACAAAAAATGAGCCCATATAGCCAAGACTATCCTAAGCAAAAGAACAAGGCTGGAAGCATCACACTACTTGACTTCAAACTGTACTACAAGGCTACAGTAACCAAAATAGCATAGTACTGGTACCAAAACTGACATATAGACCAATGGAACGGAACAGAGACCTTAGAAATAACACCACACATCTACAACCATCTGATCTTTGAACAAACCAGACAAAAACAAGCAATGAGGAAAGAATTTCCTATTTAATAAATGGTGCTGGGAAAACTGGCCAGCCATATGAAGAAAACTGAAACTGGACTCCTTACACCTCAACTAAAATTATATCTTATACAAAAATCACACCTTATACAAAAATTAACTAAAGATGAATTAAAGACTTAAATGTGAAACCCAAAACCATAAAAAGCCTTGAAGAAAACCTAGGCAATATCATTTAGGACATAGACACAGGTAAAGAGTTTATGACAAAAATGCCAAAAGCAATTACAACAAGAACCAAAATTGACAAATGGGATCTAATAAAACTAAAGAGCTTCTGCACATCAACAGAAACTATCATCAGAGTGAACAGGCAACCTGCAGAATGGGAGAAAATTTTTGCAGTCTAACCACCTGACAAAGGTCTAATATTCAGAATTTACAAGGAGCTTAATCAAATGTACAAGAAAAAAACAAACAATTCCAATCAAAACGTGGGCAAAGGACAAGAACAGACACTTCTTAAAAGAAGACATTTATGCAGCCAACAAACATGAAAAAAAAGCCTAACATCACTAATCATTAGAGAAATGCAAATCAAAATCACAATGAGATACCATCTCATGCCAGTCAGAATGGTGATTATTAAAAAATCAAGAAACAATAGTTGCTAGCAAGGCTGTGGAGAAATAGAAACACTTTTACATTGTTGGTGGGAATGTAAATTAGTTCAACCATTGTGGAAGATAGCGTGGCAATTCCTCGAGGATCTAGAACTAGAAATACAATTTGACCCAGAAATCCCATTACCAAATACCATTTGACTGAGAAATCCCAAAGGAATATAAATCACTTTACTATAAAAATGCATGCACATGTATGTTTATTGCAGCACTATTTACAACAGTAAAGACATGGAACCAACCCAAATGGCCATCAGTGATAGACTGGATAAAGAAAATGTGGTACATATACACCATGGAAACTATGCAGCCATGAAAAGGAATGAGATCATGTCCTTTGCAGGGACATGGATGAAGCTGGAAATCATCATCCTTAGCAAACTAACACAGGAACAGAAAAAAAAAAAAAAACACCACATATTCTCACTCAAAAGTGGGAGTTGAACAATGAGAACACATGGACACAAGGAGGGGAACAATATGCACCAGAGCCAGTCGAGGGGTGGGGGAAAAAGAGAGGGAGAGCATTAGGACAAAAAGCTAATACATGTGAGGCTTAAAACCTAGATGATGGGTTGATAGGTGCACCAAACCACCATGGCACACATATATCTATTTAACAAACCTACATGTTCCGCACTTGTATCCCAGAACTTAAAGTAAACAACAATAACAACAAACCAAGAATCTGATCAACAGCCCTTGAATTCCAGATCTTCCCTCTGACATAGTCTACTCAAATGAGAAGGAACCAGAAAAACAATTCTGGTAATATGACAAAACAAGGCTCTTTAACACCCCCAAAAGATCATACCAGCTCAACAGCAATGGATCTAAACCAAGACGAAATCTCTGAATTGCCAGAAAACAGAATTCAGAATGTTGATTATTAAGCTAATTAAGGAGGCACCAGAGAAACGTAAAGTCAAAAACATAATACAGGATATGGAAAGAAAATTCTTCAGTGAAATAGGTAGCATAAACACAAAATGATCACAACTCCTGGAAATCAAGGACACACTTAGAGAAATGCAAAATGCCCTGGAAAGTTTCAGCAATAGAATTGAACAAGCAGAAGAACAAAAATCAGAGCTTAAAAACAAGGCTTTTGAATTAACTCAATCCATTAAAGATAAATAAAAAAGAATTTTTAAAAATGAATAAAGCCTCCAAGAAATTTAGGACTATGTTAAACATCCAAACCTAAGAATAATTGGTGTTCCCATGGAAGAAGAAAAATCTAAGTTTGGAAAACGTATTTGAGGGAATAATCAAGGAAAACTTCCCCAACCTTGCCAGAAATCTAGACATCCAAATACAAGAAGCTCAAACAACACCTGGGAAATTCATCACAAAAAGGTCATCGCCTAGGCACATAGTCATCAGGTTATCAAAGTTAAGACAAAGGAAAGAATCTTAAGAGCTCTGAGGCAAAAGCATCAGGTAACCTATAAAGAAAAGCCTATCAGATTTATAGCAGATTTGTCAGCAGAAACCCTTCAAGCTAGAAGGGATTGGGGTTCTACTTTTAGCCTCCTTAAACAAAGCAATTATCAGCCAAGAATTCTGTAACCAGTGAAACTAAGTTTTATAAATGAAGGAAAGATATAGTCTTTTTCCAGACAAACAAATGCTGAGAGAATTTGCCACTACCAAGCCAGCAGTACAAAAACTTCTAAAAGTAGCTCTAAATCTTGAAACAAATTATCAAAATACACAAAATAGAACCTCCTTAAAGCATAAATCTCACAGGACTTACATAACAACAACACAATAAAAAATAGGTATTCAGGCAACAAACAGCATGATGAGTAAAATAGTACCTCACATCTCAATACTAACATAGAATGTAAATGGTCTAAAAGTGCCACTTAAAAGATACAGAATGACAGAATGGATCAGAATACACCAACCAAGTTTCTGTTGTCTTCAGGAGACTCACCTAACAATAACGACTCACATAAACTTAAGGTGAAGGGGTGGAAAAAGATATTTCATGCAAATGGACACCAAAAACAAGCAGGAGTAGCTGTTGTCATATCAGACAAAACAAATTTTAAAGCAACAGCAGTTAAAAAGGACAAAAAGGAACATTATATAATTATAGAAGGACTAGTCCAACAGGAATATATCACAATTCTAAATATATATGCTCCTAACATTGGCGTTCCCAAATTAATAAAACAATTACTACTAGACCTAAGAAATGATATAGATGACAACACAATAATAGTGGGGGACTTCAGTACGCCACCGACAGCACTAGACAGGTCATCAAGACAGAAAGTCAACCAATAAATAATTGACTTACACTATACACTACAACAAATGGATTTAGCAAATATTTACAGAACATTCTGCTCAACAACTGCAGAATATACATTCTATTCATGAGCACATGGACCATTTTCCAAGCTAGGCCATATGATAAGTCTCAGTAAATTTAAGAAAATTGAAATTATATCAACTACTCTCTCAGACCACAGTGGAACAAAATTGGAAATTAACTCAAAAAGGAACCCACAAAACCATGTAAATACATGGAAATTAAATAACCTGCTCCCGAATAATCAATGGGTCAACAATGAAATCAAGATGAAATTGAAAAATTGTTTGCACTTAATGATAATAGTGAAGCAACCTATCAAAACCTTTAGGATACAGTAAAAATGGTGCTAAGAGGAAAGTTTACAGCTTTAAATGCCTACATCAAAAAGTCTAAAAGAACAAAAATAGACAATCTAAGGTCACACCTTATGGAACTGGAGAAACAAGAACAATCTAAACCCAACCCAGCAGAAGAAAAGAAATAAAAAGATCAGAGCAGAACTAAATGAAATTGTAACAAAAAATATGAAAGATAAATGAAACAAAAAACTGATTCTTTGAAAAGATACATAAAATTGATAGACCATTAACGAAATTAACCAAGAAAAGAAGAGAGAATATCCAAATAAACTCACTTAGAAATGAAATGGAAGATATTACAACCAATACCACAGAAATACAGAAGATTTTCCAAGGCTACTATGACCACCTTTATGCACATAAACTGAGAAACCTAGATGAGATGGATAAATTCTCGGAAATATACAACCCTCCTAGGTTAAGCCAGGAAGATGTTGAATCTCTGAACAGACCATTAAAAAGCAGCAAGATTAAAATGATAATAAAAAAATTACCAACAACAACAAAAAGTAGCCCAGGACCAGAAAGATTCACAGCTGAATTCTATCAGACATTCAAAGAAGAATTGGTACCAATCCTATTGATACTATTCCAAAAGATAGAGAAAGAGGGAATTCTCCCTAAAAATCATTCTATGAAGCTAGTATTACCCTAATACTAAAGCCAGGAAAGAACATAACAAAAAAAGAAAACTACAGACCCAATAACCCTGATACACATAGATGCAAAAATTCTCAACAAAATACAGAAAATTTTCTGTATTTCTGTGGTATCGGTTGTAATATCTTCCATTTCATTTCTAAGTGAGCTTATTTGGATATTCTCTCTTCTTTTCTTGGTTAATCTCATTAACTGAATCCACCGCATATCCAAAAGATAATCCACCATGATCAATGGGTTTTATACCAAGCATGCAGGGATGGTTTAACATATATAAGTCAATAAAGGTGATACACCACATAAACAGAATTAAAAACAAAAATCACATGATAATTTCAATGGATGCAGAAAAGGCATCTGTCAAAATTCAGCATCGCTTTATCATTAAAATGCTTAGCAAAATCGGCATAGAAGGAACATACCTTAAGGTAATAAAGGCCATTGATGACAAACACACAGCCAACTTTATATTGAATGGGGAAAAGCTGAAAACATTCCTCCTGAGTACTGGAACAAGACAAGGATGCCCACTTTCACCACTTCTATTCAACATAATCCTGGAAGTTCTAGCCAGAGCAATTAGACAAGAGAAAGAAACAAAGGACGTCAAAATCAGTAAAGAGGAAGTCAACCTGTTGCTGTTTGCTGATGATATGTTTGTATAACTAGAAAACCCTAAAGACTCATCTAAAAACATCCTAGAACCTGTAAAATAATTCAGGAAAGTCTCAGAATACAAAATTAATGTACACAAATCAGTAGCTGTGCTATACACCAACAGCGCCCAAGCTGAGAATCAAATCAAGAACTCAACCCCTTTCACAATAGTTGCAGAAAAAATAAAATACTTAGGCATATATGTAACCAAGGATGTGAAAGAACGCTACAAGGAAACCTACAAGACACTGCTGAAGGAAGTCATAGACAATGCAAACAAATGGAAACACATCCCATGCTCATTGATGGGTAGAATCAATATTGTGAAAATGACCATTCTGCCAAAAAACAATCTACAAATTCAATGCAATTCCCATCAAAATACCATGATTATTCTTCACAGAACTAGTAAAAAGAATCCTAAAATTCATATGGAACCAAAAAAGAGCCCATATAGCCAAAGCAAGACTAAGCAAATAAAAACACATCTGGAGGCATGGCATTTCCCAACTTCAAACTATACTATAAGGCCATAGTCACCAAACCAGTATGGTACTGGTGTAAAACCAGGCACATACACCAATGGAACAGAAGAGAGAACCCAGAAATAAAGCCAAATGCTTACAGCCAACTAATTTTTGACAAAGCAAACAAAAATGTAAAGTGGGGAAACTATACCCTATTCAGCAAATGTTTCTGGGATAATTGCCAAGCTTCATATAGAACAACAAAACTTGATCCTCATCTCTCACCCTATACAAAAATCAACTCAAGATAAATAAAAGACTTAAATCTAAGACCTGAAACCATAAAGAGTCTAGAAAATAACATTGAAAAAACCCTTCCAGACGTTGGCTTTGACAAAGACTCCATGACCAAGAACACAAAAACAAATGCAACAAAAACAAAGATAAATAGATGGGACTTAATTAAACCTAAAAGCTTCTGCACAGCCAAAGAAATAATAAGTAGAGTTAACAGACAACCCACAGAGTGGGATAAAATCTTCACAATCTATACATCCAACAAAGGACTAATATCCATAATCTGCAAAGAACTGAAATCAGCAAGAAAAAAACAACCCCATCAAAAAAGTGGGCTAAGGAAAGGAATAAACAATTCTCAAAAGAAGATATACAAAGGGTCAACAAGTGTATGGAAAAATGCTTACCATCACTAATGACTAGGGAAATGCAAATCAAAATCACAATGTGATACTACCTCACTCTTGCAAGACTGGACATGATCAAAAAATAAAAAAATAATAGATGCTTGTGGGGATGCGGTGAAAAGGGAACACTTTTACACTGTTGGTGGAAAGTAAACTCGTACAACCACTATGAAAAACGGTGTGGAAAACTAAAAGTAGATCTACTGTTTGATCCAGCAATCCCTCTACTGGGTATCTACCCAGGGGAAAAGAAGTTATTTTACAAAATAGATACTTGCACATGTATGTTTATAGTAGCACAATTTGTAATTGCAAGAATATGGAACCAGCCCAAATGCCGATCAATCAATGATTGGATAAAGAAAATGTTATATATCTATATACACACCATGGAATACTACTCAGCTATAAACAGGAATGATATAATGGCATTCGCAGCAACCTGGATGGAATTGGAGACTATTATTCTAACTGAGGAATGGAAAATCAAACGTTTTATGTCCTCACTCATATGTGGGAGCTCAACTGTGAGGACACAAAAGCGTAAGAATGATACATTGGACTTTGGGAACTGGGAAAAAGCGTGGCAGATGGCAAGGGATTAAAAAAACTACACACTGGGTACAGTGTATACTGCTTAGGTGACGGGCACACCAAAATCACAGAAATCACCACTAAAAAATTTATTTGTGTAACCAAACTCCACCTGTTCCCCCAAAACCTGTTGAAATAAAAAAAATTTAATGAAATAAATATATGATAATTTAAGAAAAAGAAAAAAATACTCTTAAAACTACAAGACATTAAATAATTAATGACCTTAAGAAAAAGACATTCCATGTTCATGCATTGAAAGACTGATTGTCATTAAGATAGTAGTATTCCTCCAAATTGTAATCCCTATCAAAATTCCAGCTTGCCTTTTTGCAGAACTTGACAAGTTAGTATTAAAATTGATATGTGTAGGGAAAAGAAAAAGAGATCAGACTGTTACTGTGTCTATGTAGAAAAGGAAGATATAAGAAACTCCATTTTGATCTGTACCTTGAACAATTGTTTTGCCTTGAGATGCTGTTAATCTGTAACTTTAGCCCCAACCTTGAGCTCACAGAAACATGTGCTGTATGGAATCAAGGTTTAAGGGATCTAGGGCTGTGCAGGTTGTGCCTTGCTAACAATATGTTTACAGGCAGTATGCTGGGTAAAAGTCATTGCCATTCTCCATTCTCGAGTAACCACGGGCACAATGCACTGAAGAAAGCCGCAGGGACCTCTGCCTAGGAAAGCTGGGTATTGTCCATGGTTTCTCCCCACTAAGATAGCCTAAGATGTGGCCTCGTGGGATGAGAAAGACCTGACCATCCCCAAGCCCAACACCCCTGAAGGATCTGTGCTGAGGAGGATTAGTAAAAGAGGAAGGCCTCTTGCAGTTGAGATAAGAGGAAGGCTTCTGTCTCCTGCCTGCCCCTGGGAATGAAATGTCTCGGTATAAAACCCGATTGTACATTTGTTCTATTCTGAGATAGGAGAAAAACCGCCCTGTGGCAGGAGGCAAGACATGCTGGTGGCAATGCTGCTCTGTTACTCTTTACTCCACTGAGATGTTTGGGTGGAGAAAAGCGTGAATCTGGCCTACGTGCACATCCAGGCATAGTACCTTCCCTTGAACTTGAGACACACATTCCTTTGCTCATATGTTTTCTTGCTGACCTTCTCCCCACTGTCACCCTGTTCTCCCGCTGCATTCCCCTTGCTGAGATAGTGAAAATAGTAATCAACAAATACTGAGAGAACTCAGAGGCTGGTGCCAGTGTGGGTCCTTCGCATGCTGAGCGCCAGTCCCCTGGGCCCATTTTTCTTTCTCAATACTTTGTCTCTGTGTCTTATTTCTTTTCTCAGTTTCTCGTCCTGCCTGACGAGAAATACCCACCGGTGTGGAGGTGCTGGCCCCCTTAAATATGGAAATGCATTTGGCTTCAGAAATCTGAAAACAAAACTTACTACAAAGCTACAGTAATCAAGCCAGTGTGGTACTGTCATAAGAACAGACATACAGATAATGAAATAGATTGACAGTCCAGAAATAAACTCTTGCACTTAAAGTAAATTGATTTTTAAGGAAGGTATCATGATAATTCAGTCAAGGAAGAACAGCCTTTTCATAAAACGTTCTTGTTCAACTGAAAAAAGTCACATGCAACAGAAAAAAGTTAGACCCTATCCTCATACCATATACAAAAATTAACTCAAAATGGATCATAGACCTAAACGAAAGAACTTAAAATAAAACTCTTAGATGAAAATATCAGAATAAATTCTTGCAGCATGGAATCAGTCATAGACTTCTTAGTTAAGACCCACAAAGCACAAGTGACAACTGACAAAAATCCGTAAGTTATAAATTAGACTTCATAATTAAAAGTATGTGTGCTTCAATGGACACCATCAAAAAAGTGAAAAGACAACATACGGAATAGAAAAATATATGCAAATCATACATTTGATAAGGGACTTGAATCTAAAATCTATGTATACAACTTTTATAATCCAATGATAAAAATAGAACTTAATTTTTAAATGTGCAAAGAATATGCATAAAAATTTCTCCAAAGAAGATACATAAATGGCCACTAAAAACATAAAAAGATGGGCAATGTCATTAGCCATTAAGTAAATGCAAACCCAAACCACAATGAGATGCTACTGCTTCACACCTTCTAAGATAGCTGTACAGTAGCCTTTCCTTATCTGTGGTTTCACTTTCCTGCAGTCAACCACAGTCCAAAAGTATTACATATAATAAGATATTTTAAGAGAGACCACATTCACATAACTTTTGTTACAGTATTTTGTTATAATTATTCTATTTTACTGTTTGTTAATCTCTTACTGTGCCTAATTTATAAACTATTCTTGATGATGTATGTATGCATGTATATACATTTATGCATGTATGCAAACAGGGAAAAATAGTATTTATAGTGTCCATACTCTCTGTGCTTTCAGGCTTCCACTGGAGGTTTTAGAATATATCCCCTGCAGATAAGAGAGGACTACTGTAATAATAATTTAAAAAAAACCCAGAAAACAATAAGTATAGGTGACTATGTAGAGAAACTGAAACCTCATATATTCGTGGTGAGAATGTAAAATATTGCAGCCTTTTTGAAAAACAGTTTGCCAGTTCGTCAATAACTTAAAAGCATACAGTTAACATGTGATTGAAAAATTCCAGGTATACATTAAAGAGAAATAAAAACATACGTTCACACCAAACCTTGTACACAAACGTTTATAACAGAATTATCGTAGTCAAAAAGTGGAAACAATACAAATGTCCATCAGCTGATAAATGTATATGAAAATATCCTATTGATGAGGAGAGACAGAGAGAGAGACTTTTCTTACAAGTCCAGTATTTGTAATTCTTTAGATATAAATTTATTTCTGTTGTTTCTTTGAATTATCATATAGGATGGCATAATTCTTTATTTTTGATGATGTTTGATTGAGAGCCTATTGCTGATTTTAATCTTTGGGAATTCCATGAGGGAAGCTGAGCCTTGTATTCACTGTTTGAACTGGAAACTTTGAGAGTGGCTGAAATATTGCCAGGTTGTTGTTCCCATATATCCTCTCTGGAGAAAAGCATCTCTGACATACATGTACATATTTATCTCTCTCTCTCTATCATCTATCAGCTCTATCCATCCATCCATCTATCCATCCATACATCCATCCATCCCTCCATAGAAATAAAATAGGTATATATGTAATGTATAAACAAATAGGGGTTGGCAAACTATAGCCCATATTCCAGCCACATGTTTTTATAAATAAAATTTTATTGAAACACAGCCACTCCATTTGTTTCTGCATTACTATGCTGCTTTTATACTATAATAGCAGAGTTGAATGATTACAACAGAGACTGTATGGTCCATGGCCCAAAAATATTTAATATCTGGATACTTAAGAAAAAGTTTGCCAAGTCCTGAAGTCCTGAAATAAGAGGATGGAAACAAAACACTAAGCTGTCAATAACAGCCTATCAGGGATGTTCAACAAAATATGAAAAAAAAAAAAATTAAATTGTGTCTGGAATTGGTTCCTTCCAGTGGGTTCTTGTTCTCTCTGACTTCAAGAATGAAGCCGTGGACCCTCACCGTGGACCCTCGCGGTGAGTGTTACAGTTCTTAAAGATGGTGTGTCTGGAGTTTGTTCCTTCAGATGTTCAGATGCATCCGGAGTTTCTTCCTTCTGGTGGGTTAGTGGTCTTGCTGACTTCAAGAGTGAAGCTGCAGATCTTCGAAGTGAATGTTACAGCTCTTAAAGGTGGCGCGTCCAGAGTTGTTTGTTCCTCCTGGTGGGTTCGTACTCTCACTGACTTCAGGGGTGAAGCTGCAAATCTTCACAGTGAGTGTTACAGCTCATAAAGGTAGTGAGGATCCAAAGACTGAGCAGCAGCAAGATTTATCGGGAAGAGTGAAAGAACAAACCTCCCACAATGTGGAAAGGAACCCAAGCACGTTGCTGCTGCTAGCTTGGGCGGCCAGCTTTTATTCCCTTATTTGACCCCGCCCATGTCCTGCTCATTGGTCCATTTTACAGAGCACTGATTGGTCCATTTTACAGAGTGCTGATTGATCTGTTTTTACAGAGTGCTGATTGGTGCGTTTACAAAGCGTTAGCTAGACACAGAGCACTGATTGGTGAGTTTTTACAATCCTTTAGCTGACACAAAAGTTCTCCAAGTCCCCACCTGATTAGCTAGACACAGAGCACTGATTGGTGCATTTACAAACATTTAGCTAGACACAGAGTGCTGATTGGTGCATTTACAATCCTTTAGATAGACAGAAAAGTTCTCCAAGTCCCCACCCGACCTAGAAGCCCAGCGGGCTTCACCTCTCAAAATTACTAAGAAAATAATAATTTTAGTTTAAAATATTTCATGGGTGGATTAAAAAAAACCCTAAAACATTCAAAATCCTGAAGGCTGAGGTGGGTGGATCAATTGAGGTCAGGAGTATGAGACCAGCCTGGCCAACATGATGAAACCACATCTCTACTAAAACTACAAAAATTAGCCTGGCGTGGAGGCAGGTGCCTGTAGTTCTAGCTAGTCTGGAGGCTGAGGTACAAGAATCTCTTGAACCCAGCAGGCAGAGGCTGCATTGAGCCAAGATTGCACCATGGCACTCAAGCCTGGGTGACAGAGCAAGGCTCTGTCTCAAACAAACAAACAAACAAACAAAAAACACTATGAACAGATATTAGAAAATTGGAAGAAATATGCAGTATAGATAAGCCAGAAGACAAATATAAATGAGAAGTTTAAAAATATTGAAGATAAAATAATGCGAGTGGAGTTTAGTGGAAAAAACCGTAGAAATAGAGAGGAGGAAATATTTAAAGAAATATGACTGACAACATTTCAGGAGTAATGTCAAACCTGAATCTACAGATATAAGAAGCTAATAAGCACAATAAATATTACATACTTAGTCACATGATATAGCAGTTGCAGTGCACCAAAATTAAAAAAAAAATTAAGGAAAAGAAAAAAAAATCTGGAGAGTAAAGACCAGTCATTGCAAAGAAACATAAATTACACCAAGGGAAGACTTCTCACAGCAATAAATGAAACCAAAAGACTAAAATAATATCTCTACAGTATTATAAGAAAACAATTAGAAATCAAAACTTTTTTACCCAGCAAAAATATGTCTTTTAAGAGGGAATAAATTTTAAGACAAAAAGAATCCTTAGGATTAGATAATTTCGCTGCAAAATGCTCATGAGGAAAACAGGCATACATTAATAAACTAGCCTCAAAATATATTAATAGAAATATTGATAAAACAATAGGGAGAAACTTTACACATCTATTCCTATAGTAGAAGATTTCAATTCATGTTTTTAACTATTGATAGATAAAACAGTTAAAAAATTGGTAAAGATAGAAAATATATGAACAACACAGTTAACAAGCATGGCCTAGTGGGTGAGATCTGGAATTCTGTACCCAAACAAGAGAATACAATTTGTTCTCTACCAAATATAGAACAGTTTTTAAATAAGCACATTATAGGCAGTGAATCAATTATCAATAAATGTCAATGAATTTCTATTATATAGAAAACATAACGCACAAGATTTGAAAAGAAAAAAACACACCAAGGTAAATTTTTTTCTGAGGTGCTAAGACAACATCACAAATAATAAGCATAATATAATGGCAAGATGAAGATTTCTGCCCCACAATTAAACAATACAAGTCACTCTCAGGAAAAGATGCATTTACAAAAACAATGATCACAATTTAAGCTCGTAAATCAATTATCAATAAGTTCAAACAATTATTGTTATAAGGCTGCATAAAAACGTAAGGTTTTAAAATGATAGAACACTTAAATTAGTACAGCCACTATGGAAACTGCATAAAGATTTCTCAAATAATTAAAAATAGAACTGCCATACGATACAGCAATCCCACTACTGGTTAGATATTTAAAGAAATTATATCAGTGTATCAAAGAAATATCTGCACTCTCGTGTTCATTTCAACACTGTTTACAATATACAAGATACGAAAGAAAATCAAGTATCCAACAACACATAAATGGATAAAGAAAATGTGGAATATATACAAACAACGAAATAATATTCAGCTATAACAAGAAAGAAATCCTGCCATTTGTGACAACATGAATGGACCTGGAGGACATTATGTAAAGTGAAATAAGCCAGGCACAAAAAGAGTGGCACCATATAATTTCACTTATATGTGGAAATGAAAAGAATTGGACTCATAGAGAGAAGGGTGGTTACTAGGGACTTGTGATGGTGGGGGAGGCAGGCAGATGTTAGTCAAAGGATACGAAATATGACTTAAAAGGAATAAATTCAAGAGATCTACTTTTCAATATGGTGAATCAAGTTAATAAAAATGTAATATATTCTTTAAAATTCCTAAGAGTAGATTTTAAGTGTTCTCACCAAAAAAAAGGTAAGTAAATGAGGTAATGAATATGTTGATTAGCTCAATTTAGCCATTCCATAATATATACATATTTCAAAGCAATGTATTGTACATAATAAATATATACAATTTTTATTTTTTAATAAAAATACAGGAAATAAGTTATTTTTTTCTCACATGGTATGATTCATTGTATATATGGGAAATTCAGTTAAATTTATGGATAAATTATTAGAAATAACAGAATTTAGCAGGGTGACAGGCAATAAGACCAAATTAAAATACCTTTCTATATATGAACATCAGTTTCATAGCTATGTAAACTTTGTCAAGTTAGTATCTCTGGAATTATAAATTCCTCATATATAAAATAAGAAAAATAATAGTAACTACTTCATATGGCTGTTAGAATATCAAATAAACTAACATGTATAAACTCTTAGAATAGTGCGTGATACATTGTAATTTCTAAATAAGACCTAAATAATAGATACATTCGTATTTATAATATTTTAGGTAAAAAGAAATATGTAAGCTATTGGAAACAGCCTTTTATGATCTTCCACTGTAATTAGGAACTGAAAAGTTTCTACAACATTTGTAAGGCTTTTGAATTACAAATTAGTTCCAGTAAATGCCACTCTCAAGAAAAATGTCCTCAGCTGATATTTTTTGAAAAATACCCATGGTAGTAATCAGATAAAAACTGTTGTAATGGTCTGCTAAAATTCTGAAACAAAATAATATAATATAGTGCTGGAAATAACTTTTTCATCAAAGTATTAAGTTCTTATGAATGCTTCCCGCAATATTTTCTGTTTGGAAAAATTAAAGAATTTTGCTGAGGATTTTACAGCAATTATAGAAAGTGGAACAATTTTGCACTTATTCTAAAACCCATAACTGTACTTTGACCACTAACCATATTTTGTAACACAAATCTCCTTTTATTTGCAAATTTCCTTAAGAGGAAATTAGTATTTTCTCACAAGTACTAAATAAATCAGAATAAACATTTATATAATATTTATTTGTAGACGTGACAAAGGTTAGTTTAATCTGTATGTTTCCCTTTGGCCCTTTTAATATCAAATCGGTTTTGTATAAATAAAAAAGTTACAATATCTTTTGTCCACATTCTCATTGTGCATCAAGAGGATAGTAAACTGGATGAAATCAAGCTATTAGGAACAACGTGAAATATACATATATTTACATGGCTTTCAAATGGAAGAAACAATCATAAAATGAATAATAATATCTTCAATGTATGTGCAGTGAATAGAGCATCGGATACTTAGTAAAGTGTAATAAATAAAGTAGGAGACAAACTAAAGCAATTTTTAAGAAATAGGAGGAAAGGGATAAATAGAAAAAATATTAAACAATTAAAGGATGAGTGACAAGATCAAGTGAACCAATGAACTTAACAATTGTAGAAGAAGCAAACAGAGAAAATGGAGATGAAGCAATAATGAAAGAAATAAAGGGATATTTAGGAAGCCCACAGATAAAAAGATCGACATAAGCAAAAATATTAAATTAGAATAACATTAAGACAGCCTAGTGTCTAAGTCTGATATTTTCTTAACATTAAGAATAAAAAATAGAACTTCAAATTATATCTGAGATCAATATTTGCCTGCAAAGTAATTAAACTAAGGATAATCTATGACTTTTTTTTAGGATAGATTCTAGAAAACCATGATCAATCTACACAGTGGTTTCTTGAAAAGTGACTTGGGTCAACCTGAATATCACTGCTTTGCCAAATGGAAAGAAACATAATGTTAGCTACATAAGAGCTTAGAAATGAATACTAAAGTCAGTGTATATAAAAACTTGAAAGATACGGGTGAAAAGAGAAACACATAATAAAAATGCTTTTAAAAATAATGAATATAAATGAACAATTTAATCACTTAATGAATGTAGAATAGAAACAAAATAAATCCCAAGAAAGCAGACACTCTCCCACCAAAAAGATAAAGCAGAAATTAAAACAGTCCAGGCCTCGTGGCTCACACCTGTAATCCCAGCACTTTGGGAGGCCGAGGTGGGTGAATCACTTGAGCCCTGGAGTTTGAGATCAGCCTGGGCAATATGGGGAAATTCCATATAAACAGAAAAAATAAGAAATTATTAGGTTAGCATGGTGGCATGTACCTGTAGTCCTTGTTACTTGTGAGGCTGAGGCAGAAGGACTGCTTGAGCCCATGAGGTCAAGGCTGCAGTGAACCATGATCTTGTCACTATACGCGAGCCTGGGCGACAGAGCAAGACTCTGTATTAAAGAAAAATAATAATAAGTAATAATAAAAAATATAGTAATACAAAACTAAAAACAATTGATATTATCAATAAATACTTGCCTAAAATATAGATGAATCTTTAGACAGGAAAAAAGTTTCATAGGTAAAAAAAGAACAAAAATAATTTACTCACATTTAGTATAAGGAAATATGAAATCAACAATCAAATAATCATACAGAAAGAGAACAAATGTAGTAACAATATAGGCAAATGGAGAAATTTACAGATGCTAACCTACAAAGATAGTTTAAAAAGTGAAAAACTGTTCAATTTCCTTAGTGAAATTTGAGACACCCTGCTAAGTGGTGTCAATCAAATTAACAAAAATAAGAAAATGCCAATACACAAAAGTAGAAATAGTGTATACTAAACAGTAGAGAAACAATTTTAACAAAACCCAAAGGATATTATTCAAAATCATACAAATTTGAATAAAACATCAAACATGAAATAATTTCTGGGAAAATGAAATAATTCAAAGCGACTCAAGGTAAAATAGAATAATTTTTAAAAAGTAAGTAAAAAATGAAATGCTTTGAAAGTACTACCTTGAAAAAAAGTCATTTTATAGAATTTTAAAGATACCATGGGAACAATTACATCTCAAATAAAATAAAAATTTCTACTATTAAGAAAAAGAGGAAAATTGTGCTAATTTGTTCCACACAGCTATGAGATCTCTAATGCCGTTTTGATTATGATGGATTTTCTAGTATCAAATGTGCCAGCTGACATAAATAAATAAAAATGGCAAAATATATTAAACCACACTTTAGACATTGGAGAAGGGCAATCCAGGACTCTAGTCCTTGAGAGAAAAAACCTAATGAAATTAATCTTCCCTTTGCCTTAGTTTTTTGAGAAACTTTTTGGACAGTAGAATGGGCTGGGGTTTGGGAGAAACCCAAGTAGAGCATACGTCTCTTGCTGGGTTGAGGCATAAACGATTAGAGTGCAGGGAGACTGCAGGAGATGAAATTTCTGGTGCATAATATCAGCAAAGGAGGAGCCACATGAAAAAAGAGCTCCAGAAACCTGCATGGGATTCCCCTTGACAAAAAATAAAGGACACATGTATAATGATTCTCTGCTATGCTGAGTAAAGAACTACCAGGAGGCTATACACTGAACAAGTTCCTGATCATGCACAGGGCTAAGAGAACTTGAGATTCTGAACAGCCAGAATAAAGAGGCCACATTGGACATCATGGAAATTCAGTAAAGACCACAGAAGGTCTGTCTTTCTAGTCAGGCGAAACTAGTCCTAAATTAAAAGCAACCCTAAACTCACCCTAAAATCATGGAGAAATGAGGCTCCTGCCAACAGCTATGTGAGTGAGCCAACTTGGGAGTGGATTCTCTATCTCCAAACAAATCTTTAGGTGATTGGAGTAATGGCCAACATTTGATGGCAACTCCATTAGAGACCCTGAGACAGAATTTCTGAACCATGAAAATGGAAAGAGATACAAAATGTTTATTATTGTTGTAGCCACTAAACTTCGGGGTAACTTGTTACACAGCAATTGATAAATAAAACAATTATTTATCCAGCTACCTTTACTGCTGTGTCCAAAATGTAACACCAGAGGCCAGTGGTCATCTCCCGAACTGTATCATCTCCTAGGTGAACCAACCTAGGGGTCCACTGATTTCACTGTACCCCTTCCATAGATTGAAGAATCTTTTTGTCCTATCAAGAAAATACAGGAGCATAGGTATAGATTTGTCTTTCCTACAAAAAAAGATTACGTAAGAACCACTGTTAATTAGTCACTTGACAAAATGCTTATCCTGGATATTTTACACAATATTGTATTCCACCTGGAGACGCAGTTCATGGCAAAGAAAGTGTGTTAGTAATCTCACATCTACAGAAACTTGTCTTTCATCATTACTCATCATGTAGAAGCAGCCATCTTGATAGAGCAATGAAATAGTCTACTCACGTATGATCTCAGCTAGGAGACAATACACCATGAGGCTGGGCATAAATTTGCCAGATCTGGTACATCTTTTGAAGCTGCAACCAATATATATTGCCACTCTCTCCATGAGTAGGGTACAGAAGTCAAGATGGTGATGTGAGTACTGTTATTACTGAAGTTTATATATAATTGAAAAAAAAGTTCTTCATCTTCTCACAATTGGTAGACTTGGACCAGTCTTAGTGGAAGAATAATATTCCAAATAAACAAAATCAGGTTTCTAATGGAGAGGGAGATGAGTCTGCCCCCTGATCAATTTGCTCTCAGAATGTCTATGAAATAACAGTTTGAGAAGGAGAGTTGTTAAGGTAACATGGAAGAAACAATGTTAACTTAAAATATAAAACATTTCTTATTTCATCCTTATTTTATGAATATTTTATTGTACCTCGTGAACAGAAAAGCATGTGGAGACTGCAGCAGCTATGTTTAATGTTTTCAAAGCACTTCTTTTTTCCCTCCCCACCTTACAAAAAGTACCAGTGAAACTTAAAGTTTCAAGTGGGAATATGACTGGAGTTATTCCAGGACTCCACAATTACAGTGAGGCTGATGAGACGATGATTTTTTGTGCATCTGCTATGATAGGGAAGTGTTCTCAAGCAGGCAAAAGATATGAGTAGATGGTAAGGGGCAAAATGGGTGAGCTGTACTCTCTGCTTTGTACCCTTCTCCATTCTGCTTTCTACACCAAGAGGCTGAAAAATAAGAAATCTGCTTTCCATTGGTTTCAGCCAAACCACACAGAAGATCCAAGGTAGAGGGGAGAAAGAGATGACAACATATATTTCCCTGATTTCTGCTGCTGACGGTCACACTGAGCTGGCCATGTCCCTTAGTCAAATGCCACTACCTCTTTCAAAATGGCCAGCTTTACACAACTCTCCCTCTGTAAGTTCTTCAGACACCTTCCTTCCTTATTCTTTCTGGCCTAGAGAACAGTTGTGTGTCCGGAATTGGTGGGTTCTTGGTCTCACTGACTTCAAGAATTAAGCCGCAGACCCTCGCGGTGAGTGCTACAGCTTTTAAGGTGGCTTGTCTGGAATTTGTTCCTTCTGATGTTCGGACGTGTTAGGAGTTTCATCCTTCTGGTGGGTTTGTGGTCTCGCTGGCTCAGGAGTGAAGCTGCGGACCTCCACGGTGACTGTTACAGCTCTTAAGGTGGCGCGTCTGGAGTTGTTCGGTCCTCCCGGTGAGCTTGTGGTCTCGCTGGCTTCAGGAGTGAAGCGGCAGACCTTCGCGGTGAGAGTTACAGCTTGTAAAAGCAGCGTGGACCCAAAGAGCGAGCAGTAGCAACATTTATTGCAAAGAGCAAAACGACAAAGCCTCCACAATCTGAAAAGCGACCCGAGCGGGTTGCCACTGTTGGCTCGGGCAGCCTGCTTTTATTATCTTATCTGGCCCCACCCACGTCCTGCGGATTGGTAGAGCCCAGTGGTCTGTTTTGACAGGGCGCTGATTGGTGCGTTTACAATCCCTGAACTAGACACAAAGGTTCTCCACCTCCCCACCAAATTAGTTAGGTACAGAGTGCTGACACAAAGGTTCTCCAAGGCCCCACCAGAGTAGCTAGATACAGAGTGTCGATTGGTGCATTCACAAACCCTGAGCAAGACACAGGGTGCTGATTGGTGTGTTTACAAACCTTGAGCTAGATACAGAGTGCCGATTGGTGTATTTACAATCCCTGAGCTAGACATAAAGGTTCTCCAAGGCCCCACCAGACTCAGCAGCCCAACTGGCTTCACCCAGTGGATCCCGCACCGGGGCTGCAGGTGGAGCTGCCTGCCGGTCCCGCGCCGTGCGCCCGCACTCCTCAGCCCTTGGGTGGTCGATGGGACCGGGCGCCATGGGGCAGAGGGCAGCGCTCATCGGGGAGGCTTGGGCCGCACAGGAGCCCATGGAGGCGGTGGGAGGCTCAGGCATGGTGGGCTGCAGGTCCCGAGCCCTGCCCCGCGGGAAAGCAGCTAAGGCCCCGGTGAGAAATCGAGCACAGCGCCGGTGGGCTGGCACTTCTTGGGGACCCAGTACACCCTCCGCCGCCACTTGCCCGGGTGCTAAGCCCCTCATTGCCTGGGGCCGGCAAGGCCGGCCGGCTGCTCCGAGTGCGGGGCCCGCCAAGCCCACGCCCACCCGGAACTCCAGCTGGCCAGCAAGCGCTGCGCGCAGCCCCGGTTCCCACTAGCGCCTCTCCCTCCACACCTCCCTGCAAGCTGAGGGAGCCGGCTCTGGCCTTGGCCAGCCTAGAAAGGGGCTCCCACAGTGCAGCGGTGGGCTGAAGGGCTTCTCAAGTGCCGCCAAAGTAGGAGCTCAGGCAGAGGAGGCCGCGAGACGGAGCGAGGGCTGTGAGGACTGCCAGCACTCTGTCACCTCTCAGTCGTAAGGACTGTTATGCTGCAGGTAACTGCTGATTCCCTTACTCTTTTACTTTTGTAGTTAGTTCTTTTAAATAAGCCTTCTCTGAGTTCTGTTTGAATGTACCATCTTATTGGGATCCAGACTGATACACTAGGTTAACTGTTAATAGCCAGAAATATTTAAGTTAAAGATAACTCTATCAAGAATCATGAAAAAATAAGTTGATCAAAGTCAGGTACCATTACTTGGAACTCTTGGTTACACAGGATTAAGTATCCAGCAGACATTCAGATGGTAGTGCTGATTAATTAAATGATATTTTTTAAAAGATAAGATTATTCTTAATTCTGAGATGTGATTTTCAACTTTATAAATAACACTTCTAAGAAACACTAAAATATTCTTTGCATAGAAACATAAAAACTGCCAGGTGATAGATGAAGAAACAGTACAACAATTTATCTCTGAAATTGGCATCAAGGACCTTTACAATTACATTGTTCTATTTTTATATAATACATGTTAGGAAGATTTTCTCATCTAGGAATTTACATGATAATAATTGTTAATTCATTTTAAATCTGTTTACATTATTAACTTATATACCCATTGTCAGTAATATCACCATTTTCCATTTAAAATTTATGTTCTTGTTCTACATCTACCTCTTCTGGGCTTTCAGGGATAGTCTCTCATTCTGCCTCTGGTTCTCTTAAAATTCACATTTTTCCACTCACCAGGGCCATTTTCCTGTAAACCATTAGGCTCCAATCTTATTTCTCTATATGAGCAATTTATTTTTGTCCTTTCTTCATTAAAATTTTGATTTCTTCATGGCAGACAATATTCATGAGGAAATGTCAACTTAGCTACCACATTCAGTCACCTTTAATTTTAAGCTGAGGAATTATTCTGGATAATGAATTACACCTTTTAAATTGAGATAGTTGACCACAGTGATATATCTGGGTATGTTAATTCAACATGTATAAAGCATCTACAGTAATTAATAATATTTTTTCTAATTTGTTATAATTAATATAAAAATTATGCTGAGAATAAGCTTATGAATAAGACATAGTTTCTGTCTTGAAGGTGCTCACAGGCAAGTTGAATTATGATGAGAGGTAAAAATCCCAGAGGTGTCTGACACAGGATTCATTACATTTAGAAATCTCCCCAGTAAGTCCTCTGCATTTTATTATATGGTTCTCTCCCCAGTTAAAAATAATTTCACACTGTCCATCAGAAATTAAAGATTGTATTTTATTGAAAATGGTTTAGATCATATTCTATTTTATTTTTTACTTTTGGATATTTGTGGTATGACTTTGTTCATCTCTTATTATATTGAAACAAATAGGTCAACACGAAATAAACCAACATAAACGACTAATAAATCATTTTTGTTTTTACCAACATTAGTATTATAGCTGCAAAGTGTTTGAATCCCTTGGAGTTTGGATGAATTATTTATTATAATTCAGTAAAGGTCTATATTAATTTATCATAACTACTGCCTAAAAACAATGCACTGATCATGCATTCAGATCCTATGTAAAAATAGAGAAAAAAATATAAAAAGACAAAGAGGGGAGAGAAAAGGAGAAAATTAAAAGAAGAAAATTTAAAAAGTAAATTAATAGAGCTGAACTATCTTTTGTCTTAAATTCTTAACCTTATTTTTTTAAACGTAGTGTAGAATTTATTAGAATTACTTTTGGTGGGTGATGCATATTTATTTTAAAATTGGATTTCTTAATTTAATAATTTGAGTCGTGTAGGTAAGGAGAAGAGATATTAAAATAATATGTTTAAGGGTAAGATAAATCTATCAGGTCAAAAAGGCTGTCTATACGTTTGATGCTTTTTGATAATTCAGATAAATTTTAGCAAAATCTCGCTTACTTGAAGTTAGTATATGGAACTTCAAATATTCATAATCCAGTCAAGAAGTCTGAAGAAAACACCCTGCTCCACCAAAAAAAAAAAAAAAAGGAGAGGACACTCTAAGAAGCAAAGACTTATAATGACACAAAGTACTGAAAGTCTATGCTTAACAGACGGTAAGATTCAGTTGTTTGAAAATTTCCTTATATGGATTTATCTATGCCCAACAGTGCTGAATGAATAAAATATCACCATATTTATACAGCAAATAAATTGGAATTTTTAAGATTCTTTAGGTTGCATGTGAGATAAATGTCTATATTAAAATAAACTTGATGATATGCAAAAATGTTATTTTAATTAAATAATGCATAAATGGTAGGAGAATTAAATATGCACTTCAGATAATTTCAGATGCTTCCATTATATTACTATTCTTGACTTTATGAAGGAATTATAGAGAGCAACATATTCATAAATTATATCAGAAGTGAGTAAAGCAATTCAAGAAGTAATTGGCCTTACTAGTGTACCCACAGGGACACATTCCTCTAGAATAGTTAGACATAGTGGGAGATAGGAGCAAGGATAATTTGATCATGACAGTTGTTCGATACATAGAAATGCACATTCAGCAAATTGTGGAAGAATGAAAAAATAAGTCAGAAGAGAAAAACAGATTCTACAGTTTTACATTATAATATACGCTGAATATAGAAATGAATTTGAATCACACGCTTGAAATCTTTCTAGGCACCAGTGCCCTTGTGCCTACAGTTCTGCAAGATGCTCCTCAAAGACTTGCAGTTTGATTTTTTATGTATTTTTGAAATGTAGGAGAAAAAAGATCTTTTACCCATCACAAATTCATGCTCAAGACTCGTCTATCAAAAAACAGATTAACAAGTGAAAAGAATACAGATGTATTTAACACAAGTTTTACGTGACATGAGAGACTTCACAAATCAACATGGTAAGAAAGAGGGAAACCTGAATATTTTTATGGACTGTAATGCAGACGTGTGATTGGAAAAGAAGAGGGTATGGTAATAAACTGAGGGGAATTTGGCTAGCCTGTTTCTTCATACGTTCCTTATGTGTGGGTAGAGGGTGGACACCTCTGGAATAAAGGTTCTATGACCTACTTCAGATTCAGATAATTCTCTTATAGCCTGCTTTACGGGAGAGTAGCGAGAAGAAAGTGAGAATAAACTTCTGCTGCTGCTTCCTTGAATGCCAAAATGCCATATTTTAGAGTAATATGTCCTGAACTCGATCAGAGAATGGAAAGAAATATACAAACTAAAATATCTTTTCAGGCCACACAGAGATTATAATTCTTTTAGTGTTAAACTGAAATTTAAATTATTTCTTATTTCATCTTTATTCCATAAATTTTTTTAAATCCTATAAAAATATCTCATTGGTATGTTTTCTGTCTTCCTTTTTAGTATGTATGAAATTGATGAATATATTTCTGAATATATAAATTCCTGTAATTTTCTTCACATTGTTCAAAAGTACATCAGAAAAAAGCCATGGGTCATTTAATCTATGGAACATATTAAGAGGAATTAAAGACTGAAGATTTTGCGAACCTAAACTTTTAAGATAATTTTTTTCAAAATACTTATTTTTCCTTCAAATTTCTTTTGTCTTAACTTTTATTTTAGGTTCAGGGGTACATATGCAGGGTTTTTGTGTAGGTAAATTGTACATCACGAGGGGTTGGGGTACAGATTGTTTCATCACTCGGGTAATAAGCATAATACCTGATTGGTAGTTTTGTGATCCTCTCCCCTCTGCCACTCTCCACCCTCAAGTAGGCCTGTTATCTGTTGTTCCCTTCTTTGTATTCATTTGTACTCAGTGTTTTGCTTCCACTTATAAGTGAGAACATGTGGTATTTGGTTTTCTGTTCTTGTGTTAATTTGCTTAGGATAATGGCCTCCGGCTCCATCCATCTTGCTGCAAAGACATGATCTCATTCTTTTTATAGCTGCATAATATTCCATGATGTATATGTACCACAGTTTCTTTAACCAGTCTACTGTTGATGGGCATTTAGATTGATTCCATGTCTTTGATACAGTGAATAGTGATTATCATATATGTGCATGTGTCTTTATGGTAGAATGATTTATATTCCTTTGAGTTTACCCAATAATGAGATTGCTGGGTTGAATGGTAATTCTATTTTAAGTTCTTTGACAAATCACCACACTGCTTTCTACAATGGCTGAACTAATTTACATTCCCACTAGCAGTGTCTAAGTGTTCCCTTTTCTTAGCAACCTCACCAACATATTTTTTTTTAACTTTTTAATAATAGCCATTCTAACTGGTGGTATGGTATGTGCAGGTAGATAGTGTATATCTCTGGAATAAAGATTCTTATTGGTATCTCACTCATATTTTATGGTATTTCTTTGATGGCATCTCATTGTGGTTTTGATTTGCATATCTCTAATGATTAGTAATATTGAGCATTTTTTTCATATTTTTTTTGGCTGCATGTATGTTTTCTTTTGAGAAGTGTCTCTTCATGTCCTTTGCCTGCTTTGTAATGTTTGTTTTTTGCTTGTCAATTTGTTTAAGTTTCTTTTAAAATCTGGATATTAGACCTTTGTCAAATGCATAGTTTGCAAATATTTTCTCCCATTCTGTAGGTTGCCTGTTTACTTTGTTGATTGCTTTATTATTTAAATTGTCAGATAAAATTGCATGTATTTATCATGAACAACAGGATGTTTTGAAGAGTACATACATTATGAAATGGTTAAATCTACCTAATTATATATGCATTACCTCACATAGTTACCATTTTTGTGGTGAGAACACTTACTCACTGTGTTAGCATCTTTTAACAATAAAAAATATCATCACTAACTACAGTAACCATGCTGTACAATAGATCTCTTTATTCCTTCCATCTCACTGTAATTTGTGTCCTTTGACCAACATCCTCCCAAGTCCCTACTTGCAAAATGCCCCAGCCTCTACCAACAACCATTTTACTCTTTATTTCTATGGGATCAACTTTTTTACATTCTGCTCTGACCCTATATTATTTTTTTCCTTCTATTAATTTTTGACTTAGTTTGTTCTTGTTTTTTTTTTTCTTTTAGTTCCTTCAGGTGAAATGTTAAATTGCTTCTTTGAGAGCTTTTTTCTTTTTTGATATAGATATTTATTGCTATAAGCTTTCCTCTTGGAGCTGATTTTGCTGTATTACATAGGTTTTGGTATGTTGTGTTTCTAGGTTCATTTGCCTCCATTTATTTTTAAATTTCCCCTTTAATTTATTCTTTGACTCATTTGTGTTTTAAGAGCAATTCATTAATTTCCATGTGTTTCATGTGTTTCTAAATTTTCCAGAATTCCTTCTGTATAGATTTCTGCTTTCAAATTCTTGTGGTGAGAAATGATACTTTATTTATATATATATACAGACACACACATATATGTATTTACATGTATTTATATATATATGTATTTACCACTGTTATATTCTCTTGCTGTATTAACTCTTTTATTACATAAAAAACTTATTTGTTTCTTTTTACAGTTTTGACATAAAGTTTTGTTTATCTGATATAAAAATTGGTACTTCTGTTCCCTTTTGGTTTCTACTGACATGGAGTATTTTTTTTTTCAGCACCTTCACTTTCAATCTATATATGTCATTACGGATAAAATGAGTCTCTTGTAGGCAACGTATAGTTGGTTCTTGTTTTCAATTTATTCAGTCATGCTATATTTTTGGTTTGAAGAATTTAATCCCTTGATATTCAATGTTATTATTGATAGGTAGGGACTTACTACTGCCATTTTGTTAATTGCTTACTAGCTGCTTAGTAGCGCCTTTGTTCCTTTCCTCTTCCTTTATGGTAAAGTGATTTTTCATTAGCATTTCTTATAAGACAGGTGAGATGATGAACTCCCTCAGATTTTGTTTGTCTGGGAAAGTCTTTGTCTCTGCTTCATTTCTGAAGGAAAGCTTTCCTGGATACCACAGTCTTGATTGGCACCTTATTTTTCAGTATGTTATATATATCATTCCATTATCTCCTGGCTTGTAGGATTTCTATAAAGAAGTTGGCTTGTAGTTGTACTAAAACTGCCTTATATGCTATTTGCTTCTCTCTGCTTTCATGATTCTTTGTTTTGATTTTTGACAGTTTTATTATAATATGTCTTGGGGTAGTCTTATTTAGATTGAATTTGATTGAAGACTTCAAACTTTCCTGTGCCTGGATATTTATATCTTTCTTCAGTTTTGAAAAGTTCCCTATTATTTCTTTAAATAAGGTTTCTACACCTTTATCTTTCTTCTCTCTCTTGAATTTCAATAACTCATAAAAATTGCTCTTTTGATTCTGTCACATAAATCCTGCATGTCTGCTTTATTCTTTCTCATTACGTTTTTCTTTTAAAAAATATCTAACTGTATATTTTCAAATAACCTGTCTGAGTTTTCAGATTCCTTCTTCCGTTTAATCAAGTGCTGTTGATGTTCTCTACTGCATTTTTTCATTTGTTCATTGTATTTTTCAGCTCTAAGATTTTTGCTTTTAAAAAATTATTTCAATCTTCCCTTATATTTCTAATTATAATCACTTATTGTTTTCCTTATTTGTTTGAATTGTTTCTCTGCATTTTATGGAAATTTCCTTAGCTTCTATAAAACAGTATTTTTGTCAGGCTTTCATGCATCTCCATTTCTATAGGCTTAGTCACTGGCATTTTATTTTGTCTCTGGTGCTGTCACCTTTCCCTGTTTGATCTTGATCCTTGTGGCCATGCGTAGATGTCTGTGCACTTGAAAAATTAGGTACTTATACTTGTTTTTGTAGACTGGCTTTGTCTGGCAGCACCCTTTAATAGTAAGCTTGTCCAGAGATCCTTGGCAGGCCATCTCGTATGGTCCCTATGCCAAGGACAGCTTAGCCATTGCAGCACTGGGGGAACCCTAAGCCTGGGACCACTATGTCTGCTGGGGGTAGGATTGGAAACCTTGTGGCTGCTGAGGCTGGCATAGTGCTTGAGCAAGCCCAAAGACTCCTGGCTTCTGAAGCCTATCGTCCATTGAGATTTGTCCAGAGCTGAACACTGCTGTAGTCAGTAAGTAGTGATGTCAGCTGCAGATTGTGTCTGCCTTTCAGGAGCTATGGGTAGCCCCTGGCACTGGGGCAGGTCTGGAGGTCATTCCACAGGTACTTGCCTGGAATCAGGGGTCATGGGAGTCTGCCTGATGATGGGCTTTTCTGTGGCAGGCCTGGTTTTAGGGTCCAAGAAAAAGTCCTCTGCTTACTTGCCTCTCCTTCCCCCAAGCAGACAGCATATCTCTAAGTGTGGTGCTACCTGTGGTTGGGAGAAGGATGATGTGTGTAATCTAACACTGTTCTCCTATCCTCTTCCATGCATCTTTTTTGTTATTATGCATATCTAGGTACTGTAGTCTTGCACCTGTTTCACTTTACCTTTTTGAAGATTTTTGTGAGTGTATAGTTGTTCAAATTGATGTTTCTATGATGGGATGATCACTAAAGATTTCTTTTTTGCAATCTTGCAACATTACCCTCTTCCCAAAATACTCTTTACTGCACAGAAAATCCTGGCCTTCAAAGACAATAAACTTGAGTCAGTAAGAGATGCTTCCTATGTTCTAAGGAAACTTCCTTTAACACAACTACTCTTTGGAATTGTTATCATGTAGATCTGCGGAAATACAGAGATCTTTTAAGTGAATCTTGTTGGCATTTGATTTTTATAATTTTATTTTTCAAGGCAGTAATATTTAGACACTAAATAGGACAATAAAAATTTCAGAGACTTATCTGAATAATAAAGAGTATCTAGCCTATTCCATATTATTTATCAGACTTTGTCCTTCTAATTATGACAATGTTAATAAACACATATATTCTCTCATTTCCCTCAAAGTTTCTTCATGTGTGTGTGTACATAAATGACTCATATGTATGTTATGATAAAACAAGGATGAATAAAAGGAAATTTAGATTTTTTTTGTTTTGAGAAGGTCATGCTCCGTTGCCCAGGCTGAAGTGCAGTAGCATGACCATAGCTCACGGAAACCTCAAATTTCTTGGCTCAAGTGATCCTTCCATCTCAGCTTCTCGGGTAGCTAGGCTTTAAAAAAAAATTGTAGAGATGCAGTGTCACTGTGTTGCTCGGGCTAATCTCAAACTCCTGGCCTCAAGCAGTCCTCCTGCCTTGGCCTCCTGAAGTGCTGGGATTACAGATATAAGTCACCATGACCAGCCTGGATTAAAATTTTTACTGAATACCTTTTCCATGAATCTACCTGTTAAAATGATTACATATCAAAATATGAAACTTATTTATACATTATTTATTCCAATTTTCCTAGTGTGTATGAAAATGACTTTTTTGTCTAAATTAATTTAAATTTTTACAGATATATTTTTGCAATATATTCCCTACAAACATCTCATTTATGATATTTACATGTTTCTTTATTGGGAACATAAGAATCACAAGTACATAATTTTTACCACTGGTATCATTACTTATAAAAAACACACCCACACACACAAAAACACAAAAACCCAGAAGGCAAGCATCAAAGAAAAGCAATCAATATTTTAAATATTTAAACATTTTTATTAAATATTTAAACATTTTTATTAAATATTTAAATATTTTGTTAAATATTTAAACATTTTTATTAAATATTTAAATATTTTGTTAAATATTTAAACATTTTTATTAAATATTTAAATATTTTGTTAAATATTTAAACATTTTTATTAAACATTTAAATATTTAAACATTTATATTAAATATTTAAATATTTAAATATTTTATTAAATATTTAAATATTTAAGTATTTTATTAAATATTTAAATATTTAAGTATTTTCTTAAATATTTAAATATTTAAGTATTTTCTTAAATATTTAAGTATTTTCTTAAATATTTAAATATTTTCTTAAATATTTAAATATTTTCTTAAATATTTAAATCAATATTTTAAATATTTTAAATATTAAATCAATATTTTAAATATTTTAAATATTAAATCAATATTTTAAATATTTAAAAAGAAGAGAAAGCAATATTTTCTAAGCAACAAGGACTGTACCTGATTATTATTATCTCATTTAAATATAATACAGTGTTATGAAATGAGTTCTTCTTTTTTTATACTTTAACTTTTAGGGTACATGTGCACAACGTGCAGGTTTGTTACATATGTATACATGTGCCATGTTGGTGTGCTGCACCCATTAACTCATCATTTACATTAGGTATATCTCCTAATGCTATCCCTCCCCACTCCCCCCACCCCACAGCAGGCCCCAGTGTGTGATGTTCCCCTTCCTGTGTCCATGTGTTCTCATTGTTCAATTCCCACCTGTGAGTGAGAACATGCGGTGTTTGGTTTTTTGTCCTTGCGATAGTTTGCTGAGAATGATGGTTTCCAGCTTCATCCATGTCCCTACAAAGAACATGAACTCATCCTTTTTTATGGCTGCATAGTATTCCATGGTGTATATGTGCCACATTTTCTTAATCTAGTCTATCATTGTTGGACATTTGGCTTGGTTCCAAGTCTTTGCTATTGTGAATAGTGCCACAATAAACATATGTGTGCATGTGTCTTTATAGCAGCATGATTTATAATCCTTTGGGTATATACCCAGTAATGGGATGGCTGGGTCAACTGGTATTTCTAGTTCTAGATCCCTGAGGAATCGCCACACTGACTTCCACAATGGTTGAACTAGTTTACAGTCCCACCAACAGGGTAAAAGTGTTCCTATTTCTCCACATCCTCTCCATCACCTGTTGTTTCCTGACTTTTTAATGATTGCCATTCTAACTGGTGTGTGATGTTATCTCATTGGGTTTTGATTTGCGTTTCTCTGATGGCCAGTGATGATGAGCACTTTTTCATGTGTCTTTTGGCTGCATAAATGTCTTCTTTAGAGAAGTGTCTGTTCATATCCTTCACCCACTTGTTGATGGGGTTGTTTTTTACTTGTAAATTTGTTTGAGTTCATTGTAGATTCTGGATATTAGCCCTTTGTCAGATGAGTAGATTGGAAACATTTTCTCCCATTTTGTAGGTTGCCTGTTCACTCTGATGGTAGTTTCTTTTGCTGTGCAGAAGCTCTTTAGTTTAATTAGATCCCATTTGTCAATTTTGTCTTTTGTTGCCATTGCTTTTGGTGTTTTAGACATGAAGTCCTTGCCCATGCCTGTGTCCTGAATGGTATTGCCTAGGTTTTCTTCTAGGGATTTTATGGTTTTAGGTCTAACATTTAAGTCTTTAATCCATCTTGAATTAATTTTTGTATAAGGTGTAAGGAAGGGATCCAGTTTCAGCTTTCTACATATGGCTAGCCAGTTTTCCCAGCACCATTTATTAAATAGGGAATCCTTTCCCCATTGCTTGTTTTTCTCAGGTTAGTCAAAGATCAGACAGTTGTGGATGTGTGGTATTATTTCTGAGGGCTCTGTTCTGTTCCACTGGTCTATATCTCTGTTTTGGTACCAGTACCATGCTGTTTTGGTTACTGTAGCCTTGTAGTATAGTTTGAAATCAGGTAGCGTGATGCCTCCAGCTTTGTTCTTTTGACTTAGGATTGACTTGGCAATGTGGGCTGTCTTTTGGTTCCATATGAACTTAAAGTAGTTTTTTCCAATTCTGTGAAGAAAGTCATTGGTAGCTTGATGGGGATGGCATTGAATCTATAAATTACCTTGGGCAGTATGGGCATTTTCACGATATTGATTCTTCCTACCCATGAGCATGGAATGTTCTTCCATTTGTTTGTATCATCTTTTATTTTGTTGAGCAGTGGTTTGTAGTTCTCCTTGAACAGGTCCTTCACATCCCTTGTAAGTTGGATTCCTAGGTATTTTATTCTCTTTGAAGCAATTGTGAATGGGAGTTCACTCATGATTTGGCTCTCTGTTTGTCTGTTATTGGTGTATAAGAATGCTTGTGATTTTTGCACATTGATTTTGTATCCTGAGACTTTGCTGAAGTTGCTTATCAGCTTAAGGAGATTTTGGGCTGAGATGATGGGGTTTTCTAGATATACCATCATGTCATCTGCAAACAGGGACAATTTGACCTCCTCTTTTCCTAATTGAGTACCCTTTATTTCCTTCTCCTGCTTGATTGCCCTGGCCAGAACTACCAACACCATGTTGAATAGGAGTGGTGAGAGAGGGCATCCCTGTCTTGTACCAGTTTTCAAAGGGAATCCTTCCAGTTTTTGCCCATTCAGTATGATATTGACCCTGAACGCGCCTGATCTCGTCTGAAATTAGTTCTTATTGTCTTTCACAGATTCAGAAATCTAGGCTTAGAGGAAATATGCAATATTCTCCAATGTTAAACTACTAGTAACTAAATATAATTGTTATTAAAATCTAAGTCTGCTTGTACCCAAAGATCTCATTTGTTAGCTAATATATCATCTTACACATTCACCCAGTACATTTTAAAGCCCTTACTATGTCCTGAGTACAATACTAGACAATTTTTATAATTAGAAACTTATCTTTTTGACAAGGCCTCATTCTTATTACACTTAATTTTTAAGAAAAAGACTCTGATTATCATTAGGAGTTTGCTGAGTTAAGAAAAAAAAACCTCAAAACACTCAGAAAAAAACTTGTTACAATGAATATAAATAAGATTTGAAGTTTTGTCGTATTCACCTATGTGAAAAATAAAACAGATTAATAATAATGTTAGAATTAAGAGAGTACTCATAGCTGTACTACAGTCAGTTGGGTTATGTGAAATATTCTGTATTCAGAGGACAATTTGTGAAGTATGCTTCTTCAAGGGATGTAATACCTGGAGAGAATAATATTTACCTGAGCTATTAAAGGATTCTGCTTTAAAATAATGACTTAGTTTAGCTCTGGATGTGAAACTTGTAATAAATTCTAAATATAGACATGCAGAATTTATAGATATAAAAAAACCATAGAACTAATTAGTTTTGTTGGAACATTTGAGCTGAAAAATTTGCTCTGACCAGTCACTGGGAACAATTGAGATATCCATAGATGTCAAGGCAAACAAGTTATTTCCTTGCAGGTTCTGGGAGAAAAAAGTCCTTTTTAAAATTTTCATAAATCCTTCCATTATCTCAGAGGTTCTGTACTTACTATTAGACCTTGATTTCACCAAGATTATGTTCACCTACAAAATATTTAGAAAATTTAAATTATCAGCTGCTGAAAGATAACACAGAATGGTCATATGAGATTTGCAAATAGGCGCTAGTAAGAATACCATTGAGTTCTCACTGAATAAAGTGTTGCGATTGCTCTTTTGTCTTCCCACTGGAGAAAACTGTTATCACTGTGCCTTTGGTTTACTATCTAAGTAGTAGAAATAAAAATCCTCAAAGGAACCATTTATTATTAAGTAAGTGAAGTAAATTAGTCACAGTTCAGCACTTGGAAGTGGTAGTTACTTAGGAAACGTCTGTCTCTAACAAAAATTTAGTTTGTGAAAAAAATAAAGAAACCCTTACCAAGCATATTTATTTTCATATTAAAATTTCAGCTAATGCCAGGGAGGTCATCTTTCTCTTAAGACTGACATTTATTTTCCTCGCAAAGAGTAATATCTTTTATAACTTTATATGCAAAAGAACAATATTTGTGACAGAGCACAATGACTTGTAGCTTACATTGTATTTGGGTTGATTTTATGGCCTTTTCTTGTCTTTCAGAGTCAGCCATACTGTTTAAACAGAGGAAGACATTACTGCATTTGAATTAATTTTCTTCTTTTTCACAATATTAAAATATATATACTAATTATCACATTCATAAATTTAAAACGTTCCAAGTATTTACTTTAACCAGTTAAACTCATAAACTGCTACAAGCACTAAGTACCATAATATACAATAAAATGTAATTTTTTATTTTCCTTTTTTAATGTGATATATTCTATATTTTAAAAGTAATATTTGCAGTTCCATTTTTGGTAATGAATGCATATACTCCCACAGATAATAATTATACATTTTATTCAAAATATCTATAAACAACTATTTGAAGCACTGGTGAGTGACTAAAAACAGGCAGAAACTGCAGCATAAAATAGATAAAAACTCCATTTAGTGACATTTGTGCTTATGTAAATTTTTTTCCTGAAGACACTTACCAGTTCACAAGATGAAGATAGCTGAAATTCAAACAGACATCCGTCATTTTACTGATTTGAGGCATTAGAGGATAAAGTTATAGGATGCCAAACAGCTGAAAAGTGAATGAAGAAATTTTGGAAAGGAGAAAGAGATAGAGAAAGGAGCCCTAATGTTTGTCTTTAAACTCCACCTAAAGTCTGGAGTTTAAAACAAGCATGCTTATTACTACTGTTTGTATTCAAATTTGTGGCAGAGATACTAACTACTGCAATAAGGTAATAAAAAGGAACAAAATGCATACTATTTTACAGACACTAAAAAGATGATAAAGATGATAATGAAATCTTTTTAAAATGTTATACCAACAAATTTGATGACTTATATTATACAAAAAAAGTCCCTGAAAGAGTCCAACTAGTAAAGCTCACTCAAGAAGAAATAGATACTCTGAATGGTACTGTCTACTAATGAACATAAATTTGTAATTAAAAGCCCTTGTGGCTTCACTAGTTAATTCGACCAAACGTTTATAGAAGAAATAGTATCAATTTCACACAAAATCATATAGATAACAGAAGAGGAAGGAATATTTTCCAGCTATCTTTAGGAAGCCAAAAGCAGAGAAAATCATTACAAGAAAATAAACTATGGACTAATATTACTCATAAAGTTATATGTGGAAATCAGTAAATCATATCCTAAAATATGTAAAAATCTATGACTCCCTAATAACACAAATAAATCAATGTATAATTAAAATATGAGGACAAAGGAAAAGCTCTTATTTGGAATAGAATGTCAACCAGTATACATATAGACACAATGAAGGCATAAGAAAATCACAAGACTCTAAAGTCAGTAGGTAAAGATTTTTAGAGAATAGGATATTTTCATTGTCTTAAGGTATTCTCCACAAATTGGTTATCAATTGATAAGGAAAGAGTCACATCATAATGGAGAAACCTGGGGGACCCATTTTACCAAGTGATCAAGGTTGAAATCATTAATATTGGGTCGGTACTGAAAGGAATTAACATAATGGCCTGAGACTGCTGTCCTTACAAAGGCTTCTTGCAAGGTTAGTCACCAGCATCTGGGAACTTGGCTCTCCAAATGTTCCCTGGGCAACAGTTAACTGATAATAATGGTGGGGTTCACTGTGCATAGACTGCACGTGCAAACAATATGGTTATGTTAAATGCCTGCTTTTCTCTTCAGAGTCTAGAATTTGTGTACATGTAAGGTAGAGGGCGCCTACAAATAAATAAATAAAATCTTAAATAAAAAATAAGATTTTTTTCTTTTTTACAATATTAAAATATATCTACTAATTATCATATTCACAAATTAAACGTTTATGAATAAAAAATAAAAATCTTAACTACTTAAATTAAAAAACAAAAATCTTAGCTGCTTAGTCTCTAATGAGCTCCCCTAGGCAGAAATATTGCACATACGTTGCTGCAGATGGGGTTCAGGACATGCTACACCAAAATATGGCAGCTTGGCCTTTAAGAAAACAGCAGAAGCAGGATGTCCACTTACCTTCTCCTTTCCCTTCTTCTTTGAAGTAGGCCATAAAACCTAGGTCATTCTTTAACCTTCCACCCTCCCTTCTCTTCTGAAGACCTTCACTTGACAGGTATCCTCCCCTGCCCAGATGGAAGGAATGTTACACAGGGATGCCAAGAAGCATTTGAACAAGCCGGCCTTGCTAAGTTCCTCCCAGTTTATTACCAGAGATCATACCCTTTTGTCCTCCAATAATACTTCTCTACGACTGTCCATAAAAATACACAGATTCTTCTGTTTCTAGGGGGTCTTCATTTCTGGAGACTGCAATATCATGTAAAACTTATATTAAGTAAATTTGTATGCTTTTCTTTTGTTAATTCATCTTCTGTTATGGGGCCTCAGCTATGCACTTGCAAAAGGTGAGGAAAAAATATTAATGTAATTTTTTTTCTCCCCTACACTATATTTTTTTGCTGAGGAAAAGTGCACTCTGGGTGACCCCACGTGGGAGGCAGAGAGTATAAGGAAGACAGGCTTCATGTGAATTCCTCCCCATTCTGACTTTTTCCCTTCTGATTCGACCATTTGTCTGTACTACATTGCTGTAATAAATTTTAGCTGTAAGTACTACCGTATGCTTTGTCTCTTGAAATTTTTAAGGGAATATCTGAGATTCTCTTGGGTGCTTCTGTCACAGGGGCAAACTGACCTGCTGTGCATCCTAACATGAAGCAATGAGAAGAATAAAACACCGTTTTTAATGTTTCTGTCAAAACTGTATAAGCTAAATGTAATAATGAGAAGACATCAGACAGATTAAAATTGAGGGACATTTTACAAAATAACTTGTCAAAAATGTCAATGGGAATACAGGCAAAGAAGCGCTAGGGACTTTTTTAGAATAAAAGAGACTGAAAGAGACATAACTCCATACGATGACCCTGGAGTGAATCCTGAACCTCACAAAATTAAAATAGTTTTAAAAGACTGTTGAATAATTTAAAATTTTTGATTTGGGACAATGAAATAAATAATAGTGTAACATTGTGGTTAAATTGTTCACACTTTAATAATTTTACCATGGTATATAAGAAAATATTACTTTTTAAAGAAAAAATATGAAGTTATTTAGGAAATAGAGGCATGATGACTCCAACTTACTCCCTAATGATTCAGAAAAAGAATAATAGCACTATGTGTGTGTGTGTTTGTGCATGCGTGTGTGCATGTGTGTGTATGTCTGGAGAGAGGGGAAAAGAGCAAGAAGAGCATGAGAACAAGAGCCAGAAAGAAAAAACAAATGAGGCTAAATATAAATAAGTGACAAATCTGGGTAAATAATACATGAGAGTTCTTTGTATCATTCTTGCAAATTTTCTTCTAGTTTGAATTTATTTCAAAATTAAAAGATAAAAATTAAAAAAATTAAAAATAAAACAATGTATGCATTAAATTTAACAATTCAATGTTGTATAAAGAGAAAGGTCAACAGCCTCCCGCCAATCCCACTTGTGAAGAATAACCATGATAATAAACTCATGGGTGTCATTGTGCAACTTTCTCTTCACTTATACAAAAAACCCCAAAGAATGGTATGTTATATAATGTATTAAAATGTTATATTTTATATATATATATATTGCATTTAAGTATATATATAAAGCTTTAAGCCTTGTGTGTGTGTTTACTAAATGGAATCATAATATAAATACTACCCAACAACTTATTTTTTTCACTGAATAATATGTCAAGAACAACCCTGTAGGTCAGTACATAAAATTCTAATTAACCGTTTTTTTAAAAATGCACACACAAATATATAATTTTGTATGAAAGAGTATTTTTTTGTTGTTGTTTTTAGAGCAATCTTTTTCTGTTGATTTTTTTTTTCTTTTGCCTCTCGCTTACCTTTTCTTCCGCCACTTACTTATTTCTCCACACATCCTCTCTAACCAGGTAACCCATGTTAAAAATCTGGAGTATTTTGTTCTATTCCTTACTTCCTGTCTGTTTAAATTATTTTTATAGCTTTTAAAATTACTGCTATAAATGAACCATTTTCACAATTCTATTTATATGTTTATTATTAGATTTATAAGGTTAAAAGTGTAACTATTTTTGTCTCTGATTTTGCTTAGTTTGCAAAACAACAGCTTTCACATTGCAAAATGAATTGTGAGACTAACATCATCTATTTACATAAGGAGATGAAAATCCATTTTTCAATATTTTTAACAGCTACTTACAGCCCATAAAAGTCATTGGGTTGTGGCAGGTTAAAGTGATTTCTTAGGGGAAAGCAGTGCTGTCTCCAAGGGAGAGGGTGTATGGCTCCCACAGTCACCTCCAGTCATGGAAAGGGGCTTCAGTGGGATCATTAGGGTAGCTTCCTTTGTCTTCTATTTATGTCTGATAAATATAAAGGAGGTGAGGGGCACTGGCTTCAAATATGCTCTCAACATAGAGAAAAACAGAAGTGGTGCTTTGGATGGTTTTTGTATCCTAAGTTTGAGCGCAAAGGATTCGTTAAGTATTTTCTATGGATTAGAGCTGAACCAGATGCAAGAAGGTCAGAAAGCATTAGAGCTTAAACAGCTTCCAAACCTGGGGGTGGCTTTGCCACCTGACAATAGCACTAGTCAAGTAAAATCTTTACTGTTTCCTACTCTCCCTCCAACTCCTCTCGTCCAGTAAAAAAAGAAACTGTTAATTCTGCTGTCCTTTATTTGGGCAATGGAAAAAGTAAATGATGGGGAAATGAGAAGCAGCCATGCACTCACAGTTCTTTCAATACCACTTGACCATCTTGCAGTGGTCCAGAAATGGGAAAGAAGAGAGATGAGGGGGCTGTCTCAAAAAAAAAAAAAAAAAAGAAAAGAAAAGAAAGAAGATAGATGAGGATGAAAAAGTTGATGACATTTAAACTTTTTATTACTTCATTGAACTGGACTTAAGGATACTGAATATTAATTACCTACAATGACCTGAAAAGTCATGAGAATGTCTATAAATTTCATCTAGGAGAATGAGAAGACTCAGCATCATAGAATAAACATAAACAGCTTTGAGAAACTATTTGTATTATTCTAAGGTAGACATATTTATTTTTTCAATGTTTTATTGACCAGTTTTCTGATACAAAATAACAGACTTTTGTTGTAGTATACTAACTTTGTAATCCAGTGCTGAATTTTATTTATCCAATTTACTAATATTCATTCAATCTTTATAATTATTTAAAATTTTTATATTAAGAAATATAATTTGTCTTATGCTTTTCTATTCATGTCTTTTTAGATTTTGTTATTATTGTTATAAAGGCTTTAAAATACGCATCATAGATAGCGTCATTTCTTTTGGACTGAAGTAGTTTAAATATTATTGGAAATCTTTTATGATTCATTTATCCAATTTTTCCCTGTGATTATTTGTCATTCCAAATCTTATATGGTTTTATTCTTTTTAATTTATGTAATCAAAATGTCAAGAATATTGTTGGCATTATTAGTCAAAGAAACCATGTTCGAATCCACTTATGCTTTTACAATTTTCCATTTTCTATTTTATTAATCACATACAATCTTTATTAAATTCTTCTCTTCTTGTTTTTGCATTTTTGAAAGTACTATGAATTTTTTTTAATGAAGGCTATACATTTCCCATGGAGCAAAAATACATAAATAAATAAATGGATTACTCTTTGTAGTGTCGGTGGACGTCATTCAATCAGTTGAAGGCATTAAGAGCAAAAACTGAGGTTTCTAAAAAAGGAAAACAATAGTTTCAAGTGGTGGTGCACACCCATAATCCCAGCACTTTGGGAGGCTGAGGCTGGAGTATGGCTTGAGCCCAGCAGCTTCAGACCAGCCTGGGCAACAAACTGAGATCCCATCTCTACAAAAAATAAAAAAAAGTCAGCCAGGAATAGTGGTGTGTGCCTGTGGTCCCAGCTGCACCAGACCCTGAAGTAGGAGGGTAAAGAGCCATGTTCCTACCACTGCACTCCTGCCTGGGTGATATATCAACACACTGTCAAAAAAAAAAAAAAACAAAACAGACTAATACAGGAAATTGGTACAAGGAGTTTGGGGCACTGCTCTAAAGATATTTGACAATGTGGAAGCAACTTTGGAACTGGGTAATGGGCTGAGGTTAGAACAGTTTGGAGGGCTCAGAAGAAGATGTGGGAAAGTTTAGAACTTCCTAGAGACTTGTTAAATGGTTTTGAGCAAAATGCTGATAGTGATATGGACAATGAAGTACAGGCTGGGGTGATCTCACATGGAGATGAGAAACTGATTGGGAACTGGAGCAAAGGTCATTCTTGCTATGCTTTAGCAAAGAGACTGGTGGCATTTTGCCCCTGCCCTAGAGATCTATGGAACCTTGAACTTGAGAGAGATGATTTAGGGTATGTGGCAGAAGAAATTTCTTAGCAGCCAAGCATTCAAGAGATGACAGAGCAAAAAAGTGGAGAAAATTTGCAGCCTGACCATGTGGCAGAAAAGAAAAACACATTTTCTGAGGAGAAGTCAAGCCAGCTGCAGAAATTTGCATAAGTAACGAGAAGCTGAATGTTAATCACCAAAACAATGGGAAAATGTCTCCAGGGAATGTCAGAGATCTTGATGGCAGTCCTTCCCATCAGAGGCCCAGAGGCCTAGGACAGAAAAATGTTTTCATGGTCCAGGCCCAAGGCCCTGCTACTCTGTGTAGCCTTGGGACTTGGTGCCCTGTGTGCCACCTGCTCCAGCTCCAGCCATGGCTAAAAGGGGCTAAGGTACAGCCTGGGCTGTTGCTCCAAAGGGTGAAAGCCCCAAGCCTTGGTGGCTTCCATGAGGTGTTGTGCCTTCAGGTGCACAGAAGGCAAGAGTTGAACTTCGGGAGCCTCTGCCTAGATTTCAGGGATGTGGGGAAACACCTGGGTGTCCCGGCAGAAGTCTGCTGCAGGAGTAGAGCCCTAATGGAGAACCTCTGCTAGGGCAGTGTGGAAGGAAAATGTGGGCTCAGAGCCCCCACACGGAGTCCCCTCTGGGGCACTGCGTAGTGGAGCTGTGAAAAGATAGCCACTGTCCTTCAGGCCCCAGAATGTTAGATCCACTGACAGCTTGCACCATGCACTGGAAAAGCTGCCAACACTCAATGCCAGCCCGTGAAAGCAGCCACAGAGGCTGTACCCTGCAGAGCCACAGAAGTGGAGCTGCCCAAGGCTGTGGGAGCCCACCCCTTCCATCAGTGTGCCTTGGATGTGAGAAATGGAGTTAAAGGAGATCATTCTGGAGCTTCAAGATTTAATGTATGCTCTGCTGGGTTTCAGACTTGCATAGGGCCTGTGGCCTCTTTTGTTTTGGCCAATTTCTCCCATTTGGAATGGGAATATTTACCTAATGCCTATACCTCCACTGTATCATGGAAGTAACTAACTTGTTTTTGATTTTACAGGCTTCTAGGCAGAAGGGACTTGCCTGATCTCAGATGAGACTTTGGACTGTGAACTTTTGAGTTAATGCAGAAATAAGACTTTGGGAGACTGTTGGGAAGGCATGATTGGTTTTGAAATGTAGAAAAGACATGAGATTTGGGAGGGACCCCAGGCAGAATATTATGGTTTAGCCCTGTGTCCACATCGAAATCTCATCTCAGATTGTAATCCCCATGTGTCAAGGGAGGGACCTGGTGGGAGGTGATTAGATCATGAGGGCAGTTTCCCCCATGCTATTCTCATAATAGTGAGTGAGTTCTCATGAGTTCTGATGCTTTAAAAGTGTGTGGCAGTTTCCCTTGTCCTCTCTCTCTCTCACCTGCCACTATGTAAGATGTGCCTTGCTTCCCCTTCTGTCACGATTTTAAGTTTCTTGAGGCCTCCCTAGCCATGTGAAACTGTGAGTTAATTAAACCTCTTTTGTTTACAAATTACCCAGTCTCAGGTATTCTTTATAGCTGTGTGAAAACAGACTAATACAATACTTTTGTAAATTGATATGCTCCTGCTTTATTTTATTTAGATTTGAATCTTAAATTTCTTCATTTTTAATGTTAACCACGTTTTGTTTTTGTTGTCATTTGTCTGGTATAGTATTATGCATACCAATTCTTTTTTTTTTGAGACAGGGTATTGCTCTCTCACCCAGGCTGGAGTGCAGTGGCACAAACATGGCTTCCTGTAGCATTAACTTCTCATCTCAGCCTAAGTAGCTGGGATTATAGGCACTCACCACCACGCCTGGCTACTTTTTGTATTTTTCTTTTTGTAGAAAAGGGGTCTTGCTATGTTGCCCTGGCTGGTCTTGAACTCCCAGGCTCAAGCAATCTGTCTCAGCCTCCCTAAGTGCTGGGATTACAAGAGTGAGTTACCATGTCAGGCCCCAATTTTTTAATTCTTAAACTCTCATTCTGACTTAGCTGTATTACTTATCGAAAGACTATGGCTGATTTATATTCTTAACCTAATCTGATAGTGTCTTGTTATGTAAGACTTCAGTTCATTCTCATTCAGGGATTTGACTAATATACATGATTTACATTTCTTGATTTATATTCTATTTATTATATAATTCTTATTATATTTTATATTGCTTATACTTATATTTATATTATTGAGCTTCATATTTCCTTTTCATTTTTTATTTGATTGAATTTTTCTCTAATTACCTTTAGAGTTTTTTTTTCTCACACCAAATAGATCTATTATGCCACTGTTGCCACTGACATCCAATGATATGAGAGCTTTAGAACATTTACTCTTTCCTGCTTTTATTCTCAAAACAATTTTGACAATGATTTTACTCACCTATTTTCACCATTACCTCCCACACCTCTCCACAGGGCTGGCAAATGCGAACTGTGGGCTGCCTAAGGCTGATCCTGGGCAGATGTGATGTGCTGGTCTTGGGGATGCAGCATTCACTGTTCTCTGTTCACAGACTTCATTTGTTGGGCCCAGTGCCTATTCCTGCTCCTGCTCTTCTTCCAGGGGTAGTTTTTTTTTAGCTCCTGTTTCCTTCCTCCAGCAGCAATTAGTTTATACCTGTTCCCCTAAGTTGGCAGTGTTATGCCCTCCACCTTGAAGATTAAGGCATTTATTTCATATGGTAGACAGGGGAGAAGAGTCCAGATAAAGTTTTTGACATTCCCACACCACTGATATTCCCCTTTTCAAGTATGTACCACCAAAAACCTTTTCTTAGGTAACTTCCCATTCTTTTCTGTGAGTTCCTGTAAGAGTTTACAAACAAAGAGCCTGCCATTGTGTGGGGATTTCCCCAGTTTTAGGGGTCCTCACAGACTCTACACTCTCCATCCCACACTCAGCCTCTACCAATTGATCACGCACTCTAGCAGTGCTCTTTGTACCTGAGTCCATCTGTGTTTCCCTCAAGTAGAAGAGTGAACACTTGTCCTTTCTTCCTTCAGACTCCTGTCTCTCCTTATATTGTGGGCCAGTTGGTGGCTCTGCAAACTTAGGTCTCGTTGGGTTTGAAAAAAAATTACGAATCTGAAGTTTATCTCATTCCTTTTTGCTGTAACGGTTAAAGGGACACCCCTTACATGCTGTCTACATTCTGGAGCCAGAAAGTGTTCTTAACTCTTTGAAGTTTCTTGGAAAATTCTCAAAAAAGATATGTTTTCTCTTTAAAATTAGTGTACTTAGAGTGGTGTGCTGGAACTAGCTAGTACCAGCTCAATAGAGTTGCTTGTATATTTTCAGGAATTTTATAAGCTACTTGCATCATCCATGGCGAGAATATCCAACCATAAAATAAGCAAATGCTGCAAATAAGGGTGTTTCTTTTTTTTTTCCTTCTAGAGAGTCAGTTTTTAAACACTAACCAGCATACCCTACATGATAAATCATAGGAATATGGGTAAGAATCTCAGATGAAAGCTAGGAAATTATAGGTAAAAATATGAAAACAGTTAGGAATTAATATTTTTTGTGTGTACAAATGGCTATCAACACTGAATATAAAACCAGGAAAATATCCAGAAAGTGAATATACATGGAGTAAAAAACAGACAACGCTGATCTTGCAAAATTTTTATTCTTTGGGAAAATTAGGCACAAGGATGAATGAATGAATGTATATCAACAGTGGGATGGGGCAGGGTGCAGTAAAAAAGCAAGCAATAGTAGATATAGGACATTTTCTATTCCAGTAATTTATTCAATAAAATGATTCTAAAATTTATCCAGGGTAGTTCAAAGCGTCATTTTCACTTTATGGCATGAGGTTAAGCATAAGATTGAGAATATTTTGTTTTAGATTACGTATCAAGTCTAAATTTTTAAAAATCTACTTGCAAATATTATGAACAAACTCTCTGGCTGTCTTTCATACTTCACTGAGAAATTGGAGGTGAATTTCAAACTCTTTCCACCTTTAATCATACATATGGATGACCTTGTTTTTAACAATAATATTTTCAACATTATTATCAATCAAGACTTTTTATTTTCAAAGACTCTTGCTCTAATCTTGTAAAGTTATAAGAGTTTAATCAACACAGTCAGGACTTCTAGATTTATTTTCCCATAACTGAAGCCAGATATAAAGGGCTCTTGAATTTGTTCACTGAAATACTATTTTTCCTCAAAGTGAAAATTGTGCTCTTTATGAGAAAGTTAATATGGAAAAGCACATTTATGTGATCATAAATTGAATTCGAAAGAATGTATAAAATTAAACTCTCACTTTTCTCCTGTACCAATGAAGATTTAATACAGCTCCACTGAATAAAAACCAAGGTTTCCAATTTACATAATTGCCGATTTTGATGTTACCCAATGATTATAAATACCTCTTGGGTAAATTGTGTAGCTCTCCTTTTTTTCTGCACTTCTCAATGAATGGTCTGTCTGGAAAATAGCCAATAAATTGCTGTCAATAACATTTTGAAAATGGAATATTTTCAAATATCACATAATTGAAATTCAAAGTGTTTTCATTTAATTATATTGTTATTCATATTGGTATTAATGGCTATAAATTAGCAATGATATGAATACTAGAAAAATAATTAGATATAATGGTTGTTTACAAAGAAAGGTACAACTTCTTTGCTTCTTCATGTCAAAATGTCATTATAGTATGGAGTATAAGGTCTCCTTTAGAACATATTCAACTAGAGACCAAAAGTTTAAGAAGGTTTTTATGGAAAAACAATTTTCCAGTGGATATGTAATCATGTAATCAGGTGATCCTTTTACCACTGCTATGTAAGGCATAGGATACAATTGTAATATATATGTGTATTTATTTTACAATTGTATTATATATGTGTATCTATATTACAATCATATCATTGTGTGTGTATATGTATCTATACACATATTTTTACATATAATTTTCTTACCAATAACATAGTCATACATATGCTCCTATCAGATATTGTTTTTCAGCAGCCTTGGCAAGCAATAGTTCATTTTATTTAAAACTATCTGTGTTTTGTTATTGCTGTTCCTCTGCTGAAGCTGTCTTTATTGAGGTAATATCTACATTTATCTCTTTCTATATGTTTCTCAATACATTTATACAATTATTTTGTTTTCCTGATGTATTTGCTATAAAACGTTTAGTGGCAGTTGTAATAATAGTAACAATATTTCCTTGAGTTGTCTTCATTTTGTCCAACCTCCAAAAGTTGTCTTTAAAAATGGCAGTTTATTACCTTCCAACTGCAAGTTCAGACACATTTCTATTATAAGTTTTAATATTCAGGTCTTATTTTAATAGAACTCTCAATGTATGTGAAGGATAGTTTCCAAAGACTATATAAGGAGGATTATCACTGCTTTTGTCACCTCTACATTATCCTCATTAATTTTCCCCAAGAATTACTTTTTTTCATTGTTATACAATATTTATCTTACTTATATCCTTTCACAAAAGTAATTCGACTCAGTAACAGTGATCTGTATATAAAGCATATTCAGTCCAACAAAATATGGAGGAAATAATTTGTTAAAGTGTTTGTATTTGGCTTGAGCTGTTGAAACCTGTGATTGTGCCTCATTCCCTCTATGAAGTAACTTTGAAAACCAAAAACTTAAAGAAACTAGATCTACTCCTCTTCATTTTCCCATATTTATTTTTTCTTTTAATTGAATTGCCTTCTTTGTGTTGCTCTTCTTATTTTCCAGTAATTCTCTTAAAGTCTGAGACAGAGTCTTGTTTGAAGGTTTTTTTCAAGTGTTTAAAACTTTGATAGAAAAGGTTTGTGTGGACGTTCATTAACATTAATGTGTCTCCCCTCCTGGCAACATGCCAAAAATATCTGCCTCCCGCAATCAAATACATAATTTCTTATTTTTTATTCATCATTAAAAAATATTCATTGGGAAGTATACTCAAATAACCCAAGGTAAATGAGAAGTGGTTGCTGGTCTCTAAGAGCTCTCCCTCAGGAGAGTGGGGACCACCAATGGATATGCTAGGAAGGAATAAGAAAGAGACATGAAACTAGAGAGAACAGTGGCTGCTTTGAGCTTCCAAACTGTGCAATTTTATTTCAAAAAAGTTCATGGCATCATTAAAAGCAATATTTATATAAATAATCTTTGGTTAACACACTATTTAACATGATCTTATTAAGGTTTGGGGAAAGGAAAAAATGCAGAAGTTTCCTGATAATAAAGGATAACATAACTTTCACTGGAGAAAATGCATAACGCATTTCAGGACCAGAAGCAGATTTTACTTTTCTTTTACTGGAGGTCAATTTTGTCATATTGAATGTATATTTGGGTTTTAAAGCACTTTATGTTCCCAGAATTCACTCATCATTGGCCTTGTTTCTCTCAAACTGTCATTTTCAAGACTGTTGTATCCTATGAGTTAACGTTTTTTAGGAGATCAAGGTTCGGTTCTTTGTTATTCTTGTAAATAAGTAACAGGGAAGAATGACATAAAGTAACCTGGTTTGAATCTAATTTTTAAAAAATCGAACCAGGACATGCAAAATCACCAAGTTCTCAGAATTAAAATGAAAGATTACTTTTCCAGATATCTTCTCTATACTAAAAGAGACAGCTACTTTAGCATATTGTCAGTCTGAATGAGTTCACTAGCAGCTGTCACACAATTTTAGCCAATTTCCTGCAGTCACATAGAGAACAATGTCATCACAATAACAAGGAATGTCATTAACTGTTACTAGAATGTACATATGTTACTTGTAAAATTTTCATTAAAATATGTGTTGTTCACTCAAGACTGCATTACTTAAAATAGCTTGATAGTTTGGGGCATTGGTAAGAAGGCTCTGTTCAGACAAAGCCATCAAAAGCAATATGTATTTCTTCCTCAGATAAGACATTGTGTCTCATGTTTAACAGTAAACTATGTTTTGAAGTGATGACAGGCAGTGTCAACACTGGTGATATTTATGCTGGATTGCCAATGCCAACGCTTTGGTATTACTTGGGTATTAGAATTTTTGAGAGAATAGACACTAACGTAGATTGACTTAAGCAAAACAAGTAAACAACAAATAAAAACTATTTCATATGAAACATTGGGCCATCTTGTCTCACAGAATCCAATCCAAGAGAAAATTTCCTTGCAAGTTTTCTACAAAGAAAAGCTCTTAGTCTCAATGACAGGGTTTAACTACCCCACCTTAAAAGCTGAACTATTTCTAAGGCTAACCTTCTAATGCTACTCACCATTTCCATATCTCAGACCAACATTCCAACACTAGGAAAAATAGCTAGGATCATAGTGTGTAAACGTAGCCACAGGTGGGTCCATCTGTGAGAGTGAAGTTAAGATCCTAGCAAAGAAATGTCAGATATTACACCACAGTATGTTACATCTCTAGAAATTTCTGAAAAAAAAATCAAGCAAAGGAAAAAAATCTAAAACTAAGAAGTGCAATAAATAATTAGGCCCACACCAAAAATAAATTGTTTTAGAAAAAACGTTCAGTTATTGGGTGAACTATAACACTGTGCAATGTTGATTAGATTTAACACATATGGAAATTAACATTGGATCTTCCTTATTGGGAAAAATCACACTCAATGCAATTACCTCCTTGACTAAGGCTCTCCAAGAAGAGAGCAAAACTGGGGTCAGAAAAAAGCAAAACTCAGTCCAATAGCCAGGACAATGGGAAACATGAAATTTATTCAATATACTTTGAGTAGGTCTACTCTTTCAAGTAGAGGCTAATTCACATTAATACCATACCCAACCACATAAAACCCACTTGGCTTTTTTGTTTATTCCCCAGAGAAAAATCTACTTTGCAGCAGTAGATTATTTCTAAATGAATTCATTAAAAGCATTGCAAATATACTCTGTTCTTTAATTCATCAGTTGGGCATTCATAAATTTGTCAGTTTTGTCAGAATTAATAAGCTTGTTAATTTCAAATATTTTGCAACAATACCCCTGAAGATCATATTTTGTTTTGAACTTTGCATTTAACATATGTTATTTCTGACTTTAGATTTCTATAAATGATAAGACACTAAATAATAAGCTTCCTCTTTGGCTGTTATTTATACACATCGAAACATTCAATCTTGAAGTCAGAAAAAGCTGTGAGAAAGAGTTTATTTGGGACATAAATTCTCCCCGTAGTTTAATTAAAGATTGGTAATTAGGATTATTATGTGTTGTGGCTTATCTTGAATTCTGATCACTATGTTTTGTTCCCAGTTGGCCCGTTTGATCTTTTCTTTCATGCTCCAAATAGTTTTACCAATTTATGTCTGAAAAAAAAAAATCCTTTGTGACTCAATTTAAAAAATATGTGCCACATCAGTTCAGGGAGAATAATAATGAAGATGTAATTGAAAGGTTATGATGAAGTTATTTCTTTTGAAGTGTGTTCTGACCGAATTTATTTTCCTTATCTATTTTTCTTTTAAGATATAATTAGTATAAACTCATTATAAAATAATTCCCAATTATCATCTGTAGGTTATGTGTATCTGTTTATATATGTATGCATATATAACAATTTCTTCTTTATGATTTTTTAAAACATAGTTATACTTTTAATAATTTCTAAATGGAAAGCATACCATTTTCTTCTTTTTTAACAGGGTAAATAAAATAGCAGAATTTCCTCAAGACTAATCAAATGTTAGATAGCTTTTTTTTTCAGTTTGTCAAAGCTTACTACTTTGATTTATCCAAGAGAGTCTAGAAACTTAGTTGATATAATAAACTATGAATCTCGAATTTAAATGGTTAAGTAATTTGCCAGATTCACAAATCGTGCTTTAGGGTTTTGGGGAGAATAAAAAGATTATGTGCTGGAGAATGTTGGCCAAACCAAATTCAAACATTCTGTGTGACACAATGGGGACATCTTCCATGCTATCTCAATTTCAACCTCATGGAAAATTCATGACTGCCATGAAAAGACCAAGATTGTGAGCTTTATTTAACCCAGCTCTGACACCAGCAAATTCAGGAGAGAAACAAAATCTAGGTATTTTAGTTTTTAATTTTCCTTTGAAAACAAAAAGTTCCATCAAATCCAAGCTTCGGTTTTAAAGCCCATGTTCTTTTGTGCTACAACTTAAAAAGACAAACATATTTTGTTATATTTGTATCTGTACAATTGTTAAAATAATGGACTACTGGCTCCAGTCAATTTGCTATTTCATTGTACCACAGATGGTAATGCTTAAAAAATAAAATAAAATCAAAAGTTTATGAAATGTAGGATTTTTTTAATAAACTGAGGTTGTAATATATTCCTGATAATTAAAACTGAATTATATCAATTTTTATTTCTTATTCTATTAATTTAATTAAAATTTTCTTCTTATGACTATAATTCTTTGACAAACTGAATTCTATAGTGATTTACCACTTAAAATATGTAGATATGGGCATATTAGTAAGAATATATATGGTTTTCTAGTTACTAAAATTCTATTTAAGATAGCAGTCATAAATACGTCTTTTGAGGAATCCTATACCTATCACGTTCATGCTCTGCAGGCAGTTGAAGAAATGGCTTTCTGTTGTTTTTTAACTTATTATTATTATTTTTTTTACCGTGAATCTACTAGCTATTAACACATTATAAAAAAAGTCGTTCTCTTAGTCATGATAGGCGGGGTAAATATTATGGTAATAAACAGCCCCCAAATCTCAATACCTAATGCATTGAAGATTTATTTATCTTTCACACAATTTCTGCTGGGCTTAGGTAATTCTCCAGGACAACTGACCTACATGATGGAAGTCAGTATCCCAGGTTACACCTCCATATCGTCAGAGCTTCGATAACCACAGCAGCAAGATAAGGCACAGCATGAAAAGCCACACACATTCACTTTAACACTTCAATCAGGAAGTGATTCATGGTACCTCTGCTCACATTTTATTGCCAAAGGAAGACCTATGGGATTGCTTAAAGTTCGAGGAGTCAAAAAAGAGCAATCCTCCTATATGCCTGAAAGGAAAAGAGAATCGGAAATATTTATGGGCAATAGTAATATCCACTATACCCTATGAGGTTTTTTTATTTACTTGTTGGGTTTTATTACTTGATTTGTTTTCACGATTGCAGTGTACTTCAGCAGGGGTTGGCAAACCTTTCCTGTATAGAGTAGCATAGTAAAGATTTTCATCTTTGTGGGCTATATCCTCACAAATACTCAGCTCTTTTGTTATAGCATAAAATCAGCAATAGATAATAGGTAAACAAGTGAGCATGGCTGTGTTCCAGAAAAACCTTTTTTATGGCCTGCAGGCCATAGTTTACTGGACCCTGACTTGGAGTAACACCCATCCCTTCTGATACTGGTAGCAAGAAATCCCTTGGCTCTTTCTCTTTTTCATCATTTCTTGGCCTCCTACCAAGGCTTCCTCATCTAGCCATGCAGATTATTGTGCACTGTGTAAACTCAATGGGAATTTTTCACATTGACTACAATAGGAATGGTGCCTCCTGGATTTCTTCCCTGTGGGAGCCCAATCTACTAAACCTTGCATACAAGTTACAAAAATCTCTTATATTTCTGTGTAGATACCAGTGTGTTCTCTTTGCTCTTACAACATAAGTTCAATATAGTACTCAAGGGAATGGGCAAGATGTTGAGGAACTGTACATGCCATAAACATTATCAATATTTTTATTTGATAATGGCTCATTTTGATATATGATTTTTAAATAAAAATTAGCAAATGCAGAAAAATGATGAAATAAAGAAACAAACTATAAAAGTAGTTGTGTTTTTTAATTTAATATTTTCCATTATTATAAACTTATGGCATTATAATTTTTAATGAATCTCTAGTTTTTTATTAAATGAATTAGCTATAGTTTTTTGATCGACTCCCACTTTGGAAGTTTAGCAAGTTTTAAATTTTTGCTAGTAAAAATAATACTAAATGAAATGGTTATACATAAGTATTTGAGCATTTTCTCAGGATAAATTTGTTAAGATAAATTATTTTCTTAGGACAAATTTCTATGGTATATTTTCTAGGTCACCCTTACATATTCTCATTTTAAAAAAATAAGAATGTGCCTATTTCATCTTTTCCTCACCAAGATTGGGTATTATCTTCATACAGTAAATTCATGTAAAAATACACATTCTTGATTATTTGACTATTATTTCCTGATTAACGAATGACTCATTTATCTGGCCATTTCAGGAAACAAATTTACACACAGACACACACATATAACTTTTCCAGGTATGAGTACATACCTATTAGAGAGCATATATTTGCTGTACATTTATCTGCCTTATTACAAAGGGCATAATGTAAACTTTTCTCAAAGGTTCTAAGTTATCATTAAGATAACATAGAATGAAAATTTCAAAGATCTTTATCAATATTAATGAATGTTCACTCTGTGATATATTTGTAGTATTTGACTTTGTTCACCTTGAAGATTTATTATTCTTATGATAAAAATAGAGATAAATAAATACATACAAATGAGTTGGGACTACGCACTAATAAACTGTTTTCTTAATGTCCCTCGGGAAAATCAATCTTATTAATGTGTAGCTATATCTTTACATTATTTATGAGCTTATGTTTTGTAGTTGAATAGTCTGTGTTTGTTCTTATTCTTTCTTGCTGAGTAGTAGGGACAGGGGAAATAAGCAACTCTTCCAGTTAGTCACAGAAAGGGTAGGTACATAGCAATCCTGGAGAAAGATGGTTTTAGAGGAAGTCTATTTGAGGGCTGTTTAAGAAAAAAGTGAGGGCGAGCATTTTATTCCACAGGGATAGGTGGGTTTAGGAGCCCCTATTTCCTGCTATACTTTTGTTTTTCACATTTGTCAAGTTTTCTTAAGATATCCTGTGTACTCCCAAATGTCCCCTCCAATAATGTTTTACTTGTCTACTTGATTCTGTGAGAACACTTTTTTTACATGTCACTTTTTTCAAAGAAAATTGAAAGGTAGCTGTTGACTATAAAATTATGATAATTATTGTTAATTAGTAAGTTTTCCTTTGCCTTTTTAAAATGTCATCTACAATCTCTACCGCTATTTTATTTACTAGACACGTGTTGAAAAAGTAATAATAGAAATACGTTGGAGCAAGACAGAAGAAATAGGAGTAGTGGTCAAGGAAAGAAATTTGAATTTTAGAGTAATAACAGTGTAAAAGGCCTACATTTAAGAAGACAAGTATACTCTATTTTTGTTAATATACACCAGTGAATGAAAGATGTTAACATTAAAAATCTAAAATATATATATTAGCACTGCTTATGAACGATGTCTTGCAAATAATGAAGGCACTATGTCAGTGATGGTAGTACTCCTGACTTTGTATAACCTCAAACTCTAAGAAGCTGTTAGGAGATAACATCATTAGCCAAAAAGATTATCGTTCTCGTCTAATAGGGAAATGAATCAGATAGTTTACAATTGTCCCTTGGTATCCGGGGTCGGGGAAATTGGTTCCACTGGTTTGCACTAGAAAGCGAAAGTTAATGCACAGTACCTATCTATAAGAAAATCAAAAGCAGGCTTGGAAGTAAAGGCAAGCAAAAGTAATTGTAGTAGATGGTAATATTAGTATGATAGTATGATTAGTATAATAATAGAATAATATTACTATGAACAAATACTAATGGACATTAGTATAATATAATAATATAAGGCTGGGCGTGGTAGCTCACGCCTGTAATCCCAGCACTTTGGGAGGCTGAGGTGGGTTCATCACAAGGTCAGGAGATCGAGACCATCCTGGCCAACATGGCGAAACTCCGTCTTTACTAAAAATACAAAAATTACCTGGGTGTGGTGGTGCAAGCCTGTAATCCCAGCTACTCGGGAGGCAGAGGCAGGAGGCTTGAACCAGGGATTTGGAGGTTGCAGTGAGCCGAGATTGCGCCACTGCACTCCAGCCTGGCAGCAGAGCGAGACTCTGTCTCAAAAAAAGATATATATATATATATATGTATGTATAAAATAATGGTAGTATAATATAATAATATTAGAACTTTGGGAGTACATATGGGTGATTACTTTTATTCTGGATATCAGACTAGGTTTCATAGAATAATTAACACATGATTTAGACCTTAAAGAATGAGTTGTGTTTTTCCAGCCTTGTCTTTTCAGAGGTTTCCAAGAGCCAAATATATCACAATGTCAAATGGGCTGCATCAGGAAGCAGTAAATTTTCTATTACTGAAGATGACAGCACACAAACTGGACAAAGCTTACCCAGAATGTTGTGGTGGGCCCTTAAGCATCTATGTTGGGGTGTTTGTCAGATAACTTTACTTCTCTAAGTTCCTTCTTCCTTGAGATAATAATCTTATAAACTATCTGAGCTGGGGGAGTTGTTGGGGTGAGGAGAGAGTGGGAGGGAGAGAAAGAGAGAGAGACAGAGAGAAAGAGAGAGACAGAGACAGAGAGAGACAGATAGAGAAAGAGATAGACAGAGAGATGTAAATGCATTCCAGGCAAATGGCAAGCATATATAAAGTTCTACGAGTGACTTATATATTTGGAAAATTTGGAATAGGCTTATGTGACCAGGATGAATAATGGTAGGAGTACATTGGTGAAGAGGGAAGTAAAAGTGGAAAGAGATAAGAGATGGAAAGTACAAGCTGAGTTCAGATTAACAAGATCCTCAAACATAATGTTAATACATTTTAAATTTATTCTATTAGCTACTGAAATACAACAAAGATTTTGGAGTAAGAAAGGTGAACAAGTTTGGAAAAAATCGAGTGAAGATATCATCATTTGAAAAATTGAAAAACATCATAGGCCGGGCACGGTGGCTCACGTCTGTAATCCCAGCACTTTGGGAGGCCGAGGCCGGGGGATCACGAGGTCTGGAGATTGAGACCATCCTGGCTAACACTGTGTAAACCCTGTCTCTACTAAAAATACAAAAAATTAGCCGGGCGTGGTGGCAGGTGCCTGTAGTCCCAGCTACTGGGGAGCTTGCAGTGAGCCGAGATCGCACCACTGCACTCCAGCCTGGGTGACAGAGTGAGACTCCCTCTCAAAAAAAAAAAAAAAAAAAAAAAAAAATCATGTAAGATGTTTAGTGGGCCTCTGTTATTTTTGCCCACAAAGCATTTCTCCTTCTCTTGCTAAAAGTACTCTCTTTTTCTTTTAGAATTACCTCTTTCATTATAAGCAGTCTTAGTAAAACTGTCAATTAAGAATTTGTAAAACTATCAATTAAGAAGGAAAAATAATCGAAGCTAGAAAGTGAAGTTCCCCTTCAATTTGGATCTTGTGCAAAGCATCACAATTGGAGCTAATGATTCTCCCACAATGACTGTGCCTTAAAAAGATTGTTTACTAGTTCACAAAATCTAAATCTGAAGGGCTGCTTTGTTCTTGTTTTTCCTGGTGGTTAGTCAGAGTTCATTTCTGTTGTTTACAAACAGAGAATATTAATTCACAGCCACAACAACCCTGTGTGAAAATAAGTATATGCTTCTCACATTACCAGGTCACATAGTAAGTGACATCTTTGGTATTATTTTAAAAATAATGCTGGATATCAGCAAAGTGGTGGATCAGCAAGTTCTGAACACTCCTTTCCTCCACAGACACAGTGATACAGTGATTCAACAATACACAGACCAATTCCCTTGGTGAGTAACTGGATTCTAACATACATGATGGGTGAGGAATTGGGTTGTTGTTATTTAGATACTATGCAAAAGTTGACTTTTACTTGTCACAAATGACAAGTAAACATAGAAAAAAAATAATCAAGTTTGGGAAAGGCTAATAGAATACAATTCTGGATGCTTTGTTCTACCTATGTCTGGCTCTTGTAGCCTCATTCCTCTTAGAAAAATAGAAACTGGGAAATGGCAATATGACCGTTCTACTGGAAATCTTATTAGAATTTTCTATCCAAACTAAGAAAGACTATGTTTTCATAGGTAATAATTATTTCATTTTCTCTCATTCTCTAGTGCCCCTTATGCTGCCCTGGGGCATGGTAGGCAGACAGCAACACTTTATTGTTTCTTCTTTGCTCTTAACAGCCTTGAATCAAACCCTAAGCATCCCTTGGCCATAACTGTCATATTCACACCACAATAGGGGCTTCCAAGTCCATAGAGTATTATGGAGGCCACAGAGGAGTGCACACTCTCTGGGATCACTTCCAGAGTCAGAGAGGTGATTATTTCATTTGTGGTGACATCTGGAAGCCTTTATTATTATTATTTCTGTGCATAGAATTCTTCAGAATTTCTCTAGGAAATACTATCTAAATTGTTAATGTTCATTTTCAACATTTCATTATTTGTTGTTGTAAAGAAATCTACATATCTGGACCAAATAGAATATTGTAATTATACTGCGGATAGAGCCAGACTCTTCTTATTTCATGTATTCATTCACTTATTTAACATATATTTATGGAGTGCCATATTAGTCGGGGTTCTCTAGAGCAATAGCACTAACAGTATATATATGAAAATTAATGATAATTGGCTTGCATGATTATGAAGGCTGAGAAGTCCCTTATTATGCTATTTGGATACCACTTTCTTACTGGAGACCCAAGGCAAATTGGTGGTATAATTCAGTCCAAGGCCAAAGACCTGAGGGGGGCAGTCACTGGTGTAAATCTTAGTCTGAAGACCCAAGAAAAAAGAGCTCCAGTGTCTAAGGGCAGGAGAAGATGGATGTCCCAGCTCAAGAAGAGAAAGAGAGAATGTGCCCTTCATCTGCCTTTTTGTTCTACTGAGTCCCTCTACAGATTGGATAATGCCCACCCATGCTGGTGACGGCAGATCTTCTCTACTCAGTTTACTGACTCAAATGCTAATTCTTTGAGAAGTGTCTGTTCATGTCCTTTGCCCATTTTTTAATGGTGTTATTTGTTTTTTGCTTATTGATTTGTTTAACTTCTTTATAGATTCTGGACATCAGACCATTGTTGAATGCATAGTTTGCAAATATTTTCTGTAGGTTGTCTGTTTACTCTGTTGATAGCTTCTTTTGCTGTGCAGGAGCTCTTTCATTTAATTAGATTCCCACTTGTCCGTTTTGCTTTTATTGCAATTGCTTTAGCAGACTTAGCCAAAAATAATTTGCCCCAGCTGATGTCAAAAAGGGTATCTCCTAGGTTTTCTTCTAGGATTTTTATAGTTTGAGGTGTTACACTTAAATCATTAATCCACATTGAGTTAATTTTTGTACATGGTGTAAGAAAGGGGCCCAGTTCATTCTTCTGCATGTGGTTAGCCAGTTATCTCAGCACCATATACATAGAAAGTCCTTTCCCCATTGCTTGGTATGTCGGCTTTGTTGATGGTCAGATGGCTGTAGGTATGCGGCTTTATTTCTGGGTTCCCTATTCTGTTCCCTTGGTCAAAGTGTCTGTTTTTGTTCCAGTGCCATGCTGATTTGGTTACTGTATCCTTAAAGTTACTTTGAAGTAGGTAATGTGATGCTTTGTTCTTTTTGCTGAGGATCACTTCAGCTATTTGGGCCCTTTTTTGGTTCCATGTTAATTTTAGAATAGTTTTTCTAATTCTGTCAAAAATGATGTTGGTAGTTTGATAGGAATAGCACTGAATCTGTAAGTTGCTTTGGGCAGTGTGGCCATTTTAACAATATTAGTTTTTCCAATCCATGAACATGGAATTTCTTTTATTTACTTGTGTCATCTCTATTTCAGCAGTCTTTTGTAGTTCTCTTCATACAGATATTTCCTCTCCTTGGTTAGCTGTATTCCTAGGTATTTCAGTTTTTTATGTGGCTACTATAAATGGAGTTGTGTCCTCGATTTGGCTCTCAGCTTCAAAGTTACTTGCTTACAGAAGTGCGACTGACTTTTGTACATTGATTTTGTATTGTGAAACTTCATTGAAGTCATTTATTAGTTACAGGAGTCTTTTGGCAAAGTCTTAGGGTTTTCCAGTTATATAATTATATTGTCAGTGAAGATAGTTTGGTAACTTCTTTTCCTATTTGGTTGTCTTTTTTTTTTTCTCTTGCCTGATTGCTCTGGCTATGACTTCCAATACTATGTTGAATAGGAGTGATAAGAATGGGCATCCTTGTCTTATTACAGTACTCAAGGGGAATTGTTCCAGCTTTTGCCTATTCAGTATGATGTTGGCTGTGGATTTGTCACAGACGGCTCTTATTATTTTGAGGTATGTTCCTCCAATGCCTCTAATCTGTTAAGGGTTTTTATCATGAAGATGTGTTGGATTTTATCAGAAGCTTTTCTCGTGTCTATTGAGATAATCATATGTGTTTTGTTTTTAATTCTGTTTATGCGGTGCATCACATTTATTGATTTCTATACATTGAGAGAAGATGATATGGTTTGGCTCTGTGTTCCCACCCAAATCTCACCTTAAATTGTAGCAATCCCCATGTGATGTGGGAGGGATGCAGTGGAAGGTAATTGAATCATGGAGGCAGGTTTTCTTCCATGCTGTTCTCATGTTAGTGAATAAGTCTCACAAGATCTGATGGTTTTATACAGGAGAGTTCCAGCGTGCATGCTCTCTTGCCTGCCGCCAGGTAAGACGTGGCTTTGCTCCTCCTTTACCTTCCTCCATGATTGTGAGGCCTCCTCAGCATTGTGGACATGTGCACCAATTAAACTTCTTTTTTTTTTTTAAATAAATTACCCAGTCTCGGGTATGTCTTCATTAGCAGTGTGAGAATGGACTAATATAGAAGACATACTAGTAGCCAGCAAAGCAATGAAAAAATGCTCATCATCATTAATCATCAGAAAAATATAAATCAAAACCACAATGACATACCATCTCACACTAGTCAGAATGGCTATTACAAACTCCAATAATAGCAGATGCTGATGAAGCTGCAGAGAAAAGGCAACATTTATACACTGTTGGTTGGAATGTAAATTAGTTCAACAACTGTGGAAAGCAGTTTGGAGATTTCTCAAAGAACTTAAAAGAAAACAGAGCTACCATTGAATCCAGCAATTCCATTACTAGGTTATACCCAAAATAAAATAAATAGTTCCACCATAAAGACACATGCACTCATAATGTTCATTGCAGCACTATTCACAATAGCAAAGACATGACATAACCTAGGTGTCCATCAACATTAGATTGGATTGGGTAAAGGATACAACATGGAATATTATGTAGTCATAAAAAAGAATAACACAACATCTTTTGCAGCAACGTGGATGCAGCTAGAGGTCACAATCCTAAGTGAATTAATACAGAAACAGAAAAGGAAATACCATATATTCTCACCTATAAGTGGGAGCTAAACATTAGGTACTCATGGGCATAAATATGAGAACTATAGACATTCTGGACTACTGGGGGGGAGGGAAGGAAGGGGTGTTGGTTGAAACGCTACCTATTGGATACTATGCTCACTACCTGGGTGGCAGGATCTGAACCCCAAACCTCAGCATCATGCAATATATGCGTGTAACAAACCTGCACATCTACCCTCTGTATTTAAAATAAAAGTGAAAATGTTTTTTAAAGTGCTAATCGTTCCTGGAAACACCTTCACAGACACATTCAGAAATAATGTTTTGCCAGCTACCTGGACATTTCTTAGACTGATCAAGTTATGCATAAAATTATCCATCATAGATACTTACTAAGAGCCAATCACTTTGCTAGGCACTGACTATTGAGTAGCATAAAAGATAAACATAATCTGACCTTGTGGAGCTTGAATTATATTAAGGGAGACTTTGCACCAAATTAAGCATATATATTAATGGTAGTCTTGCCCGTGTCCTCAATATATTAAATTCTATGCTCTAATGTCACCTACTCTGAAAAGACATTCCCAGGACAACATGTCTAGATTCTTGAGTAAGAAAGATACTACAATTTGCTTTTCTATTTAGTCATATAATAGCATTAATATATTTGTAGTATATATATACATAAATCATATATGTTACATATAATAAACATACATAAAATATTAAACATGTAACATATTTAAACTGTAATATAATCTATAACAAAGCAGGGGAACATTTATTTGTTATTTAACACATAAATTTTATTTGAAAAACAGAGAACTCATAGCAGAATACAGAACAGGAAAATGAAGATCAGTGTAATGGAAAAGACTTTTTTTCATTTCTAATGACACAGAATAATATGAAAAGCACTTTAAAATGTTAAGTGTTTTATTTACTTCTTTTTGTTGTTGAATGTGAAATGACTATGAAAATGTATGAAAAAATAATGGTTTTTCTCTAAAAAGTACACAGTTAAAAATACGCCCATCTCAAAATGAAAAATAGCATTTCATGTTAGTTATCATATACTGGTAACTAGATAAGTATGCATGAAAATGTGAGTGTGATACTAATACATCATGCAAGAAAGCCAAGCAATAAACCCTCACTTTCTCAAGAAAAAGTACCCATTATCTTTTACACTCCAAAAACAACTTTTGTATTTTTATAAAGTAGTAGTAGATGTATTTTCAGTTCTTCAGACTCTGTTCAAGCTACTGAGTTTTAAGCTGATTTAATTTTACAAAAGTGCAAAGAAGGTTAATTTGCATTTTTCTATTACTGCTTATTGTTTTTATTTTCCCCCTCCTGACCTGCCTTTCATTAGTTAGATTTTTGTCATTATTTCTTTTCTGATAACTTGAAAGTTGGAATTGTGAGGCAATTTTTTATTTGAATGATTATATCTAAATTCTTAAGACCTATTCCCCTATTTGATCTCCTTTATAAATTTCTAAACCTTATCAATGCCTAGATTTTTGCTAAAAACAAGACTATTACTTTAGGCTTTTTACCTTCTGTTGTCCTTGACATTCTACCTTATAAACTTTCTTATATGTTAAGAAAAATTTTTGGCTCACAAAACTGGAAGACCAGATAGAAGTCAGGCTTCAAGATTGGCTTGATCTAGTCACCCTATCTCTGTTTTTCAGTAATTCTGTCCAATATAATTTATTCAAATTCACTCTGTGCTTGCTTCATTGCCAGCCTCAATTTTTTTTTTTTTTCCTGATGGAAAAGTGGCTATAGTATAATGTCAGACATCTGACCCCTACATCAGGAAGAAGGAAACCTATCTCTTTTGGTGGATCTCTTTTAAGAGGGAAGAAACTTCATTTCCAAAATCCTCCAGCAAGTCATTGTCCATGTCTCTTAGCCTCATCTTAGTTCATATATTCAATTTATATCCTTCATTTTGCCTAAGGGTAATGCTGTATGATGATTGGCTGAGGCCTGTATCGTTGAACCAGTCATTATTACTCTTGAACAATAAAATTTGAAACTTCAAAGTGGAATTTAGGTCAGTTGCCCTTAACGCAAATGAGATATTTGGAGAATTTTGAATTTTCTCATTTTAAAAATCAAGTCATTGATTAAAAGAGGAAACAGGCAAGGCTCAGTGGCTCACAACTGTAATCTCTTCAACACTTTGGGAGGCAGAGGTGAGCGGATTACTTGAGTTCAGGCTCAGGAGTTGGAGACCAACCTGGGCAATGTGGCAAAACCCCATCTTTCCAAAGAAAAGAAAAAAAAGAAAAGAAAAGAAAAAAAAGAAAAGAAAAGAAAAGAAGAAAGAGAGAAAGAAAGAAAGAGCAGAAAAGAAAGAAAGAAAGAAAGAATTAGCCGAGTATGGTGGCGCATGCTTGGGAGGAGCAGTTAAGCACAGAAGGTGGAGGTTGCATTAAGCTATGAGTGCACCACCGCACTCTAGTCTGGGCAAAAGAGTGAGACTTTGTCTTAAAAAAAAAAAAAGAAAGAAAGAAAGAAAGAAATTAAAAGTAAATAAATAAAATAAAAGAGAGAACAGATGAATAGTTACCAACAATAATCTCTCCATTCATTATCACCATATTTATTTAAAATGTACGCCAAGTCTTAAACAGTTTTGAAGAACAAGAAAAATTAAAAATAAAAGGAGATATAAATATTGGAAATCAGTGACTTGGAAGGGTTACAAATTTGTCATTTTATAATATTATCTTACAAGAAATCAATTAGAGCTCACTGAAAGTATAGATTATTGGATAAGATAACTGGGTACAAGATCAACACTTGAAAATATTCCACATCAGCGTAACTGATTAGAATTTGTAATAATTTATTATATATTCATACTCATAATAGTCAGTCACAAATCTCTGTTAAATGTTAAAATAAACCTAATACATAATATGCAGTATCTGTATGTTTAAAGTTATAAAACCTTACTAAAAGACTTAAAATGGGTAAAGGACTGAAGAGCATGATTAAATATTTAAATTTTTACAAAATAAAATGTAGAAAGAACAAAAAATAAGCCACAACATTCCTCACCAATATTTCTTTGGCATAGTCAAGGGAAAAAAATATTCCATATTCTAACTGCTTTTACTTTAACATACCTTAAATAGAATCAGGAGCCACAACTCTGTAAGTACACATTCATGTGAGTTCAGTTTGTCGATTTTTAGTAATATAACTTGTTGAAAGGACGAAGTTTACAATACCTAAAGAATGGAAGAAGAGTTTACATTTTATTCTGTGGCTTCTGGAAATGATCTAATTCAGTGTTTCTCATCTCTGTCTGCATGGTAGAATCACCTGGGATCTTTAAAAATTATTGATGTCTAAGTCTGTGCTGACCAATTACATCATATTTCTGGGAGTGATACCAGGCCTCTGGAATTTTTGAAAGTTTCCCAGGTGATTCTAAAGTAAATCCTGTGTGACAATCTCTGACTAAATTCCCTAACACAGGCTCTGTGACAATCGTGAGGAACTGCAGAAAAGAAAGAATACAATAGCATTTTTCTGGAAATTTAGAAATACTGTTATAAATTGTTGGGCTACAAAGAAATTGATGAGCAAAACATCTTAACCATTCCAAGACAATATGCTTTAAAAGACTAAAATGATTAGAGAACAGGGCAGAATGTTTTGGAATCAAAACATCTTTCATTCTTATAAAAGTATAAAATTGCCCAGAAAATTACTTGGTGTGTTGCCATGAGAGATTCTATAGATGTGTCCATTTCCTAATGCTGAAGCAGACATCCAGCCCCAAAGGAGACTCAGACGCGGTCAAGAGGATGCAGACCAGAGTGGATGATGAGGAGGTGGTAAAGGTCAGGTGCAGATCTGGGGGCCAGAAAGCTTAGCTGAAACAAAAAAAATTCAAAAGCAGGCCGAAAATTATGTAGAACCAAACCTGAGATTTCATGATACATTGTGATTTTCTTTATTCCAGTCCTGACCTTAACAGTGGCTTGGAGACAACAAATGCTGTGTTTCAGGGCATTACTGTTCAGTGCTATTTCCTCGAGATGATTTCTGCTTCACCTATATCAAATATCAATTGTGAAGCATCTGAAAAGAAGTTGTTTAGCAAGCAACAAGTTACAAGGTCTTATTCAGGCATATTATTAGTATTATCAGAAGGCTATTTTCATAATTCATAGGGCTTCGTTAAAATATGTTGAAATAACGTTTAAAATAGAGTTATTTTAGGCTGGATCTTTCCAAGTTAAATTTTGTGGGAAAATATTCCCCACTGGATGATTCTGAACAAGCTTTGCCTCTGGAAAGGGTGATGTTAAAATAATTTTGGCAGTAATTTGATGTATTAACTTTCTTTTTCTGTGATTGTTGTTTTAGCAATTTTTTTTTTTAATTTAAGGTGATCATTTGTAAGAACATGGATAAACCTGAAAGAAGTTATGCTAAAAGTCAGTCAGTCAAAGAAAGACATATTTCATGGCTGCTCTTACATGAGGCATCTAGCCAAATATACAGAAGTTAGACAACAGAATGGTGGACACTAGGAGATGAAGTTAGGTGAAAATATGGGGAGTTGTTCAATTGATGTAATGACACACTACACAAGAGAAAATGCCAGAGATCTACTGTATCACATAGTGCCTATAGTTAACAATACGGTATTGTATAAATTGAACTAGCACTGTTTTTTTATTAAGAGGGTAGATCTCATGCTAAATGTTCTTGCCACAAAACAAAACAACAACCAAAAAACACAAAAAAGGAAGAAAAGGAAACTTTTGGAGGTAATAGGTATGTTTATTACCTCAACTATTGTGACTGGAACACGACTGTATATATATGTGTCCAAACTCACCAAATTGTATACATTAGTTATATGCAATTTTTCATATACCAGTTATACCTCAATAAAGCTGGAAAGGGCCAACCATAGTGGCTTGCACTTGTAATCCCAGTACTTCAGGAGGCTGAGGCGGGAAGATTGCTTGACCAAAGGAGTTTGAGAACAACCTGGGCAACACAGCAAGACTCTGTCTCTGCAAAACATTTTAAAATTAGCCAGGCATGGTGGCACACTCCTGTAGTCCTAGCTACTTAGGAGGCTGAGGCAGGAGGATCTCAAGTCCAGGAGTTTAGGGTTATGGTGAGCTATGATTACACCACCAGACTTTACCCTGCAAGACAGAGCAATTCTTTCTCAAAAATAAAAAGCTGGGGCCGGGCGTGGTGGCTCACGCCTGTTAACCCAGCACTTTGGGAGGTCGAGGTGGGAGGATCACGAGGTCAGGAGATCGAGACCATCCTGGCTAACATGGTGAAACCCCGTCTCTACTAAAAATACAAAAAATTAGCCGGGCGTGGTGGCGGGCGCCTGTAGTCCCAGCTACTCGGGAGGCTGAGGCAGGAGAATGGCGTGAACCCGGGAGGCGGAGCTTTCAGTGAGCCGAGATCGCGCCACTGCACTCCAGCCAGGGAGACAGAGCGAGACTCCATCTCAAAATAAATAAATAAATAAATAAATAAATAAATAAATAAATAAATAAATAAATAAAATAAAAAGCTCGAAAAAAATAAATATTTTTGATTCAGTGTCTTTAACTGTTAATACTAAGAATATGTCTTTGTGGGATGATATAACAGAAAGAAAAGATCTACAAAAAGAAGTGACAATCATTATTTTAAGTTAAAAATGCTATATAGCCTTTTAAGTTTGGCAAATAAATATTTTCTTATTAAATTCTATGTTTAATAATCTCCACATTATTCACACATTATATGTTAAAACTCTTTCTAGCATGGCAGAGTACCATTTTCTTTACTTCTTAATAATATAGGCAAAAATATTAGAGCTTAAGAGTTGATCATCTATAAAACATTAAATCAAATTTATAAGAAGAGAAATTTCCTACTGATCTATTTGCACCTTTTTATTTACCCTGTGACATTCAACTATTCTACCAGATACTTTTATGCTTCTTAGTCATATTAAAGTCTTCATAACCATAATCAATGTCTCCAGTGTTGAAATATAAGATGTTATATAGAAAATGTTAAAAATACTTACATCCTTATAAATAATAATTTATTTTTAGCTGATACACCAATTGAAGTTCCACTGAACTGTGTTTACTGGATCACAGTTCTACTGAATACTCTTAATGCCCTTTGGATAGGCCTAGCAAACCCTGGCAAACCAGGAATATTAATGCCAGGAAGACCAGTCCAAGCCAAAGTTTTACAACCACACTGATCCCAAGACAACTTACATAGGTATCAGAAAAATTAGTTTTGGCCACTTTTCTGTCTCCTGGAAACAATACTGACAAAAATTAGAAAATTCCAACATCACAGAGAAAAGTACTAGGACAACAGTGGGCTACAAGATCTTACGCCCACAGGCTGTCTAATACTTTGGGGCATACAAAGTTCTTCCCCTCCTGTCTTCCTTCTTGGCCTATGACCTAAACCATTTTACACTCATCTCAGATCTTCCTACAATGTGTCATTTTTCCTTGAACGTAGTTTCCCCCCTTCCTCCATCATAATATTATTAGCACGGGAAGGCACTTCTTTATGAGGGTGGTGGGAGTGTTGTCTGCTGTAATCTAAACCATACATGCTCAAACTCTCACTTCACTTTTGGTTCATCTCTATTTTGCAGTAAACAAAATATAAGTGTTTTTAAAATTTCCTCTTACTACGTCTTTTACTTTCTAAAGTATTATCGATTGAATTGTGTCCCCAAAGAAGATATGTTGAAATCCTGATCCACAGTGCCTCAGATGTGACTTTATGTGGAAACATACATGGAAAATCTTCTACGGAGAGACCCTCCTAATAAGCCCAAGTGAATTTGTGTCATTACTTCCTAATGTGTCTTATTTTTATATTGCTGTTATTCTAATCATCATGTCAAGAAACATCTAAGAATAGAAATTGAATGCAATTTGCCTAAAAGCTCAGTTATCCAGACTCCCGCTTGGTAAACAAATAGAAGTTTAAAAAGTTCTGACAACAAAAATACTGGACTCAAAATATATTACCTTAAATCCATGCACCCAGCTCAATGGAAATCCTCTGGGCTGTCATTCAAAGCCTATGCCCTCTTAATTTATAGACAGGTTTACAAGCAAAATTCACTATTTTCAGATCAAATACACAGAAATGTAAGAAATTCCTCAAATTTAATATATTTATTTTTGAAGCAAAGAAAGCACATTAAAGAAAATGCTAAATATATTTTGAAAGGTACCAACAGATTAAATTGCCATGCATTAAAAACTTATATTAGCATTTTAAAATTCTCTCTTGGTTTTTACCTGTGTATACATCTTTCATAGTAAATGCTGTACGTTTATAAAAATGTATTCTTTCTACATTACCACTTTAAATCAAAGATTTTTTCCATGCCATTACTTACTGGCCATTACAACCATTTTAATGTCTGCATAATATTCTACTTTTTAATTTCATCCCATTAAAACTATAAATTAAAATAAGTAGATAGCAACAAACATTGGCAGATGGAACTGTAGCTTATAGAGATGAGCCGAATGATTATTTAAAGTTGATATGTGTATCAGTTTGTTCTCACACTGCTATAAAGAACTGACTGGGACTGGGTAATTTATTTTAAAAAGAGGTTTAATTGATTCACAGTTCTTCATGGCTGGAGAGGCCTCAGGAAACTTACAATCATGGCAGAAGGGGAAGCAGGCATGGCCTTCCAGGTGGAAGGCGAGAGAGATAGTCTGAAGGAGGAACTGTCAAACACTTATAAAGCCATCAGATTTTGTGATAACTCACTCACTACCACAAGAACAGCATGGGGGAAACTGTCCCCATGATCCAATCACCTTCCACCAAGTCCCTTCCTCAAAACATGGGTATTATGGGGTTTACAATTCCAGATGAGATTTGGGTAGGGACACAGAGGAAAACCATATCAATATGTAAACTCTAACATAACAATATGATGTTCCTCAATAGCTATTGGATGATTTATTGTAATACTGTATGCCTAGAGTTATTCAAAAGGTTTTAATTTTTATGTATCTGCTGGTTACTAAGTCTGAAAAGCAATATGCAAGACATGTTAAGTCATGTTTGTAGAATATTTAGGACTACTTTAGCTTAATAGAAGATATTTCAGATATAGAGAAATAACTAATTAACCACACTTGCTTGATTGGGACAGGCTAAGTGTATAAAACACTTTGCTGCCCAAATTTCCAGCTCTGGTTGCAGCTAAAACAATAATCAACCAGTCCTTATAGTGGGAAAGAAACCACGCACTGTTCTGGTGGGAAAATCCCTGCTGGTAAGGAAAGATTAATATAACCCAAGCTACAACATTGCGTGGGATCCAACAAGTTGTGAAAATTGCCCCATTCTGCAATGAAACTAGATTTTGAAACTCCTTTGGAAAGACTCTTCCTTACAAAACAAAAATAACCAAAATCAATTGAGGGATGTATTGTCCTAATTATTAAAATATGTATAGGTGACTTTTTAAGAGAAAAGAAACATACATTTTCTTCTCATAACAACAATTACAGATGATTAGACCTACTTAAATTTAAACCTCCCAACTTGCTAACTTCTGGATTTGTTTTAATGGTAAGGCAAGGGGAAATATGATTTGTTTTTAAAGAAGCATGAACTGAATCAGAGAACTGATACACCTCACTCAATTTAGTAATTATGACATTGCTATGGAGTATTAATTGCAGATGAGGAAACAGTCAATGAGAAAGATACATGGCTATTATAAATGGGATATTCAAGTTTAAAATTCTGATACTCCTTTCTTCCTGTATTCTGTTAACTTGATAGGTCTTTCCCAAGTTCAAAGAACCACAAAGGATCCTTCAAAACTATTAAGACACCTTCTTTCTTTCTGATTTAAACTCTAGCTAGAACTATTTCAGCTGCTCCTGTATGTCTCTCAGTTGCATCAAAATTTAGTTCTCAGTATCTGCAATCTATGGTCTAGCAGCAAAAGAAAAGAAGGTAAAAAAAGGGATGAAGAAAAATAGAACAGTACAACTGAAAAAAGATAAAAAGATGTAGAAGAAGAGAAAGTAGATGAAAAAATAGAAACACAGCCCCAATTCGCTACGTTTTAGCTACTGTACCTGAGAAATGTAGTGATAGTGTGTTTCAAGAGCCCCCAGCTAAACTGGAGTTCCAGCACCGGAGTGGCTAGCAAGAAGAGTGGGACATAGGTGGATACAATGTGCCTTCCCCAGGATACTTCTGTTACCTGCTGGGCAGACTGATACCTAATTGTCTGACCCATGACAAGGTGGCTCTCAACAGGAAAATAGTTTATATTGGAAGACAACTGTATTGTCTTGTGGCTCTTGTCTAACCTATGCCCACTTTATGCCATAACCATTGCCTTGTCCCTGAACCTTGTGTTCTCTTTGGCATTCTGGGGAAAACTTGGCCTTAGATTCTTCAGGGGGAAGACACAAACTGGTTATATAGCACCACAATAGGAAATAGGCTCAAAGATTTTTACTTACAGATTCTGGGCAGGGTGCAATGAGCTGGGAGGGCAGCCCACTGTCCCTGAGTCACATGAGGCAAGAATGAAGAGTCAGGCAGAGAGAGAGAGAGAGAGAGAGAGAGAGAGAAAACGAGACAGAGAGAGTACAAGTGTGGCAACTAGTAGTATATGTAAGAGAATAGGCTGTGAGTCACTTTAAGCTCCCAGGCAAATGCCTCAGTGGTCCATGTATTAGTCATGGCTCTCACACTGCTAATAAGGATATACCTGAGACTGGGTAATTTATAAAGGAAAGAGGTTTAATTGACTCACAGTTCCACGCGGCTAGGGAGGTCTCACAATCATGGTGGAAGGTGAATGAGGAGCAAAGTCATATGTTACATGGTGGCAGGCAAGAGAGCTTGTGCAGGGGAAAATGCATTTATAAAACCATTAGCTCTCTTGAGACTTATTCACTATCATGAGAACAGTATGGAGGAAACCACCTCCATGATTCAGTTATCTCCACCTGCCCTTGACACATGGAATTATTACAGTTCAAGGTGAGATTTGAGTGGGGACACAGCCAAACCATATCAGTTCATTTAAAGGAAATGGAGGGAGAAGCTGGGAGCCCAGTCTGGTAAATAAGAGAGAAGCCTCTAAGCTGTTATCTCACTACCAGCTTCGGCCTTTTTGGTGTGGTGTTCTACTTCTAATGTCTAAGCAGCAACTTTGCTGTGATGTTCCCATGATAGCATGTGTGTGTACTCTTATATTTCAACTCTGTTATTTTTTAAGTGTCCTAGGTTAAGTTTTGAGTTTGTTGAGAGCTCTGAATGCTGACAAAATAAATGGAAAAAGTAATTCTAGAATTTAGAGTAAGACCGATATATCACACGTTGCATATTTCATCAACTGTCATCTCAGTTTCAATTTTTCTTTAGGATACATCTGCCAGGAAGTCAGCCAGTCTTCATATCTTGACTTCGTTATCCCTGCAGTATTTGGTACCATAAAATAATTTTTAAACAGAAGCAGAAGGAAATGCAACTGCATACTGTATCTTGTGTGATGTCCCTGGGATTTGCATTTATTGCCTCTGCAATCTCATTCCTTATCAGTACTTGCAAAGTCCACCTATGACTGACAGTCCACTTAGCCAGCAAATGTGACATATTTTGTATTTTGCACTTTAAAAATTATCTAAAACACATTAGCAATTCTTTGAAAATATGGCAGTGTAACCTGAAAAACAAATGACAGTACTGTCATTCAGTATACTCCAGTTGCAGTCCATTGTCTGAATCCAGATTCAGGATTCAAGGTCTACCTGTGCTACTTTCTGGCTGGGTAGCATGGGGAAATTCACTCAAGCTGTGTGTGTTTCATTTTCTATTTGTAGAATAGAGAAAACAGTACCTATCTCCTACTGCTATGGTGATTAAAGGAGATAATTCTTGGAAAAGAGTATAATATCATGCTGTCCTCTGCAGATTACACTCAACAAAAATAGTAAACATCACTGTTATGATTATTATTATTATTACTGTTATCACCAATGTAAAATATCTGAAGAAATAATCTCACACACCCACAGGTGTCTAGAAATATCCCTTCCCTACACTGTTGACTACACAATGTTTATTACTCCAATTTGTTAATAGCCAATTTGCTTCAAAATTTTACATGCATGCAGGTCAGGTGAGAAGAAAAGAAAATTATGTATTATTTGTGAATCAATTAAATGAAATGCACTTTGTGTGTGGTTTCTAGGCATTTGAAAGGAGATTGTATATCTATGCTGGCAAATATGGCCTAAATGAGCTTTGAGGGGCAGGATGTCTCGATAATCCTATACCACAGAGGCGGAGTATAACCAGCACTCTAAGGATGACTAGGTGGGAGTCCTGTGTGTTTCTCTCACAGAACATTTGTGGTCTCTACGTCTCCTGAAACATCCTGTAAATACATAGAACTACTGCATTTCTGTATTTATTGCAAATCAGTGTTGATGCAACAAAAAAGTGAATATACACAGTTATCTTAAAGAATAAGGACTTTTACTCTAGAATAATATACAATTTACTAATTCAAGCTGTCTCTTGAATAGTTAAATATAAAGCCCAAATAATGAAGATGTCATGAAGGCAAGCCTTCTAGTTCATTTCAGCAATTATCTGTCTCCTATGTAGAAAGTGGATACACTAGTAATTGCAAAAGTGATACCTGCATGACTATTTTACCACTAAAAATTTGTGCTGTTACCCTATGTGTAATGTCAACCAACACAATTTAGTTAAATATATTTTATAAAAATGTATTTTAAGTTTCCTCCCTGCGGTTTGCTAAATGACAGTCATGTTACAACTCTGTAATAACATAGTTTGTCATAGATAAGCTGAGATCCACAAAAGCAGAAGATGCTAACAGGCACTATTGTAAGAATTGAATTGTGATGCCTTCTTCTACAATTACCAGAAATGACTAGGGAAAACGTCATGAGATCATTTGAGAAAGTTTTCAAAAGTGAATTAAAATTTAGTGTGGGTATTATCACGACTAAGCATTCCTGAAAAATCAGTTGAGGTTTCTCTGAGTAAAGTAAAGCTACACTGGGCGTGATAGTACAACAAAGAGAACAATGAAACTCTTCAACCAGTGATAGCCATATATTACATTTGTTGAAGGGAAAGCAAACAAACAAACAAAACCTGGCATTTGTATCAATTAAGTCTGGGTACCATAAAGTAAGAAAAATAACTGTAATGAAAAGAGAAGTATGTCTTTCATTCTAAACTTCTACTTAATCTTCCATTTTGTCAGATTTAAGCTTCTACTTTTTCATCTGCCTTAGGTCTTTTGAGTTGCAAACATGTTCTCTTACTTTTAAGATATAATTATCTTTTCCATTAAAAAACCTTCCTGAACGATCTATTTTATTCCATTGGAAAAAAGCTGAAATTCAAGTCAAACACCACTATTTTTTTTTCCAGCAAGGCTTTCATAATGGAGTATTTCAGTTTGCTTAATTTACTATTTTAAAAAAATTCCATATATTACTCTGTAACGCTCTAGTTTATGTAGCCAAAATTGTTGAACAACTCTTTTATAAAAGTATTTCCATTTTTAAACTTTAATTTATGCCTTCAATATCCCTATATTTTAACATCTCAGGGTTAATCCTTGCTCTTATAGTTGAAAAAGTTTGAATATTGCAGCGATTATTATTAACAACATCTATCAAAAAAAGGAAAACAACAATTTCTATTATTTCTGAATGTCCTCTAGGAATAATAGGAATCACTGTATCATGATTTTGCCCCTGCATCTGTGATTAATTGTTTCATTTGTTGTAATTTTTTGTTATTAAAATCATATCTTTTTATCAATTTCTATTTGTGACCTCTAACTTTGCTCTTGCATCAGTGACAGGCTGTAGCAAAATCTTAATTCACCATGCCACAACTATGCTCCATTGGTCACAAAAGGAATTCATTATCGGACCAGAGATAGTACAAAGTTAGTGCAAAATCACCATCCAGATTACTAAAACAACTTTGAAAGTCAGGTGTATAACTATATTCATGATGGACAACACATTAATAGCATCATTATATGTAATTTAGATTCATAGCTTTTACAACATATTAAACAAGTACAAAATACTAGTAGGCATCATCAGCTTTTCTCTTTCAGCTTCTAAATATGCATTATAATAAGAGTAATAAAATCTATTACTGCTCAGAAGCTGAATCCTGTGATGTATAAAATAAATTAACATTATGCCATACACAAGCTTTCCCACTGATCCTTTATGGTAACCTTCAGTTTTCCAGTAGGTGACCACTTGCAGTAATTTGTCTCTAACCAGTGGTCACACATGCTCAGGGGATGTTGCCTAGTTGCTGAGGGAAAAATAATTTGATGAAATAGGAATGAAAATGTAATAGACATTTCATTCCACAGCAAATGTTTTTCAGACTGTAGACAGTCTTCCTGGAATAAGAAACAGATTTTGAATTCTGGAGATGAAGCAAAGAGTATAGAAGGAAGAACTCCATTGTGCACCCAAAGCAATGCAGTGGTCATTGAAATCCCTTAGCTCAAAGGCTAACCCAAACCTAGAAATTTATCAACTTAATTCGAATTAGGAACTTGGAATAAATATCCATCTGGTTTGCAAGACCTTCATCAGATGTTGGCTCCCTGACTTTGGACTTCCTAGCCTTTAGCACTGTAAAAAAATATATATTTTTTTCTTTCTCAATTACCCAGTCTGTGATATTCTGTTACAGTAACACAAAATGGACTAAGACAAGCCCTTAATTATACATCAGGGAATTTTGTTCAATATGAAGCTTTTATAAGGCCTTAATCTAATTTGAAAAAAAAAGAACAAACCTTGGATATTTTCCAAAAACTAAAGATGTTCCCTCTGTAGCTCTTTCTCTCTCTATTTATTTTTGAGACAGAGTCTCACGCCCATGCTAGAGTAAAGTGGCGCAATCTCAGCTCACTGCAGCCTCTGAATCTCTGGTTCAAGTGATTCTCCCTCAGTCTCCCGAGTAGCTGGGATTACAGACATGCACCACTATGCCTGGCTAATTTTTGTATTTTTAGTAGAGATGCAGTTTCACCATGTTGGTCAGGCTGGTCTCAAACTGCTGATCTCAGGTGATCCATCCACCTCAGCCTCCCAAAGCGCTGGGATTACAGGCATGAGCCACCGTGCCCGGCCCCTGTCTCTTTAATACATACCATATTTTGTATTATTGTCATTGCATTTCATATGTAGTTCACAGTCCACAGTCACACACACATGCACACACATACACGCGTGCGTGCACGCACACACACACACACACACACAGGCACAAAAGTCATCATAGGGGCCGGGCGTGGTGGCTCATGCCTGTAATCCCAGCACTTTGGGAGGCTAAGGCGGGCAGATCACCTGAGGTCCGGAGTTCGAAACCAGTCTGACCAACATGGAGAAAACCCATCTCTACTGAAAATACAAAATTAGCCGGGAGTGGTGGTGCATGCCTGTAATCTCAGCTACTCGGGAGGCTGAGGCAGGAGAATCGCTTGAACCCGGGAGGCAGAGGTTTCAGTGTGCTGAGATCTCGCTACTGTACTCTAGCCAGTGCAACAAGAGTGAAGCTCTATCCTCCCCTCCCCCTCCAAACAAAAAGTCATGGCAGGTTGTATAATGGCCCCCCAAGGATATCAAGCTCCTAATCCCTGGACATGTGAATGTTACCTTCTATGGGGGGGGGGGGGGAAAAGCTTTCCAGATTTGATTAAAATAAGGGTATGGAGACAGTGAGATTATCCCGGATAATATAGGAGGGCTCTAAATGCAATCAGAAGTGTCCTTAGAAAAGGGAAGCAAAGCCAGATTAGACTATAGAATGGAGAACAGACCACATGATAACAGAAGCGGAGAGAGACTTGAAGATGCCAAGCTCCTGGCTCTGAAGATGGAGAAAGGGACCGTGAACCAAGGAATGAAAGGAGTACAGCTCTAGATACTGAAAATGTCGGGGAAACGTGTTCCCAGTGAAGAATACCATTGGGAATAATACAAAATATGTTATACACAATAATATGGTATATATTCGAAATACAATAATACAAAATATGGTATATATTTGAAATGGCTCCCAGCTTCAAATATCATTACATTTAGGGAATAGAATAATTTCTTGGCAAAAGCTGAACCTATATTACTTAAAGTTGTCTCAGCAACTTCCCTGCTTCTAATAAGTTCTGTTCTACCATTACTGATGAAGAAGCAGCAGAAATATTCTCTGTCACAGGCTCTTATATCTCTAACTTCTCCCTAAATCTTTCCAGAGATTATGGGATCAGAAATGGGCAAATGAAACAAATGCAGCCAATTTCTAGGTGGCCAGGGACCAAAGGCCTGGAAAAACTGTGAAGATATAACAATATATCTATCTCAGGAATATGTGCTGAGTTTGCCAGAAAATAAGGAGCAAGAGATGTCACAGCACTTTTATAAGGTCTAGGAATTATGAGACAGTAGGAGAAGCCAATTGAGAAGATACACACAAACCAGAAATCAATTAAAGTGAAACCATGTTGTCCAGAAAAAAAGACAAAGAGAATATATCACTCCCATGGTGTCTGTGGTTCAAGGACATTTTCTGTCCTTAACAAGTCTATGAGGATCTCTGCACCTGGTAACAAAAATAGCCCTGGCTACAGTAACATAAATACTTCCAAAAATATTGTTTGAATTTTTTAATGTACTTATTTTAATCAGATGCTCTACATTGTACTTTCCCTTTCTTTCTTTCTTTTTTGAGACCAAGTCTAGTTGCCCAGGCTGGAGTGCAGTGGCATGATCTTGGCTCACTGCAACCTCCAGCTCCTGGGTTCAAGTGATTCTCCTGCCTCAGCCTCCCCAGTAGCTGGGACTATAGGCATGTGCCACCACACCTGGCTAATTTTTTGTATTTTTAGTAGAGACGGGATTTCACTGTGTTAGCCAGGATGGTCTCCATCTCCTGACCTCAATCTCCTGATCTGCCTGCCTCGGCCTCCCAAAGTGCTGTGATTACAGGCGTGAGCCACTGCGCCTGGTCTCTCTTTTTTAAAGGATGTTATTAGAATTTGAGTATATTTTGTATGACTTTGAAGTAATGGTTAAATCTCACACTTCCTGAATCATATAGGGTCTGCATGTATCATGTAAAGCCTGGGCTCTGAAATCGGACACATCCAGTTTGCTCTCAACTTTTTCACGTAGCATCTATGGAACCTTGGCATGTAACTAAACCAACTTACTCAGATCTAAGGTTACTCCATAGAGTAACTGTGTTGGTTCATATAAAGCATCTTACCCAGTGCCTGACAAATAGTAACTGTTAAATAACCACTGGTCATTCTCCCTCTTGCCATTATGCTAGAAGAGAGTTTACTTGGCCAGTAGAATTTGGGAATGTAGGAGAAAATAATGGAAGAGGGATAAAATTAGAATGGTAAGTTTATAGAATTTTATTTTTCTACTGATTATCACTAAAAATTATACCTCTTTAAAAACTAAGTTGTACAATACTAAGTATGGGGGCAAATGCTTGGCCCATTCATTCTCCCTGCTTCTGCTCCATTTTGCATTTCAAGGAGGCTCACCCCTACAGACTCTTAAGCTACTGTGTCTGCTGGCTTTGGCAGGGATCAGCGAGCAGAAAGGTCTCACAGAAGACTGGAGCCTGGAATAAGAGAGAAGCTAGAGTATTTCTTCCTCCTCTCTCTCCCTGCCTCTAGTGACATCACTGGTGTGCACTTGCATCTCTTCTATGGTTCCAGCTGCCACCAGACTGTTCCACTACAGATCAAACTTCCCCCGGGTGACTATAATCTTGGACACCAATAACACTACCCCGTCCCTTGTCCTTTTATCCCTCTTGGTCTTCCTAAGCTCTAGGTGGACTTAGTTTTTCATTTTGCTTCTCAGCTCTTTCTCTACCTCTTGTTTCTATTTACTTCATTGGATGCTGACAGCTATAGTGTGGGGTAAATAAAAGCTGCTTCTCACCTTCTCTGAGCATCTGCATTAGTTCACATTGTGACTACTTATTTACTATCTTCCTTCCCTATTCCACTGCTACTTTGTGAGAATGATATCTATGTTATTTTGATCACTGATATATCCTAAGTGCTTAGCACACACAAAAAAGTGCTGAAAACGTTGCTTGAATTTATGGTTGTTATCAAGGTTTTCCAATGCTAGCCACTATTATACTAGACTAAGTTGATTAAAGGTCTTCCAGAGACCTGGAAGATACTTAAAAATTACAGCAGCTGTCACTGTATTAGCATGCATTGCCAATAATAACATCACTTTGCTAAAATGGAGAACACGGTAGTCAATAGCATAAAAAGTAGTTATCACATTTATCTTATTAATACCTTAAAATGAATTTTAAAATTAAAATGAGTTATTTAAGAATAAAAAGTCAAATCACAGACTACGAGGAAAATATTTGCAAACCACATATCTTTTTATAAAGTCGTGTATCCAAAATACACAAAAGATCTTGAAACTCAACCATAAGAAAACAACAACCTAACTGAAAAATACGCAAAAGATCTGAATGGACACCTCACCAAAGAAGATATACAATAAAAAAAAAGCATATGAAAATGTGCTCAACATCATTTGTAACTAGGGAAATACAAATCAAAATGGCAATGTGATACCACTTCACACTTATTAGAGTGACATACATCCACAGAAACCTGACAATATCAATTGCTAGTAAGGATGCATAGCATCAGGAACATTCATTTTTGCTGATGAGAATGCAAAATGGTACAGACACTTTGGAAGAGAGTATGGCACTTTCTTGCAAAGCTAAACAGAGTATTAATATGCAATTCAGCAATTGCACTCCTAGGTATTTACCCAACTTATTTGAAAACATATCCATGCAAAAATCTGCATATGGGTTTTTATAGAAGCTTTATTCATAATCATGAAAAAATGGAGCAGCCAAGATATCCTTTAAATAGTATAATATATAAACAAAATGTTTTACATTTGTACATTGGGATACTATTCAGTGATAAAAGGAATGATACCAGTGTTTACCAGGGATGTGTGTGTGTATGTGTACGTGTTTATACATGTTTGTGGTTTTCTGTTTGAATTAGTGAAATATGAGAGAATTGTTAAAGTGGTGAAACGTCTGTATAGTATTGTAATGACAGAAATGCTATGCTATCTATGATACTGAAAGGTAATGCTAAGTGACATTTTGCATTGTCAAAACCCAAAACACTTCCCATAACAAAGAGTGAACTTCAATTCATTCAATGTTTTAAACAAGCATTTAGGATATGGGGATACCCTAAAATGGAATGTAGACAATTACAAGAGAATTTAAATATATTACAAACATATGAAACAACGTCACTGAAGGGGATGGGGTAAAAAGGTGCTGACCTAAGTAATTTTGAAAATGAGTGAAGTCTCTAAGAAAGAAGGTAAAAGTAGCAGTATACAAACACTGTACACTAGTTGATAAAGTTGTGTCCCATGGGGTTCACTTAATAATTCTAATTCTAATTCTAATAACTCTAATAATTCTATACTATACATATATACTGTAATAAAACAAATAATGGGTGGTTAATGATGAAAGCTAGGTTTCTATCATTGGTGTCATGGGAGTTTACAGATAAGAAAGGAGAAGAAGCTAGAATGATCCATGTGGCATGGATTAGCATTGAAGGGATCAATAGAAACTCAGGTTTACATTCATATAGATACAGGTGACTAAACAGATAAATATTTATAGATAGGTAACACAGGTAAGTATATATACAGGTATTTCCTTGTTCTACCAGTGGAGGGATGAGAAGCAAAGACTTCAGTTGCACTAAGCACACGGAACACATTATCCAATGAAAAGAACCAGGGCTCCTTGAGAAAAAGGCTGGTTCTAGGACTAGGGCAGGTAATATACTTGAGGAGCCTACAGCATTGTGTAGTGTCATAAAGTAAGAAAGTAGTCGCCCTTCCTTCCACACACCACACACACACACACACACACACACACAAGCACACACACACACAGTGATGGGGTATGTCAAAGAAACAAAAGAGCCAATGGAAAAAAGCTTCCAATGGCTAAAATTGAAAAAATTTGAGCAAGAAGATAAAGTAAGTAGTGATGAATTATAATCAAAATGTAAAGTAAATATCCATGAGTCCATGACATAAATAAATGAATAAATAAATGAATAAAGCAGAACAGAAAAGTCTTCAATGCAGAAAAATGTCAAATAAATTGAGTAGATTTTCTGTCCTTACTACCCTTTCCTTAATTTGGGCTGCACAGAGTGACTTCTTTCTAAAGAATACAGTATGCAAGGTGGGTCGGGAGGAAGAGGAACTTTGCCGTAAAAAAAAAAAGAAAAAAAAAATCTGACAGAAAATACTTCAGTGAGGAGATCAGGTAAAAAATAAGTCAGGTTGATAATATTGAGTATTGGCATGATGTAATAAGAATGTCTTTAGCTTTAGCTCTGTGGTCTTCTGCCCCAAAACTCACTCCTCTAGTCTATGCCTGAGAAAAACATCTGACAAATCTAAAATGAAAGCCATTTTACAAAATACCCATTCTACCAAATACCAGTTCTCCTCAAAGTTCTCAAAACTTCAACAGGGAAAGTCTGAGAAAAAGTTACACCAAGAAGAGGCTAAGGAGACATGACTAATAAATAGAATACTAATTCTGAATGAGATGCTAGAATAAAAAACAAAGGAGATTAGGTAAAAACTAAGGCAATCTGAATAAAATATTACAGGAGATAATGTGTCAATATTGGTTCATTATTTTTGACAAATGTACATTCTAATGTAATCTGTTAATAACAGGGGAAACTGGGTGTTAAATTGTATTCTTCCACTTTCATGCTGCTGATAAAGACATACCCGAGACTGGCAATTTACAAAAGAAAGAGATTTATTGGACTTAACAGTTCCACCTGTCCCGGGAGGCCTCACAATCATGGCAGAAGGCAAAGAGGAGCAAGTCACATCCTCCGTGGATGGCGGCAGGCAAAGAGTGAGCTTGTGCGGGGTAACGCCTCTTTTTAAAACCATCAGATCTCCTGAGATTTACTCACTATCACAAGAACAGCGTAGGAAAGACTCGCCCTCATAATCCAATTCCCTTCCACTGGGTTCCTCCCATAACAAATGGGAATTGTGGGAGTTACAATTCAAGATAAGATCTGGGAGGGGACACAGCCAAACTATATCACAAATAAATGGAATTCTCTGTACTGTCTTTGAAATTTTCTGTAAATCCAAAACTACTCTCAAATAAAACTTTTATTGCACAACGGAATATGATTCAGCTGTTAAAAAAAAATTGAAATCCTGCCACTGGCAGCAACATGGATGAAACTGGAGGTCATCACGTTAAGTGAAATAAGCCAGGCATGGGTAGGCAAATATCACATGTTCTCACTCATTTGTGAGCTAAGAAAGTGGATCTAATGGAGCTAGAGTGTACAGTGGTGGATACCATAGTTTCGGAAGAGTAGAAGGGAAGGAGAATAAAGAGAAGTTGGTTAAGGCATACAAATATACAGTTAGATAGAAAAAATAAATTCTAGCATTCAAGAGTACAGTAGGGAAATTATGCTTAGTAATAATTTATTGTATATTTCAAAATGGCTAGAAAAAAACAATTGCAATGTTCCCAACACAAAGAAAAGATAAATGGTTGAGGTGATGGATATCCCAATTACACTGATTTTATCATTACACATATTCAGTCATCAAAATATCACCTGTACCCCAAAATATAACTCTTAAATATCAATAAAAATTATTATATATAAGAAATCAATTACATCAAAATGAATCTGTAAATTCAAAGCAATTGAGATCAAATTAATCAAAGGAGTTTTTTACATAGACAAGCTAATTCTTAAAATTATATGAAAGAGCAACCATTGAAAAAATAGAAAAGAATTATCAAAGAACAAGTTCAGAAGACTGCAATTAATGATGCAGCAATTTTTGTAATTATTTTTCATAATATAATTATATTTTAGGGATAATGTAATTGGGGAAAATGACCTATCTAATAAATGGTCCTAAGATAAACTTTCATTCAAAGATAAAAAATAAACTGGATTTCCATTTTATACTAATGATAAATGTTATTGGCATTAAAATACTAAATGTGAACAATTAAAATACGTTGGAACAAAACAGAAAAGAATAACTTCATGACTGCAAGATAATCAATAATTTTGTAATAATGTGTTTTAAAAATCAAAATCAAAATGGTGGTACTCTATTCAAATACATTGAAAAATAAATCTCTGTGTGTCACAAAATGATTTAAAAGGCAAACCACAGACTACATAAAAAAAGTGTTTGAACAAGGTGGCCATCAAAGGGACACAGGTCTGAGATGATAAAGATCTCTCACAATACAAAAATAAGACAGACTGCAAATAGTTAAGAAAATAAGAGATAGTGGCAAAGACTATAAATAGACAGTTCACTGATAAGGGAAATAAAATGACTAATAAGAAAAACAGATAATCTACTTCATTGCCAGTGAGGGCAATGCAAGTTAAAACCGTGAGAAGCAATCAGTGTCTCAGAAGCATTGGTGAAACTATACGCAAACAAGATTTCGCCCTCACTGCTTTTGAGATTTAGTTGGCACCAACATTCTAGACAGGAAAGTGGAAATATCCATTTAAGATGCCTGTACCCTACTATCAAGGAATTCAATTCCTAGTTACATATTTTAAAGCAGTGCTTAAAAAATTGACCACCATTCCCAGTTAAAAAAAAATTTTGTACTACAATCTCATACAAATATACTTTTCTTTAAGGAAAAAAAAAAGGTCCGTGAAACAATACCCTTACTATATGTGATACATTCAGATATTTTCTTTTCTTTTCTCTCTTATTCCATTCCATTCTGTTTTGATTTTTAAGTATTAAGGAGACATGTGCAAGCATGTTTATTGTGTATTTTTTGTAACAATGAGAAAATATAAAATAGCTATCAAGCAAAGAATGAATGTATAGTGAATAAATGAAAGAGAAAATTACATCAACCTAAATAAATCTTAAAAATATATTGAGATAAAAATTAGGCCCAGAATCATACTTTCATATAAAATTTATGAACATACAAAATGAAATTATTTTGAGGTGTAAACATATTTAATAAAAATATATGATATGCACTAGAATGATAACCATGAAATTCGGGATTTACACCTCTAGGGAGTAAAGGGGAGAGTATGGAACTGAGAAATCCTACAAAGGAGGTCTTAGTTATATTTATGAGGTTGTATTGCTTAAACTAGAGGGTAAGCACTTGGGAATCCATGTAGTATTCCATTTTTAGTGTGCTTAAAATATTTCATTATAATAAAAAGGAACCCAATATACAGAAATAATTATAAGAAGCAAGCTTTATAGCTATTGTGATACTTATCTTTGCATAATAACTTTATTCAAGCTAAAATAATTAATTCAAACTTGGTGTCCTCTTGGAGTTAAGATCTGGCATATTTCCAAAAAGCTCACTGAGTGAATTCATCATATTTGCATCTGGTTTTGAATCTTTATTAAACCACCTTGATCTGTTCAGTTTTCCTTGTCACTGAAAGCCCAGAAGTGAATTGGTAGTTTTTTTCATATGTAAGAAAAGTTTGCTGGTCGGGCATGGTGGCTTACGCCTGTAATCCCAGCACTTTGGGAGGCAGAGCTGGGTGGATCACCTGAGGTCCGGAGTTTGAGACCAGCCTGCCCAACATGGCAAAGCCCTGTCTCTGCTAAAAATACAAAACTTAGCTGGGCATGGGGGCGTGTGCCTGAAATCCTAGCTACTTGGGAGGCTGAGGCAGGAGAATTGCTTGAACCCGGGAGATGGATATTGCAGTGAGCCCAGATCACGACACTGCACTCCAGCTGGGCGACAGAGTAAGACTCCGTCTTAAAATAATAATAATAATAATAATAATAATAATAATAATAATAATAATAATTGCTAACCACAGTATCTTACCAAAATTCTACATGGAAACCTATGGCTTTTTAAAGAGTAAACCCTCAGTTTCATGTGGATTTTACTCAAGCTGAATCTGTTTAAATATTAAATTTTCCTCAGGCAAAAATATGCTTTCGTTTTCAGGTTTTTGAACTAAAAATGAAGTATCTTTAACAACGAATTTGCTAGGCTAAAGAGTATGAGCTGATTTGTTCAATTTAGAAGAATAGTACATCTAGACAGCATTGTAATGGCTCAGTAGCGCATAATTTAATGTGTGAATCTTTGCTTCATTTTTATAAGCTCACAGGCAAATCTGATTTATTTAAATTAATGCTTAGTTTTTAAGACATACTCCATTTATTTGAAATTATAAATTGAGTTGATGACAAACATTATCAATGACCTTACTGTATATGTGTGTCTTGGTTAACTGATGTCCACTTGGAAAAGACAGATGACAGGACAGTAGAGGCTATTGGATATCATGAAGACTGGTATCTTTGGCCTTTGTAGAGTGAAGCACATTTGCCGTCGATTTAAATGCCAGCTGTTCATTTCAGGCAGAGCCAGACAAAATAAGAAAGAAAGTACAAGGAAAGGATCTGTACCTTCAAAAGATATGAATACAGGTGCAATAACTTAAAATGTCAGTGAGTGGAATTTTCATGTTAAATACATGTAAGTGAGGAGGAAAAACGGAGAAAACATACAAGTTGTATTTTTCTCTAATTTGAATCATAGATATTGCCACTTCATATAATTTTTAAATTCCTAAAGTATTATATTTTTGGTGTATAACTATGGAAATATGGAAAAATAACAAAATAACCTCCCATCAATCACCATCAAATATAAGAAATAGAACATTACCCATATTGTTGTAATTGTCTGTATATTCCTGTCCCCCCAAATTTCATCCATTGTCTTCTCTCAAACCTGTAATTTATATAATTTTAGTTTGCTGCTTTTTTACTTAAAATAGTATCATGAATTTGTTAGCTTTCTACTTTCTATAATTCTGCCCTCCTTTTTCCACTTATTCTTGATTGTAAATTGTTTCTTTGTTATGTTATTACATATTTTCAAACCACATGTTTTAAAGTTACAAATTCTATTTTTCTATCCTGTTGTTTACACTTCGTAATTTCCTATGGAATTTTACAAAGTGTAAAGTTAATATTTTATATCTTCTTCCAAGGAAGAGTGTTATAGTCTTATAAGATTTTAAGTCATCACCGCTGCCTTAAAATATGAATACTGTTTTTCAGGGTTGGCCTTTCTAACTCCACAAAGTGGATTTTTAAAGTTGTTTTTGATAGACCATTCTTATTTATATTTAACTTAAATGCTTACATATTTCTTTGTTTACCATTGCTTTTTGCGTCTCTTGATTCCTGAAGTACATTTCTCAAAATCTTCTTAATGAAGATTTATTAGTGGTAATTTCTCTCAGATTTTCACATTTATAGAAGCCCTTATTTCACCCTCCTTAAAATATTGTATGCAATCATGAGACCACAATTTTAAGTTTACAGAATTTTTTCCCAAAATAGTTTAAAGATATTATTCTGAGGTGTTCTGGTTTCCATTTTTCTCATAAAAAGCTGTAGAGGATGTGGAGAAATAGGAGCGCTTTTACACTGTTGGTGGGAGTGTAAATTAGCTCAACCATTATGGAAGACAGTGTGATTTCTCCTCAAGGATCTAGAACTAGAAATACGATTTGACTCAGCAATCCCATTACTGGGTATATACCCAAAGGATTATAACTCATTCTACTATAAAGACACATGCACATGTATGCTTATTGTGGCACTGTTAACAATAGCATAGACTTGGAACCAACCCAAATGCCCATCAGTGATAGACTGGATCAAGAAAATGTGGCACATATACACCATGGAATACTATGCAGCCATAAAAAGAATGAGTTCATGTCCTTTACAGGGACATGGATGAAGCTGGAAACCATCATTCTCAGCAAACTGAACAAGAACAGAAAACCAAACACCACATGTTCTCACTGATAAGTGGGAGTTGAACAATGAGAACACATGGACACAGGGAAGGGAGCATCACACACTGGGGCCTGTTGGGGGATGGGGGACTAGGGGAGGGATAGCATTAGGAGAAATACCTAATGTAGATGATGGGTTGGGTGCAGCAAACCACCATGTCACGTGTATACCTATGTAACAAACCTGCGCATTCTGCACATGTACCCCAGAACTTAAAGTATAATTTAAAAAAAAGAAAAAAAAAGTCTATTGTCAGGCTTACAGTCATTCCTTTGCAAGTTATTTGCTTTTTACTCTATCTGCCTTTAAGTGCTTCTCTTTGCCATTGATAATCTGGTTTCACAGTGACATATCTAGGTATGGATTTTCTGGTATTTATTATGCTTAGGCTATGCTATGCTTTCAAAGTCCATAGATCAGAATACCCATCCCCTCCTCATGAATATTCTCTACTGCCTTACCTGATATACTTCATAAAATATATTTTATATTTGACTTATGCACATGTCTCCCTTGATTAGAATGTAAGCTTTATGTAGGTGGCAATTTTGTTTGTTTTATTCACTGTTGTATTTCTAGTGTCTAGATAGTGCCTGGACTTTATGTAAGATTTAAAAGTTATATGTGTGTGTGTTATATATAAACTAAGAGACATAGACTAATCTATATTCTGGAATTAGAAGAAAAATGATTCTAAATCAAATCTCAGAGGAAAAAAAGAAATTAAATACTAAAGAAAAGGATACGTATGTTGGAAAGTCTAAAAGAATAGTGGCTGTTTACTGCAAAAAATGATTTGTATATTTAAAAGAAAATTAGTATATGTGACAACAATGGCATGCAAGTTGGAAGAAGAGAAGATAGACTTGAATGATGTAACGTCTGGACAGATGTCAAAATCACAATTTAGCATTATATTTGATGAATTAAGGAGACATGCAGTAATACTACGGTAAATAATGAATAGGAAAAGAATGCATAACTTTCAAATTGAGATCATGACAATAATTTTTAAAACACTTAAATAAAAATAAGGCAAGAAAATAGAAAGTAAAGAATCATAGGCAGATGAGTCAAATAGCCCTTTGTAATGTGGTAGTTATAAATTAAATATATGTTATTTATTTATTAAATGTAAGTGGGCTAAATGTTACAATAATATGAAAAAAGGTTTTAGGTTATGAACAATAATGAGTGAAATTGTAAATGTTAGAAAACACATCTAACACATTAGTAAATAAACATATGACTTGTAAATCTAACTTTTAAAAAGCTGGCCTATGATATGGTAGCTGTAGGGAAGAAACAATTACTAGAGATAATGATATAAGGTAGACATATAGAGGAAATATGAGAATTCCAAAAATTAACAAAAGTATAAGACAAACCAGGCCAGTCTATAAAGATACTGAATGATTTTAGTATTGCTCTTAATTACTGATAGAGCATGAAGACAAAACTCAATAAAAATAGACAATGATAGAAAAGAGTCTAGACTCAGGTATATTATGAACACTTGAGTTTCAACAAGATAGCATTGCAGAGCAAATTTGTAGAAGCAGTCTTTTTAATACCTGGTGCTAGGGCTGACTGGATATACATGTGGGAAAAAAATACTTGAATACTGTCTTTTACCATGTACGTAAAAGTAACATCTGGATTATTTCAATCAAATTATGATAGACAAAACAAAAGTTACTAGAAGATAATACAGGAGAATTTATTTATGGGCTGAAGTTAAGGTCAGTCTTCTTAAATAGAATGCAAGATACATGAATAAAGGGGAAATTTATAAATTAGATTACAATAAAATTAACAATTTCTGTTTATTAAGACACCATCAAGAGACCAAACAGAAAAGTCTTAGACTAGAACAGTAAGTTTGTAACACATATAAATGACAAAGGGAATTATATTCAGAATTCATTTTTAATTCTGTAAAGGAATGAGAAAAAGAAAAACAGTAGAAAAATGAACAAGAGGTGTTAACAAGCAATTTTTAAAAAAGGACGCCCAAACAGCCAATTAAACATAAGAAAATATGCTAAGACTATTAGTGATAAGGGAAATTTACAAGCTAAAACTAAAATAAAACAACACACTTACCAAAGTGGCTAAAATTAAAAGTACTAACTAAGAATTGGAGTGCAGGAGGAACAATGGAAATTTCATAAACTGCAAATGGGGAGGCAAATTTGCACAATTTGGAAAACTCAATAGCAGAATCTAATATAACTTATCATATATACATGTCCAATATCTATACGTGGCTAATAGCTGCTGAATTGGATAATGGAAAACATTTATATCATCTCAGAACGTTCTGTTGGACGGCGCTGATCTACTATTAACATGTTCAAGTCAGACAGTAACTTTGGCTAATTTGGTCCCCAAAAATCTTTCTTTCACTAAGATTTGGATATTTTCTTGAAATGATTTAGATGTTGTATTTTTTAGGGTGTGGTGTGGCTGTTACAAAAAATGAAAAAATAGCAGTGGCTCAGGCAAACGGCAAATATATAACCCTTTCCAAGTGGAAGCAATCTGTTTCATGACATCAAATAATACAGGCCCTGCCAGTTTATGGCTTTGCCAGCTTCCTCATGCAGGTCTTATCTCAGGTCTGAGATGGCTGTTCTAACCCCCACCATTACATCCATACTCCAACAAAATTACAATAGGGAAAGAATAGGAAGAACCTGCCCCTTTTCTCGTAAACCACATAACTCTGAAATAGCGTATATTGCTTCCTTCCAGTCCAAGAAAGTAATCTTCAACTTGATGTCCATGTGCCTAGCTAAAATTCCTATTCCTGTAGAAGATAGAAAGATTTGATTTTGTTAACCCATCTAGCAATCCTTCCTATATATAGCTCCCTTTTATACTCTTTTAAACATGTAATTTAGTTTTCCTGCTTCCCTCTATAGCTATTCAGATAGACATGTAAAATTTTGATTGCAAACATTCAGAACATCAAACAAGATATTTATATTATCATCTGATTTCTATAGTAGAATTCTTATTGTCAATTTTGAGCTCCCTACAACTGTAAGTAGTGAGTTACCCCAAACAGGAAATAGAAATTCACTGCCATTCAGAAAAACGTTTTGCAGAAGCAAAATGTCAATACAAAAAGATCTCACAGCTGACAAGATTATCAAGTTTTGATGAGCAGTAAAATCTGCTGTATGCCATCTATTCACCTGTGTGTGAAAGCTGAGTATTTGCAATGGAAATCTGTTCCTACTTAAATTGTAAAATGGAGTGCAATAATTACAGTTAATTTTTGCACAGTGCAGCACATAGTAAGCATTAATTAAGGATTGTTTTACATAGTATTTAATAAAAGACTTATTTAATGGAGATGCGTATTGTGTATGTAAACCATTCTCTTCACTGAATATAAATGCAAGTTAAGTCAAATGTATATGGGTAAAATTTATCAGATTAATAATTTCATATAAATTCTTAATAATTGAGAAATCTCTATTATTTCAGGTTTTTTTCTTTTGAGATAGGCCACATGAAAGGAAAAATCAGATGCTCAGATTATATTTTATTTTTTGAAAGTGAACTAATAAAAGGATCTTTATGATAAATAGTATGACTACACAACTCTTCAGCCAGAGAACATAAGCCTTCATTTGATGACCCTGTGCTCGTGATTTACAAAGTGGCTGGCACCATAACACACTTGTGACAACAAGGTCAGGTTTGACATTGCTATCTATTCAGGTGGTAGACACTATATTAATAGAGATTGATGGAATACTGAGTCATTTACTAAAAATTTGCCTTCCACTTTGTCTGTTCATCATTTGTATGATGGAGTACCAGGACTCTATAATATAGTAATAGGACTTTTGTCAAAGGAAGTAAAGGTTATTAAGAAAAAAAAAAAAAAAAAAAACTCTCAAGAGATGCCTCTAGGCCAACTACAGATAAACATGTCATAATCCCCTTGACATTTCATGTGTGAATTTTTTTTATCAAACACTTCCTCATGTCTACCGTTTCTTTCTTCACATCTTTATCTTTATACCCTCAAATTATCTCCTTCTGTATAAACCTCTCTCCTCACCTGAAGCTTCTATGTCAAAAATACCAGACCACAAAGCCAATGTACTGGCTCCCAGAGACTCACAAATAAAATCGAAAAGACTGATGCTTAACTAGGGGATAGGATTATGTATTTGAGAAATACTGGAAATTGGGGGAGGGGGCAGGAAACGGGAAGATTAGGAACATACAGTGATTGACTTACCTCCAAATTTAAGCTGCAGATAACTATAATGACACTCTGAGAAAAAGAAAAACCACCTGTTTCTTGTTGTATCAAAATCGTACTTAATCCTCTTTAAATTTTTACTTAGTTGAACTATTATGAAGCCCCAATCTTTAGAAATTAGTGGAAAGCATTCCCATTTGTCTACTTCCATTTTATGTAGTTACCCAGCTATTAGCAAAACTATACCAGAACAAGGTAGCATACATAACTATATCTTTCTACAGTGCCCCATAGTGCTCTGACCACTAACTAATAAAATGACATATAGGTAGAGAGAATGTTCCTTAGATGTGTGTTCTTTCCGAATTTTTAGTTTCTTGAAGAATGGAAATATTATGTATCACTTGCTCAGTAGTAAACAACTTTGTTCTATTATATTTATTAGGTTTTCACAACAAGAGAGAATCTCACAGAGGAATATTTGTTTGTTATGTTTTGAACCTCTGGTCTATACATCAGGAATCAGTCATCTCTGGAAGTTTAACCAATTTTTGTAGAGGCATTCAGATCACACTATCACCATAGGACAATCATACATTACTATATTTTTATTATAATTGTTGGTTATTTTTAAAAAATTTGAATAATTTTATTTGTGTACTTTCTATGTTCGGATTTCAAGTTAAATTACCTTAAATGTGATTGTTTTCACCTTTTCTTTCTAAGCCTACCCCAATACAGGATATAATCATATTACATCTGTATTACTGCAATACATTCCTAAATGTTGTAGGAGGCACCAGCAATCTAACATTGGTGCAATTGATACTACAGCCTTGAGACACTCTTTTAAGCAAATTGCTAGAAACAAACAACTTAAAATGAAAATCTAACCTTTATCAGCTCTACACTGCTACCAAATTCTCAGTTCAATAGTTGAAGCCCTATACCATCATATATCACACCCTGCATGTCTACACTAGCAATCACAGTCTGAAATCTAAACCTATGATGCTTCAGTCCAAGCATCATCTCCAAAACAAAAGAAAATAAGTAAGGAGATGAGTTAAATGTATTATTTTAAAATATGTATTAGTCCATTTTCACACTGCTGATAAAAACATACCCAAGACTAGGCAATTTACAAAAGAAAGAACTTTAATGGAGTTACAGTTCTACATGGCTAGGGAGACCTCACAATCAAGGTGGAAGGTGAAAGGCACTTCTTACATGGTGGTGGTAACAAAAAGAATGAGAGCCAATGAAAGGGGTTTCCCCTGATAAAACCATCAGATCTCATGAAACTTATTCACTACCACAAGAACAGTATGAGGGAAACTGCCCCCATGATTCAATTATCTCTCACTGCGTCCCTCACATAGCACATGGGAATTATGGGAGTACAATTCAAGATGAGATTTGAGTGGGGACAGAGAGTGAAACCTTATGAGCGGTAGCTGGCTCCTCCCAAAATCTCATGTCATCACATTTCATAACCAATCATGCCATCCCAACAGTCCCCCCAAAGTCAACTCATTTCAGCATTACCTCTGAAGTCCACAGTCCAAAGTCTCATCTGAGAAAGGCCAAGTCCCTTCTGCCTGTGAGCCTGTAAAATCAAAAGCAAGTTAGTCACTTCCTAGATATTATGGGGTACAGGCATTGGGTAAATACAGCCATTCCAAATGGGATAAATTGGCCAAAACAAAGGGGCTACAGGCCCCACACAAGTTCAAAATCCAGTGAGGCAGTCACATCTTAAAGCTCCAAAATGATCTCCTTTGACTCTGTCTAACATCCAGGTCATACTGATGCAAGAGGTTGGTTCCCATGGTCTTGGACAGCTCCACCTCTGTGGCTTTTCAGAGTACAACTTCCTTCCTGGCTGCTTTCACGGGCTGGCATTGAGTTTCTGTGGCTTTTCCAAGGAAATGGTGCAAGCTGTCAATGGATCTACCATTCTGGGATATGGAGGATGGTGGCCCTCTTCTCAAAGCTCCACTAGGTGGTGTCCCAGTAGGGACTCTGTGTGGGGGCTCTGACCCCATATTTTCCTTCTGCATTGCCCTAGCAGAGGTTCTCCATGAAGGCTCTGTCCCTGTAGCAAACTTCTGCCTGGGCATCCAGGCGTTTCCATACATGTTCTGAAATCTAGGCAGAAGTTTCCAAACCTCAGTTCTTGACTTCTGTGCACTCACAGGCTCAACACCTCGTGGAAGCTGCCAAGGCTTGGGGCTTGCACCCTCTGAAGCCACGACCAGAGCTCTGTGTTGGCTCCTTTCAGCCATGCCTCGAGCAGCTGGGACACAGGACACCAAGTCCCTAGGCTGCACACAACCTGGAAATCCTGGTCCTGGGCCATGAAACCACTTTTTCCTCCTAGGCCTCTCAGCCTGTGATGGGAGGGGCTGCCATGAAAACCTCTGACATGCCCTGGAGTCATTTTCTCCCATTGTCTTGGGGATTAACATTCAGCTCCTCGTTACTTATGCAAATTTCTGCAGGCAGCTTGACTTTCTCCTCATAAAATGGGATTTTCTTTTGTATTGCACTGTCAGGCTGCAAATTTTCCAAACTTGTATGCTCTCCTTCCCTTATAAAACTGAACGTCTTTAACAGCACCCAAGTCACTTATTCAACACTTTGCTGCTTAGAAATTTCTTCCACCAGATCCCCTAAATCATCTCTCTCAAGTTGAAAGTTCCACAAATCTCTAGGGCAGGGGCAAAATGCCACCAGTCTCTTTGCTAAAACATAGCAAGAGTCACCTTTGCTTCAGTTCCCAACAAGTTCCTCATTTCTATCTGAAACCACCTCAGCCTGGACTTTATTGTCCATATCATGATCAGCATTTTGGGCAAAGCCATTGAACAAGTCTCTAGGAAGTTCCAAAGTGTCCCACATTTTCCTGTCTTCTTCTGAGCCCTCCAAACTCTTCCAACCCCTGCCTGTTACCCAGTTTTAAAGTTGCTTCCACATTTTTGGGTATCTTTTCAGTAGCACCCCACTCTACTGATATCAGTTTACTGCATTAATCCATTTTCACACTGCTGATAAAGACATCCCCAAGACTGGGCATTTTATAAAAGGAAGAGGTTTAATGGACTTACAGTCTCATGTGGCTAGGGAGGCCTCACAATCATGGCAGAAGGTGAAAGGCACTTCTTACATGGTGGCAGCAAGAGACAGAATGGGAACCAAGTGAAAGGGGTTTCTCACCTTATAAAACCATCAGATCTTGTGAGACTTATTCACTACCATGAGAACAGTATGTGAGAAACCACCCCCATGATTCAATTATCTCCCACTGGGTCCCTCACACAACAAATGGGAATTAAGGGAGCACAATTCAAGATGAGATTTGGGTGGGGACACAGAGCCAAACCTTATCAAAATGGTATATAACAGTGAAAATATGCTCAAGTCACTATCCTTGAACCAGAGCCATGAAAGAACAAGGTAGATTTGGGAAACAGTAAATAGTTTTGTGTGGCTTCAATATAAACAAGATGGCCAGGAAAAATGAAAACTGTTAAGAAATGTCTATGTCATATTAAAGAACCAAGATTTTATGCAACATACACAAATTCATTGAAGAATTTTAAGCAGAACAGTAACTTGATTAGATTTGTACTTAAGAAAACTGTCCTTGAAAGCCTGTGGATGATTTATTGTCAGGGAGAGAGATTAGGGAGTTTAGTTTGGAAGTCCAAATGAAAAATGATGATGGCCCCAAATAAGAAAATGATACTGGAAGAGAATGATTTGAGGACAGGAGTTATTTCTTATCCCTTTCTTTTGGCCACAACACTTAGCAGAGTGCTTATCACCTATCTGTCCTTAATTTCAAAATGACTCTATAGGTAAGAAAAAGTAACTAGTGTCAAAATGTGACAAAAATATAAATAACTGTCACATTTTATAGTTTATTCATGTAACACTATGTTATTAAATGTCTCTGATATGGTTTGGATGTGTGTTCCCTCTCTATCTCGTGTTGAAATGTGATTCCTAATGTTGGAGGTAGGCCATAGTGGGAGGCATTCCATCATGGGGGTGGAACCCTCATGAATGGTTTAGCACCATTCCTTTGGTGATGAGTGATTTCTTGCCCAGTTCATGAGAAATCTGGTTGGTTAAAACGGTCTGGGACTTCTTCCTTCTCTCTCTTGCTCCTCCTCTCTCCATGTGATATGTGGGCTGCCCCCTTTACCTCCCACCATGATTGTAAGCTTCCCGAGACCCTCACCAGAAACTGAGCAGATGGTGGTGCCATGCTTGCTGTACAACCTGCAGAACCATGAACCAAGTAAACCTCTTACCTCAGGCATTTTTTATAGCAAGAAAAATGGACCAACACAGTCTCTGAGAGTACTGTTACAACCAATCTGTTAGCAGACTTATTATGAACCACCTCCCCACTACAGAATGCTTTTCATTCTGGTTCCATCATGTTTATGGTAAAAACACTCAAAGAGGAAAATTCAGCCCTCTTTCACTTATCTAATTTACTCCTTATTTCAGCCAAAAGAAAACAAGCCAAACATCCCCATTAAATCTTTTCCCTATCCAGTAAATACAAAGCTACTCAATTTCCCTGGCTAATAACACATATGTTATCATGAATGTTTTTCTTTTTAATTCACTTTGCTTTCTCAGCCATAGTGTCAGTTTATTGAGGGTAAGGATTTAATTTCTCAACACTTCTAGAATTGTACAAGGTGCAGCATGATAGACACTTTAAAATAATGTTGGTTTATTAGTTCCTAAATTTAGGCATATTTAAGTCACTGATATTATTTTACATTAAAATACAATTACAGTTGAGGAGGGATGATTTTCATATCACTGTGATGTACAGGTGCTCTAGACAGCTTTGAAAGTTTGAAACTTTGTAGGTTTTTCTGAATATTTAAGATGTCATATTTTATTATTGTTACGTGCAAAAGAAAGGAACTGTGGCTGTGACTTGCATAAAAAAAATTCAGAAGGATGGAAAAGTCAAGTCTAAACAGGCTTTTCTTCACAAAATCCTAGATGTAAGTGTGTCACCAAGATAAAAGCCATGGAAGCATTGTATGAAAACCTTGTATTGATCCAATTTTACTGATAGAATTAATTGCAATGGATTTTGTTCTCTTATTTACATAATACAATTTATAACTACATTTTAGTAATATTAATCTGAACCTTTTACCTTTTAGGTTCAAAGTGATTTGTTAAATGTGCTTATGACTTTAATAGTGAGAAATAACCATAAAAATTCACTAACCCATGTTTGGACTCAAGGCTGCTTGTGCATGGGCCACACCCAGGCCTTGCAATCATTAATTAAGGCAAGGGTCAATGTGAAAATGGGGAAAAAATTACAGGTGCACAAATTGAATACTGCTGAAGGTCTATTTGCCTGGCTTGTCAGTCTTAGCTACCACCTCATCATGGGAAGAAAGGGGGTCATAACAAAGCATATTCAAGAAACATTTATTTAGTGCCAGTTATATGCCGGGCAACCAAACCCTGAAGCTATAAATCTGAGCCGTCCCCGGAACCTGACAATCTGCAAGGATCAATGGTGTCCTCTGAAATTCAAAGACCATACCAGATCATTTATTTCAGCTCAACTACTATGTATCCAGTCCTCAAAATATATGTCTAGTTATCCAACTAAATAATTTAATTGGCTCTTGTCTAACTCTGAGTTGACCAATTTTGTCCCTCAGACTTTGCATAACATTTACCTCTCCAGGAAAGCTGGAAACAAAGCAAATGCAAATAGCTTTTACCTCTCTTCTAGGTAATTCCCTTCTCAAATAGAAAAGATAAAAGGAAAAGCCTGGCTAGGTGTGATGGCTCACGTCTCTAATCCCAGCAGTTTGGAAAACTGAGGCAAAAGGATTGCTTAAGCCAGGAGTTCAAGGTACAGTGGGCCGTCATCACCCACTGCACTCCAGCCAGTCAATGGAGCCAGACCGTCTACAAAGGTTAAAAAAAAAGTCTAATTAATTGTATCTACTAAATATCTTGAATCTCTTCACTGCATTCCACAGTCCTTGTTATCACCTGCTCTTGCCTGGACAATGGCAAGTGCTAATTATAATTTCTGGATGTTCTCCTTCATATCCACTCTTGCCCCTTCAATCCATTCTTCCTAGAGCAGCAAGGGCAATCCTTTGAAATCTGAATCAGTACCTGTATACCCTACGTAAAATTTTCAATTACTTCTCATAACATGTAGAATAAAGAACACAATACATGGCATTAACATGAACTCTAAAATTCCATGTGATTTTAGCTCTGTATCGTGCTACTTTACCTGAAACCCGTGCTCTCTGTAAGACAGGCTATTTAAGTTTCTCTACTTCACCTTGATACTTTGCACTTACTGGAATCTTCTCACTGTCTGTATAACTTCTCTTCCCTAGTTTGCCTGGTTAGTTCTTTAAAGCTACACTAGCTGATATGGAAGCCACTAGCCATATGGCTATTGGGCACTTGAAATGTGGCTGGTTAGAATTGAGATGTGTTATATAGATACACTGAACTATACACTGGATTTCAAATACTTAGTAATAAAAATATAAAATAGTAGGTCTTCTGTTAAGTACTCTTACCACCAAAGGAAAAGCCAAAACAGAGCGATAGCAGCAAAAAACCCAAAGGGGTTGGGAGAAACCTTTTGGAGGTAATGGATACATTTACAGCATTGACAGTGGTGGTGGTTCATATGTGTATAGTTATCTCCAAACCCATCACGTTGTGTACATTAAACATGTACAGCTTTTTGTATGCCAATCACACCACAATAAAATGGTTATAATACACACAGGCACACATACACAAAGAATGTAAAATAGTTCATCACTAATTTTTATATGATTGTGTGACAGAAGAATAGGAAATTAGGGTAACCAAGGTTTAAAACATAAGCAAAAAAAAAAAAAAAAACAAAACAAAAAAACAAGCAGGTGCATCCAATTCTAGGCAAGAGTAAGCAGCATACAGGCCACATCCTCACTCCTGTGATAACAAGTTTCCACTTAAGCCTCTGCTTGGCTGTAGGCCAAGTCTCCACTTCAGCCACTGGTTAGTTGTGGGCCAGTCCTTCACAGGGTGTAACCAATTGGAGTCTAAAGGGTCTCTAGTGATGGCAGATAAGGTGTCTTTTTCTTCCAAAAGGGAATTTTTGGCTGAGGGGATCCCTCTTGGCAGTAGGTCCAACTTGTGAGTTTGTTCACAATAGTAGTGGCACTGGTGTCTGATGAGTAGCACTCATTGAGTTGTCACTGAGCTGAAGCCTAAAGCATGAACACACATGGAGAGATGATAGCTCTGGAATCTCGGACAGTAATGGCATTGGTGTCTGGAGTACTAGCACCCTTCTGCTGCATTGGTAACAGTATGCAAGGGACAGATGCTTGTGAAGTATTCAGGGAGCCTATTATAGGAACATAGTTGTGTGCAAAGTTACAGTGGCCCTGGGCGTGGCCTCTGAGCCTGGCCTCAGCCAAGCTCTCTATGGCAGCTGAGCTGGTGTCCAGAATGCAGGCATGCTCAGAGAGATTTTGGCTCTGGGGCTTGGAGTGCAAACTAGTTTGCTATGACAGTGCTCTAGCTTCTGAGATGTAAGCAGTTAAAGTGCAACCACAGAGCACAGGGCTGGAGTATGGGCACTTTGGATATAACCATAGCTTTGGAGTTGGGGCATACAGAAGATTTGGAGAGGTGGCATTTCTTTTCCCAAAGCAGCTCAACAATGGCTGCTTTTTATGGGGTTAGAGTTGTGTACCCAACTCTTCCTCTCTAGAGTTTCCTGGTGGAAATGGATGTTTGTTACCTCAGTTACAAAAGGAACCAGTGTTCTCAACAGAGCTGGCCACTGGAAACCAAGGTGGTTCCAGCCACATGGCTGATACCTACAGCCTCTGCCTTTCTTCTTTGTTCTTAGACATTTACTGGCATTTCAGGGATGTCGATCTCACCAGTATTTCTTTCTGTGTGTATATTCTCCATTTGTTGTTGTTTGTTTGGTTTTAAATTTTTTTTTTTTGCTTTTGTTGAGGGGGTTGGGGGGATGAATACTGCTATTTCCTACTCTGCCACCTTGTCCCTTGTTGATGTCATTTCAAAGTCATGTAAATATGTTTTTCTCACAGTAATGCAGAAAGATAGGAACAGAAAGATGGGTACTGTAATCTTAATTTGTGTCGGTGAGAAAATTGAGGGTCTGAAAGTTTATAAGGCAAGCCTGAATTTGAACTCTGAGTCTCTCATATTTAAAATCACAAAAACACACCTATTCTGATGCTGAATATTTATGACACAGTTGAGTATAACAGACAAACAGAGAGCCAAATCATGAGTGAACTCCCATTCACAATTGCTTCAAAGAGAATAAAATACCTAGGAATCCACCTTACAAGGGACGTGAAGGACCTCTTCAAGGAGAACTACAAACCACTGCTCAATGAAATTAAAGAGGATACAAACAAATGGAAGAACATTCCATGCTCATGGGAAGGAAGAATCAATATCGTGAAAATGGCCATAGTGCCCAAGGTAATTTATAGATTCAATGCCATCCCCATCAAGCTACCAATGACTTTCTTCACAGAATTGGAAAAAACTACTTTAAAGTTCATATGGAACCAAAAAAGAGCCTGCATCACCAAGTCAGTCCTAAGCCAAAAGAACAAAGCTGGAGGCATCACGCTATCTGACTTCAAACTATACTACAAGGCTACAGTAACCAAAACAGCATGGTACTGTTACCAAAACAGAGATATAGACCAGTGGAACAGAACAGAGCCCTCAGAAATAACGCCGCATATCTACAACTATCTGATCTTTGACAAACCTGAGAAAAAGAAGCAATGGGGAAAGGATTCCCTATTTAATAAATGGTGCTGGGAAAACTGGCTAGCCATATGTAGAAAGCTGAAACTGGATCACTTCCTTACACTTTATACAAAAATCAATTCAAGATGGATTAAAGACTTAAACGTTAGACCTAAAACCATAAAAACTCTAGAAGAAAACCTAGGCATTACCATTCAGGACATAGGCACGGGCAAGGACTTCATGTCTAAAACACCAAAAGCAATGGCAACCAAAGCCAAAATTGACAAATGGGATCTAATTAAACTAAAGAGCTTCTGCACAGCAAAAGAAACTACCATCAGAGTGAACAGGCAACCCACAAAATGGGAGAAGATTTTCGCAACCTACTCATCTGACAAAGGGCTAATATCCAGAATCTACAATGAAATCCAACAAATTTACAAGAAAAAAACAAACAACCCCATCAAAAAGTGGGCAAAGGACATGAACAGACACTTCTCAAAAGAAGACATTTATGCAGCCAAAAAACACATGAAAAAATGCTCATCATCACTGGCCATCAGAGAAATACAAATCAAAACCACTATGAGATACCATCTCACACCAGTTAGAATGGCAATCATTAAAAAGTCAGGAAACAACAGGTGCTGGAGAGGAAGTGGAGAAATAGGAACACTTTTACACTGTTGGTAGGACTGTAAACTAGTTCAACCATTGTGGAAGTCAGTGTGGTGATTCCTCAGGGACCTAGAACTAGAAATACCATTTGACCCAGCCATCCCATTACTGGGTATATACCCAAAGGACTATAAATCATGCTGCTATAAAGACACATGCACACGTATGTTTATTGCGGCACTATTCACAATAGCAAAGACTTGGAACCAACTCAAATGTCCAACAATGATAGACTGGATTAAGAAAATGTGGCACATATACACCATGGAATACTATGCAGCCATAAAAAATGATGAGTTCATGTTCTTTGTAGGGACATGGATGAAATTGGAAATCATCATTCTCAGTACACTATCGCAAGAACAAAAAACCAAACACCACATATTCTCACTCATAGGTGGGAATTGAACAATGAGAACACATGGACACAGGAAGGGGAACATCACACTCTGGGGACTGTTGTGGGGTGGGGGGAGTGGGGAGGGATAGCATTGGGAGATATACCTAATGCTAGATGACGAGTTAGTGGGTGCAGCGCACCAGCATGTCACATGTATACATATGTAACTAACCTGCACATTGTGCACATGTACCCTAAAACTTAAAGTATAATAATAAAATTTAAAAAAAGAAAATATTGACATAGGAAGTAAATAAGGTTCTCACCAACTTTCTCTTTCCATATATTCTTTTGTTAACAATTACAGTTGTAGTTTATAATACTGAGCAAAGGGAGAGCTGGTATCTCTGTCTCACCATGGATCAATATAATGACTCCATTAGCACAAAACACCTAGCTATCATTACCTCAATTTGTGTATGCAATACATTGTAAAGTTGTCATAGAACATTCTTTATTCTATGCTTTAATGTCATGATATTTAGGAATGGCCATTATCTGGGAGCAATGTTGCCATATAAGGCCCATTAAACTATGAGCCACACTTAAAAGAATTTCAATTAAAAAGATTTTTAGACGCTGGGGCTCTTTCAAAATCCTTTCTGTTCCTTTGCAAAATATGTGGTTTCTTTTTGGCTAAAGATTGTAACATCTTTTTCATTTGCTAGAATATTCTACCCTCAAAGTAAAAGTCTTATTAACATAATCAAAAACTGAAATGCATTTCTCAAAATTAATATAAATTAACTGCTGAGCAATTTAGTCCATTGCTTTTGACAGACATGTCACTAAATTGTGAAAACGAAATGCTGCTAAGTGGCAGAGATCATGGCACTGAGGATGAAATGTAGACTCTAGGGCCCAAAGCAGCTATAAGAGAAGCAAGTCATGCAAGGTCTTCAAATAGAAAAAAACTTGGGGGAAAATTTGTAGCAAAAACTTATTTTGTAAGATGACAACTTGTTCTATATTTACCGTTGCTATATTTTATAATAACGTAGAGAGAATTCTCACCCACCCGCATCATGGATGACAGCCCAGTGTCTTCATGCATAATCCTCTCACCTTGCTCTCAGAAACTCTAGTTCCCTGAAGGTCTTCTGTTCTTTTAGCTGGCAGATACTAGGCATATCACAGAAGCAACACATTTCACACCAGCACATAGGCATTGAGCTAAGCTTCCTATGTAGCCAATTCAACGCAAGCATTACTAAGCAATTCTAACAGAATGATGGTTGACACTTTAGCCTCTCTGTAACAGCCAAGAAACACAGAAGTCAGGCAGTGACCAGAAATAATAGTTTCTGGAACAATTAACATTATGAGGATATATGAGTGTCCCAGCCCAATAACTTAGAATTTTTCAAACATGAGAAATTTATCTTTTGTGAAAGCAAACAAACCAAGCGTGAAGTCTATAAACGTGAATGTGAATGCAAAGATGGATAAAAAGTATTCATGTTAACTCAATGACTTATCTGGAAGAGAACGTTTATCCTGTGGTGTGGAGGCTAGCATTAAGGAGTCAGCCCAGCTGCTTTCTTCACCTTACAATAAGCACATGTCACATTATCAGCTGTAACATTCCACTTCCATTTCTTTGCACATACTATTCCCCTGTCCCCAGAAGTGCAGCCTCTGCGAACCTCCACTGTCTCCTTCTTTTGCAATTACTCTTGACACCATAGAATTAATGATTTACTCCAATTGTCTTATTCTCTGGTAGTCTATACTACATAATTTAATCATTTAGATAACTGAATAATCTGTGGACATCTGGCACATTCTGAAGAAGTCCAAAGGAACGTCAGAGGAAGAGAATAAAATGACTTTGCGCGCACACACACACACACATACACACAAATTTTCCATCTGAAATTTGGGAGTGATGGGAAACATATCACTTCCACTGATACCCATGCCAATATTACCAGGCAAAATATAAGGGATGCTACAATTATTTGAAGAACTAAATCACTCATTTCCTGCTTAACTGAATTATTGATCTTTCTCACCTCTCACCTCATCTAGATGTGTGGGTTGCTCTGCCTCATGGCGATTGAGATGGAAAACAAAGTCCCTTCATGTCACCAATATCTACATCTGTAACTAAATAAGCTAGACAGATATTTCTTTGACTATTGGAATTGTTAAAAGTAGAACATACATTTTAACTGTTTTGAAAACAGATGCTTCTATAAAGTAAAATGAGAAAATCTTTTATCCCTTATCTCCAAAGTCATTCCCCAACAGACTATATGTTTTCAGGGTGACGGAGTGTATGTGTGTGTAATATTGAAGGGACTTGCTATTCTAGGAACAATAGGGGAATAACTATCTTTATCTCTCACCTTTTCTCTTCCAACCTGCTCTTCTTTCCCAGCTCTTAAGGAAAATATCTTAAACTCACAGCTTTATGATCATTTTCAGGCATTAAAGGAATATTTATTTTTTAGGTCTAGAAAATTCCAGGTTGATCTAAATCAAATGTTCTGTATCTTAATTCAAAAGTTCTCTGCTGTTCCTCAGCTCAAGACTGACACAGACTGGAGAATCTGAAGTGGGAAAATGGGTGTGGTCTGTTTTCTTCCCTTTGGGCTCTTTTCTTCTTTATTTTCTTCGCTGTTATGGTCATTTTTCTTTCCCCCCTGTCTTTTAACCTGCTTTTGTTTCTATTTCATCCAGGATCAGATGACACAGGAAGGAAGGATGGAAGGACATATACATGACTTATTCAACACCGATTGTCACCTGAGGTCAGTAGCTGTATTCCTGCTGTTGCTATGATAAATTACTACACATTTTTTTTTTTTTGCTTAAAATAGAGGAAATTACTTATCTTAGAGTTCTGGAAGTCAGACATTCAGAATTAATTTTATGGGACTGAAATTGGGATGTTAATAGGGCTACACTTGTTCTGGAGTCTCTCGTGGAAAATCCGTTTTCTTTTCCAGCCCCTAGAGGTGGCGTGCACCCCTGGTCTTGTGGCCCTTTCCTCCACTTTCAAAGCACATCACTCCAACCTTTGCTTCCATTGTCATATTTACTTCTCTCATCCTGATACTCCCGTCTCTTTCTTATAAAGTCCCTTGTGATTATTCCAGGACAATCTAACCATTCAAGATTCTTAACTTAATCATATCTTTGATTTCCCTTTTGTCATTTAAGTTCTGGGGATTATGACATAGACATTTTTCAGGGAGGAGGTCATTATTCTGCTTATCACAGCAGCATCCCTCAACAATTTTTATTGATTCTTCAGTCAAGCACAGTAGTAATTGGTACTTCTGCAAGACCAAGGGACACTGTTTACATTCTCAAATTCTCTGGACCATCATACTCCTGTGGCAGCAGAAGATTCCAAGTCACGTCACCCCTACCTGGCTTAATTTATGTGCAGGGAAAGCACTTGGCAATTTCCTAGAGAAGAAGTGGGAGGGTGTCCAACACTCTTTTGGCCCAGTTTTGGGCCAAAAAGTGAATACCTACTTATTGACCTTGCCCTCCTAAATGCTTCCTTGATTTTTTTTCAACTCTGCACAGCTTGCAGCTGAGTATGAGCCAAAGTCCACAAGTTCTGTTACATTACCACTGAGTCAGTGTTGTGGTCTATCACCTTGCTCTAGAGTGTTTGGGGCCTCAGCAGTCATGGTCTTAGCATGGGACCTTTGGCAAAGTCTCAAGATAAGGGGAAGATATAAATTAAATTTCCTGCTACATATAAATGTAAATTTAATTTTAATCATCTGAAAAAGATATTAAATTTTACTTATAAGATTTGGGGCAAAAGTCTCTCCTCTCCCAAAGACAGTCTATCATTATTTGAAAGTGTATCCTAACTCTTTGTACCTAAAGAAATGTGCCATTTTGTTTTGTGTGGTTTTTACTTTTTACTAATTACTTTACTAATTTTACTAATTACTTTTTATTTTATTTTTTATTTAATTTTATTAATTACTTTTTACTAATTCACTTTTTACTAATTTACTAATTACTTTATTTAAAGTATCATATCACATTGTGTGATCTACCTCATTCTTTTAAACTATAATGCATTGTTTCATTGACTATGCCACAATCTGTTTAGCCATTTTACCAAAGCCAATTCACTGAAAGGCATTTTGCCAACTAATCAATTTGTCAAATAAACATTTTGCAATGTTTACTTTTTACATTTTAACTATTTATGTTGTAACAATGATTTTATTTCCTTCTTTTTAAAGGCTAAATAGTATTTCATTGTGTATAGATAGCACATTTTCTTTCTCCATTCATCTGTTGACAGATACAGGCTGATTCCATAACTCAGGTAATTTGAACAATGCTTTAATGAACATGGCGGTGCAGATATCGCTTTACATAATGATTTTATGTCCTTTGAATGTACACCCAACTGTGGAATTGCTGGATCATACAATAATTCTTTATGCAGTTATAATTTGTCAATTTCCAATGCAATAAAATTTAATAATTTAAAAATTACTTATAGTACTTACACAAATTTGAGGACGTAAGATAATTTTGTCAGCTTTTGCAGATTTCTGCAAAATTTAAGTTGAGTTATTTAGAAATGAAAAATATTTCACTTTTCAGAAGGTGGTGATCATGTTCTAAATATATGCCCTTCTGGCTTCCCTTCTTTGTGCCCCTCGCTCACCTGTAACCCGAGTATCACCATCCTGGGATGATTCTTTCCTTCATTTTTGTCCTAGCAGCAAGTTTTCTCTGTGTTCTGATTCTTTTCACTGAAGCTTCAAGTTGCTAAAGCACAAATGGACATTCCTTATAATTCTGTCAAGAAAATAAAAATAAAAAATGTGTCAACTATCCAAAACAAAATGTTTGTTTAAATTTTTCATGCAATTTAAATTATTGTAAACTTTAAAAATATTTGTCTTAATTTAAATTTGCCAAATTGATTTTTCTATGAATTGACTTTTGCAATTTGGCTATTTGGTGAATTAGCTTGTCATAATTGGCTTGAGTGAATTACCTTCAGCAATTGCCCACTTTCCCTGTTAATAGAAGCCTAGTGTCTGTTTTTTATTTTCCAGTGGGCTTTTGGAAACAAAACGTAATAATATTCTGCCTCATTTTTCTCCAAAATGGCTTTTGCACGCCGATAGGAGTATATATAAGGTATCAATTTCACCAAACCTTTACATATGCTAGTTATTATAAAAATTAGTGTTTTATTATTGTTGTTTTTGTTTCCCTGTATTAGGAAGATTAATAATACTTGCATTTCTAGTTTGTAACTCGTGTTGGGTGTGGAGCTTTTGGCAATTTTTTTCTTTTTGTGGGATTTGGGGGCTTAATGTTAATTATTTTAAGGGTTTTTGTGTTGTTAAATTTGCTGATAATGTTATTTACCATATAGTAGTTTACTTTTGTCAATTAAAATATTTTACTTCAGAGATCTTGCTTCATTTTTGGAGCATAAGATGGCCTTCCTTGCCTTAAAATCATAAACATTTTTTATTGTATTCTGCCAATATTTTTCCTTAATGTTCAGTAAATGTGGAAGTTATAGTTTAGAAAGATATGAGATAGAGACTTCATTCAAACTTGATTTTTTAAATTATCTAAATTTATAAGATATTTTGGCATTTGATAGAGTAAGTCCCCATCTTTTTTCATTTCCAAAGCTGGTCTTGCTAAGCTGACATACTGATTATAGAATCAACTTGGCAAGTCCCATAAAAGATCTTCAGAACAACTTTGATTAAAATTGTAGTACATATATAGGTTGATTTGAAAACTAAATGTGTACCATGTTTATTATTTATGAATATGGGCTAGATCTAATTTTTCTTTATTGTATTTTTTAAAGTTTTCTCAACATATGTCTTGTCCATTTCTGTTTTAGTACATGCATACTTTATTGATTTTTGTTGCTGTTTTAAAGGGATTTTTCTTTTTTGCATTTTTATAATTAATTATTAATTTTTATAGGAGAATTTGGGGTTTTTATATATTTAATCTTATATCCTTTTATTTTGTGGTACTTTCTTAAATGGCCCTGAATTTATTGGAAATACTTCTACTGCTTCATAAGAATTTATTTTGCTTGCTGAAGGTTTTAGATAGAATCACTAAATCAGGTATTATTTCTTTCTATTCCTTGTATGTCAAATACTTATATCAGGAACAAGATGTAAATTTTAAAAACACCTTTCTGGTGTCTATTGAAATGACAGTGGTGCTTTTCTCTTGAATGTTCTACTGTGTCCAGTATAAAATGAATACTCTATCCAAGCTTTGGGTAATGTGTCCAATACTGCCTGATAGAAGGAGAAGGGTCATTGCAACCCAAATCATATAAAATTGATCTTATTTTCACAAAGCTCCTAATGTTCTAAGGTATATTAATAATGTTTTGGTTGCAAATGGTAGATACCCAATTTCTACTCAAGAGAAAGAAAAATTTGGTAATAAAATGGGATTCTGCATAGGTTTCAAGAGGAGGATGCAACCTTAGAATGAAACAAAGGCCTACATTGATATTAGAAAACTCAAATTGTTTTCCATTTTCCTTACTTCTCCTCTTTGTGAGTACCTGTTGTATTATTAATCTTTCATTGCAAACTAACTTCTGTTTCTTAGATCTTGTAGCAGAAAATGGCTACCACATACAGCTCCCCAGTGTATATGTGATAGTCCAGGTGCCCACATAATTTCCAAGGGCTAAAATTCCCAGAGAAGAGACCTTATGACTCTATTTGAGTAAGATGCTTGCCATTCGACCAGTCGTCTATGGACAGAGAAAAGGGCACAAATTAGTATCACCACAGCTACTGCGGCAACATGCAGGTGGAAATAAAAAGGGGAACTTACCAGACAATCCTTCTGGGCCCACGATTCAAAACCTGTCCATTACACAGGAAAGACAGACACCTTTTCTTGTGTGCTGTGTTCTGTGATAAGGAAAATGTGGAGTCATTAGAAATATCCAGTGCAGAGAGAAGAGGCCTTATTTTTGTTTAGGGAAAAGTGCACACCTCCCAGTTGAAGTAATATTTCCCCTAAGCCTTTGAGAGTAAGTAGCCATGCAGATGTCCTAGCTGGTGATCAGCCTGGATTTTTGCAGTAGAACCTCTAATTTCATTCAAGTGAAATTTGTTTTTCGAGTGAAATTAGAAAACTTTGTTCTGATAAAGCTCTAGAATTAATTTTTCTCTAATGCAGTAATTCTCAAACAAACTTTAATGTGTATATAATATTTTGGGGTAGTCTTGCTAAAATGCAGATTCTGTTTTTAGAGGTCTACAGTGGGAATTTCGCATGTCTGCAAGCTACTAAGTGCTGCTGTTAGTGCAGATGCACAGACTACACTTTGCGTTACAAGTTCTCGTGTATTTTAAGGAAAGATTTACATTTTGGAGATTAACATGAGGCTTCATGCCTTAAATCAGAAGGAATATTCACCATGTAATGAGTATTGGATGAATGAATCAAGTGATAACAGAATGAAGCATAATCAGAATTTCGCTTTTTTAAAGTAAAATGTCAAGTATCTTAAAGAGAGAAAATTGAATAATTGCAGTTGATGCTATGGCATATAAACTAGCTTTTCTTTAACATCTGGGGGACCCACTGTAAATAAAGTAATTTTTTATACCGTGTTGTTTTTATGTCTGATTTATGGCCGTTTGGTGCTTTGCAGTTATCTTCAGTGTCCTTTAGCCATCTTCTGAGGCAAAATATATAATCCTCTGGAGTTCATACAAACACCTACTGCAATTCCCCTGTAATTTCTTAGCTGAATTACTGAGCATGGGAAGCTAATTTACACACACACACACACACACACACACACACACACACACTTGCATTCAAAGGTCAATGTTAAACAAATTAAGTAACAAAATCATAGTATCTTCCCATTACATACTGTGAAGTTCTCTGTGTAAAATAAGACTTGTAATAGAGTAATATTTTTAAAGTGTTTTAAACCAATAAATCAAAACCAATTTATAGTTTAAGCCTGATGCAGTAAGTTTATTTTTTAGAAAATAGACTCCAAGCTAAAGATTTGCATGCAAGTTTTTTACTGGAAAATACTCCTGGTGGGGCAGGAGGAGGACACCCACAAAGAAGCGAAAGAAGGAGAGTTGGGCAAAGAGAGAAGATGAACTGTGCTACAGTTACAAAAGCGACTTTAGCAGAGCCTCAGTGATAGCTCTGAACCTGGCCGGTCAGAGATGTTCTGGATTGAAAAAAAATAGTAAACTATTGTTTCCTGCTCCTTGTCTGAAAGCAATTGTCTGGGAAGGATATAGCTGTGACATCAACTGCCAGTACTCCCAGAGATTGGGGTAGTGATTGTTCCATCCTGAATTAAGATCTGAGCCAGACACCACAGCATCCATCGCAGAATGCCTCTTGCACCTTACATGTTCATCATCTCTCTTCTGCCCAGTCAAGATACTCTTCTCCCATGCAAGTACTAACTAGGCCCATCCCTGCTTAGCTTCTGAGATCAAATGAGATTTGGTGTGTTCAGGGTGCTATGGCTGTGGGAAATTCTCTTCTCTATTAGCACCTCTGCTGGCCTAGGTTACTTACATGATGGGTAATCCATGCCCTTATTCCTGAGGGCTGTGAGTCCTGGTACTTTGTCTTTCTCAGGCTGTGACTGCTGCATTGGTTAATTAATATCTAAATTGGCCAGGACAATACCAAATGATGCCACAGTAGCTTGACTGCATACTATGAACTTTTCATCCTACCCCCGTTTTATCACAGCAGCCTTGCTTCCTCCTGATGGTTAGTGTTATTTGCTTTGGCCAGAATAATTAGTCCACTCCCTGCTAGCTTCTTGTTGACCAAATGGCAACTATAGCTTAAAGTTTAGTGAGATTCTTGCTGTGTCCCCTGGTAGAAATATTCTTTCCCTGGTATTCTGTATGCATATAAACATTAGAGCTCAGAATTGTGGTGATGGAAAGCACATTTGTGCCCACATGGGTCATTGCAAGTACAACTAAGAGGGACTATTCCAACTTCTACGCTTTGTTTCCTAATATATAAAATAGGATGAGTGTAGCCAAGAGTCAGATGCCCAGGGTTGCTTGTCTTTTGCTGTAAAGTGTCTTCTCTGTGTGATATGATATTAGATAGGATTCTATACTAATGACTCAAGTACTCTATAACCTCTGTGTGATATTAGATAGGATTCTATACTAATGACTCAAGTACTCTATAACCTCTGTGTGATATGATATTAGATAGGATTCTATACTAATGACTCAAGTACTCTATAACCTCTGTGTGATATATTAGATAGGATTCTATACTAATGACTCAAATACTCTATTAGCCCTGGAATAGTAGTTTGACTTGAATCAAAACACATTACCATTATGAACTTGTCTTCCCTGTAGACAGGAAAGATACATTCATAACACTAATATATTTTCATTCAAGTCAAACTGAACTGCTGCCCCCTCCCGAGTGGAAGTGGTTTAATGAGACCAATTTGCCACAAAATATCTCGAGTCTTCTTGGGAAACAATGCTGAATTATGGCCTCAGCTTTGATCTCTGTTGCTGGCATGTTGGAAATTTGGTAGCAAAAGTAGTTAAATTAGGATTGGTGAGTGAAAACCCATTATGTTGGGCCATTTCCTGCTACTATGACTATTCTGGTCACAAGTCCATCATGCCAGCAATTGAATGGCTGATATCAGAGGCAGGCTAAGAACTAATAGCCAAATCACTTTCTATGTGATCGTTGAGTTCTTCTTACATAGACAATGCAATGTAGGAGGCCCTAGTATATAATACACAGAGCTTCACATTCCAGTCTTATCAGTTCATTCACAGCTTATTACCCAGAGCTTGTTGTCTCTAATCTTTCAAACTTTCTCTTTCCAGGCCCGTGAACAATCAACCAAGCCCTTACATATTTCCCATGAGATGTTTTAAATTCTAAACTCAGGCCACTTTTCTAATAAAGTGGATGACCACATACAACTTGTAACCTCTATTCATTGGGATAATTTTCCCTCCTCACCGTCTTTCAGCACTAACCCTGCAATAGTAGTAGCAGTCCACTTAGGGCTTCAGTTTGTATACCAAACTGACCTATTCATAAACCTCGTACAGCATTTCTCCTTTTCTGCCAGCAGGTCTAGAAGGAAACACAAAACCACAGTTGTGAGCTGAGAAAGATGCACTAGTGTAACAATGGTAGATGACATGACAGTCTGTTTTCTTGTGCCCAAGTATTCAAGTAAAATATGTCTTCAACTCAGTGCAGATACATTAAAATAGCCCAAGTTCTATACTAATGAATATTTCAATCTACAAATTACATAGCATTAATATCCAAAAATAACTTAATTTATAATTAATGACTTAAATGCATCACTCTCTTTTAATTAAAAGGAATATATTATTGCACATTAGCTCCAATTTACAAGGAAAATGCATTCAGCGAAGAAGATTTCTCTCAATTGCTTTTAAAATAATAAAGAGAATTTATAAATAATTATGAGTTAAATGTAGCAGCAGCAAGTTTTGAAAACATAACTTTTACTAATGTGAATTTTCCTGATGTTCTTTTCATTGGAATTTAATTTTAGGACAAATTGAAGCTTTCAAATAGCACCATCTGGTCATCTATTAGACGGTGACATACAATACAGCAGTTGCAAAATGAAAAGGAAATGAAGCAATGTTAACAAGTAAAGGCAAAATTGTTTTAATTTCCCAAGATGTCTGAATTGATAGAAGACTGATTTAGTGACTGTACAAGTAGGAGCATCATATTCTATACCAGAGCCATAATAAACCTTAAATTCATGTTTCAGTGGCAGAAGTGAAAGGTGTACTATACAGTAATTCTGAGTGCCTAAGAATACAGCAGAATCCGACAGTGTACCAGGAGTTGTTTTACACTATGAACACTGTGTTTTTAATGTATAGGTAAGCCATAACCAAACTGATAAGCCATTTGTTAAATTATTTACAGTCTACACGTCTGGGTGGGGAATGGGTAGAGGTGATGGCAACCAGTAATTTTGGTAACTTTTACCTAAAATCTTTTTGTTTACATATCTATGAGTTGACAGTGGGAGCACAAGAGACAATACAACTTGGCTGAAAAAAATGCCATATAAGGTATAATAACAGTTTGTGGAACAAGTCTGCTCACTGAAGCATAAGTGGGTCAGTAATTGCTCCTGGCTATATAATGAAAATTTTTGCAATGAATTAACTAAACCCTTTCCAAATAGTATCTTTTAAAAATGTTCTTACAGAAAACTTCAAAATACACAAATGTAGCAACAGAAGTAGAGTGAAGTTCTATTTCTCCACTCTCCAGTGTCAGCAGTTATCAACTTTTGAGCCATCTGGTTTTATCTGTACACAACTCACTTCCTCATACCCCTGATTATTTTAAAGCAAATTGAAAGTATTACACCTTTTCATGAATAAATATTTCAGTGTAAATCTCTAAAACATAATGCCTCTTTTCTACACATAGCACCACCAACATAACACCTGAAAATTAACAGTAAGTCCACATTATAATCAAATATCCAGGGTTTACATTTCGTAACTTTTATAACTTTTGTTTGTCTGCCATTTGCAATCCTAGAAAGATCTGTGGATTACACTTAGTTAATATATCTCATACGTTTCTTTTACCAGAGTTTCACCTTCCATTATATTATTTTTCTGGCAATCTTTTATGGAAGAAATACTGTAGTTAGCCCCAGATTTTGCTCATTACATTACCGTGGTGCTACTTAACACATTCTTCTGCCTCCCATATTTTCTGTAGTTACTATGGAGGCAGGATAAGATTTAGTTTTTTGTGTGTTTTGTTTTGCAAGGCTATTTCATAGTTGGTCATGGTCATTCCCATTAGAAGGGATATATTGCCTGCTTTACTCTGTTTTTGTGCTATTATCAGTCATTGATGATAATTTCTTGGGTCCATTAATTAATTAGAGATTGCAAAATGATGATATAATTCTAATATTTCTTAATTTTTATTTGGATACTTCTATAAGAAGAAACTTTCTTTTATCAACTCTTTGGTCAACTGGAGTGCAAATAGCATAGAAAACACAGTGAATGGTGTTTTCTCTCTGTTTATTGGTTTTAAAATAATAAGTCAATTTCTTCTCATCATTCAAAGATGAGGATTTTTTACAATAAAGGTTTTACTATGCATGCATGGATTTAAACATGCGTGATGTTTTTTAATCCATTGCAGTATTCTTTATGTTAACAATCAATGACCCCATTTTTGACGATTGGGAAAAACTTTGGCTTCTGTGCCCTTTTGGCATGACACCAGTAGCCTTTGATAGACACATTTCTTGGTAGCCTAACAGTATACTCCAGGCTCATGTAGTATCTTTCCTGCTTTGACTATTTTTTAAATAATTTTAAAAATTATTTTAAGTTTGTGTGAAAATGTATTTAGAGACCATAGCCTGAGTGAAAGAATGCTCATTGCTATGGGGTTCATTATTATTCCCTGGCCTCTGAAGCGAAGACACCTAGAGTATGTATACCATGTTATTTATAAAGTACATGAGTTCATGAGTTTATACTGATACTTATAATTCAAATTCAAGTTAACAGAGTTTTATTTAACTTCATTGATCTTACATCTGTATCTCTTTTTCTCCAGGCCAAATATTCTACAGTTTTGTGACACCAAAATTTACGAACTTGCTTTATCTTCTAAACTGCATACAAAAGAGTCTCAGAATAACACTCGCCCTATCACCATTAATATGCTTATGAAGAATTCAATTCTTAATTTTTTTCCTTTATATATTTCCCACAAGAGATGTGTAGTCCAGAACTACATTTTAGTATCCTTAGATTAGTTCCATTCTGCATAGAAATGAAACTAACTCTATACATTTTTAGGCTAATCTGTTCCACTGTACTTTCAATTTTGGGAGACATTTTTAACAATGTTGTTTTATACTTTTATAATTTTCATAGTTCCAAATTAAGATCTACCAGAGTATATCCAAAGAAGTCTAGATCCATACAAATGGTGTTCCCTCCAGCTTATTTATACCTTTAAACTATTAGTAACTTTTTGATAAAAAAGGTTTATCTTTTCGAATTTTAAAATATAACTATATATTTTACACAAAGTGCTATTTATATATCCTATACTAATTTTTTACACACATACAATGCCTTTATGTACTACCCTTAATCCCTCACTCTTGCTTTTCCTTTGATTTTATTTATTGATACTTTGTGCCATGAGAAATATTTAAATTAGGTGCTAACTTTTTTATCTCCTTTGACACCCTCTTATCATTATCTGATTTAAAGTAATATCTTATTTCTCCAAAATAATATCTGAAAGTCAGTTATTGAGCATCTTATTTTTCACATAATTTCCTCATTCTCCCTCAGTGGTTAATAATTGTACAATGTACATGGTGAGAATGTATAGCCATTCTCTACAACACTGATTTTCTTATAATCCATTATTTTATTTTGATATACAGGTAAATATATTCCATATCAACACTGGTTCATTTGTTGATGGCTCTTCAATCATTTAGGTTACCTAAACTCATTATTAGATGACTCATGAATAGTAACAATGTTGTAGAAAATACCTATAGAAGATGGCACGTTCTAAAAGGTTGCTTGTGGCCTCCATATTTGAAGTATTTGGGGTTGAATGTATAATCCCCAGTTCACATTTTTCTTTTCTTGAGTATCTTAAATAATGTCCTACTTTTGTCTAACGTAGCGTGTTGCTTTGAAAAGGTCTGATGACAATTTGTACTTTTTTTTTTTTGCAATTTGTCTTTTGTCTGGATGTCCAAAATATTTTCTTTCTTTTTTTAAGTCCAATACATTTAAGAAAATATATCTCGATGAAGAAGACCCGCAAACTCTGAGCAGATCTGCAGAAAGAGAGGACTGAGAATACACAGAGGGAGGATGAAGATGCTGGGCTGAACGGGGAGGAATCTGGGAACCCTGCATGGGGCTGCCAAGCACCAAGGCTTGTTTGCAGCCCCCAGTGGCTCCTGGTGAAGGGATGAGCTGAATAGGTGAGGAGTGGCCCACTCTCATCAGAGACCTCTGGAATCCTGGCTGAAGGGGACCCCATGATCCCACTGACATCTGAGCTGGCAGGGAAAGCTGCTTGGAGAAGTGGCAGGGACAGGACTCCAGCCTGTGAGGAGCCTAGAAGATTTGGTGTGGGAATAGCAGCAGTGGAGCACAGGCAGTGATGCCCATCCCAAGGTGTGTCACACTCCTCTAGGTGTCTTTGGCCTTTGTTGACTGTCATACCAGGTCAGAGCAGGGCTGTCTTGCTCATGGGACAGGGTCAATCTGATCTCAGCACCACCATATCTGCTGGCCTCTTCTGGGTCCCCTCCCTGGCCATACCTGTTTGCAGTGCAGCCTTGGATCCTCAGCCAGGGTGCTTTCCAGAATCTGCCACTATAGCTTCTTAGCTAGTAGACTCCACTTATCAGATAACTTCAGCAGACGGGCCCCCACTGACATGCACTCCCCAGCAGCCTCCCCGCAACACTTAGCCAGCACACACTCACCTGTGGTGCACGTGTGGACAGACTCCTGTTTCACTGTCACCAGTACATGTGTGTACCTCACCACCACAGCCCTGCCTTCACCAATGTACCCACTTGCATAGACTCTGGCCACCAGCTGCCATCGCCAGTGCATGTAAGTGCAGACCCTGCTGCCACCACCCAACAAAGTGCTTTTGCCGGTACCTCCCCCGCCCTTGGTGTGTTGTTTCCAGAAGACTGAGAGCACCTTGACTCCTCCAGCGCAGCAGGTGGCTAACCTCAAAGGACCAGAGAACAAAGTCGTGGGCCTGATCCAACCCCCCAGGTTAGAACATATAGCCCAGGAGTGCTGACCTGAGCCCGGGACCCCTGAAATTGTCCAGAAACGAAGCCAGTTGACTGACTTAAACCACAAACCCTCAAGGACATCATGAATATAAAATCAAAAAGTCCCATCAAAAGGACATTAACTTCAAATATTAAAGGAAAATCAGCCTACACACATAATAAAGAACCAGTGCAAGAACTCTGGCAACTCAAAAGCCAGGATGTCTTCTTATCTCCAGAAAGCTACACTAGCTCCCCAGGAATGCTTCTTAGCCAGGTGAAATGGCTGAAATTACATACTTAAAATTCAGAATCTGGATGGCAACGAAGATCATTAAAATTCAGCAGAAAGTTGAAACCACTCAAAGGAATCTAGAGAATCCAGTAAAATGATACAAGAGATGAAACTCAAAATAGCTATTTTAAGAAAGAAGCAAAGTAACCTAACAGAGATTGAAAACTCACTATAAGAATTACAAATGGAAGCATTTACAGCAGAATTAACCAATCTGAGGAAAGAATCTCAAAGCTCAAAGACCAGTTTTTCAAATCAACTTAATCAGACAAAAATAAATAAAAAAGAATTGACCAAAACTTCTGAAAATTATGGGATTTTATTAAGAGAGCAAACCTATGATTTATTGGTGTCCCTGAACGAGGGGGAAAGAGAGCAAGCAACTTGGAAAACTTTTTGAAGGTATTGACCAATAAAATTTCCCTAATCTCACTAGAGAGAAGGTTGCTTCTTTTTTTTTTCTTTTTTTCTATTTCCTCTGGGTGTTGAAGGTTGTTTCAACATTCAAATTTAGGAAATTCAGAAAACTCCACAAGATATTATATAAGATGACTATGTCCAACACACATAATCATCAGACTCTTTATGGTCAATGCAAAAGTAAAAAACATTAATGGCAGCTAGAGAGAAAGGGTGGGTCACCTCCAAAGGAACCCCATCAGGCTAACAGTGGACCTTTCAGCAGAAACTGTACCAACCAGAAGAGATTGAAGGCCTATATTTAGCATTATTAAAGAAAATAAACTCTAAACAAGAATTTCATATCCATTCAAACTAAGCTTCGTAAGTGAAAATGAATTCATTACTATCATACCTGCCTTACAAGAGGTCCTTAAGCAAGTTCAAAACATGGAAATGAAAGATTGTTACCAGCCACCACAAAAGCACACTTAAGTACATAGACCATTTACACTACAAAGCAACTACATAATCAAGTCTACATAACAACACAATGACAGGACCAAATATGCGCATATCCATATTAACCTTGAACGTAAATAGGCTAAACACCTCACTTACAAGACATAGAATAGCAAGTTGGATGAAGAAGCAAGAACCAAGTTATACTATCTTCAAGAGACTCATCTCACATGCAATGACACCGATAGGATCAAAGTAAAGAGGTGGAGAAAAATCTACCAAGCAAATGTGAAACAAACAAACAAACAAAAAGGACGAGTTACTATTTTAATTTCAGACAAAACAAACTTTAAACCAACAATGATCATGAAGGGCAAGAAAGGGCACCACATGGTAATAAAATGTTCAATTTAACAGGAAGACTTAAATATCTTAATTGTATATGACCTTAACACTAGAGCACCCAGATTCATAAAACAAGTTCTTAGAGACCTATGAAGGGACTTAGATAAGCACAAAACAGTAATAGGAAACTTCAACACCCCACTGACAGCATTAGACAGATCACTGAGAGAAAACTAACAAAGATGTTCAGGATCTAATTTGACATTTGACTAAATTGACCTAGCAGACATCTAAAGAACACTCCAATGAACTGTAAAATAACATACGATTTTCTCAACAGCATGTGGCACACACATTAAAACTGATCACACACTTGGCCATAAAGCAATTCTCAAAAAATTAAAAAAATCCAAAATCATACCAACCACACTCACAGATCACAGCACAATAAAACTAGTAGTCAATACTAAGAAGATCTCTCAAAAACATACAATTACCTGAAAATTAACCTGCTCCTGAATGACTTTTAGGTAAATAGTAAAATTAAGGTAGAAACTGAGAAATTCTTTGTAATTTATTAGAACAAAAGTACAACATAGCAGAGTCTTTGGGGCACAGCTAAAGCAGTAAGAGGAAAGTTTATAATGTTAAATGCTCACATCAGAAAGTTAGAAAGATCTCAAATTTACAACCTAAAATCACAACCAGAGGAAATAGAAAAAAAAAAAAATAGAAGAAGAAAAAAAATAAACCCAGCCCTAGAGCTAGCAGAAGAAAATAACCAAAATCAGCTGAATTTAATCAAATGGAGACACAAAAAACCATCCAAACGATCAACAAAACCAAAAGATTGTCTTTTGAAGGAATAAATAAGATTAATAGACTGCTAGCTAAAGTAACAAAGAAAAAAAAAAAGAGAGGAGATCCAAATAAACGCAGTCAGAAATGACAAAAAGAACATTACTACCAACCCCTTAGAAATACAGAAAATCCCTCAGAGACTATAGAAAATCCCTCAGTGACTATTATGTACACCTCTATGTACCCAAAGTAGAAAACCTACAAGAAATTGATAAGTTTCTAGAAACATACAACCTCCTAAGAGTTAACCAGGAAGAAAATGAAACCCTAAAGAGACTAATAATGAGTATGGAAATCAAATCAATAATAAAAATCCCACCAACCAGAAAAAGCCCTGGGACCAGATTGATTAACAGCCAAATTCTATCAGATGTATAAAGAAGAACTGGTTCCAATTTTACTGAAAATATTTCAAAAAATTGAGGAGAGACTCCTCTTTAACTCACTATATGAGGCCAAGATCATTCTGATACCAAAACCTGAAGGACACAACAAAGAAACAAAGCTTCAGGTGAATATCCCTGATGATCACAGATGCAAACATTCTCAACAAAATACTAGCGAGTGAAACCCAGTAGCACATCAGAAAGCTAATCCACCATGTTGAAGTAGGCTTTATTCCTGGGATGAAAGGTTGGTTCAATATACTCAAATATATAATTGTTATTCATTACATAAAGAGAACTAAAAACAAAAAACACATGATGATCTCAATAGACACAGAAAAAGCTTTTAATAAAATTCAGCATCCCTTCATGTTAAAAATCCTCAACAAACTAGGCATCAAAGGGACACACCTGAAAATAATAAAAGCCATCTATGACAAACTTATAGCCAACATCATTCCCCTTGAGAGCCCAAATAAGACAGGATGCCCACTATTGCAACATCTATTCAACACAGTATAATACAATAGTTCTAACAAGAGCAATCAGGTAAGAGAAAGAAATAAAAGGCATCCAAAAAGGAAGAGAGGAAGTAAAACTCTCTCTCTTCATAGACCATAGGATTTTATATCTAGAAAATCCCATAGTCTCTCTCTTTCTGAAAGAGTCCTATATCTGATAAACAACTTAAAGCTTCAAAATAGAAAATAAATGGAAAAAAATCAGTACCATTTCTACACACCAATAATGTCCAAGCTGAGAGCCAAATCAAGGAGCGCTCCCATTCACAGTAGCCACCTAAAAAGGAAAATACCTAGAAATAAAGCTAACTAAGGAGCTGAAAGATCTGTACAAGGAGAACTACAAAATGCTGCTAAAAGAAATCAGAGACAACACCAACATATGGAAAAACATTCCATGCTCATGGATAGGAAGAATCAAAATTGTTAAAATGGCCATAGTACCCAAAGCAATTTACAGATTCAATGCTACTTCTATCAAACTACCAAAATCATTTTCACATAATTATAAAAAAACTATTCTAAAATTCACATGGAACTAAAAGAAGAGACTGAATAGCCAACACAATCCTAAGCAAGAAGAACAAAGCCAGAGGCATCACACTACCTGACTTCAAACCATACAGACTACAGTAACCAAAATAGTATGGTATTGGTACAAAAACAAACACATAGACCAATTGAACAATTTAGAGAACCCAGAAATAAAGCTGCACACCTACAATCATTTGAACTTTGACACAGCTGACAAAAATAAGCAATGGGGAAAGGACTCTCTGTTCAATAAATGGTGCTGGGATAACTGACTAGTGGTATGCAGAAAAATGAAACTGTACCCCTACCTTTCACCATATATAAAAATAGACTCCAGATGGATTAAAGATTTAAATGTAAAGCTTAAAACTATAAAACCCTAGAAGAAAACCTAGGAAATACCATCTGGACATAGACCTTGGAAAAAATTTCATGATAAAGACGCCAAAGAGAATTGCAACAAAACCAAAAACAGACAAAAAGGGCTTAATGAAACTAAAGAGCTTCTGCACAGCAAAATAAACTATCATCAGAGTAAACAAACAACCTGAAAAATGAGAGAAAAATATTTGCAAACCGCATTCAACAAAGGTCTAACATCCAGAATCTATAAGAAATTTAAACAAATCAACAAGCAAAAAACAAAACAAAACAAAACAAAAAAACATTAAAAAATGGGCGGCCAGGCACAGTGGCTCACACCTGTAATCCCAGCACTTTGAGAGGCCGAGGCGGGTGGATCACCTGAAGTCAGGAGTTCGAGACCAGCCTGGCCAACGTGGTGAAACTCGGTCTCTACCAAAAATAGAAAATTTGCTGGGCGTGGTAGCACGCGCCTGTAGTCTCAGCTACTCCGGAGGCTGAGGCAACAGAATCGCTTGAACCCAGGAGGCGGAGGTTGCAGTGAGCCGAGATTGTACCACCGCAGTCCAGCCTGGGTGACAGAGCGAGACTCTGTCTCAAAAAAAAAAAGGCAAAGGACACGAACAAACCCTTCTCAAAAGAAAACAAACACATAGCCAAGAAGCATATGAAGAATTGTTCAACATCACTAATCATTAGAGAGATGCAAACCAAAACCACAATGAATTACTATTCCTCACCAGTCAGGATGGCTATTATTAAAAAGTCAAAACATAACAGAACTTTGTCACTTCTCTTTTTTATTTTCTGTTTTTCTTATTTATTCATTCATTTATTTTTTTTTTTGAGATGGAGTCTCGCTCTTGTCACCCAGGCTGGAGTGCAGTGAGGCAATCAAGGCTCACGGCAACCTCCACCTCCCAGGTTCAAGGGATTCTCCTGTGTCGGCCTCCCGAGTAGCTGGGAATACAGGTGCCCACCACTATGCCCGGCTAATTTTTGTATTTGTAGTAGACACGGGGTTTCACCATGTTGGCCAGGCTGGTCTCCAACACCTGACCTCAGGTGATCCGCCCGCCTCAGCCTCCCAAAGTGCTGGGATTACAGGTGTGAGCCACTGCACCTGGCCCATTTTCTGTTTTTCTAATAATCAAATTTTTAACTTTAAAATTTCTAATCCATAATGTTTTTTCATAACTCTTACTCTTTTAATTTCTTCATTTCATTCTGAAACATTGGTTTACAGTTTTTCTGCAAGATGTCATTCAATCTCACTTTCCCTTTTCTTTTAAAATAGTTTGTGTGGAATTTAACCAAGGTACTTTTCTGCCATTATTTTTTAAGTAAAATTAGTTTTCTTATGCTTTTAGGAGTGAGAGACATTCTCAAATAATTTTCTGGTTTTGTAGCTCTGTAACTCTATTAACCTTACTGAAGTAATAAAAAATGTCTGTGTACTTTGTGAGTTCTTTCTCCTCACTTTCCCTCTCCCAACTTTATCTTGATATTCTCTTTCTTTGCTTCTATTATCTTTGTTCTACTGAATTTTTCTTCTCCCAACATTTTCTCTACACATGTGCTTTTTGCTAGAAAAGAGCTTTTGTGTGTTCAAGAGTTCTCAGGGTGCAAACTACTTCCAGGTGTTTTAGACTTTCTGATGATTCCGTGAAGTCTGAAGTCATCTGAAAATTGAAGTCTGTATCCCCCTACCAGTTACACTGTTCATCTCACAATGGCCTGACACCCATTTCACTATGTTCCTGATGACCACTTTGGGGTTTTCCTTTTCTCAGAGCCTCCACTTCCTCCATACAGATTTCAAATGAATCTAGTAGATGTTGGTATTTTTTGCTTAGATTTTGGTAGCACTTCTTTTTGTTGTAGTCATTTTTTCTGAGGTTTGGTCTTTACCATCCTAATTGCTCAGTGTGTTCTATGTGGAAATTTAGGGAGATGAAAACACTACTCCTGGCACCAACATCTCCCCAAAATGCAGCAGAAATATAGTAATTATTACTAACTTTTCAAAATCACATAGTAAATTCCCAGGATATATAGATAGAGCAAGAATTGGCAAAGGAAATAATAAAATTGACATTAGCAGTGATAGACTACATGTTTTATAATGACAGCTTTGGCCCCAGGAAACGATGACTCTATAACAGTGCATTATTTTATATGCACACACACATATACAATGTTGCTAGATAAATGAGCAATAGCAGAAAAACAATGTTTTAAAAAACAAAATAAATAAATTAAATTAAGGAAATATATAAATAGGCCAATACTAGGCTATAATATCTAAAAAGAAAAAATAAATGGCTACTGCAAATGAAAGAATAAATATTAGCTAGTCTTGTAATACATACAGTATCTCAGAAAAAATATGTCTAGGAATTATTAGGAATCTAAGAGCTCTAATCTAAAGCTCCACCTTATGTCTAAGCAATTTTCTTAAGTCTCCCAGTGTGTGCATTATGTTCATTCCTCAGTTTAGCATTATTGTGCATTGAAATCATGTAAAATTAAAATCTTTCATTAATGATATAGAATATCTAAAAGTGTCTTTACCTAACTGCATTGCAAAGAAATATTAGCTAAATATTATAGTTAACTTCAAAATTTCATACAATGCAACACAGTATATTTCTGTGACTTTCAAAATTAGTACCTCACTGTCACTTCTTAATTTCCTTTTCTTTCTCTTTTACTTTCAATTGCTAAATATTGGAGACATAATGTAAGTTAAAATGAGTTGATACAGTGATTGACAAATGGTAGAAGCAGGGCCAGGAAAAAGCATACTGTATGTATGAAGGAACAATTGCAAAAAGGCAGTTTTTTCTGACCCTCAAAATCCTTTACTGTTCAAAACTACTTTGCAAAATAGTTATATAAATTTTATGTTCCTAATATATTCCTTTTCTGGAAGCCAAAAGCACTTTTCCAAAGTTAATATGCACTTTAGATTCAGTCCTCCCATTTGGAATAATGGAAAATAAAACTTAGTGTTAGAAATGACCTTAGAAATCGAGTTGTTTTTCAAATGTTACTAGCAACGTAAGCCTTTCTTAACAAATGAAAATGTTCTGAGAGCACCAGTAAATCAGATGAGAGCAGAACAGCATTAAATGAATTTAACAAGAATGGTTGGAAATCCCCATATTTGATATCACTCAGCACCTTTGGAAGGTATTTGAATAATTCTGGAGAGCATATTAGGGCTTCTTCATAGTTTAGATACCGCACATTTAATTCAACTACTTCATGGCGTAGATGAGAAAGTTGAAGTTAAATGATTTTCCTAAGTAGAACAGTTAATTAGTAGCAGAACTGGTGTTTTAAGTAACTTGAGTCCAATTATGTGCCATTTGCATTATTCATGGTACCCTGAACTTTCCTAGAAAATCTATTAAACACTTTTACTTTTATTTTTCCATTTTGATTATATAACTATGCCTTGGTTTGATTGATGGTTCAGTGTTAATTAAAGTGTTATATAAGTTGAATTATGTAAACAAACTAGTGGAGCTCACAGTTTCCAAAATATCTTAATCTTTGTGAATCAAAGAACTTTATTGACCATATAAAAATCACACAATAATTTCCCTATGTTATAAACTCTGACTCGTTTTATATAAGCAAAGACCAATTATGTAAATTTGCAAGTGTACCTGTAGATAAACAGAAGGTACATTTTAAGGAAGTGGGGGAAAAATAAGGAAAAAGAAACCATGTGGAACAGATTTTGTCAGTAACAACCAAAAGCCTACTGAGACAGTACAATTGTTTAAAATGATGAGTGTCATCTCTTCCTAGTTTCTGTTTTGCATGTGAACTGGTTATTACTTCCTGTGGCTAAATGTCATATATTCTTATGGCAAACATTGGGCCTATAGTAATCTCTAATTATAATCCATATTTAATGTGAAAACAAGAAAAATATATTAACTTACAATATACTTCATGAAAATATAAACTTCTCAGGAAACAAAACATGAAGCACAAATGCTCTAATATTTTTTCTCTGTTTAGGCAAATTTTTATTTTCAAACAAATGACAGTGAGTTGCTCCTCAAAAGGATGGTGCAAAAGTTAAACAGAGATAGCTTTGAAACCTAAGTAGCTGATAATTTCAAAATAAAACATTAGAAAATTGTCATAATTTTAATAATAGTAAAGATAACTAATATCTATTTAACACTTTCTATGGGAAGACCCTGCGCTAGTAATTTATATGCATTTGTCTTATTTCATTAGTATAAATACTTTAGGAAGTAGATACTGTCAACATTTTATAGATGACAAACTAAGGCTCATAGTCAATGAATGTACTACAGTCTTTATAAACATGATTATCAGCATAGAGAGAGATCTGGGTCAAACTGGGTCACAGTTCACATCTGAACTGTGAAACAAAAGACAAGCTATTCCATGTATTTGTTATTAGAATTCCTACTCCAATAATTGGGGTATTGTCTTACAAGATTATTATTAAGAGATTATGTATGGATGAACCTGGCCAACAGAGGCATTAAACATGTTGGAAACAATATGGTACTGCTTTACTATTTTTGTAACTATTGTTTACTACCATAAATATTGTTATACTATTTTATACTCTTCATATTTCTACCATCAAAAATACTTTAATTTTTTAAGATTTTAATTTTCTTTCTTAACATATGACTAAAAGGGCAAAAAGTGCAGTAATCATAATTGTAAGTATTCACTATAAGCTATTTGTTCAGAAATGACATTTCAAAAATGACCTTATTTCCAAACTGAGTCCAGTCTCTTGAGGAATAAGTAGAGTATGTAAGAAGTTCTACTTCACTGATATTCACAGCCCTAGGCCATTTACATACCTAAAAATGTAGGAGACATTGAAACAAATTACTATTTATTTTCCTAAAACTGGCATTTCCTGAAACTAGCTAGTAATCAGTGGCTAATTTAAAAGATAATCACTCTCTACGGTTGACTCGTTTTTAATAGTTTTGGTGGAACCTTCAGAAAAAGGTCACTTACTATGATCCCAAGGAAAAGGTTCTAGGAGCCTAACAATTTCTCCCTTGTGTGAGATTATTCTCCCCATTAACCTTTTAAATGCAATTTCATGAGTTTATTAACAAGAAACAAATCTGTTAAAACTCAAGAGGATTTTTATGACATACGACTTGTCATTTTAAAACATATTAATCTCACTCACCCTACATTACAACCAACCCAAAATCATCTTAGGCAGTTTATTGTATGTGCCATTAGCAAACATAAAATAGAGCTTTATTACCACCACATAATTTAAATGATTTTTTAAAATGTCAATAAACTCTCATCTAATCAGTTTGTTTTCTCTAACACCATTTATTATTAGCACTTGGGATAATATAACACTTGGAATATTGGCCTCTCAATATTTCACTCAAGATCAATCATTATTTAATATTTCCCTGCAGTAGTATAAATCTGATAAACACTTCTTACAAATCACATAGAAATTTATATAAAGTAAATTTTTAATGAGTGAATTAAATCAGTAAATTTGTCTCGGTGATGCTATGTTCAAGTGGTAAGTGTTTTGAACATGGAATAACATAGAAATGCTATTTTTAAAAGGAAAACTTCAGTGTCCATTCATTCTGACAAATACTTATTAAATGCCCAATTGTATTCACCCTTAATTATTCAGCTTCACTTTCTATTGAGTAGTCTGTTTCTAGTTTTCTAAGTCACAATTTATACTTGTCAAAATAATTTCCCCCATTTCTAAACTCCTTGCTACTGTCATATTAATGAACCAATTATTTTTCATCCCCAAAACATTTTCCATATTTAAACTGCATGTCATGTCTCTGGTCTGGGAGGGCAGCACCACCTCATCACTAACTGATGGAATCTTAGATATTCATCAAAGACACTTCAAATAGAGTCCAAAAGTAGTATCTCCCTACATTAAATTGCTAGAATTAAAATAAGGAATACTGAAACACATAAACAAATAAATGTCATTCCCTTTGTTGTCAGAACCTCCCTCACAAGAGTTACAAATTGTATGGAAGAAAAAGGAATACCAGTCGGTGCCTTCCCTGGGGAAATGACTTATATTTTCCCGGCAACTTCAGAGGTGATCACACATTTTAAAGACTTAGGCATATATTTAATAAACACTGATTCAGTGCCTACAATATGCTAACGCATTTCTGGAGAGTTAATGATAAGATAGGCAAATTTACACTCTAATTGGGAAGAGAGATCATACAAAAACAAACAAATAAATGACCATGACAATTTTAGATGACACTAAACCCTACAGAAATAAAAATATATATGATAAAGTGCTGAAATATCATGGTTACCAGAGTTGGAGCAGTCAGGGAAGTCAGCTCAAAGAAGCTGACATTTGAATAAATAAATGTAAAACTAAATAAGAAAAAAAAAAACTGAATGACAGGAACAAACTGTATAGCCAAGTCTGAACTGTTCTTAAAATCTCCACCTTCTTAAAATGGGTGTGCTTTCCAGCTAGCAGGGCTCTGAACTAGATAAGGATTGAAGGTCAGAACCAAGCCCTCAAGGACTTACACATTTCAGGAAGTTCAACCCTGAAAATGGTGACTATGGGATAGATTATTATTTTTTTTAAATTCCTTAAATCATAACACAAATATTTAGTAGTGCCTATTATGTGCAAAATACTGTTCTAGGACTGGCTTAAGATATCACAAACTAAATTGTTCATAGGCTGATATATTCAGCAGAGATTTATTGAACTTCATGTACTTAGCTAGCATTAACAGGATTTTTAAATTAACCTACTCTTCCTGATGATGTAAAAAGCTGTTTTTGACATCCTATCCTTGACATTTTAAAGCAAAAGGTTACATTTCAGAATGATAATGCTCTTGCCTTTTTTTCACCTAAATTTGTCACCAGTCATTTCCCTTAGCGTATATGATGCTGGTGTTATTAACCATTTTGACAATGCTCACAGTTATGACTTGTTCCCAAATGTTTGCCTGAGTCCAGAGAACAGGTTTCAACTACCGGCTACTTAAACAAAATCCTTTTTGAAGGACCATTATGATAATTTTTTAAGTGGTAAGTTTTCCAGCATGCTAAATACTTTCAAAATGAAAACACAATATTTATAAAACAGATCAAAAGTGCTTCAGAAAAATTATTATAGGGCAGTGAGTCAATAAATAATGAAAGCCTATTTCAGAAATACAGCACCTTTCAGCCAAAGTGCTTTAAGTATGGAGATAGCTTCAATCATTCTCTCCAAAGTATAATACACTTTATATCACGGCCATTTATGATGGAAAAAATAAAATGACTGTACCTCACTTAAAACACAAAAGAGTGTGTTAGATGACAAATTGTGATCAGTAAAATGCATCTAGTTTAGGATGGCAATACTCAAGCCAAAAGTTTCATAAAAGTTAATTTCATCCTCAAATCAATTATGAGAATGCAAGTCCAAATTGTACAGTCAGTGTAACTGAAAGTCATGAGGACAGACAAAAAGCTGGCACAAGTTAAAGGCCAATATTCAGCACATTGACTTAGACATATTCTTGTCATAAGTCTCTGTGCATCCAAAGCAGGAAAAAGCAAAGAAAAAGAAAGTCAACAACAATACAAAATACGGTGGTGCCTATGCCTTATGTCTTACATTACTCCTAAGCCCCAAATAAACAGATGAATACACACTGAACTATCGAAATCTGTCTTTTGTCTTTCAACATAAAAATCAAGCCAAAACATGAGTTTGGCTACATGTGAGTTAGACTTCAGAAAGTAAAGGATAATTATTTTAAAAAAGGAAGATCTGTTTGAAAGTAACTTTACTTTTTACATGGTTTCTTTTTATGTATGCTCAGGAGATATGGTTGTTTTGTATGTTTGTTTGAAATTCATGAATAGTTGTATTCTATATAAACAAGAGGTAAATTTCAAAACTAGACATGATGTTATAGAAATCAATCCCATTTTCTTAACTGGTGCTCTAGCAACATGAGAAAACCAATTCAGCATCATACTGTTAAATGTCTCTATGTAGTCATGCTGTGTATTTCACAGATTATATTTTCACCATTATAAATTAACCCCTTTATAATGCCAATATCAATAGTTTACTACTGAGTCCAGATGCTTGTGGAACTATGATTTAAATATTCCATCAATCATTCTAATTATTGATCTACTCTTTCACATATGGATGGAGGATAAATTTAACCTTTCTTTAAAAATAATTTTCTTATATGGAACTGAAAATCTCCATAACTTCAGGACAGCTCAGATTACTATTTGAGATATTTCTATGAATTCTATCAATTAATTTTATATTTTCTTGGCTTTCTTGCTTTGCTCCATTTTTTGTCTTCCTTTAAACTCTCTGACTTTCATTGTGTCATAAATATTGGTCCTCCCCATTGCTTGGGGCATTTTTTTCCTGAAATACTCTTTTTTCTTGTACCAAATATTTATACTTTCTCTTTTCATTTCATAACTGTCTATATACTTCTAAAATCCACTTGCATTCTATATTGCCATCCCTAAAATTTTTCTTCACCTCCAGTTGCACATTTTCTTATTTTATATTTTCAGCGGTTTGCTGACAATTAACTTCTACTTATTCTACAAGTTCCTCAAACATAGTATTTTAACATTTTAAATGAACTCTGCATCTCTTTCTAGTAATGTGGTTGGTTAGATATTTGGACTAAGAAAGAGTAAAATCAATCAAACAAAAACTTCTAATAAGCATTGTTAAGCCATCAAAAACATAATATACCTTCAGGCAGAGACCAGGTGAAGGCAGGCATGAGAAAGAAGCAGAGTACTGGAGCAGCCTGTTATCCTGGGTGCATTTGTCAAAGGCAAAAGGTTTGGTACACAAACCTGCTGGGGGAAGGTAAAAATGGTTTAAACCCAGTGTATGGCCAAAGTGGAGAGCCTTGCAATACAGCAGCCATCCAATAAACCCAGGGCCCTGCCTGCAGTATCCAGACTGTAACATTTGAGCACAGAGTCCTCCAGAGATGGCTAGCCCTTTCTAATATCAACTGCAATGTCAGGGGATTACAAAACCACCCTTAGTCTTGATAATTTGCTAGAATTCATAGAACACACTAGAAGCTATTATACTCACAGTTAGAGTTTATTACAGAGAAAAGATACAGATTAAAATTAGGCAAATGAAGAATTTCATAGGGTAAAATCCAGGAGGGTTCCAAACATGGAGTATTTCCTGTCCTGTCTCTGTGGAGTGAGAGCACAAAACAATGCATTGCAGCTTCCATATTCAAACCTTTTATTGGGGCCCCATTGCATAGGTATGATGGACTAATTAATTGCCCATGTGGTTGATCTTAGCTTTCAGGTCAACTGATACCACATGACCGGGATACCACATGATAACACATGGCCCAGCTTTAAGTCACATTATTGGTCTTTCTGTCATAGCCAGCCCACAACCTAGGCCTATGGGTTATGGTTCACCCCATCCTTAACATCTGGTGTGACCCGCCCCCACCTTAAAAAGTCTAATGCAAAATCAGACCTCTCTTTGTTGAAGTACAATTTCTTTACTCAAAAGACTTTATAACTAGTATAAGAGTGAATTATATATAAACTCATGTTCCCCAAACTGGAGAATGAAGTTATGCCAGCCATTTTATATATTGGTGCTCAACAGAAAAAAGAAAATAATAATCAATAAAAATTTGGAATCACAGCTGACCTCCACACAATATTGCAACCTAATTACCAAGAAATGAGAAGTTCAAGAAAATCTCAATCCAAAAATATGCAGAAGCAAATGTAGATTCTCTTTAGTGTGTCACGTTCTGTCTCAGGCCTCAAACAGTTTCATTAGATATAATTCCAAGGAAAATGAATATTGCATAGTAAAAATGAACATACAATGTATCAAGACACCATAAACAAGAATATGTAGAATTAATAGAGGCAAATCAGACTCACAAAATCTTCAAATAATGAAATTATTATGGATAGACAATAAAGTAAATATGTGTAGGACAAAAGTAAAGCTTAAATATGTTCATGTAATAAAAAACTAGAAGTTCAATTATATGTTAATAAAGTGAAAAAATCAAATGTATCTCTACGAGTAATACATGTGAATTGAAAAAATCAATAAAGAATACTGTATAATTTAATTTATATGGTTGACAGTGGGTGGGGCTGGGTAATAGCATCTACAAAAAGTCATGAGAGGTTTTTTCTCATGATAGAGCTGTTTAAATTTTGATTAATGTGGTGGTTGTGTTTATATGCATTTTTAAAAATCTCATGAAACTACACAAAAAGGGTAAATTTTACTGTATGTTAATTATACCTTAATATTTTAAAAATATTGAATGGTTTAAATAGCAAATTAGAAAGATGAGATTTAGCAACTGGATAATGATGAGAAGAAATATGTTCCAAAAAAAAGAGATAATTGTATATACAATAAATTAAGATATATGTAAGATAACAAGGTAAATTGAAATTAATGAGATGGAAAATTCACAATAAAACAAAACTTCAAGAAATTCACTACAAGGCCAAACATATATATCTAATCAGAGAGTCAGAAACAAAGGAGAGAAATAGTAAGCGAGAGGTGGAATTAGGGTCAAGGGCCAAATTTTTCAGTCTATAAAACTCCCAATCCAGACTAAAATGTCTTTTTATTAGTCAAGATTCTTCAGGCTAACTGAACCAATGTTCTAGAGAAAAGAAAGGAAGAAACAAAGGAAGGAAGGAAGGAAGGAAGAAAGGAAAGAAGGAAAGACAGAGAAAAGATTTTTATTATGGAAATTGGCTCATGTGATTATGGAGGCTGAAGTCCCACAATATGCCATCTGCAAGCCTGAGAACCAGAAAAGCTGGTGGTGTAATTCAGTGCATGTCCAATGCAGTGGGGGATTGCAGGGTAGGGAGCAGGATACTGCCATAAGTCCCAGAGTCTGAAATCCCAAAAATCAGGAGCTCTGATGTCTAAGGACAGGAGAAGATGGACGTTCAGCTCAAGAAGAAAGCAGTAATTTGCCCTTCCTCTCTCTTTCTGTTCTATTCAGAAACTCAAAGGATTGGTTGATGCCTGCCTCTTAGGTAAGGGCTGATCTTCTTTACTCACTTTACTGACTCATGTCCTGATTTCTTCCAGAAAGACCCAGAAATAATGTTTAGCAACTATCTGGGCATCCCTTAACCCAGTCAAGTTGACATATAAATATAACAAGGATAGTCCTGAGTGTTTCAATAAACATACACAGAAATCACATTGTGATATATCAAAATCAAATGGAAAAAATATGAAACACAAACGGAGTTTTAAAAATATTCCAAGGCTGGGTGCAGCAGCTCATACCTGTAATCCCAGCACTTTGGGAATCCAAGGCAGGAGGATCACTTGAGGTCAGGAATTCGAGACCAGCCTGGCCAACATAGCAAAACTCCATCTCTACTAAAAATACAAAAATTAGCCAGGCATGGTGGCACATGCCCGTAATCACAGCTACTCAGGAGGCTGAGGCAAGAGAATCACTTAAACCTAGCAGGCAGAGGTTGCAGTGAGCCAGGATTGTGCCACTGCACTCCAGCCTGAACAACAGAGTGAGACTCCATCCAAAAAAAAAAAATCCCAAATAAAAGACAGACTACTTTAAAAGAGTAAATGTGTATGCAGTAGACAACAGCAATACAAAAGCAAAAGAGAGTGGAATGATGTATTTCAAAATTCTAAAAAAAAACCTGTCAATTTAGAATACTATATCCAATGAAATATATCTTCAGAGCAAAACAAGTAAAGCAAAAATTCAAAAGACTTACTACTGCAGACTTTTATTAAGGACAAATATAAAAGGATGTTTTTCAAATAGAAGAGAAATGACTAAAAGAAAGGTCTGAGATGAAGGAAAGAAAAGAAAAATAAAGTGAAAAGCCAGTGGTTAAATTGAAAAAATACATAGTTTGAAAATATTTTAAAAACCAAAAATAGCAATTCCATGTGAATATTTAATAAAGAAGAATATATATATATATATATAAAATAAGATGGAAGTGGGCAAATGCAACTAAGGTAATATTAGTGTATTGCTCTAGAGGGGGTTATAGACATTGATTAACTCTAGACCTTGGCAATAATTGAATTTGTTATTATCCAAGGAACTGCTGAAAAATTATAATACTATATGAATCTTCCAAACTTGTCAAAGGAAAACATTGAATATTGGGGGAAAAATAAAAGGATATAAAATAGGAAAGAGAGAAGCTGACAGATATAAAGAAAAAGAGAAAATAAACGCAGGAAAATGAAAAAGCACAAAATAAAAAATTTCAGATAAAAATTCATATATAAGTCATTGCAAGAAATGCAAATGGACTAAACACTTCAGTTAATTCAAACTTGTTAGACTGAATTAAAAATAGTTTTAAAACTTCCATGCTAATTGCAAGGGACACAGTTAAAACATAAAACTAAATAAATATTGAAAGTAAATAATGAAAAAGTATATCAGACACATTTTTACTAAACAAAAGCTAGTATAACTTCTGATATAAATTTTTGTCAATTCTGATATCAAAGAGAATTATCCTTAAGGAAAAAAGCATTACTTCAAATAAACAGGGTAACTTAATAATAATATAGTTAAAGAAATAAAAAATATATCACAATTTTTAATCTGCAAATAAATGTGTATACTTCTAGGAAGAGGGCCTCATGCATAGTGAGAAAAAGCTGACAAACCTACAAGAACAATTTGAAAATCCTCAATTATAATGTGGACTTTAATATACCTCTTAATAGTTAATAGAACCAAAAACCAAAATAAGTCTGTAAATATAAGAAAATTCTCAAAACCAAAATTGACATTCTTGATCCCATAAATACATACAACTTATTGCATTGATGAGATGCAGAGCACATTATTCTCAAACATAGGTGAGGTGCGTATAAAAACTCACCATATACTGGACCATATAACAAGTCTCAACAAATTTAAAAAGCTGAATTCAAATGGGATATGTTCTCTGGCTAGAAGTGCAGGTAAATTATAAATCAAAAATATAAACATAGCAATAGAGAATTCTTACATCTGTGGAAATTAAGAAATAGGTTTCTAAGTAATCCAAAGACTACAGATAACAGGTATAGTTTTGAATCTTAAATTAGAAAAAAAAAATGAAAGAAGTTAGGGGGAAAAACAAAAAACAATACCAGAAGAATTCAAAAAAGTAGAATGAATAAAAAAAAAGAGTAACAACTAATAAAATAGAGAGCAAAACTTCAATAGAGAGAATCAAAAAAGCAAAAGTTGGTTGGTTCTTTAAACACACTAATACAACTGACAAATTTCTAGTGAAATCGAACAAGAAATAACAAAGGCACAAATAATATTGGTAATGCAAAGAAAGCTAGAACTGCAGTCAAATATTGTAAGGATAATTACAGAATAATACAAATTATTATATGCCCATAAATTTGAACATTTTGGGGGAAACAGGCAAATTCCTAAGAAAATAAAACTTATCAAACCAAATTTAAGAAATAGAAAACTTCAGCCAGTTTCAGTGAATTACACCTATAATCCTAGCAGTTTGGGAGGCTGAAACAGGAGCATTTTGTGAAGCTGGGAATTCAAGATCAGCCTGGGCAACATAGCAAGACACCTGTTTCTAGAAAAAAAACTAAAAAAAAAATTTTTTAAAGGCTGAGCCCAGGAGTTTGAGACCAGGCTGGGCAACACAGTAAGACCTTATCTGAATAGTCCTATAACCATTAAAGTAATCAAATTAGTGGTCAAAAATTTTCCTACAGTGAAAACTCAGGCTCAAATGGGATTCATTTGGTTGTTCTACCAAACAATCATAGCAAAGATAATTTAAACTATTATAAAAAGGAGAAAAGAAAGAATATTCAGTAATGTCGTTTATGATACTATCATACTGTTCGTACTCAAATTCAATGAGAACAAAATGAAAGAATGGAAATTACACACTAATATGGGTGCAAAACCCTTAAACAAATAGCACTTAATCTTAATCTAGCAATTAGGAATACTAAAACAAAACAAACAAAACAAAAACTTTATAAAAATAGCCAAGGTGCACATACCTCTGTAAGATAGACTAACTTTTATAAATTACTCAGTGATTTCTTGCAAATTTGAAAAGTTGCCCATCACTAGCCAAGCCATATGCTGATGGACTTTTATCTGCTTTCTTAGCCATTCATACAAAATAAAATATGAGATTGTAGCCACTCTGTATGAAATAGATAATACATCATAATTCTTCAGGCCTTTCCTAGGGATGCAAAAACATCAACAAAGTAATAAACCACAAAATTATTAAAGGAGAAAATATAAAATCATTTCAACAGATGCATACCAGATTTATCAAAGTGGAAAGCTAAACAATGTCTAAGAATACTTTGAATAAGTATGGTATGATTCCATGTAAGTCGGGATCTATTTGTATAAAAGTTATTTTCTTCTAGGCAAATTACTTCGTTTTTTTTTTTAAGGGTTAAGTCTTTTGATAGCTTACCGATTACTATATTAGGAAAGTCAAAATAGTCAGTATTTTCAAAGGACTGTCACATCTAGAATCCCTTCATAGTATCTTCCTTTATGATATTCCAGGATAAAATATTAGATAGGTATAGATAAGAGAGAAAGAGATGGGTCATATCAAGGTCTATTTATTTATAAATATATATATATATCATTGAATATTATACCATTGAATATATTATACCATTGAATTTATAGTGATATATAGATTTTTTGGTAGTATTTTCCATTCACTTTTACTAAAGATTCTTATTGAATTTCATCACATGTACTTCCTGTTATAAATGCATTTCATTTTTTAAAAAGTTTTCACTTACTTTGAAGTTATCAAGTGAAAATAACTAGTAATTTATTGGACATCATAAGTCACAAATCTATATAAAATGCATTGCTTTATTTTATTCCCAAAGTGCTTTGAAAAAGAGGCCTTACCTTTATTCCTATTTTTCAGTCTGGTAGGAAGGTGTGATCAAATGTGAAATACTGCAGATAAACCAAGTAAGATGAGGCCTGTTTTATTAAGGACACTAATCCCATTTATGAGGACTCTGCCCTCATGACCTAATCACCTCACAAAGGCCCTACCTCCCAATACCATTGTCTTCATGGTGCAGATTTCAAGAGATGAATTTTGGGGGGACACATTCAGACCGTAGCAGAGAGCTAAGTTATAAGAAAGTCTTTCATTTTTCACCTGTGTAACTTTAATTTAATAGTGTTTTTATCTCCCCATAGTTGTGTATGTGTGTTGCATGAAGGCTGTTACTTTCTATCAGTAGATTTCTCATGTAATTTTTAGAGCTGTAAAACAATTACATAAGAGGAGCCATGTATTTCATAAAACTTATAGCATTATAATTTATTAGGATAAATGGGAAAATAAGCACTTTTAGAAATCTGTCAATGAAGAAATAAATTAGTTATTAAAAAATGTTATAGTTTTCTAGAATCTATGTTTCTTAAACAAGATCCCAAAACAGAGTTTTTATTCTCTTGATTATGGTAAAGAGGAATTATGTAGAGTAACACATTAAACGAGTGAACTCAATGCTTGAATTTTAAATATTTGAAAACTGTTAAACTAGTATTAAATTTTTTGGTCATTTACAGCTTAATTACAGAACACTTCAAAGTAATTCTAAGCTTTATCTTCTCCCCATATTCTGCATCCCTTGTTGAATATTTTTGCCCTTAAAATGTATTAAGCACAGCACATGCTTATAAAATTCTTTCTAAATTTACGTACATCCTGTCCTTTTTTTATGTAGGAAATTTCCTGAGGGTTTCAGAATCCCATCCATATGGTCAGTATGTGCCTCCTGATGAAAGTACACAGCATCACCTATGAAGTATTTTTGTCCCTCAAACAAACCTGACTCTGATAAGCCTCTAGATAAAGCTATAAGTTACAGAAAATGCAAGGGACATATTGTATTTTAATTAAAGCAGCGTATTAAATTACATGAGTACCTATGTACTCAGTAAAATTCATGCTTGTCAACACTGCAGAAAAAATGACCCTGTTTCTTCAATAAAATATTGAAAGAAAAAAGAGATGGAGAAGTAAAATATATATTTTTAAAACTATCATTCAATTGCAATATATGGATGTTATTTGGGCCCTGATTAAAACAAAGAAATTAAAGGGCCAGGTATGATGGCTCACACCCATAATTCTGCACTTTGAGGGGCCAAGGTGGGAGGACCCCTTAAGGAGTTCGAGACCAAACATGGCAACATAGCAGTACCCCAACTCTACAATTTTTTTTCTTCAATTAGTTGGGGAAGGTAGCACACTCCTGTCAATGCAGCTACTTGGGAGGCTGAGCCAGGAAGATCAGTTAAGTTCTGCAGTTTGAGGCTGCTGTGAGCTATGATTGTACCACTGCACTCCAGGCTGGGTAACAGAGTGAGACCTTGTCACTGGCAAAATATAATTGTTACCAATTATCAGATTAATTACCAATTAAAGATATTTGATCACCTTAGAGAATTATCTTGTAACTATAAAAAATTACAATGATGATTAGTTTTCTTAAAAGTGTCCTTATCATTTACAGATGTATTCTGAAATATTTCCAGATAAATATCTAATGTCTGAAAATTGAGTTCCTTTTCATGAGTAGATGAACATATGTATGGTATGTATACTTTATGCATGACATTGTCGACAATTTTATTTTAAAAATCAGTATGATTAGTTCAAAACATCTGACTATACTATACCCTTCCTGACTATATTTTCCTATTATTGGATATGTTATATTGGAAGCTCTATATAGACATATATAATTTTATATACAGAGAATTACATGTATAGAGAGATTTGGATATAGATATATTATATATAATATAAAGACATATATATAATATATAGAAAGACATATATAATATATAGAAAGACATATCATATATAATATATAGAAAGATATATATAATATACAGAAAGATATATCATATATAATATAGAGAAAGATATATATAATATACAGAAAGATATACCATATATAATGTACAGAAAGATATATCATATATAATATACAGAAAGATATATCATATATAATGTACAGAAAGATATATCATATATAATATATAGAAATATATATCATATATAATGTACAGAAAGATATATCATATATAATATATAGACAGATATATCATATATAATATATAGAAAGATATATCATATATAATATATAGAAAGATATATCATATATAATATATAGAAAGATATATGTAATATATAGAAAGACACATTATATATAATATATAGAAAGACACATTATATATAATATATAGAAAGACACAAGCACTTTATTTCCTTCCCATTATGACTAATTACCAACTTGTATTACAACTCTGATGCAAAAAAGCAAATATGACTCAGAGTACCTGTCAATTTTTATTTACAACATGAAAGTATGCTCACTCATGTTAATTTATAGTTCATTGATTACACAGTGCAAGATGTGTAATCTTAATATATAGAAAGATATATAATATATAGAAAGATATATTACATATAATATATAGAAAGATATATATAATATATAGAAAGATATATATAATATGTAGAAAGATATATAATATATAATATATAGAAAGATATATAATATATAATATATAGAAAGATATATAATATATAGAAATATATATAACATATAATATATAGAAAGATATATAATATATAATATAGAAAGATATATTATATATTATAGAAAGATATATAACATATAGAAAGATATGTATAATATATAGAAAGATATATTATGTAATATATAGAAAGATATATTATATAATATATAGAAAGATATATAATATATAGAAAGATATATTATATAATATATAGAAAGATATATTATATAATATATAGAAAGATATATTATATAATATATAGAAAGATATATTATATAGAAAGATATATAATATATAGAAAGATATATAATATAAAGATATATAATATATAGAAAGATATATTATATAATATAAAGAAAGATTTATATAATATATAGAGAGATATATAAAATATAGAGATATATTATATAATATATAGAAAGATATATAATATAAAGATATATAATATATAGAAAGATATATAATATATAGAAAGATATATAATGTATAGAAATATATATTATATAATGTATAGAAAGATATATAATGTATAGAAAGATATATTATATAATGTATAGAAAGATATAATGTATAGAAAGATATATAATATATAGAAAGATATATAATATATAGAAAGATATATTATATAATATATAGAAAGATATATTATATAATACATAGAAAGATATATTATATAATATATAGAAAGATATATTATATAATATATAGAAAGATATATAATATATAGAAAGATATATTATATAATATATAGAAAGATATATATAATTTATATATAAATATGAATAGAGAGATTTAGATTAGATATATCTTATATCTTGAGGGAGATATATAATATATAATATATCTCTATATACAATATATATATTATATATCTATATATCCATTTAATATATAATATATAACATATAATATGTGATATATAATTATAATACATATTTTATATAATATATAATTAAACTATATATTATATAATCCATAAATTTTATATATTGTATTATATATTATATATTATGTATCATATATTATATAAGCCATACATTTTATTTACAACATAAAATATATAATAAAATTATATATATTTATTATAACATAATTATATATTTACTACATAAAATATATATAATTAGATATATTTTATGTTGTAAATAAAAATTGACAGTTGCTCTGAATCATATTTACTTTTATATGACTCATAATTTATAATATACATTTTATGTAATTATATTTGATAAAAATAATCATATATATAATGAATCATATATAAGTAAATATGACTCAGAGTACCTGTCAATTTTTATTTACAATATAAAACTATGCCCACTTATGCTAATTACTCACTGATTACACAGCACAAGAAGACTGAAGAAAGATCAGTGTGGGGTGAGAAGGTGACAGAATGTCAGAAAACTGAGACCAGAATTCTGAATGAATTGAGCCTAACTTGCTGGATAAACTTTGACAAATTTCTAAGAACACCCAAGGCTGAGTATTACCTTAGGTACAGCAAAGTTTGGTATGACTTTAAAAATCATATATATATATATATATATAATATTATATATAGTCATTATATAACATATAATATAACATCTCCAATAATTAGAAAATATAGTAAAAAATAATATATTTTTATATGGGAAGCACTACATATATAGCTATAGTGTTTCATACATATATAGTGCTTTCTATATATATAGTTTCATATATATATGAAACAATGTATTTCCCAATTAAAAATAAATGTATTGTCCAAAGACAATAATTCTACAAAAATAAAATGTTACAAGCTTATTATTAAAGCTTATTATTTATAATAGTAAGCAAAACACGTATGAAAAACATCATTATATACCTCACATTTACAAATTGACATTTATAGTAAGTGTGTATCATATTTAATATAATCTCATAATATGTAAGCATCAATACATGTCAAGATTAACAATATCATTTATTAAATAATCGTAATTACTAAATAATTATTGACTATAGGATGTGTGATTCTTACGAAGGATGGCCAGAGAGTAATTCAGAGAAAATAAAAAGTCATTCAGAAGAGGAGAGAGAATAAAGTTCTTCTGTGATATCAGGAAAAATTATCAAAATAATATGTTTATATATAATGGGGTACAAAAAGAGAAATAGCCACCAACATGTGATTTTGCTATATAAAACCTTTATAAATATGACCAATTAATAAGGGTGGCTCAGCATTGTGGAAATAGTGTCTACATCTGGGTTTGCCATTTAATTTAACTTCGTCACCTAAACTGTGAGCCTCGGTTTTGCAATAGTTAAATGAAAGTAATTATACTGATGATAAAATGAAACAATGTATATGGGACTCAATAACTAGTATTTAGTGTCTTTGTGAACCATCTAGAATTTGTTTATTTGTGACCTGTAAATAGAATCCATATTTTTTCTTGGGGCCAGTGTCAGCATACTGTCACACAAAAATAAATAAAACAACAACTGCTACGCAAACCTCACAAAAGTACTGATGAGAGGGATCTCTTCTGAAGGATTGCTGTCAATACTAAAGAGCGGTTTAAAAGAACATAGCATGCAGTCTACTGAAACACATTTTAAATGCTTCTATCCTAAGTTCTATTACTCATGCCAGCAGTTCAACTCTCCCCCTCTATAAATCTAGTGGTCCTGTGCCCTTTCCCGCAAGGATCACCTGCACCACTTCCTATTTGGAGACGCTTGGATTCTCTCTGTTCTCTCATTTGTTCATATTTCCCAAAGGCCATTTTCCACCTTACCAAGGGTACCAGCAGCCAATATACATAAAGTTTTTAGAAGGCAATGAACAAAAGAAAACTTGCCAGACACAAGCACTTTATTTCCTTCCCATTATGACTAATTACCAACTTGTATTACAACTCTGATGCAAAAAAGTAAATATGACTCAGAGTACCTGTCAATTTTTATTTACAACATGAAACTATGCTCACTCATGTTAATTTATAGTTCATTGATTACACAGTGCAAGAAGACTGAAGCAAGAGCAGTGTGGGGTGAGAAGGCAAGAGAGTGTCAGCAAACTGAGACCATAATTCTGAGTGAATTGAGCCTAATTTGCTGGATAAATGTCAACAAATTTCTGAGAAACTCCCAAGGCTGCGTATTACCTTAGGTACAGCAAAGTTTGGTTTGGTTTAAAAAAATCTTTTCAGCCATACCTCCCTACCTGTGTGTCTTATTCAAACTCAAGATAGCCTTGGCTATGCTCTGGAACTTCTTCATGACTTAATTATCAGCAACTGTCATTCTGTGCCTTCCATTGCTAAGTCTTTCCTTCTTATTCAGAATAGTGACACAGAAGAAAGTAGCATAAAAACTCTTTCCTCTACTAAATGCATCAGACTTGTCCAACTCTATATTGATTTCCACATTTTTCCTTATTTGGTTATAATTCTAATATTGAGACCCTTGGTTTCTCTTTATTCTGTTGGTTCTACCTCTCCACTGATGACACTTGCTCAGCTCATCCACAGGCCCAGTAGACAAACAGCACGAACTACACTCCTCAGAAGAAAAGGGGCCAGACATGGTGGTTTCATGTCTGTAATGCCAGCACATTGGGAGGCTGAGATGGGAGGATCACTTGAAATCTAGGGTTTCAGGACAGCCTGAAAGGCTGAAGAAAAAGCTGTAGAAAAGCTGAAGGAAAAAAAAAATATATATATATATATATATATTTTATACATATAAAATGTTGTGTACGTGTATATATATAACATGTTGTATAGAGTATGTGTATGTATATATAGTGTATGTGTGTGCCTGATTATATATATATATAAAATTAGCTGAATATGGTAGCGTGTATCTGTAGTCCCAGCTACTCAGGAGGCTGAGGCAGGAGTATCTCTTGAGCCCAGGAGTTTGAGGTGCCAGTGAACCATGATCCTGCCACTGCATTCCAGCCTGGGTGACAAAGGGAGATCTTGTCTCAAAAAAAAAAAAAAAAGAGAGAGAGAAAGAGAAAAGGGAAAGGATTAGAGATTGCGCTAGCCACGAGTTTCCTCATTGAGGAATTCCCATTTGTGGCTGTGCACCAAAATCACCAAGGAAACTTGAAAAGTTTTGGTTCTGTAACTCCAGAGTTACTGCCTTGAAAAACTATTACAAAAAAGGAACATTTGCTTTTACAGGGTTGAGATCTACTGCTTTAAGAATGGTTGGGTGACTAACAGGTTTTAGAATACTTTAGGATAGGGAAATTCTATTAAGAGAACCAAAAATGAACTCATCAAAATTAATAGAATAGAAATTGATACGTTTTTCTAATACTCCCAAAGAAGTGTGTTCAATGCAATACTAATTAATCAAGTGTTTAATACACTGCTCTTTTCTTATTTATATCAGTGAAATTGTCTTGTGACAGTTGTTACTTATTTTCTTATGTCTTATTTTGTAGTTCCTGGAGAAAGGATGAGAATAAAGTTATCTCTTGGGTAACTTTAAAAAAAATTTTCTTATTTGAACTTGTTCTAATAGATCTAATTTTCTAATTGATTGCTTCTCCATAAACCCTGAAAGTCCAAAATTCAAGCCAGTAGAAGCCAGAATGTTTGAAATTCAGATTAGTACTTTATTTCATTTCTTTTTTTCTGTAGAAAGTGTCCTTCCATCCCCGCTAGTATCATAATTCAAGTAAACTTTGATATACGTTTCAACATCCACTATTTATTCCTGTCTATAAAAAGTTTCAGCAATATGCTATGCTCTGTAGCCAAAGTTAAAAACAGTTATGCCAACTGGCTTAATTTATTAAATACTACTCAAAAAAGGAAAAACTTAATAAATTCCATTTACCCTACGTGTAATTGAAAGTTTTGTGAAGTGTTGAGAGTGTCATTCACTTTCATGGCTTGATGGTAGTCAAACGCTTTGTATAAGATAACAACATTGAAAAAAAAATGTTTTACTGCTTCACTGCTTAACCCAAGTTGATATACATATAATTAATTTCCTCTAAGAGAAACAGTTGTTTTTGTTTTTGTTTTCACAACAACTCACAAATAGATTTCATACCTATGGCTTTTGGACCAATTGAACACCAGGCCTATTTTAATTTTATTGTGTATCTTGTCTTTTCTTCAGCAGATCTTCACAATACCTGAGGTTTGAGTGAGTACCTTGAAGCTGATGACTCCAAATATATACTATATGCTCACATTTCTGTCTTAAACTACAAACTAGTGTGTTTATTAGGTGTATATTTCTGTTCTCACACTGCTATAAAGAACTACCTGAGACTGGGTATTTTATGGAGAAAAGCTTTAACTGACTCACAGTTCCACAGGTTATACAGGAAGCATAGCTGGGAGGCCTCAGGAAACTCACAATCATGGGAAAAGGCAAGGGAGAAGTAAGCACGTGTTACCATGGCAAAGCAGGAAAAAAAAGGGCAAAGAGGGAAGTGCTACACACTTTTAAACAATCAGATCTCATGAGAACTCATTCACTCTCACCAGAACAGCAAGGTGGAATTCTGCCCCCAAGATCCAATCACATCCCACCAGGTCCTTCCCCCAACATTGGGAATTACAATTCAACAGGAGACTTGGGTGGGGAAAAAGAGCTAAACCATATCACTAGGTAATCTACCTGTATATTAAAAATTCAAAATAAAAAAATAAATAAAAATTAGCCTACATTATTCCCTCAACCTTAGCTCCCATCTCCATTTCATAGCAAAGCCGTCACTTTTTCCTAAAGTAAAAACCAAAAAAGAAAAGGAACTTCCATCCCGCTCTCTTTACCTCTATCTTTGCTGTTAATCTTTTACCAAGTACCTCAAATCTTCCTTGAACTACTGAAATAATTTTTTACTAGGCCCTGTGTTGTCTCATTTATCTTTTTCTAACACCCATATCTGATTATATCACTGTCATTGATATTTCTTCAGTGACTCCCACTGTTAAACAAAGGATAAAACTAATAATCCAAACAATTTAGCTTTATTGTGAGTGTGGCTCCTTAGATTTTTGCCTACTGATGCAATATCACCATGTATCAAGCTCCCCACATTGGAAATTCCAGCAATGCTAACTTACTCAATGTTAACCTCAAGACTCTGGGGTCTCTCCTACCTTCATGCCTTATATCTTAGTTCCCTTGATGCTTTATTAAAACCACTCTTCATTCTTCATGAAAAGCAGCACAAACTGACTCTGTCTAGGTGATTCAAGCAGAAAGAGAATGTTTTGAAAACATATCTAAGGCCACAGAATATCACTGAGAAGTCCTAATAAACAAATTCTTCTCTCTCCCAAAAAATAGTAGAAACAAAAGGAGGTAAGGTCAGAGATTGCAACCCAGCTGTTACCTTCACTGGACCAAGGATGGTACCACTGGTACTGCTATTCCTAGAGACTGGATGTTGGAGGCACTGCTACTGCTACTGCCACTGCCACGCCCAGGTGGGAGGGTCTAATAGCCACCCCTAGCGGTCTGGCTCACGCTCTATTTCCCAGAGAGATTAGGAAAGTGAGTCTCCCTGGCATTATTTACTCCTGTCTCAAACAGTAGACAATTACCAAAATATACAAAACATTCTGATGCTAAATAGCAAAACAAAGAAAAAAGCACATTGTGTCTGTTTTCTACTGCTGCTGTAACAAAGCACCACAGACTTTGTGGCTTAAAACAACACAAATGTGTAAATCCCAGCACTTTGGGAGGCTGAGGTGGGTGGATCACGAGGTCAGGAGTTTGAGACCAGCCTGGCCAAGATGGTGAAACCCCATCTCTACCAAAAAAAAAAAAAAAAAAAAAAAAAAATTTCCCAGGCGTGGTGGTGGGTGTCTGTAACCCCAGCTACTCGGGAGGCTAAGGCAGGAGAATCGTGAACCCAGGAAGCAGAGGTTGCAGTGAGCTGAGATCTCGCTACTGCACTCTAGCCTGGGCAACAAGGGTGAAGCTCTGTCCCCGCCTCACCACCCCCCACCCCCAAAAAAAGTGCCACTGCACTCTAGTCTGACAACAGGGCAAGAGTCCATCTCAAAAACAAACAAATAAACAAAATGAACACAAACTTATTACCCTATAATTCCTGGAAATAAGTAGTTCAAAATGAGTCTTACTGGGCAAAATCAAAATATCTTACTTTGGGGCCTTCTGTGTTCCTTCTGGAGACTCTAGGAAAGAGTATGTTTCCTTGCCTTCCCCAGCTTCTAGAAATTTCCTGTATTCCTTGGTTGCTGGCCCCGCATGAATCAGACTTCTGATTTTGTCATGATATCTCCTTCTCTGACCCTGGTTCCCTCTTCCACTTCTAAGGACAAATAATCTAGGGCAGTCTTTTCAAGACTTTTAACTTGATCACATCTTCAGAGTTCTTTTTATTATGTAGGGTAACATATTCACAGGTGTTAGATATTAGGATGTGGACTTTTTGGGGTGGTCATTAATCTGCCTACAACAAGCAAAAACTAAAAGAAACAGGATTCCTCTTCCATGAAGCCTTTCTGAATTCCCACAGACAAACAAGGGCATCTTCCTTGTAGGCTCATAGAGTTATTTTGTTACATTTCTATTGGTGCAGGTACTGATTTCCCAGTTTAGTCTACTAGACACAGAGATAAAGATATGTGTGCCATCTTTATCTCTATTTTTCAGTGATAATTACATATTTGATACCTAGTAGCTATTAAGAAATAATGGCTGATTGAAAAAGTACTAACCACAATTAAGATTAAAATTATAGTATTCTTAAATTGAGACCTTTTTTTTGTATCCTGATTGAAATGTGTTTATCTATATTTGGTTTCAAGAGATTGTTGTATCATGGCAAAAAGAGAAAAGTGAATTAATCAGCTCCAAAGTCCTGAAATTCCATTTTCAAGACCGACAAATGTTAATATTAAATAACACATTCCCCTTCCTTCAGCGTTAGCTGAGGATTTTTTCTCATCTATTTTTCCCTATAGCTTCCCAAAATTTTACTGTATATTATAATAAAATATCATGTAAAACAATCTAACTTTACATATTTGGAAAATAAAGCATAGTTTGCAAACTAATAGGCATGATAAGAAACCATAAATCTGTCATTGTGGAAAACAATATGAGTTTTCTTATAACTTCATTTATTTATAAATACCACATGCCAAAAAAATTCATCATGATATTAAGCTATAGTGTTAACAAATGACAACTAGTTTTCAAAAGGTACTTTTGGGATTCCCCCCCCATTGCAGAAAAATTTCTCAGTTGTATATTACTGAAAGCAAGGAAAAATAAACACAATACCTCTGCCAATTTTTCTAGGTAAGACTAATTTTGTTCAGGTAGGTAAAGAATATTGATATTAATATTAGTATATTTATTAACAAATATCTGAATATTTGACATATAGTTTTCTGTGAGAAAATGACAATTTTTCAATGAAATATTTACTGGGTTGCTAGCATGTTTCACAGACTGCAGAATGATTGAGGGGAATGGCAAACACTTGATCAGTGCTATGAAAAGCACTAGGAGCTTGGATAATTTACCACTAACCGAAAATGATTTTCTGTGTATGTAACTCATCAGCAGCATCATTTGGAAATAGGAGGCAATAACAGCTGTAAAGCTAGGGGCCTACTGTCATATGCGAAGATGGGATTAGATTTTCTAGCTTAGGTTTGCTCACCATTTTATTGCTTTGACAGCCATAAAATGAAGTACCACCATTCTCATTAGGTGTATTTAGGAAAAAACAACAGAGTCACAACATGAAACAAATGGAGGCTTTTGTAAAAAACTCAGCTCCTCGTCAGTTAGTGCAAACAATCCATAAACTACAATCTACGGACCTACAATGGCATGGTAGGTCAGCAAATAAGGATTGTGCCTGTACAAATGTAAACTTACAACAAAGTTGTAACCACCCAATAGGTTCACCTTGCCTGCTGCCTAGATGGAGACAATTTATCAAGACAGCGGAATTTCGATGGATAAAGAGTAATGCATGCGGAACCAACTGTTCAGGAAACCACTGTTTTATTACCGGTCAAATTGTGTCCCGAGTTGGTTTCTTTCAAGGGTTCTTGGTTTCACTGACTTCAAGAATGAAGCCGCAGACCTTCACGGTGAGTGTTACAACTCTTAAAGATGGTGTGTCTGGAGTTTCTTCCTTCCAGTGGGTTTGTGGTCTCGCTGACTTCAGGAGTGAAGCCGCAGACCTTCGCAGTGAGTGTTACAGCTCTTAAAGGTAGTGCAGACCCAAAGCGTGAGCACCAGCAAGATTTGCGAAGAGCAAAACAACAAAGCTTCCGCACCCGGAATGGGGACTCCAGCAGGTTGCGTCTGCTGGCTCTGGTTGCCAGTTTTTATTCCCTTATTTAGCCCTGCCCACATCCTGCTGATTGGTCCATTTTACAGAGTGCTGATTGGACCATTTTACAAAGTGCTGATTGGTGCATTTTTACAGAGAGCTGATTGGTGTGTTTACAATCCTTTAGCTAGATACAGAGCGCTGATTGGTGCATTTACAATCCTTTAACTAGACACAAAAGTTCTCCAAGTCTCCACCTGACCCAGAAGCTCAGCTGGCTTCACCTCTCAAAATCAGTCTCCTGGAGCATTCGAGCATCAGAGTTTTTAAAGATAATTTGGCGGGTAAGGGCTTGTGATGTGGGGAGTGCTGATTGATCAGGTTGGCGATGGAATCATGGAGTTAGAAGTGAGTTTTTCTTACTGTCATCTGTTCCTGAATGGGATGGCAGAACTGGTTGAGCCAGATGACCAGTCTGGGTGGTGTCAGCTGATCCATGGAGTGCAGGGTGTGCAAAATATCTCAAGCACTGATTTCAGGTTTTACAATAGTGATGTTATCACCAGAAGCAACTTCGGGAGGTTCACAGCCTTGGAGCCAGAGGTTGCATGACCTCTAAACTGTGATTTCTAATCTAAGTATGTTTTTACTTTCTCTTATTATGTTTCATTTCATTTCATTTTAGATGTATATGCTTTTTAATCTCAACTTTCCTGAGACAAGATACATATGTTCTCACAGGAGTGAAATAAAAGACAAGAATGAAGAAAATTTTGCAGAATTGGTGATGCAGTCATCTTTTGACGGGCATTAGATAGCACAACAGAGTCATTGTTATATTTTAAGTTGTGCGTTTTCTGTAACATGACTCACCACCTAAGAGTTGCTTTTCTATAATTCTTGTTCCTTTTTCTAATGATAGCTCATATAAATCACAAAGGGTACCTTATTAGCATGCTTCAGCAAGGACATTTGACAGAGAAAGGAGCAGCCCTCACAGAGCACACCACTGTACTCACATTAAGTTAACCTGAGAAGGGTGGAATTTTTTCAGATGAATTTTCCCCAGTTAATGGTCCTAAAAGGGAAAAACCACAAAATTTTAGCGAAATCCAGGAAAGTGGGCTTTTTAAAATACGGTGGAAAAAATTTTACATGAACATGGATCTCTAAAGATCCTGGCGTTATAAATGTAAGTCCATTGTGTGTGTACTTTTTTGGCAAAAATTAAATTCTCTTTAGTTTGGGGTAAATATGTAACTAGTATTTGTGATACATACTGTTTCAGCCTTCACAAAACACTTCCACAGACATTATTTTAATTAAAATAATTAATTAAAAGTCAAATTGTCTCTATTTTAAATGAAAATTGTACAATCTTCATTTAAAATAGAGACAATTTAACTTTCTGGCATAAAGAATCTGATGCTCAAAAGTCTTATGTTATTTGGCCAAAAGAGAAGAATTCCTCCTCCATTTCCCTTGTTCTTCCCATTAAACCCAGCAAGTCTTACTTATACTGAGCATGTGGGCAAAGTGCTCTACAAATGAAAGGCTTGAAATTCATTTTATTAATAAATTTGTGCTAAGTAAAAAAACATTATTGTGAATGTTACCAAATTGTGGTGTTAGAAACATTTAAATTACTAGGGTTAGGTATTCTTAACTGCAATAGAAAGAAGAGTTTTTATTTTAAAAATTTCCAATTGCAAATGTAAACAATTTGGCATAATTGAAGGCAAAATATAGGTCTAAGTTCCTAACCTAGTCAAGAAATTAAAAAAAAAAACAGGTTGATACTATGATTTAACCACAAAGAAGCCATACAGCACCATATTTTTACCTCTTTCTACCTCTAATATATCAGTGGAAAGTGTAAAATATTCATTTGCCCTGGCTGCCTGAAAAGTAGAAGTAACTGGAGAATAAGTTTTGCCCAATATATGTGAGTAAAAGTCACTGGGTAGGGGTTCCAGAAAAGATTTTTAGAAAAATAGATGAAGTCAGCTGCTTACCTTTATTTGCCCCTCTTCCATGTGGAATGTACACGCAGTGTCTGAGAGTATAGGATCATTTTGTGACTAGAATGACAAAACTCACATGTACAGAATAGGCAATCAGGAAAATGAAAAAATCTTTCTTTGAACAGTCACTCCAGGCTCCATATTCAGTGGGATATATAAATCTTAACGTCTTCAAAGCTGCCTTTATATAGGATTCTTGTTATTTGAAACCAAAACAAAATTTTAACAAATACCAAAATGTGAAATTTGAAATTAGTATGAATATTTTTTTAAAAAAGAAATAAAGAAAATAACAACTTTGGTAAGTGTAAAAGACATAGTAAACTGAGAGGCAAAGTCCTGCCAATTGCTGCATAGAGGAGGATATTGATTCTTCTTATATGAAGACAAAGCATTCGGTCTAACTGTGGTCTGTTATAGACCACATGCTGAATCAGATTGCAACTTTTATGGAAATAAGAAAAATTCAGAATGATAGCCTATGTCAATTTCAGCAAATTCCTCCAAGAAATGGTGGGCCTTCCAGATTTGTTCTATCAAATTTGCAAATGGTAATAGAGATGTTCCTTGTAGCTGCAATCGATGTTGACTGATTGCTGTAATTTGGAGCCCTGTTAAAAAGGCAAACTTAGATTCAGGACAGGGGAATCAAGAAAACAGGAGTCTGTGTATTTGAACAGATTAGAACCTGCAGATAGTATCAGTCTTACAGGGAGCAAGATAGCCTCAGGCATTTCTTTAGCTTGCTAAAGTGCTCTGCCATTCAAAGGTGTGGAAGTGGGTGGCAAAAATGGAATTAAAAATTTTACCTCAGTAAAACTGCATCAAAGAAGTTGCATCAAACTAAAAGATGGGTGGATCAGAAAGGCAAATACCCAAGAGCCAAAGCCTCTGACCTTCAAAGAGAAAATTCAGATGAAATCTGTGAGTAGTTTCTCATAGATATGACCCAAAACAATTTTACTGAGCACTTACTAATTTTAGGGGAAGCTGAATTGCTAAATAATTCACAAATGTAGACCTCAAGAGGCAGGGAATGTTCAAAATTAAGACAAATTCGAATCCAAACTCAGTCTAAGAGGGAAAAACATGAGAGACTTCCATAGCCACTAGGGAATACATCATCCCCAATGTCACCTTGGATATCACCCAGAGATATCTTATAACTGATAAGGAAGTTGTTTCCATGAGCAGAATCAAGGGTTCACTGATTATTTTTTTTCATCACTAGAGCAGAATTCTCCCTATTCTTAAACAGCAGGATTGGATTGTAGTTATAGTTCGGATGTTTTTAATGTCCAGTCTTTCCTTTCTGAGTGGTATTTTTTTATTGCTCATATTTCATGGCTCTCTATCACTGTATATTGCATCCATTAAAGCAGATAACTTGTCCTTTCAGTTCATATGCTATTAGGTCATATTCACATCTACAGATAGGGGCAGACCAACTGCGTATCATCCAGATATTGTAAACTTGAAGCTGGATGCAATAATTGAATCATATTTTGGGTGTGTCTCTTGGGAGTGGAGGTGAGTGCATAAACTATTAAATAAGAAATGCAGTATATTTGGATATTGGGTGGTAAAAGGACTGGCAGACGTGACAAGCTACTTCCTCAAAAGGTATTCATAATCCACATTTTCCTTGCCTTACTATAGCGGCTACAAACTTTTTCAATCTATCATGTGACTATAGGTGGTCACGAGATCCTGTTCTAGACAATGGGATGTTTGTTGAAGCTATTTTCTGACCATAAGAATGAAAAAGCCGGCTGAGAGTGGTGGCTCACTCCTGTAATCCCAGCCTTTGGGAGGCCGAGGCGGGCGGATCACGAGGTCAAAATATCGAGTCCATCCTGGCCAACATGGTGAAACCCCCTCTGTACTAAAAATACAAAAATTAGCTGGGCATGATAGTGCGTGCCTGTAGTCCCAGCTACTCAGGTGGCTGAGGCAGCAGAATCGCTTGAACCTGGGAGGTGGAGGTTGCAATGAGCTGAGATCGCACCACTGCACTCTAACCTGGGTGACAGAGTGAGACTCAGTCTCAAAAAAAAAAAAAAAAAAAAGAAAAAAGAAAAACCCATAACACACAACTTTTGATGAAACAAGAATATTGAAGGCTCTGGATCTATGATAATGTGCTTGAAATATCTCACTAGTCCAGGATTTTCTTCTTCTAGAATTCTTGTATAAGTAGACACCATAGATATGTTGGTTAACTATTTCTTACTAAAATTCAGTGGCTTACCCCTCTTGCATCTGTGGATCAGTTAATGTAGGATATGCTCATCTGTGGCAGCTTGGCAGGGTGGCTCTGTGCCAAGAGTCTTTCATTGTTTTTCTGAGACCAGCAGAATAGTCAAAGCAAATTATTCTTATGATAATGGTAGAATAACAAGAAAGCAGATGGAAACCCCAAAGGCTTTCTTAGGTCTAGAACTGGCATCCTTCTTTCTTTTGACTAAACCAAATCACATAGATGACCCGTCGTCAAAATGTGGGAAATAGGCTCTACCATATTTAGTGGAGAGAACTACAGAGTCACACAACAAAGGGCAAATGAATCCAGGAAGTGGTGAGCATTTGAGGCAAATAATGTAATTTACCAAAGCTGATGATATTCTAATTTTCTATTGTACACAAATGAAAATCTAACAGTCACCTATATAACTGTTGGAAGGGTTACATTAGCAAAGTAAAGCAACCAGTACAATGCCAGCAACATAATAGATAATATTTATTATTATTGTCATTATCATTGCAATTATATCTCCAATACAATCCAATTGAATCACCAAAGAAAAAAATCGTAAATTTATAAAATAATTATAACCTTATATAACTAATTTTCAACTTTTACAAATTTCATTTTATAATGACATGAATTAATGTATTTTAATTTCAACAAAACACTAATATAAAACTACAATAAGTCTGGAGAATAAAAATATTCCTGATGATTTTGAGCTCTTTTGTTATCTGCCTGTTTAAACAATAGTTATAACAAACAATAGCATGCGTTTCATTCATAGAAAATAAAGATTGTATTGATAATCAAACTCACTGATAATGCATTCCTATTGGAAGTTGAATGTCTTATTGACTACTTTTTAAATCTTCATTAAAAACAGTTTTAAAAACCATAAGGTAATATAAATAAATGGCATGGAGTTTTAATAGAAGTATGCATTAAAATCATCAAAAATTTGTGAAAATCCAACTTAGCCTTTTTCAGTACTTGCTAGGTGCAATTCCTAAAATCGCAAGTGGAGATTGTATACATGTAATACCAAGCTCACATTCACTGCATTAAGGAACAGATGATAAGAACAGCAGCCAGCCAGAAAATAGAATTGTTGCACATGGACTGTCTGACTCTCACACAATCATTACCCTATTGAGTGAATCCAGACTTCCTAAAAGCATGATAAGCATAGTCCACAGCACAAAGAATCAGCCAAGTCCTATCTCATCAGAACAAATCTGGTCAGGTGACTGTTTAACAGTCCAGCTGTCCAGACTCTTTTACTAAATTAAACCTAGTTGGATTAGTCTAGAGACAAAAGGCTGTGCCTCTGTCAAAGTAATTGACACAAGGCCTCTGCGTGCTCTGGGATCTTAGACTGAACTCAGCATTTTCATTATCACACATTCCCAAGACTGTAGGATAATAACCACATAAGACCTGAGCAACAGGGGCCATTAACCTGGCAACAAGGACCATTGACCTCGGTCCCATGTTGTAAAGGGGGTTCTCCCTCTCTGTTTCTCTGTCTCTTTCTTCCTCCTCTCCCTCTCTTTCAGTCTCTTTCCTTTCCTTTTCTCCTAACACACACACACACACACACACACTTAAAATTAAAAAACACACATGGACTGGTCTGACACTTAGAATCCAATATGCAGTACACAACCAGCACACAACGACTGAGTCATTATAGTCACAACTAGACCCAATGGTAGGACACAACCAGTAACTATGTATCTACTCTTGTGATGAATGATAGTACAAAGAAAAGGAAACATTTCTCCACATTTCCTGCACTGTGTCTCCTAGGAACAAAAGCTAATTGTGTCCAAATATCATAGAAGTTTGTGGTTTGGATTGTTGCTGACATTGGAGAGGGAAACTGTTTCAGAGTTCCAGAAGGATTTCATTGGTGGGATGCTTAGGTAAGAGAAAAGACAAGTGAATCAACATGTAATCCTTCCTCTCAAATAGCATGAATAAAATAGATTTTGTTATAATGGGATATCATTTCACAGTAGCTCCAAACACCTATTTTATTTTTCTCTTTGTGTCCAAAGCATAGTTCTGGAAGTACTCAAGAATTATCATATTTGCAAAATTATCAATAGGAAAGGAGAAATACCGTATAATATTAAACAATTTATATATTGCCAAACATGTATATTTGTAAATTTAGATTAACATGAATGAAACATAATCATTGTTCACATTACTAAGCATAGCTAAATATTACTGTAAGAGAGGGCAAACATATTTTATAAGTGATAAAAGTCAGCTTTTCGGTAGTAATGTGATAATTATAATTTATGACATGTGTGGTCATTTTACAGTATTTGAGGATAAAATTCATGTTAATTTCTGGATATAAATATTGCTGTAAGGAATTTATTAGTAATTCCAACTTAGTGATAATTTGAGCAGAACAAGATATCTTTAACTTAATATGAATAAAACACTACCCAAAGAACCATAATAACTAAAGAAAATTGTTTAATTTGGCGTTACTATTATAAGAACACAATTTATGCAAAAGACATTATATTAATAACATCACGATTTAAAGTAAAAGAAAAACAGGTTTTATGAGCTAAATACTAAGTAATTTATAAATTACAAGTATTTATCACTCAAACATCATCATTGACCAGTTGAACAATACTTACATTCAACTTTTTTTATATTTCACCTCAATCATATGGAGAGATACACACATATATATATACATACGCAAACACACACACGTTCTATTTTTAATTGTTTCTATTTAAAAGGTCCGTTTGCCCTGTTTACCTCCCCTTGCCTGTGAACAGGGCTGACGTCTTGTGAGGTAGTTCTAGAATCTCTAACCCTAAAAGAAATTAAAAAGCAAAAATATATAAATAAAATAAAATCAAAGGTCTTTTGGCCAACATAGGAGATAGAATATATTTTAGAATTTATAATCTGATATATAGCTTTGAAATATATAAGCATTTAATATGTTGACCATCATTTGTGTTCTTGCTTTAGATCTCAAAGAAATCAGAAATATATTTGCCACTAGAGATTTAAATTTGAAAAAGTGGGTAGCAAGGCTTCTGAGGAAAATGAAATAAACCAACTCAGGTTGCACAATCCATGAGCATTACATGCTTGAGTCTGTAACAGGCAGTCATAATTTTGGTTTATAAAAGAAATAGCAATATGTGTTTTGTGATGACCCTGAGATTCCCAGAAGAATAAGAAGAAATATTCTCTGCCCTTAGACAGTAGCAACAGAGACCCTTTTATGGAATATTGAAAGTCATATACACACATATGCACACATGCATTCATGAGCACATGTGTGTATATGTACACAGTACACGCACACAAACAGACGCAATTGAGAAAAGCTTGCTCCTGGGAAAATATAACTATCCTAGTAGTCAGAGAATACTTGCATAGAACAGCTAAACTTTTAAGGTTCCGGATAACTTACAAAAGGTATAATGGATGCAGGAGAAAAAGTGGCCATTAAGGCCGCTGATACTTTTCCCCTTCCCTTAAATTGAGCTTTTTTTCTCCATGATGCATTTAAGATATTCATGCAAAGGCAGACCCTCCTCGTCCCCTCCTAGACATATCTGGAAACAGTGAACCTTTAGAATTTGATATTGTGATATGCTTTCCGGAATAAATATTCAAAGCAGTATAGTATTTGAATTGGACACTTTGGTTAAATCTAGGCCTCAATATTTACTATGCTACTTAGTGTACTGGTTATCTATTGCTGCATAAGAAATTGCTCCAAAATATATTGGCTTAAAATTACAATGATATTTTGTTATCTCTTCCAGTTTCTGTAAGTCAGGAATTTGGGAGGGGTCAGTTGGATAGTAACTGCTTGAAGTTTCTCCTATGATTGCAATCAGATGTTTCCTGGAGCTGCAGTCATCTGAAAGCTTGACTGGAGTTTGCATTTACAAGAGTGTGCACTCAAAAGGCTGACAATTTAATGTTAATTAATGATCAGGGTTTCCAGTGCTCTGCCCATTGAACTCTTCATGGGGCTTCTTGATTGTGTAAATAGCATGATAGCTGAATTCCCAGAGCCAGTGATCTGAGAGTCCAAGGTACAAACTGCAATGCTTTATGATCTAATCACCTCTGCCGTATTCTATTGGTCACACAAGGCCAATAGGCCTTGGTGCAGTGTGGGAGGGCACTATAAAAGGGTAGGCATATGAGGAGGCAAAGATTATTGGGAGCCATAATGAAGACTGGCTACTACACTTGGAAAATATAGCCAACCATATTAATCTTCAAATTCTGTTAAAATTAAGCTATCAATTCCTATCTCATGGTGATGTCATATTAGAGAAGATAAGTTTTTTTAATGGCCTGGCACATAGCAATGGTTCAACACATTTTATCTCTTTCCTACTTCATTTTCCTCTATACTGTTGTGCATTTCAGCAATCTGCATACCTATTTTACTTGCCACATTAAAATCTAAGAAACAAAAGGTACATATGAATTCAGATTAGATTTGTGGTTCTAATTTCTGAGACAAGCAATTCAGGGAAATCATATAAAATTTCGCAGCTGGCATATTTTCATCTGATAAATCGGAGTAAATAAAATAACGCCTATAGACTTGCTTTCTCAATTAAGAAGTTGTATTCTAGTAATAAAAAATAAATTAATAAGCTCCTTGTGTCTTCTCTTTTGCTAGTACTCTCCCTATGGCCATCTGTTTTTATTGACACTTTGTAATTGTACATATTTATAGGCTACAATTTGATATTTTCATACATATACATGTCATATAATGATCAAATCAGGGTATACAGCATATGCATCACCTCACACATGTATCATTTCTTTGTGGTGAGAACATTCAAAAGCCTCTTCTAGCTATTTTGTAATATACAATATGTTAACCATTATTACCCTACTCTGGAATAGAATACCAGAACTTATTACTCCTATCTAATGGAAACTTTGTAACCATTGACCAACCTCTCCCCATCCGCTGCTTTCCCCTCCTTACCCCAGTTTCTGATAATCGCTGTTCTACTCTCTGCTTCTATGATATCAACTGTTGTTTGTTTGTTTGTTTTTAAGATTCCACATGAGATCATGCAATATTTGTGTTTCTGTGTCTGGCTTATTTCACTTCATGTGATGTCCTCCAGGTCAATCCGTGTTGTTGAAAATAACAGGATTTCCTTCTTTTTTGTGGCTGAATAGTATTCAGTTGTGTACATGTACAACATTTTCTTTATCCATTCATCCATTGTTAGATACTTGGGTTGATTCCATATCTTGTTTATTGTAAATAATGCTGCAATAAACATGGAAGTGAAGATATCTCTTCAACATACTGATTTCATTGTCTTTGGTTATATACCCAAAGGTGGGATTTCTGAGTCATATGGTAGTTCTATTTTTGATTTTTTGAGGAACCTTTATACTGTTTCCATAGTGGCTGTACTGATTGACAATCACAGTAACAGTGTGTAAGTGTTCCATTTTCTCCACACTTGTTTTCTTTCGCTTTTTTGATAAAGCCATTGTAACTGGAGAAAGATGTGGTTTTGATTTGCATTTCCCTGTTGATTAATGATGCTGAGAATTTTTTCATGTCCTTTTTAAGAAATGTCTATTAATGTCTTTTGCATATTTTAAAATCTGGTCATTTGTTTTTTCCTGTGACATTTCTTGTGTATTCTATATATTAAACCCCTTGTCAAATACATGGTTTACAAATATTTTCCCATTCTGTAGATTGTCTCTGTAGTCTATTGATTGTGTTCCTTTGCTGTGCAGAAGCTTTTCAGTTTGATGTAATCCCATTTGCCTATTTTTGTTTTTGTTACCTATGTTTTTGAGGTTTTATTTTAAAAAATTCTTGCCCAGCCCAATGTCATAAAGCATTTCCTGTATGTTTCCTTCTAGTAGTTTCATTATTAAGGGTTTTACATTTAAGTCTTTAACCCATTTTGAGGTGGTTTTTGTGTTTGCTGAAAATTGTAGGTTCAGTCTCTTTCTTCTGAATGTGGATATGCACTTTTTCCAGCATCACTTATTGAAGATTTTCTTTTTCTCAATGTGTGTTTTTGGCATCTTTGTTGAAAGTCAGTTCACTGTAGACGCATGAATTTATTTCTGGCTTTCTATTCTGTTCCATTGGTCTATGTGTCTGTATTTTATGCCAGTACAGTGCTGATTTGTTTACTATAACTTTGTAGTATAGTTTTGAAGTCAGGTAGTGTGATGCTTCCATCTTTGTTCTTTTCACTGAAGATTGTTTTGCCTATTTGCTTTTTTTGTGATTCCATTTGAAGTTAGGGTTGTTTTTCTATTTCTGTGAAAAATGTCATTGGTATTTTTGTAGGTGTTACATTAAATTTGTATATTGACTTAAGTACTACGGTCTTTTTAACAATATTAACTCTTCCAATCAATGAACATGAGATATCTCTCTATTTATGTCTTCAATTTTTTATCAATGTTTTATAGTTTTCAGTGTAGGGATATTTTATATCCTTAAGTTTATTCCTAGGTGTCTTTTTTTCATAGATGTTGTAAATGAGGTTATTTTCTTTAATTCTTTTTCAGATTGTTCTTTTTGACAGATTGTTATTAGCATATAGAAACAATACTGATTTGTGTATGTCGATCTTGTATTCTACAAGTTTACTGAATTCATTTATTAGTTCTAAGAGTGTTTTGGTGGAGTCTTTAGGATTTTCTATATAGAAGATCATGTCATCTTCAAACAAGGACAATTTGACTTCCTCCTTTCCAACTTTTATTGCCTTTTATTTCCTTCTCTTGCCTAATCGCTCTGGCTACGACTACCAGTAAAATATTGAATATGAGTGTTGAAAATAGGCAAGCTTGCCGGGAGTGGTGGCTCACACCTGTAATCCCAGCACTTTGGGAGGCCAAGGTGGGTGGATCACCTGAGGCTGGGAGTTCGAGACCAGCCTGACCAACATGGAGAAACCCTATCTCAACTAAAAATACAAAATTAGCCAGGCATGGTGGCACATGCCTGTAATCCCAGCTACTTGGGAGCTTGAGGCAGGAGAATCGCTTGAACCCAGGAGGCGGAGGTTGCGGTAAGCTGAGATCATGCTATTGCACATTGCACTCCAGCCTGGGCAACAAAACTGAAACTCCACCTCAAAAAAAAAAAAAAAAAAAAGTAGGCATCCTTGTCTTGTTCCTAATCTTGTCCTTATCTTAGAGAAAAAGCATTCAGCTTTTCCCTGTTTAGTGTGGTGTTAGCTGTGAATTAGTCATACATGGCCTTTATTGTGTTGATTTTCTATTTTTTTCCAAAATTTAATCTCGGCCCATTTTAAGTGTCCAGGAAGTTAACTATTTCTCTGATCTCAAACTTGTTGGCATATAGTTCAAATAGTCTCTTATGATCCTTTGTATTCACATGATATCAGTTGTAATGTCTCCTTTTTCATCTCTGATTTTAATTATTTGGATCTTTTCTCTCTCTTTTTTTTTTTTTTTGTCTAGCTAAATGTTTCTTGATTTTGTTTATCTTTAAAGAAAACTCTTCGTTTTGTTGATCTTTTGGGTATTTTAAGTCTCTGTTTCATTTATTTCTGCTCTGAGCTTTATTTCCTTTCTTCTAATAAACCAAAAGCGTTTTTGTTTTTCTAGTTTACACATTCTTATCCTTGTTTCCCTAGTTCTTTGAGGTGCATAGTCAGGATGTTTATTAGAAATCTTTCATCTTTTCTTTTTAGATGTAGGCATTTATTGCTATGAACTCCTCTGTTAGAACTACTTTTGTTGTGTCCCACAGGGTTTGGTATGATACGCTTCTATTCTCATTTGTCTCAAGAAATTTTTTTTGAATGTATTTTGGTATTTATTTCTATTCTTATAAGCAGTATGTTTATTCCTTGTCTCAAGAAATTTTTAAATTTTCCTTTAAATTTCATCATTGATTCTTCGGTTATTTAAAAGTGTGTTGTTTAATTTCCATGTATATGTAAGATTTCCAAAGTTTTTCTTCTATCATCTTTGTTTGCACACTTTGATGAAGCAAGCCTCCATGTAGGAGATGACAATAGAGCTCCAAAATGTGAGGGTGGCCTCCAGGCAGAGGCCAACAGGGCTCATTCTGTAAGCTCCTGGGCAGAGCTTAACAATACTACCAACAACCACTGACTGAGCTTGAGGATGGAACACTTCCAAATTAATTTAACGAGGCTCATATTACCTTGATACTGAAACTAGACAGGAATAGAACGAAAAAAGAAAGCTTCTACCAATATTCTTTACAAATAGACACCAAACAATCTTAACACAATATTAACAAATACAATTCAGCAACATATTTAAAACAAATTATACACCATAATCAAGTTGGTTTTATTCCATGGATGCAAGTCTTGTTCAATATTAAAAAGTCAATCAGCTAAATAAAAAAATCACATGATAATTAATTGTTGTAGAAAAAGCATTTGACAAAATTAAACACCCATATATGATTAAAAAAAAAGTATCAGAAAAAATAGGATCAGAATGGTACTTCCTCAACTTGATAAAGAATATCTACGAACACCATACAGCTAACATTATACTTGATGGAAAATGGAATGATTGGTCTCTAAGATTGAGGAGAAAGCAATAGTCTTCATCCTTATCATTTTTATTTAATGTAATAGTAGATGTTCTAGTCAGTGCAAAAGGGCAAAAAAAAAGAAATAGCAATCATAAAAATATAATTCTTCATATTTGCATATGACACAATAGTCTACATATATATTGCCTCTATCATGACTGTATCAGGCTCAACATCTTAAGTGTCATATTGTATTATAGTTTTGCAGATTTATCACTGGGGAACCAGGTAAATGGTACCTGGGATATCTCTGTACTGTTTCTTATACATGCACATGAATCTACAATTTTCTAAAACTAAAAAGTTAAATTTAAAAAAGGATTATGTTTAAAAACATTTTTAACTTCAGATATTGTTGCATTGTGCTTGAATATGTATAAGAATTGCATAATAAAAAATCCTAAATGTTCATCAATATGGGGATAGCTAAATAAATGATATGACATCCATTTGTAATGCTATGCAGCTGTAAACAGAAATTAGAAATCTCTTCCTTTACTAGGGAGAGTTCTCAAAAAGAACATTATAATATACTAGCATTTGTGTATTTTAAGGAGATAGATATCTGTATTGACTTAAATATCTAGAAACGTAAATAATATCTAACTGGGAGTTGCTGTTTGTGAAAGGAGATGGAAATTGGGCAGATGGGGAATAGAAGATGGATGAAGATATTTTACTACATATTTTTGACATTTGATCTATAACATTATGTTACTTAATAACAAAACAAAATAAGTTATTAAAAATGTTCTGCCCATACTAAAATTCTAAGGATTAAAAACAGTGTGATACTAGCACAAAGATAAAAAGATGGAACAATAAATCAATGGAATAGAATATTCTTATTACTATAATGAAGGTGGTCTTCTGACCAATAGAGAAAGAATTATTCATTTGTGGTGAGAAAATAATTGATAGGATATTTGACAGATGGTAGAATTGAGAATTTCCATATACCATGCATGAAGCTGAACTCTGGAGGAAATAAAGAATTACATGCAAGCCAGGCGCGGTGGCTCACGCCTGTAATGCCAGCACTTTGGGAGGCTGAGGCGGGCGGATCACCTGAGGTCGGGAGTTCGAGACCAGCCTAACCAATATGCTGAAACCCCGTCTCTACTAAAATTACAAAAATTAGCCTTGTGTGGTGGCCGGCACCTGTAGTCCCAGCTACACGGGAGGCTGAGGCAGGAGAATTGCTTGAACCTGGGAGGCGGAGGTTGCAGTGAGCCGAGATCACGCCACTGCACTCCAGCCCGGGAGACAGAGCGAGACTCCGTCTCAAAAAAAAAAAAAAAAGAAAAAAAAGAAAACAGAATTACATGCAGAAGTTAAAGCCATGGAAAATCTGAACGTATATGTAAATGTGTGTTTCCCTCATTTCAAGATAATGGGACTTCATAGATTTGAGAAAAAAGGAAAAATTCATAGAGAAAGAAAAGAATGGTTTACATTAAAATAGATCACAGACAATAGCGTTCCAAGTTTCTATTAGATTAAAAATATTAGTCATTCTTAAGACAATATTTGATTTTACACATAAATGTGCACGTCACTATTTATGTGTGTCCATATAAATAGTAAACAGTGATTTGAGCCAAAATAAGAATTGGATTAATTTAATAGTATTTTTTTCCCTATGTTTGAATGCAACTAAACCACTGCAAATCAGTATAAATCAAACTAATAATATAAGTTTATGGGTATGCAAAAATATGATATAATTTATATGACAGAAACATGACAGAAACAGCATTTGGAATTGTGGAATTCTATGAAATATTTTTTTCTTTTTACTTCCTATATTTTCCAAATGCTCTGCTGTGAACATGTGTTGGTAATTTAATTTGGAGATATGTGATTTTTATGTAGTTTTTATACTACAAAGAAACTGAAAATTTTCTATAGTGGATATTTGATTTTGCTCCAACATCTAAACAGCTTGGAAGCTGTTTTGTGATTTTTTTTCTAGTGAAAAAAATCTAAACCAGCTAAAAATCAATGACTTTTGTTAGAGCCACCAGAGAATTGAGGTCATAGGGCAAATCATCACTCTGAAATATGTAAGGCAAGAGGCAAACACAGAGAATCACAGTTGAGATCAGGTTACCAGGAACAGAAGTCATTAGAGCTGGTAACTGATAACAACACTTAAATAGTAATTTTGACAAATCTTTTCAAAATTCTATTGGGACATTTATTTATTTTATTTATTATTTGATTTCCATAGGTTATTGGGGAACAGGTGGTGTTTGATTACTTGAGTAAGTTCTTTAGTGGTGATTTATGAGATTTTGATGCACCCACCAATCATCAGGAATCTTTAGAAGCAGGGCATGGACAAGCTTGACAATTAAAATTGCCTGGAAACCCTGTATTAGATGGGATCCTAGGTCCCTACTTTTGTGGTTACAAAGAAAGGCAGGAGTGAGGGCCTTCCTGGAGCCCCCACCAGACTGTCGCTATAAAGATCTAACAAAAATTCCCTCATATTTTAGACATGCTCAGGGGGGAATGAACCATTTTAAAAAATATGTCCAGATCATTGTCCCTAACAAAGGTCTCCCCTCGAAGGGAAGTTACTTTGCCAGAGTATTATCTGATGTTGGGAAAGGGCAAGGAGACCACTTCAGCATTTTCTACCCTTTCTATCTCACTACAACGACCAAAAAAAAGGCTAAGAAATACTTCTGAAGGTCACAGCCTAGAGACTCAAGTCAAGTAAAAACTGAAGATTTAATGACAAGATTATATAATCCTTCCTCTCCTCCCAATTTTACCATCATATCATCATGTTTCCAGTAATAACCATGGACTGCAACAGAGAGCTGCAATACACAAACTCATATTAGAAGAAATTCTTTGAGAAATAAAAATATGGGAGAAAAAAAGAGGAAACGAGAGGAAACTGGTCTCTGGTATCCACAGCTACAACAAACTTTAAAACAGAGTCTGTTAGGATGTATATTTATCCTAATGCATCCTATTACTTGACACATCATGTCAGCTTTCAACAAAAAGTTAAAAGGACATGTTAAGAGAGAAGGAAGAGAAATACAAACTGAAGAGATAAAATAAGCATCAGAACCACATTTAGATTTGAGACAGATTTTGGAATTATATAGGGATTAAAAATAACAATTATTAACACATGAAGGTCTCTAGTGGAAAATGTAAACAACATACAAGGACAGATTGATATAAACAAAAAATAGAGATTCTAAGAAATAATCAAAAGGTAATGTTACAAATAAAAATGCAGTGCAAGAGAAATGAATAATGTTCGATGGGCTCAGTGGTGGACTGGGTACAGCCAGGAGAAAGTCATTGAGCTTGAAGGCATGTCAACATAAACTTTCCAAATTGAAACGCAAAGAGAAAAAAGAATGACAAATAACAGAACATTGCAGAAAAGGCATTTGTAAAAATCTAAGACTCACTCATGATAAAAACTCTCAGTAAACTGGGAATGGAGGGAAACTTCCTCAACTTGATAAAGAATATCTACAAAAAGCCTAGAGTTGGTATCATACTTCATGGTGAGAAACTAGAAATTTTTCTGCTAAGATCAAGAAAAAGCACTGATATTCCCATTTAACACTCTTTTAAACATTATACATTAGTCCAGGCTAATGCAATCAGATTTTTAAAAGGAAGTAAAAGGTATATATATTGGGATGGAAGAAATAAAACTATCTTTGTTCACAGGTTACATGATTACTTATATAGAAAACCCCCCAAGATTGACCAAAAAAATTCTGAAATTAACAACAGCTTATAGCAAGTTTGCAGAATCAAGGTTGATATACAAAAGTTAATTACTTTTCTATATACCAACAATGAACATTTGGAATTTGAAATTAAAATACCATTTACATTAGCAACCCAAAAATAAGAAATAAAGAAAGTATGTGTGTATGAATGTAACAAAATATGTACAGGATCTGTATGAGAAAAACTACAAAACTATGATGAAATATGTCAAATAATATTTAATCAATGAAGAGATATTTCATATCAATGGATAGGAAGACACAATATTGTTAAGATATCAATTCTTCCAAACTGATCTATACATCAAAGTAATCACAATCAAAATTCTAGCAATTTATTTTGCAGATATATACAAAATGATTCTAAAGTTTACATTGATGGGCAAGAAGAGAGAAAAATTTACATAGAAGAGTTAACAGAATATTGAAAAAAGAAGACCATGGTCATAGGACTGATACTACCTGGCTGCAAGACTTACTATAAAGCTACAGTAATCATGACAGAGTGGTATTCATGAAAGAATAGACAGAAATCAATGAAACAAAATATAAAACCTCAAAATATACTGTCCCTCCCCCTGACACACATACAGGTCAAGTAATCTTTGGACAAATGAACAATGCCATTTCAATGGAGAAAGGATAATATTTTCAACAATTGATACTGGATCATTGGATATTAAAATGCAAAACAAAAAAAAACCCAAAACAAAAAACTAAACATAGACCTAAACCTTTGACAAAAATTAGCTAAAAGTGAATCATAGATATAAATGCAAGTTGAAAAACTATAAAACTTCTAGAAAACAATATAGCAGAAAATCTTTGTGACTCTGGATTTGTCTGTGTATATATAGAAGTAAAGACGAAAGAATGAACCATGAAATTAAAAAAATTATGTCAGACTTTATTAAAATTAAAAACTTCTTGTCTGCTGAAGAGAATGAAATGCAAGCCAAAGACTAGGATAAAGTATTTGCAAAACACATTACTGATAAAAGATTTTCATTCAAAATACACAAAGAACTCTTAAAACTCAACACAGTAATAGTAAAACAACTCCATTAAAAAATGGCCAAAGATCTAAGAAGACACTTCATCAAAGAAGATAAATAGATGGAAAATAAGTATATAAAAAGATACACAACACCATATATCACTGGGAATTTAATTTAAAATAATAATCAGGTATCATTATACTTCTATTAGAATGGCTAAAGTCCAAAACACGGACAAGTACCAAACGCTGGGAAGGATGTGGGGCAATTCTCATTTACTGCTGGGGGAAATGTAAAACGGTAACAGCTACTGTGGAAGACAGGTTGGCAGTTGCTTACAAAACTGAAAGTAGTTTTACCAAATAATCTAGCCATCTCACTCTTGGATATCTGCCAGATTTAGTTGAACACCTGTCCACTTAAGAACCTGTACATAAATATTTATAGTAGCTTCATTCATAGTCACTAAACCCTAGAAGCAACTAAGATTTCCTTTAGTAGGAGAAAAGATAAACTGTTGTACATCTATATAATGGGATACCATTAGGCTTTAATAAGAAGTGAGCTATCAAGTCATGAAAAAAAGTGGAAGAAACTTGAATTTCTTGTATATTGTTAATTGAAAGAAGTTAGTGTGACTTCAAATATGTAACATTTTGGGAAAAGCAAAACTATAGACACTGTATAAGATTAGTGGTTTCCAAAGTTTCAGAAGCAGAGGAGGAGGGTACAAAGGCCTAGTTGAAGTGTAGGGGATATTCTGTTTGATACTTTATGGTGGAAATATGACATTAAGTGTTTGTCGGAACCCATAGAACAGCACAACACAAAGAGTGAAACAGACTATCGACTTCAATTAACAACAACTTATCAATATTGGTTAATTTATTGTAAGAAATGTACTAACCAATGCTAGATGTTAATAACAGGAAAACTGGGGGGGGGGGGCAAGGAGACATGGTCACTGACAGTCTGCTCAATTTTTCTGTAAATCTAAAGGTTTTTTAAAATAGTCTATTAATTTTTTAAAAATGATTACAAAGTAAGTTCAATCTTTCATTGCAAATTTTGTTTGTTAGGATGAAGCCCTATTCATGGAATCTTCCTCCCAACTCTGGGCACCCTGCTGTCATTAGGCATTATTTGGAGTACAGATGGAGTATCACAATTAAATTTGTTTCCTAGTTTTATGCCTTGCTCACTTTATTCCACTCACTTTATTCTGACTTCATACATGTCATTTTATCTTTCTGCCATTTCCATAGCCCTAACATAGTTTAACCTTTCAAAATACAATATAGAATACATCCTTCTGATACCCTGTCAAAAATGATATGGAAAATGACCAACAACATATTCATCAAAGATCCAATCTGTTGTTATTACAGTAAATTTTGTCTTGTAAAGCCAGAAAATGTTGATGAATTACATCACTTAATGAAATGTAATGGTGCATCGGAATTTTCAGAAATCCAGTATACATTTAAAAAACCTGAAACTGAATAATTCCAAAATCATTTCAAGGCTTTTTATTACTATTCCTTTGTGTGCTCTAAAAATGTGTTTACATCTTCATGTAAAAGGAGTCTATCATTGACTTAACACTTAGTAATAGCTTTCTTACTTCTTCCTTGATGCACTACTTTTCTTATTACAGTGCTTTTTAAACTGAAGCCTGTCTTTTTTTCCTAGTATCTGAGATTGAAGAAGTCCACATATCTCTAAAAATTTTTACCAATCATACTTGTTTACAATATTTTGAGAGAAATGAATTTGATCATATTCTTAAATGTTTTGTGACCCACAAAATCACTGTCTTAGAACATGGCAGAAACCCTTATAGAAGGCATAGTTTTATCTCAATTGCTACAATAGATGCAAATTTTTCTACCTGAAGATAAAGGCATTATTTCAGTGTATATTTGCTTTACTCCATCTGTGTCAGTGTCAGATGTATTTGCAATTTGTAAAAATAATGCATTGACAAAAGACAAGCCAGTGTTTGGAAAAAACAGAACTACCTTCAATTCATAGTCAGTGGTGCCTGAGAAATTTCCAGCTGTTTTGTTTTTCTAAAGTAACACTTTTTTTCAATATAAAATGTTCTAATTTTTATTTCATATTTTTCAAAATAGTATTTTGCCTCCCGTTTTGTTTGTTTTGAAGATGACTGACTCTCAAATTAGGGATGCTTCATCTTGGTGAAATTCACATCCTAGCAAGTCATGGACTTCCCTTTTCCAGTTACCAACCAATAGGATGAATAGGCTTTTCCATCAAAAGCTTAATTCTTATTCATAAGCTGGGTTTTTAATCTAAATTTCTGTTGGCTTTTGTAGCCCACTGACTCTAGCCCAGATGGGCTATTTTTATAATTTTTTTTCATTTCATATAAAACCTAGAGATAGCACTAATTAGTCAAATATACACTTCCTTATAGCTCTCTCAAAGCAAAAGGCATTTCCAGGTTCAGGTCTAATCACTACAAAAGGCAAGTGAAAACAGAGTAGAAGAGAAAGAATCCAAAATGACCAAGGAACAATGTTAAAAAATCATGTAACAAAAAGATTCGTTCAAAATGCAAGATAGGTCAAGGATTTTAGTATAACAGTTTGTTAATATTCTGTCAAATTGTATATTACAAGCAACTTTTTTGTTCTGTTTTGTTTTGTTTTGTTTTTGAGACAGAGTCTTGCTCTGTTGCCCAGGCTGGAGTGCAGTGGCATGATCTTGGCTTACTGCAGCCTCCAACTCCCAGGTTCAAGTGATTCTCCTGCCTCAGCCTCCCGACTAGCTGGGACTACAGGTGCCCGCCACCACAACTGGCTAATTTTTGTACTTTTTAAAATCTAGTATTTGAGTTTTGTTTGGTAGTGAAACTATCAAAGAACAATGTCAGTTACCTGAAAAAAAAAAAACTGATAAAATATTCGTATGTTTTCCAACTACATATCTAAGAGTATCTTACTTATGGTGATAGAATGAACACAGAAGTAGATGAGAAATATCAGCTGTATTAGTAGGTATAAAATCTAGTTTTCTAGACAGACATTAAATGGATTTTCAAAAATGTAAATACTGCCATTATTCTAATTCTTTTCATTTTGAAAAATAATTTTCTCAAATATGTTTTTATGTTAAAATATAGTAGGTTTACTGCTATTTTAAAATGGATTAATAAAATACTTCTCAATTTTAATTTCTAATTTGCTGTACTTTAATAAATATAACTTTTTGGAGTACTGAATAATTTTTAAGAATGTAAACAGTCCTGAAGCCTTCAAGTAGCTTAAGAAGCACTGGCCTACACTAAGTGTCCCAGAATTTGGTTGTGAAACTATGAGCTTTTTCAGACAATATTCAACTCTCCATCAATTTACCTTAAAGAAAACTTGCCAGGAGATATGTCCCATGCCAAAGACAATATTACATTTCCTACTTAAGTGACAGAGCTATAATAAAATACACCTATTTACATAACAGCAAAGGCACCCATGCCTGCTATTTAAAATACTATTTAGTCATTCTAAAATATGAAAAGACTATCAAACGTCACCAACATTTGAGGAAAACTAGTAGCATGAAGAAAAGTGACAACTGGATATAAAACCAGAGAAAATAAAACACACATAATTAAAAAACCAGAAAAAAATATATATACACACATACATATTAAAACTTTTTTAAAATATTAAAAAATATATGGTTTCTATAAACAACAATGGGATGATAAATGAAAAAGAAGAGGACAAGGAAGAATTTTTACAAAAACTTATTATATATGTCACATATATCACATATATGGATTCTCTATAATCACCAACATTTTAAAAAGGAATAAGATTCAATAATTTCCACAGAGTATGTATTAGTCCATTCTCACGCTGCTAATAAAGACATACCCGAGACTGGGTAATTTATAAAGGAAAGAGGTTTAATTGACTCACAGGTCAGCATGGCTGTGCAAGCCTCAGGAAACTTACAATCATTGTGGAAAGGGAAGCAAACACATCCTGCTTGACACAGTGGCAGCAAGGAGAAGTGCCGAGCAAAAGGGGGAAAAGCCCCTGATAAAACCATCAGATCTTGTAAAAACTCATGCACTATCATGAGAACATCATGGAAGTAACTGCCCCCATGATTCAATTAGCTCCCACCCGGCCCCTCCCATGACACGTGGGGTTTATGGGAACTACAATTCAAGATAAGATTTGGGTGAGGACACAGCCAAACCACATCAGAGTATGACCTAATAAAAACAAAAAAAGCAAAAATGAAAGCATAAAGGATGACAGCCAAATGTTAAACCCAAGAAATTAAAGAGTTCCAAATAGGAGAAGAGAACTATGAGGAACAAGATTATAGTAAAGAAATAATAAATTTCTCAAAATAGAAGAGAAACATTAGGCTTCCAATCAAGATGGTCTTGAGTTTACAAATGTATATATTCATCCCAAATGATATTAACACTACATTTTTTTTTTGGAAAATTAAAGAGGTATAGCTATGTTGAAAACCCAGAAGAAAAATAAATCATTGTAGGTCAGAAATTATAAACCAGGCACTAAAGCCTCAGATCTGTTTAGCATTAAATTCAGTAACAGGCAAAAGATGCTGGATGTTTGGCCCTTCCAGAGTAACTGGGCCCCAAGAGCTCTCCAGAGATGATTGGGAGAGGAAAGAACCAGGTTCATAATATGAAATCTGTGGCTGAAATGGACTTTCTCCATCCATAAAAGACTCTGAGCATAACTATAATTATTCTCTGTAGCTGTGACCTATGAACTCAATCTGGCAGAAGGCATGCAGACAGATGATCAATCAGCATGTTTGCCAACTGAATTGCTGGATCCAGGAATGGATAGGAGATATCCCTAGTGTATCCATGGGACAGGAGCCAAGAATCTTATAAATTCCTGGCAGAACTGAAGATTGGGCAGGTGGAAGAAAATACAATGAGAGGACAAGAGAAAGAAAACAGAAACACAACAAAATAGAATTAAGCCTCAAGATGAGTCACCAAGAGAATATTATAAAGCACTTGAAAAACAAAATAAAACAACACTAAACACTGGAGGCAGTAAAATTAATAATCTCACCAATGTGAAAATAATAGCTCTGAAACAATAGCTTTAAGGTAAATATTTTTAAAGTCATTACAGAGATAAAAATGACATCTATAAAAGAAATGAGTCATTTTCAGAAAACTGAGGAAGAAATCAGTCAAAGCCAGATATATATGGAAAATAACCAACTAGAAACATAAAATATAAACATTTTTGTAATCAAATTTAAATAATCAAATAGAAAGTACCCTCTAGCCTTGTCCAACAGAACTTTCTGCAATGATGGAACGATTCTGTATCTGCACTGTCTAATATGGTAGTCATCAGCCACTTCTGGCTAGTGTGCAATTGAAATGTAGCCATTGGGACTGAGCAACTGAAGTTTTAATTTCACTTCATTATAATTAATTTAAATATGTTTAAATAAGAACACATGCTTCATATCTACTAGACAGCAGAGTGACATAGAACATAGTCAAAGAAGGAAATTGTCATATGAGAAATAGCACATAAGAATTTGTCCAGAAAGTGATATAAAGAGATGGATACAAAAACATAAAAGTATAAATATGGAAGAATGATAATAGATTGAGACTTGAACATATGTCTAAATAAATTCCCAGAAACAGAATATAGGGAGAATCCAGGAGAACAAATATGTGAAGAAATAATGGTTGAAAATTGCACAGAAAGTAAAAGAGGGTATTTCAGATTGAAAACATGGCCTCTAATTAAGAAAATAAAGACACATCTAAATTTACCCCAGTGAAACTGCAGAATAACAAAGGTGAAAGGAAAAAACCCTAAAAATTACAAAAGAAAAAGTACTCACAATTCAATGACAGCTGGAGTAACAGAAAACTTTTCATCAGAAACAATGTTGGCCAGAAGAAAGCAGTTATGTTCAGAATGAAGAAAAATAACCAGTCTTCAGTCAAACTCTTGTTTAAGTGTGAGGGTGAAATAATGATTTTTTTTTTTCAGAAAAAAATACAAATAAGAGTATTTATGTCCTGTATGCCCTTCATAAAAGAGGTCTTGAAGGATCCATTTCAACATGAAGAAATGGTTACTCCAAAGAAGAATACAAGAAACAGACGGAACTAAGAAATATGTAAGAAACATTGGTAAATTTAACTGTTGCATCTGTTATGTTGTAAGTAACAGACTTCTGAGTCAAACTATTTCAGAAATAATAAGAGAATTCTCTGTGTCAAATAACTGGAAAGTTCTGAGAAATAGAATCTTCTGAGCAGGTTGATCCAGTGGCTTTACAACAGATCCAAGCAAATATCTATTTCCCCTTTATTTCTTATTTTTACTATCCACAAAGTCGGCTTCATTCTAAAGATGGGTTCTTTGTAAGGGTGACACCTTTTATAGTCATAGGATGGATGCCAGAAGTGTTACATGGATTCACTCTCACACATCGCAGAAGAGTGATAAACTTCAGTTTTATTATGATTGAATAACCTTAGTGTCAGTCACTGTGAGTAGTGTCATGTGCCGATTGTAGTACATTTGGGATAACTGGACATCTAACTGTGTCTTGAGGGGCTAAATTACCTTTTTCTTATAAAGACCCAGACCTAACTGTTTAGGCTTTCAAATACACTCTTAAGTGTATTGGTATGGATATTAGAGAGGAAATAAATATACTCACTTTATTTTTGTGATTGTAACAATATACCATTCAATTTCTATTCCTGAAAACAGTTGGAATTAAAATTGTAGATTATAAAAAGAAAAATACCTGGGGTATTTCAGTAGTTTTTTTTTCTTAAACACAGTTTCTTGTTTTGGTTTGGTGTGTTTTCTGTGAGGATATAAATGCTGAATCAATTTAGAATTATCCCAGACTTATAAAGTTTGATCTCTGTGTTAAAAATGCAAGAATACACATTGAAGACTAAAAATAAAGTTTGTGGTTTTTAATAAAGAGAGAAGTAGATAACAAAGAATGTTTGAAATCTACCCAAATGTAAAAAATAAAATAATGGAGTAAAAAAAGACGTGATAAATGGAAACCTCAAAAATATTTGACTGAAATATGCCCAACTATATTAGTAACCAAAGTAAATATAAACATATTTAATTCACCTATGAAAAGACAAAGAACATATAATTTTTAAAATTCTAGTTATAGACTCTACATGAAAAATGCATTAGACAAAAAACAACTACACAGAATGGTTGGAAAAACTATATCTCACAAGTATTACCCAACAGAAAATGGATGTTACAATATTAATATCAGAAAAAAATAATTTAAGGCAAAATATTAATAAGAGGAAAGGCACACAGATAGTAAAAATCAACAATGAGGAGATATCTCAACCACAAACACCTATGATCTTTATAATATTGTTTAAAATTATGCAAGGCACAATTGACAGAATTAGTAGAAGAGATTGTGCAATCCACATTCATGCTTAGGAATTTTAACCTACTTATCTCAGAAAATTTTGGATCAGAAAAACCCCAAAATTTAGTTAAGTCACAGAATATATAAACAATATAGTTAATAAATGTGATTTAATAGTTTATATGTAACCCTGTGCTACATGGAAAGCCACATTCTCTAGGCAAAATATACTTTACCTTGGAAGGCCACTGGGATCAAGTGTCAGTAAGCTGGAACTCAGGAAAAGAGAAGAGGTTAGGAAAATATTGTTAGAACCTGGATTCTAGCAGCCTGGTTTCAGGACTAGACTATGGACAGATGGCTAGGAATGGACTCCTTATGGAGCAGATGGTTGAATATGAATACAGGGTCTGATCACCAATTTAAATTTTTTCATGTTTTGTTCTATAACTCTCTGTTCCCCTCAAACTTCAGTAAAGTTCTTTTATATATAACAAATATTTTTAGTAATAGTGCTTTGCAAAATAAAAGGGGGATGAGTATGTTCACCTTAGGAGTAATGTGGATAAAACCAAGCAGATTCTAGCAATAGGTAGAAGGAAAGAACAAATGAGCCAGGGTGAGCCCAGATAGAGAAACCATGATGACTACAAGGACCCCGTGTTCTCAGGAATATGGGGGAGGGATGACAAAGACTTCTAGCAGCTGTGGGGATTAGTGTTCAGATTGTTTTCTTAGAATAATAAATCAAACGGTAACTCCTTGGTAGGGACATTCAGGTTATACATCCATAAAGTATCTCATTTACTTGAAGAGCATGGCTTAGTAAACTCAAGGGAAGCCTGTTTGTTGTAGAAACAGAATTTCAGTCTGACATGCCTGAAATAAATTTGCCACAAGCTGTGTCTTCACTACACATAAAAGTGTACTTCTATGTCTTTAGAGAACTAAGCCAAGGACACTATGTTTCCTATTTAAGAAAGAAATGTAGATTTCTCATTAAAAGGCAAAGCCATCATTTCAAAAAGATGAATTAGAAAGTACTTTAAAAAGAATTCCAGGTGGTTAAGGCACTTAAAACAAGTCTAAGAAAATGTCTTGGCTCTAGGCCCAAATAATTTTAATTCAATTGTGAAAAGCATACACTTTTGCTTCTTAATTCTTGATTCTTAAGATTTTATTCTTACATGTACACAAAGGTAAGTAACAGTGGCTCAGTAAACCTTTATAACTTATTATTGAGAATTCTCAATTTTCATCAATTCAAGGTGAACTTGGAAGGGCAATATATTGTACATTAAACAAGAAAAACGTATTAATTAATTTGGACTTCATTCTTCAAGTCTTTGAAGTTGATTGGCAAAGCAGAACTCTATCAAGCTAATTCATACCTGCCTTAAAACTTGATTTGTGCATCTTTAGCAATGAACCTCATCTATGCAACACTTGTTCTGGAGTTGTAGAATTGATAGAATGTGAATCTGCTCCCTGGATCTCAGTAGCAGGTTTGTTGCTGCTGCTCCCCTTCCTGATCTGAAAACACTAAGCAAGACCCCTAAGCAGTTCCAAATTTTCAGTGGGTTGTAACACCTGAGAAATAACTAATTGATCCTTCTCTCCAAGATGACAGTCCTTGAGAAATCTTTGATATTTGAACAAGTTCCAGCCAGTTTAACACAATGTGTTTGCATTTTTTTTTACACCTTCATAAATGAGCTCACTGACTTCATTCTGCAGCAAGCCAATCACTGGGACAACCCTCTCATAAGCTACTGATGAGAGAACATGGGAAAATCAGTGTACTTAATCATCATTACAGAAAAATTATTTAGACAATATTTTCTACTAAGTACATTATCTTTGGTCAAAGTCAAAGTATCATAACATCTGAAATGGTTATATATTTTAAATAACTCAAACAAGATCTTAGTTCGCATAGCAAAAATATCAATTTTTCTGGTATGTTGATCTTAAATGAGTCATAGCTGACAATTAATATGATGCTACAGCCCACTGCCTTTCATTAACTACAATCAAACGGGGACTGATCTCTGTGCAAACAGCATCTAAACGAGGCCACAAAGACCAGAAAACCAATCAATATCTACAAGTGAATCAAGGAATGAATGACACTACAATAGCTTTTCAAGAATTTAGAAAAGATGTGTAGTAAATTCAAAGTGCTGTCACATTATTCATTTATTCATTCATTGAAATTGACCCTATTGTGCCTGATATGAGAGAGGAGAATCCAAGTTCATGCTCTAAAGATTATTTTGGAATCACCTTGGATAAGTTACTTAGCGTCATGATTCTTTCTCTTCTATAAAATAAGGCTAATGATAATATATGTCTCACTACCTAACCATTTTTTACAAGAACCAAAATAAATAAATAAATAGAGTATAAGAACCCTTTATTAATTACATTGTATTATGCAGACTTAATTTAAAGGTAATTTCTGCAAGATTATTTCTAACCAAGTAGGATACTTGAATATTTGTCATAGCTCTCCCAACAGCTATGTGTAACTCTCTAATTAACTATAGTTGCTACTTTATAGGAAATATGTCCCATTGGATTTACTTCCCCAACAGCTAATATTTTCTGTTTAGAGTCATATACCTCAAGAGTGAGACAGAAAAACAAACAAACCAACCAACCAACCCACGTATTTGATACACTAAATACCATTCAGACTCTGGAAGAATGGCTGATCCTTAAATAATGCAGAGTTTAGGAGTACTGACCCTCATGCTGCAGTCAAAAATTCACATATAACTTTTGACTCCACAAAAACTTAACTACTACTAGCCTACTAGAAGCTTTACAGTAAGATGAACAGTTAACACATATTCTTTATACGTATGACATACTATATTCTTGCAATAAGGTAAGTAGAGAAAATAAAATCTTATTAAGGAAATTATAAAGAAGAGAAAATATGTTTACTATTCATTACATGGAAGTGGATCATCAGAAAGGTCTTCATTCTTATTGTCTTTATGTTGAGTAGGCTGAAAAGGAGGAGGCAGAGGAGGAGTTGGCTTTTACCATCTCAGGGGTGGCAGAGGTGGGAGAAAATCTGGCTATAGGTGGGCCCCCATAATTGAAATCCATATTGTTCAAGGGTCAACTGTATAGGTTTTCATTATCAGGATCCTAGAAAACACTCATGTTTTACCATGAAAAGAAATGTGGGGATATAAAAGAAATTAAGGCTGCCTAAACTTATTGAGGTACTAAACAGAGTTAAAAAGCTTGGAGAATACAGAGCTAGGTTTTGAAGTTTCTTTATTCCCTGAAATTTGATATATTAGGTTGTATATAAATGAATAAATTGTCTTCTTGTCAGAAGATCCTCTGTTGTTTATCAAATGCTCTAAGTGTTTTCCAACCCCCGAAAGATTAAGAATCACTTCTTAATGATAACTGGATAGTAGATACAGAAAATTAACCATAAAAAAAGATTAACACTTCAGTTACCGAACTGTTAAACATGGTCATGGGCCTCGATATTTATAGAAAATCTTTGTATAAAATGGAGAAATACTGTATTATTTATTTATTTCACTCTTTTTACTTTATCTCCTGGTAGAGAATATTGAGGCAATATAGTCTTTGACAATACAGTGTTCAACTGAATTAATATAAAACTATGGAAGAATTTTAGCCAAGATTTCTTATAGTGTCTATAACTAAATATTACATTTTAATGACTAGCCCAGTAGCCCTTCTTACAATGATATAAGACTTAAATATTGCCTAAAAAGTACTTAGAGTACTGAAGGAATACTAAAAAATACAATAAATTACTATATTAATATTTTGTGCTGTGTACCTTTTGGTTTTCTGTGTTCTCTTTTATAGCTTCTGCTATGGGAGTTTAGAGAAACCAATAAAATTTGCACACACAAGAAAAAGCTTTTTCATTTTAGAAATTGTCACACTATGGAATTCAGAGAAGTTACCTCATAAAGCCAATTGATTTTCAAATTGTCTTTCTTAAGTCATTGCATTCTTAGGTCATATCTTCTCAAGTTTGCCTTTATAGTTTTATGACAGAAAGTCGTAAGAAACTATTAAACTTTTTTTAGTTGGTTTCTGTATTTGCTTCTCACTATTGTTGGAAAAGCACCCAGTGAAAAGCTCACACTATGCTCTTGCTTTGTAAGGCAGAGAACTAAATAAAATGAAGATTTTTATGATATTTTTCTTTATAATTGACTTCCTAAAAACTGTAAAAATTGGTTAAAAAGCCATGTAATTTTACAACAAAAAAATTGTAAAAGTAAAATGTTCCTCCTTCACATTACCATGAATGACAGAGAGAATTGTTATGGGGAAGTTGGCAGTAGAAGCATCTTCTTTCAAGAAGCTTATTAAACAAAATACCCTATAATAACTGAAAAAGTTCGAAGAGTCACTGTGCAAACACATCAAAAATAAGATTGAAGACGATGTAGAAGACCATGTGATCAACTTATGCTGTGTTTTGTACTGTCTTATACTTAGGTTAATTTAAAAAATATTTAAGATAATTTAGAATTAACATATATTCTATTTAAAATTAGTTAAAATTAAATAACTATCTTGTTCAGAAATTTGGTTTCAAGGAAAAGAAATCCTTTAAAATTCATGTCAATTAGTATAGGCTCCAGGAGTAATCTTGGCATGTCTATTTGTGAACTATATGCAGGTATTACATGGATGAGAAATTCATCAGATGTATTTGTTCTTTCTTCTCTATTCTTATCTTTCTTTTCTCTTAATAGTCCACTGAATTTTTGCTCCCAGTACTTTAAGTTCTAGGGTACATGTGCACAACGTGCAGGTTTGTTACATAGGTATACATGTGTCATGTTGGTTTGCTGTACCCATCAACTCATCATTTACATTAGGTATTTCTCCTAATGCTATCCCTCCCCCAGGTCCCCACCCCACAACAGGCCCTGTGTCCAAGTGTTCTTATTGTTCAGCTTCTACCTATGAGTGAGAACATGCGGTGTTTGGTTTTCTGTCCTTGCAACAGTTTGCTAAGAATGATGGTTTCCAGCTGCATCCATGTCCCTGCAAAGGACATGAGCTCATCCTTTTCTATGGCTGCATAGTATTCCATGGTGTATATGTGCCACATTTTCTTAATCCAGTCTATCATTGTTGGACATTTGGGTTGGTTCCAAGTCTTTGCTATTGGGAGTAGTGCCACAATAAACATATGTGTGTCTGTGTCTTTATAGTAGCATGATTTATAATCCTTTGAGTATACACCCAGTAATGGGATCACTGGGTCAAATGGTATTTCTAATTCTAGAACCTTGAGGAATCGTCACACTGTCTTCCACAATGGTTGAACTAATTTACACTCCCACCAACAGTGTAAAAGTGTTCCTATTTCTCCACATCCTCTCCAAAATCTGTTGTTTCCTGACTTTTTAATGATCGCCATTCTAACTAGTGTGAGATGATATCTCATTGTGGTTTTGATTTGCATTTCTCTGATGACCAGTAATGATGAGCATTTTTTCATGTGTCTGTTGGCTGCATAAATGTCTTCTTTTGAGAAGTGTCTGTTCATATTCTTTGCCCACTTTTTAATGGGGTTATTTGTTTTTTCTTGTAAATTTGTTTAAGTTCTTTGTAGATTATGGATATTAGCAAAAATTTTCTCCCATTCTGTAGGTTGCCTGTTCACTCTAATGGTAGTTTCTTTTGCCATGCAGAAGCTGTTTAGCCACTTTTATTAGTGTGAGCTGAGTAAATGTTTTCAGCCCAATAATGTCAGGGTTGGCCATATGCAAACTCCTGAAATAAAAAAGTCAAACCAAAAATACTATATCTGGAAAAAGTGTTGTTCAAAGCAGAAGGAGAAATAATTTCCCAGATAAACAAATGCTAAAGAAGTTCATCACCATTAGATATGCCTTATAAGAATTGTTAAGAGCTTCCTTCAAGTTAAAATGTAAGGACACTAGACAGCAAGAAAAAAAGTAAACAAAAATGGAAAGTTTTCTTGTAGAGGTAAATATATACATGATACAGAATCCTGTAATACTGTAAGAGTGGCAGGTAAATCAGTTTTAATTCAGGTGTAGAATTTAAAAATGAAGGCATGAAAAATATAATTATAAAATTATGCTAATGAATACAAAACATAAAAAGATATAACTGTGACTTTGATAACATAAAGTGTGGGAGGGAGACATAAAGGAGTAGAGTTTTGTTATGCAGTTAAAGTTAAGTTGTTATCAGTTTAAAATAGATTGTTATAACTGTAAGGTGTTTTATGTAGTCCCCATAGTACCACAAACAAAATACCCATAAAAGATGCACTCCCCCCCAAAAAAAAGCCTGACAAAATAATCAAAGCCTGTCTCTACAGAAAAATCAATAAGACACAAAAAACGGCAGTAAGAGTAAAAGAAATTGAGAAAATAACTATAAGACACACAGAAAACAACTTAAAGGTGGCAATAATAAGTTCATCCCTATCAGTAATTATTTTAAATGTAAATACCACACTCAAAAGATTAAGAATGATTGAAGGGTTAAAAGCAATATCCAGCTATGTGCTGTCTACAAGAGATCACTTTAATTTTGTTTTTCTTTTAGAGACAAGGTCTCCCTGTGTTGCCCAGGCTGGTCTCCAACCACTGGGCTCAAGCAATGCTCCTGCCTTGGCCTCCCAAATTGAGAATCATTTTAGATACAAGAACATATGTAGGCAGTCTAGGTGCAGTGGCTCATGCCTGTAATTCCAGCACTTTGGGAGGCTGAGGCAGGTGAATCACTTGAGGTCAGGAGTTTGAGACCAGCCTGGCCAACATGGTGAAATCCTGTCTCTACTAAAAATACAAAAAATTAATTGGGTGTGGTGGCATGTGCCTGTGATCCTAGCTACTCAGGAGGCTGAGGCAGGAGAATTGCTGGAAACTGGGAGGTGGAGGTTGCAGTGAGCTGAGATCATGCCATTGCACTCCAGCCTGGGTGACAACAGCAAGACTCTGTCTTAAAAAAAAGAAAGAAAAGAAAGAAAAATAAAGTAGGTAGAAAGTAAAAGTATGATAAAAAGTATTCCATGCAAATGGTAACCATCTGTTCAGCATGGTACTGGAAATCCTAGCCTAAGTAATCAGGGAAGAAAAAGAAATAAAAGTCATCCAAGTAGAGAAGAAAGAAATAAAATTATCTCTGTTCATGGACGACATGTCTAGTATATAGAAAATCATAAGAATTCCACAAAAATACTGTTAGAACTAAAAAACGACTTCAACAAATTTGCAGGATACAGTATTAACACCCCAAAATCAGTAATGTTTTACATTAACAGTGAAAAATCTTAAAAGGAAATAAAAGAAAATACTATCACTGACAGTAGCCTCAAAAAATAAAATACTTAGGAATAAAATTAATTAAGGAGGCAGAAGATTTGTGCACTGAAAACTACAAAACATAGCTGAAATAAAGACACAAATAAACAGAAAGATATTTGTGTTCATGGATTAGAAAACTTAATATTCTCAAAATGCCCATAATTAGAACTCCAGTGCAATCCCTATCAAAATCCTAATGGCATTTTTTTTTGCAGAAATAGAAAAAATACTAATTTCATGTACAACAGTAATGAAAACATTATGGGAGTGGCAAAAGACAGATATGCAGACAAATGGAATAGGATAGAGACCAGAAATAAGCCCTCACTTAACATGGTCAAATAATCTTTCACAAAGGTGCCAAGACTACACAATGGGAGAATGGACAAACTCTTCAACAAATGGTGTTGGGGAAACTGGATATCCACATGCAAAGGATAAAGATGTCCAACTTTACTAATGTTCAACAAGCATAGGAAAAGATGCACAATGTCATTAATCATGGGAGCAACACAAATCAAAACCACAATGAGATGGGGTCTCACACTCTTTAGGATGGCCACTGTCTGAAAAACAACAAGCAGTGGTGAGGATGTGGAGAAATTGGAACACTTGTGCACTGTTGATAAGAATGTAAATTAGTGAAGTGGCTATAGAAAATAGTATGGAGTTTCCTCAAAAAATTTAAAATATAACTACCATATGATTTAGCAATCCTACTTCTGAGTATTTAATCAAAAAATTGAAACAGGATCTCAAAGAGATATTGAACATCCATATTTATTGCAGCTTTATACACAATAGTCAATATGTGGAAGCAACCTAAATATTTTGGTTAAAGAAAATGTGATATATACATAAAGTGGAATATTATCTGGCATAAAAAAGAAGGAAATCCTGTCATAAGCTACAATATGGCTGAACACTGGGAACATTACAATGAGAGAAATAAGCCACTTATAAAAAGACAAATATTGCATGATTCTACTTATATGAAGTATGTAAAGTAGTCAAATTCTTAGAAAGAGAAACAGAATGAATGTAAAGTTTCAGTTTTGCAAGTTGAAAAAGTTCTACAGATCTGTTGTGCAACAATGTGCATAAAGCTAGCATTATTGTACTGTATGCTTAAAAATTATTAATGTGGCAAATGATATGTTCTTTGACTAAGATTTTTTTAAAAAACTAGAGTAATAGTATATGCATCTTCACAGGTTTGAAACAAAACAATTTATGGTTTGAAAGAAGATAAGATGTCTGAGTCTCGCTCAGTATCCTGTACAGGCTCCCAAGACAACACACATTAGTTCCCAAGGGACCCCTGCTCAGAGCCTGAACTTTAGAAAGCCTAAGGTGTCACAAACAGACCCACTCAAAAAAATCATTATGGAACACACTAGTGCTCTCTCACTCCAGTTGTGGTACTCAGCATAGACAGAGGACAATCCTGTAATCTTATAAACTCACTCTCATGATGAACACTATTCAAGTACGTCCAAGATAAATGTTTCTCCACATATTTTGTCCCCAAGTCCTCCAAACAAAAACTGTCCCAATCAAAATGTCATGGAGGTCTGTGAGAGTGGAAATGAAAAAGACAAAATAAATATCTTGAAAATCCTTTCTCTCAGAAGGCATAAATGCAATAGATTCTCAAATAGCAAAATATGGTTTCCAAGTGGATTTAGCTGACCATTGTCTTGCTTTTCTTTGTGTTCAATTTTAGTATGCAAACATGACAGGTGGGTAGCAGCCAGTGGCACACTACACCTGATGCACATGGAGGATGAGAAATACAATATTAATACAATTCATATTATTCCTAAATATGCATATATGTACATCTTAGATAACTACAAGAAGCATGATACTTATTTTTCACAATTACAGCCAGATGAATATTGAATGCTAGAATTGTGAATAATTTTATTTTTAAACATATTTTTAAAATCTAAGTAAAATTTAAAACTAAATGTTTCAGCATTATTTAATTATTGATCTTATTATATTAAGTATTTGCCTATTAGTTTTAATAAATCCTGTTGAAGATCTCAGAACTGTAACTTTTGAAAATATAATGAAAATATTTGTATTGAATGTTATATTTTTTTCTACTTAATAAAATATTTTCAAATTTTGTATGCTTGGAATATAATTAAAATTTAAGCACAAATATGTGACGAGCAAATGAATAAATAAGGTAGTGTTGGCAATATGAATTTCCAACAAAGTAGACCTCAAGAAAACAGGGGCATTTTATGCTGATAAAAAATTTACTGTTATAAATGTATGAACTGTGGATCTTCATATACACAATAACGGTATCAAATGCAGAAATAAAAAATTTAGAAATACAAAGAAAAATGGATAGCAATTCTATTGTTACAACATATTGTAACAAACTTTTTGGGCCAAATAGAGATAAAGAAAGCAAGAAGCAAGTAAATATATAATAGTTTTAGTAGTTGGAAGTAGCCTACTTAAGACATAAGGTTAACATTTTCATCTTTATAATGACCATTTCTCATTTTCAACCATCTAAAAAAAAATCTACGAATAATTCAGTCACAGCCTTGAAATGATTCTTACAATATTAAACATAATGCAATGAATCTAGAAACAAGTTTTTGAAGTTCTAACACAGCAAAAGTCTAAAAAATCCCACTCATTAAAAATAAAAAAACTCTTTAAGACTATGTAACTATTCACTTAGAAGTAAAATTTAAATTATAATTTCAAATATTTATACTGCATATATACAGCAGACAAAATATTTGCAAATATGACTAATATTCATATTATGCAACATATTAATCATTCCAAGTTAATGTCCTTAAACTAATTAATAGCAGTTGAAAAAGCATTAAAATTATAATCTTCAGTACTGCTTTCAGGATTTATAGAGGGATGGAAGGTGATATATCTTAAACCAGCAGCCAGAATTCACTAAAGATGGATTATTATTTTTCTTACTATTGAAAATGCTCCCTCTCATCTTTATTATTTAGCATTATATTTGGAGGATCTAGTTTAAGCATTATGGCATATAAAGATGAGGTGAGAAAACTAAGATCATTGGTTTGATGAACAGGGATGACTACCAGTTCCTGAAATACTGGACAAGGAATCAAAGCAAGGACTAGGGGACCAGAAGTCATTGATGCTATAAACATTATTTCCATGCTTCAGTCTTTTTTTTTTTTTTAAATGAAAATACCCAGAAATCATCATTATTACTTAACATCATTTGAAAGTTCTGGACGATGTAATACTTTATAAAATAGAAATAATGCAGGGGAATAATAATATTACTGTTGGCAAATTATATAATTATATACTTAGAAATCTTAGGAGAAATCAGATTTATTAAGAGTTAAGCAAAATAGCTGAGTTTTTAAAAATACAAAAAAAGGATTTTCTTTATACCAGTTATTAATACTTGATAAGTAAAATAATCATTTCAAAAAGAAAATAAATCAAAGTAATAAAGAAAGCATTAGAAATAATTCTAATAAGAAATGACTGCATCCAATTTTTAAAATTTATCCTTTGGAAACTTTGAATATGTAAAACGTCTTGTCTTCTCAAAGTACACCATATGTCTAACCAAAATCTCAAACAAAATATGTGTGTGTGAATGTGAAGACAATGTATAAATTCTAAATATTCTCAGGAACAAAAAATGGCCTAGAATAGCTAAGAAATTATCTAATATTTGAATATTAAGGCAAAATATTATTTACCACATATCATATAGTATAACAAAATTACAATAAAAATAATTCATAGTGTTATCACAAATGACACATTATAATTCAATGTGGAATAGACAAAAAAAACAAAGTTTGTTAAGAAAAAGTGACCATTTAGAAACATACAATTAGAGTATCTGCTCACTTCAATCACTCAACTAAATTTCAAAATTAACTGTTGAAAATTAAAAGGTAAAGGTGATGATGTTGGGCTCTATTTAATTGCTCCCTAGATAGGAAATACTAAATGTTTTTAGTACTCATGAAAAGAAATGCTGGCAAATTTGATTGTGTAATATTTAAAAGATTCTTGCTATTCAAGTACCAAAATGAAGTTAAATTTGGAAGCTTGCAATAAAGGTGAAAGAAATAATATTATATACCTTGTTATATAAAAATTCTTACAAATTATTATAAAAATAATACTCAATATGAGAAGATGAGCAGGCTATTCAAAAGGAACATACGAAGGGTAATGTACATTTGGTTAAAAAAAGAAAAAAGAAACATTTTCACCAGTAAACAGGAATGCAAATTTAAAGCAATGAGATAACATTTTTTTTTCACTTAGGACATTTTTAGATAATATCAGAACTAATACTCAGTGCTAATGAAGATAGAATGAAATAAGCTGAGGAGACAGGCCCAAACTCCCTTAAAAGCAATTTGTCAAAATATATTGTGCTTGAAAATGCTTCTCCATTTTATTTAGAAATTCTTCTTCAAAATGTCTGTCCTCAGTAAATAATTAATGTTGTCACAGACTTTTTATGAAACAAAATTTTGGAAACAAACTAAATGTCCAAAAATGTGAAATTATTTTACAAATTACAATGTATCAAGAGAATGAGATATTATCTAATATTTAATGCCATGCTTAATAAATGTTTCTTATAGTTCTGGAGTCAGAAGTCTAACTTCGAGGCATTGGCAAGTCTGTGTTCCTTCTGCAGACGTCAGAAGAATTTCTTGTTTTTTTTTTTTCCATTTTCGAAGAGCATCTGCATTGCTTGGCTCTTGGCCCCTTCCTTGAATTGTGTCATCCTCTCGTTTCCACTGTCATATTTTCTACTTCTCACTCTGATCCTCTTACCTCCCTCTAATAAGGACTCTCTGATTACATTGGGTCCACCTGGATAACACAGGATAACAGGATGCCAACACAAGATTCTTAATCGCATTTGCAAGGTTGTTTTTACCATGTAAGGTAACACTCAAGGATTTGAGGATTAGGATGTGGACATCTTCGGGGAGCCATTATTCAGCCAATCATTGTGAAACAAAGTATAAAATGAAGATGGCATGTGCTATGGTCTGAATGTATCCACCCCAAATTTTTATGTGGAAACCTAATCACCAGTGATGGTATTAGGAGGTAAGACCCTTGGGACATGATTAGGTCATGAGAGCTGAGCCCCAGTGAATGGGATTAGTCTCCTTGATAAAAAGAAGCCCCAGAGATCAGCTTTGCCCCTTTGGCCATTTGAGGTTACAATGAGAAGATATCCATGAGGATACCAGCCATTTCCAGACACTATATCTGCCTGTACCTTGATTTCGTGCTTCCTAACTCCAGAAATGTAAGAAGTAAATTTCTGTTGTTTACAAGCCACACAGTTTATGGTATTTTCTTACAGCAGCCAGAATGGAATAAAACACCATATAATCCTACTTCTCTAAATAATGGAATTATATTGTGATATTCATCTATTTCCAATGTTTTTCAATGAGAATGTAATACTATTATAATCAACATTGTTCAATGTCAGGCAGAATCTTTTAAAATTCTAATCTGCTTGTAATGTCTTAACAGCAGTTGTAAAAGCACATGCAAAAAGGACTTCTTTTTCCAATATTACTCCATACTACATTTAAAACCCTACTTTTCAGATATAACTAAGTAACTAAGTCTGAATACACAAACTTTAAACATTGAAGACCCGCCCCCCAAACACACACACACACTTCTTGGAATACTATATATAATTTGATCTTACCACATATAACAAGTCTACTGTATATGATTTTCTTGCTCTAAATGAATATCTTTAACACTTGTACAAAAAATAAATAAGTATCCTTTGTTTACACACACAAAAATAAAGTACATATTCTATTTTATCTTAATCCTTGAAGTATTATCAGTTGTTTTGCATTTTTTATAAATGCAAACATAGAGCTATAAGCTTATAGAAATTTTCTGATTCTATTCATAATTTTCCCATGCAATTTAATACTAGCATTAATTTAAAACTGGGGTCAGGTAGTTTTACCACCAATTTATGTATTTTTTTGTTAAAATAATTATAAATGAACATAATAGAAAAGTTCTCATAATAAAATTTGGGATTTTCCTTCTTTTAGCAATAATGTTGAAATGATTATCACTAGCCCCCTTTTCCCCTTGGTTTCTTTTGCAGAATTTTTTCAGTCAGTCACAGATTTTAATTTTGGTGTTAACCTTAAATACCCGTTCTTTATTCTGTATTGTCAATGGAATGCCATTCCTCGGAAGCCTGTATGAAATGTCTTTATGATTTTATGCTAAAGTTATTTAAATGATTTTACTCTGAAACTAGCATTCAATAGCAATGCTGGAAATGCCAATTATTTATTAAACACAAAGATGAAAATCTAGTAACATTTTAAAGCTTTTAATAATTTCTCAGAGTATTCTATCTGAATTTGCTCACATGAATTGTATTAATCTCTTTATTGTTGGCTGAAACAGTGGTGTGCAACTGCTCTTTGCCTCTGGATATTTCTATTTCATTTGGTAACTGCCAGGCCATCCTGCTGTGGAATTTATGAATCTCTTGAGTGAACGTAATGGAAAATATAATGGCACTCATTTGTGTATTACTTTAATTATGTAACTCATGGGGTCTTCTTGTTCACAGTTTAACCTTTACTTTTACCACTAGTAAATCTTCCACTTCTGCATTTTATTTGGCCCTGTTTTCATTCAGTTTTCTCACTACCTTTTGAGAACGAAACAATCAGAAATTACATGCTGATTTTTATTCTAATTCAAGTTAAGCTGGTGATGTTAGCTACCATAATTGTGTGGTTTGGCCTTGCTTTGAGAACATTTAAACGATTTTCCTCAATAGCATTTGCTACTTTTGTCTGATAACATGGGGCTTTGACACAGGAGTCCTTGGGTAACTCCAAAAGGTCAATTGAAAATAGTATTTCAATCAATTTCTACAATAAAGAATTCACCACTGGATGCTTATGGTGAGCAGCTTGAATTCCTTTCACCTTATGAGTATATTGAAAATGTATTTTATTCCATATGCACTATTTCTAAGCTATTGTTTTTGGTAACTTTCCGTCCTTTGCCATCTTTGATCTGTAAAGAAACAGATCGGACATTTTAAAATCTTTTGACCCAAGTCAGCAAGTTTGCCAATTAAATCACTCATTAACTTGAATTTTTGAATTTATATTCCAAGCAAATCCTTTAGACTTATTTAAAGTACTTAATTTGAGGTAAAAATATTTGCATGTTTTGTAAAAGGACTTACTATGTTATGCTGGTTTTCCTACAAGTACTAAATTTCATATCAAATTTTAGTGAGCTTCTGAACGTGATTTCCCAAGATTTCCAATGGATGTGTCAACCACCTCTGGTCCCTTGACTTGTCTTTCTGTTAGCTCTGATGGCTTTGACTACTCCTCTAGTCATGCTTTCAAGCCCATGGAATTGCCTCTACTCTTAGCCATGACACTCCGTGAGCTTCTAGACCATAATAATTTTATGTGAAAGCCTTGTCAACACTCAGTCACTATCAAATCCTTCACTCAATCTCTGGTCTTGAGAAAAACCTCTTTCATCCTTGAAAGTATAGAGAGTTCCATAACATATTTGCAGGTTATAAATAAATGCAAATTCATAAATACATTTTACCTTTTTTTTAATAATGTAAACAAGTTTAATTCTTCTGGATTTCGTATAAAATTTCTACTTATAATTAAAAATCAGCTTCACAAATTGTATTGGTTTCCTAACTTTAAAAATATTCTACTAAGTAATATAGATAGTAAATTATTTGGGAGGCCGAGGCGGGTGGATCACGAGGTCAGGAGATCGAGACCATCCTGGCTAACATGGTGAAACCCCATCTCTAATAAAAATACAAAAAATTAGCTGGGTGTGGTGGTGGGCGCCTGTAGTCCCAGCTACTCGGGAGGCTGAGGCAGGAGAATGGTGTGAACCCGGGAGGTGGAGCTTGCAGTAAGCCGAGATCTCGCCACTGCACTCCAGCCTGGGTGACAGAACGAGACTCTGTCTCAAAAAAAAAAAAAAGAAATACAGACAGCAAATTAAATCTGTTTTCAATTTTAAAACACTCATCTGTCAAATATTCAAACTTTAAAACGTTATAAATGTATTGACTATAAAATGTAAAACAAAATAATTTTATTTACATTTTAAATTTAAATTCAGTGATAAAGAATGATATATAAATATATATTACTGTTTATTCAGTAGATATAAGCATGGACATAGACATTTACCGGTGTAATTGTTTACTATAAAAAAGTTGTTTGCCTTTCTCAGTCCACAGCAATTGCATCTAACCTTTCTGAATACATGAATGCACTCATAAATAGAATAACTTATCAGGCAATTGTTTGTTTATTCAAAAATATATGAATCCTAGATTGGCTGATACTTCAAGGTAAAGCATTTATTATTTTCATGGTTTTTATCTGCAGAAACAAGTAAATAACTACTTAGTAGCCTTGTTAGTCTTTTCATTGTATTTTTAAAAATCACATAAAAGAACATTAGGTAGAAAAATATTGCCCTTTACTTTGAAATTTAATAACTCATCCTAAATTTTTTAAAAACTACTATTTCTTTTTTACTTTTTTTACCAAATACATTGAAAAAATAATAAATAATATTGGACAGAAATTTTTTCGTATATTTGTGCCGTTGACTTATATTAAATATTAGTCCACTAAAATGTGATTTATGTTAAAGGTATGTTTTTTCTTCTAATGGAGGATAATAATAAAACTCTGAAAATATTTTGCATCATTATTTAACAGTGTATTAGTTCATTTTCATGCAGCTGATAAAGACATATCTGAAACTGAGAACAAAAGAGGTTTAATTGGACTTACAGTTCCACATGGCTGGGGAGGCGTCAGATCATGGTGGGAGATGAAGGGTACTTCTTACATGGCAGCGGGAAGAGAAAAATGAGGAAGAAGCAAAAGCGGAAACCCCTGATAAACCCATCAGATCTCGTGAGACCCCATTTTTTGAGGAGACATTCAAGCTGGCTACAGAAATTAGCATAAAAAGAAAGGATCCTAATGTTAATTCCCAGGGCCATGGGGAAAGTGTGTCCAGGCCATGTCAGAGACCTTCACTGCAGCCCGTCCCATCACAGTCCCATGAGAATAGCATGGGAGTCCCATGAGAATATTCATGAGAATAGCATGGGAAAGACTGGCTCCCTATGATTCAATTACCTACCCCTAGGTCCCTCCCACAACATGTGGGAATACTGGGAGATACAATTCAATTTGAGATTTGTGTGGGGGCACAGCCAAACCATATCATTCTACCCCTGGCCCCTCCAAATCTCATGTCCTCACATTTCAAAGCCAACCATGCCATCTCAACAGTTCCCCAAAGTATAACTAATTTCAGCATTAACCCAGAAGTCCACAGTTCAAAGTCTCATTTGAAACAAGGCAAATCCCTTCTGCCTACGAGCCTGTAAAATCAAAACCAAGTTAGTTACTTCCTAGATACAATGGGGGTACAGATATTGGGTAAATATAGCCATTCCAAATGGGAGAAATTGGCCAAAACAAAGGGGTAACAGGGCCCATGAAAATCTGAAATCCAGCAGTGCAGTAAATTTTAAAGATCCAAGATGATCTCCTTTGACTCCAGGTCTCACGTCCAGGTCACACTGATGTAAAAGGTGAATTCCCATGGTCTTGCACAGCTCTGCCCCTGTGGCTTTGTAGGGTACAGCTTCCCTCCTGGCTGCTTTCATGGGCTGGCATTGAGTGTCTGCGGCTTTCCCAGGCACACAGTGCAAGCTGTCAGTGGATCTACCATTCTGGGGTCTGGAGAATGGTGGCCCTCTTCTCACAGCTCTTCTCACATGCAATCATGCTCAACTTGCATAATTATATTTGCATCATTAAAACTAATTACTAGGCAGTGCCCCAGTAGGGACTCTGTGTGAGGGCTCTGACCCCACATTTCTTTTCTGCAAAGCCCTAGCGAAGGTTCTCCATGAGGGCCCTACCCCTGCAGCAAACTTCTGCCTGGACATCTAGGCATTTCCATACATATTCTGAAATCTAGGTGGAGGTTCACAAACTTCAATTCATGATGTCTGTGCACGTAGAGGTTCAATACCATGTGAAAGCTGCCAAGGCTTGAGGCTTCCACTCTCTAATGCCACAGCCCAAGCTCTATGTTGGCCCCTTCCAGCCATGGCTGCAGTGGCTGGGACACAGGGCACCAAGTCCCTAGGCTGCACAAAGCACAGGGACACTGGGCCTGGCCCATGAAACCACTTTTTCTTGCTGGGCCTCTGGGACTGTGATGGGATGTGCTGCAGTGAAGGTCTCTGACATGGCCTGGACACACTTTCCCCATGGCCTTGGGAATTAACATTAGGATCCTTTCTTTTTATGCTAACTTCTGTAGCCAGCTTGAATGTCTCCTCAAGAAATGGGGTTTTCTTTTCTACTGCATTGTCAGGCTACAAATTTACTGAAATTTTATGCTCTGTTTCCCTTTTAAGATAGAATGTTTTTAACAGCACCTACATCACCTTTTTAATGCTTTGCTAATTAGAAATTTCTTCTGCCAGATACCCTTAATCATCTCTCTCTAGTTCAAAGTTCCACAAATCTCTAGGGTGGGGCAAAATGCCTCCAATCTCTTTGCTAAAACATAAGAAGAGTCTCCTTTGCTCCAGTTCCCAACAAGTTCCTCATCTATATCTGAGACCACCTCAGCCTGGGCCTTATTGTTCATATAATTATCAGCATTTTTGTCAAAGCCATTCAACAAGTCTCTAGGAGGTTCCAAACTTTCCCATATTTTTCTATCTTCGTCTGAGCCCTTTGCACAGCAAAGTAAATAATCAGCAAAGTGAAGAGACAACCCACAGAATTGGTTAAAATATTTGCAAACTATCCATCTGATCAGAAATTATGAACTAGAATATATTAGGAGCTCAAACAACTCAAGAAAATTAACAGTCCATTTAAAAATGAGCTAAGGACATCAGACATTTCTCAAGATAATACATACAAATGGCCAACAGGTATATAAAATAATTCTCAACATCACTAATTATCAGAAAAATGCAAATCTAAACCACAATAAGATACCACCTCTACCCAGTTAGAAATGCTGCTGTGGATGTGGAGAAAGGGAATCCTCATACACTGTTGGTGGGAATGTAAATTAATACAGCCACTATAGAAAACAGTATGACAATCCTCAAAAAATTAAAAACAGAGCTACCATATTATCCAGCAATTTCATTACTGGGTATATATCCAAAAGAAAAGAAGTCAATGTATCAAAGATATATCTGCACGTCCATGTTTGTGGTAGCACTATTTACAATAGCCAAAATATAGAAATAACCTAAGTGTTTTTCAATGGATAAATGGATAAAGAAAATGCGGTATATAGAGACAATGCAATGTTTTTCAGCCATAAAAGAGAATGAAATCCTGTCATTTGTAGCAACATGAAAAGAGCTGGAGGTCATTATGTTAAGTGAAATAAGCCAAGCACAGAAGGACAAATATTGGATGTTCTCTTCACATCTGGGAGTTAAAATTTCAGTGAATGTCATGAAGATCAAGACTAGATTGGTGGTTATTAGAGGTCGGGAAGGGTAGGAGTAGGGGGCAATAGAGGGGTTGATTAACAGGTATAAATATACTTTTACATAGAAGAAATAAGACCTAGTGTTCAATAGATCAGTAGGGATATAATAGTTAACATTAATTATATATTTCACAATAACTTCAAGAGAATAATTCAAATGTTCCTAGCATAAAGAAAAGATACATATTTAAGGTGACAGATATCTCAATTACTCTGATTCAATCTCTACATATTATATTGATTATCAAATTATCACTTGTACCCTTAAAATATATACATCTATTATGAATCAATAAAAAAGGAATTTCACCTTACATTGGCATAGTGAAGAATAATTTCTACAACAAATAATGGGTGCCCTGTTTTAAAGGAAATCAGTTTGTCTTTTGATTCTATGATATTCTCTTGTGCTTCTAGGACCCTTAATATCTCTAAATTGTTCCCTCATTTGCTTTTGTATAAAGTCCCCAAAAGATGTTCTCATTTATATCCAAGTCAACCTCTTCTTCCCTAAAACTGATAACTCCAAGATCTGCCACTTCTAATCCCATGCATTTTTAAACATCTTCCTTCAGATTTCCGAGTATAAAGTGTTCCAATACACTAGTATTTGCCAGTAAATACTGGCAAACCTGTATTTGGGTTGGTTGGTTCTTTGGTTGATGTCTTTTCTATTCTGCCACTAATAGAATCTTTTTCTTTCTGTGCACTGTTTTTTTTTTTTCTTTTTCTTATTTGACATAGTACAGCCAGACCGTACTCTGGAATGGGCCCTGTTTATTTCCCTGTGTATATGTAAAAATAAATTCATTGTATTCTCTGTCTCCTAATTATATTACTATGTTGTAGTCATGAGTTACGGATGGTTCATTTGCTCCCCTTACTGGCCTGAATGGTTTTTGGAAGATGAGTGGAGAGATTTGGATTCAGGTAGCTGTTATTATCCTATAGAAAGATCACAAATCTGAATTACTGAAATGTGAGCAATGCACTTCTAGAATCCTCGAACTCTGACAGTTAAGCCTACTAATATTCACCTGTGTGGTCTTGAAGAAAGAAAGAAGACACAATTGTAAACATTTTAAAATGTTAATAATTCTTAGTAAGGATTGAACTAAGAAGAGAAATATGGAACTCTTCAAATAATTTGTTATTTACACTCTAGTAATAAAGGAGTTTTCAACACTCAACAACCAGTATTAGGTTCTGATACTTCTCCACTCAGCCATGTCAGTGTTGATTCTTGGTTACCCAGTCACAGCAATTGCCTGCTTGGGCCTGCTTGGAGGCCATTCAGCTGTGGAATTATTGGCCTTACGCTACCACTTCCACCTATTTATGTCACCTCAGCAAAAACTTCAATCTGCTGACAGGTCAAAGTAGATGACCAGAGGATACAGGTTGTAAAAATTCAGTAGGAACTGTTCAGAGATGACAAGGAAGCAAAGGACTCTTCTTTCAAGAGGAGGTTTATTGTTTCTGAAGATTCAGTACCAAAAATAGTGTGGATTTTTGGGTCTGACATGAGCGATAGTTAGGGGAAAAAAAAAAAAGACGCTTTAGAGAAAATTCTACCCTTCCTTCCAAGTCAAAGAATGATAGGACTTAGTCCCATGAGAACATTTTACACCTATCTATTAAAAAAAAAAAGTAAAAGAATAGTGAGAAATCTAACTGCATAGCACAGAAGCAGGGAGAAATTGTCCTCAGTATGCAGACACAATAAAGGTCCCTGTATGTACTGGCTTTGACTGGGAATGAACAGGAGATTGAGGTCTGAGTGAATATATGGAGGTGCAATGAAGCTTGTCTTTCATACCACTCAGGCCAGTCTCTCTGGGCTTCCTTTCCAGGAGTCTAGCTTCCTACCTAGGCTGGAGACACTTGCATGAGGAGTAGTCATCACAGCTACTGGAGTGGAAGGTGGTGGTTACAGAAGGGGATAGATTCCTTAACTAAAACTCTTCATGTTGTCAGGGCTATCTGAAGCAAAGGATAGAACAGGGCAGGTCAGGATAATTTGCTTTGCAAAGCAAAATAAGTCAAAGAAAGACTTGTGCTATTAATTTGTCGCTAAATCAGGACTGAATTTCAGACTGAAATCTTAATCTGGGAAAACGTTCTATAGTAGCATCTTTAGCATTTATAGATTTTCTTATATTTATATTTAACTCTTAATGGATATGGTTCTATGCACATAATAGAATTTGCTTAGTGTTTCTTCGAATATATAAATGCTCATATATGTATCATGAGTCCTCTTGTCCTGAAACACAATAACTTACTCTTAAATTTGATTCTTATGTTTGATTATGCCATCCAATACCTAGTTCAGATCTAGGAGCACAGTAAAGATCAACTAATAGCATCTTATTTTAACTGACAAATAATCTTTTCCCAGTAAGTGATATCAATAATGTTGGAAGTTGTTTCCACCACTGAAACACTGAACTTAACACAAAACACACACTTTTTAAAAAATGGAAAATTAAGCATATTAAGAGCATGCTTCAAAATCATTAATTTTAAATTACTTGTTTGTATAAAATTATAGTAATTCCTTGAAAACAACTGAAATAATTTTAATTTCCATAAGATAAGATGTTCCTATATTTATAATTAGGTTTTCTACTTGACAAAAGTCAGAAGACATTTGGGGTCTGAATTTACTAAATGAATTCTATTTTATTGGGATATTTAACATTTCACACTCTGTGATATGTTTTAGTTTCACTAAAGTCAATATAAAAAGAGAACAGAACAATAAATAAAGTATTAATTTTCATTTTGATTCAAAATGTGTCTAAAATTTAATATCCAGAAAATGCTAGAGCTATCCATGACCTCAATTTCAATAGACAGCATGCAGAGGGAGAATTCAATTGTACCATACAGACTTCATTAAATCAAGGGAACAATGGAACAAAAATGTTCAGAAAAATGCCAAACTACTTATTGACCAGCAGGATAGAAACTACTAGAGCAAACAGAATTTTGGACCTGACTTATGGCAGTCTGTCTACAAAAAGGAAGTTGAGGATTTTAAAAGAATGAAAAGAGATGTCATTATATCATGTTACTACTTACTATATCAGGTTCATTTAAAAACAATGTTTTTGGATTTTAAAAAATGCTTAAAATTTTAATTAAGTCAAATTTGACAGGTCAATTTCTATCTCCACTAGTTCTATATTAAAACATTTATCATTCAGATCAAAATGTATAATTTTCACATGTATAAGTAAGCATATTAATTTTTCCATAAGTAGTGTGGTATTTATTATAGTTCCAAGCAAAAAATAAAAAAGCACACAGTTCAGTTTTAAAAATAATTATGCTTATACTGTCTTTTTTTTTTTTTTTTTTTTTTTTTTTTGAGACGGAGTCTCGCTCTGTCACCCAGGCCGGACTGCGGACTGCAGTGGCGCAATCTCGGCTCACTGCAAGCTCCGCCTCCCGGGTTCACGCCATTCTCCTGCCTCAGCCTCCCGAGTAGCTGGGACTACAGGCGCCCGCCACCGCGCCCGGCTAATTTTTTGTATTTTTAGTAGAGACGGGGTTTCACCTTGTTAGCCAGGATGGTCTCGATCTCCTGACCTCATGATCCACCCGCCTCGGCCTCCCAAAGTGCTGGGATTACAGGCGTGAGCCACCGCGCCCGGCCTATACTGTCTTAAAGGAAGCAAAAGATTAGCACATGACCTTTGTCACTGAAGGGTAATTTTCAGCCTTTGAAAAGCCTCTTGATAATCAAGATAACTTTGAAACTTTTTAATAATATGTCACAAGTAAACCATTGTAGCTGAAGTTATACAGAGCACGTTGCATGGCTTATATGTGGGACATGAATACTCCTATTACTAAAATCCTATGCATCAAATGGGAAGAAAGCCAGAAACAGCAAAGTCATACCTTTTTCTCTCATTTCCACATCCATTTGGTGACGTCTTTTTGTTGTTGTTGTTGTTATTCTGGAAAAACTCATGGTTCTGATTTTACTCACCTATGTTCCTCTTTTCCTTCTTCTCCCCTCTGTCTTCCCCTCTTTCATCCTCTACTTCCTTCTCTCCGCATTTCACACTACTCTGCTCTGCACTCCCCTGTGCCTCTGTCTTCTCTCCCTTCCTACTCGTGTCCACGCCTTATAGTTGGGACTTTTTCAAGAGACTTCTACTGAAAAGGCTTTTTTCATTCAGACCCCCACAGTCAGAATAATTATTTGCCTCAAAGAACGGTTTTGATAATGCCATCTGAAAACATCTTCAATGGAGACTGCAGTTAAAATATAAAACATAAAACAACTGAAGTTCACAGTTTTTTGGGAGGCCGAGGCGGGTGGATCACGAGGTCAGGAGATCGAGACCATCCTGGCTAACACGTTGAAACCCCGTCTCTACTAAAAATACAACAAATTAGCCGGGCACAGTGGCGGGCGCCTGTAGTCCCAGCTACTCGGGAGGCTGAGGCAGGAGAATGGTGTGAGCCCGGGAGGCGGAGCTTGCAGTGAGCCGAGATCGCGCCACTGCACTCCAGCCTAGGAACAGAGGGAGACTCCGTCTCAAAAAGAAAAAAAAAAAGTTCACAGTTTTGAAAGACCATAATGCTGTGGCCCAGCCTACCTTCCAAGTCTGACTTCCAGCCAGGGGTCTCTCACTCTCTAGCCACCATGGACTGCCTACTCTTTGTTTTCTGAATATGCCCCACAATCCTTTGGTGCTGCGTCTTTGCCTGTGCGGTTTTCTCTGCCTGTACCAAGTCGCCCAAGTAGAACCCAATGATGTAAGTTTTAGCTATGTTCACTGCCACTGTCAGGAAATAAGTAGAGCAATCAGATGTGAAATAACTCATCTTTGTTCAGTTAGCAAAAGGATTGAAATGGGAAACGAACCAGGTCTGCCAAAAAAAAAAAAAAAAAAAAAAAAAAAAGAATGCATTAATTCGTCCAACGTGCCAACCATGTGCCAGTAATTGTGGACTGGGAATATAAATGAGATGGACTTGATTCTTCCTTTAACAGAAGTTCTGTTTTTAAAGAAATACGATAGATTTAAACAAGGATCTTCATAGACTTTCTTAGGGACACCGTAAGGTACAAGTAACTAACCTCTGCTATTTTGTTCAGGAAACGATCTCTTTTACAAAGTGACTCTGACTGAAACCCAAAAGGATGAGTCTGTCATCTGAAGAGGAGGAGGGCGCATTGTCCTACACACATATGAAAGCCTGAGGATGACAGAAAGAAGGATCTAGTCCCAAAACTGAGTTCATCATGGCTGGAGCCTCATGTGAGAGGGCAGATCTATTGAGAAATGACCTAGGGCCTGAAGAACAGTTAGGGGTTGGGATTGTATCCTCGAATCAGTGAGAAGGTATAATAATAGAGGATTTAGGCATGAGAGTGAGATGATCATATTTATGTTCAAGAGATATTCCCCTGGCTGCCCTGAGGAAACCTATCTATTCACCAAAAGATCTACCAAGGCTTATATGATAAAAAAAAAAAAAAGACATTATTTGAGCTTCACACTCGTATACACATTCGTATAGACATTTAGAATCTAAAATTACAAGAATTTTTAACATACATTTTTCCAAAGATATGACTTAGAAGCAAAGGGATATATTTGGGATTAACATACACAGAAAATAAAAATAACTTGGTTTATTTAACCAATACTACAACTGAATAAATTATGTTACTTGATAATTATATATAAGATTAATAAGAATTGTCCATAATTCTTATTAATTATGGACAATTCAGAAGGCTTCTCAATATTAAACACATATAAGGAATATACTTATAAGTTATATATCATTTATTAGATAAAATGTTCCCTACAAATGTCACTTTTGGTGCATATTTTTATGCAGTGTCTTTAATCAAAGAGAATATTAGAATAAACTATTATCTAATTTACTTACATGGTATCAGTTAGCTCAGTTCTCAAGATAATCATTAACAGAAATCAGTTCTCTCTTATACACAGGCATCTCACTTTCTAAAATTTAATGTGTAATTGATATGGCAAATTGTTGGCATTTTCTAATAAGAAAGTTAAGCTGTACCTTCCCAGAAATGGTTTCAGTTCTGCCACAAGACTGAGTTTTAGTTAAGAATAAATGAAGCTAGTCATTGGAAGCCTGATATATATTCCTTGTCTCCTTCACTGCAGAAGATGAGTACTCAGAAAACACCCTTTATCTGTTCAAAGGCAGATCCAGGTTTCATGGAACCTCTTTAAGAAAAACAAGACAGAAATTATCAACACAATCTTTGATATTAAAGTAAATATTTATTTATACTAAGAAGGCAGAGCACAAACAAAACATAAGTAAAATGTGACCAATATCACAAACATTACAAGATCTAGGATAAAAAAGACATTAATTAATTAACTCCCTGACACATCTCTATATTATTTGCCTGCAAACATTTTTTTCAGTTTTTCATGAGACATTGATTCCATGATACAATTTTCTATCAAGATAATAGAAAGATAATTTCTTCTATTTTCCAATGTGGTTAAAATAATTATTGATAGTTGGGATTTGTAAGGTATGTATCATAATTTACATACAGATGTTTGTTTTACTGTTTACAGCACTCTATAAACACAGGAACACTGGTAAATTATATTTTGTGCAATTCTCATCATAAAATTAAAAATGCATGGTACTTTTCTAATTTTACTCTCTCCACTTTTCTTTGTATATTCCTTATATATTCCCCGTATATTATTTAATACAATCATTTTGAGAAGCCACCAAAGAGAACTATTTCTCCACTTGAAATTTTGACGTATAAGAATGTTAAAATAACTTTCCACAAAGTAGCTTCTGGATGTGTACATTTTAAACTCTGTTACTTTCACTCCTACTACTCTGATTATTTCCAGCGCTTGACACTGTATTGTATGCCTATGCAATGATTGGATCTCTGGGCTTGGATTTTTGTGTCACTAAGCCAGAGTGATTCAGCAAATGGGTGGCAGAAATCCTCCTGTCATTACACATGAATGATCAAAAATAATTTAACTTTTAAAGACGTGATTACAAATGCCATAGTACACTAAATTCAAGTCTTCCAAATCACATTCACTTTAGCCAGATCCAAAAAATGCTCATTATCAGCCAATATGAGATACATGTAATAGAATTCACAGAGGAAAGTGATTGCATTTTTTAAACATTAGTTTATCAAAGTTCACAAAAACATATAACCATGTGAATACTTTGTAAGTGATCCTCTCAGGCATTGGTTGCATCCCTCTACAGTATATGAAAACTTTACGAAAATGTCCCTCTCCACTCTGATACCAGAATAATTACTCTTTTTCCTTGACACTTCAGGAAGTGGCAAGCTGTCCCCTTCCCAACATACACATACACACACACAAACACACACACACACACATGCTCACACACACATTCCCACCATTACTAGCTCTGGAGTATTATACTATCTCTTATGGTTGTTTAAAAAACATCCCAATAGGATTATCCTTAAACTGAGACAGCCTCAATGTTTTAGGTTCTCCATAAATGGACCAGAGCCAAGAAGAGTAAAATGAAACTAGAGACTTTACCAATCAGAAACTGTCAACTAGCCTCTACCCTTTTCCACTCTAGTGTAGACTCAAGTCTTTCCACTTTATGCCAATCCAATACATTTTTTTTAAGTTCCTTCCACTTAAAAGCTTACTGCCCCCACTGCTGAAGTGGAACTCTTTGAACCTCTTCTGGTTCTGATGGCTCCCAGATTTGCAAATCTTCATTTGCACAAATAAACTGTTAAATTTATTTTGTCTTATGTTTTTCTTTAAATGTGGTTTTACCACATATGCCCATTTTTCTTAAATTGTTCCTTTATTTAAAAAATATTTAAATGAAAAACAAAATAAATATGAAATAAAAATTTGAAAAATTTTTCTCATTTAACCATTTGGATTGTACCATATTTTGCTGCAAGGAATTTGATACAGCCTTTTATTACTTCTTAGCTTAAATGTACATTTCTTACCAAGTTCTTTCCCAACCACTCTGTTGACACCATTTTTTTTCTTTCATAGGCTTCATTTAATTTTTGTCACAGCAATTATTCAAATTAGAATTATTTATTTATTTATTTATTTATTTATTTATTTACCAATAGTCCCTGGTTCCAAATTGTTTCCTTTATATAAATAGCCACTAAATAAGTCATTATAGTAAAACTGCTACTGGTGCCCCTGGGTTATTTAAATCTCCCAGGATAGAAATCAAGAAAGATTACCAGACATAGCAGCAAAGAGAAAGAAAAAGCTTTAGCTTGTGCGCAAGGAAGTCAGCATCACAAAAGGAATAGGAGGGGTTGTATAGGAGGGGTTTCGCTAGCACTGGCACAGTGGCTTTACATGCTTTTTCATACATTACATGTAACATTAGCACTTTAAATTTCTACCCCTGGGTGTGCTTTTTCATATTAAAATGAGTAAGGAGTCATTATAAGTTGAAATTTAAGTCTAACTGCATGTATAGGTCCCTGGGGAAGTCCCTAGACCCCTAAAGCAGGGACTTGTGGTTAATAGCTTCTTGGATCTTTTGTTGCTGACTGGCTAGAAGTTAGGTAAGCTACAGCTTGAGTAATGGCCTTTTGTTCTCTTTTTATAAACTACATCAAAACATAAACCAGCCAGCCTGTCTATCTTAAAACCACCCAGTAAGATATACTCACCTAGCCCTTATTACCAAAAGAGATGAAGTTAAGTTCTGACCTTTGGAGGGGTGAGTAGAAATGGAAGCAAGGGTAAGATGTAAGACTAGCCATGGGAAATCAACAGGCAACCTTATCTCACAAAAGAAGACTCTCGATCTTCTCACGACGTCTCCCAGCCTGTTCTCCTCCAACCGACCAAAATAATGGGCACTATGTCACCGCAAGATTATGAAAATCATTATTACTGCTCCAGATGTTCTACTCCAGTGACAATTAATTCAATAGATATTTAAGGTAGGATACATACCTATTCTCCATTTGTGAGACTGGATTTTTTGGATCTCAATTACTACATTACAGCAGGGTTTTATTATATTGCATGAATGAGTGACTGAAGTCAAGTCTATGTCTTTTTCTATTATTTGAAAGATAACAAATATTTACACTTAAAATAGTACATGAGAATATGAAATAATTTAATTTTTACAAAGTGAATTCAAACTATCACAGTGCTTTAAGGTAAATAAAATCATTTTACTTTGTAAATAGAAAATCAACTATCAAATGTTGTAAATTATCTATTTTCTTTTTAGGTGAATTACTGTTTAACATATTGGGAATTATATGTTCTGGGAAATCCAATGACTTTCTATTTTTGCATATGTATTTTTATTAATTTTAAAAAGGAAGTTTACATCCATTAACTTATTTGATCATAAAGATCTTAGGATGTAAGTCTACTAATATGGTAAGTGACTCAATCAGCATTCCTTCTGGCTCTGTTTTCCCTTATTTCTTATATTTTAAGGCTACTTATACTAAGAAGGTAGTATCTTTTTAGATTTCCTTTCATCAAGTAAAGGATATGTGACACAATTCAAGTTAAGGCAAATATACAGAAGTCTCTGGGATTTCAGAAAAGTGTTTTTTAATCCAAGTTCTTCCTCTTCCTCCTCCATTACTTTGGCTTCCTGTCTGGGATGTAGCCATAAAGGTTGGAGATTCCAAAGCAGTAATGTTAGAACTATAAAGAAAAAGATCACAGGAACAGAAAACCAAACACTGTATGTTCTCACTCATAAGTGGGAGTTGAACAATGAGAACACATGGACACAGGGAGGGGAACATCACACACCAGGGTCTTTCGCGGGTGGATGGGTGAGGGGAGGAGGAGCATTAAGACAAATACCTTAATGCATGTGGGGCTTAAAACCTAGATGATGGGTTGATGGGTGCAGCAAACCACAATGGCACACATATACCTATGTAACGAACCTGCACATTCTGCACATATATCCTGGAACTTAAAGTAAAATAAAAATAAAAAATAAAGAAAAGGTTCACAACATCACAATACTTTGGCCCTGAAATCTATCAGATAACAAATCAAGGACAGTGGTTTCCTACTTCTTGGCATCTTTTTGCATGGTAATAAAATACACTCAAATTTATTTAATCCTCACTTTAGGGTAATAATTTTATGGTACATACAGCCAAAAACAATCAACAAATAATATAGTGACACAAGAATATTATTTAATTGATGAGTAAACTGACATTCAGCAGTACTTGAACAAGTTTACTCACAGAATAAGGGTTATAGCCTTTACTCAAATTAGGATGTTAGAAAGAAAAGTATTTCCATTCACTAAGAGTTTTAATATAGGGGAGAAATGAAACTTTCATTAAAACTAATATATTGAAATATGTGATAATTTATTAGGCTGGGTGATTTCATAGTAAAAATAGCTAGTACTTTGAATAGTAACTATGTGCCATTCACTTTTCTAGCCATCTTACATATAATAACTCATTTTATTCTCTACATAAGTCTATTTTATGAGTGCGATATTATACACAGCTTACAGGGGAGAATATTGAGGGTATGAGTGGTCAAGTGGTTTTAAGTAACTTGTTATAGATGATATAGTCAATAAGTGACAGAGCTGCCATTTGGACTCAGGCAGTCTGAATCCAGCAATTGTACTCTCAGCCATTGCCTCACACTATTTCTCATGCTGCAGTTATTTCAGCCTTATAATCAATCCACGAAGTAGATCTTTTCATTCCAATTTTTAAGATAAGGTATATGAAACTTAAAGAGTTATGAAAAAAATTTTGAAATGCAATAAATGGAAAAATATTAACACTTAGCACCTAATATGTGTTAGGCACTATTCTAGGTAGTTTACATATATTAACTTAATAACAAAATAACAATCTGATGAGGCTGGAATTATTTATTATCTCCATTTTATAGAAAATAAAACGGTATCACAGGAAATTTGAAAAACTTGCCCAAAGTGACATAGCCAGTAAGTGGTACATATTGGACTCTAACCCAGGCAATCTGGCTCCAATATTTGGCTCTTAAGTGCTTTAATAACAAAGTACATGACCTTCTACTCTAATGCATAAATAGTAAAGGCTATTAAAATTAATGGAAGAGATAGAGAATATTTACTGAATTGTCAAATAAAGCTTCATGAAAGGGGAAATTTAATCTGAAAACACCTTGAAAGGATAAGAAAGTAATTAGCATAAAAAATGAAATTGAGATTCAAAAAATATCTAAAAGAAGAATATCTGGGACTATAGTGTCAAGTAGAAGAGCAATGGCATTCAAGGAAATCAGTTATATTTTAAAAACCAATAGATTAACTTTTCAATTTGATAATTAAAAAGTATTCAAAGTCAACTTGTCCTACCTTCACCTATACTTGTTCAATTCTTGATTATTATCACTTTATTGAATTTAACTATTTGTCAGTTTATGTTCTGACTAGCAGTTCTTAGGCCCCATGAAAATAAAATTTTAAAGCTATGGTTTCTGCCTTCAAAGAAATTGTCATCTTCTACATTTTTATACCATATAACTGTCACGGGCTGTCATGTTCATCATCTCTTCTTCAATTTTTGGATCTGACTGATTTCAAAACATTAACAAATAATTCAACAGATCAGTGCAATTATCATTTATAGCACAACTCCTATTTGCTAGGATTGCAGAAGCTTGATGGGGGGAAAGACACAAAACAAGTAATTACATTACAATGTGGTAATGAAGCAGTAGGGTCCACACCTTCTGGCATCAACAAAGAGGGTCATGATGGAGGAGATGAAGTGTCAACTGGGTATTTAGGAGATAGCCTCAGAAACTAATATTTAATTCAAGACATATTAGTGGGAGGTCACTATATATTGGATACTATGCTAAGAGGTGATGACACAGCACTGAAAATTTCAGACCAACTCGCTCTCCTTCAAATTTTGAAAGGCCAACAGGATTAATGCAATTCTGTTAGAAAGTTGCTGGAGAATAAAGAAATAGAGGACTCAAGAAAGAAAGGAATGAAAGAACAGGGGAGAGGTCATGGCAAGGAATTCAGGAACTCACAGAATGTGTTCAAGCCCCGAAACTAACTGAAAAAGAGGGAGAAGCTACAACAAGAAAGAGCCAAATGAGAAGAGAAGACAGGGATCAATCACAACACTTGAATGCAATAAGTTTTATAGTTTGAGAAAGGTCAGATATCCTGATAAATCTGGAAAGAACAACAATCAGTGAATATCAGAGGTGACTAAAAAGCACACTGAATTGATTGAGGGTGACAGTTTCGGTCTTCTAGCTATGCCTTACCAAGTTAAAGTAGCCGTTTTTCTTGGTACCCATGGAGTGAAAGTTAGATTCATAGGAATGATGGTGTATTTCACTCTACAATGTTGTCTGTGAGTTGAAACTATGCAAATTGAATCTCATTTGAATTAGTTTTAAGGAATTTGCAATAGAGAACTATGCTTCTGTGAATCCATTGAAAAACAAGGAAACATTTCTAATCAGAATGACTTCTTTATACTTTTTAGTAAATGTGAAAGTCATGTGGGAGTCCTTTTCTGATGCTTTAGTAAGCATTTTTTGTTTTATAAAGTACAGTGCTAAACCCTGCATGGGAATCTATGACGTTAAGTTGTACTTTGTTATTGTCAAGATGGCTTTGTAGGTTTAGGTTTTAAGGAGCCCCACCTTTGCTTCAGGTACATAGCAGTGACAGATAAAATATAAAATAAATAAGCCAAACATAAATAATAAGACTAAAAAAAAGGGAAAGACCTCCACAAATAAACACAAAACCACTATGTTAGCTTATATTATGAGCCTACTAAACTAGTTAGAAGCTAGTAGAGATAACTGGAAAGTCTCTTCTCTCTATAACAGATAATAAAATTACTCCATAGGCAACAGAATAAATTAACCAGGCTCAATGCATGAGAGCAGGATCTGGGCCAGAGGGCCCTCCCACTCATTCTCCTGAATAAATGGTGAAAGATGTTGCTATCATATCTACCTAGAGTTCTGGTTTATATAAAGCTACATACCTAAGAAAGAAAAAAATATGTAAACTTTCTCAACCAGCAACCTAGCCAACCTACCCAATGGTTCAGTACCTGGATGTCATGTCAGGAGAGAGTTCTGCTGACAGTGTAGGTATGTAAGCCCCTACAGAGCAACCCTACAGCTGATATACTGGACAAAGTACAAAAACAATTGCCAGAGGATACTAAGTTGTAAATAAAATCAGGCAGAGTACGGAGGAGTCAAAACTTTGAGCTTCAACCAAAAGGGTTTTCATTTTGTTTTGACCTTTCCTGCTATGGGGAACTTCAAGAACCGCTTCTTGGGAGGCAGCATGACTTGCTTGCTTTGGGACAAGCAACCTTGTGCCAGACGGGGTAGGAGAAAAATTGATCTAGAAAGGTTGAAATGGAGGAAATAACAGATCTGGGAAGCTGAGGTTGGGCATCTGTGTTCCAATGACAAAGTATAAACTATCCTGGCCGGGCATGGTGGCTCAAACCTGTAAACCCAGCACTTTGGGAGGCTGAGGCAGGTGAATCACTTGAGTTCAGGAGTTCAAGACCAGCCCGGTCAATGTACTGAGACCCTGTCTCTACTAAAAATACAAAAATTAGCCCGGTATGATGGTGCATGCTTGTGGTTCCAGCTACTCAGGAGGTTGAGGCACAAGAATCTCTTGAGCCCAGGAGGCAGAGGTTACAGTGAGCTGAGATCACACCACTGCACTCCAGTCTGGGACACAGAGTGAGCCTCTGTCTCAAAATACAAAAACAAAAGCAACAAAAACAAACAAAAAACCCTATAAATTATTCTATGTGATTCTAGTTGTTTTAAAACAATAATCAAAAAGTGAGATCTGTGGGTCAGTGCTGCAATTATAAAATGTGTGTTGAAAATATGACAATATAGAGAAAAGGTTGTAAGATAATAAGAAAAATTCCAGATAAGACAAAAACAATATTACATGGAAAGATAAGATCCAAATTAATTAATTAAAAAGAAGAACAAAATACAACATATTGGAAATATATTTTTGAAAGATGCTTCAACTGAAATAAAATCCAAATGAAAGGCAATTGAGTTGCCACAATAAGGCAATAGTAAATAAATATTCTGAAGCAAGATAAAGAAAAATATAAATAAAACAAAAAAATTAAATAATACATACAATATATGGAACCTAGAAACCAGGATCCAACCCATGAAAAATAGCTATTCTCAAAGTCAGGTCAGAGTACTTAACAATTGTTGTCTAAAATCCCACTCAGTTCAAGTATGAGAGTAGAAACATCCTACAGAAAACCTGAAGTGTCCATCTCAGATCAAGGAATTTTGTTCTTACCCTTATATACCACACCAGGCTATTACACAGTCCTGTTGAAAGAGCAGAGCAAATTCAGACCACAAAATTGAGCCATTTCACTTTTGTATCATTCCCTGGATTTTGGTTCAATTTATTGTGAATAATCTCTTAAAATCTCATAAAATGGTAATTTCTTTTTTAGAATCTGCCTAGTTTTTTGTTTGTTTGAATTAAAGTCTCCTAAAATGTTGGCTTGTGCATTGTATGCTGCACAGAATCTTTGGATCCCAGACACTGCACTCTAGCTTTGGCCCTGTGCCGCCTTCTCATTCTCTGGGGGCAGGAGAAGCCTACAGTCTGTGGATGGTTTTATTTGTGCCAGGCCCGAGGCAATACCTGAAACGGTGATTCCCAATCCCCACCATAGCTTTCCACAGCTCACTTCTCCCCAAGAGTCGTGTGCTCATCTGCCCCACATATTGCATGCCCCTGTCAGAGATGTTTTAGGACATGCATGGGATGTTCAGGATGTCTTTGAACACAAAAGTTGCCTCCTTTGCCCTCTGGCTCCTACTCTCCCCACCTCCTAGGGAGAGAGTGTTCTTCAACTCCCATGACTAGGTCTACAGCAGCTAGCAACAAGGAAAGAGCCCCTACCTCTGTGTATCCTTCACTAATGAGAACCTAGTGGCTTTGTTTCATGCTCTGCCTAGAAGTTCTATACTCAAGGGCACAACATAAAATAAAAACATAAGGCCATGAATGGTAATGTGCTAAAACAATGCCAAAGAGCCGCAGTCCCTCCTGCCCACCTAAAGAATAGAAACAAGAAAGCCACACACACACACACACACACACACACACACACACACACACACACAAATCGTACAAAAATTAAAGGCACAATGTTTAATCTATGGTAAACTGGATAAATTTTTTAAATGAATTAATTTTCAACAGACTTATCCAGTGTAAAAAAATAACAGTTGCATATTTAAAAAGCACGAAGAAGGCAGGGCGCGGTGGCTCACGCCTGTAATCCCAGCACTTTGGGAGGCTGAGGTAGGCAGATCACCTAAGATCAAGAGCTCAAGACCAGCCTGGCCAACATGGTGAAACCTCATCTCTTCTAGAAATACCAAAAAAATTAGCTGGGCGTGGTGGCATGCACCTGTAATCCCAGCTACTCGGGAGACTGAGGCAGGAAAACCTGAGAGCCAAAGTTTGCAGTTAGCGGAGATTGCTCCACTGCACTTCAGCCTGGGCAAGAGAGTGACAGGGCAATACTCCGTCTCAAAATAAATAAATAAATAAATAAATTAATTAATTAATTAATTAAAAGCATGAAGAACACTAAAAATCACTTTCTTTTTAAGTGCACAGATATTACAACTTTGTTATATAATAACCTGCACACATACACGCATCCAAGCACACAAGTAAATCTAAATACAGGAAATAATAGAGGTCCTATTTATTTTCTACCCGTAGTTGTATAGTTAATAACAAAAGGTATTTCAACCAACTACAATGTTTTTAAAAACACTGTCAAAATATCCATGTTATCAAAAAGAAAATTTAGGAAAATAATACAATGGCATGGAAAATGGCCAAAAATATACTCAGAGATAAAAATCAATCATTAGTTTTTACGTATGAAAGAATCTATAATGCCAATAAAATTTATTAAAAATAAAGTTGTCAAGAAAATTTTAGAAAGGTGAGAAGGCCAAAACAATAGCAATGTAAATAGAATTTAATAAAATTAAAAATGCTAACTAGGTAAAGTTTGTAAAAAGAAATCCGAGGGCTAATATTTTGACCACAAATTAACATTGACTAAATTAACAAAAATTCAACCATAGTGATAAGGAAGAAAATATGGAGACACAGAAACACTTATAGCTTTATCCAGGTAACAGATAATTTTTGGATATATTTTAACTAGCAACATTTGTGGGGTACAAGTCTGAAAAGATTACAGAAAACCGTATAAAAAAATGAATGCTACATGAAACTGTTGCTTCCTAAATGTTTTATCAGCACAGTGAAGCTTGTGCCTAAATTCTTTCAAAATTTTAAGGAGCTGATAATTTATTTTATAAAATTTGTTTCAAAATATCCAAAAATATAGTAAAATATCAAATTTGTTTCCTTTATTAAACAAACATTTGCTGCCTATGAGTCAGAGATCATTTTAGGCCTGCATATACATCTGTGAATAAAATTGACAAAATGCCTGCTACCAGGACCGCCTCTCATACATACAAATTCTCCCTTTCTATGGTCCTCAGATAAAAAGAGGGATTCCATCCTCTGGACTGACTCATGCCCACTCCAGGGCACTTGTTTTGCCATCAGACAATGGGCTGCATTTAAGTACCCATTTACTTACAGAAAGGCACACTGGCACAACCTCAGCTTCCATTCTGTGGAGGAAGATGATGATAAATGTGTACATCAACAAAATAGTTTCTGATTGAGATTCTTGATGGAAAAGTTTATTTTACTAAAAACAAAATTTTAACTGGTATACAGGCAAGGTATTTTAAGGAATCCAAAATAAGACAGGAAACATCAGTCATAAGACTATTACAATAAATATGGCTGTCATAAACTTGGAAGTGATAGTAAAGCTAAAAAGAGATGAGAAAGCCAGGATGCGGTTTTGGAGTTATCAGCTGACAATGTTGAACTTTAACTGAGACCTGTGCTCCCCAAAACAGAAATGGATAAGAAATCCCCCCACTCTTTTATGTTCCAGTAAATGACTTACCTCAGAGAATATTATTCCTCATATATTTTAGAAAAAAGACTACCTGGCCGGGGGCGGTGGCTCACGCCTGTAATCCCAGCACTTTGGGAGGCCAAAGAGGGCGGATCACCTGAGGTCAGGAGTTTGAGAAAAGCCTGGCCAACGTGGCGAAACCCCATCTCTAGTAAAAATACAAAAAAAAAAATACAAAAAAAAAAAAAAAAAAACCCATAGCGGAACGTGGTGGCGGGTGCCTGTAGTCCCAGCTACTCGGGAGGCTGAGGCAAGAGAATCGCTTGAACTCAGGCAGTGGCGGTTGGCAGTGAGCCGAGATAGCGCCACTGCACTCCAGCCTGGGTGACAGAACGAGCCTCTGTCTCAAAAACAAAAACAAAAACAAAAACAAAAAACAAAACAAAACAAAAACCTCCCTATCCTCTCATTCTCTTAACTCCCCAAAGATGCACAAATCACTCCTTTGTGACAAGACTAAGCACGGATATCTTCCCTCTTCTGCCTGAACCTACTGAAAAAGCCAAACACAGATCCTTTCTCTTTCACCTCTAGCCATCTCTCTATTCCGTATCTTCTCAGTGATTAGCTGAGATTAGAATGTAACTATCTAGAAACAGAGATTCACACGTCCTATTCCGCTGACCGACTGATACTTTCCCTTATTGCAAACCAATCTCAACTGAAACTTGTCTGCTCCTTCCAGTGAAAGTCTAAGACAAAACTATCCAATTGAGACAGTCTGGATCTTTGCATCTACTGCAATAGCCTAAATAAAATCAGACTCCTTACCTATGTAGTTTTTGTCTTTGACACAGAAAATAGGTAAAATATTAGTCAATAGGACTGAATAAGGCCAACTAAAGAGAGACTTAAGAAGAAAAAGCTATCCAGGATGAGCTCACAGAATTTGAATATTTAGACATCAAACATGCACACACACACAGACACACACACGATTGAGAAAGAATGACTAGGAAAACATCTAGAAACCCTGGAATGTATGAAAGTAAAAGAGAAAGAAGATGCAAGAAGGCAGGAGTTGTCAACTGTACTGAATCCTTTGGAACTACCAAGTGAAATGAGGATAAAGGTAGCCATTGGATTTGGATTGATGGAGATCATTAGCAATACCGTAGTCCTCTCTTATCTGCAGTTTCACTTTCCACGGTTTCAGTTACCCAAGGTCAACAGAGTCCAGAAATATTAAATGGAAAATTCCAGAAATAAACCATTTATAAGTTTTAAATTGCATGGCAGCTTTCTGAGTAGCATGATGAAATCCCTTGCTGTATCACTCCCTCATGACCAGGACATGAATCATTCTTTCGCCCATGGTATTCACCTTGCACACACTACTAGGCCATAAGTCTTATAGTAGCTATCTCAGTCATAGATTGACTATTGTGGTATCACCGTGTTGTGTTCAGGTAACCCTTATCTTCCTTAATAATGGCCCGAAAGCACAAAAGTAGTGATATTGGCATATTGTTTTAATTGTTCTATTTTATTTATTGTTGTTAATCTCTTATTGTGCCTTATTTATAAACTCAATTTTATCATAGGCACGTACAGGAAAAAACATGACACTGTATACAGAGGGCTTGGTACTATCTGTAGTTTCAGGCATCCACTGGGGGTATTGGAACATATTCTCTACAGAGAAGGAAAGACTTCTATATTTACAAGAACAGTTGCTTTTAAGAAGTGGTGATAGCAGTGGGTTGAAGAGTAAAAGGGATGTGAGGAGTTCTGAGACAAGAATTGCAGATAATTATTTTAGGAAGATTGAACAACATTCGTATGGGACAGTATTTAGAGGGGAATCTGAGGTGAAAAATGTGTTTTTTTTTTTCTGAGATAAGAGATTCTACAAAAGATTTGTAATACAGGAGAAAGGGGTGCCTACAAAAACAAAGACTTTGGGAAACCATTATAATAAAAATAGTTAATATATATTGCATTATTAATATGACCCAGGCACTATACTTTGTCTTTTTTATCTATTATTCTTAGTTTTTCTCATTTATTGACACTCCTCTATTAGAGAAAAATAGGACAGAGAGTTTAAATAAGTTGATCATGATTTAAATTTCAGCACACTGCCTCCAGAATCCGTAAGTATAATTATTATGCTAAAATGCCTCTCTGTATATCTTAAAGCTACCAACAATACGTGAATTAAGATGGAAGTACTTGATACATTTCTAAGAAAATTAAGAAGTAAGCAACTTTGATTTATGTCAACAATTTACTTAACACATCTTCTAAAAGTTTAAGCCATTGCAATAAAATTTGAGCCAGAAATAATAAAAATGAATGTTAGAGAGCATCCAAATTTTATTATCACAGACAAAATAATTACATTGCTAGAAAATTCAAAATAATTTATTGAAAATCATTAGAAATTAACAGTACTTTATAAATTATGGATACAAAAATTAATAATAATCTTCTAATAATATTGATAAAGAATCTGTTGGAAAACATAATCTACTGTTCATAATGACAAACAAAACAAAAAATTATTGGAAGATATTAATGAAGGATATATTGCACTATAAAACACCTACAAAAATATTCTACTTTGAAACTGGAGGATCTATATTAAGTGCTGACATACAATGACAATATTATTGAAATAGCTGTTCTTTTCAAATCAAAGTGCAATTTCAGCATAATTTTTATTTTTAATTAAAAAAATTATTCTTGCCAGTATAATTTTAAGCAAAAGTATGCACTTAATTTTACAAAGTTTTAAAATAATATTAACATAAAAATGAACAAATAAACATGGAAGACAGGCTTAGAAAATTTTGAAAAGGAAATAGTGAGACTGATGAGATTGATGGGGGACTATATCTCTTAGATAGAAAATAAATTATGGAATTAAAGTAACTAAAATATAATAGGTAGGCAGATTAATAAAGTATATTTCAGTTGGCAGGACATATGGCCATCTATAACTTCCACAGGATAAGAAACTATAACCCTTTCATATTTCTAAAAGTAGAGGGCAAATGAATTTTGGTGAAAATAGTAATGTCAGCTGCATATATATATATTTTTTTTATTCTGCCATATTAGTAAACAACTAAATATACATCAGAGCAATGAGATGTGTATGTTTATATTTCAAGTGTTAAAACGGTAAAAATAAATTAACCAATGTTGCAGAGAGATAAGTAAAATGAACTTTGACAAACACTGTTAATATGTGTAAAAACCGATAAAACATTTTAGGAAATTTAGACAAACTTCAAAGAAATTTTAAAAGTCCAATAATTTTGGATCCTATAATCCTCCTTCTGCGAATTTATTCTAAAAACATTAATAGAAAAAATAATCATAACACTATTTTTTGAAAGGGTACTCTGGGAACAACCTAAATATCCAAATTCAAGGAAATGGTTAAACACATTGATGTGTAATCATAGTGTAGACTATTATGCCTGAAAGTGGAATGCAAAAACAATTTTTATTGTGGAGAGATATGTGGCCCATAACTTTAATTGAAAAGTAAGCCATAAAATATTATATATGATATTTCATTTACCTTAAGATATGTCTTTCTTAGGGAAAACTAAAGGAAGATAATATTTATGAATATCAATGGTGTTTCTCTTTGAGTAATGAAACTATAATTTATGTTCTCATACATGTCAGTATTAATTTTATATTTCATATGGTACATGGATTGCCTTTATAATTATCATAAAACTAGTTTTAGAAAATAACTTATACAAGTTAAAGGTACATCAAAGCTATCATATTTCATTTAAACCAATACCATCCATTAACCCATGATAGTATGGAAGTTCTCTATTTCTTGGACCTCCGAATACTACATTGCGATTCTAAGATATTTCCAGTTATAAAATATAAACTATGCCCTTACTATATTTTCAGATTTTAAAATGTCATTTTTGCTACAAATTGTAAATTAAACGATGAATAAATAAATACAAATGTGCCTATATGAACATGTGTTAGACTGGACCTAGCCAGGTCAAATACATTTGAAAATTAAATGTATATATTAAAATAAAGTTGTAGTACTCAAATTTCAGAGAGATTTAATTTTAAGCACAACTATATATCCACTTAAATCTTAGAATGGCAGTTAATATAGTATATTTTCACATAAATGATGATAAAACCAAAATTTAAAAACTCAATTTAAGTATATAAAATAAAATATTTTTAAATGGAAATTTAATATAATTGATTACTGATGTATATTTTTAATTTTTAACTTCTATAACATTTATTTGAATTGGAAAAGGAAAGTGTCACTACCACTCTACAATGTTAAGAATATTGAAATAACAGATTAGCATAGCATAAAAATTAGGTTACTAGTGAATTCCTATATGATTTATGTATAGCTTATAAAATATTACAAGTATAAAATATTATATATATTTGTTTTAAAAATAAATTAGTGAATAATGGTTACATAAACTTTAATAGTCAAACTCTTAAATCTTAATTTCTACGTAAAAAGAATATTAAATATCACATCTGAGATAATTTGTATTTTGCTATCTTTAAACAGGAGAAAGAGATGAGAATTATGGAGGAAACTAAAAGTTATTAAAACTAAACATGTGTCATTCTCTGTACTAGTTACTTAACTTTTTATAATTGCAAAGAAAATCTTTCCACTGATGGAACATTTCCCGTGTGCCAGGTACTATTTTAAATCCTTTTACATGCATTGTCCCATAGATTGTTCAGAGTGATTATTTCCAACTCAGGAGCATGGAGGCTTATAAGAGGATTAAATGTTATGGACATTGACCACATTACACTAAAAGTATAGCTGATCAAAGTTAGGAGGTGGGATGCTGGGAGAGTAGAGATGCCAATGGTGCAAGGGCTAATATTTCCATTTTATAAATGAGGAGTCCAAAGATAAAGTCTATGGTTAATGGAATAAAAACTAGAGTTTTGAGTATTCCACTTGAAATTAAAAAGGAAAATTATATTTAAGTGAGAATAGTTGCTGGGAAAAGAAGGGAAAGAAGGTGATAAATAATCTAAATATGTATTCTATCAGAAACTAAATAATGTCTAAGAGACAAAAAAAAAAACACACCATATTGATAATAAGGATATAACTGTAATTGTCAAAAGATGTAAAAACAGACAAAAGTTATTGCTTCTGTGAAGTCAACATGGTAGAGAACAGATGAGGAAGCAGATATTGTTTGAATTTGGTATTAAATTTTAATCGTTAAAAAATAATCATTAATTAATAAAAAAATAAATAAACATTTTTTAAATTAAAATTTTGCCAAGCCCACCAGCTAAATAGTGTCTCCCTGCATACTTCTCTGTACCATAGTACTTATCTTACAGTATTTGGCTTACATAGTTCTCCCACCATACAGGCAATCTTTCAGGGTAGGGACTATCTTACTCATTCTGAAAGTATTAGAATCTAACACAAAGAAAACAAGATATAATTTTGAAAAAAATAAGGTATTGAATTAATTACTAATTACTACAAATATAGAACCATCAGCAGTTAAACAAATGAAATAATTTTAATCTAAGAATATACCAAAATTCAATAATTTGCAAATTTCAAATCGTTTTGTTCTAATGCACAGTGTCAAGAAAACCAGATTACATTATGCTGTTCGCTATTGTCTAATTTGTTACTCAGAAGAAGCTGCCAAAGTGCTTGCATATTTAAATACTTATAAAATTTTACTAACTTCTAAATCTCAGAAAACAAGAGACTAATTTAGTTGATTAGCATATAAACAACTATTACTATTTTGGCTGTTTGTTAACTATGATGATGCAGTAATACATTTCACTCCTAAATGCAGACAATATATAAAAGGGAGAAAGGACTAATGCAAGTAATTACCAAATCATGTAATTAGCTGTAGCCTAATTTTCTGCCAATAATAATTGAATAGTATGAATGCACGTGAGTGAAGCCACTCCAGGATTTATCTGAACTGAATTTATTTGTGTCTGAACCCCCAGGGAGTTAATACGTAAGTCGTAAGAATAAAATCCTGAGAATTGGTAAACACATAAATACCTTTTAATAGTATTTTAATAGTGAATTTTATAACCTCTTTATGAATTGAGCAATAATTTCATTTCAGCCATTTATATTGAGAGTAAAATGATGGGTGCTGTTATTGGCAAAGTGAAGAGCTGAAAATACTTTTTATTTTTTGGCTTAAGCAACAGAAAGTTTCACATAGATCTGAAGGCTTGAAGTTTAAGATCAGGCTGCCAGCATGGTTGGGCACTGGTGAAGGCTCTCTTCCTAGCCTGCAGATGGCTGCCTTCTAACAGGATGGAGGAAGAGGAACCTCTCTGGCGTCTCTTCTTATACGAGCACAATCCCATCATGCAGACTCCACCCTCATGATCTTATCTAAACGTAATTACCACCAAAGGCCTATCTCCAAATATTAACACATTGGGGTATAGTGCATCAACAGATGACTTTGGAGGGTGATGCAATTCACTCAATAGCAATGAGTATCTTGCATGCTTGTGACAACATAATTTAAAGCAATGATTCATACAAAAGTTGGGCAAAAGTAGTTTACATAATTAATATGTTCACATGATCTAATGCCTGAAACTCATTTTAAAATTAATTATTTATCTTTTAAAATTGTCATGTAGGGCCAGGCACAGTGGCTCATGGCTGTAATCCCAGCACTTTGGGAGGCCGAGGTGGGTGGATCACTTGAGGTCAGGAGTTCGAGGCCAGCCTGGCCAACATAGTGAAACCCTGTCTCTACTAAAAACACAAAAATTAGCCGCGTATGGTGGTGGGTGCCTGTAATCCCAGCTACTCGGGAGGCTGAGGCAGGAGAATCGCTTAAGCCACGTAGGCGAAGCTGCAGTAAGCCGAGATCGCATGACTGCATTCCAGCCTCAATGACAGCCTGGATTCCGTCTCAAAACAATAAAAAAAAATAAAAAAAAAATAAAAAGTTGACATGTAATAATTGTACACACTTATAGGGGTATATACAGAGTGATATTTTGATACATGTATACAATGTGTAATGATCAATTAAGGGTAATTAGCATATCCATCCCCTCAAACATTTATCATTTCTTTGTGTAGAAAACATCCAAAATTAAAAAGATGTTTTGGAATAACAATAGTTGTATCCCAGACAAGACCATGAAACTCTTGCTGAATCCAGACTTCAGTGGGATAAGTATTCATGGCTAAAATACACATAGTACAGATTTAGAGATTTAGAACCTGAGGTATTTTTACAAATAGTTTTCTTGACAGATAAATCTAAAAATAAATCCTGCATTCATTTAAAGTGCAAAATTTGGTAAGTTGTAACATAGAGCATCATTTTTTTTTCTAGTTTTAAGCTCCTTGGGGCAAGAGGGTATTCCTCATGTTTCTATTAGTCTATCTTGGCTGGAAGTAGAAGTTGTATAAATTTGTTTTTGCAATGACTTTCAAGAGATATTGTTTCCATTTCTTTTTCCCCTTCAATCATGATTTACAAAAGAAAATAATTGAGTATATACCTTCTCATAATAGATTGTTCTTTGGCAACTGACTTTCAACCAGTTAGTATCAGCTAAGTGTTTTCAAGCTCATAGACAAAAAATAAATACCACAGTTAAGGAAAGATAATAATTACTAAAAAATAAATTGTTGTATGTGTGTCACATGACTATCAATTATTTCCTTTTATGTTAGCTTCAAACTCCCTTATGTGAACTCATTCTCAGTTCTCCCAGATGATAAATAACTGAGGCAATACAGAGTTCAACATTAAGAAAAAAAATTATAGTTCTCTCTTCCTCCTACATATTAAGAATTCAAACTGAGCATATGTAATTATTGAAATGCCCTCTCACATATATTTTCTTGACATGGTAATGAAGTCGTGCACCATCACTGAAGCCATATTAGATAGAGGCCCAAAAAATGTGTTTACCATCAAATGTCTTTTATCTAAGTATTGCATCACAGTGAAAAATATCATCGCAGACAGTAAAAGTAGGTGAGATAGGTGATATATTCTGGTTTGCTATATGTATTAAACAAAACTGTCAAATTGCCCAATAACTTATCTTACTGTATTCTTTCCAATGCTATGGTCTTAATTTCCTCAACACCACCACCTCAAAATAATGATTCTTTTGGTGGAAGATATCCCTTTATTTCCAATAATACTTATAAGATATTTTACCTGCATTCTACCTCTAGAATATGTTTTCTAGTTTTGATTTTGGACTTATTGTTACATGGGTTATGTAACATAATGAAATATATGGTATAATAAATGCCCTTGAATTTCTTTCTGACATTTTGTAGATTATAAACAACTCTGATAAAAAGAGAAAACATAAATAAAATATAGCTAATATGAAACCAGAAGGCAGTGGGCCAGGCAGCTAAGATGAACATGAGCATGAGCCCATCTCTCCTCTAAAAATATTGCACTTGTATATACACCAGTGATTGCACTTGTATATACACCAGTGTAGTTTCTTGTATACAAAATTACATAAAATTTATAAGTATATTAGATACATTTGGTTCCCTTAAAAAGGTGTTAGAAAAAGGCACACTTAGCTGGGCACCATGGCTCATGTCTGTAATCCCAGCACTTTGGGAGGCCGAGGTGGGTGGATCACCTGAGGTCAGGAGTTCGAGACCAGCCTGACCAACATGGAGAAACCCCATCTCTACTAAAAATACAAAATTAGCTGGCGTGGTGGTGCATGCCTGTAATCCCAGCTACTTGGGAGGCGGAGGCAGAAGAATCGCTTGAACCTGGGAGGCGGAGGTCGCAGTGAGCCGAGATCGTGCCATTGCACTCCACCCTGGGTGATAAGAGCGAAACTCTGTCTCAAAAAAAAAAAAGTATTCTTACGCTAGGGCTCTTTAGTGAACAAGTATACAGTTGTTAATCATCATAGAATCTCAGACTAACCCAACAAAACCAAAATTCTAAAGGAAATTAATATATACCATGAAATTGTGAAGACTATGATAAAAATTCATCTGTAAGAATTATGGGGCTGAATAAGCAGAAATTAATAAACCTATAGAAGTTCATCATTTGATGCTGTGTTGGCTTCTTGGAAAAGCAAACAATTACAATGAATAATTAAAATATTTATAAATTCTCAAAAATAATTCTCACTCAATATGTTTTATTGTAAATTTCTGCCAGATGCACTCTATCAGTATAACTCTATTAGTAACTTTCTAGAAAATATAGATAAACCTAGAGATTTTGTTTCAATGGAATATGCAATATAACGTATTACGTGACTCAAGGCTGAACATCATCCTGTCAGAAACTATTTATTCCAAAATAGGATTAAGAATAGAATACAGGCATAAGGATAGAAAACAGACACACACATAAACATATGTGTGTTTGTGCATGTATATACACATACAAATATATGATATATATCAAATATCAATATATAAGCAAGAAAACTAAATTAGAGGCAGAATATGTAGAGTCTCCACTAGCTTTGCCAAAATCCAGTTTCAGAGGGCAACTCAATACTGGTCACCCAGCAGAGGTTTCAATGATGTCAAATCATGACTGCTTCCTCTATTTTCTAAGCATATAAATATTGTCAGTATTATCACAACCACTTACCACTGAATTCAGTGTTTTGTGTCAGGAATAAAAAGGTTGTATCTGGTACAATGCGACATGGTATACCCGTGGCAGGTGGGCTGCTCTTTCCCGAAGTATTCAATCAGCAAATATCAATTCCCAGAAGATTATAAGATAAAGCAAATAATAATAGGGGCATAATTTTTTGGCAATTGAACAAATGAGGAGACAATTAAAATTGCAGCAGCCTTCTTTGTAGAATTTAACAAAGGAATTTTAAAATTTATTTGAAAACACAAAAAACCTAATATAGTTAAAGCAATTTTTTCAAAAAAAGAACAAAGTAGAGAAGGTCTTACTATACATGATTTCAAGACATATTCTAAAAGTACAGTAATCAAGACTATGGACCTTGAGAAAAGTAACATATAGATCAATGGAACAATGCCTTCTAGGCAATCCAAGAAATGTGGTATCAACTGGATACCCATATGGAAAAATAAATGAGTGGCAACTCCTATCATACATTGCACATAAAAATATACCCAAAGTGAATCATAGACCTAAATATAAAATCAAAAGCTATAATATTCCTGGAGGAAAAAAATAAGAGAAAATCTTTGCAACCTCCTGGTGATCAAAGTTTTCTTACATAGGAAACAACAGCAATGAACCATAAATTAAAAAAAAAATACAAATTGGACTTATTTAAAATTTAAAACATATTATTCTAAAGATATAGTGGAGAAATGAAATGGCAAGCTATAACCTAAGAGAAAATATTCAAAACACATAAATTAGAAAAAGATATAAGAATGTTTACAACTCTCAAGGTCCCAGGATTAGCGTAGTTCCTGCCACAGTGGCAGCCTTTGCTATGAAACCATACGTGCCCACGCTGGGATCTGAACCAGTGACGGTGAGTTCATCCATCCACATCTCCAAAGCCAGGAGATAATGTCCACTTCTTACCTGTCTTTTTAATGATGGATTTTCCAGTGAGTCTATAAGTTCAATCAATTAGTGGTCCTAGTACGAGTAATGGAAATGAGATCATGTTTACTTGCAGGTGGCTCATCACGGCCATAGTCAGTTACACCAGCTTATAAAGATAAAAGTGGAGCTCCACCAGTTAGAAGTATATATAAAATGACATTTTTAGACCAGGGCTTGGATCAACACTTTTAGTTTCAAGAAGAGAGTCAAACATTTTATTAATGCAGAGTCCTCTTGTTGGAGTTAAGACAACTACTCCTGCAACTTGGCAAAGTATGTTTAGTCTAGCACATATCAGTCAGCCATGAAAGACAGCATTATCTCCCGCCCACTTGGAACCTTTTATACTCAAGGATATCCTCTGACTTCAGAATATCACCTCAATGACACTTGAGTGATTGTGTTTGGGTTTCCTCAAGCACCTGCTTTTTACATATTATAATTTGCATACTATGGGAATATCTTAAAATACGTTATGTCTAACACACAGGAAATTGCATATTTGTTATTAATCTAAACTGTAGGCCTAGAAAGCCTTAAGCAAAGACAGGAGAATTTTTAGAGAATTCATCATGATTGGTGTACAACCATGTTTTGATGCAAGTGTTACAGAAAACAGTGACAGATGTGCTTTATCATCCCCATCTTCAGCCTTTACATCACCAATCAAAACCTTAGATAAACCAATACAACCTGGAAATACTTCTAGAATTTCTACCCTGAGACCTCTTGCTACAGCATACAGAGCTTCTATCATTTCTAACAGAGAAACACCTAAAAACAATGAAAGTCTTGTATCCAAAGCAATATGTGTTGGCTGCTAGCATAAGACATAAGAACTCCGCGACCAAAGAGAAGGTTGCTACGCTAAAACAGAGTTAGCAGAGTACTGCTCATTTCCATCACTTAGTTATATAACCACTACCGCAGTATTGAATAGCTATTGCATACTTCTTTTAGAAAGAAGGCTTTTTCTTTAAGGACATAGCCTGTTGTCACTTTAAAGGATGCTTGGAATACACTTTAAAGGATGCTTGGAATACATTTTAAAGAAAACTAAAAATCCCTGTAAATAAGTTTTGTGCTGTCTGTGATCACGCATGCTTATTTAAGCACAAAAAACACAGCATGATTACTGTAATTAAATAATTGAATTTGTGGTAAGGCTTCGTAGTCTTCATGAGAAGGTAGGTGAATTTCATAAATTACAGCTGCTTCTACACAAAGATTATTATTAGCAATTTGAATTATGGTCTTTTAATTTAGATAGTATTTCACATTTTAATTATCTTTGTTTATATATGTCCTTTCATGGATTGTCATCTTGGTGTATTATAAAACCAATACATTATTTTAAAAAACTTACTACTAAAGTTTCTTGATAAAAACAAACTGTCACATTGTCAATGGTAAAATGCTTACAACTCAATAATAGAACAATAAACAATTCAGCATTTTTTTAAATGAGCAAAAGAGTTTAATAGTTATCTTGAAAGAGAAAGTACACAGATGACCTATAGAAACGGTATAAAACATCACTAGTGTTTGGGGATGCAAATTCATCACAACCCATGCAGAAGAATGGGCAAAATAACAATTAAAAAAATTAGAACAGAAGCAGAAAAGATATGGGGCAACTGGGACTTTCCTACATAGCCGGTGGGAATGTAAAATGGTATAATCACTTTGGAAAAGAGTTGGAAAGTTTATTGTAAACTTAAATATATACTTATCAGACACTTGAGATATTCCTTTCCTAGGTATTTACCGGGGAGAAACCAAAATGTGTGACTGCACAAAGACCAGGTCACAAATATTCATAACGACTTGATTTGAAATAGACAAAAACTCTAAACAACTCAAATGTCCAGCACATGATGAGTTAACATATTGTGATATATCCATTTAATAACACACTACTTAGCAATGGAAAGAAACTATTAATTCATGCTATAACATGGCTGGATCTCAAAATGATTATGCTAAGTGGACAAAGCCAGGCCAAAAATCAAAAGCAAAAAGGGGGAAAATAAACACATCTTATAAATCCATTTATATAAGATTCTAGGGAATCAATATCTTAGTCCATTTAGACTGCTTTAAAAAAAACCATAAACTAGGTGGCTTATAAACAATAGAAATTTATTTCTCACAGTTCTACAGGCTGGATGTCCAAGATCAAGTTTCCAGCAGATTCAATGTCTGGTGAGCTGTTTCCTGATTTATATATAGCACCTGCTTGCTGTGTTCTCACATGGTAGAATGAGCCAATTACCTCCCTTCACACTTATTACATTCATGAGGTCTCTGCCTCTATGACCCAATCACCTCCCAAAAGGACCCACCTCCTAATACCATCACTTAGGGCTTAAGATTTTAACACGTGAATTTTGGGGGGACACAAACATTCAGACCATGTCAATAAACTAGTTTATAGTCACAAAAAGCAGAACAAATATATGGGCACATGAGGGATAGATTAGAAATGGGTCCAAAGAAACTTTCAGAGAAATTGAAATATTTGTTATCCTGCCAGTGGTTATCATGTCCCAGGTATGCATGCATATGCCAAAAGTTATCACATCGTATACTTTAAATATGTGAAGTTTAGTGGACTTCAGTTATACTTCCATGAAGTCAAAAAAGGCAAAAAAAGAAAAAACTTTTCAGTTAAAATTAGATACACTTTAGGGTAGGTATTTATAATTGAAAAAGACATGTCTATTGTAAGTGGCCAAAAGCTTATTTATTTTATGTCATTTTACCTATAACTGATATCTGATAGCCACTAATAAAGTTTGCCACTTGTTGAATAATTGTATGCTTATTCAGATTTTTTAAGGGATCAGGGAAATACCTTTTACCATGTTTAGGAAATTTTAACTAATTTATCTAAATTTAAACCTATTTAAATGACAGATTTTCTAGTAAGAAATTATTAGATTTGTAGTGATAAAGGAATGACACAAATTTGTCTATTCCTGTGGATTTTAATTTTATCTATTTTTGAAACAATTTTTCAAAATTGTCGTTGAATATACTAAAAATCACTGAATTATATACTTTAAGTGAAAAGCAAAACTTATTTGTCAATACATGTTTACCTAAATGAGAAAATTGGGAAAGTATTATGGAAAGGGAGACTGGGTAAAATTTTAAGGACCTTGAATATCAATCACACTTTGGTTTAACATGCAATTCATGTTTTATCGTGGAAGGTTTTGAAAAGGGCAATAGCTTATCAAGCTATGCCTTGAGAAGTTTGTTCTAGGCAGTGGCATATGAAGTGGTTTGAACTTAGGAGAGAAGGAAATCCTGCTACAATTTAATTGAAATAAATTGAATGGAAAATTACAGAGGCTTAAACTAATTAAAACTAGCAGTACTAATAACTTATTTTTAAAGTGAGTGGGTGGATAATAACAGAGTTTAAGACTTTGCCACTTGTTGGTGGTAGGGAGTAATGAGAAGTGAGAAATCAAAAAGAACTGTAACATTTGTTTCATTGTCAGGATGAATAGAGTTTCCAATAAAGGAGAGAATGCAGTAATTCAGTATCCAATAATGGTTTAAGGGGTTGTCTTGAGCACCCTTTTTTGTTTGATTTGGAGGTACATGTGCAGTTTTGTTACATGGGTATATTGGCTTGGGGTATGGATGGTCTCATCACCCAGGGAGTGAGCATAGTACCCAGTAGGTAGTTCTTCAGCCCTTTCTCCACCCCCCTCTCCCCACTCTAGTAGTCCCAGTGTCTATTGTTCCCATCTTTATGTCCATGTGTATTCAATGTTTAGCTCTCATTTATAAGTGAGAACATAAGGTATTCAGGCTTCTGTTCCTGCAATAATTTGCTTAGGCTAATAATAGCCTTTAGCTGCATCCATGTTACTGCAAAGCACATGATTTTGTAGTTTTTCGTGGCTGCATAGTATTCCATGGCATACATGTACCACATTTTTTAAAGCCAGAGTGTTCTCCTAGCTCCAATCTTGAGGATTCTAATGTTCAAGTTTAGGCAGGTCATTTAGTTAGATAGTACAACTGACCATAGGGAAAACAAATCCAAATCTTCCTGTAGAGACCCTAGGTAACAGTTTTCATTTTATAGCTGCCTAGTGTTTGAACTCCCTTGTCTATAGTTAGAGAGTAGAGCATTGTTTTTGTTTTATATAAAAGATCAGGTACTTTTCCCCCAGACTCCTTGACCTTAGACCTCAGAGACTTGTCTTAAACTTGGACAATCAGATGTTCCCTCTCAGGGCATGAGTCTGAGGTGGCTGACACAGAGAAGAGAGAAGAGAAAAGGCCTCATGTCACCACCAACACTCAATATCTTTGCCCACTGGTGGCAGAGGCAGCATGTATTCAGGTGTAACAGGACCGTTGGCAGCATGGAAATCTGACTGGTCTTGTGGCCAGAGCTAGATATGCCTTATTATGAATGACCTTCCTTGGTCCCTGATTGACTTTAATAAAAACAGCTTCATTGAGACATAATTCACACAACACAAAATTCACGCATTTAAAATTTATAATTTAGTAGCTTTTAGTATATTAACAGAGTTTGCAACCATCACTCTGATCTAATTTTAGAACACTTTCATCATCCAGAAGAAACCCTGTGCCCATTAACAGTCAACCTTCACCTCCCTCCGAACAAATATTAATAATATTCTCCCTTCCATCTCTATGGATATTTCCACTTTGGACATTCATTAAAAGAAATCTTACAATGTGCAATATTTTGTGAGTGGCTTATTTCACTTAGCATAATGTTTTCAAAGTTCCAGGTTGTTGTATGTATCAGTACTTCACACCTTTTAATTGCCAAATGATTATATGGATATATTACATTTTATTTTTCCATTCATCAGCTAGCAGACATGCATGTTGTTTTCACCTTTTAGCTATTACGAATAATGTTGTTATGAACATTTGTGTGTACATTTTGATGTGGACACACATATTTTCATTTCTCTTGGCTATGTAGAAATGGAATTGCTGGGCCATACGACAACACCATGTTTAACTTTTTCTGCCCTTCTGTTTTAACAGATGATTTTCACTGATAACTCTATTAAAGTATAATTGACAAATAAAAATCATATATATTTGTGGATTTACAATGTGCTGTTTCAGTATACACACACACACACACACACACACTGTGAAATGATTAAATCAAGATAACTAACATACCCATCACCTCACATACTTATTATTTTTGTGTGATGACATTTAAGATCTAATCTTTCAGCAATTGTCAAGTAGATCATATATTAACTGTAGTCACTATGATGTACAATAGATCTCCAAAAGTTGTTTATCCTGTCTAAATTAAACTTTGTCCCTTTAACCAGCATTTCCCTCTACCTTTCTCCCACCCCCAGGCCTGGGCAGCCAACATTCTAATCTCTGCTTCTATGAATTCAACTTTTTTAGATTCCAGATAATAAGTGAAATTACGCAGTATTTGTCTTTCTTTGCCTAGCTTATTTCACTTAGCATAATGACCTCCAGGCTAATCTGTGTCATTGCAAATGACAAAAGTAACTTCTTTTTAAATACTGAAATGTATTCTCTTGTATCTTTACTCCACATTTTATTTATCCATTCACTCACCAATGGACAGACTGATAACATCTTGAGGAACTGTCAAACTGTTTTCCGAAGTATTTTCACCATTTTACATTCTCGCCAGCAATCTATGATCATTCCAATTTCTCCGTATCTTTGCCAATACTTCTTATTATGTGTCCTTTTATAGTAGCCATCCAAGCGGGTATAAAAAGGTTTCTTTGTGGTTTGGCCTTACCTTTGTAAAAATTGGGTTGTCTTTTTATTGCTCAATTATAAGTTCTTTCTTGCTTAATTTTTGAACCGTTTGCATAGTCTTCCCATCTATTCTTTGTATGATCTGATACTCTTTCATTAAATTACTTTTCTACTTAACTGGAGCACAGTTGGTACCTGCTCCTTGCAAACAAGAACCAGAGACTAACTCTAGAGGTGTAGAGGTAGAATTTATCCGAACAAAAGTGTATGAGAAAAATCAGGGGGATTATGCAAAATATAAAGGAATAACAAGTGAGTAGGAAGTGAGAGAATAAAGAGTAACTAGAATATTTTTAAAAACTCATTTTGATGGTGATAGAAAATAGAGAAATAGAATAATAGCTTGAAGCATTACTAAGTTTGTTTACTCAGGGGAAAATCTAAAGCAAAGATATTGGACAGGAATGTACAGGAGTAGATAATTAGTGCAGGAGATGCCTTAAGGAAGCAGGTGATAAATTACCTTTGAAAGGAGTGTATTGGTCTCTTTTTCCACTGCTATAAAGACATACTTGAGACTGCGTAATTCATAAAGGAAAGAGGTTTAATTGACTCACAGTTCTCTATAGCTGTGGAGGCCTCAGGAAACTTACAATCATGGTGGAAAGCAAACGGGAAGCAAGGCACTTCTTACATGGTGGCAGGAGTGAGAGCTAGAGAGAGAGCAGGGGAAGTGCCACACTTTTAAATCATCAGATCTCATGACAACTCACTCACTATCACGAGAGCAGCGTGGGGAAACTGCTCCCATGATCCAGTCACCTCCCACCAGGTCACTCCCTCTACATGTGGGGATTACAATTCAAGATAAGATTTGGATGGGGACACAGAGCCGAACTATATCAAGGGGGAATACTCTTTCTTAGAGATAAATAATAATAATAATAATAATAATAGTAACAACAACAACATAGAGACTGAAAGTAAAGAGATTCCTAGGTGCAGACAGGACACTCAGAGGGCCTTCAGCAAGCAGCTGTGACATTCTCCAGAGGTAGCAGTAATGCTATGCTAAGACCAAGGATCAGAGTTCAGATGAGCATGTGAAGGAAAGTAGGAGAACAGCAGAATTAGGGACAAGGTAGTAAGTCAAAAGGAGTTAAGTGAAAAGGATTGTCTGGCAATATTATATTCTAGCAGTAGTGAATTCAAGAATATTTCCTATTCTTCCACCTCATTTTCTGAATTCCTTTTCTTTCTTTCTTGTACCTCACTTAATAAAAATGCACCATAAGGGACTAAAAGCTTCAACAAACACTCAAACACATGGAACGTTAAATGTATACGAATCATTACTCTGATTTATTCTTTTGTAATTGTTCCTCTGTGTGCTTTCCCTTTTCTTCTTACTTCAGGGTATCCACTGCAAAATGTAAATACTATGATACAAAGTGAAGTATGTTCCTTTTTTGTGTTGAAATGTAGTTTTCTAAAAATGTTCATTCAGTCTTAAGTTTTAGAGATAAACTTTTTAATTTGTCAAGTTAACTCTAACTTAAACAACAAACCTAAAGTGATTTCCACGAGCAATTTACAGAGATCTTCCCTATGCTTCCTTCAAAATAGATATCTAACTAAACCCCTTAATTATTGATACATTGTTGTAGCCTTATACTGACTATTTCTTCATATTACAATGTTAGCAGAACAAAAATCTCTCATAGGTCAAGTTAATTATGTTTTCTTTTGCATAGTCTATTTGCCTACTATTTAAAAAAAAAAATTGCCATTGTAAATTCACATAGAAAAGGCCTGAAATGAAATTCTTGGTTAGAAATGGGAACTCTAAAATCCTGCTTGTAACTCACCATAGAGATTCTTATACTAATGAAAAAGAGAATAAAAGACAACCCATTTTATCATCCTCTGAAACAGTAAAAGATAGGATTTCTCTGCCTGCCTTTTCAGTAGACCCTCTTTGTTCTTTTCATATTTGCTTATGCATTTGCCTTAGTATACAAAATTAAAACCATACCTACAAACAAAAATGTCATGGACAGACAAAGGCCACATGAGCTTTAAAAGATACAATTCAAAATACTTTTGAAAGTGGAAAAGTGCTCCATTTCACATTTCTGTGAAATTTGGGAGTTTACATCCTCCTGAACCCTTCAGCTGAAGTTAGCACTCCAGGGGATTTCAAATAGGTTCAAAGTTATATGGTAAAGAGAAAAAGAAAAAAGGAAAAGAAAAAGAAATGGGTGAATTTCCTTCAGTTCATTTCACTGTTTAGCATTTCAAAGGTTCCTTCTATTCTCTTGATTAAAGCTCTGGTTTCATCAGGTTTGTAGATTTGTCTGAAGCCAGGAATGCGTCCAAATTCACAGCAAGCATTTATGTACCCCAAATTAAATCAAGAAGCTTAATTAAGAAGTCTCCTTTCAATTGAGAAACAACCTAAAATCTATTCAAATGTAGATATAATCTAGATATAACCAATCACATTTTAGTTGGTATGTGGAGATAAGGAGCCACCTGAGGGCTGAGAATTTGTGGACCTGGCAGTTTTCATTCCAGCTCTTCAATTAGCTTGTTATTTGACTTTCAGTAATCATTTTACCTCTATGGATCTTTTTTTTTTTTTTTTGAGACGGAGTCTCGCTCTGTCGCCCAGGCTGGAGTGCAGTGGCGCGATCTCGGCTCACTGCAAGCTCCGCCTCCCGGGTTCACGCCATTCTCCTGCCTCAGCCTCCCGAGTAGCTGGGACTACAGGCGCCCGCCACCACGCCCGGCTAATTTTTTGTATTTTTAGTAGAGACGGGGTTTCACCGTGTTAGCCAGGATGGTCTCGATCTCCTGACCTCGTGATCCGCCCGCCTCGGCCTCCCAAAGTGCTGGGATTACAGGCGTGAGCCACCGCGCCCGGCCACCTCTATGGATCTTAATGTCATATGCTGTACAATAAGATACAAAGTGGAATTGGATGTTTTTCCTATTTCTAAAATTCTATTCATCTACTCTGAAAATATGTTTTAATATATACTTCTTTGGGATACTTATGTGAAATATAGCATTTACTGTGTTTAATGTTTGCACCTAGCAAACATTAAACCCACAGAATGATAGGGTTTACTGCTTATTATGTGCATATGATGATTGTAGGAATAGGCATATGTACACATATAAAGAACATTTCCTATTTTTAGAATTACACAGATTAATTACATCATAATCTAGCCATTTTATCAGAATATATTAATGTTTCATAATTGATATCCTGATAGTTAACAAAAGTTAAAGTTGCCAATGTTTTTTATATGAAAAAATTAAATTTTTCACTTTATAAGTTTATGATACATCAGTTTTGCTTAAAAGTATTCCCTTTTGCTTGCTACTATGTCATTTTTCCAATAAGCACTGCAAAATTCCCTAGTTTTTTTTAATACTCCATTCACTCACTGCAACATATTCAGTTAATATCTCTCTGGCCTTTAATCTTGTGACTTGGGAATTATTTCTATTTTCATTAGTTTTCCTTTTGTTCAGTGGAACAATAATTTTAGATATATAAAAAGAAGTTAATATTGGTAAGTGATATATACTATGAAGGTCCAAGCTGGAGATTAGAAACAAATTTAAAACAGTATGTAATAGGTCAGTTGCTCTTATCAAACTTCCTCTTTTTTAATATCAAGTGAATAGTTTTTCTAATATTATTTTCTGTAATTTACATATGACCAAGACTGATCTTCAGAAAAAGTCAAATGATGTTAGCTTGTGAAGTATGTTAAGAAACTCTAAAGGCGCCTAGCCAAATCTCTGTCCACCATATTAAAAGACTTTCATTGATGTCTTAAATTCTACTAGTAATTATTCAATGTAGTGCCTAATTTGAAATGTATTTTCTATTCAAAAGTGTGTATCACAAGAAAAAAATATATATATGACTTACCATGTATGCAAACCTAATGTAAATGACATTGCTCCACTCTTTCTTAAGTGTCAACTAGTCAAAAACTGTTAAGTTTTGGAATCTCAAAGAAGTAATTTTCAAATGCTCCTTCATGGGGCCTTAGAAGTTCCAGAAGGTGTCTCAAGAACTTCAACTAGAATATCTCCACTTATATTTTCCTCCAAGACTTGCTTTATAGACATTTGTAAGCCACTGGACTAAAAGACAGATAACATTTCAAAATTTGGGTAATGCTAATGGAGGATGAAACAACCATGGGAATGGTCATACAAATGGAAGAACAGGGGAGGCAAGAGCTCAGTAAACAAAAAAACAATATGATAATATTGACAAATGGGACAAAGATCATTACAGCAAGGAGTGGGAGAAAGGGCATTAAATCTTGGCAGTAGATGCCTACTTTGCAAATTTGCTTAAGTTTCCACAAGACAAAATATCAAACAATACCTCATTGTAACTCTCCAGGTTATAGTTGTGCTCACTAAAGTCTAGGAATGACTGCTCTGGTTCGTGTTACAAAATCATGTAACATGAAAATTATGAAAAAAACACTTCACAATCACAAACTGTTTAAAACTGGTATAGAGATGAACAATAATCTGGCATGCTTTTCAAATAGACTAAAGCCTAACCTAGCTCCTATGTATGATAAGGGTTCCTTATGTAAAGTAACTATGAAAGTGACTAAATCAGTCAGTCTCACCACAGTAATTTTTACTGTGCTTTGCTCATCTAGTGTGAAAGTAAAAATAGTAAGTATTATTTATTCTCTCAGTTTCTTGGCTGATTCATTCATGATAACTTACTGAACATTTAATATTGGTTACAAATAGGGCATATTTTAATCCAAAGGAAGAAAGCTAAGTAAAGAATAAATTTTGGGGGCCCCCCAAGAAGTTTTTTACACCAATAAACATAAATAGGCAAATAAGTATTCTCAATGTGGTATATGATTTATGTTATCATTATATCCTCTAAATCTCTGAGTCAAAAGATAACAACCCTTAATTAATAAATTAATGATACATGGCAAGTACTAAAAGACATAACTTACTGTAATGAATTCTAGTTTTATAACAGAATTTTAAGTATATGATTACAGGTGTGTTTTTCTATTATACCAGGCAAACTTACTTGAATCACTGAGAAGAAAAAATGAATTGTGTATTTTACAAAACAGAGAGGCATTGCAAAATCTAGGATTTTGCTTAGTCTTTCATTTTTTTCAGTTACACATTTAAGTCATTAAGAAATGCATATCTGGCTGGGTGCAGTGGCTCACGCCTGTAATCCCAGCACTTTGGGAGGCCGAGGTGCGCAGATCACGAAGTCAGGAAATCGAAACCATACTGGCCGACATGGTGAAACCCCATCTCTAATAAAAATACAAAAATTACTGGGCGTGGTGGTGCGTGCCTGTAATCCCAGCTACTCGGGAGGCTGAGGTAGGAGAATCGCTTGAACCTGGGAGGTGGAGATTTCAGTGAGCCGAGATCACACCACTGCACTCCATCCTGGCGACAGAGCGAGACTCCATCTCAAAAAAAGAAAAAAAATAAAAGAAAAAAGAAAAAAAGAAATGCATATCCAATATTTAATACTGTGCATAATAGTAAGGCAGCACATAGCCCTAGTTCTGTGGTTCTCAATTGGGATGATTCTGCCCACATGGGATATTTTGCCCACACATTTTTGGTTGTCACAACTGAAAGGAATGTTACAGACATCTGGGAGGTAGAAACCAGAGATGATGTTAAACCTACAATGCAGAGATTATTCTCCAACTGCAAAAACTATCTGACACCAAAGATCAGTAGTTCTGCCACTGAGCAACCCTGTTCTAGTTAAACTTATTTAATATTGAAGTACATTATTTATCAATGATATAATTAAATTTGCCTTGAAAATACACTTGAAATTAAAAACTCACTACATAGTTAAATACAAAGAAACCATTTCTCTGTGATAAGAAATTTTCTATTTACAGTCTGGGCGCAGTGGCTCATGCCTGTAATCCCAGCACTTTGGGAGGCCAAGGTGGGCAGATCACAAGGTCAGCAGTTCGAGACCAGCCTGGCCAACATGGTGAAATCCCGTCTCTACTAAAAATACAAAAATTAGCCAGGCATGGTGGCGGCCATCTGTAATCCCAGCTACGTGGGAGGCTGTGGCAGGAGAATCACTTGAACCCGGGAGGCAGAGGTTGCAGTGAGCCAAGTCAATGACATTGTACTCCAGCCTGGGTGACAGAGCAAGACTCCAACTCAAAAAAAAAAAAAAAAAAAAAAGAAAGAAATTTTCTATTTACATTTACAAACTGTTAAACAGAGAATATTCCTCATGGTGTGTTTCTTATAACTAGTTGACTAAGGAAGAAAACATTCAGGCTTGGTTAACAGATAGTTCTGCGCAATATGCAGACATGGCCTTAAAGTGGACAGTTGTAGCACTAAATTCCTTTTATGGGAGATGCATAAAAGACCATTGTGAAGGGAAATTCATGTAGAGGGCTGAACTTCGAGCATTTCATCTGGTTATTCATTTTGCTTGGAAGGAAAAGTAGTCAGCCCTAAGAGTCTACAATGATTCACAAGCTGTGACCACTAGCTTGGCTGTATGTTAAGGGACTTAGAAGGAATATGATTGGAAAATTGGTGACAAGGTGGTCTGGGGAAGATGAATGTTGGTAGAGGATGGCCACAGGAGTGGAGGATTTTAATAATAATGTGGATAGGATGACCAGTTTTTTGGATACCAGTCATCTTCTTTCTAAGCCACTCCTTTCATTTTCCAATGAGTCCATGAACAAACTGTCCTTTTGGCTGCAATGGAGGCTATCCAAGTGTTAAGCAACACGGACTTTTACGTACCAAGTCCAGCCTGCCACTAGCTTGTCAATAGCCACTACTGAATGCCTGATCTGTCAGTATCAGAGACCAATACTGAGTGCCATCCTCTTTTAAAGACACTCCTTTCCTTTCCCAGTGAACTCATGAACAAATTGGGCAAATACTGAGTGCCCTAATATGGGCTGATCAGCCAACTACCTGGTGGTAGGTTGATTATATTGGGCAGCTTCCATCATGGGAGGGGTAGTGCTTTGTTCCTACCAGAAGAGGCACTACAAATATGTTTTTATTTCCCTGCATGCAATGCTTCTCCCAAAACTGCCATCTGTGGACCTACAGACTACCTTATCCATCATCATTGTATTCTATACAACATTGCTTCTGATCAAGGAACTCACTTCATAGCAAAAAAGGACCATGCTCATGGAATTCACCAGTCTTTCCATGTTACCCAATATCCTGGAGCAGCTGGCTTTATAGAATGATACATTGGTCTTTTGAAGAGTCAATTACAGTGCTAGTTAAGTGGCAATACCTTGTGGGGCTGGATATTGTATGTGCTCTAAATCAGCATTCAGTATGGCGCTATCCTTACCAAAACAAAGGTTCACGGATGTAGGAATCAAGGGGTGAAAATGGCAGTGGCACCACTCATTACCCCTGGTAATTAATTAGCAAAATTGTGCTTCCTGTTCCCATGACCTCAGGCTTTGCTGATCTAGGGTGTTGCTTTCAAAGGAGAAATGCTTCTACCAGGAGACACAACAATGATTCCATTGAATTGGAAGTCATGACTGCCACCCCGCCACTTTGGGCTCCTCATGACTTTGAATCAACAGGAAAAGAAGTGAGTTATTATACTAGCTTGCATGATTGATCTTAATTATGGAGGGGAAAATTGGGCTGCTACGACTCAATGAAAACAAGAAAAAATATCTTCAGAATACAAGGAATTCCTTAGGGAATCTCTCATACTACCATGTTCTATGATTAAAGTTATTGGAAAACTACAAGAACCAAATTCAGGCGTGGGGTAGGGTTAGGAGATTCACTGCAAATAGGGACAAGAGCACCTTCTTTGGGTGATGGAAATATCACAATTGTGGTGGTGACTACACAGTTATACAAAAATTATCAAAACCCATCAAACTGTCCACTTAAAATTGTTGAATTTTATTTTATGTAAATATTACCTCAATACAGTGGAATTAAAAAAAAATTTTCCTATGACAGCAAAGATTCCTAATGTTGAAAAACAAAGACCAGACAGAGAGAACATGGTTATAGCATATATCCCCAGAGAGGTATTTGTGTTTCAACTTCAAAAACAAAAACAAAACTCATAAAAATACATTTATTTATTCATCCTTTTATTCAACAAATAGCTTTTTAGCATAAGTCATCCATCATGCAAAGCTTCAGATGCTGGACCTATGTCAGTGGAAAACAAAAATACAAAGCAAAAACATGAAACAAAACATCAATAACAAAAAGACTGTCCTTAAGGAGCTTAAAATTAGTTAAGGGAGACACATAATTAAATGAATAAGTAAAATAAATTCTATGACCTTGATAGCGATAATTCTCAGAGCTATGTCTAGCTCATCCATAGTACTATGTAGGTTTTTATAGGATATATTTTGGTATTACCTTCATTTGTTGCTCAAGTGTTCTATCTCTACCGAGTTTTTTCCCCCTCTTTCTTGCCTACTTTTAACTCATATGAACTCCAAGTTGCCTCTAAGCTGTAAGATAGACATAGATAAATCAATGAACCAACGTAACACTGATAAAATTAGACTTTTTCTGGTTTAATTCTACTAAAGTCCTAAGTGCTGAGAATATAATAAGTAGGAAGTACCCCCATGTTTTGAAATGAGATATAATATAGTATACCATTATGCAAACACTACCAAAGTGGTGTCTCAAAAATCAGTTTTGTGATCATTAACCTATTTCAATAGTATCAAATGCTTGAGGTCAAAAACTGGACTAACAATCACTTAAAAATCTGCCCCATAAAGGCAGGCTTCCTATCACAGACCAGGTGAAGTCAGGAGAAAGGCATTTTAGGCACCAAGGGAGGGAGTTATTCTGAGAAATAATTTGGATTGCTTAAGCATCTTTCTCTCCTTGATCACAGAGCAGGAACTCTTCCCCAGAATTTCACGCTGAGTGAGAGGGGCTTTAGGACATGATTCTGACGGCTTGATATGTGTCCCAAGAAGCTTGATGGGGCAAAAAGGCTGGTTTTGACTTAATATTGAAGGAGAGTGAGAGTGAAAGGCTCTGACTGGATTATCTGCCAGGCAGGAGGGTTCACAGAGGTGACCACTGTTACATCAAACTGCTCCCTGCCTACCCTCCTGCCCCCACAAGCTCCCCAGAGGTATGTGTTTCCTCTGGATTGGATGTGGACCCTGTGGGAGGGAGCCAGCATAGGAGCCATTTTAAAAGGCCCCACAAAATGCTGGATACATAATAAAACTGGCCAGCTGGAAGAGACATAAGGGGTAGAGACAGTTTTACTTGCTAGCAGTTATATTCTGATGCTAGTGTACCCTGGCAGGTGTCCAAATGCTGAATGCTTTTATCATGTTGTGCTTTCATAGGTTTCTCAGAGACCCTCCCACTGAGATCTACTAACTGTGACTACCTAAATGAGGGCAAAGCCATCCCACCCTCCAGCTGCTTACCTGCCCCTCTCAGCTCTGCACCCGACCGCACTCTGCAGGCATCCTTCCATTCAGCTCTCAAGGTTGCCGCATGAAGCCCAGTTGGATGGGGTCCATTTTTAAATGACAACAGACCACCTCTTCAAAATCAACCCTTTTACATACTTTCATAGTATAAAACCAGTTTTTGAACCACCCCCTCGGAAATCCCTACATAATTATTCTAACCACTCACGTAACAATATAGAAGAAACCACCTATTGTTTTGTTTTTGGCCTTGGACCTCAGCTGAAGCTGAAGCAGAAAGAATTCCATTTTTAAATTGTGTTAATAAACAAGCAAATTGGAATATTTAAAGTATCTGTGCAGAAATAAGAACAGAGAGACATTAAGAAAGAAAAAAATCAACAAAGCTTGGGTACAGAGAAAAAGGAGACATGAAAATCCAGTATGACTAATGATTAGAGTTTGAGATGCTAAAGGAAATGATGGTAAGATTTCTGGATAAATATAATAGTCTTTTATTCACTTTCTCTCCACACATCCCACGAAAATGCAACAGAGCATTAAAAAGTTAATAACTTATAAAGACAAAGGGAATAGGACAGAGTAGTAAATGTTATGGTCACTCTGCAAAAGTGGGAGGGAGCCCCACTCCAGGTTTAGTTTGGATATTGAGACTAATAACACCACATGCTGACACCAAGAGGGTATGAAAAGTTTATGACTTACATAATTGAGGTCTCTAGGGAAAGCAGGACAGGCCTCTCAAGCAGGTCTGAAGTGGTTTGAGAGAACAAAGAAGGAAGTCAGGCCTGAGTTTTTGTTGTGGTTAAGGTGAGGTAATAGGTTGAGGATTCCCACATGTATGGGCAGGGACTCTGTGGTTTATATCTCCTGATAGCACCTGAGAAGGGAGCACCCAGGCCTATTTAGCAGCTTGCCTGTGTGTAGACAGCAGGGAAAGAAGAGGGGATGAGGCTCAAAAGCTACCAGCAGACGTAGAACAATGGAGTCAGATTTCTCATTACAGAAGTCATATTTCAACAACTTTTTCAAACAGAAAATAGTTGGAAGACTGGTAAATACCTTAGCTGGAGGGAAAATAGAGCTATTTTCAAGCAGAGTGGAAATTCTGATTAAAAGTGAGGGAGTTTGAAATACAGAAATCCCGAGAGGCACATAGCAGAAACTATTCAGGCAGGAGTGAGGTTTACACTTTTCAATAGCAATTTATTGGAGCCCAGGACCAGTGAGCTAAAGCTTTTGAGAGGTGGAAGGAAAATGATTTCTAAATTACTAATCAACTGTGAGAGCAGGAAAAAGTGGTTTCAGACATTCAAGGTAAAACAATTTATCTACCATGATGAGTTTTCTTATGAACCTACTGGAAGGTGTGCATCAGTTAAACAAAGAGAGGTCAAAGGAAAAAATACGTTTTCAAGTCCTGAAGAGTAAGAAATTCCAATTGGAACTAGAATAAGGAAGTGCTCTGAGAAGTAAAAGAAAGAGGAAGAAGGAGGAAAAGTGACAGGGAGGAAGAGGAAAAAGAAAGGAAGAAAGAGAGAAGGAAGAAGAGGAGGGAGGGATGGAGGGAGTGAGAGGGAGGGAAAACCAAAGGCTGATGTGCTTCAGCATTTTCCAGTCATGTTGGGATATATGAGGGGAAAGAGTGATACTACTACATGGAAAAGCTAAGAGAAGAAAAATCTTAAGAAATTATCATCAGGAAAAAAATTTCCATGAGAAAGGAAATACAATTATTTTACATCATTAACGGTGAATAATACTTATAGTCTCATAGCAATATAAACATTGACTTTTGATTTAACCAAACATTATAATGTAATTATAACAGAAAGATGGAAGAAGCAGAAATAAGAGTGTGGTAAAAGAATGCCAGATCCTCAGCTACCATATCGGAGAGCCAGTACACATTAAAAAAAAAAAAAAAAGCACCATTAAAATAGCCTAATACAATACCATTCAGGACATAGGCATCGGCAAAGACTTCATGACTAAAACACCAAAAGCAATGGCAACAAAAACCAAAATTGACAAATAGGATCTAATTAAACTGAAGAGCTTTTGCACAGCAAAATAAACTACCATGAGAGTGAACAGGCAACCTACAGAACGGGAGAAATTTTTTGCAATCTAGCCATCTGACAAAGGGCTAATATCCAGAATCTACAAATAACTTAAACAAATTTACAGGAAAAAAAATTTAAAAAAAAACAACCTCATCAAAAAGTGGAAGGAGGATATGAACAGACACTTCTCAAAAGAAGACATTTATGTGGCCAACAAACATATGAAAAGAAGCTCATCATCACTGGTCATTAGAGAAATGCAACTCAAAACCACAATGAGATACCATCTCACGCCAGTTAGAATGGTGATCATTAAAAAGTCAGGAAACAACAGATGCTGGCAATGATGTGGAAAAGTAGGAACGCTTTTACATTGTTGGTGGGAGTGTAAATTAGTTCAACCATTGTGGAAGGCAGTGTAGCAATTCCTCAAAGATCTAGAACCAGAAATGCCATTTGAGCCAGCAATCCCATTACTGGGTATATACCTAAAGGATTATAAATCATTCTACTATAAAGACACATGCACACGTATATTTATTGCAGCGCTGTTCACAATAGCAAAGACTTGGAACCAATCCAAATGCCCATCAATGACAGACAGATAAAGAAAATGTGGCACATATACACCATGGAATACACAGCCATAGAAAAAGGATGAGTTCATGTCCTTTACAGCGACATGGATGAAGCTGGAAAACATCATTCTCAGCAAACTAACACAAGAACAGAAAACCAAACACTGGATGTTCTCACTCATAAGTGGGAATTGAACAAAAAGAACACATGGACACAGAAAGGGGAACATCACACACTGGAGCCCAGGGTGTGGGGGGCTCAGGGAGGGAGAGCATTAGGAGGAATACCCAATGTAGATGACGGGTTGATGGGTGCAGCAAACCACCATGGCATGTGTACCTATGTAACAAACCCGCATGTTCTGCGCTTGTATCCCAGAATGTGAAGTATGTTATATATATATATATATATATATATATATAAAATGCCTAATACAGTCACGCTTTGCATAACAATATTTCAGTCAATGATGGACCACATGTATCATGGTGGTCTCATAAGATTATAATGGAGCTGAAAAATTCAAATTCCCTGGTGTCATAGCTTTTTTAAGTTTGTAGCACAATGCATTACTCATGTACCGCACTGTCAATCCTATAAAAGTATACCACACACAATTACAGTACAGTACATATTACTTGATAATGACAATTAACAACTATGTTACTAGTTTATGCATTTACTATATTTTTATCATTATTTTAGAGTGTATTCTTTATACTTACAAAAAACAAAGTTAACTGTAAACCAGCCACAGGCTGGTTCTTCAGGAGGTATTCTAGAGGAAGGCATTGTTATCATAGGAGATGACAGATCTATGCATGTTACTGCCCCTGAAGATCCTCCAGTGGGACAAGATATGGGGTGGAAGACAGTAATATTGATCATCCTGACCCTGTGTAGGCCTAGGCTAATGAGTGAATATCTTGCTTTTTAACAAAAATGTTTTTTTAAAAACTTAAAAAATATAAAATACTTATAGAATAACAATATAAAGAAAAAAATTTACAGCTGTACAATGTGTATGTGTTTTAAGCTAAGTGTTATTACAATAAGAGTTAAATTTTTTAAAATATTAAAAAGTTTATGAAGTAAAAAACTTACAATAAGCTAAGGTTAATTTATTATTAAAGAAATAAATTTCTAAAAAATGAATTTAGCATAGCTCAAGTGTACAGTGTTTATAAAATCTACAGTAGTGCAGATCAGTAGTCCTAGGCTTTCACATGCTCTCACCACTCATTCATTTGATTCTCCCAGTGCAACTTCCCGTCCTGCAGGCTCCACTCACAGTAAGTGCCCTACACAGGTGCACATTTTTTATCTTTTATATCATGTTTTTGCTGTACCTTTTCTATGTCTAGCAATGTTTAAATACACAAATACATACCATTGTATTACAATTGTCTACAGAATTCAGTATGGTAGCATGCTGTACAGGTCTGTAGCCTAGGAGCAATAGACTATACCATATAGCATATAGAATAGGTGTGTAGTAGCCTATACCATCTAGGTTTGCGTAAGTGCTGTCTATAGTGTTTGGACAAGGAGGGAGTTGCTTAATGACTCATTTCTTTTTTTTTTCTTTTTTTTGTGACGGAGTCTCGCTCTGTCCTCCAGGCTGGAGTGCAGTGGTGCGAACTCGGCTCACTGCAAGCTCCGCCTCCCGAGTTCATGCCATTCTCCTGCCTCGGCCTCCCGAGTAGCTGGGACTACAGGCGCCCGCCATCATGCCTGGCTAATTTTTTTTTGTATTTTTTAGTAGAGACGGGGTTTCACCGTATTAGCCAGGATGTTCTCGATCTCCTGACCCCATGATCTGCCCGCCTCGGCCTCCAAAAGTGCTGGGATTACAGGCATGAGCCACCGCGCCCGGCCAATGACTCATTTCTTCGGAACATATCCCCAGTGCATGACTGTATTTAGAAATATGAATGCAAGATAGCAGAGTAGGAGATACCAGTCTTTATCCCTTTATCCTCCCCCCCCACATATCCATATACATAGACACATGCATATGTATGTATACACATACACATAGACAGCTATTCACAAACCAAAATAGCGTGGAGTGGGCTCAAGGGCTGATTAAAGAATCTACAACAACACAGTGAAAAAAAATTTTTTTTAAAAGAGAATTTCCACATGGAAAGGATTGCTGATAAGATTGACATACCTGAGACACCAGGAGCAATGGAGAAAGGTGAGGCTATCAGTATCAGCCACATGGCAGCAGCCACCATGTTCCCAGCAGTCTGCTCAGTAGAGGACACTGGCATCTCTTGCCACTGAGGTAACCAACAGCCATTCCCACCAGGGAACCTGAGAGGGAAACTTGGCTGCACACCCCTCATGCTCCATGACCAGCTGCTGTTGAGCTGCTTTGAGAAAGGAGCTACCACCTCTCCCAACCTCTTACGTGTCAGGAGTCCCAGCTGCTCTAAGTAACCACAGTACAGACCCAGGCTGTGTGGTAGCACTGGGCCTGCTGCCGTCTTAGACATCAGAACCATTGCACGTGGGGCCCCAGAGCCAAGTACTCACTGTGCGGCCCATGCCCTGGGTACCACCTCAGCCCTGTAGAGAACCAGGCCTTCCTAAGGATCTGTGCCTTCCATCATATGACTAACACTGCAGCAGGTGCCAGCACCTTAGGTACTAGGGCCATCACAGGCCTGGACACAAGAGCTCACCATTAGTGCTGTGTTTTGGACCTCAGCTCTGTGCACCTCATCAAATGCCGGTGAAACATCATTATTTCCTCATATGCAAACATTAAAAGAAAGATGACCCAGAATTTTTGAGTGTGGGAAGAGAAACTGCTGGGGGATATAATTTAGCAAAATATTTCTAAAGATTGTAAGTCATAAATGTACCTTTAAAATCCAACTCGCAGCATTTGTCCCATGGAAATAATTAGAAATATACACAAAAAAGTTATTCTTCATGTGTTTTCAGAGGGTGGACATTTCCCATTTTCTTCTTTCTGTGATCAGAAAGGATAGGCATTCTCTACATTTTTGTTTGCTCCTGGGATTTTTCTCTCGCTCTAATGTTAAACACTGAATAGCCTATAGAATTTTAAAAGACCCATCATATGTTCATCATTATGAAATTCTTGTGAGATCATTTATTGTGAAACAATTTTCCTAGGTAGTGTGGTTGCAGAAGGAATGTGAATTTCTCTTCCTTCTGAAATTCTCTTAAGGACTTAGATGGATAGGGTTATTGCATCTGTACTGAGTTCATTGCTCTAGATTTTTTTAAAAATCAGTATTGTATGAGCTTATGGCTTGTTATTAAGATTTAACCTAATGGTCAATTCTTGTGGAAGGAATTGGCATTTCTATTTTCAATCATAGGGATAATTTATACTGTCATATTAATCCCTTATCCTAGCCAGTGAAAAATGGATATACTCATTAAACAACAGAACTTTCACTACTTAAATTTAACTGTGGCTACTTTCATAGGAAAAAAAACCAAGCGTCTACTCCTCTCATATTGCGGGTATGACAAGAATAACACCTATTTGCTTTTCGTGCATCTGCTCCTTCAGAACAGAGGCAGTGTCTACTTGGTTTTGTATCCAATGTACACTGTACATAGTCATAGCATGGTTTCTAGTGCCTATTATGCTAATAAAATATATGGAATAAATGTTTGTTGTTCATAGTGTCACACACAAGTGTTAGAGAAATATGGAAATTATGAGTAAACAAAGATAAATGGTTGCTATGTTTTACGTCATCCTCAACATAACTGTTGATGTCATAAATATGTTTTCCTAACCTCCTCCCTCTCTTACCTCCTACAGAAGATATAGTGCTAGCAATTCTGTCTAACAATAGCAATAATTAATTCACACTTTAGTGCACAATTATAAGTGCCAGACATTGTGTAAAGCATTACAAATGCATAATCTCATTTCATGGTTACCCTATTCCTATGAAGAAAATGTTATTAATATCTACATTATACACACAAGGAAAATGGGATTGAAAAGAGAGACACCCAATGACCAACAGGTATTAGATGGCCAAACTGGAAAACAATCTAGAATATTTAATTACAAAAGCTGCATGCGCAAGTTCTACCCCAAATCACTTCTTGTATTGTATATTTTATAATTCCATCTTTTTCTCTATTTTCATTGCCATGAGATTCAATTCCAGATCATTGGTCCTCTAGATCACTGCCATCAATTGTTAAAGGACATTTCCTAAAATGTCAAATGATCATAATACTCCTATTAATAATATATATCAATGGGTGGTAAAAAAAATCAGATAAAACCCATATTTCCACCTTGGTAAACAAGATACTTTATTATTTCCATCTCACATACATCTCCAGTCTCTGCCTTGTACTTAACTTACCTACATGCTACAGTTCTATCTTTCCCTAAAATATCCACAGTATGCTATACTCCATTTAAGCTGTGTAAGTTATGCATTAGAATTACCACTTCACAGATAAGGATATTGAAGTACCAGCAGGTTAGATACATTGCCCAAGCCACCTTACATTTTACTGGTTGAACCATAATTTAATTTAATTAATTAATTTATTTATTTACTTATTTATTTATTTTTGAGACAGAGTCTTGCTCTGCCGCCCAGGCTGGAGTGCAGTGGTGTGATCTCGGCTCACCGCAATCTCTGCCTCCCGAGTTCACGCCATTCTCTTGCCTCAGCCTTCTGAGTAGCTGGGACTACAGGCACCCGCCACCACGCCCGGCTAATTTTTTTATTTATTTTTTATTATTTTATTTTATTTTATTTTTTGTATTTTTAGTAGAGACGGGTTTCACCATGTTAGCCAGGATGGTCTCGATCTCCTGACCTTGTGATCCGCCTGCCTTGGCCTCCCAAAGTGCTGGGATTACAGACGTGAGCCACCACGCCCGGCCAGAACCATAACTTTAATCAATGAAAACTTTGATTCCCAATCCTATGTTTCAAACCAGTTTACCACAAGGCAAACATTAAATAACTAAAGCTAAGGTTTTTTTCTTCTTCAGCCCTATCTAGTTTTAATCCCCTCATCCAGAAGGCCAGGCTCAATGTCCAAATATTTATCAACAAGGAAGACAAAGTAACCTATCTAATCACATCTTACCTTGAAGTTTCCCATACCATCAAAATTTTTATTGCCAAGTTTATTGAATGCCCTTATCTTTGTATTTATAATAAATGAAAAGAATGTCACTTTAAAGCAAAGACAACATACTTCTACTTTAATTGATTTTCTGTTAACCAAGAATTAATTTACAAAGCAAATTGAATTAGAGGATATTTTAACAAAATATAGGGACAAGATACAGGCACAAAGAAGACACATTAGTTAGTGGACCTACAATCAAGAATATCATCTATTTGGAAGAAATAAAAACAATTTCTTGATATTGCCACAATCAAGAACATAATCTATTTGGAAGAAATGAAAACGATGTATTGATATTGTTTACTTTTTCCATCTAATCTGAACTGAAGCTGGAAACACACCAGATTTTTTTTCCAACAACAGCATATGCCAATGTCTATTATCCAGCTTCCTTGAGCACTAACTTTAAAAAATCCATTTTATCTTTAGTGAAAAACTTGACAGGTTATTTAAAACAATCTCACAAAAAAATTAATTCAGCCCAACAAAATATATATTTTTCTCATTACTATTGCAGTGTTATCTTTTCTGTATATTGTGTTTAAAGTCTAATTCTGAAGTTTGTGTGAATGGTTAGCCAAGAGATGCTGTGTAAATAAAAGTTTTCAAGATTATAGTTATTTTGGGTGACGGGTTAAAATAGTTTATGCATTCTCATTGGGTGTAATAGCATAATAAGATAAAATATCCCAAAATTATATTAAAAATAGATATAATCCAAGTTACTATTTCCAACAGAAATTCACTAACTTTATATGATGCTTCTTCCAGCAACTAAATGAAGGAAGCACACACAACTACATAATATAAATGATGTAATGATTAATGGGTTGAAAGGAATAGGAGAGTGTGACTCATCAATGAAGATACATTTTAAGGAAAGAGCAAAGGGTGGATTGAATTAAGCAGCTGTAATTTAATAGCTGTCATTTCTGAAGCTTACAGAATCTTTACCGTAAAAAAAATGAAATTGTAAAAAAGGTTGTTGATGAAGTCAGCAGATCCAAGCTCAAATTTTTTGAATGGAAAAAGGGAAAGAGAGTGAAAGGATGTGACAGAGAATATGTGCAGTGACAGATTAGTATATTATACACACACACACACACACACACACACACATATATGTATATTATATGATAAAGTTCTTATTTAAAATAATTTTGGAACAGGTCTCTTCTGGTTGTATTTTCCCAAAGACCAAATTTGAAATTCATCTGTGACCTGTGGAGTATGGTGGTACCTCAACTCTATTTGCTTAAACTCTATTCACAATATAATTATCAAGAAGGGAAGTAAAAAAAGGAGCGGCTCACAGATGTAAAAGGAGAATATGGGTCTGGTAGTTAGGATATAAAAACTGCTTAAATTCTGTTTTCAATAAGATGTTACCCATTTATAATTTATCAGAGTCCTACCCTCTGTCACCATATTAGGCATTTCATGATTTAAGTAAAAGTTTTTTATGTTCTTCCCCTACAGAACCTGACGTTATTATTTCCCATTTTGCTATGTAGATTACAAGCCTGAGCATAGTCATTTAGCAGCTAAAACAATACCAGCAGTTTACTATGTAAGTTTGTTATAAATAATTTTTTTTGACTACTGAAAAATTAATGCTAGTGTTTTCCTTTTCCTTTATGTTATAGTTTTCCTCTAAAGCAAGACTTTACTGTGAACCAAGGCATTTCAAAAAGAAAAATCTCATAATGGCTTAAATATAGATACAATGCAGGTTGAGAGTGGAAGAATACAATATTTATTTTAAATATAGATATAATGCAGGTTAGGAGTGAAATAATACAATATGTGTGATGTGTGGGATGAATAATATTATGTTGAATAATATTCTCATATTTGATGAAAAGCCTTGGTGAGCTCTTAGTAAATTTTTGTTCTGTGAGAGACATTACATGAATAATGATTATGTAAGGAATCTTTAACAACAAACTTAGAGATGAGTCAATGACCTATGGATTGCAGACCCTCCATTCAAGATGACCCTCCTATTGCCTTGCCTAACTCCCTCTCTTAGACTTATTTATCTCTATAGTATGCATCACCTTCTAATAAACCATAACATTTACTCATTTGCATTTCTTATTCTGTTGACTCCCTCACCAATTATAGAATGTATCAGAGGGATATATTTGTAGAATGAATGAATGTTTTCATAGAGTGGATAAACAAAGATATAATTGAACAAGCCCATTTCCCTCTTTTTTAAATTTTGTGGCTATATTATGGACTGAGTCTTTGAAACCCCCCCAAAATTAATATGCCCTAATTCCCAATGGATGGTATTTGGAGACGGCTTTTGGGAGGAAATTCTGGTTAGATTAGGTCATGAGGGTGGGGCCCTTATGATTGGATTATTGCGTTTATAAGAGGTGAAAGAACTCCCTCTTCCCTCTCCTTCTTCCCCTTCTCCTCTGCTCTTCTCCCCCTCCCCCTCCTCCTTTCTACTCTTTTCCCCCTTCCTCTCTCTCTCCCTCCCTCCATGAACAGGCACAGGGGAAAGGCCTTATGAGGATACAAGGTAGCTGTCTGCAAGCCAGGGAAGAGCCCTCACCAGAAACTGAAACCTATTTTGTTATGGCCGTCCAAATAGACCAATACAGGCCACAAGGCCCTAAATAGTTGAGAGTCAATATGTGCTTGATGTGTCAATAAGTATGATGTGTGGGATGAATAATATTCATTATGTTGAATAATATTCTCATATTTGATGAAAAGCCTTGGTGTGCTCTTAGTAAATTTTTGTTCTTCCAGAGACATTATATGAATAATGATTATGTAAGGAATCTTTAACAACAAACTTAGAGTACCTATTTTCTCCAGTTTATTTTTGGAAAGAAAATGCATTAAATCAAAGTTAAAGGAAATAATTTACATTCATGTCAAAATTTATTGCATTTACTTATATTTAGATGAAAATGCAAACTCTAATGCCCGTTTATATCTTTATCATGCCATCTTTGAAAGGTTTTTGTTCAAGAACATGGTGACTTTTTTTGCAACATTCATATATAACTAGAAGAAAATTACTTAAGTTGACTAATTCCAAAAAACAAAATGCATAAATAAGAAAGGAGAACTATAACAAATTGCTTAATATATATTCCAAACATGTATCATGTATAAATAAATTTAACATATAAATAGCTTGAGATTTTTATCTAAATATGAAAATGGAAACACAGGAAGCTGCCTTTTAGGTACATATGACATACTGGATATAAGCATAAAAGTAATAAAATTTCTTCAGGAGAGAGGAAAGAGGACCAAATGAAAATTTTTAAAAAATATAAACTGGAAAATCCATTTTCTAGAAATGACATACAAATTCAAGTTATTTCCTTTCAAAGAAACAGATAATTAACCTTTGTTAATGGTCAAATATCATTCTTAAACATAAAACCATGCTCTTAGGTGGCAAACTTGAATGCTTTATAGACCAGTAGGGTCAAATGGCTGTTCTTCCTTTTTATTTATGTTTTGGTTTTATAAAGAATTTTGGGGATAGAATTCATCATCATAATATTTTTCAAAAGGAATCTCAGGTAGAAATTGAAATGAAACATAGAGTACAGTTAACTTCCATTTAGTTACCCGTGTACTGTAATATATGTATTATGGTGGCTATCGGTGCTTCTCAGACTTCTCGAGGTTATTCTTTGTTCCTCTCTTTCTGGGACATGACAGAATTTCATGTACCCACCCTTGTGAAGTTAAATATAGCCTTGTAAGTTGCTGTAGCCAATGATTTATGTGTGGAATTGTTTTGTGTCACTACCAAGGATGAAGATTTTAGGTGCCAGCATGCGATCCACTATGTTCACTTCCCACTTCCTTAGCAATTAGTAACATTCAGATAGTTGATTCTCCATCATCCTTCATTCCTGAGTAAGGATAGCAGAGCAGAGCCTCCAGCTGACTCTCAATAGATACGAAGAACAGGAGAGAAATAAACCACTGTTATATAAAGCCACTAGTGTTTGGGAATTGTTTGTTGCCGCAGCACATTCTAACCTATCCTAAGTAATGCAGAAATTGTTACTTTAAAATGTGCACTGTTAGCCATAAAAGTAAAGTATGTAATCTTAGCTCAAAGTTTAGCTTTCTGGCAGGAAGGAAACTGTCATGGTATAAAGGGGGATGTGGTGCTCATCAAATCCTTTCAATTGAACTCAGGGAAAGAAAACATTGAGAAGTGTCAAGTTTTCCTTATATCAAGAAGGTGAAGGGATCAATCAGATAAAAGTGCTCAAAATAGGGGATTTGGCTGTTGACTTGCAAAAGTTATAGAAGGCTCAATGGAAAGTTTTCAGAGAATGGAGAGTATAGAATATAAAGTCAGAAAAAAAAAGTATAGAGCTAAGTGGGAATCAAAGCCTGGGAATGAAGGATAATAGTAGTTCTGGCTGTTTGTGGTGTGTAAAATATGGAGGAACAGAGGGTATTTGAAATAATACAGATGGTCTAAGGAAGGCAGTTGTCTCATTAGAGATAGTGGTAAATTATCCTATTACAGATGATTACAATGGTCTAAGGAAGATAGTTTTGGAAAGGCTGTGAGTATTGAGGTAAAGGGATTCGGGTGTTTCCAGGGCCATATAGAATTCTGAGACTCACATATGACTTTTGCAGATGGAGAAATCATGGCTGCAGAAGAGGAATCTTGCTCCTGCCATCAGGCATTCTCTAGACATCCACAAACGAAGTCTGAAAAGAGGTGATTCTACCCTAAGCATATCAGTTTACTCTGCACTTCTGCTGAAAAAGCCCTGTATGCTCCTTGAGGGAAAATCATTTCCAAGCACATGGGCATGACCTTGACCACTGCTAACGGTATAGTAGAGGTCTCCCCTTGTGACCCTTCCTTCTATCTTATGTTACTAATATTCATGTACAAGTTTAATCTCTCTTAATGGACAATAGGATTCTTGAATGAATATCTGGAGTCTGATTTATTTTTAAACTTATCATTATAGTGTCTGAAATGTGGTACAGAAAATACTCATTCTTTAATTCAATCAGTAAAATGCCTGTCTTTTTTTCAGGTACTGTGATAAACACTGGGAAAACAAGAATGGACAAGCAAGACTACGTGACCATGATAATCATTAAGTTGAAATCTAGTAAAGAAAAAAGATGCATAAAATGGCATTTCTAGTATCGTATAGTGAAAAAGCAGATGAATAGACACAATGAGAACACATTTGGAATGTGGAGTCAAACCCAAATTGGGAGGTCAGGAAAGGTTTCTGAGAGATGTTAAGTCATTAATAAAATGAGAAGTTATCCTGACTCTGTGTGTGTGTGTGTGTGTGTGTGTGTGTGTGTGGTGTGTGTGTGGTAGTGGTAGTAGTAGTAGCAGTAGTAATGATGGTGGGGTAAGATTGGGCAAAAAATATTCTATTGTGGAATGATGGAGAGGTGGTGCCAAATGCAAAAGGCCACAGATGGAAGACGGCATGAATTACGCATGAATTATGCAAGAAGCATACAAGAAATGAGGCTGGGAAGTTTAAAAAGGCACCTCATTTAAGGGTCTTTTGATATTATTTTAACAAACTTGGAAGTTTCCTAAGGAATTTGTTGCAGAATTTTGAGTTGAAAGTGACAAAATCAGATTTGTACTTAAAGAAAATCACTTTTGCATCGGGTGTTGGACTGAAATAGCGGAAGGCCAAGAGCACTGGGATCAGTATGGAGAGTAATGTTTACATAAATTTCATCCAGAAAAGATTCCAATTTCCAATGATACGAATGTATTGAGAATATTCCAATTTAAATTTGTTAACTGAAAGGCACCTGGACTTAGGTGAGTTGCCTTAGACTTTATTATGCTTTTTTCTCCTAGGGCTATTTTGCCTGTTTAGGGTTTGTTGAAATTAAATTACATAGGGTCCAAAATAATCTAATTAATAATGGAACAAAAATATATAACATTGAGACTAGATACAGGGAGGATTTCCATTGAGCTTGGAATAAGTGCTGAGATAATTTTGCTTACATGACGGAATTTTAAACATCCTCCCTCACTGGACACCAACATTCCAATTCTAAACCTCATCTACAGTCTGCATTTCACTCCCTTGGTCTCTTGGTTTATTCTCCTCGGTTGTTTCTGGGAGTGCATCTCTCTCCCATAAAATTTTGATGTATTTTGACATCGGTCTAATTTTTATGTCCCACATTTCAGATATTTGAACATACTAGGTTCTAAATATTGCAGAAATATATAGAAAACAACAAAGCAGAACATTTTTAACCTCTAAAGATTTTCTTGATGATTCAAGTCCCAGGGGTGTTTTGGTTCATTTAGGCTGCCGTAACAAAATACTTTACACTAGGTAATTTATCAGTAACAGAAAGTTATTGCTCACAGTTCTGCAGGCTGGGAAAGCCAACAAGGTACCAGCAGATTTGGTGTCTGGTGAGAGATTTTTCTGCTTCATAGAGAATGTCTTCCACACTGTGGAAGGGATGAATAAGCTCTCTTGGGCCTCTTTTGTAAAGATACTAATTCCATTTAAGAGGGATTTTTCAACATATGAATATTGGAGGGATACAAACATTCAGATCATAGAATGAAGACTACTTCTGAGTAACGATAGTAAGCAATCATTACATAAAGGAAAACCTATGATTTGTTAAATGATGAATTGTTCTAATTTAAAAAACAATAGATGATTGTAAATTGATTTCTGAGAGCAAACTATTTTTGGCACATCCATATGAGGTAAAGGAAGAATAATTGGATCGTTGGTTTGTCTTAAATAATTGCATGTGGAGATCTGACTGAAAATATTGCCCAGCTAAATGCCCTGTCACTTGTGCTAATTTGAAGTGGTATTTCTGAATTTTAAATAATACAATATAAAAAGGCCCTGAAAAGCTAAAATTGTTGTATTCAAAATGACTTGTAATTTAAATGAATGCCTATTTTGTATTTGAATACGTACTGTTTCTATAAACAAAATATGGAATTTTTTATTGAGTGGCAGTGAATAAGACCTAAAGTCACAATCTTCTGTTTGTGCAAACATTATTTTGAGGTAAGTCCATCTTAATGGAATGTAACATAGAGCTATAAGAACAAAATACTATCACTGAATCATAGTACCATTGAAATACATTACACCATATTAAATCACCCTCTGGTTTTGTGAAATATAAGCAAAAAGTAATGAATTGAGATAAAGCCAAATAAAAAGAAAAAATATCTGTGAAAATCCAAAAGCAGAAGAACAAAGTAACTGCTTAGAATGCATCAGAGGTAAAATAACTGCTGTAAAAAGATCCTGTAATCAGCATAATTATTTTTCTGCGTGATCAGAACATTCACCCTGGTCCCTATTTTAAGAAGACTCTACTTATCATATCCATCTCTAAATGCACCATATCCCCTCTTGAAAAGCCTTTCTGAAATTGATTATTGCTTTAAGATGAAATGCTGAATTCTGGAACTTTCACACAGGAAATTTTTCCCCAGTGTTACCATACCCACCTACTTTCTGCCCACATCCACACAGTTGCACAGGAATGGTGATAAACAGAGCCTCACTAACTGATCTCACTTCAAATTTATGATCATTAAACCAAGAGGTGCCTCACTGCTGCCCATGAAAACACTACAGTGCATGAACCACATGGGCTTTCACAGTCCTAGATGGCTATTTTAGACTTTTACCTCTGTCCTTGAACAATTTCCATCCTCTTTATTCTCAGCTCATGACCATAATTTCTATTTCTGATAGAAAAAAGAAGCAATCGGAAGATAATTCCCTCAAGTAATTACCTTCGTATCTACCCACCGAGTATCAGTGCTCCCATACTCTACCTTTCTCCTGTTACTATTAATGAACTCTCCTGGCTCCTATTTATGGTCAATCCCTTCATTTTTGCCCAGTTGTCCATCCCTTCTTATCTGCCTGAGGATATCTCTTGAGCAATTCCCTCCTGACTCTCCAGTAACATCAGTGTTTCCCTTTCTATTGGAATTTTCCATAAGCACCAAGTATGTTCTTATTTCTCCTGTCTTAGAAAAGTGCCCTCTTTTCTACTCACATCCCCCGTAGCTATCTCTGTACTTTTCTGCTCCCTTTCCAGCAAATTTCTCAGAAGAATTAACTGTGCTTGCTGCAACAATATTTTTTCCTCCAATTTTCTCTTGAACACACTCCAATGAGGCTTTTGCATATCGCACTTAACATGTCCAAAATTGAGTTCCCAATACTGCTGAGACTTCCACCCTCCCTGCAATATGTGTTGTTCTTAAAATCTTTTCCAACTCATCCCTCCAGTTGCTCAGCCCCAAACCTTTGAAATAATTTTTCTTCTTTTTTTTCCACTTCACAGTCAAAATATATTTTAAAATAGACCCATTCTTCCATCAGCACTCCTGCCAGCTTGGTCCAAGCAACCATGGTATCTCACCTGAAACTTGCAATGCCCTTCTTACTGGTCCTTTTGCTCCTGTTTTTGCTTCATGTCAATCTGTTTTTCACACAGTAGACAGAGCATGCCATTTCTCTGCTGAAAATCATTGCAGTAGTTTCACAAGACACTCAGAGAAGAGAGAAAATTTCTTACTATCCTACTGTGACCTACAAGACCCTACATGAATGAACCTCTGTGCCCCATTAATGTCTCTAACCTTTTCTTTAACCCTCCAACTACTCCCTCTCTGCTCCAATCTTAATGTGCTTCTCACTGTCTTCCAAGAACAGCAGACAAGTTATTATCTCAGAGTCCTCTTACTTATGAAGGCCCCTGCCCAAAAATGCTTCATACAGCGTGCTCCCTCATATCATTAGACTGTTATCTTACTCAGCAAGGCCTTCCCTGACTACCTCATCTAAAATTTAAACTGCCGCCCTACATCTCATCCTCTTCCCTGTTTCAATTTTCTCCTAGGTAGGTATCACTATCTATTATACTATATCAACTCTCATCATATATATATATATACACACACACACACACACACACACACACACACATAGATATAGATATAATCTTTTATTTGGACTTAGGTGTGCTTGTAAACTGGCTTTCTAGAGGAAAAGACAAAGTTGATTTACAGCATTTGCTGAATTCCATGTTGTAGATACTCGAGCTATGACTAGTTTCAAGTTGCCAACATGATGTCACTGAATGCAGAGCTGTAAAGACACACTCACAATCAACTCTTGGGAGCGAGTGGGAGCTAACTTCAGTACACTACTGCTTATGTCTCTTAGTAGAATATAAGCGGCATAAGGGAAAATGTTTTAGTCCATTTTTTTTCACAATTCTATTGCCAGTGTCTAGACTAGTGTTTGTACATAATAGAAACTTGATAATATTTGTCGAATTAATGAATGAAGAAGCCAGGGGAATTCAGATAAATGTGTTCTCTTCTGATTGGTAGGAAATGAAATTCAACACTGCAAATGGTGCATGACCTACATCATCAAAATCAGTGCATTTTCAACCTCTGAAACATAACAGGGAGGAGACTTCAGAAAGAGAGATTCCAAGTGATGGATACAGTTAAGAACATGGTAAATACCATATACAACAATTAAGTCAAGATGGAGTAAAGACTTAAATGTGAAACCCAAAACTATAAAAACCTTGGAAGAAAATCTAGGCAATACCATTCAGGACTTAGGCACAGGCAAAGATTTCATGAGGAAAATGCCAAAAGCAATTGCAACAAAAGCAAAAATTGACAAATGGGACATAATTACACTAAAGAGATTCTGCACAGCAAAGGAAACCATGAATAGAGTGACTATACAAACTACAGAATGGGAAAACATTTTTGCAAACTATGCATCCAATAAAGGTCTAATATCCAGCATCTATAGGGAACTTAAACAAATTTACAAGAAAAAAACAAACAACCCCATTAAAAAGTGGACAAAGGAATTGAGCAGGCACTTTCAAAAGAAAACATACATGCAGCCAACAATCATATGAAAAAAAGCTCAGTATCACTAATCATTAGAGAAATGCAAATCAAAACCACAATCAGATACCATCTAACATCAGTCAGGATGGCCATTATTAAAAGTCAAAAAATAACAGATTCTGGCAGGGATGCAGAGAGAAAGGAAAGCTTATACACTGTTGGTTGCAGGGTAAATTATCTCAGCCAATGTAGAAATCAGTGTGATGATTTCTCAAAGACCTGAAAAAAGAAATACCATTCAACCCAGCAATCCCATTACTGGGTATATACCCAGAGGAATATAAATCATTCTAGTATAAAGACAGATGCACACATATGTTCATTGCAGCACTATTCACAATATCAAGGACATGGAATCAACCTAAATGCCCAACAATGATAGACTGGATAAAGAAACTGTGGTACATATACACCATGGAATACTATGCAGCTTTGAAAAGGAATAAGATCATGCCTTCGCAGGGCCATGGATGGAGCTGGAAGCCATTATCTTCAGCAAACTGACATGGGAACAGAAAACCAAATACCACATGTTCTCACTTATAAGTGGGAGCTGAATGATGAGAACACATGAACACATGGTGGAGAACAACACACACTGGGGCCTATTGGAGGGTGGCGTGGGAAGAGAGAGAGCATCAAGAAGAATAGCTAATGCATGCTGGATTTAATACCTAGGTGAGGGTATGATCTGTGTGGCAAACCACCATGGCACACATTTACCTGTGTAACAAACGTGCACATCCTGCACATGTACCCCTGAACCTAAAATTTGAAGAAAAAAATAAAAATAAAAAGTCCAACAAAAAAAAAGAGCGTGGTGAATAAATGGCAAAAAAGTACTTTGATATAACTGGACCAAAGAGTATATACATAATATAATATAATCTCAGTCAGCACATTCTAAATTATCACTATGAAAATATTTACTGCAATAACTTACAAATCTTACTCAGAATTTTCAAATTGAACAGAAAACTTGCTATAATAAATTTGCATATACAATAGAGCAGTTGTGATTAAATTATCTCCTAGCTAGGATTACTTTTCACATTGTGCATTATCATATCATCTTCCTCAAATTGTTGAGTAAAAATGACTTCCAAGAAAGTAAAACAAATTCTGCAAAGAAAGTATATAAGTGTATAAGACCTAAAAAAGCCTGTACATTTAGAGGAAAATTTTGAAGTGATAAAAAATATTGAAAGTAATCAATATATAAAGCACATAAGCTTGGCACACACATCTGCTGTCTGTGTTATTTTGCTATGTGTGAGAAAATTTTAAAAATTGGGATAGAGTTGTTGTTTCCATAAATATTCACCATGTTTCAGAAGCACAACACGATATATTTAAGAAGCTAGAGAACTATCTTGTGCAGTGGATTGATAATCATAAATAGCATAGGATGCCATGAAGTGTTGCATTGCTACAGAGAAGGTCTTGGACATCTTTGAAGATCTGCAGAAGGTGAGAGTGAGTGGATCTGATAAAGGCACTGAGTTTCAAATCAAGTTAAGCATGGTTTGAGTCATGAAAATCTGTAAGTTATCAACAACTTGGATAAAAAGACTTCAAGTCATAATGGAGCTACAGTAGTTTATCCAGTGAATTGCAGACACCCAAAGGCAAAGGTGATTATATTACACAGCGTATTTTCAATCTTCCTGAAACTTGGCTCCTTTTTGTATTTTTATTTATTTATTTATTTTTTTGGTAAATGAATGACTTCTCATGTATTTATCTCAGAAGACGGGAACTAATGTACCAAGAATTGTTACCAGGTAGGATGGAATTAACCTGAGCTGTATTAGAAAAATATCAAGGCCAGCCTTAAGCTTAGGAAATTGATTCTCCTCTTCCCCAAGCCACATGAATTATATACAATTGCAGAGAAATGGAAAGAATAATAGACAATCTGTAGGTCCTTTACAGAAAAGGGATTAAGACTACATTACAGAGTACCTATAATGCAAAGAAGGTTGTAGTTTATTCTTTAGATATGGAAGAGGTTTAAAAATGTCCGTCTAAGGAAGCGATGTTGTAAGTTCTATGCTTCTGGAATATTTTATCTGTCAGCAGTATTTAGCAGAGATGGGAAAACAGAGAGATTGAAAATGGAGGAAACAGGAACGATTAGCTTTGGTATAAGAGGGAAGCAATGAAAAACCAGTGAACTAGTAGTGGGAATATAGAAAAAGTTGTATTTGAAAGCTGTTATTTGTTTGGGAGTCTATACAATTTGGGAACTGATAGAATTTAGGAGACAGAGATCATACAGAACTTCAAAGCCTGAGAGACTAAGTTGGCAACCCAGGAGGAGGGACAGGTTTAATAATTCAATAAATATTTATTGAACCCTTAATTTATAGCAGGCATTGAGCTAATCATCATGGATTAAAAGATAAATAAGCCATAGTCTCTTATCTTAGGTAGCTTGAAGTTTATTGGGGGAATAAATGAAGTAAGGTGAAATGAAAAGTGAGATTTTAGAATTAATTTGAGTTGCCAAGAGAGCCCCTAGGAATAAATTTATTTCCAGAAATAAATTTCTAGGAAATGTGAAACTGAAAATATCTTTAGGTTTATTATCTCATTTACTTAAATATATTTTTTCAAGTGTGTTAATCATTTAATGAGGAGGCACTAGCCCTTTCCAAAGAAGGAAGAATGTACTCAGAATCCGATTTATTTGAATTTTTGTTTTGCTTTACATTTTAATACCTGGCAGCTACTTAGGGAGAAGGCTATAGCTAATCAATAGTACTTAAGCTACTCAAGAGGACAGATAACAGAGAGAGCTTAACATATTTGTAGAAAGAGAATCTCTACAAGGATTTAAGAAACAAAAAATTTGATTTTATTCTATTTGAATAAACTTATTGGTATGATAAACTGGATATTTTAAATTTTAGTTTAACAAGTTTTCCTCCATATTTGCAGCTATCCAATGGAATCACCACCAGTATAAAGCATAAGGGGTGAAACCTTGTGATCTTTTGGCTATTTAAAATGTCTTGTTAGAAATGAAAGAATTTCAACGCAATTCATTACAATAAAACTATTCTGGATCCCTATTTGGTCATAAATTTAATCATGGAAGATCTAACGTTGATTTTTCAAAAAAGTGATAAACAAAGGAAGACAACTATATGTAAGACCAGAAAAAATAAATAAATCTGCTTGCAGTTTTAACCATAGTAGCCCAAGTCCTACAAAATTGACAATCTCTATCTCTGCCTATTTATCTGACTAACATGATCAGACTTTACAGGGAAAACAAAATGGAAAACTGTGCTCATTTTCAAGAAGACCTACCTTGCCATAGATGTCAGAATTTTCATCAGCCTAGAGCAAATGGCCAAAGTCAATTTGTAACTATAGTCTCAGTATCACATTTTTGCAACTGTAAATATTTTTCTGACTTCAATCTGCTATTGTATCTTTAAGTTGACATACATATATTATGAAAGCATTGGATATAACTTCAAATATCTAAACTGACGTTGGACTCACATACATAGTCATTATTACAAGTATTTCTCTGTAACATTAAATAAGATTGTTTCTTGAAACATTAAAAAGCCTTGAATATAGGGGAAAATTAAAATAGTTGAATGGTCTTTCACTAGAGTGAGGACAACTTAATCTCTTCAAAAGTTTATTAAAAAGTTTTTCTTATTGAATATTATAGCAAAGCCCCAAATAAATTCAGACATAGAAAATTATTTCCAACATTAAAAACACTAAAATATAAAGGCAAAAGTTATTATCAGCAGGATGAATTATATAAAATCCTTCCCAACAGACATGACATTTTATGCAAAGATTCATGAAAGGAATCAAGAACCATGAAACATACCAGCCTCACAAATCCATTGCGATGATGACATTGGGCCTGGCTTCAAAACCAAAACAGTAAAGGGAAAAAAGGGTCCAAGGTGTAACTGTGCATTTCCTCTTTCTCACCTAACTCTCCCCTTGTGTCACTCAGAATTTGTTATACAGAGCAATACTGGAAACTTCTAAACTAAAGGAATAGTTGACAAACCTTTCTGAAAGAGACAACTATTAATAGATGTATAAATTATTTCCTTGCTATATGATCATTTTATTTATTAATGAAAACTCATGAAGTGGGATCAGGGCCATGGCTTCTGATATTAACTTTTTTAGGTGCACTCCTCCGCATACAATTGCCAGTGAAGTGATGCTCATCTCGTCTCCCACACACTAATCCCTTAGAATGAGAGAATTCCTGCTCTGGGATCTGTTGACTTGGCAAATGCCATTAAAGGGGGGAGATTTTATTGAAAGTTTTGTTTGGAAAACAAACACGTACAAAGCATTCCACATATTTGCAACTCACGGTATTTTAGCTGCCTCATCTTAAAAAAATAAAAAATAAACTTTAGTGAAATGTAACTCCTGGTTTACTCAATCACGTTTTGAAGGTTTAAGTACGTATTATCTAAATTATATTAGATAGATAGATATCTGAGAGAAGTGAGTAAAAACTTAGATTCCAATAAAACGTAGAGTTTGGTGAAGGGCTTTAGGCAAACCTTAACAGCCTACTGATTCCTATCATTATAAACAAGTAATGGAATTTTCACATTATAATGATCACAGCCTAGCTAGACCTGAATCAACCTCTTCTTACTTTTAATTAAAATACCCATAAAAAATCATAAAAAGAGAGACGCTGAGAGCCACAATAATTGGACAGAAAATATCAAAAGATCATATCCTAAATATCTAGGTACATCACTAATTGTGTCACATTTTAAAAATACATTTCTGAATTGCACGTGTTCTGCACTTTCACCTAGATTAATTTTAGCTTTAAGAAAGGTAGAGTAAAACTTTGACTTACATGACTCTCTGATCCTGGCTTCAGAGGGCCCAGGGAATGTGAAGAATGTAATCTCAAATAGCTAACCTCCAAACCACAGCATAGGGACAGACAGGAATGTACTCATCATTTTCGCTACTCCCTATCTATTCCTGCTGACTGCCAAAAATTTTCAAGTGTTTTTAAAAAATATTCTTACTGACTGTGCAAATGCCAGCAACAATAGAGACAGAGAGTGGTGAGAGGTGGTATGCTTCAAAATGAGATGGATTGTAGCACTAGGAAAGGCATTGAAGTAAGAGAAAAAACAGGAAGCATCTTGGGAGAACCTAAGTTGATATGGTACTGGGGCAAGAGGCTACAATGAGACAGAACAAATAATTCATATATGATAAATATAGCATTTCCAATTGAGGGAGAAATGTGTGAATAGTCAGTACAACTTACTAAAATCTTCAGTTAACAGGTTGACAGGCAAGGAAGAAAGGGAGGAAGGGAGGGCAGGAAATTGGACATCTTTTACATATTAAGCTAAATTAAAGTCTAGATAATTTAAAATTTATATATAAAGCAAACGAAACCCAAAAATACAGAACATGTAGGTAAATATTAATATATAGCATTGCTTGTACTTTTATGCCAGACACTGTGTCAAATCATTTAAATATACTCTTCATTCCTCACAAGTATTGAAAAGCACATTAATGTCATAATAAATCATCACCTAGTGAGAGATTACATAAGGAACAGAAGAAGGGTTTATAATTAAGAAATGTTTTAATGTTATGCATCCTCTTAGTAGATCTCAGGAAAAATTATATATTAGTTTCCATTGATGTTGAAAATTTGGAATTTGGCAAAATTGAACATATTCAGTAAAATAAGAATAATAAGGTGTATCTATTTTAATACCAAATCCAGCATCATGCTTACTGGAAAAACACTAGAAGAAACTTTTCTAAATTCAGTAACAAAATAAGGGTTACCATTATTACCTCTAGTATTTATCATTTATTAAGCATGAAAACAACCAGAAATTACAATGATTTCCTGATTTGCTATTTCTTACAGGGGAGTGGGGTTGGGGGTGGAGGGCAGTGCATCAGGACAGGAGGGGATAGGAATGTGAGATCAATTTTATTTGTTGTTTATAAATAGGGTTATACTAGGGTTATATGGAGTAGGGTAGGACATCATGCTCCATTACATATCTTGCCTTTGCCAATAAATCATGATTGGAAGTGATGTGCTTGATTCCTAGGCAGAAGATTTAACCACTAAAACATGATTAGTTTATAGATTATATTTCAAATCAGTAGGAAAAAGCATTCTTTTAAATAAGTGATGGTGTAAGAACAAGATAACTGTATAAGAAAAGGTAACATCAGATTCACTCCTCGCACCAACCACCAGGCTGAATTACCAACGGATCAGAGATAGGAATGTAAAAATTAAACTAATCTAAAATTGGCAAGAGCTGAGCTGGAAAGAACTGAGCTGCCAGGTGTCGAGTGGTAAATTAGGACAACAAACCAAATTCACACACCGAGATATTTTAAGCAAGAAGCTAAACAGGAAAAAAGCACCAAAAGCACTAGCTCCCCAGTGTTTTATTTTTCCCTGGCAGTGGCCCAGGGCAAAGGTCAGATGTATCAGTGCAGATGGGGGGAAACTTCACACTGCCCAGGGAGCCCAAAACAAAAGTCTCCTGCCTTTGTACACCCCTGCGAGCCAGGAGAGGGAGACAAGAAAGGTCTAGAAGTGGAAAAGTACTGAATGGTGAGTCAGAGTGGAGAGAAGTGTCTTCAAGCCCTCCTGATAAGCGGTGTTGGTGACAAAGGCCTCTGAGAAAGCATTTAGCCAAGCCTGTTCCGCCACCCACTCCCACAACAAGGAGACCTCCAAGTGGAGGCATTTGGGTTAGAAATACAGAAATCTTAAGAACCTTGGGGTGGGAAGGAGTGCCGAGTTCTTAACTGCAACTCCTTCCAGACTGCACAGAGTCTCAGACTGCGGGGCAGCTTTGCTCCATGAGGCCTGCCAGGTAAAGGCTGTGTAACTGTCTATGTTTTCACCAAAATATCACACATAAGGTTTTTGTTTTGTTTTGTTTTTTGTTTTTTTGAGACGGAATCTTGCTCTGCTCACACAGGCTGGAGTGCATTGGAGTAATCTCAGCTCACTGCAGCCTCCCCCTCCTGGGTTCAAGCAATTCTCCTGCCTCAGCCTCCTGAGTAGCTGAGATTACCAGTGTGAGCCACCGCACCTGACCTACACACAGGTTTTGCTATGGAGCCAGACTACTCACAAACAATCATGTGTGAATTATCCTATAAACCAGAAGTGAGGAATTATTTTCTAATCATAACCCCAAACCCAGAAGCAATATGAGAAAAGACAGACACATTTGGTTACACAAAAATAAGATAAAACTTTACATAGAAAAATATACCATGAGCCAAGTTAAAGGACAATGAAAAACTGAAAAAAAAAGATTTATAATGGTACAAAGTGTTACTATCTCAATGTATAAAGAACTTCCAAATGATAAAAATAAACATTAAAAGAGCCAACAATGTGATAGAAAAATGAGCTAGAAAAATGAAGAGACAGTTAAAAATGCCAATGACTCCTACCCATATGAAAATATGCTTAGTATCATTCATAATAAGAGAAATGCAAATTAATGCTACATTGATATGTTTCTCACATACAAGATTGGAAAACCAGAAGCTTAACGATATAGTGTGTTGATGAGACTATGAATAAACAGGTACTGTCATTACTCACTATTCAAACTGTAAAATAGTAAAATGCCTTGAACCAGATATTAGAAATATTCAGCAAAATTGAATATATATTTACCCTTTGAGCAAGCAATTCCACTTCTATGAACACAGGTGTAAACTGCATGGGCCTACTTACACTCAATTTTTTTCAATAAAAGTTACACCTAGTATGCCTGCCTCTTCTGCTTTCCCTTCCACCTCCTCCACCTCTTCTGCCTCTGCCACTCCTGAGACAGAAAGACCAACCCCTCCGCCTCCTCCTCCCCCTTCTCCTCTTCCTCAGTCTACTCAATGTGAAGATGATGAAGATGAAGACCTTTATGATGGTCTACTTTTATTTCATGAATTGTAAATAAATTTTCTCTTCTTTATGATTTCAATAATATTTCCTTTAGCTTACTTTAAGAATATAGTGTATAATAAAAATAATATATAAATATGTGTGAAATGACTGTTTATGTTATTTGTAAAATTTCTAGTCAACAGTAGGCTATTAGTAGTCATGTTTTTGGGGAGTCAAAAGTTATAGGTGAATTTTCAACTGCATAGGGTGTCAATGCCCCTAACCCCTGTGTGATTCAAAGGTCAAATACAGGTATATGTAGTTGATGTATATATATATATATATATATATATATATATATATATATACACACACACACACACACACACACACACACACACACACACACACCATGATACATAGTTGATGCTCCTAACACAGGAGTTAGGGTCATCAACAGCCCATACAAACATATATACATATATGACCTTTGACCCTTGAGAGAGAGATAGAGAGAGAGAGAGATACTTTATTTAGTCTTACTCATATATATATGAGTAGAACTGTATAAACTTAGGTATATGCACATTATAGGGTACTATGCAACTTTGCAATGGAATTGGAAATATCTATATATAATACTATGAAATAATATCCTAGATACCTTGTTAAATGAAATGCTAAGAGCAAGTCTGGCAGATAATCCTCAAGTATCTGTTCCATCAGGTGGCTGAAGAGAACTAGGTCACCCATGGTTATATCTCCTTCCCAGGTAAAAGCGGCATAGAAAGACCTGTCTCCCTTCCCTCAATCAGAGTATCTCTGGAGGGTCAATCCATCTTCACATCTCCCCAGAAGATCAACTGAGGCTTCTGTTGAGACTGGATTGAGTTCTTGTTCTCTTTCTGGAAAATCTTGCTTCTTTCCCTTCCGCTCCAGAGGTGTTGATCCCCCAAAACCTAAATAAACCACCTGTATACTAATCTCCATCACAGATTCTGATTCCCTAAGAATCTAACCTGGCACAGGTAGTACCAGGAGTAACTCAAGAAAGCCATACTTGGATGGGAATTTGAAGCTGCTTTGCTCCCCACCACATGGCAATCTGTAAGTGGAGTACAGATAATCCCTTTCACAACTGGGCAGCACAGTTGTTGAAACAATCGTGGAGTACTGGGGTGGCATACCAAAGGATGTGAATGCCTTAGCTGGCACAGTGTAAAGCTGCTGGAGAAATACGGAGAGAAACTGCAATTATAAGAATAGTGGAATTGAATGGTTTTTACTAAGCTCACTCTGAGTAAGATAATATATAGGCAAGTGTGATTAATTAGCAATTAAAAAACTAACTGTGAAAGCCTTAGTGCCTCCTAGTGGTATACAAGAAGGCTCTCATCTTCCAGAAGTGAACACAGGACAAAGTCAAGATTTAATTATCAGATTAGCCTAGCTGCAAAGGATGAACTCCCAATTATGGCAAATATATGCTATTTCAAGGTTCAGACCATTTTGGGGAAACAATGGGACCTTGAGGCATCATGGGTGTATCTAGGCTGATACTCCTGAAAATTCTCATAATGACAAGTATAAATGGTCACCAGTCTCAGTCTTTTCCTAAAAGGACCTGCAGTCATTTACTTTGGTAACTGCATGTTAGGAAAAGGAAAATACTCAAACATTTTAGAAAGTACTGGAACAATAGTCAAGACATGTTAAAAGATGATATGAGCAGATATTTCACAGAGTGGGATAAACAGATGGCAAACAAGCACAGGAAAAGATGCACAATATCATTAGTCATTATGGAAATACAAATTAAAATCAAAATTAAATATCACTATACATCAATCAGAATGGCTAAAATAAAAAAATAGTGACAACACCATATGCTGACAACTATGTAGAGAGACTGGGATATAAAGTTTTACAGCCAGTCTGGAAAACAGTATGGCAGTTTCTTAAAGAACTGAACATGCAACTACCATATGATTTACCAATTGAATTCTTGGGCATTTATCACAGAGAAATTAAAACTCATGTTGACACAAAAACCTTTATATGAATGCTCATTGCACCTTTATTTGTAATAGGCAAAATCTGGAAACAACCCAGATATCCTCCAAAATAATTAAGCACGCTGTGGTATAATCAGATCATAGAATACTACCCAGCAATAAAAAGAAAGACTATCAATACATGCAACAACCTGGATAAATCTCCAGAGAATTACAAGGAGTGAAAAAAGCCAATTCCAAACATATAATATCTGTTTCCATTTACACATTATTACTTAAATGTCATAATTACAGAAAAGGAAAACAAGAGTTAAGGAGGAGATGGAGGTGGAAGTAAAGTGGATGTGAGTTTAAAAGGGCAACATGAGGGATCCTTGTGGTGATGGAAACATACTTGATCTTGAGTGAATCTATGTCAATATCCTCATTTTTCTATTTTACCATAATTTTGCAATAGCTCACCAATGAGGGAAACTGTACAAAAGGTATACAGGATCTATGTCTATTATTTATTACAATTTCATGTTAATTTACAATTACCTCAAAATAGAAAGTTAATTTAAAAAAGGTTTCAGGCTGTGATGTAAGCCTCTCTGCAGATGTCATGATATTAGAGGTTATCACTGGTGGGAAAATACATGATGTGGAGTTCATGACTTTTCCCAATCAGAGAACTATAACTCAGATCATAGGGGTCCTGTAGCAAGGTCATGGGATATGAAGCATTGAATTATAGGCCTTTTGGGAACACCCCTTGGTGTACAGCTAGGACCTGGTAGAGATAGCATGCCTAATCATGGAAGACTATGTGACTGTGAAGCCAACTTTGATATATTTATACAGTGCAACAATACTCAGCAATAAATACAGAATGAACTACCTACACAAAAGAATATGAATGAATCTCAAAACTTTTTGCTGAATGAAAGAAGACTGACACAAAATAATACATACTGCAAAATTCCACTTAAGTGAATTTCTAGTACTGAAAAAATAATTTTTAGTGTTATAAATTAGATTAAGTGTTGTTTGGGGTTGAAGTAAAAACAGACTAATTCTAAGGAGGCAGAGGGAGTCTATGGGGTGGTAGGAATGTGCCGTATCCTGCCTTGGGTAGTAGTTACATGGATTTTTACATTTGTCCAGGCTCATTAAACTGGACAGGTAACGTGTGAGCATTCTTTTGCGTGCAATAAAATTGTTTAATAAAAGGACTCAAAACCAATTTGAATGAGCCCCCACTGGCAAAAGACAGGAGAATTGGGGCATTGTCTTAGTTTTTGTGTTGCTACAAAGGAAAACCTGAACATGGGTAATTCATAAGGAAAAAATATTTGGCTCATGATTCTACAGGCTGTACAAGAAACATGGTGACAGCATCTGATTATGGTGAGAAATTCAGGCTGCTTCCACTCAGGGCAGAAAGGGAGGGCCGGGCGCGGTGGCTCACGCCTGTAATCCCAGCACTTTGGGAGGCCGAGGCGGGTGGATCATGAGGTCAGGAGATCGAGACCATCCTGGCTAACAAGGTGAAACCCCGTCTCTACCAAAAATACAAAAAATTAGCCGGGCGCGGTGGCGGGCGCCTGTAGTCCCAGCTACTGGGGAGGCTGAGGCAGGAGAATGGCGTGAACCCGGGAAGCGGAGCTTGCAGTGAGCCGAGATTGCGCCACTGCAGTCCGCAGTCCGGCCTGGGCGACAGAGCGAGACTCCGTCTCCAAAAAAAAAAAAAAGAAAAAAAAAAAGAAAGGGAAGGGAGCTGGTGTGTGCAGAGATCACATGATGAGAGAGCAAGCAAGAGAAAGGAGGGAGATGTCAGGCTCTTTTTAATTACCAGCTCTCGTGGGAACCTACAAATCAAGAATGCACTCATTATCATGAGGATGACACTAAGCCGTTCATGAGGGATCCATCATTTGAGCCAAACACCTCCCCTTAGGCCCCACATCCAACACTAGGAATCAAATTTTAACATGAGGTTTGGAGGGAGGCTGAGGCTGGAGAATCACTAGAACCTGGGAGGGGGAGGTTGCAGTAAGCCGAGATCACGCCATTGCACTCCAGCCTGGGTAACAAGAGCGAAACTCCATCTCAAAAAAAAATTATATATATATGTATATGTATATATGTAAATATGTATATGTATGTATATTTATATATACATGTATATATGTGTATATATGTATATGTATGTATATTTAAAGTATGGCAATCCCCCAAGCTCTGGAGTTTAACCCCTCTGCACCTCTGGCTCATTTGCCCTATAGCTTCAGGGAAGGTACTCACAGCAGGTGAAAATTTAGGCAGTGTGCTTGCCATAAGATGCTGTCAGGTCCAATGAGTTTGATTTCTCATGGAACTGTCCGTTGCATCAATGGTTAAAATTAGAGCTTGGTTAAGCTATTATGATGCCCCAGAATCAGAAGCATCTTCTACATTATCAATGAATGTTAATATCAGTATTCCACATATAGAGTATACTTCATAAAAATGTGATTATATCTATAAATCTTGAATGAATTTCTGCATATAATCATCAGTCTCAGGAAAGAAGAAAGGAAGGAAGAGAAGAAAGAAGGAAGGAAAGAAAGAAGGAAGGAAGAAAAATTAGAAGGGAGGGAGGAGGAAAAAAGCTTTTATCAGGTATGTGAAGAAATTTGAATGTTGACTCAATATTTGATGATTTTTAGAAATTATTAATAAAGCTGGAGGCCTTACACTACCAGCCTTCGAAATATACTACACAGTTGTAGTAAGCGAAACAGTATAGTATTGGCATAAAAACAGACACATAGACCAATGTAACCGAATGGAGGACACAAATATAAACCCATGCACTTACAGCCAACTCATTTTGACAAAGGTGCCAATAACACTCATTGGGGAGAGGACAGTCTCTCTAAAAAATGGTGTTGTGAAAATTGGATATTTATATGCAGAAAAATGACACTAGACCTCCACCTCTCACCCTATACAAAAAATCAACTCAAAATTAATCAAAGATGTAAATGTAAGACCTGAAACAATAAAACTACTAGAAGAAAATGTATGGAAAATGCTTTAGCACATTGACATGGGAAAAGATTTTATGAATGACTTCTAAAGCACATGTAACAAAAGTGAAAAATAAAAACCCAACAACAAATAGGGTTATATTAAACTAAAAAGTTTCTGCACAGGAAACAATCAACAGAGTGAAAAGACAGCCTACAGAATAAGAGAACATATGTGCAAATTACTCATCTGACTTGGATCTAATATCCAGCATATATAAGGAACTCAAACATCTTATAAGCAAACAAACAAACAAACAAACAAACAAACAAAAATCAAACTAAAATATGGGCAATTATCTGAACAGAAATTTCTCAAAAAAAAAGACATACAAATGGCCAACAAATATATGAAAAAATGCCCCAAATCACTAGTCAGTAGATAAATGCAAATCAAAACTATGATGAGATATCATTGTATCTCATGGCTATTCTCAAAAAGACAAAAAAATAAATGCTGGTGAGAATACGGAGAAAAGGGAACTCTTATCCACTGTTGGTGGAAATGTAAAGTAGTATAGCCACTATGGAGAACAACAATATGGAATTTCCCCAATAGACTACAAATAGAACTACCATATGATCCAGTAGTCCCACTACTGGGAATTTATCCAAGTGAAAGGAAATCAGTATTTCAGGGAGACATCTGTACCTCTGCGTTTATTGCAGCACTCTTCACAATAGCCAAGATATGGAATCAACCTAGACGTCCAACAACAGATGAATAGATAAAGAAAATGTGGTGTATATATACACAATGCAATACTATTCATCCATAAAAGAGAATGAAATCCTGTCATTCACGCCAACATAGATGGAAATGGAAGACATTATGTTAAGTTAAATAAGCCAGGAACAAAAAGTTAAACACTGGATGTTCTCATTCATATATGGAAGCTAAAAAAAGTTGTTCTCATAGAAACAAAAAGTAGAACAGTGGATACTAGAGGCTGAGAAGTGTAGGAGGGAAGGAGGGATAGCAAGCAATTTGTTAAAGAATACAAAATTATAGCTAGATAGAAAGATACGTTCTAATGCTCTGTACCACTGTAGAATGACTATAGTTAACAATAATATATAGTGTCAAGTAGCTAGAAGGAAGATAGTGAATGTTCCCAACACAAAAAATGATAAATGTTTGAGATGATGAATATGTTAATTACCTGATCTGAATGACATACATTATATGTGTTGAAACATCACCATGAATATGTACAATTATTTGTCAATTTGAAGAGATTAAAAAATGTATGTATATATATGCACATATGTATGTGTATACACCCACACACACACACACACACATACCCAGACACAAGAAGCTATTGTTACTTTTTTTTTTTTTTTTTTTGAGACGGAGTCTCGCTCTGTCGCCCAGGCTGGAGTGCAGTGGCGCGATCTTGGCTCACTGCAACCTCTGCCTCCCGGGTTCACGCCATTCTCCTGCCTCAGCCTCCCGAGTAGCTGGGACTACAGGCGCCCGCCACTGAGCCCGGCTAATTTTTTGTATTTTTAGTAGAGATGGGGTTTCACCGTGTTAGCCCGAATCGTCTCTGTCTCCTGACCTCGTGATCCGCCCGCCTCTGTCTCCAAAAGTGCTGGAATTAACAGGCGTGAGTCTTCGCGCCCGGCCGCTATTGTTACTTTTTAGGTGCTGATTGATATGGGTTGAATTGTGTCACCTCAAAATTATTTTGTTAAAGTCTAAACTCCCAGAACTTCAGAATGAGATCTTATTTAGAAATAGGATCATTGTAAATGTAATTGGTTAAGATGAGTTCATACAGAGTAGGGTGGGCCCCTAATGGTATTGGCCTTATATATGAAACACCATGTGAAGACAGGGAAGCAGACAGGGAAGATGATGTTAAGAGAATAGGGAGAAGATTGCTCATCTATAAGCTGAGGAGAGAAATTTGAAGAAATTCTTCCCTCACAGCACTCAGAAAGAACCAACCCTGCCAAAATACTGATTTTAGACTTCTAGCCTCCAGTATTGGGAGTCAAAACATTTCTGTTGTTTAAGCCACTCAGCTTGTGATGCTTTATTATAGTATTTCTATAAAACCAAAACACTGATGAAGTGCACAACTTTCTGGAGAAAAATTAAATGGCCAAAAGTTATCTGAGAAAGAATAATAGATCTAGTTAATGAAAAAATGCTTATCACTAATCACCAGGAAAATGCAAATTAAAACCATGATGAGATATCACCTCTCACCTGTTAAAGTGGGTATTATCAAAAAGATAAAAGATAAATTCTGGTGAGGATGTAGAGAAAAGGGGACTCTCACACACTGTTGGTAGGAATGCAAATTAGTACAGCCATTATAGAAAACAGTATGGATGTTCCTCAAAAAATTAAAAATAGAATTACTCTATGATCTAGCAATTTAACTACGGCATATATCAAAGGATATGAAATCAGTATGTCAAAGAGATATCTGCACTCACATGTTCATTGCAGCATTGTTCACAATAGCCACGATATGGAGTCAGTCTGTGTCTATCAACAGATGAATGAGTCAAAAAATGTAGTGTACATATACACAATGGAATGTTACTCAGCCACAAACAGAATGAAATCCTGTTATTTGTGATAACATGGATGAAACTGAAAGACATTATGGTAAGTGAAATAAGCCAGGCACAGAAAGACAAATACTGCTTACATACATGTGGAATGTAAAAAAAGTTGGACTCATAGAAACAGAGAGTAAAATGGTGGTATTCAAAGGCTGGAGGGTGGAGAGGTTTGGGAAATGTTGGTCAAAGGACACAAAGTTTTACTTAGGAGGAATAAGTTCAAGAGATGTATTGTACTTCATAATGACTGTAGTTAATAGCAATATATGGCATGCTGGAACATTGTTAAGAGAGTACAATTTTTGTTCTCACCACAGAAAAATGTTAAGTATGTGAGGTAATCCACATGTTAAATGGTTTGGTTTAGTCATTCCACAACGTATATACGTATATATCAAAACATCATGTTTTACACCATAAATCAAGGGTTTCCAATCTTTTGGCGTCCCTGCGCCACACTGGAAGAATTGTCTTGGGCTACACATAAAACACACTAACACTAACCACTAATGATAGCTGTTGAGCTTAAAAAAGTTACCAAAAAATGTCAGGTTTTAAGAAATGTAGGAATTTGTTTTGGGCCACATTCAAAGCTGTCCTGGGCCGCATGCAGCTCATGGGCCATGAATTGGACAAGTATGCTCTAAATATATACAATTTTTTGTTGATTAAAAAAAAAGAAGAAGAATAGAGCTAGATAGACAAATGATTATGAACCAAATTGGAAAAAAATAGGTTTTCTTCCTAGAAAGTTGTAATTTGTAGAACAGTTTTTCTGGAATGTCCATTTAAGCTTCCATGGAACCACAATTTTTATTCTATAAAAATTCTTTCAAAGTGTATAAACATGTGACCTTACCAATTAATTAACTCATGAGTGTAGATGATATTAAGGTTCTGTAGATCAAAGGACAATTCCTTCTCTAGCCTGTATTTAGGGGAATAATAAGAACAAATGTTGATAAAATACTTATGTTCTGAATTCTTTACATATATTCATTCATATAATCCTCAAAACATTCTCCAATGTATATACTATTATTATCCCCATTTTACTGATGACAAAACTGAGATACAAAGAAATAAGTAATATGCCCAACTTCACGTATCTAAGAACTGACTGAGGGTGAGATGAGAACGTGGCCATGTAGCCCTAAAGGCTACATTCGTAAAACATTTGTATACTAAGTCCCTATCCAGAACCTATTCCAATTGTAACATACATATATAGTACAAAAGGGAATGCTTAATTGCACAAATATCTGTGTATGCAAATGGTATGCTGCTTACCAAAGGTTTTTTTTTTTTAACAGTTTTTAGTGATATAGGGAAATGATCATGAACAGAAAAAACAACATGAGAAGATATGTTAAGATTAGCTTTTTTTGTGCATTTGGATTCAGTAAAACAGTAAAAGATTAAAGGATTAATTTGATTAAACATTTCAAATGGACTAAAGAACATATATTCATATAAGAAACTAAGGTTAAAAAGTAGAGCGATTTTCATAAGTAACCTGTGTGAAAATTTTATAAATAAAAGCTTTCCTCATAATCATCCTGCTTTTCCTTAATATAAAAAAGAAGCATGAATAAATATTGTTGTAATTCCTTTACTTAGTAATAATCCCTGAAGTGACGGTAATTTCTATTGAAATATAGCATGGTATCTCTTACCTCCCTTATCCCCATTCTCACTCTCTCCCACAAAGGCTTGCAGTAGTCTGTGGACACAAACTATTCTTAGTGCTTATTATTGTAAATATTGTCGTATGTCCTAAACCAACATTAAAGTAATAAATTTGACACAGAACCATATGAAGCAAATGCTAAGATTAGCAAAGTAATGTAGTTAGTGCATTCCTGTTGGAACTCTATGACAAAGCAGAATGTTATCAGTTAAAAATGACACCCCAACCACAAATGCTAGATATCTTCACACTTATGTGTTGTGAAAAAAAAAATTCTCTTTCCTGTAAAGGCTTATAGATAATTCATGCTTTTTAACACACTAAATTTTAAAGGGAATAAAAGGCAGATTACGTGTGCGCTACTATGGAATTCCAAGATGTTAACGAAGCACTCAAAAAGGGAACCTGTGCAAAAAATTAAAAAATATTATTTTTCAGTTTTATCTTCCTTTGAGTACCCCATTCACTGTTTCCTCCATTTCTCCTTCCCCTTCTGTCTTATTTAGGCTGCTATAACACAATACCATAGGCTGAATGGCTTAAACAACATTTATTTCTCACAGTTCTCCAGGTAAAAAGTCCAAGATCAAAGTGCCAGCAGATTTACTGTTTGAGGAGGGCTCTCTTCCTGATCTGCAGAAGGCCATCTTCTCCTTGTATTCTGATATAGCAGAGAGAGAGGGAGAGAGAGGGAGAAAGAGAGAGAGAGAGAGGAGAGAGAGAGAGAGGAGAGAGAGAGAAGAGGGGATGGAGAGAGAGAGAAGGGGGGGGGATGAAGGAAGAACTCTCATGTATCCTCTTATAAGAGAACAAATCACATCATGACTGCTCCACCCTCATGATCTAAGGCCCTATCTCCAAAAATCATTTGAACCCAAAAATTTTGTGAGGACACAAACATATAGTCTATGCCTTATCTTTGGAACAAAATGCCTTCTTGTTACCTATTGGCTGCCCAGAGCCAACTCCTTTTTTATAAGTAGAAAATGTAGTATTTGACTTCTTTTAGTACTATTTTGTACCCATATCTGAACATTGTGTCATGTATCCCGTCTTCTAGATACAGCTTTTACAAGTAATGTAAAGGGTGTAAAGTAACTCCAGTAGGGTATAGGCTACTAAATGAGGCATTTCCCTCCTTCTCCCACCTCCAGTCCTGTTTATGATCCAGACTGCTTCTATCTATAAAGCTGCTAACCCTTGAGCCTTGAAAGAAAAAGCTAAACACCAGCTGCCAGTCTTTTGGTTGTACAAAAAGAAGTCCTGGACAATATGAACGCTTTTTCTGGATTGGCTGCATCTATGCTTTGTCCCTGAAGTCAGGAAGTACCTTACCGGTAAGGGACTGCGTTTTGAAGTTCTTTTGATATTAATCAATGCCCCTGGCCACCCAGAACCCCATGAATTCAACACCTAAAACATTAAAGTGGTCTACTTGCACCCAAACACAATGTCTCTAACGCTGCCTTTAGATTAGGGAGCATAGGGGCCTTTAAGGCTCATTACACACAGTACCCCATGGAAAAGATTGTCAAGAAACTCTGATGGAGAGAGTATTATGAATGTCTGGAAGGACTACACCATTGAAGAGGCATTTGTTGTTACAGGAAAATCCATGAAAGCCATTAAGGCCAAAGCAATACATTCTTGCTAGAGAAAACTGTTCAGTTGTTGTGCCTGACTTCACAGGATTTACAAGAGAGCCAATCAAGAAAATCACAAAAGAGATTGTGGATATGTCCATCACCCAAAATAAAAGGTGAGGGGAGAAGGTTTTCAAGATAAAGATTTCAGAAAATTTTAAGAGCTGATAGACACTGTGTTAGTCTGTTCTGGCATTGCTATAAAGAACTACCTGCGACTGGGTAATTTAAAAAGAAAAGAGTTTTAATTGACTTACAGTTTTGCAGGCTGTACAGGAAGCATGGCTTGGAGGCCTCAGGAAACTTATAATCATGGCAGAAAGTGAAGGGGAAGTAGGTACCTCTAACATGACCAGAGAAGGAGGAAGAGAGCAGGGGGAGATGCTACACTTTTAAACAACCAGATCTTATGAGAACTCATTCACTATCACCAGAGCAGCAAGGGAGAAGTCCACCTCCATGATCCATTCACCTTTCACCAGGCCCCTTCTACAACATTAAGGATTACAATTCAACATGAGATTTGGGTAGGGTCACACATCCAAACCATATCAGACACCATGCCAGAGGAATTAACAGAAGACTCCATGATGGAGAGAGTGCTTCCAAACCAGTGCCAAATGATGAGGAAGAAGACATAGAAGAAGCAGTATTCGAAAACAAATTAACATTAGAAAATCATCAGAAGGATTCTCATTATTCAAGACTACTTTTTAACTGCTTTTATAACATGGACTCTCCTATGATATGGGCACTGACACAAAAGCAAAAGGTGGAAGAAGGATTGGTACCATATAGAAACAATTTTAGAAAAATGACAAGGAAAAAAAGTCAGAAATTACCATGTATTTTAGTAAAGTTACACTGAGTGTGCCTGCTCCACCTGCTTCTCCTTCCCCTTCCTCCACCTTTTCCACCTCTGCCACCCCTGAGACAGTGAGAGCAGCTCCCCCTCATCCTCTTCCCCCTCAGCCTACTCAGTGTGAAGACAAGGAAGATGGAGACCATTCTCCTGACCCACTTCCAGCTCATGAATAGTATATACATTTTCTCTTTCTTACAGCTTTCTTAATAGCATTTTCTTTTTTCTCTCTTATTTTATTGTAAGAATACAATAAATAATACATATAACATACAAAATCTGTGTTGATTGCTTAATGTTATCAGTAAGGCTTCTGGTCAACTAGCCTATTAGTAGTTAAATTTTGGGGGAGTCAATAGTTATATGCAGGTTTTTTACTGTTCAAAAGTCAGTACTCCTACTCCCCCTGTCAATGAAAGGTCATATATTACATATAGGTCTATATAATATATAGCATACCTGTAATATATAATATACTGAGTTGTTAAAAGGAAAGAAGAGAGAATGGATTTAGAATAGACATCAAGTGATCTACCATAACATGTGCAACATGTTGAGGCAAAGGACAATGAACATTCTGTGGACGTGGTGAACCCAACAGTGATATGCTCTTTGTTAGGTTTTTTGGGTTTTTGTTTCGCTTTGTTTTTGGTGATTCCACCCATAGCCAACTTTGGCCTCTGACAAGGTCATAGGCACATTTCCCTTCAGTATATGATTATCTGTTTATTGAAGGCATACATCATCCTTAATTTATTTTTCAAGTATCAGGGAATTTCTGTCTATCAAATGACTTTGACTCAAAATATAAGACTTTATTAAATTTTAGCTAAAACCCTGCAACCAGTGTATAACAGAGAGGTCATGGATGATCACTAATTAGCAGAGACAAGTCCTACAATCTAATTTGACATAAAGTATATCTCCACAATTGTGATATATTAATCTCACTTAAGATTGCTTGAATTATCTGACCCTAATCCCTATTAATACATCTTCTTTGAAAAACTGTTTTTGATTCTGTACCTCTTGTTATAAATTTTTCTTGTCCCTTATTTTTAATTTCTGCTACTGAATTTGTTTTCATCATTCTTCTTCCTACCATTAAAAATGATGGCATCTTTTTAGAAATGCTCATTCCAAAAAGAAAAAAAAAACTTAGGCTTTAAACAAATTCTTATCCATACTTAACAGATCAATATTTAGTTTGTTCAGTGGGTAAGAATTTTTGAATGTACATATAAGCTACAATTAGCAACTTCTCTATAACTTACTAGTTTCACAAATCAAACTAGGGTTTGAGTTTTATGTACCATTATAGACCTGGGAGAGGAGAACAGAGAAATGAAGAAGCCTATGTCTCGGGTGCTAAATACATGAAATTAAATTAACAGGTAAATTGAAATTCCTTTGACAACAAGAGTTGGTGACTGTTTTCTAAAGCTAGGAAAGCATGCTTCCATAAAAAGCACATTTTACAATAAATGGAACTATCTGGACAGACTGCACAGTGTGAATGACTCTATAAGGGATTGGTCTATTAGGTTATTTAGAATGGTTACTGTCTTTTGAACTGAAGATCCTGTTAACTAGGATTTCAGAGAGTTCTTCAGTTTCCTGGTCCTCTAAACACCCACTTAGATTCCTTGGCATGCAGAGAATTTCTTCCTTTACTCATAGACACTATTGCTTCTTGATGCATCCCTTTCCAGTCTCTTCATTTGAGAGAACAGAGATTAAACAGATTATTTCAAGATAGAGAAATAATGTTTCTAAATCCAATATTTGCCTGTGAGGAGACCTCCTGTGAAGCTGTAAACTCTTTGGAAACTGTGGATAAGGTAATATTTAGTTTCTGATAATCTTCTTCCTACAGTGTGGTTCCCTTTAATAAACCACCAGGAATTCAGTAAAATTGGGTACTTACATATAGCCTTTTGGTGATTTTGTGTGGAATTAAGGGACAGGGTTAATATTTATATAAAAGTATCATGAAATTATAAAATCATATTTACTTATAAATTTAATGAAAACGCTAACCACTAAATGGCAGCTGAATACCTTGTCTCTCAGTTGCATATAAACATCATCCTAATTTCATTTCCTCTAGGTAATTAGTGGGAAAATTTAGTTAAGAAGGTGAAAATAGTTAAAATAGCTTGTCTTAGCTTGTAGAATAGATCAATAGTAATAAAATTGAACCCAGTTTCCTGACTAATGGTGTATGAAGGGTATCAAATTATTCTCTGTGATAAAAGAGGACACTAAAGTGGTCTGTGTGGTTTCTACCATTGATCTCTGAGGTTTACACAATGTGGAGCAGATGTCTCTAATTATTTACTAACCACTCATCTCTTAACCCCTGCCACTGTGCTCCCACAATACTCCACTAAAACTCTAACAATGCTTTATCAGAAGTTACCCATTGTCTTTCTGAAGACCTATCTCTCTTCCATTTCCAGAAAGAGAAGATTGTATATTACATTGCTCTGTTTTTGAAGCATTTGTCTTTGTTTAGCATTGGAATATTTTGAAAATGCTGTTAATTCGTTGATCCTTTTTCTTCTCTGTCTGCTTCACAAGGGTCTTCTTAACTAATGCCACAAAAGGTGGGTGTTCTTCAAGGATCTGTCCTTGATTTCCTTCTTTTGCTCTTTGGACTTAAATTCTCTCTTCTCTGTTCATCGTCTTCTCCAGAGACTAAGATCATTATGTAAATGAGTCCCAAAACTGTCTCTTTGACTTCTGTATTCTAATTTCATTCTGACATTACAGATGCCAGCTAACTATTACTATGGATGTTGGGTTGCATTGATCAGAAACGTAGGCAGTGAAAAGACATAGATGTGGGTTTCTATATATATAGGGAGGTACAAAATTTAGAAAGACATGATGCAGGGCAGGAACTGATAAGTTCCATGAAAGGAGTTCGATATGCACAAGAATATTTTTCGGTTAGATTCTTTGGTAAAACTTGATTGCATGGATTCAAATAAATAGATTTCTCTATTAAAAAAAAGAGTATGTGTTAGTCACTGAGATACTAGGAGATTTCATATATATATGAAATATATAATATTATAATATATAAGGACTGTAAAAAAACTACATACAGTTTTGTTATCCTTGTGGAGTTAAAATGTGTATTAAAGGTTAGAGAGTGAGATCATATGGGGAAGAGTTTGGGTGGTAATAAAAATGAATACATACAACCTGAAAGCTTAATACATCTTGGACACTACCTGTGCCTGGCATTTCTCCCACTACTATGGTGGCAAATATAGAGTACCCATATTATATCTATTGTATGTCTTTTGCCATTACAACGCAAAAGGAAAACCCACAGGGAACTAAAAAGAGATTCAATAGCAAAGTGTCTGAATTCATTTACAATACTTCAACACCTTTCTGTGCACATCACACCCACGTTCTCCTACTAATGGTACCATGATTATTACACAGTAGGTTCAAATGGCATTACCTTTGACTTTTTTCCTGATTCCTAATATCCTGATTAAATAAGTCAGTTTTTTCCTGATTCTTCTTCTAACATAACTATTTTTTACTGATATAGCTTTACGTTCTCATCACTACTACTTGAGTTTAAACACTTTTTACCTCATAACTTGGTTATTATAAGGAGTCTCTTAATTGGCTTACTTCATCCTATGTCCTGGTCTCAGGTGATTTTTTTAAAGCACTTCTTTGATTACTTTAGTCTCTGGGACAATTGTTAAAATCTACTCTGATTCAGCAGGAAGCATAAAAGGTCCCAGCATCACACTACAGTTTGAGCTGGGGGTCCCTGATGCCTCACTGTTCAGTCCTTGGCACTATTCATGTAGTCACTGAACTAAAATGGTGCCTCATATTGGACTAAATTTCAGTACAGTGACCACTGCCCTAAGAAACAAGCAATAGACATGACAAACAGATGGATGGAGGGCTACAAATACAAAACAGAGTCCCCTATTCATGAAAGAGGTTAGGTAAATATCATTCTTAGGGCAAATTCTGCCAAAGCAAATTTGAGTAATAAAACCTTTTTATTTGATTTTTCTGAAATGATGTAATATCATACCCTCAGGGAACATAAAGGGAATTATAAGACCTATGAGGTTCTGTCTCCTCCTGTCTCTCGCTACCTGGGAAACTAACTTTATTTTACTCTTTACATTTTGGGACTTGTGTATAGTTGATGATTTCTTTCTTATATTTGTTCTTATGGACAGTTTTAGCCCTGACCACAGCTTCACAAGCCCCTTAACCATTTTGTGTCCCCTCCCTGACCATATTGCATCCCCTCCCTGTGCTATTCCCCACAGCAACTAGTCCAGAACTTTTCACACTCCACAAATCCCTCAAGCCTTCTCTCCCAGATATTATCCCTCACCTGTTTTCAGATGCAGAGGATGGTTTCCCTTATCTTACAAGACAAATATGAAGATTGTAATTCAATCTCATTATTGAGGGATTCAAATTTATGGGGCAAATAATCACAAAAACCTTCAATTGAAATGAAGTGGTTAGGCTGAAGAAACTTCAGAGAGCTGTAAATAATTGCATTTTTAACAACAGTGGAATAAACTAGTGTCCCTAGCTCTAGTCCATAGTGTTTATAGGAGTTTAGTACAAATAAATCATAGCATTAAGCTTCATATTACTGAGCTTTTAACATAGATTTTACTCATTTCTAAAAGATTTCACACCAAATAAATTGTAAATTATTTTCTCATTCATATAGTTTTGAATCCTAGTTGTGAAAGGGAGTCATCATAGAAGATTTTTTTTTTATTTTTATCCTGGTACAATATTTTTCTCCTTATTTTTTCTCCTGGTCACTGTAAAAGCCAATAAAAGCCAACGATCATTTTGCAATCACATTTCCTAGCAGAGGCTTAATGTAACTAAAACCATCGCAGGAATATTCAGAATGTGACGTATGGAATACTGAGGTTCTTATCTCAAAAGCTGATCCCTCCAGTGTTTCTTTTTAGAAAAACAATCTCAACTTTTATTTTAGATTCAGGGGTTACATGTGCAAATTTCTTGAGTATATTGTGTGATGCTGAAGCATGTTCAGGGTAATGATCCTGTTACCCAAGTAGTGAGCCTGACCCAATAGGTAGTTCTTATCTCAACAATAGTCATACAATCTTTCAACCTGTGAAAGCTTATTTAAAAAGAAAAAAAAAAGTCATACAATCTGATCATCTGCATAAGCCAAACACCTAAGCATCATCCTTGATATTTTCCTGTACCTCAACCTGCATGTGTAACCCATTTCCAAGTCCTGCTTCTTTCATCATTTGAATATTTCTCAAAGCAGTCTACTTCTTTCCCCTCCATTGCCATCACCCTTGTGCCAACCATCAACCAGACTATAGCCAGTATAAATAAGTAGCAATATAAACTAAGGAAGCAGCCAATCCAGGCACAATCTTCAGCTTTGCTCCATTTTATATGTAGTACATTGGGATATCTTTTGAATCTCAAGTTTCTCAACTATATAATGAAGACAATTTGAGTAATATCAGTATTAGCTCCATAGGTTTTTGATGCGTTAAATGAGATCATCCATAAATTGCTTAGCACAGTATTTAGCACATTCTAAAACTCCTAAATAATGGTGCCTGCTTTCTTTAGATTAGCATAGCATATTCATTATATTAATCAATACATTCTTTGAAACTGTGCTTTTTAATATGGCAGCCACTAGCCATGTGTGGCTATTGAGAACTGGAAAGGTGAATAGTATGACTTGAGATAGTCTTGAAAGTGTAGAATACATACTAGATTTGAAAAAATTGGTATTAAAAAAGAATGTGAAATATCTCAATAGTAATTTTATATTGATTACAGGTTAAAAGACTAATATTTTGATGGACTGGATTGAAATATATTATTAGATTTAATTTTGTTTCTTTTTACTTTGTAATACATCTGCTAGAAAAATTTAAGTTACATATGTGGCTCACATTTATGGTTAACATTATTTCCACTGAGCAACACTGATCTAGACTTTACTGTGTCTATTTTCTCATATTTATATCATTTATATAGAATGGCCGGCTACATTTTTAAACGGTTCCAAGTGATCTGAGTTTTTGTTTAAAACCCATATTTAAAATATGTGAAATCGAGGTCAAGAGATTGGTAGCATCCTGGCGAACAAGATGAAACCCTGTCTCTATTAAAAATACAAAAATTAGCTGGGTATAGTGACGCCCCCTTTAGTCCCAGCTACTTGGGGGGCTGAGGCAGAGAATAGCTTGAACCCGGGACGCAGAGGTTGCAGTGAGCCGAGCTCACGCCACTGCACTGCAGCGTGGCGACAGAGCAAGACAGAGCGAGACTCTGTCTCAAAAAAAAAAAACAAACAAAAAACAAAAAACAAAAAAAAAAACTGCGAAATTTGTTAGAGAAGGAGGATAAAAAATCCTGACCAGGGGTAGGAGCGTGGAATTTTAATGTTTTACAATATTGATTTTTTAAGACTATAAATCAGCTTTTTCAAACCAAGTTTTTTTTTTGTTTTTGTTTTCCTAAAGGAAGACGTATCTGTAGCTCATTAGTTTCCATTCAATACACTCCTCAATTAGTCTTAATAAATCAACTCCTGATTTTAAGGTAAGAGTCTGTCTTGAAACTTTGAATATTAGAAATGTGGGAATTGAACAATGAGAACACGTGGACACAGGAAGGGGAACATCACACACCTGGGACTGTTGTGGGGTAGGGGGAGGGAGGAGGGATAGCATTAGGAGATATACCTAATGCTAAATGATGAGTTAATACCCTAAAACTTAAAGTATAATAATAATAAAATTTAAAAAAAGAAATATATATTTATGCCTGAAGTATTGGATGTTATCTAGAAGGACTTTGGGGAAAAAATCTGGATTGAGTTAATTGAAAATTTTCACAGAGCAGAAAGTGTAGGTGATTATTGCTCATTCAACGTTAATGTTTTTAATGTAAAATAGATTTTACCAGTTGTTTGTTCTTATATACAATGCTGCAATAAATGTTCTTATAAATGTATCAGTTTTACTTAAAAAGAGGAACATGAAACAAATTTGACAAATTTTCACTTTTAGAGTGGTGATTACATGAGTGTTTATTATATTATTTCTCTGCTCTTAAAGTGATTAATTTTTCATATTAATTCCAGTAATTTGTTTATAAATTGTTTTCAGCATTACATTAGGATATTCATATCATGGCATTTTGCCTCTTGTTCCTATTATCTTTACTTATTTTTCTTGTTTCAATGTCTCGGCCAGGACCTCAGATCTGTGTTGAACTATAGTAGTGATTGCAGGCGTCTTTGTCTTGACGTCCACCAGAAAAGGAATGAATTTGAAAGGCCATTATTAAATATGACACTTATTATACAGTAGATAGCTCCCTTTTTATTAAAGAAGTGCCTCTCTTTTTCCTCATTTGCTAAAAATTTTTGCCTTAACTGTGTGAAAAATTGTATTGAACATTTTTTCAGCATCAGCTGAAAGATCCTGTATTTTTTTCTTTTTGATCATTTAATGTTTAATGCAATAGTTATTAATTATTATTGACTATTACAATCTTCTTGGTTCACATTTGCTTTCTACATATGTAACATTCATTTTCAGTCATAAATCTCATTTTGGCCTTCACTTTTTTCTGATATTAAAATTTCCATTTGATATGTTCCAGATATACTTTGCCATGCCCCCATGATCAAGTTTTCTGTGTCTTATGTTTTGTGTGTGTATCTTTTAAACAGAGTGCAGTGGCATGATCTTGACTCACTGAAACCTCTGATTCCCAGGCTCAGACGATTATCTCACCTCAGCATCCCGAGTTACTGGGATTACAGGTGTGCCCCACCACCCCTAGCTAATTTTTTGTTTGTTTGTTTTTTTAGAGATGAGGTTTTGCCACATTGTCCAGGCTGGTCTCCAACTACTGGGCTCACGCAATCCACTTGCCTTGGCCTCCCAAAATGCTGGGATTACAGGAGTGAGCCACCGCAACCGGCCAGTAGTTCTTCTTTTAAATACAATCTGAGAGTTCTTATCTTTTGATTAGTAAGTTTTTTTTTTATTATTATACTTTAAGTTTTAGGGTACATGTGCACATTGTGCAGGTTAGTTACAAATGTATACATGTGCCATGCTGGTGCGCTGCACCCACTAACTCGTCATCTAGCATTAGGTATATCTCCCAATGCTATCCCTCCCCCCTCCCCTAGTAAGTTTTATCTACTTTAGTCAGTTTACCATAAATTATTTTTTATTACAATTGCATTAAAAGTTGTTTGTCCTTCTAGTTTGTGTTTTTTTCTACTCTAATTTTCAAAATGTTATGTTTCCTGTCTCCCTGATTTTAATAAGATGATTCTTATGAATTGAACTATATGCATTCTATCTTTATTATTTTGGTAGTAATTATTAATTTATTAAGATTATTTTAACAAATATTATTTGATCATTGACTATATCCCAGGAAATGCTTTAAGCATTGGAAAATAAAACAGATTAATATCTTGTTTATGTTTCCATATCATATCTGCAACCTTATAGATAGCTGTGTTTTCCCCCTGAACAGAACCAAGTGTTAACACAATTCCTTCCCCACCTTTCTCTCTTCTCCCCAAAACTTTCACAACATTAGTATCAGTTGAAGTATTAGTATTGTACTTTTATCCTTACACAAACGATTAAATTATTGTTTATTTGGATAAATTCTATTCTGCTTTTTACATGTTCTTCCCTTCCATAACAATTTCTTGCTTACAAAATCAATTGCTTCCTTTCAAAAGCTAAACCTCTCAGAATTCTTTCAGAGATTCTTCATGTTGCTAGACTCTCTGAAAACTAATATTATATTTGCTTGAACATTGAAATGATAGCTTAACTGAATGCAATATCAGGTTTAAATTCTTTTCCTTGAAAACTTTATTGCATTCAGTGTTGTTGTTGTCGAGTCTAATAGGTACTGAATTTTAGTTTCCTGTGGATAATCTAATTATTCTCTTTGAAAATCTTGAGAGTTTCTCCTTGTCTTCAATAATCTTAAATGTCACTATAATAAGTCTAAATGAGGATTTTTTTGTACTTATCTCTCCTATTCAGTTCTTGATGTGCCCTTTTAGTATTAAGTCTTACATCTTTCATTAATTTTAACAACTTATCATTAATTTTTTTCTTTAAATATTTTCTCTACATGTATACCTTGCCTTTCATCCTAGATGGGCACTGCAATTTCTATTATTATTCTCCATATCTTTTGACTTCTTTTTTATTCTTTCTATCTCTTTATTTCCTGCTAATGCTTTTTGAAAGACTTTTTCAACCTTATCTTCCAGCTCAATAAATCATTCTTTAAGTATATTCAACAAGTTCTCTTCAATGCAATAAGTAACTAAAAAAAAAAAAAGAAACGGAAAACAGATCCACTTTATGATAACAACAAAAACTACCAATTGCCTAGGAACTAATCTAGCAAAGGTTGCCCAAGAGGTTTATATAACTTTTTTCTCTCCAGTTCTTGGCCAACTTCTAAGCTAAGCTTCCATGGATGAGTATCCATAGAATGAGGCTCTGGGAGGGATAGCAAAGACCAACTTCTAGGAGGCTAAGAGATGAACACCGATTTCAGAGGTAGAGTAGCAGTTTGGAGAGATTGGAGTGTAGGCCCAGGCAGAGTAGAGAGACTTCAGTGAAGAAACCATATATTTATCTAAAATCCAAGAAAGTCCACATCTAAGATTAAGAACATATTCTAGGAATAGCGGCTATATCCTAGAAGTAGAAATACAATTGAAATAGATCAGTCCTAACAAAATCTAACAGCAAGTTTTAAAGATTCAAGGGCTTCACAGGTAATTTAACTGCCTGCCAGGACAAAACTCATGTTTTGGCAAAGTTAATAGAACCTCCATATAAATTATATACAATGTCCAGATATGCAAAGAAATAAGAAAATGTAAGAGGAAGAGTGTTTAAAAATAGTCGAGAGAAGTAGAACTCAAGATTATCCAGATATTGGAGTTATCAGGTAAGACCTTTGGGATAACAGTGTGTAACATGGGGGAAAAATTGACAAAAATATTAGAAAGAGTAGTTTATACATTTTTATACATATGTATAGATTATTAGAACATTTAAGATAAATCAAATGGACTCAGCAGAAGACATGATTAAAGATCAAAAGAGAGGACACACATTAAACACAAAATACTAGATGCATGTAAATGGGAAGAAGATGGAAATTGAATAGGCATACAAAAGAAAAGTAATTTTAAAGAAATGAACATGAGGACAATAAAAGACCTTGTATATGACATGGAATTTAGCAAGGTAAGCATCAAGAAATGTATTTGATTTCATTTTGTGTATTTGAAATCTTTGTAAGGAAGGAGGTGTGGGGAGAAATCTGTATTGACTTTCTTCATTGAAGGCTAAGAGTTTTGACTTTAAAAAGTCAATTTATTAAACTGTTTTAAGTATATTAAGATTTTCTATTTCTCCTTGAATTGGTTTTACTAGTATATAATTTTGTAGGATTTTGCCCATTTTATCTGCTTTCAAATTATTAGCAAAATATTATGTGTGATATTTTATTTGTGTAAATCTTTACAGTAATTACAGAGATATCATCTTTTGTGTTCTAATGTTTATTTGTACCTTTACAACTTTATAAAAATTATTGAAGTTTGTCTACTTAATTTATGTTTCTCAAAAAATTTTGTGATGGTTATTTTATTAACTATATCTATTGTTTTTTTGTTTTGTTTGTATTCATGCTCACTTTTTTACTTTCTTCTATTTTCTTGAGGCTTGTTCTATTTTATCCTAGATTTGAGTTCATTAATTTAAAATCTGTCTTATAATTTAATAAATGCAATTAAGATGATGTGTCTCTAATTAATCCATTTAAGTGCACCCCACAAGATTTGATATGTGGTGCCTTCAGTTATTCCTTTCTAAATATTTCATAATTTCCATTGCCAAATTTTATCATTTAAATTATTTTTACATTTATTACTCTCTATATACATTGTTATATTAACAATTCATTTCCAGTTTTATTTTACAGTGATTCAGGAAAATGGTCTTTATTATAGCATCTCTTCATTTTTTCCCCAAGAAAGGATGTAAAAGACCAATCAGTCAGAGTCAGCCTCATAATGGTTGCCAGATTCAAGCACTAAACGGCTTTAAGGGAAGATGGTTAAGTGAAACAAACAAAGGCACCCACTTCTGTGACTAGTGCCCAAACCGAGACTGATATTCAACACCTTTCTCCTTCATCACCCATTTTACATTTGTTCTACCCTTGGCCATCCTGTTGGCTGGTCTGAGTGGCTTGCTTGGCAGGGAGTCTCAGAACTTTACACGTTATGAGTCAGAACTTTACCATTTAGTGTCCATTTCCTTGTGTGGCAGCCATATTACAGATGGACCCCCAGTGATGCACATCTCCCAGTATTGAAGCTCTGGTGTAGTGCCCTCATGCATTAAATAATATCTGTCCCTGTGTGACTGACAGAATATAGCAGATGTGATCATGTATGACTTCAGAGGCTGGGTTATGAAAGGCGTTGCAACTTACACCTTGGTCTCTTGGAAGACACACTCCTGGTTCTCTGGGCTACTGCATAAGACATCCATCTACCTTGAGGATAATATGCTAGAGAGACCCTATTCAGAGGCCCTGAATCATATGAGTGCCTGAGACCACATAAAGAGAAAGAGATGCATGGGCAGTCCCCAAATTCTCCAGCCCCCATACCTTCAAGTCATTCCAGTTGAGGCCACAGACAATTTATATAGCAAAGATAAGATGTTCCTGCTGAGCTCTGCACAAATTATACATTATAAACAAAACAATGTATTGTTTTAATCTTAATCCACTAAATTTTACAGAGAAATATATAAACAAACACCTTTTCTAACCATTGTTGCTGTAGTTATCCATTTACGGTTACCATGGGCATAAAAGTTCATAAATTCAGTGGGTTCTAGACAACACCCTCTGGGTCCTCATTATGTAACAGCTGTAGACTATCCTAGTAATTAGGATTGATTACTCCCACTGACATTGTAACTTCTTTCTTTGCTTGCTGGTCCACCAGCATAAGGATTGGCATCAGTCTTGTTTGCTTTTGCATTAACATATCATATCAGTCTGCCTTTGCACTAGCCTAAGTTCTTTTCTTCTAGGTTGGTTGACTATTGGGAGTACCACTTGAGGCCAAAGGTGTAAGCTGAGATAGGAGTGTCTGTACAGAAGAGGTAAGTAATGTGGATGTCTAGGCCACACAACTGTGTGATTTACCAGTGTATTCTGGATATGCTCAGGCTGAAACTCAAATATCATTTCTGCATATACCCAACATAAAAAATGATGGATCTGATTATACTCAGTTCAGAAAATTAAACCCCAGTGGCATAGTCACTTAGCATCCCGTAGTCAGGCCATCCGTTTCTAGTAGAATACAGTATAATGACAGGAATGTTTATTCAAATTGAGAATAGTTCTTTTACAGAGAAAGAATTATCTTTCTCTAAAACCTAGAAACTTCTCAAACTCATAGCAACCTGTCTCCATACATATCTCTACCTCAAGCCAGTCTGCTCTGTTATAAGTCCTAAGTGGCTAGACGCCTCAGGCTGGATCTTCTGCAGAACTCTCTCCCATTAGGCATCTCTCAAAATTAACAGCTTCCAAGTCACCAAATAATAGATGAGTCAGAGTAGTGACATCATGTTCAGTCCACCTCCAAAATCAAAAGAGGACTATTAAACACTGTGTATCTTTCAGTTAAGTGTCAGCTGTAAAGTGCAAAAATTTATCCTTAGTCTTACAAGGGATGTTGTGCCATGTTACTGACCACTGGACCTCCAAAACTGTGGCCATTCCTTGACTCTTCATAAGGCTTATCTCTAATCCTCTGACACCTCTGACAACTACTATACTTCTCGTGTCCTGCTCACCAAGTCCGATTGTCATGATGTTATCAGTTTACTGATCTAGTGTTATATTCTAGAGATTGGCAAGATAATCAAGATATCTGCATTTTCTATTGTGAAAGAGAGCAGGACAGTTTGCATATCCCTGGACTTGAGAGTAAATGGGTGCCGTTGTTTTTACCATGTGAATAAACACAGAACTTGATTCTCTTTATTAAAGAGAATTGGAGAAAAAATTTATATGCAAGATCAGTAGTCTTATAACAAGTGCCAAAGCCTGTGTTAATCTACTGTCACTTAACTTAGTGGTAGCTCCAATAGCAGCTTCTGTGGCAGATGGTATAATATAGCAGCTGTGAAGCTGTGATCGGGACTGCCAATTGGATAAATTTATAGTAATGTACTGTCATCTACCACGATCCATTTCATTTTTGTAGGGTACATACAGGTGAATTAAATAGAAATATGATGTGGGCCATCACCCCTACATCCTCTACATCTTTGATAGTGATACTAATCTCAGCATTTCTTACTGTGATATAACATTACCTCTGATTTATAATTTTCCTCAGGATGGGAGTGTGGTTTCTGGGTCTGCTACTGGCTCTTGGTGCCCTAATAGCTTTTATTCCACAGACCATAATGTATGGGTTCTGCCAGCTGCTAAGTATTTCTCTTTGCATACTGCACGTGAGGACCAGGGAAATAGCCACAGGTTAGGTCCAAATATACTTGGATGCACTGTGAAATGGACTTGGGTCAAACTCTACCTGGCCTCTGTAAACTCCCATTTAACCAGAGTACTGCAATTGTGCTTCAGATCCCGTGACATCAGTGTCAGCTCAGAACTTATATCTAAATGTCCTAGAAATGTCTGTGTTGTCCCATTCCCCAGCACTGTTACCCTGGAAATGGTTTCAGATCCCCTTGGAGAATAATCAAGGGAATATTTACTGTATATACTTCAGATGGCATTGCAGGTTCTTTTTTTTCTCAAGGGGACCATACTCTTCAATCAATTACTTCTACATTTGCGAACTAAATTACATTGGAAATTGGGTATGGAACCAGAGTTTTCCAATTTAGCAGCTGATGTCAGCCTTCTGCCCATCATCTCTTCCTTCCCTCTTTCTCATGTCTATCTATCTCATTTCTAAGAACACCATGACCCATTAACTATTACCACAGGTGAGAAGGCCAAGACAAATTGATGGCAAGTCTAGCAATTTCACCTGACTTGCCTCTGATGCTTGAGTGTTGTATCAGCTGGGCCCAGTTCAACAGCAACAACTCCTACCATCAACCACAGCTAGCAGAGCACAGCTGCCAGCAAGATGTCGGTACCCTCAAAACTTCATTGCTTATGGAATGTCGTCTGGACCACACAAGAATCTTAATCAGGGTGTGCGTACTCAGGTTGTACATAGTAAATCCATTCTAACATTCCCATATCTTCAATTTTTCTCACTCCTTCCTCAATACCATGTTAGGATATTCCAGATTTTTCATTGTATTTGCTATATTGAAGCCTCAAAGAGGTATCCCAGAAGAAAATTTTGGGGTAGACATCAGTGTCATTTCTAGATCATCAAATTCAAAGGCTTTTGTGATTGCCTTTATTCAATAAATTCTCCCATACCCAGCCTAATATTGCACCTCTTTGGGTATAAATCTGAAGCTTTATTCTGACATTTGCTTCTCAGGTTGCTGACAGTATTGATTAGTCAGGTGTGTCAATTCCTTTGACATAAACTATTTTCTCCTGAAGATGGATTATACTTCTCTGCTCTGCCTGTGCTGAGGCCTAACCCTAGCTACTGACTAGACGCAATAAAGGGAGGTGGGTAGACCATGAGGGAAAGCATTATCCGGAGAGGCACTCACCTCTGATTATGTCATTGTAAAATCTGAGGCTTGGAGAAGAGGGCTTCTTCTGCCATCCTGGAAATTCAATAGAACTTGTGAGTTCAATATTTTCAGGCTTGTTTACCCAAATTACCCTGTTTCAGGTCTCAACATTCCATTCTTTCCTATGAAGCCACTGACTTTAGCATAGGGGCCTCTTGAGTCTTTGCGTTCAGGATACATCGAGGCTCTGCCACTCTTTCAGTAAATCCTGAGCCTGATTTTCAGCACATTCTTATGCCACAGGAGAGGAAAGTCTCCCTAAAAACTTCCCCGGAAGTTCTTCAGATTTCACCTTGTTCCGTGTTATGGCATTTGGCTGACCCGAGCTGAGAATTTTATATTTTCAACATCTATAATGCTTAAAGAGAAGCCATTCTACACAATCCTTATGATGATTGCTGACCTCATACTTTTAAAACATCACAACTTTCATATATGCTAATGCTTCCCCTTTCACCTGCGTTTCATTCCAATTCAACAAAGGTTAAAACTTCCATAATCATGGTACCACTGCTAACCAGGAATTTTCAGTATCCTATTTACCACTAGCACTGAAATCCTCATTGCTAGAAGGCCAGTGAGTAGTCCAGTTCTAAAATCCCATCTTTATGGTCTGCTTTCTAAGAATATTCCTATTACCGACTCTCTTGCCCTGAGCTCTGGAGAACAAAGCCTAAGACAAAGACTTAACTATTATTACCTTGTTAGAAAATGCATTTCCGGGGTATAGGAGTGAGGGGAAAAGGGAGGGAGTAAGGGAGAAAAACCAATACAAGGATAGGTTTCCATGCTGGCCACCACTTTGTAACATGACTGTTAGCTCATCCATGTTGCATTGTTTTTCCAGAATCTACATAAATGAGTGAATATTAGGGTCTTTTATCCAGCAAAGAGAAGGTAAAGAATTCATCCAATCTCTCTCGTCTCCCATTAATTTAAGTTAGACTTCAGGGGAAATTGATTCCCTTGCACACAGGGGTTGCACATAAATGAGGGGGCCAGGAAGATACTAGCAGACCTCATACCTCAGCATCAACATGAAAATCTGGGACAGGTGGCAAGATGCTACCCCTCCTTTTATGCCTAATAAGAGACCACTGACCATAGAGTGCTTCTGACCAGTCTATGGACAATGTACATTAAGAGTTTGTGTATCCTCTGCTTCATATTTGATGTCAGAGGGCTGAAACCTCCACCCTCAAATCGCTGCTATTTTCTGAACATGGACAACAATGAAGCTCAGTTGCACTTCTGTATGTTTCTCCTTTCATAAATATTCATTACTCCTCCTCTAGCTTATTGAATATATGTATTTGGCCACCTTGCTCAGCATACATGCCTATTCCCTTTGCCCCTCTCTAGCAGTATCTGTTTCTGGTTCTGTCTGGAAGCTGTGTTTCCTAGCCTGTCAGAATGGCCATCCTGCAGGCTACAACCCTGTATAAGAAATAAAGCCTCTTCTTTTTTTGAATTTATAATTTTTTTAAGTTAGCAGTCTGAAACAAGTGGGCAAGTGTCCACAGACAGATGAAGCCAAAAGATATAATGTGACACTTACATATTCAAATTTTTTAAATTCCGATTGTTTCAGAAAAGAGTACATAATTGCATTTTTTGTAATTAGCTCTGATGACATTTGTCTATTGATATTTAAACTATGTTAGCTGTAATAACTGAATTTACATTAACTTCTCATTGAGTTGTATACTTTGTGCTATTTTTCTCTAATCTTTGTGTTCAGTAATTTGCAATCTGTACTATGCTTTGTTTGCTACTGTAATCAGTAGTAGTTTTAAAAGAATGGAGCATTTTAAAATTTTGCTGTGGGCTTCTTTATATATTTAATAAAATTCTAGATTATGTATTTTTTTCAGCTTCAAATGTAACACAGAAGTGTAATTTTAACCTCTATCTATGTAAAACAAGAAATTTAATGTGCTTCTAGTGACCCATCTCTACACTTACAGATCTTTCTTAATTTATTATGGAGTATAGATTATAGGTTAGAGGTATAGCTTATTAAGCTTTAATTATTTTCTAAAATTATATTCTTTTTCAAGTGACATTTATTACACTATATTAAATTATATTAACATTTGTACAGAAATTATTTGAATTCACTTATATCAATGCTCACCATAAGAACATTTATACCAAATTTTCTGGTTCTTCTCAATTTTAATTAACTTTTAGCCCCCTGGATTATTTGCTTGAGTAAACTTTTCAGGGGTCTATGTCAGTACCATAATTTATGAACCCTTGCATATCAGAAAATTAAAATAAAAATCAGTTGCCACTTGCTACTTGGCCTTGTCACCCTGCAGAAAAAGAAAAAGGAAAATAAAAATCTCATTAAACACTTTCCATTATCTTTTTGTATTTGGTCTTGCCAAGGTTAAATTTTAAAGCCAGCCTGGAACGTATGTTAGCTTTCTTGTATTTTTTTCTGGTTTCTAGGTAACCTATATATTTGGGAACCCAGGTTTTAATAATTTCTTTATTCTTAACATTTCTAAAAGTTTATCAGGATATGTGTTACTAAATATTTTTAATTAGATTGCCTGCTTCAGTTCTGCATGTTTTAAAATAATTTATTCTGCTTCTTATAGCAAAACCATTTCAAGAAGTGTTTTAGGATAATTCTCCCCTTCTCTTAAGATGAAGAATTTCATCCATAAGTCACAGTTTGTTTGCATCTGCTTTCTTTATTCAAGATAGGTGTTGTTTATTCACTTGTATATTGTTCTGTGTGTTCATCCTTGAATAAAGATTACTCACTCCTACTTAATAGGCCTGGTAATAGACACAAAGAAAGTGAAATATTTAGGAATACAGTTAACAAAGGAGCTGAAAGATCTATACAAGAACTACAAAACACTGCTTAAATAAATCAGAGATGATACAAATAAATGGAAAAACTGCATGTTCATGGGTTGGAAGAATCAATATTTTTAAAATGCCGTACTGCCCAGAGCAATTTACAGATTCAATGCTATTTTCATCAAACTACCAGCATCATTCTTTACAGAATTAGAAAAAAGTATTTTAAAATTCTTTTTAAAAAGAGCCCAAATAGCCAAAGCAATGCTAAGCAAAAAGAACAAAGCCAGAGGCATCATATTACCCAACTTCAAACTATACTGTAAAGCCACAGTAACTATAAAAGGTTGGTACTGGTATAAAGCCATACACCTACAACCATCTGAGCTTCGACAAGGCCAGCAAAAACAGGCAATGGAAAAAGGAATCTTTATTTAATAAATGGTGCTGGGATAACTGGTTAGCCATATGCAAAAGATTGAAGCTGGACCCCTACCTTTCACCATAACAAAAATTAACTCAAAATAGATTAAATATTTCTCAAACTATAAAAATTGAGGAAGACAACCTAGGAAATATTCTCAACATAGGCCATGGTGAAAAATTTTTGGCTAAGTCTCCAAAAGCAATTGCAACAAAAACAAAAATAGACAAGTAGGAACTAATTAAACTAAAGAGCTTCTGCATAGGAAAAGAAACTATCAACAAAGTAAACAGACAACCTACAGAAGCGGGGAAGATGCTTGCAAACTATGGATCTGATAAAGGCCTAATACCCAGAATCTGTAGGGAACTTAAACAAATCAACAAGCAAAAGCCAAATAACCGCCATTAAAAAAAATGGGCAAAGGACATGAACAGACACTACTCAAAAGAATACATACAAGTGGCCAACAAACACATACAAGTGATGAAAAAACACTCATCATAATTAATCACCAGAGAAATGGAAATCATAACCACAGTGAGATACCATCTCACACCAGTCAGAATGGCTATTATTAAAAAGTCAAAAACAACAGATGCTGGCAAGGCTGGGTCAAAAAGAGAATGCTTATACACAGTTGGAGGAATGTAAATTAGTCCAGCTGCTGTGGAAAACACTCTGGAGATTTCTCAAAGAACTTAAAACAGAGCTACCATTTGATCCAGCAATCCCATCACTGGGTATATACCCAAAAGAAAATTAATCATTCTACCAGAAAAACACAGCACTCGTATGTTCATTGTCACACTATTTACAATAGCAAAGACAGGGAATCAACCCAGGTGTCCATCAACCATAGATTGGATAAAGGAAATGTGGTACATATACACAATGGAACACTACGCATCCAACAAAAATGAATGAAATCATATTTTTGCAGCAACGTGGATGGAGCTGGAGGTCATAATCCTAAATAAATTAATGCAGAAATAGAAAAACAAATACTTCAAGTTTCTGCTTGTAAGTGGGAGCTAAAAACATGGACATAAGTATGGGAACAACCAGACACTGTGGACTACTGTAGAGTAGAGAGAATGGTGAGTGGGTTAAACAACTACCTATTGGGTACTATGCTCACTACCTGGATGACGGGATCTATACTCCAAACCTCAGCATCACATAATATTCCCATGTAACAAATCTACACGTGTAACCCCTGTAACTAAAAGTTGAAATGAAAAAAAAGGGACATAGGCTTCTGTAGGTATCTCTCACTACCTACTTAAGTGTTGACAGAAGCCTCCTTGTATTCTTAAATCAGAAGGCAGATTAATGTATGTAACTTTCTGAACAATTTCTAGCTTTAAGTATGCTTGACTATAGTGAAAAGGAATCCTAATCTGTTGCCTTCTTCTGTCTTCTAGGTTGATACTTTATTTCTGGATCATTCAGATTGTCTTGTCTTTAAATTTTTCCCCCCTGAAACAGTATTTAAGAATCTTATATACCTCCCAAGCATTGCTTATAAGTACTGTCCTTGCCTACGGTTGATATCACATTGCAAGTTTCCATGTAACATTTTTCCCAACCCTTCTTTATTCATGTTGTTTTACAAGGAACCACATTTTCTGTGTGTTTGATGGATATCAGTACACAGAGGGTAGTAAAATCTAAGGAAGCAATGTCCCTAGCTACCACTAAAATTAAATTATGTTTCAGGAAATGGATGGCTGTTTGAATTTGTGATTGGCAAAATCCCTAAATCTCTGTAATAGGGATGGGCAGTGGGTCAAAAATGCAGCCTTGTTCAGCCTTCTTCCTCCCAAGTGCTGCTCACATTTAAGGGACAATATATGCAAAGGCCTCCAATTATTTATCAGTCCAGCCAGTTCCCATGGAAACAGCTTCCAGACTTTGAGAAGTTGTTTTCCTTCAAGTATTGTTTTGACTCAGTAACTTTTCATCTTCCTTCATTTCAATGAGATGATGTGATGGGGTGGCTTACGTGATATTTAAAGTGACCATTTTTATTATCAAGGCAGACAGCATCTGCACTGACTTTGTACAAAAATGTCACTTTAGGGCTTAAATTACTAATATGTGAAATGGTTATATTACTCTCCCTCCCAAATTAAAGATCACTGGCTATTAATTGTTCTCTATATTCAGAGTGGCTGACAGCTAGAGCAGAAGTCCAAGAGTGAGAAAGAAGCTCATTGTTTGGCTCTATAAATAAATATCTCTTCAATAGGGTATCTTACCATCAGATAAAATAAATGAGTCAGAATTCACACACACACACACACACACACACACACTCCAACCACCAGTGATGACAAGTTTAAAATAAATACATCCTTAAATCATGTTTAATGGGATATATTTGTACCTATTCCCTAAGGAAGTAGACTTAGAATGGGGACATTTGAAGGAGGAGTTAGAGATAAGTAGCATTGAGTGCCCAGAAAGTCATGGTCCCTTTCAGGCTCCTTGAGTACATGTGTGTGCATACATAGGCACATATGACACACATCATCACACTCACACTGAGAAAATAACAGGATTCATCTCCTTTATTCATAAAATTTGAAAGTTAAAATGTATTTAACAGTTTGATAACTAAAAGATCATAAAAGATCAGCCTCAAAATCACAATGAAATAACTGATTTTTTTTCTGAGATTTGATTGTGTTAAGTGTCTGTGGGTCCCTCAGATTAATCCTTTAAAATGGATACTTTTACCAATTTAATGGATATTGTATGAATTTTGATGCATTTAAGCATATGACATAGAAGTCTGTTTCTGCAGATTAACCTTATAATAGCAATGCTTTTATAGCAGGAAGTGTGAAGGTAGGGAGTCTAGGCCCCTTCTATTTTTTTGCTCCATCATCTTTATAGGAAAGCTTTTATCTTCTTGCTTGTCAAATAGCAGCAAGATGTCTTCTCTTTCATCAGCTGTGCTGTAGGCTGGAGAAAGAGAAAGAGACAAAGGGTTGTCTATATTAGAAAAGCAAAAACATTCTAAGAAACCCCTAATGGGTCCATACCTAGTCTCATTGCCTACACTTACATTACATGGCCATGCCTGGTGCCAGGGAGTCCGAGAAGGTGAATATTTTATCTGGCATAAAATTTGAGCAGCAAGGAGCTCTGTCACTAAGGAGGAAGTAGAGAATAGCTTTAGAGTAGGAAATTATTACTGTCTAAAGATTCATTGGTCTCAGGATGCTGTGTAATCACAACCAGTATTTCTAGGCAATTTTCAGGATAAAGTTGACTGTGGATACCTATTCAATTTTGCTGTTTTGGAGGGTTTTCTTTTTTATGGATAGCCATTGTAACAAACATTTTTATATACTTTATTCTTTGCATCATATGAGTGAGAAGGAGGTCATTCTAGGCCATTAATAACTTTTGTGTACTAGAATATTCTTTTTTACATGCTTCATTTAAATGGTGGCTTTAGAGTCCATGTTATGACCAATACTAATCTCTTTTGGACGACACTTAAATTCTAAGTTGCAGCACCTATACCCAAAATCTAAGAATTTCTTAATTATCTCTATCAGTTTCAAATGACTTGTTTTTTTAATGCCCACATACTGATAATAGAACACTAAATATTTAAACTGAGGAACATTCATACAAGAAGCTGTTGTTTTTTGTACAGCTCTACTAGCCTTAACATCTAAAATTCAGTATTTGATAGAAGACTTTTAAGATCTTAAAATTGTTACCTCTTAAATATTTTACATACTTATAAAAATATTTATTAATTATATTCTATATTCCACCAAAATGCAAATCTTAGGTTCTCTACATTTCTCAGAATCAGTCTTTCATATTGATAATTAAGATGGAGAGATTTTTCAATGACAGGTTATTGAAAAGAGGAAGAAAAGGAGCAGGAAAAGAGAAGAGAAAGTGAAAATAGGGTATCTGTTCTAATGTTCTTTCTAAGTGATACTCAGAAGTGAACACAGTACAATTTCCTGAATGCAAATATAATAATAATTCATATGTAATGTAATTTGATATTACAGATTTACATCCAATTTCAAACGCTGTGTGAATTCAATTAGAATTAATTTTATCTTGTCTTACACATATTATTGAATACATTTTTCAAATATAATTTTGATCCTGTTGATTTGAGATGATTTGTGTTTCATAAACATTTGCATCCAAGTATGATATATGACAGGGTGTCAAATATATCACGTGATACACGAGGTTTAGATAAAATAAGATATTCTCTAATTATAAAACAAAACATGTAGAATATTGCATACAAAGTCCTTACCTTATTCGCTTACAGCTAAAGCATTGAGGAAAAAAGCATACACAGAAATTCAATCAAGAAAATAACCAAATAGACATTTAAAACAAAGAAACCCTGCAAAAGAAAATGTGCTCCATATGATACACACGCGTACAGATAAATGTATATTTTAGTTATGTGATATATAGGGATATAAATACATGATGGTATTCTAAAGAACAGAATTGGCAACATTAAATCACTAAGTAACTGTTTTCTCTCATAATGTCCCTTAAAGTCTGCTCTGTAGGGTGATACTCCTCCCCCTAGATAAAATCTTGGTCAGTTCTCCATAGTTATATTAAGTAATAAAATCTTCCTAGTACTTTAGTCATTTAAACTATTCCAGTTTTGAAACTGATAGGTACAGCCAGAGCAGAACAAAAACTCCAACTTTCATTCAAAATTAAGGCTTCTGCACTTGCCTAATCTGCCATGCTACAGAAGGCTGGCCTACGGTATGAAAGTAGGGCCCAGACACTTTTCTATTTTCCCAATTTATCATTCTTCCCCTCCTCAGTTGTTAACTTACACAGTTTATGATGACACCAGGGTTCAAGACGGTGAAGGGAAGACATGTAGGGGCACAAGAAAGCGCGTTTGTTCTGGTGCTTTGTGAGCTGCCGTTGTTGCTGCCTAGGTCTGGCAGGGGTCAAAGCTGATACTTGTTCTTCTTTCCTTTGCAGAGTGTTTCAGTTCCTTCAGGGTTTTTCAGACCATCCATTCCTCTCCCCATTTTGCTAAGGATCCCTTCCTTGCCTGCACTTCACTGACCATAATATGGGTCTCAGCAGTCTATCTCTCCATAGACTCTATCTGTTGGGATTCTACCCTCTTTTAGGGGCCCTTTGGGAAAAAGTCAATTTAAGATGACTCCACGCCAGCTTTCAATCACATTTGTGTGGTCCACGCCTTCTCTATGTATATTTGGTCATGTTCAATTGTAATTTACTCCTCAAAATGAAGCCGTCTATGCTGTTGTCACAAGTGCTATTCTTCAGATGTAGACAGATGTGTTTTAATTAATAAAATCAAAATTAAAAGTATCACTAATTAATAGTTTTTTAATCCTGTAATCATGGAAACAAAACATTAAAAACTATCATGTGTGGTGGACACATTTATTGATGTTAAAAACATTGGGGATCATCAAAATAGGTGAATAACTTCCTTTTACAGATAAAAAGCAAAGAATCAATTTAGTAAAAGTTGTTACTGGCCACGGGCAGACCAAAGCCTTTTATGATGCACTCAAAAGAGGCTGGGGTCTGGAGTCAAACCTAATGAGGTTTCAACCTTATCTCTACTATGTATTAGTTATAAGAAGTTGGTTAATGAGGTTTCAACCTTATCTCTACTATGTATTAGTTATAAGAAGTTGGTCAAGTTGAACAAATTATATAATCTCAGTTTCTTCTATGAAATGGGGATAATAATATCTATGACAATTTTGATGATCAAATAAAATGTAACACATATGGCATCTGTTGTACAGAAACTTCTAAATGATTGCTATTTGCATTGTCCAATACTGGTCAAATTATTTTTATAATAACTGTGGCCTCTTCCAATATTTGTTTTACTTCTGAATTAAAAATAACATATATATGAACATATACACATACATGCATAAATATATTTCTCAAGTTATTAAATTATTACTATGCAATAGTTACCAAGTGTATATGTGATGCATTATTAAAATGAGAACCTTTGTTTTGTTATGCTATCAAAAACAGACTTTAAACTATGCCTTGTTTTTTTTAGATAAAGCAAATAAACCAGTAAAAACAGGCTAGTACTTCTATTGAATTTATATATTTGGGGTTAGCAAACTAAGTAGAGAAGCTCTGGCTTTTCATGAAATAGGGGCGAGATGGACAATTACAGAAAAGTCTGCCACATCCAAGGTCTTGCTGGGAGAAAACTCTAAGAATTCAGACACATAGTCACAAAGCTTTTTATGTTGCAAATCCTGTTTATTTAAATATTTACAACTCCTCATTATCTTTGAACAAGTTATCCATGCTTGTAGCCAAGCAATAGTTAAGCTATTGCTAAACAGAGTCCCCAGAATTGCATCTGTAGCTACTGTATTCATCCAAAGGGAGGATACTAGTATTGTTCCCACATAGATAGTATCACTATTTCCTTCATTGTTTATAACCCTCATTTTATATATATATATTTTATATGCATATACATATGCATTATATATGCATATATATTTTTTATATATGCATTTATTTCAAAATTCTCTCTGTAATGAATGCTTTGATTTTTCCATGTGGGATGAGCTTTTGTCATCTGATTGTTCTACTCCAACACAAATTCAAAACAGCACAGCAAAGATCTATAAAATATCTAGATTACAGCTCTAGATAATCTCTCTAATATCTAGAATTCTAAGATATGTTATCTTTAACTATTAATGGGATCTATTTAAGACTGCTCTTTTCAAGATCAGTATTATTACTATCTATGTCCACTGTATATAGACAATGGATATTTTTCCTTCGAAAACATGAAAAGGGAATTGTGGCTTATTGAAAGTATTAGTATGAACTCATGAATTTAATATGTTTAAATGTACTTAATATATCACATATACATACATTCAAATATTTCCTTTTACATTTCTTAGCTCTGTCTACTGAAAGAGACTAGAAACAATGGCCAATTAATAGCAATATACAAGTCAAATACCCAGATCTTCTTTCTAAATATAATTTGTCACTAGAAAGAACCAAGGCTCCTTGAAGGAAAGGCAGATTTCAGAGCTGGGGAAGACAAATAACAAAATAATATGGAACATCTTGTACCTTAGAAAACATGGAAGTACTTAAAGAATGAGAGGGACGGCTGGGTGTGGCAGCTCACGCCTGTAATCCCAGCACTTTGGGAGGCCGAGGCGATGGATCATTTGAGGTCAGGAGATCGAGGCCAGCCTGACCAACATGGTGAAAGCCTGTCTCTACTAAAAATACAAAAAAAATTAGCCAGGCATGGTTGCACATGCCTGTAGTCCCAGTTGCTCGGGAGGCTGAGGGAGGAGAATTGCTTGAACCTGGGAGATAGAGGTTGCAGTGAGCCAAGATTGTGCCATTGCACTCCAGGCTGGGAGACAGAGCAAGACTCAGTCTCTAAATAAATAAATAAATAAATAAATAAATAAATAAATAAATAAGTAAATAAAAATAAAGAATCAGAGGGACATGTTGAAAGGGCAAGGTACCCAGCTTTAAGGAACCCTGCTGGCCAAATTTTGGAAAATTTGAGCATCAAAATGAAGAATATTAGCATAAAGTCTAACCTATTAAATTAATTAAGAATCCAGGACTCTGTACTGATATAAACTTTAAAAATAAAGAGATAAAGGGACTGATATTAAAGGCTCACATATCATGCCAGGTAATACCAATGACTTTAAGGAAGACCTGCATAGTAGAAGCCTCTCTAAAGAAATTATATAAACCTGAATGACTGGTAAAAGCAAGAAGAAACAGAGTGAAGACTGAAAGACAAAACTCTCTTTAATTCTTTTCTTCTCCTGCTCCCTTGTTTCTCTTGGCTCAATTTACTATGACAGTAACTATGGTATTTCACTTATACAATGTTGTAGAATTAGGAACTGCCAGAAAAGAGGTTTCTAAGGGAACTTCCTGAATGTTTTCACTTTACATGTATTATCGCAGTGGGTTTGTCACTGAAAACAGACCAATGAAAAAATCTCCTTGAAAGCAAATCATTGTTCCTTCTTCCCAACTCTTGCTACATCTCTGACCATTTTTCCTCTCAGTTCCTCATCCAGCTAATCTATTTCTCCCAGGGACTTAAGAATTGGAGAAACTCTCAGGTTCCATGTTAAGAACTCAAGTTCTGGTAAATGTAATGCAATGAATATCTCAAACATAATTCCACTTCTATAACTTAAAAAGAAATCATGAATTCAGCGAATTAGTAACTGGCTTTCAATGCCAACATATTTAAAAGTAGGCTGAAAATATATCATAAGGTATGCTATATGAAAAGTTGAGTTTAAAATTGTATGTCAAAAATTACTTGATCTTTACACAATATTTCCATGAGTTCGGTTTGCATTAAATATGAACGATCATATTTAATATTTTATTGTTTTACATTAAATAATGGTAATATTCTAATGGCTATTGGATTTTAAATAGAACAAATATATCATGGAAACTTCTGAAAATAAATTCCATCTTGTGTTAAATCATAATAACAAAAAGATATTATAATCACTTATTTAAAAATGATTTGTGAGTAACTACTACTAATACTACATACTACATAGTAATAGCACTCTGTAGTACTTCTAATATGTTGGAACATATGTGCCCAGAGATGAATTAATAATGTCTCTGTCCTAAAGAACCTCACCAGTGATAAAAGCAGACATGTAAATCAGTAATTGCAAAGAAATGTGTCAACTGCACAAGACAATGGCAGCTTAAAAATTGAACAATTCAATGGGTGGTAGGCAGGAGACAGTGAGAAGCGGCCTCCTAAAGTAGAGGATGCTTGAAGGGGAGTTTCAAAGATGAGTTCGTTATCAGGAAAGAACGAATGCATGAGAAGAATATTAAACAATGAAAACAGCATACGCAAAGTCACATATGCATGGATTAGCACAATATATGGTGGGAATGGGTTAGGGAAGTTTTAAATTTTAAGTGGGAACCAAATTGTGGAAACCCTTATGAACTAACCTAAGAAGTAGTATAACTGAAGGCATGAAAGAATCAAAGTGAAAATTACCTACTCTCTGGCAAGCCAACTTCCCACTTCAGGACATAGAGTAGGTAATTTTCACTTTCATTCTTGTATGCATGAAAAGAATTTTCATTTCTCCTGGGCCTGAAAAGTCTTTCCTCCAGATTTTTGTACAACTAGATACTGTTCATTATTCAAGTCCTGGCCTAAAACACTTCCTAAGAGAAGCTCTCCCTTACCATCCAGCTAAAGTAGTGCCACACTATCATATCCACCTGTTAACTTTCCATTTCCTTTGTTTGTAAAGCTTTCGATATAGAAACATACAATAAATACCAATTTTACAACTTCATGTAGCATACACAAACATCTCCTTGATTCTTGCAAATTAGACTGAGAAAATCGTGGAAATTGCTAAGCAACGTTTGGTGTAGTGCAAACTCTAGGGATTTGCTGGCTGGCAACATTCCCTTCATCCTGTAATGAACATATTTTGTTCAGTAGTAGCCATATGAGTATGACTAAAGCAAAGAGACCCATTCAGAGATATTTGCATTTTCTTAACACAGAAAGAAAACTTTAGTGCAAAATTATCAGATAGTATGATAAAACATAGTGAAACATTTTGGGGAGGGTGGAAAAGATGTTTCTAGCCCACTAAATCATACCTCATATGCAAAACTTTCTGCTTTTCAAGAGAGACCTACATTTGTCTCCAGAGAAGAGGACTGGGAAATAAATCTCCATTAGTCCTAGGAAATGTAAACTTCTTTTATTTAGCTTTTCCTGATGAAGTGTAGGTTCAGGGAATTTTCATATATAAACCATTATCCTTTAAAATATGTGGGGGCTTATAAACGTAATATATCTGTTGTTCTTTGGTCTGTAAAATATTTCAATAAATTATTGAACTCTTGAAGCCACGAAATCAAACAAACTAAATATATGGTGTCTTTTACTTCTTCAATTTTCATTTTAAAATCCCCAAACACCTATTGTTAACAAATGAAGGAAACATTTCCTTATTTCCTGATCATCCCTACCAAAATATTGTTGACAATAGAAAAAAATTAATTATGGCCTATAGTAGGAAGCATAGTCATTAACAGTATGTCCTGGAAATTTTAAAATTTTATTAAAATGCCTAATCTCTACACTATAAAATATATGCAAACAATAAACTAGATTGGTATATGCAAACAATTTAAGATTGAAACTAGATAGGATTAATTTATAGAACATATATAGCTATTAATTGATCAATATCTTAATGAAAATTAACAGTGCATAAAAATATTCATAATTGTCCTTAAAGAACATGAACTAGGCCGGGCACCGTGGTTCACGTCTGTAATCCCAGAACTTTGGGAGGCCGAGGCAGGTGGATTATCTGAGGTCAGGAGTTCAAGACCAGCCTGACCAACATGGTGAAACCCCGTCTCTACTAAAAACAACAACAACAACAAAAATAGAAAAAAATTAGCTGGGCATGGTGGCGGGCACCTGTAATCCCAGCTACTCAGGAGGCTGAGGCAGGAGAATTGTTTGAACCCAGGAGGTAGAGGTTGCAGTGAGCTGAGATCATGCTGCTGCACTCTAGCCTGGGTGCAACAGAGTGAGACTCCGTCTCAAAGAAAAAAAAAAAGAATATGAGCTAAATTTTATCACATATTTATGTAAAATTTTGAATTGTATCATACGTATTTATTCACAGCATACTTTTATTTACCAAAGTACATCGTACATTATACAAATCTTAATTACATTTACATTATACATTTATAATATTAAAATTGTGCGAGTAGTCTTCAAATATCTGACAACTTTGGGGTCAGTGAATTATTTAAGAAAAAACTCAGAAGAGTTTTGAAAAAGGAGCAGGTGTGATTCTACAAATTCAATATGAGGCACCAGTGGGAGAAGTCAATTGGATGAGCACATGAAATATTAGGAGTGCTCGTGAGGGGGAAGTAACAGGTCTATTGTGTGCAGTGCTGGGCAGGCTGCATATGGAGAATGTGTTAAAAGAGCATTTGCAAACTTAAGCATTACTTGAAGATATTAAACAGAATGATGGAAGCCTGGTCTTTGATTATTTATTGCTGACATATGCATTGCAGTGATGGCATTAATGCCTAATGATTAAGCTAACATGAATTGACAATGAACAAGTCATGCTTTATAAATAAAAAATGCATGTTGTTTGATTTGACTCATTCTTTGTGAACCTATGCTAGCTTCATATTCTTTCTCTCGATGTCCTATTTTTTTGGTCTATAGTTTGTGAGGTTCACCTTTTTCCTCTTTAGAAAATGGTGATAGCTTTGCTTTTCAACTGACTCCCCTAATGTCCACTTTTCTTCAGAGATTACAGACAATGGTTTTCCAAATCTCCTTATTCTTTTATTGCCTTAGGATCTAATTGCAAGCAGTTGAAAGATTAAAATCCTCTAAAGAAATTAAATTATTTCTAATTATCCCATGACCTGTTTTAAACTACAATTTTCTCTTAAAGAAACTTACCCTCCATTTTTCTTTTAAAATTACTCCCTGTGATAGAGAAAGTAGGAGACAACTGTCTCAAAAATCTGCTTGCTCCTCTTGATCTATTAAAATACCATTAAAAATTTTGGGTTTACTTTGCTGGTGTCAGTTGATTTTGTGCTTACTATAATAGATCCATTTGACCCTTTCATATTCATTGATATGTACATGTACTGTTTTTTCCTACTACTGTAGTTTCTCTTATTCATTCAACCTCAGTGAGGAATACAAACATGAGTCATGCTCTCAAAGAAGCCTAGAAGTAAGGCTGAGATATGTCAACAGTGTTGTAATGCAAGCCAGGAAGAAACATGATAAAAGGTTCCAGTAGCATGTACTAAGAGTTCAGTAGATAAGGTTACTTTAGGTGATTATGTATAAATTTTAAAAAAACTTTCTATACGGGCTTTATTTAAGCTGGACTTCTAAAGAATCCCCTATCCAAGAAAATGGTTGGGCCTTAATAGGTCTATAAATTACATGAAATTATATGTAATATTTGGAAAATATGTGTATGCAATATAGAATGTATATATTGTGATAGAGAGAAAAGGGCAGAATAAGACTACTAGTATTCATCATATTCTGAAAGACATCCACACAGAGTAGTGTTTGGAGAGTTTTGCAACATTATTAAAAGAGTATGATTAGAATTACATTCTCATTGCTTCCAAATGTTCATCAGTGTTTTTGCTTCTCAACAATCTAAGCAAGCATGATGAACTTTTCATTGAATTTCTTGAAACATGCTTTTCCAGAGACTAGAAAACACATCTGATTGTTCCTTACTATTTTGCAATATAATATGTTCATTTCCTTCCCCAAATCTTTTCTTCACCTACAAGTTCACTGATAAAAATTAAGCCTATAATATTATTCCTTTGTTTCCTTTCACTTTCTGGGAATTGAAACTGTTGTCATTTTAAATCAACAATAAAATTATATTAAAAATAAGGGGCAGAATTAGAATATGGGCACTAGATATCTTATTAAAATAACAGAATACTCAACTTTTTTTTAATTGTATGGAGACTGATGGGAAACTGAATTCATACACTGAGAAGAGCTACAGAGAATAAAAAGAACAAATTAATATGTGCATTTAGAAAGCAGAGGGAATAGTAATATAAAAAAGGAGTTAAAAACATAAAAGTAGAGATAAGTAGTGTTTCACAGAGTTTTCTGTAAGGGTAAGTGCACGAAAAATGGCAAGATGGTTTTAAAAGATTTAGAATTCACAAAGTAGAAAGTGACAGAAATTGAACTACTCACTTAAATTTAAAAAGAGACGGGGGGATAGATTCAGCTACTTGATGGCATGAAATCAAAGTACTTGAATTTTTGAAGTGTATTTAAAAATCTAGTAAAGAATGCCTACAATTACAAAAGGTATGAGATTGTCTTTTTGAGTTTAGTAGAATATAAACTGACGACAAAAGACTGACAGGCACCAAATAAGTAGAGTGTAAAACAACAACAAAAAAAAGAAAGATAAATTCAGGTAATGATATTCAAGCAGTATGACTGCATAAGATTGCATAAGAAAGAATACATTTCCAAATCCAAAACAATATCATCCTGTTGTATTATATGCATATATTGAATACAATAACAAAAGTATCAAGAGTTCTTATTAAAGCACCCATTATCATTTATGTAAAATATTGCAAGACTTTAAAGTCACAGAACAAAACATATTTTTTCCCCATTATCTTTTTTGAGATGATCACATTTCTTCACACTTTGTGAACTGCGTAGTTAAGATGGAGCAATGATTTGAACTATTTGCAAATGCAGTTCCTTCCCCACTCTTTATATACTGTTTGGGCCATGAATCTATGGAAAGAGGTGTTTTACAAGAACGAAAGTCACATCATTCAGGACTTTCTAGCATAAAATGATCTAATATGCTTAGATTTAAGTGGTCAGATTTTGCCCCTTCCTCCCTTTCCTCTCCATGTTCCCAGATCATTTCCAGAGAGATAAGTAACTAATTGACAGTGTTGTTTGAGAGTAAATTCCTGAGTTATATAGAAGTTGGAACAATTATTCCCTCATAAAACTAAAACAAATTCTACAATAGTTACATGAAATGCAGAAGCACAATCAATGAACATTAATTCTTGACTGAAATGAAACAGCCCTGGTGTTTTCATGCAAACTTAGCTGCTATAAACCTAAAAGATGCAATCACCAAAAGATGTGAAGTCTTGAGGTAAAGATTAGCACTATAAATGCCATTTGATATCAGATGAAATATGCATTTCTGTACATGTGTTTAGAAGAATCTAAGCCCCTAAAACTTCTCCTCACTAACCCCAAGATGCCTGAATTTCTCAACATTAAGTTTTCACATCGTAATACAGTTTTCTTTCCTGGTGTTTCCTCTTCTCTCTGCCTAGTAAAGGATGTTATAAAATCGCAGTTCAATGTTTTTTTCTCTTCTTGTATTTTCCACTCTGCTGGTTATGGCCAATGAGTCAAGATTCAAAGTGTTCCCATATATATCTCTGCAGCTCAAACTCTCCAGAACTTGGGCTTGTATTTCCAGTTACTGGACTTAAGCTGGGCACACCCACAGTGTCCCTGGACTGGGTGAGGAATGCTGGAAACCACTGCATAAACATGAAAAATCATTCCGTAATTTAGGCAAAGTTTGGAGAGAGAGTCACATTTTATAATAGTACAAATACGAACCTACAAAAGAGTAGAATCCCAGACTGGGCCAAGAATGCTGGAAACCACTGGATAAACATGAAAAATCATTCCATAATTTAGGCAAAGTTTGGAGAGAGAGTCACATTTTATAATAGTACAAATACGAACCTACAAAAGAGTAGAATCTAAAATCCACATGAATCTTTAGACGAAAACTAGAGATGAAATAAAGTTGCTCTTAGTGGGGTTAGGTGAGTATGTCATTGTTAGAGACAGTGATAGAGAAGTCTAAGAAACTCCATACTGTGCTAAATAAATCCACCTTTTAAGTGTGGATTCCTATTTTTGTGGGCTTTTGTTTTTTATTTTACATTCAAGGGGTACAACTGCAGATTGGGTTAACATTTTTGTGTGAATATTGAAACAGTTGTGAAAGGAAGTTTATTAATAGGAATGACCACAAACTATGAAATAGACTGAATTTGTGTCTCACCATGTCATCACCATCTCTCAACTCTGCACAGACCCAGTGCTGTCCCTGGCTCTTGAAGACACTGGTTTCTTAACCTCAGCTTCATGGATAAGTACATTTTGTCTTTTCTTCATTGATATGTGCTCTCCTGCATTCTGTTATTGTAAGACATTACTGTGAATGTAAAGAGATAATCATTTAATACTATCAGTAAGAATTCATATATATTCTTTTTTTTTTTTTTTTTTTTTTTTTTTTTTTTTTTTGAGAATGCAGTCTCCCTCTCTCACCAGGCTGGAGTGCAGTGGTGTGATCTCGGCTCACTGCAACCTCTGCCTCCTGGGTTCAAGCGATTCTCCTGCCTTAGCCAAGAATTCATATTAAAGCAGTCGTCATTTAATGAAATTTTGGACACCCTCACTTCAGGCACATCTGCTATCAGGCAAAATTCTACTCAGCTTTTACACTGTGTCAGACAATGTGCCAGACACTAAGAATGCAAATAAAACATAGAACCTGAAAAGTTGTGTTTCTTCAAAGGATACATGGAGACATAAATAAAAGCTGTGTTGATAACAGAAATAAGAGTCATAAAATGCTTCCAAGAAAGAAAGTGGGCTCAGAGGTATTTCTTTCAGGGTGAGCAGGTGTAGACCAGGGAGGGAAAGAGTTGTATTTCAGGCAAACACAAGCCATGAAATGGCCTAGTGAGAGAAGGAAAGTAAGCCGTTCAACTCTGGAAGAAGTAAAGGGTTGAAAGGAGAAGTGAAGACACAGGCCTGACCCTTAGGTAGGACCCCTGGCTCAGCTGTCCCAGTCCCCAGACATGGTGGGAGATTGACTCAAGTCAATGTACCTTACTGCCCTTACCTGAACATCATTACATTTCAATGTTGAAATTCCTGTTTTTAATTATATTCCAAGGGACCTAGAATAGATGGCATAAAGGGGCCTCCTTTCAGTTGTGTTAATCTTGGAGAACCCACATTAGCTTTGTTGCCCTGGGTTCCAATCTCAGAAGTACATGGAGAAATATGGCTGAACAGTTAAAAAGGGTGGAAAGGAGGATCCAAGCAAGATAAGGAGTTTGGACTTTGCTGTGTATTTCATGGGCGGCACTGGGGGGTTTTAAACACAGAAAAAAGGAGAGGTTTCAGAAAGGTCTCTCTGGCATCACAATAGAGATTTTTGAGGTAAAAGACAGGGAGAAAGAAAAACAAACAACAATAATCGTGGAGTAGTGATATTGACAGACTGAACTAAGAAACAGTGTGGATAAGAAACTTTATGCTCTACAGTACTGCAGTCAGCAGAATAATGGTCCCTCTAAAAAAGGTACCACAACTCTATCTCTTATTAGTAGTGTGATTTGGGGCAATTTAAAAGCCCTGATCCTCAGTTTCCTCATCTGTAAAAGAAAAAAAAAAAAGAATAGCAATGTCTTAAGTCAGGATCCCCAGGATCAAACCCTGAGATGAAGATTGTCTGCAAGTGATTTATTATAGAAATGCTACCAAGAAAAACTCATCAGGTACCACAGTAAGCAAGATAGGGAAGAAGGTGGTTTCAGGCAAAATATTAACATCAATATAATTCTATAGGGGAGCCTCAGGGTGTAAATTACACCTCAGGTTTTCTTGCTACTAGAGGCAAGACGGCTGGTCTTTTATACTCTATAGGAAAGTCCTTGGCAAAGGGTATCCTGGGAAAGAAGTAAACTTGCAGGTGGTTCTGTCTGGCTCTCTATGCCAGTACACAAAGTGAGTCTAGTAGTGTTTGGGCCTTCCTCCAAAGAGATTCTCGGGGCAGGCTGTGAGAAGTAAAAGAACACAGAAGCTAGAGGAAGGATACTCAGATTCAACCAAAGGGATCCTAGGAGATCTGGGTGGAGACTATGTCTGCCACAAGCATCTATCTCATAGAACTCTTCTAAGAACTGAATGCATTCATATCTTTCTTTCTTTGGCTTTTAGGATTCCTAAACTATTTTTCTTCTGGAATAGCATGCAATATTTAGCACTCTGCTCTACACTCAGAGTGCTCAGTGATGAAATAATTTTTTCTTGACATAGCATCAAATCCAAAAAGGGTAAAGGCAGTGGAGAAATTAAGCGAATATGAGGAATACCATAAGAGAAAGAAAAAAAATCTGATCCCAATTTCTGACTCCAAGGATAGTGCTTTCCTCAGGGTTCCACTTTTATCAGTTAAGATCCAGTCAAAGGGTATTGACTATTAGGACAGGAAAAAATCCCACTAAAGAATACAGTAATAGTGGTTATTGGGAACAGCCACTATCTCTCAGGCTCTAGGAGAGTACCCAAGGAGGGAATAACTGAGTAGAACTTCCCCCTACCCACCCTCCACCCTACTAAGCCTGAAAGTAGGCGCTCATTGGAAATAATATGGCTGTGGTCCACTTAATGATCCAGAAATTTAAGGTGTCACACACTGGGCTGCTGAGGAAACCATCAGCTGTGTTTTCAGTAAAACTTGCTAGGAAGCCATTCCACTGACATGCCAGTGGTACTCCATAGAAAGACACATACTAGGGAACTGGCCAAATTTACTGAAGATTATGTAACATGGCCTTCTTGCACACCACTGGTCAGAAAGTCACTCACTGGCCACCACACCGTAGGAGCAAGCAGGAAAGCACTGGAACCAAGAAAAGGAGCCCCTTTCTTTCTGCAGTGTTCCCCTAGCACCTTCTATTGACAAAGCTAAACACTGTGCCAACTGACCATAAAGACGTTTACAGATTTCAGCTCTAATGTCACAATTTAGGGCAAAGAAGGGTAGCTGTGAAGTTGAAGAGCACTAAGTTAACTGGCACTGACCTCAGTGACACTCCTGGGATTTGGGGGATGGGAGGAGCATGCTGTTATGCCCAAATCCTGCTCCGTTTGTTTACTTTTTTCCTAATTGTCTCTGAAAGAAAGAGCAGGCCCAATCTTTTGGGACACTATGTAGTGAGAACTGGTATGACACATCGTAAGTGCACAGAGAGTTCAATTCAGTAACTGAGACAAAGTCTAGAGCCGAACCACTTGGGTCTGAACGTTAGCTTCACTATTAACAAGATTTGTAGCCTTGCAAAAGTTCATCCTTGTATACCTCAGTTTCCTTACCTGTAAAAGGAGATAACAGTACCTATTTTATCAAAATGTCAGGAGAAATTAAGTATTATGTGTAAAGCCTATAAAACAACATCTTGCATGTAGTTAGAACCTAATAAATATTAGTATATTCCATGAATGGTAGCTTGTCATTTGGTTTTACAATATGTATATATTCGGTTCTCATGATGAGTTTCCATTTAGAACTATGCCTCATAATGCTAACACTCAACTTCTCTGGGTGAGATTAGGCTTTGCTATCAAGTCTTGCCTACTCCTGGGCATTGCCTGCAGCTCTGGCTTCAGATCCTGGCACTGCCCCTGGCTCACTGAATAAGCTTCAACTAGTGCAGCCAACTTACGGAGGATCTGTTTTCTCAAGTGAAAAAAAGACACAAGGTTAAACAAATCATCTTTTTTTAAGATCTCTTCCAGTTCTGACTACATTTGATCCCCCTCATCCCCAAGTAGTAAGTTATACCTAAGAGGGAAAGAGGAGGGAATTATCATTTCGAACTCCTACTCACCTGTGCCAGGAGAGCACTGCTGTGACTGATTTCCCTGATTTCATCCTCACCACAGTCCTAACAGATTAGTATTGTTAAAGTCCATTTAACAACTAAGAAAGCTGAGGCTCAGGAAGGTCAAGCAGTTTACTCAAGATCATATTCTCAGTAAGCCGCAGAGTCTGGATTGAAACCTGGTCTTTCTGTTTGGGTCGACTCAACATTTTTAACCGTATTGTTTGCCTCCTACATCGCCTTCATCTCAGACATTAAGAATCCTACCTATTCAATGCTTTTCATCCTCCGCTTTAAAGAGATAAGTGGGTGCACAACTTTTTTTTTGCCTGAAACATATCATCTAAAAGTTAAGCAAATGAAATTCATTTACCAGTTACAGGAATCTTTTTCTTAAATCACTGTTAATGTCTCACAGGAAATTAGCTCTTCAGTGGAAATCAGCAGCCTCCCTGCATCCTTTTGCCCCTGTCCTCCCCTCTCTTGGATGCAAACCTGGCGAAAAGAAGGGAACACTGCTTGGGGTCAGCGAGCTGAGTTCCAGCTCCGAATGTACCATTTTCACCCTCGGGAGTCTTCTCCCCTTTCTCTGTGAGCAAAGGAGTGTTGGGCCAGACCGTCTTAAGGATTCTTCCCCAGGTACAAGCCGGACTCTGGCGGCTTTCCTGGGCAAGGGAGTGTCTCCGCCTTGTCTCTGCCGCAGGTCCCTGGTTAAATTGTCAATTTCTCTGCGGAGGCTGCTCACTGCATCCGCTCCCTCCACCCCTAGCCCTGTAGACCCCTTCTCTTTCCCCTACTTGGGAAAAGTGAAGCCCCTTATCCTTGGATAGCCTTTCACCAGACAACCGCAGCCGTCCGCTAAATTCCCCTACTGGCGGGACGCGCGGGCGGGGGCCTGCCCCGGGGAATGCGAGGCTGCTTCCCTTCTGCGTAATCAGGGTACGCAGCCTCCAGTTCTCTAACTTTCTCCTTCTCTAAGAGGGAATTTCGAGAACTTTAAGACAAATAAGTGACTATATAGATGAAGACATGAAACCTCTCTACACAGTGAACTCCCCCACGCTACAAGGCTCCCAGGGATCCCAGGCCTTCTCCCGCAATGCCCCGCCGGGTCCCCCGCCCCAACTCCTTCTCACGGCAGGATCCCGCGCCAGGACGCTCGCAGAGCCCGAGATGTGGCACCAGGCGCGCCACAAGTCCAGGTCCCGCTATTTCTGCTCCATCGGAGCCCAGGTCGGAGGGAGTCAGCGCGTCCTCCTCGCACAGGAGCCTGGCGCGCGGCTCGGTCGCACAGAGGCTGAAGAAAGGTCCGCACTGGGCTCGAGGCCCTTCCTGCCGGCCTCCCCACGCCGGGCCTAGGCTCCCCTCCTTCCCGGCTCCCGCCTCCTCCCGTAGGCTGCCAGGCGGACCCAGCCTGCCTCTCTCTCTGCCTTCACTACCGGGTCAAGCTGCGGAGGGAGGGAGGGAGGCAGCGGCGAAGCCCTCCGTGGCTCCCCACCCGGCGCGCGCGCCCCTCCTCCCCTGCCTCCTCCCGTCTGCCAGTACAGTAGAACTAGTACACACACACACACACACACACACGCACACGCACCCTGCCACTGCAGCTGCCATGGATATCAGCTAACAACACACACCCAGGCGCGCGCGCGCGTTCCCACTCGCACCACGCAGGAGTGGCCCCCGGCATCCCTACCCTCCTTCCCCACCCCCACCACACCCGCTCACCAGCTCGGCTACTGCTCGCTCCGGCTGCCGCCGCCGCCGCCGCCGACGCCACCACCACTGCTTCCTCTGCTGCGGGGCCACAGCCTTGAGTGTCATTCAAGGGACAGCACAACCTCATCCAAGCTCTCCTACCTCTGCCCAGCCGTCCCTCTCATCCTCCCCATTCCTCGTCCACACTCCATCCAAAGAAGAGGGAAAGCACCGAATAGAGGGGGGCGAAGGCAAAGTCTGCTGTTCTTCCCCCTGGGCCCCCTTGCTCCTCCATCCTCATTCTCTCACCACCAGCCCCCCTAACCCCAAGGAGCCCAGGAACTGAGGCGACTCGCCCCACTGCCATGTCCAAAAGCTTGAAAAAGAAAAGCCACTGGACTAGCAAAGTCCATGAGAGTGTCATTGGCAGGAACCCGGAGGGCCAGCTGGGCTTTGAACTGAAGGGGGGCGCCGAGAATGGACAGTTCCCCTACCTGGGGGAGGTGAAGCCCGGCAAGGTGGCCTATGAGAGCGGCAGCAAATTGGTGTCGGAGGAGCTGCTGCTGGAGGTGAACGAGACCCCCGTGGCGGGGCTCACCATCAGGGACGTGCTGGCCGTGATCAAACACTGCAAGGACCCCCTCCGGCTCAAGTGTGTCAAGCAAGGTGAGAGCAGCGGCTTGCTCAGTGTTTTGCCGGGCGGTGGGACCGCTCGGGGCGCAGGGCAATGAAAGGGTGGCCGCGCATGTTGAAGGGGGTGTGTTGCGCGATGATGGGGTGGGGGCCAGAGAGCACCCGCAGTGCAAGTGAGTTTCGCCGGGGATTCGACTTGGGGGCTAAAGGGAGGGGAGGGGCAGGTTGTGGTGTGGCGTGCAACTTTGTTTGCTCAGTTAGACCCTCCCCTTTGGAAGGTGCTCGGCCTGGTCTGACCTCCTCAGAGCTGCTGGGGCAAATTGAATGTGCGTCAGTGGCATCACCCGAAGCGGATGAAGAGCTTTTGGGGAAGGGAGGAAGGAAGAAAAGAAAGAAAGAATGGGAGGAAGGGAGGGAAAGAAGGAAGGAGCAACTTCAGGGTGCAGCGGCATCACCAGCGGGTCTGGGAAGAGAAGGTGGTGGGGTGAGCGGAGAACTGCGTCCAGCGTTTCTGGGGCTGGGCTGGGGGCGCCTGGGTCCCCAGCTGTCCCTTAGGGATCCGTGAGCCACCGCTGGCGAAGAAAAGAAGGGACAAATTGCTTTGGGCGCTTTGACGGGTCTTCTGTAACTTTTCCCCTTCTTCACTCCGTGTCCCCCTCCCCCGCTCACGGTCGTGTCATGTGGGCATCGCGCGTCACGTGCGTACTGACTAACCCCTGCGCTCACCCCTAGCCAGCCCGGGGGAGGAGGCTCCGGAAGAAGGCGCGGTGCTAGGAGCGCAGTCTAGTGCTGGGCGGGGGTCGGAGGAGATGAATGGTTGTCGGAGGAGATGAATGGTTGTCCGCATGGACTTTACTCAGGGGTTGCCCTCATTGAGTGGAAGTCCTCTGTGGTTGGGCTCTCCTCTGGCTCCGATTTGGGGGGCGTGTTTTGGGGGAGGAGCTGGATGAAACCCTGGCCGGTTCCAGCCCAGGCTCCCTCAGCTCCAACCTGACTTAAATGAACCTCAATTGGAGGCTGTGATGTGGATTTGGGGAGATTGGAATCATCCAGAACTCCCTGTCTTTGCTCGAAAGAAAATTATGGTGCAGAAGGAGAGAAGAGTGAGATAAAAGTTTGAATAGAGGACAACTTTAAGTAGAATAAAGTAGTAGCTTTTTTCTTTTCTGTTTTCTTTTTTAGCTCACTGCACAATTCGTGTGCGGTATGTATGGATATTTGCGTCACAGGCATATTAGCATAAGGGTTTGTTGTTGTCGTCGATGTACACTGTTTGTCCTGACTCAAAGGTGGAATTGAGCATGTCATTACCTGCATTTTGCCGCTTAATCATGATCAACTACTAAGAAATGCTTTTACGGAGATGTACCGCACTGTTAAATTATTCTCTAAAAAACTTGTTTTAAAATAAACAAGATAAAAAGAAGTACTGGGCAAGGTTTCTTAAATGTAAATTGCCATACAAGAAAATGTTTTCCTTGGGTATTCTTGAGTATTAAGAGGTAATAAATTGAGATAGGTTATTATAAGTCAACATAGCTCCATACTATTTAACACTGAAGGGATATGAGTTTGGTAGGAAGGAAAATAGAGTAACTTGATATTTTTGAAGATAAGATACCTAAGGTTCAAATACAGAGATTCATGTTAACATGTTCGATGTCAAAATACCACCTTATAGGAATAGACATAAATGGAAAGATCTTTGGGTACGAAAAGTCTACTACACAACTAATGACCATGGTTTTGTTGGCCAAATGCTTGATATTTGTCATGGAACGTGGCTGCAAAAGTTAAGCGTTGTTAAATTGGACTTAATAGAGTCCCACAAACGGATGCCCTATTATAGTTTGCAATGATCATCACATCTTAAATGTTGTGTTCAATTCTGAGCACTCCTTGTTGAGGCGGACGTTGGCAAACTGTCACGCTAGCAAAGAGTAAGTTCAAAAGAGAAATAAAGGAAGATTATTGTGTATTATAGATGTATTCTATGAAATGCCGTGGAAAGACTTAACGTGGAGAAGTGAAAGAATGAAAGCTATCATTAAATAGCGAAAAGCTATCAGGTAAGAAAAGGAATTCTGACTATCCTGTGATAGCCCACAGGACAAAATGGTGATAAATCTATGAGAAATTTGAAAGGATGAAGCAGCTTTACTTTCATTAAATCATGAGCTTTCTAACAGAGTTTTCCAAAAATTTGTGAGCACCCTGTTGGCTGAAGTTCCCATCATTGTGGGTATCCATGAAGAGGCTGAAATGACCATATGCCAGGGATTCCTATATAAGATGAGGACCTGGATTAGATATTATTTGAATCTTGCCATAATTTGATCTAATGTGGTTGGAGATCACTCTTGTATTGAATTTTATGTGGAAGATTATTGCTTTTAGAACTCAGAATATATGCTTCTAAAGTGATATATTGAGGGGAAAGTCTCTTTTCATTCTATATTAACCCTCAGTTTCGTGCTTCACTGGTTCATTGATGATAAATTTGTATAATGATAGCCAGAGAGCCCACAGTTGGTTCATCTCCTGAACCACTGCTGACCAAAAACAAAACAAAACAAAATATTTCTTTTACCTTTTGTGGAATAATTAATTCTCTTGTATATTCTTTTAAATATGATTCATGTTGCTATTCTAATAATTCTTTTCCTCGTCAAATCATAGATTAATTTTATTTATGATTATAAAAAATGAAATTTTTCAGAACCTTTACTATAGTGCCTGTGTGTCTTAGGTTTCAATACAGATGTCATTTACTGGAAAATCATTTAGAAACTCTTGGCCCAGTAGTTATGTTTCAAGAGATGCAAAAGCTAGCATAGCTGAAAAACTTAAACATGGTTTGTTTAGCAGTTGCGTTTTTAAAACATTAATGAGACTGATTTTTGAATATTCATTCAGACATTGGGTATTATACAGAAACTACAAGAATTATCATAGTTTAAGGAAGATTTTATAAAGAAAAGGTAAGATTTGAATAATAAGAATATTGTTAATAAGTGCACCAGGTAAAATTGCATTATTTACTTAATTTTATTTACTTGTTTGCCTAATTTTACATTACAGTTATCATAATTTTCATCTGTCATAATTTTAAAAGGAGGTGAGCTCCTTTTAAAATGTTGGGATTTTAAGACATTATATATATATATATATATATGTATATATCTCACAGTGTTTCTACACTGTTTAAATACCTGCAAAACAATTTTTAAAACTGTTTAATGAAATTCAAGGAATTATCTTTTTAATTTAAGCTTTCTGCTTTTAATCCACACAATAATAAACCACATATTAAAATATGGCTTATTGTCACATCCAATTCTTTTTTATAAACTATGGCATTTTATTTGTAATAATAAACTTTCCTCACCAAAGTATGTAATTCTAAATTAGCAGTAATTCTATGATCTCGTTAATGCATCAGACCCAGTTGAAGAAAGTTTTTTGAGTGATGTTGAGATCTATATGGAAGTGCTAAAGGTCTTCTTTCCTTTTTCTTTTCCCTTTTTTAAGGTTTGCCACTAAAGTTCACAGCAGCCAGTTACACAGGCCTTTGTGGCCTACATTCCTTGCACTATGGCTGCTATTGCATCTAATACCACATAGAGACCTACATAACCTGGACTTATTTTCCCATTTAGGGTCTCACAATGGGAAATAAAAGGCAAAAAAAAAAAAAAATTCTAATTCTTCCCATGTGGAAGATGGGCCAAATAAATCCTTTGAAATTCAGTTTTAGAGAAGATCTACATTGCTCTCCCTCCTACTGCTCCTTTCAAAGATACCTTCAAAGGAAAGTAGATCCACATTTATTAAGAGTCATACTTTCTTCTTGACTGACTTCAGGCTTAGAATAATAGAGTCAGATCTCTATACTCCTTTGTATCTGAAAAGGTAAAAACAAATTATGTCAAATTTTCTGAAAATAAAGATTGACTTTTTTTCTGTAGAAATGTGAGGTATATGAATAGTGTTGTTTAATAAACAAAACATTGTTTAAACATTTTGATCAGTTTATTATTTTAGAAATAAAGTACCATTAATGTTTTGAACAAGGTTAATGAGACGGTTCTCTTGGGGCATAATTTATAAGTGATACCACTGTAGTTTTCTGGTACATGTAGATAATTTAAATGGTATGACCTCGAATGTTAAATATGATTATTTGCTTTTTATCTGTACTGTCCCTATTCTTAACATTTACACTGTTTAATCTTTTGGCATGTTTATTATGCTCACTTTCCTTTTCATTGCTTGTAACTCACAAATTCACTTTCATAATGAGAAAAGCATATTCACATTTGACATCTCTGATTGATTATAGTTTAATTAATGACTTTCAAATACATACAGACCCTGGCAGAATCATTTTCCTCAGAAGGTGGGGTAGAGCAATGGTTAAAGGTACAGTCTCCTAAGTAGACCACCTAGTTTTAATTCCTGAGTATGTCAGTTAGTGCTAGCTATATGTACAAGATAACTAACCTGGGGTAGTAATGGCACCTTAAGAATATTAGATAAGTTATGTATTTAAAGTGTGTAGTGTCTGGCAGGTGATAAGCATTATGTAGATTTTAGTAAATGCTATTGCAAACATATTGGTCATTTTGAGCTAGTGACATTATGAGGTGTTTTTAATTTTCAAGATATTTTACTCAATTCAAATTAACTGAAAAATATGAAATGATTGACATTAATATAGAGTATTTTGCAAGTTGTATTTTAAGGTTTTTTTGCAGAATGAAATAAATATTTTATTTGAAAAGAATTTATTTGAAGAATAATATCAATAAATACAATGGAAAATATTTTCACTTTTTAAAAATAACTTCCACTGATCCTCCCTTTATGTGTAAACATCTGCTATTTTATATTTATTTTATACTTTAGACATAGTTTATTTTTACATAGTAATTTGTTTTCTTCATACCGCATATCTTTACTCCCAAAGAATTGCTGAATATATTGAATTATTTACTCTAAACTTGACAACATAGAAATCCTATTAGAATTTATTAAGTTTAGGAGTTTATACTTCTTATATTAATACATCATTGTAGTTAAGAGTAAGTATCATGCTGTTGAACTTTTACTTCTCAGCTAGAAATTAAGCACCTCATAAAGAATAACAATAATAAAAGTTAACTCTTAAGTGTTCACAGTCAACAATGTATAATAAAGAGGAAATGCATCAAATTCAGCAAAAATAATACTTTGCATTTGTGAGTATTGCAATGTAAATAAGTTAAAAGGCTATTTGTATTGCATTTTATAGTATTTTATACTATACTATTTTATAGTATTTTATGGTACTGTTAAAATACCATTAAATTTAAATACTATTTAAATACTATTAACGTACTATAGTACTATTAAAATACTATTTTATAGTATTTTCATACTTTGTATGAAAGAAATGCAATATAAGTAAGTCTGTGTATTAATACTGTTACAAGGTGAAGCAACCAACAATACTTCCACTGCTAGCTTCCCCATAATTTTAGCATTTTCGTTGAATTAATCCTATTTTACAGTTCAATGGAAACATCTACCTTGAAGCTCCAGGGTTCAGTATTAATTTCTAAAAATCTCTCCTAGCTATAATCTGGCTATATATTATGACAACAAACATACAACTGCCTTAGTTTAGTGACTTTATTATTACTTACTCCATTCTATTCTCAGCTCTCTTCTGTCTCTAGTAAGTATTTGTTATATTTCCTTTAATAAAAGTAAATTATCTTATATAGAAAACTTAGTAATATAATAATTGCTGAATTTACATTGTTAAAGACTTGCATAGGGACATACATAGTACAATGTCCATATCATCATAGATAATTAATAAAAATTGCTTTTATTATTACGTCTTACTGACATCTTTGTCAACTCTAAAAGGACTTCATATTGAGATATTTTTAAAAAAGTTAAAATTTGTGTTAAGTTTAATATATATTGTTGACTGTTTTGAGTGGTCTGGAAGAAACAATAAAAGTTTCCTTCTTTGATAAGTTATTGAATATTAACTCAATTGCATCCCATTGATGTACTTTTATTTTTTCACTTATTTATTATTTTTTTTTGAGACGGAGTCTCGCTCTGTCGTCCAGGCTGGAGTGCAGTGGCGTGATCTCAGCTCACTGCAATCTCCGCCTCCCGGGTTCACGCCATTCTCCTGCCTCAGCCTCCTGAGTAGCTGGGACTACAGGTGCCCGCCATCCACGCCCGGTTAATGTTTTTGTATTTTTAGTAGATATGGGGTTTCACCGTGTTAGCCAGGATGGTCTTGATCTCCTGACCTCGTGATCCACCTGCTTCGGTCTCCCAAAGGGCTGGGATTACAGGTGTGAGCCACTGCGCCCAACCCCCATTGATATACTTTCAAAGATCCATTAGGCTAATGAGTGGGTGATTTATATGAATGGCTAGATTTGTTTCAATATTTGAAATAATTAGATGGCTTGCTCTACCTGGGGAAATAATTTCTCCATGTAATCGTTACATGAATCCTTATGAGGTTTTATGCCATTTTTATTTATTTTGGCTTACTTTAAAAAAAAAATCACTGTCAAAACCATGGCAGTTTGAGCCTAAATACTTGCTATACTTTGGATATATCATTGGATATACCCAAACACAGATATGTTACAGAAGAAAAAAATAAACCTTTATAGTGCAAAGAGAGATTTTGTCTATGTTGAATTTTCTTCTTTTTTTAATTGTACTTTAAATTTCGGGGTACACGTGCTCAACGTGCAGGTTAGTTACATATGTATACATGTGCTATGCTGGTGTGCTACACCCATTAACTTGTCATTTAACATTAGGTATATCTGCTAATGCTATCCCTCCCCCCTCCTCCCACTGCACAACAGGCCCAGGTGTGTGATGTTCCCCTTCCTGTGTCCATGTGTTCTCATTGTTCAGGTCCCACCTATGAGTGAGAACATGCGGTGTTTGGTATTTTGTCCTTGTGATAATTTGCTGAGAATGACGGTTTCCAGCTTCACCCATGTCCCTACAAAGGACATGAACTCATCCTTTTTTGTGGCTGCATAGTATTCCATGGTGTATATGTGCCACATTTTCTTAATCCAGTCTATCATTGTTGGACATTTGGCTTGGTTCCAAGTCCTTGCTATTGTGAATAGTGCCACAATAAACATATGTGGGCATGTGTCTTTATAGAAGCATGACTTATAATCCTTTGGGTATATACCCAGTAATTGGATGGCTGGGCCAAATGGTATTTCTAGTTCTAGATCCCTGAGGAATTGCCACACTGACTTCCACAATGGTTGAACTAGTTTACAGTCCCACCAACAGTGTAAAAGTGTTCCTGTTTCTCCACATCCTCTCCAGCGCCTGTTGTTTCCTGACTTTTTAATGGTTGCCATTCTAACTGGTGTGAGATGGTATCTCATTGTGGTTTTGATTTGCACTTCTCTGATGGCCAGTGATGATGAGCATTTTTTCATGTGTCTTTTGGTTTCATAAATGTCATCTTTTGAGAAGTGTCTGTTCATATCCTTTGCCCACTTTTTAATGGGGTTGTTTGTTTTTTTCTTGTAAATTTGTTTGAGTTCACTGTAGATTCTGGATATTAGCCCTTTGTCAGATGGATAGACTGCAAAAATTTTCTCCCATTCTGTAGGTTGCCTATTCACTCTGATGGTAGTTTCTTTTGCTGTGCAGAAGCTCTTTAGTTTAATTAGATCCCATTTGTCAATTTTGGATTTTGTTGCCATTGCTTTTGGTGTTTTAGACATGAAGTCCTTGCCCCTGCCTATGTCCTGAATGGTATTGCCTAGGTTTTCTTCTAGGGTTTTTATGGTTTTAGGTCTAACATTTAAGTCTTTAATCCATCTTGAATTAATTTTTATATAAGGTATAAGGAAGAGATCCAGTTTCAGCTTTCTACATATGGCTAGCCAGTTTTCCCAGCACCATTTATTAAATAGGGAATCCTTTCCCCATTGCTTGTTTTTCTCAGGTTTGTCAAAGATCAGAGAGTTGTAGATATGCGGCATTATTTCTGAGGGCTCTGTTCTGTTCCATTGGTCTATATCTCTGTTTTGGTACCAGTACCATGCTGTTTTGGTTACTGTAGCCTTGTAATATAGTTTGAAGTCAGATAGCGTGATGCCTCCAGCTTTGTTCTTTTGGCTTAGGATTGACTTGGCAATGCAGGCTCTTTTTTGGTTCCATATGAACTTTAAAGTAGTTTTTTTCCAATTCTGTGAAGAAAGTCATTGGTAGCTTGGTGGGGATAGCATTGAATCTATAAATTACCTTGGGCAGTATGGCCATTTTCACAATATTGATTCTTCCTACCCATGAGCATGGAATGTTCTTCCATTTGTTTGTATCCTCTTTAATTTCATTGAGCAGTGGTTTGTAGTTCTCCTTAAAGAGGTCCTTCACGTCCCTTGTAAGGTGGATTCCTAGGTATTTTATTCTCTTTGAAGCAATTGTGAATGGGAGTTCACTCATGATTTGACTCTGTGTTTGTCTGTTATTGGTGTATAAGAATGCTTGTGATTTTTGCACATTGATTTTGTATGCTGAGACTTTGCTGAAGTTGCTTATCAGCTTAAGGAGATTTTGGGCTGAGATGATGGGGTTTTCTGATATACAATCATGTCATCTGCAAACAGGGACAATTTGACTTCCTCTTTTCCTAATTGAATACTCTTTATTTCCTTCTCCTGCCTGATTGCCCTGGCCAGAACTTCCAACACTATGTTGAATAGGAGTGGTGAGAGAGGGCATCCCTGTCTTGAGCCAGTTTTCAAAGGGAATGCTTCCAGTTTTTGCCCATTCAGTATGATATTGACTGTGGGTTTGTCATAGATAGCTCTTATTATTTTGAGATACGTCCCATCAATACCTAATTTATTGAGAGTTTTTAGCATGAAGCGTTGTTGAATTTTGTCAAAGGCCTTTTCTGCATCTATTGAGAAAATCATATGGTTTTTATTGTTGGTTCTGTTTATATGCTGGATTACGTTTATTGATTTGCGTATGTCTAATGAAAAAATTTGTAGAAGAAATTTTATCAACCTCATAACTGCCTTATAGTGAAACACATGCATATGACATCAGGAATTTTTCTGTAAGTACCATGGATTTTATTAAGTGACTCTGTGAAATGAAGCAGAAAGAAACAAAACTATTTAATTAAAAATCAAAATGTATATTTAAAAATCTATTTTTATATTACATTGTGTTTGAAGATGTTTGTTAAAAAGTAAATTTCCCAATTCCAGCATAAATTGAATTATTTATATTGCCATGGATCAAGTGTAGCACAAAAACTGTTTATACTTTACATTGTCACTTAATAGATCACAGGGAATGTCTGAGTAAAAATAATACAAAAACAATTGCATACATTTTTAACATTTTGCATTTTACAAGTGAGTATTTTTGCTTATATGAGTATTTTGTGTTGCTATGTGGAGGATAATAAGTGCTATAGAAACCCACAGATTAATCTAGTGACATACCCTAAACTTGTCAAATCTGATTAGCTGGATTTTGTAAACACCAATAAGTTTCAGAGATATGAATTGTCCAATGTTGCTTTTTGTGAAGTTTTTCTTTTGTTTTGTTTTGTTTTTTTAAGAAGGAGTCTCGCTTTGCTTTTCTTCAGTCTAGTGTGGGAGTCACCCCAGTGAACAACAAATTTGTTCTGCATCTTTAGGTACATGGAATACACACACACACACACACACACACACACACACGCACACACACACACACACACACTTCAAACACTAAGGTTCAGGCTGGAGTATAGTGGCATCATCTCTGCTCACAGAGACCTCCGACTCCTGGGTTCAAGTGATTCTTCTGCCTCAGCATCCCAAGTAGCTGGGTCTACAGGCACCCACCATCACACCCGGCTAATTTTTGTATTTTTACTAGAGATGGGGTTTTACCATGTTGGCCAGGCTGGTCTTGAACTCCTGACCTCAAGTGATCTGCCCACCTCTGCCTCCCAAAGTGCTGGGATTACAGGCGTGAGTCACCATGCCCAGCCTTCTGATCTGCATTCTGATCTGCAATACCTAATTTCCTTTTTTTTTTTCACAGTCTATGATGTAAGGATGTTAAACTCTTTGCTAGACAAAGTTTCTTCAAAACATAGCAAGTATTTAGGCTTGGAGGGTCACTAAAATGTTCCAAAAGTCTTGGCTAATTTCTAAAAACACCCTGAACATAGATAACGGTAATCTTACCATTCTAGCAAGTCATATACTTAGGGAGTAGACATTTTGTGTGTGTGAAGAGTGAAGGCTGAATGAGCAGAAGAAAATTGATTACCTCTTCTGGAAGAGCAAGAGCTTTATCAAAGATCCTATTACCTACTAGCAGTTAAAATACTCAAGTCCTCTTTCTTAGTGTTTCTTCTGAAACAGTATCTATAGTTGGATCTCCTTTTTCTCTTTAGTTGGAAGTTCCTATGCTTTGCTCTTCTTCAGTCTAGCGTGGGAGTCACCCTAGTGAACAACAGATTTGTTCTGCATCTTTGGATACATGGAACACACACACACACACACACACACACACACACACACTCTTCAAACACTAAGGTTCAGTGCCAGCTTTTAAATAAATAGTCTCGGAAAGGCACTTAGGCATGTGAGGATACAGCCTTAGTTTAGGGAAAACAGTTACATTAAACTATTCCATGTGTGACAAATCAAGCTGGAAAGCTTGCATAGTCACCCATCAATTTTCAATTATCAGTGATATTTTTAACCCTTATTAACTCTGATTATGAGAGTCCATGAAGACATAATGAAATAAAGCACCTAAATGATTTCTATGTGTTGTATATATTAGTTGTTGAGAAGTGATTAAAAGAAGTCAGATTTAAAAGTTTGGATTTTGGTCATTTTTATTTGTATCGCAAAGTGGCTGGTGGACCACATAATGTACAAGCTGATGTGCTGGTGTTGCAGTGTATGGGATAATATCCTAATATTAATGTTACAATGCACAGGATTATAACCTTATATTAGTGTTACAAAAGAAGAGGCAGGGGCAAGGTACATACTTATTCATGAACTGGATAATGCATTTGCAGAATGGTTTACATTTTTATTGGTTTAAATGTCTCAGAGTAAAATGAGAGACCTGCTTTCAATAATATGAATATACGGTATATTGCAATTATAAAAAATAATTATTAAAAATAAGTTAAATTATGCCTAATTTATAAGTGTTTAGCTAAAGTCCAAGTACTGGCATTGCTTTGGTGAGAAATCAAAAATGTAAAGAAAAACTAAAACTAAGTTTAAGTGGAAAGGATCCCACAAGTTTTTGCCATAAAGTGAAGAATATAGTATTTTGAATTACATTAATGTTTTAAATTTAAAATCATTTTCCTTATGTCAGATTCATTATGGAGTACATACTATATATGAATGTGCAAAATACTGTCTGTCTGGCTTGAAAAAAGGAATGTGCAAAATACATATATACTATAAATGAAATATAAAACTGTATAAATTTAATATATTTGCTAGCCCAAACAGTATGCTAAATTGAATCAATAAAATGCCTTTTTATATTCTTATCCCAAATCTCCCTTTTAAAATTAACTGGAAAGTCTTCATTGTCTAATATAAAATCCATGATGCCTTTTATCATTGGGGAAATTGACGCTTTTAACATTGACTAAGGAGATGCTTTGCTTCAGTTGAATATCTTTTCAGATAGAACTTAGAAAACCACAAAGTTAGTTACTAAAGAAATTGTTGGTTGTCTACCTGGAATGTATTTTTTCTCCTCCTCCCCAACTTTCTTAGTATCAAAATGCCAGTTTTGTTCAAGTATCCACATGTTTATAACACTGGTAAGTGTTTCGTATCAGGATGGCCTCAGACCGCGGGAAGGAACTAGACTAAATCAAGCAAGGTAATTCCATCTCTTCACCAGTTATTAGTTTAGGAAATCGCTTATAGCCCACTTCTAAGTAAGGAAAAGTAAATTCCCTTGGGGAGTTTCTGAGAAATGTCTTAGTTCTTCAGATAAGATTCAACAAAAGACTATTTACTTTTCTGCCTATGAAAGTTGCTCCACATGGACGTGATGCCTGAAGCCACAGTAGTCATGTTGTGATCGTGAAGAGAGCTAGCCGAAAGGTGGAGGATGGCAGAGCAGAATGAGGAAAAGCTACTGGCTCCTTAAAGAACTGCTGAAATAATGAAGCTAGGACTAGCACTATCTCTGGACTCCTTGTTATAGAGATAATAATATAGTACACAAGATATTTAAGCCATTTACATTTTTTTTTGTTACTTGCAGCCAAAATAATTCTTACTTATGTAAACCTATTTATATAACTATACATTATAGGAATGGAAAAATATGTTTTATTCCCATTTTATTGTTTTGGAGATATTGGTAAAGACTTTCTTTACCAATATAAGGAGTATCTTTACCAAGATAAGGAGTAATCTTGGAGAATACATCATGATGTATTTTCCAGCTACATAGGCTCAGTCAAATTCTAGGCATGTCTCCATTACCTCACTGAATTTTGCTCTGGTAGGGCTCAAGAAATTTTTTACCATTCTGAAGTAATATGTAGGAACACAAATTCATTTTAAAATTATCCAAAATAGAACATAATCAAGAAAGCAAACCAGCCACAAAAATTTACCAACAATGCATGCAAAAACCAACTTGAAGTACTTTTTAAAATTATGTAGTTTTTACAAATGCCTTTGCTATTGACCCAGGAGTGCATGTAATTATAAACTGACTCATCAAAGTGTTCTAATTCCAAGGCTAGAATCCATTAACTTATAAGACTCTCCAATAAGAGCATGTAAAGAAAAAAAAAAAAGAACAAAGAAATGCTGTGATATCTAAGTTTGAGGAAAAGCCAGGGGATCCCAGGAAGGAAACTAAGACTGAACTAAGAGCACTCTTAATATTGAGTGAGTGGTCAGTACTGCCAAGCAGAGTAGAAATGGTTAGAAAGATGAGCTTTGAAATGTTTCCCTTGCATTTGGCAAAAATGAAGATCATCTTTATTGGTGCTATTTCAGGGGAGTGGATGGCCACATGTCACAGGGTTGAAGAATGAATAGGAAGTGAAAAACTGGAAATCGTGTATGCATACCACTCCTCAAGAAACTTGCTTAGTAGTAAGGGGTAATGGATAATTGTTCTGTAAGAAGAAACATGGTTAGGAGGGATAGGAGTTTGTGTGTGTGTGTGTTATGATGGAAGAGACTTGAACTTTAATTTCTCTTTTTGTGTCATAAATTTACTTTCTTCCATCAGGATAAAAAATATTCTAGCAAATTAAGATCCTTTGATTAATTGAATAAATAATTATTCATTAATTTTTGTTTTATGTCATGCTAAAGCTGGGTCCTGGCATTAAAATGATAATAAGGATCAGATTCTACCCTCTAAGAATGCAGAGTAGAAGGAGAGGCAAAAATATAAAAGCAAACTTTAAAACACTGTGCTCAGTGTGATGGTACAAGAGTAAACATTACTACCTTTACAGCACATAGGAGGGACAGGAAGAAGCAGAGGGGTATAATATAGAGAGTGTGGATCTTGGAGTCTGAAGACTTAATTGGATTTGAGCTCCAAGTCTATGGCTATCGCTTCCTTATGATGGGACTAACATTTTCTGAGCCTCAGTCTCCTCATGTTAGAGGGTGGTTATTAGAATCCAAGAAGATAGGACAGGTGGAAATGTTTTGTAAAATGGTTAGTGCAGTTCCATTGGAAACATTATTTAGAGATGGAAGATAGCAAGTGGAGCTGGGGAGTGCTGCATAGAATAAGAGATCTTTGAGATTGTCACTAAAGCTTGAGTAGGAATTCAAGAAGGGAGGTGTGGGAAGCAGAGAGAAGAGTGTGACCCAAGGTGGGATAGGGAAAAGATGATCTGCCTGTGTAGGAAAATAAATATAGACCAATGAGGCCAAAGAAAGGGGTAACTGAGCACTTCTGGAGGCAACCGAGGATTTTTCCAGAAAGGAAACTTGGAGCCATATAAAGGAAGGCCTTACTTAGAAACCTAAAAATTATGGACATTGTACTGAAGGCGGATAAAGCCTATGGACATTATACTGTAGGTGGATAAAGCCAGTGAATGTGTTTAGGCGAAGGAGAAACATAAAGTGGTTTTCTGTTTTTTGTTTTATTTCATGGGAGGGATTGGGGGAAAGGAGAAAATTTGGTTTCACTCACTTATGGAGGAGAGAAGAAACTGAGAGCAAGGCTTAAGTTTTGGCATGAGTACTGGGAATGGAGGGAGGAGGTGAGCTTGAAACATATTTAAGAATGGTGTGAGTAAGAACTTATATCCAATGGAATGGGAGGTAGTGGTGAAGGGGAGGCACTAGGCAAAAATGACTTTCAGGTTTCTGACTTAGGGCTAGGTGTGTGAAGGAGATGAAGATGCCATTAGCTGCAAAGACGAAAATTTACTGTACAGGGGAAATGGCTTTAGCTGTTCTAGAAAAAGAAAATTGCTATCTTTGAGAACTGCAGAAGTAGTAGCATGCTATTTCCACAATATTTCAGAATATTGTGGTTCTTAGTGCATAAGTAATATATGCACATAACTATTCATAAGATAGTTATAACTGATATTTTACTTAAAGCAATTTAGATTAGGCATTGGAATTAAAGATGGTGAGTTGACAAAATTAAGTTAGAAATGGCCTATTTTATATTTTTAGGAGATTTTCTTGTTTCATTTTGCTCCAGTTGGTATTAAAGAACACAGTGTGTGGAGAATAATGAGCGCCGGCTCGTATAATGTGTTTGAGGTACCTGGCAGATGGCATGTTTCTGATTGACAAACATTTTTGGTCACATATATCTAGAGCTCACAGGATTGTTGGACCTTCAGTGTAGAGAGTTCAGATGTATTGTTTTTACAGTAATAGCTGTTGCCTGGCAAAGAGCTGTAGTCCCATTAGAAGAGCATTGAAAATGAGAAGAGATCAAGAGTGGAAATTTGAGGAATGCCTATATTTAACATGCCTGCACATATATTCTGTTTTACTTATTATTTCTAATAGGGGAAGAGGAGGACATACATCTATAATAATATACAAACCAATCTTCTTAAATTGAGTTTTTCTTAATGGGTAGCATATGGAATTGATTCATCATATATACAGAATATTAATTTATCACTTATAAACACTAAAGATAACATTTTTACTTTATTAGCAAGTCAGATACAAACAATAATAGTAAAAATTCCATCTTTGACAATGCTGCTTTTATCAGCTATATGGTTTCAGTCTTAATTCAAAGGCCACAGAACCTAAACAATACCCCAGTTTTTGATTCTGTAAAGTGCTAATTTAAGACCAACCTTCTTGCCCATTGCTGTGACGTTCTAGGCTATACTTGGAGCAAATTTTGAAACAATCTTTTCTCTAGGTTGTACTAGGAATTACTCTTTGAGTACTATGTTTGTAATGAGTTACTTTCCTTTGACATATAAAATTATTCACTTATTTTATATGGCAATAGTGAGAACATATATCTTTTTGAAAGCTTAGTTTACTAATATATATGTGTGTGTATGCATGTGTGTGTGTATATATGTATCAAAAACCATCCTGTACACCTTAAAGATATACAATTTCAATTTTTTAAAAAAGAAAAATATCTTCTTTTAAAAAATTTCAAATTTTATTTTAGATTCTGCTACAGGTTTGTTACAAGGATATATTGTGTGTTGCTGAGGTTTGAGGTACTATTGAACCCATCACTCAGATAGTTACATAGTACCCAACAGGTAGTTTTTCAACCCTTGTCCCCTCTCCCACTCCCACCTCTGGTAGTCCCCAGTGTCTATTGTTTCCATGTTTATGTCCATGTGTACCAATGTTTAGCTTCCACTTATAAGTGATAATATGTGGTATTTGGTTTTCTGTTTCTGCATTAATTTTCTTAGGATAATGGCGTCCATGCATCCATGTTGCTGCAGAGAACATTATTTTGTGTTATTTTCATGGCTGCATAGTAATCCATGGTGTATATGTACCACATTTTCTTTATCCAGTTCACCATTGATGGGAATATAGGTTGATTCCATGGCTTTGCTATTGTGTTTAGTGCTGCAGTGAACATATGCATTCAGGTATCTTTTTGATAGAACAATCTATTTTTGTTAGGTATATACCCAGTAATGGGATTACTGGATTGAATGGAAATTCTATTTTTATTACTTTTAGAATTCTCCAAACTGCTTTCCACAGGGATTGAACTAATTTAGAATCCCACCAACAGTATATGAATATTCCCTTTTCTCCACAACCTTGCCAGCATCTGTTATTTTTTGACTTTTTAATAGTAACCATTCTTTCTGGTGTGAAATGATGTATCATTGTGGTTTTATTTGCATTTCTCTGAAGATTAGTCATGCTCAGTATTTTAATATGTTTTTTGACCACTTGTTTATTTTTGAGAAGTGCCTGTTCATGTCCTTTGCCCAGTTTTTAATGGGGTTATTTGTTTATTGCTTGTTGAGTTGTTCAAGTTCCTTATAGGTTCTGGATATTAGTCCTTTGTCAGATACATAGTTTGCAAATATTTTCTCCTATTCTTTAGGTTGTCTGTTTACTCTGTTGATAGTTCCTTTTGCTATGCACAAGCTCTTTAGTTGACTTAGGTCCCACTTGTCAATTTTTGTTTTTGTTGCGATTGCCTTTGAGGACTTCTTAGTCATAAATTATTTGTCAAGGCTCATGTCCAGAAGCATATTTATTAGCTTTTCTTCAAGGACTTTTTTTTTTTTTTTTTTGAGGTGAAGTCTTGCTCTGTCACCCAGTCTGGAGTGTAGTGGCACGATCTCGGCTCACTGAAACCTCCGTGTTTCAGGACTTACATCTAAATCTTTAATTCATCTTGACTGAATATTTGTATATGATAATATATAGGGATCCATTTTCATTCTATCACGTATGGATAGCCAATATCTCAGCACCATTTATTGAATAGGGAGTCCTTTCCCCAGTGCTTATTTTTGTCAACCTTGTTAAAGATCAGTTGGTATAGGTGTGAAGCTTTATTTCCGGACTCTTTACTATTTTCCATTGGTCTATGTGTCTGTCTTTAGACACATAGCAAATCCATGCTGTTTGGATTACTGTAGCATTATAGTGTAGTTTGAAATCAGGTAATGGTGATGCCTCTGGCTTTGTTCTTTTGGCTTAGGATTGCTCTTGACTATTCAGGCTCTTTTGGTTTCAGATGAATTTTATAATAAATTTTGTTTCTAATTCTGAGAAAAATGATGTTGGTAGTTTGATAGGAATAGCATTGAATCTGTAGATTGCTCTCGTTGGCATGGAAATTTTAATTATATTAATTCTGCCAATTCACGAGCATGGAATAAAAAACTTTTTATAGGTACCTTCTCAGTTCAAAGTCCCAGAAATGAAAAGTAGAGTATTTTAAACTGTATGTCCTACTAATTATGCTATAAATTAAAAGAATGGCATTTATAACACAGTGTCTGAAAGTTCAGTTATTTTATGCAGAATTGATATATAAAAATTAGATCCAGATTCTCCTAATTTTTCATATCCCAATAAATTATGCACTTATTTTGTATATAACAATGATTTGCCAATGAAGTTTTCAAACATGTCATTTAAACTAGACCTGGAACTCATCAAGGACAGGCAGCATTTAATTCATATTTGTTTCCCTAATACCTGGCATAATGCCTTAAAATATGTAGAATGTTTTTGAAAACATTCATTGAATGAATAAATGTCAAAAGTTCTCTTTCTCTGTAACAGTTGACTTATTTGAGACACATTAAGGTTCTACAAAGAAACAAAACCACCAGGAAACTAAGATTAACTGATAGTTACAAGGAATTTGCTCATACAGTTCTGAAAGCTGTTATATCCTGAGATCTGCAGGATCAGTCAACAATGTGGAGACCCAGGAACACTGATGTTATGTTCCAGTCCAAAGGCCAGGAAGCTTGAAAGCCAGGAAGAGCTGATGCTTCAATTCAAGTCTGAATGCAGAAAAAACAATGTTCCAGTTTGAAGGCAAGCAGGCAGGAGGAAGTCTCCCTTTTTTGAAGTAGGTCATCATTTTAATTCTATTTAGGCTTTCTACTAATTGAATGAGGCCCACGACATTAAGGAGAGCAACTTGCTTTATTCAGTATATCAAATTAAATGTTAATTTTTTGCAGAAACACCCAGAATAATGCTTGACCAAATAGCTGGGGACCCCATGGCCCAGTCAAGTTAATACATAAGATTGACCGTCGCACACTTTAAGAACCTCTGTCCATAACTAATAAACATTGTAAGTACAGTCATTTTTACCTACAGCTCCATCTTTGAAAAAATACTTTGAAACAATTGGTATAATTTCTTTCTGAATATATTTAGAGTTCACTATATTATGCTGTGGTAGATTTTTGACAATGTGATCACTATTTACCTTATCCATTATGAGACTCAGTTTGCATAAAGTATTTTTTTCCCCAAAATCAGGCATAACGATGCCCTACTTTGTTCTGAAATGCATTTTTGCTCATAACTCATCTAAATTATGATATTTCCTAGTTTTTTTACTATCATTTTTGTCCTTACACTGAAACTGTTGTGAAAAAGTATCTGTTTCTGTTTTAAGTTACACATTAAATACTTTAGCAGTGTGTAATCTATACCTTCTGTGATTCAAAAGAGTATGAGCTCTGTGGAAAGCTAGGATGCTGAGTCAATTACTCATCGACATCTCATCTAAGAGAGTTTGGCTACTAATGATGGAGGCAGGATGACATTACCATGGATCTCCACTATCAAAAGACCCCTTAGAAATTTACTTAAAATAAGAGATTTTCTTTATTGGGAGACTTCAATTGGCTTTTTTTTTTCTCCAAAAGAGAGGTTTTCATCTAGTATAAGATTTGTTTCAGGCTTTTAGAAAAATAAAATTGTTCTATTTGAGAACTAAGGAAAATATAGAAATGATAGATTAAGCAGTTCATCGTAAATTAGTGATAAAATGGAATTCATGTGCTATTCTTCTTAAAAAACACCGTTAGATTGTCTGAGTAGTCAGAAATAAGTTTATTCCATCAAGGAAAATCACAATATACATTTTTGTATTAAGAATATGTTTTTTCCCGTTTTGTTATACTTGATATTTTGATGTGTTTGGTTGGTAGACAAATCAGTTGACTTTCTTATTTTTTTATTCATGTGTGAATCTCTGCATTTTTTAATGCTGAACTTGAGAGTCCGTGTGTAACTTAGCCCTGCAATACAAACATTGCTGAATTTACTTAGGGGCAACAATTTAAAAATATCTAATAATAGCAATACCAGCTAGACTGTATTGATCATTTACTATGTTCTAGTCACATGTACTGTCTCATGTAACCAGTTTATTAAGCAAGTTGGCTCAAAGGATGCAAACAAGAAACAATTTTTTTTTTTTTTTGAGACAGAGTCTTGCTCTGTCGCCCAGGCTGGAGTGCAGTGGCGCTATCTCGCCTCAGTGCAAGCTCCGCCTCCCGGGTGCACGCCATTCTCCTGCCTCAGCCTCCCGAGTAGCTGGGACTACAGGCGCCTGCCACCACGCCCGGCTAATTTTTTGTATTTTTTAGTAGAGACAGGGGTTTCACCGTGTTAGCCAGGATGATCTCGATCTCCTGACCTCATGATCCATCCGCCTCGGCCTCCCAAAGTGCTGGGATTACAGGCCTGAGCCACCGCGCCTGGCCAAAACAATTATTTTTCTCTCACCTACTCCTGCCTTAAAGTGTACCCTGTCAGACCCCATTGCCCTACCTCTAGACAGCATCGCTAGCCCACCTCATAACTATTTGTTTCTTTCATGTATCGGAATAGTCTCAATTTTAGGTATGAAACAAAAATGTAGTCTGTTCCGAAGACAAACTTTAACCTTGCATCCAATTTAAAGGTTCTCTCATCTTTTGAACTCTGGAAACCAGTGAAAAGGGAGGTTAGTGTGGTCTGTTTCTTTGCCATTTGCTCTAGCTCCTCCCAACCTCACCTTCTTCTGTCTCCTCTTGAGATCAGGGCAAGGAATGAGGAGGAACAAGAATAAAGAAGCAAAAGCTTCTTCCTCCATTTCTCCTTAATCTCCCCATGTGTGTCCTTTGTTATGTCAGGCATCCAGATGCTGCTTTTCTGTTATGAATGATATTTGTATGTTCTTCAAAGACACTCCACCTTTATCATCACCATCGCACACCTCACTCTGCCTATTGCAGCATTTTCTGACAGGGGAATAGACTAAACCTGACCACTTATAATTCAGCTCCTTCCCACTGCATTATACCTCCAGGGTCTTTCTGAGGCTGTCCCCTTAACCCAACAGGCAGCCCTCCTGGGCAGCATCCCTTCAAGAGAACTTGTACTTGTTTTTTCTGAAAAGCAAGGAAAACCTCAGGCATCCCTGACCTACCATGTAGTGGAAATGCAGCCATCTCACTTCTTTCCCAAATATTATGAGCAGCTCCACTCAGGTTCCCACCTTCAGAATTCTTCTGCCAAGAAGTAGGCATAAATCCCCATTCTTATGAACATTCCTCAGGCTCATGGAAAAAGCTGTCATATTCTACAAGAACTCTCTCACACTTTGCTTGTGGGTATCATCATGGGACACCTATACTTTTTCAATAATTCAACAAACAGCTAGTGTGGGAGTGATCCTTTTTAAATGACCACTTCTGTGCATGCAACACATCCCTCTCCTCTAAGAGGAAAAGTGAGATGAGACTCCATTGTCTATTAAAATTATTTTTAAAGCATCTTTTTCATAGAATCTCTTTTCAAATATTTAGTCTTTCTATCTAGGCTGATGAGAGTGATGGTTTTTGAACTGGTTTGACCAGGGATATGATTAGTAACTTGCTTGTTTTCCACTGTCCTCAGCTTTGAAGCCTTAGCTACATTCCAGGAAAACAGGAAAAGTACCATTTCACATGGAATTATGCTCATTTAAGGCTCACATTAACTCTATGAGTAAAGCATTTTTAAAATCATATTAGTTAAACATGAGGAAGCTTATGGAGAGAGAGGTTCATTACTTGCCCAAGGTCACACAGATTTCTTGAGGTCACTCAGTACTAAGTGGCTGCCTGACTTAAAAGTCTACACCCTTAACCACTTTGCTATATTGCTAAAACAGAATAGTGCAGAGTCTAGAGGATTAATGAACCAATTCCCTAGATAGGTACCACAAACTGCAACACAGACAGTTATAGTACCCAAATATGTCATATTCCTGGTTCAGTTTCCGTTTTCAAAGCTTCAAATTTTCTGATAGAAATGAAATTCATTTCTTCTCCTTCTTCCCATCTTAGAAAGATTCAAATGTTTCAAGACTAATTGCTCATTTTCATGCTGAAATCATAAACATTTAGAAGAATTATAATATTTTTATTCTGAATTTCAGTATTGTGTCATGTACACCATTGACAACCATAAAAATACTATATTAGGACTACGTTAAAATACAAGGAATATAAAATACTATAAATAGCAAAGATTTAAAAATTCCCCTAACAATGTTTCTGTGCTTTTTGAATTTTTAGAACAAATATTATTTTGAGAACTTAAAAGTTTATTATATTATCACTTTAAATGAACATTTTTCTCAGAAATCAAATTTTTTCTCTTCTTTCTTTCCCCTAGGAAATTGTTAGTCTTCCTGCTATGGTTGATATAAATCTGCTATTTGTTTACACTCAATGGCATCCAGGTAGATTATAAATATTGCATTTCTAGAATATCTACTTGCAAAATGTAAACTTAGGGATTTGGCTCCAAAGAGCTGTCTTATCTCAGGTGTTTCATTCTAGTATGCTCATGTGGAGCTTATATTTAGTATTACTTGAGTTGCAGATTTATTTCATCTTGCCTAGCAGCATCAGCTATTTCTTTCTGCTGGTTCCAATTATTATGATTATTTCCAGCCTGAGTGAAGTTTGGCAAAAGCAAATATAGAAAGGGAAAGAAAAGAATAGGTTATTCCCTCAAGCTAACATTCAAGCTTATCGGTCTTTATTTAACTGCAGAAGGCATCTTTTAATACTTGAAGTTAGCAATTTGATATTGATTTTGGTCTTCTTTGGCATTGCAGACGAAAACCCAAGTGTATTCAAGCCACAGTTTAACACTATGGCATAGTTTGGAAGTAAGATGTTTTTCATTGGCTCTGATAGATTAGGCCATTGTCCTCATCTGTTAGAGAAGCTATGGAGATATATTTGGTGAGTTCTGTGATATTCTATGCACATGTAATATATGAAAAAGTAGAGGTTATAAGCACATATATGTCACAATACCAGCAGTGTTTATAGTTAGATGGCTGGTTACATATCTGCGGTGGTTTTGGAGATGATTAGGTAATTTTTGTGTAATCCGTGCTTGGTGCTCCCAGACAACTGTGAATGTGGAGGTTGTGGAACTGGCAATTGAGAAGGAGTCAAGAAACACATACACTTTGCTTTGTTTCTCCATGTTTCTTTAGTAGCTTTATGGCAGAAGACAGTTTTTTCTCTATTACTAAGTACACAAAGGACTTGATAAGAACTTAACTCATTTGAATAAATTTTCTCTGAAGTTTTTATGTAAATTTGAGGATTCAGAAGGAGTGGAAATCAGGGAATAAAGGCATTAAATTATATGCTGACTTTGTGAAGTTGCCTCTTTTGTCATTTTTTCCCCATGTAGCTATAATTGTGAAGGGTAACTAAAAATCCTGCAAAGCCTTATTTTATCACAATAAAGTAAAGAAATAACTAAATACAGGAGATTGAGTTGTTGACATAGATTTTTAAAATTTTATAGAATATTTAAAAAATAAAATCTGGATATTTCCTATTTAGCAAATACTAATTTATGTCAATTGCATATGTATTCTTTGCAATAAATACATCATGCATTCCTCTTTAGAATATTATTTTCTTCCATTTTGAATCCATTAGCTTAAATACAAGGCATATTTTTCTAATTTTCTGAATAGTAGTCATTGATGGGAACATTTTTCATCGATTAGCACCATCTTATTTTTTTAAAGCTTTTAAGTGACTGGAATTTTAAGTTATAACTCCTATTATAAAAAGTTAACTTGACTATAACTTGTAAAGTCAACTCCTCAATCCTCTTAATCATTTGGTAGACTTCTGACTTTATATTCAATGAGATAATCATATTATTTTTATTAGAAAAGAGTCAGTTTTAATATGTCTGAAAAATAGAAGATTCTTGAATAACCTTATGCAAAAGACTTTTTCCAATTATTTTTACCTTTTTTGCTTCCTTCTAAAACAAAATAACACAAAACTCTATTGAAAGTAGGAAAGATCAATTTTTAAAACAACTTTTTATACATTTTATTAAGAAATATAATAGAATTGGCTGGATGCGGTAGCTCATGCCTATAATCCGAGCATTTGGTGAGGCTACAGCAGGCGGATCACTTGAGGCCAGGAGTTCGAGACCAGCCTGGCCAACATGGTGAAACCCCGTCTCTACTAAAAATACAAAAAAATTAGCTGGGCTTGGTGGCACACGCCTGAAATCCCAGCTACTTGGGAGGCTGAGGTATGAAAATTGCTTGAACCTGAGAGGCAGAGGTTGCAGTGACCTGAGAACAGGCCACTGCACTCCAGCCTGGGTGACAGAGTGAGACTCTGTCTCAAAAAACAAAAAAAAAAGTAGAAATTAAAAATTGCTTTTTCATTTATTGACTTGTCAATAAGGTTTATAGTTTAATATTTTTGTTCAAGATTTATTATATGTTAAAACAATTTGATTTTATTCAAATAAATGGAAAAGATCAAAAGCTGTTCTGTTGAATATTTTACTTTTAATAAAAGGTGGAGAAGTACTTTTGTGAATGGAAAAATACATCCTTAATTTATGAAGCATTATAGATATGGGCTTGGTTTCAGGGATATATATATACTTCTAGAGTATATAGAAGTTATATACAGGCTGTTTCTGTTATATATCAACATATAGTCTACTTATATCATTGTTTTTATACTTGATAATCAAGGTATATTTAAAAGAGTTTTATATAAAACAAATCCAAAGTGCTATCTAAAAAAATTACCTATTGGAAAACAGACAGATAAATGTTTTTGTGTTCTTAGAAATAAAAGCCTTCCAAAGGAATAGCTTCAGCAAATGAGAACAATGAACAATTATACATTTTCAGTAGGGTATTAACTCAGGCGATTTGTCATCCAATATAATCTGATAAGGAAAGGCAATATAGATGTATTTATAGTTGCCTGCTATCATTTTTATTAGCATCCATTTGCTGAAGACTCTCCTGATTGTTACTATATCATCAGAAAACATATAATGGTGATGATTATAATAATTTTTGAAATTAAAATATTTTTACATTTCATCACAAATGTAGACATTCCTTATTTTTGTTCTGTATTAACCTTTCCAACTATAAAGACAGAAAAGCCTATTAATGAATAATCATAGTCCAAAGCATTTGATCCTACAAAATAAATATCAGCATGGCAAGACAGTCATTCTCAACAGTGGTCATGAAGGTACAAGTTATTGTTATGGGACTGTAACAGAGTTAAAGTTCCTTTAAGCTGGAATGGCTTGTAGAATTACTGCTTCATTTTAACCTCAGCTTTGTCTCTAAAGATATGCAAATGATCCTATTTTTCTCTGAAGACAATATTTATTATTTATAAAGCAATACTTCTCTGCTTGTTGTTAATAGATTTACACAGTCTTATATGTTCAGACCCAACTTCTAATCTGACAACAGCCAAGTTTTCATCCAGTCCTCTCTTGCACTAGTCATGGTTTCCAGCTGTTCTCTGGACATTTCCACATGTATGCCCTACTTCTTCCTTTAAAAATCTAAAAGTCAACTTACTTGTCACTTTAGTAAGCTCTACCTTTTGATTTCCCAGTTTCTTTTAGGGACCCCATAGTTTTCTAGTTCAATACACTAAAAATTTGGAAATTCATGCTGTCTCTTCTCTTTTCTTCTGACTCCTTAATCTGCTTAATTCTGTTAGGTCTTGGTAATAATTCTTGTTTTTCCCTTTCATCTGTTAGCACTGTATATGTGTCCCTTCATTTGCCCTACCTGTATTAATACCATAGCTTCTAACAGTTTTCCTGCTGACAGTCTTTCCCTTGCCCAATCCATCCAGCAAGTGACTACCAAATTCACCTGCCTAAAATGGCACTCAGCATGATACATCTGTTTCTACTTTTTTTCCGTACTGCACAACCTCTAAATATTTAGCCTGACATTAAGAATTTGCTATAATAAAACCGCAGCACAACTTTCTACGTGTATTTGATGCCATTTTCCTACATATGCATTGGATCTTAGCTATGCTGGACAACATGGATTTTATCTCTATCCTTCTCTCCCTTCCTCAACCAAGAATATTGTCTGAGTTTTGCCTGCTGAAAATTCTGCTGGACTCTAATGCCATCTCCTTCTCATATCATCCCTTGATTGCTCTATTAGAAGTGATATCTACATTCTTTTATTTGTCTGTTTTAGATCACTTATTGCATGACACCTTGAAAAATCATTTCGATAGATGGCATCTTTTTTAAAAAATAATTTAATTAATTTTTTAATTTTACTTTAAGTTCTGAGATACATGTGCAGAATGTGTGGGTTTGTTACATATGTATACATGTGCCATGGTGATTTGCTGCACCTATCAACCCATCATCTAGGTTTTAAGTCCTGCATCTTATCTACTGTTCCATAGAATCTTCAAGTTTAGATATTCAAGCTTCTATATCTTCTTAGTCCCTTTCCTTACTAACTTCACAGAGTAAGTACTCGGTAAATATTTATTGAATGAAGAATATACTTGTTTCAAGGTGTAAATGAAAGTTTGTGTCCAAAAACTGCCAGTTAAAGTCTAGATTACGTACAATACATTTATATCCAACTTCAAATCATAACAATATTTTATAGTTTAGTGCTTTGTAATAAAGCCCTGCAATCAGACAATAGTAAAGTTGGTGGAAGTAAAGATTTTTTTTCCTTTTTTAGGACTAAAACTAACTGCAGAACCATCCAGGCATACAGGTTGAAGTGCCCTAATTTTCAAAAGTACAATTATGTCATTTGAATAGGGGCAAAGGTAGGAAGGCAGTTCAAATCAAGGTACAGAATAGATTTACTACATTTGCAGCTCAAGATATCACTCATGTAAACTCCTGATATTTGAATCTGTAGTGCAAAAGTAATTTCTTTGCAAAGAGCAAATTTTAAGGGGAACTGGCTTCAAAACTAAAGTGTAAAAAGTTCATCTCTGACATTGTGCATCCCTGATTAATTTGACATATTTGTAGAGATAGGATATAAATGCCCAATGTTCTTTGATGATTCTAGTTATATATGTAGTAACTTACCCAAATCAGTACACCTCAACATATAAATAACCAATATCTTCGCTTTAACTCCTCAGGAGAGAAGATAAGTCAGAAGCTGTGAGAAAATGAGAAATTTCTTAATTTCATAATTTCTATTAGAGATGCAGAAAATCATTTTTACCTTTAGATTGGCATAGTGTAATATATTACAATGACAATTTTTTATATGTCTGTATGCAGATCTGAGAAGTTCTTTGATGAAAATGCCGCGAAAGAAAACAAGTAGGAGAAGGAGAAAGGAAGAGGAAGGAGAGAAGGAAGATAGGGAGGAGAATGTGATTTAGTCAAGAGCATGTTTCTGATCTAATGATCTATGCATTCATCTTTGGAAAGTGTTCAGTCAACCAAATTGTCTGAATGCTCAATTAATCTAATAATTCCCAGCTTGACATTCTGAGATTGTGGTTAGGTTTAGAGTATAACTAACAGGAGTATTACAGACAGCTCCACACTAAAATCTAAAACATTGTTTCTTATGAGTCCATGAATACATTCTCAGTTTGGGATCAAGACAAATACGTATAATGTTTCGAAGACCATCCGATTAGATTCTGTTCAACGCAATAGATTGAACAATCATTTGTGTATTTCTTTGAAAAGATTCTTTTTTAAAAATTATGTGGTGCCTTTTATTCAAGTTCAAACACTGAGTTTTCCTGGTGCAGCTTTTTGTTGTCGTTAAACAATCTGCACAATGCTTCATAGTGCAGAGAGGCAAATAGTCATTGAAGCCTTTATCCAAGGGCTTCTTTGTCTTTCTCCCCCTCTTTTCCTCCATCCCCCAACCCTCTCTCTCTCTATTTTGTCTGTATGTGTCACTCGTAAACACGATGTTAAGCAGATATAACAAGACTATAATAAATATTATCAGGTTAATTTTCAGTCACATAACTGAGAACTCAGTTACAGAACTGAGACTCAGACAATGGTAGTTATGTAATCAAAACGTATATATACATATATATACATATATATATATATATATATAAAACCCTTATTTTCTGCAAAACAGTTCTGACTAAACTAATATATAATTTGTTAGCTTTAGGATGTTAGTATTCTAATTGCCTGGAAGTACTAGAGAACCCCCAAATATATTGACTTATAAAAGAAGCTGATTTCTCTTGCACACAGGTGGTCCAGGACTGGTGTGGTAGTTCAACAGTTACGTAGAAGTCAGAATACTACTAATTTTGGTTCTTCCGTCCTCATGGATGATCTTAATCCCAATGGCTGAGCCATTATATGCACATTTGAAATAGCAGGAAGGATGAGAGAAAGAGGGGGAACATCAGACTTTTTTTTTTTTTTTTCTGAGACGGAGTCTCGCTCTGTCGCCCAGGCTGGAGTGCATTGGTGCAATCTCGGCTCACTGCAACCTCCGATGCCTGGGTTCAAGCAATTCTCATGACTTAGCCCTCCCAAGCAGCTGGGATTACAGACACCCACCACCACTCCCAGCTAATTTTTTTTCTATTTTTAGTAGAGATGGAGTTTCACCATCTTGGCCAGGCTGGTCTTAAACTCCAGACTATCTTTTAGTGAAAGCTCCCAGAAAAGGCCACAAGACTTATGTTTACATCCTATTGACCAGAACTTAGTCGCAATAGTGTACCTAGTTAAATATGGCTTTATTTTTGGAGGCTTAAAAAATTAAAAACTCTAGAAGGCATGAATGTGAATGGAAATAAATATACAGGTATAATATAATTAATTTCATTACATGATATTCAGACTGTGACATGAGGAATAAAATGATTTGCCTGATCCAACTCAAATATTGAAATATTATTTTAAAATTCCCTTCTGAGTGAATATAGACTATGTGACTTTATATAGTCTTTAGTATATTATTTCTTTTTTTGAAACTTATTTTTTAAATGGACAAAAAATTTATGTAATTATGTACAATATGATGTTTTGAAGTATACATACATTGTGGAATGGATAATCCAGCCAATTAACAAATGCATTACCTCACATAGATATCATTTTTTTGTGGCAAAAGCACTTAACATGCACTGTCTGTGCATTTTTTGATCATATAATATATTGTCAATACCTATAGTCACCATGCTGTAAAATAGATCTCTTGAACATTTTCTAACTTTAAATATGTATCTTTAGACCATCTTCCCAACCTCCCCTTCCCACTAACCACCAGCCTCTCACAACCACCATTCTACTCTCTGCTTCTATGAAAATAACTTTTTTAGATTTTACATATGAATAAGATCATGCAGTATTGATCTGTGCCTGGCTTATTTCACTTACCATACTATTAGGCATCAAATTAAAAAAAAAAAGAAAAGAAAAATCTGCCATTTGCAACAACATGGGTGAATCTGAAGGCATTATGTTTAGTGAAATATTATTTCTTGTTTAGCATATGAAAGTCTAAGTTTCTACTGCACATGGACACTAGCTATATGGCCTCAGATTATTTGTGTGAAAAATCACATCACTGGATGATGTGACTTCTAACATTCTGTGATTAATTTGTTTTCTCTGATGTGCTAAGCCTTGAGGAAAGGCAGTGTTTCATATTGGCATTCCCAATGCCTGGAACAATGGTTTATAGGAATATATATACATAGTTAAATAAACATACATGGTGAAAGTTACATGAACCAAATAAACACTTCACCTTCCTCCTAACTCTTCCTAGATGTTGCTAAATTCTCTGCACTTTTATATAATAATATGCATTAGTTGTAACATTTTCAGGCTCAAGTTACTGAAAGCCAAATCAAGTAGGCATAAACCATAAGGATATTTATGATTTTACATAACAGGAAATCTAAAGATAGGACAGACTCCAAGATTGGTTGATTGAATGACTAAAAATATGTCTTCATTCAGTTTCTCTGCTCTGCCATCTTCAAACATCAGATATCTTCAAAACAGATATTGAAAGAAATGGCATAACCTGCATAATACATATACTTCGTATCTAAATCATTTTAAATATTTTAAAATAATTTTTTAATTATTTATTGAAAGACTCGTCTCCTCACAAAAACTATTCTTAGATTATGTCCATACTTAATTTATATCCCCAATCTAGGACATAGTAGTAGAGGGCTGGATATTGAGTAGATATTTAGTATTACATCTTTGAATTATTCCTAATTAGGTGAAATGTATAATATGTATTTCATCACAATTAATATTAAATGAAAAGAGAACTTTGAAATCAGATGATTTTGGATCTGGGGCAAATTGCTGACTGTTTCTCAGTATCTGTGTCTTTATCTCTAAAACAGAGATGTTAATGTCTAATTCCTAGTGGTGTTGAAGATTAAAATGATAATCTGTTTACAAATAATAAATATAGTTTTTATTGATGATGTGTACAACGATTTCAAAATACTTCTAAAGAGACTGACTAAAAAGTACCAATACGTATATTTATTTTTACCTTTTTATGTTGGTTCTAGGAGAGTGCTATAATGTTAGAAGACATTATGGTTATTACACGACATACAAATTATGGCAATAATTTAATTGGGCAGCCATGTAACGCAATCTTGTGAATTTATCTACCTGTATTTCTTTTTCTTTTTTAATTCTTATGTTTCATGAGTTTGTTTTTCACCATTTATGGTTGCTCAAATTTAGAAAGCTTCAATGATGTATAAGACATTGGCTCTGGTATGAGAGAAAATCATTTTGAGTGCCAAGAACCCCCTTCCTTTTGTTTCAGCATTATACAGGTTTGTCTATCTACCTTGGCATTCTATATTTATTGCCATTGGATAGTTCCAAGTTTGGTTTCTGACTGAACCTTCCCAGAGTCGGGCTGTGTTTTTGCACACTGGGAACCTGGCTTTATTCCCTTGAACAAAATTGTTAGTAGAAAAACCTTCCTAAATAAAATCAAGCAAGTGAAAAACAAACCACAAAAAAAATACCAAACAAAAAATGCAAGTTTATTGATATATACCTTACTGTTTGAAATTGCATGAAGCCATAAATCTGACTGAATTTTATTTTTTGTCAGTGTGGAATGCTTAGGACAGCTTTAGTTTATCACTTTTTTAATTGCAAGGGGAAAATGTATATTTCTGACATTTTACATTTTTTTCTGATATATTGTTTGATATTATAATTAAATTTCATAAAGTACCTGGATTTTGGGGGAAAATAAAATATAAAGTATTCTGTAGCTAAATATATGTGACATATATATGATTAATTCAAATAATATCTCATGATTTGCATTTGGATTAGGACACCCAAATAAAACAAACAAACAAAAATCCTGCCCTGCTAAGTACAGGAAAAATGATTTAGGCAAAGACAGGAAAGAGCTAATTTGCTTGACAGAGTGGAGCTAGAAGTATAGAATATAGGTTTAAATAACTCCACTCTATTTCCTAAAAGGTCATGTAGAATTTATGAGCATACCATAGGCGACTAATACTATGGTTGTGTTACCATTTCAGAATTGACCAAAGTCATTTTCTTTAGTGTGATTGGTCCTGCCAGGCTGCCTACTTTATTTCAATATCATTCTTCAGATGCTGCATTTGAGCACAGCTGGCTTGCGTATTGCAATGAAACAAATGGACCAGGCCTTAGAACAATGAAACATCCTCCTTTGTTTGAATCTCAGTGAAAGCTGCATGAGTTCAGATAAAAAGAAATACAAGAATATGAGGACCCTGGTATAGAGACTAGAAATGATAAATCAGCATATTGAAAATTTATAAATGACATATGCATACTGATTAGATGTGAAAACAGTTGTTAGTTTTATCTTCGGGCACTCAAGTGTATAGCCATTAAAACTACATAAATGTTGCAGTCTGTGTTGTGAATGTCTCCAAGGATATTCTTTTCAGAGTAATGGCTGTAACTTTCTTTTATATCATATTCTTCAGATGATAGCCCACCAGGTTAGTGAAGGTAGCTGTATTGCAATGAGATAGGGCCACTTATAAAAGTAGACAATGTGATAGGCAGAAAAGGAGCAGTATGACACTGCTGATAATAAAATAAATGCTCCTGTCAGATACATTAAGCAGTACCTTTTGTAAGTTTAATTCCTTCATTATTTTATTAATAAAAATATTTTAAGAACAATGCAAGATAGAACTGTCATGCTATTACTACTTTAGAAGCAAGAGTTTGGGCATTCTGTCACACCCTAATGTCTTATTTGTGGAAGGCTAATGATAATAATAAATAGTAAAATGATAATAAAATGTGAGTAATATTAATAATAGCAGTAACACTAAAAGCTCATTGTAAAGACCAATAACACAATGGATTCAATTAATAAATATTTATTGGGTACTTAACTATAAGCCAAGCAACATGGTAAGAATATATAGGTAAACAAAACAGATAGTCATTTGCCTGCAAATCAGCTGTGATTACAGTAATAATGTCAAACAGATTTATTGTAATAGCATTGTGACATTTACTTCTTTTGTATTTCTCAAAGTGCTAACACAGTCCACGGTACCCAAAGGAATATTTTTGTTGTTCTATCTGGTGTTGTTACATTTTGTTCTTTGTTTTAATTTTATTGGATTTTGTGCATATTATATTTGACTTTATTAAATACTTCACACAGCCACTCTTGAGATTATGAATGATAAACAAAACATCCCTTCATTTATTTAGAAGCTTTCTCATAACTTGAAGTCATGGCATTGAGTTTTCACAGATTCACATTAACGTTACTGTGAATTTAATGCTGTAAAAAGAAATAGTGCAACAGAAATGTCCAAGTTCATATGATGTCAGAGTAAAGGCTGGCATCCTCTGGATTTTTATGGTTTGAATAAAAATGCCTGAACTTTGGAGTTCTTAACTAAATATTAGTGGACCATGAATTTCACCATGATGATGTAATCTTGGTGGCGTAGATGCAAAATAAAGTGTCAGCTCCGTTGAAGACTTTATTTTAGCCTGACTCATCAGTGGCTTCTTGAGCTGCAAATGCTGATGCTGTAATATGTGCCTAGAGAAACCACATGTTTAATTGCCTGGTCTGAAATGCTCAGTGCTTTATTTGTTTTTTTAACTTTCACATTGATCACAGAAGAGATGAATAATGTTGACATTGAGAAAAGTGAGGTTGAAACAAAATACACTTAAGAATTAGTATGGTTAGGAAGGCAAGCAGAACTCCTGCGGGGTTGTATAATAAGCTGAATATATGTGGTGAATTGGGGGCATCACTTTGAGTAGTTTCTAAGTTTTGTAACAGGCTGATTTTAATGTCATGTGTTATATTTGTTCAGCAATATCCATCTAGTTTTATAGAACTTTAAACTTAATTTTCTGGAAAAAGGTAGAGACAGTTGCATGTTTGTGTGTGAACATGTGCAACCTATTCCCCCTTTGTATTATTTCATAATGCAGTTGTTGAAAGGTCAGTTGATGCATATTTTACTCTGCTTTCCAGGACAATAGAATCAGAACAGAGCATGGTTTCTACTCAGAGAAAGATCCAGGCTATCTAAAATTAGGTTAGATGGTCCTCAGCAAAGAAATCAAAGCTGTCTTATATTTAGTTCTAGTGAGACATCCCACTGTGCATTGATGTAACCAATAATATGCCCTTGTGGGCCAATATGGGCTGCTGATTAACTTCTTGCAGTAAACCTGTAGGTATATGTAGGTGGACATTTTATTCAAGGGGGAAAATAATGTATTTCCCATGCTACCAAAGAGTACTAGGAATTATTTAGAGTCTTTTGCTTAAATTTATGTTTTATGTCATCAGTTTTCCAGCATAATAATCAAATAGTCTATTTAAAGTTTTGCATTTGCTACTTCAATATCAGATAAATATTTATAACATTAGATAAATTTTTGTTTAACAAGGAATACCATGCTTAATGGGAATAGGGTAATATGTTGGCTTTTAATACATAGTTTGTATAATCTTACTGTCTTGTCAATGGTTTCCTCTTTATATATTGGATAAATCATAGATGCATAAACAAAGCTGATTTGTGGACATGCCAGAAAGATGTCTGTTGTCATTTGAGCCAAAACAGCTATGGGTTAATTTGGAAGATTCAAAGCTAAAGTTACCACATTCTCACATTTTGTCCCTACTTAAGTACTTCTAGGGAAATAAAGGAAAAGCATATGTCCTCTCTCCATTCCCTTTCCTCTCTTTCTCACATTTTCCTTTTTCTTACTGTCTTTCATTTTGTAATCGACCTTTTCCCTTATGTTCTTAAAATAGTATTGGTAAATGGTAACTGTTGTCCTGCATTCTATGATGGCAGCAACCACAGCTTTCATATCGGTTGTTGGTTAAGTGTGATAGTGATCATGTCAAGAACTGGGTATTCTAGGCATCTCAGTATTCATTTTCCTCCATGAAGGATAATCTTTACTGAAATATACAAAGGAGAAAACAAGAGATGTTTAGTAAAGGAAATTGAATTATTGTTATTCATTTTAATATTTTAAAAATTATCATAAGTCATTGACAACTAAAGGAGAATGGTCAGTATTAAGTAAAATAAATTAGAAATAAAGTAATAGGTTTACCTAAAAGTGAGTTTCTGGGGGAAGCTTGATTATGTATCTGTCTAGGAATGGCATTGGGGTAGCATTGTTAATTAATTTTTCTTTAATTTTAGATAAAAGTTAAAACAAAATAAAATGTATGAGCTTGTAAATTCTTTTTATGACTATCTGACAAATGTGTGTGTGTGTGTGTGCGTGTGTGTGTGTGTGTGTGTGTGTGTGTGTGTGTGTGTATGTGTATTGGAACTTGCTTTTTTTTTCATTGTTGGGGCTAATAAACCTAGAGGTAAGTGTCTAATTATATAATTTATCTTTAAATATTTATCAGTTGCAGGTTCAGGGGATTTTATTTAGAAACATAGAAGCATAAAGTTAAATGGGGTTCAGTGGGTCATTGTTCTAGTCAGCCTTCTTCCCTGTAGAAAGACCAATTCCAGAGCATGGCAAATGGTAAATGGTAACTAAAGTCCTGTGTTCTAAGATGGCAGCAACCACAGCTTTCATGTTAAACAATTTCATACATTGGTCTTTCATCGTAATGATCTGAAATCTATCTTCCTGTCTAAATTGATTGTGGCGCTGTTGATCACTTGGATTTATCCAGTTTTCCTAATCTTGAGAATAGGAAGGAATATTTTTAGAGCAAGTATATGTAAACATCCAGAGTTATCCCCGTTGAACTGCTCAGTGAGCTACCAACATTATTAGTTTGTCTCCAGTTTTAGAGACTAATGATGTAAAACCATGACTGTTCCTCTGAAGAAAGCTTGTAGCATTGAGGACATGTATTCATCATCTGTAATTTCCCTTAATATCTTATTATCTAACCTACATAAAGTTGCTAAGGCTTTACAAACTTTATTTCATTTTCAGATACTGTGTTTCATTGATTTAAGGTGCACCATTATTTTTTTCTATTACTAAGAAAGAAAAACAATGGCACCAATTAAATATGACACGATTAATTTCTTATTACTTAGAATTTGCATCTGGTACTTACTGAAAATAGATTTTGTATAAATTTGGGTGAATTTTATAATATTTAATGCCTGTACACATGAAAAAAATATGTGAGGTAAATTGATTGGAATATCCTCAGATTGCTTTACATTGAGATTATGACTTTTCTAAGTAACTTTGCTACCTAGAATTTTTGATATCTGTCATTTGGGGGGGTAGTTGTTGTTTTCTCTTTGTTTCTACATCAAGAATGTGGTGAAGAAGCATTTATTTTATTAAAAAAAGAACTTCATTGTTTTTAGAACTTTCTTCCAAATTACTAACCTCCAGTCTGTAAGTTATTTTTTTTTTTTGTGCATATGTGGACATATTCAACTATGTCACAACTGCAGCCTGGACAATATTATTTAAGCAGCACCTACTCCAGGATCACAGGAATTAAAATGTGAAATCTCTGCATGTTATAATTGCCAGCAAATATGTTACTGTATCTTTTGGGAATAATCTGAATTAGTTCAGTCTAAGATAACATAGATAACGCCTACATAGATGTGTTTGAAAAGTGATCGGTCCCTATTTCCAGATTTCCTTGTGAAGGCAGTTTCCCAAGGAACTTTGGTCTTCACAGCTTCCTCTGACTGATAAATTCTGATGCTGTCATCAGAGATATGATATTCAAGATATGAATGCAAAGATAAGTACCCAAAACCTTGGTAAACAGAGCCTTAACCATTATATTAGAAGATACCTAGGAACATTCAGCTCTCTATTATGTTATCAATGGAGGAGAGCTCTGGTTTTCTCAATATAGAGAATAGGTTTTGAATCAATTCTATCAGTATTAGACTTCAAGCCATGCTCTAAAACATAAAGGGATTGTAATGCAACCAATTAGATATAATGTGTTTATACAGAAGTGATCTTCAAGGGAAGCTGCCTTATTTGTGCAAGTCAGACATTGTAGAGGAGGTATAGTTAGATAAATAAAACATATAGGCCTGTGAATTTTCTTTATTCATTTTTAACTTTTTTATTATAGAACATTTAATCACATGCACAAGTAGAAAGAACAGGCCGGGCATGGTGGCTCATGCCTGTAATTCCAGCACTTTGGGAGGCTGAGGTGGGCAGATCACAAGATCCGGAGTAAGAGACCAGCCTAGCCAATACGGTGAAACTCCGTCTCTACTAAAATACAAAAATTTTTCAGGCATGGTGGCGGGTGCCTGTAGTCCCAGCTACTTGGGAGGCTAAGGCAGGATAATCGCTTGAACATAGGAGGTGGAGGTTGCAGTGAGCTGAGATTGCGCCACTGCACTCCAGCCTGGAAGCCTGGATAACAGAGCAAGACTCCACCTCAAAAAAAAAAAAAGAAAAAGAAAAAGAAAAGAAAAGAAAAAAGAAACAATGGACCTCTGTGTACCCTGTGTCCTACTTTCAACAATTATCTGTATTTTTCCAATTTATTTTATCTGTCTTCACCACATTTTCTCTGATCTCTAGAGTACTTTAAAGCAAATCTCAGACATCATATCATTTCCCCATATATATTTCGGTACACAGCACTCACATAGAAGTGCATTTTTAACATAAGCTTGTCATTATCACCTAAAAATTACTAGTAATTTCTTAATTTCACATCCTTGGTCCATATTCAAATTTCCCTGATTATCTTAAAGATGTTTTGTAAATGTTTTTTCCTTTCTTCCCCCCTTCCTTCTCTCTCTCTCCTCTTCTCTCCTTTCTTTCCTACCTTCTCTCCCTCCTTCCTCATGAATCAAGATGAAAACAAGTCAGAAATTGCATTTGTATATGTTCCTAACATCTCTTTTACCCTCCCTCACTTTTAGAACAGATTAATATTTCTAGTTTTATTTACCTGGGAATGCAGTAGACAGTGGGCTTTGAGTCAGAAAATTTGGCGTGTAATATTGGTGATGTAACCAGTTATTGAACAAATTAGGCTCAGTAGGATATAAACACTTAGCAACTTGATTCTTTCTCATTGTTACCCCTTGAAGCAAGCTCTATGGACTCATTCTTCCATACAGTTTAGTTTTCCTCCTAGTTTTCTACTCATTATTAGGTATTAGCAAATAGACTCTTTTTTCTTGCTGTCGAATAGTCTAATCTAGTCTAATATACAATTTATTTTCTTACTAAGTTTTAAGGTTTTACCCTTCCAGTACCTCCTGCTATTCCCCGACCCAGGCCAGTTCTGTCCTGTACTGTGGAAGAGACCAGCAAGTTTATTCTTTTTTTCTCAACCATCTCTCTCTTACAAACTAGCTGCTACTTCTGGATCTTCCAGATTCAGACCCAATGGTGAGGGAGGAAACAAGAAATAATATAGATAGAACCATTTTATAAATAGAATGCTTTTGTGTATCTGGTACTGTTTAATCTGGTGTCCATCTTCTCTGTTTCAGATGCCAAAGTCCTTGCTATTTCTCTCCTGAAGCCCTTTTGAGGGATTTTCTGTGATTTTTCACCATTGGAAACTTCCAACTGTAGGTCTTTGCCTGGGAACTTACAGTTTCCTCTCAGCCCTTGTCTTCCCAGAAATACTTTCTGTTGGGACTTTCTTATCATTCTAAGGCAGCTATCTGGGAAGGAGTGCCTTTGAACTCTCAAGAACACTTCTTTTCAGAAATCCACCAGGCCAATGAGAAAACGCATACCTGCTTGATGGGTCCATCAGTGGAAGTGCAAGCCATTCCCAATATAGACCGGTCTCAAGACTGTGCTATTTCCAGCCAGTCTCACAGAGAGGGCTTCATAGGAGTACAGCCTCCCTCAACTCTAAGAGACATACAATTAGCCTGAATTCAGGAAGAAAACTTTGACTAGGGTGAAGAAAGAAGAATGACACAGCACTTCAGAAACTATCTAACTAGAAACTCACTACCATTTTTTCACATCTCATGAATTCATAGCTTTTTCTTATGTAGGCTAGAGGTGAGTAATGAGCAAAACTGGATTCATATTCTCTGATCCTATTCTTAGCAGATGTGTTTACTATTGTTCTCCACATCTGGGGCTTATAAAAAGGAAAAGACACAGCCCATGTCCTTGAAATCTTGGCCACATCATTTAAACTTACTGGATCTATTTCCTCAACTGTAAAATCCAGGCTTTGGAGAGAAGTTAATGTAGTATAGTCCCTCCCTTCAAGGAACTGGCAGTTTACTAAAGGAGATGAATCTCAAAATAATTACACTACTAAAAATTAGATTGGAAATATTACAGAAGTAAGCAGGATGGGCTATCTCATGGAAAGACGTAAAGAGGAGAAACAGGTTTTCCCAACAAAGGGAAGGACACTCTTCAGTTTTGTATTCCCCACAACTCTTGTCAAGGTAGTAAATGTTCAACAGATACATTTATATATAAATAAATGCCCAAAGAGGTAAATATTAAGGAACTATTTCACTTATGGGACTGAGGAGATAGAGTTTTTTGTACTTACTTAATGATAAGGCACCAAATATGAACCTGAGATTGTCATATTCTGCCATCTGGAATATTTTTAAACAAATAGATCCATTTGCAAAATGGCTGGAAGGTTTCAGAAATGCCACCTCTGATCATGTATGACTGTAAAACTGACACCAGCACGGGTCACATTTATGAACTCTAACTTTGACCAAATTGTGTACAGTCTGAACTAAATAAATGGAATTCACCAGTTACTGTCTTTATAACCCACCTTAGTAGAGATGAACCCTCTGCCAAGCAGTAAAAACAAAATAGGTACTTGAAGAAAAAAGAGAGATCAAAGAAGAAAGGACAACTTGAGAGAGGAAGGTCAAGTGCAACCAAAGCCAGCCTGTACCTCTGCCATAAGAACATGATCCATCAGTGAAATATGTGTGTTTATTGAATGCCTACAATTTATTCATTATTTGCAAGGCATCATACAGAAGATATAATGACCTTTAAGACACGGTGATTGTTTATTTGAAATTTGTACCATAAATTATTTAAGGCAGTGTATCATGTAGTATCCTACCAATGCCTTTGCCAACTGTTGGAGTAGTGATAGCCATTCTCTCCTCTGATGTCCTGGAATACTTTACTTGTTCTATCATAATGCATTCTCACACAGGATTTCTCTCCCTGGGTTTCCTTGATTATAAGCCATATATTTTATAGCCTTTGTATCACCAATGGCAAAAACATCAGAGATCAGCAAATGGAATAAACAGATGAATAATGGACAAAGGAGTGGTATAGATGCAGACCCGGAGTATTTCAAATATTGAACAGAATAGATGTTGAAGGGTAAGTGTTTCAACATGGAGAAAATTGGCAAAGAGATGTTAGCTGAGGAACGGTAGGGCAGGTAGGAAGAAATTTATATAAAAAGGAATAAGAAAGAAAGCAGAAGCAGGGAAACTTATAGACCAGCACCACTTTGAGAGAGGATGAAAGAAGAAATAACAGACACAAAGGACCTGGTCCTGAGCCAGCCCACATTAGGGGCTCAGGCAGTGCAGTTGGCTCTTTTCTCATTATGTGCACTTCTGAGGTATAATTAAAGGAGTGGTGGGTCCCCAGCAGTCAGTTCAGCTGTTAAAAGGGGTGTTTGTGCCACTAGCAGAACTCAGCACTGTATGGTTCTGTTTTCTGTGATAGTTTTGGTGGGGTGAAAAGGGGCTCAGATGAATCAGTAAAGTCTTCTGATTCACAGTGCTTCTTGGCTTGGCTATCAAAATTCCTGCCACTTTTATATGAGTGGGCAGGACTTTCCATTGCACTTGCTAGTGAGCATATAGAAAAATCTCCCTCTTTATTTAAAGGATAGAATAGGAAGTAGGAATTACTGAGGAACTGGATTTATTTGTGTGGGGATGTACATTATTGGCCTCATAAGATCAAAGCTGCAATATAACATCTAAGCTGTCTGTAAAATATTTTTAAATGTAAACTCAACTGTCCTTATCCATATTCATCCTTTGCATGAGCATGAAAGATCGGATTGTTCAATAGTGAAATTGCTTTGTCTTCCGAGTTGTTCATGAGCATTGACAATAGGCAGCACTATGCTTATTTTCCAAGTGGTGGCTTCAGAGAGAAAACACCAAAAATCTTACACTGTATTCTGACATTCTTTTATTAGAGATTCATTAATTCATTAGAAGATTTGAGGATATTTTCTCCCTCAAAAGGCATTTGATAAGATGTGAACATGTCTAAAGTAGCAGTGACATAAGCTTTTAATTTTGGCTGTTCCCTTAGGGCCACACACCTGAAGGGTAAACTGGATACGTATCTTAGAGCTCAGAAAATCATAGCATTTCAGATTCTGAAACACTGAACCCATTGTTTTCAACATACAGATGAGGAGGCTGAGTCCTGGAGTGGTAAAGTGTTGTACACAAATGTGAAATTATTGTGTTACAAATCCAAAACAAACCAGTACCGTATCTCTTGACTCTCACCACTAGTCTTTCCTCTATGCCACACCTTGTTCAGGATCAGCCCTCTGTCAAGAGTACAAAGAGAGGACAAAGAAAGGGAGCTTCAAGGAGGAAGAACAACCTGAGAAAGGTGAAGGACAACAAAAATGAGCTCTTGTCTCTGCTGTGATGCTTGGGGACAAGCTTGTGTGGGAGCTTAGCCACGACACAATGGGACCTAGCATCACAGCAAAATATAGCCCTACATTTCTGCAGCATCAGGACAGTAATGCAGATTTTACACTTAATGATAGCTCTTTCAATTCTGTTGTAGAAAACAGGAGCTCTCCAGCTCTCAAGCTGTATTTCTAATTTTAAATACTTATATATTTACATTGCAGTGAAATTGCTCCATACGACCCTTGGAAATACTACTGTACAACATCAACTTAGGGTGCTTTTTTAACTCATTTGAGTGAAAAATGGTGATCACAAGTCTGTATTTTCTTATAACTGTTAATATTTCAGTGAGGTAAGAAAAAATACAGGGCTAATTTATGAAATGAGTGAGCTTTTTTCTAAGTAGTGTTTGCCAGGTGTGTAGATTGGTAGTTTAGGAAATAAAACAACTTTCCAGAATGAAAAAGTGATGAAATCTTTTATTTTAAAAGTAAATGTTTATGCTTACTTTTAATTTTAAATGACCCTGATTAACTGAAAGTATAAACATATATAGTATTCAATTTTTCCTTTCATGTCAAAAATTGAATATATAGTATTCAATTTTTCAATTGAATTTCAATTGAATTTCAGTATTCAATTGAATATATAGTATTCAATTTTTCCTTTCATGTCAATAGGTATTTATACACCATTTATGTATTTTCAGTTGAAGAGCTAAAAATGGTTATGGGAATAAAAGACTTCAATCACGATTCTATTGTTCCCTTTAAAGAAAGGGGTGTTATTTTCCTACCTACTATTCATGGAACAGGAGGTTGTGTTAACTTTGTAATGCTGCTGTAACAAATTACCACAGACTTAGAGGTGTAAAACAAGGCAAACTTATTATCTTATAGTTCTGGAAATCAGAAGTCTGAACTCTCTCTCACTGGGCTAAAATCAAGGTGTTGACAGGGCCATGTAGCTTTGTGAAAGCTCCAGAGGAGAATCAGTTTCCTTGCCTTTCCAGCTTCTGGAGAACACCTGTTTGCCTTGGCTCATGCCCCCTTCCACCATTGTCCAAACCAGCAACATCAGGACAAGTTTTTATTGTTGTCGTTGTTTTCACATTGCCATGTTTCAGACTCTCTCTTCAGTCTCTCTTCCATTTTCAAAGACCCTTGTGATTAAATTGGGCTCACCTGTGTAGCTAGGGTAATCTCCCTATTTAAAGGTCAGCTGATTAGCAACCTTAATTCTTCTTTGTACCCTAATTACGTTCACAAATTTTGGAGATTAAGACCTAGACGTCTTTGGGAGCCATTATTCTGCCTACCACAAAGCTCAAGAAGGTTAAGATGAAAAGCTGTTACTGCCACTTGATGACAGGTGGTTGAGGATATCATTGCATCCCTGCTGAAAACTTCATGCTGGAGTGTGTGTGATTAGTGGGCCGAATGCAATATTTCTCTAAGGCATAGAATGAGACTCAGTACTTTCCCCTCACCTCGCTACAGGCTAGGATGCCTAGCAGCTAAGTCTGTGCTGAATGTTATTAATGAGTTAACTACTAATTATATGAGCTGATTCCATCAGAATATACCTGAATGTATATAAGTAGTAGGCAGCTAATATATTCAGATAAAAATCATTTTGAACAAAACTGAAAATATAGCCAAATTCAAAATATAGTTTATGTAAATACCATATCCATTTTTTTCCTTTCAACACCTTGATATCTGCATTCAAAAATTTTACTTTTGGCAATCACTATAGTAGTTAAGTTGGAAAGTAATTTTTTTACAGAATAAAATATACTGATGGAACTCCTATGAAACTGACAAATAAACCTATTTGAGTGGGCATATGAGGTAATACTAAATATCTTTTTTTTGCTTTTATAGAAAGCTAGTCAATTAATTGTTTCCTTTACACAGGTTTTCATGACAAATCATTGAGATTAGTCATGCCAACTGTTGAGCAGGTGGCTCTCCTCCTTGGCATCCCTGTTCCTTATGTACTTCCACCCATGTCATTCTTTACTCAAGAGAGAGAATTCTTTGGCAGTGAAACACCATGTGGCTTCTCAATATTTGTGTGGATTAAGCATCCACAATGTACACATAATGTGAAACACACTGTTGGATGGATATAAATGCCCATTTTACCTTTTATCTTTTCAATTTCTTCCCACTCCTAAATTATCCCTCACCTGCCAAACATAGCCCCGGATTCAAAAATAATTAGGATTCAGATTCTGAAAATCATAGCTTCTATAATTTAGCCTTACCAGATTTTCAGCTTTCACTAAGTATAAATACATTCTAATTTAAATGAACACTAAATTTCATCAAAATTGGTGGAAAACACTCTGGAAAAACTATGGAAAACACTTAGAATGTCGCCTGTACAGAGTAAGCATTACATAGAGCTAGTAGTAGTAGTAGTAGAAAATTAACACTTTAATATTATTTTGATAATATAATAACTCCTGAATTCCTATATGTGTTTCTATTTATTTGTACTTCCTTTGAAAAATTGTGATTTCTATTCTTCCCATCAAATATTACAAAAAGAAAGTATGTATTTTATATTTGGCCATGTCTAACATATGTCAAACAGCTAAAATTGATTCAACTTTTAGCAGAATTTTATTGGAAATGTTATCCTTTGTTTTCATAAGAAAAAATACTAAATTTAATTAATGATTAAATTGACCTAGGACATATAGGCAAGTGATAATGCTAGTAAACTTTCTACTTTCCTTGCTATCTCAGTTGTAAAAACTAAAATAACCTCGTATCTGATGACTCCATCCTATATTAGACATAATGGGAGAGATCTATTGTGACATATAACCCTTTTTGCCACTTGCCTTAGGACTCATTATGAAAGTGTTTTGCTTAACTCTTTGTTAAAATTATACTGAAATAATCTACTTTATTCATGTCCCCAAGCTCATGTACGTATAGCAATCTTTGGTTTAATAACCGTTCAGTTCTCAGTAAATAGAATATTTGTTGTAGCAATCACTTTAATGTAATGAGAAGAAAAGAAAGGAAACGAAAAAAAAAACAGAAAGAAAAATGTTAAGTCAAAAAAGGTATTTTAAGCCAGGCACAGTGGCTTGTGCTTGTCTGTAATCGCAGCTACTCGAGAGGCTGAGGCAGGAGAGTGGCTTGAGGCCAGGAGTTCAAGACCAGCCTGGGCAACATTGTGAGACACCATCTTAAAAAAATAAGAGGGAGAGAGAGAGACAGACAAAACATTTTAAAAAAGATATTTTGATTACTGACATTCTCTGAAAAAAAATTTTTTTAATTCTTTGGCCCCTCTATTAAGTTCCTAGTTGTGCTGCTTTGCAGGAATAATTGTTTTAATTTTTTCTCTTAGTATATCTAATGAATTTATTTTTTCCCCTCAGGTATCTGTGAAAAAATGTTGTATAAGCTACACTAAAACTTGTGTCTGAATACTTGTCAGCCTATATTTCTGTAGAGGGTTATTTTGGATTTATGTCTGAAATAAATCAAGTTCCATCTATGAGGCAAGACCTATTTAGAATGATATACAATTTCTGTGCATGTTAAACCTTGGTTACTGTACTTTATTAATTGTTCCATTTTTATCTGGATAATGTTCAAGGCATTGATTTGAATTTATCTTAGAATTCACATCTTTAGAATTCACTGATGTATCTTTACTTTTTAAATGAGGCAGTATCATCTTAAACCCTTATATGAATAACCTATGGGTTTTAAATGTAGAATTTGAAGGAAATACTGACCCCCCCATCTCTTTTTTTAACCCAGACTAAATCACGCCATCCAAAATCTTCCACAGATTTCCATTTAACTTGTTCCTGGTTTCTACTTGCCTCTCTGAGTTAAATGTTACTTAACTAAATTTTCTAACTAGTTTCATACTTTTGATGCACATATTGCACTTTCATTTATTAATTCTTTTCAATATACACATTTCCATTTAGACATTTATTTAATCCCTCACTTATGGAAACAATAGGCCATAGTTTTTTCCTGCTTCTCTTTTTTTTCTTTTGTCCTATAGTATCTCCTTACCCATGTAATTACCATTTGTGCTGGGTAACCCTCCAAAGACCCAACTCTAGACATTTTTTGCTAACTTTGATTTCAATGATTTCTGTTCAATATTAGTTTCCTATATTTTAGTGATGTTATATTGATATATTACTTCTTAAAATATATTTTATAAGGCAGATTACAAATGAAATTAATTATAAAATATTTCTCATTAGAGTGTTCCTAGTAATAATTTCATCATCCTTAGAAAACATATTATGAAAAAAATAGGGAGAAAGCACATGAATAGTTTCTGTTGTCTTAATTCTAACAGTACACAAAACATTTAGCAGTAATAAAATTTAGCTGTAGTAAAATCAAGCTTTCCAAGCTAGACTATTTCTATTTATAGCATTTAAAACGGGGCATAATATTAGCTATCTCAGAGAAGCTGTACCAAAGTAAATAAGTTACATGGGAAAACTTATAAAGTTTAATTGTACAAATATCATTTGAGGGCTAAGTGTTACAAAAGTACATTTTAGTCTACTATCTATGGTTAGGGTGGCACATATGAATTTAAAGGCTTAATAATATAAAATATGTCAATATAGAAACAGATTTGTATGTACAATCCTTATGCTATGTATAAATGAAAACCCAAAATTGTAGGTATTGTGTCAAATGTTTTTTTTTTCAAAACTAACTCAGAATATATTGCTCTCACAAGAAATATGTTTGGATTTTAGGTCTATTTGAAGTTCATATCTTATGACACATTTATGGTCATATTTGTAGGTCTGGACAGAATTTGCTTTTCTTAACAAAACTAAGTTTTGATTGGGAAAGGCCTTACAACTGACCAAAATTCTCACAAAATACAAGCTCATAGCAATGTTCGTCATACCAACCTCTTACACAGATAAGAAAGCTGAGCCCAGAAATGTGAAGTGGCTTGCCTACATTCACAACAGTGCACCAGTTAGAACGAACAAGTTCAGGTGATCCTGCTAACTTATATGTTTCAGAGGGAACTCTTGTTTTTACATCAGAAACTCTTTAGTATGTCAAAAATCTGGATGCTAGAAAGGGAAAAGTTCATAGTGAGCCATAGGGACTGATTAAGGCTAGGAGCTGAGATAATATATCTTTCAGGGTTTGTAAGAATCACGTGGCTGATCTGGAAAAATAGCCATGTGAAGGTTTTCTTTAACGTGGCAGTTCAGATGCCAGTTTCACTCCAAGATTTATCTTTACTAGCCAGTCATCAGTTCTGAATAGGCATGGGTATGAATATCAGGTCAAGGTTTTACAAATGTAAAATTCATCATTTTGATTCTGAAGCAAGTTCTTTTTGCACTGTTATTACATTTTACAAAACGCATAGAAAAATTTTATCCCTGTTCTTATTAGTAAAATGTATGTGTTTTTCTTTAATAATCCATCTTTCTAAGCCAAGAGGCAAAATTATTTCAAAATCATTGGTCCTACTGTGACATAGGGGAGGGGTACTTGGACAATTAGGAGACCATAGGTATTTTAGAAAGCTGGTATTAACATGTGACTTCTATTTTACTTTTTTATCCCATAAATCCTCACCTCAGTCCTGCCTTTAATAGACACTTCTGGAAAATTGCATTAACTGATTTAAATTTTAACTTCCTTTTCAGCTTTCTTTGGGGCATCTTTATTAAAAAGTCTAAATAAGGTTCATTTCTGTTTTCTTCACAGCCTTTTACGCAGAGCTTTACAAATAGTTGGCACTCAATAAATATTTGTTGAACAAGGGAAGATAAAGACGAATATAGGAGATCCTTATGTAACTCAAAAGTAGAAAATTCAGACCCTGGAAGATGAAAAAATGATTATATTGCCTTTTTACAGGAACTCATTAGCTATGAATCACAGAACCTGTTTATTGACATAAACTCAAAGTTTCCTGGTTCAGCCTCCCAACCTTTGAAGAGATTCTTTTCTAAATGTGTCTGACAATTTACAATGCAACCAAATCTCTATTCTTTCACTGATAGGCAATGACTGCCTAGAAAATAGTAGTCTCATTTTCAATAACTCTAGTTGTTGAAATATAGTTAAGAAAGAACTACATTCTTGTACCTTGCCCCTCTCAGGCTCTAGTTACATTTATGATTGAAATAATGCAAAATTAACACTTCACCCGCATTATAAGTCTTCAAATATTTTACATTATTTGAAATGTTTTCCAGGTCTCTTATTATCTTGGCTGCAATATCCTCTTGTACTCTAACATGCTACTATTTGCAGTCTCCTATTTGTACTTTGTCTTTATTTAAATCTGTTAAATAGGGATTTCAATTGCCAAAAAAACCTATCAACCCGGAAAACTTCCTTAAAAATATACTCATTGATAGAATTTACACAGGAAACTTTGAGGTTATTAACTTTGTAAAATTCTTAAATATTTATTCGAGTATTCTATAGAGTCAAATGCATAAGACTGAGGAAAGAAATCTTTTATCCTCAACATGATTTGGTGGCTTAAGTTATTCTTATTTTGTCATAAACTGCAAAGGGCTCCATTTTTTTTTTTTTTTTTTTTGTGTTGTGGTTACAAGGTCATTTTTGCTCCAGGGTGGAGCACCCTAGAGGGGAATATGATGTGTCTCTTATCAGAACAAAGGATATTTTGGGCTCTCAAATATATTAGCTCAGTCAATCATCAAGAAAAGGATATTTTCTCTGACCCAGTTTACTTAAGTGATTTATGTGGAACTTAAAAGTTTAGAGTCTAAAATTACTCCTGACATTGAATTTGTTTTTTAATTTGCTTCAGGTCCCATGGAACTCATTTAAGTTCAGAACTTGCATTGCTAAAGGCCTAGGTACAATGGTAATCTCTCTACAAATATAACAAGAAACATACTAGCACTCTTGGGGCATGGAGGAAAATGTGCAATGGACTGTAGAGTAAACAGTGGAGTTAGGGTACTGTTTGAACTTTTGTTTCCAAAGGTGAAGCTCATAGTAGTAAGTATTAATAAGGATCACTCTCTTTTTCTGAATTATACACTATGGAATTTGGCCAATGCTGTCTGAATACTCAGCTATTCTTTTCATATTCACTCAAACCTGAGAGAAAAAGTTGAATTTTGACATGCAGAGAAGGAAGAACAAGGTTCCCTGATTTACTTTATGAATGATAACATTTTGAACAGCTAAACCCTTTGGCCTCCTTCACGCTAACCCCTAACATTTGCATGGCTGTGTCAAGAACAAATGGATACTATAAGGATATTGTAAGTTTAAATATTTAAAGTTATAAATCAAACTAACAAGCTGCAAAATTATATCTGATATGTCTCTTGTCTTAGCAAATACAACTTTCCAATTACTAGGAAGGCTAGGTTCAAATTTAGAATTTTCTGACACCTTGTAGTTAGATTCATGCTGGAATATGACCCTCCTGCCCCAAGTTTGGTCCATGGCCAGCTCCTTTTCCCTTCCTATCCTGGCTTCATCTAGCACCAGGAGGAGACCCATGCACTCATGTCGGCACCTGAGCCTGCATGACCAGTCTCCAACCATACTAAAGATCTCTAAAAAATATCTCCTTTGGTCTCCTTTGGGCCTAGGAGGACACATATGGGTAAGAACGTTCCCCTTAGGAAGGTGGACCTAAGGAAAATGCTTGGAAGTAATGCCCAGGTTAATTAGACAGGGAATTTGGGAGTTCCAGCTACCTGGAGAATAGTCTATATAGAGGGATATGAGCTTTGGGTGGGTATCCTGGGCCCCATGGATTCTTAACTCCTTGGAAAGTTGTGACAGGAGAAAGAACAGCATTGGGCCTAGCTCAGGGGCCTGGGTCTAAGGGTGGTCTGGCTTTTTTGAAAAACATATGTTTCCTAGAATGAGAGATTGCTCTTGGGAAATATACAAATTTGTGTGATGAAGACAGTAATGGCACTGTAGTTTCTGAAAAGAAAAATGTATTCATATAACTCAAGAAGAAATGTTAAAGGCTGAACACGGTGGGTCACACCTGTAATCCCAGAACTTTGGGAGGCCGAGGCAGGAGGACCATTTGAAGCCAGGAGTTCAAGGCTGCAGTGACCTATGATTGTGCCACTGTACTCTAGCCTGGGTGACAGAGTGAGATCTTGTCTCTAAACAGAAATAAGTAGGAGAAGGGGAAGGAGAGGAATATTTGAGACATAAATTAATGCAGAAGCCTATGAACAGGGAAGACTATTTGGTCTTATTTACTATTTGCCTTGATCAAAGTTCTGTTTATCAATACAAATATTAATAAGACTATATAAGAGGCTACCTATGATAGGTAGAAAAATTAGGAGTGAAACGCATGGTTGCTGTATCCTTGCCAGGTGTCATTTTTCCAGCTGTTGTAGTCATAGGGCTAGACTGTCAGACAGTTCGAGAAGCAGGTGGCTATAATTAGTTCTTTATGTAAACATTAACATTGTCATCCCTATAGACAGGAGAGTTAAGTAGAGCCTTTTCCCATTATCTTCTTGGCCCTTGAAAATACCTCTGGCTTCTTGTCACTAAATTCCAGCAGGTGCCAAAATGCTGCAGGTTTCCATGTTTAATATCGCAGTTTTCACATGTAGAAATTCATATCATACACTACTCTATGTCATTGCAGCTGCTTTTGTTTTATACAATATAGTCATCTGTCGGATTTAATGTTGACTTATCAGATTTACTTTGTACTTACTTTATATTTTGAAAATATCTTTTCTCTAAAGTCTCAGTAGTCATTTTTAAGTTGACTAGATTAAATGTAAGATGATTTCTGTGTGGCTTCGGAAGTAGAACACACAGTTTAGATTTTGAAATTTTCATTTTTGGCAGGCATAGTGCAGGATGTGGCCTAGTTTCAAAATGTTTATTTGAAACAAAAATTTAACTGGAATTCAATACTGTGCTTTCTGGAAAGAGTTCATAAAATTTTGACTGTGGTTATTTTTTTGCACCTAAAATATATATTTCTATACTTTATCCAGAAGTGCTTTTTAAATAATTTTAAAGGGATTACTATCAAGTTTTCTTTTTTAAAAAAAAAGCAAGAAAGGTTTTCCAAGATGTCTACATTTCAACTGTATTTTACATGTTATATATGAAAATTGTCATGTATTCAAAAAACTAACAGCTGATATATTGAGTCACTAAATACGAAGAAAACATGCACTAAATCTCCCTTTTTACATACTACTAATAAACTTGACATAGAGAGAAAGCAGTAAACATACAAGTAATGAATACATGAAAACAAAAAACTTTTGGGCTATTCTTTGGACTTCAGTCTTTGCTGCATTAACACTATTTAAGATTTCCTCTAATTTTTATTATACATTGGATAGAACTAGCAACATGAACAATGACAATATTTTCAGGTGCATAATATGTACAGATGAGTGAGTGTGTGTCTGTGTGTTAGGCACTGTTCTAAGCACTTTATATGGTTAATCACATTTAATCTTCATACCCAATAAAATAGGTGGCATTTTTATCTCCATGTTATGGATGTGTAAACTGAGGAACAGGGTACCTAAGTGATTTATCTAAGGTCACACAGTAGCCTGGGGTAGAACCAAAGTTTGAACAAGCCATTCTTGTTTTATTCACTCTATAATATTACCCATGGAAAGTTATGGAATTTATAGAGTACTGTAAGTCAATAGACACTGAAAACATTTTCTTAGAGATGGGGTCTTGCTATGTTGCCCAGGCCGGTCTTGAACTCCTGGGCTCAAGCAATGCGCCTGCCTCAGCCTCCCAAAGTTCTAGGTTTACAGGTGTGAGCCACTGCGCCCAGCCTGAAAACATTTTTAAATGAAACAAATAGTGGAAATAATAGTAGTAGTTCATTTTCCTGTTAAAATACTAGGTTTATTAAAAAACACCGGACTTAGAGGATACAAGATTCTGGTCCTAATTTTGCCAATGGCTGTGTGACATTGAATAAATTACCTTACCCTCTCTGAGCTTCTATTTTCTCATTTTTAAACTATGGAAAGTAATATTGTTTAAATAAGTGGTAGGAGGATTAAATCAGATATCATGTAAGCTATTTTTACAATAATTTGTGTAACAGACAAACATGAAATGAAAGTTTTGGCCTTCCTATGTCCCTCCCTCTGTCTCTGAACTTCAGTTTTCAATGAAAAATGGGAGGACCAAAGTAGATGAGATAATAGTTTTCTAATATCTCTATAATTTCATGGTTACTATTAAAATTGCAATTTTAAAAAATTTATTAGTTCATTGCAACTAATAGTCATTTCATTAAAACATAATCTTAGATTTTTAAGATTATATTTTTATAGCTATTTTCCTAGAACTATAGAGCCTTAAAAAAAGAACTAAAAAGGATATCTGCTTAATACAAAGTTCTAGGACAGCTAAAAGTATGTCAGAGTTTTGTAGAATCATGTGTTTGAAAATTTTGACACAGCCATGTCTAATGTTCACAATATTTGCAACCATGAATATTATTTTATCCTTAATTTAAATCTTCCTTAAAAATTTAAGTTTATTCTTTATTTGGTGGGGGATATTTAGTGTGGTTGAGGCATACTTTAATTAAATTTAGTTAAGTCATTTATCAAATTTTTATGTTTGTATTTAGAAAAGCCATTTTTTATTCCTTTTCTTATATCTTTAACTTTTAAAGACTTTCTGTTCATCACGTGTGGAGGCCCAAACTGATCAGTAAACATGTAGTAATAAGTTTATATTATTGTTTCTATATAGGTGTCATTTTAAAAAATCTTAGCATGTTTACAGTAGAATACCAATATAGTAATCATCCATGTTTATAATAGAGTACCAATATAGTAATCATTCATTTTTTTAATTACTGTTATTTTGGATATGTCATTATTTGTGCTTTGTATCTAAGTTTGGACTTTTATCCCTAAAGCTACCCTGGCATCCAACCAACTTCAAAAGACTGAGGGCATGTGCCTTTTTTCCAACTTAATTAAAAGTCAACAAATAACAAACAGGCAATATGGCACAGTAACGTGTTAGAAAATGACAGCTGGAAACAAGCCCACATTCTTTGCCACTCCTCAAGTTTGGACATTCTATCTCCTGCCTGAAAACTGATATTGCCAGAATGAGAGAAACAGCATATCCTTCCAATTATTTATTCAATAAATTTTGCTGTGAGACTGCACAGTTGATAGCAAGTGCTATTAAAACAATAGACTTGAGAACTGATTTGTGTAGGTATTAACCATGGCCTATGCTCAAATGGAAAAGATTGCATGTGGCATGTGTATCTATACACAAATCAACATTATTTGCTGGGGTGTTGTAAGTTTTAAACATTTGTATTTGTTATGGCACTGTAAGTTTTAAACATTTGTATTTGTTATGGCATAATACTCTGTGAAGAATGGATGTAAAAATCTTTGAAAATTCCTACTTAAATATAATAAAAATATCCTCTGATGATCCTAGGATTATGTGACTTTAAACAAAATACATAAAAATATGTTAAATATACCCATAACTAATCCTGTGTATCTCCATGATTAAAATCAAGATCTGTCATATTGAGAGCTGGCACTTCACATTACATTGAATGTGACCAGTGTAACTGAGGCAGGCTCTTCTAAAAAACTGCTCAACATCAGGATAGCTGTGCTTGTACAACATATAGTATGTAGAACATACTATATAACTACAGTATGTAGGACATACCACATAACTATAGTATTAGAACATACCATATAATTATAGTATGTACACTATAGTTCATGTGTCATTTTAGTAAAATTCTTTTTAACTGTAAGGTAAATTTACTTGAATCCAATGGAACAAATTTATTTAAAAGTACTAGGAGTTACAATGTATATCATGACAAGGGAATATACTATTTCTGAAAATCAGTTAAGGAATGCTATATTAATCATTGCAGTTTGCATTTAGGGAATTCTGCAGTGAAGCCACAGGGCAAGGATTTTATTATGCTGCTGTTCTGTACATCTATTCCTTGGAGTATATGTTAACTGTGAGCTGTAAATTGCTTGCCTTTGAAGATAGCTTTTGTAACTCTAAAGATAAAATGCAAAGTCAGCACTATGACTTTGTTTTTTTGGATAAAAAAATAGAATGATTACTCTTCAAAGCATAATTGATTTTCCCCTTTCAAAGTATTTATTTTTACATATAAACATTTATTTTAATGTGTATGTATACCTTATAAAGTTTTTTATATACAAACAACAGAAAGTTGAAATGTGATTGTACTAATTCAGTAATACTACACATATTGGTAACATAGTTGTTCTGTAGTTCTGCAATATGTATCATTTGGTGGGAGCCCTTCTTCCTGTTCCCCATAGGCATGTCTGTTTATTGAAGAGAAGGATAGCGGGAAAAAAGGAAAGGGTCGAGAAAAATGGGCTTTTACTAAGATAAAGCAACGTGGTTCATGAACACAAGTTCACAATTTCTATTTTCTCTGACAGCCTTTGCTGCACTCACATATATTTTCCTGTATTTTTCATTTGATCAAATATATGCGACTAAAATATTCTTCTAAAGACTTTGAATATGTAAATAGATGGAACACTAATACAATATTAGTATGATTAACACAAATGAACAATCTTCAGCCAGATGTATGATAGTTGGAGAACATTTTGATCTATTAATCTTTACCTAGGATCTTTTTAAGGCAAGTGCTTAATATTTGCTGCAGCTTCTATTCTAAGACTGGATTAGATGCATGAATTTTGAAAATACAACTTACTAGCACATAGAGGAACCACAGTTTCAGCAGTCAAGAATTAGGGTCCTTTAAATAATTCAGAGTTCTTAAACTAGAGTATAATCTACAAATTCCCAAAAGATACATTGGGAAAACCTCTGCTGATAGGCTCTCTTCTAGAAGCACTGCACTTGTATCTACAGCTTTTCGGTTGTGTATCTAGGGTGTGCATTTCCTATAATATAATGATTGTACCTAATCTTTTCCTAGCCACAAGATGCTCTCTACAACCCTGGCAGTGAAGCAACTGAACCCAGCCCCTGGGAAATAAGCCCCAGTCCTGGTAATTCCTGTAGGAATTGAAATAATACTAGTGAACTATGGCGGGCACAGTGGCTCACGCCTGTAATCCCAGCACTTTGGGAGGCTGAGGTGGGCAGATCTCTTGAGGTCAGGAGTTTGAGACCAGCCTGGCCAACATGATGAAACCACATCTCTACTGAAAATAAAAAATTAGCCAGGTATGGTAGCATGCACCTGTAATTCCAGATACTCAGGAGGCTGAGGCAGCAGAATTGCCTGAACCGGGGAGGCAGAGTTTGCAGTGAGCCAAGATTGTGCCTCTGCACTCCAGTCTGGGCCACAGAGTGAGGCTCCATCTCCCAAAAAAAAAAAAAAAGAAAAGAAAAAAAAAAGAAATAATACTAGTGAATTGAAGATGTCAGATTTTGTTATTCTGAATAAGGTGGTAGGAAAACAGCAGTTTCTTGAGATTTGTTAAGTGAAGGAAATATTTTGAACATGGAATAGCTTGGCCAATTTAGGGTTCTTAGATAAAGAAATTTGATCTGAGCCCTAAGGCAGTAACAAGTAAGCTATATTCATAAAGTGTTTTATCTCCTTACATCTGTATTTTGCTATAATCAATTCTTTTTTACTTGTAGTTTCCATAATACTATGTGCACTGAATCAAAGAATAATTAGTTTAAGAAAAAAATTAGATAATCTCAGTATTTTAGATTGACAGTTTAAATGAACTAATAGAAAACCTACATTTAAATTTCACAATCATTTAAAGGGAGATTATGAACATGAATTTTCCATGGGTGGGATTTTGCTGGTGCTAGAAAGGCTTTTCCTGGTATGAAAGTAATTGGTTTAGGTTTAGGGAAAACAACTTCCTGTCCAAATGAATTCATCACTGATGAAAAACAGTATTACGGAATACTTCTCCAAAGCTTACACTGTTCAATTATTCTTGGCTGCTTTTTATCCAGGAAATCACAGGCTACAGTGACATTGACAGATTTGGGGATTTGTCTCAGGACATGCCTCTCACAAACATCTTGAGCCCACTGAATATGAGAAGATGACAGCCTTCTTTTCAGCCAGTAAAATCCAAAAGGAAAATCTGGGCCTTAAGACAAAGACTAAAGGAACAAAACAAGGGAAATGAGACACAGGCCGAATGGATAGTGCTCTATACTAAGCTTCTAAGAAAAAAGATTTTGGTGTAAAAATAGATGACTCCTGATGACCTAATTTCACTGCATTGAGATCACATGTTGCTGCCATGTTCGATTAGTTGTGCTGGTCACTATGTCTCTACCACAAAGCAGAAGAGCTTGGAAAATACATATGACAAGGGACTTGCATGCATGAAGAGTTACATGACCAGTTCTTATGCTAAAATAGATGTATTTTAAAAGCTAAAGGAAAACAAAAGAAAATTAAAAGGCACATGGACAAAACATATGAGAATAAATAATTCTGTTATCTTACATTAGAGAAGAACATTCTAAACATAAAAACAAGGAAATATATTAGGGAGGAAAGTTGAAATAAATATGATTATCCAAAAATTTGAAACTATATGATAAAATAAGTGGCATCTTGAACTAAGATAATTGAAATATATATGATATCTTAAAAGCTAATTCATTTAATATACAGTGAGTACTTTTAAATTGCACAAAAGAAATACATCCCAATAAAGAAAAGGTTGGAGGGGGAGGCAGAATGAGCAAATGATGTGAAGAAGCAATTTATGAAAGCAAAATAATTGTTTTTAAGGTTAATAAGCAAAGAATTGCTAACAAAAACAAGTATATGAGATAGTCATTACCTATCAAACTAACAAATATCAAGAAATGTTAATACTAAAAGCTGGTTAGAGTATGGGGAGACCAGTACACTTATGCAGTGCTTGAGGGAATATAAGGTAATTTTTAGAAATTAGCTTAGAGATAGTCACATTTTGTAACCCATTAACTCCAAATCTAGAATGCTTACCTCTGGAAATAATCAGAAATATACATAAATATTTACTTTAAACTATTACAGTAAAACTGATAATGTAAATTTAAACAGGAGAGGAACTAAACGGGGGAAATTCAAACAGGGAATTTTAGGCACCTATTAAAATGATAATTGTGTAGATTATTTAATGACATGAAAAAGTGTTGCTATTATAATTAAATGTGAAAAAATAATCAAATCTATGTTGATAAGTCTGATGCCAATTTTATTTTTAACATAAATATACACACGCATATATACATATATAAACAATGTATTTATATATACTAAAATAACATATATATATAATATAAATAATAACTCCTAAAAAGTGAATCGGTGAATCCTATGGATCAGTTTATTCTATGATTTTCATATTTAAAAAAGCATATATATGTAAAACCTTTCTAATCACAAAATAAAGGAAAACATTATTGGAAAAGTAAGAAAAAATGTTTGCATTTTTAGTGGGGATATAAAGAAAGAATTTTAATTTACATCCTAATTTTTATCTCTCTAACATTTTTATACTTAAAAACTTTTATTTTTAAGATGCATTTCAAGCTACTAACCGTCAAGGTGTTCACTTAATATATGTGAAATGTGACTCTGTCTTCCAGGTCAATGCTGTCAGTTTTAAGAAGTATAATGTATATGAATCACGTAAATGTTTACATTAAATAATAAGTCTTTTAAAAGTAATACGTATTAGGCTCTAAAGTAGCTACTTCTTTTATTCCACAGTCTGCCCATGAATTTTGAACTCTGAGTGTCAGAGAGTTTAGTTTTCTACCTATCCAGTGGTAATTATGGTAGCACACACTCTGCAAACCCGCAGGACATAAATTGACATAATTAAGATTAATTCTCAACTCAGATTAGAGCTGTATAGGGCCACTGGAAACTTCATGAAATGGTTCAGAGCCTCTTGTTTCTCAGTAGGGATCTTTCTCAATAACCATATTATGTTAAAAATGTTGTTTAAAGAAGTGAACTCAAGAAAAAAGTAAACTGGAGAGAAAGTGCCTCCTTACATTTTATTCCTTAAGTGCATCTCTTGGCTCTCCCTCACCAGGCAGATTTTCCTGGTCAGTGGGCAGTTCTTCCCAGCTGATTCTGGGACTGATCCCCTTCTGTTCTATGGCTCTGCTACCCTTGGGGCTTCATTGTCTTCTGCATCCACCAGGTGAAAGGAAAAAGAGAACATAGAATGGACAGGCATGCCGTCAGAGCATAGCCTAGAAATGACACACATTTGCTGCTGAGAACAAGTCCTATGGCTGGACCTAACTGCAAAGGATGCTGGCAAATGCAATCTAGTTATGAGCCCAAGAAAGAAAAAAAAAATAGATCTTTGGTGAATGCTAGCAGTCTATTACAACAGTCGCTGGGCTAAATGATGGGATAACATAGCTAAATGATTCAAGATTCTATAGGCTCAAGAAATCCCCAGCCTTATAGGACAGAGAAAGTGACACACATATAATTTTAATTTAAAAAAATCAATAGATACCTCAATGTACATGTTCTTCTACTTTAAGAGCAATATCTATATATTCATGTTTTAGCCTATTTTAGACGGTCTCCTTTGTTAATTCACTCATTCATCCAGCATTCTCCTTACATTGAATGGTCTGCATAGCTATTCTAGAGTATCTGATGGAAGGAGTGAGAAAAACAAACATATACATGAAACAAACAGGGTCTAGCTGCAGGTGTCATAAAATCACATACATGATTTTACATTGAGGTTTGTATCTATATGTTCTGCAGAAGTTGGAAATAATGTAATGATTATGATATATCAGAATGATCTTAATAAAAATGGTTCAATGTAAATTGATGGAATTGTAGAACATAAACTTTTAGAGATGAAAATGGGAGCTGATATTCTAAACATGTAGAATAATATGAGTCACTATACAGTCCCACCACAGACCTCTCTGGGGCTCTCTGGAAGATGTGGAGAAGTCAAACCACTAGACACAGTTATAAGAATTTGCTTCTGTTCCTCTTATATCACGTTACGGGATGATGATACTTTCCCATGTTCAGGAACCTGCCTGTTTTCAGATACCAATTATAAGCTTTCTGAAAACCAACATTCTGCAGTTTCATAATCATTAACACATTTTCTGTTATAATTTTACACTTTCCTTTGATTATATCATTTCTCACAACTACAATTTTGTGTTCATTGTATAATTACATGGTTTCTGTTTAACAGCAATGTTATATTCCTTTATCTAAGGTAAGAGCTTTAAATAGCTCACTTTTACATTTATTTGTAAGAAAATATGATCTTTTCTAATTGGCCTTTCCTCTCCTTTCTTTAAACTTTGGGCTTATTTTTATAACCCATTAAAAGAAGCTGGGCCAATTGATTTCAATAACATTTTTTCAATGACATATTTTCACACACATAATGTGTATGCCTCTGAGAGTACTACAGCTATGACTGAATTTTTTCTCAGAATTTCATATTTCTGTATCTATTCAGAAAATTGAAGTGCAAAATCTAAAGGCGTAAATTGTTCAGAGCACATTTGTTCTTCAAAGGACTGATATTTATAGTCTGAAAGAATTTTTATGTTTTAATTTTTATCTGGAGACCTAGAAATTCCATTTGCTTTCATTCTAGAAGGATAAAATCAATAGCAAGTGAGAAAGACTTGCTTTGAAATTATATAGTGAAACATTAAAAACATTAAAACAAATAATGTCATTAAAAACAAATAGTGTCATTTTAAGCAGTCTATTTCAACAGGAACAACATGATTACTGTTTGTAGAATGAAGAAAAGAAGCATGGCACAGCCTTAGGAAGAAGGCCATGCCTGGGGTTGGCTGCATATATGAGACATTCTAGTCAGCTCTTTGAAACACCTAATTTATAATTTCATTGTACAATGAGAACTGTTTGCTCTCTCTACTGTAATTATGTATCTTGGGGCAGGATTTTATTCATGGTATGCCACATTTGTGTAAAATTGTCAGAAATAACAGGTTACCAGTTTTACAGTATGCAAGGACATCCCACCTGGATATGACAACCAATGGGAGTAAACAGGAATCGGCACAATCAGTGGGAGTAATTGGGACAAAAGGCTGCCTAACCCTTCACTCTTATTTTCACATACTTATGTCTTTACAGGTGCAACAAATAGCCCAAGCTCTTTTTCCAGTTGAGACTGGCATAAATTCATGGGCTCTAAGCATAGGGGCTCATGTTGTTAGGTCACATGTTCAGGAGAGTTCACTTCAGTTGCCCAAGACATGTCAGAATCAACGTCTAGAGTCTTAGGTCTAATACCAGGGTTAGAGTCTGCATAGAACCAGGTGAGGTGCCGGGCTACTTCCATCTGGGATCCTGAATTGGGAGACAAGCTTGTGGCTCCAAGTCTTAGAAGAACTCTTGTACACCAGTGACTTGGCAGCAGTTCTAACAGTACATGATGAGTTGATGTTGATGAGTTGATGATCATTAACTCTTCAAGCTGGACACACAAACAATTCCATCTTAAGGCTAGGCTCCCTAGTAGCTCTATAGACACCCAGACCTGGCTCTGTTTTTCTTGGGCTTTAAGCAGAGCGGAGCCTAAAAGTTGTATTTTGGACATCTGGGTCATTTTAGGGAAGCGGGAACTGCCTGTGTTTTTTGCAGTTAAAATAGTAAAATGTGGCCAGGTAAAATACTTTCACATATTCAACTTATTGGAGGAGGAGAATTAGAAATGTTCACATAACAATGTGCCATTAAATTGCTCTTAGAAATTAAATTATTGATATGAAACAAGTAATACCTGTGGGATTTCCAATAAAAGGAAACAAAGTTTCACATGTGGCAAGAAATTTGCTTCCAAATGTTAATATACTGAAATAAGTGTTAATGAAGTTTCATATACGCAACTGAGAATGAGAATTACTTTTTCTGGCTTTGTTCAGCTATATGTTAATTTTTTTATAAAACTTAATTTGTATCATTGACTTACCATCCCAGAATAATCATATCAAAGGATAAATAAAATGTTATAGAGTTCTAATTTTTCTGAAAATTAGGAATTGATTTTGTTTTACTCAGATGAATCACTGCATGAAAAGTAGAGAAATAAAAAATCAAATTTTAAAACATCTTTATAAGAAGCTTGTTTTTTCCCTTAAATTTTGGGTGCATATTTAGTAATTACCATTTTACTTATGCAGTCTCTCTGATGTAGAGTTCTTAAACTGTTGTTACTGGAGTCTATTATTATAGGATACTACCATTTAAGTCTTTACAATAAATCAGAAAATGGGAAAATACACCTTTGCAGCCATTTAATGAAACAGATTTCAACTACCAACACACAGTAATTTAAAGATTATGATCAAGTTTCCTAACCAAATATACACTGCAAATAGATACTAGTGGAGAATAAAGGCTGAAGTATTGTTTTTTGATGAGTACCAATCATTTTTCTACTTTAGTTCATGTTCTATCTCTGTGTTGGAATTTCTGAGAGTGGAGGGAAGACAATTAACAAATCCTAGTAAAATACGTGAGTGTTAAAATCATTTTTGTTCTTCCACCACCTATAGTACATATTGGTGAATGGTCGTTTAGTTTGTCCTGGGAGAACTCTCAGGGTAGCTCTCATTCCTGCCTTGGCAAAGTATTTACTATAAGTGAAAAAGGAGGTGCCTTTTAAATTTGGAAAATCAGAATTAGGCCCTCATAAGGTTGGTTTTAAAATACCACTTAAAATTGAGTAAAGGTCAAGAAAAAAACAAGTAACTCCATCAAAAAGTGGGCAAAGGTTATGAACAGACACTTCTCAAAAGAAGACATTTATGCTGCCAACAAACATATGAAAAAAAGCTAATCATCACTGATCATTAGAGAAATGCAAATCAAAACCACAATGAGACACCATCTCACTCCAGTAAGAAAGGTGATTATTAAAAAGTCAGGAAACAAAAGATGCTGGCGAGGCTGTGGAGAAATAGGAATGCTTTTACACTGTTGGTGGGATTGTTAATTAGTTCAATCACTGTGGAGGACAGCATGGTGATTCTTCAAGGATCTAGAACCAGAAATACCATTTGACCTAGTAATGCCATTACTGGGTATATACCCAAAGGAATATAAATCGTTCTACTATAAAGACACATGCACACGTATGTTTATTGCAGCACTGTCTCCAATAGCAAAGACATGGAAGCAACCCAAAGGCCTGTCAATCATAGACTGGTTAAAGAAAATGTGGCACATGTACACCATGGAATACTATGCAGCCATAAAAAAGAATGAGATAATGTCCTTTGCAGAGACATGGATGAAGCTGGAAGCCATCATTCTCAGCAAACTAACACAGGAACAGAGAGCCAAACACCAGATGTTCTTACTCATAAGTGGTAGCTGAACAATGAAAACACATGGAAACAGGGAAGGGAATATCACACACCGGGGCCTGTCGGAGGGTGGTGAGTCAAGGGGAGGGAGAGCATTAGGACGAATATCTAATGCATGCAGGGCTTAAAACCTAGATGACGTTAGGAGGCCAAGGCGGGCAGATCACGAGGTCAGGAGATCAAGACCATCCTGGCTAACATGGTGAAACCCCGTCTCTACTAAAAATACAAAAAAATTAGCCGGGTGTGGTGGCGTGCGCCTGTAGTCCCAGCTGCTGGGGAGGCTGAGGCAGGAGAATGGTGTGAACCAGGAGGCGGAGCTTGCAGTGAGCCGAGATCGCGCCACTCCAGCCTGGGTGACAGAGCAAGACTCCGTCTCAACAAACAAACAAAAACAAACAAACAAACAAAAAACACCTACATGACGGCATGAAAGGTGCAGCAAACCACTATAGCACACGTATACCTATGTAACAAACCTGTGCACTCTGCACATGTAGCCTGGAACTTACAGTAAAGTGTGTATATATATATATATATATATATGTCTATATATATATATATATATATATATATATGTCTATATATATATATATATGTTAAAGGTAATTGCTTTTAGAATACATTTTTTCCTTCTTTTAACCGTTTCTTTAACAGATTTTTACAACAATCCTAAGTTGTCCGTAATAAGAATGGAGTCTAAAGCCAGAATGAAGTCATTTTCTGTATATTTTTTTACCTTTTAGTTTGTTTTGAATCTTTGTTATTATGAGAGTTCATTTTCTTATATTAATCTACATTTGCAAAATTTATGGATTATTTTATTAAACCAGCTTTCCCTGTTTCCTCTAAGTACAAAAAAGAGCTTGTTTCTACTCATTTTCCAAAGTATCTGAGACATTTAGGCTTTAATTTGTTATCTTCATTCATGTTTTCATTCATTCACTCAGGAAGTCAACTTCTGAAATTTCTCAAAGTTCTTTATGTAAAAACTGTCAGGGATAAACAGAGCCCTGGGATAGAGTATTAATATATCATAATTTCTGTAGCTACATTTCGTGTATTGAGTTCCACGCTTTCCTCACTCTCAGAGTAAGATATTTGACAGATTTAGGATACTATGAATTGGGCTGTTTATTCTGGGCCATGAGCCTCTACACAGATGATGGCTGGGGACTCAAAAGAGGGAGGCTGTCACACAATGTACTGTAGGCTCTTTCTGCTAATTCAGAGAGGAAAGGTTGGAAGTACTTATCTCTCCTGAAATGCATCCCTTAGTCTGAATGTTGCTCTTCCCAAGTTTTTGCTCTCTACCAAAACTTTCTTGCCCTGCAATATGACTTGAGTTCATAAAATCCACGCTTCGAAGAATAGGAAGAGGGGATTGCACGGAACTCTGCCCTGGGATCAAAATCTTTACAGATAGTGCTTTGATTTGACTATTCCCACATACTTTAATTGCAGAAAGACAATTTCTTCACCTCCTCTCGAAACTCAACACTCTACCTTTTCCTGACCATCTCTTCTATGCACCCTCCTCCAGCATCTCATACTGAAAATAAAACCTTCTTGATATAATTTGTGAATGTCATTTATAACTGACTTCTAAATAAAATAGGATTGCTGCTCTATTTCTATTGCTATATAATTTGCTTTAATGTTTTATTTAATATTTACTCTTTTTTTGAAATGTTCAGGTTATTTTGTCTATAAAATTCTAAAACTTTCCAAATGGAGAAGATTATACTTGGGTAAAGCCATACAGAGTTGTCTTGTCTTCAAGAAAAATAATACTGTACCTGAAGATTTTGTTCTGCTCAGCTCCTTCCATCCAGAGTGGAATTGCGTCCTGAGTTTCTGGTTCTTCTAGTCATTCAGACATTTTTAGGAGCCATGCAAACCCAGACTTATAAACGGAAATTTCATCAGGCCAAGGTGACTGGTGGCCATATGGGAAACTCCTAATTTATTTATACCTGCTGTCTTCTCTGAACACACATCTAAATTCTAAACTGTGTAATCTTATATTCAGTGTTTTTCTGGACTGTTGGGCATGGAATATATACTGATTGCATTAAAATATAAATTTCATAAAAACCCTACAGTTTCTGTTACTTAAAAAGCACCCATATATAATTGGGGAAATAATGAACTCCTCATAGCATTTGAATCTCAGTTTTGCATAGGAGTCTCCCCTAGGTCCCTTGTCAACTTCTCTAAGCTATTGGAACCATGGGGATAGCTCTAGACTCAGGAAACCCAAACTGGTCCCAGCCAGCCCTAGTCTTCTAGTGAGTAAAAGGGGATTCAGACAGTAAACCATTTCTCCCCTTCCCCTACCCCATTATATACACTAGGATTCCTTTTATTCTCATAGAATCTATTGCAACTTTTAAGTCAAATATAATGACTTATTTCCAGGTTGGCTAGAAATAAGTATCTTGATATCTGGGAAAAGCTTTTATAATTTTTCTCAAAATGGTTAGAAAAGAAAAACTTTCTGATACATGTAACTTTTAAAATAGAATAATGCTATTTACATAGGCATTATTTAAAAATATCCCTTATGATGTGGCATTTGCTACTAAACAGTTAATAGAGTCAAAGACAGAAAAGGCAAGCACCATAAATGCCAGTATGATGCAAAATAATTACAGCACATTCATAAGTTAGTCTTCTCTCTTTCAAGTATATTTTATTTTTAGTTAACATCTCAGAAATTTAATTTTATTTCCTAGGAATTTTGCAATTTAGCTATTCCATAAGAAATTTTATGATACTTATCATCGTACGTAATTTCTTTTATGGCATACTGACCATAGCGTTTATGAAATAACACAAATTTGAAATTGTCCTTGATATCTGTCAATGTTAAAATTAAAAATATAGATTATCTTAATTTATTAATTAAGGATATGTGGATAGAAGATATGCATTTTATTTGTTAACACATTAGGTATCTTACTTAATCAATACAATTATGCCACAACATCTCAAGAAATCTTAAGATCAACTTTTTGTTTAAAAAAAAGAAGTGTTTTAGGTATTTTATAAAAACTCTTTCTCCAGTATGCACAGTAAAACTTTGACGTTTCTGAATTTCTAAGAAGCATCCCAAAATATACTAAATTATGGAAAGGTTATATACTTATTTTAATAATGCTACCATTGCTGTGATTCTCTTTTGAAATTATTGTTTACTCATACCCAGCTTTGGGTCAAGACTGTGTTTTTTTTTTTTTTAATGACTACATATATGTGGTTCATAAAGTTGAGTCTGATTTGATTTCAAGACATATATTGAAAACTGCCTTTTTGGTTAAGTCTCTGATTTAGCCTGATTATTATTTTTCTTTTTCACCTTTCTCATTAAGAGTGGAATGTACAATATGAACTAGATGACCTCCCACTCTGTGAAATCATTTGCCTTTCTGTAAGATTCATTATTGTCAAAGGGTGAGGCAACTCTCTAAATATTCTTATTATAAAATAAAAATAAAAATAATTTTAATTACATTTACATACTTTACCATAATTTGAATATTCTTTTCCTTAAAATAAGTTGCCCATTCAATGTCCATGTAAGCCTCAACTGACTCTCTAATGAACTAAGAATAACTTACGTGATAAAAGTCTCATCATGTTTTATAGATGTCATTGTTAAATAAAATAAACCCAGTTAACAGTTTTCTAAGTATTGGTATATGTTGAACTCTCTCTGATTACCTGTATTGATAGGTACTTGTATATACAGAGGTGTCACTGTAGTCTGAACTAAAAGTAAGTAAGCTTAGGATACATTTCAATGAATGCAATAGAAAAGTTAGGTATTTATCAACAATAAGGGTCAGAGATTTAAAAGGCATGTTTTAGCATGCCTTTTTAGCAAACAATGTTGTGTTAAGAAAAATGAATGGTCTTAATAGAAGAGAATTATACCAGAGCCAAAGGAAAAACTATAATTATGATCTGAATTTGAAAATGAAACTAGGCTAGATGCTAATCTCAGGTAAATTTCAAATTGCAGGTTTTCTATGTATATAATCATTAAGCAAGCAGGAATATTATTATTTTAATTTGGGGAAATATCATTATTTACTATCTACAAAATGATTTTTATGATTTTGAGATTAAATAATGTAAATTATTCATTTAAAAGTGTTCAAAAGTTTTAAATCAGGTCGTTTAAATCAATACGAATTTAAATATTTGACTTGATTATTGCTATAGTTTGTTTTTTGAAAAATTTATTAAAATTTCCATCATGTTCCAAATTTAAAAAAAGAAGAAATAAAGAAGGAAGGCAAGGAAGACATCTAGACCTACTATGAAATTAGAATATATTGTTCTAGAACACATCACCATTGTTTTAAATGCTTATATAGGTGAGTACTAAAGGGAAAAGTCCAAGTTGATAATTAAATTATTGAAAGCCAACAGTTAAATTTAGCACGTCATATGATTATGACAAAAGAGAATATAACAAATAACAAAATTGGAATACCAGAGAGTAGGGACCAAAATTGCAGAAGTATAAACAGGAGTCATAATAATTTCTGGAAAAAAACCTCATTTTTTAAAATAAAATCAATAGTTTGCACATTTAAGCCATTGATAGTAAACAATGTTACTTTCGTGGTAGTGTTGATTTTTTAGAATTAGAAAGTAGTGTAACAAGTTGCAATACAGAGATATGATAGAAGAGGTTAAAAGTTGAACGTCTAAGTGGTAATCGAAAGCCTTAGGAAGAATCAGAGGTGGAGGAAGTGACTATGGTCTACACAGAAAAGCAAGAGGAAAGTAGAAAAGTAAACAATTCCAAAGTAAGCAAATGGAAATCCCACTGATGTAAAGATAGGAGAGAATTCCTTGCCAATTCTAAGACTTGAATCATACCCAGAGGCTCCAAACAGCTGAGAGCTGAATTCAGAAGCAAATGTCCTCTAAGTTAATGTTAACACACACACACACACACACACACACACACACACAAGCATAAAAATTTGTGAGCCATCTCTGTTGAAGTAAATAAATTTTGAAGAGGCATATGAACTTTTCACTATTTATATATAACGTGTGTGTGTGTATACATATATATCCACAAAAATACACACATCCTGAGATGCCAAAGATCGAGGGGCCCACAAATTCAGTGTCTGGTGAGGGCTTACTCTCTGCTTCAGAATGGCTCCTTGTTGCTGTGTCCTCAACATGGCTGAAGTGCCAAAACAGCCCCCTTCAACCTCTCATATAAGGTCACTGATCCCATCATGAGGGCAAAGCCTTTATTACTTAGTCATCTTCCCAAAGGCACCACCTTTTAATACCACCACAATGGGGATAGTTTTCAATTTGAATTTGAAGGCACACATTCAGATCATAGCAGCCAAGTAGTAAAGGAGTGGAATTGTCCTCGGTGTTATTCCATAAACCTAAGCATGAGAGGAGATTAATGAGAAAATCTCAAGGATGAATGTGTTACCTTGACAACTTAGAGTAACTATAGCTTGGCTATTCCATCTTATTGGCTGATTGAGTATCAGCCCCACCTGTTAGTTAAGAAGAGTAACTAAGTATCAATATTCTTTTTTTTAGTTATCATAATGATTCTTGTTGCATTAGCTCTGCTGTCAATCACAGCCAAAATGTCTCTGTTTTTAATCCCAATGTACACAATTTGATTTGATACTCTGAAATTTCATATATAACTGTTAAAACAGATATTTTATTTCACAATTTTGAATCTGAATGGAATATTCTTTTAATCACCAGAAGTGACTGGGCATAAATTCTGACAGTTTCCCAACACTAATTTGTTAAATGCATATCTATGTTAATACCTTTCAGATATTTTTGTCAATTTTGACGTACCTACAGATAACCATTTTGTTAATAAGTTTTATATTAAAAATGTAACCATTAGTATAAATTATTAATGGTGTTCAGATCCCAGAGTTGTTGAGGAAACATTATATAAGGGTTTTTTTGTTCTATATTAAAATTTTTTATTATTTCTTATAGCTTTAAAACACAGTTAAAGTAATTTTAATGTTATCAGAATCCCTCTTTTCCAGAGAAGGATATCTTTTAAAAGATGATAAAGTGTCTTTTAAAAAAATAAATTTTATTGTGCATATTTAAGGTTTACAACATAATGTTATGGGATTCATAGAGAGAGTAAAATGGTTACTATCGTGAGGCAGGTTAACATCTACTATCTCACAGTTACTTTCTTCGTAACAAGAGCAGCTACAATCTACTTATTTAACAAAGATCCCTAATACAATAGGATTGTATTAACTTTAGTCCTCATGTCATATGTTAGATCTCTAAACTTGTCATCCTACATATTCGCTCTTTTGTATCCTTTGACCTACATCTCCCCATTTCCGTCCCCCTCGCCACCTGTGATAACCACTCTTTCATTCTCTTTTTCTGTGTGCAGACACAGAAAGAAAAATACGGCATGATCTCACTTATATGTGGAATTTTTTTTATAAAAGTACTTTTATAAGGTCAAAAATGGGTAAGGAAAATAGATTTTTCTGCTACAATGTGTGATGAGAGAGTACTATTACAATTCTTAGAACTAAAAGTATTGTTAAATGCAATACAGTGGACTTCCTACCATCACTATTTTTATAATAAAAGTGTGGAGAAAAAATATTTTAAAATTCAAACACTAGCTCGAATTTGAAGTCATGTTATCTTAAAACAATTTTATGATATTCAACCATTATTCCATTCCTGGTCCTGAAGGTGTATAATCCAAATTTACTAATGTTGTTAAATAGTACTCCAGGTTCAGAAACCATCCACTTATGTTTTTTATTACAGCCTTACATTTATGCGAGCTTGCACATGATAGCTTCCATAATCACCTTACCGCCTTCTAGTCCATTACAACATTCCATTTATTACACTTTATGTACATGCTCTGTTTTGTACTACTATGAAAATTTCAGTATGCTCAGATCTTTTAAAAGATCCTTTAAACCTTCTGTCTATAAGACTTTAAAGAAAATAATGGTGCTGTTGGTTTGGTTGAAACCCCCATTTTCTTTAACCTTCCATGGAATATTTTTCATGCTAATTACTATATTAATACAACTATACCTTTAAGAAGGTACATAGTGACAGAGTCTAACAGAAACTATCTGTGAAATAGTATACTGCTAAGATATTTGTGGAAAAATGAGATTTCCATCTGTATAAAAATATTCAGTTTGTTCCTCCAACTTTGAAGTTTCCATAGTCATACAGATGAAAACATTTCATTCCACATATTACAAAAACACAAAGTGTCCTAAAAGTTTCATTTATTGTCCATTGAATCTTTGAAAACATTTTGGATGCAATTTTTAAACTACTTTATGGAGATGATTGTCATGCAAAAAATTTTACCTATTTAATATATATAAGTTGGTAAGTTTGCAAATATTTACCTGTGAAACCATCACCACAAGTGAAATTCAATAGCTAATGAGAAAACCATAGTATGTTATCTATTCTTAATACCCTGGAAATTTTACTGAATTCTCATATTTAAGCTATTTTATAACAAATTGCTTACATTTTCAAAGAAAATTAATGGAAAAAGTTATATAGCAAATGATCTAAGTTATTTGACTTAATATATTGTTTTTATACTTTTATAAAAGTATATCCCATTTATCCTAGGAGTTCATTTAAAAAAATAGTTCACAGAACAGACTTTCTTCTGGTGCTTTCAAGAAGCATTCCAGTTTTCATATTTTCCAAGAAGCAAATTGGTCACTTCAATCCATCTTTGTAACCATAAGCTTTATATGGTCATATTTATCAACACCTCTCTAACATCATTTCTTTCTTTTATATTTTATAGAAATGATTTTCTTAGCCTGTATTTGCATAAATATTCACCTTTGGTTTTCTCTTGCCATGAGTTTTGATGTTTTGTTTTGATAATTTTCTTTTAATGTATCTGTAATCTTCATATATAATGTTAGGTGAATACATTGGGTTTCTCTTTTAAATGCATTGTTTACCCCCAAACCATTAAATAAATATTCATGTGCTACTCTTTTGAATGGCTTTATCATAACTTATGTACTGATATACAGTTGTCTCTTCCTAGAATATATTTATAACATTTATTAATTTTTAAATTTTATTGCAGTCTGGTATATCTAAAATATTACTCTTGCCTTATTCTTATCATTAATGGAAATCCTTGTAGTATTTCATTATTTGAAATTATGTCAACTTTCGGGTTGCTGTATCATGTTAGCGAAGTATCCTTGTGTTCCTCCTTTGCTAGTCAGATTATTATTTTGCTATCTGACAAAATAAAGATGTATTTTTTCTTTTGGCTTATTGATGTTGAATTTTACTATTAACAGATTTCCTAATATTAAACTGTCTTTGGATTCTTGATCATGGTATATTGTTTAATATTAACAACATAAATATGATTCTAATATTAATAAATACAATTTTGAATTTGTGGTATGTGAACATTACATTTTAAATATTTTATAAACTTTTTATCATTCTCAGAGATAACTAAGAAATTGATCAAATCACAAAAATTCACTAAAATAATTTATAGACCATGTATCGCAAAAGAGTATTTTTGTCCTTATCCATATGACTAGGTATTTTAAAATCCCATTTTATACCTGTATTAACTACATTTTAATATTACTGAACCCTTCCTAAACTTTCCTTGTGAATGTTTTTACTAGCCATGTCTATGGTATTTCTAACAATTCTAGGTTCAATAAATAAGGAAACAATCTATCATTATTGATTTTGCAATGTAAATTCTAAGAGAGTGAAGTAAAGCATCCTGGACATTCCTTCTTGAGAAACACTAGGCCAAACAACTTCCCAATCCCATTATAGGCCAGAATGATAAAAATAATGGATTTACAGAACAATACTCTGAGGCAAAGAGAAAAAGCCACCAATGGTCCTAGACCCACCATGTTGTGTCTTCACTTTTGTTTTTAATATGCTCATTAGAATTTAAATGTAGAAAAACAAATGTTTTCGGTATCTTCTTTTGGTCCTGTCATCTTTAAGAAACAAGTTTCTGATCTTTTTTTAAGTCTTTTGCAAACAATTGAGAACTTATTTTATATTGCTATTGTTGCTAAAGATGGTTAGCAAACTACAAAGATTTGTTTTTCAGGTCTTTCATAATGTATGACACTTTTTAAAAGATAATGTTTAAGAAGTGGAGATATCTCTCAGAGATTTATAATCTGAGAAGACCTAAGGTTCAAGGGGTCAGCAATTTGACCAGAGTTCTACACTCATGCATTGCACAATAACTGTTGTCCTAAAATGAAAAAACCTATTCCAATATAGAGTTTTTATATTGTCAACGTATATTTATTTAATATAATATGTAATATTTATTTAGCAGTGACCATATGCCAGGTACCTCTTTATCAGTATACCTATCATTTAAACCTTACAAAAACACATTTGTGGAGCACTATTGCTTTCCCCTTATGCAAATGGGAAGCTGAGGCACAGGTATGTTAAATAGTTACTCCAGATTACCCAGTGGGTAACAGATTAGAGCTGTGATTTAGGTCCCAAGCATTGACTCCAGATACTGTAGGCTTAACCCCAAGTTGGGTACTGTATGTCTGGTAACATGTAACCTAGATGTTATGATGCAATGAGATTTACATCCTGAGATTCTAATAATGATAATTAAATTGTAGAAATTTATTATACTTCCAGGAGAATATAAGAAGAAAAATATGCTGTTAATAAACCTGCTTTGATGCATTCTTCTCAATAGTGAACTTGAACTATAATAGAATTCCCACTGGATTATAATTCAAAGAAATCTCTTTTTTTCCCAGTGAAACATTCATCATAAAATGAATGTGAGAGACAGTGAGATCCCTGTCTAGATAAATAACTTATGGTTGAGCATAAAAATGTAAGATTTAGATTCAAGACTTAAGGGGAGACTGGGAATTATTTCTTCCTCTGCCTGCCAAAAGCTGTTAGACTGTCACAGAGGGTGGAATAAAAGAAATACTGCTTCTCCCTATTCCCCAGCAGTATCAGGACCAGCACCAATGTTGTCATGGTGGAACACTTAAGCTGTACTTTTAGAAAATAACTAATAAGTGAGGAGCTCAGACAAATATTATGAAAATTTCTATTTCAGTTTAATAGTGATATTTGTAAATGTGCTTTGTTACAACTAAGGTTACTAATAACATGTTTATAATACAATGATATATTTGCAAGGGAAATATTTGAAACTAAAAAAGAAAGGCTATATCTGTGTAGTTATGTTTCTATTGAGCACACAGCACTGTACTTGGTCAAAATCTTCCCCTTATTATCTTGTTTAGTCTTCACCTCTACCTTCATTTTACAAAGTTTATGGAGCTTCAGTGAAAAGAATCTGAGCTCAAACTCAGTTCTGCCTAATCTCAAATCTGGTTGATTACAGGTATTTCCACCAGCATTGTTAATTATTTGCTGATTTTTATGGGCCATTATTTAGATTGCATTAATAGACGCTACATAGAGGAAATCACAGTTCTAATATATATTCTTGAAGATAGGTACATTTTAGTCCTTGCAGGAAAATATTTAAGGATGAAAGAACTAGAAATGTCTCTATATATCAAATTGAGAGTATACATAATCTAAACATAAGCAAACCTTTTATTATATAGCAAAACCTATAGCATATGAACTGAGTTCTCCAGAAAATGGTAGGTAGGATTTGGGATTCATAATAAAAGAGAATATTATAGATTTCCCTTTAGAAAATCAAGAAAAAAGGTGTTGACATAGAGAAGAAAGATTATAAAGGAGAAAGAATGTCTGCTTTACATCCAGGCAGTAAGCAACAACAACAACAACAAAAAAAGGAGATGCAGAGATGCAGATTAACTGCCAGAAGATTACAGTTTAATCTGAGCTGAGCAGCACCGATATGGTAATATGGCATTGAGTCCTTAGACTTGAGACATTGAGCCAAACTGGTGATTTGAGATTCATGGAAAGAAGTTTGTGAAGGGTTATAACTGGAAGGCATCACTAATTCAGATTTGTTCAGTGGCACAGTCTAAAGTATCAGTTTTTTTGAAAAAGAGAGTAGCCCATTGTTACCAAGTATATACAAAAATTACATACCAAGTGTGTATAAAAATTAATTACTTTAAAACAATGTTTACTGCCATCGTTTTAAATGAGTATTCTGCTAATGGCATACAAATAATTACTTTGAAGTACTTTAAAGAAGTGTATTTTCTTACATAAGCCAAACAGCAGCCACCTCTCTTAATCTGAGTTTCTGAGTTCTGCTTCCTGTGTACACCTTTACTGTTGCAACTTCTCATTTAGTGACAAATAAGACAATTCAGATAAAATTGTAGTGGATTTTTAAAAGATTAAACAAAGAATTTAGAGTCACATTATTTGCAAATCCAAAATAGTAATGATAGAAGATCAGAACTAGGCTTCAAATTCAGCTGTTATGCCAAATCACTAGGATGATTAACAATAACTCTTTCCTGCCCTCAGCTGTCAAGTGGGGCAACAAACTTGGAGGTGTTACATGTTGAATTCAAGAACTAATGGGCAAGAGCAAGTGTGGCCATTCTGTAATGTGCATCGTCCTTTTGCTGACCAGAAAGGATGTTCTATTCAGCTAGCAAAGACTGTAAAGGACAAAATATGCAGCATTGTTGTTATAGAGCAGAAGGGAAGCACAAGGGAAAATGAAAGAGGAGTAAAACGGTTATCAAAAGAAGGCAAAGTTGTGAAGGACTTAAGAAGACATGAAGATTCTGGATATTAGCCCTTTGTCAGATGAGTAGATTGCAAAAATTTTCTCCCATTCTGTAGGTTGCCTGTTCACTCTGATGGTAGTTTCTTTTGCTGTGCAGAAGCTCTTTAGTTTAATTAGATCCCATTTGTCAATTCTGGCTTTTGTTGCCATTGCTTTTGGTGTCTTAGACATGAAGTCCTTGCCCATGCCTATGTCCTGAATGGTATTGCCTAGGTTTTCTTCTAGGGTTTTTATGGTTTTAGGTCTAACATTTAAGTCTTTAATCCATCTTGAATTAATTTTTGTGTAAGATGTAAGGAAGGGATCCAGTTTCAGCTTTCTACATATGGCTAGCCAGTTTTCCTAGCACCATTTATTAAATAGGGAATCCTTTCCACTCAAACAAATTTACAAGAAAAAAACAAACAACCCCATCAACAAGTGGGTAAAAAAAAAAAAAGTTGGGGGGAGAAATAATGAGAAAACTTGTAAGAGTATAGTTATAAAAGATAAACAGAAATCTTAAAAAAAAGACATTTATGCAGCCAAAAGACACATGAAAAAATGCTCATCATCACTGGCCATCAGAGAAATGCAAATCAAAACCACAATGAGATACCATCTCACTCCAGTTAGAATGGCAATCATTAAAAAGTCAGGAAACAACAGGTGCTGGAGAGGATGTGGAGAAATAGGAACACTTTTACACTGTTGGTGGGACTATAAACTAGTTCAACCATTGTGGAAGACAGTGTGGCGATTCCTCAAGGATCTAGAACTAGAAATACCATTTGACCCAGGCATCCTATTACTGGGTATATACCCAAAGGATTATAAATCATGCTGCTATAAATACACATGCACACGTATGTTTACTGTGGCACTATTCACAATAGCAAAGACTTTGAACCAACCCAAATGCCCATCAATGATAGACTGGATTAAGAAAATGTGGCACATATACATCATGGAATACTATGCAGCCATAAAAAATGATGAATTCTTATCCTTTTTAGGGACATGGATGAAGCTGGAAACCATCATTCTCAGCAAACTATCGCAAGGACAAAAAACCAAACACCACATGTTCTCACTCATAGGTGGGAATTGAACAATGAGAACACTTGGACACAGGAAGGGGAACATCACACACCTGGGCCTATTGTGGGGTGGGGGGGAGGAGGGAGGGATAGCATTATGAGATATACCTAATGTAAATGACGAGTTAATGGGTGCAGCACACCAACATGGCACGTGTATACATATGTAACAAACCTGCGTGTTGTGCACACACATGTACCCTAGAACTTAAAGTTTAATATATATATATATATATATATATATATATATATATATATATATACACACACACATATATATATATAAAAGAAGACTTGGAAAGTTTACAAGAAATTTTTGAGAAGGAGAAAGAATGAAACCCCACTGGGATCATGCAGCAATGTGAGGTGTTCATGCAGGCAGTCAGCCCTAGATGCCTCAGTCGCACTGTTCTTTTCCATATTCTTCAATATTTTGCAGATAATAAAGATACTTAATAAATGTATATTGAAATACTTTGTTAACTGCATTAACAATATACTTTGTGATTGCCCAAAGAGCTTTATCCTCCTCTAATTTGAAGGAATTATGAATTTAATGGTTAGAGAATATGTAGAAAAATTGATGTTAATTTGTTATATCCTTGATAGTTTTTCCTGTGAAATCTTATGGATGTAAATAAAATGATTCTTCCATTAAAAAAAAACCCTGCCAGACAATGAAATCATGTATCCCTTAAATTTCTTCCTGTAGTCATACAGGAGCTCTTTATATTCTAAAGTACAGCTGCTTATTAGTTGTATGACTTTGGTCAAGCCATCTGTCCTCCCAGTATCTCAGTGTCCTCATCGGAAAAGCAGTTTACCTGTACCTCACAGAAGTTTTACAAGGATTAAATGAGTTAATATTGGGAAGCAGTTAGACAAGTGACTGGAACATTGTTAGTGTTATATAAGTCCTTGATATTATTGAAACTTGTGTTAATTTCAAAATGACCTTTTCCTGTTGTCTCCCAGTTTCAGATAATTATATCAAAGTGTTGTTACTACATTAGCTTTTATAATAGCCTGAGCAGCATCCACCAAATCAGGTGTGTTTTCCATATTTACATCACAGCTGGCTAAGAGAAATAATGGGATAGCTTGACCCCCAAAATTTGAGAACTTAGAAGGAACAGCATCTGTCTTCTCCATCTGTTTAACCCAAGATTTCTTAATTATCTGTGAAAACATGTCTAGTCTGAATCACGCACTGTTCAGCTTAATGAACTGTATTTTTTGACACACATTAGAACTTTGTGCATTCATTAATAATATCTCCTGGTGCTGTTTTCTGTGAGGATGAGGAAAGCTAAAAGTGACCTGTATTCGACCTACATATACTATTATTTTGATGAGGATGATTAAAGCTATTCCTCCTGTAGTTTTTTGTTGGTGTGTCCGTTATCTCCTACTTTTGTTGTAGGCACTCAATTTTCCACAATCAAGTCACTGTCACTAATTGTTCCCTCCAGTGATGCCTCTCTGCTGCTGCTGTTCTGAAGCAATTGATGTTGCTGTTACATTGGTTCAAATTTTACTTTAGTTTGCCCTTGAAGCTTTTTGGCTGTCCATCTTATGCTTGATTGCGTTGCTCACTTCATCATGTAACTGCTGTTTTGGCATTCTTTTCTTATCTTTCATTTGTTTTACTCCCTGAAATGTAAGAACGTGGCTTCATTGCCAATATTTTAATAGTATTCAGAAGTATCATTATTGATTTTGATATTGATGCTGTTTGATAATGGATGGCAATGAATCTCGTCCTCCAGCGGAAAATGCTTTTAAAAATGAGTCTAACTCTCTGGCCATTAGGGCTCCTTGGGAGGCCATCATTTCACAAGACTACCGTGTAGTTTGAGCTGGAGGCTTGTTGTGCTACAATTTTTCAAGTTTCCTATTGTGCTGAATCATGCACATTTTTCTTCAGTTTGGTACTGTGTCATGCCTGTGATAATTTAATAGTTGAGTGGACTTCATTTGTAATTTTGCTTTAGAGGATGAAATAACTCCCATTTCAAAGACCAGCCCTAATATATCTGACTTTTTAAAGTTGTAGTCGTTAGTTATGAAGAAGTGTACTTTTATGAGTCTAAAATGTAAAACACAAAAAATATTTTAAAAATCTTAACTTTATATGTGGAAAAGCTCCCTAAACCTCTATAGTGTTGCATTTTACTTTTTATAATTTTTCTCTTTTATGTGATTCTTCTGTCCTAGTAGACTCTACCAAGCAGAAGAATATTTTCTTATTGATATTTGCATTTCCCAAAGCACATACACAGGAAGCTGCATATGGATGGTGAATAACTTTTGATGTTTCTCTTGTGTTGAATACACACGCCATACACCCACACACACACACACACACACACAAATCCTCTCTTATCTGTGGTTTCACTTTCTGTGGTTTCAGTTATCCACAGTCAACTACATAAATATTAAATGAAAAATTCCAGAAATTAATTCATTTATTTGAAACAAATAACTTTAAAATTTCGGGCTGTACTGAGTAGCATGATGAAATTTCGCATGACCCTGCTCTGTTCCACCTAGGTTGTGGATCATCCCTTTGTCCCAGGCATCTACATTGTAGACGCTACCCACCCATTAGTCATTGACATCACCTTCTCCTGAAATCCAACCATCGACATCTTCATGGCTTGATGATCTAGGATTACCTGAAGCAGATAATCCTTTCTGACATGTTGTCAAGGGATCAATAGAAGCCTAATGCTATGTTGTAATGCCTCTGTCATTCATCTCACTTCATCTTATCATGTAGGCATTTTATTACCTCAAATCATCACAAAAAAGAAGGTTGGGTACAGTAGAATGAGATATTTTGAGAGAGAAACCATATTCATATAACTTTTCTTACAGTGTATTGTTATAATTGTTCTATCTTATTGTTAGTTATTGATCTCCTACTTTGCCTAATTTACAGACTACACTTTATCGTAGGTATGTATGTATAGGAAAAAACATGGTATATATAGGATTCTGCTTCAGGTGGTCACTGGGGAGCTTTGAACATATGTCCCAATGATAAGGGGAACTACTATATAAACATATACAATAAGATTAATTCACGGGTAGGTTGCTCATCTAAAATATGTGAGAATTATCACAAAAGTATACTTTGGACCAAAAATGAAAAAAGGTTTTTCCTAGGTAAACTAATCATGTTAACCTATATAAAAGAATCATTTAAGAAAAAAAATTAAACCAACAATACGATTGTTATGCATTAATTTTCTCTGGTCATTTAAAGCATATATCTGATAAGACCAATAATTGCTTAGAAGCAGTCTTCAATTAATTTGAAAAAAGGTATTTAATATTTTAAATACTGATAATTCAAGCCTATCTGCTTATATGTTCTATAATTTGATAACTCAAACCTCTCTATTTTTCAGACTGGCCTCTTCCCATATGATATGAATCCCTATATTATTCATCTTTTAATCACTTTCTGCATTCCTCAATGTTTCTTGTAGTCAGTGCAGTGTTAATTGAAGTTCATTTGAATTATCAAGCCAGGCACTAGGACAATTAGATCTGTCTAGCCTGCTTCACAAGAGTTTCCTGAAGACCAAATGGGCTAATGTGTGTAAACTTATACTGTTACAGCTAAAATGTTATATATATTTGGGCCTTGTTATTAAAGCACATGAAGGATAAACTAAGTCATTAGACTATTTTGATGAAAAAAATTATTTGTATCTTATTTCTATTGGTCTTACTTTAGGTTTTCTAACTATATGCACAGTAGGAAGAGTGTTTTTTCGAAGAGAGCTCTCAGTTCTGAAGTTAGGAGCATTATCAGTTACAAACACATTTGAAATGCCTTGCTCAATGAACTCCTTATTGGTAGAACCAGGTTTACATGCTGAATGCACAATCTAGAGACCTAATGCCAAAATCTTTCTGATGGGACTGTAGGCTCTACAGTTCCTTTTTTCATACAGAATGAAATTATACTCAATCGGTATTTATTTGGCTTTCCTGAAATATTATTTTTATTTGCCAACAACACAAAGAGTGAGAGTTCTCAACTATTCAAAAGTTAGTTGTTTCCTTTTTAATAATCTTATAAGAAGTGAGAACATTATGAATAGGTAGAAATTTAAAGAGAGGTGAGTTTGGGATGTTTGGGCCCTGGGCAAGGAGGAAGAAAGCAGAAGGGAACCAGCATTTATTGAGTGCCCACTCAGCAGACATGGCCATTTGATGAGTGCTTTGCAAATAGTAGGTGGATAACTGGTGAACCTGGGCAATCAAAGTCAGTAGTGATGCCCATGAGTACCAGAAAGGCAGATGAGAATGCAAAGAGGGAGCTTCAAAAGATTAAGGGAAAACTTTCCTAATGCCACAATTTTATGTAGGCTAAATATACTGCTGAGTTGTCACAGCATAGACTCTTTATACCCATAAAGAAATGTTTCTTTCTAATTTTTTAATTTGTAAATATACAGGTAATATATTATTGTAGTAAAAGTGTGCATTTCTTCTTTAAACACCATATCTGAATTCAGTCCATTTCCCATAAGTTGCCATTATATTACATGTATATTGTATAAAAGATTATTTTCTATGACTTGCTGTATTTGTTTTCTAGGGCTGCCATAAAAGTACCATTAACTAAATGGCTGAAGCATAAATTCATTTTCTCACAGCTCTGGAGACTAGAAGTCCAAAAGCAAGGTGTTGGCGGGGCCATGCTCCCATTGAAAACAGAGTGAGGGCTCTTTTCCAGGCCTCTATATCAGCTTCTGGTAGTCTCAGGTGTTCCTTGACTTGTACATGGCCATCTTCTCCGTGTGTATTTTCACATTGTCTTTTGTGTGTGTGTGTGTGTGTTTGTGTGGGTGTGTGTCCAAATTTCCCCTTTGATAAGGCTACCAGTCATAACAGATCAGGGTTCACCCTAATGACCTCATTTTAACTTCATTACTTTGTAAAGACCCTATTTCCAAAAAAAGCCACATCCTGAGGTCCTGGGGTTATTGATTTTGAGAGAAGTAATTCAACCCATAGTACTCACATACATATTTCCCAATGTATTTATGTAACTAAATAGCATTGTTTGGTATGTAGGTGTGTTTGTGTACCATATCATATTCTTTGCTTCCATAACTTGTTTTTTCACCTAGTTATATGTCTTGAAGAGCTTTCCAGTTAGTAGATACAGCTTAAATTTATTCTTTTACACTGGTGCATAATATTATACAAATATGGCATAAAATTACCATTAAGAAATTGTCCTGTTGATAAAATTTTAAAATTTTTGCTGTTATTTACTTTTACAATTAACAGCACAACAAACTTCTTCAAGGAGTAGAATTTTTAGGTCATAGTCAATTCACATTTACATTTGAATGCCCATTATCATCTGACCGCCAATCTTACAGGCCAGTGTTATTTCCACCAGCATTTCCTGGTATCTTTAGTAATACTTGAAATTATCAAATTAAAATTTTAAAAGTTGTCACTCTTTCCTGTAAATAATGTCCTGATTTTTAAATTTTATGTTTACCTATTGGGTTTTCATTTATTCAACCACAAATTAAAATTAGGATATTTTTATTTGGGAATAAAATTCATTTAAATGTGGAATAATAATCATGCTGGCTAATATATATTGAGTGTTTATTTTGTGCTAGATAATACATTAATTGAATATTCCTCATACTTTAACACAAATTTAATAGATAATTCTTCTTATACATAATTATTTTTAGCAGAAGACATGTTATTAAATTATAGGATATTTAACAATTTTCAGAAGGGAACTGTATTGGTCAAACAGAGAAAATCAGGTTATTGTGTTTCTTCTTTCACCTTATCCATTTGATTTCTTCTTCCTAGATATTTTGCCAATAACAGGCAACTCCAATATTTTAATTAATCTTTATTCAATGATTAAATATGTACATGTAAAAATAAACATAACTTTAATGTAGCATGTGAGTTATTACCCTGGTAATAATATTAGTACCACTTATTAAAAAAAGAAAAACAAATGTAATATCTGCAGATTGTTCCCTTTATGGTTCCAGATAGGATTTTTTAAGATTACCAAATGATAATATTTCAGTTGCAAATTCAGCAGTTAACCAAAAATTACTCTCTCCTGTTGACCTGAAATCATTTAATTTTAAATGAAGTATTCTTTATTATCCACTTATAGCAACTGTAGATAGCTCTTCAATCTCTTCAAACTCTTCAACCAGAAGAGTTTGATGTTTTAAGCATTTGATTTTTTAAGCATTTCTGAACTCCCCCAAAGCAGAGTGGCTTCTGAATTCCACATAGAATGACTTCAAATATATTTAGAGACTTCAGTGAATCTGCTCATAGGGAGAGTGGCAAAAGGCTATTCTATTTTCTTTGAGTCTTGACTAAACAGTACTTCCTCCAGCAGAAGTCTATATTTAGTTATAGTCAAAATAAAAAGAAGTTACTGGTGCGGGAAGTAAAGTGAAGAATTGCTGAGGAGAGGATGGTCAGTGACCCAGGAATGACTGAAAATTGGGTGTTAAAATGTATTTTCTGATATATTCCAAAATCACCTTCCATAATTATTCATTAATTGATTCAGCAAGGACTTTTTGAGTACCTAACTACATGCCGTCTTTTGTTCTAGGCAATGAGGTACAGCAATCAACTAATAGATAAAAATCCCTGTTATCATGAAGCTTACATTCTAAAATTTCTTCTCTAAGTCTGTTCTACTCTAAGTCTAGTCTATTCTACTATATATTCAATAACTGTAATTTACAACTTTCTAGAGGATTGTGTTTTATTTCTCTTTCATCCCATTACCAGACTTTGTTATTCTTTACATCTCTTCCTGCGAAATCCTCCTGTTAGCTACCTGAATAATCATACATCTCCTGGGATAGTTTCATTCTTTGAATTGTGACTGTCATAACCTTTCCTCTAGAATGATACTCCAGTGAAGACAAAACACTAACCCTCTCCATACTTGACAGGGCTTTGGCCCTGCCCCGGAAATCTCCCATGCGTTGGTCTGCTAATCTGTCCACCAAGAAAGCACTATAGATTAAGTACAAGAGAGTGGAAGAAGGCAATGCAGATTTCGATTATTTAGTTAGACCTCAGTTTTTTACCCATAAAATAGAATGATACACTAGTAGCTACCTCGTAGGGTTGCTCTGTAATGGGATATTAAGTAATATAATGCCTGTAAAGCATGCAACTTAATGTTCAGTATAATGCTCTTCAAAGAGTGCTTCAGGGCTACCTGCATCAGAATACTCTGGGTGCTTGTAACAAAGTGGATTCTTGGCTGCCACATGTTAAATTAAAATCACTGGGAATATGAGCTAAAATTGCATTTTTAGTAGGTTATCTAGGTGACTATTATGAAAGCTAAAGTTTGAGAACTGTCTATAAGCACTCAAAAATTCTAAAAACGAATACAGGCAATGCTTAATGACAGGCTATATTGTGAGAAATGTATCTTTAAGCAATTTTGCCATTGTACGAACATCATAGAATGTACTTACACAAACCTAGATGGTGTCGTCTACTACATATGTACGCTATTATATATGACATAGCCTACTGTTTCTACGCTACAAACTTGTACAGCATATTACTATATCGAATGCTATAGGCAATTGTAACACAATGGTAAATAGATGTATGTATAAACATATCTAAACATAGAAAAGTTACAGTAAAAATACTATAATTTAATCTTATAAGACCACTATCATATATGTAGTTAACAGGAATGTCATGTGGCTCATGATTGTGTTATTATAAGTTATTTTTTTTTCCTTTTAGTAATGCAATTCTTTAAGAATGAAGTATGTTGATGTAAGTTAGAGTATTACTTTGACAATTCATTTATTGTTGCAAATATTTTTAAACATTTACTAACTTAAATGTACTTTTCTATTTATTGCAGATTCTGAGATGTTAAGATAGTTTTTTACACTTTAATTTTGGAGACTGAACATGAAAGTTAATTTAAAATTCCTAAGTAAAAAAATGTAGAGGAATAAATAAACTGTTATCGGATTTTAGAAGAAGAAAATATTACTGTCTCTGGAGTGATCGGGGAAGACTTCCTTAAAAAACTGGAATATCATTAGACATTGGTAGAAATGTGATAAAAGCATCATGTTCCTTTTTTTTATTTCTTACTCCAGTATTTTTGATTAGACTAGACAAGGATATCTATATTATCTGGAAGCCATGAGATCCCTGAAAAACTGGATTCAAGAGTGAGAAAAAAATGCCCATGAACCAAGTAATTTCATTTTATTTTGACCTTTATAACCATTCTTCAGAAGTGAAAGAGGAATATTTTAGGGGAGTGCCGTGTTTCTGTTATGAACTTTATCACTGATATATTATGCTTTCTAATTTGAGGCAATAGCGTGAAGATTGGGTTATTCTGTTAAGGCTCAAGCAAAGCAGAGCCAGGGTTTTTATCCATCTATCTTTTCTATAATGGCTTCATTAGTTCATTATAAGGGAAGCGGTTGTATTAGTTCATAAAAAAAAAAGAACTAATGGAATCCCCAAAGTGAGCAATTTAGTTCTTTCTGAAACGTGAAACCTGGCTGGCCCATTGTTTCCAATATTCCCAAAATGATTCTTTATTTTTTGTGTAAATTGATCCTTTACTTTTCTTGCTTATGATGGAAACATTGTAGCCCTATTGATATGAGTGTGATGATTCAAAATGAGTAAGACATGCATTTTTTTTGTTACTTACATTGTGCTAAGAGGAATTAGATGCTTTCCAAAGCAGTATGTTAGGCTTTTCTATTTCTGTGAGTCTACACAAAGAATGTATAGGCAATTCATTTATCCTTAGTAAACTGTGATAAGATTATCTAATACAGTAAGGTATTCAATACTTTCATAAGTAAGGGCATGAAAGCATGAGAAAATGCTAGTGGTAAAAATATTTAATAACCATCTATATTTTGTATATATTTTCAATGTCTATTTGGACATATGTACAATAAAGTGTTTAGGGATTTTTAGCAAAATAAATAAAAGCTAAAACATATAAGATATAAATATCTAACTTAGAACTAGATGAAAATTATTTAGCTCTCACATCTATCCTTGTCCAATTGTATTATGATTACCACTAAAAAGAGTGATTTATATTCATGCATGCCTTATTTAAGAAACAAAAGCAAAAATGTAGCCACAGAGAAACAGACATAATATATAATATAAAAATACCTTTAGGTATGACATACTAAATTTACTATAGAATTTGCCTCTTGGAATTGGGAGAGGGGAATATGAATAGAAATGGAGTAAAACCTCAAATTTATCTATGATGTTTTTTCATCTTTATTTATAAAACACAAATATAATTAACTATTAATTCGTGCAGTGGATGATGTATTAATACTCTTCAAAATTTTACAAACACCTGAAAAGCAATAAACACACATATGTATCGATGTGCATGTACATTACATATTCTACATGCATCACTAAAAACAACCCACACAACAATCTCATCCTTCATCACATCTGATAGATTTCCAATTTTAAGTTGTGCTGGAGTTCTACAAGCCTGGGAAAATAGATTTGGGATAAGGATATAATAAAGGTAAGTTTCAATGCCTGCTACTGTCTTCATTTCTCCTGGTAGCATCATGGGAGCTTCTTGCATTCTCTACAACAGGTTTTTATACTGACTTCAGCTGGGCTTTCCTGACTGGACATCAAATGTGTAGATGCAGCAAAAATGGAAAAAGGCTTTGCATCTGTCTGCATTGAGTGAATCATGTATGTTCCTTGGTTAGAGGACTAAGTTGAGTGGTTTCATTAGGGTAATGCTATGGAAAACTGAGAAAGACTTGCCTGCAGAACAACCTGTAGAAATGGAGTAAAGATAGAAGAATTAGGTACCTGCAATAGAATTGCCAAATACTTATAAAAACAATGCTCTTGTCTTTATTCACTGGGACCTCATAAGAAGTCGTTTTCTAAGTTTTAGGTATTTATCTAAAGCCTGCTCTCAAGCCCTTTATTTGAAGTGTAGGAGCTACACTTTACAGGAGAGATGCTCAGAAATGGTTTCCATTTGCTCTTTAAAAAGACCCAGAATTATACCTGGCTAAAGTTTGGCATTTTTAAGTGTTTCAGTTCACACATGAATGCTTTCGTCTTATATTTTTATTAAAAATGATCTTAAAAATATTTAGCCTTCAGAAGTAGACCACCACACAGGTCACAGAAATGGTGATGATGGGGTAGCACTTTCTATTTTGTGGCTTAGGTGACTAATAGATTTTACAATAGACTTTTTTTTTTTTTTTTTTTTTTTTTTTTTGAGACGGAGTCTCGCTCTGTCGCCCAGGCTGGAGTGCAGTGGCACAATCTCGGCTCACTGCAAGCTCCGCCTCCCGGGTTCACGCCATTCTCCTGCCTCAGCCTCCCAAGTAGCTGGGACTACAGGCGCCCGCCACTACGCCCGGCTAATTTTTTGTATTTTTAGTAGAGACGGGGTTTCACCGTTTTAGCCGGGATGGTCTCGATCTCCTGACCTCGTGATCCGCCCGCCTCGGCCTCCCAAAGTGCTGGGATTACAGGCGTGAGCCACCGCGCCTGGCCTACAATAGACATTTTAAAAGTCAAGTAGTACTCTTTAAATCCAGTGATAAGTGGAAATGATTTTTTTCCCTAGTCTTCTGAAAGAAGTTAATTCAAAAATTGTTTGGCTCTAAAAAATAACACTAACCCACTCATGTTGCAAAGGACTTGATTGATCTGAAGGGAAGTCAAAACTATGCTGCAAATGTGTATCATCTGAGTCTTTCCTGGGTGGGGTTTTTCTGAGGGCTAATTGATTTAGACCCTAGCCAGTTTCTGTCTAGGGAAAGTACAAAGCTTTCACTAGGATTTCTGCTAATTCCTGGGGTTCTCATTCCCTGTCTAGCTCTATTATGCTGTCTCTGTTATTCCTCATGTTTTCCTAGATGCACAATTTAGCCATTCAATAGTTGATTATGATGAAAAGGACTCTCAGGCTTCATTTGGAAAACTTTTGGTCTAAATAGTATATAGTGCTCAGTCATCTTATAAGGGCCGTGTCTCATCCACAGAATCTTCTGCCCTCCTGATTTGCAAAGTTTCAGGAGTACTCTCAAACCTGGTGGCCAGTTCATAGGAAATTATCCTGTGGAAGACAAGCTTGGGTCAAGGCGTGGTGATGATTCCACACCCTTGTGGCTTTGGGGCTCTATTCAGCCCTTGTTATCTGAAGTAGATATGAATTCTGAAGAAGACTGACCAGTCAATGACATATATATATATATATATGTCACATATATAAGCATATATATATGACTTAATGGGGAAGAGTATTCCAAATCCATCCAACTTTGTCTTGGGTTAAAACATTTACAAAAAGTCATTTGAAATGCTTATTCATCAATAAATTGGTATAAAAAACCTACCTGAAAACTAGGTGAATCAAATGGATAAGAATCTTGTATTGAGCATATATTTATGCCAGGTACTGTGCTAAAAACATACAGATTATCTCATATATTATTTTCCATGACTCTATAAAGTCATTACTGTTGCAAACACTATTTTACAGAGAAGGAAACTAAGGTTTAGATAAATTGACTTAACCAACAGCACAGAACATCACTGGTGAAAAATTTCAGCTTTGAAGCCAGGTCTTTCTGGTTCCAAGAATGCTTTGTGCTTTAACTCTCTGCTGCATTGCCTGATCAGCTCTGTTCCTTCCACCCTCCAAAATCACTCCATTTTGTTTAAAACTATCTCACTATTAAAATAAAAAATAAGCAACATCAATGATGCATTAAGATTCTCTCCCTGAATAGGACTTTCCACTGATTAAAAAGTCCTCTAGAAGAATTGGCCAATGTCAAATGTCATGTACCCCATTAGTTTAATCCATGCATTTCCACATATTCATAGTCATTTCTTCTAGTTATTAGCAGCAGCACTATTCTTGCAGTTTCTAATATTAAATTCTTGCGACGGATGGGTAAGTGGAAGGAAGAGGGATTTGGTCTGTAGCTTAATTCTTTCCCATTACGCTCTTTTTTGACTTGCCAGGATCAGTTAATTTGCAAGGGTTCACCCTCAGCCTTCTTAGCAGTCTATGTTCAAAGTCAAGAAGTTCACCTGTATCTAGAAGGAGTGAATATTTCTGTTAAACCTGGGTCAGTAATTTCTATAAGTTGCTAAGAAGCATATAAAATGCAGTTTTGTGAACTGTCATATTTAATAAAGATAATTTTGTGTGTGAAATAAATTATTATGTATTAGGAATTAATTATCTGCTTGTATGTGTTTTACCCAACATCATAATATATCCTATGAAAAAATTCTGTTTCAATAGTTATAGGACAGAAAAGGACACTAATAGTGAATCTGGAATTTAATAGGATTTTTTAATTGAAACATTTTTGAGATAATTATAAATTAATATGCAGTTATAAGAAATAATACAGAGACCCCTTGTTTAATTTGCCAGTTTCCTTCAATAATAACATTTTGAAAAAATGATAGGATAAGATCAAAACCAGATACTGACATTGATGCAATCCACCAATATTATTCAAATTTTTCCAGTTCTATTTGGAATCATTTATGTGAGGTTATTTGTGTGTATTAAGTACTATAACGTTTATTAGCTCAGTAGGTTTTCATATTCATCACAGTCAAGATACTGAACAGTTACAACCCCACAAGGATCTCTTCTGTTTCCCTGTTGTGACCACACCCACCTCCTCCTGCCCTCTTTCCCTTTGTCTTTAACCCCAGGCAATCAAACCATTAACCCATCCACCATTTTGAAAATGTTGTTATTTCAAAAATGTCGTATAAATGGAATCATACAGTGTATAACATTTTGGGATTGGATATATATATATTTTTCTTTGTTTGTTTGTTTGTTTTTTGTTTTTTTGATACAGGATCTTACTCCCATTGCCCGGGCTGGAGTGCAATGGCTCACTGCCACCTCGACTTCCTGGGCTCAAGCGATCCTCCCACCTCAGCCTCCTGAGTAGCTGGGACCACAGGCTCTCACCACCACCATGCCCAGCTAATTGTATTTGTAGTAGAAACGGGGTTTCACCATGTTGCCCAGGCTGGTCTCCAACCCCTGGGCTTAAGTGATCCTCCTGTGTCGGCTTCCCAACTTGCTGAGATTAAGGCCTGAGCCATCGCACCAACTTTTTTTTTTTTTCACTCAACCTAATTTACTGGCAATTCATCCAGTTGACACATCTATCACTATTTTGTTACTTTTTTTTTTTTTTTTTTTTTTTGAGACAAGAGTCTCACTCTATTACCCATCACCCAGGCTGGAGTGCAGCGGCCCGATCTTGGCTCACTACAACCTCCACCACCTGGGTTCAAGCCATTCTCCTGCCTCAGCCTCCTGAGTAGCTGGGATTACAGGCACCTGCCACCATGCCTGGCTAATTTTTTTGTATTTTTAGTAGAGACAGGGTTTCATCATATTGGCCAGACTGGTTTTGAACTCCTGACCTCAAGTGATCTGCCCGCCTCGGCCCCCCAAAGTGCTAGGATTGCAGGCTTGAGCCACCGCCCCTGGCCTATTTTGTTACTTTAAAAAAATAGCTTGTTACTCTTTGTTGCTGAGTAGTATCCCATTGTATATGTCAGTTTGTTTAACCATCCACCTGTTGAAGGACATATGAGCTGATTTCAGTTTGGGGATATTACAAATAAAGGTGCTATGAATATGCATTTACAGTTTTTTTGTGTGAACATAAATTATTATTCTTCTGGAATAAATGTCCAAGAGTGCAAGTGCAAGATTGTATGGCAATTTCATGTTTAGTTTTATAACACACTGCCAAACTAGCTGTACCATTTTGTATCCCTTCAACAATATTCAATTGATTCAGTTCTCCACATTCTCTCCACGCTTTGGTATTGTCACCATTTTTAAATTTAGCTATTCTGAAAGGTATATAGTGATAGCTCATTGTGAATTTAATTTGCGTATCTCTGATAGCTAATAATATTGGACATTTTTTATGTGCTTATTTGCCATCTGTATTTCCTTTTTGGTGAAATGAATGTTCATGTCTTTTGCACAGTTTCTAATTAGATTGTTTCCCAATGTTATATTTTGAGAGGTTTTTTTTTTCCTACTCCTTTGTTAGATATGTGGTTTGCAAATATTTTCTCCAAATTTCTAGCTTGCCTTTTCATTCTTTTCACATGGGTTTTACCAGAGCAAAAGTATTTTTTTTTTAATTTTGATGAGGTCTAATTAATTTTTTTATGAATTTTGCAACTGTTGTCAATTCTAAGAATTCTTTGCCCAAGGATTTTCTCCTAAAAGTGTTTTTGTTTTATATTTTACATATATATTTATGATCTATTCTGGGTTAATTTTTATAAAAAGTATAAAGTTCACATCAGTTTTTTTGCCAGATCCTTCAGCACTATTTACTTAAGGGTTATTCTTCCTCCACTGAATTGCTTTTGCACTATTGTCAAAAATCAGTTGAATATGATTGTGTGGGATCTAATATAGGATTCTTTATTCTGTTTTATTGATCTATATGTCTATCTCTTCACCCAAGACCCTCAGTCTAAGTTACTCTAGCTATGTAGCAAGCTTTAATATTAACTAAAGTGATTCTTCTCATGTTGTTTTTAAAATTATTTATTTTGTATGTAAAAATAAAGTCGTTATATATGTATAGTGTACAACATTGTGTTTTACAATATGATCACATTGGTGCAATGACTTATTTGAGCTAATTAACATATGTATTACCTCACATACTTATTTTTTCAGGTGAGACATTAAAATCTACTCTTTTACCAATTTTAAAAATGTAATACATATATAGGTATTAACCATAGTCTTCATATCTCTTTGATGTACTGATTTCATTTCCTTTGGATACATAACCTATAGTGCGTTTACTGGATCATATGGTTGTTCTACTTTTAGTTTTTTGAGAAAAGCAACCTCTGTACTGTTTTTTATAATGGCTGTCTAATTTACATTCCTACAAACGATATGCAAGGGTTTCCTTTTCTTTGTGTCCTCACCAACACTTATCTTTTTTCTTTTTAATAATAGACATTCCATCGGTGTGAGGTGATATCTCATGATGGTTCTAATTTGCATTTGTCTGAGGATTAGAGATGTTAAACATTTTTTTATATACCTGTTTGCAATTTGTATGTCTTCTTTTGAATGTCTACTCAGGTGATATGCCTAGTTTATTTTTAATTTTTATGGATATGTAATATTTGTACATATTTGTGGGATACATATGATATTTTGAATTGTTTGAGTTCCTTATATATTTTGGATATTTACCCCTTATCAGATGTATGGCTTGCAAATATTTTCTCCCAATCCATAGGTTGTCTCTTCCCTCTGTTGATTCTTTCCTGAGCTATGCAGAAGCTTTTTAGTTTGATGCAATTCTGTTTTTTTTTTTTTTAATTTTCAGTTTTGTGCCAGTACTTTTGGAGTCATGTTCAGAATATCATTACTAGTCCTATGTCAAGGAAAACTTCCCCTGTTTCCTTCTAGCAATTTTATAGTTTCAGGTCTTAAATTTAAGTCTTTAATGCATTTTGAGTTGATTTTTAACCAGGTGTCCCACTTTATTAATTTTGAAAATCACTTTAGCTATTTTGGGGCTATGCCTTTCCATATAAACTTTAGAATAGATTTTTTTTTATATCTATAAAAGCCTTGGTGGAATTTTGATAGTAATTTTGGGAGAATATATATTCTTACTATGTTGAGTCTTCCAATACACGAACAGAGTATGTCTCTCTCTTTAAATCAAAGAATGATTTAAGTACAGAGACATACTCTGTTCGTGTATTGGAAGATCAGCATTTTAATCAGCATGTATTTATTTGATCAGCATTACGAAGCTTTCAGCATACATTTTTAAACTGTATACCTAAGAATTTCATTTTATTCGAAGTGATTGAAAATTGTACTGTTTTAAATTTTAGTTTCAGTGTTTATTGTTCGTATGTAGAAATGTGATTGATTTTTACATTTCGACCTTGTACCCTTGAACCTTGCTGAACTCAAGTACCAGTTCTTGGAGTTTTTATGTATATTAGTTGGGATTTTCTATGTAGATAATATGTCACCTCTATCTAGAAACAGTTTATTTCTTCCTATCTAATCTCTATGCCTTTTGTTCCTTTTGCTTGCCTTATTACCACAGCTAGAATTGCCAGTACTATAATGAATAAGAGTAATGAGAACCGATGCCTTTGACTTGTGTCCATTATCAGGGAGAAAACATTCAGTCTTTCATCACTAAGTATGTATGCTAGTTTTAGGTTTACATATCTGTGTTTAAGCAAGTCAAGATATTTCCCCTCTATTCCTAATTCCCCTCTATTCCTAATTGGTTGAGAGTTTTTATCTAATGACCATTGGATTTCATCCAAGGCTTTATCTGCATTCATTGATATGATCGTGTTTTCTTTTTTAGCTTGTTGATACGATAGATTACCTTAATTGATTCCTGAATGTTAACTAGCCTTACATACCTGAAATGAATTCCATTTGGTAATGGTATACACATATTTTTATAAATTTTTGAATTTGGTTTGTTAATATTTTTTTCTTTGTCTGGTATTACTTACCATATAAAATGAATTCTGAAGTATTCCCTACTCTTCTAAATTTTCTCAAAGGGATTCGTTAAAATTGGTGTTAATTCTTTAAATGTTTAGTAAAATTCTCAAGTGAAACAGTATGAGCCTGAAGATTTCTTTTTAGATAGTTCTAAAATTATAAATTCACTTTTTGATGAGAGTTTTCAGATTGTCCATTTCATTTTGGTTGAGTTTGGTAGTTTGCAGTTTTTGAAGAATTGGTTCATTTCTTCTAAGTTGCTGAATTTATTAACATAACGTTGCTCATAGCATTTCCTTACTATCTGGTTAATGCACACAGCATCTATGGTGATATCGCCTATTATTTTTGTCAGTGTTGTGAAAAGTTTGTCAATTTTATTGTTTTTTTAAAAAAAAGCTATGTGTTTTATTGATTTTTCATATTGTTTTCCTATTTTTAACTTCATTGATTTCTGCTCTTATCTTTACTATTTCCTTGTTTCTACTTGCTTTGGACTTATTTTGCCAGATTTTTTCCTAGAAATTTTACTATTGACCTGAGACTTTTCCTCATTTCCATAAACTGTAACTATTTGATGCTATAAACTTCTCTCATCACTGCCTTAGCTGCTTCCCATATATTTTTATATGTTATGTTTTTGTTTTCATTTATATTACTTCCTTTGAAACTTCCTCTTTGATCCATGGATTATTTAGAGGTGTATTGTTTATTTCCATGTATTTAGAGATTTTCCTTTGTTCTTCTGTTTTTGAATTCTAGTTTGATTACATATGTTAAAAGAATATATCCTATATGATTTTAATTTTTTAAAAAAAATCATTGACATTTGTTTTATAACCCATAGCATGATCTCTCTTGTGAGTGTGTTATGGGAATGTGAAGAAAAGCAGATTCTGCTGTTGTTGGATAGAGTATTCTCTCTTTCCACGACCAGCCACTTGTGTCTTCCTCCATAGATATGTTCCTCATGACATCCAGCTGCCTGTGTCTCTGCCTTGCTAAGGTCTTGGGTTTTTATAGGCCCAGGATGGGGGTTTGGCAGGCCAAGGTAGCCTTGGAAAATACGATATTTGGGCATGAAGGCAGAAGTGCCTGTCCTCACCTATGTCAGTAGGGGGCCCTCCTCTACCCAGCACTTCCCTTCCCTCCTTGCATATCATTTAAAGGGACCACACTCTTCCCTTCCCTCCTTCCATATCATTTAAAGGGACCACACTCTTCCCTTCCCAGCACTCCTGTATCAGTATTGAAGTTCCCACCTGTAGCTATGAACTTACCTATTTCTCTTTTCAGCTGTATCAGTTTCTATTACATTCATTAAAGGTCTATTGTGTGATGCATACATATTTAAAATCATTAAGTCTTCCTAGTAGAAAAGTACTTTAATTATTATGCAGTGGCCCTCTTTGAATGTAGTAATTATCTTTTCTGTGAAGTCTACTTCACTGGATATTAATTAGCCATTCCTGATTTTTAAAATTAAAGTTTGCATGATTTATCTTTTTCCATCTTTTTACTTTCATCTATCTATGTTTTTCCATTTGAAATTAGTTTCTTGTAAGCAGCATATAGTTGATTTTTCTTTGTTTATCCACACTACCAATCCTCATTTTTTATTTTGTATTTATATTTAACATAACTAATAATATGTTAGCATTTAAATCTACCACCTTATTTCTTCTTTTCTATTTGTTTTTGTTTGCTTCTTCTTTCCTGTTACTAATTCCTCTGTTTCTTTTCTCTTGCCTTCCTTTGGCTACTTGAACAATTTTAAGGATATAATCTCAATTTATTTATAGCATTTTTGAGTTGATCTCTTTGCATAGTTTTTGGGTGGCTGCTCTGGGTGTTACAATATACATATGTGACTTATAAGAGTCTACTGGTATTTTACTATTTCCAGTGAAGTGTGGAAACTTCACTTCCACTTAGGTTCCTTTTCCTACCCCGCTTTTAAATATTGTTGTCTTCAGAGTCATATAGTGTTATAATTTTTGTTTCAGTGATCAAGTATAATTTATAAATTCATGAGAAAAATTGATATAGTGTACGTACCTATGTTACAGCTTCTTTTGTTGTTCCTTCTTCCTTTTTGATGTTCTAGTTTTCTTTCATTTATTATTTCCTTTCTATTTGAAGAAACTACTTTAGCCAATCTTTAACCACTTTTTTGTTTGTCCCAAGAATAGTTGTCAGAGGAACTTGCAGCTGCAGTGTTTACCCCAAGATAACCTTGCCATGAAATACCTTACTTTTATTATTATTTTTGTGTTGCTCTAGTATGTTGACTTTGGAAACAAAAGACATCATTCTATTTATAACATTCTGTTTTAGGTAGTGGTATTTACACTTACAAAATATAGTGATTCTTGATTGCTGAAAAGGTCATATCCTAGAAAATGTAGAATACCTTGTGTGATGTTAACATTGTTCTTGAGCAGTTGTTGGCTGAAGATTTATTTGATGAATTTAATTTTTTTGAAATGGATAATTCTGATGACTCAGACAATTCTGATGTTAGTTCTGTTTGGAAATAACTCCAAGAACAGTGTTTTATATTTTATTTACACTTTGAAAATCAGTCAGATTTGCTTCAGCCTCAAAGAGCATGTTTATATAAAATTAAATGAGCGCTGACAGTGAGCTGCACTTTTCTTTTTTTTCTAAATGGGAAAAGGGTTAAGGGTTGGTCAGCTAGCAACAAATTATTTTAGTTTTCCTTCATCTAAGATTGTTTTTATTTGCCCTTCTTTCCTGAGACATAGTTTAATTGGATATAAAATTTGTGGTTGGTAGTTTTTTTGTTTTCTGTGTGTGTGTGTGTGTGTGTGTGTGTGTGTGTGTGTGTGTGTGTTTCCCACTTGAGCATTTCCTTTTGGTCTCTGCTGTCATTTGAATTGGCTTTTCCGTCCCATAATGTGTTATTTTTCTCTGGCTGATTTAGGGTTTTTCTTTGTCTTTAATTTTCAAATGTTTAGCAATGATTTCTTGGAATGGATTCTTTAAGTTTATCCTATTTGGGATTTACCCAGTTTCTTGTATCTGAAGGTTTTTGTCTTTTATCAAGTGTGGAGAATTTTCAGGCATTATTTTTTAAAATATTTATTCAGCCTCACTTCCTCTTCTGTCCTTCTGAGACTCTGATGTTATGAAAGTTGGATCATTTATTGTTTCACAAGTTTCTAAGGATCTATTTTTCTCACAGTTTATTTTCTCTCTACTGTTTAGTTTTGGATGAATTATCTTATTCTGTCTTCATATTTCCTAATTCTATTCTCTTTTATGTCCATTCTATTATTAAGTCCATCCAGGGAGTTTTTATATTTCTGTTATTGTATTTTTTAGTTTAATATTTTCCACTATTTTTATGTACAACTTTCTTGGAGATTTTTTAATGTTTTCATTTGTTTCAAGAGATTTGTAGTTAATTCTTGAAGCATTTTTATTTTGTTGCTTTAAAATCCTCATTAGATAATTTGAAGAACTAATTAACATCAGTATTGACACCAGTTGATTGTCTTTTCATTCAAGGTGTGAAATTTTATGTTCTTGGTGCATGTGATTTCTGACTGTATTCTTGGCATTTTGTCTATTAGGTTAGCAAACTCTGGATCCTTTAATTTTAGTTGAAAGTCAGCCTGCTTAGGTCTTGCCCATGTGTCTTGACATACTTTTGTGGACTATGCTTCAAACTTCAGAGTCTTTGTGGTATTATTATGGTCTACTTGGTTTGTTAGTGCCACTGAAGTTTCTCCTCCTTCTTGCTGTTGGTTCCAGAGGGAGTAAAAGGTGTTTCCCCAAGCTAGGCTTCCAAGTATCACTAGGAGGATGCAGGTGTGGTGAGATCCTTCTGCCAGTGCTTCCCCCTAACTCTCAACTACTACCCTGATATGTCTGGGTAGGTAAGGAGATCCTCAGATCATAGGGAAAGCTAAGTTTTCTAGACTGGGTCATTTTCTGTGATTGCATCTCTATTTCCTCTTCAGGCTATCTGTCTCTAATAAGACTTTTCATTCCATTTTCAGAACCTTTTATCTATAGACTACCATATATATTGCATCTAGTTACCTCGAGAGGTATAGTACTCTTGCTCCCTTGTGCAAGAGTGCTATAGGCCTTTAAGTTACCTAGCACAAATTAGGATGCTTTGGAGAAAGCATCTGAAATTATCATAAAACTGATGTTGAAAGATTAGTTGACTTGGGTAAAAATAGAATTCAGAAAAATTCCATTTATTTGTATTTACACAACATTAAAATATTCCTTATTTAATCAAATGCACATTGCACTTGTTTTTTCTCACCTGTGTGTGCAGGGGTAGGGGGAAGTGTTGGCGTTAGGTGGGGAAAAAAAGAGGAAAGTTACTATAACTACAACAGCAGAGGATATTTTCATAGAGAAAGGTTCTTTTTTTTTAATGTAGGGACCTAGTAGCTCATTAATAATACATTTCTTTTAAATATTAATATGTTGATTTCAAACACTTAAATAGGGTTTCAAGGCTCACCTATTGTCCTACAAATCAAGGTCCTGAACAAAACAGAATGCACTCAATTTGAAATAGATAAATAAGTAATTAAATAAGAGATCCAGCTTAATAATTTTATTTGCATTTTTATGATTTGCAAGTATTTTCATGCACATGCTCATACTTAGTTACGTTACATAAACATAGGAGACAAGGTTTTTTTATAGTTAAAAAATAAAATTCAAAGAGGTTAGATGGCATATGCAACATTTCTAAGCCAGTAAATGGCAATGGTAGGTATATACACTTAGGTCCTATTTTAGGCTTGTGGGAAGTGATGGGGTTCCATTTCTTAAAGATTGTTTTAAGTCAAAATAGATGACTTATGCCCCTTTTGGACAGAGATGGAAGGGCATGGTGTGATTAATGTCATAGATCTTTTCCAGCTTCTCTTAGTTTCCGCATTTAACTTCCTTAGCAATTCATTAAAAGACTGAGGGCTTGCTTGACTTTATTTTTTGTATCTAAAATTAAAAATAAAGCAGGGCAGCCTTAAGAGAGGACATTAAAGTGATGGTACTTACTTTTGTTTGCTTATTTTTATTTTCTGATGGAACAAATAGTTTCCTTGGTAGGCAAACAACTTTCTGAGGGTCAGCATAATTGCAGTCAGCATTTATGCCCTTTCTGAGTTGGCAGCTTACTCTGCTGTGAGCCCTGCATAAGATGCCTGGTTCAGTGAGCAAAACTCACATGGTGTCACTTTGAAGATAAAGTCATGTCTCCCAGGATGCATTGTCAACAAGCCTGATGAGGTACAGTGTTGGCGATTTGACTCTTTCTTTAGCTGTTCTTTGACTTTCCAGTCCTTTGGGTTATTCTTTACTAATCTGAAGAAATCACAGCTTCTGGCTATTCTGTACTGTTTGAACAGTTAAACAAGCCTGACTGTCAGATTTCCAATACTGAAGGAATCTACAAAATGAGTAAAATAACCTTGAGCATCATTTATAATACCCATTGTAATCATCTCTAGATTTAAACATGAGGGTTATAGACAGAGTTGCAGATTTAAACATGGAAATTTCTTCTCCTTTTCTTCTTTTGAGAGGACTGTCAAGCAAAATTGAAATTTGCTAGATTTTCTTCTTCTTGATTTTGGACCTAGAGAATGAGTATTACTCATTGATGTAAAGAGTAATCTCTTTAATAGAGTAAGACCCGATGACAAAACCCCACAGTGATGTGTCTAGTATTTAGTCCTATATTCAGTCATGCTGTGGGTTATAACGTGGTTTCCTTAAACACAGTGACCCAATCTATTTCTTTTATTCTAGAAATAAAGATCTACTTCGACTGTGTTTCTTTTCTATGAATGCCAGTATTATAGTCAGTTTCTTTCATCAGAAATTGTTTAAGATAGTATCACTTAATCTTGACTGGTGTTTGTATTTATTTTCTTTTTTGAAGGTCAATAAAATATCAAGGCTTTGGAAACTGAGAACATTCTAAGATCAAGATCAACATGTTTTTTCTAAAAATTAATGCTGTAAATAGGAAACATTTGGAAACTTTTTTTGCTTTTCATTTCTAAATACTTTTCTGTTTTTCTTCATTAATGTTTAAATTTTAGAGAGCAAACACTGCAGAAGTCGTGACTTACTGAATATAGATGCATGTCCACTATTCTTATTAATACTGATTGCTGATGTAGATTATTGTGGGGGCTGAGAGATTCGTAACATAGCATGTTATTTATTAGCAATTTCAGAATAAGAACTCAACAGAAAATCATTCTAACTAATGATTGTTTGAAGTTCTGGCTCTATAATACATGTGATATTTTAAATTCCTAGATACTCTAAACAATTATGCTTTATGAATTAACCTTTTTTCATATAACCTATTTCACATATTATTATTGTATACTTCCTATGAATACTATTGTCAAAGTACAGTAGACAAAACAAAATTATATCCTTTAAGCAAGATGGATGCTGTAAATGTATGTATGGACATTTTTATTTCTGGTTATTTCCTAGATATTGTTTGTAATATCTGCTACAAAGAATTTAATTTTAAAATGACATGTTAATATGCTTCTATATGGCATGATTATACATAAAGACATCATTTTACCTACAAAAGGCAGAAAATATTAATCTCTCAAATATGTTAATTGTCTCTTTCAAAATAGGAAGTGTTGATATCTTAAAATATTTGTATATCTGACAATTGTGTTTTATCATATGTATAACTAATTAGTTCACAAAGAATAAGGGGGTTTTGATAATCACAGTGGTTGTTGTATTTAAAGCAATAGACAGAGATTGATAAAAATAGGTAGAACTCTATCTATCTTCTATCTGTCTATCTGATTTAGGAAAACAAAACAAAACAAAAAGTCGTGGCAGTGACAAACACATTGTGTGAAAGGCCCTGCAACTATCTGGGTTGCCTTTCAAGTAACGTCTCTCCATTGAGTTGACTGTGGGTTCTGACTGTGTCCTGATCAGTTGCAGTGAACTTACTTCTTTAAATGTAGTTATAATTTAAAATGTATACCTCCAACACCACTAGAAAGTGATGGAAACCATAAAACTAGTAGCTACAAGGCCACAAAGATCAGCAGAGAAAGTTCTAACACCTTAGTGATTTTTCCTTAATTTTCCTACTCTCTCCCCTCCTGTTTTGTTTTTGTTTGTTTTTTTGTTTGTTTATTTGTTTGTTTGTTTCAGTATTCAATGCCATTTTATTCACATGCTCCCATGTTTTTCCTCTCTCCCATCATAGCCTTGCTCCCCAGGGGAAGAATATGTCTTCTTTTATGCTGCCTGGGGAACCAGAGGACAGATCTTGGGCAGGAGAGTGAGAGGGGGAAGAATCTGAATGGGTTAGTGGCAGGAACGAAGTCCTGGTTAAAGAGGAAATGAGTATCACCCACAGTGAGAGGTATGGAAGGCACTTTTCTCCCATGCAGCCCTGAAGGCCAGGCTGCTTTGGGTAAAAGGGCAAGACTCTGGCATGTGGGCCAATGCCCTGTGGTATTCCTCAGGTAGAGAAGGAGAGAAAGGGAAGCACCATGAAAGATAGTGATCCCAACAGAGGTAGGAGAAGGGGGCTTACACCTATTGGGTCCAGGGGAAAAAGCCAGTCAGAAACCCAGCTACTCACTAAGGAGCGGCTTAGGAGTTGGAGTATCCTGGAGCTCCTCTGTGCCCTTCTCCCCATGAGTAAGCTATCAAATGCCTTTAAGGCACCCTGATTTTCTGTAGATCATTCAAAAACAAACCCTCTAATATTACCATTGTGAGGCACACCGAGGTGAGCATTTAAAAGGCTTTTTGGGTAAATGCCCTACTTGATTTAGAGGGAATTTGAAAGGAATTTGGAGGGAGTTTCTTTGGGGACCAGGGCACCTCTCTTATTGGACAGAGGTAGGTACTCACACTTCCCTTCCCCACAAGATTCCTCTCTATCTGTCCTGAAACATATTCCTACAGGGCTGGTCTGAGTTGAAGCACAGATCCTGTCCCCAATCCAAGAAGTGGGTAAGTTTGTGTGTGGGTTCTATGGGCCCAAACCCTGCCCACCTAGTATTCTCAGGCTCTAACTAGGGGTGGAGGCAAAATTGGAAGTTTAGGCTTAGGTCTGCATAGAACTAGAGGGTGTTGTGAGGGGAACAGTGGAACCACAATCAGAACCCAGGTCCAGATGAGTGTGGGGGACTGTGGCCTCAGGGACTGGTTCCAGTTGGTGCTCTCAAAGACTCTGGAGATAACTTGGAGCCAGACTGTCAGCAGGGCTCTGGGTGTTGGCAGGGAGCTGACACCTATAGCTACTTTCACAAAGCCCCACCCCAGAGGCGGTCTGGTGCTACTTGGTCTCTTGTTGATAGATCCAAAGGAGTTGGAGACCCCTTTGCTGGTAGCTCAAGGTCACATTAGCATGGCCTCCATGTTCCTTAGCCATGAGCTTCCACTGGGCCAGGGCCCTAGAAGCCCCCAAGGCTGGCCAGGAGTTCAATAAAATCTAGCTATACCAGCAGAAAGGAGGCAAGGCTGGAAGTGCCTGCCAGCATTGACCCAGCCAACTGCCCAGTGCCAGACCCTCCAGGAAGAAGTCAGCACAAGCCACCAGCACCGTAGCACCCAGCAGGGCTGTGCCCAGAACTATGAATGGACATGGCCACTGAAGCATAAGCAGGGCTCCCAGCAGTTCCAGCCCCACCACCACCCCCTGCCAGCACCCAGTGAAAGTGGTTGTTAGATGGACTCAGTGCCCAGCAGAGTCCCAGCATCCAGGTTCAGACCTAGAAGGAGACTAATCAGGAAGAGCCCAACACTGCAAATCAACATGGTGACCAGGCTGCAGAAGAGTCCAATGCCCAGTGTGATGCCCGTGCTCACCCCCAATCTCAGCTGTATCTCCAGCACCTGCTCCTTGTGAAAGAGCAGGAAGATCACCAGAGCTCCAGACAGCAGGCCTGAGAGAAACATCACTGCCTTGAAGCAGTGGTGGCCATAGCTGCAGGAGATGATTCCAAAGCAGCAGCAGCAAAGGGCACACACCAGGGCGGGTGCCAGTTCAGGATTGTCCTGGGGTTCCAAAATGTATCTTGGGTCTGGAAGCTCTGGGAGTTGTTGATTAAGGGATCTGGGAGAAGATGCCACAGCCAGAGACAGCAAGGCTTCCTCCATGACTGAAGAGAAAGTGGTCACAGACAGTGTCAGCTCCTCTCATTCATCGTGAATGTGTTCAGGGTGTTGGGAAACCACCCTGCCAGGGCTGAGAAGAGGAGGGGGTGGAAGTGCTCCCTAGACTCTGAGCCGCATCCCCACCTGGAGGTCCTAGGCAGCTGGGGGGCAGTTGGTAGAAGACATTTCCAGGACCACTATGTTTGTTGCCCCCTAAACTGTTGCAAGTCATAGCCCAAACTCTGTAAGCTAAATCGGCCTCCTGTTATTTTTGCAGCTCCTTTCCAGAGGAACACATTTCTAGTCTCCAAGTATTTGTTTCCTCAACTTTAAAATAGAGATAAGAGAACCTACCTCACAGGGTAGATGAGAGGATGAAATAAGTTAAAGTACGTAAAGGCACTTGGCATACTAAATACTAATCCTGGCATACTGGAAGGGCTTAGCAAAATTACTTAGTTGGCATTATTATACAATTTGCAACACTCTGCTCCCAGTTTTAGACTCTCAAAAGTCTAAAACTCAGCTAGCATGAGGCACTCTTGGTATAGCTTATACTTTGCAGACTGGCTTATCTAAGCTGAATTTTCCTTGAATCTAAACATATTAGTTGTACTCTTAACCTCATCTGTTGGGATGAGGTTGTCTTGGATCTGAGACCAATGGTTACTATACCTTCTTTGTGAATAATGTTTTATTAAATTCTACCTGACATTATATGTTGCCCAGATTAGTCCTCCAGTAATAATAGCACTATGGGAACAGAGATCCCAGTGTGAGTGGGGCTTACAGCCAGATTGCAAACTGCACCTTCCCCCTCATGCTTCTGCTTAGCAGAGTCTGGGCTTCTCCTTGTTTACACATTTCAGAACTGCCTGGAATCCTGAGCTACATGACCTCTAAGAGACCTTCCTACCAATCTCTGACCAGTCTGAAACATTTTCAAGAAAACCAGGACTTTTAGAAAGCTGTCTTTTTGGACTCTACCAATAGAGAGAATGTTTTCAAAGTGGTCTCTGCTTGGTTGACCACCATTTCCAAAATTTCCTTTCAGTTAATATTTTCCCAAATGAGACAAAGCTGTTTGTGCATTCTCCGAGTCATCCATGTCTAACTTCGCATAATTGATATTCTGAGCTTTGTGAGGAGTTTATGAAAATCCGAAGGTTTATTTTTAGTAGTCCTATAATCCTGAAGTGTTGCTTAATGTGGTTTTTCTTTTTTTGCTCAAAAGATAACGATGCTTCATTTATTCTTTACCAATAGGTGAATTCTTCCCATTATTAATTTCTATATGGTGTTATCTGTACCCTCTAGTGCTACGGGAAAAGTATACAACATTCCTGAAAAGGGAACGCATTTCAATAAAAACAAAGTGTAGCTAATTATTGTGATTTTGATTTAAATAAATGAATTAATGATTTTGGTCTACCTGTAGGTCTGTGCCCTATGACCATACAAGTTTGAATCACTGGAGCAGTGAAATAGTGGACATTTTTAATCACTCACCACAATGCCTGGCACTTTAAAATATTGAAGTAATGGAAGAAAGATTTAAGGTACATGTCAATTGATAAATGCTTTGGCTTATGTGAATTCTGCACAGCACAGACTGATCCATGTTTTTAGAAAGTGTTCATCTTTCACATTGACGTGCTTTTAAAGTTTGGAAATATTCCATGAATTGTAATAATTTTGTACATTTTTACAATACCAGAGCTAAATTTGATGTTTTAATCATTTTAATTAAAATAATCTACTTCAACCTAGATTGATACATCTGACATACTATAATAATTCATCTGTAGTAGTTATGGAATTATACTTAGAATAGCTTGCTCTCTTTATTTATACTTTTCTCCTGCATGCATAAAATATGAAGCAAATTATTCAGTTTTTCTTCTAGTATTATTTTCATTGAAGTCCCAACATGCTCGTTAATAGCAAGGCTGGAATCACTGTGTTGGTACAGTTCTGTAGTGTCTTGTTTTACTTAACTATAAGTCATTAAAGTTTGTGAACAGAGAATTTTAACTTCAAGTGCATTTTACCAGATGCATACCAAGACAAAACAGAATGTCCTATGATATTTTGATTCACTATAAATCCTACTTAATTTAGTGTAAATTCTTTAACCCTACAATATTTTCAAATGTCAGACATATATGAAAATGTAAAATCATTCTTTAACGTTAAGCATGCATTCTAACAGTTCGGTCTACTTTAAAAAAATTGAAGTATATTATTTCTTTGCTTTATACAACTTTTCCTGGTTTTAGAATCAAACTAACGGTTTCATTTTCAAATCTGAAGATACTCTTTAGGTATGTAGGACTGCTCTATAATAACATTTACTTAATAGAGCTGTTTTTATTAAATGAAATAAATTAATATTCTAGAACTTTTCTCAATGCACTGTTTAAACTTGGTTTGTCCATTTGTTTCATACAATCAATTAAACAAAGGGACATAGATTTCCCTCATTTCCAGATGCTTTTGAGGTCCTTTTCTTAAACACCAAAATATTTAACAATAATTTTCTCAGTAACAGACCACAGAATTTAGAACTTAGTAGAAAAACAAAGAGATGTGATTCTTATCTAAATTCAAAATTTTAATAAGAAGAATGACTGTTTAATCCATATCCTTGAATCTTCCTCAAACTTAATTCTACCGTCAATTTATTTTCCATTCAGCCCATCTTCTTAAATATTTGTTTAAGCCTTCATCACACAAAAATTCAAAGGAAGATGTATGCAAGTGTTCATTCCTTTATTTTTTTTAACATCTGTAATTAAAACAGAACTATAAGGTGGAAGAGGGACTGATGTTGATTAACTGTAATTATAAGAAAATTAGGCAAGGTCCTTATTATCACTTTTCTCACAGCAATTTTTTTCTTCATAATATGAAACATGTTAAATTATATGTTCCCAAAATGTCCTTGAAAGACTAAAATAAATTCTGTGCTTGTTTAAAAATTCATTTTAAAAAGGCAGAGGGCATGAAGTTGCAGACCAAAAACTGAGATTCTAAAAACTGTTGTATCATTACCAGACAATCTTGACTATTTGCGTGTCCCTGAGGTTAAAGATTGAAATGAACAAATTTCCAGAAAATCCGGCCTCTGAGGCTTTGGAGCACTGGGTACACCCTAAAGGAACATGCAGGCTTTTCGCTTTTTAATTTTATTTCATGACTCCTCACAGTTCAGCAGTGGTCTGATTTTAAGTGTCATCTGAGTTACTAGGAATGTGAATCCTAAAAATGCCTACTATGTGGTCTTAATTTCAAGTTCTGGCCTCAGCATCAGCCTCTGTACTTAAACATTAGGAAAGAAAACAAAATTGGCTGAATGCCTGCTAGACTGTGCATCTTTAGTTTTAACTCAAGACTTTAACTAAAGACTGTGCATCTTTAGTTTAACTGTGAGGGTGGCGAGTATTCTTATTTCACAGATGAGGAAAGAGAATCTTAGTGTAAGCACCTAGCCCAAGGTCACAGAGAGGGTAAGTGATAGAATTAGGATTATAAAGTCAAAATAATTGGCTCTAAAGTTAATTCTAAATTTCCCTGAGAACCAATGGGGAAAAATAAAACTTTCTATTAATACCATAAGCAGAAACATGTAATATTCTTCATGAAAAGGGTCAGTAGGATGTGGCAGTTAAGAGCACAGATTATAAGCATGGAAGCAGATTATTCCATGCTTCTGGGTTCGCCTTCTAGCACTGCCACTTTTAAGCCATGGGACCTTGACCAAATTACTCAACCTCTCTAGATTCAATTTTCTTTTAGGTAAAATAGTAATAACAGCACCACAAAGAGTGTTGTGGGGAATAAATAATCAGAATTTGGCACATAGTAAGTGCTAGCTATTATTATTATTATTATTAACTAAAAGAATCTTTGAAGGTCATCTTATTTAATCCCTTCTTTTTCTAAGTAAGAGGTGAGATCCTAAGAAGTAGAATACTTGTCCAGGGTTACAAAGCAAGATAGAAATAGCAACCAGATTTCCTAATATCCAATCTAGTGTTATACTTGAAAGCAAAAACAACATTTGCAAGATAATGAATGCTAATGCTGTATTTAGAATTTATTTGTATCATTTTACAAATCCCTAAGCCTTTTCTACAATCTGCCTATTCCTACTGAGAAATAATATCACCTAATTATAAATTTTTATGGATATTGATAAAAGGAATGAATCAACAAATTATGAACACACTGTTACGTTTTATAAATCCATAAAACCTTAAAGATAGCCTCTTTTATGTACAAATAATATACTACATAGAAAGTGAATGAAAAATAATGGTACAAATAGTTTTACTTACATAACAGAGATGTCTTTTTTTGAGCTAAATACTTTAAGACTTCCTGAATATTTGTCAAAAGTAATGATGTGGAGCAGAGTTGCTGTTCTCTCCTGTTGTCTTAAATAGGTTGGCTTCCTCTGCATTGCATAATTTTTTCTAAAAGAGAAGAGAGCACAGTGATTAATGCACATATATTTTATGTTGTTAAAGCTTCAAAAATGATAAAACCCTATTTTCACAACAGATTAGAAATATTTTGCTTCTGGAAAGAAAGTGATGAACTACATAAATAGAAAAATCAAAAGTGGCTGTAAATGATGAATGCTTCACTTTACCTGAGAAGTTGATTTTCTCTGATGGCCAGAAAAAAAAAAGCAGAAAACTCGTCTTTTTGATTTGTAGAAACTTAGATAAAAATAGTTTCTAGACTTCCTTTAAAATTAGTATTCAACACACAAATTACTGAGCACTTACATGCAAGGCAACTAGTTACTGGGGACACTGAAATTGATAAGGCAGATTTGACCATCAAGGTCATTATAATGACTAGTTATATTCTTTGTCCTACCATGTTGCTGACTTACAAATCCAAACTATAGTTATGTACTAGCATCAAAAAATTTAATAAATAAAATGGAGACAATGTCAGAGCTTATATACACATTAAATGGTCTCCCCTTACTACCATACTCTGATTACATTAAATAGTACCAGAGGTATGGTTAATTTTCACTCAAAAATACCACTGTAATTTTCTTTATTTGTGTAATTAAACTAGAAGATCTGCAGCACATTAAAACAGAGCTGAAATAAGATTGCTTAAATGACAGCATTTTGCTTTGGGGCAAATAAAACATTTCTGGAAAATTCATTATCTCTTAAGTAGGCATTGTTCACAGATTATAAAAATGCTTATTTATTTCATTAATAAGATTGGATCTTATATGTGTATTTATTTTTATCAAATGCAATATCTTAATATACTTGACTTACATTTTTAGAGTAAAGGATTTACCAACTAGTTTGCTTTATAATCAGATTTTATGGTGCAAGTTTCCCCTGATAATTTCTAAGGATAATTTGTTGTCAACAGAAGATAATGTATACGTGATACTAACTGGTATTGAATCTCTAAATAATACAGCACTAGTAATTTTACTTAAGATTTTTCTGTGACATAATCCTGGGATAGTTTAAGGTTTATGGCCATACACACAAAGCTATACATGAAATATTTCCAAATAATAATGTACTTAAGTTTTATCCATGCTTTTATTATTCATGTTTCTTGGACTTTTCAGCTGAAGTCTACCAAAAAGACAAACAGAGTATATCTGTAAGGAATCTTCTTAGTATGATATATGTTAAAATTAAGGGGAAAACAGCTCTTCCACATGGCAAGTCTGGTACATTGGAAGTGCAGGAACGGAGCTCAAGGAAGAAGTATAAGATGAAAGTGACAAGAGAAGAAGACCAGAGCTCTGTGAGATAATTCGTGTGTAACATAGGCCTAGTTAAAAATATAAGCAAAACTGATCTCTCAATGTCAATGAAGCTGTGCAGACAAAAAAAAAATTGCTTAAGATAGGGACGATCCACAGTGTGGCAGAGGCAAAGAAGAAAAGATAACACAGAAAGAATCATGGGATTATGGAAGAACAGAGAGGCTTGAGTAATTAAGGCAGGATTGAGGGGAAATGAAGTCATTTAGTGTTGATCATGTATTCACATAATTTAATAAAATTATAAAGAATTAAATATAGATTTGACATATGTTTTTGGTTATGATTTTAGCGTGCTATTTTTCTGCAAGACGTCGACATGACAGAAAGACATTCAGTTATTCATTATTTCAACCAACAAATATTTATGGAACAGGCTCCTTGTAAAATAAAACATTGTTCAAGCCATGTTAGGGCAAAATTAAAAAGGTAAAGATGAACACTCTCGAATTAACATAAAAAAGGTGAGGATTGTTGCAGTCGAGAATTGATGGGATCATGGCTGCGAATAAAGAAATGACAACATTTCCAGGGAATCTGAAAAACAGTGACTCAGGATGTTCAAGACAGCCAGAGTCTCTATGCTCACATAAGATCTACTATAATAGTGTATTAGAGCTATTATCACAGATGTGAATTCAATGAGCAATAATCAGTTGTATAGAACACATCCCTACAAACCATTGTGTAATTGTGTGAACGAACAGCTCTAAGAATGCAAAAGGAGAGATCATTTCTGCCTAAGAAAACCAGATAAGGTGTGAGGAAAGGTTGAACATGGGATCCCGGCCATAGGAATGGAAAGTATTCCAGCAGTAATAAACTGGAGGAAGAGCAATAACCCAGGAGTATAGAGGGTTCAGCAAACCATAAGATAAATATACTACCAGAAGCACAGACTTTGTTGAGAGAATTAGTGGATCAGAGAACTGAAGAAAGACTCAGTACAGAGGGCAGTACAGTTGCAGAGAGCCTTATTGCCTAGAAAAGGATTGATGCTGTAATAGTCTGATGAGCAAGATAAAATAGTGCCTAGAAAAGGATTGAGGCAGTAACAGGCTGATGAGCAGGATAAATCAGAATCAAAAGCTGTTTAGGGAAATTTATCCCACCACATGTTGAAAACAAGAAGGGAAAAACTCATGGTAAAGTACTTTCATCGTAAATTTTATACTCTGAAAACAAAACCTCAAAACTGGATTGATGTTTATGAGTGGTGAAATGTTCATAGGAAATTATATGAGTATTTGCAAGGATAGTTGGGAAGAAATGAAGCTACTTGTTTTAATAAGTGATTTCTTAATTAAGTAGGAAGTGAGCTGAAGGAAGGACTCATAAGAAAATGAAAACAATAATGATGGCTTCTTTTTACTAATTAGGCCCGAATGACAACCTTACAAAAAAATCTAAGTGTTGGATATTACTTTTCCCTCAAAAATTATGGATTCTTTTGTTCATCCCATCTAACTTAAAGGTCTATTCTTCATTTAATCTGACTAGTAAAATGTAATTTTAAGAAGAGAAAAATGTAGAAATGGTTTACCTATGAGCATTCTTAACAATGGAAGTTATTGCCAGATCATTTGGTAATATTTTTACATTTAATACGCCTCTTCACATTTGGCAGTTTTCTGTGCAACAGTGGAAATAATGGATAAGGGGTGATTTTCTTGGCTAGGAAATAGTGAATGCAAAATGAATGAAAATCTTGAACTCAGGCATACACTTAAGATGCTACTTATGACTACATATTTCAAAAAGCTGTTACTATCACACAGAATCCTTAGAACCAAGAAGTGATTTAGCCTCAAAGTTTATTTTTAACAAAGTTTATTTTAAATTGCCAATTTTTCTTCTTCATAATTCTTAGATTTTTTTAGAACACATCCAAGAAACAAGTATTATGAGAATTTCTCAATTCTGAAACTTAGCAAATTTAGTTAATAGCATTTTTTGCACTCAAGAGAACATCAAAATCTAACCTTAAGACTTGGTGTCTTCCTGGATTCTTAGATTCTAGTGTTCATACATGCATTAGTATGCTCGGACTGTTGTAGCAAAGTACCACAATTGAGTGGCTTAAACAACAGAAATTTATTTTCTCACTGTTCTAGAGAACAGAATTTCAAGATCAAACTGTCAGTAGGGTTGGTTCCTTCTGAGTCCTGTGAGAAAGAATCTATGCCATGCCTCTTCTGCTAGTTAGCTGTCAATCTGTGGTGCTCCTTAGCTTTATGGGAGCATCAACTTGATCTCTTCCATCATCTTCACATGGTGTTAGCCTGATATATGTGTCTGTGCCCACATTTCTCGTTTTCATAAGGACATGATGAGTTATATTGGATTGGGGCATACCCTACTCAGTATGATTTTATCTTAACTAATTACATCTGCAGTGATCCTGTTTCCCAACAGGGTGACATTCTGAGGTACTTGGAGTTGGGACTTCAACATATGCATTTAGGAGGACACAATTCAACCCATAACAATATGTATTAAATAGATGGATATGGACATTCTTGGAGTCAACCTGCAGATTATCTACTCATTTGAGATCATTTGTCTCTCATAGTTACCCAGAGAAATTAAAGACAGGGAAGTTTTCATCAGAAGAGGGATTGTTTTCCACAAGTACCCAAGCGCTACTATTGGGGATCACCTCTTAACTGACTCCCCTAATATCAACTCTTACCCTAACCCCAATTCTCTAGCGTATGCTTTACCTGAGTCACCCAGGTAAATGCCACATTTATATTACCCTGTTCCCTAATAACTTTCCGTGGCTTCTTGTTACCCTCAAGGTACAACGCAAGTTCCTAAGTATGCCATTTAGTCTTCCATCCACCAAAGCATCCCTGCCATTTAATACTGTCAACTGTCGCATGTACAAATCCGAAGTTCCAGCTAAATTTAGGTACTCACTGTCTTCTGAACACACCAGAAACTTTCTTATTTTTGCACCTTTGTTTATATCTATTTTTGCTGGCATAAGAAATCCTATTTCTTTTATGTGGCCTGTAAACCTGACTGAAATGCCACCTCCTCTATGACACCATCACAATTCACAAGTTATTCCTGCCTCTCATCCCTATAGCACTCATTCCTATAGCAATTGCTCATTTATGTAGCAATCTTATGAGTTATTTTGTACTCATTTCTCTTTGCATTGCTAGATTTCTAAAACATGTTTATGTCTTACCTCCCTAGCTAGCCTGTAAACATCTTGGGAGTAAGTAATTATGTTATTCATAGTGTAATACTGGTCTTCAGATGTTATTGATGTAATTAGTATTGATTCATTGTACCTTTTTTTTTTTAACCAGTGAAGTGTTTTGTAGCTGTGTTTTTATTTGGTTTAAATTGTTGAGCATCCATAGTTAGTTGTTACATCTCTAGTTCACAGAGTTTGACATTATCGCACATATAGTTGGGGGTCAGGGGATTTGGATTCATCTCATTGAACTAGTTTATCCAGTTCTCACTTACTTACCTTACCTATAAAATTAGGAAGTAACACTAATTTAGTTCTAAGGTTACTCTCAGATCTAAAATTCCACAATTTCAAAGTCTATACATTATATTTTTTAAAATGCAATCTCTATGTAAAGTTAATCGGGCATGACAAGCTTGTATACAGATACATGGATGGATGTAATTGATTAAGTGCTGTTGCTTTTTTGTTAGTGCTGACTGTCAGTTTAGTGATTCTCAATTGTTTCTTTGGTTTTATAATCCATACTTTAGCTACATTGTAAATAGTTTTGAAGTGATCTATTGAAAATGAAAACTAAAAAGTAATTTGAAGGCAATTCCTGTAATGTTACATAAGAAACTATTCCTAGCAGTGATTAGCTACAGGGAGCAGAATCGGGGAAATTACAGGTAGTGGAATTTTCAGTTTAATATTTTTTTAACAGAATATATATTACTTTCAAAATTAAAAAATAATAATTAGCCAATTTGGGGCCAATGCCTTTTTTTTTTTTAAAGAAAATACATCAGGCTGGTGAAAATCAATAATAAAAATAAATATAAATGTCTTCTTCCTCCTTCATATTCCTCCACTTAGATGCAAAGTGTCAAATCTAAAAGTGTCTGTGAAATACATAGATAGCTTTATTCGCGTCCTTTCATATTAGGATATGCAAAGTGGTTCCTCATGGTGCTCACTTCAGTAGCATATATACTAAAATTATAATAATACCCAGAAGATTAGTATGGCCCTTGTGCAAGGATGACACACAAATTTGTAAAGCATTCCATATTACCATATTTTACCCCCCAAAATTACAAAGTGACACAAGGAAACATTTGCAGGTGCTGAATATGTTTATTACTTAGACTGTGGTGATGTTATTATGAGTATTTGCATATATTCAAATTCATAAAATTGTGAAAAATAAGTATATGCAACTTTTTGTATTTCAATTATGCCTCAGTAAAGCTGTAAATGTAAAAATGTGCTTCCTCAGGCCGGGCATGATGGATCACGCCTGTAATCCCAGCACTTTGGGAGGCCGAGATGGGTGGATCACCTGAGGTCAGGAGTTCGAGACTAGCCTGGCTAACATGGTGAAACCCCCTTTCTACTAAAAACAATACAAAAAAATAGCCAGGCATGGTGGCACGTGCCTGTAATCCCAGCTACTTGGGAGGCTGAGGCAGGAGAATCAGTTGAACCCAGGAGGCAGAGGTTGTAGTGAGCCAAGATTGCACCATTGCACTCCACCTTGGGCAACAAAAGCGAAACTCTGTCTCAAAAATAAATAAATAAACAAACAAATAAATAAATAAAATAAGATAAAGTGCTTCCTCATAATAATTAGTGAAGAGACTAGTGTTTTGAACATGAAGAAAAAGTAAAATAAACAAGTAACCTAAGAAAAGCAAAATAATATGTGGTACTTACTATCTGAATTGACTAAATTACAAGTGAGTACGCACTGTATGTGATTCTAAATTTTCTGGAATATCAGATTAAGAAGAGTTTCTTGGCTATATCCTTTTAATTGCATAATAAAAAAGCATCTAAATCATTTTACAGAGAAAAACTATCTTGACATTGGCTTAAAGATAAAACCCACTTTGTTAGTTCTTCTGTAAGGGATATTGGGACACAGAACAGACCATGTCTTCAACTACAGTTTTGAAAAAGATGCACTTTGTTCAATGGACATTTCTTTTACTGAGGCTCTAACAGTACTGAGAGCATAATACTCTATTTTAACACAGGGGACCGAGTTATTCTTGCAGAGAACGAATAACAAGGCCTAGGCCCTTCGCTTTCTGATGATCCAATTTTGTCAAGGTTTAACGGGAAGAATTGAAATTTCTGGCTCATTAATGTTTCCATCAAATTGCCTTACAACACTCTTAAATGTATCATTTTAAAGTGAGTTTAAAATGTGAGACCAAGAGAGGGAGGAACCTGGTAAGTAGGTATGCCCTCTTGTGGAGTTCTCATTGAGAATCAGCCTCCGTTACAGTACAAGTAAACCAGAAAGGTGATGGACAAGTTCAAGAAAAGTTAGTTCACTAACTAGACAGTGAAAACAAGTGGATCTGGAGCTGAGGAACAGAACTCTAGTCCCAGGGCCAAGATAGCATGAAAGTAGGTATAAGAAGTTACCCAGTTCTCCTTTCTGCAGCAAAATAATGTAGGGTACCCAGAAGCTTACCAAAATACTGGGGAAGAAGTTAAGACAGACATTGGAAGTGCACATCAGTTCAACCTGTTGGAAATTCAACTGAAGATTTCAACCTGTTAGAACTTCAACTTGTGGGATTTTCAAGTGGTTGAAAGACCAAGACTAGGTTTAATCACAGTTTGTTATAGGATCCCCATCCTGGTCTTCATGAACTAGCCTCTATTGGCCACTGCAGATAACTGCGCACTGCTTCCTTAAATAGGAGTGTTGATATTTATGAACTATCACCTTTCTAAGGTAAAGGCATCTCAAATGACAGGAAAATATGGCCTCTTTTTATTTTTGTTGGTAAAGCCCTCTTTGCACCAGATTCTGAGTGCAGATATTAACCAAATTGTTCTTCACTTTTATTCTTCTATCATCTTGTCCAACAAATACTCAACCCAAGAACTATCACCTCTTGCTTAAGGGTGCTGTTTTTTTTTTAAATAAACACAACTCGTTATTTCTACCAATGTCAATATGGAGAATAAAGGAAACTGACATTTATTAAACTTCACTTATGAATCAGATATGCTGCCAGCCAGTAATTTTACTAATTTGTTCATGATCTTATGCTCAGAACTTGGATCAAATCCAGGTCCATTTAATGCCAAAACATTTATTTCCACTGAGTATTACTGCCCAATACAAAAATTAAAGTAATTTTCTCTGACCCTATATGTATTTCAGGCATTTCTTGACCCAATACTTACAACATAAGTGCTATGTGCTCAAATTTACCTTCTATGTAACTCCAGATTTAAGGATCTTTCCACTAGAGTCCTGTGTATTCAGATGCAGACAAATGGTCAAGTTCACTGGCTATAGTTGATAAATAATTTTTATAATAGGTGTTTGCTTCATACAGTAGGTTCTAACTTCCAAGGATGACCCTGTGCCAGAGTTCCCATATTCAACAAAATGGCTAAGAGCTTCTCCAGGATCCAGGACTCGTGCTGGCTCCTTTCCTGAAACCTCAGGTAAATGGCCATCCTAGGGATGCAAGTTTGTATCAGAGTTTAAGATAGAAGACTAGATTTATTGAGTTATGAAGCCCAAAGGCACTTCTGGACATTCATATACACACGTTCACACATACACACCCCATTCTGCCTTCCCCAGCCATATGTACACTTACCTAGGAAATTTGTGCACAAAAGCTTGTCTAGGAAAAAACAACTCTTCCAATAGACAAATAATTTTTAAAAACTGGCAGACAATTAATACCAAAATCCTATTAGAAAAAAATGTGAAAGAAAGCAACAAATTAACAAATTTGTCAATAGATGAGCATTTATAAGAAAAATGTTGCTACAGGCCAGATATGAAAGCTGTCACCTAAAGTTTTACTATGCATTGAATATTGTAATAAAGCTTTTACTACTATGAAGGAAGACCATGAATCATAAGTGCAAGAACTCCAGACAGTGGGAGGAAATAGAATTTCAACTGGCAGAATTCAGTGAAGTGGAAGAAACAAACTAAAACCACAAACAAAACAAACTAAAATCACAGAAATATAAAAGAATTACACAGAGGAGACATGAGAATAGACACTGAAGAAAACACAGCAAGGAGATAGAAGATATAAATGAGGCAAGGCAAGAAATCAAAATTAAAATGGATTATATAAAGAATTAGGGAAGAATGATAGGTACATAAACCAGACAAGGCAGAAGCTATATATTCATAATTAGAGTCCATGAAAAACAAAACCAAAGCTAATAGAACAGAACAAATATTTGAAAATATAATTTGAGGGGGAAAATGTTAAAAACAGAAAAGAATAACCGTATCTATTGAAAGCATATATTACATAGCAGTAAAACTGAGTCAATGCTGAGACATATCTTTCTGCTACATACTCAGGATATATGTACTTAAGACATATTCTAGCAAATTGATACGAAACGCATCTTTTAAATGGCCAACCAAAAAGATCATATTATTTACAGGAGGAAAAAATCTCAGGCTGGCGTTTGATTTCTCCTTGTTTGCATTCAGCACTAGATGTTTGTGGAACAACACCTCTGAAATACTCAAGGAAACAAAGTTTAAGCCAGGGATTTCATGTCCAGACAAGATATTCATTAAGTATAAAGCCACAAACAATATAGAATGTGCCACAACTCAAGAAATACTGCTCACGTACTAGAGACTGAACTTCAGCCAATCAAGGATGACAGGGAAAACTTTCGCAAATGGCTGGTGATAAGCACTTAATATACGTAGTAGAACTAAGACTAAAGGAAATGTGTGGATTAGAAGAAAAAGTCCAGAATAAATTGTATATGCCCTGGCAATTAAAAATATACAAATAACAAAAAATTGGGAGAGTAATGCAGGACAAATTTTAGTGATTCCTCAAAAAAAAAAAAAACAAAAACAAAAACAAACAAACCTGTAACTACCATATGTAGAAACCTATAGGTACAATATTGACTGATTGCATCATCTGTAACAGTGTGGAGTCAAAGTATATTACCTAAAACTGATACATTAAGTAATAGAATTGTAACATAGTACAATTGTATCACTTAACAGTACAAAACAGTAAATAAACATTATTTTTAAAAATCATACACTGTTACTAAATAGCTAAAAATAGAAATGTTTGACAATTTGGCATGGCAATACTGAATTTTAAAATTTTACATCTAAAACTTGCATAGCCCTTTAAATAGAGTAATGAGGTGAATATATTTTTTTCTCCCAAGAAGATACTCTTAAAATAACTTACGGCAAAACATAACCATAAAATAAATATCATGCTCCTCCTTGTACTTATTTTCTAGAAAATTTATTATATTGAATGAAAGTATGACCGCCAAGTTGAAGATTATAAGCCTAAAGAAAATAATAGTACAATAATGTCTACTGACTTTTGGTAGCTAATACCACTTGAGTGGCTGTAGAATCAATTTCTTTTCCTTGACTCTGAATGCTGAATCAAGAATCATGGAAGCATTATCCCTTAGCAGGAAGTGGGAGTACCCCCCGTAGGTTGACAGGGAAGTCTTCTCTCTCAAGGTGTGGCTACGAGGCTCTCCCATCACTGACATTGGTATTTAGGGGAACTTCTGGCTCTTTCATCTCAAGGGAGCAAAAATATGTTACAACATTTAACATGGGATACAACATATTTAGGGGTCCTAGACACCTTTGAGAATCTGACGAAAGCAGTAGGATCTTTCTCCAGAAAAAAACGTACATGTCACATATTGCCTATAATCCTATGGGACTCACAGAACCCCCAGAAGCTCATCCAGAGAGACTCTCGAAATGTACGGACTCCAGGTTAAAGACCCTGGTTTTAAAAGTTCTTTGGATTTCGATCAGAATTTTCAGTGTTGAGCTTGCTGGTCGGAAATACACATGTTACTGCATGCTCTTATGGAAGGAAGGCTGCTAAAATAACATTCCCAATCCACCTAAGGTATCTTTCTTATTTATTCTGGTATGAGTGACAGTCCTCAAAGTCTGGTCACCAGACCACCTAATTTAGAAATACCTGGATTCCTGTTAAAAATGGAGGTGGATTTGTCTGTTTCTAAACCACACACTAATCTAGAGAAGGCAGATGCACCTGCAACAGCAAAGCTTCCCCTGCTTCTCCAAACTCTATGTAGAACAGCAACAAATAAACAACCTCACCCTTAGTCTCACTGCCTTCTAAAATGAAACATTCCAGAGCTGCTGCAATAGGTTGCCAAGGGGAATAATTAATCGTTACAAATCCAAAAGTGCAAAAGTATTTTTTTTTCTATTTTAAAGCGACTAACATTTTGAGAGCATTTACCGCATGCCAAACCTGCAGGTAGACGCTATCACAAAGGATGTTTTATGTTCATTGCTGCTCAATCATCACTTGTCCTAAAAATAGGAAGATATTCCCGGGTCACTAGCTTTACTCATTTGCATGCAGCTCAGCATGGTGGCAATGCTGAAGCAAGCATACACGGATGTCTGACTAGTAGGCACACACCACATCACAATTAAGGGTTCAATTACCCATGTGGCAGCTAGGCAGGATGGAGCCCTGTGTTCTGTCTTTTAGTCAGAGATTAGAACATGTCTTAAGAATGAGCATTGCCCTATGTGGTTATCTCTATGGGCATTGTAGTTCAATTTGGAAAACACAAAGCACTTTTTTTTCCAGCAGATTCTCACTATTGTATTTTTTTAAGAGGTGATCAAATAGATACCTAAGATAAAGGAATGTCAGGATTTATGGATTAAAATCATCACTTTTCATTGTACCAAAAAAGACTGATGGAATTTTGTTCACAAACTTGAACCAACTGCTCAGATTACTTCATTCAAATCTGAGTGCATCTCTTTCTGCACTGCTGACTTATGCTGTAGATCTTTCTCTTTGCAATTTTCTTTATCTTCATATAAAGTGAAACTCTGGACATGTATAGGAATGTGCACACAATATTTAATTTGGTAGTCTGTGCCTGGCAGGGCCAATGCAGCAGAGTCTCACATGCTCCAATTTGTTATTGCACTTCTATAGAATTCACAATGAATTTCACAGTGGAATGTACAATATAAAATGTGCTCAATTTCACACACCTTTTAAAGTAAAAAGATCGCTTGGAAACTTTGTAAATTCAAATAAAGTGAACTGGATAGACTTTTTGGTGTTTCTTTACTAAGGGTCTTAAATACTGAGGAAAATAGACTTCTGTTTTCAATTTCAGATGTCATGATTTTAAAATAAATGTTATGTATATCTCAGGTTATAACATGATGTTATGGGATACATATAGATAGTAGTATGATTACTGTAGTCAAGCAAATTAATATATCTATCATCTCACAGAGTTAGTTTTTTTTTTTCTGTGACAGAAGCAGCTAAAATGTAATTAACAGAAGTCCCTGGTACAATACAATTTTATTTACTCTAGTCCTCATGTTGTGTGTTAGATCTCTAGATTTGTTCATTCTACATATCTGCTACTTTGTATCATTTGACCTACATCTTCTGTCTTCTCCTTATCCCCCTAACAACTGTTATTCTCGATCTCTGTATTTTTATTCAGCCTTTAAAAAGGAGATCCTGCCATTTGCCAAAACATGGATGGACCTGGAGGACATCATACTAAGTAAAATGAGCCAGACATGGAAAGAAAAATAGTATATAATCTCACTTACAGGCGGAAGCTTAAAAGAAGTCAAATAATCATATTTAATTATTAAAAGCCACTGTTAGCATTAAAATCCAAATATATCATTTACTCAGTCATCTTCACACACACTATTTGAATTTCCTCTATCCTGATTTTATCAATACGTACATTATAAATGAAATACTGTACTGCATAAGCGCCTTCTTTTTTCTTATACATAATTTGTTTTTATTTTCATATTGGTCATTATTTAAATTGTATAAATTATAAGAGTATTTAATTCCATATTGTTAGATAGATCATCCTAGTTTTATTTTTATAAGTAACTCTATCATAAACAGTTTATAGTACTATCCAACGTACTGATGTTTAAGAGCTTGGGCTTTGAAGTTGGGCAGAATAAGCCTCAAATCCTGTCAGAGCCTCTTAATAGTAGTGTGACGTTAGACATGCTATTTAACCTCCCTGAACCTCAGTTCACCTGTGTCCTAAATGGATACAGAATAGTAGCTTCATGATAAATCTATCCTGAGAATTAAATAAGATGACCTATGTAAACCAATATATTGTAAATGCTCAATAGTTGTTAGCTATTGCTATAACAATTTTTGTCCTTCTGAATTATCAATTTGAGTTGATTTCCCAAGAATGAGAATATTGGTTAAATGATTTGGAGACTCATTAATTTAGTCATAATATAATTGAATGTCTACTCTATGTTAAGTGCTGAAAGAAAGTGGTGAACAGTCAGGTGAGGCCCCCAAATAAGAGGTGTTTGCAGTTTGGAAGAGAAGATAGACATTACATTAAGTCATTATATTTAAATATAGTGTTGCAGAAGAGAAAGTAAAAGTGTTAAAAAATGTAGACCAAGGAGATATATATTGCCTAATTAACTTCCAAACTATTGAACATTTAAAATAATATGTGAGAGTAATGCACTAGTTACTGAAATTCTCAATAGCTTTTAGCTCAAATTTTTTCATTTCTACCTTAATATCTGCAAAATAATTTTGTCAAAAAGATTTACCCATCTTTTGTCCACTAAGGATGTTGCTGTGTACTTCAGAAAATAAAATTATCTTACTACATATTATGGATTCTCCTTTATTTCCTATAGATTTACCATTTTTCTATATATTTTCCTATATATTTACCATTTTTCTGATATTAAGTGTTGTGGTTATTGTACTAAAGTTTTGCAGTTTTACATTACTGCATATATCTTGCCTTTCCTTTATAATTTCTTCCATTGATCCAATATTTATACTGTACATTTTCCAAGGATCTTTCTATTTTTGACCTTGAGAGTTCTCTCACTGTATCTAAAAATGCCACTCATATCACAGCAGGCATTTTTTCCCTTTTCTATACATAAACCATGGTCACTGATGTTCACTCAAGCACTGTGCAAAGAAGTAAAATGCAGCTTGAAGACACAACCTAAACGCTCTGCTCTGCTAAAAATAAACTATGTTAAAGTCATTATAGACCTTTTTATTTTTGTTAAGAAAAGGTGATTTATGTTGTCAATTGTGTAAAATCTTCAGAATATCTTCATGCTTTAGAGGGGGATCTCCCCCCACTGTAAAAGTGACTCTTAGAATTTACATTTATATTTATGTTGTTCTTTTACAAAGATGATTCACCAAGTCGTAGCTCAGCCATGTAAACCAAGAACCAAAGCACTTATGCTTGAGAAATTTCAACATGAATGTTACCATAGAGACTTTTTCTTAGTATTTAAAAACCACTCCTTTCGGACCACATTTGAATGTTCTTCAAGTAGCCCATGAAAATTGTTTATAATGATACATGTCATACATATGTAATTGAATTATGCTTTCAAGAATAATCTGATGAAGATGGATAGATGGATAGAGTACTAGAATTTAATCAGTCTTGAGGACAGACTATGTCATCATTACACTTTATCAATTACAAATCTTTGATGGAAGCATCACGTAGTTTTCATTTTTATATTTCCTGTATTTAAATTGTCAACTAAGCTCTCCAAAATTGCAAGAGCAATATGGCTAGAGGTAAAGATGGTAATACAACATTACTATTTCTAAAAGTATACCATAATTCTTTAAAATAGGGACTGTACTCCCTGGGCATACATAGATATGGTTTAAGTAGAGGATCACCTGATAGTCTGACTCAGGGCAATATTCAAATTGTTTAACAGCCAAGGCCTCCAGTGGTACCAGATGTTGCTTTGTTGTAACTGGATTATGCAGAGATCAAAGTCAGGGGCTTTTAATGAAATTATAAAAGACTTATAAAAAAGAGAAGATTATGGAAAAGTCCTAAATTAAATACAATTAAAATTCAAAATGATATTTCTCAACCTGAGAACTAAAATAACCATTTTTTATTAGATTCTTAACCATGCTTACTGACATCATCAATATGTAAGTATTATACCAGACACTTGGAAATGCATTATATTATGTAATATTCACACCCCAGTGAGGCTGGTAGTATTAATTCTGTATTATGGATAAGGAAATGGAACACTAACGTTACATAAGAACTGGCAGAAATAGAATGTGAATCTGGTCTCCTAACTTCAAGTCCTTTCCTCAGTCCAATGTCACAGCTGCCTCTCAAAGGTGTTTACTAGATGTGTATAGAGATGACACGGATGGGTTGCTGGGTGAATAATTAGATAGCAAACCTATTTCATTGTTCTTTTGCAGTGTAATGTCATCCTTAACTCTAAAATACTAAATATTTTTGGAAAGTAAAAGTGTTCTTTCATCAAGGGAAAGTTTCCAGAGGATATTAGAAAAGTATTTTTTAAAAGTTGTTTACTTATAAAATTCCTAGAAGAATACAGTGACCTGCTACTATTAAAAAATACTTTTCTTCCACTTGAGTTGTTTGTGCTATTATTTTCAATTAATTTATATTTATGTATTTTAACTCCATTGTCTTTTTTATTTTTGTATCAAGTGAAAATGTTTTGAAAATGACTCTGGTTAACAAATTAATTAAACATTCAATAAAATCACCTTTATGCCTACATCAGTAATTTAAATGAATCATGTTTTGAAAGTTTTTTAAAAAAGAAAAGGTAGTAGGTTTCAGAGCTTGAATTGAATACCCAACAAAATTCTAAACCCTTATTTAGCAACTGCTTAATAAGAAATTGTAAAATAATCAAGAATAAATCCAAATACTGTAAAATGGATTGGTAGGCTTATAGATAAGAGGAATTCTATAGATATGCTGTTTATGAACTGAAGGTCATTTGATGTCATTATTGAAAAAAATGAGGCCGGGTGCGGTGGCTCACGCCTGTAATCCCAGCACTTTGGGAGGCTGAAGCAGGCGGATCAAGAGGTCAGGAGTTTGAGACCAACCTGGCCAACATGGTGAAACCCTGTCTGTACTAAAAATACAAAAATTAGCTGGGCATGGTGGCACGTGCCTGTAATCCCGGCTACTCATGAGGCTGAGGGAGGAGAAATGCTTGAACTGGGACCGGGGGTGGAGGTTGCAGTGAGCCAAGATTGTGCCACTGCATTCCAGCCTGGGCTACAGAAAAAGAAAAAAGAAAAAATGAATACTGAAAAAAGATCTGATGAAACCACTGTATCTAAAGTAAATTTATTAGTAGATTGGTACAAGTTGAGAGGAAGTGGGCAGTAGTGGGACTGGATGAGAGCTATACTGACAAATCACGTATCTTTTCGTCAGCCTGCCCAAGTCTACATTGTTATTTTTTTCAAATAAAATATTTGGATGAGGATATAATCAACAAGGTTTTCATATTTATGCGCATCAAACACTGAGAAAGACAATTAATCCCTATGTTTACTTCCTACAGTTAGAACTCTAAAGGGATGATGAATGAGTTTAACCAAAAATAATAGATTGGGTATGATGAATGTAAAATATGAACTTAGGTTCACAAAAATAACTGATTAAATATAGGCAAAGGGATATAGAAATTACCAAGAGTGTATGTATAAATAAAATGCTTAGAATTATAGTTTATTGCAAGCACAGTACAAATTAGTATTGGGACTTACATACCTGCATAAATAGTGATTTACTGCTCTACCCAATATGACTTGTTTGAAAGAAAGGAACTAATATTTCCTATGTACTCCCTACCTATTAAATCCTACCCAGGATCTCGTAATTCTTCTTGACTCTACATTTAATAGGATCAGGAGAAATCTGGAGTCTATTCAGAAAAGGGCAATAAGGATGGTAAATGGTCTGGAAATCAAGTGCCACAAAACTATTGAAGAATTAGGGAGTTGTTTGAAGAAGAAAGCAGAACACAGTATCTGCCTACTAAGTTCTAAAGAGCTACCAGGGATAAAGGAAATAGTTTGGATTATTGCAGTTGCTTACGCAATTTAATAATTCAAAACACTAGGGAGGGAAAGTGGTAGAGTGACCAATTGCATCTGAATTTCAGGAAGACCACATTAACAGGAATTGAATCTTTACTTCCTTAAGTGACAAGCTTTTCATCCCCTGAGCTGTCTTGTATGAGAACCTGCTTTTGCACTAATCATCCCTTGTGGATCTGATCACTCAAGTGAACATTTCTGAGAAATTCAGTGGGAATGTTAATAGTACCTAACTAACGAAGTGAATATTAGGATTAAAGAAGATACTATGTGTTAAAGGTTTAATGCAGCCCCTGTCACATATAAAGTGCTCAAAAATGCTACCTTTTTGTTACTAGATGACCAATTTCCAAAGAGAAAAGGAATTTTTTTTTCCTTTTTTTTTTTATTATACTTTAAGTTTTAGGGTACATGTGCACATTGTGCAGGTTAGTTACATATGTATACATGTGCCATGCTGGTGCGCTGCAATTTTTATCATAAAGAGATGGAACTAGACAACTCTAAGTTGCCTTTTTAGGCGAAAAATGATACCTTTTTAAAAAATTACTAGTTGACCTTTTATACTACTACATGACCAATTTCCAAGGAGAATACTGAAGAAAACGTGCTTCTGTCATATAGAAATGGCACTAGACTAAGTTGCCTTCCAAATGGCAAAATCAAAAGATCCATGAATCATTGTGAGGCCAATCATTGCATTTCTACAGTTTTCTTAAGTATACTTGCATTATGGTTATGACTATTTTGAGGCAAACATTTTGGTCTTTCTGGTCTGTAAATAGACCCTTAATATGCAATCTATATGTAATAGTCAATGTGTGGGAGTTAATCTATATAAAATAAGTTAATACCTATAGTTCCCATGTAACTATATATTCCCAAATGTCTACGTTGGTATTTTAGTTAAATGTGATATGTACAAATGTTTTTATTGACATTTCAATTCAAATTTCCAACTATTACTAGTATCTGAGGTTGACAGTTTTCCTGAAATAATACATGGAATACATAAAAATGCATAATATATATAATTATTTTTACAACTGGTGAAACTTTGCATATTATGGACTCATTAACAATACATCGAGGCATATAAATAACTTTAGCTGGACCACAAAGCCTTTAAATTTAGTAATTCTGTGTTTTCTCTGCAAAAGCCTGAAAATGGAAAGGATAAGAACTTCTAATAAATAGAATTATCTTTTATTTTGAAATTCAAGTACGCACTCACATCCTCTAGACCTACTGCCAAACCATTCCCAGTTTGTGTGAGTGGCAGCTCTTAATAGACAGCAAAACAAATACTCTGTAGTACTAATAATTGAAAAATAATTAAAGAATGAATTAATGTCCCAGTTGTATTCACCCCAGAGTAAATTGTCGTGAAGGAATGTCTAAATAACAACATCAAATAAAATAGGGTAGAAGTAGGCTTAAGGAATTTATTTGAAATATAAATTGTTATTCATTTAAATTCAGATTATGTTTTAATAATAGCAACTTGTATTGCATATTTATACTCTGCCAGATACTCCTAAAATTATTATGTTTAATATGTTATTATATATTATGTATAATTTAATCCTCACAACAATCTTTGGCCATAAAATTTCCACTTAGTGTATGAGAAAAGTGAGGCTTCAACCAGTAACTCACCTAAAAAAAATGAGTGCTAAATAAAGAGTGTAATGTAAAACCTTGACTCAAGACCCATACATGTAACTACTACTGACCACCATTTACAAAAAACTTAAATAAATCAGCATCGACTAAGAAAGCAATCCTCAGTATAAAGTGACTCTCTCTTTTAAGGAGGAATAAGATGCAGATTATTTGGGCCGGGCGCAGTGGCTCATGCCTGTAATCCCAGCATTTTCGGAGGCTGAGGCAGGCGGATCACGAGGTCAGGAGATCAAGACCATCCTGGCTAAAACGATGAAATCTCGTCTCTACTAAAAATACAAAAAAAATTAGCCGGGCGTGGTGGCAGGTGCCTGTAGTCCCAGCTATTTGGGAGGCTAAGGCAGAAGAATGGCATGAACCTGGAAGGCGGAGCTTGCAGTGAGCCGAGATCGCACCACTGCACTCCAGCCTGGGGAACAGAGCGAGACTCCTTCTAAAAAAAAAAAAAAAAAAAAAAAAAAAAAAAAGATGCAGATTGTTTGTTACTGATGTGCTATAGTGAGGCAAGAGGTATTTGATCATTCTTCATGGCACGTTTAGTTTGTTTCCTTTCTTCCTATTTGGATAATGGTCTAGGTTTTAATATGCAACTATACTTGGAGTATCTGCTAAAGCCCATCTATTAGGGTGGTGCTTTATTAGTTTTGGATATTTTTAAAATCAATCCTATATTTAGCAGCTGTAGGTCTTTGCATAAGTTTAGTCTTTTATAAAGAGAAGCATCTTTCTCTAGAATAACCGGGTTGGAATTCAGAACTATTAAGTGAAAGATGACCTTCTATCTTGGTTTTCAATTTGCTAGATTGCTGTTTATTATGGTGTAAAACAGCTTTCAATGCTTAAAAACTATTAATATTTGATATAGTGCTCCTCCATTTACCAATCTCCACAATAACGTGATATGAGCAAAAATAATGCTTTGTATTTATGTAGCACATGTCTCCATGGAGCCCAGAGGATTTGGTTGACGGGATCTAAAAATGGCTTTGTCAGGGAGAACAGAAATCTAATCTCGTAATTATATTGCCAGTATTAAAACTGACACTGATTCTATATGTGGCTACTAATGTGAACATTATGCAGTCAAAGTAATACGGATGGCTTCTTCCAGCCATCTTTATAATCAATAGTAACCATACTAAGAAGTCATACTATGTTGTATTATTTTACTTTGCCTTGGCAATGTTTAAATATTATACACATATACTTCCTTTTATTTAATAACTCTATTGTAAACAGTCATGTGCTAAATAATTATAATTCTAAATATTTTCTAAGGCAATAAAACAAATTATTACGTGTTACAATGTTTATCTTTAAAAACAGTCATTTTTAATGTGAAAAAGCAGGCACTATAATGTTACTGTGTTGTGAATTGAGATGCTTTTAATGCATGGTTGCCTTTTCTGGATGGAAAATATTGATCTGTAGAGTGATGAAATGGTGATTCTCAAACTATAAGTTTCTTACCTCATCTCCACTTTTCCTCTGTGTCCTAGAAAATGGGCTAACCCAGTGTGTGACTATGTAGTATGTTGGAAGGAGAATAGCCCTGGATTATATCAGTGGTTCTGAAATCTTATCACCAGAATCATCTTTAGGACTCTTTAAACATACAGATTGCTGGGTTTCACCCTTAGAGTTTCTAATTCAGTAGATCCGCAGTAGGGCCCCCACATTTGTATTTCTGCAAATTCCTAATTGGTGCTAAAGATGCTAAACCATCATGAGTTTGAGAACCAGCGATACAATCAATTAAACTTCTGCTTTTCCATTTACAGAGAAAGAGATAATTATAACTACATAGAAATTACGTGCCAACCAGTGTTCTGGATGGTTTAAGCACAAGAAAAATAGAGAGAGAGAGAAGAAAACTAAGCTATTTCTATTCAAAAAGGAAAATGTTAACTCTGGCTAAATATTAATACCAATTCTAAGATCACTCTCAACCTAGGCTGCTGTTTGCATTACATTTTAATATTCCTTCAACACATATTTATTGAGCACTTATTATGCAGTAGGGGCTTGCATGCAACAGAGAAAAAGAAATGACTCCAGTGTCTGTGGAGCTGAATTTGCATTTGATGTTATTTTGCTTTAATGTACATAATATGTCTTCAATTTTATTGCATATTTCTTTTGATCCCTATGCTTACTTCACCAAAATTCTTCTTTCCCTCTTCCTAATCTTAGTGCATAATTGGTAGTTATAAATATTTTCCTATTTGTCTTCCTTCTGTGTCCAAGTCTGAAGAGGGTGACAAAGATGGTTCTGACCATTGATAGCACTAAGGTTGGGCCACTGACATCCATGGGTCTTTGGACAGGAGGATATTCTTGATATTACAGGAAAGATAAGTAAGACATAGGTATTTAGCAAAATTCAATCATGGAAACTAAAACTATATGAACCTATGAAAAACAGTATTCAAGTTTATTGTTTTAATTTGCATCTATTTGATTATTAATAATGTAGAAGCTATAACTTACCCATCATGTTGGCAAAATTTCCTTGTGGTCAATTTATAGAAATTGAAATAAAGATGTGCAAGATAGTTACACATTGATATTTTTGATAGTATTGGTTTAAATAACAAACTACTGAAATGTAGTTGAAACATCTCAGAGGACGGCCAGTTAAATAAGTTATGATATATATTGAAATTTTCATACCATTTAATTATTGAAATCATAATTTATAAGGTAACTTAAAGATATAAGTGAATATTTGATACAAGTTTAAAAATACCAAAACCAAAACTTTGTTTCAACTTTCTAACTCTAAGCATACAGAAGAAAATGCTTGGAAAAAAATATACCAAACATTAACAGTAGATTTTTCTGCATTATAAATTATTACTTTCTCTTTGCATTTGACTGTGTTTTACAAATTCCATCTAAAGAGTGTGTTGTGTTTATTATATGACAAAAAGGTGTGTGTGAGTGTGAGTGAGTGTGTGTGTGTGTGAAATAGAGAGAGAGACATTACCCATATAGTATTCCTTTAGGCAGCATATGAGGACGCTTCTGAAAAAACTCTTTGACTGCAACTGACAGTTGTGGTTTGCCTTTGTATCATTATGTAACCATAATCCTGTCATGATTTTATTTTGCGATACATATAACTGTTAGTGTTCCTAAACAGGTTAGACCTTGTTCTTATGTGTCAGGATTTCCCTTTACCAGGTAAAGGGAAGAGAAAGAACAGCCATCTGAGTGGAACCTGTGTGTCCTGAGCAATCTCGCTATCTCGTCTCAGGGGCACTTCATCTACTCTGTCTATAAGCATTTCTTACAAACACCATCTTTGAGAAAATATTTCTAAGAGAAGAGTTTATATGCTACCCATATTCATACCTGTGACCAAATCCTCAGAAGAATACTATCAAACACGTTTATGGCATTTACCCTATGGCCAGGAGCTGTCTAAACGTTAATCGTCATTACTATCTTTTGACGTGCATACTCTTACAGACCAAAAATTGAGGCCTTCAGCTGGTCAGCAGTTTACCCCAGGTCACACAGATGAGAAGAGTTGAAAGCAGGATTCAAACCCACCAAGTATGGCTCCAGAGTCTGCACTGTTTCTTAATATCATGTAAAATGATTTTCCTTTTATAGTTCTACTTTACCTGCCTCAGATTTCTGAAAATGTGAAAAGACCCTGAACTCATGATTGTGGTTTTAGAGTGAAAACATCTTCTTTCGTCTTCTCTCAGAAGTTTGGTGTCTGAATGTAAATCCAGTGAGCTCTGTGAATTGTTAAGATCCTAGTATTTATCGTCATCATGCCGAAAAGAGGACTTGGTGCACGAGGGAGTTGCCATTCTGATCTTGAACATCTGTCCCAGCAGCTAAATTCTCAGTTGCTCCATTTCATTATTGGTTGTGCTAAGATGTCAGGAGAGATTTTGCTTTTAAATGTGGCCCTGTACTTTTCAGTAACTAAAGGAAAACAGGATACATAGTATCTGAAAAAAAAAAAAATGTATCACTGACACTGAACTCAATTTGCTCTGAATGACTAATATTTTTACTAAGAGGTTTCCAAGGCGTATTATCACTACAACATAATTTATGCTTTTGGGAGTATACCTTTCATAGGTCTTCTTAAAAATACTTTTCTTCCCTTACAAGATAGCACATAGCAATTAATGACGTTTTAAAACATCAAAATATAGGCTCCTTTACTTATTTTTTCTTACACAGTTTCAACCCTAGGGAGGGAAAGCCTAGAATAAAAGCTAATAATATCATAGTGTAACCTGAGCTAAGTTAACAATCCTAATGTGGTAGTCTAGTTTTTTTCTTAAGCCAGGTTTATAATTATGGTTATGAACAATGATTATAATTGTTTGAAAACCTGTAGAACTGACCATGCAAGCGTCATATTTTAAAAATCTAGAAGCCGTGCTTTAATAATTAAGATCCATAGTTTTTTGTTCTTTGTTCTTTCTGGTCTATATACTTTGTTCACCATCTTTGAAGGAAAGGCACCACTTGGTTCCACAGTGTAGTAAATGTTTTGTATGTATTAAAACATTTAACATTTAAGAAACTAACTTCCAAGTGTGTGTATGTGTGTGTGAATGTTTTTGTGCATTTGGTAATTTCTTATTCGGTGCTTATTTGGGGGTGATTCACAATTGGAGGAAGTTTGGGGAGATGGTCAAATGTTCACGAGTTGAAGTGCAGAACCCCCCTATTCCCAGCACTCAATGTGGTTAATTATCATGTTGTTGAGTTTTCACAATAATGATAATAGTGGTATCAGGTGTAGTATCAGCAGTTTTTATCTCAAACAGAGACTTTAATGGCCTTTAAAAATAATGCCTTCCTATGAATGTTGCCTTCCTTGTGAATGCGTATTTGGAGGATTCCCATTTTATACACATGCAAACCAAATAAACTACCGGTTCCAAAATGGACTTTTATGAGGATTTCATTACACCCTCCGAGTGGAATTAATAACTCTTTCATGTTTTTTCTCACAATGTTTGGTGCATCTGCTGCTGTAGCACTTTTCACATTGTAATAAATGAAGCTCTATGGATCTGCTTTCTCCCCTTAGAATATGGACAACTTGAAAGCAACAGTTAACTCTTCTTTATACCTATCTCTCATGCTTTGCACCATAACTGATACACCTATTGGTTTTATCATAAAAGTCTGTTGTTGTGATTTGAGAAATACTCATTCTAGAGTATATCTAGAAATACTCTAGAAGAAATAGAGTAAATGCAGCTGGTTTCCTAGGACTGGCATCTTTAGAAACTTGCTTCTCCACACTTTCTATAGAAATTTCAGAAAGTCTCAAGAAGGACATTCCAGGCACGAGCATGAGCAAAGGGAGGGTTACGATAACACACAGTTTATGTTTAGGGACTGGTAAGATGGTGGGAGTGGAGGGTTAGGGGCTGGGCGACAGTGGCATGCTAAAGTCTATGTTGTAGAAAGGATGGTCAAGGATGTTGGATGGACAGCATCCTGCTAGAAGTTACTGGAGGCAGAGAGACTGCTTAGCATCTGAAGTTGCTGAAGATTCCCAGGACGTATTTATGTTTTGTAATTAGGAAGGGAAAATAAGAGTAATAATACATTTAGTTATTTGTCTCTCATCTTATAGACCAAGCTACACCTTAGATACAAGAAAATATTTAAGAGGTTATGATGGAAATAATGTGCGAATGTGGGAAGAGCTGAAAAATGCAAATTTTCCTATTTTATATAAGTTATCCTGAGTGGAATTTCTTTTGTTTGTTTCTTTGTATACTGAAAAGGCATTTTGTTGTACTCTGAAGGACGAGTAGACTTGTAACCTGAAGATGCTAAGGTTTTCCCTGACTTTTTTAAAAATGAGGATCACTGCTTTGGAAACTTGACATCCTGAAAACTATATATATATATATATAATATATATATATTTTATATACATATATAATATATATATATTTTATATATATATAATATATATATATTTTATATATATATAATATATATATATTTTATATATATATAATATATATATTATATATATTTTTTATATATATATTGTTATATATATATGGTGTATATATATGGTTATATGTGTATATATGTATATATATGGTTATATATATATGGTGTATATATATGGTTATATGTGTATATATGTATATATATGTATATATACACACACAACGTATCTATCTATAACCATATATATATGGTTATATATATATGGTTATAGATAGATACGTTGTGTGTATATATATATACATACACACTGTATATATATACATACACACACATACATACATACATAAATTGAAACATTTAATGTAAGACCTAAGTTTTATTGAATATTTAATACATGCTAGGCACAGACCTTACATAGTGCTAGCTTCAGCAGCACATACACTAAAATTGGAACAAAACAGAGATTAGCATGACCCTTGTAATTAAATAAAAATAGAAGAGAAAATAATAAAAATTTGAAAAATTGAAAAAGATCTTTACATGCATTGTTTCGTTTAGCACTATAAAATAGGTACTATTATCTCCTTTTTAAATATGAAATAATAACAGTGCTTTGCTGTAAGAGGATTTGCCCTAAATCACATACCAGAGGAAGTAGTGGAGCCAGAATCTAATCTCAAGGTATCAGAGTCCAGGTAGTTTGTCTCTAGCTTCCCAGGAGCATCCCCAGGAGGCTAGATGCCCCATTCTTGTGTTTAAAACTGATCCACATGGTGGTGTTAAGCAGAGGCCTCTTCACTAAGGGAAAGCTTAGGTCTACCCCAGGTATTCTCTTGCTGTCCAGGGATTATCACATGTGCTCCATTAGAAAACAAGGCTCCCATATACACCTTTGAGCTGTCTGGTCATTCATCATTTCTCACCTGAAACTGTACCAATTGGCTTTTGAGTTTCCTTGCCTCCATCTTACCCACTTCTAACCCCTTTTTCCTACCCTAGCTTACGTGAGTTTTCTAAAATGCAAAGTTTGTATCATTTTCCCATTTATATCCTTCAGGGGCTCTCCATTTCTTTCTGAATGTTTTAATTTCTGCCATGCGGCTCATAAACTCCTCTCTGGACTCTACTCACCACTCTTGTCTCCTTTCTTTCCACTCTCACAATCCACAACTGGTCTCTCCAGATCCACGATCATTCCAGCTGGTCTTCACACCCACTGCCGGCCCTAACTAGAACACTCTGCCCTCGCCTCTCACATTAAACTGCTCCATACTTCTAGGTGCTTTCTGTAAGACATTGCTCCTGAAGTCTCAAATTTGGGTTAATTATTTCCCCTAGATATTCTAGTATCATTTTCTACCACCTTGTCATAGAATATCATGCAATCTGAATGTCTGATTACTTATTTTTATCTTCCATTTGACTGTAAGTTCATTGAGGAGAGGGGAGGATGTGGTCCTGTTCTTCATACTTGTGCCCTCAATACTTGGTATACAGTAGGAGCTCAAAATTGTTGTTGTGTAAGTGAATGAAGGAGGACGTCATTTAAAAGCTAACTGGGGCCAGGCACAGTGGCTCAATCCCAGCACTTTGGGAGGCCGAGGTGGGAGGATTGCTTGAGCCCAAGAGTTTGAGACTAGCATGTACAACATAGTGAGACCCTGTCACTACAAAAATTAAAAATAAGCTGAGGAGTAATGGTGCATGCGTGCAGTCCCAGCTACTTGGGAAGCTGAGGTGGGAGAATAACTTGAGCCTAGGAGTTAGAGGCTCCAGCCTGAACTGCACTCCAACCTGGGCAAAAATCAATTGGTAACACTTAATGCACAATTTTAAGTGTTTAACAAATATAAAGTCATTTCATCCACATAGGACTTCTTTTTCTTTTTCTTTTTCTTTTTTTTTTTTTTGAGACAGTCTCACTTTCTCACCCAGAATGACAGTGGCATGATCTCAGCTCACCGCAACCTCTGCCTCCCGGGTTCAAGCGATTCTCATGCCTCAGTCTGCTGAGTAGCTGGGACTACAGGCGTGCACAACTATGGCCCGGCTAATTTTTGTATTTTTAGTAGAGACGGGTTTCACCATGTTGACCAGGCTGGTCTCAAACTCCCGACCTCAGGTGATCTGCCCACCTTGGCCTCCCAAAGTGCTAAGCCCTAATTTTTTTTTTTCATTATTGTGGCAATCTGATGAGACAATTGCTTGACAGGGAGTTTAAATAGCTTGCCCAAGATCACACAGTGGCAACAGTTGCATTTGGACCTAGACAGTCTGGCTTCAGAGTCTGGACTCCTAACTTCTGCTACACTGGCTTTCTGAAGATTTAAAGTCAATAGATCAATGTTTCTAGGTGACTAGTGGCACTTCAGGACATTGACAAGAGGGAAAACATGGAAGCTGGTTTTTGCTCTTGTCTCTATAACTAACAATTATGTGATTCTTGTAATCTCTCTGTACCTTACTTTAATTATTTGCAAAATTGGAAAACTATGGACTGAGTGATCTCAAAGGTCCTTGTTCTCTAAATGAGGATGATTTGAACCAGCTACTTTTTTATGCTGCTATGAAGAAGGTAAATGCTTCTATGCCTTTAATTTTTTTTCTATTGAAAAAAATTACTAAATGACTATGAACTAAAATAGGTACTCTAGGTCCCCTCTGCAGACTTCTTCAGGCTTTTATTGCCACTGTTTTGAAAATTCATAATCTCATCCCATTGCTCTCTGATCAAGGACTTGCATTCGAGTAAGGCTGTGAGACTCAGTAACCACATTAGAGCCACCTAAGAGATTAAAGTCAGTCTCCACTGATAATTGGGCACACTATTTCCAACAATAGTAACTTAAATGAGAAATGTAGGTCATTGCCTAGTCCACTGGCTAGCACATAGTAGGCATTCAGGAAATGTTAGCTCTCTAGTTCATTCTTACAGATTGTATTTTTCTTGTGAGTTTTCAGTTATATCACTTTGTTCTAGTCTCCAACAACACTTATTGAAAAAGGACAACTAATAAGCATTGTAGCTAATTTGGTACATGTTCCTATTATATAATCACCATGGTACCCAGGCTCTTAACTGAAAGCAAACAAATTTATAGAAAGAAAAAAATTTGTTCTCTCACATAAGGTGTTCTGTTATGGAAGCACTGCCTTTTTGTCCTATTTTATCTTTTGTCAGTAGACACTACTTTCCAACGTGTTCTGTGAGAATGTTAACGTGGTTGGATCTACTTGAGGGAATCAGCAAGTTTTATTAAATATTAGACGACCTCATCTTTTACTTTTAAGGAACATGGATATATGGCTATGTCTAAAGATTGAATATTAAATTATGTCAAAGCACTAAAAAAAGTTAATAAATTTACAGGTCACATTTCTTTTTGTAATTTTCTTTGAAAAACCAAGGCCCTAGTGGTCAAACATTGAAAGTAGGTTCTTGCTATGAAATGAAAAATTAGTAAAATGTAAATGTATCTGTTAAATTGTAAATCTATTTTCACTTATTAACAGTGTTATTAAGTGAATATAAAACATCTCACTTACTACAAATAAATGAACAGCTTTAGTAATGCAAATGTAAAAAGGACCATAGTACTGCATATTGTTATCCAAATTATGTCCATCTAATGACAGAAATTCAATAATGACTCCCAGTAAATATACTCACAGCAGTTGGTAATCTGCCCACAGTATACAATTCTGAACAGGTTATGTGTGTGGTATTTCAGTCCTTCTCCCAGCATGTTTCAAAGCAGTTTTTGTTATAAGAACTTTGAAACCCACAAGAAAGAATTTTTAGTGGGTTTTCTTCAATTTTGAAATGCCTTGGGTCTGTAGTAACTTATTACATGAATCCAGCAGTAACTTTGGCTTTGATGTGCATAGTTCCCTATTTTGTGATGTGTAAGAAGTCATCAACATATGGATACATGATATTTGGCCTGCAACATTTGAAATTAAAAAAATAAAGAATAAATAAAGCAATAGATCCAAGTCAGCTTCCAAAATATCTATGCAAAAATGCTACTGTTTTAAAACAGGCATTAGCTCCATCTATTGTTCTATGACCTAATTTGTTTTAACTTAACTTGAAAGAATAATCATTGATTATTGAAGTTTCTCAAGATTACTTAAAACATATATATGGCTGTAGATATAAACAAATATGATAAATTGGTCACACAAGAAATCTAAAATACAAATTTCAACACCTTATAAAACAACTTTTAAACATTCATATGTTACACCTATGAAGGGCAAATTGGAGAAATATTCATACCACAGAAAATTGTCTTAAAAACTATGGTTGTAGAAAATTAGATTAATAATTCTACATGGATTTTTAATATATTGCTTTCTTTGCGACTTTGATTTTAGAATTGCTCTCAAATATTGCTAGATCCCATATATTTTATTAAAAATATAGCAATTATGTGTATTCTTTGTGTGTGTGTGTTATTTGTATATCAGGGATTTTTTGTATATATGGGAAATCATAGTACTATAAAGTAACATTCTTTTACTCTCTAAAGCAATAAGAAATACAGATTTATTAAATAATTACTGGGATTGTGATCTGATAATCATTTAGAATATGTAACAGTCAGCACCAGGAATGTCCAAGACATACCACTGAATTTCCTCAGTAGCACAAAGAAGGAAAAACACCAATCAATTCTGTTACTTAACCTATGCATTTGAAAATGCAGTCAAGTAGTCAGTCATGCCCTTTGCAAAGTACACAGGCAAATATAATACTAACAAATAACACTTGAGACTAAATTTTAGGTGATGAAAACATTATGATTATGAATCTTCCTGGGAAACGTGGGTCAATCATGTCTATCTCCTTGAAATCTGGCACCGCTAGGTTTCAGGAAGCCATTTATGGTGTGTGTACCAGTTAGGCTTAGATGGGACTTCATTTAACAGGAAGAGCAAAATAAAATTAGTTTTAAGATGGTAGAAGTTTATTTGTCCCTAACAGAAAAGGAATTCATAAGTAGGCTGTACAGGCCTCCTATGACCACTTAACTATGTTATCATGGCTCATATTTTCTGCTTTGTCATTCTTAGCTTGGGCTTTCCAAATTCAAGGGTTGAGATGATGACTAGAGTTCCACCTATTATGTCAACATTCAAGGCTGTGCTCGCTACTCCCTTTTAAGAATTTCCCATAGACACATACATACTTCTGCTTAAATGTGATTGGCCAGACTTAGTTACATGACCATAGCCAACTATGAAGGTGAGGCTGGGAGCTTCTTAGCAGAACACATTGTCCAGGATTCTATTACTAAAGAAGAAGTAAAACTGGATATTGAAAGACAATTAGCATGAAAAGCAAGCATCTGAAATAGTCATGCCATAGAAATTACAGGGTGTTTATTGCATTACACTGCACTATATTCACTCAAGCATTTGTATGTGTTAGTGTCCTCTTTCTAGGTGACTTTATGAGTCTGGATGTGTATGAAGGAAAAATGGTGGCAAACATCCCAAACTTACCTGTCTGTAAACTGAGGGTAGATAGTCAAATGCAGGAAAGTCAGGAAAGAAAGTTGAATAAATATTCTAAAACTAGCCTCAAAAATCAGAGATTGACTGCAGACGCTGAGATACCAATAGATTCACATCTCGCTTTAAGAACCCTTTCATATAGTAAATCTGAGATACAGTGGCAAAAAAGAGGTTGCGAATAGCAGCTCCCAAGCAAAAAAGTCTATTTAATGCATATTTATAATGCAAATACTTAATGGGATATGGGGAAATGATGATGACCCAGCTCTCTTACTGTAATTCATATACAGAGAGAGTGTACCCCATGAGCAGCAGTAGTGTGCTTGAACTGATGGTAAGTAGAATTAAAGATGGAAGGAAAACTTACTGGAAAAAGAGAAAAACTACAGCAAATTTGTTTAATTATTTTTTCAACGTCGTGTGAGAAATGGTCTTTGTTTCCTGTGCAAAAGCAAATATTATACTAAAGGAGTCTGAAAACTAATACGTAGTACAAGAGAATCCATAAATACTCTGTTGTATTTGTTTTCTTCACTCTGCAGTTTTTAACACATGCCTAATATATTAGGTCGGAGTAAAAATTTGATAAGTATAGTTATTCAGAATTTATTGTCACATTCCTTGGATGGTAGTATTGCTGATAGTAGTCAAACTTACAGAAAATATAGAATTCAAAAGGATGGCCATTATTTCACTTTGAGACAGATGTAATTCCACAAAAGGAATTTTATTCCATTTATCTATCAATCAACTTACATTGTGTTTTTTATGGCTTTCCTTTTCTTAATTTTTTCAATTTACTTAATGAGACAAATAAATTATAACCCACTTGGCCAGCACCTTTTTTTAAGAAAATAAATGTTTCCTCAACCTACTGATGATTAATATGAAGTGGTGTGTGTTGTGGTGTTGACATTTTATAAATGATGTTTTAACTATGTATCCAAATGAACTTTTGGCACCTGAATATATAGAGGTGATTTTATGTCAAAGGTCTGGAGGGCATTTGATTTTGCTTTCCTCAGTGTATAGATGATAGGTGAAGTTTAGCAATCCCAGAAAAGAGAGCAAAAAGAAGGTGGCTGTGGGCTACCTTTTCGGTGTAAGAGGGGAGGAGTCTAAGTAGAATCATGGAGATGGAGTGAATTCACAGAAATCCAGAGGGAAGAGTTTTGAGGCAGAGGGAGTGATCAATACTGGTCAAAGAGCAGCAAAGAGGTTAAGTACAGCAAAAGCTGGAGAATTAGGAAGCCAGGAGAAAATGTGTCATCTTAACTGAACTGACATGCTGCTGGCTGAAACCAGGCACATTCCAGTTAAGTAAACAAATGCAAAGGAGGATGAGTCATTGAGTTCACAGTACTCCCCAAGAAGCCTTCATGGCAAGCGAAGGAAATGAGGCAGTATTGGGTCTATTAAGGCCTATATACACCTGTGCTGTCCAGTATGAGAGCCAGTGGCCATATAGCTATTGAGCACTTCAAATGTAGCTTGCGTGAATTGGGCTGTGAGTGTAACATTTATACTGGATTTCAAAGACTCAGTATGAAAAAATAGAATGTAAAGAATCCATTGAAATTTTTATATCGATTACATGTTGAAATGATTACTTTGATATCCCTGATGAAATATAAGGTATTATTAATATTAACTTCACCTGTATGTTTTTATTTTGGAACACGTTACTAAGATTTTTACGAAATGCACCTTTGGCTTGCATTTGTGGCTCAGTGTATTCTATTGGACAGTCAGTGCATTATATACTCTGACTTCAGTTTGGCATCTCAATTTTTGACAATAACATATGAGGGGAAATCAGAAGCCTTTCTAAAAGCTACAGTTTGGCTGGGCGTGCAGGCTCATGCCTGTAATCCCAACACTTTGGGAGGCCGAGGCAGGCAGATCACCTGAGGTCAGGCGTTCAAGACCAGCCTGACCAATAAGGTGAAAACCCGTCTCTACTAAAAATACAAAAAATTAGCCGGGATTAGTGGCACATGCCTGTAATCCTAGCTACTCAGGAGGCTGAGACAGGAGAATAGCTTGAACCGGGGAGGCAGAAGTTGCAGTGAGCCGAGATCATGCCATTGCACTCCAGCCTGGGCAACAAGAGAGAAACTCTGCCTCAAAAAAAAAAAAAAAAAAAAGAAAAAGAAAAAAAAAAACCCTACATTTTTTTTTCTACATTAACTTAGAAATGTAATTTATTATAGTAGAAAGAACATGGGCTCCTGGATCCAGCTCTGCTACTAAATAGCTACCTGGCCCTGGGCAAGTTATTTAACTTCCGTGAGCCTTGATTTCCTCATCCATAAAATGAGAATCATAAGACTCACCACACAGGATAACTGTGAGGATTAAATGTGGATATAAAGGACTTTGCAGAGTGCCCACCACATAATTTGCACTTAATAAATGTTAGTTACCTTCTTTCCTTACTGTGTAACCCATAATTCTGTTAAAAGAGACGGAATTGGTCTGATACAACATTAGTCTCAAAATTAGAAGAGGATGGAGGGACAGGATAAGAAAATGAATCAAGGTTATTGACCTTCCGAATAAGAAAATCAAAATCTTCTCAAGACTGAAAAAATACTGACAAACTTAGCTTCTTTGTAAGAACAAAGCTAAAAAGTTTCTTCAAATACAGAAATGCATATGTATGTGCGTATGAATATATACATATGTATACATATACATGTGCACATATATGTGTGTGTATATATATAAAATAGCATATATTTTTCAGTGGGCGACATGAAACTGTGGATATGAAACTATTTTATAAACTAGGATGCACTATTTAAATATTAATACTGGTGTTGTTATTCCTATTCTATAAAATATCATTTATTTGAAAGTGACAGAGAAAAACAAAGAGTAACTTGGAGTGGGGGGGTGGTGGTGGTAGAAATTAAAGTTTGAAATGATGATGAAATAAGAGAAAGACATTGAAAAGATGGGAAGAATTTGCCAAAAGTCAAAGTAGGAGACATCCATCTAACTACCATACATTGCCCTCAAGTCTCTTCCTTCTCAGCCTTGACCTGGCCCCCCATCCTTTTTGAATTTTGAGGCTTACGTTATATTTACATTTAATCCTCACAATTACCCTGTGTGCTGAGTGTTATGATTCTCATTTTATGGTTGAGGAAATCAAGGCTCACAGGAGTTAAATAACTTGCCCAGGGCCATGTAACTATTTAGTAGCTTCTCAGCCTTGACCTGCCTCCTACACTGGAATGGTCCAACTTAGCTCCTTTCCCACTCCTCCTTCATTTTAGAAACTCTACTACATATCTTTTGCCCATAGCAAAAATCACAGTTCCCTGTCAAATTTCAACTTTGTCTCCTCATCTCAGGTCTCCACCCAGTCTTGACTCCATTCCTGCCTCCTCTTTTCATCTCTCTGCTTTTGCCCAGAGTTACTGGACTTTATGCTCTACCACCATTAACAATATCTCCTTTCCCTCCCCCAGCCTCAATACATTCCTGTGGGCATCCTGCTTATACTTGAATGCTGCTTCAAATTAAGAAATAGATACAGGATTTATGATACAGCTGTGGTACGTTGTCATATCATTTGAACTTGTAAACATGCATCCAAATTTTACCCACCAAATTATCTAACGTTGAATATCTACTGGTGGAAATTTGGTGGGTCAGATCATTACTTTAAAAAAAACGAATTAGGCTGGGCACAGTGGCTCACACCTATAATCCTAACACTTTGGAGGGCTGAGGCGGGTGGATCACCTGAGGTCAGGAGTTCAAGACCAACCTGGCCAATGTGGTGAAACCCCGTCTCTACTAAAAATACAAAAAAAAAAAAAAAAAAAAATTAACTGGGCATGGTTGCACATGCCTGTAATCCCAGCTACTCTGGAGGCTGAGGCAGGAGAATTGCTTGAACCCAAGAGGTGTAGGTTGCAGTGAGCCGAGATCATGCCACTGCACTCTAGCTTGGAAAACAGCGAGACTTCACCTTAAAAAAAAAAAAAAGAGTTAAATCTAGTTTATACTACTGTTATGAACAAAATCGCATTTTTAAAATGATATTCGTAGAGTTGCAAATGTGAAGAATTTTGTATCACTTAGTAAACTTTGCATTGCATGTGATAGAAAATCCAGCTCAAACCAGCCTAAACAATAAGTGATTTATTATGTCACATAAGAGAGCAGTCCAGGGATTGGCTAGGCTTTGTTTAAATTTCCAGTGATATAATTAGAGCCCAGTTTGTTCATGTACATTTCATTTCCTTATCTGAGTTTCATTTTAGGGCACTTCTCTCTACCTGGCTCCAAAATTCTACCAAGAGGTCCCATAGCTAAAACTTTTCTGATTTGAGTGCATAAGAGAACAGCAAAATTTTCTTTTTCTATGTCCCAATAAAAGTCACAGTTTATCTTATGTAGTTTGATTGGTCACATGTACATCTCTAAACCTCTCACTATACTCAGGAAAATGAGCCATGTTGGTTGACTTAGAACTATCTCATCAGAAGACCAAGGACTAGGAGTGTGAGAAAAATTGATCCTCAGGAGGAAGACTGCAATGCATTTAGCAGGAAAGAGTAATGTTTCTTAAGAAAAAAATGAAACAATGAAAATCCACTAAAATCTGTCTCAAGGATAATATTCCATGACTCTACAGGGCTTAATGCGTGTGACATATATAGACTTCTGATAAGCAGTTTGAATTATATGGGTCAGAGAAATTTCCAGGTCATAGGACTTCTCTTTAAAGTAAAATAAATAGGCCAGGCACGGTGGCTTATTCCCGTAATCTCAGCACTTTGGGAGGCCAAGGCAGGTGGATCACTTGAGGTCAGGAGTTTGAGACCAGCATGGCCAACATGGTGAAACCCCGTCTCTACAAAAATACTAAAATAAGGCCAAGAAGGGTGGCTCATGCCCATAATCCCAGCATTTTGGGAGGCCAAGGCGGGCAGATCACTTGAAGTCAGGAGTTTCAGACCAGCATGGCCAACATGATGAAACCCCGTCTCTACTAAAAATATAAAAATTAGCTGGGCATGGTGGTGGGCACCTGTAATCCCAACTACTCTGGAGGCTGAGGCAGGAGAATCACTTGAACCTAGGAGGCAGAGGTTGCAGTGAGCCAAGATTGCGTCACTGCATTCCAGCCTGGGCAACAAGAGCAAGACTCCATCTAAAAATAAAATAAATACAAAAATTAGCAGGATGTGGTGGTGTGTTCCTGTAGTCTCAGCTACTCAGGAGGCTGAGGCAGAAGAATCACTTGAACCCAGGAGGTGGAGATTGCAGTTAACTGAGATAGGGCCACTGCATTCCAGCCTGGATGACAGAGTGAGACTCCATCTTAAAAAAAAAAAAAAAAAAGTAAATTAAATAATGTAAATAATGTATCTAAATTGGCTAGCACAATGAGTAGAACAAAGTATGAACATTTATCTTATTAGTAGGTTGATTTGAAGAATTTCAAAAATAAAAGTAAGGCTAACAGTTCTCTTAACATGGGCTTTTATAAACGAACAAATAGAATTGGCTCTCCTTATTATCTTTATCCTGGTTTTTGTAATCTTTTGTATCTTGTTTGAGTTTAAGTTGGCCTAAATGATACCCTTTAAGGCAACAATGCCAAAATTGAATCGATTGTATCATGTATAGTTGGAGATTAATCATTCAATTTAATTCCGTTATTCTTTCTCTCAGAGAGAGAGAGAGGGAGAGGGGAGGAAGAAGGGCGGGAGGGAGAAGAGAGAGATTGAGACAGTAAGAAACAGGAAGAGTTCTATTTATCAAGCACTCTGTTAGATCCTGGACATATAGCTGTGAACAAGGAGAGAGCCTGCAGATATGGGCCCAGCCCTAATTTTATTAAAACCAATTTTGGAAATCTAATTATAACTGGAGTTGATGCTTCAGAAAATAAAGTTTGCCTGGTTTTTGTGTATTTTTTGCATTGCCACATCAAGCTTACAAAGGCTTACAAGAAATAATAATTTTAGTAGTAGTATTCCTGTGTCCTGATAAGCCCCAAATATATTCTGTGAGCCATATAGTTTTACCTAAAACAATCTTTAAAGTAGGGAGAGGGAAAAGGAGGAAGTCTATAATTGATTGAATTTTCTCTTACATGTTTAAAATGTATTATTTAGAAAATATTCCATGTAATAAAAAATGTTGACTTCACCAAAACTCTCCCCAGGTATTTAGAAATGTTCATTTACAAAGGACTAGATAGTGTTGCATACAAGCTAAAGGGAAGAAGGCGGTGGGTGGAGGGGGAGGAGGGTGCCTGTACGGTGCAACTGCATCTTTATTGTTACTGCACCATCAGCTGCCATTTCACCTTCTGATAAGAATTAGCTAAGATTTTTATCCAGATTCGAGGAGATCCCAATACTTAGGTTTTGACAGTGCTCTTCATGCCATTCATCCATCTTTCAAGAACTATTTTTTGTATGCACACTTTGTGCCAAGCACTTCTCTGGAGCACAGTAGTTAATAAGTGAGACAAAAATTTAGGTACTTTGTATTTTGAGAGAGAGAGAGAGGAATTATAGACAATAAACAAGAGGAATAAGTAAATTCTATGTTATTAGTTATGAATTCAAAGCCAAAAAATGAGAAACAGAAGCCAGACTGTGTTGGTGAGGCTACGTTGCGGTATTACATAGAATAGACAAGCAAGACTGATTGAAGGGGTGACATTTGAGTAAAGATGGAAAATCAGTAAGTGGGCAAGTAATAAAGGTTCCCAGGGGAAGCATTTCACATAGAACAGCACTAGCAAAGATCATGATTGGGGAGTTCTGGAATAGCATGGAGGCCAGTGTTGTTGGCGCCTACTGAGACGAAGAATTGGAGGGAAACAGATCAAAGAGTAATAGTGGGTGGGGAGATCATCTAGGACTTGACATGACCTGTCTTGTCTTAACTTGTGTCCTGACATGACATGACTAGAATTGTCTCAGCTTGGATTGATTGACATGCTTCGACTTGACTTATCATAGCTTGAATTGAATTTACTTGACAAAAATTTCCATTGAAGGGCATTATAAAGGTTTGGCTTTTACTCTGAGTGAGATGGGGATCTTAGGGTTTTGAACAGATGAGTGACATGACCTTAATGTGTATTAAATAGAATCACTCCAGTTGCCTCAGGAGAAAAATATGAGAGGTTTAGACTGGGATGTTAGCAATAGAGGCAGTAAGAGGTGATATTCTGGATATACAAATTTTAAAAATAGGGACAAAGGATTTGCTAACGAACCAGATATGAAATATGACAAAAAGAGAGAAGGCAAGAATGACTTCAAGATTTTTTGTCTAAGTAGCTTGCGGTATAGAGTTGCCTTTTACTGAGATGGGAAAGGCTCTGTAAGTGTACATTAGTAGAGAAGAGAGCAAGTGGTTACAATATTGTTTTTGATAATGTTAAATTTGAGGTGTTTATTGAACATTCAATAACTGTGGGAATATGAACCTGACATTAATGAGAAATGGTCTGGCTGGAGTACATTTGGGAATCATCTGCTTGTAGATGGTACGTAAAGTTATGAGAACTGATGAAACATCAAATAAAGCAGTGAAGGGAAATAGGGGCAGGTGGTGGGAGGAGAAGGAAAGGGATGGGAAGATAAGAAGCAAAGAAGCCTACGGAGGAATGCTATTCTGATGTCCTGGAAGTCAAGTGAGGGGGATATTGAATCTGGAGCAGGCTTGTTCAACCCATGGCCCACAGCCCGCATGCAGCCCAGGACGACTTTGAATGCAGCACAACACAAATTCATAAATTTTCTTAAAACGCTATGAGAATTTTTTGGTGATTTATGTTTAGCTCATCAGCTATTATTAGTGTTAGTGTATTTTATGTGTGACCCAAGACAATTCTTCTTCCAAGGTGGCCCAGGGAAGCCAAAAGATCGGACACACCTGATTTAGAGGCATGACCTAATTCAAATACCAGTATTAGACCATGTGAGATGGGAACTCAGAATTGATCATTGGTTTTAGCAACATAGGGGTAATTGGTGATCTTTTATGAGCAGTTTTGATGGAAAAGGGAAAATTCTGATTGGAGAGAGGCCAGGAAAATATGGAAGTAGGAAAATTGAAAATAGTGATCAGAAACAATTTGTTGGGGGTGGTTTTATTGTAAAGAGATAAATAAAACTAGGACAACTGAAGAGGAGAGTGAAATGGAGAGGGGTGTGTGTGTGTGTGTGTGCATGTGTGTGTGTTTTAAAGTGAGAGAAATATGGGAATACTTCTTAATGTGATAATGATCAGAGAACAAAGAGGTAAATGTAGTACTGCTGTAGAAAGGCAAGAATTTCTGGAATCTTCAGTAGATGAGAGAATGGGTTCTGCTGGTCAGTTGAAGTGATTGGTCTCAACTAGGGTCACAATTTGCTCATAGTGATAAATTTTACTTGATATGGGGTCACAGGTACAAATGAATAGATATATGTTCTGTGGAATGTTTGGGAATTCTTTTCTGGTTGCTTCCCTTATTCCAGTGAAATAGGAAACAAGATCACCGGCTTTATTGCTAATGACTTCCTTCCCATCTGTTCTCTGCTTCACTAACTCCCTCTTTAATACTTACCCAATAATTTAGTTTATTACCCTTCTTAGGCTGAAAGCTTGGTCCCCAAATTAAATACATCAGAAATTCCTGGAGTATTTGTTAAAATGCAGATCTCTGGATCCCAGGCATATCAAATTATTTCCAGGTAGGAGAGTTCAGTAATTTGAATGTTTAGCAAGCTTTCCTGGTGATTCTGATGCACACTAAATTTTGAACACCACTTCCCTTTCCCTCTTTTGGTTGCTTCAATAATAAATGCCTTATGTTCTTTCATCCCTCCATGGATTGCTGTATCTTTAGAATACTTTCATCTGTACATAGCAGATAATTTTGTACACAAAAATGCATTCGAATATTTAACACTGATGGAGATATTTCTCTCTCTCTCTCTTTTTTTTTTTTTTTTTTTTTTTTTTTTTTTTTGAGATGGACTCTCCTCTGTCTCCCAGGCTTGAGTGCAGTAGCACGATCTCGGCTTGTTGCAACCTCCACCTCTCGGGTTCAAGCAATTCTTCTGCCTCAGCCTCCAAGTAGCTGGGATTACAGGAGTGCACTACCACACTCAGCTAATTTTTTTTCCATTCTTTCTTTCTTTTCTTTTCTTTTTTTTTTTTTTTAGGAAAAACAAGGTTTCCCTATGTTGTCCAGGCTGGTCTTGAACTCCTGATCTCAGATGATCCACCTGCCTCGGCCTCACAAAGTGCTGGGATTACAGGTGTGAGCCACTGCGCCTGACCTGATGGAGATACTTTTCTAATCATAGTCTTCCCTGATTGCATTTGAGAGGGACTAAAGTAACATTATCTTCACAGTGATGAACACAAGTATACATAAGGGATTTTTTTCTAGATATTAGATAAACATCATAAACGATGAAAGATCTGATAAGTTGAATTTTATGTCATATTTTAATCATGCCATCACAGCAGTATGCAAGCTAAATACTTATAGACAGATTATATACCGTGTCTAGTGAAACTAATTTTTTACTAGATTGTTCAGCGTTCTTCTGAACACTGTTCTCCTTCAGTGTTCTCACTGAAGTTTTCCAATAAAAGAAGTGTATGTCTCATGCTAGTATGTATGCTGAGTCTTTAAGAAATATTCAATAGCAGAAAATTGAATGGAATAACTCTACATATTTTAACGTAAAAGCACAACTCTAAATCATATCTATATTATATATAGATATAATATATATAATATCACCTTAGGAAATTTAAGGAAAGTGTAGCCAAAACAGAAACAAAAACAAAATCTCTAAACTAGTTTCCTCGTCCAACACAAATCTTGAAAGATTTATCTATATGTATTGCCTTTTATTCTTCTTCCATCCTGCATGTTATAATCTCTGGGATAATCAGAGTTTATATCACACATATTGAGACTGTTAGGTAAAAGAGAAATGCATTAGAATTGAATTAAGCTAGACAGCATAAAAAGTCTACAAAATGAAAGTGATTATTGCAAGGAAATTGTACCGCAAATATTATATATATTTGGGGATATAAACTTCAGTAATTTTAAAGGTAGAAGAGAGAACAAAGAGGATAGGTGGGAATGAAATAATTTTAACTGAGGCTTTATTTTTCTTTGTCAGTGAAAAATTTTATTTTTTAATCAGGGTAAAGTTTAAAAAAATGTTCAACTTTGAATTAATTTTGAGGTTATTAGTATTCTAGGAAATTCTCATAAATATTCTAAAGCATTTTATTCTCATTGCTGTTTCTACTATTTTCTGATTTAATTTAACCCTTATTTTCTTAAGAAAAGAAATGATTATTACTTTACAGCTGGCTTGCCTAGCCTTTGAGAGTTATTCTTCACATACTTAGTAAATGCCCAATAGAAATGAGATCAGGTAGAAATAATTCAAATTGTCCTTATTTACTTAATAATTTCTTTAAGGCATGTTCTTCTTGGTATTATGATTCCAGAAATGTTTCCAAATTACTTTAAGCAATTAGAGGTTTAGTGTTCAGCTGTCTCAATAGATATGTCCTTGTTCTTTTATTTGTTTGTGGACATGAATACCTTTCTGCCAGTTGAAGAGGGAGTTGAAATTACAGCACCAGCAGGCAATTTCTTGGACAAATTAGTATTTGGGCCACTGATGTGGAGGAAGGGAAGAATGTTTATTGCACTATTGAACTCGCTCATGCTTCCATAGCCAAAGATTGCACCAGAGGGCACTGTCCTGGGAAAACTCCAAGAGAAGCTATACACCTTCTGTTTTGAGTGACCTGTCTCTGTACTGAGAACGCATGTTGGTGTTCAGAGAGAAAGAGCAGAATCTATTTCATAAGAGCAGTGGGAATATTGAGCTACGTGTGTTGGCAACGTCAATATTTCCATGACAATGTCTTCATGAAATATAACAGTTTGTCTATTATCTATTAAAATCATTTCAATATGATTTTATAATGCTAAACACTGTTTTTCATACACACAGCATTCAATAAATATAGTAATATAATTTTATTTCACATGCCATCCTGAAGTGTATCCATTTTCTTTTATCTGACTCATAAACAGTTTCCAATCCCAGCTCCCCAAAGATAATGGGCATAACTTGAAAATCTATTTAGCCATATTTTTCTGTAGGAATGTGGAACCAAACTCAGAGATTTCTATGGTGGTTAAAGAGGAAAGACTGAACTAGCCTTACAGCCATATTTCCTTTCATATTTCAGAATAAGGCAGTTTCTAATCTTCAATTTAAAATAAGAATATACAAAAGTTGTTTCAATAAAGTGTTTACCCAGGTATTGACTGTACTGATAGTTTGACACTTTAAAGAATCACAGTAGGAAGAGACTTTGGCTTTCAAATCTCCTGTAATGTAATGTTCCGCTCCAGGCCACATTCTTTTAACCAAAAAGCTATATCTAGGTTAAGAATCTAGGATTCCAGCATTTATCTTAAACCCTCATCCAAAGTTCCTGATTATATCATATCCTCGTTATTTCTTTTTGCTGACAAAAAAGGTGAAGAAATCCAATTACATCTACTTTTTTCTTAGATAAAAGTGACAATAGAGGGAAACCATTTTCCCATAGATGATGCAGGTAGGGATGGAGGAAAAGCAGACCTGCCAGACAGCAATTTTCTCACACCCTGACACATTTTACCTTCTAGGGAAAGCCTCTGGTGAAGCCTCTCACTTAATCCATATCGTAATTCTTTACCTAGACTCCTAAGTATCACTAACTCTGGAAATAACTTCCAGATCTGGTTAGCAATTAAGAAGTTCAATTATTCTGTGACTCTTCTTAGAGTATATCTTAAAACTGTGTCCATCTGGGCCCACTAGGTGTAGCTATGATTTTACACTGCTGTTTTGAGAACAATGGCTAATAAAGCATTCATTCAAAATCACCTGGAGTAAGGCACTGCGTGGTACCACACTTGTCACTAACTCCTCAGTAACTGTCCATTTTGTTCTAAGGCAGATTGTAAGTTCCCTACCACTCCTGCTGCTCAGTGTAAGTCATTATATTTTTGTGAGATACCCTCAGAAGGAGTTTTCAGGATAAATTCATCCTGGCAGCCTCAAAATTTAAGCATAGAGCAGTAAAAATACAAAAAAGAAAAAGAAAAAGAAATTAGCCGGGTGTGGTGGCGGTCGCCTGTAATCCCAGCTACTCAGGAGGCTGAGGCAGGGGAACTGCTTGAACCAGGGAGGTGGAGGTTACAGTAAGCCAAGATCACACCACTGCACTCCAGCCTGGTGACAGAGCTAGACTCCATCTCAAAAAAAAAAAATTCTTCAGAAATCAAAGGAAAGCATTCAAAGATTTACACGTAGATTCAATTCTGACAACAGCTTCAAATACTTCATAGAATCTCAGAGTAGGTATACACAGTAAATGCTTACAATGCCACTGAAGTGTCATGGTTTGTTGTTTACATTTAGACTGACTGTTGAAAGTTTGAAATCCAGACCACTTCATAAGATTTATGCAAAAACGAAAGAAAAAAATCTGCATCATGACAAGGTAAAGTTCAACAGAGACAAATTCAAGTTGACATATTGAAGGTCAAATGCTCATCTATGCAAATATTACAGAAAGAATTTGAAAGTAAAAATGTAGATCTGTGGTTTCATGTCAAATCAAAAAAGCAGCCAGGTACATTGGTTCATACTGGTAATCCCAATATTTTGGAAGGACGAGGTGGGAGAATCACTTAAGCCGAAGAGTTTGAGATGAGCCTGGACAACATAAGAAGACCCCTATCTCTACAAATATATATATATATACACATATATATAAAATATATATGCATATAAATAATATATATACATATAAATAAAATATATATAAATATAAATAAAATATACATATACATATAAATAAAATATATATACACATATATATATACATGTATATATATATGTGTATATATATTTTAAAACCAGTTGTGGTAGCACCTGCCTGTAGTCCCTGCTACTTCAGAGTCTGAAGTGAAAGGATCTCTTGAGCCCAGAAGGTCAAGACTGCAGTGAACCATGACTGTGCCACTGCACTCCAACCTGGGCAACAGAGGAAGACACCCCCACCCTGCCTCGTCTCCAAAAAGGAAAAAAAAAAAAAAGATACTACAGGAATATGTAGTTCAATTTCCAAAGCCTTTCCTATGCCTCACCAAAGGAGTTTTAGATCTTATTTATTTACTTGTTACTTACTTACACCCGGGTTGGAGTGCCATGATCATATCTCACTGCAGCTTCAAACTCCTGGGCTCATGGGATCCTTCTGTGTTAGCCTCCCAAGCAGCTGGGACTATAGGCATGTGCCACCATGCCTGGAGAATTTATTTGTATTTTATTCTTATTTTTTGTAGAGACAGGGTCTCACTGTTTTGTCTAGGCAGGTCTCAAATTCCTGGTCAAGCAATCCTCTGCCTTGTCCTTCCAAAGTGCTGGGAGTACAGGTGTAAGCCACCGTGACCAGCCTAGATCCCTTTTTAAATAATTATTTTAGAGTAAACACTAAGATATGGAAAATGCTTAAAAATCAAAATGAGATAAGGAAGAGTTACATGGTCAAATTAGTTCTAACATAATGTAGTAATTAACATCAAAGAGATAAGAATAGATAAACATTGTGAAAGAATGAGGTATTAATACGTCAATGTTCTCCCTTTGGGATCTTCATTAGTCAGATACCACTTCAAGTGTTATACCATTATTATTTACCTCATTTAATGTGGTTAGATACTCAACAGACTCCAGAGAAGAATCAATTTTTAAATCAAAGCTTCCAATGAAGAAAACAAACAAGATCTGTTGAAGTGACTGAGCTCATACTCTGAAAACTATATACATATATATGTATGCTCTATCAATATAAAAACTTAAATATAATTTTTTGAAAAATCTGCTCTACTAGGCTGCCACTAGTCCCCCAAATTCTTTAAGAACTGACAGCTCTTAACCAAAGGGCCAAGAAAATGATAATGTAAGATAATGTTGTCTCTATCATTTAACACTCCATCTCTGCATTTTTTCTGTTGACATTTCCTCATCTGTATTTTCCCATGCTGATTTCCATCATCGCTCCATAGTGATGGGAGAATTGTTTGTAAGTACTCTGTGGAGTTACAGATCACTTCCTGCTTAGAGTCTGATCATGCACTAGACTTCCGTTACCCAGCCACATAAGCACTGTGACCTTTCCTGGTTGACACCATTAAACATTCCCTAACCACATGGCTCAGGTGTACAGGAGTGTGACTATTTAATGCATTCCTTTTCCATATCATGTGGACTCTAGGATTTGGAAATTAAGGGCTCACATTGGCTTTGCCCCACTAAGAGATGGCCATAGCACTTGAGAAGCTGAGAGGGAATTAGACCTGGTGTTTCACCATAACATCTTCCTCATTTGACATTCAGTGCTCAGCAGCAGTGTCTGGGCAGTGTAAATCTAGGGATTTCTTTTTAGCCTTAGAAACCAGAACGGAAGAGCTGGGCTCAGACTAAATCATGGAAGTTTTCAGCTTATCTACACAATCACTCTCCAGGGTTTATCACACTAGAACTAAGTATAAAGAGTAAAATGCTATGTATATCGGAGCTTTTCCAAGAATATAGCCAAATTATCTTTTCTGGGAGTTTTAGGACAGCAGATTTCAACCTTCCGTCTCCCATCACCAGAGTATCTAAGGAAGAAAAAACTGTAATATAAGGAGCAATGTTCATAAACCCCATGATTATTCATATAATACAAATACTCTATCCCGCCTCTCCCAGCTTCCACTTTGTATATGATTTGGTGACTTGATTATTGAATACCTTGAATAATTTAACATAACTCCCCATAGGTAACGGCTTTAACCTCTAGAAATCTACACACACACACACACACACACACACACAGACACACACACACACACACACATCCCAGTTGAAAATTGGCACTTTAGAAACTCACCTGCCAGTTAATTATTGCTAAAGGTCTTATTACACTATAATTTTATCACAGTTATCCTTCAGTGATAACTGGTGGTGTCAATAAAAGGGCACGAATGGAGATTCTGTCCCTCTCTCAGCCTCCTCATCTGCCAAGAAGGCCAATCTTCCGGACCAATTTTGTTGACTATCATATATACAGGATATATGAGACACACAAAAATACATATATGTACATACATATGTGTGTGTATTTGTTCTCTAAGACTGAAGGAGATATGATCTAGCAACACATTAACCACGTGTTTCAAAGTTATTTTAGATGAAACGCAAGACAAGCTAACCTTAATGTCGTTCCTAATTATATTAATCTATAAACAATATAAGGTCTTGTCTCTGGGCTATCAATTCATGATGTGACATATTAACCAGTGATAGTTACTCAGAGTAAATATTTTACAGAAAGATTAAGTGATATGGTAAACATTGTCAGAGTTCATTAATGGATTTTCATTCATTAAATCATCTGATGACAAAATCAACAAACCAATTCAAACAAACCAACCTTAAATTCTGAGCATCACTGCTAATTTGAGCTTTAAGATATATCTTCCTATTTACTAGAATTCACTATCAGAAGTATGTTTTCTAGGTTTATGCTTTAAAATAAGCTTAGATTGATGAAAACACTTTGGCACAGATGATTGTTTTCAAAGAAGCCTATAATAAACTAAATGATGTGTAACTGGCATCATTATTTTAATCTGTTAGATAAATATCCCAAGGTACTAAAGTGTTTAAAAATAATAATTTAACATTATTGAATGTATGCTTTCTACAGGAAGGGTATTTTTTAAAGTTTTTTTTTATTTCAATGGCTTTTGGGGTACAAATGTTTTTTGGTTATATGGATGGATTGTATAGTGAAGTTTGAGATTTCAGTGCATGGGTCACCTGAATAGTGTACATCGTACCCCAAATGTAGCTTTGTGTCCCTCATACCCCTTCCACCCTCTGAGTCTCCAAAGCAGGAAAGGTATTTAAAGGAAATTGTATATGGTGCTTAATTATAAATGGCAATCATAAATTATTTATCTGTGAGACTCTATCAAACTTTGCTAAGTTTGGGATTTAATGGACTCTGAAGAAATATTAGAAATATTTTTATACAGTTTATTAATGTTTAAACAGTATGACTCATGTGTAATTAAAATGGTATTGGTTAGTGACTACCAGTACATCCTCTAATATCTTTATCAAGTGTGTGCTATAGCAAAGATAAAGCTATTTTGTCAGGGAAATTAAAATAACATTCTTCAGTTGCAATGTGGTGTTTGATGTTGGGACACCCAAAAGTAGTGTAGCCATGTTTTTATCATAAGCTCATGCTGCTTCCATTGTCAAGCACTATTCTGAAAGTCTCTAATCCTCTAACCAGGCCTGCTACTGAGGACCAAAATTCTCTTTCCAAAATCTCTAACTGATTTTGTTGACCCTAAGATTACTAATCCGTAATGGCTTCCCAATGCTTACTACATGAATTTTACATCTTTTTGCATCTCCTGTGGAAAGCTCAACTGAGAAAAAGCAATATTTAGAAAAGATTGTTGAAGGCACATGGTATCCATCAACTTTAAATATATACACACACCCTGCCCCTGGCTCCAGTCATAGAAGGCTGCCCAAACCCATCAATTTATCCCCTACTGGAATCTTCAGGGTATTTCACTGTTAAGCCCTTAGCTTGTGCTGAAGGGAATAATGGAAAAAAGATATCATGTCTGCTGCTATGTTAGCTGTGAAATGCTGCTGGAGATATTATTCATTATTTCCCCTATATAAAATGTAATATGAACTTTGTCTTTTTTATTTAACACAGAGAATATTTTATTGGCCCTGAGAAGATGATATTCTAAAAAACTGAATGTCTTCCAACTTTCTTACCTGTTTTTCTTTGTATCCTAGCTCCAGAAGGATTAAAATTAATCTCAGTTATTGCTGGTTCTTATGGTTACTATATTTTACTGACTGTATTAGGCCATTCTTGCACTGCTATAAACAAATACCTGAGCCTGGGTAATTTACTTTTTAAAAAGAGTTTTAATTGGCTCATGGTTCTGCAGGCTATACAGAAAGCATAGCAGCATCTCTTTCTAGAGAGGCCTCAGGAAGTTGCCAATCATTGCAGAAGGCAAAAAGAGGAACAGGCACATCCCATGGTGAAAGCAGGAGCAAGAGAGAGAAAGCTGGGGAGAGGTGCCACACACTTTTAAATGACCAGATCTTGTAAGAATTCACTCACTATCATGAAGACAGCACCAAGCCATGAAGGGTTCACTCCCATTATCCAAACACCTTCCACCAGGCCCTATTCCAGCACTGGGGATTACAATTCAACATGAGATTTGAACAGGGACAAATATCCAAACTATATTATTCTACCCTTGGCCCTTTCAAAATCTTATGTCCTTTTCACTTGCAAAATACAATCATTCCCTCCCAATAGCTCCTCAAAGTCTTAGCTTGTTCTAGCATTAACCAAAAAGTTCAAAGTCCAAAGTCTCATCTGAGGCAAAGCAAGTCTTTCTACCTATGAGCCTGTAAAATCAAAAACAAGTTATTTACTCCCAAGATACAATGGGAGTACAGGCATTGGGTAAACATTTTTGTTCCAAAAGGGAGAAATTGGCCAAAAGAAAAGGGCTGCAGGCCTCACACAAAACTCATAGAGCAGTAATTAAATCTTCAAGCTCCAAAATAGTTTCATTTGACTCCATGTCCCACATCCAGGGCACATTGGTGCAAAGAGTGAGCTTCCAAGGCCTTGGCATCTCTGCTTTTGTGACTTTACAGGGTGCAGTCCCCATGGCTGCTCTCTTAGGCTGGATTTGAGTGTCTGTGGCTTTTCCAGGTGCAGAGCCCAGGCTGCCAGTGGATCTACCATTCTCAGATCTGGAGGATAGTGGCTCCCTTCTCCTAGCTCCACTTGGCAGTGCCTAAATAGGAACTCTGTGTGGGGGCTCCAAATCCACATTTATCCTCTGCCTTGCCATAGCAGAGGTTCTCTGTGGGGGCTCCACCCCTGCAGATGGCTTCTGTTGGGCACCCAGGCTTTTCCATACATCCTCTGAATTCTAGATGGAGGCTCCCAAGCCTCAAGTCTTGCACTCTGTGCACTCGCAGGCTTGACACCATATGGAAGCCACCAAGGCTTATGGCTTGCACCCTCTGGAGCTGCAGCCTGAGCTGTACCTGGACCCCCTTGAGCTAAGGCTAAAGCCAGAGCAGCCAGGATGTGAGAGCAGTATCTCCAGGCTGCACAGAGCAGCAGGGCCCTGGCCCATGAAACATTCTTTCCCCTAGGCCTCAGGCCTGTGATGTGATGGGCTGCCACAAAGGTCTCTGAAATGCCTTCAGGGCCTTTTTCCCATTGCCTTGGCTATCAACACTTGGCTCCTTTTGAATTATGCACATCTCTCTAGCAAGTAATTGCTCCACAGTCTGCTTGAATTCTTCTCCTGAAAAGGCTTTTACTTTTTCTGATACATGACCAGGCTGCAAATTTTCCCAATTTTTATGCTCTGCTATCCTTTTAAATATAAATTTCAAATTTAAGTCATTTCTTTGCTCCCACATCTGAGCATAGGTTTTTAGGAGCAGCCAGGTCACAACTTGAAAGCTTTGCTGCTTAAAAATATCTTCTACCAGATACCCTAAATCATCACTTTGAAGTTCAATACTTTCATATATCACTAAGTCATGAACAAAATGCAGCCAAGCTCTTTGCTAAGGCATCACATGTGTGACCTGTGCTCCAGTTTCCAATAAGATTTCTCATTTCAATCTGAGACCTCAGCAATCCAGACTTCACTGTCCATATCACTATCAGCATTTTGGTCACAACCATTTTACCAGTTTCCAAGAAATATCAAACTTTCTCTCATCATCTTGTCTTCCTCTGAGCCCTCCAAACTCTTCTAACCTCTGCCCATTACGCAGTTCCAAAGTCACATCCACATTTTCAGGTAACTTTATAGTAATGCCTCACTTCTCAGTACTGATTTTATGTATCAGGTTGTTCTTACACTGCTCTAAAAAAAATACCTGACACTGGGTAATTTATTTAAAAAGAGGCTTAATTGGCTCATGCTTCTGCAGGCTATATAGGAAGCATAGTGACAGCTGCCTCTAGGGGGGTCTCAGGAAGCTTCCAGTCATTGTGGAAGGCAAGGGGGAGCAGGTACTTCACATAGTGAAAGCAGAAACAAGAGAGAAAGAGTGAGGGGAGTAGATGTCACATACTTTTAAATGACCAGATTTTGTGACAGATCACTCCTTATAGCAAGCACAGCACCAAGCCATGAGGATCTGCTCCCATGATCCAAACACCTCCCACTAGGCCCCTCCTCTAGCATTGGGGATTACAATTCAATATGAGATTTGGGTGGGAACAAATATCCAAATGATATCACTGATCAATTATCGTTTTTTGTGTTTTTTTAGTGAATCTTTTTGAACCTATTTTGCCAACCGATTTGAAATATATAATTTTATATTACCATTTCAAGAAAGGAATGCCTTGGACAATAAAGATATCTTTTTTTTTTTTTTTTTTTGAGATGGAGTCTTGCTCTGTCTCCAGGCTGGAGTGCAGTGGCGCAATCTTGGCTCACTGCAACCTCTACCTCCCAGGTTCAAGCGATTCTCCTGCCTCAGCCTCCCGAAAGATATCTTTTTACATGGCTTATGCCTCTTCAAAATCTACTCCCAACTTACATTTCCAGGCCATCTCCTGACCATAAACAACTCAGAACTCAAGATTTTCACAACACTCTATGTCACCCCCTGCCTATCCATTTCCAGTTACATCATCTTCTTTTACCTAAATACCATTTATTCTCATTCCCATTTCTCTGCCCGGAAAATTTCTACTTAATCTTAAAAACCCACATCAAATATTCTTATATAAGGTCTTCCAACATCATCCTAAAGAATTACTTCCACTCCCCACCATGCTCACAATTCTGAGCATGCATCTATTATAAAACCCATCACATTGCCTTATTACTTATAGCAGAGAAATTACTTTTCTCTGCTTCAGTTTTTTAAAATTAAAACGTTATGTGGCATGAGCATCAAAACTGCCTAGTTTGCTAGGGCTGCCATGACAAAATACCATGGGGTGGCTTATACAACAGAAATTTATTTTCTCACAATTTTGGAGATTAGAAGCCTGAGATTAAGGTATTAATAGGGTTGGTTTCTTCTGAGGCTTCTCTTCTTGGCGTGTAGATATCTGTCTTTTCCCTCTGTCTTCACACAGTTTTCCCTCTGCATGTATGTGTTTCCAAATTTTCTCTTCTTATATGTACACTAGTCCTGTAGAATTAGCTCATTCTAAATTCACTACCTCACTCTAACTTGATTACCTTTTTAAAGACCCTGTTCCAAATACGGTCACATTATAAGATACTGGGGGTTAGGACTTCAACATATGAATTTTGGGGGGACACAATTTAGCCCCAAGTAGAGACCATGCTTAAATTATCTAGCCCTAACTCTTAACTCAGTTTCTACCATATAATAGAAACAATAAATATTTGTTAATGAACGCTATATTAATGAAAAAAATTTACTATGTATGATATGGTATTTAAAAATGTTTTTCTTATAATAAATTATAAGAACACTGGCAGGTTTTTTTGTGTGTTACAAAACAGCCATAATATTGTTTTTCACTAGCTTGTTCCTAAAAGAACTTACTTAGCTCCCCAAGTTAGGAACTCTCATAGCAATTTTGTTATGCTGCCACCAAGTGACACTTGATGGAACTGTTTCCACTTGTTCTGCAGAATCTAAGCTTTTGCTGAAATTAAAGATGATGAATCTCTCTTAAAACCTCTCAAAGACCCAATTATGACATTTTTGCATTTTAAAAATAAATTGCCCTCATTAAAACAAAAATGTAATCAAATATTGAAGAAAAATTGACAGGTAATTATATACGGCAAATATTTTTAAACTAATAAGACAGTATTCATCGTTCTCTGATAAAATGTTGATGTGCTAGATATAAAAAACAAACCATAACTTATATTCAACTTTAATTTTGACCACAAACATATCATAAGTCCACTCAGGAAGATAACACAGGTTTTAGTCCTTGCTGATCTTACAAAGAGACAAAAAGGTATCAGCAGCTTTTCTAACAGAGAGAAATGGTTGTTTTCCCTTAAATTTTGACTAGGAATGTAGCAGGGAATATCTGTTGCAAATATTAACTTGCTCATTCCCACCTGACGAAAGTTAAGTCAAAGCTGTGCTGAGATAGTACTTCAAAACTGTCCTTTCCACTCATTTGCCCAGCCATTCATTTTGCCTCAGGCAATAAATATTGCTGCTCAAAGAGGTCTTCCCTGACCACCTATCTAAAAAATACCCGCACTAAACCCAGTTATTCTCTATCAATAATATCACAAAACTTATTTCTCTGGATTTATATTATTCAGTTAATTTTTACTTATTTACAATATGGGCTTCTCTTGTTAGAAGATAAGCTCTATAGACCTTTTGATTCGTGATTCTGTTCCCATCAACTAGAAGAGTACTGGGTAGACTGCAGGTTATTAATAAATATTAATAAAATGAATGAATAGTATCTGACTAATTAGAATAAATTAAAATTTAACTGAGGCTCTTAGTCAACTGCCTTCTCGATGATAGTTCTCACATGGGAAGAGCCTGTAAATGACTGTGTGAATTCTTCCAGCTCTTTACTAGGATGGAAATGCAAGGAGAAGGCACTGAGCTCAATGCTTAATCTATTTTATTTCATCTAAAACATGCAATCCCCATCTATCTTGCTCATCTTCCTCCTGGCATCTCTAGTATTTTAATATCATAGTTTATCAATTTGAAAAATTACATCTTTTACATTTTTACATTTCTAAAATTGGGATGCATCTTTCAATTAATGGGAAATTGCAAACACTGTAGGCCAGGTGGTGGTTGTGATGTATGAATTTGTCATTGCCTGCACATGTGCAAACTTGATTGCTCTTCCTGCTGGCATGACTGAATGACTCCGTTCTCTTGAGGTTTCAACTTAATGAAATACTTAAGGGTTATTTTTTGTTTTACTTTATTTATAACTGACACATAATTGTACATATTTATGGGGTATGGTGTGATATTTCAATACATGTATTACACTGTATAATGTCAAATCAGAGTAATTAGCACATCCATCACTTTAAATACATATTATTTCTTTGTAGTGATATCATTCAAAATCCTCTCTTCTACCTATGTTGAAATATACCATAAACTATTGTGAGTTATAGTCATTCTATTGTGAAGTAGAACACCAGAATGTCTTCTTTCCATCCAACTGTAACTTTATGCCCATTGCCCAACCTTCCTCATTCTCCCCTCTCCTCTATACTAACCAGCCTCTGACAACCACCATTCTACTCTCTACTATGAATCAACTTTTCAGGATTCCACATATCCTTTTCAGGATCCCACCACCTGGCCCACAGTGTTTGCAATTTCCCATTATGAGCTCATGTGGTATTTGTCTTTTTGTGCCTGGCTTATTTTACTTAACATAATGTCCTCCAGGTTCATCCATGTTGCCACAAATGATAGGATTTTGTTCTGTTTTATGACTGAGGAGTGTTATATTGTGTATATATACCACATTTTCTCTATCCATGCATGTGTAGTTGGACACTTCAGCTGATTATGTCCTTGGCTATTATGAATAGTGCCACAATAAATACGGGAGTGCAGAGATCTTTTCAACACAACTGATTTCATTTCTTTCAGATATATACCCAGTAGTGGGATTGACAGATCATATGGTAGTTCTATCTTCAAATTATATGAAAAGGGGATATGATTTCTGATATTGTAGTCTGAAAACTTTCTATTACAACTTTAGATAAGATTAAAGGACCAGCAATAGCATCACAGAATGGGTGGAAATGACTTGGAAGAAAATCTACAGAGACAAGAGTGGAGCACTCTTTTTAGAGATGCCACAATATCAATGCTCTTGTGGCACAAAGAACAATATTGTACTGAAACATGGATTTGAACAACTCTGAGTTAATGCACAATTAGGAAAGTTAAATCCTGAATGTGAAGATTTTTAGGAATAGTTTCACTTTTCTTGTTTTCTGTTTTCATTTTCACTAGAACAGCATATGACAAATCTATGTCTAAATAAGCCTAAAATAATATTTTGAATAAATATATAAGTAAAATTCAAAGTAATAAGACATAATTTGTCACAATTTAATTGGAAGTGTGTTTTCTTCTTGATCACGTTTAAAATTATGATATATCTAATAATTGAAGGCATCTTACTATCACCGAAATGTGGTATTGTCTACCAAGTACCAAGCACAATGCTAGTCACTGCGGATACAAGAGTGTGAAAAAAAAATTCCTGCTTTCGTAAAGCTAGCCTGGCTTCACTAGCTGCACTACTCTACCACCTCCCCTAGACCAGAGGTAAATGAAGTAGTGATATAAGCCATTGTTTGAAAGTGTCTGGACAGGCATACTAAATAATCCTGGGAAGAATAGGAAGTATATTAACCATTTTCCCTTGACTCGACCGTGCCTGAAGGAGCTTTTAAAGAGGTAATTGAAAAGCAATTATATATTTAGCAAATATAATATGCTATGGATATTGTTAATGGTTGTACCAAGAAAATCTCTAAGTTGTATTTATTATTTCTTCCATTGGATATACTGCAGGTGATAGCACTGATTATTTTATACTGAAGTCACTTTTTGTCTTGATTTTGTACTTAAGTACCATAATGTATTCTGCAATCTTTGTCTATTCCTTCACTATCTGAACTCTGGTCTTAAAATATATAACACTTCTTTGGGCATGAGGACATATAAAATTAGCTCTAAAGTTTGTAACTAATGGATTTCCAATTAAGCTTGTCATTTACCTTTTTTTTGTTTTATAATGTTTTAAATTTTAAAATTTTCTGAAAAACCTGGAATTGCTGTTAGATTCTATGGCAAAATAAAACTCCATCAAGAAAAGATATATTTATTCTCCAGAGAATTTCATTAATTTCAACCACTAAAAGAACTACCACAATATGGCCAGTTGCGGTGGCTCAAGCCTGTAATCCCAGCACTTTGGGAGGCCGAGGCGGGCAGATCACGAGGTCAGGAGATCGAGACCATCGTGGCTAACACGGTGAAACCCCGTCTCTACTAAAAAAAAAAAAAGTACAAAAATTTAGCCGGGAGTGGTGGCGGGCGCCTGTAGTCCCAGCTACTCAGAAGGCTGAGGCAGGAGAATGGCGTGAACCCGGGAGGCGGAGCTTGCAGTGAGCCGAGATTGCGCCCCTGCACTCCAGCCCGAGTAACAGAGTGAGATTCCGTCTCAGAAAAAAAAAAAAAAAAAAAAAAAAGCTACCAAAATATAATCTTATTGTACATAATGAAACATAGCACAATTAAATTAAATGCTGACTTGATCAGGTCGGGTTATCACCTAGTATGTTCAAAAAGAAAAAGAATAAACTCCTCAGCAAGATATCCTAGACTGTCTACCAAGTGACTTCACTGAGACAGCCAAGTAAAAAGGACTCTCTGGAGAATCTCTGACAGACAGGCCTGTGCACTGAGAGGATGGGGCGGACCCATGGAAAGTTTGTGCTGTTTGCATTGGGGAGGAGCCTGGCTTCCCCTGTTCCATACTGGTAACCTAAGGTTCAATCGGTGAGATGGGGGCCTGTTAATGGGAACCTCTCTAGCTTTGCTGAGTTTTTTTTTTCCTTTTCTGCCCAATAAATTCTATTTTTCGCACCCTTCTATGTGTCCGCAAGCCTAATCTTTTCTGGTCACGTGACAAGAAAATGGTTTTTAGCTGAATTGAGGAGAAAGGAGAAAGTCCTACAACATCACCATACATATTCTTCATTATTTTCTTTTTCCTTTTTTTTTTTTTTTTTTGAGACGGAGTCTCACTCTGTTGCCCGGGCTGGAATGCAATGGTGCAATCTTGGCTCACTGCACCCTTTGCCTCCTGTGTTCAAGCAACTCTTTTGCCTCAGCCTCCTGAGGGGATTACAGACTCACGCCAGCACACCTGGCTAATTTTTATATTTTAAGTAGAAAAGGGGTTTCACCATGTTCGCCAGGCTAGTCTCGAACTGCTGGCTTCAAGTGATTCACCCTCCTTGGCCTCCCAAAGTTCTGGGATTACAGGCAAGAGCCACCACGCCCAGCCTCTTTACAACTTTTGTATATGAAGTACTGTTTGAAGGCGTTGGTGGTTGTATGCACAGCAACCAACACTGTGCCTACAGCATAAAAGGCGCTTGAGCAAATGTTTATTTAATGACTAGGAGGCCTGAGAGGTCTCCCGGTGTAGGCTTTGGAGCCAGACTGCATAGATTTAAATATTAGCTCTGTCCCTTGACCAGTGATTTTGGCTAAGTTACTTGCCTCCTAAACCATAAATTTTTCATCTGTCAAGTGGAAGTGAATGATTGTACATACCTTATAATGTCATTGTAAATTAAACTATAAAGTGCTTAGCTGCAAAGCCTAACACATAGGTGCCAGACAAATATTATCTACCATTGTTATACTTATCACTATTATTCTTACTTGAAGAACTATGTAGAAAATAATTATTGAAATCCATGCAACAACATTTAGCATACTTATTAAATGCAAACTGTGTGAAGCATTGTTCAAGATTCTGGAGTCTATATTTTAGGTAAGAAGCTAGACAATAAAGAAATAAATAATAAATGGGAAATTTTTATATACTTGTAAGTACTCTTGAAAATTAAATAGGGAAATATGAAAGAGAGCAGCTAGGGAATGAAAGAAGGGAATAAAGATTTTTCATTTTTTGTAACACTAGATGGTATGCTTAAGTAAGATCATAACTAAGAAGTGAATGATAAAAAGGAGTCAGGCTTACAAAGATTTCAGGGAAGAGGATTTCAGACAAGGGAACATAGAAAACAAAGGGTCTGATATAGGAATAAACATGCTCTGTTCAGGACCAGAACAAAAAACAACTGAAACAGTAAAGAAGTGGAAGAGCTATAAGGTCAAAGAGGGATAGTACATACTGACCCACAGAAAGCACTGTAGGACAGAGTGAGTGAGGAGTTTGAAATTTTTCCGGAGTGCAGTGGGAAATGAATCTAATTGTTTAAAGCAGTAATGTAGGTTGGAGGTAATGGCAAGCAACACCCAGCAGTGGCAGAAGAAAACAGAGGAAGCCGAAGACTTAATTAAGATGGGAATATTCCCTAAATTGATTCTCAGACTCAGGGCAATCCCTATCAAAATGACAGCTGAGGAGCTGCCTTTTTTTTTTTTTTTTTTTTTTTTTTTTTTGCAGAAATTGACAAAGTGGTCCAAAATTGATGTGAAGAAAGATAAAGGACCCAGAATAGGCAAAACAATCCTGAAAAAGAACAAAGATAGAGGGTACCTCCCAATTTTAAAACTTTTTTTTTCTTTTATTTTTTTTTGGTGGCAGGGTCTCACTCTGTCACCCAGGCTGGAGTGCAGTGGCATGCTCTCAGCTCACGGCAACCTCTGTTTCTCAGGTTCAAGTGATTCTGTTTGCCTTAGCCTCCTGAGTAGCTGGGATTACAGGCACATGCCACCAGACCTGGCTAATTTTTTATTTTTTTATTTTTTTTGGTAGAGACAGGGTTTTACCACACAGGCCAGGCTGGTCTCAAACCCCTGACCTCAAGTGATCTGCCTGCCTTGGCCTCCCAAAGTGCTAGGATTACAGGCATGAGCCACCGTGCCAACCCCAATTTTAAAACTTGCTACAAAGATACAGTAATCAAAACAATGTTGTACTGGCATAAATAAATAAATAAGTAAATAAATGAAATTGTATACAGACCAATGAAATGTTAAGAGTCAAGAAATAAACACCTACACTTATGGCAAATTCGTTTTTGACAAAATTGCCAAGACAATTTGTAGGTTTTTCAAAAAATGGTACTGAAATAACTGGATTTCCACATGTAAAAAAATGAAGCTGCTGGACCCCTGCGTCACATCACATATAAAAATTAACTATAACTGGATCATAGAGCATAGGTGAGAGCTAAAACTATAAAAGTTTTGGAAGAAAACATAGGAATAAGTCTTTGGATTAGGCAAACAAAAAATTTCTTAATCATGACAGTAAAATCATAAGTGAAAAAAAATCAGATAAATTGGCCTTCATCAAATTAAAAAAAATTGCTTTATAGGACACCATCAAGAAAATGAATGACAGTTCACAGAATGGGTGAAAATATTTGCAAATTGTATATTTGATAAGGGATTTATATATAGTCTATATAACAAACTCTTACAATTCAACAATAAAAAGACAAATGACTCAGTTTTTAAAATGGGTAAATTGGCCTGAATAGTCATTTCTCCAAGGACAGCATACAGATCCAATGAGCATGTGAAAAGGTGCTCAATATCATTAGTCATTATAGAAGTACAAATTTAAAACACAATGTGATATCACTTCATGCTCATTTGGATGTCTGTAACTTTTTAAAAATGGAAAATGAGTATTGGTGAGTATATGGAGAAAATGGAGCCCTGATACACTGCTGGTGGGATTGTAAAATTGTAGAGCTGTTTTGGAAAACAGTTTAGCATTTCCTCAAAATATTAAACAGAAAGTTGCCATAAGACCCAGTAATTCCACTCTTAGGTATATAACAAAAGAAATTGAAAGCATATGTCCACACAGAAACTTGTATACAAATGTTTATGAAAGCATGATTCATAATAACCAAAAGTTGGAAACAACCCAAATGTCCATCAATGGATGAATGGATAAATTGTGTGGTTTATACATACAATGGAATATTATTCATCCATATAAAGGAATGAAGTACTGATATATAGTACAACATACATGAACTTGAAAACGTTATGCTAAATGAAAAAAAGACACAAAAGACCACATATTGTTGATTCAATTTATATGAAATGTCCAGAATAGGAAAATCCACAGAGACAAAAAGTACATTAGTATTTGCCAAGGACTGGAAAAGTGGAGTGCGGGGAGTGATTACTAATGGGTACAGATCTTCTTTCTAAGGTGGTGAAAATATTTTATAATGATTCATAGTGATAGCTCCACAATTCTGTGACTAACTAAAAGCCACTGAATTGTAAGCTTCATTTTTTATGTTTTATCTATTTTTAAATCCCCGCGATTAGTAATGCAAATGACTTATACACTTTAAAACAACTATTTTATGGTATGTGCTTATATCTCAATAAAACTATTATTTTAAAAAACAGAAAGGGAGCATATTAGAACGATATTTTCCAGAAGATTCCTCTGGATTTGGTAGTTATTCATGATGACTTAATAGTTGTTTGGATGTAGGAGTTCAAAGGGTTTTATCCATCTATATGCTTGCAGCATCTAGAACCATATCGTGGAAAAGTAATGAACACTAAATGTGTGAAGAAATCACACATGAATAGATATTAGAAAAAATGAAGGCCACATTTAGCTATGTAGATGATGACATCATTCATTAAGCCAGAAAAAAAAATGAGGGAAAGCAAATTTGAGGTGAACATGGAGGAATGTTTATTTTTTGGCATCAATGGACGTATAGATGGATGCGTCTGTCATAAGCATTGAGAAAACTGTAATTTGTAGCAAAAAAGAACAGAGGTGAATAATATCAGACTCATCTTTATAATCTGACCATTCAAAAAAATTTAAAATTAAAAAGATTATGTACATAGTACATATATATACATATATATATATCCACAATTGTATTAATCATATTAAGATAGCAAAAGTGATCGAAGCTTAGTTTAAAGGAAAGTGGTGAGTTTAGCTTTTGATATGTTACTTTTGAGGTGGTACGAGAATAGGAGTTCTGTGAGGACAGGAAATTTCTGTGTTTTGCTTATCATTGTAACCAATAATAACAATAGCAATAGTACCCTTAGAAGTCACTAAACACATTTGTTGAATTAATAAAACCATTTTCAAGTATGCAATATGTAGTTAATATGTGATTTTTAAAATGGTAGAGTTGAGTTGGAGGCTGGGCATATAGATTTTGTATTACCAACATTAAAGATAATAACAAAAATCTTAGAGAAGAATAGATCACTTTAAAAAATGGGAAGAGCTGGAATCCCACCCAATATTTAAGAAATGGTTAAATGAAGAGAAATTATAACCCAAATTTGGTTTTCAAAATTACTTTTTATTTTTTAAATTTTTTTTTACAATTCTAAGACAGATATTAATTATATGATGCAAAGGCAGAAATAAAAAAGTGAACTAAAACTTGGAAATGTTTTAAGGTTCCTAAAATGACACTGCAGAAATGGAAATCAGATTTCCTGCTCTAACTGCTATAGGATAATTAAATCAATTTTCTAGTGAGATTATCTCGAGAAGTGGATGAGCTCCCTGCCCTAGTCCAGTGGTAACTGAATCCAAGAGATTCATCTATATTCTTATTTGCCTTTTACCACTAAAGATAATGTCTTTGATCTGGGTCTAATAAAACTAGGTGATCTATATTCAGGGATGACTGTTATTTGTTATATTACTAGTCATCAATAATAGTCCATCAGAGAGGATTGTATGAGTGCCTCATCTGTTACTTAATTGATTTTACGATCTCAGTAATATGAAATACATATTAAATCTCATGACCTTGCCCTCAAAGGTGTTAGAAAATATTAAGCACCCATTGCATTGAGACATGATTTCCAACATAGAAAATGTCATACTTCTGTAAGCTATTAGAGATGTTAACAACTGCTGCCCTCCCAGTTAATTTTTAGTGGTGATATTAATTCATGTTTGGTAGTTATGAGAGCATGAGATCAAGAACAAAGCAGAGCTTAATGAGAAGCTGATACTGTATCTGGGCAAAGTCATTTTTGGGAATATGAAGGAGGTTCCCAAATGCTGAAAGGTCCACTTCAAATGGATGTGCAGGTGGATGTTCCACTCTTAGCCCAGCAGAGAACACAAGGCTGCATAAGCACGTGGGTTTGGACAGTTTAGAAACAGTGCACTAGGCTCTCAAAGTGACACATGGGTGTTCCATTTGCCAGGGGTCGGTAAATTTGATTCCAGTTTCAGTTGGCTCCAAAAGCCATGGCTTTGCTGTTTGATAAATTGGTCTGTGCCAGAGAAAAGCCCAAGTCTAGCAGTTCCTATGGGACCATAACTGCACCAACTTAAAAAAAGAAAAAAGTCTAGTATTTAAACGTCATTCATTGTATGTCTATTTTATGCCTGGCTGAAACACAAAGGCATCATCCTTCCCTCTGTGAGCCACAGCTGTAGTGTAGCTGTCATTTTAAAGTAGATAATGTTGCCTTCCCGTCTCTCTTGACCTTAGCTTTTCTATCTTTGGTCGTATTTCTCCAAGCAGCCCAAATTCCTCAACTTTCCTAAGATCTCCAGGAGATCTGAATGACGTCCTGGTTCCCACATTAAATCTTACGGATAGTTACCAGTTGGTAAAATGATATTTTATTATACAATTCTGATTCCAGGAATGTGTTCTAAGGGAACATTGAAAGGTATGTGCAGAAATCCATATGCAGAATGGTTATTTACTGTACCAAAAAATGTAAACAGCTTAAAATTAAATGCATTTCTTCAAATAAACCCAAGTTGTATGAAATACAGTGTAATAGTAGGGAAATGTTTAAAAAATTGCAGTAGAATATTTTTGGATTATAAATGTTCATAATATATAGTTAATAATTATAATAGACAATGACCTAGACCTTCTTATATACCAGGCACTATTATGTTTTATAGAGACTATCTCATTTAATCCTCCAACAACCCTGCAAGGTAGACACTATTATAATTCCCATTCTCTAGATGAAGAAGCTGAAGCATAGCAAGACTACATGTGTTAGTGAAGATCACTCAGCTGCTTTGGGACAGAGCCAGGCTTTGAACACAGGCAGTCTGGCTCTAATGTCTGTGCTCTTAGTGGTGAGCATAGCAAGTTAGAAAACAGTTATTGCAGTTTTATACTAAGTTTGCATATATAAACACACACATATATATGCGTTGATAAATATAGGTGAGATAGACCCTAAAATGTTCATAGTTCTTATCTCTGAGTAGTGGAATTAAAGATGATTTTTGTTTTTATTTTTGTGGTTTTTTGAAATTTTCAAAATGTTCTACATTTTATATAATTTCTAGAATCAGAAAAAAGATTAAAATTGCATTGTACAATTTTCTATTTGTGTTTAAATATTAGAAAATATTAGTGTGATAAAGACTAATAGATTAATCATATACATAAATGTCTGGTAATCTATTAGTTATTTGCATAGTAATCATCTGGTGTATTTTTAACTTTACATTATCCTAGATAAAAATAACTGAAGCTGAAGCCACTACTTACTGATTGCCTATTTGTGCTAGGCACCTTAATGCTAGCAAAGGTCCTGCAAAGCAGGTATTATCCTCTCCAATTTACTACTGAGTGCTTGAGGCTCAGACAGGTTATGTATCATGGCCAAGTACACACAGCTACTCAGAAAAAAGTTGATATTCAAATTCAAATCTATCCAGCCACAAAAACCCTTACTCTAATGCTTCAGCACTTCCAGAATTGATTCTTTAGGTTAATAGTCCTGTAATTTTCTTAATCTCCCTCTCCCAATTCTGCACAATATACATGGCTGTTGGGAGGGAGGCGTCTAAGGTGAAATATATTTGGACAACACTGTTTTCAATATGCCCCTCTTAGAGAATCTTAGTGAATATGAATATAATAATATTAATATAGGGATATAGAAGCCCTGCGGAGGGAAACATATTTATTATCATGAAGCTGCATTGCTGTTCAAACCAGAACTTTCCAAACTTGAGAGTGCTTACAAATTACATGAGGATTTTGTTAAATATGAATTATTATTCAGTAGGTCTGGGATGAGGTCTGAGATTGCATATTTTAAATAAACTCCCAGGTGATGCTGATGCTGCTAGTTCAAGGACCACCCTCTGAGGAGTAAGGTACTGAAGGACACAGATAGGAAACTCCTGCACCATTTATTTCTGCCAGCCATGATTAAGGAATTGGCAGTTTCAGGGAGTCCATTGTCAACCTTCCTGGGTAATCTCAAGATAGGAATAAATATTAGTCCAATACCTGTTATTTGGATGATGGATACCCTAAAGCCCTGACTTGACCACCACGCAATCTATGCATATAACAAAATAGCACTTGCACTCCATAAATTCATACAATTTTTTTAAAGATAGGAATCAGTGACCTGCAGGGCTTGCTTTGAAGGATTGGGCTGAGAAGCTAATGGAGGGGTGGGAACAATTGGGATGGGGATTTCTGGACTGATCTGCATCCAAACTGAAAAACAGTTGATTTCCTAGGGACAGAGTCTGTAACCCAAAAGTTGTTTTTTAGCCCTCAACAAAGGTTCAGTTTAATTCTTAGAGAGACTTTGAGGCTGCTTCTTTAGTCTGGCATGTCAAAAGACCATATTTTGGGCTGTTTCTGAGCTCCAACATCTTCCTATTACATGAATATCACTAGATAATGAAAAGTTATGCTGTCAATTTGCATCATTGATTGATTTTTTCCCCCATATTCACCCTTTCTTTCTTGGAATAGCAAGAATTGTTTGGTGGAGAGAGCAAGTGCCGTGGAGTGTGATTTACCTGAGTTAAACTGCTGGCTTTGCTGCTTACCAGATGAATGAACCTGGGCACTTTGTCAAGTCTCTCTGAACCTAGCTAGGTCTCCCCTTCTGTTAAATGGGGATACTATCCAACTCAGTGATGTTTGGTTGTGAGGATCAGATGAGCTTATAACATAAAACCCAAGGCATACACTAAAGACTTTATATTTATTACTTATATTTATTACTTCCATTTCCTCTTCCATTTAATGCCCTAACACAAGCCACATCTGAAGAAACCTCACACACTTCCTCTATTTGGCTTCTCCTGGGATCTTAGATTAAGTGTCATTTCCTTCTAGAAGCCTTTCCTTACTCTTCTTCCCCTCATTCCAGGAAAGGTAGTTGTTTCCAACACATGCTTCCAGATCAGCCTTATAGTTTCTGCTTAATTGACCATCTTCCCCAGTAGATCCCATGAAGTCAGAAGATTTACTGTCCTACTCATTTTTAACTGTCTACTGCCTGACATATGGGAAGTGGTCAGTAAATATTTCTGGATTTATTGAACATATACATTAAGTAATTAACTTAGCCCCATTCTGTGGCTCTCTGAATAACTCCTGTGGTTACAAAACCCCAGGTTGAATACTTTAAAGAACTACCTCAAAAGACAACCTCTCTTTGGGAGAGAGTAGTTTTCAGAGTATCGTTGTTCATTCTTCTCTAACATTGTTTCTGCAGTACTGGTTTGTGAGTGTATCCTTTGTGATCAGTAAAATGTAATGATATCCACATTAAGCCATGGACTCAAGATTTTAGTGTTCCATTTGTCTAAAGATTTAAAAGAATAAAAAAGAGTTAGGGAGGTGCTGCATTTGACAGAAAGCACTTTCTCCTGTACTCCAGTGGGGCACTGTTAGAAACTTGTTGCCTAAAGCAATACACTGGCAGATTCTGACAAGGTGTTTGAAGGCTGTTTTAAATCAGAGACAAACATCAGACACTGAGGTGAATATCTTTTTCTCAGGCACACTGGATGGAGTCTTGATAAAAAGTCTTTAAAAATTGAATGTATATCATAATAGCAGACATGCACAATCAGTATGAGCTCTCTCTTGAACAAAACTCGGATTTGAAAACTTGACAGAAAAAACTTTAAAAAAGAATCTTTGGTTGTCATATTTAAAATCAGACAGTGTTAGTTTATGCTATTATAAAAAATAAAAGTGCTATCATCTTAGTAATGGATATTTAAACTGGGACTTTAATTTGTTTAATGCAATTAACAGTAGGTCACCTTGTAAAAATTGTAACTGAAAGTAATTCTGCATATAAATATTTTAGATGGAGTGTAATTTTCTCACATGGATAGAATTCATCTTATTAAGAGTCATTCTATTATGGGCATGGTAGAGGTTCTTGCCAGATATAACTTCTTCTCCATCTTTTCTCTCTCATTCCAATTCACAGTTAGATCTTATATTATTTATAATTTTTAAATATATGTGATATGAATATAAACTTATAAAAATTCAGCCCATACAGATGTATATTAGAATCCTCTAGGAGGATTAAGGACCGAAGTGCAGATACTAAAGTAATTTTCTCTGCTGTGCACAAATAGCACCCTTTATCTTCCAGAACACTTACTGTACTTTTAATTTAAAAACATAGACCATGCTAAGGGGGCAAACATATGTTTGTATGTATGCAAATGATTCTGGTAACGTTCCAATTGAACATTAACTGAAACTATTGATCTTCTTAAACCAGAACTAACATTAATTGAAACTATTGATCTTCTTAAATCAGAGCTAAGTTCTCAAAGATAACCTATTGAAATCGAATAATTTTAACTATTTGGAAAGGAATAATATTTTCATTATGATTTAATGCTCTCATTGTATCTATCACCATTTTTCAATAGAGAAAGAGAATTCTAAGAAAATAAGTCATGAGTAGGAGGATGAAAAATTGGAAGAGGCCAGCATATGCAGTAACTATTAAAAGTATGTGATATGTGGTCTAGTGGGGTGCCCAGGACCATGCCAGACCAATTGAAGTCCCATATTAGGAGCTACATAAGAGGGTAGAGGATATGCCCTGTGGCTTTTGACACATGGATGTCCATTTGTAAGTGTGCAGTAAGGGCCTATGGATTTATTATGGGAATGAGTTGGGCTCTGAAGATTCCAGCTATCATGGAGGAGACTGATAAAGACTATCCTGGCCTACTTCAACCTAACTTTTACCCTATGGCTGACCCTATCATAAAATGTAAAAGCTCAGAGACAAATCACAGCATGTGTTGCTTAAGGACAGGATTCGTTCTGAAAAAATGCATCATTAGGTGATTTCATTATTGTGTGAACATCATCAAGTGCACTTACACAAACCCAGATCATACAACCTACTACACACTTAGGCTATGTGATATAACCTATTGCACCTAGGCTACAAACCTATATAGCATGTTACTGTACTGAATACAATGGGCCATTATAACACAATAATAAGTATTTGTGTATCTAATATAGATAAAGATACAAAGATACAGTAAAAATATGGTATTATAACCTTATGGGACCACCTTCTGATCTGTGTGATCCATTGTTGACTGAAAATTGATTATGCAGCACATGAATGTATATCAGGTAGCATGCTTTTGCATGGAAGTAGCCAAAGAAACAACTAAAATAATCTAAACAGCAAGCATATGTATTAATAGATAATAAGAAGTGCAAAATTAGGTAGTTCCATTAAGAAGTCAAAACCTTTCTTTATGTATATGTTTAAGAACAAAGAAATTTTCCCAGAGCCTCTTAGCAGACTTCCTCTCTTGTCTTATTGGCCATAATTGCATCACATATTCCACCTGAACTAATTACTAGTAGAAGGAATTAGACTACCATGATCGGATTTGGTCAGTCATTACTGGTGCTGGTGCCTATCCTCTCTGAAGATTAAGGTCCCTCAGAGGATGGTAAACAAAATCTAGATTCCATTAGTAATGAAGATAAAGGAGTGGAAGTGAGTAATGGTTGTTAGGTAGTTACAAAGCAATGAATGCTATGCAAACTTAAATAAATCATAGTCACCACTTGGACACGCAAAGAATGCTTTCTGCTTTATTATTGTTTGAGAAATTGAAATCTGAGGGCTTATCATTTTTTAAAAAATGTCAATGTTTCATGCATTTATATGTCCTCTGTGACATTTACACCTCCAAATGACTTTTAAAATCTGTGTATTAGAAAGAGTTTAAAGTTAAGCCCTATCCTCTTGGATTCTTAAAATTTCTGAACCCTGAGGGAACATAATCCTACAGATTTCTTGGCTTCAAGATTCAAAAGCAAAAGCACATATGATTATATTTAAGAGGCTGCATTTCACTAGGATTACAAAAATCAGTAGCATATTTAAGCTTCATGTTACAGAAAATAGAACATGTTCAGCCATTTGATCACATCTGGCATTCTTTCAAGCATATGCCTCTTAGAGTGCAGTAACCTAGAATTGCCTTTTGTCCTTCCCAGCTTTAGATCTACATTTGTAAAGTGTTATATATCAAAAAATTAACTTCTAGTCAGAAGTTTGTAGTTGAATCCTCATTCTACTGCTCAACTAGCTGTTAAACCTCTACAATGTACTTAGATTTCTGGAAACTCAACTGCCTCAATTTGCCTGAAATACCCTTGGTTTTAAAAATACATTAAAATAAAACTTTTATCTATATAAGATCATCTTTCTGAATGCCAGGTCTTTAAGCCACCTTGCCCAACGTTTCTTTCATGCCTGAGAGACTCTTCTAATGAGCACAGTAAGGGTTCTCCTCCTTATGATTTTTTTCTATTCCCTTGTCTTCTTTTGTTCTTTTCTCTGCTTTTTGTTATGTCTTGGCTTAAAAGATGTAGTAGATACATTAATTTGAAAATTATTTTCCAAATCACCTGCAGATATGTTCTTAAGCTTCATTAACTCTCTAACTTTTTTCCTGCAGAAAACAACAACAAAAACAACAGTATAAAATCAGCTTCGTTTCTTCTCCATCCTCAGCAGCAGTTATTTGCTCCAAGGATGTAGATGAGAAGCTATTTCCAAAGCCATCACAGCCCGCAAGTAAAAACCGTTTGTAATTCTCATCTGGAGGCTATAAACGCAAGCAAGCCTGCCGCAGCTCTCTTCAGTTGCTGACAGTCTAATTTTGAATGTTCTGCCACCAGAGGGAACTGGAGTTGTAAGATTTTACAATGCCTCACAAGTGCTGTATATACCTAATGAAATATGGGTTGCTTAATGAGACGAATGCTGTTAAACTTGGAAATTTTCACATAAAATTTTCAGAGGGATTAATTGTATTAAATATCTCTAGAGCTGTTATTAGTCATTTTATTGGAAAGAGATCTTTTCATTGATCCCTTTTCTTCACACAGATTTCTAAATTTCTATAAAATTCTGTAATATTCATCCATGAAAAGATTTATAGTGGAAATAATTGGTAGGAATCATGAAAAGGTAAAAATCTCACAGGAATGATAAAAGTTATATATATAGTATAATTTTCAATTAAAAGTGGGAAGCTGATTAATTTTTAAATATTCTTTCAAGATTTAGACAATTCTCTAACTCTGTTTCATATTATAGAGTGAAGAAGTTATATAGTATGTAAAACTTGCAAGAATATGACTAGCTGAAATGATACTGCCATGGATCTATTGAAGATAACTATATTTGGAACACATCAAGCATTCTGATTTAGTATAGCAATAAAGATAAATCTACTTTTTCCATAACTTCATTTTACCCAGACGTCCTTTGAAAGATGTCTGCAGTAAAATGTCCACCTCTTAATATGCAGTGATGACTCAGCAATTTTTCTTATGCTCTATTTTTTTTGTAGTATTGCAGACTTTTGCCCTCTCTTTTTTTTCTTCTAAACTTAGTGTTTTACTTTGTTTTGGCTTTGTTTTTAATATGTAATAGCAGCATCAAGCAGACTGTATGAAAAACATAAAGATCGCTTTTCAGATATAAAAGCATCATAAAGTTGTACATCAAAGCCAGCTTTTTTCTTATTTTACAAATATCTCTCAGTGTGTGTCCCAGAATTGTCTCAGGATTACTGGCAGCAGCATCACCAGGAGCTACTGGTTAATATTCAGATTTCTAGCTTCAACCCTAGATCTATTGACTCTGCATTATGAATATCCAGCCTTCACATGGTTCTCATGCACACCAAAGTTTAAGAATTACTTTTCTGGAAAATGTATGTAGTCCCTGATAATTTAACTTCTTGAACATTATCTATGCCTAACTCTTGGTTATCAGCATTTTCATGGTCAGTACATGTTATCTTCTTTCAGCTCATGCATTTCATATTCTCTGGTCATGTTTATGTGGATGACTCCCAAGTGACTCTCTAGACAGACATGTCACTTATTTGAAACAGTTAGGTTATGCTCCCTTGGAAAATTCATTCTGCAGGCAAACCTTATATCATTCTTTTTTTTTTTTTTTTTTTTTTTTTTTTTTTTTTTTTTTCAGAGACAGAGTCTTGCTCTGTCACCCAGGCTGGAGTATGGTGGCATGATCATAGCTCACTGCAGCCTTGAACTCCTGAGATCAAGCTATCCTCCTACCTCAACCTACCAAGTAGCTAGGACTACAGGTTCGCACCACCATGCCTGGCTATGTTTGTAAAATTTGTGTAGAGGTGTGATCTTGCCGTGTTCCTTAGGCTGGTCTTAGCTGGCTGCAAGTGATCCTCCCCATCTGCCTTCCAAAATACTGGGGTTACAGGCATAAGTCATGGCTCCCAGACCCAAACCTTGTTTTATTCTTTATTGTGTCTTCTTGAGTCATCTTTTGCCACCAGTTTGTGTTAAATAAATTTAAAAAAATGTATTGCTGCATCAATTTCCCAACAAGTAATCTTATTCCCTTACTCCCTGACTTCCAATACATGCTACATGGAAAATCTTCCGAAAACTTCCTGTCATCTGTTATATTTTCCCTTTACAAGGACTTTTTGATACCTCTTACATCCTAGATTCCATTGGACTTGGATAGGTATCTTTATATCTCCTACATACAATATCAACCCTACCACCTGGTTGTCAAGTTATTCTTCCAACTCACACACTTCCTTTTTCCAACTGTTATCTTTGCTTTGCCCTCTCATTGTCCTTTACAAGTGTCTGATCAAATCTCTACAAAGAATAGATAAATCCCCAGTGCTCCCAGAAAGTCTTCTCTACGTCATCTCTGTTAGGTCATGTTAAATGTTCACATGTGCCTCTGTATCTTCCTAACTCTGCTTTTAACACAGAGACCAAGACTTATTATATTTTTGAACATCCTACATCATGTAGCTATGTACTAAATCTACAGAAATTGCTCAACATTGGTTGATTATTTTAGGTGATGCTAAAAAAATAAAAAATAAATAAATAAAAAAGACCTCCTCCTAGTTTCCTTTATATTCCAGACTACAGATAGAAATATATGCATTCAATGTCATCACTTTAATTATAATATTGGTTGCATTTATTTGACACTGTTGATATCTTTAGTAAAGCTTAAATCACTGCCTTCTAATATTTTCTCATTAAAAATTAGTTTTGTGACAAATTAAGCTGCAAACATTGTAAATTTTATGTTATGGTAAATGTCACGTAATTTGAACTGAAGAAGTTAAATCAAATGTGCTTTTTTGGCTTGAAAGGACTATTGACTTACTTAGTGAGAAAAACAGATGCCCTACTGGAGGACAATAATGTTCAAAATAATCCACTTCTTTGAGATCGGGTCTTGCTCTGTTGCCGAGGCTGGAGTGCCGTAGCTCAATCAGGGCTCACTGCAGGTTTGACCTCCTGGGCTCAAGTGATTCTCCCACTTGGGCCTTTCAAAGTGCTGGGATTACAGGCGTGAGCCACCACCCAGCCATAACCCACTTTTGACAAATTGATTATATCCTTTCAGAGGAAGGGTGGCTTGGTTTGCAGTGACACACAGCAGTCCCCACGTCTCTTCTAGGGCTCTGTCCAGGCTACACATGTATTTCTCTTGCTTAGTAATGACAATAGGGAGTATGATTGTCATTTTGGGTGATGGATAAAAATCAGGAAGGCATAGGGGCTTGGTTCCTTCAGAAAGGAGTGGGTTGGCAGAGGAAGAGAATTAACCAGACCAAAACAGCTCTATATGAGGAAGATACTCAAGATGCAAGGTGACTGGGTTCCAGGAATATAGAAATAAGTGAGGGACGTTTTTTGTAAGGAGAGAAGCCTGTAAAAACTCAGAAGAAGCCAAAGAACCACGCTTCAAAAAGAGCAGGGATAGTAGTAGCACACACTTTCCAGAGGAGATGGCACTTTAGAAGGCCTTATTCCTTTAGATTGAGCAGCAAGCAGCCTGAAGGAGTACTAAGGAATTCAGCTGGGGGACCTTTGCTAGTGCCCTGCCATTAAATTGTCTCAGCTGTTCTCTGAGTGTCTGCTCAATTATTTGCTCATTGTAGACTATGTCATCTCTTCCTACTCTGTTTATCTTTTTCCTGCCTCAGAGTATGTCTGGAAAGTAGGTTTTTGCTACCTTTATTTTACAGATGAGGAAAAAAAATGTTCAAAGAAATTAGATATTATTCCCCCAAGGCCACCTAAGTAGCAGGTGGTAGGACTGAGATTCAAACAAATTCCATCTGATTCCTAAAGCAGTGCTCTTTCCTTCATAGCCCACTGTCTATAAGCAGAGATGGTGTTCAAAATATTAAACATTAAGTACCACATTTACCCTTGTTTGTTGTTGAGCTTCATTAGTAATATACTGAACTACTCAAGATTAATATTGTGGTCAGTACTATGAAAGAGAAACTGCACCAGCCCAGTCAAACAGTCAAAGAGGATTTTAGCCAAGACTTGAAAGGGGAAACAATATCACAATATTATGATATTTGAACCAACTCTGATTTGTTGGTTGGCAGATTTGGCAGACTGAACCAACTCTGCCAAAACAAAAGGGGAAAGGATTTTTAAACAATGGGGTGAGTGTGTTAGGCTGTTCTTACATTACTATAAAGAAATACCTGAAACTGGGTAATTTATAAAGAAAGAGGCATAATTGGCTCACAGCTCTGCAAGCTGTACAGGAAGCATGGCACCAGCATCTGTTTGGCTTCTGAGGAAGCCTCAGGGAGCTTTTACTAATGGCAGAAGGTGAAGGAGGAGCAGGCCCATTACATGGCAAGAACAGAAGCAAGAAGCTGGGGAGGTGCTACACACTTTTAAGCAACCAGATCTCACATGAACCCAGAGCAAAACCTCACTCATCACCAAGGAGATGGTGCAAAGTCATTCATGAGGGATCTGCCCCCTTGATCCAAACACCTGCCACTAGGCCCACCTCCAACACTGGAGGTCACATTTCAGCATGAGATTTGGAGGGGACATCAAAATCATGTCGGTGAGCTAATGGAAAAGTTCTAGAGGATGTTAGGGGGAGGTTGGTCAATATGATTGGGCTGCCTGTTTTTGCTAATTGTCACTTATGAAACTCAGGCTCCTACCCTTTTACAGATACTGGGAGATAGGGACACTATCTTGTTTAATGATTACGTTTCAAAGAGATGACTCCAGGTTTTTCAGAAAGTAATTTCTGGATTGTAGAAGATTTACATCTCAAGGAGACAGAGAAAGGAGTTACATCTGTGAATTTTCTAAAGAAAATGCTCTAAGAAAAGGGAAGTCAAGGGCCTATAGTGAGGAAGAAACCTGTCTGAAGTCTAGTCCAGCTGAGGGGCCTGTTAATGCATTCTTGGTCAATGCCCATTGTTAAATATTTTAAGTACCAGACTGTGAGCCACTTAAGGGTAGTATTTTCAGTTAAATTCTTCCTTGTATCATTATAGCATGTAGCTCTGTATATATATATACATTTTAGATGATCAGCACATATGTTGAATAAATGAATACAGGCACACCATGGACATATTACAGAGTTGGGTCCAGACCACCACAATAAAGTGAATAGCACATTAGAATCACAGTTTGTTTTGTTTCCCGGTGTATATAAAAGTTATGTTTACATTGTACTATAGTCTACTAAGTGTGTGATGGCATTATGTCTAAAAAAACACAATGTATGTATTTTAACTAAAAAATTTTATTGCTAAAATAGGCTAACAATCATATAAGCCTTCAGCAAGTCATAATCAATGTGCTGATGAAGGGTCTTGCCTCCCTATTGATGGCTGCTGACTCATCAGGGTGGTAGTTGCTGAAGGTTGGGATGGCTGTGGCAATTTCTTAAATAAGACAAGCAATCACATTTTGCTGCATCAATTGACTCTTTCTTTCCTGACAGATTTCTCTGTAGCAAGTCATGCTGTTTCATAGCATTTTACCTACAGTAGAACTTCTTTTGAAACTGGAGTCAGTCCTCTAAAACCCTGGCACTGCTTTATCAACTAAGTTTATATATTTTATTAATATTATTATTATTATTATTTTAGACAGAGTTTCACTCTATCACCCAGGCTGGAGTGCAGTGTGCAATCCCAGCTCACTGCAACCTCCACCTCTTGGCTCAAGCAATCCTCCTACCTCAGCTTCCCAAGTACCTGGGACCACAGGGGTGTGCCACCACACTGGACCAATTTTTGAATTTTTTTGTAAAGATGAGGTTTCGCCATGTTGTCCAGGTTGGTCTTGAACTTCTGGGCTCAAGCGATCTGCCTGCCTTGGCCTCCCAAAGTGTTGGGATTCCAGGCATGAGCCACTGCATATTATGTAATATTTAAATCATTTATTGTCATTTCAACAATATTCACAGTAACTTCACAGGGGTAGATTCCATTTCAAGAAACCACTTTCTTTGCTCCTTCATAAGAAGTAATTCCTCATGTGTTTATCTGTTCAAGTTTTTCATGAAATTGCAGCAAATTGTTCACACAATGTATGCATCTTAATTTAAAATATTTATTGCTAAAAAATTCTAACAATCATCTGAGCCTTCAGAAAGTTATAATTAATTTGCTGGTGGAGGCTCTTGCATCAAAATTGATGGCTGCCAGCTGATCAGGGTGGTGGTTGCTAAAGGGTGGAGTGACTTCAGGCTCCACTTCTAATTCTAGTTTTCTTGCTATTTCTACTACATAAGCAGTGACTTCCTATACTGAATTCTTGAACTCCTCAAAGTCATCCCTGAGGATTAGAATTAACTTCTCCCAAGCACACGTTAATGCTGATATTTTGACCTCCTCCCATGAGTCACAAATGTTCTTAATGGTGAATCCTTTCCAGAAAGTTTTCAATTTTACTTTGCCCAGATCCACCAGAAGAGTCACAATCTATGACAGCAACAGCCTTACATAATGTATTCCTCAAATAATAATACTTGAAAGTCGGAATTACTCCTTATTCCATTGACTGCAGAATGGGTGTTAGCAGGCATGAAAACAACATTAATCTCCTTATAGATCTCCATCAGAGCTTTTGGGTGACCAGGTGCATTGTCAAGGAGCAGTAATATTTTGAAAGGAATCTTTTTTTCTGAGCAGTAGGTCTCAAACATTGGGCTTAAAATATTTAGTAAACCATGCTTTAAACAGGCATGCTGTCATCTAGGCCTTGTTTTCCACTAATAGAACACAGGCAGAGTCGATTTAGCATCATTCTTAAGGGCCCTTTTTTAGACTTGTAGAATAGTAAGTGAACACTGGCTTCAACTTAAAGACACCAGCTGTGTTGGCCCCTAGCAAGACAGTCAGCCTGTCCTGTGATGCTTTGAAGGCAGACATTGACTTCTTCCTAGCTGTGAAAGTCCTAGATGACATCTTCTTCCAATAGGCTATTTTTGTCTACATTGAATGTCTGTTGTTTAATGTAGACACATTCATGAATGATCGTAGCTGCATCTTCTAGATAACTTGCTGCAGCTTCACATTAGCACCTTGTACTTTTAAGTTATTGAAATGGTTTACATCCTTAAACTTCATGGACCAAACTCTGTTAGCTTCTAACTTTTCTTCTTAAGCTTTCTTATCTTTTTCAGCCTTCAAAGAATTGAAGCAAGTTAGGGCCTTGCTCTGGATTAGGCTTTGGCTTAGGAGAATGTTGTGGCTTGTTTGATCTATCCAGACAACTAATACTTTCTCCATATTATCAAAAAGGCTGTTTTGACTTCTTATCATTTGTATGTTCACTGGAGTAGCACTTTAAATTTTCTTCAAGAACTTTTCCTTGGAATTCATGATTTGGCTAACTGTTTGCTACAAGAGGGCTAGCTTTTGATCTATCTCATCACTAGATATGCCATCTTTACTACTTAATCATTTCTACTTTTTGACTTAAAGTGAGAGACTTGTGACTCTTCCTTTCACTTCAACACTTAGAGGATATTGTAGGTTATTTGTTGTCCTAATTTCAGTGTCATCATGTCTCAGGGAATAGGGAAGCCTGAAGAGAAAGAGAGAGAGGAAAAAGTGGTTGGTCAGTGGAGCAGTTAGAACACTTACAGCATTTATCGATTAGGTTCATTGTATCATATGGGCATGGTTCATGGTGCCCCAAAATGATTATAATAATAACATCAAAGATCACTGATCACAGATCACAATAACAGACATAATAATAACAAAAAAGTTTGAAATATTGTGAGAATTACTAAAATGTGACGTGGAGACACAAAGTGATCATGTTGGAAAAATGGCACTGATAGACTTGCCTGGCATCGTGTTGACACAACCTTCAATTTGTAAAATACACAAATATCTGCAAAGTGCAATAAAGTGAAACACAATAATACAAAATATGCCTGTAAATAAAGAAAGTATGCATTTTAGTTTTAGCATAATTCTGTTGGATGCCAACAATAATTGAAAAAAAATATATAATATAATATATATATGGATCCCTGTTTGTAATGATGTCATTTTGCATTTAGATGCCCTGTGAACCACGGCCACATTTCCTAATCTGGTTCCTCACGGAAAACCATGTGCTTAAATTGCTTCCCTGTGGGGAAGCGGATGTTGTTCCATGATCTAATAAATAATGATCTAATAAATTTGAAAAATTCCAGGATAGCCCCCTCTAGTCTCTAACCAGCAGCATTAGCATCACCCAGGAAACTTTAGAAAGTTCCTGTGCCAAACCCAATCAGAATCAGAAACTCTGAAGGTAGTACAGATTCAAAGGTAATCTGTGTTTTACTAAGCCTTCCAGGTAGGGTTGCCAGATAAAATAGTGGATGCTCAGTTAAATTTGAATGTCAGATAAACAATAAGTGTTTTTCAGTATAACTGTGTTCTAAATATTTCATGGGACATACTTATATTTAAAAAGTGATTCATTGCTTGACTGACACTCAAATTTGAGTGAGTGCCCTGTGTTTTTGTTGGCTAACTTTGGTAACCTACCTCCAGGTGGTGAGTCTCATGTGCATCAAGGCTGAGAACCATGGCACCCCAGGATTATGACTTCTGTTGAACTGCATTTACTCCTATGTTCAATTGGTCGAATCAGGGAATTTTGTTGTTGTTGTTGTTGTGTTTTGTTTTAATAAGCAGTTTTTTATTAGTACCATAATTATCTCAAGAGCAGATAGTAATAAACAAACATCAGAACACATTTCCTAAGAGGAACAGGTTTCAAAATGCCTAAGAGAGCTTTGCATAAGGGGAACAGTGAAGGCATGTCTGATTGTGGAACACTGGGGAGAACAGAAATTTGGGGGCAAGGAGATAAAGTGAGCCATACTGTAACAAAAGTTCTGTTTTTCTTCCATAAAGCAGAAAAAACAACAACAACAACAATCGAACACCCCACCATCTATAGTGTATTTACTCTGAAGAAAAAAAAAAGAAACAAAATTCTGGAAACAATTCTGACGACAAAATGGCCAGGTTCAGGCTGATCAATGAAAACCCACTTAAATTTCACTCTACTTTGCAACCATTCAATTTTTAAGCCTTCTTGAAATAAGTTGCAGAAAACCCCCAAGAGCAAGAGAAACTTTATATACTTCTATTTTACTTATTTCCTCTTGAATCTTCTTATAAAGAACAAACATGTCTCTGGGCTGAGAAAATTGTTTCCTGGAACATGGGGAGCCTCATACTAAGAAATAAGAATAGCTCCAGGATCTAAATTAGAGATTCAGTACTAATTTTCTGTGGCTAATTGGCTAAGTGTCTTTGAAAGAGGTATTGCAGCCTTCAAAACTATTTTTTTTTGGCCTACCATCTTAAGGGTGATTTAAGAACAAAACAACAAAACAAAGAAAAAAGGCATCCCTACGTAAGACTCTGTTATCTTGGTATGACTAATTTTTCCTACAGAATGAGAGATACGTTTAACTAAATTCAGCTGAAAGAATATTTGCTGAATTGGCTTGCCTGAGCCAAGTATCATGGTAAAACCTGTTGCCTAGTATTTAACCACAAAAACCTCCAGAAATTTGGAAAAAGAACTTTAATAGAGAGACCAAAATTACTGTAGGAATAGAGCTAGGCTAGAGTTAGTGCTACTGAGTATCTTTCTTGCTGTTTGGCGAAGGAAAATTATATGGATAGATATCTTCTGGTATATATTATCATTGCTCTCGAATTCGAGTGGTGGCATTTTGGCAGAAAATGTAAAGAGGAGCAGGAGATTGTGAATTAACTCAATTAACTAGATCATTTGTCTGAACTAAAACTCTATGTTTTGTTTAAGTCATAGAGTACTATGGTATTAGATTAATACTATATTTAAACTTATAGAAATCCTAAAAAATATTCATAACCATAAAGTATATTTTAACATTGAAATTATTTCTCAGAAATCATAACCTTAAATTGATACTGTTGTTAAAGAGGGCTCAGTGCATTGCATTGTTTCTGCTTTGAAAACAATATTATTAGTAGTAATATCATAGTTGCTGATATTAAATGGATACAAGTTCGGTGAACTAATTAAAGATTAAAGCAGAAAATCTTTACTGTGGCATTAAATCAATCCATAGTTTCAGAATTCATTATGCTAAGCGTTCTAGTAATTAAGGAGCACTTAAATGAAACACATGCAGATAAATTAAAACTGAATTTCGCAAGCTGAAGCTTGTAATGGAATCCTAATAGAGATATACATAAAATATATTCCACTAAAGACTGTGCCATTTAGTTGCCGCATGGTTTAACACAGAAATTACTGGTGCCACCTATTGGTCAAAGAGTAGAATTCCAACAGGTGTTTAATAAAAGTAATAATCAGAGATTTCATTACAAGACAATGGGTTTCATAAAGTGAATGTACCAGTGTTATTTCTTGGTGTTGAAATTATACTTAAGTTTTAATACATACATTTTAGGTGATATATAAAATGACTATGTAAGTATTTGCTAACTTTAAAAACCAGGAATAATAATTCATAAAAATGGTTTTTGTATATATAGTTTTAAACCACAACTCAGTGTTTTTGTTTAAATTACTCTGCAGTAAACCTAGACATTAAACCAGTGTGGTTCTCATTAAAATGTCCAAAAAAGCATTCCAGTGCCATGACCCCATCTCAAACTAATTAAATCAGAATCCTTTGAAGACTGTGGTGGGGAGAGTTTGTGAGGGGGCAGCCATCAGTGTTTTTTTGGAAGTACTTGAGAAAATTTTAACAAAGAGTCAAGTTTGTTAATCACTTTTTTGAAACCAGCAACTTAATATAAAATCTGGTTTCTCATCAATAAAAACGATGGAGGGGTGTGGTGGCAACCGTTAAAATCTCTTTTACCTCTATTATCCAACAGTCTTCACAAAAAAAAAAAAAAATCACTCACACCATAGCAAGCATCCTGCAGAAATATTTGTTTTCCTTATTATCCCTAGCATAGGAAAATAAATCACCCACATTTAAAAAACTTCTCTAAGAAAAATTGTTTTTATAAGGTTATGTAAACAAATCTGGCTTCTTCAAAGCTAACTATGTTGTTGAAGGGCTTTATAAAAGCTTTATAAAGCCAGAACACAAGGCAAGCTGATTCCAATTATTTAGTATGTGTCAGAGGTGCCAGATTTACAGCCTCAGAGGCTTAAGTCCATTACCCACCAAATGATGTACTAATGGAGTTCTATGGTGCCTCATTCACCAAGTGCTAGACGTAAAATGCTGATATAAAACATGTTCTCTAGACTCCGGAAGCTGACAGTCCATGAGGGGAGATGAAGTTGACATATATGTGATGGCACAGAATGCTATATGATTGTGTTTTCAGTATGTAGAATCGTCAATATGTGCTGTCCCGGAGTTCAGAGAAGATGGAAATCCATGAAGGCTAGCTTCATCAAGGGAACCCTAGGAAGAAAATTGCAACTTATTAGCACAGAGCTGTTAGGTGAGACTGTATAGCATTTTAAGGGAGAAAGTTCAGAGACTGGAATCAAAGAGAGCCATAAGTTGGATGTTGGGATCTGTGAAGACAGAGAGGAAGCAGTAAAGGAAATAGGGGAGTTAGAAAAGGATGAAGAAAAAAATACCAAGATAGTGTAATATTATTGAAACAAACTAAGGAAGAGCAGTTTCAAAACAGTGGTAAATTGGTAGTGTCAAATGTAGCTGAAATAACAGGGAAAGTGGTATGAAGAAACTAGAGAATGTGGGAAAGAAAAACCACAGGGTAGAATATTATAGAATAATACAGGATAATGCTGTAAGGGGTTATGATGCTATTTATTCTTATCCTAGTTAAAAAAAAATAACTAAGACTCAGACATATATGATTCTCCCCAGACCACACAGCTAGCTAATTAATGGCAGAGATCCTGGCATGTGTCACTGATGAGTATCAAATAAAGATGTATACATATGTCACCTGTATAACACTTGAAGTCATTCTTCTGAAAATTTCCTCTACAAGGATCTGTCTCATTCTTCTTTGTATCCCCTATCTTGCCTAAAAAGGAAGTGGGTAGTCAATAAGTACTGAAATGTTAAATGATTGAGAAAAGTTATAATCATAATTGATGATCACAGATTGCTTCAATCTTAGCCAATAGTACCATTCTCTGGAATGACTTCTCTCAGTTAGGAAACTGATCATCTAAACAAGGTGAATATGTAATCACCCAACAGTTTCGTCCCGCCCACTACGCAGACAAAACCAATTCACTGAGACTGTGGCATTGCAGTAAAGGAGTTTGACTCAAGGCTGGCCATGCCACAGAAAAGACAGAGTTATTACTCAAATCAATTTCCCCAAAGGCTCAGAGGTTAGGGTTTTTATGGACAAATTGGTGGGCAGGGAGCTGGAGAATGGGTGCTGCTGACTGGTTGAAGATGAAATCATAAAGATGTGGAAAATGGTTTTCATATGCTGAGTCCTTCTCTGGGTGGGGCCGCAGGACAGGTTGAGTCATGCGTCATAGGCCCAGGTGGGGTCAGTTGGTTGCCAAAAAGTCTGAAAAAGAATCTCTAAAAAAGTCTTAAGTTTTACAGAAGTGATGTTTTTTATAGGAGCAACTGGGGAACTCACAAAACTTGTGACTTCTGGCCACATGACTCCTGAGCAGTCAGGGATTATGGAAACTATAGAAATTTATCAGAGTTCAGGCCCCTCCTATAATCTTATTCTTGTGGCCTTTCATTAGTCTTACAAAGGCTGTTTTCAGCAAGGAGGGGGTTATTTTTTAAAGAAGGGCTATTATCATCCTTGCTTTTAAGTTAAACTATAAACTAAATTTCTGCTAAATTTAGCTTGGCCTATAACCAGGAATAACCAAAAACAGCTTGGAGATCACAAGCAAGATGGGGTCAACTATGTCACATTTCTCTTGCTGTTATAATTTTGCAAAGGCAGTTTCATAAACATTACAATCAATATACATAGCACCAAAGGCATTTTTATGTATAGGTGTTAAATATTATCAGTTTTGTACTCCACCCACATTGATTTTTATTTTGAAAAGGTGATAAGCCTGAAGTATATTTTTCATTTATTATTTATTTTTATTTTTTCCAAACATTGAGCACTTACTGAGTAAACAAAGAGCCTTGCACCTGAGAAATTCTTAGCCTGGCAGAAGAGACAGGCATTTCAGTCTTCTACCCAGAAATTCTGAGCAACCCATATTTCATCAAAATGATAGAAATAAGCAGCTATATGAGACTCCAATTTTGTTATCCACCCATAATAACTGTTACTTATTGCTCTTTTATTTTAAAAAGTTAGTTCCACTAGGGATTGAGTTGCTCCATTAAATGCCTTTAAAATGTGGTTTGCTAAGTGATCATTTCTATCTTGGTAGGACTTCAATTAAGCTGTTCTCAAAAAGCGGAGAGAACTGCTAACAATGCCTCACTTCAGTATATTTACCTTCTGCTTTCTTGTATTGTAAATTCAGATTCCAGCTGGGGATTTGACTTCCAATAAAAGCGTATTGAAATTTACTTTTCCTTCCCTCTTTCATCAACTCCACCATTTCCCGTGATTGTGGGAATGACGTGGGGAAGAGCATTTTGAAAACAATGTGAAACGTGTTTAAGTGCTTTTTAAACAAGGCATTATTTGATGTGTGGTTGAAACTCTCTGGGAGCTAATAGGGCTAATAACAACCTTCTCCTGTCATCATCTATCCTGTGCCCCATGTCACGGTGTTGAGGCAGAGGCCAGCACAGCGACCCCCTGTGAAATTAGCTGTTATGTTATTTCTTTCTGGTGGTGTTGACAGTTGAAATCTTCTGTCAGATCTAAACTCAGGCACTTGCCATACAGAACTTCAGAGACCCAAAAAGGCCACAAATACTAAGCTGATCCACTGAAATTAAAGGGAAACATAGAGATAATCCAAAAGAAGCTAAAATATCTCTAGTATACTTCAGTCTGCGGTTTCTATTTAAAACTTTAAAAAATCCCAAATTAAAAATCATTTAATGTCACATTCTCTGTGATGCTGGGACAATTGTTATGAGTAATATGGTTTTGAAGGCTAGCTTACTTTGAACCATGTTAAAGGTTAGCGTTTCCAACGCTAGGAAAGCTACATATTTATAAATAGCAGCTAAGAAAAAGCATGAAGATTCTTAATACATCGTCAATGCCTTTGGCCCTTTACAATAAAAATATATTAAACTATATAAGTTCTGTTTATTAGATTATATTTGTGATGATGGTCACTGTATAAATCTGAGTTGTCAGTATTATTTTGCTTTGTTTTATTTTCATACAAGACATTTCCAGTGTTGAGGTTCAGATAACAGTACCCAAAAGTATGGCATTCTGGCATGCTGAGTGTTTTGAACTAAAGAAAATTAAAAGGCCTTAGAAGCAGCTGCAGAATGGAGAACTTTAACCTTCTCCTGCTTCTACCTCCAAGCACAGGATAGAACTCCTCTGTCTCTGAAGTTCTCTTATCTGAAGCTTCTCCAGAAGGAGCACAATGGCCTTCAGTCTCCTCCCTGAAATATCATTGACCAGGGGCGATTAAACTCATACTGTAGGAAGGAAAACTGAAGAATGTCATCACACCTAGGCTTTTTCAGAAGCTATTGCCTGCCCTCCAGTCCCATTTAATTTCCAAAGAGAATCATTTACAAATTATTTTCTGCCTATTAAATTATCCTAAAAATTGCTTACTACTCCTCAACATTGCCTTTATTTTCCCATCTGCATTTCTCCTATGAAGAGGGTGTTATTTAAGCTTCAGCCATCCAGCCCCTCTTTGAGTCTCAAATTTTGTATGATTCCCATGCTTACGCACATTAATAACTTTCTATGTCTTTTCTCCTTCTATCTGTCTATTGTCAGTTTATTTCCACAGACTCGAACCTTCAGGAGGGGAGGGAAAATTCTCTTTGCCCCTACACCTGATATAGCCAATTTTGATTTCTGTATAGATGAAAGAGTATGGCAGCAACTTAAGCAACTAAACTGCATTGTAAACTATTGGCAACATAGACAAGTTCTATTATAAACTTTCATGGCTAACCACATAAGGCAACCCCGAGCCAGCACGCTGGCACTGTTCTACCTCTCTTTCTAGTCAGCCCACTTAGGTTTTGCTGTTGGTTACAGTGTTAAGTCCTGCACAAAGAAACCCCATCAGTGGGCAAGAGGCTGGGTCAGAGAGGCCCCTTTTCCTAAGACACACATGCTGAGAGAGCCAGTCTCTAAGTTGCCTGAAGGCTTTGTTAACAAACCAAACTGGGGTCCCCTTACCCAGTGCAGTAAAGTCAGACACTGATGCAGAGATTTGCAGCAGGAGAAAGGGCATTTATGCATGGTGCCAAGCAGGGAGAATAGAGTTGGCTAACACTTAAGACCTGAGCTCCCCATTGGCTGACAAGCAAGGGTTCTTAAAGGCAGGGGTACATTTCGGGAAAGGGGAAATTGCAAGCAAAATCATAAATCGATACATGGAGGTGTTAGGTTGGTCTGGTCCATACCTGTGACTCTCTCCAGGGTCCTCAGGAAGAAATTCGAAACAAAGATGATCAAAGTTCAGTCCTCAGTTCCCCCTTATCTGAAGTCTGTATCATTCCCCCTTATCTGAAGTCTATGTGATAGACCTCATTTTCCATCTGGTAGGAGTTTCTGAAAAATAACTCAAGAACGTATGTTAAGATGTTATCCTTTAGTTTCTTTAGGGAACCAAAGCATTGTTTGACTCTGGCTTGCTTTGGGGGGGTGTCTGTCAGGTTCCTAAGAAGGGTTCCTGCTTTGTCTCAACTTTCCATATGCTCTAGTAGCCCTGACCATAGTCACCTTGACCAACTGTTTAAAAAGTTTCCCGAGTATGGGGCAGTTTAATTTTACAAGGAGTTCTTAAAGACTATTAAGAAAAATGTTGCCATGTCATGTAGCTGGCTTCTCTAATGATGGACGGCAATGGGTTAAGCCAGAGAAAAGACTTTTCTTACCAGACATTTCACATTACATCACCTGGGCAGTTGCCTATTTTAGCTTTTCAAACCAGACCTTCCCCTACTCCCCTTAGTGGGGAAATTAGCTGTGGAGAACAGAGAAGTGCTCTCATTTAACTGCTCAGTAATCAGATAATCTTCTGTGGGTAATCAGGGTTGGTTATAAAGTAATTTGGGAACAAATGACACTGTGATGGTTTGGAAAAATAAGGGTATCTTTAGCTCATGATAAATTTAGCTCCCACAGTGTGTGAGATGAGCAAAAAGTCACACCCGTTAGTATATGAAGACTTTTCTGAACAAAGTGATCAGAGAGGAGGGTGGGGGTGGGGGTGGGGGTGGGGTGGGCAGGGAGGGATATGATGTTTGAGTCACTAAGCTCATGCTCCACTGTGCACCATATGGGGTCAGGATCCTGGCTCCTGCAATACCAGTGACCAACAACGTTTATTCATGCCACTCCATCCTCCAGCTCTGGAGATACATCTCCTTGTAACTGCATGAAGTAGTGAGAGAGGGGGTTAGAGATTTTGGTGTTAATAGATAAATAAATTTGCAGAAAAAATCATTATTTTTAACTTTCCACTTTGTTAAATTCTCTCTGTAGTTATTATTGATAAGTAAAATTGCCACAAAATATTTTCAGCTTACAAAACAGCACAAAATAGAAAACAAACACTGTTTAAAATCAAACTAGAATAAAATTGGTTAGGAAAAGCAGAAACATAGCTGTGAACAGATATCAGATTAGCACTTTAGGAAGCTTAGATGAATTAAATTCTCAGCATATAATAATGTCCTTCTTAGCGCCTGCCTTCCCCCATCACCCAGTGCCCAATAATTCACCTCCCAGGCAGCACCCCACCATGAGAACTTCTTTAATTTTAAAAAAATCTAACTCAAAACTTACTTGTAGCATGCAATATAGCATTGTCTTTAAAACGTAACATTCAAGACTATAGTTTTGTATTGTTATGGTACATATGATCATACACATATGCATATTTATATAAGCACGTACACTATCAAATGTAAAAAAGAAAATGTGTATGTGTATATAAATATGGACATTCACACAAACCAACACCAAAAAAAAGGAAAAGTACTATAAGAAAATTTAATACACCACATATTAATAATGATTTGCTTTGGGTAATGGTGGGTAGGTTTTATATCATTTTTGAATATTTTTGTATATTCTATAGTAGGTATTTACTGGGAAGAGGTAGTGCAGTATAGCAGTACAGAGCAGTCGTCCTCAAACTTTCATGTGTATTACCATCACCTAGACAGCTTGTTAAAACTGATTGTTGGACTCAGGGCCCACCGCAAGTCTCTGGTTCAGTAAGTCTGGAGTCTGAATGAGAATGTGCATTTTTAACAAGTTCTCAGGTGATGATGGTGCTGCTGATCTTGAGCCAAACTTTGAGAACCACTGGTTCAGAGCATGAGTTTTATGTTTAGTTGTGGAAATTCAGGTAAATAATTGCTATGGTCTGGATTATTATTATTTGTCTGCTCTAAACCTCATATTGACATTTGATCCCCAATGTTGGAGGTGGAGCCTAGTGGGAGGTGGTGGGGTCATGGGGGTAAATTCCTCATGGACTAATGTCCTCCCTAGAGGGCCAGCAACTTCTCACTCTATTAGTTCTTTTGAGAACTGGTTGTTAAAAAGAGGCTGGCGTGTGCTCGTGCGCTCTCTCTCTCTCTCTCTCTCTGTGTCTCTCTCGTTTCCTCTCTTGCCATGTGACCTCTGTACACTCCGGCTCCCCTTCATCTTCCACCATGAAGCAGCCTGAAGCCCTCACTAGATCCTCAACCAGGTTCTGATGTCTGAACCTTTCCTGACATTAGAATCATGAGTCAAATACACTTTTTGTCTTTATAAATCACCCACTCTCAGGAATTCCTTTATAGCAACAGAAAACAGACTAAAATAGTAACTAATCTCTTTTAGCTCTTAAATATTTTTTCATATAAATAAAATAGTAAAATACTTATCCCAGAGAGATGTTGGGAGATTAATATAGGGGTTGTAAAATTTACATGTGTAGTAAGCTTATGCTTATTAGGCAATATAATTAGTTATATGCCTGCTTAATAATCAGATAATAACAAATATTGGTCTCTAAAAAGGAAGTGAGCAGTAAAATAAAATTTACCTGACTTTGTCCTAGTGTCTGGAATCCTCACACAGGAACTAATTTCCTACCAAAAAACCCCTACATTTTGAGTTAATTGTTGACTGAATTAAACTGACAATCTCAGATAGCATATAATAGTTCGTCTATAACCAAAAGCATTTTGTTTCTCAAAAAAAATCTGTGTTAGGAGATTCATAGAATATAGATCTGCACTATCTAAAACAGCAGCCACAAACCACATGTGGCTAATGAGCATTTGAGATGTGGGTAGTGTGCACTGAGATGTTCTGTAGGTATAAAATGCACACTGGATTTTCCAGACTAAGTATGAAAAAAGAATACAAAGGATGTTCTCGATATTTTCTACTTTTCTTTCTACTTTAAAAAAATGTGGTGGCTTCTTGAAAATTTTAAATCACATATATGACTCTCATTACATTTCTGCCATAGACCTTAAAGTAAAATTTTGTTTGAGATTGGGGATCAGGGTCTCCATACTAAAAATACTCTCACATGTGGTTTTTGTTAATGTTGCTTTTTCAGTATTTTTTTCTAAACGAAATGATTAAATCTCTAAACACAAAATATCAATGTAATTTCCTACATCTCATATGGCTACTATACAATTAATTTTTATTTGTTATTCAGATATAATAAGTCTTTAGTATAGCCTCAGGGTGTCAATGAAAAAGAAAGCAGCATATATTTTTCTTGGGCAGTCCATTCAAGAGTTCAATATATTTGTCATTTTGTACCTCAGAGACCTTAAATCACTATTCCAAGGGTCAAGTATTTATATTCCACCCAAAAGTCTCATGATTGCAGGATAAATATATTGAAGTGATAACACATATAGAATTTTCCTTAAGGAGAATTTGCGTTTGGTGATGGGGGAGTTATTTTATTTGAATTTTAACAGGACTTTGTAAAAACTTGTTAACTTGAAGGCTCTGTATTTTAACAATGTATACAGAGATTCTTTTAGTTATTAGCTCTGGTCCTGGTGTCAGCTGGGAAACCAGGATGTGAATCCAGACTCCATCACTGCTATTTCTATTTACCTCTAGGCAACTAAGAGTAACTGTTGGCTTTCATACCGGTGAAATAGGATTAATTATAGTGCCTACCTCAGAGGGCTCTTGTGAGGGTTGAAGATTACATGATAAAATAAACGTGAAGCATTTAGTGCAGTGCCTTACCGTAGAAGGTCCTCTGTAAACCTTATTAATAATTAGGTGTTACAGAGGCAGATTCATAGGGGATTGACATATACAAGCTATATGGTTGTTTTGTTGTGGTTATTATTGTTGTTTTTATGTCAATGAGTATATTTTACATAAAATGTAAGTGCCAGCCAAATCACATGGTTGTCTACTTCTAAACAAGCTTGGAAATGACCAAGATATGATGATATATAAGCCAAGCACAACAACATTTGGGAACTCCATTAAAATGCTACATCAATGGCAGACAGGAATCACAGAAATTTATGACTTGGTAACCATAGGGAAAAATAGGCTAATATTTAATTTTTGAAAAGGCACCTCTCAAACCTTATAAAACATACTAGCATGTTAGTGTGATGACATTTTAGCTTATAAAAGTATTTGAAAGTTCACTGTAGGTTATTAATATGCTAACTTCATAAAACAGTGTATGTATTTTCTAGCACCGCACTGTGTGCTTTGCCCAAAACTTTGTTGTGTGTAAGTTATGCATGTCACATAACTCACAGTGAGGTCAGTCATATCCTTTACGTATCCTACCCGGGTCTAGCAACTCACTTTGTAATGTGGTGATACTTTCCATCTATTCTTTGCTTCAGCCAAAAAAGTGACAGAAAGAATCCCCTTGTTATATTTTGTTACTTTTTTTCTCATTGTAATTTTAAAATGTTGATAAGTAAATGATAAAACTGTTAGTCCTTATTAGCTCAAAAATATTTCTTTGGCTTTCCATGTGTACTCAATGGAGATGAGTGCACAGGCAAGTAGAATTAGCAAAATGCTTTCTAGCCTTTTTAGTTATGTATATTTTAAGCATAAATTCAAAGAAGTGAATTAGGATTATGGTTTGTCCTGAACTTTGAGTCTAGTGTCTCACATGTCTCTCTGGCTCACAGAAAATAGATTGAATGCTAGGTCCTCTAAAATGTCACCAAAATAACCTTAAATAAAACAAAACTGAGTTTATTCCTGCCTATGGTATAGGAAATTTACTACCTCAACAGAGTCTTAACATCTAAGAGAAGGAAGGGCAAAGTAGAAATATTTAGAGATAAAGAAAGGTTTGGGAATCTGGTTTACAGACAGGTATTTTAAAGCAGGGGTTTTTTAAGGATGGGATAACACTAGTGATATAATAATTGAAGATTGATAAATACTACTAGGAGAGAATTTGTTAGGGGTGTTTATGGAATACACAGTCATTTGATACTATATTTGCAAGTTAAGTAGTCAGTGGTTGATTGAAGTGGAATTTCATGAAGTTTCTGAAATGAACAACAAAGTTACTTGCAACTTTTATCTTTTGGGGTAAGAGTTTCCCAGAAGACTAAAGTCATGTTGATTAAGATAGGGGAATAGAAAATCATAATTTAGACAATAAATGGTGCAGGTATTGATGATTTGGGTTCTTAAGTGATGGTAAGTGATGTTAATGTAGTAAGATTTAGAGATCTTTAAATTGTATTTTGTGTAAACATTTTAGCTTTACCTTGGAAAATGCTCTTTGTTTCATTGACCCAATATCTAGACAATGTGAGGCTAAGGGTAGGAATAAAGCAATGGAGGGGAATAGAGGAATATGAATGTAGTTTGCATGCTTGTGTGTGGGGAGATGGGTAGAAACATTACATAAAGGGGTCAGAGGGAGGTGACTGAGAAGATGGCATTTGAGCAACTTGAAGGAAATGGCAAAAAGCCCTCACATGAGGCCTGTCCTTTGAGGAAGTGGATTTGACGTCCCATCCACTAACCTTAGGCTTGAACTATGTGATTTGCTTTGACCAATTAAATGTAAGCAGATATTTTGGTATCCTTTGTAATTGCAGCAAAACGGATTCAAGCAATTTGTGAGGCAAGGTCTTTCCAGCTGAAACAGGGGTATGCCAAGGTTGTAGCCCAGGGGAAACCCTGGTGTGTCGGAGGGACGTCAAGGGACAATAAATTTGAACCACAACGAATGAAGAAGTGAATGTAAGAAGTGAGAGAGTCTAATAGCTATTGGGAATCAAGTCTTCCCATTCAATCCAGGTTCTTGGGCTCCATTTGGTTGTTGATTAACCTCTATGATTTTGACTGTTCTATACTGAAACATGACCATATTTTGAGTTATAGCATGTAAACACTCTTGAATGCTCATGGCTGTTCTCTTGAGTTGTTTAATTCTCTCATTGTTGTTTCACTTCTGCCTGTTTATTGTTTGTTTTCCAGTGTAGAATATAAGCAATTTGAGGAGAAGGGCTGTATCTTATCCATGTTTGGACCTCTAGTAAGGCCTAGTATAGTGAACACCCCCATTCAGTTAGTACCAGCTGAGTATTTCTTATCGGAAATGCTTGGGACCAGAGTGTTTCAAATGTTAGACTTTTTCATATTTTGGAATATTTAGAAATACATAATGAGATATCTTGGGGATGAGACCCAAGTCTAAACATGAGATTCACTTACGTTTCATATACATCTTATATGCATAGCCTGAAGGTAATTGTTTACAATAATTTAAATACTTTCGTGCGTGAAATAAAGTTTTGACAGTGTTTTGACTGCAACCCATCACATGAGGTCAGGTATGGAGTTTTCCATTGGGGCATCATGTCAATGTTCATAAATTTTTGGATTTTTGAGTATTTTGGAATTTGGATTTTCAGATTAGGAATGCTCAACCTGTATTTGTTGAATTAATGTGTGATATTGGACAGAAACATTAAATTCTTTGATAATAGGCAGATTCCTATCTTCTTATAGCTCTAACCTACTTATTATTGAAGATAAAGTTCTTAGGTCATAAATGTAGTGTATGTATGTATGTATGTATGTATGTATGTATGTATGTATGTATGTATGTATTTACTTAGAGATGGGGGTCTCACTGTGTCACCCAGGCTGGAGTGCAGTGGCACGATCTCAGCTCACTGCAGCCTCAATCTCACGGGCTCAAGTCATCCTCCCATGTTAGCTTCCCAAGTAGCTGGGACCCCAGGAGCGCGCCACCATGCATGACTAATTTTCTTGTATTTTTGATAGAGACAGGGTTTTGCCATATTGCCCAGGCTGGTATCAAACTCCTGAGTTCAAGCGATCCACCTGCCTCAGCCTCCCACATGATGGGATTATAGGCATGAGCCACCATGCCCAGCCTTGTACTGCACTTGCAAATAATTGAAAATGTATTTCATGTTTAAATACATTTGTATTGTCGGTACAATATCTTGTTAATAATCAAACACATTGAAATCAAACACATTGGATTCTCACCAGTTTTAATTTGACCAACATAGTCAAGAAAACAATTTTCCTATAAAGTGCCCTGCAGCTCTGAAATTCTTTAAACTACAAAAAATAAAGATATTTTAAGGATTATCTTACCACCATTTTGTGTTAAACAGGGTAAATACAATCTGGTATATAGCACACATCAAACAAATAATAAATATTGAAGTACTTTTTCGGTTTTCAGCAGTGTTGAACATTCAAAATTGATAAAACAAAAATCAAGTAACAATTTGGTAATGAAAAATATTACTGGAACAAAAAATTCTTAGCATCTTCCCCAAATTTATAACTTATAACTTATACACATAGATTGTTATCTTGATTATTTGGTACTAAATATCACCTAAGAAGGACACTACCACTTACGGATTGTGTACATAAAACATGAAGTGGGGGTCTAAAGTTTTGTTTTAAATGCATCAACAAGTTATTTCTTCATACTTTGGCTCAAAAAGCCTTCATTATTAATTATAATAGGTATGCCTCCTCAATGTAGCATATCCAGATGATGCATAAGAAATTATTTTACAGAATAAAGTCAATCTTGATATAACAAACAGAGAGAGTTCTGTGTGATTTGTGGCTGATTGCCTCTAAGATCTATAAGGTGCCATTCAGCTTAAAATTTTTGAACAGTGAAAAAATATATGTTAAGAACTGTATTCCTACAACATTGCAGAAACTTCTTTAGGAATTTACTATCCTACTATTTTTACTCTAAGGGACAGAAGTTTAATCATGATTAAGATAAAGTATTGTTATTTGTTGTTATTTATAACATTCATTGAGTGCATCCTTTCATCTCTAGGCACTGAAAGAGATTCAAAGTTTGGTCTGTGGTCCCTATCTGGTGATCTTTCCAAAGACGTAAAGCATGCAGTTGTAACCACGTACAGAAATACAAAGTGAGTGACAGAAGCAATAGGCACTAGATTTACTTTGTAGCAGCCATCACAGCTGTTTAGCTTGAAAGAATGAGAATGAGTGTGTAAATCCTGCATAATCGTTAAGAGCATGAGCTCTGAAGATAGTAGATTGCTCCATTTTGAAAGTTTGTTCATTGTGTGATGAATTACTTAAGATCTTTGCACTTGCACTCACTTCCTCATCTGTCAAAGAGGTTAAAGAGTAATTCCTTTTTTTTGCCTAGCATGCAGGCATGTGCCTATAGTCCCAGCCTCTTGGGAGGCCAAGGCAGGAGGATCCCTTGAGCCGAGGAGTTCAAGGCCATAGTATGCCACGATAGTACTGTGATTAGCCACTGTGCTCCACCCTGGGCAACAAAACATAACACCATCTCTAAAAATAAATAATAAGTAGTTACTTTTTAGAGCCACAGTGAGGATGAAATCAGTTGATGCAGGCAAAGCTCTTAGAAAACTACCTACGCCAAAGTAATCCTTCAATAACTTAGCTGAAAGTGAAGAGCAGAGCCTCCCCCTGGAAAAGATGGAGAGATGAGCAAGGTGTGATTAATGGCATTGTGGAGAATGGCCTGGTTGAAGGAAGAAGGTTTATTTGGTTTGAGATATTGGGAGTAATATAATGAAGTGTCTGTATAAAGTTTTTTCCCCTGTTGATTAGTTAGATGTGCACTGACTATCCCAGAAGATTTATTTAAAAGCAATTTATTTTCTTCTGGACTAGAAATGACTTTCTGGACAAAGAGATTTTATAATACTTTGCAAGTGTCTCTATTACATTGTGATAATTAATCAAGCACTGCCTCTCCTGTCAGAGGAGGAGCTCTCTGAGGACAGAGTGAATGCTTTATTAATTTGTGTCTCTTCTTTTGACCCCTGACATACAACCCCTTATGTACTACTGTGACTGGCTTTAAAATCAATATGGACAAAACCAATCATGGAACATGTTTGATGTTCAAAGACATTTAAAATGTGGTTTATAATGGTTGCGAAGTTTAAGAAAAAAATGCATGAGGTCAGGCAAAATGTATGATTAAGGAGCTGATTAATCTTATATGTTCTCTTGCCAGTGAGAATACTATAAATCTTTGATATTCCAAGTTTCAGAAAGGCATCCACCACAGAATTTCTGTGGGGCAAAATGTTGCTGCACATAACAAATAATAAATACATCAATAACTGTGTGTCTCTTATTTATTCCTTTTTCTCGTGAGTAGCATAGTGACATAGGCACCATCCAGCAAATTATATGCAATTTATCATTATTTTATGTACTGATCTCTTGGTGACCTGGAAGTCTAATTTGTTTTAGAGCAGTCCCCAGTACTTTAACTTTGCCATATCCTTTCAAAAGATGCTCACTGTTTTGGATGTTACTCTCTAAAATCTAATCACTAAAAGTGGTGAACTCATATTCATTGTAAAGACATCTGTGATGATTGGCACATTTTCTCCAACGCAGAACACTAAGGTTGACAAAGAGCCATTCAAGCTGATAAATTAAGCCAGTGAGTTTAGGGTATTTGGATCTAATAGACACAAGTGAATGCTTTTTACATTTTCTCTAAATCCTAAGTAAAATTTAAGATGAACTCTACAGTTTGGATTTGATAAATCAAAATACAATTTTTTTTTGCTTTTGTCACTCTTGAATTGTTTGTTAAAGTAATATCACTCAGATATCTGTGAGGTGATTTGGTTTGTTATAATAAAAATGCTTCAGTAAATTTTATTTGTATTCCTTTTCTTATTATTAAAAACAAATTATGAAGTGTATGTTTATGAATAATTTATGTATTGAACTGCAGCTCTTTTTATAAATGCAAGGGACTATTATTATTATTATTATAACTGATAGATAAAACTGTATGTATTTATCATGTATGATGTTTTGAAATATATATAGTAGAATGGCTAACTGTAGCTAATTAACATACATATTACATCATAAAGTATGGTTTTTGTGGTGAGATTTATAATCTACTCTTTTAGCATGTTTCAGCAATACATTGTCAATAACTATAGTCACCATGTTGTACAATAAGTCTCTTGAACTTACTCCTTTCTAACTGAAATTTGTATCCTTGGACCAATATTGTTGTTCTTTCTAATTCAGGTATAAGAAAATTGTACATATGAGTGTATTTAGTATATGGATTTTACTTCAACAGATCTTAGAGGAGAGAGATTTATTTTATTATATAAATTTTAAAGATATTTTTGCGGGGCGTGGTGGCTCATGCCTGTAATCCCAACACTTTGGGAAGCCAAGGTGGCAGGATCGCTTGAGCCCAGAAGTTTGAGACTAGCCTTAGGCAGCACGGCGAAACCCTGTCTCTACCAAAAATACAAAAATTACTGGACGTGGTGGTGCACACCTGTAATCCCAGCTACTGGGGAGATCGAGGTGAAAGGATCACCTGAGCCCAGGGAGGTCCAGGTTGCCATGAGATGTGATTGTGCCACTGCACTCCAGCCTGGGTGACAGTATAAGACTCTGTCAAAAAAAAAAAAAAAAAAAAAAAGAGAGAGAGAGAGAGACAGAAAAGACTTAAGAAATTGAGCATTTATTTAAAATTTCAGCTCCTAATGAATATGAGAAACTCCTGAGCAATGAACAAATGTTTGTTACTGAAGAGGACATTATTATTCAATGCCTTTGTTCATGATAAGGAACAGCCATGCTGCATGTAGTCTGGTATTCAAGATGGAAACTCGTTTCTAAAAGTAACAATTTGTAGTAACACTTTCACATACCAACCCATCTCGAAAGGAAAATAAAAATCCCTTACTTGTTTGTGTCAAAGGTAGTTATCTGTAGTGCTGAGAGGCATCTGCGTCTAATTCTCTGAGAGTAGTATAAATGGGAGCATTAGTTTTCTACTCTCTTTGGGTGAAAGTTATTAATTCAAGTGATTCTTTCTAGTTCCTAATCTATATGACCCTTTTCAACATTCTGCAATTGTACAATGTGCCTTCTAGATAAGAAATGATGCTGCATTTTGGCTTAAACTCTCATTCCACACTGCTTATATTAAAGTGTTTCAGATCTTTTAGCTTTGGGGAAACTATGTGCTTTCTTTCATTAATATCATGTGACCAACCCCATTCAACTGGAAAACATCCAAATCCTTAATTTTGCCACAATGGTTTGGGTAAATTTCATATAATGAGTATTTTTTTTTCAGTTAGAATTGTCTAGGTGATAGCATAATTGTCTAAAATTATAACCTTTATTATTGGCATGAGAGTAAGATGGATTCCTAGTTCTGTAGACCGTCTAGCTTCTTTATATGAAACCACCCCAGGCAGTGACTTACCAGACTCTAATATTCTTCGATTTCCACACCTGCTGTTGTTTCTCTGGCAGACCTCCAGAGACACTGACCTGATATCCTGATTTAATCTGGTACTATTTTCTAAAATTTTCTTAAATTTATCTTCTTTTTCTCATTGTGCGAATTGCGAAGTTTCTTTCTCTAAATCATTGTGTGATTCCATCACATATTTTCATATTCTTTTTACATAACTGTTTCACATTTTTAAGTCTAATAGAAGTTAGATGTGTATTGTGTTCATACCCTCAGTGGTGCTTGCATTACCTTACAATACCTTACACTTCATGCGAAACCACAGATCTCATGAACATGCCAATGACCACCTCTAGCTGACAACTCCCATGGTAATCATCAGTCAAAACTGTACCTTTCAATTGGGCATCGGTTTGAAAATGTTTTTAACATTAGAACAATCCCACTTAGGATTCTAATGAGTAAAATAAATAGACCATGACAAAGGATGTTGGAAGACAGATTTGGTTTGTCTCCCACTCTTTTTCATGGGATATGGGTGTTTGTAAGTAAGTATAATAATGAAAGTATCACAAGTTTATAGAAAAATGAAGGTTCAAAGGCATAAAAAATTAGAATAGAAAAATACGTGTCATACAGAAACATGGACTAGAAATAATTTGAGAAGTATTAAAGTCTATGGGAATGTATTTCTTAATAGTTATTAGCATGGCTCAGAAGAATGAGTACTAGAATACTAGCGAGAGAATCCTTGTTCTAGTGCCTCTCTCCCGTGAACTTCTATGGAATTTCAAATGAGTCTTGGAACATTCCTGGCCTCCAGTTTTCTTACCTCCAAAGTGAAGGAGCTGAATTAGGTGCCCTTAATTGTCTCTTCAAGCATTTACTTTCTATTGTGTTTATTGAATACTCTAGATTGAGCGAGTTCAGTTCTACTACATATTAAACACATTTCAACACATCTGTAATAATTAAAGTGGTATAGTGTTGGTACAAAAGTAGAAGATTCATGGAAAAATGTAGAGGCCCAGAAATATATTTTAGGAAAATTTAATACCTGATTAAGGTGGCATTTTTGTTCACTGGGATAGGCTGGACAAAATATTGTCTTAGGACTGCCTAACCATTTATAGAAGCATACAACTGTATTCTTAGTTACTCTTTACATCAAATTGGATTCTAGAAGCACCAAAATTTTAAACATAAAGAGAAGAGAAGATAGAGAAAATAATGGCAAGAAAACTTTTTAAAAACATATTCAGTAAGATGGCCTTTGTAAGTATCTCAATAAATTTGGAGGCTATAAAGGAAAACATGGATACATATTATACATGCAAATTAAATACTTCTATGGAGTTGAAAATGCCATAAACAAGTCAAAAGACAAACACAAAATGGGGAAGATACTTCTAAAGCGTGTGATAGAGAATTAATTTATTTTATACAGAGAATTCTTACAAGTTAATAGAAAAAGTTGAACAACCCAAGAGAAAAATGGTCAAAGAATATGAACAGACAGTTCACAGAAAGAGCAAAATAGAAATGCACATTTGACAAATTGCTCAGCCTCACTCACATAACATAACACCAAGATATCACTTTCCATATATGATTGAAAAAAAATGAAATGTTTAATAGAACCCAGAGGATAAAAGTATGTTTATACACTGTTAACAGTAACCTTTTTTGTTTTGTTTTGTTTTGTTTTGTTTTGTTTTGAAGGGCAATTTAGCATAGCTCTCAAAATCTGGAATGATAAATATCTTTAGATCCAGTGTTTCATTTCAAGGTACTTATCCTATAGTCAACTTGGCAGACTATATGTGTACATTATTCTATTGTGTTCTCAAATTTGTATTGTTTAACTTTTAAAATTTGTAGAATACACTTTGAATACAACATGAATAATTACAGTATTTGTTTCTGGGAGAGGAAAAGGAGTTAGAGAGGATTTTTAAATTTTTACTTCTTATCATTTTATACTTCTATCAAACTTGACATTTTTACTATAATTGGGTAAATGTTAACAGTTTTAAACTGTGTTATTACTTTTTTTTTAAGACAAAGTCCCTTTCTGTCATATAGGCTGGAGTGCAGTGGCATGCTCTTGGCTCACTGAAACCTCGGCTTCCTGGGTTCAAGTAATTCTCGTGCCTCAGCCTCCTGAGTAGCTGGGACCACAGGTGTGTGCTACCATGCCAGGCTAATTTTTATATTTTTAGTAAAGACAGGATTTCACCATGTTGGCCAGGCTGCTCTCAAACTCCTGAGCTCAAGTGATCTGCCTGCCTAGGCCACCCAAAGTGCTGGGATTATAAGCATGAGCCACCGTGCCTGGCCAACAGTGTCAGATTTTAACAGTAAATGACAGTGTGCTAAAGCAATTTTTAAAGAGGTTGTGGAAAGAATGATGATAAGGTTAAAATATACTTAAGAAAAACTCAAGCTCATCTTCTGTCCTAACTTGAAAATAGTAGTCAGGGAAACATATAATATAGGAATATACATGATATTTTAAAAAATAATAAAGCTCATATAATAAAAATGACACTTTCTGGAGTTTGTACGAATTGTATGCTTCACTTATTCTTCCAACACCCTGAAGATTCTTTTGTATAAGAGAAATGAGATTGATATTCTATATTCTATCATAAAGAACTCAATGCCTTTTATTTTATGAATTTATTCACATGCAAAGTGCTTTTAGATATGTCAGTTATTTTAACAGTGGCATGACAAACATTATCATTTATGCAAACCCTGGGCTATTCAGAAAGTAGATTTTCTATTAATATGCTTTGCCAGTAGAAACTGCCCCAGTGCTTGTAACTATATTTTTTATTTGGTTTGTACTTGGTGATTGAAAACCTTCTGATTTTTAGTCCTCTTAAAAGTAAGAATTTGTCTCTTAATATTAAGTCATAAAATAATATTTTTTTAATTTTTAATATTTGTGGGTACATAGTAGGTATATTTATTTATCAAGCACATGAGATACATTGATACAGGCATACAACGTGTAATAGTACATGAAGGTAAATGGGGTATCCAACACCTCAAACATTTATTCATTCGTTGTGTTACAAACAACTCAATTATATTCTTTTATTTATTTCTAAATGTACAATAAATGATTGTCAACTGTTGTCACCCTGTTGTGCTAACAAATACTAAATCTTATTCATTCTATCTAATTATATTTTTGTACCCATTAACCATTCCCCTTCCTACCACTCCTCTCACCCCCAACTATTCTTCCCAGCCTCTGGTAACCATCATTCCACTGTCTATCTCCGTGAGTTCAATTGTTTTAATTTTTAGCTCTCACAAATCAGTCAGAATATGCAACATTTGTTTGTTTTCTTTGTTTGTTTGTTTGTTTCTGGCTTATTTTACTTAATGTAATGACCTTCAGATCTATCCACGTTGTTGCAAATGACAGCATCTCATTACTTTTTATGGCTGAATAGTATTTCATCATGTATATATACCACATTTTCTTTCTTCTTTTTCTTCTTCTTCTTTTTTTTTTTTTTTTTTTTTTGAGACAGGGTCTCATTCTGACCCACAGGCTGGAGTGCAGCAGCACCATCTAGGCTCACTGCAACCCCCACCTCCCAGGCTCAAGCAATCCTCCCATCTCAGCATCATGAATAGCTGGAACCATAGGTGTGGGCTACCACGCCAGGGTAATTTTTCTATTTTTAGTAAAGATGAGGTTTTGCCAAGTTGCCCAGGCTGGTCTTGAACTCCTGGGCTCTAGTGATCCTCCTGCCTTGACCTCCCAAAGTGCTGGGATTACAGGCATAAGCCACCATGTCCACTTTTTTTTTTAAATCCATTCATCCATCTACTAATGGACATTTAGATCGCTTACAAATCTTGGCTATTGTTAATAGTGCTGCAGTAAACGTGGGAATGCAGATGTCTTTTCGATATACTGATTTCCTTTCCTTTGGGTGTATACCTAGCAGTGGTATTGCTGGAACATATGGTAGTTCTATTTTTAGTTTTTTGATGAACCTCCAAACTATTCTCTATAGTGATTGTATTAATTTACATTCCCACCAACAGCGTACAAAGATTCCCTTTTCTTCACATCCTCACCAGCATTTGTTATTGTCTGTCTTTTTTATAAAAGCCTTTTTAACCAAGATAATATCTCATGGTAGTTTTGATTTGCATTTCTCTTATGATCAATGATGTGGAGCACCTTTTCTTATGGCTGTTTGCCATTTGTATGTCCCTTTTTTTTTGAGAAATCTCTATTCAGATCTTTTGCCCATTTTTTATTGGATTATGAGTTTTTTTCTATAGAGTTGTTTGAACTCCTTATATATTCTGGTTAATAATCTCTTGTCAGATGGATAGTTTGCAAATATTCTCTCTCATTCTATGGGTTGTTGCTTCACTTTGTTGATTGTTTCCTTGACTCTGCAGGACCTTTTTTACTTGATGGGATCCCATTTGTCCATTTTTTCTTTGGATGTCTGTGCCTGTTGGGTACTACTAAAAAAATTGTTGCCAAGTCCAGTGGCTTGGAGAGTTTTCCCAATGTTTCCTCTAGTAGTTTCATAGTTTGAGGTCTCAGATTTAAGTCTTTAATTCATTTTGATTTGCTTTTGTATATGGCAAGATGTAAGGGTCTAGTTTCATTCTTCTGCATATGGATATCCAGCTTTCCCAGCAGCATTTATTGAAGAGACTGTCACTTTCCCAATGTACTTTCTTGGCAATTCTGTTGAAAAGGAGTTCACTGTAGATGTATGGATTTGTTTCTGGGTTCTCTATTGTGATGGCCTATGTGTCTGTTTTTATGCCAGTACCACACTGTCTTGGTTACTATAGCTCTACATAATTTGAAGTCAGGTAATGCTATTCCTCCAGTTTTGTTCTTTTTGCTAAAGATAGCTTTGACTATTCTAGGTCTTTTATGGTTCCATGTAACTGTTAGTATTTTTTTTTCCTATTTCTGTAGGGAATGTCATTGGAATTTTGATAGAGATTGCATTAAATCTGTAGATTGTCTTGAACATTTTAACAATATTGATTCTTCCAATCCGTGAACATGAAATGTCTTTCCATTTCTTTGTGTCCATTTAAATTTATTTCATCAATGTTTTATAGTTTTTCTTGTACAGATTGTTTACTTCTTTGGTTAAATTAATTTCCAGATATTTTATTCCATTCCATTTTTAGTTATTGTAAATAGGATTAATTTCTTGATTTCTTTCTCAGATTGTTCGCTTTTGTTATATACAAATGGTACTGACTTTTGTGTATTGCTTTTGTATCCTGCAACTTTACTGAATTTGTTTTTTAGTTCTGTTTGTTTTCTTTTTTTTTTTTTTTGGTAGAGTCATTAGCTTTTTCCAAATCTAAGATCATATCACCTGCAAACAAAGGTCTAGATATGACTTCCAATACCATGTTGAATAAAAGTGATGAACATGGGCATCCTTGTGTTCTGGATCTTAGAGAAGAGAAAAGGCTTTCAGGTTTTCCCCATTCAGTATCACACTAACTTTGGGGCTGTTTTATATGGCTATCATTATGTTGACATATGTTTTTTCTATACCCAGTTTTTTGAGGATTTATTTTTATCATGAAGAGATGTTAAATTTTACTAAATGCTTTTTTATCATCAGTTGAAATGATCATATGGTTTTTGTCCTTCAGTGTATCACATTGATTGATTTTCATATGCTGAACCATCTTTGCTTCCAAGGGATAAATCTGTTTGGTCACGATAAATGATTTAATGTGCTTTTGAAATTGGTTTGCTAGTTTTGTTGTTGTTGTTGAGGATTTTTGTATCAATATATATCAGAGATACTGGACCTTAAGTTTCTTTTTTTGATGTGTCTTTGTCAAGATTCAGTATCAGGGTAATACTGTCCTCATAGAATGAGTTTGGAAGTATTCCCTCTTCCTATCTGTTTCAGGATAGTTTGAATAGGATTGGTTTTAGTTCTTCCTTATATGTTTGATAACATTTAGGAGTGAAGCCATCAGGTCTCAGGATTTTCTTTGCTGGGTGAATTTTAATTACAGCTTCAATCTTGTTACTTGTTATTGATCTGCTCAGGTTTTGGATTTCTTCATTGTTCAATATTGGTATGTTGAGTGTGTCTAGGAATTCATCCTATTTTCTAGGTTTTCCAATTCATTGGCATATAATTGCTCATAGTAGCTTCTAATGATCCTTTGAATTTCTATGTTAATGATTGTAATGTCTTTTTTATTAACCTGGATTTTATTTAAATTTTATTATTTAAATCTTTTTCTCTTTTTTTTTCTTAGCTAGTCTCGCTAAAATTTTGTTGATTTTATCTTTTCAAAAAACAAACTTACTTTGCTGACCTTTGTATTGTTTTCTTCGTTTCAATTCCACTTACTTCTCCTCTGATCTTTATCATTTATTTTCTCCTACTAATATTTTTCTAATTCTTTAAGATGCATCATAAGATTGTTCTTCTACTTTTTTGATGCAGGTACTTATCGCCATAAACTTTTCTATTAGTACTGATTTTGCTGCATTTAATAAGTTTTAGGCTGGGTGCAGTGGCTCATGCCTGTAATCCCAGCACTCTGGGATGACCTGAGGTCAGGAGTTTGAGAACAGCCTGTCCAACATGGTAAAATCCCATCTCTACTAAAAATACAAAAATTAGCTTGGTGTGGTGGCGGGCACCTGTAATCCCAGCTACTTGGGTGGCTGAGGCAGGAGAATTGCTTGAACCTGGGAAGCAGAGGTTGCAGTGAGCCGAGATTGTGCCATTGCACTCCAGCCTGGGCAACAAGAGCAAATCTCCGTCTCAAAAAAATAAAATAAATAAAATAAAATAAAATAAAATGGTTTTAATATGTTGCGTTTCCATTATAATTTATTTCAAGAAAATTTTCAATTTTCTTCTTAATTTCTTTATTGATCCATTCAGGAGCTTATTGTCTAATTTCCATGTGTTTGTATAGTTTCCAAAATTCCTCTTGTCATTGATTTTTGGTTTTACTCTATTCTGGTCAGAGGAGATACTGGATAATATTTTAGTTATTTTGAGTTTTTTAAGTCTTGTTTTGTGGTCTAACTTATGATTTGTCTTTGAGAATGATCCATGTACTAAGGAGAAGACTGTGTATTCTGCAGCCATTGGGTGATATGTTCTCTAAATATCTATATAAGTCCATTCGGTCTATAGTGCAGATTAAGTCTGATATTGCTTTGTTAGATTTTTGTCTAGATGATCTGTCCAATGCTGAAAATGTGGTTGTGAAATCTCCGGCTGTTATTGTATTGGGGTCTATCTCTGTCTCTAGCTCTAACAATATTTGCTTTATAATCTGGGTTGTTCCGTGTTAATTGAATATATATATTTATTATTGTTATTACCTCTTACTGAATTGACCCTTTTATCATTATATAATGACCTTCCTTGTCTCTTTTTATAGTTTTTGTCTTGAAATCAATTTGGTCTGACATAAATATAGATACTTCTGCCCTTTTTTGTTTCTATTTGTATGGGATATCTTTTTCCATCTCCTTATTTTTAGTCTATTTTTGTCTTTATGGGTCAAGTGTAATTCTTGTATACAGTAAATCATTGCATCTTATTTTCTTCATCCACTCAGCTACTCTGTGTCTTTAGATTAGAGAGTTCATTTACATTCAATGTTATTATTAATAAGTATGAACTTACTCCTGCCATTTTGTTATTTGTGTCCTGGTTGTTTTGTGTTCTTTCCTTCATTCATTCCTTTCTTCCTGACTTCCGTTAAATGGAGGTGATTTTCTCTGGTGGTATGTTTTAATTTCTTGATTTTTATTTTTTGTGTATCTGTTGTATGTTTTTTGATTTGAGGGTACCATGAAAATTTCAAATATTATCTTATAAGTCATTATTTTAAACTGATGACAACCTAACACATATTGCATAAACAAACAAGCAAAGAGAAAACTAATAAAAACTGTACACTGTAACTTTCTCCCACCCCCATTTTTGAACTTTTTGTGGTTTCTATTTGTATCTTATTGTACTGTGTCTTTAAAAGTTGTTATAGTTATTAGTAGTAGTAGTAGTAGTAGTATTTCAGACAGTGTCTTATGCTGTCACTCAGGCTGGAATTCAGTGGCACAATCACAGCTCACTATAGCCTCGATCTCTTAGGCTCAAGACATTCTTGTGCCCTTGTCTCCCAAGCAGCTGGGACCACAGGTACGTGCCACCATGCATGGCGAATTTTTTATTTTTTTAGAGACGAGGTCTCACCATTTTGCCCAGACTGTTCTCAAATTCCTAGGCTCAAGCGGTCCTCCTAACTCAGCCTCCCAAAGTGCTGGGATTACAGGGGTGAGCCATCACATCCAGCCAGTTATTATTTTTATCAGTTTATCTTTTATTATTTCTACTTAAGATATGAATAGTATTCACATCACAATTAAAGTGTTATAATATTGTTTTTTGGTGTGTATTTACTATTACCAGTGAATTTTGTACCTTTAGATGATTTCTTATTGCTCATTAATGTCCTTTTCTTTCAGATTGAAGAACTCCTTTTAGATTTCTTGTAGGACAGATCTGGTATTGATGAAATGTCACAGGTTTTTTTTGTCTGGGAAACTATTTCTCCTCCATGTTTGAGGATATTTTTACTGGATATTTTATTCTAGAATAAAAGTTTCTTCCTTCAGTACTTTTAATATGTCATGCCCCTCTATTCTGGCTTATAAGGTTTCCACAAATAATTCTGCTGCTAGACATATTGGAATTCCATTGGATGTTATTGTTTCTTTTCTCTTGCTGCCTTTAGGATTCCTTCTTTATCCTTGAGCTTTGGGAGTTTGATTATTGAATGTTTTGAGGTAGTCTTATTTGGGTTAAATCTGCTTAGTGTTCTATAACTTTCTTGTACTTAAATATTGGTATCTTTCTCTGGTTTGGGAAGTTCTGTATTATTATTCCGTTGAACAAACTCTCTACCCCTAACTCTCCCTCTACCTCCCCTTTAAGGCTAATGACTCTTTGCCCTTTTGAGGCTTTTTTTTCTAGATTTATAGTCATACTTCATTCTTTTTCATTCTTTTTTCCTTTATCTCCTCTGACTGTGTGTTTTCAAATAGCCTGTCTTCAAGCTCACTAATTCATTCTTTTGGTTGATCAAGTCTGTTAAGAGACTTTGATGCATTGTTCAGTATGTCTATTGCATTTTCAACTCCAGAATTTCTGCTTAATTCTTTTAAATTATTTCAATCTATTTCTTATATCTTTTTGATAAGATTCTTAATTCCTTCTTTGTGTTATCTTGAGTTTTCTCAAGTTTCCTCAAAACAGCTATTTTGAAATCTGTCTCTGAGAGACCACATCTCTCAGCTTCTCCATGATTGGTCATTGGTGCCTTATTTAGTTTGTTTGGTGAGGCCATGTTTCTTGGGTGGTCTTGATGCTTGTGGATATTCGTTGTTGTCTGGGCATTGAAGAGTTGGGCATTTATTTTAGCCGCCACCATCTGGGCTTGTTTGAACCCATTCTTCTTGGGAGGATTTTCCATGTATTTGAAGGGCTATGTGTGTTATGATCTAAGTTTTTCTTCACTGCAGCTATATCTGCATTAGGGGGCACCCTAAGCCCAGTAATGCTGTAGGTCTTACATACCACCTTGGTCTATATGTTACTGCCCTGGTGGTCTTGGATAAGATCCAGAACAATTCTCTGGATTACCATGCAGACGCTGTTGTTCTCTTCTCTCACTTTCTGTTAAACAAATGGAGTCTCTTTCTGTGCTGGGCTGCCTGGTGCTGGGGGAAGGGTGACTCCAGCACTCCTCTGGCCACCACCGCTGGGGCCATGCTGGGCCACACCTGAAGCCAGCACAACACTGGGTCTTGCCCAAGACCTAGAGTAATTGCTGACTGGCTGTGTTTGCTCAAGGGCATAGGGCTGTACAATCAGCAGATAGTGAAGCCTGACAGGCTCATGTCCTTCCCTTCAGGGTGGCAAGTTCTCCCTGATCCCAGGTGGGTCCAGAGATGCCATCTAGGAGTTAAGGCCTAGAGTCAGAAACCTTAGGAAGCTACTTGGTTCTATATTCTACTGCAGCTGAGCTAGCACCCAAGCCACAAGATAAAGTCCTTCCCATTATTACCATCCCTTTCCACATGCAGAGGGGTCTCCCCTCATGGACACCACCACCCCGAACTTGTAGAGAGTACTGCCTGGCTACTGCCAATGTTCATTCAAGGACCAAGGGCCCTTCCGTCAGCTTCTGGTGAATGATGCCAGGCCTAGAACGCCCCCTTCAGGGTAGCAGGCTTCCATCTGGCCAATGGCAGGTTCAGAAATGCCATCTAAGAGCCAAGGCCTGGAATTGGAGACCCTATGAGTCCACCTGGTGCACCATCCCTCTGTGGTCATGTTAGTACCTATGCTGACAGATGAAGTCCCCTTTACTCTTCCTTCTTTTTTTCTCAAACAAAAGGAGTCCCTCCCCATAGCCACCATAGCTGGGAATATGTCAGGTCATACCTGAAGTCTACACATCTCTGAATCTCACCAAAGACCCATTGTGAGTACTGCCTGGGTATTACTACTGATTATTCAGGGACCAAGTGCTCTTTAGTCAGCAGGTGATGAATCCCTCTAGGACTGAGTCTTTACCTTTAAGGAAGTGGGTTCCCTTCTGGCCCAGGGTGTATCTAGAAATGTCATTTTAGAGTTAGGTTTTGGAAGAGGAACTTCAGGAAGAGGAACTAGAGGAACAGGACTGCCTGTTGCTCTATCCTACTGTGGCTGAGCTGGTACTCAAGTTGTAAGACAAAGTCCTCTTTACTCTCCCCACTCCTCAAGTGAAAGGAAGGAGTCTGTCCCAGAGCTGTAAGCTGTGGTGCCTGGGGTTTTGGGAGGGGTGGCACAAGCACTCCTTTTGGTCACCCCAGCTGGTGTTTTCCTAGGTCACATGTCCCCCAAGTCCACTGGCTCCAAGCCCAACACATCACCAGTACTTGTCTAAGAATTGCAGTCTTGTGGCCTTGACTGCCTTACAAGTTTATTTAGGACTCCAGAGTCATTAGCCTGAGGTAGTGAGGCTTGCTAGAACCCTAGTTTCAGCTGCTGGGATAGGCAATTCCCCTCTGGCTATGGCTGGTCTAAATGCTCCCTCTATGGGCATCCACTGACTTCTGCTCGGTGTTTTTACCACTGTAACAAATCAGCACTAAGTTCCAATGCAAAGTCCCACAATCACTGCACTCTCCCTCCCCCAGTTGCACAGACTCTCTCAGCACCAGGTGGCCAATGCTGGAGGATGGGAGAGGGGTAGTGTCAGCAATTCAATGCTGTCTTTCTTACCCTCTTCTGTGCCTCTTGCAGTGATATGAGGTTAAAAACCAGGTACTGTGATTGCTCACCTGGTTTTTGGTTCTTATGAAGGCACTTTTCTGTGTGGATAGTTGTTCAATTTGGTGTTCCTGTGAGGAGGATGGATGATCAGTGGAGGCTCCTGTTTAGCCATCTTACTCTGTCTCAGTATGTTTTAATAATGAGATTTGTTTCAATAGAGAAAAACATTTTCTAGGTTTACAAAGACCTCATGGAGAGCCAATGGCATGATTGGTTAGTGTGCATTACTTATACAAAGACCTCATAGGCAGAAGAAACATCAAATAGATGTAATTGTTACTTTTTTTTTCTTTCGTTTCTTCCACCAAAGGCTGAGGGCTACAGAGGATGTGGTATGCATAATACAGCCTGAAGAACTATGACAGGGATAAAGGAAATAATGTTTCTTTCAAGTAAGTTTTAGACACCATGGAGTTAGGAAATAAGTTATGAAAATTGAAATCCTGACTACTAGCTGTTTCTTTTCTATTATCTAACAGAGTTTATGTTAGTCTTTTTGACGAGTATTCATTATTTTTAACATGCATATTTAGGGAATCATAATAATTTTAGAAGATACTGTTTTAAGTTATGGACATTAAAGCCATAGGTAAAAGAATATGAAGGTAAAATATTTCAAAATCAGCAGCAGTAAGTCAGAAATCATTTACCAATCCCCTACCCTCTATCACCAGAATGTCCCCAAAGTAAGAAATCCATTCTCTCAGATTTAAAATTCTTTTTTCCAGCATTTTAAAAGTTTGAACTCATTTCCCTGGAGATCATATTTTTAACCCACTAACTCCTAAGTTAATTCTCCATGATATCACCAACTCACATCCCATTTTTCTCAGGTTTGACTATTCGCCTTTGGCCCTTATTATAATATCCCCACACTCTATCATATTGTCTGTTTCCAGCATCAAGTGCTTCTGAAAGCGTACATGAGGCAGCTAGTTTAGATTAGGAATTAAAATTTAAAAACAAGTAAAATTAGATAAGAAATCCACTCTTCACAATGACCTTTTAGGAACCAAAGTACCATTAAAGTAAAATTGCTCTCTTGGTTCTTATGTGTAGATCATACGTCTATTGGTAATGTGTATCTGTGTACATGTGTGAGCTGATGCTGTATGGGGCTTTTCAGAACACTGTAATATTTTATCATTTTTTTATTTGTCTTTTCTTTTTTTGTTGTTTTTTGAAACAGAGTCTTGCTCTGTTGCCCGGGATTACAGGCGTGCACAACCATGCCCAGCTAATTTTTGTATTTTTAGTGGAGATAGGGTTTCACCATGTTGGCTAGGCTGGTCTTGAACTCCTCACCTCAAGTGATCACCCACCTCAGCCTCCCAAAGTGTTGGGATTACAGATGTGAGCCACTGTGCCTAGCCACTTGTTTTTTAATATAAAAATTAATCAAGGTGCAGATTTCTATTAGCATTATGCTTTTAGGGAACATGGTACAGAATAGCAAATATCTTGTGCTTAGCAAAAAATAATCTTGAAAAATTTTTCTGAAATAAATGTTATTGAAAAATGCAAATAATTAGAATTAAATACCAGCTGCAGTTCTACATCCTCTTATTGGCCAATGTAAACAGAAATCAGGCATGTTAACTCCAAAAAAGGACAATTCAACAACATGGAAACCATGACTAATATATGGAGAATACAAAGAAAGACTAAAGATTTAGATCAGGATAATTTCTTTTTATTCCCATCAAATCCAAGTGCCATAAAAATGTACCTAGATAACTAAAAGTGTTTATCCACAAATAAAGCATACTAAGAGTAGAAACTCTAAAGTAGTATTTAAAGTTATATTAGTTAAAATAATTGTAGTAATTAACCTAGTCATTGAGAATGAGGTGATAATTAATATTCTCACTAATATATCAAGTAGGGAAAAGTATAACAAAGAGAAGAATATGTTGATCACCTTAACTTATGCTTTAAAACAACCTGTGAGAAATGGTCAATGAAATTACAGATTTATTTATTTTAATTCTTCTTAATTGACAGATAAAAATTGTATATGTTCATGAGATACAGCATGATGTTATGATATATATATACATTGTGGGCTGGCTAAATCAAGCTAATTAGCATATGAATCACCTCACATGCTTATATTTTGCACTTAAAATATACTCTCAGCAATTTTCAATTATACAATATATGTTATTAACTATAATCACCATAATGTACAATAGATCTCTTGAACTTATTCCTCTGAACTAACTGAAATTTAGCAAATAAAGAGCTTAATTAATGCAGTGCTAGCCAAGTGGTAGATGGAGTTTATTACTCAAATCAGCCTCCCTGAGAACTCACAGGCTAGGGTTGGCAGGCAGTGGGGCTAGGGAATGTGTGCTGCTGATTCGTTGGGGAATTAAATCATAGGGAAAACTATCCTTATGCATGAGCTGAGTCTGCCTCTAGATGGGACCACAGGATGGGCTGAATCATGAGGCACAAATCCAGGTGGAGTCAGTCAGTCACTAGAATGCAAAGGTTTGAAACACATCTCAAAAGACCAATCTTAGATTCTACAATATGATGTTATCTATAGGATCAGTTGGGAGAGTCACAAATCTTGTGACTTCTGGTGCAGTAAACAATTATAGAAAGGCATGCTATGAAAGGCACCTCCCATAGCCTAATCTTGTCATTTTTCATTAGTCTTACAAAGGCAGTTTCAGTCCCAAAACAAAGATGGGGTCAGTTTTAGGAAGAGACTATTATCATCCTTGCTTAAAAGTTAAACTACAAACTAAATTCCTCCTGTGGTTAACTTGGCCTGTCCCCAGAATAAGGGAGGAAGAGACTATTATCATCCTTGCCTTAAAGTTAAACTACAAACTAAATTCCTCCTGTGGTTAACTTGGCCCTTCCCCAGAATAAGGGAGGACAGACAGCCTGTGAAGCTAAAAGCAAGACAGTGTCAGCCCTGCTAAACTTATCTCACTGTTATAATCTTTATAAAGGTGGTTTCAATTCCAGGATCATATTTAATATGACTTTTAGTTAGCAAACAATTTCAAACTAGAAAAGAATGATTCTGTTTGGCAGTTTATTCTGTTGTGTTTTGGCTTACTTTTGAACAGCAATGATCTTAAATGCTATTAGAACAATAAATTTCCTCTCCTGTTCACTCCATCATCACACTCACGTAACAATGAATTTGGGATGGTAGAGAGAGGACAAGCAACGGAGACATCAGTGACCAAACATAATTATTCCAAATGAAAGCAATTTTAAGTTATGAAAACTGATACTGACATGGTTCTTTATATTTTTTCCAAAATAAAAAATATATAATTGTATATTATATATTAGTTTACTTTTTGAAGACTACATATCTGTTTACTTTTTGAAGGGAGGCATAAAAAATAAACAAATGGGATAAGATGTGCCCAGCCGTTACCTCCTCACTAGACTAATCTAGAGCTGTGAGTACCTGCCTAAGAAGAGATATAGAGAATTCAACGAGAGTTTTGAACACAACAGACATGAAGAAAGATTGGAAAAAAGAGAGTTGTGAGGGAAATGTCGAAGAAAATGCAATTGTAAAATAGAAAGCACGGGACAATTTAATAATGTCCTTCAAGTATATGCAAAGCTGCTCAATACAGCTGCTGACCAGCTGTTCCTAATCTTCCTTGAAATCATAAGTTGGAAGGAGACAAAAATTGTAATTTAACAGATTCATATCAAAGAAGAGATAAGAACAGCAGAGAAAGAACAAATTAGATTTCTAGATCACCAAGTGATCACTATGTAAAATAATGATAAATTGCACATTTTTTGCTGGATGTTGCCTCTGCCAGTGTGCTCTCCACATTGAGAATACATGCCATTGTCCCCTATTCCCCCTTTCCTTAGAGGATAAATTGTCACTAACAGGAGGTGACATAGGCTCCCATTGTTTTCATTCATTCATCCCTTTTCTTTTTTTTTTTTTTTTCATTCTGATAAACCACCACTTTCTCCTATGTTCCTTTCATTCCAAACAAACCAAACTATCGCTCTGTTGTCTTCTGGTCCTTCACAGATCCTGTTTCCTCTGCCTAGAAGACAGTCCTTTGTTCCACCCACCCTGACTCCTGCTCATCCTTTAAGACCTGACTGTCACTGGGCCCCTTCCCCTGCGAGGTTTTCATTTTCCTCCTGTTAGTACAGAGGAATGCAATGCCTTCAGGTCTCAGACCAGGATGAACACCACTGCAGCAGAACACATGGGGTTTATTTCTCCTTGCAGCAAGGGATGGCACTGGCTATGGAAGCTGTGGGACATATCAGTAAGAGGATGTTGAAAGGATTTGGGCTTTCATTGGATAATCTGAGGGAAGACATTTAAAACGCAGGGGTTTTCTCTAGATTAGATGTTGTCAGAAGGCAGGAGCAATTCTAAGATTGGGCTTCTCAGTAAGTTTTATCCACAAGGAGGGCCACCTGGAAAAAGGATAAAGCTGCGATTGACAGGAAGTAGCAATCCCTGATTTTAGTTGAGAAATAAGGAAGTTTGTCATTTTGTGGGTAATGTGGCAAACGTGTTTTTGTCTGTACTTACACAGAATTATGAAATGAGCTTCTTTTGTTTTATCATCATTTTATGCTGAACTTGTCTGTGGTTGGTATTCTGTGAGATTGTTTATGTCCAGTAGGAGAGTAACAGGGTTCACCTCTGAGTGCCAAGTCCATTTCTAGATGTCAGGGGGTGGAATTTTTTCTTTCTCAGAAGCTACACATTCTGTTCTTCCAAAACTATATTCAATGCTTCTATTAAATCATTTGTTACATCATATCTTAACCAAACAAACTCAGGGTGTATTACGGTCGGTAAAGTTTTGATAAATGAATGAAAAGATGAGTTGTTGAAACCATTGATCAGTGACATGTGATACGGCACCTCCCTTCCCTGGGAAACTATTAATCATAACACTTTGAGGAAATAAAAAATCTATCTTTATAATAGTGAACTATGAGGTCGAGTCTTAGAAACAAAATTTGAAAGATAAGTGAGTTAGTGTTTCTCAATTACATAGTTACAAGTTTGTCAAATGCATTAGCCACTTTTCTGCTTATACTGTATGGGAAAAAAAGAGTAACTACTAGTAGACTCACCACCCATTAATACAATTAATTAATACATTAATACAATTTTATGTTCATGTAGTAATATAATTTTGTCAATGTGAAATTCATGACCATTATTTTAAAAAACATGGTGTGCAAGTGCATAGCTGTCAGGTGTATGTGAGATTTGTATCTCCCACTTAGAACATTATTTCCTAATGAATGTTACTACGATTTTATTATTATATGTGTTCTAAAATGATCATTCATTTTCTTCTCTTGGAATTCATGCCAGATCCTCAAGTTCTGTCATCAGTTCCACAATTTTCTTTTATCAGACCCAGTTTGAAAAATGTATTGAGAGAGATGAACCTCTATTCCTGCAAAATGTTTTTTTCTCTTTAAGTAATAATATTAGTAATACCTTAAAAGAAAATATGGAAGTTACTATTATGAGTTCTTATCACATAAATAAAGTATGAATTTCAAAGATAGGGTTTATGCTCATGTAAGATTTCAAAGTTCTTATCCAAAGCAAATTAGTCCCTCAAATAATATTTAAGAGAAACTTTGTAAATAGTGACTAGCTACTCTTAATGATGAGAGATACTTCATATGTACTGACTGCAGTTCCTTAAAACTACCAGTAAACTGTTTTGACTAGAAACCACCTTAGTACAAAATGGGACACAGATGAATCAAAAGTTTTGATGAAATAGTTTATCCAAACGATATGCTTTATCTTCTCTCCAATTTCTTGACGTATATGTCCTGCCATAATACTAGTTTATAAACATGGCTTTGATGGAAGAAAATACAAAGGGTCAAATGGAAGGGTCCCAGGAAGGAAAGAAGCCATTGTAAGATCAAAAAGGAACAGAAACACATGAGAAGTGTGAATTATGATAGAAAGAAAAAGGTAGAGAGGTGTAAGAGGAAGATATATTTGATGAAGGAAATAGAGTATAACAGAAAATAATTCTGGAAACAAATGGAAGTAAGAATAATGAAATAGTACAAAGATAAGGATAAAGCCTAAGAGGTGAGAAATCAATTTTAAAGGAAATGAAAGGAAAAAAGCAGGAATTGAAAATTTAAAAATAAGAAAAGCAAATTTGAATGTGTTAAGCCAATGTATTTCCCAGTAGAATCAAATGGAATGCTTAGATTTGTAACTCTTATAATAAAATACTGAAAATCCTAATTTCAAGAGCACCTATTAGTTTAACTAAACCTGGAAATTCATGCATATTAATCTATTTGTCAAATTATGCTGATATTAGATTTCAGGATCGTCTCAGAGCTTCAAGTTTAGCCTCCTTTTCCATAATATTCTCCAGAAGTCTATCCTAAGGAAATAATTAGAGATTCAATCAAAGGCATATGTACAAAGACATTTCACTTAAAATCATTGTGAAAAATTAGAAAGTGCCAAAAGCCCAACAGCAGAGGAATATTTAAATACATTGTGGCATATGCAAGGATGGATTATTGTTCAAGCAATCAAAATCATGTTTGTAAAATGTATTTAGGGCTATGATAAAATGCTCACGTTAAGTGAGGAAAGTAGGGTATATTAATATAATAGGTAGAGAACTCCAACTGTGAGTGTTGGCATGAGTATGGAGAGAGACCGGGAGACAGGGAGATACCTAGAGAGAAAGAGATTAATATTAAAGTGCTCATGGTATCTCTCTGCATTGAGGATTATAGAATATTTCTACATTTTTCTTAATATATGTTTGCATGTGTATGCATGCATGGTCTAACTTGAGTGTATAAAACTTTTTCAGTGGCGCGACGTTGGCTCACTGCAAGCTCCACCTCCCGGGTTCATGCCATTCTCCTGGCTCAGCCTCCAGAGTAGCTAGGACTACAGGCACCTGCCACCACGCCGGCTAATTTTTTGTATTTTTAGTAGAGACGGGGTTTCACCGTGTTAGCCAGGATGGTCTTGATCGCCTGACCTCGTGATCCACCGCCTCGGCCTCCCAAAGTGCTGGGATTACAGGCGTGAGCCACCGCGCCCGGCAAGTGTATAAAACTTTTCTAATCAGAAAATATTTTGTGAGTTTGTAAAGACCCATTTTAATGTATTATCATTATTATTAGTAGTAGCAAGTCTGTAATTCTGATCTACTTTCTCATACTATTTAAAGGTACAAACTGAGAGCTGTCTATTCAAGTTATTTTTTCTTTTTAGTGATGGAGTCTCATTCAGTCATACAGGCTGGAGTGCAGTGGCACACTCGTTGCTCATTGCAGCCTCAAGCTCCTGAGCTCAAGCAATCCTCCCACCTCAGTCTCCTGAGTAGCTGGGACTACAGTTGCACACCACTGTCCTCAGCTAATTATATTTTTATTTTTTTGTAGAGATGGAGTCTTGTTTACTTGCCCAGGCTTGTCTATTTAAGTTTTAAGTGCACTTTACACATATGGTTAATAAAACTGTCATTGTTTACTCAGTATGTTAGCAATAAGTTTTAAGTGTTTGTTTTTCTTTTTTTGCTATTAAAAATCAATGATATTAAAATGTTCTGTGACAAATCAGATAAAAGACAAGAGATCACAGAATTTTATTGCTGGAACAGAACTTAGAGTCCATCTAGTTCGATAGTTTCATTTTACAGACTTGGGACATGAGGTCTAAAGACATTAAATGTCTCACCCGAGGTTATGTGGCTCTTTGGCAGAATGGAGATTGCTGGTCAGCTTTGCTGACTCCAGACATGCTGCTTTGTGCTGCTTATGTCCAAACCATATTTGATTGTATTTGAATCTTTTTCATAAAACCAGCCTTATACGCAATTATTGAGCAATGATTGTTTTCAGTTCCAATCCCTCATGCTAACCCTTGACTTCCTTACTGTGATTCCCCTTTAGACTTCAACAGAACCCCAGGCTAACTGGTCTGTCCTTACTCCCTTGACACTTTTGTGAATTGGTTGTGGATAGGAAATTAACTAATTATTGATCATGTATTAACCCATTAACATATTAATTCTCTCAGATAACCTATTGCTTTAATACAGTGAGATTATCATTTAAGATTATGGCTACTGGCAGATGTTTCAGATAAGACAAAAGGAAAAGAAAATTAATATGTTTTTAGAAAAGTATGCTTTTTCCTGACTTATTCATTCCCAATGACTTCCTTCTTCCAAAGCTAGTCTTTTTCTAATACAAGCACCATATAATATAGCATATGCCCAAATGCCAGCAAACCTAGAGCCTTCTGTATAGCAGTGAAGATGTGGCTGGACTTCTCCATTTCCCAAATTAAGTAGAAATGCATATTTGTCATCCTTTTAACAACTGTTTATTGAGCACCAACTGTGTGTCTGGTACTGCCAAGAACCCGAAAATACAAAGCAAACAAAGTTCTAGCTAAAAGTGTTTCCAAAGGTAAGGCAATGACTTAGAATATTTTTCAAGGCCAAGATGGCCGAATAGGAACAGCTCCGGTCTACAGCTCCCAGCGTGAGCGACGCAGAAGACGGGTGATTTCTGCATTTCCATCTGAGGTACTGGGTTCATCTCACTAGGGAGTGCCAGACAGTGGGCGCAGGTCAGTGGGTGCGCGCACCGTGCGCGAGCCGAAGCAGGGCAAGGCATTGCCTCACTTGGGAAGCGCAAGGGGTCGGGGAGTTCCCTTTCCGAGTCAAACAAAGGGGTGACGGACGCACCTGGAAAATCGGGTCACTCCCACCCAAATATTGCGCTTTTCAGACCCGCTTAAAAAACGGCACACCACGAGATTATATCCCGCACCTGGCTTGGAGGGTCCTATGCCCACGGAGTCTCGCTGATTGCTAGCACAGCAGTCTGAGATCAAACTGCAAGGCGGCAGCGAGGCTGGGGGAGGGGCGCCCGCCATTGCCCAGGCTTGCTTAGGTAAACAAAGCAGCCGGGAAGCTCGAACTGGGTGGAGCCCACCACAGCTCAAGGAGGCCTGCCTGCCTCTCTAGGCTCCACCTCTGTGGGCAGGGCACAGACAAACAAAAAAACAGCAGTAACCTCTGCAGACTTAAATGTCCCTGTCTGACAGCTTTGAAGAGAGCAGTGGTTCTCCCAACACGCAGCTGGAGATCTGAGAACGGGCAGACTGCCTCCTCAAGTGGGTCCCTGACCCCTGACCCCCGAGCAGCCTAACTGGGAGGCACCCCCCAGCAGGGGCACACTGACACCTCACACGGCAGGGTATTCCAACAGACCTGCAGCTGAGGATACTGTCTGTTAGAAGGAAAACTAACAAACAGAAAGGACATCCACACCAAAAACCCATCTGTACATCACCATCATCAAAGACCAAAAGTAGATAAAACCACAAAGATAGGGAAAAAACAGAACAGAAAAACTGGAAACTCTAAAACGCAGAGCGCCTCTCCTCCTCCAAAGGAACGCAGTTCCTCACCAGCAACGGAACAAAGCTGGATGGAGAATGACTTTGACGAGCTGAGAGAAGAAGGCTTCAGACGATCAAATTACTCTGAGCTACGGGAGGACATTCAAACCAAAGGCAAAGAAGTTGAAAACTTTGAAAAAAATTGAGAAGAATGTATAACTAGAATAACCAATACAGAGAAGTGCTTAAAGGAGCTGATGGAGCTGAAAACCAAGGCTCGAGACCTACGTGAAGAATGCAGAAGCCTCAGGAGCCGATGCGATCAACTGGAAGAAAGGGTGTCAGCAATGGAAGATGAAATGAATGAAATGAAGCGAGAAGGGAAGTTTAGAGAAAAAAGAATAAAAAGAAATGAGAAAGCCTCCAAGAAATATGGGACTATGTGAAAAGACCAAATCTACGTCTGATTGGTGTACCTGAAAGTGATGGGGAGAATGGAACCAAGTTGGAAAACACTCTGCAGGATATTGTCCAGGAGAACTTCCCCAATCTAACAAGGCAGGCCAACGTTCAGATTCAGGAAATACAGAGAACGCCACAAAGATACTCCTCGAGAAGAGCAACTCCAAGACACATAATTGTCAGATTCACCAAAGTTGAAATGAAGGAAAAAATGTTAAGGGCAGCCAGAGAGAAAGGTCGGGTTACCCTCAAAGGGAAGCCCATCAGACTAACAGCGGATCTCTCGGCAGAAACCCTACAAGCCAGAAGAGAGTGGGGGCCAATATTCAACATTCTTAAAGAAAAGAATTTTCAACCCAGAATTTCATATCCAGCCAAACTAAGCTTCATAAGCGAAGGAGAAATAAAATACTTTACAGACAAGCAAATGCTGAGAGATTTTGTCACCACCAGGCCTGCCCTAAAAGAGCTCCTGAAGGAAGCGCTAAACATGGAAAGGAACAACCAGTACTAGCCGCTGCAAAATCAAGCCAAAATGTAAAGACCATCAAGACTAGGAAGAAACTGCATCAACTAACAAGCAAAATCACCAGCTAACATCATAATGACAGGATCAAATTCACACATAACAATATTAACTTTAAATGTAAATGGACTAAATGCTCCAATTAAAAGACACAGACTGGCAAATTGGATAAAGAGTCAAGACCCATCAGTGTGCTGTATTCAGGAAACCCATCTCATGTGCAGAGACACACATAGGCTCAAAATAAAAGGATGGAGGAAGATCTACCAAGCAAATGGAAAACAAAAAAAGGCAGGGGTTGCAATCCTAGTCTCTGATAAAACAGACTTTAAACCAACAAAGATCAAAAGAGACAAAGAAGGCCATTACATAATGGTAAAGGGATCAATTCAACAAGAAGAGCTAACTATCCTAAATATATATGCACCCAATACAGGAGCACCCAGATTCATAAAGCAAGTCCTGAGTGACCTACAAAGAGACTTAGACTCCCACACATTAATAATGGGAGACTTTAACACCCCACTGTCAACATTAGACAGATCAATGAGACAGAAAGTCAACAAGGATACCCAGGAATTGAACTCAGCTCTGCACCAAGCAGACCTAATAGACATCTACAGAACTCTCCACCCCAAATCAACAGAATATACATTTTTTTCAGCACCACACCACACCTATTCTAAAATTGACCACATACTTGGAAGTAAAGCTCTCCTCAGCAAATGTAAAAGAACAGAGATTATAACAAACTATCTCTCAGACCACAGTGCAATCAAACTAGAACTCAGGATTAAGAATCTCACTCAAAACCACTCAACTACATGGAAACTGAACAACCTGCTCCTGAGTGACTACTGGGTACATAACGAAATGAAGGCAGAAATAAAGATGTTCTTTGAAACCAACGAGAACAAAGACACAACATACCAGAATCTCTGGGACGCATTCAAAGCAGTGTGTAGAGGGAAATTTATAGCACTAAATGCCCACAAGAGAAAGCAGGAAAGATCCAAAATTGACACCCTAACATCACAATTAAAAGAACTAGAAAAGCAAGAGCAAACACATTCAAAAGCTAGCAGAAGGCAAGAAATAACTAAAATCAGAGCAGAACTGAAGGAAATAGAGACACAAAAAACCCTTCAAAAAATTAATGAATCCAGGAGCTGGTTTTTTGAAAGGATCAACAAAATTGATAGACCGCTAGCCAGACTAATAAAGAAAAAAAGAGAGAAGAATCAAATAGACACAATAAAAAATGATAAAGGGGATATCACCACCGATCCCACAGAAATACAAACTACCATCAGAGAATACTACAAACACCTCTACGCAAATAAACTAGAAAATCTAGAAGAAATGGATAAATTCCTCGACACATACACTCTCCCAAGACTAAACCAGGAAGAAGTTGAATCTCTGAATAGACCAATAACAGGAGCTGAAAATGTGGCAATAATCAATAGTTTACCAACCAAAAAGAGTCCAGGACCAGATGGATTCACAGCCGAATTCTACCAGAGGTACAAGGAGGAACTGGTACCATTCCTTCTGAAACTATTCCAATCAATAGAAAAAGAGGGAATCCTCCCTAACTCATTTTATGAGGCCAGCATCATTCTGATACCAAAGCCTGGCAGAGACACAACCAAAAAAGAGAATTTTAGACCAATATCCTTGATGAACATTGATGCAAAAATCCTCAATAAAATACTGGCAAGCTGAATCCAGCAGCACATCAAAAAGCTTATCCATCATGATCAAGTGGGCTTCATCCCTGGGATGCAAGGCTGGTTCAATATACGCAAATCAGTAAATGTAATCCAGCATATAAACAGAGCCAAAGACAAAAACCACATGATTATCTCAATAGATGCAGAAAAAGCCTTTGACAAAATTCAACAACCTTCATGCTAAAAACTCTCAATAAATTAGGTATCGATGGGACGTATCTCAAAATAATAAGAGCTGTCTATGACAAACCCACAGCCAGCATCATACTGAATGGGCAAAAACTGGAAGCATTCCCTTTGAAAACTGGCACAAGACAGGGATGCCCTCTCTCACCACTCCTATTCAACATAGTGTTAGAAGTTCTGGCCAGGGCAATTAGGCAGGAGAAGGAAATAAAGGGTATTCAATTAGGAAAAGAGGAAGTCAAATTGTCCCTGTTTGCCGACGACATGATTGTATATCTAGAAAACCCCACTGTCTCAGCCCAAAATCTCCTTAAGCTGATAAGCAACTTCAGCAAAGTCTCAGGATACAAAATCAATGTACGAAAATCACAAGCATTCTTATACACCGACAACAGACAAACAGAGAGCCAAATCATGAGTGAACTCCCATTCACAATTGCTTCAAAGAGAATAAAATACCTAGGAATCCAACTTACAAGGGATGTGAAGGACCTCTTCAAGGAGAACTACAAACCACTGCTCAAGGAAATAAAAGAGGATACAAACAAATGGAAGAACATTCCATGGTCATGGGTAGGAAGAATCAATATCGTGAAAATGGCCATACTGCCCAAGGTAATTTACAGATTCAATGCCATCCCCATCAAGCTACCAATGACTTTCTTCACAGAATTGGAAAAAACTACTTTAAAGTTCATATGGAACCAAAAAAGAGCCCGCATCGCCAAGGCAATCCTAAGCCAAAAGAACAAAGCTGGAGGCATCACACTACCTGACTTCAAACTATACTACAAGGCTACAGTAACCAAAACAGCATGGTACTAGTACCAAAACAGAGATATAGATCAATGGAACAGAACAGAGCCCTCAGAAATAACGCCGCATATCTACAACTATCTGATCTTTGACAAACCTGAGAAAAACAAGCAATGGGGAAAGGATTCCCTATTTAATAAATAGTGCTGGGAAAACTGGCTAGCCATATGTAGAAAGCTGAAACTGGATCCCTTCCTTACACTTTATACAAAAATCAATTCAAGATGGATTAAAGACTTAAACGTTAGACCTAAAACCATAAAAACCCTAGAAGAAAACCTAGGCATTACCATTCAGGACATAGGCATGGGCAAGGACTTCATGTCCAAAACACCAAAAGCAATGGCAACAAAAGACAAAATTGACAAATGGGATCTAATTAAACTAAAGAGCTTCTGCACAGCGAAAGAAACTACCATCAGAGTGAACAGGCAACCTACAAAAAAGGAGAAAATTTTCACAACCTACTCATCTGACAAAGGGCTAATATCCAGAATCTACAATGAACTCAAACAAATTTACAAGAAAAAAACAAACAACCCCATCAAAAAGTGGGCGAAGGACATGAACAGACACTTCTCAAAAGAAGACATTTATGCAGCCAAAAAACACATGAAAAAATGCTCGTCATCACTGGCCATCAGAGAAATGCAAATCAAAACCACAATGAGATACCATCTCACACCAGTTAGAATGGCAGTCATTAAAAAGTCAGGAAACAACAGGTGCTGGAGAGGATGTGGAGAAATAGGAACACTTTTACACTGTTGGTGGGACTGTAAACTAGTTCAACCATTGTGGAAGTCGGTGTGGCGATTCCTCAGGGATCTAGAACTAGAAATACCATTTGACTCAGCCATCCCATTACTGGGTATATACCCAAAGGACTAGAAATCATGCTGCTATAAAGACACATGCACACGTATGTTTATTGCAGCATTATTCACAATAGCAAAGACTTGGAACCAACCCAAATGTCCAACAATGATAGACTGGATTAAGAAAATGTGGCACATATACACCATGGAATGCTATGCAGCCATAAAAATGATGAGTTCATGTCCTTTGTAGGGACATGGATGAAATTGGAAATCATCATTCTCAGTAAACTATCGCAAGAACAAAAAACCAAACACCGCATATTCTCACTCATAGGTGGGAATTGAACAATGAGATCACATGGACACAGGAAGGGGAATATCACACTCTGAAGACTGTGAGGGTGGGGGGAGGGGGGAGGGATAGCATTGGGAGATATACCTAATGCTAGATGATGATTTAGTGGGTGCACTGCACCAGCATGGCACATGTATACATATGTAACTAACCTGCACAATGTGCACATGTACCCTAAAACCTAAAGTATAATAATAAAAAAAAATTTTTAAAAAAACTTAAAAAAAAAGAATATTTTTCAAATAAATTTTGCTAAATGAAAAGAATATATGTGAGAAGTCATATCATCAGTTGCAGACAAGCATATTTAGAATTCTGTTATCTCTGTCTGCAACTGGAGCCCAGAATCTGATTCTTGGTCAATTATGCTAAACACAGATTCATATGCATTATCCACTTGAAAACAGAAATTTGCACCTGTAGAAATAACTCTCAAGCTATACTTTTCCTTGATGCATACTATTATAGGCTCCGGGATGGTAACTGATTCAAAAACAGTATGTTTTTAATGTATCAGTCAGTAGCTGAAGCCAATCTGAAAATGTGTTTGACTCAAGTTTTTCCCCCTTCTATGCCGATCTCTTGTAGGTTGGAGGAAAGATGGTAGGCCCAAAGGCTGTATTCCTTATTTTCACTGCTAATTGTTTTGTCCTGTTCTTCACTTCTGTTCTTTGTAGCATGTATGGGGTTTTATGGATGGCCCAGGGGAGGTAGAAAAAAACAATAATGTTCTGAACTTCAAAGATATGTGAGATATCACGTCAGAAGCAAGCAGCAGAGAGATTTCTGAAGAAAACTGTAAATAAGCCATACAAACTATAAATAACTTTTCTGTCTTATGTTGTTGTTTTTTTTTTTCCTGTGCTTAGTACAAATCTAGGAATTAAGTCTTATTTTTGGCTCAAAAAAAAAAAATCATTGTCGTATACATCCTGCAGAGCTTTACTTCAGACTTGGAACAAAGTTCACAAGAAGTAAATACAACTCTTCCTACTTCTTTTTAATCCACATGGGCTAATAAAATTCGCATTCATTGCCAAGGCTTTTAAATAGAGACAAATTTACTGGTGTTGGGTAGACAAAGCAGGAAACAGCAGCACCAAACCATTGCCCCTACTCCGCTTCCAATGCTCAGTACCTATTAGCATCCTCTAAAGATCTGGGACTTTTACTATTATTTAGATCTAGAATGACCTGAAAAGGTAGGAAAGACTCCTCTCAGGCTTTGATGTGGGCTCAACTGGGTGACCAACTAACTCTCTTGTCCTTTAAGAAGTCATGTCAGTTCACAAGATATGGCCCAAACAATCACAACCATAAATAACCATAACAATCTGACTTACGCTTCTATGCAAGTCTTCTTTGGGTTCATTTTCTTAGTTTTCATTGTTGGAAGAGAGTGCTTGTGTCATGTTAGCCAGCATCACATAAAACTGGGCTAGGAGAACATTTTATATTAGCTCTGTTTGTCTTAATTTATCCAATAAAATACCCTTTTACACATTTTACAATTAGTAGTTATTGATAACTGTAGGGTAGCTTTTGTATTTTTAAAGGGGTACTCTCAGCACGTAAACACTTGGCATAGATTCTCTTTTTCTTATTTCAAGACAAGACAATCCCACGATCTTTTTTTTTTTTTTTTGCCTGTTTTTTTGAGACAGGGTCTTGCTCTGTCACCCAGCCTGGGGTGCAGTGGTGTTATCATAGTTCACTGCAACCTTGAACTCCCGGGGTCCAGCAATCCCCAACCTCAGCCTCCTGAGTAGCTAGTACTACAGGTACATGCCACCACGCCTGACTAATTTTTAATTTTTTTCTAGAGACGAGGTCTCATTGTGTTTTCCAGGCTAGTCTTGAACTCCTGGCCTCAAGTGATCTCCCACCTAACCATCTCAAGTAGCTGCAATTACAGATGTAAGACAAGGCACCTAGCCTTCAGCAGTTTTTGTTTTCTTTTGTTTTTTAAAATATCTCCAAAAGAGGCCACAGTGATTTAGCTTTACCCTGGCCACATTAACACAGATTGCTGTTCACTTCAGTGGTGCCAACACTTTTAAATATGATATCATTTCATAGAGAATTAAGCAGCATTTTGTCACAAGACCTAGAATGTTAAAAGAACAGGAAAGATAGGAAGTGTGAGGAGCAACCAAGAAGAAATTATCTTTCAGCCTGTAGAGTCTTGAGTTTAGAGACAATCAAACAAAAGAAACCAGTTAACAATTCAACTTTTTCTATAAAAGATAAAAACAGATCAAGATTTCTTTTCTAATTTGCTTGTGATTTGGAAGCTAGAAGTTGAGAGTTGTAGTTCAGATTTAGGATACACCTATATGTTTACTCTCACTAAAAATAAAATTAGCTATGTGTATCAGAGAAAGAAGTGACATTATATTTATATGCTTCATCAGTGGAACAAAAGTATTATGTGCTGAAAAAAGGAGTGAAGATAAGGATAAGGATAAGGAGTGAAGAAAATAAAAGAATATATTATAACAATTTTGAATACTGTTAACTATATAGCAAATTTCTTGCCTAGCTTTGCTTAGTGTGTGATGTGATGTATTGCCATTGAGTGTTTGGCAGAAAGAATTAAATGTTTGCATTTGTATTGTACCATTAAATGTCCCTGCCATGGAATATATTGAGAGTAAGACAACAACACTCCGCATGGAGAGAATTTACATTACAGTGGGTATATTATCCTTCATTCTCAAATGAGTCATGCAAAACTGACCATTTTGCATGCATTCATTTTTTAAGTTTATGACCAATTCAACTTTTTTGAGGTTTTGTTCACAACAGCTTAGTGATAATAGACAGTAATTTATGGCTGCATGAAAGAACACTCATACTATTTATTGCCAGTGGTTTTGTTAGCAGCCAGCTTGCATTTGAACCCTGAAATTGGATGTTTAACCTACTGATTAAATATTGACTGTTTAAGTGCAAAAATAAATGCTTCTTGAAATGTTTACTTCAGTAGGATTTTTTTTTCTCACAGCTACTTTAGAGACTGAAAAACACTTTCAATATTGGTTAAGAGATTTAAAAACAAAATAAACATTACAAAAGAATCAGGCAATAGTCACTTGCAAATTACATATTCTAATCATTTTGTATTTTTAATGAGATTTCAAAGCAAAGCTATGATGCATAGTATGGCATGGACACTTTCTTCAAGTAATCTTTTAAAGATAGGTGCTACTATATCTATTTTAAAACTAAAATGGAATTTCACTATAATACTATGAGCTAGGAGTAGATTGGGCGTGAAAGTAAATCTGCCTGTGACTCCATTTATTGATCCTTGGTAACTAAAATAGGAAGGAAGGGTGGAAGAGAAGAATGGAAGATAGAAATAAAGGAGGATAGGAAAGAGAAGGGAAGAGAAAGGAGGAAAACCCAGTGAGCAGATAGCTCAACCTGTTTCCTATCAATGTATTTTTATTTTATTTAATTTTAATTCCAAGCTTCAGATCTATTAGATATTTTCATGTTAGAAGCCAGTTTTTATGCTATTTGTTATGGGTCTTATAATTTATCAGTGATCAGTATAAAAAGGGAAGATTATATATTCTGGAAATGAAATTCTATAGCTGTCACAACCATATATGATGGGGATTGGGGTGCCTAAACATTCCCTTGCAATGCTTCGGTAACTCTCATCCCCAGACACCACTCTAAAATGGAAGGACTGATAATGTTATAATTGGAAACTGTAACTATCTTGATGGAATAATCATTGCAGAATCTCTTCCTTCTAGTCTGTTCAGCAAATCCTACTTTTTTAGACACAAATGTATTCTTTCATTCTTTACCAGAGAGTAAATATAAATGTAAGATTTAGATGTTAAATTAATAACTGTAGTCGATCATGAACTTTCACTTTTATCTTAATTTTTTCCTTTGATTGAAAAACATCATTTCAGTGGCCTAATGCCTGAAAAACAGAACAGGCTATGAATCAGAATAACCTCCCTGCTAGAATAAAAGTGGTATACAACTCTTACACCTCAGGTGACATTCTATACAAAGGGCAGCCAAGCACCTCACATTCTGTTGGGATATAATTATCTCATAATAACTATTTTCCCAACAGCTCTGCATCATAATCAGGCCATAAAATGTGTTTTCCTGTCTCTGGAAAGAAGATAGGGTCAGCAGTTTAGAATATTACAAAACAGGCTCAGTTGAGCAGTTTAATTTGCATGGATTATCCTCATCCTCTAAATGTCTCATTGACCAATGAGAATTCTCAGTTGCCTTAATCCAGAGAGTTTTATAATTTTATATGCACACATTTGCATAAGTTGAGATTTTAAAAATTTGCTCAAAATATTAAAAAGGCAAAAGAACTATTACAACATTAACTGCTGTGATATATTTTACAAACTTTAGGATGTTTTATGTTACTATATTTAGCATATCTCTCACAAACATTTTGCCAGCAAAACATATGTCAAATATAGAACCATGCAATAATTTTGCTTGTAAATCTTTTAAAAGATTGTATTATAATTAGACTGTGTGACAGTAACTTCGTTGCACTATTTCTAATATGAAAACAGACTTCATACAATAGTCAAATGGACTTGAGTTTAAATCAAGTACATTCTATAATTTCCACCTCTATTTTAGAAGATAGCAAAGTTCCAAACATAACTTTAAGGTGTACAACAAGCATTTGTGGGGTTCTTACATTGAGTGTTTTCGGATGTAAAAATAAATAAAACTTTTATTTTCTCTTAAGGAGTTTGTGGTGCAGTGTCAGGCACGGGTTCTATATTTTATGTATCATAAGAGACAAATGTATGCACAGGTGGTGGAAAAGCTCAGAGGAGAAGCCCACAGCCTAGCATGGAATTGAGGCATAATTACTTGGAGGAGATTGATACTTAAGGTTGAGGTCTTAAAGGTAAGCAGGAGTTGCCCCAAAATGAAGGAGATTGTTTAAAAAGTGCATGAATAGATGGACAAAAGTGAAATAAGATATGTGACTTTTAAATGTAAAGTTTATTAAGATATAATTTACATGCAGTAAAATCCATTTGTTTTGTGGTGTTCAGTTCTTTGAATTTAGACAAATGCATATAGTCATGTAACTATCACCACAATCAAAGAACATTTCCATCACCCCCTAAAGCTGCCTTATGTCCGTTTGTAGTCAATGCCCTACCCCTACCTCAGTTCCTGGTGACCACTGACAGATTTTCTGTTCCCACAATTTCGCCTTTTCCAAGTTATCACATAAATGGGATGTACAATATGTAGTCTTTTGAGTCTGTCTTCATTCACTTAGCGTAAAGCATATGAGAGTCACCCATGTTGTTGCATATATCAGTAGTTTGTTCCTTTTTACTGCTGAGTGGTATTCCATTGATGGATGTAACCCTGAGTCTTAATTCATTCCCCAATTGATGAACATTTGGGTTGTTTCCAGTTTCTTAGATTATTAATAAAGTGGCTATAAGCATTTATGTACAGGCTTTTGTATGGACAGATGTTTTTATTTCTCTTGGGTAAATATCTAGGATTGGGATTGTGTGATATTTCGACAAAGTTGGCAGAAGTGTGAAACAGCATAAAGTACTCACTGTTTAGCATTACTATAGCACAAGGTAAAAGAAAGGAGGAAGCAAAAAGACGGGCCAAGACCAGATTGCTCAATACTTATTTCATGCTAAGAAACCCAGATTGTATTCTCCAGGCAATAGGGAGGGTTTTAAGCAGTGATGGCATATGGCATACTTTCATTTCATCTGAGGTATCAGAGTGGAACCTAAACGGGTTGGAGGAGACCTTGGGGTAGATATGAGGGAGAGTCAACAAGAACAGTTTAGGATTCTATTATTAGTCCAGGATCCTATGATAGTACCTATTCCCAGTAGTTTCCTGTTTGAAAACAAGAAAGTGGAGCATAATCAAGACTTCCAATGTTATTAGCCAAGAATACTGTGCAATTGGAGAAAAATGCTTACAGTTAACACTTCAGAAGAATTAAATAGCCCACTCCCAATGATCATGGTTTAGGCTAAATAGATTTCACTGGGAAGAAGAGACTTAACTATGTGGAACTAAGCTGATGCCTTCTTAAGATGGCCAAGCACTGGCACTGATGCCCAATAATAACTCACTTAATTATACCAACAGCCCTGTGAAGGAGGTGCCATTGTCATCTGTATTTGCTGTAATGAGAAGAATAGAGGTTTTAGGGTCAGCAGACTGTGTACCAGAGCTACTTCTTTTTGTTACGATAATCTGTTTTTTTACTATGATAATCTATGATAAATTGCTTAAACTCTGTGAGCTCAAATTTATTTTTATTTTTAGTAGAGACAGGGTCTCACTATGTTGCTCAGGCTGCTTGCAAACTCCTGGGCTCAGGCGATTCTCTCACTTTGGCCTCCCAAATTGTTGGGATTATAGGCGTGAACCACTGCACCTGGCCTCAGATTTCTTGTCTGAAAAATGGAGATGGTAGTATCTTCCTCATAGGAATTTTAGGAAGATTAAATGCAACAACAAACAAAATGTCTCTAGAGTATTTCTGGTGGTCAGTGACTGTTTCCTCACTGCAGCTAGTTTCCCCACACTTTTCTCTAGACATGCATAATGAAGTGTTAACTGCTAAATTAAAAATTAGGCTTGACGAATGCAATTTCAAAGAAAAAATCAAGCATTCAAATAAATTCTAAAGATTGGTAATGGACTTCTACCAATACTTTTAAAAATCCATTTAAAAACAACATAAATGAGAACTGTCATCTCAAGTTGCCTTCGTCTGTTTTTAATGAAAATAAATGAGATATGGCCACGCGCAGTGGCTCACGCCTATAATCCCAGCACTTTGGGAGGCCGAGGCGGGTGGATCACGAGGTCAGGAGATCGAGACCATCCTGGCTAACACGATAAAACCCCGTCTCTACTAAAAATACAAAAAAATTAGCCAGGAGCGGTAGCGGGTGCCTGTAGTCCCAGCTACTCGGGAGGCAGAGGCAGGAGAATGGCGTGAACCCGGGAGGCGGAGCTTGCAGTGAGCCGAGACAGCGCCACTGCACTCCAGCCTGGGCGACAGAGTGAGACTCCGTCTCAAAAACAAACAAACAAACAAACAAAAAAACAAAAAGAAAAGAAATGAGATAATGTATATGAAACAACATACAAACATGCATTCCCTCTCCTTTCTCATGAAAATAATAGTAAGATAGTTTTCATCAAAATTAATAATGAAACTGGAATGTTTATCCTAGCAAATAAAATCTTTAGTAAAGGTACATTTGGAATATTTAAAGGGCTGCCATCTGTTAGGAGGAGTAATATTATTTTATGTTTTTACCAAGACCAGAATGGGCCATTAAATAGATGTTAAGGGAGATAGTTTTCGATAAAAGATAAAATGGACTTAATCGTTAGAGTTGTCTAGTGGAGGAGACTGGTTTTTATTATGCAGAATCTCTATAACAGTCAGTCGTGATTTAAAACAAATTATTAAATTTCAATTAAAGGTTAAACTAGGTGTTCTAATACCATCTCCTGTAATATAGTCTGTTTTCCTTGGTCCTAGGTCCATCCAACTAGATGATTCAATAATTCTCTATTTTCATTTCTTCAAAGTGTATAAATAATATAATATTGCTTCATTTGAAAACAATTCTGAACTTCCAAATATATTATTGCTTTCATATTTCTTGTTATACTCTGTATTTCAAGTAATATTGACACTTTGGCTACCAAAATATCTTTTAGATAACTAAAGAGTTGATTGAACTTCCATTTATTTTTTAAGACATAGTTTACATGCTATTATGAACCTTTCTGTTTAATATGAGGTCATAGAAGGACTGGTTTCCTCTGGATATTAATTAATTTATTTATGTGGTATGCATGTCCCCAAGTAAATTATTTTTTAAACATAACTGCATATTTTCCCATCGAACACTTGGTAGCTTTTAATTATTCACAAGATGGTATTATACCCTTCAATGAGTGGGTGAGCTGTTTTATATATAATAGTTGTCCTTATTCTCATTTATAAACTGTAGCATAAAAATTATCTTTAATTTTGAACACTGGAGAAAATGTGCTTGCTGTGGAACTATTAATGTTTTTTCTTTTAAAGTAACCCTATCAATCCATCTTTCCTGTGTCCACTACTAATACCCCAATCCAGACCTTTGCCATTTTATGCCTACAATCTTACCCTTCTCTTGCCTACTCTAATCCATTCTAAAACTATAAAATTAAGTTTTCATAACATACCTATTTATAAAACATTGTGCATTAAACTTTTCAATGACACATTGAAACTTCTGAAGAAGAACAATAAAAGTGAAAGCAAAATAATCTGATGAACCTTGTATTTAAGCCTTCCCCAGTATGATTTTACCTGCCTAATAATTGACTTTTGGTACCACCTTCAGCTCCTTCCATGTGATCAGCTTCACTCAAAAAACAGTAAAGATGATAGTAAGTCATTTAGTTCCCACCTCAAGTTGCCTTTGATATAAAATGACAGCAGTGGCTACACAAAATATACAGCTGTGCATTACCTACCATAAACCGCACCCTGTCTCTGGTTTCCTGCTGTGCACCTGTCTCATAGGTTTCTGAGAGGATTAAGTGAAATAACATAGCACAGGGCTGGGCAGATGACAGTTTCTTCCTAAATGGCAGCTCTTCCTGGATGTGGTTGTAGAACACGGAATAACAATCCACATTTCTTATAAAAGGTAATGCATGGAAATAATTTTCTAATTTAAAAATAAGAATAGTTAAATGTGCTGCTTTATAAGAAGTCACAGAAAACTATGCTTCATGAAAGGCAGTCATTTCATAATTTAGACATATTTTGTGTCTCTTCATATTTTTAATGCTTAGACAGGTAAGTAGAATGAGGGGGAAAATTCCACATGCACCTTCTAGGCTAAGAGAAAACCCTTCTACCATCAGGTGCACGTGGTATTGCTCTTCCTCTCAGGTTTTTCATACTACACACCACTCCTCAGACCTCCCCGTTTACTGGTGGTGAATTTTAAGCTCCAGGATGACCTTAAGTTTTTATTCCCTTACACCCAGTCAAAATTCAGATCTCTTCAGGTGAGTCTTTTTTCTCAGGTGACTCTTAGAAGGAAAGCAGTGTCTATAATGAAATAATTTGTACCACGGTGGGCGTGAATGCCTATGATTTCCTCACTGTGACCAGGTTTTTCAGTATTTTAATGACAGTGTGCTTGTTAAGACACACAAGTTTCAACTTGATAATGTTTCAAAGAGTTTAATAGAGTGAGGTGACTGTTCCAGGCAGCACGGTAGAAGTGGTTTGGGGGCCACCAGGACTTATTTAGCCCCCGAGCATTAGCTCTAGGATCTGCTCTTCTGTTATTCCTCCAGTTCATATCTTTGCCGCTTCTCTGACTTCCAACCAAGAGGTTCTTTAAAGGGTCCATCTTTCATGGGAGTGCATGGAGGATGCTGGCTTTCTGTTCCTGTGTGTGTGAGAGTGAGGAGGACAGGAGAGGTCAGTGTATGTATGTATTGGGGTCATTAAAGACTTATGTAATGATAAATAAAGAGCTGATCTCAAATAAGTTTTAAATGAAATATTGTCATTTTTTTTGACCTGTTACCAGCCTTTCTTCCTCATGTATAATGTCGTCTTACATGTTTTGACTAAGGCTGTCCGTGAGGTAGTTAAGACATTGTGTGTCAGATGAGACATGTTCTGATCAACTGAGGCAGTGATTGCTGAAAAACATGCACCCACCTCCCTGCTTCCCCTGCCCACCACATCACCATCCTGTAAGGAATGGGATAGAAAAGGACACAAATGTAGTTTCCAAAAGAGTGCTGTAAATATGTTGGTTTAGCTTTGGCTTCAGGGGAGTGCCACTGAATTCTCCTTTCTGCCATTAGCATTGGGAAGCCCAAGGAGAGGAGAATTCAGAAGCAGATTAAGGGAGACATTTTGGTAATACAAACACTATTAATTGCTCCCTTTTTTCAACCCCATATGAGTATTGTGAGGATAAGAACAAAAAAAAATCGTGTGTATTATTTATTAGCCCCAGCTCACAATTAATCTCAATTTTCTATAGGAAAGCAGAGAAATTAAAAATATACATTTAGTGGCCAAATATTTTTAGAGTTAAAATCCCTACAATTAAAAATTCAAAGATTTCCAGTGTCCAGATAGCCTATGCAGATGGCAGTATTGAGACTCTCAAATACTGAGCACAGGGAAAAATGTAAAAATATCTTGAATTAAGATTTGCAAATGTGAAGGCACTGAAATATAAGACATTCTAAAAATGAGCACAAAACAGCTTCAATATATGTCTCATTCATTTGTCATTCTATGTCCCTGAAGCATCTTAAAAGGTAAATGTCTTTATTTTTTATAACCAAATTCAAAATTTTCAGTGAAGAAAGAATACTGACAAAATACAAAAGCAATCAATCAAGGACAAACTGGCCACTTTGTAACAATTCTGGGTATTAATTGAAAGTGATTTCATTATCTCTGTGAAAAGTCTAAATTTTTTGAAGTAGAGGAAAGCTAAATGCCAAATACATATAACATATTCAGAAGCAAATGGGATCATTTAAATGAGCTCTTGGCAGAGCCAGTAGCTGTTCTATAAAATGATTAGATGGTTTTATATTCCTTTTACCATTTGTTTCCTGTAAGGAAAAAAAATCTACCTTTATTTAGGGTTTTTTGTGGTCTTTTTGATCACATGAAAAACTTTAATCTGTGAGTAAACAACGTTGGCCATGTATGCTTTTTAACTAGAACCATTGCTTTTGGCAGCAATAATAATGATAAATATTAAAGCTTATAGTATACCAGTCAGTGTTCTAAATATTGTAGAAATAACTCATCTAATACACCATTTGTTATTATAGTGCTAGAATTAGTATTTCAAAAGAAAATGCTATTGGTAATGTTCTTAGTTGCATGCAAATACAAGGCAATTGGCAAAATCCCTAGGGTTCTTTACTTAAAATTCTCTGTAGACAGAGACCTCATTCTTCTTTGTCAGGGACATCTTAGCAATATTCGGGAAAATTTCTAAAAGGAATGTTACTTATGTAACTTTTACACATTACATGTTTTCAATGCAATAGCATAGGCGAAGGCCTCACATGCTGTACATACATAGGAACTTAGACTTTGATTTTGTGTACTGCCAATCTTATCAGTTTATTAAACACTAACACTTTATATAAATATGTTACATTGGGTCCTCTTTATTTTGACAAGTAGCATTCAAGAAAGGGTTTTCAGTGAGCTGAATATTTTGAATCCAACTTTTTACAGAGTAGCATCTTACAATGCAGTATAATAAAATAGAGATGCTTTTTCTACTGGTACATGTTAATTACAATTGGAGAGTAAGAAAAGAATAAACATGAAGCCTTCACTCTGTGCAAATGGTACAGTAATAACAATTTTACATGTATCACTTTGGTTAATTCTTACAGCAATCCTTCAGAGACGATATTTGTGTTATTGTTTTATAGAGAAAGTAACAGAGCCTTAGACTATAAAACTGGTAAAGGTTACATAGCTAAAGAGTGGCAGAGTTCATCTCCCCACCTGACGGCGTCTGTCTCTAAAACTTACAGATTTATTCTCAATGTTATGTAATACGTGCAGGTGCCAAATATTTGTCAAATCCCTAGGTGCTCTGCTTGGTACTAGGAAAAAGTCACTAGTTGGAGATAGCACACTGGGGATTTTTACAGTGTGGCGTGTGAAACATTATATATAAGGTCATGGAATACAAAGTATTCATGCAGTCCCAGAGGAATGACAGGCTCAAGGTACATATTTACAGCTTAATGGGCAACTTCAGAAAATTCTGTAGTATAGCCACTCTCCTGCTCTTTGCATATCAGGGAACTTCATTTTTCTTAAATTGGTTGCAGATTGTAGTTCTAGTCTCTGTCAGCAGTTATGAACCTTTTCAGTGCTGAGACCAAAACAATACTTTTTTTTCAAATCAAAAGCCTAATATTCGTGCATGTTGTTCACAGTAAAGCTTCTGAAAGCCATCATTTGCTGTCATTTTCACAGAAGAAAATTTATCATATTAGCAAAGGAAACAACTACATTAATAAATAATAATAACCACCATTTATTGACTGCTTATTATGTACCAAGCACTATTCTACTTTGTTTATACCCAAAATGTAATTTAATTCCTAGTGTACCCTCTGAGGTGGGAATCATCATCCCCATTTTAGAGAGGAAATTGTGACATAATTTGCTCAATGTATTATAGCTGGTTAAAATAAAGCCCTGTTCAAACAAAGGTCTAGTTCTTAGTCACCAAAGCACAGAAACTATTCTAATGAGTTTAGAGTCCAGAACTACTTTGCCTGGTTTACATTCCAACTCTCCTGCTCATTTCCTTTTTAAATATAGATAAGACACTTAACTTCTTGACACCTGTTTCTTCATCAGTAAAATGATAATTATAAATACCTTCTATATAGCATTGGTTACAAGGATTAAAAGAGCAGTTACATATAAAGCTCTTAGAACAATACCTACCATAGAGAAAATACTCACACAATGATAGTTGTTATTGTCCTTATTATAGCTTTCTAGAAGAACAAAATATGGAAATAAATATATGATAGGGACTAAAGTATAAAATTTAGAGTATATTTTCCTTTGTCACCATCAGCATATTTAATAAACTGACTACATTCACTGAGGTTGCTATTATATACAAATTAAACTCCGAGAATATTTGATCTTTCTATCCTTTATCAGGATTCATCTTGCTTGAAATCAGAGTAATTCTGAGTTTACTCATTTCCTCAGATATAAAAATCATTGATGGAAAAAAGTCAAACTCCGCATTCAAAGTGAAAAGGGTAAACTTTATTTCTAATATGTTTTCTAATGTCAAGTTACAATTTCTATATTTTGAAAAGAACAACTTATCATAAACTGTCTAACACAAACTAGCTTCACGTGCTTTTATTTGTCAATTAACAATGATGTTTCTAACAAATGAATATTGGCTAATATATTGTACATAAGAATTAGAAGTTAATGACTAAATGTAAATGTTAGACTCTCTTATATTCCTGCCATTGTTTATCTATTGGCGAAGAAAACTACCAGGATGTAAACAAATTAATTGTCTCTTACTCCACTCTATTCTGTTCTTGCATTTGAAGACAACAACCATCTTCCAAAGGAGAAAGAGCATGCTCCCAAGGGATTAGGAAAAAAGTTATTAATGTGTGTATATGCATATGTGAAACAGGAGAGTTCCCTGACGCCCCTTGCAGGACATGCAACAGGGGTGTGGCTCATCTGTTTGGCTGCTGCCACTGCTCAAACCCTTTATGGGAGGGGGAGCAAAAGGCGCAGGATCTGGGCAAGCTTTTTTGGGCTCTGGACCCACAGTAGTGTCTAGGGGTAGGTGCCTGCAACTTGCGAAGCTCAAGTGGGCCTGTATTACAGTGCACTCTTTTAGCTTTGCCATCCATGGACAGCTTAAGTGTTAAGCAGCTCAGTGGGCCCTCTGCCTTTTCACAAGGGCAGAGGGCCAGTGTGACAGCTTTCCGTATCCGAAGCCCTTGTCTGGCATCCAGGAAAAATCAGGTCACACACAGACTTGAAGGATGGTGAATGCAGGGGTTTGATTGAGTGGTGGAGGTGGCTCTCAGTGGGATGGATGAGGAGCTACAAAGGGGATGGAGTGGAAAGACAATCTTCCCCTAGAGTTTGGCCATCCAGTGGATAATCTCCTTTCCAACCATCCCCAGCCAAACTCCTCTCAACATTCAGACATTCCATCTCTTCTCTCCTTCTCTGCTGCTCTTCTGCTCTTCTGTTCACCTGCCCATCTGCTTATGGAGCCTTGGGTTTGAGGTTTATATGGTTACAGGATAGAGGGATGTGGTGGGCCAAAAGGGAACATTTGGGCGTGAAAACAGGAATGTCTGTTCCCATTTAGCGCTGCGGGTTTCCAGGCTTGGGGTTCCTGGGGAGCTACCCACTTCTACCCAGTATTTCCCTGTATTCCCACGGAATACACAAAGTATTCCATGTCATGGAATATATATATATGTAAAAATGTGTAAACCAAAAAGTAACTGAGACAAGTCTCCATCAATTTAGAAGTTTATTTTGCCAAAGTTAAGGTCCTGCCTGTGACACAGCCACAGGAGGCCCTGAGAACATTTTCCCAAGGTGGTTGAGTTACAGCTTGATTTTATACATTTTAGGGGGACAGAAGTTATAAGAAGTCATCAAACAATACATGTAAGCTGTACATTGGTTCAGTCCAGAAATAGGGGACAACTCAAAGTGGGAGGGGGTCAGGGAGGTGGAAGTATTGCCAGGTCATAGGTGTATTCAAAGATTTTCTGATTGGGAATTGGTCAAAAGAGTTCAATTATTATCTAAAGACCTGGAATCAATAGAAAGTAATGTCTGGGTTAAGATAAGGGGTTGTGGAGACCAAGGCTCTTCTAATGCACATCAAGCCTCCCCGAAGAAGGTTTCAGAGAGAATAGATGGTAAATGTTTCTTATCAGACTTAAAAAGGTGCCAGACTCTTCATTTCTCCTGGATCAGGAAAAAAACTGGAAAGTGAAGGGAATTCTCTATGAAATGTAGATTTCCCCCTTGAAAGACAGTTTTGCGGGGCCATTTTAAATACTTCAAAGAAACATATTTCAGGGTAAAATACTTCGATTTCTTTCAAGGCCTGCTTTTATCTGTCATTTTATGATGTATCTTATTGCTGCAAAGAGTCTGTTTGTCAGTCTTTAAACTTCGTTTTAATGTTAACGCTGGTCAGTTGTTCCTGAATTCCAAAGGGAGGTGGGTATAATGAGGCATATCTGATGTCCTCTTTCCATCATGACCTGAACTAGTTTTTCTGCTTTACTTTGGAATGCCCTTGGCTTAGAGGGGGTCTATTCAATTGATTGGGAGGCTTATAATTTTATTTTTGGTTTAGAAATATTTGTGTACAAACGTACTTGTAAACCAAAAATAAAGTTTATATAAACATATGTTTATATGTTATATATCATAGAAATTTATAAATATATATTTATAAATTTATAAATTTTATAATTTTGAAATTTATAAATATATATTTATAAATTTATAAATTTTATAATTTTATAATTTATAAATATAATGTATTTATATATTATCTATATTAATATATATTTTTATATTATCTATTTATATATCATATATGTATTTATATATTTATATTTATATATTTATATATTTATATTTATGTATATTTATGTATAAATATATATTATATATTTATATTTCATAATTATAAATATATAAAATTATAAATATATAAAATTTATATATATTTATATAAATTTTTCTTTTGTTTGCACTCTCTCTCTGTCTCTATCCGATATCCTTGTAAAATCAGTTTAAATTCCCATGTTTCCTCTTATCATTTTGGTGTACTGTATGACTTTTATCTTTTATCTCCCATATATATACATATATATGTATATATATGTTTGTGTGTGTGTGCATATTTATATATATATATATATATATATATATATATATATAGAGAGAGAGAGAGAGAGAGAGAGAGAGAGAGAGAGAGAGAGAGAGAGGTGCGTAATGCAGAAATGACATGTCCTGGGCATAGATGCTGTAGCAACCAAGTAAACCTATTTAAAATGGCAGTGAAACTGCCCATCAAAAGGCTTGTTCATGTCATGTAATAAAAGGAAGTATCAAACCAGAAAGAAAATTATTGGAAGAACAATAAAATGCAGTTTGGGGTAATCTACTACCATGAAATATTTTATGAATATCTGCCCAGAGACTGTATTTAAAGTATATTAAGTTTCTTCATAAAACGTTTACATTATACTTTGGGTCTTAAGAGTTTGAACTGCAAGACTAGCTTTAATTGTACTGTTTTGCATGCGAAAATCTGATGTCCTTGTAAAATCCAGTTTAAATTCCCATGTTTCCTCTTATCATTTTGGTGTACTATATATATGACTTTTATCTCCCTGATTAATTTTCCGTGATAGTCCTTGTCAGAGCAAGAAAAATGTTCTAGAAGAAGCTAAATAAACTGTGGAGAAATACTACTTGATAGTCTTTAGAGAATAAACTCCAGAAAGGGATTAACACACAGGAAACAAAAAATAATTCTCCATGAACATTTGATTGTTGATAAAAAGAAAAAAGGGCTGGGTAGCCGCTGTTGTGTGTGATAGCAATGTTAGAAGCAGTGTCTGTAGTAATTGCGAGAGTCCCATTAGAGATGTTCTATTTCAGAAAATCAATATACACATTTTTTACACACATATTTATTTTTTTAAACCTGAGAAAAATATGCTAAGAGACTTCTAGACTGAGATGTTAGATAAAAGTTGTACAATTGACTTGCTTTCTTCAAAACTTTACAAAATTAACCACCAAAAAGTCTTAAAATGGGCAAAATGTATCCTCAGCAATAAAGCAAAGGAAGTAGCAAAACCAGGAGCCAGGCACGTAGGTGCACACTTATCATCCCAGGGGGCTGAGGCTGGAGAATTGCTTGAGCCCAGGGGTTTGGGACCAGCCTAGGCAATATAGTGATTCTCCATCTCAAAAAAGAAAAAATATATGTGTGTGTGTGTGTGTGTGTGTGTACGTGTGTACGTGTGTGTAAATACACACACGTACACCCACATATATATATACACACCCACATATATATATACACACCCACATATATACACACACACACACATATATATATACAGAAAAATACAGAAAAATCTATACAGAAAAATCTATACAGAAAATATATACAGAAAAATCTCAAGTCATAATTTTTGAATAGTGGTAGTTACAGAGGCAAAAAATCCCAGAAATGACCATGTGGTACTATTGCTCCCCTCGATCCACCCGCCCTCACTACCGCTATTCTCACTCACATCAAAGCAATCCAGGTAACAGAATCCTCACAATAGTGTGGGCATAACCACTTCCCATTAGTGATTTTAAGTAAATTTATGTGTTAAGGAAGCATCCCATCCACTGAAAATCACATGGAAGAACAGAAAACCCCTCAAGAGAGGAAGAAAACAGTGGCTCAAAACCTGTCCTACCATTTCAGCAATTCACCAAAGCCAGGAAGAACTACCAGGCTGAGTGTTTTGTTTTGTTTTGTTTTGTTCTGTTCTCCAGCTTAATGGTAAACTGGAAAGGAAAGGTAAAATGTACATAATCACTGAGAGAAAATTATTTCCTGCAATTAGTTGAGATTTATTAGAATAAAAGAGAAAGCAGAAAATAAATTAGACAAGCTCCTCTAACAGAACAGGTGGCCCTGTAAGAAGAGACACGAAGAATCCCAGTTACAGTTTTACTGCTGCATCAGACTAAAGACTCCATGGCCAACCTAGAAGTTATTGCTTTCTTTTTTTCTATCAGATTAACAACAAATGGAAAGTTTTGTACTACCCTGCACTGGCAAGAGTTTGAGGAAATAGTAACTCTCAAAGCCTATTTATTGGGAGGTGAATTGATGCCAAATTTTTGGAAAATTATTTTGCAGTATCTTTTAAACTTTAAAATGTACATAGTCCATGACCCAGAAATCCCACTTTTAAGAATGTTACCTGAAATCATGCTGGCAAAAAATAGATGAGCCAAAATATCTGTTGAAGATTATATGCAATAGCAAAATACTACAGACACCTCCAAGGATCAATGAGGAAATGGCTCAATTAAATGCATCCCATGGAATACTCTATAGCAACTACAAATAATGCAACATCTTTGTATTCTGATGTAAAGAGCGCTCCAAGCTATATTATTAAGTGAAAAAGAATTGCAGAAAGTATGTGTATTGTAATAAGTAAAATAAATATGGATACATATGTGGTTTTTCTGTAATAATAATCAAGAAAATACAATGACTATTTGGAAGAAGTCCAGAGAGTTTGGGACAAGGGTAGAGGAATAACTGTTGCTTTCAGTTTCATATATGTTTGTTCTGTTTGAAAATTTTGCAATGCACAGGTATTATTACACAAGCTGTGTTTGTTTCAAGTACTCACCAAACATGACCAAGTAGCTGGCTTAAACTCATCATGCTCAAAAGGGCATATCACTCTATTACACCATATTACTTCTAAGCCGTTTTACCCTCTGTTACCTAAATTGATAATAGCCCTCGCCACCCTCCTATTAACCCAGTCTTAAAACCTGTGTCATTTTACAAAATTAATTATCTTTTTTTATTGTTGTTGTTGTTATTTTAAAGCATTCTAACTGCAGTAATCTTGGGAAAAAATAAAACATAAGGAAAATAAGAAAACAAAAATTGCCTATAATCTTTCTATTCAGTAAAGTTAATGTTAAGAGTTTGTATAAGGCTGGGCATGGTGGCTGACTCCTGTGATCTCAGCACTTTGGGAGGCCAAGGTGAGAGGATTGCTTGAGCCCAGGAGTTCAAGACCAGCCTGGGCAGCACAGTGAGACCCTGCCTCAAAAAAAAAAACAAAAAAGAAAAAGAAAGAAAATAATTAGCCGGACATAGTGGTGCACTGTAGTCTCAGCTACGCAGGAGGCTGACGTGAGAGGAGATCACTTGAACCGGGAGATCAGGGCTGCAGTGAGCTATGGTCACACCACTGTACTACAGCCTGGATGACAGAACAAGACCCTGTCTTAAAAAAAATAAATAAAAAGAAAGGTTTGTGTACGTTTTAACAAAATATTGATAGATGGTAGATAAATTAGAGATATTGATACACATACAGATATACATATAGATATATTCACACATGCCTGTTAATTAACCTACTTATTTTCTATATTCACACATGCCTCTTTATTAACCTACTTACTTTCTCCCACTTCACATATCATGAATAAGCCAATGAATATTCTTCCACATCATATCCTGCAAGTGACTTAGCCAATCCTTCTCTGTAAAATGTTTGGGTTGTTTTCCAGGTTTTTTCAATAGCATGCATAATGCATACATACATAATGAACATTTTTATGGTTACTTAGGTTAGTGAATGGCTTCCCATCCCAAACAAACTCATGGCATGTGAGAATGATGTATTCAACAGTGAAAGAAGTGAAAGGTGGATGATGCCAATTAGACATGAACTGTTGCAGGAAGAATAATATATCTGTTATTTAAAACTGAGAGAGAATATTTAATGCTATTTTAAAATATAATTTATTGAAAATGTGAAGTGCATCCCAAAGAGAGCCATGTGAAGGAGTAGAAAAAATAGAATAAGGTAGAGCTGGAAGTAGAATGAAATGTGGCCCTTTCAGATGGCATGCGCACATGAGTTATGTTGCATGTGATGGAAGTTTTTAGTGCTGGGACATTTCCCATGCAAAAATATCTATTCCAACTGATGCCTGGTACTCATTCAACAGTTGGCCCTTCCATTAAGTTAAGATGTTATTCAACTAACACTTAGGTGGGCATGTTAGACTATTATTAGTCACTTGGGCCTTAACATAAAATCACACATATTTTTTAAAGAGGAGACTGGGAAACACACATGAGCAATTACCTGGGAAGAGTAAGCCTAAAATAGGAATCCTGATCAATCAAGACTGGTCTGAAAGCCCCAGATACCTCAGAAAGTATGCATGTTATAATACATACAGATATCAACATTTATAGAAGCTTTATCATATATGGATAATTAAATAATGTATCATGTCTAGTGTTTAGTAATGAGTGCCTAGCATGTCTAGCATAAAAAATCTGGTATCAGTTGATTCTGTCACACTCATCCATTTTTTCTTTGTAGACATTTGTATAAAAGAAGCAGCTACACATTCTATGCCAACAGGAAAATTCAACAGTCAATGTATTTAACAAAGCATGAAATCAAAAGAGAAAGATATATAAATTAGATTTGAATGCAAAATATGAAAGCTAGCTGATATTTATATAGTTCAGATTTTCATTTGTCTTTATCTTTCATTTTGTTTATCAATAGTGCCCACAAAACTTACAAGACAATGTAAACTGTATGCTTATTTAATAAATAAAAATAAAATAGAGTTCAGTTAAGAAACCCAGACACTTATTCTATATGTGGTACCAGGATATGCTGTGAAAGATAAAAGAATGAATCTGACATAGTTCATGAAGTCAAAAGGCTAACAGTCTTATAGAGGAGATAAATATTAAATAAATTATTATTTTTAGAGTGACACACAAAATAATATGCACAATGTACTTTCTTAGAAATATGAATTATGTGGAGTTGTGTTCACAATATACAGAAAAGAGAGTGATTAATTGTCCTGGAGGAGAGTGTGAGGGTCACTGGGGAATAAAGCACATGGGACTTGATAAACCTTGATGTTGGCTGTCCTAGTTGTGCCCTTGGGGCAGAGGAAGTAACAAACTTAAAAGTAGAACTCTGTGGGATATGGTGGTGCTTTTAGAGAATCACAAGCATTTTGGCATTGCTAGAGGTAGAGGGTGACAGGAGAAAATAAGTGACATTCTTAATATCTAGATAAAAATAAGTTTATATTTTGAATTTTCCTTATTTTTGTAAGTTCTTACAAATGCTTTAAGATGTTTCACAATATATATTCTGTTGCAGTAATGTTGTAATCAAAACACTTTATGTGTAATCACTTTCATTGTATTTAGTATATTTATGTTTTTGCGACAGATAAAATTGTTTATATTTACTGTGTACAATATAATGTTTTGAAGTATATACACATTATGGGATGACTAAATCTGGCTAATTAACATATTCATTATCTCACATAGTTATTATTTTTATAGTGAGAACACTTTATATCCACTTTCTTAGCATTTTTTAAGAATACAACGTATTATTGAATACAATCACCATGTTGTACAATAGGTCTCTTACATTTATTTCTTCTAACTGAAATTTTGTATCTATGGACCATCTCCACAACAGCCCCCTGCCCCGACGACCACCCCAGATTCTGGTAACTACCATTCTGCTCTCTACTTCTAGGAGATTAACTTTTTAAGATTCTACATATGAGTAAGATCATGTAATATTTGTCTTTCTATCCTGGTTAATCTATGTTGTCCTCCAGGTTAATCTATGTTGTCACGAATGACAGGATTTCATTTATTTTTATGGCCAAATTATACTCCATTATGTATATATGCCATATTTTTTTCAGAAACTCATCCACTGATGAACACTTAGGTTAATTCCATATCTTGTCTATTGTAAATAATGTTATAATAAACATGGAAGTGCAGCGATCTCTTCAACATACGGATTGCATTTCCTTTTGATATGTACCCAGTGGTTGGATTGCTGGATCATATGGTAATTCTATTTCTAATGTTTTGAAGAAATTCCATACTGTTTTCCATGATGGCTATAATAATTTACATTCCCACCAGCAGTGTACAAGGATTCTCTTTTCTCCACATTTTCACTGACACTTCTCTTTTTTTGTCTTTTATCCTAACAGGTGTGAGGTGACATCTCATGGTGGTTTTAATTTGCATTTGTGTCGTGATGAGTAATGTTGAGCATTTTTTCACATACCTGTTGGCCATTTGTATGTTTTCTCTTGAGGAGACGTCCATTCATGTTCTTGGTGTTCTGTAATTGGTTTTTTGTTTGTTTCTTTTCTTGCTGTTGAGTTGTTTGAGTATTTTATATATTTTGGTTATTAAACCCTTATCAGATGTATATTTTGAAAATATTTTTCCCATTCTGTAGGTTCTCTTTTCACTCTTTTAACTGTTTCCTTCGTTGTGCAGAAGCTTTTTAGTTTGATGTAATTCTATTTGTCTGTTTTTGCTTTGTTGCCTGTGTTTTGGGGATCCTATTTAAAAAGTTATTGCCCAGTCCAATGTCATGCAGTTTTCCTCTATGTTTTCATTAGTAGTTTCATAGTTTTGGGTCTTACATGTAAATCTTTAATCCATTTTTAGTTGATTTTTGTATATGGTGTGAGAGAAAGGTCTAATTTCATTCTTCTGCAGGTGGCTATCCAGTTTTCCCAGCATCATTTATTGGAAAGACTGGCATTTCTCATTTGTGTGTTCTTGGCTGCTTTGTCAAAATTAAGTTGGCCGTAAATGTGTGGATTTATTTTTGAGCTCTCTATTCTGTTTCATTGGTCTACGTGTTTGTTTTTATGCCAGTACCATGATGTTTTGGTTGCTAAGGCTTTGTAGTTTTTGAAGTCAAGAAGTGTGATGCCTGCAGCTTTGTTCTTTCTGCTCAGAGTTGCTTTGGCTATTTGGAGTCTTTTGTTTTTCCATATGAATTTTAGGATTTTCTTTGTTTCTCTAAAGAATATCATTGGTATTTTGATTACAGATCATTTTGAAAAATATCAGCATTTTAAGAATATTGATTCTTCCAATCCATAGAACATGGAATATCATTTTATTTATTTGTGTCTTCAATTTCTTTCAGCAATATTTTATAGTTTTTGATTTGAGATCTTTCATCTCCTTGGTTAAATTTGTTACTAATATTTTATATTTTGTAGCAATTATAAGTGGAATTGTTTTATTTCTTCTGCAGACAGTTCACTGTTAGTGTGTAGAAATTCTACTGATTTTTAAATATTAATATTGTGTTCTGCAACATTACTGAATTCATTCATTTTTTCTAATTCTTTTTGGAGGCATCTGTAGGGTTTTCTATATATATGGCCATGTCATCTGCAAACAGGGACAACTTAACTTATTGCTTTCCAATTTGGATCACTTTTATGTAATTCTCTTGCCTAATTGCTCTGCCTAGAACGTGCAGTACTGTATTGGATAAAAGTGGTGAGAGTAGGCATCCTTGTCTTGTTCCATATCCTAAAGGAAAAGCTTTCAACATTTCCCTGTTGAGTAATTTGTTAGCTGTGAGTTTGTCATGTATGGCCCTTATTGTGTTACGGACTATAGAAGGGATCTTCTGTACCTAATTTGTTGAGAATTTTCATTGTCAAAGGTTGTTAAATTTTGTCAAATTTTAAGGCATCTATTTAAATAATTATATCACTTTTGTCTTTCATTCTGTTTATGTGTTGTTTCACCTTTGTTGATATACGTAATTTAGCCATCCTTACATCTCCCTGAGATGAATTCCCTTTGATTGTGGTGCCATGGATCTTTTTAGTGTGCTGTTGAATTTGATTTGTTAGTACTTGGTTGAGGATTTTTCCATCTATATTCATCAGGGATATTGGCCTGTAATTTTTTTTGTAATGTCATTGTCTGCTTTTGGTGTCAGGGTGGTACTGGCCACATAAAATAAGTTTGGAAGTAGTCCTTCCTTTTCAATTTTTTGGAAGAGTTTGAGAATAATTGGGATTAATTCTTTAAATGTTTATTAGAATTCAATGGTGAAGGTTGTAGGTCCTGGGCTTTTCTTTGATAACCGATTTTTTATTAGTCATTTAATATCCTTACTCATTATTGATCTGTTAAGAGTTTCTATTTATTAATGATTTAGTCTTGGTAGGTAGCATGTGTCAAGGAATTTGTCCACTTCTTCTAGATTATCCAATTTGTTGTCATAATTTTTCATAATAGTATCTCATAAGCCTTTGTGTTTCTGTTGTATTAGCTGTAATGTCTCTTTTTTATTTCTGATTTTATTTATTTGAGTTTTCTTTTTTCTCTTAGGTTAACTAATGACTTGTCAATTTTGTTAATTTTTTCAAAAAACCAACTCAGTTTTATTAATTTTTCTATTGTATTCGTAGTCTCTATTTTATTTATTTCTGCTCTGATTTTTATTATTTCATTTTTTTTTTTACTAACTTTGGCTTGGTGTGTTTTTATTTCTCTAGTTTCTTATGATGCAACATTAGGTTATTTATTTGAGATCTTTCTTATTGTTTTGAGGTAGGCATTTATTGCTGTAAACTTCCCTCTCATATCTGCTTTTGCTGTATCTCATATGTTTTGGTATGTTGTGTTTCCATTTTCATATATCTCTTTTTTATTTCCCTTTTAATTTTGTCATTGACTCATTGACCCATAGATCCTTTGTTCTTCCTTTCTCTCTTGCTGTCTTCATTATTGGTTAAGTGATTTTTTTAATTGATATGTTTTGATTTCTTGCTTTTACTTTTCTCTGTATTTACTCTAGGTTTTGGTGTTGTGGTTATTATGAAGCTTACAAAATCATCTTATAGTTATAACAGGTTATTTTAAGATGATTACAACTTAACTTTAATTACACACACACACACACACACACCCCTCTACATTTTTCCTCCACTCTTGCCACCAAATTTTGAATTTTTAAAGCCACAGTTTATATCTTTTTATCCTGTCTATCCTTTAATAAATTATTGTAGTCTTTTTTTTAATAGTTTTGTTTTTCAGTCTTAGAAATTTATACACCAAATTATAGTCTTAGAGTATTCTAAATTTGACTTGTGCTTACTTTTACCAGTGAGTTTTATACTTTCATATATTTTCATATTACATATTAGTGTCTGTTTCTTTCAACTCAAAGAAGCCACTTTAGCATGTCTTATAAGACAGGTCTGCAGGTAAGAAACTCCTTCAGCTTTTATTTTTCTGGGAATAGTCTTTGTCTCCTTCATTTCTGATGGACTGTTTTGCTTGACACAGTATTTTTACTTGACAGATTTTTCAGCAATTTGATGTTCAGTAATTTGAGTATTTCACCTCACTTTCTCCTGGTCTGTGAGGTTTCTACTGAGAAGTCTGGTGCTGTCTCTATTGGGACTCTCTTATACCTATTTGGTTGTTTTCTTTTGCTGCTTTCAAGATCTTTTCTTTGTGTTTGATATTTGACAATTGGGTTATAATATGTCTTGGGGTATTCTTATGTGGATTTGACATTATGTGAGAATTTTGACCTTCCTAATGCACGGATATTTGCGTCTTTCTCCATGTTTGGGAAGTTTTTTGCTATTTTTTTTTTAATAAACTTTCTAACCCTTGATCTTTCTCTTCACTTTCTGAAATTCCTGTGACTCAAAAATGTGCTCTTTTGATGATGTTTCATAAGTCCCATAAGCTTTTTTCATTCCTTTACATTGTTTTCTTTTATTCTCCTCTACTGTATATTTTCAAATAACCTGTCTTCGAGTTCACAGATTCTTTCTTCTGCTTCGTCAATTCTGTTATTGATGATTTCGGTTGCAGTTTTCATTTCATTCATTGTATTTTTAATCTATGGGATTTCTATTTATTTTATTTTTTAATTGTTTCAATTTTTCTATTAAATTGTTCATCTGGTCACTTAGTGTTTTCCTTATTTTATTGAAGTATTTTTCTGTATTTTCTTGAAGTTCACTGAGCTTTCTTAAAACATTTGTTTTGAATTCTTTGTCAAGCAGGTTATATATCTTCAATTATTTAGGATTAGTCACTGGGACTTTATTTTGTTCATTTGATGATGTTATGTTTTCCTGATTGTTTTTGATCCCTGTGGTCATGTGTTGATGTCTACAACTTGAAAAAGTGGTACTTATTTTAGCAACTATGTCTGGGAAAGCCCTGTGCAAATGCTGTGCTGGGGTGCACCAGAAGCCTGGTGCAGCTGCAACTGGTGAAGTGCTACTAGAAGCCTAGCACTCATTATGGCAAATGCACCACTAGCGCAGGCCAGAAGCCCAGGCCCACTGAGGCCGGCCTGCTGTTGAGAGCTGTCCTGAGCCCAGGGCCACTAACATCCACTGACCCATGGTGCAGGTCATAGTTTGAGTTTACACACAAGCCTGAAGCCTGGAACAGTGTGATCCTTCCTGACACCAGGGTAGATCCAGAGGCTTAATATGCAAGAATCAGCCTTGAATATGAGGCCATGGGTACCTAGTGCTGGGTTTTACTTTGGTGGGCCCAATGTTAGTATCCAAGGTAAAGTTTTGCACTCACATCTCTTTTCCCACCATGTGAACTGTATCTCTCTCTGTGCTGTGGCACCTTGGGTTGGGAAAGGAGTGATACATGTAATGTAATACTGACATCCTTACCCTCTTCCATGTGCCTTTTCTTATTATTGTACTACAACCAAATACTGTGATCTGGTTTCCTTAGCTCTTGTGAAGGTATTTCTGTGCATGGATTGTTGTTCAAATTAATGTTTCTGCATGGGGACGACCACTGGAGAGTCCTACCCTGAGGCCTTGCACTGCCCTTCCTTGGCACATTAAGAAACAAAGTTAATTTAAGATGCTGGTTGTAGAACTTGGAGATATTTTGTGTGCATGTGAATTTTACATTGGTGCGTTGGTGGCGGCTTAAATATTTTTAAAATGCCTACTGATTGGTGGATTGGTTTTTTTTCTGTCCCCTTGCTTTATGTTAGCACTGAGCAAGTCAATATATATAAACGTACAACATAATATTCTACAATTTTTTTTCAGGAGTGAATGCCTAATTGTTCAGAATTATTTTTGTGTAGTGGTTACTGAAGCACCAATGGTGCTATAACATAGTAAAAACAAATTGCAAGGAGTTTTTTTCTTTGTCATTATCTACCTCTCTAATGAGGTTACTACAGAACTGAGTTATTTGTTGGCATTTCTGAACACTAGAGAGGAAGGAGGATTAAAAGGTAAGGTTGAAGGGGTAGACAGGACCAGATGAAATAGGGCTTTATGGAAAATAATTTGACATTGTTTCTAAGTACAGTGGGAAGCCCTTGGTGACTTTGAGTTAAAGAGTAAAATGACCTACTTTGTGTTTAGAAAAGATCACTCTATTTGTTATTTGGAAGATTATTAAATAAATGCAAATAAGAAGCAGAACTAGCAGTGAGTAATCTATATCCAAAACCCAAGGGAGAAATGATGGTAGTGTGTACTAGTGTTAGTATCACTGGAGAGGATGAGAAATCGAGAAGTTAGATGTGTTAATTTTCGTGTGTGGAGATGAAGAAAAGTGAGTAAATAAGGATCCATTATAAGTTCTGGAAAATTATATGTGCTCTGTACTAAAATGGAAAGATGTTGGGCAAAAAGTTTGTGGGCCAGGATTTTGTGGATAATCAGGATATATGTTTTGGACATGTTAAGCCTTACATGTCTATTAGAAAGGCAAGTGAAGATGTCAAGTAGATGGTTGGATTTTTGAGTCAGGGGAACTCAGGGGAGCACTCAGAGCTGGAAATGCACACTGACAATTATCAGCTTATAGATTCTAAAGATATGAACCTGGATGAAATCACAAGAAGAAATATAAGTAGTACAGGTTTTTAGAAGACTTGGTTACAACAGGAATGAGAATAAGAGTAATGTATACCATATTGCGAGCCCAATTCTGTGGAAGAAAGTGATTATTACAATTTCCTAAGCTTATGCAGTCATTACTTGTATTTTCCCAAATAAACGTTTCCTTGTTCACCTGTATCTTGCCCATGAGTTTTTTAAATACGTTTTATTAAATAATGTATGAAACAGCACAATATAGTATGTGTCTTTAATAGTATGGTAGTTAGTGGATCCTAAGTCATATGAAGTTCGTAACTCACAGTAACTAATAAACACATCCCAAACCTTTTCAGTTATATACCTTATGCTAAAACTATAAACATAATAATAAGAACTAAAAATAACAGCCCTATTAGGGCTGTTTGTATAAACCAGGTTTATACAAATACTTAGTGAAAAGCCAAACATTAAATTCAGGCTTCCTCATTCCCAATTAAGTGACTTTGACCATACCTTAAAGGCCATATTGGGTGTGACTCTTCCTTACCACCCATCTCCAGTCTTGGTAGATAATCAAAATCCTTTTTACAAAAACAAAGGAAGCAAACAGGTTTTTAACCACCCTGCCCACTGAAAGGTAATACTGGTATCATTATATATAATGACCAATATTTACAGCGTTACACTTAGCATTATCTACTAATTCTTTATCTCCTTGATTTCTCTTTGTCTAGAACATGAGTGAGAAAAAAGTTTTGCTGAGGTCTAAAATATATTTTCTATACAATACCAGTAGTGTTATCATATCACCAAAAGCAAATTCAACTAATGTCTTTAATCATGAAATTGATAAAAATATTTGAAATAAAAAGAGGACTAACCATTTTTGTACCTAATTTTGAGAATTAATAAAAAGTATGCTATGAGTCTTAGATAATAAAAGCATTAACTAAGACAAAAATTGAATTCCATATAAATAAAAATTTACAACAAATCCAAACATAATTTGAACTATTAGATGTTAGGTAAACATGGACAACAATTTTAAAGTGTTCTATTTTTATTATGCAAATAGTAAAACCTCATTTTCCAAGAGGACTTCACAGAATACTAATATTTTAAAAAGGGAGTTTTTCTGAGCACAACGATTTAGGAAACAGTGGGTTAACAAACCCAAACTTCTTAGAACTTGTAATGTGCAGCTGTGCACTGTTGATCCTCAGGGTTAAATATGTTAGCTAGCACTCCCCAAAATTTCAGGTCAACAGATCCCAAGATTTTTCCATTAAAAAAACAAACAAAAAGCAAAACAAAACAAAACAAAAACACTATTCATGGAATATACTTGGAAAATGCTTCTCCAAAGAAAGATTGATATTGAAGGACATCAGAGGCACACACCCTGACCACAGTTAGAGAAACTTTATTGTCTGTGACCTTGAAAGTGATCACTTCTGTTTTTCTTATATTCACATAAAACCCTCATAAACTTTCAAGGTTAGGCAAGGTGAATGCTATGTTAATGGAAGAAATCAAAACTGGCCCTAGGCAAAACTGTGAAGTAAGCAAAGTCTATTTTTGGTCCACTACCTTCAATATCATCACATTTTCTTCCCATTACTGACAACTTAGGTTGTCATCCCTCCTCACCATCTCAGAACCTTTTGCTAAAACCATTTCCAGAAGGTGTTTAAACATGGCAATTATACCTGTCTCCCACCCCTCTCCTGACAAAGAGCCAATTTCTGCTTAGGATATGCCATCTCTTGGAGTACGTTGATTGCACTATCTTGTAGACCGAAAGCCCTGCCGAGGGCCTTAACAAATGTGTGTACTCGTGACATTTTAGGCCCTACAGAAAATAGGTAAGGAGTGTTACTCTTGAGCAAAGGAACCCTATGGCAGCCTCTCAATTTATATCTAATTGGTCACCTTCTATTTTGCCTGCTATTGATGCTAATGCTGGAAAAATACATACATTTCTCAGGAAAAGTAGTGGTAAATGAAGCTATAGAAGTAATTCTGCCTGTTGGAGTGGGAAGGGCTGGGAGTCAGAGGCTTGGGCTTTAGTCTTGTCACTGTTACCAATTGGCTTTTTAACTCCTGATGTCATAGTATCACCATATTCTCAATGGAACAATGGGGATAACACTTTCACAAGACTGTGAAGATTGTGAAATGAGATATATCAATAGATATAAACTTTTTTTTTTTTTTGAGATGGGGTCTCATTCTGTCACCCAGGCTGCAGTTCAGTGGCATGATCTTGGCTCACTGCAACCTCAACCTCCTGGGTTTAAGCCATCCTCCCACCTCAGCCCCCCAAGTAGGTGGGACAACAGGTGTGGGTCACCAAATCTGGCTAATTTTTTTTTTTTTTTTAATTTTGTAGAGACGGGGTTTCGCCATGTTGCCCAGGCTGGTCTCAAATTCCTGAGCATAAGTGATCCTCCTGCCTCAGCCTCCCTAAGTGCTGGGGTTACAGATATCAGGCCGAAAGTGTTTGAAACAGTTGTAAGGCAACATGGTATTTTTCCAGCAACTTTTTGTTGCATGTAAGAAAGTTAGCCTTGGCCTAAAACTTTTCAAAATGACTCAGTATATGTTCCACAAATGAATCATAGAATATGAGAACTGAAATTTAAACAGGATTAACTCAAAGTAGAGCTGGAACTATAAACCACTTGTCTGAATCTAGACCAGGAATTTTCCTGGTATGCCAGGAGATTGGTGGATTATTCTTGGTAGTCCTGTAATTGACAGCCACAAATGAAAGAGGCTGCAGCTGGGGCTGGATCAGGAATCTCGGTGTCCATGTCTCTCAATTAAGCAACAAGAGTTGTTAATTGTGTAGTCTAAGAATTAGTGATATATTTCTTAGTTTTCCATCATTGTGGAGAAAAACTAGGCTGTGTAACATAGAAATCTCCCTGAAATGTACACAGTCACCCCAGAGAAAAAGAAACTTACTCCATCCCAAAAAATGCAGAAATGAGTCCAAAATCTTTGCATGTCTTGCTTGGTTTCCTCACCTCTCCCCCGGCTGCACTGCCAAGGACATCTACTTCTGCCTTGCTGTCTATTCACCTAGAGGCTTTTAGAAAGCTTTCTAGACATTATGATATTCAGAGATTTCACTGATAAAGTACATTAGAATACACCTATATCCTATATTAAATAAAATTTCGATGTAAAATAATTTATAAAGGATTTACTTTTACTTACTTTATTTAATACAGGAATGATTTTTGCACGTAGGTTAAGAAACGTGCTTTTAGAAAATCTCTAGCTTTGAATCCCAGACCAACCATTTGCCTTTGTATGACTAAGAAAAGTTGCATAATCTCTCTGTGCCTCATATGCCTCCGCTGCAAATTAGGGATGCTAAAAGAACTACTTCAGAGAGTCATGAAGAATTACTGAGCTTGTAAAAAGACTTAACAATTCTTAAACGTTTAGCAATTGTATAATCTTAGTAGGAAGCGTACAGATATTCATTGGACTATTCTTTCAACTTTTTTGTTTGACATTTTTCAAAATAAGTTAGAAAGCCACCTTCTGCCCTCCAAATGCAGCCACTATCATTAATATTATTACTCTTGTTGGAATCATTATGCATACTTGGACGCTGTTGGAAAGTGAAAAGAATCTAAGCTTTACAAAATGTTTTACATGTAATAAAATTAGTATTTCAATGTAATAATCTATTAAATAATTCATTAAATTAGATAGTTTGTGGATTTCGTAATGTTTAATTTGTCATTTGTTTACTTCAATTTTAATTTTTTTTTAGTTTAGAGATAATAAACTTTTTCTCCCCTATCAGTTCCTTAATATTTCCCAGAAAGTAGGTCTTTGGAAAGCTGGTAGGCTCTGTACCTATCCTGAGGGATGAAATGGTCCTGCATCTCTTTTACCTCTTACTATTTATTTATTTTTTGAGACAGGGTCTCATTCTGTCACCCAGCCTAGAGTGCAGTGGCACGATCTCTGTTCACTACAACATCTGCCTCTTGGGTTCAAGCGATTCTCCTGCCTCAGCCTCCCGAATAGCTGGTATTACAGGCACCCACTACCACACCCAGCTAATTTTTTTTATTTTCAGTAGAGACAGGGTTTCACCATGTTGGCCAGGCTGGTCTCAAACCCCTAACAGGTGATCCTCCCTCTTCGGCCTCCCAAAGTGCTGGGATTACAGGCATGAGCCACTGCGCCCGGCCTACCTCTTACTTTTTATTCAATAGATAATAAGCAAAGAAAGCGAGTATGACTAAAATTTTTCAATTATCTTCCTTATTTCTTAGGATCAGTATTGTAATTAAGATGCTTGTATCCTGCCACTGCATTGCCAAGGTGACAAGCAAATGAGAAGTGCAGTGGAAACAACAATGCTATTGAAGGGCATTTTTTTTTTCAGTCATATCATGTTTGTGTGCAAATCTCTGAGAGGCAAAATTGAGAGCCTATCAAAAAGGACAGGAGAGGGAACCTGTGCAAATGGCAGCACTGTACTAATGTGCTTTTCAAGGCCCTTGCTGTGGTTTTTGTTGTTGTTGTTGTTTGTTTGTTTGTTTTTGAACACGGTCTCACTCTGTCACCCAGGCAGGAGTGCAGTGGCATGATCATGGCACATTGCACCCTCAACTTTCTGAGCTAAAGTGATCTTCCAACCTCAGCTTCCTGAGTAGCTGGAACCAGAAGCATGCACCACTTTGCCCAGCTAATTTTTAAAACTTATTTTTATGTAGAATCGGGGTCTCACTATATTGCCCAGGCTGCTCTCAAGCTCCTGGCCTCAAGTGATCCTCTCTCCTTGGTCTCCCAAAGTGCTGGGATTACAGGATTGAGACACCACCCCCAGCCCTCTTGCTATGGTTTTAATGTTTGGGTCCCTCCAAAATTCATGTTGAAATGTAATCCACAATGCAATAATATTAAGAGATGGGGTCTTTGTGAAGTGATATGATATTAGTGCCCTTATAAAAGAGCATGAGAGAGCAGGTTCATCCCTTTTTACCACTTCTGCTATGTGAGGATGCAGAAACAAAGTGCCTTCCCTGAAGCAAAGAGTCCTTACCAGACATGGAGTCGGTACAGCCTTCACCTTGGACTTCCCAGCCTCCAGTACTGTAAGAAATAAATTTCTGTTGCTTATAAATTACCCAATTTAAGGTATTTTGTTACAGCAGCAACAAACAGACTGATAGCTCTCTTTCTGAAATTCCAACTCAGGCTGCAGAGTTTACCTTAAGTGAGGTCATGCCAGCCAGATGTAGACCAACATATCTACTTAGAAAGAGACCAAGTTAGTTAAATTAACTCAGAGAACTTGCATTGCTGAGCAGAACTAGACTTGGAGCAAGCGCTGGTTGTGATTTTCCTCTGAGCAAAGTGTGAGGTTCTATACTAGGTGGTGATTGAGTGATTAAACATCTTCTGTCTTTTTATGAGAAATTACTTTGGCCCACTTTCTTAAGCTTATGGTCTTTACAGTCTCATTTCACGGGTTTTTTATTTCAGGCATAGTCAGACCTGACATTAATACCAAACTCACTTAATTGGTAAGTCAGTCAAAAATCACGTTTCTGGCAAGCAGCAAAATGAAGTGTAAGGAGGCAACAGGATGGCTGTCCTAGCAGATGACAAGTACCCACTAGATCTGGAAGAACAAGGACAGGCTCCAGGAAAAAGAAGGAAATGAATCCATCAGATGTGATAGGGCTTTTGATGTAAAAAACAAACTTCTGGGCCAGGTGCAGTGGCTCACACCTGTAATCCCAGCACTTTGGGAGACTGAGGCAGGCAGATTGCTTGAGTCCAGGAGTTCAAGACTAGCTAGAGCAACATGGCAAAACCCAGTCTCTCTCTCTCTATATATATAAAAAATCAAAAATTAACTAGGCATGGTGGTGTGAGCCTGTAGTCCCAGCTACTTGGGAGGCTGGGGTGGGAGGATTGTTTGAGCCTTGGAGATCAAGGCTGCAGTAAGCTGTGATCATTCCACTGCACTCCAGCCTGGCTGACAGAGTGAGACCCTATCTCAAAATACAAACAAACAAACAAGCAAACAAATTTATGATAGGAATATGCCATATCTGATGCAACTTTGGGGAAAGAATGAAAGAGTAGGAAACTCTACAAATGAAAGAAAAGGCAAAAGCTTTATAAGAAAGGAAATGCAGTGATAACACACTACAGTGAACAATAGTCATCATGATATAAACATTGATTATTAACTAAAAATGATTATTCTATTGTACTAAGAAGATAGGGGGAAGTAGGAATCATCAGCAAGCAAATAAGATAATATTAAGTAGTTAAATTTGCATAAGAGAAAGTCATTAGATAGTGCCTAAAAATAACAACAAATAGCAAGATTAGAGTAGAATGTTTTTGAAATATAGCAGGTGAATACTAAAGTTAAAAACATTTCAAATCATTGAAATCAGAGAGGGGCAAGGTGCCATTTGATTGCTTTTCAAAAAGTGGGTACATGTTACTTAACTAAATATGTTTTAAAGTAAAAAAAAGAATATTTGTATAACTTTTTCAGTTTCATTTTCTGATGTCTTGCATTTAAACTCTATGAATAAATTTTATTTATTTTTAAATTGACATGAAATTATGGATTTACCATGTACAACATGTTATTTTAAAGAAAATATACATTGTGGAATGACTAACTCTAGCTAATTAACATATTCATTACCTCACATAGCTATCATTTTTGTGATGAGAACACTTTATATCCACTCTTTTTCATTTTTCAAGAGTATAATAAATTAACTACATTCACCATGTTGTACAATAGATATTCTCAACTTATTCCTCTGACCAATATCTCCTCAACCCCCGATGCCCAACCACTTCAGCCCTTGGTAACCATCATTCTACTCTCTACTTCTACAAGATCAACTTTTTAAGATTCCACATATGAGTGAGATCATGCAGTGTTTGTCTTTCTGTGCCTGGCTTATTTCACTTGACATAATGTCCTCCAGGTTCATCCATGTTGTTGTATATTAAATCTCAAAAAAAAAAATCCTTAGTATTAGATTGATGCTGGATAAGGAGGACAGATATTACTTTAATATGACTATTGTAGAGAGCTTGCCTAGGAGAAGTGCGCAGAATTAAACACTGAGAATGCTCAGTGCCGTGGTCTTAAGGATTAGCGTGTGACTCTCCATTGCTGGGCAGAAAGGCAGTTGAGCAGGCAGCAGGAGATGGGAGAGGGAGAAGAGTGGCTGGTTTCATTGAAGTTTGAGTTGGTAATTGAATCACTTTTCCATTTTCAAAGTGGACATAACTACAAATGGCTTTTAATTCCAAAATACAAATGCATTTTCCTTTTTAGCACACTTTCACCACAAGTGTTTTATTGATAAGGTTTTATATGCTTTCTTTTTTCTATTTTTTCTGGATTTCTCAAAATGTGGTCTAATACCTTGTGACTAGGAAGCAGTATGCAATGTGTAAAAACCACAGTTAATTGTCATTAAAAGCTCAGTTGATGAGATGAACATCACAGATGTCGGGATAGGTGAACATCTGATTTTCATTTGTAAGAGGTGCTTTCATTAACACCACATTAGTCAGTGATGTCTGCTTAAATGTGTTGGTGGTTAGTTGATGCAGAACATCTGGCCCCATTGTTTTTGATTGCTAGGTGACCACATCGTCTCTTTGTGTCAGTCAAGAATGACAGTTGTTAATTTTATCTTTTTACAAAAAAGTGGTAATTGAGTCATAAAATAATAAAATTAGAAAGTATCGAAAAAGTCATTAGGTTCAATGGCCTTCTAATATTTGACTCAATATTACTTATTGCCCAAGAGCTTCTCCTAAATGAACTTTGGGCATGTCTTTCTTAAAATGTTATAATAACTTCATTTTATTAATAGCATGAATTGATAATTTAGTATGATATTTCTCATTGATGTCCCAGTAAAAGTAACTTGATTCTCTCTATTAATTTTCATAACCTTTACTATAGCAAACAGCTATCTAGAGTGTGCGGCATTTTTTTTTTCTTTTCTAAGGTAGTCTTCAAACTGAAGACCTAAGAGAAACGAAATTCTCATCCATTCCCTAAAGCTCAGGGAAGATTTCACTGAGACATCAAAAAAGCTAGATGTCAATTTTCTCTGTGAAATGCTTACTTTTTTATTATGAAATAAAATATTAAATATATGTGACACACAAGGGTAAATTGTACAAAAACCTTTTAACTAGATTCAATGTAGTAAAGAAATTTAACATCTATAGTAGAAGAGAAAATTTTGATTCCAGAATTAATTAATACAACCTACATATGTAATTCAGTCTATTTTTATTGGAATTAGCTCTTTATCTTTTAAAACACCCTGTGTATACATGAAAATGCATGGCCATCTCTGTTCTAAAACAGTTGTTACATTTATGATTGCTTGTGAGAATAATCACTAAATGAAAAAACTAATTCCTACAACTTAGAAAGTAACAAAATTAATATTTTCTAGTAGAACACTAGGCTTTTTAAAACAAAACAAAAGGAAACAACAACAAAAAGGTGTGTTGTCTCACTTTAGTAGGCCTTTAATAGGATGGAAGGATAATACCTTTATAGCTTTTCTTATAAATCTTCGATGAATCAGTAAAACCAGAATTCTCTAAAAAATAATTTCTCCACATTTTGATATTCAACATTTTTGAGGCCTATCTTGTCAGTAAGAAAAGAATAAATGACTCGTAGGAGATTCTTTCAATTTTCCAACCAGCTGAATACTATACTAGTTAAGAAATGACCTTTTGCAGGATAAGGGTGCTAAGTAGAAATACTAGTTGCTGGAATTGGAAAACAAGCAAACAAAACAAACAAACAAACAAAAAAAGATTTTCTATGTGATCAATTAAGGAGTAAAAGGAGACTCATTTTTGATGGCTTGTCAAAGCCCTCTTCTTCCCATATCCTCTCTTTGCCTGGGGTACCCAGAAACAGACACCGGTTTGCAACGCCCAAGAATGACTCTGCCTGTTGTAATAAAAACTCTAAAAAATGCAGCCATTTTCCCAGTGCAAAATGAAAATGTAGGGCCCTTGTACAAAAAGTGGTGGGGGGAGAAAGTACTATTAAAGGTAATGAATTATAATTTTTTTTTGCTTTCTTCCACAGTCCCTCTCTTGACTTTTCATGGTATTTTTAATTTGATATTTAATGTTGTCCTAAATAAAGTTCTTAAGTTATTAGTTTATTAGTATGCATTTTACCATTCATTTTTACATTGTGCAATGCCAGTTTTAAATGTAAATACAGGAGTATTTAACTTGTATGTAGAATGGCTAAAATTACACAACTCATAATATGTAGTTTGTACCTGCATATGTATTTCATTCTTACTAGAACAGTGGAAATACTATACAATGTTAATTCAACTGTTTGTATTTCATATTTTAATATTAATACCTGACATTCTGTAACAATCTTTAGCTTCATCTTACTGATGAGTAAGGAAGAACTGAAAGGAAAAGAAACTATGGGTTGCCCTATCTTTCCCTTTCCTATCAACATTGTCCGCATAAGCGATTGGCTACTATATGAAAGTAACATAAATAAGGAAGGCTATGATAAGGTTCCTTGGTCATTCTTACTTCTTAGAAAGCCATTGCCTTTCTGCATTCAAAGCAAGTTCTGGTCCTTATGGAAAGTGTGTCCTATCTGGATTCTACAACCCTGGGCCAGACACAGTGAGTCACACCTGTAATCCCAGCACTTTGTGGGGGCCAAGATGGGAGGATCACTTGAGGAGAAGGAGTTTGAGATTTTACATCCCAAACATATTTCAATTCTAGTGATGGCTCTCTGCCCACTCTGCCCTCATTCTATCCCAGGCAATCAGTATTACTTGCCCAGACTACTATAAGAGCTTCCTAATTGGTCTTGATATTTCCTCTGTTTTGCTCTCTCCCCCAACATATTGTTCTCAAAGAGACAGAGTGAGATTGTAAAAATATAAATCAATCAGACTATGCCTCTGATTTAAACTATTAAAAGCCTACCCATTTCAGTTGGAATAAAATCCAAACTCTTCACTGTGGCTTATTAAGCCAATTTGTCCTCTTTGTATCTCTCTTATTTTATAATAAGTCACTCTTCCCCATCCTTCCTCACCCCCAAAAAAACCTTCAGCCACACCACCCTTCTTGTATTTTCCTAGATTCTATCTAGCAATTCTTTGCCTTAGGGTCTTCACACATATTTGCCACACTGATTAGATGATCATTTCAGAAAAGCCTTTTCTAACCACTTTATGTAAGTGAGAGTCTCTCACATCCCCAAAACTTTACAATTGTAGATCCCAGTCCCTTCTTGTAGTTTTTTTTATATATACCCTCAATATATTATAAATTATGTAAAGGCAAAGGCTGTGTCTTTTTTGATTAACCATTCTAAATGGTTGTGGCATCATATTTATTTATTAAAGTATTTCTTAAATGCCTAAGATGTTTTAAATTCTAGAGATACTTTTTTAAGTTGCAGAGATACAGCAGTGAACAAAACAGATAAAAATTCTACACTTCATGAAACTTATATTCTAGCTGTAGGATACTGACAATAGATAAAAAATAAATAAACTTGCTGAAAGGTAAAGTACGTCAAATGGTGATAAGTTCTATGGTAAAAAATAGGACACGGAAAGGCAAAAGGAAATACTGGATATGTGTAGGGGTTACAAATTTAAGTGGGAGTGTGATAGTGCAGGTCTTATTCTATCATGTTATTAGATGAAAGTTACAAAGATATATTTCTATGTACATGCAAAAAGATATCAATAAATTCAACTAGCCATAGGACTGAAAATGCATTTAAAATACTTTTTAAGATTCTATTTGATACAAATAGTCAGAATTATGCATTCCCAAAGAGTTCCATTCAAGCCAGAAAGAAGTTAGAGATGCCAACCAAATCCATTTAACACTGGTCTGTAAGTGCTTTAAAAAAAGGTAATTTAATAAGGAAATAAGATAAATAAGCAAAATTTTAAAAGGGCATAGATACTAGAAAAGGGGAGTATGGATTATTTTAAAGCAATGTAATTATATTCATGGAAGACCATTATAATCAAGTAAACATATATGAGAACTAATAGGTAACCACCTAAAACATAAGAATTTAAAAAGTAGAAACTTTTTGTAAGGAAAATCACATTCACAGTAGCAAGAATAACACAACATATTTGAGATTTTATTTTAAAAGAAATGTTCAGGCCAGGCATTTTGGCTCATGCCCGTAGTTCCAACTACTTGGGAGGCTGAGGCAGGAGGATCACTTGAGCCCAAGAGTTACAGGCTTCATAAGCTGTGATTGTGCCATTGCATTTCAGCCCAGGTGACACAGTGAGACCCTATCTCTAAAAAAAAAAAAAAAAAAAAAAAAAAAAAAAAAGAAAGAAAAAGAAAAAGAAAAAAAGAAGAAATGCTCAGGAAATGAAATTGCTGCAAGATACTTTTCAAAGCTTGCATGATTTGAGAGACATAATCTCTATGTGAAGGAAGATCCAATCATTGAAAATATGTAAACTCTTTCAAATTATTCTCTAAATTTAACACAACCTAAATCAAAAGTAAAATGGGATATACATGGGAAAGTAACAAAATAAATATGAGATCTGTGTGGAAAACTAGAAGTATCAAACTAATTAGGAAAATATTTTTAAAATATAAAAAAAGAAGATGAATTTGCCCTACTCAGAATTAAAATACACTAAAATCCTACAAAACTCAAAACAGAGTAGTGCAATGCTGAAATCAACAAAACATGCAGTCGAACAGAATTAAGAGTTTAGACATTGCCCACATATATGTGGAAATATAGTGTATGATTACGTTGGTATTTTCAATCAATAGAGAAAATTTATATCTTATTTTTAATGGCATTGATTTACCTAATAACTATTAAAGAATAAAACATCTCCTGTATACATCAAAATCATTTCATATCAATCAAGAACTTATTTTTAAAAATGGGAGAAAAAAATTAGACTAGTGTATACTAAAATATAGCATGTTAATGTGTATAGAATCCCAGAGCATGGTACCAAAGGCAGAAACCGTAGAAGGGTTGATACAATTTGTCTTCAAATAAATTAGAAACTTTAAGATGGTAGAACATGCAAATACCCAAACCAAAAAGCCTTGTTTATTGTAAGAGTGTTTGCAATATGTATGAGAAAGTATTAATACTGCTAACTTTTTAATGGGCAATTAAGAGAATGAAAAAGTAAAACTAGGAGAAAATATTCACAAAACCCATATTTGGTGAAGAATTGGTATCCAAAATATACAACAAATTATTAAAACCTCACAATAATAAAACAAATAAACCAGTTTAAAAATGGGTAAGATAGGAACAGACACTTCAACAAAGAAGATATACAGATGGCAAATAAGCATATGAAACGATGCTCAACATCATATGTCATTAGGAAATTACAAGTTGATATGATGATGAGATAGCACCACTTGCCTTTTAGAATGCCTAAAACTTAAAACACAACACCAATTGCTGGTGAGGATGTGGAGCAACAGAAATTCTCATCCACTGTGGTGGGAATAAAAAATGGTAAAACCAGTTGGAAAGATAATTTGGCAGTTTCTAACAAAGCTTAACATTGTCTTACCAGACAGTCCAACAACCATGCTCCTTGGTATTAATCAGAATGAGTTGAAAATTTATGTCCACAAAAAAACTGTGCACAAATGTTTATATAAGCTTTATTCATAATGACAAAAAAAATTTAAAGCCACCAAAATGTCCTTCAATAGGTAGAATATATGAACAAACTGTGGTATATTCATACAATGGAGTATTATTCAGCTTGAAAAAGAAATAAATAATTAAGCCATAAAAAGACAGGGAGGGACCTTAAGTGCATATTACTAAGTAAAAGAAGAAAATCTGAAAAGATTGCATACTTTATGATTCCAACTATAGGACATTCTGGAAAAGAGAAAACTCTGGAGACAGTAAAAAGATCCATGGTTGTCAGGGGTGGGAGGGAAGAAGGGATGAATAGGCAGAGCACAGAGGATTTTTAGGGCAGTGAAACTACTCTGTGTGAAACTGTAATGGAAGACAATTGTCATACATTTGTCAAAATCCGTAGAGCTATACAATATATAGCTTGAACCCTAATGTAAACTATGGACTTTAGTAAATGATAAGGTATCAATATTGGTTCATCAATTATAACAAATATAACATATTGCAAGTTGTTAATAGGGAAGCTGGGGGAAGGAGGGGAATAGAAGGGGTAAATGGAAACTGTACGTTCCGCTTAATTTTTTTGAAAACATAAACTACTCTAAAAAATAAAGTCTATCAATTTTTTAAAAATAGGGTATCACATCCAGAAAATTTACTTTTAATAGGTAAAGTGAGTCAAAAGATGTAGACACAGATTTATTCCCATCCATAATCAAAGAAATAAACATTCAAGTTAAAGAAGGGTGCCATTTTTTTTTTTTTTTTTTTTTGCCTATAAAAATGGCAAACATTAACAGGAATGAGGCTCCTAGGATTGTCTTGGTTTGGAGACAATAAACCCTCTGGTACATAGCCTGTAGAACTCCCTATGAGAACAGGGCTTCTGTGTGGTAATTTGTCAAAATGTATCAAATTACTAAAAAGAAATATCTAGCCTTTGACCTAATGATCACAAATCTGTGCACTTATATCAAGGAGATAGATAAATTAGTAAAGATATATGTACAGTGTTACCACAGTTTGTTTAAAAACAACAACAAAATTTAAAAGTCCAAAAGAGGGAATTGATTAAATGTATTTTGTGCATACACATAAAATATTTATAATTGTGGACATTTATACTAATAACATGGAAAGGCATTGGTTATATTGTATTTAGGAAGAAAAGTAAGTTAGAGAGCCTGATACTGTTTTAAATAATATACACGCATATGGAAATGTCTGGAAGACCAAATACTAGTAATGGCTGTGACAGGACAGTAGAATATCTGTGACTTATTATTTTTCCCTTTTATTCATATTTCATTTACATTTTTCATTTAATGTTAATTCATTGCTTACATAAATTTTAAAATATATAAACCCTTTATAAAAAGAAAGGTGATAATTCCAACTACATACAATATTAGCGCTTTTTAGCTTTGAAAGTGACCTCAGTGATTGTTTATTATATATATCCCCATTATTTAACAAATCAAGAATTGGGTGCTTATGCATATGTTCATTGCAGCACTGTTCACAACAGCAAAGACCTGGAATCAACCAAATGCCCATCAATGATAGACTGGATAAGGAAAATGTGGTACATATACACCATGGAATACTATGCAGCCATAAAAAGGAATGAGATCATATCCTTTGCAGGGACATGGATGGAGCTGGAAACCATTATCCTCAGCAAACTAACTCAGGAACAGAAAACCAAACACCACATGTTCTCACTTATAAGTGGGAGCTGAACAATGAGAACACATGGACACAGGGTAAAGAGCAACAACACTAGGGTCTGTTGGGGGAGGCGGGGTGGAAAGGGTAGGGAGAGCACCAGGAAAATTAGCTAATGCATGCTGGGCTTAATACCTAGGTGATGGGTTGATAGGTGCAGCAAACCACCATGGCACATGTTTACCTAGGTAACAAACCTGCACATCCTGCGTATGTACCCCAGAACTAAAAATAAAATAAAATAAAATTGGATGCTTAATATGGTAAAGAGAATTTTCCCAAACTGAATTACATGGAAGGCTGAGACAACAACTAATGTCTTGTGCACTCAATCCACAGTTCTCTTTCACTGAACAGAGGCAAACTCCAAATAAACCTTTTAGTGGAAATGCCTAAAATATTATTGTATTTCTGCATGTGTATATTCATGAGACATAAACATACAATTTTTTTTGCATAACTTTATGTTTTCTAAAAATTTAGGTCTCCTGTATCTCAATTCTTAATTTTCTTCCATTGGAGTGGCAATCCCAAACAGTCCTTCTTAGGAATAAGTAAAATGACAAAATATGTGTGTTTATCTGTGAAACACAACCATGCAAATCTACTTGCACAATTGTTTTTGTTTTTATAAATTTGGTGTGACATAATTTCAACCATAAATCCGTAAAATTTTTAGTAAAATTGAGATGTTTTCTATTTTCTTTCAAGTAAAAACAATTCAGATCTACTATCAGCTACTTTGACCTCTGGAATGATCAATACTTAAAAGACTGTATCTACATCCAGTAAATTGTTGCTGAGAAAATAGTTATTGTTGAAAATTAGAGACATTTCTCTGAATTCTATGTACATATGATGAAGTTCCTTGGTGATTCATTGCTTAGTGAAATAGGTAGATGGACTGAGGGTAAGGACTAAGCTAAGAATTATACTAAAATTGGTAATGTTTTTCCTTGTACAGATTGGTCAGATTTCTTAATCGTTCTACCTGAGATAGTTTTATCATAGAAGTAGAAATCACCATCAACTGACTACTTTTTGAAGAAACATAAAATGCTCTATAACTTTTGCTTTATTGAAATAGAATTATAAGGTTAAATTTAATTATGAGAATTAAAATAATACTTCTTGTATTAAAATTTCAAACTAAATTATATACATTTTAAAGTCATCATAATGTTTTATTCATTATATTGAAAATCAAAAAAGGCAGATTTTCAAATCATCTCTGTTAAAATATTTTCTCTGTGGATGCTACTAATTTCCCACAAGTAGTCACTTAGAATTTCCCCCAAATTCTTAAGTTGCCCCCAAATACTTAAGTTTCATTTGAATTGTAATCGCTTCCAAATATTAGCATTTGTATCAGAAAAAAATTACTGCTTCCTTAAAGCAAATATAGTCTGAGTTCTTTTTAATAATAGCAATAGTGCCCTCAAGAGCATCATATTTCAAAATATTTAGGTGTTTAATGTGATATAAACTGAATATCCAGGTGATATATTAAGTCGTTTCAATTGACATTTTAGGGATTCTGGTATCCTATGTTTATATATATATATACTTTTGTGTGTGTGTATATATATATATATATATATATATACTTTTGTATAAATATATATATACTTTTGTATAAATATATATATATACTTTTGTATAAATATATATACTCGTATAAAATGTAAACGTCCTTTGTTTATATTATATATATGCACTTATACGAAAGTATATACATTTAGGTCTCCTGTATCTCAATTCTTATTTTTCTTCCATTGGAGTGGCAATCCCAAACAGTCCTTCTTAGGAATAAACAAAATGACAAAGTATGTGTGTATATCTGTGAAACACAACCATGCAAATCTACTTGCACAATTGTTTTTGTTTTTATAAATTTGATGTGACATAATTTCAACCATAAATCCTGTAAGATTGTTAGCAAAATTGAGATGTTTTCTATTTTCTTTCAAGTAAAAACAATTCAGATCTACTATCAGCTACTTTGATCTCTACAATGATCAATATTTAAAAGACTGAGTGATAAGTGCATGGTCGCTCATTAAACTTTATATATATAGTTTAAATGTATGTAGTTTATAAATAAATAAATATAAATATATATATATATATATATATATATATATATATATATATATATATATATATTTTCCCAGGCAAATAGGGCTGGCCTCTAGAGTATTTGGGAAACAAATGGTAAAAATGGTGTAATCCTATGCATTTATGTTGGTCTTTGTATGTCTACACATGTGTATATATGTGTCTATGCACATTTTTTAGCACTGGCTCTGTAAGACATAAAATTCACTATCAAAAAAATGTTAAATTACATCAATTTAGATCTGACAGTTTTACAAAAGCATATTTTAAGTTCATATAAGTGCATTGTTTTAAGGTACAGGCTGATGTCTGTACAAGTTGCTGATGTGTCAGCAACAAGTTGTTGCTATGACCTTAGGCCTGATCATTTTAGTTCTGTCACGGATGAGCTTCAACTGTGTTTCTTAGTCCCAACTGGCTTAGGAAGACATCCATCAGCAGGATTTTCTTTCTCATTTAAGAAGAATCCATAATGTTAGCCTGAATCATCTTTGAAATGCCTGTCCTTGAGCATGTTTCAACACGATGTTGTTCTTTGCATATATTTACCTGTTATATTCATCATGTATAACATTCATCATTTTTAAAGGCAGACTCATTTTCTGGGAAATGGCTGAATGGAGGTTGATGCATTCATTGATTAATTCATTCATTTAGCAAACGCCATTGAATACCTGCTATGTAATAGACATGCCATTGACTACAAAAAAAAAAAAAAAAAAATGACCAAATTGGTAACCAACTGCCACATGCTCCAAATTAAAAGAAAGCTGGAGCTTGTGGCAGTATAGATGGAACAAATTTGGCAACTGTTGTTGATGATTGTTAAGTTTGAGTGATAAGAGCATGGCAGCTCATTAAACTAGTCTCTCTTTTTGAAAAACATGTTTGAAATTTTTCATAATAGAGATGCGGTTTTTCTTTGTTATTGTTATGGGCCCTTTATCAGGGTTTATTCTATTCATTTGGAGATACGCATTTCATTTCCCTAGAAAGATACCAATGGAGTTTGGATTATTTTTCCTTCAGATCCTTTTCTTTCTGAAATTGTCAAACTCATTATTCACAATTTAATCATTTCTCTCAGCATCAATTTCTAAAGTTCTCTTCTCTGAAAAGGAAAAATACAATAGTATCCACTCAGAGTACTTGTCTCCAGATTTGGGGTTCAAAGTAGGCTTAGGAACCCAGCTGTGTTGAGCTCTTCTATGGAATCACCTCATTCTTTCCTTATCCCCCAGGCTATTAAATTTTGTCACTTGATCATGGCCCTTTCCTTCATTGATTGGTGCCATTAATTGTGTTGCCATATTTTCCTGTTTTTTTGTTTTTTTATAGTGTGAGGAAAGGAGGTTATGAATTGCACCTTTATTTATTATGTCACATCAAGCTTTATTTTTTATTTTTTTAAAGACTCAAAAGAAAAGAAAAAAGTTATCCAAAACTTAAACAGCAATGAGAATATTACAAAACTTTGATAGAATCAGAATTGCAGTTAATGCTCATTTCAATTGCATTTAAGTTTGCAAATATTAGTAACCTACTGTTTTTATAACTGCTTTACGAGGAACTTTTCTAATAGCTTAGAAAGAGTCAGCTTTCCTTCTGCTTTTCTCCTATGCAAAGTTGTATCCCATGTTAGAAATATCTACATTTATGCCTTTTTTTCTCCTATTACTCTTTAATAATATTCTACTGCTATAGAGTGAACATAGTAAAACAATTGAATCCAATATTTTAGTTTGTTTTTTATTTTAACTTTAATATTTTAATATTTTGATTTTTTATGTTATTTTATTTTTATTGTTTCTTATTTTTATTTTTAATTTCAATACGTTTTTGGGAAACAGGTGTGTTTGGTTACATGAATAAGTTCTTTAATGGTGATTTCTGAGATATTGGTGCACCTATCACCTGTGCAGTGACTACACATTGGGTATAGTATAATGTTTATTTTTAATTGACCAATAATAATTATATATATATTTTGGGGATACAATGTGATGTTTTAATATATGTGTACATTATAGAATAATTATATCAAGCTAATTAACATACCATTACTTCACATTTTTATCATTTTTTGTAGTGAAACCCTTAAGAATCTATTCTTTTAGCAATTTTGAAATACACAATACATTAATATTGACAATGGTTACCTTGCTGTGCAATAGATCTTGAAATTTATTTCCTCCTTTCTAACTGGAACTCTGTATTGTTCGATCAACTTCTCTGCTTTCCCCCACTCTCATCTCCCCCCATACTCTGGTACCCATCATTCTACTCTCTACTTCTATAAAGTCAACTTTAAAAAATTCTGTATACAAATAAGATCATGCAGTATTTGTCTTTCTGTGCCTGACTTTATTTTACTTAATGTAATACACTCCAATTTCATTCATGTTGTCACAAATGACAGAATTACCTGTTTTTAAAGGCTGAATACTATTTCCTTGCGTATATATTCACATTTTCTTTATCTATTTATCTACTGATGGACACTTAAGTTGATTCCGTCTCTTGGAATTGACTGTGACTAGTGCTGCAAGAAACATGAGAGTACAGATATCTCTTTGACGTAGTCATTTCAATACTTTTGCATAATTAAAAAATAATAATGGGCAGGTTCTTCAAATGAATATTGGGAATTCTTTAGAAAATAAAAGATCTAGCTGCAGACTGGGAAAAAATATTTGTGGAATATATATCTAATAAAGGATTGATACCTAGAATATTGAAAAATTTCTCTAAAGTCAGTAATAAGAAAACAATTTTTTTAAACTCCCATTTTCTAAAAAGGTGGGCAATATATTTGCAGAGCTATTTTGACAAAATGGTATAAGGGAAATTTTTTGGATGATGATACTGTTTTATATCTTTTAAAATTTTATTTAAATGTATTTTTTATATTTTTACATATGTTTATGGGGTCCATGAGAAATTTCGTTGCATACATAATATATATAATTATCAAGTCAGAGTAATTTGTAATACTCCATCACCTAAGTATTTATTATTTTTATATGTTGGATACATTTCAAGACCTCTCTTCTAGCTATTTTGAAATATACAATATATGGTTGTATCTACAGTCACCCTACTCTGCTATCAAACATTAGAACTTATTTCTTCTATCTAACTGCATGTTTGTACCCATTAACCAACCTCTGTTTATCCCCTTCTGCCTCCCATACACCTTTCTCAGCTTCTGGTATCTATTATTTTACTCTACCTCCATGTGATCAACTTTTTTAGCTCTCACATATGGGAATGAGAAAATGCAATATTTGTCTTTCTATGCATGGCTTATTTCTCGTAACCTCCAGTTTTCATCCATGTTGCTGCAAATGACATGATTTCATTCATTTTATGGCCAAATACTATACCATTGCATATATACCACATTTTCTTTATCCATTTATCTTTATCCATTCAAGTGTTGATGGACATTTAAATTGATATTGATTTTATATCTTTACTATTGTGAGTAGTGTTGCAATAAACATGGGAGTTTGGGTATCTATTTGATATATTAGTTTCTTTTTCTTTGGACGTACTCTTAGTGGGATTGCTAGATTGTATGGTACTTCTATTTTTAGTTCTTTGAGAAATCTTCATACTATTTTTCATAATGCTATATTAGTTTGCATTTCCACTAATAGTGTATAAGAGTCCAATTTTCTGTCATGCTCACTGATGTGGTTTGGCTGTGTTCCCACTCAAATTTCATCTTGAATTCCCACATGTTGTGGGAGGTACCCCGTGGGAGGTGGTTGAATCATGGGGACAGGACTTTCCTGCAGTGTTCTCATGATGGTGAATAAGTCTTGCAAGATCTGATGGTTTTAAAAAGGGAAGTTTCTCTGTACAGGCTCTCTTTTTTCCTGCTGCCATCCACATAAGATGTGACTTGCTCCTCCTTGCCTTCTTCCATGATTGTGAGGCCTCCCCAATTATGTGGAACTGTTAATCCAATAAACCTCTTTCTTTTGTAAATTGCCCAGTCTCAGGAATGTCTTTATCAGCAGCATGACAATGGACTAATATGGTAAATTGGTAACAGTAGAGTGGGGTACTGCTGAAAAGAAACCCAAAAACATGGAAGCAACTTTGAAACTGGGTAACAGGCAGAGATTGGAACAGTTTGGAGGGCTCAGAAGAAGACAGGAAAATGTGGGACAGTTTAGAGCTCCCTCGAGACTTCTTGAATGGCTTTGACCAAAATGCTGATAATAATATGGACAATGAAATCCAGGCTGAGGTGGTCTCAGATGGAGATGAGGAACTTGTTGAAAACTGGAGCAAAGGTGACTCTTGTTATGCTTTAGCAAAGAGACTGATGGCATTGTGCCCCTGTCCTAGAGATTTGTGGAACATCAAACTTGAGAGAGATGATTTAGGATATCTGGCAGAAGACATTTCTAAGCAGCAGAGCATTCAAGAGATGACTTGGGTGCTGTTAAAGGCATTCAGTTTTAAAAGAGAAACAGGACATAAAGTTTGGAAAATTTGCAGCCTGACAATGCAACAGAAAAGAAAATCCCATTTTCTGAAGAGAAATTCAAGCTGGCTACAGAAATTTGCATAAGTAATGAGAAGCTGAATGTTAATCACTAAGACAATGGGAAAAATGTCTCCAGGCCATGTCAGAGACCTTTGCAGCAGCCCCTCCCATCACAGGCCCGGAGGTTTAGGGGGAAAAAATAGTTTTGTGGGCCGGGCCCAGGGTTTCTCTGCTGTGTACAGTCTAGGGACTTGATGCTCTGTGTCCCAGCTGCTCTAGCTGTGACTAACAGGGGTCAAGATAGAGCTTGGGCTGCAGTTTTGGATGATACAAGCCCCAAGTCTTGGTAGCTTCCACATGGTGTTGAGCCTGTGGGTGCACAGAAGTCAAGAACTGAGGTTTGGGAACCTTCACCTAGATTTCAGAGGATGTATGGAAATGCTTGGATGCCCAGGCAGAAGTTTGCTGCAGTGGCAGGGCCCTCATGGAGACCCTCTTCTAGGGCAATGCAGAAGGGAAATGTGGGGTCAGAGCCCCCACACAGAGTCTCTACTGGGGCACTGCCTAGTGGAGTTGTGAGAAGAGGGCCACTGTTCTCCAGATTCCAGAATGGTAGATCTGACAGCTTACACCGTGTGCCTGGAAAAGCTGCAGATACTCAATGCCAGACCATGAAAGCAGCTTGGAGGGAGACTGTACCCTGCAAAGCCATAGAGGTGGAGCTGCCCAAGACCATGAGAACTCACCTCTTACATCAGCATGACCTGGATGTGAGACATGAAGTCAAAGGAGATCATTTTAGAGCTTAAAGATTTGACAGCCCTGCTAGATTTTGGACTTGCGTGGGGCCTGTACCCCTTTTGTTTTGATCAATTTCTCCAAATTGGCATATTTACCCAATGCCTGTACCCCCTTTGTATCTAGGAAGTAACTAACTCACTTCTGATTTTACAGGCTTATAGGTGAACAGGACTTGCCTTTTCTCAGATAAGACTTTGGACTATGGACTTTTGAGTTTATGCTGAAATGAGTTAGGACTTTGGGGGACTGTTGGGAAGGCATGATTGCTTTTGAAATGTGAGGACATGAGATTTGGGAGGCGCTGGGGCAGAATTATGTGGTTTGGCTCTGTCCCTGCCCAAATCTCTTGAATTCCCACATGTTGTGGGATGGAACCAGTGGGAAGTGGTTGAATCATGGGGGCAGGTCTTTTCTGTTGTGTTCTCATGATGGTGAATAAGTCTCATGGGAGCTGATGATTTTAGAAAAGGGAGTTTCTTTGCGCAGGCTCTCTTTTTGCCTGCTGCCATCCACATAAGATGTGACCTGTTCCTCCTTGCCTTCGGCCATGATTGTGAGGCCTCCCCAGCCATGTAGAACTTTAAGTCCAATAAATCTCTTTCTTTTGTAAATTGCCTAGTCTTGAGTATGTCTTTACAGCAGCATGAAAACAGACTAATACTCTCAACAACATCTGTTATTTTTTGTCTTTTTAATAATAGCTATTCTAAATGGGGCAAGATGATATCTCAGTTTTGATTTGCATTTCCCCGATGATTAATGATGTTGTGTGTTCTTCATATACCTGTTGCTCATTTATATGTCTCTTTTGAAAGATATCAATTCGTGTTCTTTGCTCACTTTTTAATGGGGCTATTTGTCTTTCATCTGTTGAGTTTCCTGTATATTCAGGATTTTACTCCCCTATTAGATGAATAGTTTGGAAATATTTTCTTCCATTCAACAGGTTGCTTCTTCACTCTGTTCATTGTTTCTTTTTGCTGTGCAGAAGCTTTTTAGTTTGACAGAGTCCCGTTTGTCTATTTTTCTTTTTGTTGCCTGCGCTTTTCTGTCTTAACCATAAAATAGTTGCCTAGAGCAATATCCTGATGCATTTCACTGATTTTTTTCCAGTTGTCTTATAGTTTTGTATCTTACATTCAAGTTTTTAATCCGCCTTGAGTTGATTGTTGTATATGGTCACAGACAAGAATCTAGTTTCATTCTTCTGCATATAACTGTCTAGTTATTATAGCACTGTTTATTGAACAAGGTATCCTTTCCCTCATGTGTGTTCTTGACAGCTTTACCAAAGATCAGTTGGCTATCAATATGTAGATTTATTCCTGGGTTCTCTATTCTGTTCCATTGGTCCATATATCTATTTTTATAGAAATACCATGCTGTTTTATTACAGTGACCTTATAATATATTTTGAATTCAAGTTATATTATACCTCCAACTTTATTCTTTTTGTTCAAGAATGCTTTGTCATTTTGGATTCTTTCTTGATTCCACATGAATTGTATGATTGTTTTTTCTATTTCTGTGAAAAGTGACACATTATTTTGATAGACATTTCATTGAATCTGTTGATTGCTTTGGGTAGTAATCATTCTACATCTTGAAATTGTGGTGGTCATTACATGACTATATGTTCAACAGAGTATATAGAATTGTTTATATGAAAATAGTGAATTTTGCTGAACATAAATTTTCACAATTTTTAACAACTGAAGGAAAAAATAGGTGTTTTCAGAAAAAAGATTTGAAAGATTAAAATATCACAATATTTAAACTAAATTATTAACACTGTAATATATATATGTGGTGCATTTTTTACTGAAATGTTACTATGCATCAGATGACTATACCATGATGGTGAGGATTGTTGTTTATGATGTTTGCTGAGGTAACTCTAGTGACAAAAATCGTACCTAGCACATAATAGGCTTTAAAATTATTTGTTTAATTAATAATTTACTAAATCTTCAATTTTTGCAAAACTTATTGCTCTCATACTATGTAGACATGCTGGATTAGTAGTATAATAAAAAAGACAATGATTTATCTTGTGTTGAGCAGAACTTATGGCAAACTTTTGCTATATTCTTTTGAAAATTATTTGCAGAAATAGCCAATGATGTTAATGCTTTTAGATATAAAGTTTAACAAAAAAAATTAATTTGATGCCCTTTACATAATACTGAAACTCCTTTATAAAGATGATAGTTTTTTTTTTTTGAAATGGAGTCTCACTCTGTTGCCCAGTCTGGAGTGCAGTGGCGTGATCTCGGCTCACTGCAACCTCCGCCTCCCAGGTTCAGGCAATTCTCCTGTCTCAGCCTCCTGAGTAGCTGGGACTACAGTTGCATGCCACCATGCCTGGCTAATTTTTGTATTTTCAGTAGAGGCGGGGTTTCACCATATTGGTCAGGCTGGTCTCGAACTCCTGACCTCAGTTGATCCACACATCTCGGCCTCCCAAAGTGCTGGGATTACAGGTGTGAATAAATATGATTCTTAATATTAATATGTTTACATTTATATAAACCTATTTTCCACTCTTTCATAGGGACATATCTATCGAATATCTATCATAACTATGTGGCTTTTTATTCTGTTATAGCTAACTTTTTCACAGACTGTAATTCCATACCATCAGTGCTAGAACGTATCTGCTGTTTTCACTAATAATGATTTTCTTATTATTACATCTAATTAAGTATAATTTCATCCCATAAAGATGAACCAAGTAAGTCTTCTTGTAGCCAGTACAAAATAAGGGAAGTACAGCGACAAGAAAGAGAGAATTAGTAGAAATTTATTTAGTAGAAATAATGAAGGACCACAGTGTAGGACTTTTAGGATCTTATTTTCATAAAGATATAACCACTACTTTGAAGATATGATAGATGGAAGCCTGGCTAATATTTAGAGAAACTACATTCAGTAGTTGATTATATCTTGAGAAGTAGTCTTAACACAGTGCTTAAAAGACAAGATGCTATAGATAAGCTTGAAGTACTGATAACCTGAATAGGAGTAAAACCGCATACACGCTGTGAAATAGCAAGCATTACAAAACGTGGCTGACCTTTCTTATGCCTTAAGATAGCAATTTGTGGTAACAGAGAAATGATGATGGAACATCGAGTAATACTATTTTCAACAAAATTGTAGGCTCTACAAAATCAGACACCTTATAATATTTGGGAAGACTAAATGGTTAGCATATGTAAAGTAATGTGCTACAATATCTTTCCAAGGTTAAGCACTTAGCAGTTTGCTGCTATTATTATCATCATTTTGATATCCCCTACACAGCATGTAGACTTTTGCTGAGTGCATAGAAAATGCTCAGCAAAATAATTTTAAGTTGAATTGCAACAATTGAAATAGTGATTATTTTCTTGCAAAAGAATAGCCCCTCCCAAGAAACTAGAAACAACAATAATTATCATGCCAAAGGCAAGGAAAACTATCATGTGAAAATAGAACTTGTAGCTTATGTTTAGAGGACATTATCTACCATAATTCATATGACTTTTAAAATGTGGATAATATACATAAAATGATAAAAAAGTCAAAAGAAAGTTGAAAAATTACTAATTCTTTTTTCATGCATTCATGTGTGTATTTTCACTTTGTCTTACCATAGTGTTTTTAAACACGAAGTTTTAATTTTAAATAGTGATTTTTTTAAAGGCAAATACAGAAATTCAACGATATAGTACAAAAGAAATTATAGGAAAAAACGATCCTTAATTTCCCTTTAATTGAAACACCTTCTGTTTAGTCTATTTTTCTATTAAGATTACAGAACAAAATTACCATAACTGAGAAAGTGAATGTTGACTTTGCCGTTTTCATCTCTAGGTATCTACAGAGGGCAGCAAAGAGCTTCAGTTCAAAGACTAGCAGGTCGGGTTAGTAAGTTTCAATCGCTGCTTTCTGATTCCGCATCATTTGAAGCACTGCAAAGTGTCAAAAACAAGGTTCAGTTTGCTAAACTTATGCGATTGTTTGTTGCCATATGTGGAACAGAGTGAGGGGGACACATGGATCAGATCAACTATTTAGCTGCAATCAAGAAAAGATTTCAAATTAGTACATTGAGTGTGTCATTTTACTAAAACTAACCCAAAGCTTGATACAACAGTGATTTTTTTAAAAAATTATTTTACTAAGATATTACAAAATAAATTGTCAAGTTCTCCCAAACTCAGATCACGGTGTTTTATAAAATTATAAACTGGTAACTATTAATGAGTAGTGGGCAAAGGCAAATTCTATAATGATCTAAGGTGAGCTTGGTTTTAGGTGTTTTCTTATTAATGTATCTATATATCTCTGATTCTACAATTTCATTCATCAATTTTTATGATAATAAAATCCAAAATATATCCAAGAGGCCACTAGTACACCTGTATTCACTGAAGTAATTCATTGTTCCAGAGAGTGTTCTCATTCTGAGATGGAGTTGACCTTGTATGAGTTTCTTAAGATATGCCATTGTGAAAAAGAAGAGAAGAAATACTGTGCAGAGGGAAAGGTGAAACTGCAGTGCAGGCCTAATTCAACAGGATGCTTGGGACCTAGAATGGTCCTTGAGTCCTCCTAAATCAGGCTGAGAGGGTGAGGTCTTTATACTCCCACCTTGTCAGTAAGTGGATGTGGGCAATACCAGGAAGGGGACTGACTGTAAGCAAGGCAGCTGGGGCAATCCTGACGAGGCAGCAGGTCCTTCCTTAAAGGTATATTCGAGTGGGCATCATGATGTCCACCACATGCATATGCAATATGAAGTAATCAAAGTGCCTTATGCTAACACAGAAGGGGTGACATTTTCATTTACTTAGCAAGCTTTGTTATCTTTTACAATATTAATTCATTAACATGTTTAACAGGAAACTATTATATTAGCAGGTCTGTGTTAGCTCCTTCAATTTCTTGTCTTTAACAGGTGAGAGAGGTAACAAATGAAAATACTGAGGTTAATGCCCCATGCAAGGTTTGTATTAAGAAAAATAAATCACTGAAACACAAAACAAAATGACTAGGGAAATGCTTAATTGTACAGTCATGTGCTGCATGATGATGTTTCAGTCAACAATGGACCACATGTAGGACAGTGGTCTCATAAGATTATAATAGTGTATCTTTTCTATGTTTAGATATATTCGAATACACAAATACTTATTGTGTTACAATAGCCTACTATTCAGTACAGTAACATGCTGTACAAATTTGTAGCTTAGGAGCAATAGGCTATCCTACATAGCCTAGGTATGTAGTAGGCTACACCATCTATGTTTATGTAAGTACGCTCTATGTAAGTATACTACGGTGAAATTGCCTGAGGATGCATTTCTCAGAACTATCCTTGTCATTAAATGACACATGACTGCACTTAGAAGAGCAGTTTACAACACCTTCAGGCATTCATTTTTCAAAGAACCAATTTAGATAGGGACAACTGATGTTTTAATTTGAAACCATTGTAATCTCATTTAGGGAAATCCTTAGAAAACCAGTACTAAAGCAAGATGGGAAGGGGGCAACAGAGAGGTTGTTTTGTTTAAAAATAAACTGAATTGCCTTTTAGTATTATAAAAGAAATATGTACTCATTAGAGATATATGGACAAATAAAGAAATATAAAGAAGAAAATTGAAAATTACCTATAATCTCCACATCTATCAACACAGAGAAAATCAGTCAGTGTTTTTTCTTCTAATCATTTTTCTTTTGGACATATATAAAATTTTGATTCAGATTTTCTCATTTATAGATTGTTTTCTCTATTTCATTGAAAAATATTCAAATGAAAGCATGTATCTTCTGCAGCTTGTTCTGCTTGATGTACACAGCATTTAATGAGCACCATTACAAGTAATGGTATCAATAGCTGAACTATGGTGCATATTTCAGACAACTTCTTTGGACGAAACTAAACAAAATGGAATTACTTGGCCCAAGAGCACTAACATTTAGGTTCTTGATATATTGCCACATTGGAGTCCAAAATAGTGTGCATCAACTTAGATTGCCACAGACAGTATTTATATCTTTTCCAATAGTTCTTGCAAGATTTGAAAAGGAAGATAATATTTCACTGTTGTCTAATTATTTACTTTTTTGTTGTCTAATTAATTACTTTTTTGAAAGTAAACATTTTGTATTCAGTTATATATTTTTTCTACAAAATGTCTACCTAGAGAATGAGTGTTTTTTTAATAATTTATTTCTTTTTTTAAAAAATTTAAATTTTTTTATTAATATAGAGATGGGGGTCTTGTTATGGTGACCAGGCTGATTTAAGATCCTCCCACCTTGGCCTCCCAAAGTGCTGGGATTATAGGTATGAGCCACTGCACCCAGCTTAAAAAAAAATTGATTGCCAAGTTCTCTTTACACATGAAGGGTATACGTTTCTTTAATACATTAAAGGTATTTTGTTGTAATTTTTTTCCCCAGTTTGTCATGTTCTCATCACTTTTGATTACCTTCCGAACCACACATTTGTGTATGTGTGAATTCAGACGTGCAAATAATTTTCTTTGTGGTTTCTTCCCTTTTATGCTTCTAAAGTATTTTCCTAGCGATCTTATATACATATATCCATTTAAATTTATTATAGTAATCTTAAAAAATACTCATCTATATTTTGTTTCATTATTTAGCAGAAGACAAGGATATAAATAGATGATTCTTTTTCAATTAATTAATTACCCCAAATTATTTATTGGAGAGGTATTCAAACTTTTTGGAGCACAACCCACAGTAAGAGAAAAAATAAATTTTACATCACAATCTAGAACACGCTGACACACGTGAACACTTATATACATACCTATAACTGAAATGAAAGTGTCTAAAATAATTTTTATCCTCAGTATTATGTGATGAATTCTAATATTTTCTATTATATTATATTCCTTTCCTTTCCATCCCATTCCGTTTCAAATAAAAAAAAACTGCCTGTGGTTCACAAAATTGATCTAACAATTTATTAATGGTTCTTTCTGGAAAATATGACACACTGAATTCTTCTCTGGTGATCTGTACCTTATCTTATTTTGAGTTCTGATATTCTGGTATATGTTAAGGAACTGTAAATTCTGTTCCATTAGTATTGATTTCTAAGTACTATTATAATGTTTTAATGACTTCAGCTTTATAATATGGTAGAATGTTCTATAGAACAGGTCCCTTCCTCATCACTCTAAATTTTAAGATTTATCAGAGCTAGTCTTCCATATTTATTTTTGTTGGTTAGTGTAATCATTTTGTCACATTTTATTTTATAAAGAAAACTCGGCACTAGACACAGTGGCTTACACCTGAAATTCCAGTACTTTGGGAGGCCAAGGCTGGAGGATCACTTAAGGACAGGAGTTCAAGACCAGTCTGGGAAACAAAGTGAGACCCCATCTCTGCAAAAATTAAAAATAAAAAAGTAAGCTGGGTGTGGAGTCGTGTGCCTGCAGTCTCAGCTACTTGGGAGGATGAAGTGGAAGGATCACTTGAGCCCAGGAGTTTGAGTTTGCAGTGAGTTATGATCGTGCCATTGCACTCCAGCCTAGGTGATAGAGGAAGACCTTATCATCAGAAGTAAAAAAAAAAATGCAATTATAATAGTAAATTAATTTGGGAAATGAAGTCATTTTTTCTATGCAAGAACATGACACTGCTTTTTTTATTTCTCTGAGTATTAGCAATGTTTCTTAAGAAAGACCTCATATTTATTAGTAAGTTCATTTCTGATTAGATTATACCTTTTTGTTGCTATTATGAATAAAATGTTTTCTATTATTTTCTAACATTATTTTATGTAAGAAAATTCATGACTGAAGCTTATAATAAAGTTCTAATAATTTATTAATTGATTTTCTTTATTTTAAAGTTATAGAATTATATCTACAAATAATAGTAATCATAATAGCTAATTTCTATTTAATACTTACTGTAAACATATGCATATTCCAAGCGCTTTGCAGTATTATCTTCTTTGAAATAACCCTGAAATATAGATACCATTAATATCACATTTTACATATAAGTAAACTGAGACACTTAATTCCCAATTTTACTCTCTGCTTTTCTGATGGTTGTGCATATTATATTTCTTGCCTTTTTCCATTGGCTAGAGCTTCTGGAAATAGGTGAACTACCAGAGATTATAGATAACATCCTATTTCTGTTCTTAAGTTTAATCTGCACATCTCCAATGCTTTATTGGTAAATACATGTTTGTTGATTACAGGTATATATTCTTTAATATGTTACATAAATACCTTTTTAATTTATTTAAATTTACTGAATTTTTGAAATCCAAAATAAGTATAAAATCATAGAGCATATTTTACTCAACTATTCTGATACTCATATGGCATTTCTAATTTGAACTATTAACATGATATATCAATAGATCTTTAATACTAAATTTTAAATCTGCATTGTGTTTCTCTAAGTTTCTGAAAATTATGACATCACATTCTTATAATGGCAAGATTTCTCCCAATAACCTAATCTTTTGTCTGAATTTGTCCAAAAAAAGAGATTTTCATGTCAATTACTGTGTTTCTCCTTGATTGAGGGTTCAAAGGTATGGCTATAACTAACAAGTAAGGTTTCTTAACATCTATAATGTTCCAAAATCAATAAATACCAAGAGATCAAACTGAAAGAAATAAATTCTCATCTTATAGTTTTAAGATTCACACTGTTCATCTCTGTCTTATATTTTTTATTGTATTTTCCATAACCCACTGTTTCTCTTTTACATGTTCACAAGTTCTAAATTCAAACATTTTCCTTTCCTGCCCTCTTCCCTTCCTTCTTACACACTGCAAAAGAGAAATAGAAGAGATCGAACTTGCACAAGAATCACAGTTTTGAATAGCTGCTGGGTGGTTTAGAAGGAGAAACTACTTAGTTGTAACTTCCCAGGGAGCATGTGATTAGGCAAGGCCTAAAGCTGTAAGGGCATACACCAAAGTATAAGGAGATCACAGGGCACAGTGACCCAGATTTTTACATGTGAACCATCTCAAATGACCTAAGACTAATACCTTTGGGATGTGTATGTTGGGATGAGAAATAGGTGTCAACATGTGTTTGGGACTCTATGAAATTAGGTAGTATTTTGGAGACCCTTTAAAAGAAAAAAAAAAAAAAAATATATATATATATATATATATATATATTTTTGGCTATTGTCTTGCTTAATTTTAATAGATGTCAATAAAGACTAAGGTGAATTACTTACTATCTATTTTTATTGAATGAAAGTATCACAAAAGTGAGTTACCTGTAGACATATGACCATAGAGTATATATTTCTTACATTTATTTGTATATGGTATTAAATTTAAGGGACTTCAAATTGGCTTATTCCACTAATTTTTGAGGGGATATAATTTCCAAAATGGGCAATTATCTTTTCTTAGGAATCAAATTATGTCATCCTCCCAAATTCCTATGCTGAAGACCTAAGCCCTAGACTTTAGAATAATATGAGCTTATTGGAAATTGGGTCATTGGAAACATAATTATTTAAGATGAGTTATAGTAGAGTAGACCCCTAATTCCAATATGACTGATGTTCTTATAAAAAGGGAAGATTTGGACACAAAGGCACACTCAGGGGGAGAATACCCTGTGAAGACTGAAGTTATGTTGCTGTAAGCCAAAGAAACGCCAGAAGCTAAGAGAAGGTCTTGGAACAAATCCTTCCCTACTGCCTTCAGAAGAGGATAATCCTGCTGATACCTTGATTTCAGACTTCTGACTTCTAGAACCATGGGAAAATAAATTTCTGCAGTTCCAAGCCACCCAGTTTATGGTACTTTGTAATGGCAGCCCTAGCAAACTAATATAGCTTCCAATTGTATCCACTAAGTTGACTGACTTTACTCTTTAAAAACAAACAAACAAACATAAACATTATGATAGTTTATGATATATGTTGTGAATGACTGCCCAATAAAAAGAATCTTAGGTAACTGTTTTGTAAAATCAACACAATATAAATGTTAAGCTATTAAGAATACTGGCTAATGGAATGAATGCACTCTATTATTCTCATTTTAAGTAAAACTCATTTTCTTTCCATGAGTTTTATTTTAATTAAGAATCAAATTGTTCATAACACTCCTGACAAACCCCTTATCCCAGCTGACCTGCTGACAGATCTGTATATTCTAAGTGGTACAATTTTAAGAATCTCAATGGCATCCTTTTACATTCATGATTATTCTTCTTAGACAAGGGTTGTTGAATTAAGTCAGCTATGAAATAGCTATAACTTTAGGCATTTATAACAATATTAAACCACTCATTTATCCAGAAGCTTAGAAAACAGTATGTTGTAGATAATCTGATATTTTGGATTTAAAGCATTAGAATACATTTAACAATAGTCTCTATAAAATATATATCAATCTACTTTTGATTCAATACTTTATAGTATTTTGGCTGGGCGCAGTGGCACACACCTGCAATCCCAGCACTTTGGGAGGTGGAGGCAGGAGGATCACTTGAGGCTAGAAGTTTGAGACCAACTTGGGCAAAATGGTGAGACCCTGTCTCTACAAAAATTTTTTAAAACATTAGCCAGGAATGGTGGCACATGCCTGTAGTCCCAGCTACTCAGAAGGCTGAAGCAGGAAGATTGCTGGGGAGTTTAAGGTGCCTGGGAAAATTGCCCAGGAGGTTAAGGTTACAGTGAGCTATGATCATGCCACTACACTCCAGACTAGGGAACAGAGCAAGACCCTGTCTCAAAAAAAAAAAAAAAAAAAAAAAAAAAAAGTATAATATCTCAAAGTAACCATTGAAAAATTAATTATTCTTGAATAATTTTGAAGGTGGGTTGGATGACCTACTATGGTCATCTGGATTTTGTGTAAAATATAGTCCTATTTCAGTTATTTGTCTTCCAAATTAAGGGAAATTGAATTTTGAATAAACATCAATTGAAATGATCATTTATAATTCAGTGAAAAGAGTAGAGACAATTGATGAGTATTTATGGAGTGGCATCTGGGCACTGAAAGTGGGAATTTAAAAGTTAAAAAGACAAAAAAAAAGAGAGAGAAGCTAATCACCCCTCCTGCAAATTTTTATTAAATTGAACAGCTACAGGATTCCGGTATGTTTAGTTGTTGATGTGGCTGTTAGCTGGCCATGAGTTTTAATCTTTTTAGAAAATTTAATTGTAAGTTCAGTAAACTGCTATATGATTCTTTGATAAACTACCCATGTACATTTTTTTTTAACACATGGAAATAATAAAATATGAAAATAAGGAAACATAAAGTATCTCCTTTAGAGATACCTCAGCAAGGCATTCACACATATTGAAAGCCAGCTGAGCCTGCCCTGGTGGCTGAGCGTGTGACCATGCACAGGACAAGGTTTTGCGCTGCCAGTGAGACTATGTCTTCTCCATCTTCTGTGTTGATACAAATGTTAAATGCTGCTTTAAAGTCTTCATGGTAGTAAAAGCAGTCCTTGAAAATCTATATAGTTAAATATTTAGAACTATGACATTCCAAAGAACTAACCATATGGTTGGTAATTTTGGAGATCAGTTGCCCTGAATGCTGAAATAAACCTTAAAATGGCAATGGAGAAATGATTTTTTTCTAATTCTATTAAAATGCACATTCCAAATTTCCCTTTCTCAAGATATTTAATGAGTACCAACCGTAACTGAAAACGGTCCAGCTCACAGGAAGAACCCTGAGGAATACCAACATTTATGGAGGAGCAAAAGCAAAGGAGCTTGCAAAGGGACCAGAATATAAGGGGAAATATAAACATAGACAAAGATCTTGTGATATTGCTGATGCCAAGGGTAGAAAGCTTTTCGAGAAGGAAGGGACCATTCTTCAACCCCAGTGAAATGCTGATTCAGGCAAGGGCTCAACAATGGCCGCTAATACCACTAGGCAAAAGATTATTTGCACATATTAAAATATCACTCCACAAGTTGCAAAGGGAAAAAAAATTTATATATATATATATATATATATATATATATATATATATATATATCTATCTTTAGAAAGAAAAACCTGGCAGACATTACTGTCACCAAATGACCAAACTGAACGTCACTAATAGAGGGTCCATCTGACTTAGGGGCCTACTGCCAGGGTGTAATATGAAACAATCAGTATCACCTATGAAGAAATTGTCTCCAAAGAATGTTTAAACTGTATCTCCTGTTTATAGCAAATTCAGGGATTAGAAGAATAATGTGTGAAAACAGGATGAAATGAAATGTGGGCCATTCCAAAGGCAACTGACCTACACTGTTTAACAGGTCAAAGTCATCATGGAAGACAGTGAGGAACTCAAGATTATAAGAGTTTAAAGAACATAACAACAAAATGCACTGTCTGATACCTGAGTATGAGCTTATACAAGAAGTAAAATAGCTAAAGACCTTTCAGGGACAATTAGGAAATATGAATATGTACTGTATAACGCTTTGTGTTATGGGAAAATGTCATTATGCTTAGAAAGTACAAGCTGAAGTACTAACATTTGAAGGTGTGTGCATGACATGATATTCACAATTTACCTACACAATCATTTAGCAAAATATATGCTAGACACAGCAAATGGCAAGGTCGCAAAGATTACTGAAGAATCTAGGTGGTGTGCCGAGACCAGCTCGGTTGGGATACCCTAACCCAGCAGGGCTAGAGGAATTAAAGACACACACACAGAAATATAGAGGTATAAAGTAGGAAATCAGGGGTCTCACAGCCTTCAGAGCTGAGAGCCCCGAACAGAGATTTACCCACATATTTATTAACAAGCCAGTCATTAGCATTGTTTCTATAGATATTCGATTAACTAGAAGTATCCCTTATGGGAAACGAAGGGATGGGCCGAAATAAAGGTATGGGTCTCCCTAGTTATCTGCAGCAGGAACATGCCCTTAAGGCACAGATCGTTCATGCTATTGTTTGTGGTTTAAGAACGCCTTTAAGCGGTTTACCACCCTGGGCAGGCCGGGTGTTCCTTGCCCTCATTCCGTTAAACCCACAACCTTCCAGCATGGGTGTCATGGCCATCATGAACATGTCACAGTGCTGCAGAGATTTTGTTTATGGCCAGTTTTGGGGCCAGTTTATGGCCAGATTTTGGGGGGACTGTTCCCAACAGTGGTGGGCATAAATGTAATCATTGTATGATTTAAACTTTATGTTTTAAATTCTTCCTAAAAAAAAAGTGTCACTGGGGATAAAGAGTGTTAAATGCTGCTGAAAGATTCAGCAACATAGGGACAGATTTAGCAGGAGGAGGTTGTTTCCTTTGTGAGGGTACTTATTTCACCACGTAACAATGAATTGAAAAGTAAACCAGGGGTGAAACAAAAAAAGAAATAGTATGTTTAGGCAACACTTGGAAGAAATTAACAGTTATGAAGTAGAAAGAAGTCAGTCTAAAAATGAAAGGAAATGTATATTTAAAGGAAGTATTTTACTTTTTTATTTTGATGTTTTGCCTGGAGTTTTTTTTTTTTTTTTTTTTTGCCATTTTTGGGGGGTGTTAGTTTACTCTCATATTAAGAAGGAAAAAGGTGACTGTTTTCAGCTGTGATAGGGAAGTATCAGTAGAGAGGCAGAAGAATCAGAGGAGTGGAGGGGCTATTTCAAGGATTTTGGAATTAGATGGATGTGAATAAGGAACTAAAACAAAAGGAGGCGAAAAAGGATTTTCTCTGAATCTCATGAAACTAGTTTGAACCCTTCCTCAACCCCCACAAAATTATATAAACAAAGACCCTATAAAGCCTGTATCTGCATGTATAGTAAGGTATTAAATTGGAACAAAAATGTGCAAACCTCTTGAACATATAAAATAAAGCTTCTCAAACTTCAACAAGCCTGGAAATCACCTCAAAGAGCTTATTAATACACAGACTCCTGAGGAGTAGTATACCTTCCCCTTAATTATGAGGACTCTGAGATTCAAAAAAATTACGTGAGTTCCTAAGATCACACAGCTATTGGTGGCCTAGCTGGTACTAGGTCTCATGTACTGATTTCACTGATCTTTCTTTTCTGTACCGTGCATGCTCTATATTACTAGCCTCTATTATTTATATTATCAGAAAACCTCTACCTATCCTTATTAGAGCTATGAAAAAAAAATTAGTCTTACTGATTCCCTCGAGTAAAATGCAAATTTTGAGAAATTTAAACTGAATTATCTAACCATATTTTCATTTGCTAAAGATAAGGATTTTTCCCCCCACCTTGTTTGTTTTGTATTTAATGGAGACATTGTGGAATTTTAGATAACACAAACCTTCTTTTGAGTGAATTGGATTTTACTGCTGCCCAACAAATTACCACATTAAGACAATATAAATTTACTATTTCACAATTTCCACGGGTTGAGAGTCTAGACACTGGTTAGCTGAGTTCTCTGCCCAGGGTCTCATCAGGCTGAAATCAAGGTGTTGGAGAAGGTTTCTATCTCATTTGAGGCGTTGGGATCTTCCTCCACATTCACCGACTGTTGACAGAATTTTCTTCCTTTAGTTGTAGAACTCAGGGTCCCTGCCTTCTTATGGGCTGTCGTGTTCCCTGACAGTTTTCTTTGAAGCTAGAGGACAATCTCTCTCTTCAGTGGGTCAAGTCGGTCTCATACAATGTAATCTGATCATGGAGTGACTCTCCCTTTGCTATATGATGTAAGCTAATCTGGGACTGATAAGTGACTATCTCATTATATCCACAGTCCCACCCACATTCAAGGCATGGGAATGTTGGGGCCACCTTAGAGTTCTGCCTACCACATGCAAAGATGTCTGAAAAGTTACCTCTAGGTTATATACTTGGTAAGACTTCAATGTTTTCTAATAATTATATTTCAAAAATTTTTTTGAGATTCAAACCAACAAAGATTTTTCCCTACATGGTTGTTTTAAGTCTGTTCTAATAATCAAGCAAAAACATAGAACAAGCATTCCATTTTGGTCAAACAATGAGTTTGTTACCTGCCTTTGATGTGATTGTAGTTACCTCCTCTGCTAATATTGCTCCTCATTTATAGAGAATCTGTAATAGCTTATTTTGGGAGATTATAAAATTTGTAATATGTATATTTCTGTAAATATTCAACTCTGCCTTGTAAAAAAGTAAGCTATGATCCTGTCTGAAAGTTGAATGAGACATGAGTTTATAATTTAGTATTGTGTTATTTAAGAAGAAAACTGTGATATAATAATAAAAATTAAAACACTACAGGAAATATGTGTCTGTGGCAATTGTGGGTGCTAATTATGTTGTCAGCTGGAAGAGTGAAAATCTGGCCTTCTAAATTTTGGTCATGGCAGGTTGGCCATGGATCTGATTTTTCTTTTTTATCTATTGTTATTAAAATGTATGTGTTTGTAGTCCTAAATATCTTTGCTCCTTTAGACTTTTTTGTATTATTTTGAATATGGAAATGCAGATTGAATCACACTCACTCATTTGGATCCCAGAACTGCATGGCTTAGCAAATTCACTAGAGGGTTTTTTTAAAAGCTGAGTAGTGTGAACTGGATGCTTAAAGAGTGTCTAGGGCTTTGATTGCAGTGGGTAAGCTTTCAAAAGTCAGAGGATCTCTATTAGTACAGCACATATAAAAAGCGGTGGTTTTGCCTTTTGGCACTTAAAAGATGTTAATCTATTTCAATACTCACCAGTAAATATGTCCATCAGTTAAGCTTAAATGCACTGAGAATTAAAAAAAAAAAACAAAAAACAAACAAAAAAAACACTTAAGAAAACCACTTATCCTAATGCTTTGTAAAATCTACAAGATGCTGTTCAGTGTGTAAATATTTATTGTGGCTATGATTTAAAAATAAGACTCTGAGTTCCTAAACATTCTGATTTTTAGAAACAAGAGAGGTTTTTCATGTAGGAAATTTAGTAGATACTGTTATCAAAATAGGAAAATTTAATACAAAACTTACATGGGTGTTTGGCTTACTAATTTAGAGGAACACAGTCAAATGCTGTAAAATCTTTGAAGAGATTTATTCTGAGCCAAATATGAGTGACCATGGGCTGTGACATATCCCTTAGGAGGTCCTGAGAACATGTGCCCAAGATGGTCGGGGTGCAGGTTTGTTTTATACATTTTAGGGAGGCATGAGACATCAATCAAATACATTTGAGAAATACATTGGTTTGGTCCAGAAAGGCAGGGCAATTCAATGTGTCAAGGTGGGGGAACTTTCAAGCTCTAGGTAAATGTAAACATTTTCTGGTTGACAACTGGTTGACTTTGTCTAAAGACCTGGGATCAAAAAAAAGGAAATGTTCAGGGTAAAAGACTGTGGAGACCAAGGTTCTATTGAAGTCTTCTAGTGGCTGCCCTTAGAGACAATAGATGACAAATATTTCCTCTCCAGCCCTTTTTAAAGGTGCTAGACTCTCGGTTAATCTCTTCAGTATTGGGAGGGCCTGGAAAAAAAAGATCTAGTTCTTTAACAGAATAGTGATTCTTTACAGATACAAATTTTCCCCCACAAAAGACAGCTTTGCAGGGCCACCTCAAAATATGGCAAAGATATATGTTTTGGGGTAAAATATTTTGATTTTCTTCTATGTTACATAATGTTATGCCAGAGTCAGATTGGAAAGTAAGTCACAATACATACGGTTAAATAAAACCTGCCAGATGAGAATTCATGGTTTGTAAGGCATGACTCCCCAGACCCCTTACATAGGAATTTGGGCAAGGTAAAAAAAAATCAGAGCTTAGTCCTCAGTCTCCCCTCTTGGCCAAAAACATTCCATAGAATGCATGGGCAGGCCAATAAACAGCAGCAGGTCTCAGGGTGCTAGGAAGGCTCATTTCTAGAGTTGTCTGATTTGATGGTAATCGTTTTAAACAGCAGCAATTTGGATAATGGCAGGAGGACATGCCCTGACCTGATGTAATAGCCAATTGTGTAAGGGGTGAGATGGAGTCAGGCCTAGGGTTTAGTCTAAAAAAAAGAAGAAAAAATCCTGGATCAGATGTATTTTGTGAGCTATCATGATCTGAGTCTTCAATTGTGCCTTTTTTCATTTTGCTGAGTCTGACATAACACTTACAAGAGATATAAAATGCTAATATAGTAACAAATATCAAAAAGATAGTCAAGATTAGGCATCCAAGAAGGTTATAAGTGAAATCAGAGGGCAGTAAACAACCCAAGCAGCCAAAAAATAATCCCTGCTTGCATCCTTATATTCTTTGATCAGACTCACAGTGTGTTTACCTTCCTTATCAGGGTTATTTAAACCTTATCATAAATCTTATTTGAGGATTGTAGGACCAGCATTAAATCAGAATTCAACAAATTTAATCTCTCTTCAGGCTAATTTATCTCCATAGGTATGACATCCTGAGGAGGTTATAAATCAAATCCAAGAAACACCTGATCCTCAGTGTCTAAATTGTCATAAAGGGCCTGGTTTGGTGGCTGAAACCTGTAATCCTAGCACTTTGGGAGGCTGAGGCAGGCAGATCACTTGAGGTCAGGAGTTGGCAACCAGCCTGGCCAACATGGTGAAACCCCATCTCTACTAAATACAAAAATTAGCCAGGAATGGTGGCAGGTGCCTGTAATCCCAGCTACTTGAGAGGCTGAGGCAGGAGAATCACTTGAACCTGGGAGGCAGAGGTTATCGTGATCTGAGATTGAGCCACTGCACTCCAGCCTGGACAATGAGTAAGACCCTGTCTCAAAAAATATATACATAAATAAATCGTCATAGGACTTGTTATCAGTAGACAAATCTATTTTTCTCACTGCTTTTGTATTGTACCCTATACTGATGTTTTGGGGAGAGAAAAGGAGGTTTTGTCACAGGAGAAGTCATATAACTCTACAGTGTTTTTTTTGTTTTGTTTTGTTTTGTTTTTTGTCCCTTGGCAGGACTCCCTATGGCAGAGGGACTTATAGTCAGTTAATTATTCTAGGCCAGATAGGAATGGATGTGGACAGGTATTCATCACCTCTTAAAATTATTATTTTAAGTAAAAAGCCAATGAACAAAACCAAAAGTCAAAGTTATAAGACTGACTTATTTTTAACTTCTATGTGTTGAGCTACTGTAAGTTTGGTTTGTGTTACAGGCTTACAGCAATTAGCTATAGAAAACATAAGCATTGTTCTGCAAAAGAATTTTAAAATATGTATCTAGATAAAAATATATTTCTCTTCACAACTCATAATTGGGATAAATACCCAGGAGGCTTTGTTGCAAGGTATTTTTATCCTGTTAGTAAATATTTTCCTTTAATTCTATAGTAAGTAGAAAATTCCTTATGGTTGGAGTGGATGCAAAGGTGACACATAATAGTTTAGAAGGCAACTAAACTTGTCTTACCAGCTGTTTAGGCATCTTTGTATCCCTTCTTGATTTGCAGGGTTTGACCTTGACCTAATTTTATCCCTCAAAATCAGCCCTTAAAATTTCACGCACTCACCTCTTCCTCGATAGTCCCTGGGCCTAGAGGGAGGGTGCTTGTATAGTTTTAGCATCAGAGCATTTGTAGTGAAACACATCTAGGCCCAGTGGGATGCCAAATAAGGCAGATTCCTATCTCTGGTCTTCAGAACACCATGATTTTGGTTTCCTTGGAAGTATAGTTTGACAATTTTAAGAGTAATTTGTGTGTCAGAATAGAAAAAGGAACCCATTCCGTTAGGCCACCAAGTAAAAATATGATGAAAAATTATAATCTGGTGCTCTCTAGAGGATTATTGTAGCCAAGAATAATTATTCAATCTGTGATCGAAAAAACAACTTAGGGCTAAAATCTAACACTATGTGTTATGCTTTTCCTTTGAAACAATTTCTTGAGCTGCTTTTTTTTTTCTATTAAAGATAAATTATAGCAAGACCAATTAGTGTGCAAGGTAAGTTTTAGGCTTATTATGCTTGCCTGATTATTTGCATAAAATGCAGCAAGAATTAATTGACCATATAAACTCCTTTTAAATTGGCTTTGCTGGAACTTTATTTAAAAATAGTGTATTCTAGTCTAAGCCTCGATAAAATAACCAGTGTCTCTAATTGTTTTGTTTTAAAACTTATATCGAACTTACGCAAACAACTATATTGTCATAAAATTGCGATCTGAATTTTAGAGAACTTAGAAAGATAAGTTTGCTTATAAAAACATACTTCACCCAAATAACTTAAAAGATTTTCTTGACCCTTCTTTTACCAGAGCAGCAGCTTTTAAACAAGATGTTTGTTTACCTTGAAAATACCATTTGCAAACCAAACAGCTCAGGAGAGCTGTCTATCAGACACTGTAGAATTTGGCAGCTCCTCATAATTAGTTCTAGGAAAGAGGCTTTCTGCTTATCAGTTAGCAAGATTTTACATAATATTTTTTTTTGTCACAGAACTCTTCTGGAAAATATTATTTCCATTAGCATAGGGGTAGCTTCGGATAACATTCCATCACAAGGCAGTAAATGCCCCACCAAGTGGAAATTCTCTAGTTCAGTCATTGTTATCGAAAAGTACAGTTTATTTTTGGCATCAGCCCCAATAAACGCTCAGCACAAAGGGCCATGCACTGGAGGATTTGTCCCGACTAGCACTCCAGCTTTTACCCTATACTTTGTGGGCTCAGGCAATTTTACTAGTTCCCATTTAGTGTGTTCAGTTAACATTTCCTAAAAGAGCAGATTTACTTGCCTTCAGTTTTATAGTACTGGAAAGGGGTAACATCCCCAGTCAGATGCATTACCCATTTTCATAAGACATTTAGGTAAAGGGGTTACAACTACCTTATGTAAAGCTTGTTTAAATATCTTAATTTTTATAATTATAATTATATAATTTTATAATTAACCTGTATGTTTTTATGTTCTGATCCCAGGAACCCTTTTTAACCTTCAGACCATTTTACCTTTTCTGGTGAAAAGGAGTTTGGGATTCCCAGTAGGGAGTTGCATCTGTAAGACCTATGAGAGACAGCAAATTTGATAAGGCTTCCTAAATAATCCTATGATTCTGTGGAAGGGGCACCAATGTAAAAGGGGCCCCCTTAGCCCCAGACTTACTGTGACCTGGGTAATAGGCATATTTGATGGGAGGATATACCAGTTATCATAAAGCCTGTCTGATATGGCTTGCATATGAAGCATATTAACTGCTTCATCTGGTGTGCTTCACTCGGTATTTTATAGGGAGAGTTGGGAAGACCCTTTCTCAGGACAGACCTTACAGTGGCATGTATCCACTTTACTAGGATGATCATTCTCTTTGGACTAATTTCCTGTGCATTTGGATTACATGTAATTATTAGTGATTGTTCAGGAGTGAGCTGTGGGTCTTGCATAAACTCTTAAATTCTCTAGCATTTAAAATTGAGAATTTTGTTCTTAAAGGGGTTATTTTTACAACTCACTATAGTAAAGATTTTTTAAGAAGCTGATGATAACAATCTACAAAATGGAACAATTCCTTTATATTATACCATTTGGTTTTTGACAGTTGCTTGGTTTTACACTTCCCTCATATCAACTACTCTCTTGGTAACCATGGGGCTTAGAATTAACTTTTGTTGCCCAAGCTTAATTGTTTCTTTTATTTTGTTTTATCTGTATGATTTTTTCTTTATTTTAAAGCAACACTTAAGTAGTTTTTTAACTAGAGGAAAAAACCTAGATTCACTTTTTTAAAGAAAAATCAACATCCTTGAGTTTTATAAACTTTACCGAAAACATATTTTATTTTCCTACTATTTTAACTTTTCAGTAACATAAATTTCCAGTGGTGGGGGATGGGGAACCAGAGGGTTTAACATGACTATAAGATTTTAAATTACTGGAGGGTTTTGAGATGAAATTTACCAAATTAATTTTACCAAAGATTACCAAGGTCATGTGAATTAAAAGGCATCTGAGCTAGCTTCTACCAATCTGATAAGTACCTTCTTAAGTAAGTTACTTGATTAGAGACCTTTAATTTAGTTTGGTAGTGAAATATCACTTTCACATGACACATATAAAGATAGAGATATAACAGCATGCAGAATAAAAAGACATGTCCAAAAGATACTTTATTTGCCTGTTTTTGAAAGAAAATTCTGTTACTTTAGATAATTAGTAAACATTATAGGAGCCAACAAAAAGTGAAGGGAGAGAGCTATGCTCCAAGGCCTTTTCGAAAGAGAAAGAACAGAACTTCTGAAATATCAGTCTGAAGAATGTTAAAGAGACAGATTATAGAATTTAAAAATTTAAAAACTTCTCGCATTAAAAATAAGTTAATATTTGTAATAAAATCTTGTTTAAACCAATTAGTTAGTTTTGTATTAGTGTGTATTTTTAATATAAAAGACCCATCTGTATAAAGGCTATTATAATTTCTTCTTCTTCTTTTTTTTTTTTTTTTTGAGACTGAGTCTCACTCTGTCATGCAGGTTGAAGCACAGTGATGTGATCTCAGCTCACCCGCAACCTCTGTCTCCTGGGTTCAAGACATTCTTCTGCCTCAGCCTCCCGAGTAGCTGAGACTACAGGCATACACCACCATGCCAGGCTAATTTTTTTTGTATTTTTAGTAGAGACAAGGTTTCACCATGTTGGCCAGGCTGGTCTCAAACTCCTGACCTCAGGTGATCCTCCCATAGCCAAATGAATTATACAACCCCTTAAAAAATTCCTTATGATGACTTACATAGACCATTCGCAACATGCTTAGACTTTCTGTTTTGTCCTAAATATCCCTCTCTCTTTAACAATCTAGTCATTTTATTTTAGGACAGAAATTTACCGCATGAGATCCTTTCTTATATAAAATTACTTTCCTTTTTATCTTCTTCACCAACATACTTCTTTATAGATTTAACTTTCTTTACATCTTTTATTTCCTGGTTCCTTTTAACTTGTGTATACCTTGTATAACCTGTATAACCTTGTATAACATGTATAAACAAGGTAAAAGGTATAAAACCTTAAATAAACTTTGAATTAGACAAAGATATTTAATAAGAACATTAAAAAATATTTTCCTATAACTTTTAAATTGGAAATTATCTAGATACTTAATATCAATTAATAAAATTAGATTCTAAATTATGACATTTGTTTCAAGCATTTATTCCATTTACCTGATTGCTTTAATAGTTTACCTAGATTATTTACAAAAACAATGATAGCAAATATTTAAATTTATTTTTCTATTAACCATTTTTATAGCTGTGAATTTCAAGTATTAAGTAATAAAACTTATGGTTAAATTTAGGGTATTTATACCAATAGCTCAGGATTTGACTATTTTCATTAAGCCAACAATATTTCATAAGCATACGAAAGCTAAGATTATTCTGTTTTCGGATGGGCTTTCTAGTTTTATAACCCTTATGGTCAATCTTATAGTATTCTGCAGGAATACATAAAACCACATGACCAATAAATGCAAAAAAATGCAAACAATTCTTAGGACATTTTTAATATCATTTTACCAATAACTTTAAAGCCAATTATTTATTAAAGATTTTTCTTAAGTCACGTGAACTTGGAAAAAGCATTTGACTAGTCTTTTTTTAAAGTATCTGATTTAAGCACTTTTATTTTTTAAGCCAATTAATTAGAGCTCTTTTATGTATTTTTAGTAGTGAAACGTTGTGTACACAACACATAAATACATAGATGTATTAGGCATGCTGATAGAAGTACATGTTATGATTTTTAAAACTTCTTTTCTTTCTTAGACTTCTAAATTCTTAATAACCTGTTTCACCATCCTAGGCAATTGTCAGCTAAATAGCCCTAAATTTGTATTTAAAGGAAACTACCTCAGGTGAAAATCAAATAGCAAAATTTATATCATATGGTATGGAGAGAAAAAGTCTGGCGTGCCAAGGGGAAATTAAAACCAATTTAACTGCCAATTAAACATAAAATTATAGAATTTATAAAGGTCTTTTAAATACACACACACACACACACACACACACACACACACACTCACACAAAGATTCTGTAGCATTTACTTCAGAACTTTAGCCATGACATAAATACAAATTAACTAGCTTGCAAAAAAAAAAAAAAAAAAAAACTTGTTAGATACACACAGTGGTTTTTATCTCAGTAGAAAAGCAACAGTAGATTTGAAGCAGTCAGAAAAGAAAATAGAGAAAAAGAATACTTAGGATCCCTATAGTTGGCAAGTCAAACTTAGGGCTCTTTACCTTAATGTAAATGTGCACAAAGACCATATTACTTCCATTTTATACAAACTCTGGCAAGGAGATGTGCCATAAAACATACAGAATGCTTGAAAGGGGGTCATTCTGCTTGTTCTTGCCTTATTTGTTGATTATTTGTTTCCTACTTTTTTTTTTTTTTTCTTAAAAGGAGGATCTGAGATGTGGCCTAGGAATTTTGTCTGGTGGATCAATGTGTGCTGCTTACAGGCAAGACTCCATAGTGTGTCACCATTGAGTCATTTCCACCCTCTTACATGTCTCAGTTTCTCTCTCCAGTGGTCTGTTACCTCTGAGAGGGCTCAAAACACTGGGTGATCAGCCCTTATATGCGTTTCCTAGACAAGACTTTTTTTTAAATTAATTTTTGTTGGGAATTTCCCGGTAGGGCCACTGCATGTTGTGAGGTGTCAATCCCCCAGACACTGCCATAAGGTCCCCAGTCACCTAAGGGTGCCTTTTGGCTGGGAGGAGAAAAATGTCCTTTCTCTTCAGAGCTGAGGAAACTTAGTCTCTTATTTACATATGAAAACAACAGTTCAGTTTCTCATGCAAATGCGCACAGACAAGCCAATTGAGATTAATTTTTGGAGAAAAAGCAACAGAGAAGACCCTTTAGAATGCATCTTTGAACTAGAATTAGGATCCTTTAGCAACAACTTCCTAGGAGAAAAACCAGCTCAGAATAAATCAAGGACTGTCAACCGAAGGGAGTTCCAGGACTCAGGAGGACTTAGCAGTTCTACCAGAAGAGAAGCATTAAGTTGGGTAGGCTTCAATGGGCCCCTGCTGGTACCTTAGCTCTGAGTTTGGGCAACTTCTTTGGGGTTCTGAGACTTCTCTGAGGCCCTATGTTGGATGCCAAATTATTGTCAATGAAAATAATCAAACTCTGTAAAATATTTGAAGATATTTATTCTGAGCCAAATATGAGTGACCATTACCAGGGACACAGCCATCAAGAGGTCCTGAAAACATGTGCCTAAGGTGGTCAGGGTACAGCTTGGTTTTATACATTTTAGGGAGGCATGAGACATCAATCAAATATGTTTGAGAGATACATATTTGGTCCAGAAAGGTGGGGCAATTTGAAGCAGGAGCTTCCAGGTTATAGGTAAATTTAAACATTTTCTGGTTGACAATTGGTTGAGTTTGTCTAAAGACCTGGGATCAAAAGAAAGGAAATGTTCAGGTTAAGATAAAAGATTGTGGAGACCAAGGTTCTATTGAAGTCTTCTAGTGGCTGCCCTTAGAGACAATAGGTGACAAAGGTTTCCTATTCAGACCTTTTAAAAGGTGCTAGATTTTCAGATAATCTGTTCAGGATTGGGAGGGCCTGGAAGAAAAAGATCTAGTTCTTTAACAGCATACTGATTCTTTACAGATGCAAATTTTCCCCCACAAAAGACAGTTTTATAGGGTTATCTCAAAATATGGCAAAGAAACATGTTTTGGGGTAAAATATTTTGATTTTCTTCTTTGTTACATAATGTTATGGCAGAATCAGATTGGAAAGCAAGTCACGATACATAGAGTTAAATAAAACCCATCTAACAAGAAGTTATATTTTGTAGGGCATGAATCCCCAGACCCCTTAGATAGGAATTTGGGGAAGATAAAAAAAATCAGAGCTTAGTCCCCATTAACATCACAGTCTGATTTTGAAAGAGTTCAGGCATGAAAAGAAGCAACATTCCATTCCTCATTCTAAATGAGTTATACCAAATGTTAGCATTCAGGGTGACTCCAATCTGCATACTCTAGCCAAAAGGTTCTTTTCAAAAAGTCAGTTTGATGCTTCTTCACTTATACTTCCATCAGTATAACATTTTTTTAATGTTTTGTAGTCGGATGAAGACCCAGTCTTCAACAAGGCCCACTGGGCCTTCTGACTTGACCCCATGCCTGCCTCAGTCTAGTGATGATCTCACACCATCATCTCTCTTACTGCTGACTGCAGTCACTTTGGCATTGGCCTTCTTTTAGTTCCTTGAGAGAGGTGTATTCCCTGCAAGATGACCTTTGCACATGCTATACCCTCTGTCTAAAACACACTTCCAACTCTCTGGTCCCCCTTTGCCTTTTTCTTAGATCTCACCTTTGTCATTTCCTGAGGAAAATATCCTTCTCTGGATTCTTTCTCCTCACCTTCCCAGCAGCCTACTTAAATTTTTTTGTTACCTGGGCTTATGGAACCATGGTGTTCCCATCTTTCCAAATACTTCTCTCAATGTGTAATTATATATTTATCAGTGAGATTGTTTAATTAATACCTACCATGGCCCCCCTCCCCACTAGAGCAAACTCTAGGCAGTTAGGAACCTTGTCTTATGTGCCTAGCATTTTATCTTAAGAGTCTAGCACAGTGCTGATTGTAAAATATACTGAGCAAATACTTGGATGAGTACATGAATGAGTGAATAAATGAATATATAAGTGAAATTGATTATTCATGACTTTAAAACATTGATCATCTCAATTAAAAGCTACACCTGTAAATAAGCAAAGCAAAGCATAGAACAAAGCCACTGCTATACCCATTAACAGTAAGCCCTCCTCATAGACCCCTGCCTGCAAACCAGCTGGCATTATTGCTATTACTTTGATGCCATGGGATGTGCCTTGTGAAAATTTTAATAAACCCAAAATAATGAAGACAGACTGTGACCTGAACATATTATGGACTGTCAACACTGTTACTATCCTTTCCACAAGTGGAACAAACGTAAGGAAAAGGAGAATATAGTGTGAAGGGAATTGTGCAAGCCATGCGCAAAATAGATTCAAATGGGCAAAACAGGTGTTTTTGTTGTTGTTGCTGTTTTGTTTTGTTTGTTTGCAAGAGTTTAGTTTTCAGAAGTCATTTAAAGGAGTAAAAGAGCAGCAGACCATTCCAGGCAGACAGGTACCATGTTAGAAAAAAGCACAAATGACAGAGGAAATTGAAAGACAAAAGTAATGTCAGCCAGGCTAAATATTCAACAAGATTTGAGGTAGCCAGAGAATAGTTTGTAGTCTGTCTCCAGGTTCCTTCCTGCTTGAGGTAATGTTATTGCCAGCTTAAAACTCTTCTATGTAAATGATGGTCTGGCATTTAAATCTCTCCTCCTCTAAAAGCACAAGAAAATGAAATTAAAGGCAGCCATTGAAGTACTTCTTTTCTTGAAACCAACACTGGTGATAATATGGATTGGCTTGGCATTTGTTAGTAATTCTAGGAGGTGATGCCCTTCCAATTTATTTGTGCTTTTACTGGCATTAGCAGAGAGACATTCTTTGTAGACAGTCAAAACAAGATCAAATGTAATCAAATTTGTAATAAAATAACATTTTTCAACAGTCAAGAAAAGGAAGCTTGACATGTAAATGTCATCCAGCAAAGTTGGTATTTTAGGTTTTCTTTGCTCTTTTGTCAAATGCTGAAGGCAAGACTTCTTGAATCACTGATATTCAATGACTACTTTATTGAATACTTTTGAAATTGCATTTGAAAGGTACAAATAGAAATTTTATCTGATTGGGATAAGCTGAAACTAACTTTCACCTGTTGAAAGATAGCCAAAGAAACATTATCTACAACCCTTACAGTTGTAAATGGTCCTTTATAAGTCTATTTCTTTCTTAAGTCAGAAAAATGAAATGTTAAAGGTTCCAAAAAAGGAATATACAGCTAGAAATTAAAATTCAAAATGGAAAATATATTTAAAAGTAATTGATAGAAGCCATTGGCCCAAGTGATGGCATATAAATTACTCTTTTATATTTCTTCCTTTAATTTAACTTTCCTGTTTCTTAATTATTCCATTTTGGTGTGGAAAATGCCAGGACTTTAATTTTATACACTAGATCACAGTGAAAGGTGGCCTTGGAAGTAATGAGGCTTTATCCATTAATGTGATGCTTTGCATAAACCCATCTGAATCTGTCCTTGCTTTGCTCTTCAGCCTGTCCTCCATTGACATCAAATGCAAATCTGGTCCTGTAACTCTTGTGATAAAAACCCAGCCATGGCTTCCACTATGCTTAGGGTCAGCCCATCCCTGACCTCACTCCTAGCCATACTTTTGCCCACTTCAATGCCTTCCTAGTCCTCCAGCCGTAACTCACCTTCAGAGGAATGCATTTTTACTTCATTTTCACGTAGTTACTCTTATGCTTAGGTCTCATTTCAGAGTTGATTGCACAGAGGCCTTTCCTGCTCTCTCTGTGACTAGACCCTGCCCAGTCTGCTATGTGATTTCATGACTCCAGTAGGTTTGCCTTCAAAGCACTTCTCACAATTTGTAGTTATCTATTTGTAAAACTATTTTATTATTGCCTGCACCCTGCTAGATTAACTGTGCGCTCCATGAGGGCAGGCTATAGGTCTGCTGCTCGCCAGTGGTGCTCAGAGCCTGGTGGGCATTCAATGAACAGTTGCCAAGCATGTAACTAAATGAAGTTCTTGAAGACATGAAATAAATGGCTTGTAGAGCTGACTAAATTTAGAAGAACTAAGAATTTTAATCATATCAAAATTGAAAGCATTCTCAACTATCCTGGGTATTTATTTGCTTCTGAGTTTATTGATGTCCCTTTCACTAGAATCTAGGCTCTACCAGGAAAGGGTTCTTATCACTTTATTTACCATTGTATACTTGTTCTATGAATAAGTGATACTATATTTGTCTGGATTTATCCAAAGCTTGTTCTAAAGGCTTATGATACCAAAATTAATAAAATAGAAATTGTTATATAAAGAAGTTCATAATATAATTGGAGATTTTAAAAATTACAAATCATTGTTTTGTCTCAGAGGATAATTTGAGGTTGAAATTGATACCTTAAGTCTGTACTCAGTTTATCCTACAACTGGAGATAGAGATGAAAGTTCTCTACAATAAGCTCTACTGCTACCTCATGCATAGAGAACAGGTATGATGTGGGTATTCAAAGTTAAGGATGGACTCCACCTCTAAATCCCCAACCTGTCTGCTCCACCTAAACACCTGGAGAACTTTGTAAACCTGACAGTTTCCAGAATCTTATAGAAATTCATTTGGAGTGGAACCTGAAAATATATGTATTTTAAAAGCACTTCCCGCCTCCCTGGAGCTCTGATACCCATCCATGTTTGGAAACCAGCAGACAGTGTTGCCTGGCTCAGTAAAAAAAAACTTCTGTGTTTTGTGCTAGTGATGAATTGTAGCCAAATAGCACTTACTTGCATAATTTAAATCTCAAAAGCAAGAATACTTTTTCTTAACGAAGCTAGGTCTTAAAATTGAAGCTTGTACTTTTTAAAGTTATTTATTCAGACATAGATTTAGTTTTCACTTATCAATCCTTCCTACCAAAAAGCACAAGGTGCTTTGCAAATATTAACCACAGGAGAAACAGGAGTCTTGACAAAAACACTGTCAAGTAGATGAAATGTTTTTAGTCAATGAAAAAATATAATTCTGCTTTTCAAATTCAGTTTCGAATGATATTTCTTTCTCTAGTGATGTTTCAATCTGTTGCTTTGTTGGTTAGGAGTATTTTACTTACACTTAGATACTCTTCTACACACTGGCAGTTGAACATTCTCTTTTCCCTATAATTCCTTTTCTCTTTACTGCTGAATGATAAACCACACATTATTTCCATTATTTACATAGAAGAAAGGGAGTTGAAGTGCTACTTTACCATTCCTCCCAACGTATCTTAATTTATCCCTTTTTGATTGTCTCCCATCATCCTGAAGTGGTGTCCTTGAATTTCAAAATGAGGACAGGTTTTGATTCATGTTCTATCACAATCTACTGTCACACCATAATTTCTGGACTTTAGACACCTGAAGTACTGGTAAGGCATCTAAAAGGGGAGTTTGTGTCTTTCTCCCTTAGAGGTTTTTTCCAGCTGAAGTAGTTTTCATTTTTATAAATCCACAGGGAAGCCACACATAGACTTGTCTCTCCACAAACACCTTGTTCTCATCTTATTTTTCTTATTACTTTTCTATCAAATTTACCTGCCCTGTGTTATGTTCTGCTGAAGTCCAGAATTCAGCTTATTTTTCCCTTCAGAATAATTTCAGAAAATGACTGTATGTAAAAATTAGTGGTTAAAAATTGTTCAATGTCCAGGGGGTATTTCTAATGTATACTCAGTCACACTATACTTGATATCAGGACCTAATTTTAATGATAGTAGTTCAGGCATCCAGTTCTCCCTGTGTGCCCTCAGGGATTCTGAGAATATTTAATGTAAACTGGAGAAAAGGAGAAAATGAAGAATAAGGAGCTTTCGTAACAAAATTTAGTTGCAAATAAATCATTTACATTCTAGTATTGTAGTGCCTAACTTAGCTAGATAGGGCTCCATCGTTAGATATGCCAAATGTTAGATTGTTCATCTTTTGATATAATTAAATACTAATTTTTTTGTAAAGCACATTTTGTATGCTACAAAAACAATTTAGTAGGTTTCAAGGTAACAAGATAGAAGTTACATGAAATTCCAAAAAGTTATGTAATAAAAAAGCATTTCTTGAATGATATATTTCTTGAATGATCTATTCCTGAAAATATGCAAGAAAGTACATAGCCATCTTCGTCTGCAACAAAATGATAATAACTGGTAATTTCAATAACAGAAGCAGCACTGAGGAAGCTAACATGTTTTTTTAAAAAGTCTGCCTGGTCATCTCAGAAAAACAAAAACAAAAACAAAAACAAAACAAAACAAACAAACAAAAACGCTGTGAGCCCAGTTTAAGTGAATAAGATAAATAAGTGTGAAACATTTTTAAAATGCCTTTAACTAGATAACTTATTTTAAGATATTTTATTAGTCAACTTTTAAAAGAAGAACCCACTACTTTATAGAAAACCTGAATTTTTCCATATAACTATCTAGTAGGGTTTAGTTACTATAGGTTCTGTAGTCTTCTCATTGAAAAAACTGTATAGTCCCACAAATTTATTTCAAGCTTGACATCCTGAAATATTTGAATTGATGAAAAAGAAGGAAAAATTGAATTATGGCCCACCTGATATGAAATATCATGTAAACATTCTGGGAAGTTATATTATTAAACATTTATTCCACAATCAACATTCTGCAAAAATATCAAAATGAAGAAAAATAGTACTTTTAGAACACATTATTTATGTGATTAAATATATTGATAAAGTTCTCTTTTATACAGAGACAAATGAGTCATTTGACAAGTATAAATTTCTGCCAAGTGTTTCTTAACTTCAGATTTATTTTAGGGAGAAATGTCTAGAAAAATATTTTAACTTTATCATCAAAAGAAAATCTGCAATACGTCTATGGAGGGAAGATATTTATTGGTGTTACCACCATCTTCATTAAGAAACCAAAAAGAAATGTACAAAATGTTAACATTGGCTATTTTGGGATGTTGGAGTTATGAAAGATCTAATGTTTAATGTGTGCCTTAAGGGTTTTTTTTTTTAACCGTAAATTTACCATTTTATTTAGGAAAAGAAAATGTACACAGATGTTTAGATTCAGAAAGGAAATCTCTTGGCTCTAGGGCTGCTCCATGGATTTGCCTTCTTACCTGTCCCCACCGTGATTGTGGTCTGGCTCATCTCCCTGCATTCCTTCCTCCTGCCAGCTGACTTTCATGCCATCTTTCTGCCACACAAACATGTGGCTAGTTAACTTCAGCTCATCTTTCCCCCTTCCTCTTACACTTTATCTCCTGATCTCACATAGGTTAACAAATCCTCCCCTGCATATCAACACTTGCAGCTCTCCTATTGCTTAATATTGATAGGAAAAGAATGTTTCTGGAATTTCCTACTAAAGTCTTTCCTAATTTCAGGCATTTAAATGCCATTTTTAAAAAATTTGAGACTCTGCTAAATAATACTTTTTTTGTTAAGTTACTGACTTTTCAAATATCTTGAATATATTTATTTTTAAAAGAAACCTTGTGTCCTTACTGTAAATTGAAATGAGGCAATGACCCTAAATTCCTGCCAGATATTCCTACCTAAGGCTCTGAGCCTGAGGTTCCCTGGATCTTGGCTGGAAATGTGTTTGCCAGTAGTAGAAAGATAGCACTAAACTGAAGGTTGCTTCTTGATATAATCAAAAGAATTGGAAAGGACTAACTCATTGTATGATTCAATTTCCTTCAATGCTCAGTCTTTGAAGGAAATGAAAATCATGGCTTCCTCCTCCGGTGAAACCTTCTCAGGTTTGGGTTAATGCTGCTCCATTGCATATCTGCGTGGTTCATCCCCTTTGAAAGAAAATGAGCCCATCAGTGACCAGAGCTCCACCAAAGAAGGTGTCTGCAAAGGTTACGCATCCAAAATCATGTTATGAGAGGAGCCATTTAGCCAGTAGAGTTAGCAGTGGCGTGTGGTAATCAGCATTGAGGGCGTGAAAACCTGTCATGTGAAATTGTAATGTGGACTTATTTGATTGGGTGATAGAAACCAGAGGTAAGATCAGTGTCAGGAAGATGCCCAGAAGTATACCGTGGTTCTCTCTCGCTCTATATATATAAGCATATTGTGGTTCTCTGTCTATATATATAATATATATATATAATTTTAGGAAGTATATATATTATATTATATATAATATAATATATTATATTACATATAAAAATATATATCCATATATATAATATATTATATTATATTATATATATATATACTTCCTAAAATCTAGTGCTATTTAAAAATAACATTGGAGCACTAATGTCCCAGAAAATAGACAGGGGAGGATGAGCAATGCAAACATGGTATTTCCTTCCTTCCACACTCTCCTGAATTCAGAGGGAGCAAATAATTACATATATATATAAAACATATATATGTATATAAAACATACATATATATATATAAAACATACATATATGTGTATATATATATATGGATAACCACCAAATAGTATACAATACAGAGAAAGGGCCAGAGAGAGCCAGGGCTTTGTAACCAATTCAAGAAACTCTGGGTCCCAATCTGCTGCCCACATTTTCTTCACACACCCTCTTTTTTCCTGGTATCATAGAGAGCCTGAGAGAGACCTCAAGCACAAACACATCCATGGCCAGAGTGAGTTACCTCTGAATGAAGACAAAAAATGGGACAAAGGATTACACAGACCAATAAAGAACCAGTTAGAAACTTCCAAGTCTAGCAAACTTGGAATAAACCCAAACAAGAAGATATATGAGGTTTACAATAGAGAACATAGTAAAATGGAAGAAGCAGAACCACACAGAATGGTTAAATGCTGAGAGACCACCGTAATTTCACCCTTCAGGGGAAATAGTTAGGCAGATCACCCAGTGAAGGCCAGTGACTGACACTTAGGTGGGCCTGGGAAGTGAGACAGAATTTCTACCCAACATCACTCAAGACACAGATTCAATGACAGGAATTGGCATTCCTGTAGGTCTTTCTAAACAGTGAGAAGCAAAGCATCCTAACAAGGTTCACCAAAGGGTGAACATCCCACATTCTCTCTGTCACCTCCCACCTCGCTCCAATCCAGCCCAGCAATAAATGGATTGATAGCTTTTGCCCATGGAGCAGTCATGAAGAGCTGTTCTGAAAATTTCCTTCTGATAAAAATATGTGGGAGCTGGGCTTCGATGGGCCACTGACAAGGTCTTCTTCCATAAGAAAAGTTCTGTTTATCCAAAGCCAACACTTCCGTGTGCTCCAGAAAGCCTCCATTCCATCTCTCAACTAGAAACCCTTTATCTATGTACAGTAGCAAGCAAGCCAATGTTTCATAATTTATGTCAGTGGATACGATACCTTAAAGCCAGGTTCTGACCCCTCAGAACATACAAGCTGCGGCTAGAGCTGGACATACCTGGCCGGAGGACAAGGAGGTGATCTGCACCCAGGGCCTGGCACCTGACCCACCCAGAGCTGCTGCCACCCTCATGCTTTGCATTCTCCCTGCTCCATTCTCCTGTCCCTCCTGCTCCATTCCCTGGGGCAAGAGAACATGCACCTCCACAGAGTCTGTTTCTGGAGAGGGGCAGAGAGAGAAGATGTGAAGTGAGGGAAAGTGAAGGAGAGAGAATGCAAGATGAGATCAGGTTTGCAGTCACAGTGTTAAACTGTTTATCTGGGCCCTGGGGTGGACATCAAAGGGTTCACTGACATCTTTTGTTAGGGGATGGTCTTTGAGGCACCGACCCTCCTGTGTCATCTGTGCAGGTGCTCTTTGGAGTTGAAGAGAGGCAGCATTGGTTCCCAAGCTAAGCAGCCCAAGCCACTTTCTCAACCTGCAGAGCTTGCTTACTTCTTTTAAAGGCTAGAGGAGGATCCACTACGGCCCAAGGGTGGGCATGACTTGTGGGAAAAGAAAGAGTAAAGCAAGCTTGGGCTTTATTTGGGGATAAATGTCATTTACTCCATGATGATTACTTCATATATTATTTTCCTGTTCCTGACTCTTGGTTTGGTTTACTAAATCCTGGAAAAGCTCTTTTTTAAAAAGTAACATTTATTGAATATTTTTTCTATGGGCTGCACATTGTCTGGAATGATTCTTTGCATGTATTAACTTACTGAATCCTCGTCAAAATCCTATGCAGTTGACACTGCGATTCTAGTTTTACAGATGAGAAAAGTGAAGCATAGACAGTTCAAATGAGCACCCCATGATGGGTAGTAACTGTTAGACCTGAGATATGAACTCAGGTGGTCTAATCGCAGATCCTGCATTCTTAACACTTTGATATCTCTCAAGTAATCTAGAAGAGACTCTTGCTTCGGGTAAGAGGTTGAGCCAGCTAAATAAAGCACAGTCTATTAGGACAGAAAGACGAAATATCTTACTCCATCAGGGCAGAGTTACACTGGAATAGCAAAATTCCCCTATTAGATGGAAAAGACATTATCCATTGTGTTAGCCTGTTCTCACACTGCCAATAAAGGCACACCTAAGACTGGGTAATTTAAAAAGGAAATAGGTTTAATGCACTCACAGTTCCACATGGATGGGGAGGCCTCACAATCATGATGGAAGGTGAATGAGGAGCAAAGTCACGTCTTACATGATGGCAAGCAAGAGAGCTTGTGCAGGGGAACTCCCATTTATAAAACCATTAGATCTTGTGACACTTATTCATTACCACAAGAAGAGTATGGGGGAAACCACCTACATGATTCAGTTATCTTCACCTGGCTCCACCCTTGACAAGTAGGGATTATTACAATTCAAGGTGAGATTTGGGTGGGGACACAACAAAATCACACCATCCATTAAGTCATATCTGTCAAAGATTGGACCCTACAGGAGGCAAAGGACACAGGATAGGCAGTAGGAAACCAAAAATGTCCAGATCATAAGAGGCAACTTCCAAAATAAGAAAGCTGAATTTCAACACATGAACTCGTGAGAACAGCAAGAGACAAACAAGATCATGAGTGGTACAAAGCACAAAAAGGTGTGGTTGCCTGAAAAAATCCAAACTTAATCTTCTTCTGTGTTTGCTGAAAGCTAATTTTGCTCTCCCTCTTCCACATCACAACTGAGTCCAATTTTGCATACCTTGGTTTAAAGCTTACACAATAAGCACTTTTCTCAAATGGTAAGCCAGCACACACATTTTGGATTGTAGAGCATGAACAGAGGTTTAGTGCAGCTTTGAGTTTCTTTAAGGAAAAAAAAAAATCTCTTACATCACTCTCTTCAGTTCCTACTAATAAAATTGGGAATAACAAAAATGAGGGCATGGTAACTGGGTTTATTAGTCCTTGAAAATGCATCCTTCTTCCATGCCCCAAATCAAGATAGCTGAATCAAGAAGAAACGCCTTCTGTGAAGCAGGGCTCTGCATGAGCATGATTTTGGATGCATGACACTCTATTAGTGTCCAGTGACCAAATTCCTTAATCATGAATTGAATTTTTCTACTTCAACTAGCATCAGCCTTGGTTAGAGAAAACAAATGTGCTAGACATAATGTACTTCTGATTACCTAAAAATAAATTCAGAAATTAAAATCCCTGGAGATTTCAGTTCTGGAGTGGCAGAGATTCAGAAGCCAGATGCTCTGTAGGCTTTTAAAAACAGACAATGTGAACACGAGCATTGGTTCTCTGAGGACTGATAGTGCAACTAGTATGTATTTTATTGGCTTTTTTTTTTCTAACTTGTATTTTCACAGCAGGAATAGATTAGGTCTTCCTGTTTGCTCTCCCTAATTCATTTGCTCTTTTTTTGCAGATGCTTGCTCAAAAACACATTTTGTTTAGTTGTAGGTGGTTTCTTGTTTCCCAGCTCAAGGATGACATTATAATATTCCTCTATTGAGACCAAATCAACAGACTATTATTTTAGGGACTCCTGTGCTCTATCGAACATCATGCCTTACCTAGGTAATACATGATGTATTAGAGAAATGAATAGGCTATGAAATATGTGGAAGATTTTTATAAAATAAAGTCTCTTTGGAAGAAAGGTGAAATGGAAGACAGGAACATGTTTTAAATGTATATTTCTAACAGAAAAATAAAGTAGGAAAAAATTGTTTCTTAAATCAAGCAATGTTCAGAGGCAGCACATCAATTTTCTAGGAAGTAGTAGACCCTTCCTTATACCCAAATTATGTTAAATAACAACTTCCCAATCCTAAAGCCCAGGTCAGCTCCTTCATTTTTGTGAAGAAGAACCTTGTCAACCCCTAGAAAAACATTTCCAAACCCAGCAATAAAGTCAGAAATTTCATTTCCATAGAAACCAAAAATGAAACAATCTCTTTAATGTGAGTGCAGAGCCACAGTTGGAGCAGCAGCACATTTCCTGACTAAGATAAATTGTCACCCGTAATATTCACAGAAACAAATAGGAAAGATAAATAGAGGGGTTGGGGAAGGCATGTTAAAAATGGAAGATTCCATAGAAATTTTAAACGGCAAACTGTGAAGTTTTAACTTCTCTCTTTGGAGCACTGACATTTGACCTTTGGAAGCTTTGCTTGTATCTTTAATCATCAGTTTCTTCATGTGGGAAATGAGAGTAATAATGCCTGTCACCTGCTTCTTAGGTAGTTAGCACTCACAGTGAACTCTTACTATGTAAAAGGCATAAAGTGCTTATATTAGTCCATTCTTGCACTGCTATAAAGAAATAGCTGAAACTGGGTAATTTATAAAGAAAAGAGGTTTAATCGACTCACAATTCTGCCGACTTTACAGATAGCATGGCTGGGGAGGCCTCAGGAAACTTCCAATCATGGTGGAAGGGAAGGCAGACATGTCTTGTCTTACCTGGCTGGAGCAGGAATAAGACAGAAGGGGGAGGTGCTACATACACACTTGTAAACAATCAGATCTTGTGAGAACTGGCTCACTATTATGAGAACAGCAAAGGGGAAATCTGTCCCCATGATCCCACCAGGCCCCTCTTCCAACCACTGGGGATTACAATTCCACGTGAGATTTGGAGACACAAATCCAAACCATATCAGTGCTTTATATGAACTTACTCAGTTCTCCCTGTTATACATATTATGTAGGTAACATTAATAACTAACAATTACATGATGCCTCTTATGTGCCTAGCACTGCTGTGGGTACTTTGCCTACATTTATGAACACATTTCATTTGTGAAAACAATGAGGTAAGTACAATGATTGTCCCACTTTACAGATGAGGAAATGGCAAAAAGCAAGTAGGATACTGTATGTTTGGTAATGCTGTGAAGTGTTCTATATAAGTACCTAATTTTGTTATTTTTAGGTATTAATTATCTATCTTCTGTGCCTGTAATTATATAATTCCTTTCTTCCTACTCCAGTTTGGAAGATAAATCTTAACTAAAATGGTATTTATTACATGACTTAATAGTTTCATATAAAATATATACTTTATTTTACATTTTAATGTTATATGCTTTGCATGATAGTAATATTGAAATTTTAAGGGATATTTAAATATCATATAATTGTAAAGTAATGTTTTAACTATTGTTCAAAAGCTTTTAAAATTACTAGAATTAATTGTAATCTGTGCTGAAAAATAGAAGCTCACATTTGTTCTATATCTAACAAAACTCTTAAAAGCAATTATACACTGGTTCCTGCTTTAGGCCATTTATCCTGAAGTGTTGTAGGATTTGAAGTTCAATCTTAATCATCTACATCAGCATTGGGATATTGTGGTCAGAGTTTTACACTGTATTTATTATTATTTGAGTTTTATTACCACAGCAAATGGAGCATGGTCATCTAAAATTGGACAGAACAGGTGCTCATTTAGAACTGTGAAAATGTGTAATTTAATCAACACAATTCTTTAGGATGTGTTTTTAGCTTAACAGATGTTACAACAAACCTGTGTTTGCATAGTTTCATCTCTTCACATCACTTAATACTGAAACAGAGTATTGCCAAGTTATCCCTAGCTATTCTCCTAGAGCCTGATATGAAGCACAAATAATTATTCACCTTTTTTCCACATCCGTCTGCTGTTTGCATCTAAGTTACTCTATGCCTAAGTCAAAACCAAAATTATTGGCAGCACTATGTAAAATTGTGTTGAATGTTTTTATCTAGAGAGTGAAAACTATGTATACTGATTAAACACAACTTACCACAAACATTTTTCTGGATTATAATAAATGAAGAGAGTTTAAAAGCCATCTATTTTACTGATCTTTTATTTTCACTCTTTGTTCATTTATCAGAACAAAACTGCAAAAGGCTTTTATAAAAGAAGACATGGCGTTGCCTGAAATGTCATGTGAAGCATGGCATATGGAAATGCAGCTGATAGTAGTGTCAGAAAGATGACATGTGTCACTTGTCAAAGAGCAAAAAGGGTGGGCTCCCTGGCTGACATGCTGCCTATTTATCGCATGGAAACTTTCCAGCTTCTCTGCTGGTGGAACAGGGACCATGACTGGGGATAATCAAAACACTAAAAGGGTGGGAACAATTTAACAGATGCTGGATGGCAGGTAAAACTGAGGAGCTAGATCCAACATGCTTAACGGTAGAGTGTCAGGCAAGTAAAATAACAGACTCTTCAGGTCTCTGGACTTGCTCTCATTTTATGTTCTGGTAAATGCCTATATATCTTTTAAGATTAAACTACATGTTGACATCATCATTACAATATGTAATTGTCATTATTCACACATCCACATGCACACACATGCACACTCACAGCAAAACATTCTCCATGTTCCAGTTTTTCAATACACCCATCTTCAGGTCCTCTTTCTAGAACGGTAACCCCGAAACCAAGGCATGCAGCCATAAGGTTGTAGGTTCAGTTTAGAAGCATTTTTTCCTGTTAAAGAAAAGCTGTGGAGTTAAACTCTGTCTCAATCATTTTAACAACATAAATTTATGTTTAATGTGAACCAAACTCAGGTGTTGGTGGAGTAAAGAAAGTTTTTGAGAATGTACACTTTAATTAGAGGGGATATTGTAACAGTCACTGGTGTAAAAACATGAACCAATCAAGATATCCAAATAACAGAATAGATAAAATAAGTGGGAAATTAGAAAAGGAAAATGTTGTGAATTTACCACATGAAATTTCATTTCTAGTTAAGCCTCAGTGATCTATATTGCCTGTAATTATAGCCACAATGTGTAAGACCCGGAAACATGTATAACCTCACTCAGTGATTCATGATTATGGGAAAGTATTTATTTTGTATCTATTTGTTTTGTACCTATTGTACCCAACCAACATTTGTGTATGGTAAATAACCTGGAAGGACAGTTCACTGGATTCTTCCATCGAGATAATATAGGCAAAATGAAAAAGACTAATATTAGTCTACATAAAAGTATTGTATTATGCATTAAAACCCAGAAATTTAATTGATATTCAAGACATAGGTATCCTATGAAGCTGGAACTAGTTAGATATTGAAGCTTGAGCCTCAGCTAAGGAGATGTTAAGAATTTATGTAAATTCAAAAGAGCATGGCAACTCTTCCAGATCTGCGAAAAAAAAAACACGAACAAAGCCAACGAGAATTCAACTTTGTGATGGTGAATAATGGGGTACCAAGAAGCTAGAAAGTCTGGAATTGACGTTTTGGGTATTATTGAACACAACGTTATTTGGCCATTTGCATTGATTATTGAAGTAAGATATAGTACATTAATAATTATTGACTTTTGAGCAAAGAAATAAAAAAACAAAGGCCCAAAGGAAAGTTAGAATAACAATGGTGTGCATCATTATTTTTAGAAGTAATGAGAGATAGGGGACAGAAATAGAAGTGGCAAAGAATAAATTTGGCTCTGAAGTAGATGTTACATTAATACATGTATGAGGTGGTGAGGATTTAGACAAGTTGAAATGGCAGCATGATACAGACATTTGAAAGGGAAAACTGGGAGGACTCAGTAACTTTCTGTATAGTGAAATATATGAAAAATCCAAGAGCCAAGTATTTTCCTTTCTCTGTATTTTTAGTATCCAGCACATCATCTGGAACAAAGAAATCATTTGGTAAATGTTGCACCTGATGAAGATAATACAAGACAGGAAAAGGAAGGAGTTGAGAAAACAATCCAGGTTTTTGAAAAACTGTCAAGAGCGGCAGATACTGGGGTCATGAGGAGAAAATAGCTTGCCTAGAAGAAAGGTGTTTTAATTTGATAAATGTAGGATTTGTGGTGATGGTGAACTGTCCAAGTACTTATAAACAACTGAAAGGATTAGACAGTTTGACAATTCATTTATACAAATTGCTTTTTATTTGAAAACCTAGAAGTATTTAGAAACTGATTAAGGCACTACACACTTGGATTCGTATTGATGCTATAACCAAACCAAAGGACTTAATATTCTTAACAATGTTGCTATTGCCAAAAACAATAAAGGAAACAATTTACATTTAAAATATCTTAAAATAATCTCGTAATTTTTTACATTGTGATTACATACTGTGTCATTTCTTTGAACTTTAGGCACTAGGATAGTGGGAGAACAACGATATACCAAATAGATCAAAGCCATATTAAGAGTAATTTGAAAATATACCCTAGAATTTGGAAATAACATTTTATAATATTGATTATGGTTCATAATCTGATGTTTAGATTGAAGACTCTGGAAGAAACCTACAATCATTGTGCTATTTTGACTTTTTGATGCTCAAATCATTAATCGTGGGGTCAGATTTACTGTTTTTCATCGTCCTTTCCATATTTCAAGGTTTCAAATGACTTCTTGTATCTAGTTATTATTTTTTAAAGCACTACACAGTCTTATTTACATAAACAAGATACAGTAATAATTAGTATGGTCTCAGAGGAGAGAAACAACATTTCTGAGGCCTATTAATAATGGGGCAGAGAGGAATTCATATTCTTTTGAGGAGCTTGTGAATTTCAAAAAATTATGTTTCCCAGACTAATAATTGATAAATAGATATGCAGAGATTAAATTACTTGCAAAAATATAGTGAATCAATGAGAAAACAAGAAATAAACACCCAATTTTTAGAATCCTACATTCAGCATAAAATCTGGACCATACCATTTCTCCACAGTGACAAATAAAAATTGCTTTAAGCTAGCAAATGTGATGGGCTTTCATGATCAGAAGTCAAAACCTGGGGGAAATCAAATGACCTATTTAAAGACCTGGCCAAAATCTTAATGGTCTCGAAGGCTAAAGGGGATGTCAGATGTATTCCAGGAAAGTTAAAGCCAATCAGCTGTGTTTACCTTTATAAAGCTGCTGGCTCCCAAGTGGCAGGGTATCAGAGCAGCATTTAAGGAAGCCATGCCCTGCTACAGGTTCACACATATTACTGAAATTCTAGGCTTACTCCCATCTTCACATGGTTTCCATTTACTTTCTGAAAGGATTGTAAATAAGAAACATGCTTACTATGACTGCAGGCATCTTGTAGTCATTGAGATTAACCATTAGGCTCCACATTATGGTTTTTTTGGTTCATTTGTTTAAACTGTTATTGCTGTGGAAACAGCCTTTGAATCCAGGTAATAATGTGACTGTTGCTTAGTGATCTAGAATTATAATAAAGAAGTAGACATGTATCTTCATCCACTCAATTCGTGTATAGTACTCCCAGTTACCAAATTTACCCCTTGCTTCCTGACAGCCTTCCTTAGCTACGGGTAATACTCCTGAGACAAAATACAACCTCCCATTTGTCTCATGATACCTGGCACATAGCTGGAGTTCAGTAAGTGGCAGTAATGAGGGAAGCCGTGTATCAGAGTGGGATCCTTCAGACATTGGCTTGAGTCGTAGCTCCCTTGTGTGTCTGCACATGTTCTGTATCCAAGTGTAACCTCCCTGAGTCCCAGTGTTATAATCTGTAAAACAGAGAAAATAATATCACCTTTGTAGAATTGTTGGGAGGATTATAGAAGAAAAGACCTTAGCATGGTAGGTGGTACTTAATGAGTGGTAAATGAGTGTCAGGTAATGGAAATCCTAACTATTAGATTAACCCTTTTAGGTAAATAGAAATAATAGGAACTTGGGTTACAAACATGTATTTGTTTCCTAGGACTGCCATAACAAAAGAGCACAGACTGGGTGGTTGAAATAATTGAAATTTATATTCTTGTGGTTCTGGAGGCTGGAAGTTCAAGATCAAGCTGTCAGGAGGTTTGGTTTCTTCTAAGGCCTCTCCCCTTAGCTTGTAAATGATTGTCTTCTTTCTGTGTTCCCAGATGGCCTTTTCTCTGTACACACACATGCCAGGTGTCTTTGACTCTTTTTTTTTTTTTTTTTTTTTTTGAGACAAGAGTCTGTCTCTGTCATCCAGGCTGGAATGCAGTGCTGTGATCTTGGCTCACTGCAAGCTCCGCCTCCCGGGTTCACGCCATTCTACAGGGGCCAACCACCACACCCGGCTAATTTTTTTGTATTTTTAGTAGAGACAGGGTTTCACCATGTTAGCCAGGATGGTCTCGATCTCCTGACCTCGTGATCCGCCCGCCTTGGCCTCCCACAGTGCTGGGTTAGGTGGCTTGAGCCACCGCGCCTGGCCATCTTTGACTCTTTTTATAACTACACCAGTCATATTGGATTATGGCCCCACCCTTAGGGCATCATTTAACCCTCATTACTTATTTAAAGGCCCTGTCTCCAAGACCAGTCACATTGGGGGTTATGGCTTCAACCTGTGAATTTTAGGGGAATTCCCTTCAGTCTGAAATAGAAAGCCATTGTTCAAACATAGTTTTACATTTGAATATGGAAGGAGGGCCTTGAGAGAAGCCTATACTACTTTCCTAATCACTCTTGTATTCATACATGATAAATTTTATGAAAATAATGGTCTCAATTTTACTTGGACTTAGGGACTGGAACATTGGGTAGTTAAATTCCATTGCACAGAAAGGGAATACAGTTTTAAAGAAGAGGGTCTCAAATGTTGAGCATAATAGTCAACTGTGTAGCTGTAGCTTACTTAAAAGGCAGCTGTAGGTTCCATCCAGAGAATATGAGTTCTTGAGCCTGGTCTGTATTTGTTTCCTATGGCTACTATGAAAAAAAATTACCACAAATGGAATGGCTTAAAATGATGCAAATTTACGATCTTACAGTTCTGGAGGTCAGAAGTCGGAAATGAGTCATATGGGCTAAAATCAAGAGTCAGCAGAGCTGCATTCTTTCTGGAGACTCTAGGGAAGAATCCATTTCTTGCCTTTTCTAGCTTCCAGAGGCCACCTACATTACTTGGCCTGCAGTCCCTTCCACCATCTTCAAAGCTCATCATTTCAACCTGGTACCTGTCTCTTGTAAGTGTGCTTGTGATTACATTACGCCCACTAGGATAATCCATGATCATCATCCCATTTAAAGAGTCTCAATTTAACAATAACTGCAATGTCCTGTGTGCCACGTATGGTAACATATTCACAGGTTCCTGAGATGAAGACATAGACATATGTTGTGGGGTGGGGGGTACTATTCTGTCTACCACAGGGTGTAAAAATCTGTATTTGGGCTGGTCATGGTGGCTTATGCCCGTAATCCCAGCACTTTGGGAGGCCGAGGTGAGTGGATCACCATGTTGGCAGGCTGGTCAGGAGTTCGAGACCAGCCTGGCCAACATAGTGAAACCCCGTCTCTACTGAAAATACAAAAATTAGCTGGGTGTGGTGGCACCTACCTGTAATCCCAGCTGCACGGGAGGCTGAGGCAGGAGAATCACTTGAACCTGGGAGATGGAGGTTGCAGTGAGCTGAGATCACACCACTACACTACACTACAAACTAGGCGACAGAATGAAACTTTGTCTCAAAAAAAAAAAAAAACAAAAAACACCCAGAAGTGGAAGAAGTACCTTGTTATGTCCCCTCAACATCTCATGGTAGTCCAGGGTGTGGAATAGAACCAGCAGGATTAAGAGCTCCCATGGCATCCCTCAGAATGGCCATTAGAGAGTTACATGCCTGATGAAAACAATAAATCCTATGAAAATTGTTAGTGTTTATATGTTAGCACTGACTGTGAAGGGCACACAGTGATTAACTTTAGGTAAACTGAGCCCACTCTTTTCTCCCCTCTCAGAGAAGGGTCTTACGGGTTTGGAGGTTTCTTCTAGCAGGGAAGTCCTTTCCCACCACATAAGCCAGAGAAAACAGCCACCCCAGCCTCAGTCAAGCCTCAGTTTAGCCTCAGTTTGAACCTGGGAGGCAGAGGTTACAGTGAGCCAAGATCGCACCAGCCTGGGCAACAAGAGCAAAACTCAAACTCCATCTCAAAAAAAAAAGAATCTGTATTTGATGTAAATACAGTAACAGATTTTCCTACTGGTGGACCCCTGGGACCAATGGGAGGCATCAGGGAGCTATCAGGCCGGGCAAGTGTTTCATCTCCAACCTTCTCATTCTCGTCCTCCTCCCTGTTCAAGTTATTACTCCTGCCTTGTGCACATATATGTGTAAGGCAACATTTCATGCCCTGTGAATGACACAAACACTAAGCTTAAAAAACTCAATTACTTCCATCATAAACCTTAGTGTGAAAAAAGTAAAATGAGTAGCCTTATATAACAAAATGTAACCAGAGCACTTAGAATTGTTCACTCAAATAATTTTCAAAAATCCAAAGGAGAAGAGTTCAGTCTATTTGAGGGTATCCTAGAAGAGGTAATATTTGCCATCAATAGGTCTGAATAGGTGTCAGGATTTATTTAGAAGAATTTCTTCCCTGGGCTAAAAGAACACATTGACTAGTGTCTGAAAAGAGGCAAATATGAGGTTATTTCAGCAGCTGATGAGAGGCGGAATTAGGCTGAACATATGGGAGACAAGGTGCTAGTCCTTGAATGTTCACTGCAGATTTGCATGTCTTTCTTAATGCCTTCACTCTCTTCATAACCAAGGCAAAATTATGGCAAATGAGGCTATTGGAAATAAGCTCCCAGTGTATCAAAGACAGAATCTAGATTAGAACTTAGCTTTCTTGGCCCTAGGTAAGTAGACATCTGACTGAAAACCTTTTACCTTGTACATAGTGTTGGATGGAAATAGGAAAGACAAATATAAGACATTTGGAATTATGTTACTATTTTCATCTCCCTCTGGTAAATTTAAATGTTAAAAGTAAGACTGTATACAGTGCCTTTTGTGTCTTTCTTTCTTTCTTTCTTTCTTTCTTTCTTTCTTTCTTTCTTTCTTTCTTTCTTTCTTTCCTTCTTTCTTTCTTTCTTTCCTTCTTTCTTTCTTTCTTTCCTTCTTTCTTTCTTTCTTTCTTTCTCTTTCTTTCTTTCTTTCTTTCTTTCTTTCTTTCTTTCTTTCTTTCTTTCTTTCTTTCTTTCTTTCGAGAGGATTTTACTCTGTCACTCAAGATGGAGTTCAGTGGCATCGTTACAGCTCCCTGTAGCCTCAAACTCCTGGGCTCAAATGATTCTCCTGCCTCAGCCTCCCAAGGAGTTGGGACTACAGGAGTATGCCACCACACCCAGCTAATTTTTTAAATTTTTGTAGAGACAGAGTATTGCTATGTTGCCCAGGCTCATCTCGGACTCCCGACCTCAAGCTATCTCTCATCCCACCTCAGCCTCCCAAAATGCTGAGATTACATCTGTCGGCCACAGTGCCCTGCCCAAAGCCTTTTTGTAAAGATTGTTTTTCAGATGGAGGAAGAAACAGAAAAGGAAGATGTCAAGGGGCTAGCAACAGGCAGGGGAAGCAGAGGAGGATTCTGGGGCCGAATTCACCATTTAGTCTAAAAGCTACTCTTCCTCTATCCCATAAATTGCCCTATTTTTTGACATGTATGTGCTATAAATATTTCACTGGAGTGTTATACAAGAGTTTGTGTTGTTTCTATATATCCAGAGGGTTATATGTCTCTGAGAGTTTCTTCCTTTGATAAGATGGCTACAAGAAGCAAACAAAAATCTATGTAATTTCCTTTTGTAACACACCTTCTGCAATATTATAAATAATCTGATCATTGATATTTACTTCAAAATAATATTGGAATATCTCTTCAATAACTTGATCCATTTCCCTGATACTGTTTTTTTTCCTACAGTTTTTACTATCTCACTCAACTTTACCTAAAATTGTGCTGACCACCATTCTTAGTCCTGTTCCCTTCAGCCACTTTACATATAAATCATATCCATAGTCACACCACCTGATACCATAGTGATGGTGGACTTTTAGACACTGTGCAGACAGACTCATTCTCCAAATATAGGATGTCTCTAAATTATATTAAAGGAAAATTATTCCACTCTTTGTCATCTATTCTTACCCAGCCAACCCCATAACACTATCCATCTCAAAATATTTGTGTTGTGTGTTTTATTTTCCCATTAGCAAGTCCTGGCTAATCTAACCCTCTATTAATACACAAACAGGGAATCATATCTATTATCTGAAAACCAGCCAATGTCAAAGCCTTCTATTGAAAATGCCAATTATTTTATGCTGTTAGCAGCATTTTGTTTACAAACATTCCTTCATACTTGGCATCTAATTATACTCAACTTCAGGTATTCTAATACTCTCTACTTGTTTGCTTTTCTTAAATCTTAATATTGATGATTGCAAAGCAATTTGACAATATTAGAACATAGAATTCATTGGTTATTTTCAATTTGGTTGCCATAATTGAATTTTAAAATAATTGGAAGGGAAAGAAAGTTTATTTTTCTCTACTTAAGTATGTGCGATATAGAGAAGGTAAGAGATTGTTTGAAAGTTTTATATAGAATTTCCAGTTGAGATGATGGACTATGAGGCTTTCAGCTGAGATACATTATACCAACCTCCTGAAACTCATCTAAGTGGGAGGGGTCAGCAAGCAACAACCACACCATCTTTAAGCTTCTACATGGAATTAGAGAGTTGAAGATTTAGGAGTAAAAAACTTCTACTGAAAAGTGAAAATTTGATTTGTCAGTACTAAAGAGGGTTTGATGAGAAATCTGTGGACAAAACAGATGCCTGTGAGCGTTTTTAACAAATTTTTCTCTTTTGATTATTATATCAACTAATAACTGAGTATTCCACTATATCTTCAGTTCACTTTCTGTAATTAGATTCAAGATAAAGTAGGTACCTAGAGGACCCCTAAAAAGTCAGTATTGCAATTTTAATTTGGTTTGCAATTCAAAAACATCTTAATAGACTAAGATTTTAACTTTAATCATTTGAGATTTTGGTTTAACATTATTAATATCCTACAGTACAGAAGAATTTGTATTGCTTTGTCTTAGGCTAATAAGAAAAACAATGAAGATATGTGTATGTATTATACAATTGATGCAACAGAAGAGATGAAATTGTGAGGCTCTATAAAGACAAAGGTTTCCAACGTATTTTGAAAAGTGATAGACACTTTAGTTATTACATGGGTCCCAGTGGTACCCCTGGAGTACTAGGCATGGGGCATACAAAGGAACCTTCCTGTAAGCAGTTAGTTTGATGCTCACTTTGAGCGGGTATCTTGCCTGCATTCTATCTGAAGATGCACCATTTTGGGTTTTAGCACTAAGTATAGTAGTAATTCTATAATTGAAAAATTTTCTGTTGCATGCTTTTTATCTTTATTTTTGGTATTATATTATGGGATATAATGGATTTTGGTAAAGTATTGGTTAAAATAAGTTAAAAGTTAGAAAAATAATACTACTAATGACAATGATTTGCAGAACATATTGATATAGAATATATAAATACATGTTTCTAGGCTGTAGTTACCAAAACAGCATGATACTGGTATAAAAAATAAGGATATGGGACAATGGAACAGAACAGAGATCCCAGAAATAAAGCCAAATACATATAGTCAACTGATCTTTGGCAAAGCAAACAAAAACATAAATTAGGGAAAGGACACACTATTTAATAAGTGATGCTGGGAAAAGTGGCAAGCCACATGCAGAAGAATGTAATTGGATTCCTGTCTCTTACCTTATAAAAAAAAGTCAGCTCATGATGGATCAAAGACTGAAATATAAAACCTGAAACTATAAAAATTCTAGAAGATAATGTTGGAAAAACTCTTCTAGACATCGGCATAGGCAAAGAATTCATGACTAAGACACCAAAAGCAAACACAACAAAAACAAAAATAAATAAATGGGACTGAATTAAACTACAAAGCTTTTGTACAGAAAAAGAAATAATAATCAGAGTAAACAGACAACCCACAGAAAGGAAGAAAATATTTGCAAACTACACATCCAACAAGGACTGGTAAGCAGAATCTACAAGGAACTCCAGTGAATCATCAAGAAAAAACAAATATCCCATCAAAAAGTGGACAACGGACATGAATGAACATTTCGCAAAAGAATATATACAAATGGCCAACAAACATAGGAAAAAATGCTCAGCATCACTAATCATCAGAGAAATGCAATCTAAAACCAGAATGAGATACCACCGTACTCCTGAAATAATGGCCATTATTAAAAAGTTAAAAAACAATACATGTTGGCGTGAATGTGAAGAAAAGGGAATGCTTATACACTGTTGGTTGGGAATGTTAATTAGTAAAACCTCTCTGAAAAACAATACAGTTTAAACTTTTACCTCATAGAGCTAAAAGTAGATCCACTATTCAATCTAGCAATCCCACTCCTGGGTATCTACGCAAAGGAAAAGAAGTTATTATACAAAAAAGACACTTACACCCATATGTTTATAGAAGCAAAATTCATAATTGCAAAGATGTGGAACCAACCTAAGTGCCCATTGACTAATGAGTGGATAAAGAAAATGTAGTATGTATACACCATGGAGTACTACTCACCTATTAAAATAAATGAAATAATGTCTATTGCAGCATCTTGGATGGATCTGGAGGCCATTATTCTAAGTGAAGTAGTACAGGAAAACCAAAAACTATATGTTCTCATTTATAAGTGGGAGCTAAGCTGTGAGTAAGCAAAGTCACACAGAGTGATATAATGGACTTTAAGGACTCAGAAGGGGGAGAGTGGGAGGAGGACTAGGAATAAAAAATTACACATTAGGTACAATGTATACTACTTAGGTGAAGGGTACACTAAAATCTCAGAATTCATCGCTATATAATTCACCCATGTATGATAAAATCACTTATACCTCAAAAACTATTGAAACAAAAAATTTTTAAAAAGCCAGTGCGAGTGATCTACCTTCAGCAAGATATTACCATTTATCACATTAAATTAATATTCTTAATTTGAATTGTATTGGGTTTTAAAGTATTATTTGTATTTATTTTGTAACTTTGTTGTGGTTTGCAGTCATAAAATGTTTTATAAAAGCTAGAGGAAAAATGAATTAATATCTGGTTTTGTGTTTACACGTATTTAAGTAATATTATACTAAATATAATTTAAGAGAGCACTAGAGACCTGTAATCAATTTTTTTATTTGAAAGGGTACGGCTATCATTCAAATTTGCGAAACATTGAAATAGACATCGTAATAGAAATAAATGATTTTAACTAGATTTTCATCAGTTACATATCCAATTTAAATTCAAGAAAGTTTAAAAATTAAAAAATTCAAAAACGAAAGACATGCTACAATACTATTGTAATTGAAGTAGTTTTTTCTTAGTCCTGGTTGCATAACTTCCTTGAAAGGAAAGCAATAAGATACAATGAAAACAACATCAAATTTAGAGTTAGCAAACCCAAGTTCAAATTCAGGCTCTAACATTTCTCAGCTTGACAGAGCTTCAGTTTCCTCATCTGTAAAATGCAGGTAACAACATTTAACTTTATCAGAAATAATTGTAAGGACGATCCCACAAAATAATGAATGTCAAAGTACTTAATAAGGAATCCAGCACTCTTCAGATACATATTAGTATTTATCACGTCCTCTGGGTTTCTCTATCAAAAGTGGAGAAGGTTTGTGTGCCATTATTCACAGCTTCCTACCTACTCCTTCTTGGAGCAGTAGTAAGTGTTTACAGTATAGATGAAACCTGTGTTGATTTAATCTTGATGTTATCATTCAATCTCTTAACACTCACTAGCCATGTTGGCCACTCAGCCCAGAACCGATGAATTGGGAGAAAGAACAGTATGAACAGCACTGATTTTAAAAACCAGGAGATGTTGGACCCTGCTTTTGGGAGATCCTCCAACCTTACTTTCCCCTAAATTACCTCCTCTATGAAGACTTTGTGTTCCCTTTGCTATACTGACTGAATTCTTCCTTTCACAGCACCTTTCCTAGAGAGCTAAATGATCACTTAACACCTTGCATTGTAACTAGCCTAGTACCTGCTCCATGATCCTCATCCCTGTTCCTTCTATAAATTTATCTGGAATGAATGAATGAATGAATGAGTGAGTGAATGAATAAATGAATGAATGAATGAATGAATGAATGAATGAATTGGTGACTTTCTTCAAGACTAGTGTTCCATAATCCAACAGATAACCAAGCTACCTTTTGGCTTGGTTAATTAACTTCTGTGAGCTTCTGTTTCCTTTACCTTTTATTGTTTTCAAAATATCATCGAAAGCACTTAGTACAGTCTCTAGCACATGGCACATGAAGGTCATGAGTGAAAATTGGTTAATAATAATAGTTAACAACATTTGAAATTTTTATATTCATTAACTCATTTAATCCTCACCACAATTCAATGATGTAGGGCACTGTTATTGATCTCATCTTACAAATGAGGAGACTGATGTATTGTGAGATGAAGTAGACACTAGACTCTCAATGTTGGCAAATTATCAGGATGCAAATATGTGATGCATGTGATGTGAATGCGTGGGTGCTTCTTAGCCGCGGCATCCTTATGCAGTGCACAAATGACATAATCAGTTGCGGCAGCATTGCACCTGCAAAAGAAAAGCCGAATAATCTTCATTCTTCAGGTTTCTTAGAAAATATGGTTAATTACCAGGAAAAGGCAAAAATAAAAAGAAATAAAAAATCCAAGTATTTTCTCTTCTTTTCTTCCTTATTTTAGAGACAGGGTCTCACTCTGTCACTCAGGCTAGACTATACAATGGCGCTGTCATAGCTCACTGAAGCCTGGGCTCAAGTTACACTCCCGCCTTAGCCTCCAGAGTAGCTAGGATCACAGGTGCCCACCACCATGGCCAGCTAATTTTTTTTTTTTTTTTTGTAGAGAGAGTCTAACAAAGTGAGGGGGGTCTCACTTTTTTACTCAGGCTGGCCTTGACCTCCTGGCTTCAACTGATCCTCGCATCTTGGCCTCCCGAAGTGCTGAGATTACAAGTGTGAGCCACCATGCCTAGCCCATTTTCATAACCTAACAGAACTCCAAAAATAAATAACCGTGAGACTAATTCTAAAATGAGTACAAATGTGTAAATTGCATGATTATGGCAGACATTTGTCAGCTAATTTGGCAAACTAGCCCAGTGATGTTTTACAAGAAATGTGCAGCATTTCATTGCTGACACCCAGCAAGATTTTCATTTCACACCTTTATCTTCTTGCTCTGAAACCTCTTTCATTATTATGACTAAGTTCACATTAATATTGCCTTCTGAATTTTTCATTTAATACTATAATATCTTTGGTCTTTTTGTCATTTTGCATCTTTAAAGTTCTGTGGCCTATTCTGTTAAAGCAGTGAGACTTATTTTCTGCAAGCATCGTATTTAAAGCATCCCTATTGAAATGGCTATCATTATAATTGCCTTCTGTCACCACTAAGCAAACTTAAACTAGTTCTTTCTGAGGGTCAGTTGTAATAAATATAATTGCAATTCATGACAGGTTACTCTGTTGTGTGAATAGAGATGGAGAATAAATGGAGATGGATTTAATAATCCTGAAAGTTGCATTACGTTGCTAACCAAAGTGCTAAAAAACATTATTTGTTAATCACATTTGGAGTACTAGATTTGATATTATGCATGAATTTAAAGACAGTTCCCAATTTATGAGGATTCAACTTAAGATTTTTGGATGGCATGATGGTGCAAACGTGATACACACTCAGTAGAAAGTGTTTTTCACTTTCAGTACATTAGTCAATAAATTACATAAGGTATTCAACATTTTATTATAAAATAGGCTTCGTGTTATATGATTTCACCCAACTGTAGGCTAATGTAAGTGTTCTGAGCACATTTGAGGTGACCTAGGCTCATGGTGGCTCACGCCTGTAATCCCAGCACTTTGGAGGCCACAGGTGGATCACTTGAGGTCAGGAGTTCGAGACCAGCCTGGCCAACATGGTGAAACCCCGTTTCTGCTAAAAATACAAAAATTAGCTGAGCGTGGTGGTGCCTGCCTGTAATCCCAGCTACTCGGGAGGCTGAGGTGGAAGAAGCGCTGGAACTCGAGAGATGGAGGTTGCAGTGAGCCGAGATCATGCCACTGCACTCCAGCCTGGGAGACAGAGTGAGAATTCATCTCAAAAAATAAAGTAGCCTAGGCTAAGCTATGGTGTTTAGTATGTTAGATGTATTAATGCATTTTCAACTAAGGAAATTTTCAACTTACGATGATAGGTTTATGGGGATGTAACCCCATCATAAGTTAGGAGAATCTGGACTAACACAGAGTATTAATTTTAAATATAATTACAAATCAAATTGAATAAATTTACCTTTACCATGTATGACTGTTTTCTCACAAGCCTGTTTAATGAATGTGTCCTTGCATTTTCAGAGATGGAGCAGAATAGTATAATGTTGAAAACAAGGTACTATTTCAGCTTGTTCCTGATCAGGGAGTTCCCCTGTAGCATATTTGTAATTCAATTCATATTAGATAAGGATGATGATACAAGTTAGTTAATATAAAAGAAAAGCAGGATCACAGTGACAGTGACACTGTGTCTTACAACTTAGAGTTTTTATTTCAAAATAAAATGTTTTCAAAAGTTTAACATTCAAATGAGTTGAAGCAGTATATCTTGTGGCAAAAACACACTACTTTGTTTGTAATGTTATTATCTGAACTATAAATAGTATAGCATACTTAGGGGTACTTTTTGACATGTCTGGTAAGGAAGATTACACCCCAAGAAAGTTACCAGTAAAAACTAAACCAACACTAAATATGCTGAAAACCATATAATATGTGAATCCTGGAGTTTCTGGGTCAAAAAAAAAAGGAGAGAGATTGGTTAAGTTTCAGAGATATAGACCAATGGAACAGAACAGAGCCCTCAGAAATAATGCTGCATATCTACAACTATCTGATCTTTGACAAACCTGACAAAAACAAGCAACGGGGAAAGGATTCCCTATTTAATAAATGGTGCTGGGAAAACTGGCTAGCCATATGTAGAAAGCTGAAACTGGATCCCTTCCTTACACCTTATACAAAAATTAATTCAAGATGAATTAAAGACTTTCATGTTAGACCTAAAACCATGAAAACCCTAGAAGAAAACCTAGGCAATACCATTCAGGACATAGGCATGGGCAAGGACTTCGTGTCTAAAACACCAAAAGCAATGGCAACACAAGCCAAAATTGACAAATGGGATCTAATTAAAGTAAAGAGCTTCTGCACAGCAAAAGAAACTACCATCAAAGTGAACAGGCAACCTACAGAATGGGAGAAAATTTTTGCAACCTACTCATCTGACAAAGGGCTAATAACCAGAATCTACAATGAACTCAAACAAATTTACAAGAAAAAGACAAACAACCCCATCAAAAAGTGGGCAAAGGATATGAATAGACACTTCTCAAAAGAAGACATTTATGCAGCCAAAAACACATGAAAAAATGCTCATCATCACTGGCCATCAGAGAAATGCAAATCAAAACCACAATGAGATACCATCTCACACCAATTAGAATGGCAATCATTAAAAAGTCAGGAAACAACAGGTGCTGGAGAGGATGTGGAGAAATAGGAACACTTTTACACTGTTGGTGGGACTGTAAACTAGTTCAACCATTGTGGAAGTCAGTGTGGCGATTCCTCAGGGATCTAGAACTAGAAATACCATTTGACCCAGCCATCCCATTACTGGGTATATATCCAAAAGATTATAAATCATGTGCTATAAAGACACATGCACACGTATGTTTATTGTGGCACCATTCACAATAGCAAAGACTTGAAAATGAGCCAAATGTCCAACAATGATAGACCAGATTAAGAAAATGCGGCACATATACACCATGGAATACTATGCAGCCATAAAAAAGGATGAGTTCATGTCCTTTGTAGGGACATGGATGAAGCTGGAAACCATCATTCTCAGCAAACTATCACAAGGACAAAAAACCAAACACCATGTGTTCTCACTCATAGGTGGGAATTGAACAATGAGAACACATGGACACAGGAAGGGGAACATCACACTCTGGGGACTGTTGTGGGGTGGGGGGAGGAGGGAGGGTTAGCATTAGGAGATATACCTAATGCTAAATGACGAGTTAATGGGTGCAGCACACCAACATGGCACATGTATACATATGTAACAAACCTTCACGTTGTGCACATGTATCCTAAAACTTAAAGTATAATAATAATAATAAATTATTTAATATGTACAAAACATTTTTTAAAAAAAAGTCTGGGGGACATTGTAAATGGGCACAACTGGTGTTTAGCCAAAAAAGGGAGATGAGAAAGATAAGAACATTTTTTCAAAAAAGAAGTGATTCAGTTAGAACTCTTTCAGGCACCTATGAATGAAACCCAACTCAAAGTAGACTATTAAAAATTTAAAAAGGAATTTGTAAGTCTCTGGCTTCAGGCATATCTAGATCCAGGACTGATACTGTGTCATGGCTCTGTCACTGTATCTCTCCTCTTTCAGCTCGACTTTTCTCTACTTCTCTTACTTTGTTGGCTTTATTCTCCCATCACATTGCCTCCATTAGCGTAAATGAGTAAGAGAACTTTAGCTCTTGTTCACACCAAGCAGCCTTGGGAAAGACTGATTACCCCAACTATCTTATATGCACACTCATTTGAGGCTTGGATGGGACACACACCTTGATTCACAGTCCCACCATAACCATATAAATGGGAAAGAATTCCCAAAGGAATACAACCAGGAGTCTGGGAAGCATTCTAGGAGGAAACGAAATAGTGTCTGCCTACTACAAGTGTGGAGAGCTCTGTGATCAGTGAAGCTTTCGTCCCCATTACTTCATCTTCCTCTATTTTTTTAAAGGTACATTTATCCAGCATTATGATCAGACTATTATGTTTAGCAATCAACTGCATGGGTGCAAAAAGGAAAAAACAAAACTACATTAAAACCCTTTGTTGGAATGCTTTACACTTTTCACAGAACAGAAACTAAAATAACCTGTTATACAATTAGCCACAAATACAGCCCTTAAGTTTTTTTGCCTACGCATATGAGTGTTTTCTAAAACATGTCTTCTTTGTAGCAGCTAGGCACTGCCACCACTATGCTTGGTTGACCCCATAAATCCTTTGTAACCTGTAACTTCCCTGTCACTCTCTGGCTCTCCTCTTCTGCTAAGCTTTGTTTCCTGGCAGGAATTAAAACCTTCTGCCACTGCCATAGCTACTGCTGCCACTGGAACCACCCCAGCCATCTTGATTTTGTGGCTTGGCAAAGTATTGGCCTTGGCCATCATAGGGGCCAGAGCTTCTGCCTCCAAAGTTTCCTCCCTTCATGGCTCCAAAATTTAAAGATTGATTGTTGTAATTTCCAAAATTATCATAGTTCCACTACCTCCAAAATTGCTTTCACTACCACCACCAGAGTCACTTCCACCTCCTCCACTGATACAGCTGTTATAGCTGCCACTCCCACCATAGCCACTGCCCTGGTTTCTATAACCCTGTCCACCACTTCCATAGCGTCTGCTTCCTCTGGAGTAACTAGGACTGCCTCCAACATAACTACCATCGTTATCAAATCCATTATAGCTATCCCCATCAAAGACACCATGACCCCTGAGGTTTCCTCCATGACCAAAGTTGTCATTCCCACTGAAACCACTTTGACAACCACCACCAAAGTTTCCAGAACCATGCCAACCTCTGGCTAGATGAAGCACTAGCCATCTCTTGTTTTGGCAGGGCTTTCCTTACTTCACAGTTGTAGCCATTCACAGTATGGTATATTTCTGAATGACAGTCTTATCCACAGAATCACCATAGTCAGTGTTTACAAAACCAAAGCCCCTTTTCTTACCACTGCCTCTGTCAGTAATGATTTTAATCAGTTTGATTTTCCCACACTGTTCCAAATAGTCTCTTAGGTAATGTTCTTCTGTGTGTTCTTTAATGGCGCCTACAAATATCTTTTTCACAGTTGGGTGGGTACCTGGTTTTGAGAATCTTCTCTTGAGTTGGCCCTCTTTGCTTCCACAACTCTTCCCTCCACCTTTCGTGGCTTTTAATTCAGGGCTGCATCCACCTCCTCTACAGTGGCATTTGTGACAAACCCAAAGCCCCTGGAGGGTTTGGTGTTTGGATTTCTTGTTACCACACAACCCATGAGCATTCCCCATTGCTCAAAATGGATCCTCAGATTCTCATGGGTTGTTTCAAAGCTCAACTCCCCCAACCCAATGAAGAGCTTCTACAGGTTTTCAGGCTCTTTAGGAGACTGACTTGCACTTGATGGTAGTAGGCAGAGAGACTTTAATGATGCAGAAAGCAGTAAGCTAAGGAACATTATCTCCGTAACTTGTGACAATAGGCATTAGCAGATATTTTCATAGGCATAATATCTGGGACAGTAGCCACTCAGTCAGTGTTAGTTTCTGCTTTCTTTTGCTCAGTGAAACAGTTTCTGTGGGAGGTACAGATCAAAGTACTATATAACTCCATGATTGACAGCGCAAACTTGGGAGTCAGTAGACCTAAGTTCAAGTCCTGTTTTCCTCTTCTGGCTCTGTGACTTTAGACAAAATAACTACCTTTTCAAATCCTTAGTTTTCTCCTGTATAAAATGAGGATAACTTTTATAATATATTTGAGTACATGAGCAATGAAATTTTAATGTTGTATGTTAAAGCATATCCCAGGCACATAATAGCTGTTCAATAATTGGTAGGCATTTTAATGATTAACTTGTTTTCCTCCTTCAAACCAATGTTCTTAAAAACACTAAACAATGGTGTTTTAGGTTATCTTGGCCTTTCTATATTTTGGCTAAAATAATATAGTCTCACTCACTTTCTGGTGTTTAGAATTTCTTTAGAGATAAATCTTTTCATTCCAATTTTAGAAATGAAGGTGTTAAATCAAATATTTCATTGTAACAAATGCCCTCATGCTAACGTACTGTTAATAAAATAATCTACTAAATTGAGCAGCATATCTACTGCTTCTCCATTTTCAAGATTTAGAGGGAAGAACAACAGGACAGTGAAAAGGTGAGGGGGTCACAGGTGAAAAAGAAAGTTGAAAAAAAAAGTGGAGTGAGTTGTGAGTGGACAACAAATAAGACAACTAAAAGAACGAGTAAAATAGTGACTGCTCAATAAATAGATACCACGTTACAGATGATGAAATAAGCACTTGATGTGCGTTATCTCTTTTTTTTTTTTTTTTTTTTTTGAGATGGAGTCTCACTCTGTCGCCCAGGCTGGAATGCAGTGGTGCGATCTCAGCTCACTGCAACCTCTGCCTCCCGGGTTCAAGCGATTCTCCTGCCTCAGTCTCCTGAGTTGCTGGGATTACAGGCACACCCCACCACGCCTGGCTAATTTTTGTATTTTTAGTAGAGATGAGGTTTCACCATGTTGGTCAGGCTGGTCTCAAACTCCTGATCTCAGGTGATCCACCTGCCTCAGCCTCCCAAAGTGCTGGGATTACAGGCATGAGGAATCACACCTGGCTGCATTATCTCTTTTAATATTCACAGCAAGCCAATAGGGTAGGTATTATCATCCTCATTACAAAAGAGAAAACTGAGGCATAGAGAAGTAAAAATGGTTTGACCAAGTTCATGCAGCTGGTAAATGACGGAGCCAAAATTTAAACCGATATCTATCTGATTCATCCTTTAAATTTTACCTCATATTAGCCCTGTTTCCCTTCAAAAAAGAAAGAGAAAAAGAGAAGCTGTTTATTGAGGTAAAGTTTCAAAACCCATATTTGTACTTATCATAGTCTATAAAGGATGTTCTGTTTTCATTCATACATTGAACGTTGTTATTAAAGGATTTCATTTCTTGAATATTTATTAGTTGTGGCACTATTTTATATTATTTCAGAAGACAATAGTTTGCAGTAGCATTCCACAAATTCTTTAGGAGCAAATAGGTAAGTTTTGTTTGGTTGGTGGTTGTTTCCTTCATTCTCTGTTTCTCTTAATGAACATTTCAGCTCAGGAAGAAAGTTAAATGGCTCTATTCTCTCTCCTATCTCTTTTTTAAACATACTAATCTCTATTTTATAAAGATATTGGATCACCTGAGGTCAGGAGTTCAAAACCAGCCTGGCCAACATGGGGAAACCCTGACCCTACTAAAATTACAAAAATTAGCTGGGCATGGTGGCAGGTGCCTATAATCCCAGCTACTTGAGAGGGTGAGGCAGGAGAATTACTTGAACCTGGGAGGTGGAGGTTGCAGTGGCTGAGGTGGAAGAATCGCTTGAACTCAGGAGGCGGAGGTTGCAGTGAGTCAAGATCACACCATTGTACTCCAGCCTGGGCAACAAGAGCAAAACTCCATCTCAAAAAAAAAAAAAGTAATATATTAAAATCTTTAATAATTTTGTTTCTCACTAGAAAATATGAAACAAAGTTGTATCAACTCCAGATATAACGAAATCATTTATATAGTTGGTTTATTTGCATGCAGAAGATAATGTGATAAACTCTATGTATCAACTGAAAAGCGTAATGGGTAATGACTCATTTCCTTTTTAATACATTTCTGGGTCTGTGGATCACTATAACCCTATACATCTATGTGCCTTAATTTTCAAGAGTTGACAGTGTTTCCCGAGACAGTTTTGTCCTGCATAGTCATAGTTATGTGAACCTAGTTGGTTGGTTTAAAACTTGGTCATTGTCTTAATGAATGACTGATAGTTGGAGAGACATGTGTAGAGGTATGGCTGAGATTTTTTGCCTTGGCTCTGGGTCGTTCCATATTTTCCTTGCAAACTTAAAGGAAGACGTATCTTCTGTGTTTATCTGATATAATGATAGTAAAGCAGAGGGGTATAAATAATGCCTCAGAGAATTTAGTATAGATTCAAAATGACCCTGATAGGCTGGAGCAATGAGACCCCTTCCAGCAAGATGAAAAGCAATAACGATTAATTGAACATCTACATTTATATGCAGAAATCAATTATATACAGTGATCTCTTTTTAAGTACTGTGGGAATACAAAGTGATATAGCTACTGAATACCAACTTTTGAAAGTATGAAAGAGAAAGTAGGATGACTTTATATTATCGAATGTGAAATACTGATGAAAGATGTTAGAAAACAATTGAAGTTTCTGGAATAAGTAAGTTATAGGGTCATTATGTCATTTTCTTTCAGTAGGATTAATTAGCATAAGGAGAAACCAGAATCAAAGGGTCACTAATGAGGGCTTAGAGGTCATGGTGACTAGAATGAAAAAGAAAGAAAAAACTTTCATTAGTATTTTTAATATAAAGAAAATTTATGAGTATTAAAAGAGAGAACTGTCAAAGATTATTGCAAGATCTTTAACCTAAAAACATGGCATTGACAGAGAAGAATGTTGGATAAAGGAGGTGTTTCTAAGGCAAGATGAGTTGATGTGAATGCATTTGCGATACAGTAGCTGGGGGTCATCCCACTGGAATTTACCATGGGATGATACATAAGGCAGAAAGTTGAATGTGGAGATTATTGGCTCTGAAATGCTACCTAGCGCCTAAGGAAATGATGGAAATGTCTCCAAAGAATTAAGTAAAAATTTTTTTTTTTAGAAAAAAGAAACAAAAGAAAGGTTCCAAACATTGAATTCACCTCCTGCTGGAAAGCAGAAAGGATGTAGAACCAAGTAAAGCATACAAGAGCCTAAAGGGAGAAGTCTATTAGAAGGATGGGCTCTCAAAAGTTCACTGAATGGGTTGCTTTTGAAGTCATAATTAATGTAAGCTTTTCTCCATGTTAGGGATCTGTTTTTCATTCTAATTTCATTGATAACTTGTATAAGTCATGTTCTGGAGGTAAATTAGCTTATTAGCTAGTATTTAATAAACTATTTTATTGGTTCTTTTACTCCCTTATTAGCCTGTGTTTTTTGCTTTACTAATTGACATTAAAAGCAAAAGTTATAGAAGAAATGTGGGGGAAGTATCCTAGTATTTACTCTGATTAGGAGGTTTCTGATTTTCTTGGCAGAAATGCTGTCAGCTATAACTAACATATTTCAGTATCCTGCCATTCTTCTGGCAACCCTAAACTTATATATTCAGAAGCAATTCATCTGGAGAATGTTGGTAGCCTTTATTTTGTAGTATAAAATCCAGAGAAGTATATATAAATGGGAGAGAAGTAGTTTCGGTTTTTATACTTTGGTGAGAAAAGTGCGGCATCATTGGAGTCCCCCACAATTACATAATATAAACATTACAATACCGTATATAGAACCCTAGTATTTAAATAAAATTTGTAACAACCACTAAATGAGTCATTCAAGTAACAAAAACACTAAGTTCCTACTTATAGTGGTCCTTTCTCTCATCTTCTACTTGTTAGACTCTTCAAACATCTGCTAAACTCACCATGCTTCTGTAAATAGATTAGGACCTAGCTTATGAGAGATCTATTTCCAGAATTATAGTGGCTTATTTAAAATATTTGCCAATCAGACCACATATTTGTAGTACAAGGACTAGTTTATGTGTGTGTATATGTAAAGGGTTTTTTAGTTGATTTAGGAATGTTTACATTGTGTGAATCAATATTAATAATATTAAAAGGGAAAAAGCATCATTAAGGCCCTCTTATAGTAACTTCAGTACTTCCATCTTGCATATCATTCCCATTGAAAATGTATTTGCAAATTCCCAATGAACCCTCTTCAATATGTGTAATGTATGCAATGAATATCATTACTGGAAGTTGCCAATTTTAAATATTCCATATGTAACATAGCTTTAAACAGGTGTGTTGCATACATGACTTTTATACCAAAAGATCATAATAAAAATTGTAAATGAAGATAAAAAGGCAATCAGACTACTTTGTGAGGAATACAAGTTAAATATCTTCTCCAGATGTTCCTAAAGTGTTGCTCAATCCATTTCATTTTCTCTTCTATGCACCTGTTAGCACAGATAATGTAAGATCTACTCAAAATTAGTTGAGTCACTATATTTAGTAACAAACAAACTTGCTATCAGTTAATGCCTAATTTGAACTCATTTGAATTTAAACATATAAATCAGAAAAAAATGACTCAGGGCAACACTTACCTTATCGTTAATGCTCTTAATCAGAGAGTTTCTTTTAGTTTCTATGTTTAGCAGCTGCAGATTTTATTTTTTGAAACCCTAGCCTTGTAAAGGAAGCATTTTTTTCCTCACACCATAATACATTATAAATAACATACTGTAGATAGCTGAGCCAAGTTCTCTTCTTTCTTGCCCTTCCCTTCGATGTTAGATTAACCCTGTAAAAAGCAGTACAGTATTAAGGAATGAGAGGGAGGGATGAGCGTTGGGATTGAAGGTCCTGCTCTTCTCCTCCTTTTCTTTCTAAAGCATCTCCTCCTTTATATGGAGATAAAATCTAGGTTTCCAACTAATATTTCATTTACTGAAAACGTTCTGTCACTTAACAAAAAGAAAGCTTGAAAACTTCAGTTTTTATGAATTTCATATGTTTTACTTTTCATCCATTTGATGTGATTTTCAGTTTTTTAGCTTGGATTGATTCATCTGAACAAATTTACAATCTCGGCCAGATTGTTCAGGCAAATGGTATTCATTCCCCTTTCTCAAGAGCATGGTTGATGGCACACAACCATGTATTTGTTATTTCTGCTCTGCACGTATATTGTTTAAAAACACTTGATTCATACCGTTGCTTTGAAATGCTGTTGCTTTGAAACGTGTCCTGGAAAATAATTATAAACTCACATTCCCTACAAATAATAAATTCAGGTTATGAACTACAACTTATTTGTTAAAAGGAAGAGGTCACTACTGGTTAACTATGCAAATTATTATGTGAACCAGACAGAGAAATTACTTCGCTGATTTCTCCCTGAGTAAATTTATGTCAATTAAATTTATGCACAGTGAATCTATATATTTATGTATTTTTATAGGGAAAATAAAGCAAGTAGAAACATTTAGAACTGAAACTCTGTGACCACTTGAAATTACACTCACTGCCAGGAGAATACATCATTTCAACTTCTATCTAAAGACTTCTACTTAATTGAATCTACTGCTTCTAATTTGTGAGACAATTCAACATGTAAAACAATCTTTGAAGAAGAATAAATCGTCTTCCTTTGATATCCACCAGTCCTCAAGTTTCTTTCTTAATTGATATATATAAAGAAGCAATGATATCCTGAAGCCAATTCAGAAGCTGCTTGGGGGAGTAGTCATGGGCCAGTGGAATCAGGGAGGAGGTCATGAGGGATATGGGTAGTGCAAAATGAAATGTAGCACTTCTAGGAAAGGAACCAAGAAAAGGCCTTGGATTTCTGAGACAGAACTTACAAAGTGAATTTTCATTTTAAACAGCACAATTTGGAATGTTATATAAACAGCTGAAAGCTATCACCAGAGTTTTCTGCTTTGAAGTACTCAGAGATCTATAAATTATTTATTCTCCCCAAATATGCTGATTAAGTTGAAAGGTATAGTAGCCATGTATTGGAAGTTTAAGTAAAGCTAAGGTTAAAATAATGTCTAGCTTTCTACTAGATGCAATAATGTTTAGCTCTATGTTGATTGCAAACTAGCTTCCTGCAAGTAGGAATGAATGTGGCTATGACATTCAGCAAAAATATATACTTGATAGAAATGACTAAGCTAGTATTTCCTTCCTCCTCTTGTACTACATTATTTCTAGAGTCGAGTGCTCCATTTACAAGGAAGATGACTAGGTGACCATAAAGTGTACACCCAAATAGTAGCATGTTTGCAAGTGCAAAGGAGTTCTATTAATAATGACACCAGAACAAGAGGCATAAATCAGGACTGTCCTGGGTAGCCCAAGGAAGTGAGAACACAGAGGGACCATTTTTCTCAGCCAAAGTTACACAGATAACTGAGTTTGGTACTCATGGCTATGTCCTACTTTATTTCATTGTATGGACTTGCATCGCATTTAATAAAGCTAAGTTCCTGTTTCCTTATTTGGCATCAGTATTTTCAAATTTAGAGACAACAGGTTTCTGTAAGTTTACAATAGAGAACACCTATCACCTGCATAAAGCAGTGAATAGTTGAATATGGCCATGAGACATTACTGACTCTAAGTAAGAGTTATGGCTCATGTTTAGAAATTTATCACATGTATTTCAGGGTTTTACAGTCATGTGTGTACACCCCGCTAACTACTCTCTGTACATTATAGTATTGTTAAATGTGCCAGGAAAGGAATTCAGAGAAGCTTTTTAGCTATATATTCATAAGAACAGAATCATTTGTTTTTTCTTTTCAAAGTACCTGTGTAAGTTAGCACTAGCCATTTGAAAGAGGAAATTAATAAGAGGAAAAGTATTGTGTAGTAATAATTTCTGCATACAGATAAAAGCTGAACTTTGTTTTCTGGGAAAGATGCTGTTTCTAGCAATTATAATGAATAATAACATCTAAAAATATAGTTTCCAGAAGACTTCGTACCATTTGTGAAATAAATACCAAAAATGAAATAAGAAGTTTCAAAACTATTTATGATTTCAAACTGTTTAGTATTACCTTTGCAGTGGTCCCTAATTAAAAATCATATTATGATTTTGATCACATGCCTACAGTGTCAGATTTTTTTTCCTACAAATTAACACCTAATGTAATTTATTTAAAAGTGAATTATATACATGTGCTCTTGAGAGGTAAATATTCTATTGAAAAGTTTTGGTCTGACTCTAATCTTTAGCTTCATGTTAAAATATTGCAGCAAAAATAGTTCAGTTTATTGATTTTCTTAGTGGGTTTCTACTCTGCAGAATTTAACAACTATCTATTAGTTGAAGGAAAATTTAAATTTCCATTAAACACTCTAAGATAGAAGCAATTAAGGCATTATATATATTTAAATTATTTGATTTAAACACCTTTGTTATTCTTCAAGTCATATGTGCACTTGCTCTTTCATTCAGCAAATGTGCTTTGAGTTAGTTTCTTACTGCAAGACAGTCATTACTCTGGTGCCTGGGTGTATTAGCCCATTTTTCTGTTGTTGTAACTCCCTGAGGCTGGGTAATTTATAAAGAAAAAAGCTTTAATTGGCTCATGGCTCTGCAGGCTGCACAGGCAGCATAGTGCTAGTGTCTTTCTGGTGAGGGCCTCAGGAAGCTTACAATCATGGTGGAGGCTGAAGAGGGAGCCAGTGTATCATATGGTGACAGGGGGAGCAAGAGAGAGAGAAGGGGGCAGAAACAGGTTCTTAAACAACCAGATGTTGGGTGGAGGAACTGAGCAAGAACTTATTTATCATCAAGGTGATGTTGCTAAACCATTCATGAGGGATTTGCCCCCATGATCCAATACCCTCCCACCAGCCTCACCTCCAATATTGGCAGTCATCTTTCAACATGAGTTTTGGAGGGACGCATATCCAAACCACATCCCTGGAATACCAAGGTGAAGGTGTGCACAGTCTAATGGAGCTGTAGGTAATTATGGCAAGGTGATAAGTCCTAGCAGAGCTGTGTGAACAACAGGCTGTTGTACCCTAGAGAAAGGAGCAATAGGCCTCCCAGGAAGGATCCTGAAAGTTTAACAGAAAAGTTTCCTGACACTTGAGTTGTGAGTAATAGCCTATCAAATAGGAAATGGGGATAGTACATTCCCTGACTTGCTGATGCACAGGCTTCACCATAACAAGTATAAGCAACATGTGCTAGAGGGTCCAATAATGTGATGGACCTTGGATATTCTGCTAAGGGGATGAGATGTTATGGGAGCCTTAGCCACTTTTAACTAAGGGAATCTTGTAAGAAAGAAAAGAGAAGCTGAATATCTATTTCCAAATAGTTGAGGAGAATCAAATGATTACTAAAACACTGACGGAAAAGATGAGTGTCCCTTCAATCTTTAGCTCACCTAGTCTGTTCTCTTCCTCTACCTTGTCTGCAGCAGCTGGTTTTTGTCTTGGATTCTTTTAGCCTCAACCTCTTGTCTGCCTCGCTGCTGAGTGGTTCTGTAGAAAATGTCCCTTGCTGATGGGATGCAGAATAATTTGGGATAGGAGAGTCTGAAAGACAATCTGGAAAATGGTGTTTTATGTTAAGACCTGCAAGTAGATCCTTCTTCATTTTCCAGTAATGTTGTTTCTTTAAAAAAAAAAAAAAAAAAAAAAAAAAAACTTTAAAACATTTAGAATAATTCAGAGACATTTTAAATTAATTTTAATAACCAAAATGGCTATACTGCTTAGAATCCTCATAAAATTTATTCCACATTTTATAAAATTCACTCTAAATGAGTTTGGTAAAATTTGGATTAAAAAAAATCTATTAGGAGTCTATTTTTATTTCACCAGCTAAAGAGCTCAGAACAGACCATACATGAAATGGTTATTCATCATGCTTAATTTTAAGGAAATTACCTGACAATTCCCAGCCAGTTTATTAAGTCTGGCTAAGTTTGCCAACTGAATACCCTCAGGAAATGCTGCCACCAGATAGGAGCAGATTTTTCTGAGCATAATGAAACTAGTGACAAGATCCTGTTATTTTATAAGTAAAATTATAACTATATCTTCTAACAATTAATTTAAGACAGTTAATTGATAGGCTTGTGACTAAAGAACAGAGCACCTTCTATTTCAGACAATAATTAAGGCATATATAAAAATAATGCTAAATATTGAATTTCTGTTTTAAATTTTTCCTTTGGTAATGTGAATATGACTTTAGAGTTTATCTTGTCTGTCACCAGTTTGAATTCTACCTGTGAATATTCCTTTCCCTTTCTCTGGTCCCAAAGCATCTATCTGTGAAATGTATTTCTAAGGTTTTCTCTTAAGGTAGACAGGTTTTCTGGCCCAGGAATTCTATTGCAAAGGTCATGAACATTTCAGGAGCAGATGCAAACCTATCCTTCCTCCCCCGATCCTCTTGCACATTCAGCATTGCTAAGGCAGATTCAAAGTAGAGCTGCCCTCCTCCTGGCTTTCAGGAGAGCAGGACGATGGTTTACATAGTTAAGTGCTTTGATGAAAGTCATATACACCAAGTTAATAAAAACGGGAAGCAATTAAGATGCCTTCGGGGAAGAAAAGACCCATATATCAACAAAACAACAATTTAGACCAAGTAGCTACTGTCAACAAACCTGAAAGCATTATTTAGAATAATGAGAAGAGATTATTGGAATGGGAGGTAGCAGATCTTGGCTTCAGACTCCACTTTGCCACTAACAAGCAGTGTGGTGGTGAGAATAATTACTTAGCTCAAAGTGAGAGTATTTTCTGTGGTCACTTGCAATGGATGATAAAAATCCAAATGGTATGTATCATGAGTACCTGGATTCCTTTCTTGGTAATGGGGGGGCTCTGTGTGTCCTGTAATAACTTAAAGTGACAGTCAAGCATGCTTACAGAATGTTGGTAGATTTGATTGATACTATGACATTCACTTGATCACGGTAGAAGCTATGGCAGCTAACTGTTCTTTCTCTCTCAAATGGGGGTATTTTCTGAGCAGACAAAATGATTAAATTGAAGCTTGCCACAATTCACAAATCCCTTCCAATTTCAGCCTCTGAAAACATCCTCTGTTAAAACCAGGAGGCACTGTAACTTTGCCTTATAGTTCAGAGATATTGATCATGAGACATCTACCACCCTGACTCTTGGTAAGCCTGTAACATTCAGCTGGTATTTTGGAGTCTGGTCCAATATCCATTAAAGAGATCAACCTGCAAGACAATATCCTTCATAGAGTAAGGAGGAAAGTGTTCTAATCTAAGACAATAAGGAAGGACAAGGAAGGAATCCCTAGGTGGCTCTATTAAATACAGGGTGAAATGCAGGATATTAGAGTCTTTAGTAACACTTAACCTGGAGAAGTCTCAGCAGGCTTGATTTTAGACCCCATTTTTACTGAAGTAGGAAATCTAGAATGGCAATCCCAGTTTGGATGACTCTACATGCTTGCTAATAAAATAAATACAACTACATGTGAACAAACTGTATGTAAAAGCAGGGAATGCACATAACACCTGAACATTACACATTAGAAAATGAAATTGCTCAAATGATTCAGAAAAAGACATATACTGTTCCATGGTCAGGGCCTCTGAAAGGTAATATAATTCAAGATAGAAATAGTCAAGTCTGACATTAAGGTAAGTTCCCTGATGAATGAAGGTTGAAAGGAGTGTGTGTGTGTGTGTGTGTGTGTGTAAGCGTGTGTAATAGGAGGAGATTATTATTAGCACTGCCCTGGGTAGCAGAATACACGCAATCTTCACTTGGCACAATGTGCACAAATTTCAGTTACCATGGTTTAGTTAAATAGAACTAGTTGCTCAAGAACACAGTTCATTTTATCATGCTCTATAAGATGTGACTAATTGCACAAAGTAAAAACTTTGCTAGTAGCTCTTGAGTTCACAGATCACTAAATAAGTAACAGATGAACATCTTGATCAGTGACCAATCATATCACATCTTTCAAAGTCTGTCAGTGACTGATCACTTTGCATCTGTTATTCAGTTTAAGTACAGACAGCAAAACTTAGAGTTGTGTTGCCTTCTGGTCTCTCCATGACAAACCCGTGTGACAATTTATGAAAATGGGTAATCAGACGGTATAACCAACAAAAATGAAAGTGCACCAAATAAATGATGAATAATAGTGCTAGAAGTGAAATTTAAATCAAACATAAATGGAGTTATGAAAGAAATAGCTCACCATGGGAAGGTTGGCACTGCCACTGTTGGAGACTCTAGCACGCAGCCATGGAAATTTAATGAAGGTGAACTTACTGACAATTAAGGGAAGTGACAAAAAGGATGACAGCCCTGAGGAAGTGATACTGACAAATACTTCATTTTAAAGGAACTCTCAGATATTTCACAACATTGAAAGCACAAAAGATAAAGTGTTGGAAGCAGATCCAAACTTAGTCTATATGACAATCTGCCAAAGCATAGACAATAACTCTGCATTGTAAATTATACAATAAGAAGGCAAGATCTGTTAAAGTTTTTACTAAAAATTATTTTTTTAATTCTCAATGTTCCCAATGTTTAAAGTTCATGTACTAAATAAATATTAGTTTAACTATCTTACATTTTCTTATACATTCCTATTTATATCTAACAATATGAAGATTTTAATGTTTTGACAAAAAAATGTAAAGGTCATGGAACAATTGCATTTTTTCCACTGATTATTAAGACTACTTTGCACAGTTTCATCATGCAGTCATTTTTGTAATCCTGCACTATCATGCAAATAACTCCTATAATTTTTAAGGGCCTTAATTGTGGGCTGACAAGTACAAAAAAAATGGCATTTAAGAGAGAAACATAAAGGTATGCATTTAGAGTCATATATTGAGCACAAATTTAATATGGGCAAATTGTGTGACATAGATGGTAAGAAGAGTGGTGTGATTTGGATTATAACAATAGTCTTGGAGTAGTTTTTTCATTGACATCTGCACTTAGCAGACTATCCTAGCAGTGGAATGTTCCATAGTGGATCTCACATTTAAATAAGACTGCAGAGAAGGAAAATAATTTCATATTCATTATAGTTGAAGAGATAGAGAAATTGAGGTGTATCTAATTAAAACTATTGATATAAAGAAAGAGGGAGCCAATTTAGTCTGTGTAACTCCTGAGGGCAAACCAGGAGACTAACAGGTGGATGTTCCAGAGACAGACTTTCACTTGGTTGAATATATATATTTGCGAATAGACTTGCCCCAAAATGAAACCAGAGCAATGGAATCATATTGCTGTGCTGATGAGATTTTTTTTCCAGATAACTATTCGCTTACAGAGATGTCTTTCAGAGATGTAGGCGGGAAGGTGATGCCTGAGGCCCCTTTCAACTAAAAAAAAATGTATAATTATAGAATGATAGTTACTACAATCTGTAATCATAGATTACAAGTTACTATACCTCTCGGTGTTGTGTATTAAGAGGTTCTTGGAATTCTGACACAGCATGGAGTACTACTGGCCAAAGACAGGGAGATTTTAGGTCAGAAACACTGGAGTTAAAATCTCTATATGGGCTGGGCGCAGTGGCTCACACCTGTAATCCCAGCACTTTCGGAGGCCGAGAGGGGCGGATCACGAGGTCAGGAGATCAAGACCATCCTGGCTAACACGATGAAACCCCGTCTGTACTAAAAAATACAAAAAATTAGCCAGGCATGGTGGCGGGCGCCTGTAGTCCCAGCTACTTGGGAGGCTGAGGCAGGAGAATGGCATGAACCTGGGAGGCGGAGCTTGCAGTGAGCCGAGATCGTGCCACTACACTCCAGCCTGGGCGACAGAGTGAGACTCCATCTCAAAAACAAACAAACAAACAAACAAAAGTCTCTATTTGGACAACTGTGTACCCTTGGGAAAGTTACTATCTCCGAGCTTCCATTTTATCTTCTGTAAAATGCTTGCTTATATTTTTTCCGAGTATTACAAATAACATACCTACCTGATGTTTGTTTATCCTAATTATTGTTGTCTCAAAAAAATAAAGAATTCAGGTAGATTTTGGAGAAAGAAGAATTTTCTAAAATACCAAAAATGATAATTTATTCTTTCCTTTTCTATATTGCCAAGGTATTTGTGTCTTTAGGTATGAGATATGCATAACAGACATTTGTAATATCTCTATGAAAGTGAAAGGTTCAAAATCATCAGGCTTGTCAAGAGAACACAATTTGGATAAGCAAAAGTAATTTTGAAATGAGTACAACGTTTCAAATCAAGTTAAAATAATAAGAGATAGATATTTTGAACCAAAACTACAACAACAAAAAGTCTGAGTTAATAATAAGACCATATTTTTAAATTGTCTTATAAATCAAATTATTTTTTGGTTCAATTCCTTGTGATTTTTGTTTGTCTGTTTAATACATCAGAGAATACATGGTATTGACAATTAGGTCATGTATTAGACCATTCTTGCACTGCTATAAAGAAATACCTGAGAAATACTGGAGGCTGCTGGCATCTGCTTGGCTTCTGGGGAGGCATCAGGGAGATTTTACTGATGGCAGGAGGCAAAGCGGGAGCCAGCACATCACATGGTGAAAGCAGGAACAAGAGGGTATGGGGGGTACCACACATTTTTAAGCAACCAGATCTTGTGAGAACTCATTCATTATCATGAGGATAGTACCAAGCAATGAGGGATCTGCCCCTATGACCCAAATACCTCCCACCAGTCCTCACCTCCAACACTGGAGAACTACATCTCAACATGAGATTTGGGGGTGATATCCAAACTATATTATTACACCCCTGGCTCCCCAAATCCCAAATCCTTCTCACACTGCAAAATATAATCATCTCAATAGTCCCCTAAAGCCTTAACTCATTCCAACATTAACTCAAAAGTCCCAAGTCTGAATTCCAAAATCTCAACTGAAATGAGTTCCTTTCACCTATGAGCTGTAAAATCAAAACAAGTTATTTCCTTCCAAGATGCAATGTGGGTACAGGCATTGGGTAAACATTCCCATTCCAAAAGAGAGAAATCAGCCAAAAGAATGGGGCTATAGGCCCCATGCAAGTTTGAAACCCATCAAGGCAGTCATTAAATCTTAAGGCTCCAAAATAATCTCCTTTGACTCCATGTCCCATATTTAGGGCACACTGCAGCAAGGGTAGGCTCCCAAGGCCTTGGGCAACTCTGCCTCTGTGGCTTTGTAGGGTTCAGCCCCACCACCCTCTTCTCACAACTCTGTTAGTACACCAGTGGGGACTCTGTGTGGGGCCTCCAACCTCATATTTTCCTTTCACACTGCCTTAGTAGAATATCTCTGTGAGGGCTCTTTTTCTGTAGCAAGCTTCTGCCTGGGCACCCAGGCTTTTCCATGCATCCTCTGATGTCTAGGTGGAGACTACCAAGCCTTCTTCACTCTTGCTCTCCTACAGACTTAAAACCATGTGGAAACCATGAAGGTTTATGGCTCGCACCCTCTGAAGCAGCGGCCTAAGCTGTATCTGGAGCCCTTTGAGCCAAGACTGGGGCCAGATCTGCCAGGATGTGAGGAGCAACCTCCTAGGGTGGCACAGGGCAGTTGTGACTTGGGACTGGCCCCTGAAACCAATCAATCGTCCTGGACCTTTGTGATCATACTGGTAGTAGGCACACAGAGTGCAAGAGTGAAGAAGGCTTGGTGGCCTCCACCTAGATTTCAGAGGATGTATGGAAAAGCCTGGGTGCCCAGGCAGAAGCCTGCCTAGAAGATCTCTGAAATGCCTTTGAGGCACTTTTTCCATATTCTTGGCTATTGGCACTCAGCTCCTTCTTAATTATGCAAATCTCTCTAACAAGTGATTGCTCCACAGCCTGCTTGTATTCCTATTTCAAAAAAGCTTTTTCTTTCTCTGTCACATGGCCAGGCTGCAAATTTTACAAATATTTTGCTCTGCTTCCTGTTTAAATATAAATTCCAACTTTAAGTTATATATTTGCTCCTGTATCGAAGTTGGGCTTTTAAAAGCAGTCAGGCTACAGCTTGAATGCTTTGCTCCTTAGACATTTCTTCCGCCAGATACCTTAAATTATTACTCTGAAGTTTAAACTTCCACAGATCCATAGGACATGAACACAATGCAGCCAAGCCCTCTGCTAAGGCATAACATGGGTGGCCTTTCCTCTAGTTCCCAATAAGTTCCTCATTTCCATCTGAGACCTTGGCAGCCTGGATTTTATTGTCCAAATAACTATCAGAATTCAGTCACAAGCATTTAACTAGTCTCTAAAAAGTTTCAAGGCTTCCCTCATCTTCCTGTCCTTCGAGCCCTCCAAACCCTTCCAACCTCTGCCTGCCACTCAGTTCCAAAGCTGCTTCCAGATTTTCAAGTATCTTTATAGCAATATCTTACTCCTGGTACCAATTTTCTGTATTAGGCCATTCTTGCATTGCTGTAACAAAATAACTGAGACTGGATAGTCTATAAAGAGAAGAGGCTTAATTGGCTCATGGTTCTGCAGGCTGTACAGGAAGCATGGTACTAGCATCTGCTCAGCTTCTAGGGAGGCCTCAGGGAGTTTTTACTCATAGCAGCAGGCAAAGAGGGAGCCAGCATGTCACATGACTAAAGCAGGAGCCAAAGAGAGAATAGGGGGCATAGAAGTGCCGCACACTTTTAAACAACCAGATCTTGTGAGTAACTCATTCACTATTGCAAGGACAGCAAGAAGCCACAAGGGATCCACCCCTATGATCTAAACACCTCCCACCAAGCCCCACCTCCAACACTGGGGATCACCTCTCAACATGAGATTTGGAGGGGACACCCAAAACTATATCAAGTCACTTTTCCCATGAAATTATAAATAAAATCTTCCACTGACAGTTATATGGTAAAATCTAGACAAAATGAATAGAGCAGGGATATACAAAGTTAACATGAGACAAAGTAGCCTTTGGGCAAAACTTGATGGGTAGTATTAACATTCATAGTGATAGTATGTATTAATCACAATCAGGATTGAGAAAAAAATCAAACTGGCAAAACTATTAACTTTCCAACTAGGTATTTCCATCAGATATTTCTACATGTCTGTTGTAGAGATGAATAAATCAATTTATCAAAACCAGAATACACATTTCAGTAATATACTAAAATCCTCCTGTTTTGAGTATGAGCTCACCAAATAGTTGTTCTGTGTAGCTTATCAAAGGATCAAGACCATTTTCTGTTTGACATTGATACCATTCCAAAATAATACATTAACATCTGGTCTTCTACCTCAGCCTTTGTGAGCTTGATAGGACTAGCCCATTCTTTTAAGAAATGAGACACTCAGCATACTGACAAAATTCAGTTTTCATTTGCAAAGATGAGGGCCAGCACCTGGTCTGTGGTAGAATCACCAAGGTCACCTCCAGCTCATGTTGCATCTCAGGAGTCATTCACATCCTTCCCTAAACACTCTCTGATGTTGAGAATTGCTCTATTTCTTTGAAACTTCTTAGTCATATCAGGTATTTTACCTTTTCCATAAAATTCTATCATTAAATCAAGTACTTTGTAATAGTTCTCAGGAGAAATAGAAAACAACTTTTATCTTCCAGAAGTTTAAACCATAGAATTAGAATCTGTGGGTATATACTACAAATGTAAATAATTACAATGAATTTTTATAATAGAATATAATAACTAATGCAATTAATATTCTACAGTTTAATTATGTAAGTGTTAAGAGGGTGCCCAGTTAAAGAGCAATCAAAGACTAGATGACCAATGACATTAGACTTTCCAGATAGAGAGGATGATGGTTTGGGTCTGACTTGTTAATATGAAATGCATTTGAGGAGGAAGATGAAGAAAAGAGATTACCAAATGGAGTATGCATAAGAATTTCCATATAAACTCTCAGGTATCACCCTTAACAATTATGATTCATGAGGTGTATTAGTCTTCTGTTGCCACTGTAGCAAATTACCACAGATTTAGCAGTTTTCAACAACACAAATTTATTATCTCATAATTTTTGTGCATCACAGATCTATCTCCTCAACTGATTCTTTTGCTTAGAATGTCACAAGACTGAGATTAAGATGCCTACCACCTGGGATCCTCTCTGGGGCTTCTAGGGGAGAATCCACTTTCAGGTTCATTCAGGTCATTTGCAGAATTCACTTCCATGTGTCTATAGGACCAAGTCTATGTTTCCTTGCTGGCTGTTGGCTGGAGGTCATTCTTAGAGGCTAGAAGCATCTTTCATTTCTTGGCTCATGGCCTCCTTCTTCTTCAAAGCCAGCAATGGAGATTTGAGTTCATTTCATGCTTCCTATCTCTTTGACTTCTACCTCAACTATCCTGCTCTTACCTGGAGAAAGCTCTCCACTTATTCATGTGGTTAGACTGGGCCCACCTGGATATTTGAGGCTAATCTCTTTATTTTGGGATCTGTAACCCTAGTTACATCTGCAAAATACCTTTTGCCAAATAATGGAACCTATTCATGGGTTCCAGGGAATCAGGACATTAATCTCTTTGAAGAGCCATTATTTGGTCTACCAGAGTAAATTACTCTAATTTCTCTGCTTTGGACCACATTTTGAGAAATGCTGGTACAGAGGCATAAAACTTGGGAACTAAGATTTCAGACATGATAGAAGATATATTGATTCGCTCTTCTTAAGTGGAAGTCTAGAAGAGTATGAAGCTAGAAAGAAAGAGATCAGAGATTACATGAAACCAAAAAGTGTAGACATGGCATAAGCAAGAACAGTGATATTTCTTTCTTAAACACTTAGAGAACACTTGAGTTTATTTGGGATGTATTTATTTTCACCTGGTTGAGAAAATATACTTGACATAGCTCAGTGTATAGAAATTATCTTCCTGTGCTCACATCTATATTTGACTAAGTTTAGAATTGTTTCAGGGACTGTTGGGATTGCTACTGTTTGTAAGACTCTTAGTAGGAATTGTTTCCATTCAACAATATGATTTGACTGAGCTGAACTTTTGAGTGATTTCGTTGTGATAATAATATTTTATCATATTTTTCTTCCTGATTCAATCACAAACTTTAACATTTTATTTTAAAATTTATATAAAATTTACCCTTTTTGGTATACAGTTTCATAAGTTTGAAAAATGCATAAAATACTGTAACCACAATGACAATCCTGTTACCTTTCCATCACAAACATACATGCACAAAAATTCCTTCATGCTTCATCTTTGCAATCAATTTTTATTCCCAGCCCTAATCCTGGCAAACACTGATTTGTTCCTTATCTCTATTGTCCTTCTCTTTCCAGAATGTCACAATAAATGTAATCAGACAGTGTATAGCCTTTTGAGTCTGGCTTCTTTCACTTGGCATAATACATTTGAGATTCATCCAATTTGCTGCATGTATCAATAGTTAGTTCCTGTATATAATTCCTAAATTTTTGGCTGAGATTCATGCTATATTAGACTCCAATTGTTTTTCCTAATAAATTACCCACAGTGGTTTCCTTTCAACAGGCACATTCCAGCATAGTTTTTGTTATAATGCTAAAAGTCTGAATTTTTGTTTTGTTTTGTTTTCCTTCTTGTAAATTTTGTGTGTGAGTCATATACAAAACTTATTTTGAGAAAAACATGGATTTATTAATGTGTTTAAGCCACCTGTGACTCTGAAAGTCTGCTTAATGCAAGTTTTTAATGTTGAAAAAAAAAACCAGGTGAACATTGCAGTATTTTGAAGATAAGAACTAGACTTAGAGATATGGTTAAATCTCAATAGTCAACTACAATGGAGAAAACCAGTCCTAGATAGTCTAAAAAAAATGGTTAGTCGGGTTTGTTGCATTATATATGAATTTTGCTCTGTGATAGTTAACATTTTGGTTATGCTAACATTAAGATTATTTTTAATTCCTAACTGTATAACAGCTGGTGGTAGGACAGAGGCAGCTGAGAAGCAAGTAGGATGGCAGAGAAAATAACAGTTTAAATTTTGTGCTTCTATAGATACTCAGCAGAGTGGATAAGCCACATTCAGATAATTGAGATTTGACCAGATGTGAATTTGTTCTCATTAGAATTCATGATTCCAAGTCCTATATGGTGCAAGTAAATCGCTACTGAGCAGGAAACTGGATGCTTTTCCTGCTCAGTAGCGATCTCAGTTAAGACCTTTTCTATCTGTTTAATATAAGCATCTCAGTCATAGCTCCATACTTAAAAAATAGACAGTTCCATAAGTCAGTTGTGCAGCTAAAAGAATCATTAATCTTTAAATACAGGATTTTTCATTCTGCACTCTGCTGGGGATTATATAGTGCTTTTCATATACTATACCTCAGAGTGTTTTACTAAGCAGGGAAGTATTTTGGAGATGTGTGATGAATATGAAACTCGCATAACTGCAGCAAAGGCTGATGCACTCAGAACGATTTGTTAAATCTAAAACCTGTCACTCACACTTGATGCTTGACATGCAGAAATCAGTGGAGAGCAAAACATGTTGTTTATTTTTCAACAACAATGAATAGAATTTTCCAAAGAGGAATATTTGCATAAAGAAGTTCACCAATGAATGAAAATCCTTCAAGGATTTAAAAGACAGGAGGTAGGATATAGTGGTACAGGATAAAACTTTGTATGTTTAGCTGTGCTTACCAAACAGGCGTGAGAGCTTCTGGTAGACACCCAGCAGTGTCACTGACAGGTTTAGGAATAGTAGTCTTTTTTTGAGATTGCAATGAACCTCACCAAAGAAACAGGAGAAGGTCCTTTCCTCATTCTCTCATAACCTCATGGCTGCTTGGTTATTCCCTAGCCTTTTTTTCTTTTCTTTTCTTTTTGTATTTTAAACATTGTTATTTATTTATTTATTTATTTTTGAGATGGAGTCTCGCTCTGTTGCCAGGCTAAAGTGCGGTGGCACGTTCTCTGCTCACTGCAACCTCCACCTCCCAGGTTCAAGCGATTCTCCTGCCTCAGCCTCCTGAGTAGCTGGGACTACAGGCGCGTCCCACCACGCCCAGCTAATTTTTGTATTTTTAGTAGAGATGGGGCTTTACCATGTTTGCTAGGATGGTCTCGATCTCTTGACCTCATGATCTGCCTGCGTTTGCCTCCCAAAGTGCTGGGATTACAGGTAAGAGCCACGGCGCCCGGCCTAAAAATTGTTTTTTATTTAAACAATAAGTAATCATTTTCCATGTCATGTTTGAAGCACTAGAGAATTAAATGAGATATGGTCCCCATCCCTCCGAAGCTCACAGTCTAGCCACAGACCCCAGAATGTTAGCACATAATTCTAGAACAGTGGCTGATGCTCTGAAGGAAGAAGTATTTAATTTGGCTTAAGTATGACAGGGGGCTCCTTACTTGAGGTGTGATTACTTACATTTTGTTGTTTAGAATGGTTTTGCTTTATGAAAAAAATCCCTTTGTTCACTTATAACACACATACACAATATGAACTAAAATCTTAAGTGCACAGCTTGATGAACTATAACAAAGTGAATACAACCATGTAGCCACCACTTAATCAAGAAATAAAATGCTGGTGCAGTGGCTCAGGCCTGTAATCCCAGCACCTTAGGAGGCCGAGGTGGGTGGATCATGAGGTCAGGAGATCGAGACCATCCTGGCTAACGTGGTGAAACCCCGTCTCTACTAAAAATATAAAAAAAATTAGCCAGGTGTGGTGGCGGGCGCCTGTAGTCCCAGCTACTCGGGAGGCTGAGGCAGTAGAATGGCGTGAACCCGGGAGGCGGAGCTTGCAGTGAGCCAAGATTGCGCCACTGCACTCCAGGCTGGGCGACAGACTGAGACTCTGTCTCAAAAAAAATAAAAAATAAAAAATAAATAAATAAATAAATAAAATGCTGCCAGCTTTCTAGAAAGTCCTGGTGTGCCTCTTTGCAGTCACTGTCCTCTCTGTTTTTATAAATATAACCACATTCCTAATTTCTAACACTAAGAACTAAGTTTGCCTGTTCTTAAAATCTATATGTATCTTCATCACCTTATGACCCCTTTTTCAATAATAATTTTTATTATTATGCTGGATTAAAATTTATCTGTTCATATTTCAGTTTGCTCCTATTAGTCTGTGGCTTCTGTACAATCAACCCTATGCTTTACTCATCTGTACACCCCAGAGCTCAGTGGAAAGCCCAGTGTATGGATTACCCTGGAGGAAGTGTGCTACAAGAATGAAAGAACAGTATAAAAAACAGGGAGCAGGCTAGGACAGGAACTCAGGTGAAAGAGATGCCTCTAGTTGGATAAGAGTCTCACAAAAGTGCTTCTTCATTTTTAAATGCCAGACTAATATTTTAAATTGGCTTAATTGTCTTGGATTATGGATATTTTCTAAGTTCTAAAAAGTAAATCTTTTTCTGTGTGTCAGGATTCAACAAAAGAAACAGAATCAGTAGGAGGTATGTAGTTTAAGAGCTTGATTGTAAGGAATCAATTTAAGAGATTGTGGGGCCTGGGAAGGCAAGCCTGATGTCTATGTGGCAGGACAAGAAGGGCAGACTGGGCCTCTCAGGCGTGGACTGAAACTGCTGCCCACAGGGAAGCCTCAACCCTGCTTAAAAGGCCCTTCAACTGATTGAATCAGAACACCCAGATTATATGGGATCACCTCCCTTACTTAAAAATCAACTGATTATAGACTTTAATTACATCTGCAAACTATCTTCGCAGCAACACCTAGATTAGTATTTGACTGAATAATGGGACTGTAGCCTAGCCAAGCCGACACATCAAAAGATCATCGCAATATCCTTTTCTCTCTTTCTTTCTAAAGTAATTAAATCAACTAAAATGTCTTTAAATTGACTGAATATTCATGTTCCACCCTACTTACAAATGATCAGGTTTTTAAAATGTCACTAGAATATAGTGCCTTTGGGTGGGTGAGGAAGATACTTTTTGGGTAGAAAGGCAAAATTTATAGAAATAAGCTCTTTCTTAATGAACTAATAAATTTAACATGATTTTAATCAAAACATCTACTAGGTAATTGTTACAATTCTCTAAATGATGCTAAAGTTCAGCAGGAGGAATAAAGGCAGGCAAAGTGTTATGGATTTTGGTAAGAAAGAGATGGAAGGAAAGAAAGTGTAACTGAGCTTAGTGAAATAAAAGATCTAGAATTTGCTTACCGTTTGATTTAGGCAGCAGCTAAAGATCCATTCTTTTAAGGAAGCAATCAAATATATATGCGGAGATTTAGCTTAGGTATATTAATTGTGATCTTATTTTTAAGAGCAAAAAAAGTTGGCAACATCTGAAAGTAAAAAAAATCAAATGATTAAATGAATTTTGGGGCATACGTGCAAACCACCATGGCACATATACCTATGTAACAAACCTGTACGTTCTGCACATGTATCCCAGAACTTAAAGTAAAATAAAAAATAAATAAAATAAAACAAAACAAAATAAAATGAAGTCATTAAAATTTGTATAATTTCTACAATCATGTTGTAGAAAATATTTATGTCATATACCTGTGTTTAAGATAGATTTTTGTATGAACAAATGTAAGGTATAAAGCAAAAACACATGCCATAGTCTACTGTGATAAGAAATATATATCATATATTTCCTAAAATATATGGTGTATATGTTTCTGAAAATGTATGATATAAATTATGAAATATATGATATATATGTTATAGACAGAATTTTGATAATAAAAGTGAATTTTAAATAGCTATTAAGTGTTTGGCTGGGAATAAAACTAAACATTGAGCAGATTCAGCCTGTGTTTAACATTAGTCCATTTTCCTTTTTCTTTTTTCTTTTTTTTTTTTTTTTTGTGACAGAGTCTTGCTCTGTAGCACCTGCTGGAGTGCGGTGGCGCGATCTCGGCTCACTACAAGCTCCACCTCCCGGGTTCCCGCCATTCTCCTGCCTCAGCCTCCCGAGTAGCTGGGACTACGGGCGCCCGCCACCACGCCTGCCTAATTTTTTGTATTTTTAGTGGAGACGGGGTTTCACCGTGTTAGCCAGAATGGTCTCGATCTCCTGACCTCGTGATCCGCCCACCTCGGCCTCCCAAAGTGCTGGAATTACAGGCCTGAGACACTGCGCCCGGCCCCATTTTCCTTTTTCTAAAACCATCAGCATTAACTTTAGTAGAGCCCTTCTTACTTTTATCACTGTGATATCACATAGTCAGGATAAACAAAGCAACCAGCTGCACAGCCCACCTAGTTCTGGTCTTCAAGCTTAATATAATGATGTTCAGTAAGTAACTGATTATGTTAAATGTAAATCAGGTAGGATAAGTACCTTTGCATTGACAAATCACTGGTAAGGCATATACTTGAGTTTTAACCATAGTTATCTCTAGGTGGTAGTTATTTCATTTTATTTTACTTATATTCATTTTCTAAATTTGAAAAATAAGTATAATGTTTTTGTAAAGAAAAATATTAATTAAAATAATGTAAAATTAATGAAAGAGCTTTTGCTTTGTCAGATATTAACTATATTCTAAAGCCCCAATAACCCCCATTAAAACTGTGGTTGCAGGGTTAGACATAAAATCAATGTAACATAATTAATATATGATAAAATGGCATTTTTATCTCAGTAGGAAAAAGATGAGGCATTGGAAAAGTGTTACTGAAACAACTGGATAATCTTTTATTTTAATGAAATAAAGGTAGATTTTTACCTCCTCTTACCATAGACAGAATAAAATTTAATGGATTAAAATATTTTGGAAATAACTAAGACACTAAAAGTTAGAAAAAATACCTATGACTATAAAGTCAATGGAAATAGCATTCTTAAATTAACATGAACAGCTCAAAAGAAAAATAGCTATATATTTAATTACAAAGAAAAGTAAACTTACAAATAATATAATATACATAATTTTTTAAAAAATTTTAACTTAAACCATAATCAGGAAAAAATATTCTAGCATATTATTGATACATAAATCACTGTTATGAATCAATTTTAAGGTTTTAAAAAGTAGAAAATGAATAAAGAGATATACACGTTACAAAATAGAAATGGCTAAGAAAATTATATTTATATATTATATAATGTACATTAACCTGATTGAAAAATCTAAAAAATATGAATGGAAACAATGACATATTTTTCACTATTATATTGGCTAAAATATATATATGTCTATTTTTTCCTACCTCTTTGTCTGTCTATCACAGATATATCAGTGTTTGGAAAGTGGAATGAAACAGACATTCTCTCATACTACTGGCCTGATGTTAGTAGGCATATTTATGTAGGCAGTTTGGTTATGCTAATCAGATGCTTAGGATTTTGCATTGTCTTTGACCACACCATTCTACTTCTATGGCTAATACTAAAATAATAATAAAGAAGCACAGATAAACCTAAAAAAAAGTAGCAACTTTAATTTATAACAAAAGGGTTTAAATAAGTTGTGATACAAGCATAAAATGGAATAATATGCAGTCATTCAAAGTGATGTTTTAGGAGAAGGATCAATTACAAAACAGAGAAAAACAGCACATACACTATAAGATTCTTCTAAAAAATGTTCACACACATATATGCAAAGAGAAAAGTGTAGAAGGACATATACACAATTATTTATAATAGCTAATTCGTGATCTTTCTTTGTTTGGCTAAACAATAGTTTCTAAGTTCTCCAAAATGAACATATATTACCATTTGATAAAGAATTTTAAAAGTTATGGTATGGAATGCTATGCAGCCAAAAAAAAGGACAAGATCACATCCTTTGCATCAACATGGATGGAGCTGGAGGCCATTATCCTAAGCGAACTAACACGGGAACAGGAAAGCAAATACTGCATATTCTCACTTATAAGTGGGAGCTAAACATTAAGTACACATGGAAAAAAGAGGGGAAAAATAGACAATGGGACCTACTTAAGGGTGAAGGGAGAGAGGAGGGTGAGAAGAAAAAACTACCCATTGGGTACTATGTTTATTACCTGAGTGGTGAAATAATCTGTACATCCATCCCTTATGACAAGCAATTTACCTATATAACAGACCTTCATGTGTACCCCTGAAGCTAAAATAAAAGTTAAAAATAAAAAATTAAAATAATGTAATAACAATAAAATTTGAAAAGTTACTGAAAATATTAAATTTCAGTGGAATTTGATGTTATTACTTCTAGACTAATGAATAAAATCTTATAGGTGAATTTAAGATCTCTAATAATTTCCCTTTGGTGTTTTTTATTTCATTTCTTTGTTTTTTTAATCCTAGAACTTTGTATGATACTCAATATTTGTATTCTTTTGGATAATAGATAAGTCATTGTACTTTGCTCTCATCCTGAAATTGAACTTAATGTACTCTCTGGAACTCAGATTTTTGAAACTATTTTCCATAAAATAGCACTAATTTTAACTTTTAAATAACTGAAATCGCTAAAGGGAAAGCTTGAATTTAAATTTATTTAATGTTCAAATCATTATTTCAGTCTAACCATTCCCTAAAGTCTCCTTTCATAGACACGTCTGGCATGCTGACATTACCCTCTGGAGGCTCAAAAGTAAAGGTCTTTTTAAAAATATGTTCTCTTACATTTTATACTGAAAATGTGAAATGTGAAGTGAAAATATAAACAAATGGTTATTAGAAGCCAGCAACTTTGCGCATTCCTTGTTTGTTCACAACATTGTGCATAACTGTGGGAGAACAATAACCCTCCCCTTTCTCTCTCCTCTCCTGGGAACACCCTAAGGTTATGGGTCCATTTATTTCATGTCTCAAACACAGACAGGGCTCTGGCTGCCAGACAGATTTTTGAGAAATCTTAATTATGGTGTATGTCAAATATATTGCTTAGATGTTTTTTGACTGGCCCAAGCATTCTTGACAGCATTTGGAACAATATACAAAAATTAATTGCAAAGATTTAGACAGGAACAAAGATTAGTATTGCAGTCCTAAGTAAAGGTCTATTTAAGTAGCCTAACCAGCTCCTCAGCACTCCGAAGTTTTCTTCTCATGTTATCCAAACTCACACACTCCACTGGCAAAACTGAGCTTTTATGAATGCTTTTTATCTCAGCCCTAATAATGGCAAAATAATAAGAGCTAACATTAATGTAGCATACTATGGGTAGTGTCAATGTGTTAAGTGCTGTATGCATTGTACCAGTTAGGACTATGAGATCGACTATAAATGACAGGAAATGTAAAATAACAGTATTGTAAATACAATTATCTCCCATGTGAGAGGAGCAGTTCAGGGCTGATAGGGCTACCACTAAGATACCAGGAAAACTGGCTCCTTTCCCCATTTACCTTCAGCAAAGTCCTCCCAACGTGTGGTCCAAGGAAGCTGCTTAAGCTCCAACTATTACACACACATTCCAGACTGCAGGAAGGAGGAAGGAAAGAATAAAAATTGCGCATCTGCTATTTTTTTTTGAAACAGGGTCTCTCTCTGTCACCCAGGCTGGAGTGCAGAGGTGCCATCTTGGCTCACTGCAGCCTCCGCCTCCCGGATTCAAGTGATTCTCATGCCTCAGCCTCCCAAGTAGCTGGGAGTACAGGCGTGTGCCACCATGTCCGGCTAAGTTTTGTATTTTTGGTAGAGATGGGGTTTCACAATGTTGGTCAGGCTGGTCTCGAACTCCTGACCTCAAGTGATCTGCCCACCTCTGCCTCCCAAGGTGCTGGGATTACATGCATAAGCCACCACGCCTGGCCCACATCAGCTATTTTTAAGGAATTTTTCTGAAAGTGGTCATGTAACATTTCTGCTTATGTAGATAAAATGTCCCAAACCTGGAAAACATAATACATCATAGTGTGGATTTTAGGCATCCCTGCAACTAGTTAGAAATTGAGAGTTTTTACTAAGTGATTACTGGTGCAGGTTTTTCCTATATGCAGTACTTCTCTTGGCCTTCACCACAGCCCTTTCAGTAGATACACCTTATTTCTCTTAGCCTCTGTTATCTGCTTTGATTTAGTACCCCTGAGGTTCTATCTCTGCCTTGTGGGTGAGAGTCTTCCTGGGTTCCCCACTCTCTGCCTTTTTCTTGGCTGCCTGTCCTAACTCTGTGGATTTATGTGATCCTCCAGCAGGAAGCTTTCTCATTCTGATCCACATCTCAACATAACAGATCCCCCATTATAGCACCAGCTCTGTTGGTTTCAGTAACAGCAAAAAATGGCACAGTAAATGTAGGCATTACTTTAAATTGTACAAATTTCAATGATATTTTCTGTTTTATGATAAGGAAACAACTGAGAAATAAATGTGCCAGTTTCTCTTTGTACTGAATTGTGACTTTGGGCATATTACTTGATATGTCTATGTCTCAGTTTCCTCATCTGTATAATAGGGATAACTGTAATACCTATATCATAAGGAGACTTTGAGGATTCACTGAATCAATTCATAGAAAACAGTAACTGGCATATTGAAAGCCTTCAGTGAGGATTAGCTAATAATAATAAGTGTAATTTTAAATATACTAATAATAACACATTTTTATGTTTTAGATTACTTTGTCATTTTATGGCCTTTATTTAGTGACTATCAGACAAAAAGAAATCTTACTACCTTGGGAGGATCATTGGGGAGATAACGAATAACATTTACAGAAAATTCACAGCAATATTTTACCCTTAATTAATAAGTCTCTTTTAGAGAATTATGTTCTCCCTAGTTTGGGATCATCTGGAGTTTCTGGCTGTCAGGGAATTCTAAAGCAATTTTGGTTGCTAGTGTAGTAAACTTGGGACTCTGGAGGAAGGGGTAGCAGAAGTGATGCATAGATACAGTTGAGTTGCTGTGTTTATTTAGGGTTTTTTAGAGGTAAAATGATTTTGATGAATCATATTAATAGTAACTCATTCTCGTTTTTAAGGAAGGCATGAATCACATGAATATTAGATACTATCAGGATCTTGAAGGTTTTAAATTCTTGAAAACATTATAACATTGGCAGGTCTAAATGTTTGTTCTGTGTATTCATCAGAACTTCAGAGGAAGCAGATGATGCACCCAAAGGAGTAATTTAGAGTTAAAAGAAGGAAATGCTCTTTGTAAAGTTGTAGGCAGGATTAGGCCATGATGTGTGCATATGACAATGAACTCAGGCTGGTGATGCACCCAGGGACTAGCAATAGAAGGAAGCTGTACACAAGGCACTTGAAGGGGCATGGCAGGGAGCAGAGCTAGGAATGGTCATCGTAGTGTGGCTTCTTGGCTGGATTTGTGGCTATAGGTAGAAGAACACACCTACTGCCAAAACTTCCTTCTTACTGGGAGGGCACTGGGGAATAACTACCCTGACCTCTTTCTTCCCTCATTCTCATTGCCTACTTCCCATTGGTCTAATTTAATTGAAGCTACAGGACACGAGAATCCCAGCAATGCTTCCCAGCAATGCCTCCCAGCAACACCATATTCAGAGGTCAGGCTCCTACAGCACAGTGCAGGGCCAGGAAAAGGATAATGGTTATGGGGAGGCCTCAGTGCATAAATAGCACACTTCCATCCTCAGGCACAGCCCTGCCCCCTGCTCTGGACCTTTTCAACATCCTGAAAAGGTACAATCATGCCTTATTTTATTGTAGTTAACTCTGTTGCACTTCCCAGATACTGTCGTTTTTACAGATTGAAGGTTTGTGGCAACCCTGCCTTGAGCAAAATTATTAGTGCCATTTTTCCAACAGCATGTGCTCACTCACTTCATGTCTCTGTGTCACATTTTGGTAATTATCACAATATTTCAAACTTTTTTATTATTTTCATATCGATTATGATGATCTATTATCAGTAACCTTTGGTGTTACTGTTGTAATTGTTTTGGAGTGCCACAAACCACAGTCATATAAAGATGGTAAATTTAATCAATAAATGTTGTGTGTTCTGACTGTTCCACAGACTGGCTCTTCTCCATCTTTATCTCACTCTTGTTGGGCCCTCCTAGTCCCTGAGACACAATAATATTGAAACTAGGCCAATAAGTAAGCCTACAATAGCCTGTAATTTTCAAGTGAAAGGAAGAGTCACATGTCTCTTACTTTAAATCAAAAACTAGAAATGATTAGGCTTAGTGAGGAAGGCTTGTCAAAAGCCAAGGTAGGCCAAAAGCTAGTCCGCTTGCATCAAACAGTTAGCCAAGTTGTGGATGCAAAGGAAAAGTTATTGAAGCTAATTAAAAGTGCGACTCCAGTGAACATAGGAATGATAAAGCAACACAACCTTATTGCTGATATAGAGAAATTTGGAATGATCTGGACAGATTGTCAAACAAGCCACCGCACTGTCTTGTGTCAAAGGTTAATCCAGAGCAAACCCTAACTCTCTTCAATTCTATGAAGGCTGAGAGAGGTAAGGAAGCTGCAGATGAAAAGTTGGAAGTTCGCAGAGGCTATCCAGAAGATCTAGCTAAGATAATTGATGAGGGTAGCTACCCAAACAACAGATTTTTAATGTAGGCAAAATAGCTTTCTATTTGAACAGGATGCCGTCTAGGACTTTCCTATCTAGAGGGAATTCAATGCCTGGCTTCAAAGATTCTAAGGCCAGACTGACTGTCTTATTAGGGGCTAATGCAGCTGATGACTTCAAATTGAAGCTAGTGCTCATCTGCCATTCCAAAAATTCTGGGGCCCTTAAGAATCATGCTAAATCTATTCTACCCATGTTCCATAAATTGAAAAACAAAGCCTAGATGACAACACACCTGTTTACAACATGGGTACTGAATATTTGAAGCCCACTGTTGAGACCCACTGTTCAGAAAAAGATTCCTTTCAAAATATTATTGCTCATTGACAATACACCTTGTCACCCAAAACCTCTTGTAGAGATGTACAAGGAGATTAATGGGTTTTCATGCCAGCTAACATAACATCTATTCTGTAGCCCATGGATCAAGGAGTAATATTAACTTCCACATCTTGTTATTTAAGAAATACATCTCATAAGGCTATAGCTTCCATAGACACTGTTTCCATTAATGGACCTGGGCAAAGTAAATTGAAAACCTTCTGGAGAGGTTTCACCACTCTAAATGTTATTAACAACATTCATAATTCATGGGAGGAGCTCCAAATATTGACATTAACAGTTCAGAAGAAGTTGATTCCAACCCTCATGGATGGCTTTGAATGGTTTAAGACTTCAGTGAAATAAATAACTGCAAATGGGGTAGAAATAGCAAAATAACTAGAATTAGAAGTGGAGACTGAAGATGTGACTGCTTGCTGCAATCTCATGATAAAACTTCAATGAAGGAAGAGTTGCTTCTTATTGAAAAGCAAAGAAAGTGGCTTCTTGAGATGGATTCTACTGCTGAAGATGCTGTGAACATTTTTGAAATGACAGCAAAGGATTTAGAATATTTCAAAAACTTAGTTGATAAAGCAGCAGCAGGGTTTGAAAGGATTTACTTCAATTTTGAAAGAAGTTCTGTGGGAACTATCAAATTTCATCACATGCTACAGAGAAATCTTGTGAAAGAAAGAGTCCATTGATATGCTAAATTTGTTTCTTATTTTAAGAAATTGCTGGGCCAGGTGAGGTGGCTCACACCTGTAACTCCAGCACTTTGGGAGGCTGAGGCAGGCGGGTCACCTGAGGTCAGGAGTTTGAGACCATCCTGGCCAACTTGGTGAAACCTCGTCTCTACTAAAAATACAAAAATTAGCTGGGTGTGTTGGCAGGCACCTGTAGTCCCAGCTATTTGGGAAGCTGAGGTGGGAGAATCACTTGAACCCAGAAGGCAGAGGTTGCAGTGAGCTGAGACCATGCCATTGCACTCCAGCCTGGGCAACAAGAACAAAACTCCATCTAAAAAAAAAAAAAAAAAAGAAAAGAAAAGAAAAAGAAAGAGAAAGAGAAAGAGAAAGAAAAAGAAATTGCCACAGCACCCAAACCTTGAGCAACCACCACCCTTATCAGCCATGGAAGTTGAGGCAAGACTCTCTAACCAGCAAGAAGATTGTGGCTTGCTGAAGGCTCAGATGATTGCATTTTTTAGCAATAAAGTATTTCTAATTAAAGTAAGTACATTTTAAAGACATGATGCTATTGCACACTTAATAAACTACAATGTGGTGTAGATATAACTTTTATATACACTGGGAAACAAAAAAGTTATGTGACTTACTTTATTGCAATATTTGCTTTATTGTGGTGGTCTGGATCTGAACCCACAATATCTCTGAGGTATACCTGTATATATGCTAAAGAATTTCACTCTTTATTTTGGGTTCTGCATCAGATAGGTCTTCTTTTTGAATGCTTCTGACATTGTGCCTCTGGGTATTACTGCTAGTTACTCTGAGCCTAGGACTCAGTTTCTCAGAACTGAGCTTCTCCCAGCATGAGTCATTCTTTTTTTTTTTTTAATAGAGCTGATAATCAGCTCTGTATATTTTATGTCAATTCCAGAATAAGCCATTGAAGGAACAGGGCCTTAGTTGCCTCATTTATAAAATCTTAGGGTTAGAGCACCTCAAACATTTAACTAAAAAAATTATTTATAATACCTGATCTAAAGACATAATAATCTTTTGCCAACTATGAGTTTTCTGTATTCATAAATTTATTTCTATGTAACTTGAAGTCAACTGTGAAAGTTTTGTTTTTAATGTAAGTAAATTGTGGGTCACACTTGATACAGAAAACTACAAAAAGAGACTGGAAAAGGTTAGAAAAGGAGGTAAGAGGAGTGGCTGAAGACATTAGGGGTTGATGTAGTGATGCCTAGCCTGAAAAGAGATAAAAATAAGGCTGGGTATACATAGGCCTTAGGAATCAGACATGACCTTCTGATTTAAAATCAGAAATGCACTGAGAATTTGTATACAAAGCCAAAAAGAAAATAATTATTGGTTTATGTACTATCTGTAGCAACCTAAAATTTGTTCATAAGCATCTGGTTAAAATTAGAGATTGGGGAAATTCTGAAAGATTTCCTAGAAATAAATTGTATATGGAAGTTAATAGCCCTCAATTCATAACAACCCATTTAAGATGCCTAAATAGCATTGGTATGTCTTTTGTTGTTGTTGATATTGCTATTGATTTATCTGGGGCCAAGTTAAAAACTTAATCATTTCTATAGGTTTGTTTGGTCTTTCAAACCTATTTTTCCCATTGGAACTCAAGGTTTTTAATATCAAAATCATAGGATTATTCAAGAACTTTATCCTTGGAACTGATGACAGATACATTATAGTTATGTCAGATGTTCTGAAAATGAATATGTTTTAGGAACTTCACAGGGCATACCAATTAGTAAATCAATCCAACAAAGCCCTGTTGGAGCCAAACCTCAATTATTTAACTACACTAAAAATTTTAACTTGCATTATTAGATTAAACGCTTAGCTGAATTTCATAATAGCTTAGAATCTGACTTTTTCTTTCCTCTTTTATTACTGAGAGAAATGCAATGTATGTTAACAAAAAATGTGGAACTTCTGAAAAATCCAGTAAAATTTCATTCCTCCTAGTGAATCATGAATGAGCTTCTTTTTCTTCTGGTTAGCATAGTGTATAGCATGTATCAAAGGCTACTAAGGAAATAAAATTTAGTACCATGGTTTACAACAGAATCAGCAAACTATGGTCCATGAGTCAAATATGGCCTTCTGCTTGTTTTTCTGTGGCCCATGCACTGACTGTGGTTTTCACATTTTTAAATGGTTGGAAAATTTCAAAAGAAGAATACTGTATTGTGACATAAAAAATTACGTAACATTCAAATTTGGTGTTCATAAATAAAGTTTTATTGGAACATAGCCATGTCCATTCATCTGTGTATCGTCCATGGCTGCTACAGTGGCAGAGTTCAGTGGCTACCACAGAGACCATATGGCTCTCAAAACCTGAAGGACTTACTGTTTAGCCCTTGGCAGAAAACATTTTCCTACCTCTAGTTTACAGGATTCTAAGAGACTTTTTTTAAAGAAAGATGTGTAAAATAGTATTTAAAACATAATATCCCATTATCTATTTAACCTATTAAATCTAGTATCTTTTAAAGGCTAATTCCTGTTATCACAACTGCTTATAGTAAGAAATCAATTCTATGTTATGCATTAGTAACAGTATAATAATTCCTGATTGTTCAGTTTGCTTAGCCTCAGAAATAATATGCATCAATGGTTAAAATCTTGCCAATACAAAAATTCTGTTTTAGATGAATTGTGTTTGTATCGAAAATATTTCTCTGAAAGAGTTATGATGCTTGGTGTGACGTTTCATAGACTATTGAAATGTGAGATTTCTTTTAGGGGAAGACTGCTTTATTCTTTCTGTTGGTGGGGTGGGAGGGCAACAAGCTTCAAGAGGAATTTACTTTCAGTCATAAGGAGCTTGAGAGACAACGTAATCAACACTGAAAAATCTTGGAAACTCTGAGAACCAAGGATAAGAGTTAGCAAATGTGGTCCACTGTGAATAAATGCTGAATAAGAGAACCTAGGAGAAGAAGATAAGAGGTAATAATATCTTTTAAACTTCGCAGCACTAAGGTGTAATGAAAAAGGAAGATCTAAGAGTTTTATAAAGGAAAAAAAAAGGCTCTTAAATCTTAATACCATAATGGAACTGCAGTAAGAAGACAAACTAGGTGCTGAGCTGTACACTGTTGTGGGAACAGTGTGTGATAAATCACGGAAGTGGTCATAGTGTGAGGGATGAAATTCACCCAATATTTAATACACTATCAGAATTCACCTTCAATACAATTTTGATGTGGTCCACAGATACCATGGATATAACTCACTATGTAGGTTTAAATTCTTTCTCAAATAAAGAAGAAAGTTTTTATTTCTGTGACAGAAGGCTTAAACACACAATTATGGCATTGTCATCTATCAGCTGTAATTTCCTGTCTAACCACAAATGATAGCTGTAATTTCCTGTCTAACCACAAATGATTTTAAATTTAGGTTGCGTGTACTTAATTTAATTCATTCCTTTGTGTATACATGTCGCATGAGCTACGAATTCAGATTTCCTTGTCTCATGTCTATGAAAGCTTTAAGAAAATGTTCTAAGCAAATCAGCTAATATTCTGTGGGATGTTTCATCAGTCAAGAAATTATTACATTATAAACTAACTATATGACATTCCTCAGGATCCATCTTTTCTTAAATGGTTGAAGAATAGTGTCACTACCCATTATTTCCAGTTACAAATTATGGTATATTATATTATGGAGAGACATTTTTATAAAAATCAAGTAAAATACAGATGAAATAAAAGAATATAAATCCAGGTTAAATAATTTTGTGAGGAGAAAGAAAATAGTTATCTATTATTAATAATAGAATATTATTAACAGCTGTAGGTATTACCTATGCAATTACATAATTAATTATTCCTTTTGCATAATAGACAAAATACTGAATAGATTGAACATGAAAAATATCAGCTATAAATTTGAGTTGTTTTAAGTAATATTAAATAAATACAGTTTTCTTAAAGGGGAAAATGCAATTGATTCTCTGGCATAAAAATCTTCTATTTTTTAATTTTTTTATGTAGATGTAATTTTCTTTTTTTTTATTATACTTTAAGTTCTGGGATACATGTGCAGAATGTGCACATGTATAGGTATACCTTACATAGGTATACACGTGCCATGGTGGTTTCCTGCACACATCAACCCATCATCTACATTAGGTATTTCTCCTAATGCTGTCCCTCCTCTAGCCCCTCACCTTCTGACAGGCCCCAGTGTGTGATGTTCCCTTCCCTGTGACCATGTGTTCTCATTGTTCAGCTCCCACTTATGTATGAGAACATGGAGTGGTTGTTTTTCTGTGTTCGTTTGCTGAGAATGAGGGTTTAGTTTGCTGAGAATGAGGGTTAGTTTGCTGAGAATGAGGGTTTCCAGCTTCATCCATGTTCCTGCAAAAGACATGAACTCATCCTTTTATTTGGTTGCATAGTATTCCATGGTGTATATGTGCCACATTTTCTTTATCCAGTCTTTTTTTTTGATGGACATTTGGGTCGGTTCAAAGTCTTTGCTATTGTAAACAGTGCTGCAATAAAGATACGTGTGCATGTGTCTTTATAGTAGCATGATTTATAATCTTTTGGGTATATACCCAGTAATGGGATTGCTAGGTCAAATGGTATTTCTGGTTCTAGATCCTTGAGGAATCACCACACTGTCTTCCACAATGGTTGAACTAATTTGCACTCCTACTACCAGTGTAAAAACGTTCATATTTCTCTCCATCCTCTCCAGCATCTGTTGTTTCCTGACTTTCTAATGATCACCATTTTAACTGGTGTGAGATGGTACCTCATTGTGGTTTTGATTTGCATTTCTCTAATTACCAGTGATTATGAGCTTTTTTTCATATGTTTGTTGGCTGCATAAATGTCGTCTTCTGAGAAGTGTCTGTTCATATCCTTTGCCCATTTTTTTGATGGGGTTGTTTGTCTTTTTCTTGTAAACTTGTTTAAGTTCTTTGTAGATTCTGGATACATTAGATTCTGTCAGATGGATAGATTGGAAAATTTTTTTCTCCCATTCTGTAGGTTGCCTGCTCACTCTGATGCGAGTTTCTTTTTCTTTAGAGAAACTCTTTAGTTTAATTATATCCCCTTTGTCAACTTTGGCTTTTGTTGCCATTGCTTTTGATGTTTCAGTCATGAAGTCTTTGCCCATGCCTATGTCCTGAATGGTATTGCTTGAGTTTTCCCAGAAATGCAAGGCTGGTTCAATATACACAAATCAATAAACATAATCCATCACATAAACAGGACCAATGACAAAAAACACATGATTATCTCAATACATGCAGAAAAGGCCTTCAACAAAATTTAACACCACTTCATGCTGAAAACTCTCAATAAACTAGGTACTGATGGAACATATCTCAAAATAATAAGAGCTATTTATGACAAACCCACAGCCAATATCATACTGAATAGGCAAAAGCTGGAAGTATTCTCTTTGAAAACCAGCACAAGACAAGGATGCCCTCTCTCATCACTCCTATTCAACATATTATTGGACGTTCTGGCCAGGGCAATCAGGCAAGAGAAAGAAATAAAGTATTCAAATAGGAAAAGAGGAAGTCAAATTGTCTCTGTTTGCAGATGACATGATTGTATATTTAGAAAATCCCATAATCTCAGCCCCAAATCTCCCTATGCTGATAAGCAACTTCAGTAAATTCTCAGGATACAAAATCAATGTGCAAAAATCACAAGCATTCCTATACACCATTAACAGACAAACAGAGGGCCAAATCATGAGTGAATTCCCATTCACAATTACTACAAAGAGAATAAAATACCTAGGAATACAACTTACAAGGGATATGAAGGTCCTCTTCAAGGGGTTGTAGTTCGTCAAGGAGAACTACTAACTATTGCTCAAGGAAATAAGAGAGGATACAAACAAATGGAAAAACATTCCATGCTCATGGATAGGAAGAATCAATATCATGAAAATGGCCATACTGCCCAAAGTAATTTATAGTTTCAATGCTATCCCTATCAAGCTACCAATGACTTTCTTCACAGAACTGGAGAAAACTACTTTACATTTAGTATGGAACCAATAAGGCTGCATAGTAAAAATAATCCTAATCCAAAAGAACAAAGCTGGAGGCATCACGCTACTGGACTTCAAACTATACTACAAGTGTACAGTAACCAAAACAGCATGGCACTGGTACCAAAACAGATATATAGACCAATGGAACATAACAGAGGCCTCAGAAATAACACCACACATCTACAACCATCTGATCTTTGACAAACCTGACAAAAACAAGCAATGGGGAAAGGATTCCCTATTTAATAAATGGTGTTGGGAAAACTGGCTAGCTGTTTGCAGAAAACTGAAACTGGACCCCTTCCTTACACCTTATACAAAAATTAACTCAAGATGAATTAAATACTTAAACGTAGGACCTAAAACCATAAAATTCCTAGAATCTTCCACTTTTAATCACTTGAGTAACATATAACACATGAGTATCTATTAACTGCCTTACACTGACTCATTATAAAAGCCTCAACTAAACATTTGTTAAATGCTCCATAAACTTATGTTTATAATTTTATATTCATTATAAAATACTTATGTAAACATTGCAAAGCCTTCAATGTATAACACTGAATCTATGTTAATGGTGAATGGTGACTACAGGAATGATTTTAAGAAATCTTAAAAACATCTTATTCCTTCATGGATGAACAATCAGAACTCATCCAATATTTATCTATGCAGACAGAAGGAAAGCAACCTTCCATTTTATCAGTAAGGATGTCTCAGAATTTGACTCTAAATGAATATATTTAATTTGAATGCAGCCTTTCACTCTTGAATATTCTGTCAAAGTTCTTAGATTTTTTATTGAACTGCTGTCTATTGAGGAAACTATTCTGAAATTGCAAATTCCTTGGAATCAAGTAATTATTTTTCTTTTCTTTTTATTTATGAAGGGAAATGGTAGAGTATATCTGATTAATTTTCTTTATTAACAAAGAACTCTGAGGGAAATGGTAGAGTATATCTGATTAATTTTCTTTATTAACAAATAACTCTTTTATTTCTAGTCCTCAGATACTTGTCAAGTGCCTTAATAAATATTAATATTTATATAATGGAGGAGTTCAACTAAGAGAAATGTGGACTAAAATGTCTGCACCTCTTAGAAATTCCCACACCCTTCCCCTTATCTAGCAGCAGCTAAATAAACTTGCTAATAGAATCTTTTACATACTTAAAAATGCATACTCTTATTGTTTCATAAAAAGTTTTATAATTACCTACATTTTAAAGAAATATTTTTATTCTCAGTGTTTTCAATTGGGAAGATTTTTTCATTTTGTTCACCAAAATGAGAATAAATTTAGAAAACAACAACAATAAGAAAGCGAGATCACATTTTCAGAATGGCAGAGTAAGAACCACCAAAAATCCAATCCTCCATTAAACTATGAGAACACTGGCAAAAAAATAAATAAATAAAAATGTCAAAATCAACTTTTTCAGAACTAGTAAAACTTACAGCAATTTGAGGAGTATTTATCCAGGAAACATGGCTGAATTCCAGAGAGAACAGTGAGTTTTGTGCCATTTTAACATTCCCTAATTCTTCCTATATCTGTTTTCTGAGATCTGCATGATATGCTTGAATATTATCAGCTTCACAACTATAGTAACTGTGAAAATGAGCATCTTAGCATTCATGGTAGAGGGACAGAATTGGTTTGGAGCTTTCCCAAAACCTTGTCCTCAGAGAACTGTCATAATTTGACCTATCAGGAAGCTTCCTAAAAAACTCCATTGTCAGGACTTTTAAAATTTGACCTGACTTGGAGTTCAGTCTGTCCCATCCTTAGGGAAATTTGCTGAAAACAATCACTAACAATTGTTTAGTATCACAGCTGCCTGAGGGGGCATCACCAAATAGAGATAATGAGAGACAGGCTAAAAACAATCTAAAAGGAAAAACTTTGGAATGTGATATTTGTAGGAGGTTTTCGAATACTCCAATATATAAATGGGAGTCTTGGAAGCCACATGCATATGAAGAATTGTGCATGTGCCCAGAAAAGATGTGAGAAAACCCTAATTTCTCATCTCTTGCTACACCTTAGGCTCTGTGTAAGTAGCACATGAAGGCTAAGGCAGTTGTAAACTGCCTGCCATATCATTTAATGTGTGCACAGTTTATACAAAAAGGCCCTCATGGAAGGCTGGGAAACTTAGTGATTCAAAGAATGTAAGGAAATCTGTGTCCAAGCATTGGCCGACAATTAGGCTGACTGATCAGAGTCGTTAGCAGCCATACACAACAAAGCATAAAGACTTTAAATAAGTCCAAGAAAGATACTAAACAAACTAGTCCAGGAAAGATACTCAATGAACTAACAACAACACCAAACAAGAACAAACTCTGCAGAGGAGGAAGAATGACTTCTAGAGTTGGTGCATTATATTATTTTGAATATCCAATTTTCAACAATAAATTATTATTTATGCAAAAAAATAGGAAAGCATGGCCCAAACAGAGTAAAATTCAGTCAACAGAAACTGTTCCTGATGAAGCACAGATATTGGACTTACTAGACAACAGCTTTAAACCAGCTGTTATAAATATGTCCAAAGAACCAAAGGAAACCATATCTAAAGAATTAAAGAAATTACAAAAATAATGTCTTGACAAACAGAAGATAATAATAAAAATATATGAATTTTAGAAAAAAGAGTCAAAAATATATTCTCAAGATCAAAAATACAATAACCATAATACAAAGTTTAGAGAGGGGCTCAGTAGCAGATTTGAACTAGCAGAAGAAAGAACTAGTTAACTTCAAGACAGATACATTGAGAATTTTCAGTCTGAGCAACAGAAAGAGAAAATAATGAAAAACTGTACAGAGACTTAGAAAACTGTGGAAAATCATCAAGCATAGCAATGTACTCACAATGAAAATTCAAAAAGAGAGAAAGGAGAAAAGAACAGAAAAAATATTTGAAGAAATAATGAACTAAAAATTCCCAAACTGTTTAAAGCCAAATATAAATAATTTGAAAGCAGCAAGAGTGAAGAAACTCATCACATACAAACAATGTGAGTTCTCGATAACATCAACAGATGAGTCTTATCGAAAATCATGAAGCTCAAGAGGTAATGAGAAGAAATGTTTAGTGTTCTGAAAGAAAAATTCTATCAAGAATTCAAAATTTAAATTAAAAAATTCAACACTATCTTTTCAAAATAGAGGATAAATTAAGATATTTCAGATAAACAAAAATCAGAATAAGAATTCAACAGTATTAGTTGGAGACTCAAATATTCATTTTCAAAAATGGACATAACTTAGTAGAAGATCAGCAAGGATACAGAATGACTCACTATCATTATAAATCAAATAAACCTAACAGACATCTATAAACATGTCAGAAAATAGCACTAGAATCCACATTCTTTGCAGGGCACATGGAACCTTCTTTGTGAAGTTAGGCCACAAAACAAGTATCAGTAAACATTGAAAAACTGAAGTCATTTAACATATTTTCTTAAATACAATGGAATAAAATTATAAATGATTAATAGAGGAAAATTTGGAAAATCTACAACTATGCAATGGCAATTAAACAACACAAACCTAAACAATTAGTGAGTCAAAAAAGAAATCAGAAAGGAAATTATAAAATCCTTCAAAAACAGTTAAATTGAAAACAGAACATACTGAAATGCATGAGATTCAGCTAAAGTGGTGAATAGAGAGAAATCTGTAGCTATAAACATATTTGAAAATAAAATAGAACTCAAATCAATAACCTAATCTTCTACCTTATAAAACTAGAAAAAGGAACAAATTGAACTCAAAGCAATCATAAGAAAGGAACTAATGAACATTAGAGTGCAAATAAGTAAAATGGATAATAGAAAAACAATAGAGATCAAGTACACCAAAAAATTGATTCTTTGAAAAGATTAACCAAATTTGCTAACTTTTAAGTAAACTGACTAAGAAAGAAGACTCAAATTAATAAAATCAAGAGTTAAAAAGGGAGTGTCATTACCAAACTCAAAGATATAAAAAGATTATAAGGGAATGAACAATAGTGTGTTAATGAATTATATAATCAAATAAAATGGACACATTTCTAGAAAGACATATCTTCCCAGAATCACTCAAGAAAACATAGAAAATATGAATACTATTAATGAGTAAATAGACTGAATTATTAAAAATCACAAAACTCCCCAAAAAGAGAATTGCAGGCCCAGATGTTTCCACAGATAAATTCCACCAAGCTTTTAAAGAAGAATTAACACCAGTCATTCACAAATTCTTCTTAAAAATGGAAGAGGAGGCAAAACTGTCCAAGTTATTTTCTGAGGCTATTACTCTGGTATAATAACCCAACAAATACATAAAAAATAAAGAAAATTACAGATAAATATCCCTTATGAATATGAACAAAACATCTCAGAAAATACTAGCAAATTTAATCCCACAACATATAAAAAGCATCATGACCAAGTGGGATTTATCCCAAGAATACAAGGTTGGTTTAACACAGGAAAATTAATCAAATCCATGGAATGCCCTACATTAATAAAAAACAAAACACAAGATAATATTTTCAATATATGTAGAAAAAGCATTGCACAAAATCTAACACCATCTAATGTCCCAACTGTAAACAAAGTAGAAATAGAAGAGAATACCCTCAACCTAATAAAGCCCATCTATGAAAAAAAAAAAAAAAATAACATCATACTTATTGGTGAAAAACTAGTGTTTTCCCCTTAAATCAGTAACAAGACAAATATGTATGCTCATACCACTTCTATTTTACATTATACTGGAGAGCCCAGCAAGAGCATTTAAGCTAAATGAAAAATAAATAGCATCTAGGTTGGAAAGAAAGAAGTAAATCTCTCTCTATTAACAGATTACATGAACTTTTATCTTGAAAATCCTGAGGAATACACACACACAAACACATGATTAGAAATAACAAGTGAATTCAGCAAGCAGAAGATCAATATACAAAAAATCATTTGTATTTTTATATATAATCAATGAACAATTGAAAAAGCAAATTAAAACAATTTTATTTATAATAGCATCAGGTAAAAATACTTGAGTAAATTTAACCAAAATGTACAAAACAAAACATTGCTGAAAAAAAGTAAAAGAAGACCTAAATAACTAGAAAGACAGCCTGTGAGCATGGATTAGAAGACTTATATTGTTAAGAGGCAATACCCCCCAACCCCCAAGGGATCTACAGATTCAATAAAATCACTATCAAAATCTCAACAGTCTTTTATGCAGAATTGTAAAAACTGATCCTAAGATACACATGGAATCTCAGGGGTCCCTGAATAACCAAAACCAACTTGAAAAGTAAAAATAAAGTAGCAGAGCTTATAAATTCCAATTTCATAACTTATTTAAACACTGTGGCAATGGCAAAAGGACAGACATATAGAACAGTTAAACAGAATTTGGGGTCCAGAAATAAATGCATACACATGTGGTCAATTGATTTTTGACAAGAATGCCAAGATAATTCAATGGGGAAATGAATAACCTTCTCAACAAGTGGTTCTGGGACAACTGTGTATCCACATGCCAGAGAATGAAGTTAGATCCCTTCCTCCAGCCATGTACAAATATAAACTAAAAATGTATCATAAATCTTAAATGGAAGAGCTAAAACTCTAAAACACTTAAATGGAAACATAGGTGTAAATCTTTATGACCTTGGATTAGGCAATGCTTTCTTAGATATCACACCAAAAGCACAAGTGACTAAAGAAAAGATAGATATACATGATTTCATCAAAATTAAAACTATTGTGCCTTAAAGAACATTATCAAGAAGGTAAAGAGGGAACTCATGTGATGGAAGAAAATATGTGCAAATCATATATCTGGTAATGGAGTGGTATTCAGAATATATAAAGACTTCATACAACTCAACAATAAAAAGACATGTAACTCAATTAACAAATGAGCAAACATTTGGATAGTCATTTTACCAAGGAAAGTTACCCTATGACTCGGTAATTCCACTCCTAGAGAGAAATGAAAATGTATGTCAACAGAAAACTTACACATGAATGTTCATAGCAACGTTATTCATAATAGCCAAAAAGTAGGACCAACAGCTAAAATAGTGTTACTTTTGAGGCATCAAATGTAATTGTTTCAGTGTTTTAAAGTGGCTTTTATGAAGGGTCTATGTCTGAAAGCTCCATTTTTTCCTTTCATAAACCAGTGTCATCCCATATGGAAAAAGTTCTGATATGAGTTACATAAGAATATTATCCCCTCTTGATACTGGGGACAGGAGAGGAAGAAACAGCACCCTAAACGACTATTTTGAGAATATTTGTTAATTGCACTCTTAGCTTGTTTATTTTCTTAACAGTTCATATCCAAGATAATTGTTAGTTAACATAGACTAGCAAGAATTTTATTTTTATTACTGAGCCCCACATTTACAACTGGTGTTTCCCTCCCCAAGCTTATTTGTTCATTTATTCAACAAGTACTAACTGAGAAATTTCCATGTGCAATGCATATGCTAGTGATGATGTATAGGTAACCAAAGCCAATACTGTTCTTGCTTTATGGAGCATACACTTTGGCAAGGGAGATAGACAATAATTGAGTATTTAAATATATGAAGGCATAAATAAACACTGCAAAGTGAGCAAATAAAATCCCTCCTAGGAGAATTTGTGACAAAGGAACCTGGTTGAATTCTTGCGTGCCATGGGTTCTTAGGAAATGACCTTTGAACTGAGATGGAGATAAATAGACATTAGTTAATTTAAGCAGAGACAGGGTAGGAGTAAGAGTGTCCCAGGCTGGTGGCCCCATCCAATGATTAGAAGGAGATTGATACATAAGAGCACTGTGAGAAGGCCCTTGTGTACACTGTCAAATTGGGCATGTAAGTCAGGGGTTGGGTGGGTGATAGAGTAGGCAGGGTCATATCTGTGCGGCCGGGTTTAGGACCTTGATTTCTATCCTAAGAACAATGGGAAACCATATAGGAACTGTGTGTTTTGGGGAGGATGGGCTGGGGACAGGATCAGATGCAGTTTGGAAAAGTTTCTTCGGCTGCTGTGGACAATGGATTTTAGTGGAGTGATAGTGAATGTGGGAATGATCATTAGGAGACTACTCTAGAGACCAAATAGGAGATGACACAGCGTGGACCAGTGTGGTAACTGATAGAGAGCAGTTGACAGATTTGAGAGATTTAGGAGAAAATCAAAAGGACTTTTGACTTTTGAAGGGTTAGATATTAAGAGTGAAAGAAATGACTCTAGAGTGCTTTGTACCTGTCTTATGTAATAGCGACGTTTTGCACTATATGCATCAACTCCTTACTCTCCACACCCATTAGAATATAAGAGCTTTGAAGATAGGAGCACTCCTATCTTTTCTGTATAATGAGGCATATTGCACAGAGAAGATATTCTGTACATACTTGATGATATATTAGTTTGAATTAAAAGCCAAAAGAAAGCCTTTAAACACTATTTAAAACATTTTTCTTCACAACCAATAATTTGGTGCTTCTAGCAGATATTATTATGTCTGAGTAGGACTAAGTAATTATTTATTTTACCTGGTCGTTAAGCAGCTACTGAGGCCAGCAGTTGGATGCAGAGAATATATATAATTTATTGACCCTTATTCAAAAACACAGTGAGCTGCCCAGTATACTTTAACTACATTTAGTTTTATTGCTCCCTAGAGAAACATTGTGTCATTGATTGTACATTTCATTTTGGACTGTCGAAAAATGAATTTCATTAATACCGAGTCTTTTATGATATCAATATAAATTTGGAATGTATAAAAACATTAATTCAGCGTATGCATCTAAACAGATGCCTCATATAATAGAAATGAACATTAAGGAAGGGTCACTGTGAACATTTGAAGCAGTCAAATAGGTTAAGTAATTATGAGAGAAATGAAATAGTGTCTGAGATCTCAGTCTACAGCTAACATTAAATTGCAAAAAAATGAACTCTGTTGATAAATCATTAGTGCTGGCAATCTCTTACTCTTTTCTCCTTCCAAAACATAATTATGTTAGTACCTCACTATTTTTAAAGGAGAAGACTAAAGCCTTAGGTACCAATAATATACCAATAATACATTGTGAAATTATTTTACCCAGAGGATTGCACCATTTTTTTAACGAGCATACATTTCTGTGTTCTGTACAACACAGATAATGACTTTAGAAATAAAGTAATGTAAATTTATAGTCAAAAAGTGTCAGTATCTATAGTTATGTTACTAGAGGAATTCTTAGGGCTATTTAGAAATTTTTGAATCTATGAGAATTCTATTGATAGTCAGGTTTTCTAGTTTCATGTCTAGATATGTGAGTACCTCAACCATTTCTATCTTGCCAGGGTAAGTTTCCTTTTTGAAAAAAATAGAAATAGCCATAGCTACTTAAGGCACTAACTAATAAATCTATTAGAGCCTGAAAGCACTATCTTCTTTTGTCTTCTCTTCAAATACAAAATCAAATTTTCTGTTTTTAAGGCCTTGTTTAAATGTTCCTCTTCCCTTGGAGAATACATGTGTAGCAATTAGACCAGAAACCTTTAATATTGACATAGAACACCTTATCGACCACTTGTGAAGCTGTTTCCTCTTAAACTGTATATGAATATGTCACAGAAAAATATGAAAGTATCATTAGAATTAAAACAATGAATATTTGAATTGTTACAATATTCACCTTCTTCCCCCAGATTCTAGGTGCTTACCATGACAGCACTTGGATGCACATTAGTTATGCACAATCAGATAATATTTTAAGCAGAGGAAATATTTGAGATGTTAGAGGTACTGAGTGATTTTATATTATAAACAGCTGAGAAATGAGGAGGGGGTGAGAGAGGAAGAAAAGCTGAATTTTGGACAATGGGGAATTGAGATTGGGAGAAATGAATTAGGGAACAGCTGCTATGTAAAGAAAATTAGGGTAGGGAGAAAAGAATTCTCAAGATACTAGCTGTGCATTAAAAATGTATTTATCTATGAAAGATTGAGTAAAGAATGGAAGTATTTTAATTATTTTCTTCCTGCATTAACTGTGATTCCATGAATTTAAAACCTCACTGAGCTTGGACCACTTGGGGCCCTTGGATTTATTCAGACTACACGCACATACACACATTTATATGCACGCAAACTCACACATACACATGGGCTAACGTACCCATTGAGTTGATGACAAATACAATAAGTTTTTAAAAATGTGTTTATTGGTGTATTTCCTTGGTTTATAGTAGTTAAATTATAAAAATTGGCTCTCATTGACTTCCAATTACCAAGATACTGTTGTTGGAGCACAGACCTAGCTAGATAGCCTCTTTTATTGCATTGCATATGAGTTAAAATAAATGTCAGGTAACTAAGGAAAATGCCATGTTATTTTTATACAACAACCTAGAGAAAGTATTGTGAGCCAAGAGTAGACTTTGTGATTTTCAGTCTCTTTCTAGACATTCCAACTTTAGAATGGATTTTAGCAGTGCCTTTTGTGTAAATATACCTTTGGTAGATAAGAAATCCTTTCATTCCTGAGCCTGGAGTGTAGGGTCAGTTAACTGAGGAGTAGCTGTTATGAAAGCTAGCTGGGATTTATTTGATTCTTTCCATTTTTTCTTCCTAACTCACTATGAGAACCTAGGCAGTATCCATTCACCTAAAAAAAAAACCACCTATGGAATCGGTTTGTATTCAGTTGTACTAAGAACTCTGTGGAGAACACTTAAATAGCCTGAGACATGCATTGAGTGCTGTTGTAACTCTTCCCCTTTATTCCATGGGCCTCTTCACATGAAAGGCTGATTGCTTTCTAAACTGTCTATTTGGGCAAGTAAAGTTGAATAGATTTATGTTCTCCCATCCTCCGTCTTACAATGGAACTTATAGATAAGGTCTTATCAGAATACATCTTCATACATTGCTGCTGGAGTATAAGTAGGTGCAGTCTTCCTTGTGGGGTAAATTCTGTATAATTCAAAGCTTCAAAATTGATACTACATTTTGTCCCAACAATTTCACTTTTAGAAATGTATTCTAAGGGAAAAAAATAAAAACTATATGCAATGACGTTCACATAAGATGCTAATAGATAATTATTTACAATAGTAAGAAACGTAAATATCTAGCACTGATTAGACTATAGTGTACTATACAGTACATCCATGTAAATATATGCTAGGTAACCATTAAAATTTATTTTCTGCAACATATATTATTTATTAATCACGGAAAATAATAATGAAAACAAGGCTACAAAATATATTATGGATACTTCCATTATCTAATTTTGCTTCTCTGTATTTTTCCATTTTTATTATAAATAATCCAAGCCAACTCTAGTTAAGCAAAAGGGAATTTATTTATTTATTTATTTTTTTTTTTTTTTTTTTTTGAGAGGCAGTCTCGCTCTGTTGCCCAGGCTGGAGTGCAGTGGCACAATCTCGGCTCACTGCAAGCTCCACCGGCCAGGTTCACACCATTCTCCTGCCTCCGCCTCCTGAGTAGCTGGGACTACTTAGCTGGGACTACAGGCGCCCGCCACCACGCCTGGCTAATTTTTTTTTTTGTATTTTATTAGAGACGGGGTTTCACCATGTTAGCCAGGATGGTATCGATTTCCTGACCTCGTGATCCGCCCGCCTCGGCCTTCCAAAGTGCTGGGATTACAGGCGTGAGCCACCGCGCCGGCCCAAAAAAGGGAATTTCTTAAAAGAATAGTGAAAGCTAGCTTGGGATTTGTTCAGAACCAAGAATCAGATGGGGGCTAGGAAATAGGAACCACAGTACAAAAATTAGGACAAAATCACCTTCAGTAAATGTTTTAATTTGGACAGAATCACCTCTTCTGCCTCTGCTGCTGTAACAAATGAGCTTTATATTTCTTCTCACCCTTGTGTCACTCAAGATTCAAAATCCCCAAATAAATGGTATTATTAGCCCAGCTTATACCATATCCCAGTCCCTGGCATTTTAGGAAAAGTAAAGAATCTGAGAATTTTCCATTTTCTGCTTTTCATTTTGGGATGTAGTAACCAGGAATTGCCCTTCTAACAGATATCAGGCAATAGGAATAAATTAATTTCCCCAGAGAAATTTAGAATGGAAGAAGTAGATGCCTGGTATTGCTCCAAATGGCAAATGTCCACCACAATATTTTACCTTTAAAAATAAAATTTACATTAAAAAGAAGAAAGAATAACTTATGGGACATCTACAGTATGTCTACATTGTTAGTTCTTTAGGGGTCGAAAAGAATTATATTTTGCTTATCTTCCAAAAAGAAACATCAGTTGAAAAGTCTACTATAACAGGAGATAGAAATTATTTCCTCTCATACAGGAAAACGGGATATGCATTATAACATCATTTATCAATATCTATTTATCTCATGAGATACAATGTTTTCTTGCTTTCAGTTCATCTTTGAACTTTGAATATAAATCCTCTGTGTGTCATTGTTGATAATGACATCTCAAAAGAACCCTGCTAAGCTCTATCATTGTCATTCTTGATTTGGAAGAAAAATCATATTTATGAAAGCCATATAAGACAATTGATGGAAATGTAGTTTTGCTAACATCATTTGAAAATAGCCTTAAAATATTTTCACCATCTGCTGTGTTACAGAGACCACGAGGTGTCCTCCAAGTAGATCCTCTCAATGCAACCTTGAGAACCCCAGTCCATCTGCTCTAAATTAAAACTAAACTAGTTAGTACCTAGGTACTTGGTTCAGAGCCAATATATCTCTAGGATGCAATGGAAAGTTTGAAGTGATTTGAGATGGCTTTTATGTCAGTGAGTTTGATGCACCATAAAGTTGAGAATATAATTGCAGGTGGAGTGGAAGCCAAAGTTTGAGTATGAAAGGTTGCTCCATATTTTTGCTTGTCTTTTGTCCACCCTTAAGTATAACGAGATTATAAAAACCATGGAGCTAAATAAAATCTTTAGCCAATTAGTATGTATTTGCTGTAAGCATTGATGTAAGTGGCTCTGGATACAGATTTTTTTTAAAGTATCATATTATTTGAGTCTCTAAAACTGCCCAGATATTTGTATTTTCCAAAATGGAATTGATATTTTAACAATTTATGTGGTGTTGTTTACAACTTATCCCTTCCTGTTTTAGAAATAGTTGTGTTTTCCCTGAAACTCCTTTTTATTAGAATGTTTAGAGGCAAGATTTTTAATGATATTATTATTGAAAGAGAGTCTGGCTCCACCAAGGCTGGAGTGCAGTGGCGTGATCTCAGCTCACTGCAACCTCCACTTCCTGGGTTCAAGTCATACTCCCCACCTCAGCATCCTGAGTAGCTGGGACTACAGGCACACACCACCATGCATGGCTAATTTTTATATATTTTTTGTAGAGATGGGGTCTTGCCATGTTGCCCAGGCTGGTCTTGAACTCCTGGGCTCAAACGATCTGCCCACATCAGCCTCCCAAAGTGTTGGGATTACAGATGTGAGCCACCACTCCCAGCCTAATGATATAATTATATTCACTACTATTATTTTGTTTTTCTAAATCAGAGGAATCTGATACAATCCTGACTGACAGGTTTCTATGGCAAATAGTGTTGCCTACCCACAAGCTGACTCCAACTCATGTGGTAACATGAGATTCTTTGTTCTCATGGAAGGTAAGAGTTCCTTCATCCTGGGAGACAAATCATGATTGCTCTAAGGCATTCATGGAAATTTCATTCCCCTCTGTTAGTAATACATCCAGGAGTGAACATGTGATCCAGCTCTGGTCAATAAGACATAATGGGAAATCATCTGAGTGGCTTCTGAAAAAGACTGATTTACTGAATAAAAAGAGAGAAGATCGAGAAGAGAAGGTTGTTTTTCCCCTGCTACATAGTTCTTTCCATGAGTGTGGTTGTGGGAGGATTTGACAATTGGAGCTGAAGCAGCCATCTTACATCCATAAGGTAAAAACCTATAGAAAAATATTAGAATGAAAGAACAAGACAGAAAGATTTAGTTTCTCATGAAATATTTGAACCATTATACCAAACTCTGGAAGTACCAACCTTCAGAGTTCTTGTTATGTAAGATAATTAAATATCTTCATTAATTAAGCCACAGTTAGTTGGATGTCTCTATATCGTAGCTGAATTCACCCTAACAGAGATAGATCCTAAATATTAACTGAATTATACTGCAAATAGTCCTCAGATTTCCTGTTTGGCTTTCCCATCATGCATGTTTGACTTTCCGACAACATGTATTGATCAGAAAGTGTGTAATGTATGTAAGAGCAAATATCCTCACATTGATTTTCACATACTTAATTCAACTTTTCATGCTTCAGTTGACAAATATTTCTAGCTATTGTATCATAGTACTTCCTTTCAGCCAACCATTTGAGCTGAGTAAACATCTTTACACATCAATTTTTGCTTAAATACTTGAGTATTTTATTACATTTCTCCTCATCTTACAAATGAATAGAAAGCAGAGAAGAGAAAACATTAAGAATAACTTTTGAATGAAATGTCAATTGCATAAGGTCAACATAATTGAGATAAAAATGAAATAATTAGATGTGTAAAAAAGCATGTATCCTTTACCTTTATCTGATGCCTATTGGACTAAAGTTAATTCACTGTGGGTTCAATTATGAAGAAGAATAAAATAGAATATTATGTTTATTATAAAATATTTGCAGCATGTATTTAAAGATGGTGTTTAAAGTCAGGGCTACATAGGCACATTTGATCATATTTAGATGCCTAAGATGGTAACTCTCTTTTTGGTTATTATTTCAACAAAAAGCTGTTGAACGTTCAGTGTATGATAAGGTGGCAACAAGGTAAAATGACAAACAAGTGACAAGCGAGATAAAATATAGTCCCTTTTTTTCTGAAACTTGTAACCTAGTGGGGCATATAAATTTACATTTTGAAATTCTCTGTCTGGGTATTATGAAGAATTGTGCATTATTGTCATTATTGTAGGAGCAGACTTGCCTAGTCTTTGAAAATCTATGAGGTTGTCTCTGAAAGAAGTGGCATTTAAACTGACATCAAAAAGATTAATAAGAATAAGACTGGAAGAAAGAAGTTAGGAAGAAGAAGTCTGTGCTAGAAAGAACATATGTGAAAGCTCTGAGATAGCTGAGAGGACTCTACGAAATCTAGTATGGTCAAGAAATTAGAAAAGAAAAGAGAAAAGAGAGGATGGCATAAGATGGGGTTGGAGGGGCAGGGGGGTGCCCAGATCATGCAGGTCTTTATCCGCCTAGACACAAAGGAGAACATGGGAAAGATTTTAAGAAGGGAAGTATCATAATTCTGTTTTTAAAAGACTCCCTGCAGTATTGTGCAAAATGAACTTGAGAGGAGCAAGAATAGAAGATATAAGATTTCTGCAGTAGTCCTTGTAAAAGATAAAAGTGTGAGGAGAATGGAGTTGGCAGAAGTGGACAGGTTCAAGAGATGTTTAGGAAATAGAATTAAGAGACTTAGTCTTCAAGGGAATGAACATATATAACTCGTTATCCAAACTGAAATGATTTTGAGAATAAAAATTAACAATCAAGTCTCAGTTAAATAAAGACTGTCCTGTGAAAAAACAGAACGTATGGTCACTATGGGCCTAAGAGTTAGTGGAGAACAAGGAAGAACCAAATTCAACACCTAATCCCCTTTTCAACATATAAATTTCTGGCAGTAATTACCTTTTCCACTGGCCAATCTCAGGAGTCACTTAAATTCTTATGTTAATTTATGAATTTATTGGTATACTCCAATAGCTAGTTTTCTTGATATTAGGCATCTCCTGCATAGACTTGGCCCCAAGGGTTTAATTCTTGAAGACAAATGCATGGTGCTTATAAGATTTTAGATGACATAAGCAAGCTCTTTTTTTATACAGCATCTCTCTTAGCCTTTGTTTTTTTTGTTGTTGTTGTTGTTTGTTTTTGTTTTTGTCTTTTTGACTCTCCTACAGAAAAGAAATCTGTGTCAAATGCATACTTTTTCCTAGGTGCTACTGTGATTTAGGGATCAAATTTAAAGATCATTCAACTGGAACAGGGACAACTACTGAACCTAGCCTTTAGTCAGCCTCCTCTCTAGAGATTTACAAGGGCAGCTGCTAAGAGTTGCACTTCATTATATAGTTTTACAAAGCATTTCTGCTTTATATACTGTCCAGGATTAAATGTGTTCTACATGTCATGCAAAAACTTTGCTGCTATGCCGAATATTTCATCTTACTTCTGCCTGGTCTATGCATAATCATACTTTGCTAATTGCACTAAAAAATACTGTTCTTATTTGCTCCTCTCTTTCCAGGTAAATAATTTGTTTTTTAATAACTAGTTTTATTTTTATGCTCAGATTTTTTGAATAGTGTCTTCTAGCAATATTTTCTGATTGTTGATATCATCAGTTCCTATGATTTACCTTTCTCATACATCAACCACATAGTAGTCTTCCTACCAGAAATTAGAAAGGAAAATTCATTTTAAGAAGACAATATTACAAAATAATTATAACCAATTAACTGAAAATAAATTGAAGGGTAGTTCTGCTTTAGGAAGAATGTGGCAATAACAGCCTTCAATTTACCAAAGAAGGTACTAAATCTGATATACTATACAAGATCTCCAATTAAATAGCAGGTGATTTAGTATCTTGATTACTTTGGAAGAGTCATGTTTTCCCAGGTTTATATAGAAAAATTGCCTTTTTGGACTTGTTGGCAAGATGGCCAAATAGGAACAGCTCCAGTCTGCAGGTCCCAGCAAGATTGGCACAGAAGGCGAGTGATTTCTGCATTTCCAACTGAGGTACCAGGTTCATTTCATTGAGACTGGTTGGACAGTGGGTGCAGCCCATGGAGGGCAAGCTGAAGCAGAGTGGGGCATCGCATCACCCTGGAAGCACAAGGGGTAGGGGGATTTCCCTTTCCTGGCCAAGGGAAGCCATGAGAGACTGTACTAGCAGGAACAGTGCACTCTAGCCCAGATACTGCACTTTTCACACAGTCTTCACAACTGACAGAACAAGAGATTCCCTCCAGTACCTGGCTCAGTGGGTCCCACCCCCACGGAGCCCAGTAAGCTAAGATCCACAGGCTTGAAATTTTCGCTACTAGCACAGCAGTCTGAAGTTGAACTGGGAGGCTCCAACATGGTGGGGAGGGGTGTCTGCCATTGCTGAGGCTTGAGTAGGTGGTTTTCCCCTCACAGTGTAAACAAAGCCACCAGGAAGTTTGAACTGGGTGGAGCCCACCACAGCTCCGTAAGGCCGCGGCAGCCAGACTGCCTCTCTAGATTTCCTCCTCTCTGGGCAGGGCATCTCTGGAAAAAAAAAAAAAAAATTGCAGGAAGCCCAGTCAGGGACTTATAGATAAAACCCCCATTTCCCTGGGACAGAGCACCTGGGGGAAGGGGCGGCTGTGGGCATAGCTTCAGCAGACTTACACATCCCTGCCTGACAGCTCTGAAGAGAGTAGCAGATCTCCCAGCACAGCGTTCGAGCTCTGATAAGGGACAGGCTGCTTCCTCAAGTGGGTCCCTGACCCCCGTGTATCCTGACTAGGAGACACCTCCCAGCAGGGGCCAACAGACACCTCATACAGGAGAGCTATGGCTGGCATCTGGGGGGGTGCCCCTCTAGGACGAAGCTTCCAGAGTAAGGAACATCCAGCAATCTTTGCTGTTCTGCAGCCTCCACCAGTGATACCCAGGCAAACAGGGTCTGGAGCAAAGCTCCAGCAAAATCCAGCAGACCTGCAGAACAGCAGCCTTATTTTAGAAGGAAAACTAGCAAACAGAAAGGAATAGTAGCAACATCAACAATAAAGGACATCCACTCACAGACCCCATCCAAAGGTCACCAACATCAAAGACCAAAGGTAGATAAATCCACGAAGATGGGGCGAAACCAGTGCAATAAGGCTGAAAACTCCAAAAACCAGAACGCCTCTTCTCCTTCGAAGGATCACAACTCCTCGCCAGCAAAGGAACAAGACTGGATGGAGAATGAGTTTGATGAATTGACAGAAGTAGGCTTCAGAAGGTGGGTAATAACAAACTCTTCTGAGCTAGAGGAGCATGTTCTAACCCAATGCAAGGAAGCTAAGAACCTTGAAAAAAGGTTAGACGATTGCTAACTAGAATAACCAGTATAGAGAAGAGCATAAATGACCTGATGGGCTGGGCGCGGTGGCTCACACCTGTAATCCCAGCACTTTGGGAGGCTGAGGTGGGTGGATCACAAGGTCAGGAGCTCGAGACCATCCTGGCTAACACAGTGAAACCCCGTCTCTACTAAAAATACAAAAAATTGGCTGGGTGTGGTGGTGGGCGCCTGTAGTCCCAGCTATTCAGAAGGCTGATGCAAGAGAATGGTGTAAACCCGGGAGGTGGAGCTTGCAGTGAGCCGAGATCGTGCCACTGCACTCCAGCCTGGGTGACAGAGCAAGATTCTGTCTCAAATAAATAAATAAATAATAAAAATAAAAATAATAAAAAATAAAAAAATGACCTGATGGAGCTGAAAACACAACACGAGAACTTTGTGAAGCATATACAAGTATCAATAGCTGAATCGATCAAGCAGAAGAAAGGATATCAGAGATTGAAGAGCAACTTAATGAAATAAAGTGAGAAGACAAGATTAGAGAAAAAAGAATGAAAAGAAATGAACAAAGACTCCAAGAAACATGGGACTATGTGAAAAGGCAAAATGTACGTTTGATTGATGTACCTGAAAGTGATGGGGAGAATGGAACCAAGTTGGAAAACACTCTTCAGGATATTATCCAGGAGAACTTCCACAGCCTAGCAAGGCAGGCCAACATTCAAATTCAGGAAATACAGAGAACACGACAAAGATACTCCTTGAGAAGAGCAAACCCCAAGACACATAATCATTAGATTCACAAAGGTTGAAATGAAGGAAAAAAGTTAAGGGTAGGCAGAGAGAAAGGTTGGGTTACCCACAAATAGAAGCCCATCAGACTAACAGCAGATCTCTTGTCAGAAACCCTACAAGCCAGAAGAGAGTGGGGGCCAATATTTAACATTCTTAAAGAAAAGAATTTTCAACCCAGAATTACATATCCATCCAAACTAAGCTTCATAAGCAAAGGAGAAATAAAATCCTTTACAGACAAGCAAATGCTGAGAGATTTTGTCACCACCAGGCCTGCCTTTCAAGAGCTCCTGAAGGAAGCAGTAAACATCGAAAGGAACAAGCAGTAGCAGCCACTGCAAAAACATACCAAATTGTAAAGACCATCAATGCTATGAAGAAACTGCATCAATTAACAGGCAAAATAACAAGCTAGCATCATAATGACAGGATCAAATTCACACATAACAATATCAAATGTAATGTTTGTAAATGTAAATGGGGTAATTGCCCCAATTAAAAGACACAGACAGGCAAATTGGATAGAGTCAAGACCCATCGGTGTGTTGTATTCAGGAGACCCATTTCACATGCAAAGACACAAATAAGCTCAAAATAAAAGGATGGAGGAATATTTACCAAGCAAATGGAAAGCAAAAAAAGCAGGGGTTACAATCCTAGTCTCTGATAAAACAGACTTTAAACCAACAAAGATCCAAGAGACAAAGAAGGGAATTATATAATGGCAAAGGGATCAATGCAACAAGAAGAGCTAACTGTCCTAAATATATATGCGCCCAATACAGGAGCACCCAGATTCATAAAGCAAGTTCTTAGAGACGTACAAAGAGGCTTAGACTCCCACACAATACTAGTAGGAGAATTTAACACCCCACTGTCCACACTGGACAGGTCAACGAGACAGAAAATTAACAAAGATATGCAGGACTTGAACTCAGCTCTGGATCAAGCAGACCTAATAGACATCTACAGAACTCTCTACCCCAAATCAACAGAATATACATTCTTCTCAGCACTACACCACACCACACTTATTCTAACATTGACCACGTAATTGGAAGTAAAAAAAAAAAAAACTCAGCCAATGCAAAAGAATGGAAATCATAACAAACAGTCTCTCAGACCACAGTGTAATCAAATTAGAACTCAGGATTAAGAAACTCACTCAAAACTGCACATCTACATGGAAACTGTACAACCTGCTTCTGAATAACTACTGGGTAAATAACGAAATGAAAGCAGAAATAAAGATGTTATTTGAAACCAATGAAAACAAAGACACAACGTACCAGAATCTCTGGGACAAATTTAAAGCAGTGTGTGGAGGGAAATTTATAGCACTAAATGCCCACAAGAGAAAGCAGGAAAGATCTAAAATCGACACCCTACCATCACAATTAAAAGAACTGGAGAAATAAGAGCAAACAAATTCAAAAGCTAGCAGAAGACAAGAAATAACTAAGATCAGAGCAGAATGGAAAGAGATACACACACAAAAAACCCTTCAAAAAATCAATTAATCCAGGCGGTGGTTTTTTGAAAAGATCAACAAAATAGACCACTAGCCAGACTAATAAAGAAGAAAAAAGAGAAGAAGCTAATAAATGCAATAAAAAATGGTAAAGGGGATATCACCACTGATCCCACAAAAATACAAACTACCATCAAACACCTCTATGCAAATAAACTAGAAAATCTAGAAGAAATGGATAAATTCCTGGACACATACAGCCTCCCAAGTCTAAACCAGGAAGACGTTGAATCCCTGAATAGACCAATAACAAGTTCTGAAATTAAGGCAATATTTAATAGCCTACCAACAAAAAGAAGTCCAGGACCAGATGGATTCACAGCCGAATTCTACCAGAGGTACAAAGAGGAGTTAGTACCATTCCTTCTGAAAGTATTCCAAACAACAGAAAAAGAGGGAATCCTCCCAACTCATTTTATGAGGCCAGCATCATCCTGATACCAAAACCTGGCAGAGACACAACAAGAAAGGAAAATTTCAGGCCAATATCCCTGATGAACATCGATGTGAAAATCCTCAATCAAATACTGGCAAACTGAATCCAGCAACACATCAAAAAGCTTATCCACCAAGATCAAGTTGGCTTCATCCCTAGGATGCAAGCCTGGTTCAAAATATGCAAATCAATACATGTAATCCATCTCATAAACAGAACCAATGACAAAAACCACATGATTATCTCAATAGATGCAGAAAAGGCCTTTGACAAAATTCAACAGCATTTCATGCTAAAAAATCTCAATAAACTAGGTATTGATGGAATGTATCTCAAAATACTAAGAGCTATTTAGGTCAAACCCACAACCAATATCATACTGAATGGGCAAAAGCTGGAAGCATTCCCTTTGAAAACTGGTACAAGACAAGGATGCCTTCTCTCACCACTCATGTTCAACATAGTATTGGAAGTTCTGGCCAGGATGATCAGGCAAGAGAAAGAAATAAATGGTATTCAATTAGGAAAAGAGGAAGTCAAATTGTCTCTGTTTGCAGTTGACATGATTGTATATTTAGAAAACCCCATCATCTCAGCCCTGAATCTCCCTAAGCTGATAAGCAACTTCAGCAAAGTCTCGGGATACAAAATCAATGTGCAAAAATCACAAGCATTCCTATACACCATTAACAGACAAACAGAGAGCCAAATCATGAGTGAACTCCCATTCACAATTGCTACAAAGAGAATAAAATACCTACGAATACAACTTACAAGGGATGTAAAGGACCTCTTCAAGGAGAACTACAAACCACTGCTCAAGGAAATAAGAGAGGACACAAATGGAAAAACATTCCATGCTCATGGATAGGAAGAATCAATATCATGAAAATGGCCATACTGCCCAAAGTAATTTTTAGTTTCAATGCTCTCCCCAACAAGCTGTCATTGACTTGCTTCACAGAATTGGATAAAACTACTTTATATTTAATATGGAAGCAAAAAAGAGCCCTCATATCCAAGACAATCCTAATCCAAAAGAACAAAGCTGGAGGCATCATGCCACCTGTTTCAAACTATACTACAAGTGTACAGTAACCAAAACAGCATGGTACTGGCACCAAAACAGATATATAGACCAATGGAACAGAACAGGGGCCTCAGAAATAACACCACACATCTACAACCATCTGTTTTTTGACAAATATGACAAAAACAAGCAATGGGGAAAGGATTCCCTATTTAATGAATGGTGTTGGGAAAACTGGCTAGCCATATGCATAAAGCTGAAACTGGATCCCTTCCTTACACCTTGTACAAAAATGAACTCAAGATAGATTAAAGATTTAAACATAAGACCTGAAACCATAAAAACCCTAGAAGAAAATCTAGGCAATACCATTCAGGACATACACATGGGCAAAGACTTAATGACTAAAACACCAAAAGCAATGGCAACAAAACCCAAAAGAGACAAATGGGATCTAATTAAACTAAAGAGCTTCTGCACAGCAAAAGAAACTACCATCAGAGTGAACAGGAGCTTCTGCACAGCAAAGGAAACTATCATCAGTGTGAACAGGCAACCTACAGAATGGGAGAAAATGTTTGCAATCTATCCATCTGAAAAAGGGCTAATATCCAGAATCTACAAAGAACTTAAACAAATTTACAAGAAAAAAAAATAACCCCATCAAAAAGTGGGTGAAGGATATGAACAGACACTTCTCAAAAGAAGACATTTATGCAGTCAACAATCATATGAAAAAATGTTCATCATCACTGGTCATTAAAGAAATGCAAAAAAAAAAAAAACACCACACTGAGATATCATCTCACACTGGTTAGAATGGCAACCATTATAAAGTCAGGAAACAATAGATGCTGGAGAGGATGTGGAGAAACGGGAATGCATTTACACTGTTGGTGGGAGTGTAAATTAGTTCAACCATTGTGGCAGACACTATGGCGATTCCTCAAGGATCTAGAACTAGAAACACCATTTGTCCCAGCAGTCCCATTACTGGGTATATACCCAAAGGATTATAAATCATGCTACTATAAAGACACATACACGTGTATGTTTACTGCGGGACTGTTCACAGTAGCAAAGACTTGGAACCAACTCAAATGCCCATCAATAATAGACTGGATAAAGAAAATGTGGCACATATACACCATGGAATACTATGCAGCCATAAAAAAGGATGAGTTCTTGTCCTTTGCAGGGACATGGATGAAGCTGGAAACCATCATTCTCAGCAAACTAACACCAGAAGAGAAAACCAAACACTGCATGTTTTCACTCATAAGTGGGAGTTGAGCAATGAGAACACATGGACACATGGATGAGAACATCACACACTGGGGATTTCATGGGGTGTGGGGCTAGGGGAAGGATAGCATTAGGAGAAATACTTAATGTAGATGACAGGTTGATGGGCGCAGCAAACCACTATGGCACATGTATGCCTATGTAGCAAACCTGCACATTCTGCACATGTACCTGAAAACTTAAAGTATAATAAAAAAGAAAAATTGCTTTTTTGGTATTATATATGAGAATAGTTTCAATTAACCATATTATAATAAAAATAATATTAAAACACAATAAACTGCAAGTTCTTGATGTCTGTTTGGAACCAACAAGGAAAAATATGCATTCATTCAATATGTGTAATTTGAGTACCTTCCATGTGTCAGCTACCATGTTAAGCATTAGGCAAACAAATATGATTAAGATATTCTTCCTGCCCTCTAGCAGTTTTCAGTCTAGCTTGTTTATAAGCAAATAAGTACAATTAAGTTTTTTATATATTCTATTACAGTCTCCAAAGTGTATACCAACTAGTGGCTACTTTAACCTGTAGAGATCATAAAACAACTGTATAATGGAATGGATACCTAAGCATAGTTTATGGCAATCAGTTTTCTTTTTGAAATGGATAGATTAGAGTTAGTGTATTCATATTGGGTATTGGCTGAGCCCATGTAACAAAAAGACCCACAAATACAGTGACTCACAAAAGCTGACTCCTACAATACAGTACAGAAATAGGAAGGTAATCTAGTGTGAATAAATAGCTCTGCAGCATAGTTTGTTTGGAGACCAGGTTTCATCTGTTTTGTAGTTCCACCAATAATTAGGGTATTACACTAGATCACATGGACTGTAGGTACACATTCCTGACCAAAGTGGGGCAAAGAGGAAGCAGTGAACAAGTACATTATTTCAAGAATATTACAGACAAATTTAACACATCACTTCTGTTCATATCCAATTATCTACAACCTAGTGAAACAGCCGAATCTAGCCACCAACAAAGTCAGAAGTGCAGTTTCAAGCTAAATGACCCTGCTAAAATTCATGTGTCAGAGGAGGCAATTCTGTTACTTCACAGGGAGAAGGAATAATGGATTGTCAAGGAAAATTAGTCTCTGACACAACTTGGAAGAATGCCTAGGTGGAGCAAAAACCAAGAGTACAAATGTAGTTATGCACAGACTTGTAGGGTTCTATGTGTATAATACATGGAAGTTTTTAAAATATTGAACATATGTAGATTGATTCTTTATGATTCGGACTGAAAATCATTATATAGACATTTAAGCAAAACACCTAATCTTCTTCCTCTTCTAAAAAGATAAATGTGTTCAACATTCTGGGATCCGGTTTAGGCACTTGGCTAAAACCAACTCTGTGGTCTTATGCAAGTCATTGAACTTTGAGCTTTAGATTTCTCCTCTCTATACTGGGAAGAGGGAATAACCACATGACATCCTTGTTTTTTCTTTCTGTATAAATGTTTTATGACTCAATTTGTAATACTACTTTCTACTTAATTATATTAAAGTGAGCAACACATTGAAGATCTAGTGTTTTACCACTAGATCTTCAGCAGATTTTTTTTCTATAGTGAGATGGAATAGCTAGAAATATTCTCTGTAGTACAAAGAAAGCATTCCATGTGACTATATATTTTTTATTGTATCATCTGTGACACTCATGCTTTTGCAGCTGGCTCAAAAGACATAATTTCTCATCAAAAGTATCAACACTGGCATTTTTGAAGCTATATACGTGAGATATCTTCAATATCCTTACTTGAGCACACGTTCACGAAGTTTGATGTGATCTCTATGCCAGAACTCAATTCAAAAATTAAGCTAGATTTAAAATGTAGAAACTTCCTTTAGACAAGGGCTATATGATAAGTAAATTGTGGCTTTATAAGAATTTTAGTACTTACTATTTATCATTTCAAGTTTGTTTTTTGAAGTAGATCTAGTCTGTTTGCAAATGTGGTTGCTTATTGGCAGAGGCTTGGTTTGTGTTAACGTTTTAATTTGAGAAGCAGATGGATTGGTGTAGAAATATGTTTAGCTTAGGAAAATAGGTATGGTAATATCCTAAAGGAAATTCAACTGTTTGATTTCAGCGATAAAGTATGAAAAATACAGAGTAGCTTAAATATATTGGCTCATTTCTCTCTTAAAAAATCAGTAAATTAATAAAACCATGCCTTTGCCTCCTTCCTAGTTGCCTCTCCAAGCTTTCTAATATTCACTCTGTACTGATAAAGTAACTCAATTAGCTGGCCACTAGGGGTGTTAGGATTTTGCCCAGAGGAGAAAAATCTGTGGGTCAATTTCAAACTTCACCATGGATACCAGAGTGATTTACACTTTGTAATGTAATCCTTTTGACATAAAAAATACATATTTTGTTTAAATAGAAGAAGCTATGCAGCTTTGATGAGACTGCATATTTTATTTTTTAAAAAAAGGTTTTCTGTAGCTGCAGTACAATTTTGATTTGGCTGATGATAATATGAGGCAACTGGAATCCGAAGGAATCATAAACCCAGTCACACATTTGTTGGAAACACACTGTTGGAAGAGCAGATTGCAATGAGTAAGTAGGTGAGCCACACTGCTGCATCAGCCCAGTCTTACAGAAAAATGAATAAAATGAAGCCAGGACAAAATGAGTCTTCTCAGTACACCCTATTGCCATTTTTGCAAATTACTTTTGAATTTTAGATTTAGGGTTTGTAGAATCATCCAGCATGGACCTTTCATTGGAGTTTATCAAGCAGCATAAGGAAAGCATACATAAGCAGTAGCCCTTCTAAAACAAGCAAAAAAATAGTTGAATCCTAATTGACTTTCACTGGGTGGTTGTTTCTTTCTTTTAGGAGTTTGTGAACAGAGTTGAACTACATGCTTCCCATTACTAAGATAGGAATTAGCATCATCAAATTTCAGAATAGCTGTTTCCTCATTGCACTCATCATTCACCCAACCCTTGTCAGAACACGGATGGGAGTAAGAACAGGAAACATCGATGACAGGGAGGAGGTGGAAGGAGCTTCCTCGCTGGCATGGAGGTGCATGGATGCACCTGGATTGTTTTGTTTTCAAATTATAGACTCATGAAAATATATATTTTTCTCTTTTTAAAAATGAATAGACTATGTTTAAAGCAGTTTTAGGTTTACAAATAACTGAGCAGAAAATACAAAAAGTTTTAATCTTTTGCATTTTTCAAAACAAGGATTAATTTCACCATTTCCATTCAATGAAAATAAAGTATCTTTTGCATAGGTTTTTAAGAAGAACAGAAAACAAGGATGACAGGGAGGAGCCAGACGGAGCTTCAAAAAACTACCACAAAAGTACCACGTCTTTTTCAAGTCATCTCTATACAGTTTCACTGTAATGTTCATATGTTTTCTTCTTATGACATTCCAATGGCAGAAATGGCAATATGTAGATAGAGGGGATAGAGTGGTACAATTGTGATCTACTGTAGACATGAAGTATGGGCTGAACATTTGTAAGCAATTGTGGACTTGGGGTATGAGCTGTGGCATTGGAATCAATAATGGACGTAGGTATGGGCTGTGAAATTATAACTAATCATGGGCCAGTAGTATGGAGTGGTACAGTTAAAATGAATCATGAGCCTGTAGTTTGGCCTAGATATGTATTTTCATTAATTGTGGGCCAATAGGGTGGCAATTGTAATCAAATAAAAATGAAGGAAGAAAGGACTTATCATTTTATTGGACACCTGCCTTGTGCCTGGAAATGTATTGTGGATTTCATGTGTTTTTTATTTAATTCTCACAGAAATGACATGAAGTAGGCATTATGATTTCTATGATGAGAAAATGGAAGATTAAATAAATATTCCCAAACTCCACATGTATAAGGTGGAGCAGGTATTTGAACTGCAAAGCCTTTACTCTTTCCATACCACCACCCCTTCTATCTGTGACTTCACTTGTCAGAATGGCAACTATGTGACATCCGAGGCTGATAGCAGACCTTAATTGGTCCCAGAACATTTTGGCATCCCAGACTTGGCTATGAATTTCTTCTCTTTACTGCAGTAGCAGTCATTTTCGATCTACTGTTATTGGCATACAAAGTAGAACTTATTTGCCACCCCTAATCTTGGTCCCAGTTATAAATTCAATTTCTTTAATAATTCCCTATCTTCATCACATCTTCTTTTTTTCTTCTTTTTCAGTATTGCCTCAAAAAAAACTTCAGAGCTAGCCTGAGCGGGTCCTTATTTAAGACTACAACCTTCTGATATTTGTTGGCCTGTGCACGCTATCCTAAACACTAGAAGATTTGTAACTAAAATATGCCTCTAAATATCTCCGACAGCACTTCTCCCTAACTTGTGTGATGAATAAAATTAATTCCTCTTCTCAGCCTCGTTGAGCTTGAATACAGGAAACGAGTGTCATATAATGAAAGGCCCGAGAAAAAAAAAGGCTTTTTTTTTTTCTAACAGTCCTTTAAGCAACCTTCAAAGCACACCTGATAGGTAAGCATTAACAATAAAATAGAGCATTTTAATCTTGCTCTCAGTTCTGTATCATGCTCAGGAACATCTTCCTGAAAATTTATAATGGCACAGGACCTCTAATTTTATGAATTCTAAAATGTAAGGTTAGTACTTGCATAATCTTCCATCCACCCTAAATGAAAATACAAGCTAAGAAACATTAGTTATGCAAATATCACTTAAAGCCTCCTGATTAGTCAACAGTATATTTGCTATAGGACTGTGCTTCAAGATAATCCCTGCATAGGCTCAACAATATAACCTCCCTTAAAACTCATCTCAGATAGAAATTCTGGAGCCACCACTGGCTTTTGAATCCACAGAGTATGTTGTTTTCTTTCTTTTAGTATAATTGTTCTTTAATTCAATTTCTTGTTGTAAGGAAGAGACTTCGTTATTTCATGTAGTGGGATTTGTTGTACTCATATGAAGCCCAAAATAGCTACATCATTCACTTTCTATCAGGTGGGAAACACAGCAAGGCCATAACCCTGAAAGTGAAAGACTCATGGGGTAAGTCAGGCCACAGGACCTTAATTCTCGTGCTTTATCATTACCCAGAGTCAGATGTCCTGTTGGTCTCTTTGCAGATTAGCTATGTCACTCTCCAACACATATTGTTTACTCCTGACTTACGCTTCCTCTTAATTTCTGCTTCCTCATAACCTGGGCCTACATGTGGCCTATTACAGAATCTTCAAAATCATCTGCATTCTATTTTTTGACTCCTACTGCCATCAACCCCTCATGTATCTTTGTGTTCCTGATACTATCTGATTGACCTAACTAGTCAAATACTAAGAGGTAAGTATCCATATTCCAATACTTAGAGGTAACTACCATTATTACATTTACATAATTACACCAAGTTTTTTTTTAAAAAAATATGTGCATGAAAAAGATAATTGCATAAAATTGGGGCCATATTGTATGTACTTTTCCATTCTCATTGCACATGTAGCCATGTATCATTGGCATTTTCCAATGACTTTAAATATTACTAAAATTATGACTTTTAATGGCTCTACCTTGAAAACCTTAAACTTCAACTTTGTACTGGAGATTTTCTGAGTCTTCCTTTCTTATAGTTAGTAAGAGATATTTTGGTTTCATAGGGGTCATCATTAATTTTGCAGTAAGATAAAAAAAGGCCATTGATTTCTTCTCCTTAGCTGATCATGTTCTCTGATACTACCATCTTCTGCTGAAGGCAAAGCTTCTGCAGCCACTGGTTGGGCCCCAGCAACACCTCATACATTACTCATTAGATGTACAACATAGGATTGACCTATGCCACACATGAAATATTGATGGTTTCTAATAAATTCACTAGTGAGCACAGGTAGACATATTAATTTTTAATTTACAATCAGAGTGCAGAAGGAGCAACATGCTGCTTTGGCAGAACTGATCAACTAGGTTCTTTATACTAGGATCAGTGACTTTTCTTTCAAGAGCATGAAATTTTGAAGAATATATTTCCCTTTACATTTTATTTATGAAGTTTTATTGAAAGGTAAAGGCATCTCATAAGTTTAAATATATGCTACCTTGATTATTGTATATTACAAACATGGACATAAAGATCTAATAACCAAAGTGCTTGGATAATATAGAAATTTGATTAACTTAATGCTATGGTCAACTTAAATTTAAACAAAATAACTAAATTTGACTCAGGTAGCATTTTTTAAGCACGGAATATCTCCTAGACACTCTGACTCCTCATAGCAATTAAACTGAATGTTACTATTGTCCCCATTATACAGACATTAAGATTGAGAAGGCATTTCCACAACCACACAACTATAAATTATAGAATTTTTATTTTAACCTATGCTTTCTCATTCTGAGTCCATTCACCTCAGCAAAAATATTTACTGAGCATTTTTGATATGCCAGAGGTTGTGGATGACACTAGGAATACAATTTTGGACAGACAAGGTCCGTTACCCATGGGATTGTAGCCCAGTGGGAGAAACATATATTAAAAAATCATTAAAAATACAAATATAAATTGTGCTACAAAAAAAATCACAGGATATTATGAGAGTGTGTAACTTGAGAATCCTTTTCTGTATTATTTGTAATATAAAATAATATAATTAAAAATATCAGATTGGTGCAAAAGTAATTGCAGTTTTTGCCGTTAAAGGTAATGCACCAACCTAATACCCATTATTTTACTCTTTATTGCTTAAAAATATCTTTATGTTAACAACTCCTATTTATTGACTACTTACTATACTGAGTATGCCATGTTAAGCTTTATACAACTTATTTGAATCAAACTTCTCAACAACCCTGAAAAGTAAATGCTATTATTTGTCCCTTATCTACTCATAAGGACACTAAAGATTAGAGAGGAAAAGTAATTTACCCAGGGGTGCCCTGCATCACTGGTATTTTAACTCTGCCTAATCTGTCTGATTTCAAGACCCTAATGGTCCACTGCAATTCTATTCAGGTGTAAGTGTTTTGCGTTCATTTTTCCAGCAGTGTATATTTATAACTTTTATATCCTTCCTTTTATTTATTTCTGTTATTCTCCTACCTCCTATGCATTTACTCTCTGTTCCTTGCAGAAAGTGTTTGCTGATGTCTGCTCTAATGTCACCCCTTGTAATAACAAAACTATAATATATTTTTATTTGGTAAAATGTGTAATATGGGGAAAATTAAAATGACAAAACTACGTGTGGGCATGAGGGTAAAAGTATTACCCACTGATCTGCCTGCAGTGCTCTACCTTTGATGCTTTCTCAACTGTGGAGTAGGTACATGTCCAGCTCTTACTATCTATGTTCTTCCATAAAATGTTTTTCTACTTTCTCAGGACCTACACTTCTCTACATGTATTTTCTAGAATCCTATGTTCCTCATTTCTTTAGAGTTTTCTATTAAGTGTATTAGTTATCTTGGCATAAGATTCATGGTTAAAGTAACTCTACTGAGAGCAACATTATTAAGGTAGTGAAATTCTTTTTCCTAAATAGCATAGAAAAAAATTGAACTAATGGGAGTCAATGTCTAATCTACAAAATAAATTTCTGACTTGAATTTGTATCCCATCGCATTTTCCCTGGTCTTTTGCCTTGTTGTTCTCTCAGTTCCTTCTTTGTTCTTCTTCCCCCCTCTCCACCACTTCCTCTGTTTCTATCATTTGTTTTTCTCAAAAGTATGAATTATATACATGATGAGCTAACATTTTCAAAAACCAGCTTTTCCCTCCTGTTTATATTTGATGAAGTCTATGTGACTAAAAAAAAAAAAAACTAATAGAGCCCCTTTCTGGGCAGGAACAATTTGTATAGTTACTTACAGTCACCTGCCCATTTTGGGATTAGCAAAAAATGCAATGGAAGTGGAGATCTTATCTCCCATCTTTCTTCCTTTCTCATAACCCAACCACCCCTATGGAAGTGTCTCCTTCTCATACTTTAACATGCTCTTCAGATTTCAGTGCCTCATTAACATGAATTACACATGAGGCCAGGTAGAAAGATGTGAATCGGTTCTCGGAACATAAAGAGGAGGTACTAAGCATTAATACAAACTTATGCTGCACCTGCCATTGAAATACCTCAAGACCGATAAGATAATGAATAAAAGTTAAAAGAGGTGATATCATAAAGAAGGGCTGAGAGAAGTGTGCAGGTGCACTTCTAGGCTGAGACAACCTGAGGGATAGCAACAGACTGCTTAATATTTTGAATTACTTTTCTCTTGTAAGAATATTATAAGCTTACATATTAGAAACAAAAATACACATATTCAGAATAAAGGCAGTTTCTAAAATGTATTTGCTCAATTTGTACATTAATCTAGATTTTTTTAACCTTTAAAATAGCAATACAAATACAAATTGGGAAGCATTTTTCAATAGATTTCAGAGCATTTTGGAGACCTTGGTCAGTGTTTTAAAAACAACCATCTTCCCACAAAATGTCTAACTCATGTGGTCCTTCCACATCTCTATTTCCTAATCCATAAAAGGTAAAGGTTGAGCCATGTCATCTCTAAAGGACCTTTAAGCCTTAAAATTCTAAGTTTCTATCTATATAAAATCCAAATAGTCTTTATACTTACACTGAATGTAATGTCAAGTGGCAGATATTTACAAGATGTTCTGTGAGCTTGAAAAAGAATGTTTTCAGAATAGCATGAGGTAAGATTTTAAAACAACAAACAACAAGAAAAACAACAACAATACTGACCCCACCACAGGAGGACTTCTTCAGATTTCTGAAATAGTATGATCTCTTTTAGGTATTGTTCACAGTTTCACTTCTTAAGAAGGAAAATATCTAGAAAAAACAATGGTCAGGAAATATGAGGCAGAATTTAAACCTGGGAAATAATTTCTCCACTAAATATAGTCCTAGGGGAAGCATGGATTTGAAAGTGATTGCATGCAGTATTTTAGTGAATGTGTATTTTTGTCTGTGAAGTATTTTAATAAACACTAATGAATACTGTGACATATTATTCTTTATAATAATTACATATACCATGACTCCTTTGAAATATCTAGTTATTAGCTTAGCTGCCATAGCCAATATAATTAAGCTGAAAATGTTAAACAATGGCATTCACTTTTCTCATCTACCCAATTAGAAGGAGAGATGTTAAACAGTGGAAGAAATGCCTCTGAGGAACTTTTTATCTCTGTGATACTCTGTGCAAGTATTGAACTGAATACATGAATGAATTCTAACAGGCAGAAATGACCTTGAAGAGATATTTTTAAGAAGTCTTTTTTTCATTATGACCATTTTGGGTTGTCTAAATTAAGACTAAGGTCCTTTCAGAGATTTGGAGTTCATTGTGACCTATGAACTTATTCACTACAAAATAACTATACGTGATTTTTTTTCTTTAGAAAAAAATCTACCAGGCTGGAATGCAGTGATGCGATCATAGCTTGAAGCAGCCTTGAACTCCTGCAGCCTTCTGAGTAGCTGGGACTACGGGCATGCGCAACCATGCACAGCTAATTTTTTTTTTGTTGTTTTTTGAGATGGAATCTCACCAGACTGGTCTTGAACTCCTGGCATCAAGCCATCCTCCTGCCTCAGCCCCCGAAAGGGCTGGAGTTTACAGGCCATAAAATTTTTAAGAAACCAGTGTGCAAGGGTTCTCTCATTTAATCAAAAGACTTTGGATAGGTTGTATTCTTTAAAACTTATTTATGAGGTTAACTTACTGGGGCCTTTTCTCTCTGCTAATGTTTTACCTGTTTCTTTTGTCTAAAAATCAGCCTCAGACACCATTGTTCTCACTTGTTAGTCTTTCTAGAGCAGATTCAGTGTTGCTGATTAACTGGAGGGATCATTACTGTGTCACTCTCATTAGGTGGCAGTAACTTCAGAACACCTGGACCAAGAGGTTGTGTGCAGAGATAAACAAGGAGTTTTATAAACATAGGGAAACAGAAGAATATGTAGTGGACGTAAAATCCTAGGAAAACAAAAACTCAGAAAAATAAAAACAAGCTCTAAGTTCATAGTTGCATGCAGTGTTCTAGAAAATTATTTGAAAGTTTCTTTTAAATTAAATTTGAATATACATATTTCTACATAGCCATCTGGCTAGAATATTACATATGTAATTAATCTGACTGGAATATTGTATACAATAAATAAATAAGTGCTCTGGAGTTATTTGCAAAAAAAAAAAAGTGTGTTCTATAGACCAGTTGGCTGCTCTTGTCACTTTCCTGCATATATTGTTAACATCTATGTCATTAGGCACACATAATATAGCTTTGCACATGCACGTACTTAATATAAAATATCTGATACTTGGGCATCATTGGTTAGAATTGCAGAATTTTAAATTCTTAGGGAATCTTATGCATTCATGAAACAACTATCAATTGAGTACATATTATGCGCCAGACACAGTTACTGCCTCTTGTGCTATATCAGTAAACAGTTAAAAAAAAAAAGGCATGCCCTTACAAAGTTTATGTTTTAGTGAGCTTAACCTAAAACAGTTTCCCAACTTGTGACTATATTAGCAAAGATAATTAGCATTCTATATTCAGAGGACATCAGAAACAAGGAGTTAGAGATAGAAGATACATCGGAACAACGTGTAGTCCAGTTCAGCTGGAGCATAAAGATAGGACAGGCAAGGAGGCCGGACATGGTGGCTCACGCCTGTAATCCCAGCACTTTGGGAGGCCAAGGTGGGTGGATCACCTCGAGGTCAGGAGTTCGAGATCAGCCTGGCCAATATGGTGAAACCCCGTCTTTACTAAAAATGCAAAAAAATTAGCTGGTCATGGTGGTGTGTGCCTGTAATCCCAGCTACTTGGGAGGCTGAGGCAAGAGAATCACTTGAACCTGGGAGGCGGAGGTTATGGTGAACTGAGATTGCACCACTGCACTCCACCCTGGGTGACAGAGCGGGACTCCGTCTGTCCCAAAGGGACAAATTGGGACCCAAAGACAAAGTGGCTCAGAGAAGGGATTCCAGGTAGAGTCAGAACTAACTCCAACAAAAACCATAGGGAGTAAAGTTTGGTTTTTCAGAGACTAAAAGCAGAAACATGGGAGGAACAGAATGGAGATGGAGGAATTAGTTAGGAAACTATTGAAATGGCCCAAACGAGAGGTATCAAGGCCTAGTTTATGGTATGAAGAGAGTGGCTGGAAAGAAAGACCAGAATGGGAGAGACAGTTCACTGTGGAATCGACAAGAATCAGTGACAGATTGAATCAAGCAATCCAAAAGGAAACAAGTTTGTTTTGAACTCAGGTAACAGAAAGAATTATGATGTCATTTACAGTGATGAATAAGTCAGGAAGAGAGAATAGGGTTGTTTTTCTGGGACCTGGATTTTCTAAATAAAAAATATCAATTTTATGAATCTTATGGAGCTATAAATTTATATTTTGAAAGGACTTTTATAATTTTGTAATTATTGTATTTGAATTATGATTTCCTACTTTTTCTTATTTTACTATTTTTTCTCAGTTTAACTTACTGTATGTACTTACATGAAACTTTATATTTATTTTTATTGATTGATTGAGACAGAGTCTCGCTATGTCGCCCAAGCTGGAGTGGAGTGGTCCAATCTTGGCTCATTGCAACCTCTGCCTCCCGGGTTCAAGCGATTCTCCCTCCTCAGCCTCCTGAGTAGCTGGGACTACAGGCGCCAGCCACCATGCCTGGCTAATTTTTGTATTTTTACTAGAGGCGGGTTTCACCATGTTGGCCAGGCTGATCTCGAACTCCCGACCTCAAATGATCCACCCACCTCAGCCTCCTAAAGTGCTGGGATTACAGGTGTGAGTCACCGCTCCCAGCCAAATTTTATATTTATAACACAAAAAATTCAAACAAGTTCAGAAGGATTTAGTCATGCTTCTTTGTTCTTTTAAATTTGAAAGTGCTTTCATATCATTATTTTCCAACATTTTACATTAATTAGCTTTTAGCAGATGACCATAAATATAATTTTGTCTTATTCTGTTATAGTAGTTGCTAATACAGGATATTTTTTCAATTATTATGGAAGTCTGTGGAATCAGCTTCTTTTGCCATATATCAAATTTTTATAGAATGATTACATTACATGTGTGGGAGCTTATAATATTAAGCCTGATTATAAATACTTAGGATACATTCCATATTAGTGTATTTTATTAATAAACTCAAACTTATTTTTAAAAATGGGATACATATTATAAAGTTTTTTTTTCACTTTAAATGAATTGAATTATTGGAGTTACTACTAGTGACATGGACAGTGGAAATGTAGTACTGGAGATCAGAGTGTTCATAGATGAAGAATTTGGTTGAGTATTTGCTGGGCATAAAGTTTATACATTTTCATGTATTTGTTTTTGGAAAACTGATATTTTCTGTGTAGTCTCCCTTGTTTATGTAAGTCTTAACATTATTTGAGAGTCACAATACATCAAATAGTATCACAGTATATAAGAATAGCAGCCGGGTGGGGTGGCTCACACCTGTAATCCCAGCACTTCGGGAGGCCAAGATGGGTGGATCACGAGGTCAGGAGATCGAGACCATCCTAGCTAATGTGGTGAAACCCCATCTCTACTAAAAATACAAAAAAATTAGCCGGGCGTGGTGGTGGGCGTCTGTAGTCCCAGCTACTCGGGAGGCTGAGGCAGGAGAATGGCGTGAACCCGGGAGGCAGAGGTTGCAGTGAGCCGAGATCGCACCCTGCACTCCAGCCTGGACGACAGAGTGAGATAGAGTAGTTCATGTTGCCTCTTATGGAAAGAGGATTTGAGGCCTTGTCTTGTGTAACAAGCACACTGTTTCATTTCAACTATATTAAAGATTAATGATAATAAAAGCATGTAAAGATGCTTTCATACACACTTTTTATAAGATTAAGAATATGCCAATGTCACTTGGTACCCTTAGACCAGGTATTAATCATGTGCTATATTTTCATTATGTGCCTTCAAGTTATAAGAAGAAATTAGCAGTTGATTTTCAGTCTTATAATGTGTAAATATGTTAATTGATAAAAGATAGACCAATTTTTGGTTTATTTAAATTCTTTTATTATTTATTTAAATTACCTTAGGTTTCTAATATTAATTCGTTTTCATATTAAACACACGGAATCATAGTTTTGTCAGGGTCCCAAGCAAGCGACGCGGTCAAGTTGGCTTAGGCAATGAGATGCAGTGTGGAAAGGCCAGTGGCATGGGAGCATCCAAGTCAATGCCAACATCCCAGAGCCATTTCTTGGGAAGAGTGGGAAAGCCTTCTGCAGGGACAGCCTCATGGGTGTGCGACCCATGCAGGTGCACATGGTGCCATGCTCAAAATGGCCCTGTGCTTGGCTTAATGCTGTGCTTTCACTGTCTTGCAATTCTTAACAATTTTTGAACAGGGAGCTCTGCATTTTTATTTTGCACAGGTCCCACAAGTTATGTAATCAGTCCCGATTATTGGGATCCCACTTGATCCCCCTGATAGTAGCCATGCTCCTGTCGAATGTCCTTTGTGTCTGTGTGTTGCTTGTTTTTCCTCCCCCTGCTGAGTCATCTCTGCTCTTCTCTCTACATTATGGTTCACACTTAGCATGGTTTCTGCTGCTGTTTCTCTGTGTGTCTTCTGTACTTTCCCACAATTTTTAATCTTTTTCTGGCTTCTCACATTCCCACTCCCTGAGAGAGGGTGTGCTATTGGGAGTGTTAGGAACTATACCCAAAAAGGACAGTTTTATCTACTTGGAATTATAAGAACAAATCTTACAGCTTATGAGTTTTCCAAAGGCCTACAAAAAAATCTCTGAGACATAAAACTAAATACATATATATATATAGAAAGAGAGAGAGAGTGAGGCTCCAAATAGAAAGAGAAAACTACAATGTCAAAATTAACAAATATTTAAATAATATGTTTAAAACTTACTAATGGTTAAATTTAGTGTTCATAAAAAGTTCCTGACATTTGAAGATAATTTTGCATGATTCTTAGCTTTGCATAGTCATGACATTAAAAGCTCCCCAGTGTGCCCATTACATTTTTTCTTGTATAAATTAATTCTGAAACATATTTGTTGTTTCAAAATAACAAAGTAAATATACTTATTAAATAATTACTTGGTGCTCAGCTGATTTTTAGGTTTTTCCCTGATTTTTATAGATTAAATATAATTTATAAAAGACATGTGCAATAAGAGATTTTAGATATCCTGAACTTTGCTCCTGCTGCAAAACGATGAAAAATGGCAGATACATTGTTTTTCAAATAGTTTCACATGTTGCACTGAGCTATGAGCTAGCAAAATAAGAATTATAATAAAGAAATAGAATACTGAGACGCTGTCAATGTCTTTTAGCCAAAGGCCACCAGGAGCACATCAGTAGTTAAACAAGTTGGGATTTATTGCTCATTGCATTGAGAAAAGACCCTCATTGCATAGGGAACAATGAGGGGTCTTGGTAACACGGTATTAGTGACAATCTATTACAGGGCTTGGGCTTTGGTTGGGTGATTTGGAGAAGAATCTAAGAAAATAGGATTTTCCCCTAGATTAGATAGAGTAAAAAAGCAAAGGCAATTCTATGACCAGGTATCTCAATATGTTTTATCTAGAGTGAGGGTAGACTTAGAATGAGGATCAAACTACTTGGTAAAAAAGTATCAGTTACTCATTTTAGCCAAGAGGGGATGTTTTGTATTTTGTGAATGGCACAGTGACTTTGTTTTTGTCAACGTTTAGAAAAATTATTAAGTAGCATGTTTTGTCTCCTTTTATCATGGTCTCAGAGTACTCTTTTCCGAGTTTTTTATTCTGTCGGATTATATTCAATAGAATAACAAGTCTTTAGATGTGAGTGCCAGGGCAGCTTCCACACATCAGAGGCTGGCTCTTTTGTTTCTTTCTCAATGCGAAAACTGAAATAAAAGCAGGAATTCAGAGTCAGGCACACAAGAAAGTTGGCTTTCAGCCAGGAGACTTCACTGAATGTTGGTGAGTCAAACTTCTGATTGTCTTGTGGGGTAAAAATGGTAGGAGAAAAATTTTTTCGAGAATTTATGCCTGAGGCTGGGTGCAATGGCTCACGCTTTTGTTCCCAAAACTTTGGGAGGCTGAGGCAGGAAGATCCCTTGAGGCCAGGAGTTTTGAGACCAGTCTTGGCAACATATCAAGACCCAGTCTCTACAAAAACAAAAAAATTAGCCAGGCATGGTGGCACTCACCTGCACTCCTAGCGAATTTGGAGGATGTGGCAGGAGGATCGCTTGAGCCCAGCAGTTTGAGACTGAGATGAGTTATAATTGCACCACTGCAATACAGCCCTGGTGACATACTAAGACCCTGTCACCAACAAAACAGAAAAAAGAAGAATTTATGACTGATAAGACCCATAGTGTGACATTAAAGAGGCCACATATTTCATGTCTCCCTCCCACAGTCCCTTCCAGAAGGAGATGACCAGTAAACCTGTTTGTCTTTATGTTGATGTTAAATGAACAGGAGAGAAGGGTCTAATGATCATTTGTAAATTCAAGCCAGCCCCCACGTGTGCATGGAGCCCAAATTCACATGTATTCATGAGAAAACAACAGACTTCTAGCTGAAACTTTAGTTTGAGGTGCTTCTAAGTTGGTAATGCTTTCAGGGCCCCTGAAAGAAGCAAATTTAAATCACCTTTGAAGGAACTTAATTTCAACCAAAGCTTCATGGTCAAAAACAAAATGTGCAGGGAAATGAGGCTCCCTGAGTAACAGCCAGCGAACACAGCAGACTACAGAATCAGAGTCTCAGAAATTCTATATATGAGTGTTATCAGACATATAAAACAAAATATGTGTATTTAGTGTGTATAAAAATATGAGAAGTAGTAAAATATGAGTAAGGAATAAAAAAACATAAAAATAACAAGGCCGATTTTAGAAAATCTTTTAGCAATTAAAAATTACAGAATCAGAGTCTCAGAAATTCTACATATGAGTGTTATCAGACATATAAAACAAAATATGTGTATTTAGTATGTATAAAAATATGAGAGGTAGTAAAATATGAGTAAGGAATAAAAAACATAAAAATAACAAGGCCGATTTTAGAAAATCTTTTAGCAATTAAAAATTACAAAGATGAAAATTAATTAATTATATAAAGAAAAAATCTAAATTAATTATTAAATAGATACAGATGTATGTTGGCAAACATCAAAGCTGGATTAATCAAGGAATTTAGGATACAAGTCTGTAATAAACAGGCAGAGTACTTTGCATAGGGATCCATCCTTTTCTAGCCTGTGTATAACTTCTCAGCCTCATTTTTATTCTCTACGTATAAAGAATTCTTAGAGTTCCCTGAATATTTCCTCACCAGCTTTCATCTACATACTTATATTATCACATTTGTCACATTATTATGTAAATTTGATTACATGTCTTTCTCCTTGCTGAACTGTGAGCTCTTTGATGGCAGGGGGAAAAAAAAGTCTTATTAATTAATTTTTGATTTCCTAGTAGTATTTGACACAATACACAATTTGAACTAAGTATTTAATGTTCATTGAAATAACCTGAATTCTCAAATTTTCCATTTATCCACACTTTTAATCATGTCATTTTTTCCTTTGTGGATGAGTAACATTAAAGATTATGAAAGCAATAACTTCCCTAGAGGTGGAGCATGTCACTCCTATGGACCTTAAAAGCATGATCATCTTGAAGTTGGCAACATTTGCTTGTCTAAAAACCATAGCAACAGAACAGTTTATTCTTTGTTAAACTGTTTTTGTTTGGCAAAATGTTATTATTTTATTTTGGTAATCTACATTTCACTGCAACCTCTGCCTCCCAGGTTCAAGTGATTCTCCTGCCTCAGCCCTCCAAGTAGCTGGGATTACAGGCATGCACCACCAGGCATGTGTCACCACACCTGGCTAATTTTTGTATTTTTAGTAGAGATAGGATTTCACACTGTTGGCCAGGCTGGTCTCGAACTCCCGACCTCAAGTGATCGGCCCACCTTGGCTTCCCAAAGTGCTGGGATTACAGGCATGAGCCATTGTGCCAGGCCCCCTGAGATAATTCTTAAGCTTAATGGCTTCTGTGACCATAAAATAAGCAGAACCTATACTAATATTATGGTACAAAATTAGAACATAGAGCTTTTCTAGAATACTAATTTATCTGAAATATTTATACATTTACTCATTATTTATGTCTAAATATTTAATGTGATAAGTGCACAGCTGAAACACACTAAAAAATGTTTTAGCAGTAAGACTTGTAGTAAAAAGGGAGAAGTTATTTATTTTTTTCTGACTTAAAACATGCAGAAATAAAAAGTCAAATACCATTCACACAACAACATTCAATTGGAGAACATCGTGGCATTTTGTTCCTCAAGTAAACTGTGTGTGTGTAATATTATTTCAGCATTATTTCTTTATGAATTGTTTCCATGCCTAGGTAGTAAAAAGGAATTTAATGTGTTTTCTAAGGTTTTACCTATTTTATGCATTCTTTCCTCTGATCTTTTACCATTCTGACCAGTTGCTAGTAGAATTATTACCCTAAGCTTGGGATAGTGGTTTTTATAAATTAACCCACAAGTGATTTATGAAATCACAATGGAAGTGCTAAGAATACAGACTTTATTAAGCTGCGTTACAGTGCCACATGTATTCTACCCTTTAAAACAAAGGACATGCCAAGCAAAGCCCCATGCTTTGACAGTGTTTCACCTTCATGCTTGGATAGCTGTACTAATAGGCCATCGTAGTGGGAAACTTACATTTTCATAGTTCAGATGACTGTGGAAAGAAGTTTAACATTTATTGACTTCTAAAAATCTATTTCCATGGTCTACAGCACATACAATCACCATCCCTACTCACTATAAGAGGATATTCTAGTGAAGAATAAACAATGTCCCCTAAAATTTGGAAAGGGTATTAAGATATTGTTTAATGAATGAACTTCATTAGAGACCCTTATAATCAGGGATTATAAGGAATTTGAATAATTAATCATAATACTAGGTGATAATATAAAATGTAAAATTCTAGTCCTGTTCAAATGGCATATATCAAACCTTCATATACATATATATTTATTTCATTGAAGAACTGTGTATTTTTTCAATAGGCTTATCAACTCAATAGAGGTTTTTCCCTAATTTAATTCTTTCATGAAACACACATATAAAAGAATGTTGTATGTTACAGAGACATACACACATATTTGTATATAGGCATTTTCTCGTTTTGTTAAAGACCACCATGGCTTATAGCATTTATATTTCCATAATAGTAGGTCAATAAAGAACTGTGCCATATTATTATTTTGTACTTGTCCATACTGTTACAAACATTGATTTCCTATTGTGTAGATATTTCATTTATCATTTTATATATCTTCTTTGATTTTTCTAATTTAATAAAGAGTAATTTAGCACATTATACACATTGTGCCTTAACTTACATTATTTTATTGTAAAATGAGTGCACATCTTTCATGTTTTAATGGTTTGATTGATGTAACTTAAAATATGTTATATAGTTATATGGCAAATAATAACACATCTTGCTGGCTAATATAGTAACTTTGTCATAACAAAAACTGATATCCTGTTATAAAGTCAGTAATAAAATAGCCTCATCATAATTTTATTCCTATTCCCAAAAGGGAGAATATAAGAATATTCTAATTTTTGTCTGCTTTTTAAAAAAATATATTCATTCAAAATGAACACTTGAAACTGTAAAATTTTGGTTTTATTTAACAAGAAAATGAAATTACTTTTTCCTTCCAGAATCTAGATACAAGACCTCAGCTGCATTTCATGAAACACATAATTGGATATTATGAAACATGCTGAATCTTATAAATGACATTTTAGTGAGGCACTACACATTTCTTCTTCAGAGTATTTAACTTTTAGAAAATATTTGGTACTAAGTTTAGATGATGATTAGAATTTTACAGTGCCTTTAGTTGTCTCTCCTAATTCCTTAAAGTAAATCCTGATTTACAAGACTTCAGTGCCAGCATGATGCAGTAGAAAAAGCAAGTTGGGCAGAGGAGGATTCTGTCCTCAACTTTACATCTTACTAATTTTATCACCTTGAACAAGTTTTGTAAACTCTCTAAGGTTTAGCTTCCTTGGCTACAATATGGGAAAGATAAAACTTATCCTTAGAATATTTTCAGACTTTCTTAGGTTCAAAGCATTAATTTTAGAGATATCACGTGTATTACTTCGCTAGGGCTGTCACAACAAAGCGCCAAACTGGGTGACTTCAACAGCAGAAATCTATTTTCTCACAATTCTGGAGTCCAGATGTCTGAGATCAAGATGTCTGTAGGGTTGGTTTCTTCTAAGTCCTCTTTCCTTGGCTTGTTGTAGATAGCTGTCTTTTTCTGGTGTCTTCTTGTGGTTTTCCCTCTGTGTGTGTGTCTTCCTTTAAGGACATCAGTCAGATTGGATTACCTCACCTTATGACCTCATTTAACAGTAATGACCTCTTTAAAGGCTGTATTTCGAAACACAGTCACATTAAGAGAAACTAGGGATTAGGACGTCATCATAGAAATTTGAAGGGGACACAGTTCAGCCCATAACCCTACTCCATAACAAATCAAACATATTAAGCTATCTTTGAAATTGTTTTAATATAATTATATGCACACAGGAAGTTGCAAAGATAGTACTGAGAGACCTTGTGTATATGTGTATCCCTCACTCAAATTTTTCCCCAGTAGTTACAACTTACGCTATTATAGTACAATGTCAAAACCAGCAATTTGACACTGGTATAAGGTCATTATTGTTTTATGTTATTTTATCATATGTATAGATTCATGTAAACACCGTAATCAAGTCCAGAGCTATAGCATCGTCCTGAAGATCCCCCTTGTGCTACCCTTTCATTGCCACATCCATCCCTTTCTTCTCTGCCACTCTTTTTTTGGGGGATGGAGTCTTGCTCTTTCACCCAGGCTGGAGTGCAGTGGCGTGATCTTGGCTCACTGCAAGCTCTGCCTCCCGGGTTCACGCCATTCTCCTGCCTCAGCCTCCGGCATAGCTGGGACTACAGGTGCCCGCCACCAGGCCCGGCTAATTTTTTGTATTTTTAGTAGAGATGGGGTTTCACTGTGTTAGGCAGGATGGTCTCGATCTCCTGACCTCGTGATCCGCCTGCCTCCGCCTCCCAAAGTGACACCTGGCAACCACTAACCTGTTTGCCATCTCTACAACTTGGATAGATCTTAACAGCATACACTTAGTTAAAACAGTCAATCTCAAAGATTATATACCATGTACCTTCATTTATATAACATCATGAAGTAACAAATTATAAGTAAATGTTTAAAATTAACTATATTGAGCTATAATTTACAAATAATAAAATGCACTCATTTTAAGCATACACTTCAGTGGATTTGGACGTGTGTATATACACATGTAACCACAAACCTAGTTAAGATGTAAAATATTTCCATCATGTCCAAAAGTTCCCTTCTGCTACAGGAAAACCTCATCCTCACCCCTAGGAAGCCACTGATCTGCTTTCTATCACTATAGATTACATTTACTTTTATATAAATGATATCATACAGTTGATACTTCTTGAGTATAGTTTCATTTTCTTAGTACAATGTTTCTGAAATTCATCCATGTGTTCCTGAGAAGTACTTCATTTATTAACCCACTATTCTATGGATACATATTTAGGTTTTCCCAATTTTGTGATACTATGAATTAGGTTGCTAAGAACATTCAAGTAAGAGTCTTTTGATGCACATTTGTTCTCTTGATTTTCCTCAGGTAAATAACAAGGATTAGAATTGCAGTGTAGTAGGGTCATGTGGTAAATGCATGTATAAATTTATAGGAAACTGTCAAACTTTTCCAAGTGGTTATGCCATTTTATACTGGCTGCTGTGACTGTGATTGCATTCTTGATTTTGCTCTTAGCTTAAACAATACTGGTGTATACAAATGCTACTGATTTTTGTACATTGATTTTGTATCCTGAAATTTGGCTGAAGTTGTTTATCAGATCTAGGAGCTTTTGGGCAGACATTATGGGGTTTTCTAGTCATAATCATATAATCTGCCAAAATAGATAGTTTGACTTCCTTTCTTCCTATTTGAGTGCCTTTTATTTCTTTCTCTTGCCCAATTGATCTGGCTTGGAATTCCAGTACTTTTAGGAGTGGTGAGAGTGGGCATCCTTGTCTTCTGGTTCTCAAGGTAAATGCTTTCAACTTTTGCCCATTCAATATGATGTTGGCTGTGGTTTTTTATGGATGAGTCTCATTATTTTGATATATGTTCCTGCAATGCCTCATTCACTGAGGGTTTTTAACCTGAAAGGATGTTAAATTTTATCAAAAGCCATTTCTGGATCTATTGAGATGATTATGTGTTTTTTGTTTTTAGTTCTGTTTATGCAATGTATCACATTTATTGATCACATTTATTGTTAAACCAACCTTGCATCCCAGGAATGAAGCCCACTTGATCATGGTAAATTATCTTTTTTATGTGCTGCTGTATTTGGGATGCTAATATTTTAGTGAGGATTTTTTATCTATGTTCATTAGGGATATTGACCTGAAGTTTTCTTTTTTGTTGTTGTTGTATCTCTACAGGTTTTTATGTTAGAATGAGGCTTACCTCATGGAATGAGTTAGGGAGCAGTCCCACCTCCTCAATTTTTTGAAATAGTGTCAGTAGGATTGATACCATCTCTTCTCTGTATGTCTGGTAGAATTTGGCTGTGAATCCATCTAGTCCAGGGCTTTTTCTGGTTGGGAAGCTTTTTATTATTGATTCAATTTCACAACTCTAATGGTATTCACACTCAATATTCACAACTCATATTCTTCTGTTCATAGTTTCTATTTCTTGCTCTTTCAATCTTGGGAGTGTTTATGTTTCCAGGAATTTATCCATTTCTTCTACATTTTCTAGTTGTGTGCATAGAGGTATTCATAATAGTATTTGAGGGGTTATTTTGTCTTTCTCTGGGGCCAGTGGTAAATGTCTTCTTTATCATTTCTGATTGTGTTTATTTGGATCTTCTCTCCTTTTTTCTTTATTAGTCTACCTAGCAGTTTATCGATCTTATTCTTTCAAAGACCAACTTTTGGTTTTGTTGATCTTTTGTATGGTTTTTTGTGTCTCAATTTCTTTTTTTTTTTTTTTTTTTTTTGTGATGGAGTCTCACTCTGTCACCCAGGCTGGAGTGCAGTAGTGTGATCTTGGCTCACTGCAACCTCCACCTCCCGGATTCAAGCAATTCTCCTTTCTCAGCCTCCTGAGTAGCTGGGATTACAGGCGCCCACCAACACACTCAGCTAGTTTTTGTATTTTTAGTAGAGACGGGGTTTCACCATGTTGGTCAGGCTGTTCTCAAACCCCTGACCTCGTGATCCACCCACCTCAGCCTCCCAAAGTGCTGGGATTACAGGCGTGAGCCACTGCACCCGACCTTGTGTCTCAATTTCATTCAGTTCAGCTCTGACTTTGGTTATTTCTTTTTTTCTGCTTGCTTTGGGGTTGGCTTGCTCTTGTTGTGCTAGTTCCTCTAGATGCGATGTTAGGCTGTTAATTTAAGATCTTTCTAACTTTTTGATGTGGGTGTTCAGTGCTATAAACTTTCTTCTTAATACTGTTTTAGCTGTGTCCCAGAGATTCTTCTATGTTGTGTCCTTGTTTTTATTAGTTTCAAATAATTTATTGATTTCTGACTTAATGTCACCATTTACCCAAAAATCATTCAGGAGCAGGTTGTTTAATTTCCATGATTGTATAGTTTTGAGGGGTCTTCTTGGTATTGATTTTTATTTTTATTTTCCTGTGGTCCAAGAGCATGGTTGATATGGTTTTGTTTTTTTCTTTGTTGGGAATTGTTTTATGGCCAATTATGTGGCTGATTTTAGAGTATATGCCATATGCAGGTGAGAAGAATGTATATTCTGTTGTTGGGTGGAGTGTTCTGTGGATGTCTGTTAGGTCTGTTTGGCCAAGTATCAAATTCAGATCCCAAATATCTTTGTTATTTTTCTGCCTCAATGATTTGTCTAATGCTGTCAGTGGGGTGTTGAAGTCTCCCACTATTGTTGTGTGGTTATCAAAGTCTTTGTAAGTCTCTAATAGCTATTTTATGAATCTGGGTGCTTCAGTGTTGCATGCATATATATTTAGTATATAAATAGTAACCTTGAATGTAAACAGGCTAAATGCCCTACTTGAAAGTCACAGAGTGGCAAGTTGGATAAAGAAGCAAGACCCAACTATATGCTGTCTTCAAGAGATGCATCTCACATGTAATGACACTCATAGGCTCAAAGTAAAGGGATAGAGAAAAATCAACAAAGCACACAGAAAATGAAAAAGAGCAGGAATTACTAGTGTAACTTCAGACGAAACAGACTTTAAACCAACAACAATCAAAAAAGACACAGAAATGTATCACATAATGATAAGGTTATAATTTAACAAGAATGTTTAGCATATTTTCATGTCCTTAATGGCCATTCATTTATCTCCTTTGATGAAGAAACTGCAAAGTCTTGTTCATTTTAAAAATCTTGCTCTTCAGCTGATAATTAAGTTGTAAATATTCATTATAATTGTGAATGCAAGTCCTTTGTCAGATATGTATATTGTGAATATTTTCTCCCAGTCTATGCCTTATTTTTTTCATTTTCTTAATTTATCTCTCGAAGAGCAAAAGATTTTAATATTGGTGAAGCCTAGTTTATAATTTTTTTAATTCTTAGTTGTTTCTTGTCAAAGAAATCTTGGCTTGCCTAAATTTGTGAAGATCTTCTTCCATGTGTTTTTCTAGAAGTTTTATGATGTTAACTTCCATATTTAGATTGAAAATTCAGTTCAAGTTATTTGTCCATGGTATAATATTGAGTTGAGGCTTTAGTTTTGTTATATATACACATATTTAATTATGCCAGCCACATTTGTTGAAAAGATTATCCTTTCCCTATTAAGTCATCTTAGAAATATGTCAGAAACATTTGAAATTATGTGTCAGCCTATTTCTAGACTCTTATATTCATTTATCTATTTGTTTTTGTTATGAAATATCTATATCTAGGCATGCCCTCATATTTAAAAGTAGCATTTCTCAGCTCATGAGAAAGCCTCAGATTTAGATATTACTTTTATACTAATGTGATAATAATAATTGTGCATTTCCTAAAACAACATGAACTTTACTATTACTCAAGCATAAGTACATTTTTACTATCATCATATTATGTTTATTAAAGAATTTTATCTGATTCTTGTTATAACTATGAGCAAATATTAGTAACAACATTAAAGATAATTAGAGCTTGAGATGCAATAAAGGCTCAACAGTTGCCTTGTTTTTCCAGTCCTTTGACTCATTTCTATCAAAGGTCCTCATAGTATTTTTATACATATTTCAGAAAAGATTCCAAAATTCAGCATTATTTAATGCAAAACTTCTTTGAATATATAAATGTTAGAAAAAATTCATAGTGCATATAAGGAGTCTGCTGTTGAATTCCAGACTAGAAAAAGATTGTTTATCTCTAAGGAATAGTGGATCATGGAGGAGGAACAGTGGCTCACATTTGTAATCCCAGTACTTTAGAAGTAGTGGGATTTTGATACATATTTTGATATTTTGATACATGTGTAGAATGTGTAATGATCAAATTAGAGTACTTGGGATATACATCACGTCAAAAATTTATCATTATTTTGCTGAGAACGTCTCTTCTAGCTATTTTGAAATATATAATCTATTATTGATAACTGTAGTTACCATATTGTGCTATCAAACACTGTATTAGTTCATTCTCACACTGCTATGAAGAAATACCTGAGACTGGGTAATTTATAAAGGAAAGAGGTTTAATTGACTCACAGTTCTGCATTGCTGGGGAGGCCTCAGGAAACTTAGAATCATGGCAGAAGGCAAAGGAGAAGCAGGCATCTTCTTCACAGGGTGACAGTGGAGTGAGTGCAAGCGGGGGAAATGCTGGACACTTGTGAGAACCATCAGCTCTTGTGAGAACTCACTCACTATCATGAGAACAGCATGAGGAAAACCACCCCCATGGTCCAATTACCTCCACCTGGGTCCTACCCTTGACATGTGGGGATTATGGGGATTACAATTCAAGGTGAGACTTGTGTAGGTACACAGAACCAAACTATATCAACACCAACTGTTTCCTTCTATCTAACTGTATTTTTGTATCCATTAACTGACTCTTCATCCTCTCCCTCCCGCTTGCCCTTCCCAGCCTCTGATAACCACCCTCCATGAGACCAACTTTTTTCTTAGCTTCCACATATGTATTAGTCCATTTTCCTATTTCTATAAAGAACTGTCCAAGACTGGGTAATTTATACAATTATGAAAGAAAGAGGTTTAATTGACTCACAGTTCAGAATGGCTGGGGAGGCCTCCGGAAACACAGTCATGGCAGAAGGCAAAGGGGAAGCATGGCACCTTCTTCACAAGGTGGCAGGAGTGAGAAGTGCCGAGTGAAGGAGGAAGGGCCCCTTATGAAACCATCAGATACTATGAGAACTCACTATCATCAGAACAGCATGCAGGAAACCACCCCCATGACTCAATTACCTCCACCTGGTCTCTCCCTTGACCTATAGGGATTGCGAAGATTACAATTCAAGATGAAATTTGGGTGGGGAAACAAAGCCTAATCATATTAACATATAAATGAAACATGCTATTTGTGTTTCCATGCCTGTCTTATTTCACTTAACATAATGTCCTCCAGGCTCATCCACATCTGCAAATGACAGGATTTTCTTCTTTTTATGGCTGAATAATATTTCATTGTATATATTATATATACATATATATTATATATATATAATATATATGTATATATAATATATACAATGAAATATATGTATATATGTGTATACATATGTGTATATATATATGTCTCGAACTCCTAACCTCAAGTGATCTGACCACCTTGGCCTCCCAAAGTGCTCGGATTACAGATGTGAGCCACTGCACCCAACCTCTTTGCCCACTTTTTACTGGGATTATTATTATTTTTAGTTTTGAGTTGCTTGAGTTCTTTATATATTTTGATTATTAATCCCTTGTTAAATGAATAGTTTGCACATATTTTCTCCTATTCTGTAGGTTGTCTCTTCACTCTGTTGATTGTTTCCCTAGCTATACAGAAGCTTTTTAGCTTGATGTAATTCCATTTGTCTGTTTTTGTGTTTGTTGCCTGTGAATAAAGCAATAACACTTCCAGAAGAAATAATCTATGTAACTTTTTATTAAAAAAAAGAAAAGAATTATGACACATTATATTAGCCTATTCTCATGCTGCTGTGAAGAAACGCCGGACACTGGGTAATTTATTTATTTATTTATTTTAATAAAAAGAGGTTTAATTGACTCACAATTCTGCATAGCTGGGGACACCTCAGGAAACTTACAATCGTGATGGAAGTGGGAGCAAACATGTCCTTCACATGGCGGCAGGAGAGAGAAGTGCAGAGCGAAGGTGGGGAAAGCCCCTTATAAAACCATCAGATCTCATAAAAACTCACTCACTATCACGAGAACAGCATGGGGGGAGCAGGGGGAACCAGCCCCATGATCTAATTACCTCCCACATGGTTCTTCCACCAACACATGGGGATTACAATTCAGATTACAATTCAAGATGAGTGGGTGGGGGCACAGCCAAACGATACAGATATTGAAAAGCAATTTATGTAATTGCAAAAACTATCCACTTATAATGGAGTAAATTGTTTATATCTTTGCAAATGAAAATCATTAGTGGATTCTGCCTCTGTGGTTTTTATAAAATTATGTTTTTCTATGTGTAGCATGGAGTACCATGACATGGTTAAAAACAACAGACTAGACACACACACAGCAACATGAATAGAATTTAAAAACAATGCAGGCAAGGCTGCATTACAGCAGTATATTTTAGAAAAGCAAAAAGCCTTGAACAACCCAAGTGTGCATCAAAAAAGGAATTCATTAAAGAAATTATATTCCATACACAGTGACATACTATATAGCTGTAAAAAGAAATGAAAAATATCTCTATATATGATTCTTGATGAACAAAATTCAAGGTAGAGAAAATGGTGCATGATTGCTACCTTTTGTCTAAAAACAAGTAAGGGAATACAAAGCTATTTTACTTTTTAAAAAATGAAAGTATAACCTGAATGCAATAGAGTTATCAAAGTCTACTGGCTCATAACAGAAAGATTCAAAAGTGAACTGAAAGAGGCTTCTATTGGCCATAAAAAAGGGTACAAAATTATCATCAAGAAAATTAATAATAACAATGGATTAAAACACAAAATTTTTTGTAATCCATGAGCTCATCATAATAAAAAAATACATGAATTAAAAAGAAAGAAAAAACTCTCAGCTTGTTTGGAGGAAACTGGTGAACCATCTCTGTCATCTGTAATCTGCTAAATAAATGGAGACAACATTTTACCTGACTTTCTTGTAAAAACCCTAACCACATAGTTGATGAGACTGAGTTCCTCTTTATAAAAATATGCCAGCTAATGAAGATGAAATAATACAGTTAGAATATCACTGTCACCTGAAAACCTTTAATAAAATAATCAATCTAGACAGTTGTCATCAGTGGCTACTACTAATGTCACAAAAAGAGAAACTTCTAGACATTACATGACTCTTGATGAACGTACAAAAGGTTTTTGGCAAGTAGACAGAAATTAAAAATTAAACCTGAACCAAGTCAAGCCTTTAGATTTATCCACAAGACTGCAGAAGTTTCAAGGGACAGAGGAACATGTTAAATGGCATCATAAGATATAATCCTTAAAATTCAGAAGGTGAGAAACTCTACAAGAAAAATTTTCCAGTTTAAGAATAATGACAAATATTGGAAGACAAAAAAGAAGTAAGGAAGAGCATATCTGTAGATTACTAGTAGCCTTACATGACATATCAATCACATGCAATGTGTGGAACTTGCATGGTCATTCAAACAAATCATCTGTTTAAAAATTCTGCCATAATTTGGAAAATTTGAGCTCTGACTTAGATATTTGATGATTAGGGCTTTATCACATTTTCTCAGTATAATGTTGGTACTGTGATTTTTTTTAATAAAACAATTACTCTTAGTGGAACTAAGAAGCAACCTTGATCTATTAACAAGCATAAAATTCTTCCCAAATTTAGGTGACTGTAGTCCTAAGCAATGGTGGCACATGAAGCCCACAGCATACAGAGAACCTCTGTTACTATTTCAGTGTGTTAGCCCTGGTCAAGTTCCAGGACTCGGGTTGTGCTTGTAATAGAAAGAATAACTAGATCCTTTCCTTAAAGCAACAATTCCTAGTACGTAGTCATGAAACGCAGGGGTTTTATGACCAGAAGTATAATTATGGTCATAAGGGCCCCTGAAATAAAGAGAACTTCTAAATTTGGTTTTACACAATGACTGTCAAATTTATTTGACCATGGAACATTTTTTCCCCACATAATAGCTGTTAACATCTTGTGGAACATACTTTGGGAAAGCTGTTTTAGTTATTATATTGCTGCTTACATAAACGAAGGGAGTGAGGAAACTGCTTCGCTTATTTCTGTCATTCTGTCAAAAAATCATGGTTGGCTGGATTTTCAGCTCTGGCCAAATGTCCAAAAAAGGTTAAAGTGTCAATGTAAAGTTTTATCTTGGATTTTGGAATGCTTAGTCTTTACTTGACAGTGAAACCCTACATGAACGAAAGGCAGGCGTCTTGTTTAAGAAGTGAGCAAGACATAAAAGATTAACATAATTTTTACATATGGTTTTCTGAAACTGCTCAATTTGTTAAAATCGACTCAATAGATCTGAGTTTTTGAGGGGGATTCACCAATGTTAAAATTTACCTCTGGCGGTTATTTTATTCATTCATTGATTTGTACTTTATTATTTCACTTTGAGTTTAGATTCTTTATCCATCCATTACCCTCACATGCCCTTCATTTCTTGGTATCAAGTTGTTTTGCTTCTTTTGTGCATTGAGGATACTCGGGGGAAAAAAAAATCCCTGAAAATACAGACATGTGTTTCAAATCTCCCACAGAGTTTGTAGTGGTGTAAGGATGGAAGATTGAGATTTTTGATCTAGCTATAACTGCCTAAATCTTGCTTAACGGCTTTAAACAAAGAGGAGACAAAGCTAAAATTATCCTCTTTATCCACAGCCAACTTGAATTCCTTGACTAGTATCCTGACATCCCTAGTTCTATGGAATATATTAATTTAGTGGTGGGTCAAGGGCCAGGATCATTAATCCTCAGTCATGTAGGAAACATGCCCATTTCCTGACACACAGGATGTGGGGATGAATTGGGTGAAAGTACCAATGAATCTAACATCTATCCATAAGTAGTGTGATAATCCTCAAGTCAATTATCCTATTTTTACATTGGCTTCCTCAAATAAGAGACGAAGATACTTGCTGGCTTTGCTTACCTTTTAATGTTTTTTAGATGAAATGAGATGCTATCCGTGAAAGTTATTTGGAAACTGTGAGGGATTATACATGTGGGCTTTAGTTTAATTTAGCTCATCCTAACTTACTGGGCTGTCACATTTTACAAAGTGGCATTTGATGGTGAAGAAATCCTGAATCATTTATTTGCTGACTCCTCACATTTCTGATGGGCACTTCTTCCTGTGAGTGCTTTGCGCATATCTGTATGTTATCAATGTCATGTTCTCTCACCTTACATATTTCTATTCAAACAATTTTTAAATTATTCAGTGTACTGACAACATGGAATATCATTTATGAAGGTTTTAAATTCAACTTTTAAAGCCAAAATTAATGAAAAGTATACTTTCTCAATTTACAGGATTGTGAATTGGGTTTCTATAATCTTCTTCATTTATGATTTCATTTTTGGAAAAGTAACAAAGTGCTCTCCATGAGTCTAGATTGAATCAGAAATTCTATATTATTTGTAGGGAAAAGTCTTAATATAAGAAATTAATAGGTTTACTAATAAAGAATAAATTGAGAACTTGATTTTGTGAGCAGATATGTATCCCATTTTACATATTTTAAAATCTTATAATCATCCTTGAGTCAAATTACTGTGCACCTTATGATGTTGATTGAAACAATTCTCTTTTAGAATTTACATAATTATGCCTTTACCTATTTTTAGAAAGACTACATAAAAGGTGACTTATGAGGGTTTTTTAAAGAGGTATTTGAATTTGCTAACAGGGTAGTGTTGTCATGTTGCAGATGTTTATGTGACATAAGGCAACTATTTTACTAATAATGTGAGACAGATAAACCCAGTTCCACAATCACATAGTATGAATCACTTTTGAGTCTTAATAGATTTACACTGCTTTTCATTTCAAATATTTCATAAAGCAAAACTAAAATGATGCTGGTAGAGCAACAATAGAACAATATTTCAATCACCTTAACTTCCAGAGCAGCAACACACAGGCCCACCACCCCCCCTGCCCCCGCCGCCACCACACACACACACACACTTTTTTTTGTGGGAATGCACTGATTCAAAAATAGTCATGTGTTTGGAAAGTAGATGTTCCAAAACAAATACTTTATAGCAAGGATTTCATGCTTTTCAATTTATTATGTGTCAAAAAACATCTGTAGAGGTGATTATTTCTCTCGTAATAAACCTAGTAGGAGCAATTGCAGAACTTTAAGTATCCAAGTGGTAATCATTAAGGTTTACATTTAGGATATCAGTCAAATTGCCAGTCTGCTCTAGACAGCAACTCAAAGCCCTAATTCGTTATTAAGAAATTCATCTTTCTTGAAGTTAATACAAAATTAGAGAGCAGTTAAATCCGGGAAAGCTGCCAGTTGTTATTGCCATATTATTGTCCTTTGTATTTGAAAGTACTGCTGAAGCAGATTTCTACCTTGACGAAGGACAAGGGTGAGTGGTTTCGTCTTATGTGCTTATGGTCAGTATTGGATTTTTCACATTTGCCTGCTGCCATTTTGGTCACACTCTGGCTAATTGACAGGTGAGGCAGCTGGGAGTGAAGATTTAGTTATAATCCCCTGGAGAAAGTTCTTTGAGTATCTTTTATAACTTCATATATAATTCTGCTCCTTCACAAAGATTGTGTATTCACCTTCTTAGTAATGAGTCTATACCTCTGAGCCTTTGAAAAAAACAACAGGAAATACAAATTACATGGGTTTCAAAATAGGAGCAGTGGCAAAAGGGCTGATTGAACTTGGGAAAGAAATGGCAAAACTAAGCCTATATTTGGCATTTTAGCAACTGGAAAGTTATTTTGGTAAATATTGGAGTTTGTATACTCACCCGCAACCTGGATACCAGTAGGGTATTGCACTGAAATGTAATTTAAATTTAAAGATCATTACGTTACATTTGACAGGTCAAATTTTGTCAAACATAACAATATTTTTATTAAGCAGAATAAACAAGGAAAGGAAAAGCAAAAGGAAAGGAAATGGTAAAAAAAACCAACATTTATGCAATATCATCAGCCTTCAGTCCTGTGACAGCTCCATGCACTAAAAGATTACTCTTTTGGAGAACTCAGTGGCATTATGATAGCAAACCCAACAATTTCTATTTAGCGTAGATGGAAGAATATAAAGCTAGCAAGGAACTAGGATAGTGTGTCTCAATATATCATCTTTTTCTTAATCTTTTGAAGACTAATTTTTTAAAAAATATACTAAAAATTAATAGTTAATTACTAGAACATTTTTTTTAAATACAAAATACAAGTTCCTAGTAGTTTTCGTTGGTGTGTTTGTTTTGTTAGTATATTTAGAACTCAAAGATATAAAATTACTCTGATAAGTTGTTACAGATGTTTTTTACCCTTAATTTATTTACAGTGTTAACCACTTCACCCACTACCACTGGATTGAACCTTATGTACCACTGACAGAGAAGACCAAAAGCCCCGCCCTTATTATATTAAGCCATTGGGCCAAATTATTATGCTTTGTTCATGTAATAACAATGAATCCACTACAATTTTTCTAACCAACTATGTATCCTGAACACCCTTAATTTTAGCAATAGAAATTAATTTCCAAGATTCCTAATGCAAATTAATAACAAGCCAATGTAGATATGCAAACATTTGAAGTCCCTAAGTAATCTCCTTTGGAGTATTGAGTCTTGGTTAAGGTATTCCACTGCTAACTAATTGTCCATAAGGTATAGATTAAAGTTTACTTACACATCTTACACAGACATAGACATAGAAAACACATATAAAATGTTTATTCTGAAATATTTTAAGGAAAATTATAATACATATTATCAAAGAAAACAAACAAAAAGTCAAAACCAAAATGGTTATTTGAGTTGTGTTTAAAGAAATACTTCCTTCACATAGGTGACCAAATGGTGTAAAACCTTTAAGAAACATATAGCTATATATCTTGCTTGGATCAAGTTAAGCTTTATTTTGAAGCACATTTGCCTATGGTCCATCACCTTCTGAAATTTCCAGTATAGATAATACATGGAGGAGTTCTACATCCAGGATTTTTGTTTCACTAGTACAGAAACAAAGGAGACCTGGGAAGAAGCAAAAGAAGAGTTCCATAGATAGAACAGATCCAAGAGCATACCTCAACTAGGTCTTCTAAACCTGGACTGTGGTTCAAAAATCTCCTGGCTTTTAGTATTTTTGATGAAACCATTTTTGGACAACTCATGTACTTATCAATGAATTTATGTCTTCTATTACAACCATTCTTCATCACGGGAAAATAATTTGTCACAGTAAATGAATAGCTCCACGAAGCTGTAGCCTGTCCTTCTCAAAAGAACTTTAAAAGACCTCTGGAAATGTTACAGTGATTTCAGATTTTAGAAAAGTTTAAAAGTTGCTTGTCTGGATACATCTAATAAAAACTGATGAAATTCCTACATTCTTGTCCATATGTTTACTACTTTGAGTGTTAAATATTTTGTTTAGAAACTCTTTCCTTTTACTAATGTCCTTTGCTGCAGGCTTAATTTTAATAATAGATTCCCTGAAAGCTACAGATAGAGTGCTTCAGATTTTTACATATTTTTAAAAATTAACATTTCATAATAAGTTGATGGTTAAAAAATAAATCTAAACCTAGACTTGATGTTCCACTCTCATAATGGGTAATGTGCCCTGCAGTCTTTTTTTTTTTTTTTTCTGAGTCAGAGTCTTGCTCTGTCACCCAGGCTGGAGTGCAATGGTGCAATCTTGGCTCACTGCAACCTCCACCTCCTGGGTTCAAGTGAGTTTCCTGCCTCAGCCTCCCAAGTAGCTGAGATTACAGGCACCTGCCACCAAACCCATCTAATTTTTTATATTTTTAGTAGAGACGGGGTTTCACCATGTTGGTAAGGCTGGTCTCAAACTCCTGACCTCAAATGATCTGCCCGCCTTGGCCTTCCAAAGTTCTGGGATTACAGGCGTGAACCACCGTGCCTGGCCCCTGTGGTCTTATATTGATCGAAGCCAAAAGAATGACAGAGAATATTTGTTTAGCAAATACTGCTTTGAAGTATAAAATTTACATATTAAAATTAATTGCATTTGCCATCCATTTTTCCTCATGATGATTCACTAGGTCAAAAACTTTCATTTTTACTTAATGTAATGAAATATAGCTCAACTGAGGGCTAAAATTATATATTAAGTTGGTGCCATCATGTTATGGTACAATCTTGTAATATAATATGTTTGCATAATAGTTTATGTTCTCTATAGTTTCATACCTGATGTGAATATACTGAAAATAGTAAGGATTATTTTTATATTCTTATTTTCTATTTGATGATTGTATAAGATGATTATTTGGATGATAAATCTAAATCAATTATTATATAACATTTAAAGCAGGAAATAAAACTCAGTAAAGTCATAAATCATCATATACTTAAACTTTTTTTACAAAACAAATGTGCTTTGATTATGGACAATTTTTTATTATTAATAGGAGAAACTAAATATACATTTTACATCGGGAAGCCAAATTCAGTAAACACTTTTTGTTTATAAAGACACCTTTAATCAATACATAAAATTATCTCAAAATATCAACAATTAGTCATTGTAGCTGAACTATAAAGAGTTGGCATAATTTAGAATACTTGCTAATTGCCCTTTATAGTTGTCCAGATTGAGCTCTCAATATAAATGTCATGCAGCTTATTAAGCATTTAATATAGAAAAATTCAATATTTTGAGACATAATGTGATATTATTACTGTTATGCTGTTACTGGTCTGTATATGAGAGGTTTATAGTCTCTCCAAAAATGCTTTGTATTTCATCCATTTCATTTGTCATTGAGCAATACCTATGGAATAACTAACTACTAAGTGTCAGGCTTGTCTCTCCTACAAAATTTGCATTGTAGGGGATGATGACAATAAACAAGTAAATATATAATTTTAGATAGTGGTAAATGCCATGTAAATGAGTACAAGAATGGTGAATGATGAGAATGGAGTTGTGGGAGATAGAGTGAGGAGTAATATTTGAGCAGAGATATGAATCACATAAAACCGGCAAAGGGAAGGTAATTGTAAACATGATAACAAGAGTAAGGGATGGATTTGTAGCAGCTTCTTGGTAGATTTATATCATGCTCATGAAGAACATGATTGCTATATCTAACTCTTAGCATGCTGATAAGGTGCTAGTTGTTCAGATGTATAAAAATATAGAAGAATGGCAGTGATTTATTGAGATTCTGTTCCTGAGAGCCACTTGTGAAAGTAATCAGTGATAAGTTCCATATCATTCCAAGCTTTTGCAATTTAATTATGGACTTGTGCCAACAATGGAATTTGCATACAAATTGTCCTTCAGTGCTGTATATAAATAATCCAAGTCATTTGAATTGAAAAGCATGATACTAAAATGAAGTTTTGGGAACTCTAATCCCAAGAATAATTCTGGGATTTCTGTTTTGATTTTCAGAGTATCTCCTGATTTTAAGTGGAAGATAAAATCAATAATTTGAGAAGGATATACCATGATAATGCCACTCCCATTAATATAGTAGATTCTCTCTTCTGTTACCTTCTTTTGTGTTCATCCACCCACTGTCTACTTAAACACCTGCTATGTTCATGCATTTAGCATGTTTGCATCTGCTTTCTTATTTTTAGTCCCAAATTCACAATGTGTTAAAACAAAGGAACAAACAAAAACAAAAACGGAGAACTACGTCCCTGTGGTCTGTCAGGTTGCCACACCCTTAAAAACAAAGTGAAGCAAAATACCTCCTTGTCCCAAAATCTAATCTGTGTCAACGTTACCATCATTTTCTCAATCGCTCTCCTAGAAATCTTGGCAAAATTGTTTGTTTGTTTTATTTTATGGAATGCTTCATGGATTTGTGTGTCATCCTTGTGCAGGGGCCATGCTCATCTTCACTGTATCATTCCAGTGTTCTATGTGTGCTGCCTATGTGAACACAGAAATCTTGGCAAAATTGTTGATTCTTCCCTCACCAAAACAAAATCCATTTCAGTCACCAACTCCTGGATACCGTGTTTCACTTCCTCGAACATTAAACTCAGCCTTTTGCATATAAGGTTAGAACCTACACTTGAAATAGGAGTTCAAGGTCTTGGGCCCAGTACCCATGGAGGATGTGACATACTCCTCAGTGGGGGTGGCTTATCCTCAGAGGCGTTGAATGCGGAGGCTAATGTGCCACATGCAAAATAAACTAGGTAATATTAATATTTTGGGGATATGCCCTTTTCTGTGCCTATCCTTCTTCCCTGTCTTGTTGAGAATTTCTAGCATGGTGAAGAAATTGCTTGGAACAAAATCAAGAGACCAGAGTAAACATTACATCTCTGTTGTGTGAGTTTAGGAGAGTTAATTCATCTCTAAACTCGTTTGATTATTGGTAAATTAGAACACCACCCTATTTACCCTTTACAGTTCTCTGGTTGAATAAATACAGTAATAAATATTTTAAAACTTTGAAACAGGTAATATTTTACACATAGAGAAGGCAACAGTATTATTATAGTTAATTAACACTGAGTGAACAAAACCTTAAATAATTTAGTTTTACTACTCTGAGCCTCACATTCTGCATTTTACACTAAATAACTTAAGTTAAAAATGAGTTCTAAAATGATATCCTCTCTCACTTGCAAAACAGAATTGCCTGGTTTGAAGGTAGAATAAAAAAATATAAACATTTCAGGTCACCAAATATAATGATAGCTATGAAACTGATAAAGATTACAGGTTGGGTTTGGGGGGGTCTTATTTTAAAAAGGTGTTTTCTATCTTAAATACCCCATCTTTAGTTAATCACATCTCTAAAATCAGCTTTCTTCTTTAATGAATGACTTCAAATATTTGTATAATTATTAATGAAATTGATAGCTGCTTTGTAGATTTTATTAATACAGGATAGTTTATTTTAAAAATATTAAAAACTACAACATTTCTCCAGATTTTTCGGAGTCAGCAATTAGATATTATCCTTGAAAGTATTACTCACTAAAAGCTAGCAATCATGGTACTATTTTCTGAAATGATTATGCAGAATAGTTGTTTTTCATTGCCATAGTATGATTTTAAGTAGTACAGAATAAAAACAGGTGTCTGGGGCAGTCTATAGTAATGCTACCTCAGAAAATTCTAAGGATACTTGGCCACATACTTCCATAAACATGAAATAGACTATTTAAAATATAACATTTGTGTTTTTTATACTTACTTTCAAAAAACAAAATATTTTGGTTAATGTATAAAGTTGATTATTTATCAAAAGACAGTAAAAATTTCATTCAAATGAGATTTTTGCATGAATAGGTAATTTATAAAAAAACCCCTTTCATTACCAAGACAATAGCTTATCAGTCCAAAATAAAAAATATATAGTAATGTCTGAGCCCTCTTTTATGACATGGAGCATTCCTGGACTTTTAAAAGTAGCACCGAGCAAATATTGTTGCACTCATGTATTTGAAATGTTTGTCATGACTGAGAGAATCATTTAAGTCATCAATTAGGCAGGGATGTAATTGAGTTTTAAAGATAAAAATTATATTAGGCAAAAAATTAATTTTGTTACAAATGTGGAAAAGCAGTATTTGTGCTAGCCCCTGATTCTCATAATAAGATAGTAACGTTCTGTATAAAGGTAAGTCATTGGACAGTATAAAACTATTTTCTACTCCTTGAGCCTACCCATAGGAAGTAGTTAACCATCGGCTTCCTTTAGACCTCTGCACTATAAATACAACTGCCTCTCTAGCACCATCCCAAAATGTGAAATTATGCATCATATGTGTATCTGTGTAGATGCGTATGCATGTGTGTGTGTGTGTATGTGTGTGTGTGTGTGTGTATATATATGTATATATATGTGTGTATATATATATATATACACACATATATATATATATACATACATACATATATATATATATATATATATATATATATATACATACATATATATATATATTTTTTTGAGATGGAGTCTCGCTTTGTCACCAGGCTGGAGTGCAGTGGAGCGATTTTGGTTCACTGCAACCTCCGCATCCCGGGTTCAAGCGATTCTCCTGCCTCAGCCTGCTGAGTAGTTGGGACTACAGGCGCATGCCACCATGCCCAGCTAATTTTTGTATTTTTAGTAGAGACGGGGTTTTACCATGTTGGCCAGGATGTTCTTGATCTCTTGACCTGGTGTTCCATTCACCTTGGCCTCCCAAAGATATGTTTTTTACTGTAATGTTTTTCTTACTGTCCTCTCTGCCTTGCTGCCAAAGCAATAAAAATCCATTTACAATGAAGTTTGTAGCCTCCGTTATTTTTATTGATTTTGAAAATTATTCTTGGGTAGTCACATGATTTTTTTTAAATTATTCTATATTGACAACTTATAATTCTATACATTTATAGATTACAAAATGATGCTATGATTTATTAATACAAGATGGAATAATTAAATCAAGCTAATTATCATATCCACCATCTCAAATACTTATTTTTTGGTTGAGAACATTTGAAATTTACTCTCAGCAATTTGGAAATGTACAATACACTGTTGTTAAGTACATTCACCATATCGTGCAGTATATCTAAAAATAAAATTTCTATTTCACGGAGATTTTGTACCCTTTGACCATCATCTTTTCATTCCCAACCACCATTCTACTCTTGGCTTCTATGAGTTCAGTAGTTTTAGATTTCACATACAAGCGAAAACATGTGGCACTTGTCTTTCTGTGCCTAGCTTATTCCACTTAGCGTAATGTTCTCCAATCCCATCCATGTTGCTGCAAATGACAGAAGTTCCTTCTTTCTAAAGGCTGGGTGGTATTGTATTTAATATATATATTAAATATATATATAATATTTTCTTTATCCATTCACCTGTTGATGAACACTTAGGTTGATTCCATGAAATGGCTATTGTGAATGCTGCTTCAATGAACAGGGGAGTATAGATGGCTCTTTGACAATCTCATTTCAAATCTTTGAGTAATACCCAGACGTGAGATTGCTAGATCATATGGTAATTCTATTTTTTTTAGAAACTCCATACAGTTTTTCATAACAGCTGTACTAATTTACATTTCTGCCAACAATGTACAAAGATTCCCTTTTCACCACATCCCCACCAACACTTATCTTTCATCTGTCAGGATGACAGATGTGAAGTGATACTTCATTGTGGTTTTAATTTTGCATTTCTCTAATAATTAGTGAATTAAGCATTTTTTAAATATGTCTTTTGGTCATTTGTATGTCTTCTTTTGAGAAATGTCTATTCAGCTCTCCTGCCCATTTTTTTTTCTTTTTTCTTTTTTTTCAGAGACAGTCTTGCTCTGTCTCCCAGGCTGGATTGCCGATCTTGGCTTACTGCAACCTCCGCCTCTCGGGGCTCAAGCGATTTTCATGCCTCAGCCCCCAAATAGCTGGGACTACAGGCATGCACCAACACACCGGACTAAGTTTTTGTATTTTTAGTGGAAACGGGGTTTCATCATGTTGGCCAGGCTGCTCTCGAACTCCTGAGCTCAGGCAATCTGCTCGCCTCAGCCTCCCAAAGTGCTGGATTACAGACATGAGCCACCACACCTGGCTTCTTGCCCATTTTTTAAGTTGGGTTGTTTGTTATCTTGCTATTGAGTTGTTTGAGTTCCTCATAAATTTTGTGTATTAACCCCTTATCAGATATATGGCTTGCAAATATTTCCCCCCAATCCATGTGTTGTGTGTCCACACTCTTGCTTCTACGTGACATTTTTTATAAAAAGTTATTGTTCTTAAGTACAAATAGTAATATTTCAGTAAAAGTGAAAGTTACATCAAAGACATATTTTCAATAGGCTTTCCTTGCAAGTAATTGAAGGGATGAGCCAAAGTTGCTTAAGACTGCATCCTTCAAATATCCTTTAATAGGTTTAAAAATTATGGACAACTTTGCATGTAATCAGGGAATGGGGGCAATAGAGAATATATTTGATTAATTGGGCAATAGAGAATATATTTGATTAATTATGTATTCTTTATTTTTCCCATATCTGGCTTAGTCTTCCTTGTATTTCTAGAGGCAATGTAGCCTCAGATGTCTAAAAGTGAATTTTCAGGAAATTTTAACTGATAGACTTCAGGTAAGGACAATTGAATGCACCAATCTAGAGCAGTATGCCTGGTAAGTGTATAAGTGGTCCCTAAAACACTAGTTGGAAGATGCTATTTTATAATTCAGTAAAAGTCAATTATAATATAATTCACTGTCATAGTCCTTGATTACTACTTCCTGCTTGATACTACTTCCTCATATACTTCTTTTATAGCCACTTGGCAACAGGAATAAATAGCTTTCTTTTCCAGTTTACAATACTTGTAGGTCTTTCTGCCATTTTGTTTTCCACTGAAATCTCTGACGTTGGTATAGGATCAGTCTCTCCAACTCAGTTTCCACTTTTCATTTTTCTGTGTCAGATCAGGACCTTGTCTTTCAGTGGTGAGAGTGATAACAACCTAGGACAAGACTGATAAAGAAATCTTCCCATGGTCCTTCCTCTACCAACGTTCTAATTCTTTTTACGGACACATACCCAATAGCTATTTTACTCCTTATTGTGCATCCCCAGCTGCTTCACTAACAAATATGTACCCATGCATGCATGCACACAAACACACATTCTATTCCTTTTTAAAAAAACTTATTTTAGGCTCAGGGGTACATGTGGAGGCTTCTATATAGGTAAATTGCATGTCACAGGAGTTTGGTTTACAAATTACTTCATCACCCAGGTAATAAGCATAGCACCCAATAAGTAGTTTTTTGATCTTCATCCTTTTCCCAACCTCTACCCTCAAGTAGGCCTCAATGTGTGTTGTTCCCTTCTTTGTGTCCACATACTCAATGTTTAGCCTCCACTTATACATGAGAAAATGCAGTATTTGGTTTTCTGTTCCTGTGTTAGTTTGTTTAGGATAATGGCCTCCCACTCTATCCATGGTACTGCAAAAGATATGATCTCATTTTTTTATGGCTGCATGGTATTCCATGGTATATAGGTATCACATTTTCTTTATTCAGTCTACCATTGATGGGCATTTATGTTGATTCCATGTCTTTGCTATTGTGAATAGTGCTGTGATAAACATATGCATATGTGTCTCTTTATGGTAGAACAGTTTATATTTCTTTGGGTATATACTGAATAATGGGATTGCTGGGTCAAATAGTAGATCTATTTTAAGTTCCTTGAAAAATCACCAAACAGCCCTTCACAATATTTGAACTAGTTTATATTCCCAGCAGCAATGCATAAGTGTTCCCTTTTCTCCACAACCTCGCCAGCATGTGTTTTTTTTTTAACTTTTTAATAACAGCCATTCTGACTAGTGAGAGATGGTATCTCATTGTGGTTTGATTTGCATTTCTGTAATCATTAGTGATATTGAGCTTTTTTTCATGTGCTTGTTGTCCATGCATATGTCTTCTTCTGAAAACTGTTCATGTCCTTTGCCCCCTCATTAGTGGGGTTGTTGTTTTTATGCTTGTAAATTTGTTTGAGCTACTTACAGACTCTGGATATGAGACTTTTGTTGGTTGTATAGTTTGCAAATATTTTCTCCCATTCTTTAGGTTGTGTCTTTACTTTGTTGATAGTTTTTTGTTTTGTTTTGTTTTGTTTTGTTTTGCTATGCAGAAGCTCTTTGGTTTAATTAAGTTGTATTTGTCAATTTTTGTTTTTGTTGCAATTGCTATTGGTGGCTTTGTCTTGAAGCCTTTGCTGGGTTCTATGTCCAGAATAGTATTTCCTAGGTTATCATTCAGGGTTTTTATAGTTTTTGATTTTAGACTTATGTGTTTAATCCATCTTGAGTTAATTTTTGTATATGGTGTAAGGAAGGGGTCCGGTATCAATCTTCTTCATATGGCAAGTCGGTTAACCCAGCACCACTTATTGAATAGGGATACTTTCCCCATTGCTTGTTTTTGTGGATTTTCTCAAAGATCAGATGATTGTAGGTGTGGGGAATTATTCATAGTCTCTCTATTTTGTTCCATTGGTCTCTATGTCTGTTTTTGTATCAGTACCATGCTGTTTTGGTGAATGTAGCCTTGTAGTATAGTTTGAAATTGGGAAATGTGATGCCTCCAGCTTTGTTCTTTTGCTTACAATTGCCTTGGCTATTGGAGATCCTTTTTGGTTCCATATGAATTTAAAATTTTTTTTTCTAATTCTGTGAAGAATGTCTTTGGTAATTTGATAGCAATAGTATTAAATCTGTAAATTGCTTTGGGCAGTATGGCCATTTTTACAATATTGATTCGTACTGTCCATGAGCATGGAATATTTTTCCATTTGTTTGTGTCATCTCTGATTTATTTGAGCAGTGTTTTCTAATTCTCATTGTAGAAATATTTCACCACTTTGGTTAACTGTATTCCTAGGTATTTTATTCTTTTTGTTGCTATTGTGAATGGAATTGCAGTCTCAATTTGGCTCTCAGCTTGGATGTTGTTGGTGTATAGGAATGCTACTGATTTTTGTACATTGATTGTATATCCTGAAGCTTTGCTGAAATTGTGTATATGATCAAAAAGCGTTTGAGCACACACTATGAGGTTTTTGAGGTATAGAATCACATCATCAACAAACAGGGATAGTTTGGTTTCCTCTCTTTCTATTTGAATGTCTTTTATTTCTTTCTCTTGCCAGATTTCTCTGGCTAGGATTTTCGGCACTATGTTAAATAGGAGTGGTGAGAGAGGACATCCTTGTCTTCTTCCAGTTTTCAAGGAGAATTCTTCCAGCTTTTGCCCATTCATTATGATGTTGGCTGTGGGTTTTTCATAGATAGCTTTTATTATTTTGAAATATGTTCCTTCAATGCCTAGTTTGTAGAGGGTTATTAAATGAATGGATGTTGAATATTATTTAATGCCTTTTCTGTATCTATTGATATAATCATGTTGTTTTCTGTCTTTAGTTCTGTTTATGTGATGAATCACACTTATTGATTTGTATATTGAACAAAACTTGCATCCTAGGGATAAAGCCCACTTGATCATGGTGGATACACTTTTTGATGTACTGCTGGATTTGGTTTGCTAGTATTTTGTTGAGGAATTTTGCATCTATATTCATAAATGATATTAGCCTGAAGTTTTATTTTTTTGTTGTGTCTCTGCTAAGTTTTTATGCAGGATGATGCTGCCTTCATAGAATGAGTTAGGGAGGAATCTTTTCTCCTCAATTTTTTAGAATAGTACCAGCTCTTCCTTATATATCTGGTAGAATTTGGCAGTGAACCTGTCTGTTCCTGAGCTTGTTCTGGTTCATAGGCTTTCTATGACTGATTCAATTTCAGAATTTGTTATTGGTCTGTTCAGGTATTCAGTCTCTTCCTGGTTCAATCTTGGGATGGTGTATGTTTTCAGAATAATTTTCTAGGTTTCTAGCTTGTTTGCATAGAAGTATTTCTCTAAGGGGTTTGTATTTCTGTGTGGCCAGTTGTAATGTCCCCTTTGTCATTTCTGAATGTGGTTTTTTTTTTTTTTTTGGATCTTGTCTCTTTTTAAACTTACTAGTCTAGCTAGCAGTGTATTTGTCTTATTAATTCTTTCAAAGAAGGTTTATGTTTTGTAGGGTTTTGTGTCTCAATTGCCTTCATTTCAGTTCTGATTTTGGTTATTTCTTGTCTCCTGCTAGCTTTGGATTTCATTTCCTCTTATTTCTCTGGTTCCTCTAGATATGATGTTGGGTGGTTAATTTCAAATCTTTCTAACTATTTTATATGGGTGTTTAGCACTATAAACTCCCCTCTTATCACTGCTTTGGATGTATCTCAGAGATTCTGGTATGTGGTATTTTTTTCTCATTAGTTTCAAATAATTTCTTGATTTCTGATTTAATTTTATTGTTTACCCAGAAGTCATTCAGGAGCAAGTTGTTTAATGTCCATTTAATTGTATTATTTCGAGTGATTTTCTTAGCATTAATTTCTATTTTTACTGCATTTTGGTCTGTATTAGTCCATTTTCATGCTGCTATGAAGAAATAAAAGAGACTGGTTAATTTATAAAGGAAAGAGGTTTAATTGACTCAAAGTTCCACATGGCTGGAGAGGCCTCAGGAAACTTATAATCATGGTGGAGGGCACCTTTTCACAGGGCAGCAGGATAGACAATGACTGCTGAGCAAATGGGGGAAACCCTTATGAAGCCATCAGATCTTGAGAGAACTCGCTCACTGTCACAAAAACAGCATAGGGGAAACTGCCCCCATGATTCAATTATCTCCACCTGGTCCCACCCTTGACATATTGGGATTCTTACAATTCAAGATGAGATTTGGTTGGGACAAAGACGCAGCCATATCATTCCACCCTGGCCCCTCCCAAATCTCATGTCCTCACATTTCAAAACACAATTATGCCCTTCCAACAGTCCCCCAAAATCTTAATTCATTCCAGCATTAGCCCAAAAGCTCAAGTCCAAAGTTTCATTTGAAGCAAGACAAGTCCCTTCCACCTATGAGCCTGTAAAATCAAAAGCAAGTTAGTTACTTCCTAGATACAATGGTGATATAGGCATTGAGTAAACACACCCATTCCAAATAGGAGAAATTGGCCTAAACAAGGGCTACCGGCCCCATGCAAACTTGAAATCCAATAGGGCAGTCATTAAACCTTAAAGTTCTAAAATAATCTGCTTTGAATCCATGTCTCACATTCAGGTCACACTGATGCAAGAAGTGGGCTCACATGGCCTTTGGCAGCTCCACCCCTGTGACTTTTCAGGGTACAGGCCCCCTCCCAGCCGCTTTCACAGGCTGGTGTTGAGTGGCTTTTACAGGCACATAGTGCAATCTGTGTGGATCAACCATTCTAGGGTCTGAAGGATGGTGGTCCTCTTCTCATAGCTCCCCTAGGCAGTGCCCCAGTGGAGACTCTGTGTGGGGGCTCCAAACCCACATTTCCCTTCTGCACTGCCCTAGCAGAGGTTCTTCATGAAGGCTCCACCCATGCAGCAGACTTCTGCCTAGACATCCAGGTGTTTCCATACATCCTCTGAAATCTAGGTAGAAGTTCCCCAACCTCATTTCTTGACTTCTGTGCACCTGCAGGCCCAATACCACCTGTAAGCTGACAAGGCTTGGGGCATGCACACTGTGAAGCAATGGCTCAAGCTGTACCTTTGCTTCTTTCAGCCACAGCTGGAGCTGAAGCAGCTGGCATGTAGGGGACCATGTCCCAAGACTGCACAAAGCAGCAAGGCCTTGGAACCAGCCAATGAAACCATTTTTCCTCCTAGGCCTCTGAGCCTGTGATGGAAGGAGCTGCTGTGAAGACCTCTGACATGCCCTGGAGACATTTTTCCCCATTGTCTTGGCGATTAACATTTGGCTCCTCATTTCTTTTTTCTTTCCTTTTTTTTTTTTTAAGACAGAGTCTTGCTCTGTCACCCAGGTTGCAGTGCAGTGATGCAATCTCGGCTCACTTCAAGCTCCACCTCCTGGGTTCATGCCATTCTCCTGCCTCAGTCTCCCCAGTAGCTGGGACTACAGGAGCCCGCCACCATGTCCAGCTAATTTTTTGTATTTTTAGAAGAGATGGGGTTTCACCATGTTAGCCAGGATGGTCTCAATCTCCTGACCTCATGATCAGCCCGCCTCCGCCTCACAAAGTGCTGGGATTACAGGCATCAGCCACCGCGCCTGACCAGTTCCTCATTTCTTATGCAATTTCTGCAGCAGGCTTGAATTTCTCCTCAGAAAATGGGTGTTTCTATTGTATCACTTTGTGGGGCTGCAGATTTTCTAAAATTTTATGCTCTGCTTCCATTTTAAACATAACTTCCATTTCCAAAACATATTTTTGTGAATACATAACACTGAATGCTTTTAAGAGCACCAAAGTCACATGTTGAATGCTTTGCTGCTTAGAAATTTCTTCCACCAGATACCCTAAATCATCTCTCTCAAGTTCAAAGTTCCACACGTCTCTAAGGTAGGAACAAAATGCCTCCAATCTCTTTGCTGGAGCATAGCAAGAGTCACCTTTATTCCTGTTCCCAACAAGTTCCTCATCTCCAACTGAGACTACCTCAGCCTGGACTTCATTGTCCATATCACTATCAGTATTTTGGTCAAAGCCATTCAACAAGTCTTTAGGAAGTTACAAACTTTCGCACATCTTTATGTCTTCTTCTGAGCTCTCCAAACTGTTCTAACCTTTGCCTTTTACCCATTTCCAAATTTGCTTCCACATTTTTTGGTATCTTTACAGCAGCACCCCACTCCTGGTACCAATTTTACTGTATTAGTCTCTTCTCATGCTGCTATGAAGAAATACCCAAGACTAGGTCAGGCTCAGTGGCTCATGCCTGTAATCCCAAAACTTTGGGAGGACAAGGCAGGTGGATCACCTGAGGTCAGGAGTTCGAGACAAGCCTGGCCAACATGCTGAAACCCCATTTCTACTCAAAATACAAAAATTAGCCAGGCATAGTAGTTCACACCTGTAGTCCCAGCTACTTGGGAGGCTGAGGCAGGAGAATTGTTTGAACCCAGGATGCAGAAGTGGAAGCGAGCTGAGATCACCACTGCACTCCAGCCTGGGTGACAGAGCAAGACTCCATCTCAAAAAAAAAGAAAGAAAAAAAGAAAAACAGAAAAAAGAAATACCCAAGATTGGGTCATTTATAAAGAAAAGAGGTTTAGTCAACTCACAGTTCCACATGGCTGGGGAGACCACAGGAAACTTACAGTCATGGTAGAAGGCACCTCTTCACAGGGTGGCAGGATAGAGAATGAGTGCTGAATGAAAGGGGAAACATCTTATGAAACAATTAGATCTCATGAGAGTTCACTCAGTATCACAAGAACAGCATGGGGGAAACTGCCCCCATGATTAAATTATCTCCACCCAGTCCTGCCCTTGACACGTGGGGATTGTTACAATTCAAGGTGAGATTTCAGTGGGGACACAGAGCCAAATCATATAATGGTCCAAAATTGTGGTTGGTATAATTTTGGGTTTTTTCATTTGCTGAGTGTTGTTTTATGCCCAACTGTTTGGTCATCTTTAAAGTGTGTGTCATGTGCAAATGAGAAGTATGTACATTCTGTTCTTTTGTGGTGGAGAATTTTGTAGATGTCTATTAGGTCCATTTCTTCAAGCTTTTGGTTAAGGTCCTGAAATATCTTTGTTAGCTTTCTGCCTCAATGATCTGTCTAATACTCTCAGTGGAGTGTTAAAGTCTTCCATTATTCTTTTGTGGTTATCTATGTCTCTTTGTAGGTCTCTAAAAACTTGCTTTATATATCTGGCTGCTTCTGTGCTCTGTGTGTATATATTTAGGATAGTTAGGTCTTCTTTTGAATTGAGCCCTCTACCTTTATGTAATGCCCTTCTTTGACTTTTTTATGTTTATTAAAGTCTGTTTTGTCTGAAATTAGAATAGCAACCTCTGCTTTTTTCTGTTTGCTGTTTGCTTGGTAGATTTTTCTCCATCCCTTTTCTTTGAGCCTATGGCTGCCACTTCATGTGAGATGGGTCTTTTGATGACAGCACATTGTTAGATTTTGCTTCTTTATTCAACTTGCCACTCTGTGCCTTTTAATTGGGGCATTTACTCTATTCACATTCAAGGTTAGTGTTGATATGTGTGGATTTGATCCTGTCATCAGGTTGTTAGCTCGTAATTATGCAGACATGTTTGTGTGGTTGCTTTATAGTGTCACTAGTCTATGTACTTAAATGTGCTTTTGTAGTGGTTGGTAACAGTTTGTCCTTTTCATAACTGCTACTTCCTTTAGGATCTCTTGAAAGGCAGGTCTGATAGTAATGAATTCCCTTAGCGTTTGCTTTTCTGAAAAGGATTTTATTTCTCCTTCACTTCGAAAGCTTAGTTAGACCATATATGAAATTCTTGGCTGAAAATTCTTTTCTTTAAGAATGCTGAATTCCCCCAATCTCTTCTGCTTGTAGGGTTTCTGATGACAGGACTAGTGTTAGTCTGATGGGGTTCCCCTTGTAGGTTAGCTGACCCTTCTTTCTAGCTGCCTTTGACATTTCTTCATTATGACCTTTGAGAATCTTGTGTAGTATTTTGGAGGGGTTCTCTAAATTTTCTGAATTTGAATGTTGACCTCTCTAGCAAAATTGGGGAAATTTTCATGGATGATATTCTGAAATATGTTTTCCAAGTTGCTTGGTTTCTCTCCCTGTCTCTCAGGCATGCCAATAAGTCATAGACTGGGTCTCTTTCCAGAATCCCATCTTTCTCAGAGGCTTTATTTATTTTCCTTGTGGTTTTTTATTTTCCTTTTTCTTTGACTGAGTTATTTTGGAGAGCCAGTCTTCAAGCTGTGACTTTTTTTCCTCAGCTTGGTCAATCCTGTTGTTAATACTTGTGATTGCATTATGAAATTCTTCTACCATGTTTTTAAGCTCTATCAGATCAGTTTGTTCATATAATGTCCATTTTGTCTATCAGTTCCTATACTGTTTTATTGTAAACCTTAGATTCCTTGAATTGGGTTTTGACTTTCTCCTATATGTCAGTAATCTTCATTCCTATCTATATTCTGAATTTTATTTCTATCATTTCAGCCATCTCAGCCTAGTTAGGAACTGTTGCTGGGGAACTAGTGTGGTCATTTGGAGGTAAGAAGCCACTTTGGCTTTTTGAGCTGCCAGAGCTCTTGTGCTGGTTCTTTCTCATCTTCGTGGGCTGATGTTGCTTCAGTTTTTGAAGTTGATGACCTTTGGATTTCTTTTTCTTCTATCCTATTTGATGTCCTTGGGGGGTTGATTATGGCATAAGGTGGGTTCAGTTGACTGGTTTCATTTTTGAAGGACTTTAGGGGGCCAGGGCTCAGGTCATAACTCCTGAACTGTGTGCTCTAACTCTAGGGGGCCAGTATGGGCCCCAGCTTTATTCTGTGGCCCCTGGAGGTTAGGAACCTAACTCACTGGAGGGGCCTGAATTGTTTCCAGACAGCTGGCTAGAACTCTCTGATGGGTGGTGCCAGCCTCAGCACTTCATAGGGCAGTGGCAGCAGGATTGGTCCTTATTTGTTATGTGCCAGCAGCAGCGGCAGTGCTGCAAGTTGCATGCTCATCAGCTATGGCTGAGTGTTGATGGGAACAGATGTGCTGGCCTTTGTTGGGGCACTTGCAACAGCAGTGTTGGCAGGGCACCACTATGTGGAGATGCACGGGGCCTCGCCAGTGTCCGTGCATGCATTTGCATGGGCAAAAATGTTAGCATAGGGATGTGGCACTGGCAGGCATGGGACTGTGTGTCCTGTGTTCATGCATTAACGTAGATGGCAGCTGCTGCTGGGGTTGGGGGCAGATCAGTTGGTCTACTTTTGTAGTTTTGCACCAGTGGCAATATTGGCATAGGGGTGGGGTGCAGGTGGGTGTGGGGCTGACAGTCTCCAGTTTCCATGCTAGCCAATGCTCCAATAGCAATGGCAGCACTGTTGGGGGAGTGTTGGAGGGTTGGGGTTCACTCACACTGGCAGCTGTGTCACAGCATGGTGCACACGCATCTGGCAGGGAAGGGAAGGCAAGGTCTACCCAAGCTTACCTGCCTCAGCAAAGCAATGTAGGGGGGTGGTTGTGGACAAGTGCGTGCCAGCAAAGCAACTCAGGGGAGACTGTGGTAGGAGAAGGGCATAGGTGGACAGGTGCATGTTTGCAGGGACACTCTATTGGGGCACCCTACTGGAGCTGTTTACTGGTCAAGTACAGTCTGTCAGTGCAGGAGCTATGATGCGTGCCACCAGGAGGCTACCACAACCTAGATTTCTGAGGCTGCACTGCAATCAGGCCTAGCTGGGGTCACAGGAGAGGCCAGCAGACCAAAGGTGCTCTGGTCGGACTGGCCCAGCCTCATGAGCAAGATCACCCTGCAATGTTCAGGTCCAACAGTTTTCTTAGGCCTTAAGTTTCCTAAGGGTGCAAGGCAGCCCTGGGGGATGGGTGTCCCTAGTAGTGCTCCACTCCAGATGCTCCCACACCAAACTCTCTGGGTTCCACAATGGCTGGAGTTCTGCCCATACTACTTCTCTAAGCAGCTCTCTCTGCCAGCTCAGTTGTCCATGGGGTTCATGTAGTCTCCTGCTGGCAGGATTCCAGGGGCCCCCAGGGAGAATGTGTTGCTCCTTGCCTGCTCAACCCCCACCCCCCCCCCCCGCTTCTCCAGGAGTCATTGAGGGCTAGAAATAACTCCCTTTGCAGGGTTCCCTGCTTCCTGCCCCTTTGACCCAGTATCTGTGTCTTCCCTCTCTCCATTTTCAATGGATCTTCCCTCTGAAGATCTGCTAGAAGTATGCCAGTCTTCCCAATGTCCCCATCTCTCATGGGGATGCTGTACATGTATAACAACAATTTGTTTCCAACATACCATAAATTGTGCATTTCAGTTGCCTAATGAATGAAAAGACTTATAGGTGGGCCGAGGACATAATTATAATATACAACATTTTTCTACAGTAAAAACCATTCTGCATTCCAAAATAAACCTTTGGGACACATTCCGCATTTGAAATCAGTCTTGTAGCAGTTCAAATCATGACCCTATAATTGTTATAACTTCATTAGTACTGATCCATCACAACACAGACTATGCAGGCTATATTAGTCTGTTGTTTGGAATGAGATTTGCCAGGGAATTTCTTTGTGTTTCCATTGTAAAATGCAATCAAAAACAAAGCTGGAGTTTCTTTTTTGTTGATTTGGGCAAGGTGTTCTGTGTCGTGATACTTTTAAGGATAAAGCCATTTGGAGTGAACCATGTATTGTACCAGATCATTGGAGAGTTTTTAAGTGTCAGCAGGTTGAAAAAAAATATTAGAGGACTGACCTGGCTTTTAAGAATTTTTTTTTAATTTTTCATTTTTATAGAGATGGGGTCTTACTGTGTTGCCCAGGCTGACCTGGAACTCCTGTCCTCAAGTGATCCTCCTGCCTCAGCCTCCCAAAGTTCTGGGATTACAAGCATGAGCCACCGTATGGCTGGCCTGACCTGGCTTTATAGTTCTTAAAACACAAAATAATGTCAAATGTTTTTCAGTTGACTTGGGGATAGACCTTGCTAATATAAAATGAAATAAGCTTAAATATTCATTGTTTAAATACCATTTACATGTTCACTTTTAGTTTTATGAATGAAGATATTTCAAGCATACCAAAGTATGAGCATTTTCTTTTGCTTTTTTATTAATGTGGATGCATTCTTAAATTGGACTTACCAAGAACAAAAACAATTGTGATATTTTTATCATTACATTTTAAAATTTTTATACTGAAACTTTGGAGTGAAGTTAGAGAGGCAATAAACCAAGACTCTAAGAAGAAAAAATTTTGCCTGCTAAATTATCTAGATATTTTGGACAACAGTGGCTTTTCTTCAGTTTAATAATCTTAGTAAGTGTTTTATGTAGAAGCCTTATACCTATGAGGTTTATTAACCTTCAATAATTTTAAACTCCTTCATAACTATCCTAATAGATTGCTTTTCCCTTTTAAATTTAGAGTGGTATATCTCTAGTTTTAAAAAAAATGGATTGAATTTAGGTTAGATTATTATGTCCCTTTTACCCATATATATTTTTCCTTTCATTATGCTGAATTTGGTGTGACTTCCTGCTTTGTATGAAGAACATCTAATTTGTAAGAGTTAGGTAATTAAAGAAACTAATAGGATATATGCTCTTATTAGACTGTATTAGCCATTGGTACATTATTAAAAATTTTGATATACTTGAGATTGTTTTCAACTTTGGGTTCATAGTTCATATTTTCAGATAATAAAATTTCAGGTACCTACTATGATGCCTGGCATGTACTGAGAACTCATTTTCTCTTCTCAATGGAAGGAAATATCATAACTATAGGAACAACTCTAACATTTAGTTTGAGACCAAGGCTAACAATGAAAAATGAAACTCAATAATAATATCCCATCTGTACAATAGTAGGGGAAAGGAAATAATAAAAAAGCTATTTTCAATTGAGCTAGAGAATATTATAAACCATTTACATTTATCTCTGTCATTTTCTCTGAAATAGCAATTATTCTCTTTAGTTTTAAATCTTCTAATGATCTGCAAATGTTTAATATATTTTGTCTTTCTTATTCCATTTCTTATACAAAACATGCAATACCACAAAGATTTTGAAGAAACAGCACAGATATTAAAGCATGATTAAAAAGATTGTCTATACTCTCTAATATTATGAATAAAATATTGAAGGGATAGAAATTGTCATGTAAGTAAAAATTTTCAGCTATGGAAAAACTAACAAACCAGGGCATCTTCAATGAGCTTTATGGCTTTCCTATTTAAAATAGGCAAATTGGGAATTATTAGGGGAAGGAGAATTTTACTGCCTCATAATTTATAGACTGTCTAGTCTAGATCAAATGCATGCAGTGATTTTGTGTAGTACTCTGGCCACCTGAAAATGAGATGGGCCTCTAGATCATCAGAAATCAAAGACACAATTTCTACCTAAAAAGGGAATGGAGGCTGTTCTGGCAGGCTAGATTAGATATGTCTGTCACCTGTTTTGTGTCTGTGGCTCTTAGCAGAATCAATCAACTTTCTTGTGATTTATTTCTCATTTTTGAGGTGAGCCAAGCAGAAACTATTTTTGAAAAAGGAACTTAACAACACAGCCCTATAATACTTTCCTGTCTATTCCTCAACTTATCCACCATCCAATCAATTAACCTAAGGTACATTTGCGGTTACTCATTAAAATATCTTACAGCATATGGGTAGATTTCCTTCTCTTCTAATTCCTCACAGACTGCTTTGCTTAACTACTTTCCTACTTATTTGATGAAGATAAGGTCTGAAGTCAGTTGTCTACTGATGATGTAAGATTCCTGAATAATTCCACAACTAGAAAACAATATCAAAAGGAGATTATTCATAGTTTTATTTCTTATGGAGTATAGCTAATTTGTAAACTATAAGTAAATAGTAAAATAATTTGGTTGTCTTGTTACCAAAAGAAATCCCAAATTATAAGATGCACTTAGCAAATATTTTATAGGGAAGCATAAAATTTAGACCTAGAGGAGATGTTATTTGGTCCTACACCCATTGTTTTGGACTGAATGTTTGTCCAAAACTCATATATTGAAATCTTAACCCCCATGGTGATTACATTAGGAGGTGGGGCTATTTGACAGGTAATTAAATTATGAGGGTGAGACCCTCATGAATGGGATTGGTACCCTTATAAAAAGAAACATTATTTTCCTCTTGGCCATGTGTGGATATAATGAGAAGATGGCCATTTGCAAGCCGGGAAGAGTGCCCTTACCAGGCACCGGATCTGTTGGTTTAATCTTGGACTTTCTGACTCCAAAAATGTGAGAAATACAGATTAATCTATGGTATTGTTATAGCAGCTTTAAGTAACTAAGCCACCTTCCTTTTATAGATGAGAAAAAATGAGGTCCAGAAATGATTTGTGCAAGACCACTTAATGAATAAGTGTTGGGATGGTAACTAAAACTTGTTTACCTGACTGAAAACCTAGTGTTCTTTCTACTACAGCATTTGTGATTTATTTATTTAGCATACGTTTCATGGCCTTGTATGTTAAAAACACATTGCTTTAGACGTGGAAGAAGATATAAGAGGGGAGAAGATATAAAATGAATAGGAAACACTCTCTCCTGGGAAGCTTGTAACATAATAGAAAATATAAAACAGGTCCACAAATTACAGTTTGGCCTGTTATAATGCGCAAAGTACTAAAGAGAAATGAGCAAGATGTGGAAGTTCAGAGCAGAGAGAAGACTTCCGGCTCAAAGATCATAGGAAGGCCAACTACAGAATAATTTTAAGCCTGAAGGTTGGACAGAAATTCCATGGATAATAGCAAAGGGAAGGCATTCTTATCCATAAAGTTTAATTAGTTGCAAACAAGAAAGGGAAAGTTGGAGAAGCTGGCCAGAAAAATACAAGAACAGGATAATTCTGCATGTCCAAGAGGGAGAAATTATGGGTAATTTCTTCAGAGTGTCGCTTTCAAGATGAAGCCAGTTGCATTCGCATTCTTTGGGCACTCTGCTTCTATAGCCATTTCCTGGAAGAAACATTTTGATTGACTAAGTAAGGGCAGAGTAGCTCAGCACAAAGACCCACTACATGTACTGAATGATATAGCTACTCAATAAAAAACAAGAAAAAGAAAGAAAGAAGAAAGGAAGAAAGAACAGAGAAAGAAAGAAAGAAAGAAAGAAAGGAAGGAAGGAAGGAAGGAAGGAAGGAAGGAAGGAAGGAAGAAAGGAAGGAAGGAAGGATCTTCTACCAAAAGAACGTGGTACAAGATAAAGAGCAAAGTTGAATGCAAAAAGTAAAGCACAAACTAAAATTAAATATTCACCACAGTATTTTGTTGAGTGTGATTGAAAAACAAACAAAAATAAATAAGATGATTAGAACATTAGAGTAGTTTGCTTTGACTGAAGCACAGGATGAGTAGATTACATCAAAATGAGCCAAACCCTGGTGGTCATCCCCACCTTTCCCCTCTCTATTTAACCCCTACTATCCCAATTAGTGAACTGCTTTCTCCAGTTTACACTGATAAAAGTTTATAAGGTACGCTTTCATTCCAGAAGCAGTTGACTCAAGGGGAGGGGAAGGTTGAGCTGATGGTCATGTCTGAGTGAGAGATGACACTACTTTACTAGATGGGACTACTAGCAACCAGACACTTGGCACAAACATTATAGACCCTAGCATGTTTCTCCCTCAAATTTTGAAAGAGTGGCATTTGCTACAATGCTGGAGCTAACAAATTGCCTTAAGGAATATACCAAGGAGATTATGTCTCTCCAATCCAAGCAGCATCTTCTTCCTTTGTTTCCTCAGTCTACGTATTCAAGTAATAGAAATGACAAAGCAGTCAATTTCTACTGAGGGCATTCCTGAAAATGATGGAAACCTTAGAAATGCAGCCCAGTTTTGAACGTTGGGACTTGGTGTTTTCTCCTCAAATAGACCATAGGTGTTGCTCCCCAGTGCTTCCCTCACTCCCCACCCCACCATTGTTCTAAGCCCAGTACCATACTCTTTGTGTGAGCTTCACTTGCCTCGTTTGCAATAGGAAGAGTTTGAACTGAGCTCTATTCCAAACGTTCTTCTGAAGTTATATTTTGATGTTAAGTTCAAAAGCTTGATTGGGGTCATGTTGAGAAAAGACTTGACTGCTTTGCACTAAGAAGTTTGGTCTTCAGACTATAGAGGATGAAAATTAGGTACATGTTTTTTGGAACTGTAGGTTTCAAATCCTTTCCAGCTCTCTCATTTACTGAAAGTGTCACTTCAGAAGGCATTTAATACTTGTCTACAGTCTTATTTTTAAAAATACAGGAAATAAAATTTTTTTCACATAACTAAATAAGTCAATAGTTATTCAAATATAATGGCAAGTAAGAGCCACTGATTTTTTTGAAGGAAAAAGTACAAATGGCTAAAGCATGCAACGAGACATTAATGTTGCCAGTGCTCTGCTCAACAAAACGATTGATGTGTGCATCCTATGAACTACCAAATCTAGGAATCATTAACAAATGATAGAGCAGAAACTCTACAAACACTAAAAATAAAATAAAAAATTTATAAGTATGGAAAATAAGATAGCAAATTATTTATTTTAACAATAGATAACATTTATTGTACACTTTTTAGAACTCTGTATTTTTTAGCTTGCTTTAAAAGGCTAACTTTTAAACCTGAAATCAGATCATTTTGAGACTCAGACTCTACTTTTTGAGGACATCATTGCCCAATGTCTGTTGTTTAATTCCTCTCTAATTGAAATTTCTAATTGAGGATAAATATGCCTTTATACCTATGTATGTGTATGTGTATACATTATATATACATACATACATACATATACACATGTATCACACATACATACATATACATATGTATCACACATACATATAACACGTGTATATACACACATACTGTACATATACATGCATGTGTTATACACACATACTGTGTATACACACATGTATTATACACATCTATATATGTGTATATATGTGTATATATACATACACAAAAATATATGTGTATATATACATATGCATATAACATGTGTGTGTATATATATATGTGTGTTTTAGGATCAGGTACAGTTGTTCAACTATATTAGTTTTAAAAGAATGCTCAATCAAAATAGTTTTTTTAATGAGTGTTTACTTTTTCTCATATAACAAGAAATCTTAAGATATGTAGTTACTGACATTGTTTTTAGCTGTTTAGTAAAGCCATTAGGAATGCAGGCTGTTTCTAACCTCTACTCCAGTATCCTGAGCATGGTGAATTTTTCCTTGTGCTTGTCACTTCACTTCATGGTCAGAATATGGCTGCTACATCTCAGATATTATGTCCATTTCCTTCTGGGCTAAGTGTCAATGGCCAGAACATAGCTGCTAGAAGCTGCAAGGGCAGTTAGGAAAGTGGAGAATGATTGAATGACTTTCCAGACCACTGTGATCCATGTCCTGAGGCTCAGCAGGTTTCTGCCCAAAACTAAATCAGAGCTCTTTTAAAAGGAAAGAATAATGGGAGGAATATTGGGTAGGCAACTAGCAGAATTTGCTGTAAGAATACTGGATTAATAAAATTGCCTGACTTGAAAGATGCTTATGATAAATTGTAAAGGATAATAAAGCATTTGGGAAATAGGAGGAAAGAGAAATCCTTCCAAAACAAAGGGGATTGTATGTGAAATTTTGTTATAATTTATGACAACTCATTTAATTAGTGAAGGAAATTTTATATTGATTCTTAAAAGTTTCGACAGTTCTTCTATGAAAAAAAAGATACAGTCATTGAAATGAATAAATAGACTTTTTTGTTGTTTTCTGAGGTAGATAACTTTCAAGAAATGTAATTCAGTATATCTGTAGTAAAGAAAAAAAAAGGTTTAAACTGATAATATATTTTTAGGGATAAGAATCATCCTGAACTACAAAATGTGAATTTATCCACATTACATTAGGTGAGTGATTCTGGCTTACCTTAATAAGGAGACTACATCTGTTGTTCTATAGTTGGCATTTTCTTAGGATGCCAGAAAGGATCTCATCACTTGGTATGTCCCACATATTAGATTGAAAAAAAAGGAGAAGGAAGAGGGGGTGCAGTTGCCAAAGGACCTGTAGCCTTAGAATCCGGCAGAAATGACAGCTGAGAGCAGTCACAGGCATGATGCTTACTCAGTAGGTGTGATAAATTAGCAAGGGTAAGCAAGTATTGCTGACTGGAAAAAAAGAAGAAGAAGAAAAAGAGAATTTCAGGATTTCTAAACTATTAGCTATTTTAGTGTGGTGCCAGCAAGTCCAAGACACATGGAAACACAGGGCATTTGGAGAAGTAAATAATAGGTAATTGTTGCAATTGTGTAATGGCAGTTTCAAATGACTTTTATTTCTGACTGCTCTGCTTCTTTGGCTGAGAAAATGGATTTGAATTTGGAAAATTATATGTTCAGCCATTCCGGATGTAATATTTATGTACACCCAACAAAAAATGTTTTTCTTTTATGTCATTTGATTTCCACTATCATATTATATTGGGTGGAAAAATAGATTAAGAGACCATTTGCTCAAATATGAAAGAAACATCATCTGGAGGGTAAGAATTTTGACAGTTAATTCAGTTGAAAATGATATCTTGCAGTTAAAAATGGCATCTTATTGAGACTATACCTGCAGATTAGGAGGCAACTGAAATGATGGATTTTGAAAACTTTAGAAATGTTACAATATGTAAGTCTATTAGCTACAGTTTATGTCAAAGCTGTTTGTTTTGCACCTGTGCACACCTACATAATGCTAGTTTGTGTGATCATGGTAGTGCAAATAGATTCATGAATTCTAATTCTGAGACTCAGAAGGATTTGAAGGAATATAATTTTATGATTATTGCAGATTTCCTGTTTCTTCTATCTTTAATTGTTTGTCTTGGCTCAATTTCCCTAGTATATTTGATTGAAATAATAAGAGTTTCAGGAATTCTTACTTACATTTTTACTGGTATTTTGATTTATAATTAATTCTTTCCAGTATGGAAATAGGAAAGGTTTTAAGATAAATCTTTATAAGTTAACAAGTCATCTTTAAATATCAAATAAGTATTTGATAGATCTACATTATTGGCTTTTTAACTATATCCCAGTTTATTTTTTATTAGATTATAAGGTCAAACAGTCGCAAAATTGTTTGAATTGAAAAAAGGAAAAAAAAACCCTACATTCTTTCAAACCTTGTCTCTTGCTAAAAACATTTGTAGATATACTACAAAATAAAGAAATTCCTTTTATTTATTGCATAAAAGGAGTAAAATCATTAATATTTGTGTAGGTTTTTCTTCTTTAACTTTTTATACCATCCTACTTAACTAAATCTAGAGCAACTTTCAATAACTTAAAAATCTTTTCAGACTTCTAAGACATTATGCTAAGTAAAATAAGCCAGTCACAAAAGGGCAAATATTATATATTCTACTTATATGAGGTACCTAGAGTAGTCAAATTTATAGACAGAAAAGTGGTTTCCAGGATTTGGGGTAGGATGGAATGGGGAGGAATGAATAAATGAGTAAATAGTCTTTTTAGCCATGCAATGAGATGTACTATAATATTTCAGTATGATTCAAGAGTAACATATCTTTTACCATGATATAGGCTTCATTCTAAATGAAGGATAAATTTAGGAATACATGCAAAGCATTGAACACAGACTTGGCAGGCAATTATTGTCTCAGTAAATGTTATCTCTGTTATCATTGTGGCAGTAAATGTTTGAGAAGATCAAAAGAACACTTTGAAATAATGCATCTTTTTAATGGGTTCCTGAGTATATTGATGACAGAATCAAATTACATGCTTAAAATATTTTCCAACATCCCTTACCAAGAAACTTTTTTTATTTTTAGGAGGAATTGTTGATAAAGACCTTCGTCACTACCTCAACTTACGATTTCAAAAGGGTTCTGTGGACCATGAGCTTCAGCAAATCATTCGTGACAACCTCTACCTCCGCACGGTGCCATGTGAGTACAATGGGCAGTATTAATATTTTTATGTTGAGAGATAAATGTTTAGCTATATATTCATTGATTAAAAGAAAGTGAAATTGCACTTATTTTTTATAGTGGGCTTTTGGAACAGAAAACTTATTTGAGATGTGGCAATTTTAAGTGCAAATGCTTATAACTGCAGTAGTATGGTTTATGATGAAGTTGTAGCCAGAAGAAACTTGTGATTTTCAAGCTATAAAATCTAACTTACATTTCTGAAGTTAGTATTGAGAAATATTGATTCTAGTCCAGACTGTTGGTGATTCCGAATGAATTATGATGGAGATAGAACTCCACATTGGGAGACAGGAGAATGCAAATTTAATTTATTAGTTGAAACAGCTATTCTGTGAGTAGAATCTTCACAGTGACTCCCAACCTCATCTCTTGTTTGCAACAGGAGAGTCTCACAAGTAAAAAGAAAAGTGCACATTGGAAAGTAAAGCTGAGTGTTCTGCAAGTCTTAGAAAGCAATGATGCTTAGAAAGCATGTTGGGGTAAATTTCTTATATGTAACCTATAGATATCCATAAACAATCGTTTCTGATTATCCTTCCAAGGAGAGGAATTGGTAAAATGATACAATTTTTAGTGTCTGTTACAGCTCACCTGAAAATCCTCTATTAACTTTAAGACAAATGAAGGACTTTTAAACTCAGGTTCTAGATCTTAGATTGATATCAAAAATCCATTTTCTTCAAGGCAGATTCCATGCACTTCAGACACTTTCCACTCTCTAGAAATTCTGGGCTGTGGATGTTGTGTGAGTTTCTTTTCTTTTAGTTCCGTTCTAAATAAATTCAAAGCTATGAGTCCTGAAAGGATAACATTAAATAAAGAAAAAGTTGGCTGGTATAAGTGAAACAAATAAGCAAAACAAAAAAAATTATTATGTAGGGTTGAACCACCAGAGTTATGTAACTATAATTATCTGGAATAGATACTGGATAATTATACTGAAATAATGAAAACACACAGAGATGTCAAGATGGAAAGGTTATCACCCAGCCCTATTGACCTACCCACCTTTTAGGAGAGGTGGACTTTTGCCATTGTTAGCACTAAATATTCATCAAAACGACAATGCCAGGACACCATTATCAAATCTTCCTAAATGAGAATACTTGATGATTGGCATTTTGTCAGTCAAAATGATACTTCTGTCAGTGTGTGTTAGTTAAGTGAATAGGCTTTTGGACCCATGGTTTAACTCTGGAAGTTGAGAAAAGTGCATTCTTAAACTTGTAAGTTTGACATTAGAGTGATGGACAAAGGAAGATGGATTAAAGTAAGTGACTGAACTATTTATAAGGTAACGGGTGGACGCATTTTCAAAGCTATGATGTTGTCAGTGCAGCAATGTGAATTTATCTTTTGTGACATGAAAGAAAGGAGATCTGAAATACTGAATAAAGAAACCAGGCTGTTTATTATGTTTAAAAGCTGAGAAAAATAGATAAGAAGCTGACATTCAGGAATACATGTAGTCCTTGCTAAGGCGATGACATAAATAAGAAAGTCTTAATTAAATATGAAGATAATAGGAGTAAATTTTGCATTAGTTAATTAACTTCTTAAATAGAGCATCTCCTTTTAGAGTACCAAAGAAGACTACGAAGGAAAAGTAAATATAAGGGTAAAACAGCTAGACTTATATGAGTAAACATAAAGAGCTTCAAGATGTAATTTCAGTACAAGGTCATAAATTTAATTGGAAATCCTTGGATAGCTCCTATAAAGGAGATGATTAGAAACTCAATTTGAATATCACGATGAAACAATTATTCTTTGAATTTTCAGCCATCTCTCCTAGTAGCCAATTCCAATAACATTATTGACTAATGAAGTTTTTAACTTGGCAAAAAAGTGAACAAAAATACAGAGATTCTAACTTATATTATAAAAATTGCTTTATACTGATTAATTGACCTGGATGATCCACCATCTTGACTCAGTATATCTTTTTTTTTTTTTTTTCTTGAGATGGAGTTTTGCTCTTGTTACCCAGGCTGGAGTGCAATGGTGCGATCTCAGCTCACTGCAACCTCTGCCTCCCAGGTTCAAGCAATTCTCCTGCCCCAGCCTCCTGAGTAGCTGGGATTACAGGCATGTGCCACCATGCCCGGCTAATTTTGTATTTTTAGTAGAGACGGGGTTTATCCATGTTGGTCAGGCTGGTCTCAAGCTCCCGACCTCAGGTGATCCACCTGCCTTGGCCTCCAGAAGTGTTGGGATTACAGGCGTGAGCCACCACGCCCGGCCCAACTCAGTATACCTTTAAAAAAATTTTTTTCTTCCTGTATCTTTTTTGAATTTCTAATTGATACATAATAATTTACATATTTATGGGGTACATATTTATTTTGTTACATGCATAGAATGTGTAATGATCAAGTCAAGGTATTTGAGGTATCCATCACTTTGAATATTTATCATTTCTATGTGTTGGGAACAATTCTATTTATTTCATTTAGCTACTTTGAAATATACAATACACTGTTGTCTACTATAGTCAGTCTACTCTTCTGCCAAATAATAGAACTTCTATCTTTTATCTAACTGTATATTTGTACCCATTAATCTACCTCTCTTCATTCCCAATTCCTCACTCTCCTAACCCTCTGTTATCTATCATCCTTCTATCTCCATGGAATCAACTTTTTTAGCTCCAACATATGAGTAAGAACATGTTATTTTTGTCTTTCTGGTCCTGGCTTGTTTCATTTAACATAGTGATCTCCACTTCTGTCCATGTTGCTGCAAATGACAGGATTTTATTTTTTTTATGGTTGAAGAGTATTCCATCATCTATATATACCACATTTTATGTATCCATTTGTCCCTTGATGGACACTTCAGTTGAGTCCTTGTCTTTGCTATTGTAAATAGTGCTGCAATCAACATATGAGTACAGGAATCTCTTTGATATGCTGATCTCCTATATTTATTCCTTTGGAACAATACCCAGTAGTGGGATTACTGAACCATATGGCAATTCTATTTCAGTTTTTTGAGAAATCTTCATATGTTTTCCCTAGTGGCTGCACTAATTTACATTCCTACCAACAGAGTGTAAGAGTGCCCTTTTCCCTGCATCCTCACCAGCATTTGTTATTTTTGCTCTTTTTAATAATAGACATTCTAACTGGAGTAAGATGATATCTCATTGTGGTTTTGATTTGCACTTATTTGGGGATTAGGGATGTTGAACATTTTTTCATATACCTTTTGGCCATTTGCATGTCTTCTTTTGAGAAATGTCTGTTCATGTCATTTGCCCACTTTTTAATGGGATTATTTGATTTCTTAGTTGGGTTATTTGTTCACTCAGTATATCCTTTAATGAAGTTTTCAAATATGTTCAGAAAGGGTGCAGTAGAAGTGTGTCCATGATGTGAAAAATCCTGCCATTGTTAGAAACTTAAATAAGTATCCAGCATATCTGTTGGTATTGAGTATGGAATCACATTTGTTACACATTTTCCTTGGTCAAAGAAATTCTCATTGGTTTTCATGAACCCAGCAGCGTAGAAGGAAAACAGACTACTGAAGACTATATCATTGCTCTTATACATGCATGCATTAATGATACATTCACTCCTTGTTTAATCTAGCATTGGCATCAGGAATAGGTCCTTGATAACTCCATTGAAACAAAATTGTAGTGACTTATAACTATATAAGAGTAAATAAATTTTTTTCACAAAACAAGACCTAACTGAGTAATTCTGCTTACAACCACTACATTACTCTACCACCAACTACATCTGGAAGGAAAGGAGGCACATCTTGGAGCTGGAATTTATTGGTGCCTAGTAAGAGAGAGTTCTAGAGCTAGGGCTCCAAAGACCTCCCCCCCACCACCTGCTACATACACACATATACATATACTCAGTCAATCTAGTTGTGGACAAGTTGGTCCTTGCACTCTCCTTGGTAGGAAGCCTGTTTCCTGCTGCTTGCTGATTTCTGAGCTAAGCAGGGGAGGAAGGTGGTTAGTCTAGGTCTCCACTGACCCTTAACTACAAATAATACAAAAAGCCCATCAATCTGTTCCATGCCCCATAAACAAGGACTGACTGTATTTAGCCTTGTATTTTGTCTCCCTAGAACCTTATCTCAGAGCCCGCCTAATTCTAAAAAAAAAAAAAACAAGCAAACAACACACACACACACACACACACACACACACACACACACACTTTTCAATAAAAGCCACATCCCTTAGAATAGAAGGAGATGGTCACAGAAATAGAATTGTTGGGCATATATTGAGTTCTGTAATGAAACTACTATATATTGAGTTCTGTAACAAAACTTACATCTTAAGAAGACAATTGTGCAGTTTCTCAATGGAAATGTTTGGAGATTTTTTTTTTCTCATTGAAGCCTGTAAATGTTGAGTTTATTTTACAGTTTTGGGGGAATTTTCAAGTTCTAATTTTATCTCCCAGATATACTTTTCATAATTATTTCACTATCCTACTATCGTACTATTCTTTGGTAGCTAACTGATAATAAACTTATTTTATAGCTACTAAAAAAGAAGAATTGTTGGGCACATAATGAGTGAGAGCATGAGTATGCATGCATGTGTATGCTCATGTGTGTGCAAATACACAGGCTGAGATTGATTCTTCATTATTTCCACAGTAAGTTCCTAAGGAAAAGATCCTTAGGAACTTGAGCCCAGAAGTTTGAGACCAGCCTGGGAAACCCCATCTCTACAAGACCCCTTAAGAAAACACTATCTCTACAAAAAAAAAATTAAAAATTGGCCGGGCATGGTGGCATGCACCTGTAGTAGTCCCAGCTACTTGTGAGGATCACTTGAGCTCGGGAAGTCAAGGCTGCAGTGAGCCATGATTGCACCACTGCATGTCAGCCTGGGTGACAGAGTGAGACTCTGTCTAAAAAAAAAAAAAAAAGAAGAAGAAGAAGAAGAAGCCTGTGAATGAATCTTTCTACGATTAGATTTCAGGCTATATAAGATTTTTAAGATTTGTATGTAATTGAACTTCAGGAGAAGGGAGAAAATGACAATGAGACAAAACCGTTGTCATCTAGAATGTGATAAAGACTAACCATGAAAAACATATATAGATAAAAGTCTTGAAAGAGTTTAGAACATCCATCACATGGGATTTCAATTACCCTCATAGTACACAAAAGGCAATTCCAGAAGCAATAAGTTAGCAGCATTTATTTAGAGATGATTAAACAGGATTGTTTCATCACAGCATGTTAAATGTGCAAAGTTAAGGCAGCATGCATTGTCTCTTGGGTAATATGGATTCGAAAATATATGAAAGAAATTAATAGAATTAATACGGAAGAATATTGGATTAATTTGCAAATGTTTAAAGAGCAAAAATGGAGTTTATTTTGGTTTTAATATGCTACTGAGCATAATGATTGCATATATTTGACTCTTGAGTCTAATCAACCACAATTAAACTGACATGCTTCTTAAATATGAGGAAAAAATAATCACGGCTGTTTATTGGTAAAGTTCTAGTCCTTTCTAGCTTTGATATTTATTAGAGACACAAATTAATTTTTGAAGCAAGTATAAGAACAGATATAAATTTTAGACACTATTTTCCATTATACCAAAGAATGTGGAGAAGGACTTCAATGACCAATTTTAAAAGTTTCAAAATGAAAAGGAAGGTGGTTAAAATTAAACTTCTCTCCCAAGACTGTTCTTTGTCATTTGGTGAGACAGTTTTATTGGGAAATATTTAAAATTTATTTGAAGCCAGAACAAATACCAGTGTATACCAAGTAAAAGACAAAAATCAACAAAACTAAACTCTAATTCTGTTTTATAAAAAGTGAATAAAGTGGCCGGGCATGGTGGCTCACGCCTGTAATCCCAGCACTTTGGGAGGCCGAGGCAGGAGGATCACAAGGTCAAGAGATCGAGACCATCCTGGCCAACATGGTGAAACCCCATTTCTACTAAAAATACAAAAATTAGATGAGCATGGTGGTGTGCACCTGCAGTCCCAGCTACTTGGGAGGCTGAGGCAGGAGAATTGCTTGAACCCGGGAGGCGGAGGTTGCAGTGAGCTGAGATCATGCTACTATACTCCAGCCTGGAAACACAGCAAGATTCCATCTCAAAAAACAGTGAATAAGGTGAACATAGATTTGGGATATGAAAGAAATTAGTTTTGTGGAAGACCTGATTGAATTACACTGAGTTACGCTGAATTACACTGATTGTAACTCACAATAGTGTTTCTACATATTTAAGCCCTTTAAGTTAGTAAAACTAAAACACACTAAAAAGAAGCATTATCAAGGGTAAAACTGTAAAGTTTCTAATATATCTTTAACATTTTTGATATTTATGCCAAATTTGTTTCACAGAAAAGCAGGCTCTTCAAAAATTATGAGAAACCATCTCCTGTTAAGAATAGCAGTTACTAACACACCAAAAGGTATAGCTATGCAAGGAGTCAGCATCCCCTTTTCATAATTATATAATCCCTAGAAGACTATGATCACAGAGGACTGTTAGAGTGAGGCTCGTTGGCCACATATCTAATAAAATGTCTAAAATTAGAGCAGAGCTTTCTAGTATACTTTGTGGGAAAAATAATTTTATTTCTCAAGCAAAAATTAGTACTATAAAGGTTGTAAAAATACGTGTTAACATCTAACAAGGCAATGTGTTTTTGTGGATATGAATGAATCTAATTATTTGTGACTTTATTTATGAAGGTACATTTATTTCTAAACATGTTGTAAGAAGGGAGAGTGACATCAACCTGTGGATTAGATCACCAAAAAAGCAATCATCTTATTCCAATGGAAAGAAATTCCCTGAGTTAAAAATGATCAAAAATGGTATGTATTGAGAGTATCTTTAAGTAATATAGCTTTGAGTTCTGGGATGTTAAGTTGAACTGTAGCTCCACGTTTAGACAGAGGAGTAGAAGCAATATATCCAACTGAATTTTAAAGCAAACTACAACTTTCAACCCACATATTGCAACAGCTGTATATCGTACATCTGTTTCTACATTAATCTTATTGCCTCAAATAAGAATCATCAATTTGGCAACTCTTTTTTGAAATTCCTTTTAGAGTGTAAAGCATATTCTTTTGTGATTACTTCAGAATGAAGCTGCCAGATTTTTGTTCTTTGAAAATTTGAGAATGAATTTGATATTTATAGACTAATTATATTTGGTGTTGTGAAGAATAAGGGTTATTAGAGAATAAATATGGTTGTTAGCAGTGTTAACCAAAAAGAAAGGAAGTCTGTAAACAAACGAAACTTAATTTCTTGGGAGACATATAAACTGGCCTGGGAGGCTAGACCAAGGGAAAACTTCAAAAGCTTCTAAACAGTAGCATATACTTGAAAGTATTCTACTTGTTTACTCATCTCGATGTATGCCCTTGGCATAGTTATTAAATGTGTTATTACTTTACGGAAAGCTATATTAGGTTTACCTTCTTTCTTACTGAAAACATTAAGATCTAGTTTCATGTCATATATGTGAAAGTATTATAGATTTATTTCTTCTTTCGATTAAACAAAATGAATGTATCTTTCCTGGTCACAGAGTAACATTCATTGGTTTGGTTGACAGAGTGCTCTACAGAATATAAATGGCTTCAAAATGTTGCTTAAGATGGAAAATCAAGGAACATTAAAAGTGATTGTATTGATTTATCAATTTGACACCACAGGACACTAGTTTGAGAATAAAGGAACATATTTGGCACCGAAAAAAAAAAAGGAATAAGCACCAACAGTATACGATCTTACTGATCTTCGCAACCACATAAAATTCCCTTTGCCCTGACTTGATTGGCTTTTCTGCTGCTGTGACACAATCTTTCCTTTGTTTTTTCCCTCTTAGTTTGTATTTCTCTTTCCTTTTTTTCATAGGAGGGAGGCTTTCCATAGGAAATTGGTTTGTGGGCTATTGATCATAAACGCAGGTGAAATATACACCCTTGGACTTCAGTGGTCCTAGAAGCTGCCCAAGGAATAAATGGGGAGAGAGTTCTGAGGCTATATTTTGTCTCTGGAAAAGCCAGTCAACAGTTTTGATGGAAAATAACGCACCTTTCAGGGAACTCAGAATCTGCTCCCTGCAGGCTCCAAAATCATAGCCTTGCTGGACGTAAGAAGGTCAACACATCTTACTGTACACCACTGCACATTTTGAATAGAAAAAAATAGGATTCCATCAGATTCAGACCTACCCAAGTTTCCAGAGTCTTAGCTATTAGATGATTACATTGCTGAAGGAAAGGAATAGACAGATGGCAATGGATAACAGTGTTCTTATGGGACTTAAAGACGGTAGTTTATATTAGGGTGATCAATTTCTGATTTAAATGCGCCTAGCCAAAAGAACAATGACAAAGGAATACTAATTAAAGTCACTGCTATTCTAATGTCCAGATCACTTGTCCAAGTTATTTACACATTGCAGTATAGCATTGCTAGAGTATGGTAAGAAGCAACTACCCTTGGCTTTATCTATTTGTAACATGAAACTAAGAAAAGAGCACTCATCCAAGAATTGGAAGCCATTGGTTCTAGAACAGGTTCTGCCACTAACTCATTATAGGGCCTTGGCAAAGGTATTAAACTTTAGGACTCAGGGGAGGGAGGGGGGAGTAAAATGAACTCTAATGGCTCTTTCTGCTCTAAAATCCTGTGGTTTTCTGATTCTGCTGGCTTACTTTTCTGTATTTTATCATTATTCAACTCATCAAATTGGCTTAAATTATTCTGAGTATGGAATGTCCTTGATATTGAGCAGGTGTAAACAGCTTATGGAAACTGAAGATATATCAAATACAGCAGACACTTTAGGGAAAGAAAACCATAAAGAGGTGCGTTTAAATTAAGTGCAGTTCTGGATAAAACCAGCCATGCATGTACTTTCAGATTTTTCTATGAATGTCAAGTTAAGGATGCCATCATAACTCTGATGTCCCTTGAAATCTGCCTTCACTATTCATGAAACTCTGAAATATGGTCCAGCGTTAGTAAATGGATGGGAAAATAAACATAATGAGAAATACAAAGCTTTTAAAATTGCTCTCCTCCTTTAGAAGATGGAATGAGTTGAGATGTGACATAAAGACTTCTGAAGCATGAGGTGTATTGTTATAAAAATGTTATTGTAATCTTTATGAAATGATATTTAACATTGAATATAGTGCCTTCTAATGTTGAATTTTAATAAGTGTCACTTATGCAAGTGAATGACTCTGGTTGGAAGCCCAAATAGATATAGCTAAAGGGAGGCTAAATCAATGCTTAGTGTAATCAAGGACTTTAGAGCACAGATGAAAAATTTAGGAGAATCAACAGATTTTTCACACAGATTAATTAAAAGGTAAGACTGATATGTGATCAACAGTCAATTCTGTTTTAAGAAATACACATGGATCCTGCCTTTTTTTTTTTTTTTTTAATTGAGATGGAGTCTCGCTCTGTCACCCAGGCTGGAGTGCAATGGCACGATCTCGGCTCACCGCAATCTCCACCTCCTGGGTTTAAGTGATTCTTCTGCCTCAGCCTCCCAAGTAGTTAGGATTACAGGCGACCACCACCATGCCCAGCTAATTTTTGTATTTTTAGTAGACAGGGTTTCTCCATGTTGGTCAGGCTGGTCTTGAACTCCCGACCTCAAGTGATCCGCCTGCCTAGGCCTCCCAAAGTGCTGGGATTACAAGCATGAGCCACCATGCCTGGCTGGATCCCGCTTTTATTACAAAAATCAGAAGTTTGGAATTGGATCAATTCTCAGTTTCCCAGTTTCTCTTCTAAGCTGTTATCTTTTCTACTTAAAGGCAAGAAAGTTGCTTTTTCTGCATGCAAAATCGGCAAATATCTGCACAATATCTCCATTCTAATAAAGACAATAGTTTCACTTGCTGCTCAACAAGACCCACTTGTATGCATCAATAATAACTTTTTAACTTGTCCTCCAAAGACAAGACTAATGTGGGGAGCTAATGTCAACCTATGTATATTTGTCCTTTCCCATTTTGAGTAGGAATTCTGATTTACCTTGTCATTTTTTAAACTCATCTTTATTTGTTACAACCTTTTTAAGCAGAATATGACTCGGGCACTACATTTCAATTTACAGGTCTTGCTCTGAGTTACTTTTTGAACAGCTTTACACCACACCTAGCTAGACTTTTAATTTTGCTTCTCTAAACAATAATTTTCTTTGGAAAACAAACTCTGTGGAGCGTTCCTCCCATTCCTTCAGTTTAACATACTTATTTCCAGAGGACTAGTACCTGCAGAATTGGCAACTACAGGGAATGGAAAGTTTTTAAAGTCGATCCTAGAAGAGGTAGAACATACTTTCCTTTTTGTAGTTTTATTTTTCTTTATTAACTTTTATTTTAAGTTCAGGGATACAAGTGCCGTTTTGTTACATAAGTAAACTTGTATCATGGGGGTTTGTTGTACAGTCTATTTCATTCATCCAGGTATTAAGCCCAGTATCCATTAGTTACTTTTCCTGATCCTCTCCCTCCTCCCACCCTCCACCCTTAGAAAGGCCCCAGTGTGAGGTTTTCTCTTCTATGTGTCCCTAAGTTCTCACCATTTAGTTCCCACTTATAAGTGAGAACACGTGGTATTTGCTTTTCTGTTCCTGTGTGAGCTTGCTATTTTCTTCTAAACATCAAGGTATATCTCAGAACACTTCAGTGACAAAAGATTTGGGAATCTGGCTTGATAGCTCAACAGTTTAGACCACAAAGTTAACATTAGGTGACATACATCTTACAACACACATTACCTCAGCTCTTCTTATCTTTTTAATTTGTTGACACTGATGAAAAAAACTACAGATCAGTAAGATATATGCATATTTATAGGAAACCTGAGACTTTATATCCTGAATTCAATTCATCTTATTGTTCCCAGAGGGAGAATGGTTGGTGGGTCTCCAGCCAGGGCCATTCCTAAGTATGAAACTCCCTGAACATCAACTAAAACAAGTATGTAAATAGCAGCCACCATTTTCTGAGCATTTCCTATGTGCAAGAAATATTCTTCAGATATTATCTCATTGAATTCTCATAGTGTTCCCATAAGGTGAGTGTTATTTCCCATCTTTGAAGACATGTGGGAAATTGAGGCTCTGAGGTCTTTTAACCAGACTGATACCAGGCAGTAAGTCAGCAGAGAAAGAGGGAGTGTATCCCAGGTGGATCAGGCTTCCAGTTCGCACTACATGAAAGCAGCTCTGTAACAGAAGCTCTGGAAAGTCAGAACCATAAGCATGCTTCTGAAGAGTTTCAGAGATGCTCCTATGGTAAAAAAGAAAAGAAAAGAAAAGAAAAGCAATGAAGTCTACCAGCAACAGACATTGAATCAAAATTAAATAGATTAGACTATTACAGTCTATTTCCAGTAATAGAAGATGTATATTTATTGTGAAGAAGATATGAACGTATCTTCAATTGACCCACAATTGAAAAAACATATGGATAATTATCAGGGAAGTTTTTGAGTGAAGGTCGATTGACTGACTAGCTTCAAGTCAGTTATTTTCATCTTAACATGAACCTCTTGATTGGTCACTAATCAATCAGGTTCCAAATTATCTTTTCTTTAGCACATAATTGCTAGAAATATTGTAATATATCTAATGGGAGAAAAAGAAATTGTTAATTGATAATTATATTATTTCAGTAATTAAAGCTATTACCTTGATATAGGAAGAAAGATTAAATATACAAAGGAATCTACATTATCTAAACCAAGCTTACCCAACCCACAGCCCATAGGCCATTTGCAATCCAACACAGCTTTGATGCAGCCCAACACAAACTTGTAAACTCTTTTAAGACGTTATGAGATTTTTTTGTGATTTTTTTTTTCATCAGCTTTTGTTAGTGTTAGTATATTTTAAGTGTGGCCCAAGACAATTCTTCCAATGTAGCCCAGGGAAAACAAAAGATTGGACATCCCTGCAAACCTTTTATTTTATTTTTTTAACTTTCTGAATTCTTCTTGCACAAACATTTTGATGTCAGCTCTACTAGACTTTCTACCTGCATTTCATAACCTGAATTCTAATCTAAATCTAAAATTCTAACGATATAAAATTTTATAAATAGGTGTTCATAAGAGTCCCCAGTTCTTCATCCTTGCATTTCATTAAAACACTTATTTTGCAAATCAGGGTGGGGGTGATGGGGATAGAATGGAAAGAAGAAAGTGAACCAGCATTTAACAAACATCTACGTGCAAGTATTATCATGTCATTGCATTTTTTAGTCCTCTGAGAAATGTGTTGTGGTTCCCATTTTTCAGACCAGGAAACTTAGGCTTGGAGAGGTTATACAAACCCTTCCCCAAACCCACATAGCTAGTAAATGGATGAGGAGAATTCAAACCTAGGTCTATCTGATGCCTATATCCATTTGTGTGATGTATTATGTTACCTCCTTAGTCACTATAGGTCTGGTTTCTCTGACAGTTCTTTGAGCAAATCTTAGGAGGCTCCAGAATATAGAAGACTACATGAACGTGTATCTATATTTACTGTCTAATGTTTCCACAAAAGCAGGGAAAAAATCATGAAAATGGTAGTGGGTTAAATAAGACCTCTAAATTGCACACTTATTTCCATAACTGCTCTTCAGAAGCACCACTGAGGTCATTCTCCCAAAGACTCCAAAAAGACCAAGGTTAGTAGCTGATATTTAACAGCAGCATGTCTCCTCTCATTCTCATCTGGAGGTAATCAAAACAGAGACAGCAGTGCTGTTCACTTCAGAATTCCTGTCATTATAATAGAACAAATAGCCCTTCTTTTGATGAAGAAAAGCAACAGTCTCCCATCTCAGCATAGCTGGCTCTGTACTGACTCAGCTGTCACTTGAGACTCAGTGTAATGACAGCTTCTCAGATCTCCAAGACTCCTACTGGTTTTCTTTGGGCGCAATAATATGGTGACACAAGTTGACAAAACTTACAAGCTGGATCCCTTCACTAGGCACATACAGAATCGAGATATACACACGTGACCTTCCAGCTTCCTCCCTGGTTCCTGGAAAAATGCCCCAATTCTGGCTCAGGGGATTCAGGTTAATATGCAGAGTGATATCTGGGATGACTGAGCAAATTAAACCATTAGGGAGCCATTCATTGAGCGTGCAGCCAAGCTTAACTTCTGCGAAGCTCTTATTTTTTTTTATTGCTTTCAATGTCAAAGATTATTTTTTCTTTCTATTTCACGAAGCAAAACAGTATAAGTAATGTGTTATTCAGGATTCAGCCCAGGTAATAAAACCATGCAAGGTGTTTTAAGAAGGACAAGGTTTAGGGGAATAGTTGTTTAGAAAGTTGCTGAAAGAACAACAGAAGAAGGTTGCAGACTAGATCCCCAGGAATAATAAACAATACAGAACTGCCCCACCAGCATAACTGCTGCCTCTGAGGATGGCAACTAAGATCTAGATGTCACAAAGACTTAATTGAGAAACTGCTACTGTGGCTGGAATTGCCACAACTTCCTGTGACACCTAAGAAGCCAGGAAATGAACAGTAGAGCCCTCCTGCAAAAACATTGTGTCTGTAAGTCCTTTGGTTTTGAAAGGAAATTTACCTTTAAACATGTTTCTTTTTATGGATAATCCAATATACATATAGTACCAGCACCTTAAAATTATTTATTAAAAGACTGCTCTAAGTTTTAAATGCCTTGTTTTATGTTGTCAAAGACTAACAACATAAATAATTGTTATCAGATTTTATTTAAAAGATTTACAGTGTATTTATTAATTAATGTTTTTACTTTTCTACTTATACTCTGGCTCCTAATTATACATACATATTATGCTAACTGGTTATAAGCTACTAAGAAATGTATTTTTTCTTTAGAAAACTAGGATAGTTATGCATTATCAGTGTATTCTGTAATTGTTCTGTTCTGCTTATAGTATGAGACACTTTAAGTACATGAGTTTTTGTTCATTTTTTATTCACAACTTTATTATTTAAAAGTATGAATGTGACACTAACAAAATTTAGTTCATAATCATATTTCTCACATGAAAAAGCAATTGACAAAAATTGCTTTCAGAACATAATTTAAATTTGGAGCAAGAAAAAGAATCTTAATTAAAAATGAGAAGTTGAATATATTATTTGAAGCACTATAGAAAATTAATTATAGTTTGAAAAAAGTAAAATGCTTTCATCACTAAGGCCCATCTGTGACCAGAGGTCAACATTGGGTAGCTTTTTGTAGGTTCTAACATTATTTCTTTGCCTCAAAGCTCATTAAAGAATCATGATATGAGTCTTTAGGTAGAATAAAATACATTAAAAATGTACACACAAATAAAATATGACTACAAGCAAGTTGGAAAACTTGTATTTAAGCCTATATGTTGACCTAACATTAGCTTGGAAAAAAGACACCTGGTTTTCTGATACAAAAATAAAAAATTTATTTTAGGTATCCAAATAGGCCAGATGTTATTCTCTTTATGAATATAGCTATCTTTATAACAACTTATCTTCCAAATTCATTGGTTATAAAAAATGTGGTTGTTAATGCAAAAAAAAATGGTCAGTTAGCAATGCACTTAATAACCCATTAAATTTAAAGAGATTAAAAATGTATAAACTTTAATATATTGTAACTTAGTTTAATTCAGTTTAGTGAACATGAGAGCTATTATGTACACATGAGTGGCTGGGTGCTGGAAATACAGAGTGATTAAGACATACGTCCTATTCTCTAGGGATGTATCTTTATTGCAAGTTCAAATCCAAGTAAGGTATATATTATTATTCTCATTTTACAGATGGGTAAACAGAATACATACAACTGACTAATGTAAACTAACTACTCTGTATCACAGTTAAGGTCTATAGCCAGCCTCAAGACTTTGAGAAATGCTTAATTGTTACAAAACCTGAATTATTTCATCTTTGTTTAACAATAATGACCAGATTAGTTGCTTTGATGAAGACATAGACTAATAAGGACTCAAACTTAAAGATTTAATTGAAAAATACAAATATAGTTCTTGGAATTTTGCTCACCCCTGCTCTTGTATATTCATGCTCCAGATTTCTTATGATTAAGAGAAGAGTAGGAAGGAAAGAAAGAAGGAAAAATATTGTGGCAATCCCTGAAATATCAAAGGTTTTCTTGGGTTCCCCTGTAGTGGAAAACTTAGTCACAATTTGCTAGTTAGCAGTACACATTTTTAACCCTATAAAAGGTTTGAAGTCTCCAGCATCTTTGAGCAAAACTTTTAGACTGAGAAAAATGGATCCATAGCTTTCTCAGTGGAAATCCATTAGTAAATAGAGCCTAAGATAATTAGGGACAGTTGGATTGGTACATCCTTACCTGTGTTCCCAAAAAGCCTAGCTATATCAAGCACATGGCCTATTAGTTCATGAGTGTTCTCCTCATTATTTAAAAAAAAAAAAAAAGGACAATGAAGCTTTGCAAATTAAGTACGTATCCCAGGATTATATAACTTACTGGCAGAGCCAGAGTTGAAATGCAGTTTTTATCTTGATTATAAGACATATATATCTGAACATAAGATAGATATATATGTTATAATGTATATTTAAGCATATATTTTAGTATATATGTTTATATATGTCTCTATGTGTAGATATAGATGTAGACAACTATATATTTATGTCTATATGAAATATGATGTGTATATGTAGGGGTGTGTGTGTGTGTGTGTGTGTATGTGTGTGTCTATTAGTCCATTCTCACCCTGCTATAAAAATACTGAAACTGAATAATTTATAAAAGAAAGGTTTAGTTGACTCACAGTTCCATATGGCCAGGGAGGCCACAGGAAACTTACAATCACGGTGGAAGGCAAAGGAGAAGCAGGCACCTTCTTTACAAGGTGGCAGGAGAGAGAGAGAGCAAGCAAAAAGGAAGTACCACACTTTTAAATCATCAGATCTCGTGAGAGCTCCTTCACTATCACAAGAACAGCATGGGGGAAACTGCCCCCATGATCTAATCACCCCCCACCAAATCCCTCCCTCGACACATGGGGATTACAATTCCAGTTGAGATTTGGGTGGGGACAAAAAGCCAAACCATATCTCTGTGTGTGTGTGTGTGTGTGTGTGTGTGTGTGTGTGTATGTACATATAAAATCTCTTATTTCAGTAAAATAATAGGACATACATAACACCTGTGCAGGTGGATATTTACAGATGGAAAACTTACGTTTAGTTCAAGGTTACATATAGGTGGTAAATGATAGAACACAGATTTTTAATGCAGCTTGGGTCTATCTTCAAATATATGCTTTTATTTATATCTGTTTATCTCATATCAATGTACCTTTCTATTATTATTTTATCTATCACAAAATAAATGTTTAAAGCCCCAAATTATTTTTTTCAAAATAGTGAGCAGTGTAGAAGACAGATTCTTATAAGCTGGAGTAAGTGGCAGAAAAACCTCCAGGGAAAAGGCAACCATTTTAAGTTGCTTTAGAAACCAGGTGGGGTTGAATAGATGGCAGCAGCTAGAAGGACATTCCGATTGAGAAGACCTTTTGAGCAAATCCTCAGTTCTTGTAATGAGCGTAAGAGGAATAGAGGTGGAATTTCTACGTTTCAGGGAATTGGGTGGTAAGACAGGATAAGTAGAGGATGTGAAGATTACAGAGGGTCTTAAACTTGATTAGAAGGTTTGAACTATATTCTTCTTACTATTTTTTTTCCAGTAAAGCTCAACTAGACCAAGAATGGTCATGTAACATAACACACTAAACTACTGGATTTAAATCACAACTGTACTATTTTCTAATGAGGTGGCCTTAGTAAACTAGTATCCTCTCTATGACTCAGTTTCATCATTTGTAAAATGGGAATAAAATAGCATCTATCTCACAGAAACACTGGGAGTATTAAATGAATTAAGATGCTCAGAGCAATGCCTTGCAGAAAGTAAATGTTCAATAAATTTGGTTGTTACAAGTCCTTATGTAGGATGGTAAGGAAACAAACATGTATTTTAGGAAGATTAATCTAAGTTCACTTGGTGAACTAAGCTAGAAGCTACCTTCTGGAATTCTACCCAATTTGGTCATCCTTAAGAGTTGAGCGAACATTTTTTCAGTAGATGGATGGAATAAATATTTATATAAAATAGATAATAGAGTGCAAAGTAGAGCAAGAAAGGCAACAGCAGCTGAGTTGTTCTGTGACAGTTATTTGGATCAGTGCAACCTGAGCTAAGGATAGTGGGTAGGCTGAAAACGGTGGTATGCAACAAGGCCTCATGTTGAGACTCAACCAGTTACTCCCCCACTTCTTCACCCTATGTATATATTTAAAGGCAGAAAGAAAGAATTTGGCATGCAGGCAAAACAGGTTGGAATTATATAGGTATGAACTCTCGGATACAGGGGGAGGAGCACTGGCTGCTAAGAATACAAGAAAGAGTAGAAAAAGATGCATTCAGAATCAACTGTGTGTTGAGAGTTGTATTCTCAATCTAGAATCCTGAGAACAATCTCAAATTCACAGCCTGTAACATCTTTGAAAATCAAGCCTCTGGAGTTTTCTTTTCCTCCTTGCCCCATTGTGCTATCATGTCTTCCATCAACCCTGTAGAATAAAATGTTTCAAAAACTTCGTTCAGCAGCAGCCAAGTAAATCAGAGCTCTTCCCTTGAGAATCTTGCACTTTTCCTACTGGTGTATAAGACATCACAGGTAATTACAATCCAAAATATTTCTGTAATAAAAGTATGACGGGTGGTTAATCCTTGACTAGCATAATGAAATTTATCTCATAGCCAATTCTTTGGGGTAATGGTAGTTTTTATTTACAGGAAAGATGAGAGTAGCAGCAGGACAGCTACTGTTAGACAATGTAATTAGCATTGATGTAATTAATCTAGATGTTTAGTCAATGAAATAAAATGTCTCTGGCTCATTTTTCTACTAGTACAGTTTCCACTCAGATGTCCATGCATACTTATTCTGGACATAGTTGCAAACAAAAATACACGAAGCACCTCTGCATATACATTACTACAGAGTTATGCAACTATTTATTTTCTGTTATTTATTTCACATCTTGAAAGTGGGTTGTTGATTCACCTTGATTCAGATCAATTACTCTATGTCATCATCTGTCTATCTTGGCCTTTTATCTTATTTTTCCTCCTAGCGCTAACGTATCCTTCCCCATATCTTGGTTTTAATGAAATACCTTGCTGCAGACTCAAAAATAGTCATCCTCCTCAAAAGAATAAAAGTTCTGCGTCTTCCACTGAGGGGTGATTACACGGTGGTCAGTTCATTGTAATTATGGGGCTATAGAGGTTCACGGTGAATAAAGAGTGCTTTCAGCACCACCATGTAAAATATCACCAAGTTGTAAAATTTTGCTTAAGTTTATTGATTCTCTTTCAATAGCTAGCTTACAGAAGATCAATTATATGCTAGAGTACTGCAAAATAACACAGGGCTTTAATTAATGGGTTTAATTGCAAGATTAAGAGAGAGTGAGCATGTTTTCAGATATTTTCTGCTTTTGTTTAAAATGAACCTTCCATGTTGAAATAGCTGCTTTTTCCTGGATTTTGGTGGATTTAGTGACTATATTTTTTTGTTTTGTGCTAATGGTGAAAATTTAGCTCACCTGAAATAAAAACAATCCAGATTTAATCAAACCAATTTATGGTTTGGGTTGGGTTTAATTTCTTGAAAATAATCAAATCTCAATTATGATAGACCTCAATGTAGACCTCAACATATATCATGTGTTCCTCTCTAATTTGTGGCTTTGTTTGTAGTTGGGCTGGGGCCATGTGACTAGTTCTGGACATGGATGTAAATAAGGCTGTTAGGGAGTTGGTGAACTTCCTTCATCTCTCGTCCCCTTCTATAGGAAACTTAACAGTCACATGTCCAGTACCCAACAAAATATGGAGGCTGTCCTGGCCCACGTTGAATTTACAAGCCAGATTATAGCTTTGCAATGTTAGCATTATATTAATATTTGGACGCTCATTTGTTATATCACTGCATAGAACAGCATTATTTTAACTAATACGAACCAAAGCGTCCTTCATATAAAAGCAAATCCTGAGACAAAATGTGTTAACCTCTTGCTCAGTTCTTGAAAATAGTAAGATATATAATTATAAATCTTTTTTCCTTTACTGTGTGTGTGTGCCTGTGTGTGTGTGTGTATAAAAACGTAAAATATTTAATATAGAGAATATGTTAACTGCATTTTTAATCAGTGCAAACAAAACACATCAACTTGACATGCTGGTTATTTCTTTTATTAAAAATAATAAATGAAACTGTTTTTAATAAAATTCTTATTGCTATTCATTTTTCTATAGTAGAGAAGATTTTCAAACAAGATTAATGGGAAAACAGAAGATGAAATAAATATTCCATAGTTGTCTGTGAATTTTTTATTGTCTCTTTTGCACCTTGAACTTGATCGCTTTCATCACTTAGATAAATCCGTGACTTGAAATGTTGGTGCATTATGGATTAAACAAAAGTACCACAGTGTTTTTTATCCTGTATTGATGATAAACCTTCAAAGTAAGATAATTATTTTTCAATTAGGCTCCATACAAGGACTAGAAAGCATTAGTTATCAACATGTACGGAAAATAATCAGCATTAAGTTGTCATATTTTGGCTGCATTAATGTCGTTAAATTAACATAATAGTCATTATAAGCAGATGCTCTTTCCTGAAAGATTTTTGCAATTAACGTTGTATTCATTTGCACACCTATATCTGCACTTTTTTCCAACTCATTAATATGAGTCTCACTTTCCATTGCCTAAAGTCATGAAGCAGTGTAAATTTATAAAATAAAACTTCACCTCCTTGCCTTGTTTAGAAGAAATACCACATTATTCATCCACCACACCAGTTGTATTGACCTTCTGTATGAAAATTAATGCCCTCCAAGTTTCCACTCTGAGAATTTTCTTTGGGTTTCATAGCAAGTTCTCTTAATTTGGGGGCTGCTGCTTATTCTTGCTCTGAACATGTTTGTTTGCAATCCCCATCCTGGAAGGGCTGACCCTGCTGTCCATCGTCTCTCTTTCCCTGGTTCCTAGCTACTCACAGGTGAGTATGTTCTTGATTGTCTTTGTACCATGGAAGCAGAAAATGGTATAAGAGAGGATTAACTGATGGGGAGCAAGAGAGAAAATGGAGGGAAATAAAAACAGTAAAATCATCTTCCTATTGTGATAACTAGTTTTGCTGTAGAAGACACAAAGGGTAGATATATGTATATATCTGAGGTCAAATGCTGATTCTGGAACTTTGGCTAAATCACTTCAACTCTAGGGTTCTCTATATGGCCGGGCATGGTAGCTCATGCCTGTAATCCCAGCACTCTGTGAGCCCAAGGCAGGAGGATCACTTGAAGCCAGGAGGTTGAGGCTGCAGTGAGCTATGATCACACCACTGCACCTCTACTTTGCTCATCTCTACAACAAGGCCATTGTACAATCATAGTTTTCTGAAGCTCTAAGCTACTAGATTGGAAAAAAAAAGACCGGTTTGAATGGACAAGAGATAGAGCAAATAGGATAATAGGTTTTATTGAGAAGGAACAGACTAATCTCCTAGGGATGGTATTTCAAACAGATGAAATCTGAGTTTAGAAGGTTTTGTGTTGTTTTTGTTTGTTTGATCATTTGTGTATTATTTAAGGAAAAATAGATTCTTAAATACATGATATATAGGTAGAATTAAAGGAATACAAAAACAATTTAGCCTTTCTACATCATTTTTCCCGTATTCAGAATAAGGATCATAATTTTATTTACATTCTTCATGGAAATGTTAAGATTAATTAGTATTCATGCAAAAGTAATTTGAAAATGAAAAATGTCAGCTAAGTGCTAAGTAGTGTTACTTCAGCTTTGGTTTCTGAAATTGCCAAACTCTTCATTAGTCTTTGTAAATGCCCTCTGATGTGCATCACAGAATTTATAAACACAGCGCAGTAACTGATAGTATGTGACAAAATACAGTGTGGAGAATGTGTTACTGTCATCCTTAAAGATTGATTGGGTTGCATGGAAAGCATTACCTGGAATCTTCTATAGGAATATTTTCACTGAATTAACAAAGATGACCTTCCTATCTATAATGATTAAGTGTTCTACAAATCAGAATTAAATTAAAGGCAAATACATATCCAGAAAGCTGTCATATCCTCTCCTAATTATTCTGCCATGACTTAAAAGATGAATATTTTATTTGGGTCACAAGGATAAAGTATGGAATTATAGAAGGTCTCCTCTAATGCTGCAGACAAAGCCACTCCAGTGTACGGTAGATGGCGCTTTAAAAGTTTAGACTTAGTTTAAACAAAATTAAGTGACTTACTAGTGAACCATGGTAAAGAAACTATTAAAGAAATAATGCTTACCAAGTGAAAAAGGACTATTTTACTGCCTGAGTTATGGCGATAATCTTCCCCAAATGGTGAAAGCCCACATCTCCCACAGTTGGTTGGTACTTTATTACTTGATTTAACTCTCTTTTATTGTTCATAGGACATGAATAAAGCAACTCAAACACTGGAACTGGGTATTATAAATATTTTCTTTTAAGATGATATGTAGATTAAAAATAGTTTTCTCAAAGAGAGAATTCTATTGAACTGTATAATTGATTCTACTAAATTCAAAGCATTTGATACTTCTAGTTGATGAACAAATTAATAAATGGACAGAAATATACTGAAGTAAAAATAAAACCATGAGTATAGTGTGATTTCAAAAGTAATTTTGAATAATGATTGAGGTGATTGCTACCTTACAACTCATTTACAAAAGTATTGACTTTTATGTCTCTAAAGAATATATGTCTGGGCATGGTGGCTCATGCCTGTAATCCCAGCACTTTGAGAGGCCAATGCAGGAGGATCACTTGAGGCCAGGTGGTTGAGGCTACAGTTAGCTATGATCACACCACTGCATTCCTGTCTGGACAACAGAACAAGACCCAAACTCATTTAAATAAAAAAAAAAAAAAAGGAAAGAAGAAAGAAAGAGTTTAAGAAAAATCCATTTGGAGGTTCATTGATTGATTTATTCACTTAGAAATTGTATATTGAGTGCTCACTATGTGCCAAACATTATTCTAGGTACTGGAGGTAAAGCAATTAACAAAGCATATGAAATTTCTATCCTCGTGAAACTTATGTTTTGGTGGGACAAGATAGACAATAAACAGAAAAATAGATAATTTGGCAATGAAAATCAGTGCTACAAAGAAAAATAAAGCAAATTCAGGGGTGATAGTGCTGAGTGTGTGTGGGTGGGGTAGTGTGGGTGTGGATGAAGGGCGTGTGTGCATGTGTGTCCAATTTTAAATAGGACTGTCAGGGAAGGTATCACATACGAGCAGATACTTGAAGAAAGGAAGACAACAAAAGCTGTGATTATATCTGAAGGCAGGACCTTCTAAACAGAGTGGACAGAACCCCTCCAGCAGGACCATACTTGGCGTAGTGGGTGTAAACAATAGACAGGAGGCCAGATTTGCTGGAATAAAATTAATGGGAAGGAAGGGGAGTGGTAGAAGATAATGTTAAAGGAAGGGTGAGGGAGGGAGGCAATGTAGGGACACATAGGCTGTGGTGATAAAGGCTTTGACTTTATGTTGAGTGAGATGGATGGTTTTGAACACAGAAGGGATGTTATCTGACATATGTTTTAATGGGATAACTCTGGCTGTGTATGGAGAATGCTGAACAGGAGTCGGAATGGAAGCAGGGAGACCAGTTAGATTAGGAAGCTGTTGTAAGCAGAGAGGATGGCGGCTTACACCAAGGGGCAACAGTGGAGGTGGTCAGATTTTGGATAAATTGTGAAAGACATCCTGATGGGCTGGATGTTGAGTGGAAGAAAAAGTAACGAGTTAACATGACATCAGTTTGTCTGAGTCTCTGGACTAATGCAGTCCATTTCTAATGAGTTGCAAAGTCTACAAGAGAAACAGGTTTGAGGAGGGAAATATTAAATTTGAGTTGCCTCTAGGACATTTAAATGGAGATAACACATAGGCATTAGGCTATAAATCTGGAGTTCAGTTTAGAGTACAGGCTGGAGATAGGAATCTTGGAGACATCACCATTGAGTAATATGTAAAACCAGGGAAATAGATAAGATTACCTGGAGTTCAGATGAGCAAGAAAATTGATCTTAGGAATGAGCCCTAGGTACTTCAATTTTAGATGGAGAGTTGCAAAGGGAACCAGCAAGGAAAACAGAGAATAAAATAATTAAATAAAATGTTTCAAAATGAAGAAATAATAATCAGTGACAAATATTGCTGATTGGTCAAAAAATGATGGGAACTGAGAATCAACTATTAGAGGGCAAGTATTAAAGCTATGCTATATACTGAAGGCTTTTTTATATAGAATGCAAGACTATTTAGGATGGTCTTGTTAGTGGCTGATAGAGATTATTGGCATAAGTGTTTTAGTCACTCTGTACTCCCAACCTATCCTTTGACACTGTCCTAAGATTGTAGAGAGAAAAAGTACTATTGTAATATCCCCAAAGAGAACATTCTACTCTAATCCAAGAAAATCTCCTTTATCCGAAAGGATTTACATGGAGGAAGTAAAGAGCCCCACTCTTAAAAAAAATATGACATGAGTCTTATTTAGAACAGTAGTTTTATAATACTTAGAAAATTATAGTCTATATAAAAGCACATGTATTTACCTCTTGTCCAGAACTTCCATGTTTCATTCCTGACACTTTTCCTTTTGTACTGAACTTATTCCCTAAATCTAAAGTACTGTTCATTAAAATACAATGCAAGCCACATATGTACTTTTCATTGGTTTTACTAACCACATTTTAAAAGCCAGAAAGAAACCAATGACATTAATTTTTAAAACATATTTTACTTAATATATCCCAAAGATTATCATTTTAACATGTAATCAAATTTCTAAAAATTATTGTGATATTTTACATTATTTTTGTAGTAAGTCTTTGAAATCCAATATTTATTTTAGACTGACAGCATAGCTCAAGTCAGACTAACCACACTTCAAGTGCTCATTAGCCACATATTTTTGGACAGGGAAACCCTGTCCTATAATCATATTAAAACAATTTTTTTTCACAGAACAAATTAACTGCTAGCACCAGCCTCTCCTTTCCATTTTCATCCTCTTTGGCTTTTTAGTTACTCTTAGACAAAGTAGAAGAAAAAGCAAGTCAGAGGACCCAAATAAGTTGGTGTAGTAGTACCTTCCCTTCCCTTCTAAATAGGCATTTTCCATTAGGTGTTCCTTCCTGGCTTTCATAAATGTATATAATAAAAAAGTGTATTATGGTTAGAGGGGATTTTGTGTTTCTTGGATGATCTAGGCCAGAATGACTTCTGGAGGCTAAGTCAGGAGGGCAAAGAGACTTTCTTACATGTCAAAAGGAGGGTTTAAGTATTTATTTCTCTTATCAAGGTTCACTGTGACCTGTCAGTTGTTAAAAAAAATTAACTGCTAAATGAAAAACTAAAAAAAAATTGGTTTTGAATATTGATGATAATAATCACTAACATCAAATGAGTGCTTACAAAAAGCCAAGTATAATTAGCCAAAAACTTTACAGACATATCCCATTTAATTACCACTATAAACCTAAAGTATGGGTCCAAACTTTATCATGAATAAACTGAAGCTTAGATAGATGAAGAATTTGTGGTTCTGGTTTCATGGTGGCCAAAGCCAAAGTAGAAATCCTTTTAATGACAATTTTTTAATTGCTAGTTAAAATATAATTTTTAACAGTAATATTTAGAACTCAAAAGAATGTTTTAAAACCTCTAGCTTCCAGAAATAAGTAGGAACTGGATGACAACATGAAAAGCACCTAAGCTTATATAGCAGCTTGGGAGGATATGGGATCTGAATTAAAGCCCCGTCGCCAGAAGATGAGATCCTAATTCTTCACAGGGAAAGAATACCAGGTTTTGGACCTGCCTGAGGTGGGAAGGTAAAGTAAGACACTAAATGAAGTTGGGATGCTAAAAATATTACCTACACTTGTGAAAGAGATTTAGACTACACTGCCTGCTGAGCCAGGGAATTGTCAAGGAATATCGTCTTGGTCTGAGGCTCTAGGCAGGAAAAATTTCTTCCATGAGAAATATATGCTTCAGTTTGTGCTACATGAAATTGCAAAGTATGAATTTACACTGTCTACGTAATGCAGAAATCCCAAGCTCAGATTGGTTCTAGACAGAGCTATCTGTAGAAACAAATACACAATTTGTAATTCACCTCTATGATCCAGGGTGCCATGGGCTCCCACATGGGAAAAAGAAAAATTTTCTTTAAAGCTAAAAATTATAAACTATACAAGGGTACAATCTACCTCTGAAAAAGTCGGATGCAACAAATGGCAAGATTAATATATCTAAGAATTTAAGATTAATAGAATAATCTGAAAGATATAAAATGATTATGCTTAAATTAATTAAGGAAAGGAAATGTGAAATGAAAATTATAATGAAAAAATAGAATATTGTGACATTAAAAGACATAGATTGAAATCAGAAAATTATAATCATTAAAATGAAAATTTCAGTGAATGGCTTTAAATATCCATCAGAAGAAAGAGATAATAACATGGAGGTTTTGTCTGCTGAAATCATTCAGAATGTGGCATAGAGAGATAAAGAGACGAAAACTATGAAAGGGAAGTTACGACAAGGAGAGGAGAGGAATTGAAATTCAGTTATAATCTACTAGGAATTCTAGAAGGAGACACTAGGTAAAAACTGGCAGGCAGACAGCATTTAATGAGACAGTGTCTAGTAATAATAATAATAAATATAATTCTTATATTTATTTAAGTCCAACAAGGCCTGGGTGAGATAAATACATATACATTTGTACTAGTATACATAATAGAAGAAAGTCAGAAGAGCCAAGCAAAAAATTCTTAAAGGCAATAAGAGTTTAAAAATCCCTTCCCAAAAGAACAATAATTAGACTAAGCAAAACTTTCAACAACAACAAAGACAAGAAGATTATGAAATAAAATCTAAAAAGCCCTGAAAGAAAATAATTTCCTGCTGAGAATTCTATACACAATTAACCTGTGATTCATGAATTAGGCCAAAATACTCTTTAGACTAAAAGACTAACTGAATTTATATTTAACAGATACACCTTCTCTGAAATAACTAGTAAACAATATACTCCAATATTTAAAAAAACAAAAAACAAAAAACGAAACTGAACCAAGAAGGAAATTGAACCCAGAACCAAGGTGTGGTTTGCAAGATATGTGAGGATACAAGAAATGATAATGGACTAAGAAATTATTAAATCTAAAATAGGAACTAACTGTAAAACAACAGTAACAACAATAATAATGGCTAACTTTGAGATGTTTAAATATAAGATGGAATTAAACACTAGGTATTTACAGCATCTAAAATGGAGAGATGTCATTAGCGTTGAAATATACCTTCGTTCTGAGTTCAACTCCCTTCTCACTTCATTTGACTCTACATAACAGGCAGCTCTCCTGACACTGACAAGCCTTGATACTGGTGATACTGATGGCCAAGTACGTGCTCTGTACCACAAAAAGTCACTTAGTTTTAATTTCATACAATCATTTGGATCACAGGACAATTCACTTGGATGTATAAATTTGTGTTGCAGTTTGCCTTGTTAACTCTACTTTGTTTGTGTAATAATAATTATAGCTGATTTTTAAAATTTATTCTGTGCAAAATAATGTACAAACACTTTACCTGACTCAACTCATTTAATCCTGTGAGGAAGATATAATCATTATCTCATTTTACAGATGAGAAAAAAAAAACAAAGAACAGAGAGATTTCCTAACCTGCCTGGGATGATACAGCTCATAACTAGAAGAGTCAGAATTTACACCTAGGTAGTCCAGCTCCAAAGTTTGTCCTTTTGATCACTAAGCTAAATTTCCTCTCATGGGTATGAATTGCTTGGGTACAAATCCAGATACCTTCATTTATGAGCTGAGTGACCCAAGGCAATTTAGAGAATCTGGATACAAAATACTGAGAAAAGGGTTATTGAAGTGTTATGATTTTTCAAATAACATTTTAAAAATTTGAAATTGTCTTAGATTTACAGAAAGATTGCAAAGATATTACAGAGTGTTCATGGGATGCCATGACTTATGTATTTAATTTTTAACATTTTCCGTTAGTGTGTTCTATGTGAATTACCACCTATTCAACCCTTTGGTAAAGGAGGGATTCCTGCTCTAGGATTATGGGATGGCCAAACACACAAGACCCAACACTGGTCAGATGAGCCCAAAGGACACTGCACACCATGCAAGACCACCTGGGAATTGAACTTGAGAACAGAGTGAACAACCAGGGACTGTGGGAGAAAGGCTTTGTAGGATAGAGAGGGTGGAATGCCTTCTACTTCCCATGGGAATAGTTTGTTTGAATAACTTTGTGAGCTGGTAGGGAAGTGAAACCCCCAGCTCAGGGAGAAGCAAGAAATTCACCTGGTCTGTTTGATGAGGAGAGTTATTTGGCTGGAGACCTTGTCCCTGGGAGCACAGAGGAGAAGGTGACCAGTTTAGCTCTGACCATTTGGCTTTTGTGTCACTTTGATATAATCCCAGCATTGGCTGGGGGGGGACTTTTTTGACCTCTTTCTTAAATTCTGGAAAATCAAGATGCTCCAAGCTCGTCTTATATAATTCCTGCCCCAATCAGCCATTTCTCCAAAGGGTCCTGGTTCCTTTTATTGGAGGATGGTGTTAGAAGTCAAAACCTGGGCACTTGGTATGCTCATTACTACTGGGGTGTCATTTCCTCTAAGCCTGTTACATAACAGAGCAAAAACCAATCTGTATGTTCTAATCCACATGCATACACACATCTAAAAATACTTCTATGTGTAACCATGTATATTTATATTAAATGAAACTTGAGTTTTTACTGATGTCTCCAACTCGAATCCATTACTACATGGATTATTAATGCTTTCTCTTGCTTATCTCTGCTGTTACTTTCAATCCCAACAGTGAAAACCTGGCTCTCACCATCCACCATTCATTTATTCAGTTGTTCGGTTCCTGTATATGTGTATAGTGGTTTCATAGTTGTTAACCTGTATTCCAATGAATAACAATATTATCAACTAGAGTACAGAGCTGACACAGAGTTCCCTTGCATTTAATCTTTCAGACTGCCCTTATTTCCCAAGTTACCTAGCTCATTGCTCCCCGACCCCACGCCATCTCTTCAGTGAAGATGTTGCATACATTTGTAATAACAGTTAAATACTTTTGTCACATTCTGCATATAGTCCTATGATCCTCTGACCTACTTAATTATTTGTTTAATTGGCATGGATTAAGATTCATTTCTCTGCTGTAAATTCTTTGGGTTTTGACAAATGCGTCATATCATGTACCACCATTACAATGTCATACAAAATAGTTTTGCTGCCCTAAAACTCTTCCTGCGTTTCACCTATTTGATCATTTCCCTCCCTCTTCCTGAACCCCTCATCTGTTTTGTCTTTTCCAGAATGTTATTGAAACAGAATCATGTAGAGTACATAGCTTTCTGACCAACTTTCACTTAGAAAAATGGGTTGACAATTCATGCATGTCTTTCATGTGTCTTCATAACTCATTTTCCATTACCACCAAATAATATTCTATTATATGTGTGCACCATAGTTTGTTTATCTATTCAGCTATGGAAGGGCATCTTGGGTGCTTCAGGTTTTGGCAATTGTGATAGGGCTGCCATAAACAATCGTATGCAAATTTTTGTGTTAACATAAGTTTTCGAGTCAATTGGGTAAATGCCTAGAACTCCAATTGCCAAATTATATAGTAAGACCATTTAGTGTTAAAGAACCTGCCAAACTGTCTTCCAAAGTGGCCGTATTATTTTTTATTACTCCAGCAATGAATGAGTGTTACTGCTGTTCCACATTTTGCTGACAATTGTTACTGTCAGTTTTTTGAATTTTAGCCATTCTAATAGTTGCATAGTGGTACCTCATTGTTGTTTTAATTTGCATTTCCCTAATGACAAATGATGTTGAACGTCTTTACTGTTTGTAAGTTTTTTGGTGATGTATCTGTTTAGGTGTTTTGCCTGTTTTTTATTGGTTTGCATGCTCTCTTATTGTTGTGTTTTAAGAGATAAACTCTGTTATTTTGGTTACACATCCTTTATCAAATATATGTTTTGCAAACATTTTATCCTAGTCTCATGTAGCTTGCATTTTTATATCCTCAGCAGTGTCTTTCATAGATAAGGAGTTTTAAATTGTAATAAAGTCTAATTTTTTTCATGGATTGTACTTTGGGAATTGTATCTAAAAATTCATCACCAAACAAGAGTTCACATAGATTTCCTCCTGTTTTTCAATAAATTTTATAGTTTTTTATTTCATTACATTTTAGATTAACTTTTTGTGTAAATTGTAAGGTCTTTGCTCTTTCTTTCTTTCTTTCTTTCTTTCTTTCTTTCTTTCTTTCTTTCTTTCTTTCTTTCTTTCTTTCTTTGTAAATTGTAAGGTCTTTGCTTATGTTTCTCTCTCTCTCTCTCTCTGTCGCTCTCTTTCTCTCTTTCTGTCTTTCATTCTGCATGTGGCTGTCTGATTGTTCCTGTACCATTTGTTGGAAAGATGGTTCCTTCATTGAATTGCCTTTTTGCCTTGTCAGAATCAGTTGACCTCATTTATGTGGGTTTTTCTATTCTGTTACATTGACCTATATGTGATGTGTTCTCTTTTGCCAATATTACACTGTCCTGACTACTACAGCTTTGTAGTAAGTCTTGAGATTGACTACCATGAGTCCTTTCAACTTTGTCCTTCTTCATTATTTTGTTGGCTATTATACGTCTTTTGCCTTTCCAAATAAATTTTAGAAACATTTTCTTAATATCTACAAAATAGCTTGCTGGGATTTGAATTAGAATTGCTTTGGATTTATAGACCAAGTTGGGAAAGAATGGCAACTTAATATTGAGTCCTTTAATCTATGAACACAGAATATGTTACCATTTACTTAGATCTTTGATTTCCTTCCTCATTGCTTTGTAATTTTCTGCATACAGACTCTGTACATATTTTGTTATACTTATATGTAAGTATTTCACTTTGTGCTATTGTAGATGGTATTTTTTTAATTTCAAATTCCAATTTTTTATTGTTAGTATAAAGCAGAGCAATTGAGTTTTGCATGTTGACCATTAATCCTGCAACCTTGCTATACTTGGTTATTTATTTTGTTTTTGTTTTTTTTTTGTAGTTTTTTTGGTGTTTCTACATTTTAAAAAAAGTCATATGTTAATTATTACAGTTTTATTTCTTCCTTTCCAATCTATATGGCTTTTAATTCTTTTTCTCATCTTTTCACTAGATAGAACTTCCAGTATGATGTTAAATAGAGTGGTGAAAAAAGGACATATTTTCCTGGTTGATAATCTCAGAGGGAAGGCATCCAATCTCTCATCAAAACATGAGATGTTAGGTGATTTATTTATTTATTTATTTATTTACTTATTTATTTTTTGTGGATGTTCTGTACCAAGCTAAAGAAATTCTCCATTCCTGGTTTGGTGAGAGTTTTTGTCATGAATAGATGTTGTATTTTGTCAAATGCTTTTCCATCATAACTGATGATATCATAGATTTTCTTCTCCATGGCCTGTTGATATGTTAGATTACATTAATTGATTGTCTAATGTTGAAACAGCTTTAAATACCTGAAACAAATCTTACCAGTCTGTAGTTTATAACTTATTTTATACATTTTTGATGTGGCTTGATAATATTTTGTTGATGATATTTTCATCTATGTTAATGAGATATTGATCTGCAGTTTTCTTTTCTCGTAACGCCTTCATCTGATTTTGGTATTAGAGTGATACCTCTCATAGAAACAGTAGGAAAGTGCTAATCTGGACTAATCTGGTTTTTTCATTTTTGAGAAGTTATTACTGATTAACTTTTTTGATAAATATGGATCTACTCAAGTTGGCTATTTCTCTTTATGTGAGTTTTGATAGTTTATGTCATTCAAGGAATTGATTCATTTCATGTAAGTTTTCAAATAGGTGAGGATAGAGTTACTTGTATTATTCATTTATTATCTTTTCAATCTTCATGCAATCAGTAGTAAAGAAACTTCTTTCATTTCTGATATTGACCATTTGTATCATCTCCCTTTTTTTCTTGATTAATTTGGTAAAAGACTTGTTCATTTTGTTTATCTTTCCAAAGAACGAGCTTTAGTTCCCATTGATTTTCTCTATTATTTTCCTACTTTCAGTGTCATTGATATCTGCTTTAATTTTCATTATTTACTTTCTTCCTCTTGGGATAGGCTTAATTTTTCTCTATTCCTAAGGAGAGAAATTTAGCTTATTAATTTTAGATCTTTTCTCTTTTCAAATATATGCATTTGTTACTATAAATTTCCCTCTAAGTACTACTTTCACTGCATCTCATATAATTTGATAAATTATATTTTCATTCCCATTTAGTTCAAAGTATTTTAAAATTTCTCCCGTGACTTCTTCTTTGGACACATATATTATGTAGCAGTGTGTTGTTCAGTGCCCAAATACTAGGGGATTTTTCAAACGTCTTATATTGTTGATTTTTAGATTAATTTCTTGGTGATCTGAGAACATACTTTACATGAGTTCTATCATTTTATTAAAGTGCATTTTATAGCCCACAATGTGGTCTATCTTGATGACTGTTCCAGGTGAGTTTGAGAAGAACATATCGCTTGCTCTTGTTAGATGGACTATTGTATAAATGTCAATTAGGTTAAACTGATTCGTGGTGCTATTCGAGTCAACTATATCCTTACTGATGTCCTGCTTGCTTGGTTTTTCAATCACTGGCAGATGGATTTTGGAGTCTCCAACTCTCATAGTGGACTCCCTGTTTCTCCTTTCATTTATATTAATTTTTGTCTCATATATTTTGATGGCCTTTGGTTAGGTACATACACATTTAGGACTGTTATGTTTTCTTTAAAAATCGACCCCATTGTCATTATCTAATGCTATATTTGTGGTAATCTTCCTTGTTTTGAAGTCAACTTTGTTTAAAAGTAATATAGGTAGTCAAACTTTCGATAATTGTTAACTACTTAGATTATAGGTGTTTTGGTTAGGTGGATGATGTTCTTACTTGATTTATATTTTTAAGCCATACAGTGTCTAGGATACTGTTGGGCATGGGAATGCTTGGTAATAAAAGCTTTTTGACTGATTAATAAGGATTAGATGTCTGTGAGCATATTGTACACTATAAATAGGAAGATAAATGAGATTACAATAAAAATTTCTAAATTCCCAGAAGACATACTCTATATTTTCCAATGTGCTAAAAATGAAGAGTTAATATTTAAGTTAGCAAATTTAGAAATAACTACATTAAAGGAGAAAATGTTACCTTTCTACATGACATATGATTTATAACTGTTTCACAATTATTAAAATAAATGGAACTGAAAATTATGAAACTTTTTACTTTACTAAGTGTGATTGAATTGAATATGTTTCAATACTGCATGCTCATGAATTATACTGTACTTCTTTTCATTGGCTAACAAGCATAGATCTTTCAGTGTCTAAGGTCCAAGAAGTCAGACATTAGAGCTAAAAATTAGCCACACTAGAGAAAAAATTATTCTAACTGGCCTTTCTCAGTTTAGTTTTTTGTTATCCCGAAAGAGGCTTGATATTTAAACCCTCCTAGTTCAAAGCAGGATGAAAGATTCAATAGGGTTTTTGTTTTTTTTTTCTCTAGAAAATACATCAAGGTACATTCTCACTTGTCCTTTTATTGAACCTGTAATTAATTAAAGGGAGTTTTTCAAAAAACACATGTAGAATTCATTTCAAATTTAGAAAGAGGTAGGTGCTAATCTAATAGTATGGAGCAGGTCAAAGAGTTTTATTTTTTGAGAAAAGCAATATGTATCCCAAATTGAAAGGGAAGATGCTGTTCAGGGCTTGATGTAGTTAGCATTCCCTAACTACTTTGGTAGTGTGATTCCCACAAGCCAAACGCAGCAACACACTCCAGATGCGCAACTTAGATATTCAAAAGTAGAGACAGGAGAAGAGCTGATCCCAAGAAATGAGGAGGGGCCAAAGGTGACTATTGTAACGGGGTAAAATTGAGAAATGCCTTGCAATCTGTGATTTCAAGCTACGAGCATACAGCAGGGCAACCAGAAAGATACATATTCCATTATTCAGGAGTTGAGTGTCCCTTCTTGTTATGCCATTATTTCTGGTGCTTTTCTCCGCAGGCCTCATTTGCAGGGGAAAAGGAAAGAAAGACAACTAGAAAAGAAAGGGAGGAAATAAGGCTTCTCCAGTTAAGAAAATTTACTTCTATCATAGGTTTTACATTCAAGGGAACAATTCATAACAAAAAAAAAAAGTCTCTTGCAGCAAATTCTCTAGAGTCCATCACAGTGAATCTATAATTACAACTTAAGGCTGTTTGCACAGAGTCAGGTTCCTTGCACAGAGGAATGGAAATTCTATCCATCAATCTATCTTCCCATCAATCTAACTAATGACACTGTAAAGAAGTCCCTCTGTGATATTTGTCATTTGGTTTAAGCAAAAATAGACATACAAGATATAAATACAGAAGGAGCAACACCCAATCAAGGCAAAAGAAGTAAGTTTCAGCTAAACAATAGTTATACCTAGAAGGACATACAGAATTGTGTTAAGTAAAATCATGGAAAATCTAATTGTGTGCTTTGAAAATGGAGTGGAAAATGTGCTTCTGTACAGATTATATTTTAATATTGTTACAGAATTAAAACACCCCAGAGCATAATTGTATCCTGGGGAAGCCTTATGACAATCAGAACAGCTGGCAAACCCTTGTTTAATTAGAATTATAAAGAGCAACAGTGACCATTCAGTATTTCAGTTTTTGTACCTGTAACTACTTTGAGGGAAATGATAAATATATAGCCCAGATTTGTTTAAAAAGAAAACTCTGTGTGTGTGTGTGTGTGTGTGTGTGTGTGTGTAAAAGCAACAAGAGCACAGAATCACAAACTATCTCCTCTTTACTTCAGTTAATTTTAGCCGTAAATACCTCCCAAAATAAGCATATGCCCCTACTCTGGCAAACATTAAAAAGATATTTTTATGAATATAATTTTTTAGGAAAAATGACCAAATACTGTATATCTGTCCTGATTGCTATGGTTATACAATACCACTATTTGCTAAAAGCATTAGAACTTTACTTGGTTTTTTATAACAAAATTTGTAGATAAAGTCAATTACAATTATCTGTGCCTGGATTATATATATTATATAATGCCTATTTAATCTATTTACCCATCATTCTATTGAGAGAATAATTACTATGAAATCTACCTCAATTCTGCACTATTTTAAAACCTCAGAAAATCAGAGCATTCTTGCAAATGATAGGTAGAATAAGTCAGTAGGTGGTAATTTATGTTGTTGATAACAAAATCTAATGTTTTAGTTTCACAATTAGAACATACCAGAAAGTGCCATCAATTTTTTCTAAAAATAAAAGGATATTTAAGAAACAACCAAACTAAACCTATAAAAAATATAATATGCTCACTATGCATATTTAAGAGAATATTGAACAAGAATTAATTTTTTTGATAGTAAGGAAGGAAATATTTTCTGAAAAGAGGATTTTGGGTTTGCTTTCCTTTTTAAAAATATTTAGAGAAGTATATTTTAGCAGGTTATAGGAATTCATGCATTTTTTAAATCAGTGATCAGGTATGTTTTACTAATTAAGTCTGATGGCTCTTTTTATATTCCTGCTTACAGACTGAAAATTATATGCTATTTAGAAGTATAGATTTTTAAATATCATGTTAATGCTAAAATATTCAAGTAAATATGAGCAGATCATGCTGCAGGCGCAGTTATGAAATATTTGAGGCCCTTTTCATCTCTTATTTTTTGTGATGTATGAAAGGCAAACATTTGTAGAACTCAAAAAAGTAGTACTTAATATTTATATGGCTCTTAAAATGTACTAGGAATACATTTCTACTTTATAAGCTCTACATACATAAAGCATAGCCATACTAAAGTAGAAATTTTCTATTTATAATCAGAACTGGAAACTTGATTACCATGAATTTTCTCATCTAGCCTGATGAAACCCCCATTATACAGGTGAGAAATTGAGACAGATTAAATCATGTCCCCAAAGTCACACAGTTTGTAAATAGCAAAGTCAGTATTTGATCCCCCAAAATTTGGCTCCCAAATTCACGTTCTAATCATTGAGCTGTACTACATCCAATGTATGACCTGAAAGTAGGGTGGCCAAACTTAACACATAAAACAGGATTTATAGTTAGGGTTGACAGATAAAATACAAGACCTAATATTGCATAGGAAATACTTATACTAAAATATTATTTGTTGTTTATGTGAAATGCAAATTAACTGGGTGTCCTATATTTCATTTAGCACCTTTACCCTAAATGAATATTTTGTTACACTGTGCAATACTTGTAAGGAAGTATTGCTGTACCTACCATAGAATATATGTATTTTAGTACTTGAATTATTTTCCTTTATTTGCATGACATTTATTAGATGCTAATAGTCATTGATTAGTAATATTTTTATTCCCAATTGCTTATAGATTTATCTCCATATCTCTTTGAAGAGAGACAATGGGAAGTAATGAGTTAATAGCATATGTATGTATAAGCAGATTTCTCCCTCCTCCCATATGCTGAGGCATTTTGACCTTGACCACACTTTCTTGTAAACACACTTACTGATTTCAGGAGCTACAAGATAAAAGAGGGTCTTCTGGGGGCTCTACTGTATGAAATATTTTTAGCCAGATATATGGTAAGTTTGTCTGGATTGCTTATTGTAAGTAAACTATCATTTTTTAATTTATTAGACACAAACCCACCAGAGAATGGAAGTTATTAAATGGTCATTCTCATTAAGTCATTTGGAAAGTACGAGACCCCAAAACTAAAGGGCTTCCCTGCGCTGATGGAAGTCAAACAGTTAGCATTCCTCTCTCCAAGCCCAAAATGCATCACAGTGTTAGAAAGGGATTTAGGAAGCTGTGCTTGACTGATTTCTGGGCTCCCAGGCACTGATGTAGCATTAGCACAGGATACAAGAAAGCTGTGACTCCTTTGTTATATCCTTTGCTAACCATTAGTAAAACTTAGTTTCTTGTGAGCCTGACTGACAATTCAACTTTGTGATAGTGCAGACCCACAGTCACAATATTTTCTGAGTCAGCCAGGATGAATTAGCTCTTGTTACCTCTCTCTCCAGATTGCCAAAATTATGAACTATTTCTTTAGTCTTCTTTATCCTTTGCCAATGTAAGGAGAATTTATAGCAAGCAACTCAGGAAAAAAAAATGTAGTTTCCATAATTGCTAATTTCTGTTTGCTCTATTCTGATGAACTATCATATAGGAATTTATCTCATAGGCTTTTCAGTGAAATGAGAGTCAGCATAGGGGATCTCAAGTTATTTTAATTCAAAATATGAAGAATGACTTTATGATTCTGCATGTCATGATCATTATGAACAAGAGATATTTATCAAGCAAAATAAGACATAGGCAAGTTGCTGGAATCTCAACAAATATCTCTTAAAGGGGCTGGGAAAAATTATCCTTCAGGGGGTTGTAGTAAGGATAAAATAAAATAAGTCACTTGCTTAACAAAGTATCTGTCACTTATAAATATTCATTAGTGATTTATAACCCTCATATATGTGTAGGTCACAGTTTTCTTACAAGGATTTAATAATCTAGTTGATTATGAAGCTATTTAAAAATTGTATAATGCCAGGTAACATAGGATAATCAACAAATGAGGAATTTGGAAGACCATAATGAATTAACTCATCAGGGATATTAGATGGAATGTGGACTAGCCTTGGGGAATGGTGGCAGCATGCATGGGTCTGAGCTGTGGTGCTACCAATTCCAGGCTATGCAACCTTGGGCAGCTTATAATATCTCCATGCCTCAGTCTCCTCGTTTTTAAAGTGAGGATATTGGTATTCATACACAAAAAAATGTTTGCTTTGAGGATTCATACGTGCAAAATATTTAGCATAGAGTAAACACTGATTAATATTGGCTAACATTATCACCGTTACTATGATTTGTAATATGTAGTGATATTTTATTTACTATTATTTTAGAAAAAGTAGGCAGTAATTTCGAGTCAACTGCTTTTTCTAAATCATTTAACGTGTTAAATGAGAACCCTACTGCACAAATGTAGGGTTAAGTATCACTTTTAAGGTTTACTTCAAAGTAAGTGAATTAAGGCTATCAAGGAAGAATGTTTTTGGCTATAAACTGCATAAAGAAAAAGAAGAACTGGAGAAATTACTGAACTAGAGAAGTCATCGAACTAGAGGTGTGAACTAAATATTGTAGACGTGAATCGGCTTCATTGTCCGGGGAAATATCCATGGTTCGTTGTCTCTCGCCAAGATCATTAATGACACGAACACACACTTGGAGTGGGTTAAGGAACGGAAAATTTAACAGATAAAAAAGAGGAGAGAGAGACAAAGCTTCCTCATGTTGAGAAAGTAGGTTACCCAAGGCGGGGTTTCCACGTTTGGGCGGAACGCTATCGATTTAGTACAGAGGCTTGAAGAGGCGGTGATTGATTTACATAAGGCCCAGGGGATTGGTTTGACCAGGTGTGCCATTTACACAGCTCGAGAAAAGACTGGCCCTCCTACCCTAATCTTTTACTGTGCAAATACAGCTACTACCAGGTGGTCGCCAGTACACCTGCACAGATGGCTTTACTTGTCCTGCGCCATGACCCCGACACACGTGGCAACAAGGAAAAGGGAGCAGGAATCGCCATATTGAATGTACCTGGCTTCCAGGTGCAGCTGCTGGCATTTACATATGCAAGCCTCTAGCTTACATAGCTATACTTGCAGCTAGACTTTTCAGGCTGCTTTATATTAGAAAAGAAATGGTTTGGAGGCTGCTTTTTATTGAAGGAAAATTCCACCAAGGATTCTTTTACTCTTTCTAACTGCAAAATAATTTCTTAATAACTCCTGTATTAGCAGCTGAATTTGCAAAGAAAATAAAGGCCGTGTCCTTGTGAATCTTTTTTCTCCCCTTAACTCTCAGAAATCACCACCTGTCTCAATAAACTACATCATAATAATTAAAAGAAGAAATAAATTGGATTTATAGTGCTTAATTTTATGTATGGGGATCTCATAATTGATAAATAAAATGACTTCTTTTGGAATTTAACATATTTGCTTAATGTGATATAGTACAACTTCTAGAAAGCTGTATGTAATATAACAATAGCTGAAAAGTGCTATACTATGAAGATCAAACAAATGTGAAGAAATCTTATCAATGCTAATAAGAAACTATCTGAAAAGGAGATTAAGAAACAATCCCATTATAGTAACATCAAAAATAATGAAATACTTAGAAATAAACTTAACCTAGGAGATAAAAGACCTGTACATTAAGACCAAAAAAAAAAAACTGATGACAAAAATTGAAGAAGACATAAATAAATGGAAAGACATCTTCATAGATTAGAAGACCTAATACTGATCAAATGTTCATACTACCCAAAGTGATCTACAGATTTAATGCAATTTCTATCAAAATCTCAGTGGCATCTTTCACAAAAATAGAAAAATCCATCCTAAAATTCATAGGAAACCATAAAGGACCCCACAGAGCCAAAGCATCAAGAAAAAAAGAACAAATTTGTAGGCATCACATATCCTGATTTCAAAATACATTACAAAGCTATGGTAGTTAAAACCAAGTGGAGGCAGGGTGCGGTGGCTCACGCCTGTAATCCCAGCACTTTGGGAAGTTGAGGCAGGAGGATCACTTGAGCTCAGGAGTTCAAGACCAGCCTGGCCAACATGGTGAAACCCCTTCTGTACTAAAAATACAAAAATTAGCTCGACATGGTGGTGCATGCCTGTAATCCCAGCTACTTGGGAGGCTGAGGCAGGAGAATCACTTGAACCCAGGAGGCAGAAGTTACAGTGAGCCAAGATTGCACCACTGCATTCCAGCCTGGGTGACAGAGCGAGACTCCATCTCAAAACAAACAAACAAAAAACAAATGTCAATGACATAAGGATAGTCATAAAAACCAGTGCAACATAAAGAGCCCAGAAATAAGCCATGCGTATATAATAAACTGATTTTTATCAAGACAGCCAAGAATACACAAAGGGGAAGGACAGTCTGTTTAACAAGTCATTTTGGAAAACTGGATATCCACATGCAAAAGAATGAAATTGGACTTCTACACTATATATATATAAAAAAAAAATCAACTCATAATGCATGAAAGACTTAAACATAAGACCTGAAACTATAAAACTCATAGAAGAAAACATAAGGAAAAAACTTTCTAGCATTGGTCTTGGCAATGATTTCTTGAATATGACACCAAAAGTACAGGCAACAAAAACAAAAATAGACAAGTGGACTACAATGAACTAAAAATCACACCAAAGGGAACAATTGACACAATAAAAAGACCTCCTAGGGAATGAGAGAAAATGCATGCAAGCCATATATCCTATAAGGAGTCAATATTGAAAGTATGTAAAGAACTCCTACAACTCAATACCACATAAACAAATAACCCAGTAAAAAGGGCAAAGGACTTGAACAGGCATTTCTCAAAAAAAGACATACAAGCTGGATGCTATGACTCACACCCGTAATTCTAGCACTTTGAGAGGCAGAGACAGGAGAATCACTTGAGTCCAGGAGTTTGAGACCAGCCTGGGCAACATGGAATATTTTGTCTTTAAGGAAAATTTAAAAAAAAAGTTAGACCAGCAAGATGCTGTACATCAGTAGTCCTGGCTACTCGGGAGGCTGAGGTGGGAGGATAGCTTAATCCCAGGAGTTCAAGCCTGCAATGATCGTACCACTGCACTCCAGCCTGGGTGGCAGAGTGAAACCATGTCTCAAAATAAAAACAAAAGTAAAAATAAATAAAAAGAGACATACTAGTGGCCAACAGGGATCTGAAAAGATGTTCAACATCACTAATCATCACTTAAGATGGCTATTATCTAAAAAAAAAAAAAAAAAAAGACGTGTAGGCAAAGATCTGGAGAAATCTGAAAACTCATATGCTATTAGTGGGAATGTTTAATGGTGCAGCCCCTGTGGAAAACATTATGGAGGTTCTTTGAAAGATTGAAAGAGAACAACCATATGTGCCAACAATCCCACTTCTGGGTGTTATCCAAAAGAATTGAAATCAAAATCTCAAAGAGATATTCACATGCCCATGGTCATTGAGGGATTATTCACAATAGCCAAGTTGTGGAAACAACCTAAATGTCCATCAACAGATGAGTAGATAAAGAAAATGTAGCATATACGTACAATGGAATTTATTAAGCCTTAAAAAAGAAGGAAATTCTGCCATATAGGATAACATGGATGAACTTTTAGGATATTATGCTAAATGAAATAAGCCAGTCACAAAACAAATGCTGCATGATTTCACTTACATGAGATATCTTAAATAGGCAAATTTGCAGAAGCACAGTAGAATGACGATTGCCAGGAGTAGAGGGAGAGGGAAATGGAGGGTTGCTGTTCAACAGGTATAAAGTTTCAGTTAGGCAAGATGAATAAGTTGCCTACCTCCTATACAACATTGTAAATATAGTTAACAATTCTGCCTTGCACACTTAAAAAGTTATTAAGAGGATAGATCTCATGGTAAACATTCTTACCACAATTTTAAAGAATTAAGTTTTATATTTGCTTTGTAAAACAGTTATTTCTATCTCTCCTAAGCACATTGTAGAGAGATTCAGGTTAACCTAGGTCAGTGTGTTGGACAAATGCTGAAAGGCAGTCAGGGAATGCCACCAACATCTGGGGAAACTATACTCTATTATTCTCTGTAGATGGAACTTGGGCCTTATATCCTGAATACTTTAGAGGCCTCAGTTTCTTCATCTGTAAAACAAAGGTGAGGGATGAGGGATGAGGTTGCCTCCAAAAGCTATTTTTTGATTCCGCAGAGTCCTAGGTGAACTGAAATGTCATGACCTGGAAGAAATGATCTCCAGGTAAGTATACCCAACAGAACATTCAGACAAGAGTTATTTTAAAAGCTCAAGTTCTGCTTTATAGGGCAATAATCAGGTTGAATCATTGCAACAAGCTAATATCCTACATGTGTAGCAGTACTTGATACCTAGGATTTGATTTCTGTACGTCATAGTTTAAAATATATCTTCAACTAATCTAAAAGGGATGGTTTCTGATATTCTGGTAAACTGAAAGAAGACAAAATTCTGTGTTTGTAGATAAAATAATCTGATTTCCTAGGAGAACAGCTAAGTAAAAATGAAAAAAAAATCTCTAGGCTAACGAAATGTACAGAGAGACTGAGATATTTATAATGATTATACCCTCACTTAAAATAGCCCATCTTCTCTCCTACATTCTATCATTCTTCCTCCTGTTCCACCTAAGACTAGCAAAGGGAACATAATTAACTGCCTCCAAGAAATGTGCTCCAACAATTTTCCTAAAGTCATAAGATCTTTCTGAAATATAAAAAAAAAAATTCTACCTTTTGACATAACTTTTCAACAAGTTAATCGTTTGTCTTTGTGACATGCATATCCCTATGTCATTTAATTTTATTAAATTAATTTTATTCTTTATCATACATTGATAATATATGTTGTTATTAACAATAACATTAATTAGATTTATATTAATTAATTAGATTTAGATTTAGATTAACAGAAAGTACTTGTTTTTATACAAATATTTTAAATTATATGAATACAAAGTAATAATTTATATTAGTTAATATATTAATTTCAATGACACCTAAACAATTGCTATAGAAAAGAAGATCCCTAACTGATTTCTCTTTTTTATCCACTAATCTGGTTTTTAAGTTATTCTAATTATAAAGGACAGTTCAATCTCTATGATTCTTTTTCTTGATGAAAAGAAATAAGCCTTTACTCCAGAATCAAAGAACAGGCTGAAGACTTGAGAGACTGTATGATATTCTGGTGTAAAAGCAGAATATTTTAAAAAGAAAAAGTCAATGATAAAGACACTTTGTTATAGAATGGGAAGTAAAGTCATCATAAGTTCTAGGGAAAGTCATTTCATTTCTGTTCCTAAGCTGGTAACTACTCCTTGTATATTCCTATTGTAATTTTTACTCTAACCCCTTTATGTCAAAAGTGATCAACAAGATACTAAAAATTAGTACAGACATCTTTGTATGTTGTTGCATGTGTGAATAATATTTGTATCATTACATTATCCATAGGAAGCAGGTGGGAAGTATATATCTTCCTGTTGAACCCAGTGCTTCCATCTCTCAAAAATTCTTTCAAAGTAAATAATGCTGTCTGTAAAAAAGGCTATTCACATAAATTTGTATAAAGATTTTTATTGCATCACAAAAGAGGAAGCAACTTAATTGGTTCACCAAAACATTAAACCACGAGTTAGTGGTTTGATAAAATAAAACACAGCCATTAAAATTATGGTTATGAGATGATGTAGTAATACAAAAAGTGAAAATGATATAAGCTAAGCTTCTAAAAGTATGCTATAAAAGTATATGTGCTGAATGATTAACATTACATTTAAAATGTTTATGGAAAAATACTAGAAAATCTGCAAAATTCAAACTATAATGTTAGCAGGATTTATATTTAAATCATTTCATTTGCCAAAATAAGAATAAATAATGTATTATTACAGTACAGAAAAAAAATTAAAAGAAAAAAAAAGAGCGTAGATGCCCCTTTTATAAATGTATTAGAAGGAAAGTAGGAGGGCTAAACTAAATAACCCTTCCCTCAGATAAAACATATCTAACACCAGTGGAATTATCAAACAAGCAAAATTAGGATTTTGGAGGCTGGGCCTCCTCCCTCATTCCCCTCCCAAACAGACTCATAATCTCTGAGCTAATGAGACACATCATGGCCTCTGTGGAACACAGTGCAGCAAACCAAAATTAAAAAACCCTGAGTTCGAAAATCACCACATTTTATTAATGTAATAAAAACTCTGATGCCCTGATAATTTAAATATTAGGAACCGAGCCAACACCAGAAATTAGGTCTCCTAGTTTTAATCTATTGTTCTTTATCTGTATACCTATTCCATTATAAACCAGGGCACACTTTTTTTTTAAGGAAAAAAAAGGAGAATATATATATATGGAGCGTCTTGCATTAAGCCAAGCTTTCAGGAGTTGTTGTTTGAGCAATTTCTGCTCAAGTATGGAGTTTCAGTTTTGTTACTTCACATGCCAGCTTCCCTTTCTGATCTCCAGGCCAGTGTCACTTCCAGCTCTCCCAGTTTACATGTTGTTAGAACTTGGAACACCCAATGGTCAAATATATTTTGAAAATATAAAAAAGGACCAATATGAAAGAAAGAAATGGTGCTATGTTTTTTCTTTCAGATCTCACGCATTTTCTACAAAGATGTTTTGAGGATGTTTATTTTAGCACATTTTGACAGTTGGCTAAGTACCCTAAGACAATACTACTCCAATTGAAATATCAGAGAAGTTCATAATAAAAGCTTGCCAGATAAAGTGCTTTCCCTATATTAAGTTGTTGGAGGGAAATTAGATCAAGGTCTGTAAACTTTTCTTAATGGATGTGATAGTAAATATTTTAGGCTTTTGGGCCAGACATTCTCTGTCACAACTACTTATTTCTGCCAGTATAGTGAAAAAGCACCCATAGGCAATGTAAACTAGTAAGTGTGGCCATGTTCAAGTAAAATTGTTTTTTTTAAAGTAGGTGAATAATCCATAACTCATAGTTTACAGACACTTGAGTTAGAGGATAGTAAGAAAACTTCCAAGTTTGAGGGAGCAAGTGAAGATAAATTCTATGCCCAAAAATACTTAAAGCTTATAAATAATAAAACAGTTAAAGTTTTCTAGGGAACTAAAGACTTAAAACATTTCATTGTCCTCCATACAAATCCTGTGCAGGTAATTTTTTTTCTTTCCAGTTAAACTCATTATTAGTGTTTGAAGGTTATGAAAAGACATTTCACTTAAAAGAGTTTAATTTGATAATTAGAACAAAGATCACATACCAATGATTCTTCACTTAAATTTTTTCTCTGTAAGTCTATAATTTTTAAGCTATATATCTTTGCCACTAAGTTAAATGAATTGAATAATGACTATTGCCTCCCTAATCAGGTTTTATTAATCAATGCCAATATATTATCCAGAAATTATTAGATCAAAGAAACCATTACATTCATAGAATCTTTTTTTTTTCTACAATTTTCCAGTTTCAGTTGAGTTTTTTATTTTGGAACCTAAATTACATTTTCTGAAGTGTTATAGCACAGCATGTACCTATCTGGGAAGAAAAAAAAAAAAACATAAGCATTGCAGAATTGGCCTGATTTAAATTATTCTTGGTGAGCAGGTGGTAGAGATGATAATTGGTCTCTCTATGATGATCTGTTCCTTTCAACTATATTTAAGTAAAACAAAACAAAAGTCATACTAAATAGTTTAAGAAAAAAAGCTCAGCCTTTTTCCATTTGAGACGAAGTTTTAACTAAGCATGACAATATGACTTGGATCCGGACCTCTGAAAATCAAGTTTGTTTCTAGCATGTCACATTTTAAATTTGATTGCTTTATGATAATCCATCATTTATTTAAAAATCATGTTGTTAGTAAAAAGTTTTGATTCCTTCAAAGATTTGTTTCCAGATAGAAAACTAGGAGTGGAATGAGGAAGATCATTCTGTTTAGTGAATGTACAGTCTTGTACCACATAACGAGAGTTCAATAAACCAACAGCACTTATGATAGTCTCATAATATAATAATATCATATTTTTACTGTGCCTTTTCTATGTTTAGATACACAAATACTTAACATTGTGTCATAGTTGCCTGGAGTATTCACTACAGTAACATACTGTATAAGTTTATGGCCTGGGAGCAATAGGCTATACCATATAGCCTAGGGGTATAGTAGGCTATACCATATAGCCTAGGGGTATAGTAGGCTATACCATCTAGGTTTGTGTAAGTACATCCTACGATATTCGCACAATGACAGTATCAACTACAGACACATTTCTCAGATATATCCCCTTTGTTAAGCTACACATGACTGTATTTAGACGATAAAATTAGGCCAATGAATTAGGAGAAAGCTTAGCTCTAAACACCAAACTAGCAGATATAGTTTGTTTTAGAGGGCTCAAGAGTCACCTTTTTTGGTATCTGCAAAATGAAAAAAATTCAGCTGGCATTACAGTACAAGTCAGTTATAATGAGGATTATTAAAACAGCAAGCTGTCTATGTGCACATCCACATAAACCACTTAGTTACACAATTAAAATTTTTCTTTTTGTCACTGGAGAATCCAGATATCACTGGTTATCTGTCAACTGTGATTACAGCGATTAGTTTAGGGTACGTAATCCAGTAAGAGCCAAAGGAGATGTTTTTCTGGGATAGAAAAGAAGTTGTTTCTCTCTTCTACCAGAAGAGAGAATTTCCTTCTCCAGATGGTGTGGTGTGAGACTGTGAGGCTCAGATCAGTAACAGGGGAGCCTCGAGGGGCTGCACAGGGCAGGGATGGGGAAGCCCAATTTGGCATCTGAAGATTACATTTATATCACGTAATGGAAAGAAGGAGAGAGATCAGGTCATTGGTGACTTCATTTGAGCTACTCAATAAAGTTTGCCTGAAGCTAAAAGTCCTACCTTTCATTTGCAATAAAGATCCCTAAGTACATAAAAATAAATACATTAAAGTACTCTCTTTTGAATTGTAATTAAACTAATTCCAAGAGCTAAGGCCTGAAATAAATGCCAAGAATCCCTCCAAGGAGCTGCAACATTTAGAAAGATGGCAAGGGAAATCAGAACTGGTATTTTATCCCCAAATTCCCTATCCTGGAGTTTCTGTTACTTAGGAGAGCTTTGAAAAGGATATAGGTCGTATGGAATCATTCCAGGTCTTCATTCCTTAAAGCCAAATTAAGGTTTCAGTTTAAAATATGGGCTAATGAGGATTAAATATCCTGAAAGTACTTAGATTCCTTAACCAATCAGAGTGAAGTGGAAAGACCATGGTTTGGAGTTAGTTCCATGTTCTGGGTTCAAATTCTAGCTAACTCACTAACTATGCAATGTTGTGCAACTGTCTTTACCTCTCTTATTATCAGTGTAAAAGACTGATAATATACTTACCCTGAAGGAATTTCAATATGTTTAAATAATGGCAAGTTTAGGATAAGTACTTAGTACAGGATTCTAGCAGAAAATATCTGAAAACTCAACCTCCATCATTAATAGTACCATCATTTTATTTGTTTTACATTTCTTTGAATATGATTTCTGCAAACATTATGTCTCAAGGCCACTAAAGAAAGACTCTAGCAGTACTCACTCCTTAGGGAGTAGAAAATATTCATGATTATTATAATCTGGGAACAGACTTGGGGAGAGACAAATACAGTCCTACTGGCTCCCTTCAACTCCTAACCTGAGTCTACGCTGACGTAACATGGTATCGTTATATGAATGAACACATTACCTGTTCTACGTTATACCATATATATTTAATAAACATAGGTAACAAATAATATGTGACTTTTTTGCAAATAAATTCCAATCCAAGTTAGTAAATGTTTGTGTGCTGCCATCCCTGCCTCCCCACACATCCCTTTCCTGCAGTTTTATCAGGTTTTCTAACACATCATTTCTCTGTCTCCTCTGAGGGAGTACCACCTTCTGAATTACTCATAACATGGTGCATTAGGATTCTAGTTCCAATAGATCAGAATTGGAAGTGGTATTGGTATCTACTTAGAATCCTTGCTCTAGGTATTTTCCTGTATTTATCAGTAAATATTTATTTTATATGATGCCATAATATTTTCTACATAGGCAGGCCATGTTACATATTGAAATTAGCCATACTGGGTTATAATAATTAATTACATGTATGTTTACATAAAGCAGGTATCGAAATTGCACAGTGATTCACTCCATAACTCCAGAAACCTTGGAATGGCTCACATCCGTGTTTGCCGGTGCCCATGATACATGATTAACTCATAAGTCAATTTCATACAGCATACTAAAACAATTAGAAATAGCCATAACAATTTATGGGGTCAGTAATCCAGGCTCGAAAAGTCAAAGTGAGCTCACAGATTCAGAAGTAATCAACCACACGGTGACACAATGTCAAAAACTGCTAACATTGTAATGAAACATACATCAATGATTCCCTAAGTAAACATTTATACATCAGACAGTCACCATCATGAAAGAGATGTTATAATGTATTGCTTCAATGACGTAGCCTGTGTATTAACTAATCCCTAAACACTCATTGACAGGTAGTGTCTCATTCTCTTTGCCTCAGATGATAATGGCCCATTGAAGCTATTATTGTTTCAGTAGGAGAAAAAATTGTAGTGATGCATTTTACATTTCTATGGGGATTTTTTTTTAATTTATTATACTTTTTACCTTTCCTTTGTCTTCTAAAGAAAAATAATGGTATAGGTTTGGCAGCACACTACAATGCTTAACTCCTGAAGAACAATGCCATTTTAGAGTAATCCAAAGCCCCTATTCTATAACCAAAAGTAATGTTCAGCTGGAATTGACTAACTTTGCATGAACCAAGTGGTGAAGCTGAGTTGCCTAAGGTGTCTCTTTTCTTTCAATATATTTTCAGCAACCATAATTATGAACACATAAATGATGTAAAAGCAATTCCATCAATTCAAAGATTATTAAAAAATAAAAAAGAGGATTCCAGTTGTGCATGGACATATTGAAAAGATCTTACAAGGTTGCCCGTGGCCGAGTTGCAGAGCCAGGGTTGGTTTGTAGATCAGTATGAAGCTCAGAGGCACCCCACCGTGTATGAGAGGCATTCAGCATGCAACAAAGAATTTTCTTGTGTAAAAGAGAAGTAAACATCATCACTAAATATCAGACAGCACATATCTTTGTAAATATTATCTTCAGTGCTCTTTTAAGCTTTTGTTTATAAAAATAGTGAACTCTATATCAAGCACAAATTTAGGCACAGTAAATTATATCACATGCTTTGCGGTGGATTACCAGGTAATCCAATTGCTTGGAAGCCATTTCTGGTACACTAGGGCCTCCAGGTAGAACGGCTTCACCCCATTCATTGACCAACGAATGGAGAAGCACTTCACCATTTTTCCACTCTGACACACATGAACCGCATGTTCCCATGGGCAGATGAAATGTTAAGCACAATCCCTGGCTAGCTAACTATAATTACTTTTTATACATTTAATTTTCTGCTTAAGAAAATTATCAAAATACCATGGGAATCTGGTATAATGTCTAAAAATAATTTTCACAATTTTCATTGAGTTATGATTGGCAAGAAATTACTCATAACAAACTCTACAAATGACACCATGATGTTGAGGGTCCCTGTTCTGGAGAAGCATAATAAGAACTGTCACACACATCTGGGGAGTCTTAGAAACAGGCTGCAGCATCAATGTGACACAAAGTTCACTGCTAAACTGAAAGCCTATGTCATCTCACCCAATTTAGAAGACCTATCCCAGGATGTAAGCACTCCACCATGACTGAGGGCACAGCTGCCTGCTACTATAATTTTTTTTCTGGCATAGACAAAGGAGCAGAGTGGCTGATAACAAGACCATCAAATAGCTGCTGCAGGAGGGACTTCAGGTGGGAAGGACAAAGGAAATAAACAGGAGAGCAGGGCTTCAAAGAAGATAACACACTGTGAACTGCTGGGGAAACAGCAGTGGCTCCTATTCCCCTGCCAGGTAAACATAGCAACTGATTTAATTGGGTGGCTTAGTCGGAGAAAAGATACTCAAAAGAACAGGGGTCTTACAGGTATTGCCTTAATCAATGACACACAAGTAAAAGCTACAGCTAATGTACTAATTTTTGCATGTAGTGTGGGTAAGATTTTTTGGTAATTGTGGAACCTCTGAGTCACACAGAGAAATGAAGAGGGAGCAGCAGCATCAGGCTGGAATTTAAAAACAAAGAGCAAGGTATATACATGTTGAGAGGTAGCAACAGGGTTTCTAGGAATGCCAACTCTGGAGCCAGGCTGAGTGGGTTTGAATTCTGACCATACCATTGACTGGCTGTGTGATCTTGAGTAAGTTACCTAACCTCTCTATGCTTTGGTTCTCTCTTCTGTAAAAACGAAATTATAACTGAATTTATCTTATAGCTTCCTTATAAGGATTAATTGAGTTTATGAAAAGCATTTCAAACAGGTTTTGGTCTATTATTGTTTTAGAAAGCTAAGCTCTTATTATAACTGTCATTTTATGTATGTACTTACATATACATATAGTAAATTTATGTATGTACTTACGATTACATATAGTAAATTTATCAGTCTGAATTATTAGTTTTACATTAGAAAATTACAATTATCAGTAATTGAGGCAAATTATACTATAGTTTTAGAAGCTCAGTTCAAACCAAAAACATTTTAGAAAACATGTATGCAATGAAATATGCTCCTTTACTTATAAGGAGCATTTAGGAGGGGTTCCTAAATTTTTTTTTCTTTTCTTTTCTTTTTTTTTTTTTTTTTTTTTGAGATGGAGTCTCACTCTGTCACCCAGGCTGGAGTGCAATGGCGCAATCTTGGCTGACTGCAACCTCTGCCTCCCGGGTTCAAGCAATTCTTCTGTCTCAGCATCCCGAAGTAGCTGGGACTACAGGTGACCACCACCTCGCCCGACTAATTTTTGTATTTTTAGTAGAGACAGGGTTTCACCCTGTTGGTCAGGCTGATCTCGAACTCCTAACCTCAGGTGATCCACCCACCTCGGCCTCCCAAAGTGCTGGGATTACAGGCGTGAGCTACCGCGCCTGACCCCTAAGTCTTTAATAATAGCCATCAAAATGTTTCATTTGGCCCATCGATAAAGAAGCAGAAAACCCTGAGCTAGCAAAAACACATCTCATCTATTCATTTTAGCCCTGTGCCTTTGACATTTGATAGTATGTTGCTGTTTGTTTCATTCTTAAAGGAGTGTCCTCAGATCACTTTTTAGTTTCTGCCTTGGTATAATAAACAGTAGTCAATGGACTGATGTATTACATAAAAAACGGGCACTATCTTCAGAACTTAGAGAATAGTAGTATATGCCCTGCTCTTTGTTTTACAAATATGACCCTGCTACAGTTGTTCCCTCTTCATCTCCATGTGTGACACAGAAGTTACACTGTTACCAAAATGTCTTAGCCACACTACAAGGGAAAAACAGAAACTTAGAAAATAGAATGTAGGAAATAGTCAGAAATCAGCACTTTTTTTCTCAACTTAGAAAACAGAAGTAAAGATAATATGAAAAGGATTTTTGTGATTATTTTCCCACAGTAACATTGTTCTCCAGACTGGAAGTTGACTTTCTAACTGTTTCTCCATAAAAGGTGGACCTTTTAGTGTAGGTCCTATGAGATATGCATGCAGAGACTATAATGCCCTTTAGAGAATCAGGCAGCATGGATGGGAAACATTTCAGAGACAGAATTGCTAGGAGAGGGGTATTTTTAAAAATAAAATCTGCATTTATTAACATAATGCAAATATGATGAGACAAACTTACATAAATACATCATTTTAATAAATTACACTGTGGAAAAAATTAATAGACCTCCTGGTTTCAGACATTGCAGAGTGCAACCTTCTCCAGGACCTCTTCCTCAACCTCCAGGGCAGGTTGGTGCCCCTCTTGCACTGGCCTTTGCTTCACAGACTTTTAAATACCTCATCACCTGTCCCTCTTTACCACTAGTACTGTATGTTTCTTACTGTAGGAACTGTGTCTTTTTAACTTTTTAAAAATTCATACAACTTAGCAGAGTGTACCACAAACAGCAAGGAGTTTATAATTACTGAAAACAAAAAAAAAGGCATCTTTGGGTAGTTTCTAGATATTATAAAGTGAACAAATACTGTGTTTCTAATGTAAAAGAGTTGAGCAAAGACAATTTAACAAAAATCTGTGAGACCTCAGAAAATTATTACTGAGGAAGGAAGAAAGAAAGAATGAACGAAAGAAATGAAAGAAAGAAAGAAAGAAAGAAAGAAAGAAAGAAAGAAAGAAAGAAAGAAAGAAAGAAAGAAAGAGAAAGAAAGAAAAAGAAAGAAAGGGAGAGAGAAAGGGAGGGAGGGAGGAAGGAAGGAAAGAAGGAAGGGAGAGAGAGAGAGAAAAGGAGGGAGGGAAGGAAGGAAGGGAGGGAGGGAAGCAATTTTGGTTGAGTATGAAAGTATGTACTACCCACATAAGTGGGACACTTTGAACAATGAAATATAGATGTTTTCACCAAAGAAGGGAGTCTTATTTTTTTCCGACTTCAGACAATTCATCTTCATCCATTAATTTTTCCTTTTTGTAATATGTACCTTTATGCTAATTTTTAATATGCAAATAACTTACAAATATATGCTCAGCATTTGAGTACAGGCTGTGCTTTATTACATATTACATGCATGTATGCAATGTACTTACATTTTATTTATATATATACATATGTCCCATGATATATGTAAATATATACATATATCTCCTATCATATATGTATAAATGCAAAGACATATATTCTACTATAGTTTTTTTAACTACAAAATAAAATTTGGAATGAAGCAGGAATTATCTTGGACTATTTATAATTTATTAAGATACTAAATACCGTCATTATGAAATGGTCTCATTAAGTGATCCCTGTCTAAAGAGTTGCATAATAGTGAGACAATAAGGGGCTTAGTGTATTTTTTTTCTTTTGAACATAAGCTATTGTACATTTGTGCCAACAGGACTTCTTTATAGAGTCTCATTTTCCTATTACAATATTATTTTTGTTATTAAGTGAAACACCTCATATCACCACCACTGCTGAGCCAGATATAATAGACTGTACTGTGTAAGGTTCTTAAAACTCACATCTATAATAACCAGACCTCTTTTTTTATATTGATTCAAATTATGTTTAATGCTGAATTATAAGCAAAACCTACAAGAATAAAATCATTTTATGCTTTGAAACTGACTCCTTTTTTAAAAAAAGAATGATCACAACTACCATACTCCCTCATCTATTAACACGCAGTAAAACAGCTCAATAGCACTTTTCAAGGAACTAAATGTTTTAAATGTTATGCAGTATGCAGGGAAAAATTATTCTCTAGACCTTTGGCCAGAACTTTAAAAGTGAGCATTAAGTGTAGGTACAGTCTAAATTAGGGGAAGGAGGCATCACAAAGCAATTCCAGGGCATATTGTCGATCCACACTATTGCCAGACCAGGAACAACTGGCTGGACATATTTTATCAGAAGACTAATGTATTTTCTATAGCATAAGCAGTTAGGCTCAATTAGTGTATGACTTACCTTGTTTCATTTCACTATACCCTGACCTCCTTAACTGTGGCTATTTTTCCAGTGATTCTTTGGAGTTCCGAGTAGTTTCACAGACAGGAATACTATCTAAAATTCTTATCTTCAGAGGAAAAAAAAAGAAAAAGAACATTTGTAATGTGGGAGGTCATAATTTTGAAAAAGAAGCATATTACAGAAACATGCCAAATGGATAAAAACTTATTGCTGAAAAGGGGTTCTCCATAAGAAGTAGACATTTGGCAGTGCTCTCCGGGGCTTACAGTGTCTGTAAGCTTGAGGAAAGACTGAATATTAAATGAGGAGGCATATTATCCAGGTTTCTCTCTCTGTAATAGGATACATTTTAAGATGACAAAGGCGAACCTTAAACTGAAATGAAAATTCAACATAAAAACTCTGATGTCAAGTGAAAAATGCGTAGTATGTCTAATGATTTATTAACTACAGGAAGGGATTGTTCCATTTGAAAATTTCAAATGAAAATTTTAGATCTAGCATAGCCCCTCAACACTATGAGTCATCCTCAAACATTTAAGTCATCATTCCTCTTTTTCACTTAAATACTTTCATGATTGTGTTTAAGGAGGAGGATGAAAAATGTAGCAAGTTAGAAACAGCCCAATTTCATTTGGTTCTTAGAACATCATCTTTGTATAGTGAGCACTGATTGCAGAATCAGCTTTAAAGAAAATTAAAATGATCGGCGATCTCAACTCTAGGAAGCTGTCTGTAGAGCTGTTGTTTTTAAAGCAGAATTGATATCTTACACCATTCATGATACTAAGCAAAGACAGAGGAGAAAATCTTTGTTGTTACGAAGATTAATTTTTTTCTTTTTATGTACTTTCATATTGATCTAAGAATTCACAATTTAAACTACTGGGTTATAATTTAAATATGACAATAAAGAATTTGGAAGGAAAATGTCATAATGTTATTATAAGTTATTTCCCCATTTATTGTTTTATTTTTATATACTCTCAAGCCATTTAACTCTATTTCATACACAGAGACACACACAAAACCACACACAGAAACTTTATTTCCATCATTGTGGCAGAAGCTATCCATTCTGGAGCAACACTTGATTTACACCTTGAAATAGGGAGGAAGTCAAACAAGGAAATCATCTTTGTGGGTAAGTTTTTACTGCCCTCTTGGGTTGCTGATGCACGTTCACCACATGTGCATTCAGATGGATACCAGATGCCAAATAAGTAGATCAGAAAGAAAATTGTTTTTTGAGACAGCTCAGGTTTTGGGGAAGATGGTGATGTTTTCAGTTAGGAGAGAGGTTCAGGAAACATGTTAGAAGTGTGGATGTATTATATGAAGAATGTTTCAGATAGTAACTGTCAGGCTACTCCAGAGGTTCTTCAACCTGCAGAAATTACAAGGGCAGAAGTGAGCATCCAGGCTCACAGATGGCTTCTTCTCCTTAGAGTACTTGCTGATTAACCATTTTTAACAAATATTTCACTTTAGTAGGTCCAAACAATAAGCATTCCAAAAACATTTGTTGCCAAATATTTTAATGGGCTATTCCAGAACATGGTTAAGGGACCTTGCTACTCACACCCAGGTACAATGTTTCAATCCTTGGATGACCCCTTCCTGTTACACATTTGATAATAAAATAGAATTTTAAAATATCAGGATGTTTTGCAAACCATGTAAGGAAACTTTACATTAAAATAGTTTTAGCTTCTAAATCCATCTAAAAGTCTGCGTATGGGAACCATATGAATTTTCTAGGTAGCTGAAGGATTTGCCAAAAGCAATTTCATGAGTCTTTTCTTCATAGTTACATATAAGACATAACTAAATTAGCAACAAATGAATATCACCAGGTGTAAAATATTTGTTTCAACTGCTTAAGCAATTATTTATTAAAAGAAAATAGGAACATTTGTTTTATGGAACGCTGAATGGGGCAGTTATTTTCAGCACGACTCAGAGTAGGCTTGTACAAATGAATAAATGAATGAATGAATTAATGAATTAATGAAAAAATACATGGATGAAAACAGTTTTTTCTTGATGAGAGGGCAATATAGACCCATCTAAAGAGACAGAAAAGAAAAAGCAGTGCTCACCAAGAAAAACTATTCAGTTTTAGCTAAATGTAAGTGTTTCTCCTAGTGTAATATGATGACCACCCATATCAGAGTCACTTGGAAAATATACACAAATGGCAGAGACAATGACCCCACCCTCAAACTTTTGTTCCAGAATCTCTGGAGTTGTAAGACCAGAAGTCTTAACTTTTAACCAGCTCCCCTAATTTTTTATACCTTTTAGCTTTTCAGAACCAAAGGGTCACACAATATTTTCAAGAGGGAGATAAATTTGGAAGGGTAGTTTGGAGCCAGATTTTAGAAATGGAAATGCCAGGCAAAGAGGTTTAGGTTTTATTCAGTGAGGAAGGAAGAGCCATTGAAAAACTTTAGTATGAAAAGCACACAATTCAAAAGATACTTTGAGAAGTTTAAATTGCAGGCATGTGAAATGTTAGGATATTAGAAGAGAAGAAATAGTCTGGTGGAATACAAGGCTGTAAGGTCCCTAATCAGTGTAGAGGATGTGATAACAGAAAGGAAGTAATAGATTACAATGTATTTCAGAGAATTCACAAGTAATTTTCTGAATATAAGAAATCATAAAGAGGAAGAGGTCAGAAGAAATTTTAAGCCTACCTGATTAATGTCATGAATTAAAAGAAAATTTTTGGTTGGATGAAGAGATAAAGGGGAAAGTTAAGTTTGGTGATATACATTTGAGTTTAAACTAAGTTCTTAAAAAACAGGCAATTGATATGGTTTCACCATGTCCCCACCCAAATCTCATCTTGACTTGCAGTTCCCATAATCCCCAGGTGTCATGGGAGGGACCTGTTGGAAAGTGATTGGATCTCGTGATAGTGAGTGAGTTTTCACAAGATCTGATGGTTTTATAAGCGTCTGGCATTTCCCCTGCTGGCACTTCTCCTTTCTGCCACCTCGTGAAGAAGGATGTATTTGCTTCCCCTTCCACCATGATTGTAAGTCTCCTGAGACCTCCCCAGCCATGCAGAACGTGAGTCAATTAAAACTCTTTTCTTTATAAATTACCCAGTCTCAGGTATTTCTTCATAGCAGCATTTGAACAGACTAATACAGCAACTGAGTTAAAAGCTAACATCAGCCGGGTGTGGCAGCTCATGCCTGTAATCCCAGCACTTTGGAAGGCTAAGGTGGTGGATCACTTAAGGTTGGGAGTTCAAGACCAGCCTAGCCAACATGGTGAAACCCCATCCCTACTAAAAATACAAAAAATTAGCCAGGCGTGGTGGTGCACACCTGTAATCCCAGCCACTTGGGAGGCTGAGGCAGGAGAATTGCTTGAACCCAGGAGGTGGGAGGTGCAGTTAGCTGAGATCGCACCACTGCACTCCCGCTTGGGTGACAGAGGAAGACTCCATCTCAAAAAAAAAAAAAAAAAAAAGCTAACGTTAGGGTGGGAGAGACAAAGACTCAGTGGCAAGCATCTTATTCTAAGAATAGAGGACAATGTTAACTTTATAGGGTCACTCACATTATATCCACTTGTATTTATTCATAGATTTTTCCCTGTTCTAAAATTTTAATAAAAAGTTTTCCCTGTACCCCCAAAATTCCTTGCCTTTTAGACAGCTACTTTTCCCATTTTTGAATTTAGCAAATTTTGTTTTGAATTTACATAAGCAAATCACTATATCTACAAATGAACAAGTCCTTATCTTTTCTCATAAAGACTGCTGTGTTTTAGTATTATCATTATAGTATATTGAAATTCCAGCTGAAGAAACTAACTTTTGCTGAAGGTGGAATTGGATATTGAAAAATATAGGCATTTACAAGAGAAAGAAAAGGGAGGAGATTATTCCATGGTGAGAAACCGGCATATGGAAATGTATGAACACTTGCTTTCAGAATAAAACAGTGCTAAAAATGTGTAAGGTTCATGGCAATCTGACTTTGCTGAGAGTTTTCAAAGAACATCAGTGTCTTAATGTTTTTTAAAGTCTTAATAAATATGGATACTAACTGCATTTTTTAAAGCAATAATCCAAATATATGTTACAGCAATGTAAGCTAGTTCAGTTAGATGAAATATCTAAGAGCTACACTCAGAAAATTTTTGCAATCATAGGAATCATTTAGATAGGGATATGTGTTAGCAGGGGTCTTCCAAGCAACACACATCAAAATGAAGTTAAACTTACAACAAATGTATTAGGTGAATCACCAATAAGATAAGATGAGCAGCCAGCTGGGGAAGACCAGGAGAATCATCAGCCTGAAATGCATGTCTAACCCCAAATGAAGAAGGGAGGAAAAGAGAGGGGAGGCAGGGGAGGAGATGCAGAGGAGGGGAAAGAAGGTGTAGAAGAGTCTTAGACTACAGATGAGTTCTAAGGAAAGTTTGGCAGGACTGTTGAGGAGTCTCCAAGCCAGAGTTGCCTGTCAATGGAGGCCAGTATCTCCCAGAAACAAGCCTGGTTTAATATTCCAAGATGTGCTCAGGCATTGGCTAGGAGAAGCCGAAGGGGAGCAAGGCCTTATGCAAATGCCAACATGGATTTCCGAGTGAAACAGCTAGATCCTGGTTCAATTATGCTCCCTATAGGTGGAGATGTGAGAGATGCACCTTCATGGCTGTCACCAGGTAGAAACTCAGTGTTTATTTCTGGATGGTTGTATTTCAAACAATCTCTACAACAATGAAATGAAATTAGATTAGCTATAACACTTGGTAGCTGGTTTTCAATAATTTTTGTATGTCATTATACAACATAAAAACTTTGATAATAAACTTTTTGTCTACAGAAACTAGGTAAATATAGAATGACAAATTCTATACTCCTCTTCACTTTGAGCTTCAATGTAGAAATGTATTTTAGCCTCTGATTTCAAGCATGCTTTCTTTATATGCAACCCTTCTTATCAATGGCCATTGTGCTAGATATCACTCTGGTTTTGTTATTCGTAGTTTCACTTGTCTTTAATCTAATAGTTATTGTGGGTAAAGCAGAGCAGGCCAAGACTTTTTACCAGATGAAGAATTCCATTGATCAGGTATTAATTGTATCATTGCCAGTGTTTTGGTTTGTAATTTCAAATACAAAATAAAACAGCAAGCAATAATAAGCATAATAACACTCTATTATGCTCTAGACATCAGGCATTATGCCATCATAGAACTTTTCTAAATAATTGTAAAGCAAATTGTTTAAAACACTGTTTGTTGCAAACACAAATCCTTCTATTTTTCCACATTTCATAGTAATTCTGCAATTGTATATACACAGAATGTTGCTTTCACAATAAAACTAAGGCTTTATTTTTCCCTGATTTCACAATGTTCATATGAGTGTTCCCTATGGCCACTATAATTTTAAAATATTGAAGTTTTTTTATAAGTTTTCTGAACTTTCTTTGTGACTGATTGCTATAATTAAAACTTTTGACTGAAACTTTTTCTCTTTAGAATTCAGTATACAATTTAGGAGCATGTGTCTGTTTTTCCATTCAGATTATTATAGGATAAAAAGGAGAAACTGGGGTACTTATGGAAAGCACACATCAAAATATGTATAATAAACTATCAATGTGATATGTTCGTATTGAGCAAATTAACATTTTTTAAAATTTCAAAACTCTCCTTCATGTTTCATGCTTCTAAGTTATTTAGGAAAGTAAGGAAAATTTTGATTTGAGTTCTACATTTACTATTTATAGAATGTTTAACAAGTTTTCTATTATTGATTCTAATGTACAAATAATAACTCATTAGTTTAAGAATACTTCTGCCTAATGTCGTTCTATAAAATGAGTCTCCACTATGAAATGCATCACTTAACATTCTGTCAATAAATACTTTTAACTGTCTACAAGATGTGGCTACTTAAAGTCAAAGCCATTATTTCCTACCAGCCAGCAGTGACAGTTCCAGTGAACCAAAGTAATCTCAGGGAAGAGCATCCTACCTTTCATATCAGAGTATAAAAATTCACATGAAAATGAATAATCTGAAAAGCTATCTGAAAAGCTGGGACTCAAGTCAATCCTCTCTAATCATATGCTGCTAAGTACAATTGTGTTTGTTTTCTTTGAGGAAAAGAAAAAAAAAAGTAGAAATAAAAGTTGCATTAAAATAATCGTATATACTTCTGTTTTTAAGAAATAATATTAAATGTATAAATGTAAAATGAAGTGACTCAGGTGTTCAAAATATGTCAATAACATATATTTAATTTTCAAGGCAGTATGGCAGAGGACAGTGAGCCCAAATATCATGAACATTTGGTTTAGTACCTCAATGGTCTGGCCCTACATAAATCATTTTAGTCTCACTTTTCCTATCAGTGAAATATAAGCTAGAATAATACTATCTTCAACGTCCCATTTTAACTTAACTTCTGGTTATTCCATATTTCCATCAAATGCACATTGTCACTCACAGTTTTAGGGTTCCTATTCAGAAAAGATCTAAGGAAAGTTTATTTGAATATCATCATTGGTGACAAATTTATATAATTCTTAGATAAATGCAATTTTAGGAAATGGCCAAAAGTCATTTAGAGCCAATACTGGTCAGCAAGTTGACCTAACAAACAAACAAATGTTACCATTATTTTGATTTTAAAAATAATGTGTGTTAATCAAAAGGTTTATTTTATCCCAAGCTAGCAACTGACCCTGAAGTCAATTCTGTAATTCATGTGTATGTGTTTCATCTCCAAAAGTAATAGCTTAGAATAGCCAAGTGCTATTTAATAATATAAACTCTACTTTGTTAAAAATGAATCTCATGAATTCATATCGTAACTAATATCTATTTCTAAATTCAGCCTATAGAAGTACACCATGATTACAGAGCTGAGAAGGGCCATGTTATACTGAATATGTAAATACTTAAGCATATTTTCATCTGGGCTAACATTTCATCAGAAATTATATCATCCACTGTAACTTTCAAGTAGCTTATTAATATGAGCACAGTTCTTCTTTTCCTTTGTTTCAATCTCAAGAGTCAATCAAACTGCAAGAAGTAATGTTTTTAAGGGTATGGTTTGTCTTATCAATCACAGCAATCAGTAAGTATCTACTTAGTACATGGAGGAAAATGTGTCACGTATTTGGGTGAGGTGAGGGGAGGAGGGAGTTTGAGGGATGGAGGAGTTACCAAACAGAGTTTTTACCCATGGTACCTGTTCTTAGAGTGAACGCTCCATCCTTATTAAGTTTGTTTGTTTTGGTTTGTTTTTTTTGTTTTGTTTTGTTTTTACTAAACCAAGAAGAGAGTTAGTTACTGTCCATGGTCTGAATGCAAATTTTGGAAGCATTTGAAAGTCATTCATAAGTAATAAACATAATTCAGGCCAGAATTTTTCTTTTATCAAAACCATAGCCCACACAAGATTATTTTAGCTACTGAATAGGTAATTTCCATGGTTAATTATAAAATTCATTTGTCTCTTAGAATATGATGGCCAGGAAAATCTGGACGATGTGTTTTCACCTAGATGGATTTTTAGAATCCCACTTCAATCAATAAAGATAAGAGTCAAGAACAAATTCCTTTGGGTGATGGAATTTTCTTCAATACATAAAAATATATTTTTTAACTGAAGACCCAATATAAACAGATGAATTACAAGTCAAATATTTTGTTTTGTGTCAAAGGCATTCTAACACTATAAAATTGACATGTGGAATTTTGAAACAAGCCTCTTATTGGTTCCATTTTTCAGGAAATAAACATAACCCAGAAGCAGTACTTGAAATTTCAGTTTATACCCACCTCTAAGGTGCATGAAAAGCAATTATCTGCCAGAAAGACAAGTTTAGGCTGCAATGACTACAATTTCAATACACTTAGAAACATTCAATTTTTCTTGTGTCAAAGCCAGAGGCTTTCTATATAAGGTACCATCCAATCATAATATTATAATTCAGATACTTATTTTTAATGGTGAACTATGTTTTAGACCTTGCAATTATTCATTTCTTCTTTGCAATATACCAATAAGAGATCAACTGTTTACATATGATAGGTTCAAGTGCCAAATCTAATTTTCTTTTGTATGTGATAAGCAAATTCTTACATTGGTTGATGTAATGACAATCATATTAACTATCTAGGAAGAAAGAAGTATATTTAGTTGCTTTACATGATTACTTAAAGCCTGAAGACTGAAGTCTGCATTCTGAAAACCAACCAAAGGCTGACTTAAAATTCTATAGTATTTTAAATATGCTAACTAACAATTATATTAAACAGCTTTCTTTCAAATAATCTCACAACAATTTAAAATATTTCTACAGCAATGGTCCTCAGATGATATGATTATACCATTTTTTCATGTTTCTTTGATTATGCTAGTTACAAATATTTTAACATCATCATCTTTAAGACACCAGACACTAAGATGTTGAGTAACAATAAACTCCTGCTCAGAAGGATTGTTCTGATAACATTATAAATGCTGGGAATGCACAAAATGTCATGGAAATGCAGAAGCAGGACTATCTCTGGGCTATTCTGGGACAGATGAGGAAGATCCCGAAGATGAAGTCAAATTTAATCTGGGATTTTGAGGATGTAGAGTTTATTAAGTGAGCCAAGGAGTAGGTATCCTGTGTGACGCACACAGTATGTGCAAAGATGTAGAGGTTTGTGAGAAACAGAGACTCTTCTGAAGATCAGAAGTGGCAAAGCAGCAGAGAAAGTTAAGGATGGGAAATTTCATAGAATGAGGCAAAAAAAAATTGCTAGAGTTAGATCACAAAGGGCCTTGTTTGCTTTATTAGTGACTACAGGTAGATTTTAAAAATAAATGTCAAGGAATCTATTGTACAGCAAGGTGACTGTGGTTGATGTTATATTGTATTCTTGAAAATGTAAAGAGTGGATGTTATTTGTTCTTACCACAAGAATTACACCTATGTTAGGTAATGCATTTATTAATTAGCTACATTTAAGTATTCCACAATGTATATGTGCTTCAAAATATTATTTTGTACATTATAAGAAAAAACATACAATGTTATCTATTTAAAAATAAAGAGGGCCAGGCGTGGCAGCTCACACCTGTAATCCAGCACTTTGTGAGGCCGAGGTGGGTAGATTTCTTGAGCCCAGGAGTTTGAGACCAGCCTGGCCAACATGGTGAAACCCCATCTCTACTAAAAATACAAAAATTAGCTGGGTGTGGGGATGCACGCCTATGCTCCCAGCTACTTGGGAGGCTGAAGCAGGAGAATTGCTTGAACCGGGGAGGGGGAGGTTGCAATAAGCCAAGATCACACCACTGCACTCCACACTCCAGTGTGGGGAACACAGCAATACTCCATCTCAAAAAAATAATTAATTAATTTAATTTAATAATGAGGCTGGGCACAGTGGCTCATGCCTGTAAATCCAGCACTTTGGGAAGCCAAGACGGACAGATCGCCTGAGCCCAGGAGTACCAGACCAGCTCGGGCAACATGATGAAACCCCATCTCTACAAAAAAAATACAGAAATTAGTTGGGCATAGTGGCGTGCACCTGTAGTTCCATCTACTCCAGAGGCTGAGGTGGGGGGATCGTTTGAGCTTGGGAGATGGAGGTTGCAGTGAGCAGTGATTGTGCCACTGCACTCCAGCCTGGACAGCAGAGCCAGACCCTGTCTCATAAATAAATAAGTAAATAAATAAATAAATAAATAAATAAATAAATAGTAGTCTATTTCTCTTACTGACATACATATATCCCTGGGTGCTAGTGGGCGGGTGGTACAAAGATATGTACCCAAGTGTAATAAATTGACAAGATACACATGGTGGTGCCTTTTCCTGGAGTGTCACTTTTATTTATTTAATGATTTGAAAGAAAAGAAAAACTTGAAATTGAAACAGGCTTGGGTATTTTATGGAGGGGAATGCAGACCCTATATACCTTTTTAACTACAATTAGACTTGAATGAAATGCCATAGTTGTGACTGGCTACTCAGAGGAGACCCAGTGAAGCCTGCCTTCTGTGAGCTTATGTCTATCCTAACACACCATTAGGAAAACTTGGGGGAAAAGATGAAGAAATGCTACTCAATGAGGGGCAGCCACTGAAAGGCCTGAAGCACAGGAGTGAAATCATGGAACTTATGTCACATTCTGGTCACATTGTGAGGGATGAAGTGAGGAGGAGAGAGAACAGAGTCAGGGGGATCATTATAAAAGTATGAGTGCAATAGTATGAGTGTAGGTGAGAAAATGAATTAAGGCAGAGCAGAGATGAAAGTAGAACCTACCATATTGTCTAAGTTCTGTGGCTCTGGCTTATAGGCTAATGCTGTTTATTCTCCATCTGGGAATTTACTTAGCACCTGTGTACTTAGTGTGTGTCACACCTACTATAAGCCAAGTTCTGAAAATATAACAGTAAAAATGATGTGAAACTTTCTCTTGGGAACTTTTGAATGATTTTCACAAGTCTGCAGTGAAAATAGAGTAAAATTACATGTATTAGTTTAAAATACTAGGAAAAAACATTTATAGTGCCTAGCACATAATAACAAGTTAATATTTGTTGAATGAATGAAGTCAGTCTTGATAATATTATTTTCCAGACATGATATTTTAAATGGGAGAATGGAATAGAAATATCTCCCATATAGTTTGGAATGTTAAAGAAAAGGAAATTATCTCCACCGAGGCAACAAAATGCTACTTGCAATAAATCATTCCTTTATAGTATGCAAAGGAAAATTGGATACCTTTTTTTCTCCACTCAACATTGTCAGTAGTTGTTCCAAGAAATGTTCTCTGTTCCTAATCTTCCTAAAATGAGTTTTTAAAACAAAACATTAAAAGCATACTTTGCAAATCAGTTACCAGAAAGTACAATAATGGGCAACAGCCAGTACACAAAGCTGTATAATGAGGCCATTTCACTGGTCCTCCCACTTTAGCAAGCCACTTAGGAACACAGAAAATTAATCAAAATTAGTACCGCATCCTTAGGCCATGTTCTCTTAAGTAAGTGTTCTATATCTTTAAATTCTTCATGATCTGCTTTGACAGTTGTGAAAGTATAACCCATATGAAAATCCCAAGAGTAAAGCTTTTTGCCAAAGCCTCCTGTTACATGTTCTATTTTTTTCTACTTGCCAATTTTTTTAAAAAATCGGGTCAATAACTCAGGTATAAATTTAATGTTCTTCAAATATCCCATAGTGTTCAAATACTACCTTCTTTAAAGTACTTTACTGTTTGCAAGATGTTTTTTCATAAAGCTCTCATTCAATCCTCAAAACTGCTCCTTGAAGTAAGCAGTGCAGACCTTCCCTTATTTTACAAATTAGTATACTAAGACCCAGGGTGGTAAAATAGCATGCCCATGCTTATTCAACTATTTCTTGGCAAATTAGGACTAGTTTCCTATACTTTAGCTAAGTATGATAATATTGAGGAAATGGCACAATAGCTGATAACAAGATATATATTCATGTAGTCATTCATCCATGAATCCAATAAATGTTTTTGTTTTTTTTTTTTTCACTTACTACGCCCTAGATTCTGCACTATCCACTACAATAAAATGAAAGTCAACTTAGACATGGTCCCTTCTTTCATGAGCTTATAGTCTATGTAACATTTACATTGCCAGAGATAAATTAGATCAAATACATTTTAACAAGCAAATGCATATTTTAGTACTTTCCTGTTTACATATATTCTAAGTATTTAGTTATATTTTGTGCCACTTTACAAAAAGGAAAAATAAAAACTGAGTTTCCAGTTTTTGCTAGAAAATTTATCTTGTTGAAATCCATGGAATCATGATGAACTACCCAGAAATCTTACAACACAACTTCCTGATTTTATTAATAATCAATATTCCCGAAATGACAGAAGTTTTGTAAATGCTAAGTTTGAAGGGAGCAGCTGTAGTTTTTGGCAAAGAGACTATAAATATATTCCATTTATATCTAAGTTTCCACATATATCATGGTAAGAGAATGCAAGAACTATTAAACAAAAATAAACTTATTTGAGTCTAACCATGACTGTAGGTACATCTACTTATTTTTCAAGATTTTTTTTCCAGAAAGTTTACAATCAACAGGGAATAATGGGGATAAACTTTCTATTTTAGTTTAAAAAAATAAAGTGACAGGAAGTAGGGAGAGTCAAACTTCATAACCAATAAAAAGAATAATATCAAATATGAGCCAGGCAAAATTTGGTATATCATCTTGCCACCTGGCCCACAGAATCTGGAGGCTTCTATTGTTGGGATCAAGCTACATAGGAGGATGTTGTAGCTAATATACTGGACTTTGAAAACTGAAACAAATATAACATTTTTTCTTTCCACCAACATATGGTATATTGATCTGCACCAACATAACTTCAAATTCAATTTTAGTTTCACAATTTTCACATTACTCAAAATATGAAATTGGAAGCTTAATAGGCAAGTCTGGTTTGGGGGATGGAGTAGAGAAGTCAAAGGGATTATGTGATGGAGATGAGTTTTATGCCAAGATAAGGCTTGATATAGGTGTTGAAAGGTGACAATTTGACCATTGAAGAAAAGGAGGGGTAGGGGGAAAACAGGTGTTTTTTAATAAGCATGTTTATTAACAATGGAAAAGCATGAGTAAAGAGAAGTGTGTGTGTGTGTGTGTGTGTGTGTGTGTGTGTGTGTGTGTGTGTGATGAAATAGGCTCAGGAAACTGTTTTAAAACAAGGAAGGCTGGATGAGAGGTTTTTCCCTGGGATATAGTAGTCTAAAAGATTAGAAATTATCAGCCGGGCAGAGTGGCTCATGACTGTAATCCCAGCACTTTGAGAGGCCAAGGCAGGTGGATGGCTTGAGGCCAGGAGTTCGAGACCAGCCTGGCCAACAGGGCAAAACCCTGTATATACTAAAAATACAAAAATTAGTCAGGCCTGTGATCCCAGCTACTCGAGAGGCTGAGGCACAAGAATCACTTGAACCTGAGAGGGGGAGGTTGCAGTGAGCCGAGATTGCACCATTGCACTCTGGCCTGGGTGACAAACTGAGACTCTGTCTCAAAAATAAATAAATACAAAAAGAAATAGAAATTACCTTGTATGTGTTGAGCAGGTGTCTTGTTGCAAAAGATCTTGTTAGGTTTTGAGAAGGCAGAAGGAGCCAACAGAAAGTTTTAGGCAGTGCTTTGACACAATAGATGAACCTGTCAATGCTAAATTTCACGGACTGAAGGAAGACCTGGAGATCTGGGAAGCTACCTACCAAAATGATGCTGGGGAGCAGTGAGGACAGTTCCAACTGTGCTATATAGACATTATCTCAGGAGGGAAGAATTATCTTATGTCTTAACTAACTGGCTGTATAGCCAAGTATAAAGCCTGAGCATCTGATTCCCATCTACACTGGTATCAATTTCCTTGTAATATGAAAGCGGCTTCCCCATTCCATTATATCTAAAGCCTTTCATCTTTCTAAAGTTCTATGTACGAATGAAGACACATTTTCAAAACCAAAGGGAATAGCTTTATAATCCACTTCCAGAAGAGGCCTAAAAGTCACAGCTGACTTCTGGTTAAGGCACATGGCTGATTTCCGGTTAACTTGCTTCTCTTGTTAGACATTTTCTGGGGACCTTCTGACCTGTGGCTCTTCCCCTTCATGTGGCTTAATTCTTGTGCCACAGCTTGCCTAATCCCAGCTGTGTTGGTAATCACAGTCTTGCTTTAATTTAGCCATTTAGGTTCATGACTTATCTAAATGAGCTGTCCTGAGTTACTTTGAAGCCTTGGCTTTACAAATATGCTGTTGCTGTTGCTTCTTTTCTCCTTCAATTCATCATTAATTCAGAAGCCCTGCAGTTGGGGGCTTGATTCCTTTTTGATTAACCATATCAGAGAAGGAGCTGCTAGGTTTACTCAGCTTGTAATATGACATCAACTCTCCGTTCCAATATGACAGTAAATGTGCCCTAAAATGACATAGAGAAAATAAATCACTCAATCTCTAAAGTGTGACATCTACTAAAACTCTTCTTTACTCTCTCAAAAAAATTTTGGCCTCACAAGCAGACATAGATAAATAATTATACATGACTGTGTATTTTTTAATCCATGAAGACCCTATCATTATTATTTGAATTCCAATGTCAACCATAACAAGGCCTTTAAAGTAATACCTGTCATTCTAAATTCTACACAAATTGTAATAAATTCTGAACTCTTGAAATCAGCAAAAGGTAAATGTAGTTTAAAGGGCTTGTTATCTGCAAAGTGATATGTATTATTATTATAATACAATGTTTTATCTTTGGAAATGTGTATCTATGGACAGAAATATGTACAAATGTGCTTTGGCATGGCACACATGGGGATGAGGCAATTTTTATATTGGTTTTGTTTTTTCCTTTCCTCAAAGAAGACATAGAGTCTCTCCTCTTCTAAGCTCAAGTGGCTGCCTGTGTTTATTTTCTATGACTCTCCCTCTTGGTCTTCCAGGCAACAGCGTGTTTAGATTAACTGTGCATTCTCATCTCTGTGAGCTACCTGCCAGCATGATGTGTCTGCTGCTGTCACTTCCCATCCACCAGTGGCTGTATCACTTTGCTTTACGTTGTCGCAACAGTGAATCCCGAGGAGCTTTTCTGAGCTGATGTTAGATGCAAGAAACATGATACTGTTTATTATTGTGATTACAAACTCAGTGCAGTGTCTCAGATATCCCATTGAGAGATCCCCATCCCACAAAGTTTCAGAGGTAATAGATTCTTTCCCAGAGAGTGACAAATATCTATTTGATTCCAAAACATATTTTTATTATTAATGTTGAACAGACTACCTGATTGCTCATGAAATTAAGAACAAATGCCTGAGGCTCAGAGTTACATCTTTTCACAATATGGGAGCAATGAGCCTTTACAACTTTACCATTTGCTCTTTCTTCTATGTAGCCTTTTCTACTTACAAATGGAGCTGCCTACCATAGTCAACCCAATTTCCATGCTAATCCTTATGTTAGAATGTCCATTCAGCCCCGTCTCTTTATGGCAAGATCCCATCCACATTTCAAAGCCAATCTCAAATGCCACCTCTTCCAAAGAAGACTTTCCTGATGTCTATATCTAAAATCACCATTATGGCCAGGCGCAGTGGCTCACACCTGTAATCCCAGCACTTTGGGAGGCCAAGGCAGGCAGATCACTTGAGGTCAGGAGTTCAAGACCAGCCTGGCCAACGTGGTGGAACCCCATCTCTACTAAAAATACAAACATTAGCCAGGCGTGGTGGCAGGTGCCTGTGGTTCCAGCTACTTGGGAGGCCAAGGCAGGAGAATTGCTTGAACCCAGGAAATGGAGGCTGCAGTGAGCTGAGATCATGCCACTGCATTCCAACCTGGGAGTCAGAGTGAGACTTTGTCTCAAAATAAAATAAAATAACGATTATATGTGGGGATCTTAATGAATGTTTTGCATACATGAATGGATTAACTCCAACCGGTAGGCTCTCTTCTCTTAATCTCCAAAAAATTTTAAAGACTTCTGTTTATATTCTTGTTATTCTATTGTGTTTATCCTCACCCCTTCCACACACTGAAGTGTAAACTCAATAAAGGCAAAGACAATGTCCTATTCATCTTTATATCTCTCATATAATAGGTTATTTGCAAATTTCTGGTTGAATTAGCCTAAATTATATGTCTTAATTGCTAATAAAGCTTGTACATGGCATAAAGAGATTACAAGCTGTCGGTGAGATTTTAAGTGATATCTAAGTAGCCCAGTCTTGGATTTAGTAAATTTCAGTCAGTTAGTTTTAGTTAGTACTAATAGCTTGGTCTAGACTTCCTCATATTTTCCTTCCCCACTCAGCCTTTAGTTTCAATCATGTATCATTTCTTATTTTGTGTGCTTATAACCTTTCTGGTGATACCAGAAAATTTAAGAGGAAAAACCCTGAGAAATATAAACAAAAATATATATATCATCTCTATATGCATCATAGATAGGACATACTACATAACTAATTCTGAATCCTAATTTTTTTTTACTATACGCAATATGGTGACTATTTTCACATTATCATTGTCAAGAACACAACTTTGAATCGTTATATAATATCTTTTCCCATGAATGAAAACTTCCTGAAACATTGATTCTTCTCTTTCAATATCTCTTTGTATGTTAATAACATTAATTTTTTGTCAGATTTGCCGTTAAGAGTTTTTCCCAGTTTTTCCTTTGTACAAGTCTATTTTGTTTTTTCAACATATGTAAATTTTATTCTTTTCTCTGATTAAATGGTAATTTTTCCCCGACTTTTGTTGTTTTGTGTAGAAATATCATCACCATCTCTAGAGATTTAACAGTCACTTATATTTTGCCATACAATATTTAAACTGTCTAGAATTTATATTGATGATGAAATATTCATCTTTTTATCGTCCACATCATTCTATCAATTTTCTTGAAAACTCTGCAACATAATAAATATTGAGCAGTTTCTATGTGTCAGGCTCTTTTGTAGTCTTTGCATTCTCAAATACAATTTCTATTTGAGAATTCTCAATTCCCACCAAAATCTTGGGAGGTTAATCCTTTTACTAGCTCCCATTTTACTGATAGAAAGCCAGAGGCACAGAGGAGTTAAGTATCTTGCCTGTGATTACCCAAGCACCAGAGCTGGGACTAATTCCCAGGTAGTTTCGATCCAGAGACCATGTCTATAACTAGTATACTGCACTGTAACTACTAAATAATCTGTTGCTTTTCCACTGGCTTGTGATAATTCCCCATTATATAAGTATCGTTGCATTGATCTCTACTTTGTGATGGTGACGTTAACTTTAATCATTTGGTTAATGTTATGTTTTCCATGTTTTCCACAGAAAAGATTCCATTTTCCTCTTTGATAAGTATTATGGAAAAACACTTGGAGACTGTGAAAATACCTTATGTAAACATTATTCCACTAATTTTAGCATCTATAAATAATTTTTGTCTGCAACTATTACTCCTCTAGTAATTTGCCTAATGGTGATTTTCTGTTTCTATCATTTGTCTTTCATTTAGTAATTGGAATTCTATTAAAAGGAATAGGTGTCTTGATTTCCCCAATTATGTTTTTATTCAATTGTTTGTGTCAGTATGGACTAACAGATTTCTTTTTTTCAATGGTTTATAACTCATTACTATCATTCTGTATTTTATTGCTTAAATTGTCCCAGATTTGGACATTGGGATTTCCTTCAGACTACTGGCTTCTGTACCCCTTGAACATGATCACATTCCTTTTAGGGGAGCACGTTTATATTTTCTGGCACTGAAAGCCATTCTAGGTTCATCTAGTATTTTTTCTTCCCCGGAACTGCTATTAGCCATTTTTCTAAGGAACCCTGGTTCCTTTTCTTAGAGAGTGGTATTTAGAATTCAAGACCTGGGTGCTAGATGTATTCATTGTTACTGGGGCATTTTTGTTTCTGGGCCCTTTCAGTATATAGAGCTAGAAAATAGATGTATGTATACTCAAGCAGGCATATATGTTTATATTCATTTCTGTAGCTATCCATTTATAAGCATATTAAAAACCATCAGTTCCTTTTGATATTTCTGATTGCAATCCAACACCATAGTTATTCTTGCCTTCCCTCTTTCCTTATTTTTAACTATTTTCCCTGACAGTAGAGGAACCTATCTTTACTTATACACACTATATTTACTTGTCAATCCTAATATACACATTATATAGTTTCAGAATTGCTAAGCTATCATTATGAGGTGGTTTTTGAAATTTAATTTGTATGTTTACATGAGTATGCATTAATAGGAATGGGCTATAGTGTTATTTTTAGTGTTATTCTTTTCAGGTTTTGTTGGCATCAAAATATATAGCATAAGCATTTCAAATATATTAGTTGAAAATGTTTTTAATGCCAAAAGTACATATATATTATTTTAACTTATTTTTCATTTTACAACGTATATATTTGTAGATTTATCTTTTATGGATTATCAACATATTATTTTAGATTTTCCTTCAACTATATTTGTTTTTGAAATCAGAGTATATGTAGGAAAGTCTGTTTTCCATTCTTGCTTTATTATGATTTTATGATAATTAAATGAGTTAATACATACAAAATGCTTAGCATGGTGCCAAGTAATGATCATTTGATGAATAATTATTATTGATTATTTTCTATTTTCAAATTTATTTTTGTCATTATTATTATAAATTCATTTTTCCTATTTACTTTAGATTTGCTTTGTTTTCATTTTCCTTACATACATTGTTGAATGCTTGATTCATTTGGTTTCTATTTATTGTCTTTAATAATTAATATTCATGTAATTTACATATTTGATATTTAATAGGCATAGACTTTGATTCAACTGAGGAAACTTGTAACGGAAGACATGAAATGTATTGATTTGGGGAATCAGTATATTAAAAAATTACATCTAGAAAAGGCAGCTAATAGAAAAGTTCAGCACAGCTGGGTGTCTCTTTTAAGTTGGATGTGATGGTTGCAATAATGGGCAATTCTGGAACATTATAACATGTCTCAGTGACATGTAGGGCCAGACTTGAGCACACTCAAGAGAAACTCAAAGCTAATGGTCTCCTTCCTACCAACCAATATAACTTTACAGTTTACAGAGAGTCAATGATCTTTGACTCTTATGATTATGTTGTTGCTTAAAAATTTACATCCATGTGGCTTGGTAAAGGGCAGAAAGAGATAACGATCCCATGAATAATCTAGTTGCTGTTTCTCTTCCTATTCTAATTTCAATGTCAACTTTCCATCCAAAAACATAATAAGATGGGAACCTTTAGGAGTTGTTATAGGTAGACATTCCATGCCTGATTTATTATTTGCAGTTAGATCTCTCAGATGAACATAAGGAACAATAAATTCCCCAAGTCTGTGGAAACACCACATATTTCCATTTGTCTTTTTACTTCTACTTCTGCTTAAGCAGAGGTCTGTAGAGGTGGGAAACTAGTGTCTTTTCCTCCACTCTGGCTTTTAGTCATGTAAGCTCAAAGTTAAACCTTTTGATCTGCCATCACTGAATCTAATATCAGACACTTCTGAAGGAAGAAAAGAATCATAAATTTTATAAACATATTCAACTGAGACTTGTCAGTTTGTACATTAGAAAAACTTCATTGAATAAAAAAAGACTATTTATTATAATACGGATTCCTAACAGTGATGATGAAAACAAGTTAAAATATTTCTTATCCAGATACATTTGTGGTGTGATTTGTCATTTAAATATTTTTGGTATTTATTCTGGAGAAAATTCAACCCAAGTGATACCTTTCAAGTAATCCTTACAGAGCATTTTTAGCAACAGGTAATTATTTACTCATTATGGTGATCTTTGTAAGTGTCTCTTTTTAAACTGAAGCAAATACCTGGGGAGCTTTAGTCAAGCTGAATAAGGATTCTTGTCAATTAAAACTATGTACTTTGGCAGGAAATAAATCAGCTAAAATTCAACTAATTTATATAGTGGTTAGTCAAGCCTCCATTAATATACCTGCATAAAAATTATGTTTAGTGGATGACTTAGGGATGTCTAGACAAATACTGAAACAGATCATGTTAGGTACAGATTTGAGCATCCCTTATCTGAAATGCCTGGGAGCAGAAATGTTTCTGATTTCAAATTTTTTCAGATTGTGGAATAGTTGCATGCACATAGTGAGATATCTTGGGGAAAGGACTCAAATCTAAACACAAAATTCATTTATATTTTATATATACCTTATATACATCCTGAAGGTAATTTTATACGATATTTTTAATAATTTTCTGCATGAAACAACATCAGAAAGCAAAGGTGTCCCCATGTCGGCCACCTATGTGGACAGTCTGTGGTTGTTTGGTATCGCCATCATTCCTCACACTGAATTTATATGCCAATGATAAGCAATCATTTTCTTACATTTATTCACACATAAGTACTTACAGTAAAAAATATGACACCATTAATACAGTGGAAAAAAATGTGTTCTGGCCGGGCACGGTAGCTCAGGCCTGAAATCTTAGCACTTTGTGGGGCTGAGGCAGGCTGATCAACTGAGGTCAGCAGTTTGAGCCCAGCCTGGCTAACGTAGTAAAACGCTGTCTCTACTGAAAATACCAAAATAATAGCTGGGTGTGGTGACAGGCACCTGTAATCCCAACTACTCAGGAGGCTGAGGCAGGAGAATTGCTTGAACCTGGGAGACAAAGGTTGCAGTGAGCTGAGATTGCACCATTGCACTTTAGCCTGGGTGACAAGAGCAAGACTCCATCTTAATAAATAAATAAATAAAATGTGTTCTGGATAACTAAGCAGCACAGTATCATTAGTAGAAAACCTGCATCAGCTGTTAAACAACAGCAACAACAGACAATGGCAGGCTTGAAGTTTCCACCTATGATGCTGTGTTTTTATTAAAAGGTTATTGTACACTGTATTTTTATTTTTTAGGTGTGAAGAAACACCAGAAGCAGTTGAGGGACCAGGGATTTGTCCTCTAGGGATGCGGAGGGAATCTACTAGATGGCTTTTTAAAATGTTTTCTCCAGCGTTACCTGCCTCATTAACAATATTTTTTGTCTTACGAGTCTCTCTTCAATCTTATAAACTGACATGATTTATTGTTCTCTTATGAATGCACATTCCTTATTTTCTCCAATAAACCACCACACATTTTAACCATGTCATCTCTAGGCACTTTTTTTGCAGTGTTAATAATGTCATCTTCAACATTACTATTATCATGATCACCTTGATTTAGAACCATCTCAGCTATTTATCTATTGGTCAATGAATGAGCAGCTGGAACCTCATTACAGAAAAATTTCTCTGATATCTATTTCTTCCAGCTTATGATGAATTCTAAAGGTATAATTTTTTGCATATTGTTCATCATCATCACTGAACAAAGTTGCAGGCCAGAGTTTGTGCCAAGCATACACAACTGTGTCTTCAGTCACTGTGTTCTAAGCATTAGCAACAGTTTATATGATACCTTTCATACCAAACTCTTCTGGGAAATCTTCCATGCCTCTGTTCACCGCTTCTAGCATGCTGTTAAAGAAACTGTTTTTATATTTACTCTTCATTGATCTAAGATACCCTGGTCACATGGCTAAATTAATAAAGTCAAATTTGTGGGAAAGTACATAGCATAAACATTATTTTTAATGAAATTTCAGTTGGAGAGTGAGGAGAACAGTTGTCAAGGAATAACAAAATCTTCCAGTCATCACCCAGTCCTGCTTTCCTGCATTTTCTACCACAAGCTGCTGGAACAAAAGGATTGGGAACCCAAACAAAAAACATATCCCTTTTTGATCCATGCCTTTTTGTCAGCATAATAATCGACTGGTAAAAATTTTACTCCTTGAAAATAGCAAGGATGCAAGATTTGCCTGTCACAACAAATTTACACTTAGCGTGGCTGCCGCATTAGCATATCCCAGCACAGTTATTCAGTCCTTAACATCCTTAATTCCTGTAAGGACAGTCTCATCATTTGGAGTCAGTGTCTTTCCTGGTCAATAACATGAAGACAGTGATGTTTCATCAGCATTATAGTCTAGTTCTGGCATCAAATTTTCATCAGCAATAACCTTGGCAAACTTGTCAATGAATTTCTCCACTACTTCATGATCAGCAGATGCTTTATGACCATAAAGCTTTACAAATTTAATACTATGTCTTTTCTTAAATTTCTGCAGCCATCCTATTAAACATTCATAGTTTCCTTCAATTTTCAGTTCATTGTGACCTATCTTTGCTTATTTCATGATCTGCATGCCATTAAGTGGCATGTGTTCACTGTGACACTAAGATCCACTGTTTCAATACATGATTGAGACCTTAATTTTAGCTTTATGCAGTGTTTTTTTTTTTATTTTTCATTAACTTCTGTTCTTTACCTTCAGTACAGAACTTCAATGATTTATCTTTCTCTTTCTTTAGGTTACATATGGCGGTCACTCTAACACCATACTCTGCTGTAAGACATTTCACACTTGCACTGCTTCCCAGTTTCTCCAACAACTTGAATTCCTGTGCTATAGAAAAATATAAGTGCTTCCTCTTTTTCTTATTACTATGACCCGCAGGGGTATCTGCAGGCCTTTTTGACATTATCAACAATATCTTTACACCACAAAGAATAGAACAACAAAAGAATAAGTAATGCACATAGGTCTTGGCCACATGTGAGGCATTGTGGGAAACTTGACATTGGTGTATCAGGCCTGCACACTGTCATTTTATTATGCTTTGTGAGGGTGCTTCCATGGGGGAATTTGGGCATACATGAAAAAGATGCAATACAGCCAAAGGAGGCCAGGAGGGGAGGGTCTTTATTCTCATGGGGACACTGAATAAATCATGTGGGTTTTTTTTTTTTTTTTTGCCTTCCTTTTGACTATGACCCATCACAGGACGTCAGGTGTGGAATTTTCCACTTATGACATCATGTCAGTGCTCAAAATGTTTCAGATTTTGTAGCATTTCAGGTTGCAAATGTTTGTATTAGGAATGCTCAACCTGTACTTAAAAGTAGAAAACATTTAACTTTTCAATTTTAAAAACTTAACTCAGAATTGAGAGTGAAAGGAAAGATCAATAGCTTTGTTGCTATGATATAATAATTTACAAGCAAGTTACCCTGTGGTGTAGGAGTAATTCTTCTGGCTTTTAATCTTTCTGCCACATCTAGAATCCAAGCTACTAACATAGTTGAGAATCCAAATTATTGGGTGTTCCTTATCAATAGGATAGGCTATTCTGAGGTTGACAACTCTAAAATTTCAGTGGCATAAACGGCAGCATTTTATTTCTTATTTACTCTACATGTTCATCATGTTTCTGTAGAAGGCTCTGTTTCAATGCAGACCTCACTCTGGCATCTGAATTCAGAGAAGTCCCACTGTCCAGAACATTGCCTGTCATAGTAGAAAAGGAAGCGGGCAGGGCCAATTGCTCACTGGCTCTCAAATGCTTTTGCCAAGAAGTACACCTAACTTCAAGAGAGCAAGGAACCGTGATTTCAGTTATTCCAGGAGGAAGAGGGGAACTAAAATTTATGTACAGTGGTAATGTCGACTACATATCTTAAACACAGCCTACCATCCCTTTTAAAAAAAAATCAAATCCAGTCATTGAATCAGTGAAAATCCACAATCAGTCCAGGTCTCTGCTTTTGCAACTACCTATAAGAATGACTGCCACTCTTCACTCATAGCCATCCTAGTCTGGCTGACAATTACACATCCTTGACGTGGGTTGAAGCTTTATTTCTGTGTTTGGTTTTATCTCATGAGTTTCCCTTCCTCCCAACTAATCTGTCACTGCTTCTGCGTTAATTCTTCATGATCACTTTTTTTCTTCTACTCCTATCTGCAAAGATAGCAATATTTTCCATCCTCCTAAATAGCAAAATAGAAATTCGTTTCGCAGTGGCATTTTTTACAATGATATGTTTCAGTGCCCATCCAAAATTACTGTATTTCCGTACTAACTGCTCAGTTAAAACCTTCAACCCCACTATTCATACCTTGGGTACTTAAGTGAGGAGAATAGGAAACAGAAATTGGAATGGCTTTCCTGTTAGGATCTCCCATTCTCAAAGAAACATGATTAACAGAATTTCAATGCACCTTGAGAGATCATGAGAGAAAATTGTATATTAGTATGGAACCCATGAAAGACATTTGATTTAGTAATGGATAGTATACCAAATTATAAATAATGAGTTAGAAGTAATGAATGGATTCTCTTATGTTTCTGATAAGATCTTTAAAGTACTCTTCAGTGAGTACATGTTTATAATTATTTCCAGAAGGTCCCTAAATGCCATTTCTAGCCTTTGTTGGGGATTTGAAAAGAGAGGCAAGATTAACCCATTGAATCTGACTGACCTTGTGTTTCTGAGAGATCTTCATGAAGAAAAGACAGAACTGCACCTGCTGTTTGCTTTTTAAATTTCTCACTAACATTATTTCTGTAGATGCTAATGAGCTGTGATCCATGGGCTAATTTACTGGTTGTGAGTTCATCAAAGAAACACTGAAGACAATTAGAGTTCCTACAATAATTTTCAAGCATGCTTGATGCATTTAGGAAATTGTTTGATATCTTAACCCTTTTCAGTGGTGCTAAGTTTCTAGAAAATCAAAATACTTACTGAGCTGTATTAGCCAAATTGAGTAATTTGCTTCTGCTTTCTTGCATTTTTGGAGACTGATGCTTGGTTTGTGATCATGAAAATTTCATGGATTACCATAAACTTGTAAACATTTTCTTCTTTAACACATAGCTTTACTTATTAGTAAGATTTGCTTTCATTGAACTAACAATGAGAATGAACATCATCCAGTGCCAGGTATTCTACTGGTGACGTCTTAAAATCCCAGCCCCAAATTAAAAGGAAGTCAAATTGTCTTGAGAAGCAAGCCCTAAGAAATGGATAAACACATTCACTTAATACATGAAGCTTATTTTTAGCTGGGTTTGTAGGCATATGTTTAGAAGGTCTATTTTGCTTCTTAGCCTTTCTGGTAAGCTCAATAATAGCCCCTCCAAGATGTCTATGCCCTAAATCTCAGAAGCTATGAATACATTATCTTATGTGGCAAAAAGAGAATTGCAGATGTGATTAAATTAAGGATCTTCAGATAGGGGGATTATCAGAGGTTATCTGGGTGAGACTGATGTAATGACAACAGTCCTTATAAGAGGGACCCAGAAGGAACCATAAAAGAAGCCTACGTGATGATGGAAGCAGACATTGTAGTGATGTGTTTTGAAGACGGAAAACTGGGCCACAGATCAGCAAATACAGGCAGCCACTAGAAGCTGGAAAAGGCAAAGGCAAGAGAGTCTCCCCTCCAGCCTCCAAAATAACCACTCCTGCTGACGTTTGACTTTAACCAGGTGAACTTGATTTTTACTTCTGATCTCCAGAAATGTAAGAGAATAAATCAGTGTTGTTTTATGCTATCACTTTTTTAGTAATTTGTTACAGCAGCAATGGTAAATTACTACAGCCTTTTTATAGTAAGTTGAGATAAGAATCTACTGCAAGAAGAATAAATTTATGATGTTAAAGTAATTCACTTATCACCAGAATAACTTAAATTCAAGGTTTAAAAGTATTTTCTGCTTTGTAGACATTTTAAAATGTTCACCTTTCTTATTTTCTCTGTACTACTTTTAGTTGCATCTAAAATGTTATTCTTTTTATAAGATAAACTGCTCAGTGTCAATTATCTATCATCATTATATTTAACACACATTTTATGTTTTAGCATTAGCTATTCTATTCCATTAAATTCTGGATTTATAACATTATTCTTTAATATTCCATTGGAATTTTTTAACCTCTGAGAGAGCTTATAGCATTGCTCTTTTTAAGATAACAAAACTATTAGCATTTAATAATTTATAGGGCATTTGGATGGTATCTGTTAATTTCATTGTAGATCAAAGGGACCATCTGGTAACCATGACCTCAATACAGGAGGAAAATATTGCAGTGAATTTCTGATTGTGCTTAGGAATCATATTGTTAATTTCACTTTCAAATTTTCTTTCTCTTTGTTGAATTTTCCTATCAATATAAATAATGACCATTGCTGTTCTCTCCGGTGCATTTCTTGTTAAAGCAGAAATTTTCTGAAAAACAAATTTTCAATGGGAAGATATCATATGTAATCTTCAAAGCAGAAGCATCATACCCATTTTAGGTTTAATCATTCAGCAAGTATTTATTGAGGGCCTACCTAAGCACCTTGCTTCTATTTAATTGGCTTGCTAATGTTTCAAGTGCCTGAGAAGTACAAGCATCTTTAGACATGGCTATTGGGTGAGACAGCAGTCCCTGGTGACTTTATTCTAGTTACCTAAAAAGGGTGTATAAATATTAATTAACCAATGTTCTATTTAAAAGGAATGAGCCTTCAAGTTGACATGGTATCTCCAGTTCTTGAGGGTTTTTTTTTTAATTAATTAGTGTCTGAATAAAACTAGAAGGAACCTCATGACTGCACTTGTCAAACAATCCCATAATTAATATTCTAAAAGGGACTCTCTTTGTCATAACCTTAGTTGGTGGGTTTTTCCTGCTGGCTGGTGATGAGCCCCATCTGCCTTTGATAAGTACACTTAAGTAATTTTTCTTTAGAGTTTCAGACAGCAGATACAATTTCAGGCACTTTTATGAACTAATTCCTGTGGAAGGAACTATTTGTTATGTTTACTTTTTGAAATGTGAAAATCCTATGCTATATATTATTAATAAGTGGAAATAAATATGAATGCCAGAAAAGTCCACAGGGGAAGGAAAAGGGGAAGCATAATTCAGAATAAATTTTAATAAATAAATATTTGACTTCAGAACTTTTGAAATATGTTCCCAAACAGAATCAGCAAAAATTTACAATTTCAGTATTTTTCTAAAATTTTAGCATATGGCACCTTAGGGATAGCATAAGCCACCAGGGGGCTATAGTTCATAGTCATAAACAAACAGGAATATGATTCTACAAACTTCCTTATCACTTGAACACATTGGAAAATTTAATTTTTGAAAATCACGTTTTGACCTTTCTGGACAAAATTCAGAAATGGAGGAAGAAGAAAGGGCAGATAAACAAATTTAATATTAACTAAATTAATATTGATAATATTTATCTTTCTCAAGTTACTCAAAAGATTTTTTGGAGTTGTGTAAGAGATATCTAATGAGGGGAAAAAGGCTAAAAAAAGGAAAGAGTTTTTTTTAATCATAGATTTACTTAGTGTGAAGGTAGGTTAAGAAATCATTTAATAAAGTTCTACCTGTGTTTCTGTCACCATTAGGAGCCCTTACCCTTATCTCTACCCTTTCCTTGATACTGGGTTGATATTAGAGCTAAAAATCTCACAGTGTAGAAAATGACGTTCACTGAATTTGGATTTTTGCCTTGATTTCACCACTAACTTCCTAAATGAACTTGGTGAACTTGAACCAGCTATTCATAATTTAGCTGTGCTTAATACCTAGAGTCAACATTGATTTATTTTCCATGGAACTGGAAATAAATTAGAGGTTATCTAGGTTAGTATTTTGATTTTACTAAATCAGTTCCAGAAGAAAGCTCAAAAAATATTGGGTAATGGTGAGGAAACTGAGATCTAGAGAATTTAAGTGGCCCAACTAAGGCTACATAGCTATTTTCTGGGAGACAGACACCAGACTCTAGGTTTCCTGATGCCCAACTTCAGTCTCTTTTCATCACTTTAGTGTGCTTCTCATGATGAAAAGTATTGTTGTAGATATACATAAAGATATTACATGCTACGTCCCATTTTGAAATGTCCATGGCCATACAACCTTTTTCCTGTAAACCACTGTTTAGGGGATGAGATTTAGTATTACAGTTATTGTCTTCATTAGTGGTACAATAACAGTGAAGTTGGGAAGACAGGCCAAGGTTAGCTTGTAGGTTTTTCTCACTGTTTCCCCTCAGTGACAAGTTTACCAGGAATTACAGTCAGAATGGTACTCATGTTCCACTTTTGCAAAAGGAAAAAAAAAAACCTTTTCCCCACCAAACACAAAGATTTCTCCTACACAGTTTAAATTACAAAAGGAGACTGGCCCATGGTCTCTATTTAAAATGTAAGTACTGCAGAGAAAAAATAAATCATTAACTCATTTCTTAGTTTATTTTCTTCTTTATGTCCATCCTCATTCCATAAAAATTTGAGACCATAAAAGAGGCTTTATGTTTTTTGGCCAATTTATGTGAAGTGTTTTTCAAACTTTATTTAACGAGGTTCTTGGGCAGGAGGAATCTTGGGAAGGGCATTTGGAATCTTGAAGGGGATGGGAAGAGGAAAGAAAGACAGGAACTGTATGGATGGCATAGGGCAACTGGGAGACTGGAGGCAACTACAGGCAATTCTGTCTGTTCATGATTGTGCTTAGAGATGGTTCTGTATTCATTGTTTGCACTGAATCAAATCTGCAGTAGGTTTAGAAAGAATTCTTTGAACTCAGGAGGAAGATCTGTAGGATGCATACCCAGAACGTATTTATCTGCTACCTGCTTTTACTAGGCATTATATGGAGTTCTGGAAATGGGGAGAGAAAATCCACAAATAATAAGCAGACTCTGCTTTTTAATTTCTTCAAGGATCTTCAAGGCTAACATAAAAGAGCAGTCATAAAGAAAAATAAACTGTAATTAAAAAGTTGAAAAAGGATTAATGGAGTGAGAGAAGCTCATTGGAACTCTTAACAGATGAGGGAGAGAAACATTGGGGTAGGGGTGAACAGAACAGTTACAAAAGTGGTAGAAATTCGGCTGGATTTGAAATAGCGGTGAAGATTTACATGTACAAAATGAAAAGTATGAGAACAGTATTTTAGTCAAAAACAGTGACTAGGCAGGGTCATAAAAAAGCAATGGGCATGTAATGTGAACAGCAATCATTCTCAAATGTTTGGTATTAGGACACCTTTCCACTCTTAGCAGTTATGGAGGGCTTTAATAAGCTTTGGCTTTTATGGGTTATACTAATGAATATTTGCCACATTAGAAATTAAAACTGATGCATTATTAAAATATTTACTAATTTATTTAAATAATAATAAGCCATTATATTTTAACATAAATATTTTTTGAAAAATACATTTTGCAAGGTAAAACAAATATTTTCTTCAATTCTCTTTAATGTCTAAATTAATAGAAGCAAGACCAATGGATTCTTACCTTTGCTTCTGCATTTAATCTGTGGAGATACCACTCATCACACACTTCTGGAAAATTCCATTTTTATAAAAGCTAAAAAGGCAATTAATATCTTAGCATGCATATGGTTTTGACCATACAGGAGTCCCCTAGGCCACACTTTGAGACCTATTGGATTCGAGGTTAGTATATAAGAAGGGGAATAGCAAGATGAATGATGGAAAGTTCAGAATGACTAATATCTACAATATTTAATAGAGAGGCATACAAATTCCACATGCTGGTAGAAATAGAACCAATTTCCCAAACTTTAAAAGTATATCAAATATCTGTAACCTGGCTTTTCAGACAGTGCTGATAAATATCTGGTAGGCAGAAATCATTTACCTTTATATCAAATAGTTTCATCTTTTATAAAATGGCTTAAAGTCATATCAAAGGGATTGAAAAATTAGTGTGATGAATCCTGAACTGCCATTGCAAACTCAAGGTCGCTTTCCCACTGGAGTTCTGGCCAATATATTTTGGGATGCGTAAAAGGGAGCACAGCTAAATTACTTAAAATAAAAATGTGTTCAATCCAGACATGAAATTTGAGACTTGACCCCTGGCCACTAAACCAAGACTCTAATTATCTTTTAGGGTTAATTTCAGTGGCCAAATCACATGTCAAAATAAAGCACCTTTCCCTATCTAACTTTTGAAGGATTCCTCCAACCTGGAGAGCACAATTATTAAAGCATGACCTCGAAGTAAAAGTAGGGGACTTTAAATTTAAAATCCAGTGCTTTGTTCCTAATAATAATAATAATAATAATAGTAGTAATAATAATAATAATGTAGAAGGGATTTCAGCAAGTATTCCAGTAGGGGGAACTGTTGTTCAACAAATGAGAAGACGACTGGGCTTTTCCTGGGCAATAGGCACTGATCCTAGAACAGGGAATCCTCCCTAACTCATTTATGAGGCCAGCATCATCCTGATACCAAAGCCAGGCAGAGACACAACCAAAAAAGAGAGTTTTAGACCAATATCCTTGATGAACATTGATTCAAAAATCCCCAATAAAATACTGACAAACTGAATCCAGCAGCACATCAAAAAGCTTATCCACCATGATCAAGTGGGCTTCATCCCTGGGATGCAAGGCTGGTTCAATATACACAAATCAATAAATGTAATCCAGCATATAAACAGAACCAAAGACAAAAACCACATGATTATCTCAATAGATGCAGAAAAGGCCTTTGACAAAATTCAACAACACTTCATGGTAAAATCTCTCAATAAATTAGGTATTGATGGGACGTATCTCAAAATAATAAGAGCTATCTATGAGAAACCCACAGCCAATATCATACTGAATGGGCAACAACTGGAAACATTCCCTTTGAAAACTGGCACAACACAGGGTTGCCCTCTCTCACCACTCTTATTCAACATAGTGTTGGAAGTTCTGGCCAGGGCAATCAGGCAGGAGAAAGAAATAAAGGGTATTCAATTAGGAAAAGAGGAAGTCAAATTGTCCCTGTTTGCAGACGACATGATTGTATATCTAGAAAACCCCATTGTCTCAGCCCAAAATCTCCTTAAGCTGATAAGCAACTTCAGCAAATTCTCAGGATACAAAATCAATATACAAAAATCACAAGCATTCTTATACACCAATAACAGACAAACAGAGAGCCAAATCATGAGTGAACTCCCACTCACAATTGCTTCAAAGAGAATAAAATACTTAGGAACCCAACTTACAAGGGACGTGAAAGACCTCTTCAAGGAGAAGTACAAACCACTGCTCAATGAAATAAAAGAGGATACAAACAAATGGAAGAACATTCCATGGTCATGGGTAGGAAGAATCAATATCGTGAAAATGGCCATACTGCCCAAGGTAATTTATAGATTCAATGCCATCCCCATCAAGCTACCAATTACTTTCTTCACAGAATTGGAAAAAACTACTTTAAAGTTCACATGGAACCAAAAAAGAGCCCTCATCACCAAGTCAATGCTAAGCCAAAAGAACAAAGCCAGAGGCATCACGCTACCTGACTTCAAACTATACTACAAGGCTATAATAATCAAAACAGCATGGTACTGGTACCAAAACAGAGATATAGATCAATGGAACAGAACAGAGCCCTCAGAAATAACGCCGCTTATCTACAACTATCTGATCTTTGACAAACCTGAGAAAAACAAGCAATGGGGAAAGGATTCCCTATTTAATAAATGGTGCTGGGAAAACTGGCTAGCCATATGTAGAAATCTGAAGCTGGATCCCTTCCTTACACCTTATACAAAAATTAATTCAAGATGGATTAAAGACTTAAACGTTAGACCTAAAACCATAAAAACCCTAGAAGAAAACCTAGGCATTACCATTTAGGACATGGGCATGGGCAAGGACTTCATGTCAAAAACACCAAAAGCAATGGCAACAAAAGCCAAAATTGACAAATGGGATCTAATTAAACTAAAGAGCTTCTGCACAGCAAAAGAAACTACCATCAGTGTGAACAGGCAACCTACAAAATGAGAGAAAATTTTTGCAACCTACTCATCTGACAGAGGGCTAATATCCAGAATCTACAATGAACTCAAACAAATTTACAAGAAAAAAACAAACAACCCCATTAAAAAGTAGGCAAAGGATATGAACAGACACTTCTCAAAAGAAGACATTTATGCAGCCAAAAGACACATGAAAAAATGCTCATCATCACTGGCCATCAGAGAAATGCAAATCAAAACCACAATGAGATACCATCTCACACCAGTTAGAATGGCAATCATTAAAAAGTCAGGAAACAACAGGTGCTGGAGAGGATGTGGAGAAATAGGAACACTTTTACACTGTTGGTGGGACTGTAGACTAGTTCAACCATTGTGGAAGTCAGTGTAGCGATTCCTCAGGGATCTAGAACTAGAAATACCATTTGACCCAGCCATCACATTACTGGGTATATACCCAAAGGACTATAAATCATGCTGCTATAAAGACACATACACAGTTATGTTTATTGCGGCATTATTCACAATAGCAAAGACTTGGAACCAACCCAAGTGTCCAACAACGATAGACTGGATTAAGAAAATGTGGCACATATACACCATGGAATACTATGCAGCCATAAAAAATGATGAGTTCATGTCCTTTGTAGGGACATGGATGAAATTGGAAATCATCATTCTCAGTAAACTATCGCAAGGACAAAAAACCAAACACCGCATGTTCTCACTCATAGGTGGGAATTGAACAATGAGAACACATGGACACAGGGAGGAGAACATCACACTCTGGGGACTGTTGTGGGGTGGGGGCAGGGGGGAGGGATAGCATTAGGAGAAATACCTAATGCTAAATGACGACTTAATGGGTGCAGCACACCAGCATGGCACATGTATACATATGTAACTAACCTGCACATTGTGCACATGTACCCTAAAACTTAAAGTATAATAATAATAAAAAAAAGAAATAATCTGATGCCAAAAAAAAAAATAAAAAATAAAAAATAAAGAAAGAAAGAAAGAAAGAAAGAATCAAGTGTACTCCATGGCATAACTTTGCTAAGAACCAACTGATAAAGCATGTCTGTTGCTTTTTCTTGGTGATAATCTCAGTCTAACGTAGGAAATCATATTTCTTCATGGCCAAAGGAAGAATTTGTTTTTCCCATGTAGTTAAAGGTGATGGCTCTGGAGGCAATGGTATTAGAATATTAAAATCTGGGCCGGACACAGTGGCTCACACCTATAATCCCAGCAATTTGGTGAGGCCAAGGCAGGCGGATCACCTGAGGTCACTAGTTCAAGACCAGCCTGGCCAACATGGCGAAACCTGTCTCCAATAAAAATACAAAAAAATTAGCTGGGCGTGATTGTGTGTGCCTGTAGTCCCAGTTACTCGGGAGGCTGAGGCATGAGAATCGCTTGAACCCAGGCAGTGGAGGTTGCAGTGAGCCAAGATCACACCACTGCACTATAGCCTGGGCAACAGAGTGAGACTCTATCTCAATAGAAAAAAAAAAAAACTGTTGAAAAGTGATAAATCTCATATAATAATTGGCAGTTTGACTAGCTGTGATTTCCTGTGCTGTTTTCAATTTACTAGAAATCTGGAAGCATTTTATTGATTGAAGCATTGTAAGGCAGCGTTTCTGAAACTATTCACAAAGGCCACTTATATCACAATCTACAGAAGAGCCGTATTTAAAGTGCAGACTCTGTGGTTCCACCCAACGTACTGAGTTAGAATCTATTAGGGGGCGGGAGGGATGAACTTAGGAATCTACATTTCAAATAAATTATCCCAAATGGTTTTTATGCATGATAAAGTCAAGAAGCCATTTTTTACTCATATCTTTAGGAACGTGGAATAGAAAGGTCATAGCACCTAAGCATAAACACAGACTACATAAAAGTGATTAACAGAAGACTATAGCCAGAAATTTACCTCCTTTAGCCTCTTTCCAGTGATCCTCCACTTCCCCAGAGAGAGAGTGGAGGAAGAGGGACTAAAGAGACAGAGATGTGGAGCTCCAAGAATCAAGAACCCAAGATTTCATGCTATAATCAACTTCATAACCTAAACATCTTCAGGAATGTCAAGAATAGACAATCAGCCTGTTCCTGAGTCCATATCATGCTGTATTCCTGACGGAAATCAGGAAAGTTAGGAACAAAGGAAGCCTCTTGCTGTTCAGGTACACCTCACAAGGAGAAGTTGTGTGACAGTAGAAACCCTCAAGGAATTAAGTCTTGTATAAAAACAATGGTTAACCAAGTGGCATTTCAATTTTGTTTCTTAATTGTGTACTTTAATGTTTAGTAGTATTTTGTGGTAGATCAGGTGTGGTTCGTCCTGCATACTCTGTTCAGCATTTTATTTTAGGCTGGGTATGAAGAGGCAAGTAAATAGAGACTAATATTTTTCTTTCAAATTATCTAAGGTGAGATTTGCTTAGAAGAGGAAAAAAGGTGAAAGATAGGAAAAAATTAGCTTGGAGGATATAAAATAAGACCATAATGAATGTAGAACTAAACCAGACACAGTAGGTAACAGAACATAGAGACTATTTCCTCATACTAAAATTTCAGTTAATTCATTAAGTTTTTATTAGAAAACAACAAATACAGTTTTAACTCCTCTATATAAGAGAAGAAAAAATAATTACCCATGTAATGCAGTAAAGACAAGTATTCAACTGTGTGGATCATTAGGAAAGCTTTTGTGAAATTAACTTGAAACTAAAAACAATAAATGTTGTGATAATACAAAGATTTATTGAGTACTCACCATGTTCAAGAAATTATTCTAAGACATTGATATGTGTTAATTGATTTAATCCTAACAATCACTCTCTGTTATTATTTTTCTCATTTTACAGCTGGTGTACAGAGGGGCTAAATAATTTGCCCAAAGGGACATGGTCTATATGTGAATTCACATCCAATCATTTTGAACCCAGAGTCCACACTACACTATACAGTCTCCATGACATGAAAATAATGATGTAGAAATTCATGGAGTCATTGGGACTCATCTTTATGATTCTTCATAGAGGCTTAGTAAAAATTTTAGGCTGAATTCTGAATTTGATGGGAAGTTCGGAGCCATGGACTTGCCCAATGTTGGAAGCAATGGAACTTCTTGTAAGAGTACCAAAAATAGTAGAGATGGCTCTAAATATGATCCCTCTTAAGTAGAAAATGAAATCTCATCAATTTAAACCTCACTGCATACATAATCATGGGGCTAACATTTCCTTGTGCACTACCCATGAAAGAATGGAAGTGAATGAATGGCATGAATAAAATTTCAAGGAGAAATATTTAACCTACTCATTAAGATGCATATTATGTTTTAGAATTTTAAAAGCATACATTTGCATACAATTAATAGGTCTGTTATAAGTGAGTCATATCTATCTTTAGTGTAAGCTCAGCAAAACCTCTGCCTAGTAATTTTGATAGCATTTCCATAGTTTGAAATATCATGTTATAAAACTACACGTATATTAAAATGTTCTACAAGTCCATTTTTTCACTAATTTATATGGACCCACTCCAATTAATATGAATAAGTGATACATTACTGAATTAATAGCTTCAAAGCTATTTAACACTTTCTTAACAACTTTGTTGAAATGCTATTATGCTATTAATTATTTGATGCTTTTTTCTCCTATCGTAAATAGTTAAACACATCATGCAATATTGATAGCAAAGCATTGTATGCACATAACATCATGTTGTGGTAATTTGATCTCTATTAAATTATATATAATCTATTTCTTTTAAACATGAGGTACTGATAGGCAAGCCTCTATTGATCTGATTTATTGTTCTATATTAATGAATTCATACACTTGCTTACTCTTCTACATGCTTAAAGACTTGCTACTGCTTTATAGAATGAGTACCTCACTGTTAGATTTTGTCCAACAAAAGCATAAGTGAGAAGAATTGTTCCCATCCTTAACAAGACTACATTACAAAGACACAGTGAAAATGGAGAAATAATGGCTTGGGTAGGTTTATGTGTGACTCTTCCACTATGCAATGTTGACAAGTGGTTTCCACAGTAAAATTATTTAACCTGTCCAATTTAGTCAATATATCCAAACAAAGTTTCTTAAAAGAGGGACAACTATTGCATCAGAATCTAATATACATTTTTATGGAACTGTTTTAGATGTATAATCCCAGAATTCACTATTTTTCTTGCCGAATTGAAATAGTTCTATTTTAAGGGCAGATAAGCACTTTGGGCATCTCTTTATTTTTGATCCTTCTTTTCAGTATTTGTTGTAAAATGAGTTTCATCGTATATATATGATGTTTAAACTTATATGCAATTATTTGGGCCTTAATGAATGAGGTTATATGACTTTGAAGACAAAAATAATCTCAGTAATTAATAATTAATCTCTTTTACACTGTCAACAAATCTTCAAATGGAAAAACTTAACTTTGTCTCCAGTAGTTATATAACCTTTTCAAAAATGTAATACAAAGTTGATATCTATTGTGTGGTGATGTTTGAGATAAATATTGGTCCTTGGTTCTCTATTTTATCTAAGGCCAAAATGATAAATCTGTAAGCTAGAGCTGGATTTATATTCCATCATTAAATGTTTATTGAGCACCTACTATGGGCACAATATCATATTGGGGATGTTAAATATAAACTTCATTGTTTCAAATGCCTGTCTCAGATTTATTTGTGTTGTGGATGTCAAATATGTTGAGATCATTTAAAGATCACTTTGTTCAGGCCAAGACTAAAAGCTTAGATTCATCCATGAATTGGGAATGCAATTGCAGGAGTTATCATCATAGATATGGTATTGAAATAGGAGAGCCCTTGATAAGAAAATACACTAAACAAGTAAGGAATATGGCTGTGGCATAGTAAGAAATAGATATCTAGTCTTTGTCCCTGGTTCCTGTCACAGAGCTCCTAAAACCCTTGGAATTTCTTGAGTAATAGAAGTGTCTTTTGCTATTCATAACAAGCCCCTTTAAATCATACCCAAGTTTGTACTCATGACAGGGACGGTCACCAAGATGCCAAGTAATCAGAGGGTTAGAACTTTCCGTTCAGCCACCCACCTTCGAGGAAGTTGGAGTCCTGGAGATTGAGCTCTATAAAAACTCTTGAACAATGAGATTTGGAGAGTTTCTGGGATGGTGAACACGTAGAGGTACTAAGATGGTGGCATGCCCTAAGAGGGCATGGAAGCTCAATGCACCATTCTCCCCCTTACCCCACACCTTGCCTTATGAATCGCTTCTGTTTAGCTGTGGCTGAGTTGTATCCTTTGTAATAAACCCATTAACATAAGTAAAGTGCTTTTCTGAGTTCTGTGAACCCTTTAGAAAATTATCATATCTGAGGAGGAGGTTGTGAGCACCCCCAATTTATGGCCGGTGTCTGTCAGATATGTAAGTGGCCCATGACTTGCAATTGGCCTTTGTACTGAGGGCAGTCTTGTGGGGCTGAGCCTTTTATCTTGTGGGATCTGACTTTAATTCTAGGTAGATAGCATCAGGATTGAATTCAATTATTGGACACTCAGTTGGTCTCAAAAGAATTAGTTGTTGGTGTTAGAAAACATCAAAATGGCCAAGGATAAAACCGGGAAGAACAGATGCATCCTAGACATCACAAGGACAATTTCTTCTCCACCACATCTATCCCACCCCATCTATTCCTCTTCACAGTCCTATCCAGTTGGCCCACTCCTACTTGCTCTCCAGGGGAGACCACATTCAACCCTTACCTGTGTCACTTCCTCCAGGGCAGAAATTAATGTCTCTCTTTCTGCAGACTTATACCTCCTACAACCAGGTCCACATGTTCACTTCTGCAGGACTGAATTCAGTACCCTCCTCTCCAGATTTACTCCTCTTACTCTACTTCCTTTTTCAGTTTCATTTAGCCTATGTTCTTTAAAAAATACCTTAGACTCCTTCTTCTTCCTCTCTTTTCCATATCTAACCAGCCACCAAGTAGTATTAGTTCATTGATATTTGACATTGTGCCAATGTCTTGAATAGCGGTGTGTAACTGATCACTAATTTTTTTAGACTAAGTAATTGAATTGGAAATTTATTACGTCTGTCTTCCTACCTTTGGGTATCTCTCTTTACCTCCTTCTCACCAAATCTTGAGCCAGGATGTTCTGAAACACTATGTATAATTAAAGTCTCTTGATCCAATATCAGAAATTCATCCACACCATTCCCATCATTGCTGCCAAATGAGCTTTTTGAAATGGAAAGCCAACTATTCGCCTTCAGAATGTCACAGAACAAAGTCTAGGTTCTTGGGTGTGGCATATAAGCCCTCAGGCATAAAAGAGCCTGCATTATTTCCTTCCAGCCTGCAATTCTAACTTCACTTCTTTTTTTTACAGGTACACTGACAGGCTGTCAAAGAATGACATACAGTTCTCCAAAAGTGACTATCTTGTTTGTTTATTTCTTTCCATTTGACTTTACTCCATCCTTTCTGCTCTAACTGCTGTGGTTTCTTCATTTCACTTATTCATCATCCTGAAAGGTTTAATTTTGTGCATCCCCTCCTCTGCGAAACTTTCATTCAGACCCTCAAATAGGGTGAATTTACTTTGTATTCTTTATTGTGACAATTATTGCATTATCTTATAAATGATATATTTTTATATCCCATGCAGTAAGAAATACACTGGTCTTCTGTAAATTTCAAAAATTTTGTTATTTGAATCACTTATAATAGTGCCTAGAACATAGTCTGGTCTTAATTAATATTGTTGAATGAATAAATAAATGAATGCTATTCAAAGCAATCGGGATAGAGTTCTAATTTACATTTATTTGTTATTTTAAATGATAATCACTACTACATTAAGTACGTATTTTGTGTGAAGCATTATACACATATTATTTCATTTATTTAAAAAAACCCCAAGATATTGTTGTTCCTATTTTACAGATGAGGAACTAAGACTGAAATAAACAACATTTCCATGTCTAAAAGACAATCTAAAAGATTGTTAAGTTGTAGGTTTTGAACAACATCTGCTATACTCTTTAGTTGCAATTCTAAACCATATGCTCACATGTGAACTATGCATCAAGGATTATGCATAATCCATCTCTCTTATATAAAAACGTATGTTACAATAATGATGATTCTTAATTAGTATATTGAGATATATTGTCAGGCTCCTTCCCCAGATATCCACATAATTTTCTCCCCTACTTCCTTCACGTTTCTGCTCACGCCACCTTCTCAGAGAGACCCTCCTCCTCTGATGACCTTATGTAAAAGCAGTCCCCCACTCCTTGCCATATTATTATCTATATCCACACAATAAATATTTATTGAATGAGTGAAAAGCTGGTCACCATACTACCTATGGTGCACAAGTGTACTCTTCTTCTTAAAAAAAGAAAAAAAAAGATGAAACCATGAAGAGATAAAACAAGTGTACTCTTCTGTAAAACAAAATAAAACAAAAAAAAAATTACGAAAGCCCAGCTATATGATACTTTAGAGAGTAAATTATTATACAACTTTTTATTTTGAAATAATTATAAATTCATAGGAATTTGAAAAAAATTTATACCTAGAGGTCATTCAGTAAAATTTTATTTTGTAAAGGGACTTAGAGTAGGTTTTTCCTATGTGTGTAAATACTCTCTAGGGTGCTTAAAATATAATTTTATTTATATGCATCTTTTCAAGAGAATGTTAAAATAGAACTCTAGCAGCAATTGCACTCTCTGGAACTCAATGCCTAATTCAGTAAATGTACCAACTGAATAGGCTCTCCCTAGTATTCATTCAAACTGCTATAAAATTGCCAGTATATTTGCAAAAATAAATTTCAGATATTGTATTTGCAGCTGGTGGCTGGCAGTGTTCATAATCCTGCTTTCTTTAATGACTGTGATTAAATCACCAGAAGAGATTCACACCGTGGGCCCTCTGCTTTCTCCATCATGAGTAGTATCCTCTGAAATTATTATAGCGGGAGCAAATAGTAACCTCCTGATATAAAGCTCTATTCAGGTGGAGATAATGCAGAAAGTTTTCTCCAGGGCATTTTCTCTACCTACTCCTCCAGCTATGGCTTAAAACAAAGTATGTTTTGAAAATAGCAAAATTCATTTTTTCTATATTTGAAAAGTAATATTTTATAAATGACTTCTGTATTTTCTACCCGCTATTCTGATAGTTTCCAAGGAAATAAAATTATCTCATTAACATGATCTTCTGCTTTAACTTGTAGGAAACTGAGCCGTCTCTTTGACATTGTCAAGTTAATGAAAAATATGGCCCCTGCTACATTTTGTCCTTTAAATGTCAATTGTTAAAAAAATATTTTTTGCCATACTGAGACACTTTTTTAAGTATTTGTCCAGTTGTTTTCACTCCTCTGTCTTCTCTGTTTTCACTCCTCTATTTTCTCTAACAATATATTTCTGTACATATGAGAAAATTCATGAATCAGGAGTTCCTTCCTAATGAAGAATAGTATTTATTAAGGAAATCAATTCCAATGCCTTTAATTTCAGGTGTCAATTTGATTGATCGTGTGTTCCTTCTGTGAAATGCAATATATGTGAAATGAAAAACCATTGTTAGTTACTCCAGGGCACAAAAGACAGATCAAATTATTTCACACAAACATTATACTTTATGATATTTGACAAATATATATTTGAAATGAAAAAGTATTTTGTTGACTTTACTAATAATTTAAAAGTACACCATTCATTCCAAAGTAAGTCTAATTAATTGAATTTTTAGTCTTATTAATAATTCACTAAATTACATTTGTTCTTTGTAGTTGAACACCTAGAAATGCACACAGGAAGAGCCATTTTTAAAAATGAGAATGGTCACAATGTTGTTTGTTCATATGTTATTAAATGTTTATTGAATCCTTTATCTGTGTTAGGAGCTGAGACTCTAATAGTGATACATCCTCTGTCCTTAAAAAGTTTACAGTTCATTTGAAGGGGCAAGTAAACCACCAATAATTCACCATAACTGCTGAGGCTTTGTGAGTAATTTGAACTTTTATTAGCATTAGCTCAATCTGCAAACAAAATGCTTAAATTTTCTGGGCTTTCTGTGAAGAAATATACTTGGAATAAGTGATATTTCCCAAGCTTTCCCAGGCATTCATGTCACCTTGAATACACATGTAGCAGGCTTCTCCCTCAGAGATTCTTATTGGGAGGGTAGGAGCATGGAATCTTTATCAGTGTTCCAGGTGATACTGATCTGGGAAGTTTAAGAAATAGACTTTGCATAATGCATATTGCACTTTTTAATTGTCATTTCCTTTTTTAAAAAAATGTCCTTTGTCTACTTATAAAATACTTAGATCCACCTAGTACAGACAGAAACACAACTAAAATCATTACTGCTAATTAAGTGCTAACTTGTTATGCACCATGGAACATAACAGCAAGTCAAATTAGTTGACACTGACATTAAATACAAACATGGAAAGAATAAACAGAGTCTTTAGACAGACAAAACAGAATGATAGGAAAGGAACTGATGCTCTAGGAGTTACTCTTCACTGTTGCATTAGGCTATTCTTGCATTGCCATAAAGAAATACCAGACTGGGTACTTTATAAAGAAAAGAGCTTTAATTGGCTCACAGTTTTGCAGGCTGTATGGGAAGCATAGTGGTTTCTGCTCAGCTTCTGAGGAGGCCTCAGGAAACTTACAATCACGGCAGAAGGCAAAGGGGGAAATAGCACTGTGCATGGCTGGAGGAGGAGCAAGAGAGGCAAAAGTGCAACACACTTTTAAACAGCCAGATTTCAGGAGAATGCACTTACTATCATGAGAACAGCACCAAGGGGATTGTGCTAAAACATTCATGAGACATGTGCTCCCATGCTCCAATCACCTCCCATCAGGCCCCACCTCCAACATTGGGGATTATAATTCAACATGAGATTTGGACAGGGACACAGAGCCAAACCATATCAATTTTCTTCTAGCTAATATTCAAAATGCTTAGTCCAATATAGAAGGCTTTTCACATGATGTAATCTTGTCCTGAACACTGTGCACTCCAGTCAAGTCACTACATTGCTTCTTGCCTCCATGCTCCAAAACAGCTGTTCCCTCTGCTTCAGATGCTTTCTCTTGATCTCCACCCCCAAACTGTATTTCTCTTCTTGAGGATTCAGCTTAACTATCTCTCTTTCTGGGAATCTTTGCCAGCCCCTGCCCAACTGTATTAGTCAGGGTTCACCAGAGGGACAGAATTAGTCATATCATATATATATGATGGATATATGAAGTGGAATATATATATATATATGAATGATATATATATATATGAATGATATATATATATGAATGATATATATATGAATGATATATATATATATGAATGATATATATATGAATGATATATATATATAAAGGGGAGTTTATTAAGTATTAACTCACACGAACACAAGGTCCCACAATAGGCCTTCTGCAGGCTGAGGAGCAAGGAAAGTCTGGTTTCAAAACTGAAGAACTTGGAGTCCAATGTTCAAGGGCAGGAAGCATCCAGCATGGGAGAAAGATGTAGGCTGGAAGGCTAAGCCAATCTCTCTTTTCACATTTTTCTGCCTGCTTATATTTACTGGCAGCTGATTAGATTGTGCCCACCCAGATTAAGGGTGGGTCTGCCTTTCCCAGCCCACCTACTCAAATGTTAATCTCCTTTGGCAACACCCTCACAGACACATCCAGGATCAATACTTTGTATCCTTGAATCCAATCAAGTTGACACTCAGCATTAACCATCACACCAACTCAGCTGAGTTCATTGCTTTCTCCTTGAAGTCACACTATACTTTGTACATACCTGTTTTGTCATTTTTCACAGAATATAGTAATCCTACATTTTCATATTTGTTGTGTCTTATGAACTGTATAGGGTCAAGGGCAGCTCCTAGCAATTTTATATTCCCTGGAACATAGTAGCTGTTCAATTTAATGTTTATTGAAATGCACAGAAGTGCTAAACTTGCAGTTTAAGAATATCATTGGAAGTTTTTAAGAAACAATATGATAATCCATTATAAAAGATGATCTTTATTCATTTTTAAATTAAAAATATAATTTTTGGTTTGCTGCATTAGTTTGCTAAGGATAATATCCTCCATCTCCATCTGTGTTCCCGTAAAAGACATGATCTTGCTCTTTTTTATGGCCTCATAGTATTCCCTGGTGTATATGTACTACATTTTCTTTATCTACTCTGTCATTGATGAGCATTTAGGAGTGGAGGGTTGGAGGAGAGAGAGGAACAGAAAAGATAACTATTGGGTACTGGGCTTAATACCTGGATAATGAAATAATCTGTGCAATAAACTCCCATGAAATGAGTTTACCTATGGAACAAACCTTCACATGTACCCCCGAACCTAAAATAAAAGTTAAGCAAAAACAATTATAACAAAATATATATATATATATATACACACATAATTTTTTATAATTTAAAATTTAGATACTGCCTTATTCCCTTAGAGCTACTGTAACAAAATAGCAGAGGCTGGGTAACTTAATTCTGGAGGGTGGGAAGTTCAAGATCAAGATGCTGACAGGTTTAGTGTCTGGTGAGGGACAATTTCCAGACTCATAGATGGCATCTTCTTATTGCCTCCTCACATGGTGGAAGGGGCGAACAAGTTCCTGGAAGCCTTTTTTGTAAAGGCACTACTCCCATTCCTGAGGCTTTGCCCTTATTATCTAATCACATCCCAAAGGCCTCACTTCTTAATACCTCCACCTTGGGGTTAGAATTTCAACATATACATTTGGGGAGAATACAAATATTCAGATACAGTTGGTTAATCAATCAATTTGTGACTTTTTAACTTTTATAATCCACTATCTGTGAAAAAAAAAGTCACCCTCAATGTTAAAGAATTTTCTAGAAATTTAGGGCTTATTCCACTGTATCTCACCTCTTAGGGATATTCTGAGCTTGCAGTAATCATGGTAAAGAACATCTGATTTAGGTGGCATAACTAATTCTAAAAGTAAAAAGTAAATAAACACAGACAAGGGAAGCAAAAGCAGAGAAAAGTAAAGTCAGTTATTACAAACTTGGAAGGGGAGTTACTTTTGAAAGGGGAGTTACAAGGCAACTTACTAAAACATAGGCCATAGAATTCCTCAGTTCTTTGAGATTATTGGTCAAGAGTGCAAATGTGTGTATGTAGCAAAGGAAATGAATTTAGAACAGAATCTGAAATATAAAACAAGCTACATGAAAATACTATTTCCTTTCCTAATAAGACATTCAAGTCAAGATTTTACTTTGCTCAAGAATAGAACCTTTCCCTGAGGAACTAGAGACATTTTATCAAATTATGTTTAGCTGTTTCTAGAAAGATGTAAAATCCAAAGAATTAGAAAATATATAAAGGATAAGTATAACATTTACCAAACTAACCAGTACCGTTTTCCCACGTTAGGAAGTTGGAATATTAGACTAGTGTTGTACTTGAAACCTTGCAATAGTTAACTTGGGCAAGAGAAAAGCACCACAATTTTTACTAACTTAAAATTTGTTCTCTGCAAGATCAATGGAAAAAAATCTTTCATAAGTGGTTGTAAAAGATTTGAGATATGTCCATTATTTCACAGAACCAAGTTACATATAAACTTTACTCATTTTCTGGAATGAAATTGTATTTATTACCTTTCTGTTATTATCCAAGGCCTTTTACATTTATATTACTACCTAAGGTTTTTAAATGGCATAATGGATACCAAGTGAAGAATTGGGGAAAAATTTTCACTTTATTAATTCCAAAGTTTGACTTGGTTATAATTTACAATTCTTTTTCCTTTAAAAAAAAAAAAAAAAAAGAATTACTTTAAGTTCCAGGATTCACGTGCAAAATGTGCAGGTTTGTTACATAGGTCTACGTGTGCCATGGTGGATTCCTGCACCTATTGACCCATAATCTAGGTTCCCTCCCCTCGCCACCCACCCCACAACAGGACCCAGAATGTGTTGCTCCCCTCCCTGTGTCCATGTGTTCTCATTGTTCAACTCCCACTTATGAATGAGAACATGCAGTGTTTCGTTTTCTGTTCCTGTGTTAGTTTGCTGAAAATGTTGGATTCCAGCTTCATCCATGTCCCTGCAAAGGCCATGATCTCATTCCTTTTCATGGCTGCATAGTAGTCCATGGTCTCTATGTACCACATTTTCTTTATCCAGTCTATCACTGATGGGCATTTGGGTTGGTTCCATGTCTTTGCTATTGTAAACAGTGCTGCAATAAACATACGTGTGCATGTGTCTTTATAGTAGAATAATTTATATTCCTTTGGGTATACATCCAGTAATGGGATTACTCGGTCAAATAGTGTTTCTGGTTCTAGGTCCTTGAGAAATCACACTGTCTTCCACAATGGTTGAACTAATTTACATTCCCACCAATAGTGTAAAAGTGTTCCTATTTCTCCACAGCCTCACCAGTATCTGTTGTTTCTTGACTTTTTTTTTTTTTTTTTTTTTTTTGAGATGGAGTCTCACTCTGTAGCCCAGGCTGGAGTGCAGTGGCATGATGTCGGCTCACTGCAAGCTCCGCCTCCTGGGTTCACGCCATTCTCCTGCCTCAGCCTCCGGAATAGCTGGAAGTACAGGCGCCTGCCACCACGCCTGGCTAATTTTTTTTGTTTTTTTTTTTTTTTAGTAGAGACGGGGTTTCACCATGTTAACCAGGATGATCTTGATCTCCTGACCTCGTGATCCACCCACCTCAGCCTCCCAAAGTGCTGGGATTACAGGCGTGAGCCACCGCGCCTAGCCGTTTCTTGACTTTTTAATGATTGCCATTCTGACATGAGATGGTACCTCATTGTGGTGGTTTTGATTTGCATTTCTCTAATGATCAGTGATGTTGAGCTTCTTTTTATATGTTTGTTGGCCGCATAAATGTCTTCTTTTGAGAAGTGTCTGTTCATATTCTTTGCCTACTTTTTGATGGGGTTTTTTTTTTTTTTCTTGTACATTTGTTTAAGTTCCTTGTAGATTCTGGATATTAGACCTTTGTCAGACGGGTAGATTGCAAAAATGTTCTCCCATTCTGTAGGTTGCCTGTTCACTCTGATGATAGTTTCTTTTGCTGTGCAGAAACTCTTTAGTTTAATTTGATCCCATTTGTCAATTATGGCTTTTGTTGCAATTGCTTTCAGCATTTTCACCATGAAGTTTTTGCCCATGCCTATGTCCCGAATGGTATTGCCTAGGTTTTCTTCTATTTTTTTCTTTCTATTTTCTATCTGCACAACATTCTATAGTAGTGATCTACATATATGTTCTAGCAAAATATTGAATACATAATATGTTTTCAATAGGTACATGTTAATTGGTTCCAGACATATTCAGTTAGTTGCTCTAAAGTTCACATGACATTCATTGATGAAATTGCTTCTTGGAATCTAAAGGCTGTTCTTAGTGCTCTCAGCATCAGCTTATTTTCTTTCTCAGTTGATTTGGTTTCAAAAACACCAACATGAATCATATTACACAAATGAGCTTATTTAATCTACCTCTAAATATTATTTGTAATGAATTTCTCACCCTTCATCCATTCTTCTTGTCTTAGAATATCAGCCCAGTCATTTTAGGTCACAATCAGGATCCTGAAGCCTGACTCGTTGATGTAATTTGAGAAAACTAAATAAATCTTTCTGTCTGGCCAACTCCCCAGAGTTCACCACCCAGCTGTATTTAAGAATTACTGTCAACTGTGTCAACAAAAGAGACAATTCCATGAAATGCCAAAATTTAAACACTGGTATACTTCCTATTTCAGAGACTTTGGTGTCATAGTTCTGTAAAACAAATATAATGACAACATTCTTCTACCAAATAGATTCTGAAGTTAGTTTCCCTCCTTTTTACTTGATGGTATAATAATTTTGGGAACTATGGCATAGCCCACAGGTACTTATAGCATTCTACTCCAACTTCACTTTCTGTCACTCTACAATATACCTGATGTTCCAACCAAACCAAGTCTCTCAAATATACCACATTTCCCCCCTAACTTACTGTCTTTGCATATGCTGTTGCTTTTAGGTAGGACATCATCTCCTCTCCTCCTCTTTCTTTAGAACATTTGTTTTGTATTTTCATATGTAACTCCAATATTCCCTTCTTCATAAAGTCTCTTTACATCCCTCAGATAAAGCTAGTTTATTTTATTCAGTGCTTTAAATAGTTAAATATATTTTAGTTTAGTTGTTTACTTGTTTGTATCCTGTTTTATCTTAATTAACTTTTGAAAGACCCCACACCTCCTTTCTGAAACATTTTGGCTTATTAGACACGGTTTATCTCTCTGCTTGCAAAATGAATTTGGGGAAAAATAGAGGCCTAATTTTTTAGTGGAAATAGGTAATTCCAAATCCTGTGACAGTCAGGTAAATGAATATACTTAGATTTTAAGAGCCTTCAGGAAGCCAAAGGAAAAAGGGAATTCTATTTGATAGCAGAACTGAGCTTTATTTGCTTCATTGTAAAATCCTAATCTTGTATTTAGTATACAAAAGTCAACAAGGTTTGACTAGAAAAAATCAGACTGAATTTTAGCTACTATGTTGCCCTTTCACTTAGCGAGCTTGGAAAAATCATTATAATAAACCCCAGTCCTACAAGATTCACCACCCAGATTTTAATCCAAGTTAGGAAAAGATATGAAACCCAATAATATGGTCTGAGGGAAAATTAAACATGTGTACCCCAGGGTGATAATCTTTATCAAGCATTGAGAAAACATGATATTCCCTATTAAATTCTCATCCTACCTTAAGCCCAACAGAAGAATGATTTAACATCTGGTATTAAGGAATCTGACCAAAGATAACAAAGGGACCCCTTGCACCTGAGCTAGCTCTTCTTTTGGAACAAAGGGTCTCAGGCCATTTAAAGAGGGCTTTTGGGCTTCTGTCCTCTCTTCGGAACATTCTCTACCCAGGGTTTCTCCCTGTCTTCAGTAGTTTGCAGTAGCCTCCTCCCACCCACTATTTCACCCACCTCTACTCTCAAATGTTTTAATCCCTTAACTTCAGCAATAATGATTTCTCAAATGCATACACCCATTGTCTAGTTTTTGTTTGAGATCAAAGGTCGGCTGGACTTGCTGAGACTCACCCATAGTAACAACACTCAGCCCTGCTTAAGCTTTTCCTCCCCCTTCCACATGGCTTAAGGCAAAGCAATTAATGCCATTACTTTTAAATATACATATATGTGCATATGTATAGATATGCATTCATATATGTGTGCATACACATATATACATATGTGTGTATGTGTGTGTGTATGAAGCTCCCATTTAGAAACTGACCCTAGAGATGTTTATAATTTCTATAAGCTTTATTATAGCATATCATCCTTGACCAAAAATAGCACTACCTGCTTGGCTACAACTCAGCCTCCTTTATAACTTATAAAAGAGAATTATCAAATTTGGAGAATGTGTGAATGAAAATGTTTGCATCACTAGGAACATTATAAGGAAAAGACAGTGAAATCACTGAATTTCAAGGCTGGATAAAATATTATAAACCATGTTGGTAGAGATTCCTCTCCACTCTCAGGGATGGTAACTATTGAAGCACAGATGTGGCTAAAATTACTCTATGGTGATAAAAACCAAGTCAACATCAGTATGCAGGTAAATAAGGATGATGATAGACGAGAGACCTCAACTACCTATTGCAAACCCCAAAGACAGTGAAAGTTTCAGCCATCTTCAAAATGTAACTAGACGAAAGCAATGAAACGGAAGAGAAAATGAAGAGGGAGTATTAGCCATTTCAGGTACCAAAGGAGAACTTTTCTAGCGGTGACAGAATCAGCTACCCACCACAAAGGACATGGTGGTGTGGGTGTTCCCACGATTATAGTGGAGACACTTCAGGGCCCACATACAGTTTACTAATAACAATCAACATGCCTACATTTTTATTATGTAACTGCATTTCTATATTAGTAGTAGCTGACTACATTCAGAAATATCTTTTCCTACCTATGTATGTCATTCTTTTTCATGTCCTTGCTTCCATCTTTCTGTCTTTCTTCTGCTTTAGTTCTTTTCTTCTTTCTTTTCCTCTATAAATACTGAAGACTTGCTGCTATGGTCCAGGAACTCTTTTAGGTGTTGAAAGTTTGAATGTGGGTAAGACAAACTTTTCTTTATGGTATCTTTTATTTTTTCATTCTATAAACTCATAGACAAATTTTTCAAGTCCTAGAGAATCACTGTTAGGGGTTAGATCATGTTTTTGGTATGTGACCCCTTACCTCCACACCAAACTAAATGCATTCAATTTCCCCTTCAGAAGTAAAAGCAACAATCCAAATCACCTGTACCTTAAATTAAATTAGAGGAGATTTATTGCTCATAATTCAAAGGACACTTGTTACAACCAGAAGACCATCTATCAGCAAAGACAGCATTCCAGCTGTCTCTGCTCTCTACAATCAGCCTGACATCTAAATCATAATAAAATCCTGGAAAGGGCACTCTAGGCAGAAGAAACAACATGTGTGAATGCATGGAGCTGAGCAATAACAAATTATTGAGCACTTAGTAAATGCCAGGCAATGCACTAAATACTGAACATGCATTATCCAGTTAATCATCCTAACCTTATAAGACAGAGGTATAGAAGGCTACGTGCCCTATCCAAGGTCATACAACTAGGTAAGTGGTGTAAGCAGACTTTGAAGTAAGCAACTGATTACTAATTTAAGTTGCTCCTAACCTTGGGGTCAAGGTGAGAGGAGTGAGACAGAGAGAGAATTCTAGATGGCTTCCAAATGTTTTGGCTTGCACGGCACGGTGTCATTACTGAAAATTGCAACACATTGTAGGAAAGAGTTTGGAGAGAGTATACATGCATTTGAGAAATGCTGAAGAAGTAGTTACCATGGAATATTCAACTGGAAACATTCTGTAAATAATGATAAAGGTTTGAAACTCAGGGAGAGTAAGCCTAGGGATAAGATTATGGAAGTCAGCAAGAGCATATGTAAAATGATGGGGAGAGGGAGGTTATAAGGTAGAGCATACAGAAAAGAAAGATAATACCTACCTATGGGAATGAATCCTTGAGGAACAATACTCTTTGACAGGTAGATGAAGGAAGAAAAATCATAGAAAGAAAATAAACAGTTTGAAGAAATAGGAAAAAAGCAAAGAGGCTTTGTGCCATCGAACTGAAGACCTGTTTGTCTTATGGTTCATTCTTTCTCCTAAAACTTTTGTAAACAGTGAACATTGAGAATTGCTTTATTGCCCGGGGGCCAGGGGAGGGGTGGCTCACACCTATAATCCCAGCACTTTGGGAGGCCTAAGCAGGTGGATTGCTTGAGGCCAGGAGTTCAAGACCAGCTTAGCCAACATGGTGGAACCCGGTCTCGACTAAAAATACAAAAATTAGTTGGGCGTGTTGACACATGTCTGTAGTCCCAGGTGTAGTCCTCAGGAGGCTGAGGCAGAGGCTGCAGTGAGCCGAGAAGGTGCCACTGTGCTCCAGCCTGAGTGACAGAGCAAGGCTCTGTCTCAAAAAAAAAAAAAAAAGAACTGCGTTATTATTTAGTATGCTATGCATGCAGTGTTAACCACAAGTTATAGAGAACTGTATTAGCTTTCAAATGTATGATCTTCTAACAGTATTAGAGGACACAGAGTTTACATTTGATTTTATCCTCCCCAAGGTAAAAAGGAAAATGTTTTCTTCCATTCTTCAGGACCACTAGTATTATTGATTTTTTTTCATAGAATTTTTAAAGTCTTAGCCTAATGTTATATTCCATATTTTTGGAAATTTTCTTCTATTGTCTTTCTTCTTCATCTGAAATTTTATTCTGATTTCATACACGTCTTCTAGCATCCTTCGCTCCTCTGGCAAAATCATATTTCCCCATGCATGAATTTTATCTTTCTTCTACACTTAGAATCAGATTATGTCATTGTCTGAGAACTTGGGAAGGTGTAGTGGAGCTGCAGCCACTGGCTGAGCACTGATGAATCTGCCTGTACTTCTTTGAATCAGCTGTCCCACCTATTACAAGCCCCAAATGAAGTAAGTCCTAGAGATGTAGTTAAAAATAAGACAAGAATGGCATTTGTAAATGACAGAGGATTTATTTCTGTGCAGCTCTCAAGGGTTTTGAAATTTAAAAAACATATAGACAATGATTTGGTGCCGCTGATTCACTGTGCAACAGGGAATAAAGAAGAGGATAGTTATACATCTTTAAATACTTAGTAGTTAGCCATAAATATCTCAAGTTGTTCAGTCAGTTCCACAATTTATTCAAAGCTAATAACTGCGTATTTTTCTATGCACACACGCACACACACACACACACTTTTGCCTTTGGTGACAAAGAGAGGTGGTAAAAAAATTCTGTATGTCAAAATGTATGTCAGGGACATTTTAAATATATGGCACCAAATTCTTAAAAACAAGATAAAGAATAAAAGCTATGGCTTTAACTTCACTTTCTCACTCCATTGTCTTATTTGCTTAATCTGTACTACCATTGTGTTCCAGTGATTGTGGGAAATGTACCTTCAAAGTCACACAGCTTAAGATTCAGGAACTCGGCCGGGCGCGGTGGCTCACGCCTGTAATCCCAGCACTTTGGGAGGCCGAGGCGGGCGGATCACGAGGTCAGGAGATCGAGACCATCCTGGCTAACATGGTGAAACCCCGTCTCTACTAAAAATACAAAAAAAATTAGCCGGGCGTGGTAGCGGGCGCCTGTAGTCCCAGCTACCTGGGAGGCTGAGGCAGGAGAATGGCGTGAACCCGGGAGGCGGAGCTTGCGGTGAGCCAAGACAGCGCCACTGCAGTCCAGCCTGGGCGAAAGAGCGAGACTCTGTCTCAAAAAAAAAAAAAAAAAAAAAAAAAAAAAAAAAAAAAAAGATTCAGGAACTCCCACTTGCATGAATCCCGAGAAAGTGGCCCTAGCAATGTGTTCACATGTTCATATGTTTTAGAAAATTTTGCAAAAGCTATTTTAAGGACAATGAGTTCAGACTGCCTTCTCTTTCCTCTCTCACTTCCTCTCTGTCACTCTTCACTCAGGTCAGCTAGTAATAGAATGACCCTGGTAATTTGGGGGAATCTGAGAAGAAGCTAAGCTGGGAAAGCTGTGTGCTAGAACTGCTCTTTTCCAGGATCCAGTCTCTAAAATGTTTGAATGTGTCATGTATTGTTTACAATATCTTCCCTACTTTTTCCCTCGATTTTAGCTTTTCATACTTCCTAGGGTTTGTTTCTGCTGGTTGCCCGGGAGAACTACCAACAGGGGTCCAATTGAGCTTTTGTGTTTAGTGTCATTAACTAAAGGATATTAAGCGTCATTGATTACAGGATATATCCCTGCCAGGTAAAAGGAAAGTTTGCATGTTTCACACAAGCAACCCACTGAAAAGTTCTATTGATTTTCTGTATGTGAAATTTGCCTTAATTTTTGTTTCAGTTTCTCATGTGGATATGAATTGTAGAACTCCGGCTTCTAAAAGAGTTCTAAATTCATGTGAATGGCCGCCATGGTTCTTAATCACCATGAGTTTGACTCTATGAATATGATCTGAGGTAGGTTAAATATTTGATTTGAGACAAATTAATTGTTCCCAATGTTGCTCCAGGTTATTTGCTTATATTGGTACTATGGTTTGGTTTGAAAGCAAATAATTTTATTATAAAATGATTTTATTTTAAAATCCAAGTGATAGACTGTCATGAGGTAAACATAGGAAGTGCATTGGAAAAAAGTTAGTTTACCAGCCAGCAATATGAGAGTATTCATATTCTCTTTCTAAAGTTGTATGATTAGGCCCAGTCCTAGGGAGTATAATTTATTCTGAGTGTGAAAAACTCTCTAAGAAAACTAAACATCATTTTGGAGCAAGTAGTATAGCTTTTTGCATTCATATCTAGGGGAAAATGAGAATTTACAGAAGAATACAAATAACAACTATAAAGTTGTCTGAAAGGAAATGAAAAAGTAAATATTATTTTAATAATTCCCATGATTTCTCTTTGGTTTTACACTTCCTATAAAGTTTCCAAAATACGTATACATATATGTGGAAATTTGGTTAGATCATTTCATTGAATTTTAGTTTTCCTTATTGCTGGGATGTAAAAGAAATTATTTCATTGGATCGGCTTTATTTCCATCTGTTCCTTATGTGCTGAGAAAATAGAAAACTAGCAAAATATAAAAGAGGAATACATATCCTCTGGCAATAACATATTTTTCTGTCAAAGAATTGCTTGTTTCCTGAAAGAATAAAATTTGACTAAATGTCAAAAGAATTCTTTTTCCTTAAAACAATTTACTTTTTGTTTGACAAGAACCGATCACTTAATTTCCTGTACGGTGAATAGAAGCCCTTTTACTTAAAAAAAAAAAAGTATATTTCATTTGAGCATGGCTGTGTCTACATGACACCAACAAAATTGATGAATTCATACAATGATTCTCACCATCTCTGGTGTCACTGAACACCAAAATAACCAAAGTGCTTGCTTGAATATTTCTGACAGGTTTTTTGTTGTTGTTCTACCACTTCCAGGGAAGAAACATTAGCTTCATTATTGCTTATTAACAATGATGATATAATGATAATAACATTGGATAGCATCTATTTCCAAACTTCTTAGCAGCTATCATCGGTACCGTGGAGGGAAATTTTATTTTTTAAATCATTCTATCACACACTTGCATTCATTACATTTCATATATTGAGCTCTCTGTAATATTGTCTGCTTTATAAACAATAAGCTTATTAAAAAGAAAATTGTTAAATAACTGTGTTTAGTGTATTGGTCTGAATTTTTCAAATCACATATAAATATAGGATAATTTTTTCTGTTAAATCACTAACAACAGAATTTAAGTTGATTTAATCCCTGCTCCTTAAACTTATAGATATTACAGTGGGGTCTTTTTCACATTTCATGAAAACACAAATGCTGGAAGGACAAGGGTTTGAGGTGTTTCCTATAATGCTGCTGAATCTTAACTGATCTATCCATGCTCCTAATTCGTCTTGTGACAGATGCCAGAATTAGCAAGATGGCTGCTTGGCTTTAGGTTCGCCATCTGTTGTGAAGCTAATTGGTCTTGCAGTTTTAATCAATGAACTGAAAGAATTCTAGAATTTTCTGGGACTCACAGGACTTGTAGGCAACTCATCTTGACTACCTATTTATTTATCTACACAACAAGTATTTATTGAGTTCCCACTCTATATTCATATTTATATGCTGGGTATACAGCTGCAAGCAAAAGAACTAAGGTTTCTCCTTTCATACAGCTCAAGTTCCATGGAGAAAAGATACATTAAAAAATAAATATATGGTATAATTAATAGGATTAATCAGTGCAGTAAAGGAACATAGAGTTTCATAAACGAATGAAGAGTGACAACAGTTGGCATAGGGGTGACAACAGTAGGGGTTATAATCTTAGAGTGATCATAAACATCTCTGAGATGATATCTGAGCAAGTATCCAAAGGAAGGGGGAGAGAACCATGGCATTTGGAGTGGAAGAATATTGTAGGTAGAGGGCCGAGCAAGTGTGAAGGACCTAAATAGAGAGCTTGCTTGATGTGTTCAAGGAATAGCAAAGGGGTCAGAGAAGCTGGAGTGGAGTGAGTGATAGAAGCATATGAATTAAGTCAGAGAGGAAGCTGGGGACCAGCTCTAAAAGGCCTTGTAGGGAGACTTTGAATAAAGGTGATAGGAAAACATCAAAGGAGAGTTTCGAGAGTAAGAATAAGAAGATAAATTGTGTGTTTTAAAAATATCCTTGACAAATGCAAAAATATGTACTGAAGGTCAGATATATGAGGCAGCAGGAAGTCCAAACAGGAAGCACTAGTGAGTAAGGGTCCATCTTGATATGGTAGTGGTTTGGACGTGAGTGGCAGCAATGGAACTTGGTGGAAATGAGGATTCACTCAAGGCTTTAACTAAATTGTGCACACAAAGTAACACAAAAGCAAAGAGGCTCCTTTCAAATAAGCTTAGAAAGGATTTGGGTCCCTTTCACTTTAGTAAATGGATCTCAGAATGCATCCACTTTTAGGAGGCCTTCTTGAGTGTGATAAAAATTTTAAATGGTGGCTCCACCCTCATTGAAGGGTTGAGTGATGAGAGTAAAGAAATCTCTAATTTCTGAGCTCTTTTGGCAAGTGAACAAATTAATAAACATGTTTTTCCTGTATGTATACCTTTGCCCATTGGTAATTCTTTAGACAGTTATGGTGTGATGGATTACTGGTAGTAATGGCTAACAGTAGTTCTCAACACAGACTATATGACAGAATCATCTTGGAGACTGTTTAAAATACACTCAGCCCCACTCTGGATTAATTAAGTTTGGATCTGTATGATTGAGACCCGGAGTGTCAGTAGTTTTTCACACCTCCCAGGGGATTCCAATGTTCACTGAGGTTTGACAACCTCTGCAGTACACACATTATATCATTTAAACCCCCAACAGCTTTATGAGGAAAGTACTCTTATGTTGACTACTTAGTAGATTAGGAAACTAAAGCTTATGAAGGCTATACATACTTAGCTGGCAGATAGCCAAGGTAGGATTTTAACAGAGGTAAACTGACTCTGATTCATTGCTTGTAGTGCCTATTTTCCTTCCATCACATCAAGGTTGGGATCCTGTCGGTATCTTGGGACCAAGTGCTTGGTCAGTATTGCAAAAGCAGGAGAAAGAAGAAATAACATTAACGATTTAAGTATATATAACCAACTCCAGACATTTTTACTTGTTCTTCCTCAACTCTCCTTTATAATGCCTATTCAGGTGCAATGTGGTGACATTTTTTCCTTTCAATACTTCCTGTTTTTCATTTTGTCTCAATTTCATTCTTATGAAAATATTAAAAAGTGTCATATGAATGTCATGGAGAAGTGTCTTGTTTTCTGTTTTAAATGTGAAATCTTCTTGTTGGTTAAGTATCACTCTTAGCTATAAATGGTAGAGTTTGCCTGGAGAAGCCAGCTCTCCAGAAGAAAAAACCCCTAATTAATAGTGTTTCCTAATTCCCATGGTGCAAATACTTCTACATGGCCAAATTCAACCAACATCATTGAATGAGGAGTTGAAAAAATACGTGCAATAACATATTATTATGTAGTATTTCCACCATACAAATCAAATAGGTAAAATATGCTGAAGAGTAAAAATAGAAGGGAAATGTTATTAAATAAATAGAAAATTATGAGTTTGAATATTTACTTATTTCAAAAAACTTTTAAGTTCAGGGGTACATGTGCAGGTTTGGTATATAAGTAAACTTACAATCACAGGAGTGTGATGACAAATTATTTCATCACCAGGATATTAAGCCTAGTATCCATTATTTATTTTTCCTGATCCTCTCCCTCCTCCCACCCTGATCCTCTGATAGGCCCTAGTGTGTGTTGTTCCCCTCTATGTGTCCATGTGTTCTCATCACTCATCTCCCACTTATAAGTGAGAATATGCAGTATTTGGTTTTCTGTTTCTGTGTTAGTTTGCTAAGGAGAATGGCCTCCAGCTCCATCCACGTTCCTGCAAAGGACATGATCTCATCATTTTTTATGGCTGCATAGTATTCCATGGTGTATATGTAGGACATTTTCTTTATCCAGTTTAACATTAATGGACATTTAGGTTGATTCCATGTCTTTACTAATGTGAGTGGTGATGCAGTGAACATATGCATGCATGTGCCTTTATGATAGAACAATTTACATTCCGTTGATTTGGCATTTCTGTTTCAGGTCTTTGAGGATTTGCCACATTGTTTTCCACAACGGATGAACTAATTTATACTCCTGCAAACAGTGTATATAAGAGTTCCTTTTCTCCTGCCACCTCACCAGCATCTGTTATTTTTTGACTTTTTAATAATAGCCATTTGACTGGTGTGAGATAGTATCTAATTGTGGTTTTGATTTGCATTTTTGTAATGATCAGTGATATTCAGCTTTCTTTCATATGCTTGTTGGCCACATGTATGTCTTCTTTTGAAAAGTGTCTGTCCTTTGCTCACTCTTTAATAGGGTTCTTTGTTATTTTTCTTATAAATTTAAGTTCCTTATAGATGCTCGATATTAGACCTTTGCTCACATGCATAGTTTGCAAATATTTTGTCCCACCCTGTAGGTTGTCTGTACTTTCTTTTGCTCTTCAGAAGCCTTAAGTTTAATTAGATCTCGTTTGTCAATTTTTGTTTTCATTGTGATTGCTTGTGGCTTAAGTGACAAAGAAATCAGAGATGACACAAACAAATGGAAAAACTTTCCATACTCATAAATAGGAAGAATCAATATTGTTAAAATAGCCATACTGCACAAAACAATTCATAGATTCAATGCTACTCCTATTAAACTACCAGTGGCATTCTTCACAGAACTAGAAAAAAACATTTTAAAATTTATATGGAACCAAAAAGTAGCCCAGATAGCCAAGGCAATCCTAAGCAAAATGAACAAAGCTGGAGGAATTATGATACTTTGATTTTAATATAGTGTGTTTAATTATAAGTTCATATGATTTAATTTTTAATAATGGTTATGTTTAACACAGTCAAAATTCTTAAATTTAATTGGCTCTTGAAAGCCATTTTCAGCTGACTCTAGCACACCACTGCCTCTGACACTGTTGGATTCTGGAGGCTCCAGAAAAAGGGTAAGAAACCTTCTAAGAACAGTGGCTACTGCCACAGGTATGAGTGCCATCAGTATAAAAAGAATCAAGCCTAAGATCCTGCAGACTTTCTGAGAGATTAATGAGTTTTTGATCCTTCAACTTGGGAAACAAAGTACATGCTTCCCTTGATATGGGTTAAAAATGATGATTGCTTTTTTCCTTCAGAAGTGTTCCTTATACATGAAATTAGATAAATATGATAAATATGTTTAAGGTGAACTTTTCTAAAACTAGAGAGTTCCATTAAATGCATTGGGCTGTATTGTGAGTATTTTGGCTCACTTATATCATGATTTAAATAGGATTTGGCCAACTAATCTGGAAACTCAACGGCCATTTATAAAATATATTCCTTGAACAAGTATTCTGGGTTTCTTCTTAGAAATGAGCATTTTAAACAAAACTACTTAGTAAGTTGGTGATTTTTGTTAGTGATTATTGATTACATTTTCTATTTGTTATCATAGTTGGTGGCAATGACGCCAAAGAGGCAATGAATATCGTTGAAAATACAGCTTTTCATACTAAAGTGAAGGTTGTTATGCTCTAACTGGTAAAAGCCAATTAGAGCAGTTTATATTTTTATAAAGCAGGTGAAACCCCTTCTCTACTAAAAATACAAAACAGTAGCCGGGCGTAGTGGCACGCATCTGTAGTCCCAGTTACACAGGAGGCTGAGGCACGAGAATCGCTTGAAGCCAGGAGGTGGAGGTTGCAGTGAGCCGAGATTGCACGACTGCACTCCAGCCTGGGTGACAGAGTGAGACTCTGTCTCAAATATATACATATAATTTTTAATATTATATTTTTATATATTATATTATATATATATATCCCATTTAGAGGATAGGTTTCCTCAATCACTTCCATAGATTCAAAACAGAAGACATTTTTATTTAGTGTCGTATATGCTTATTTATATTATTTTACAATGAGGAGCTTTACCTGTTTAAGCGACCAGATTAATTTATTCATGCAGCCTCATTGTATGGCTTTTGTGGATATTTTGTATTGTGCTGACAAGTTTTGAGGACAAGGAAAATGCTAAAAACTCTAGGTAGAACAACTAAACATGAGCCTAAAGATAGTTTCAAGTACACCAGATGCTAGAAATATATTTATATAGAAAGTGAAATAGATTCTGAAATATAATAAAGGTGCTCAAAGAAATGCAGGAAATAAACAGGGTCTTTCTTAAGACTGCATGCTGAATGAAAATTATATCCCAAATTAACTTGATTTGTCATATAGGTTGACAAGTAAATTTTATTCTAAACTCCATTCATTTTGAGAAGTTAGTTCTTATTGAAGCCTAACAATCTGATTTGAAAAAAGAATCATTCTTTTTTTAAGTTTAAAACATAAGAAAAATTGATTGAAAATTTTTCCAAATGCCAAATATCATTACTTATATAATTTGATATTTATTTATAATCCACTTACTTATAATCCATCATGCGTATATATTTTAGAAGGGTTATAAAGTTACATTGTTTAAGTTAAATAATTTGTTAACTTTGAACACCCTTTTTCCTCAAAACTATAAACCTTTTAAGTCAGTAATAACAGAGATTTCCACAGTGATGTTTCTGCTAATGAAACCAAGTGAATCGAGTTGACCATGCTCTCTCAACCTTTTGAATATGCAGATATTTACAGCAAATAATGCTCTGTGTTTAATAGCGAGCCCTTGGAGCCTTTGCCTTCATCTTTCATTTAAATTGCCTGCACACATTCCCTAGAACTGATAAACTGTCAAATGCATCACGAGATGTGGGCCTTGGGGTTAATTTATAGCACTGCTGTCTTCTACACTGAGTAAAGCCACTTTTTTTTTTAAAGCTCTACATAAACATTTTGTAAAGCAACTCTGGTTAACATGTGCCCTAGTTTGAGTTCTTCATCATTACAGTCTTGAAGAACTGTTTGCTGAAAAGAAAAAATATATATGTTAGATGCTGTTTTAGTCCATTTTCTGTCGCTATAATGGAATACCTGAGACTGGGTAATTTATAAAGAAAAAAAATTTGTTTCTAACAGTTCTGGAGGCTGGGGAATCTCAAGACAAGATATCACATCTGGTGAGAGCCTTCTTGCTGACAGATACTATCTGCAGAGTCCTGAGGTGGCCAAGGGCATCACATGGCAAGAGAGCACCAAGAGAGAGCCAGCCTGGCTTTTATAACAGTCCAACTCTCATAATAACTAACCTGTTCCTGTGATAGTCCATCAATCCATTAACCTATTAACCCATTAATTCATTAACCCATTAATCCATGAAGCCATGAATGGACTAGTCCATTCATGAGGCCTCATAACTCTTATCACCTCTTAAAGGCCCTTCCTTTTAATACTGTTACATTGGGGTTAAATTTCAGTGTCAGTTACAGAAGGCACAAACATTCAAACCATAGCAGATGTTTTCTGTTTACTTAAGATCTCTGTTTCAAAGTTTTAGATATTTTGTTGCTTAGGGTAACAATTATTAAATACTGTTGGAAGTAGTGAAGATATCTTGATTTAAACAGTAATGCAGAGAAAAAGTCGAATGTGTGAGGATTAGCCAGAATATTGTCTTTCTGTTACTCTTACTTTGAACACTTGAATTCAGAATATTTTTTAAAATATATTATTGGATTTGTTTATGCTTTACACTTTTCTTATTTGTTCGTATTGCCTATCATCTTTCAAAAATCTATTTTTAATCTTAAATTTAAACTGGTTTCTTGGGGATTTTGTAAAAATTTGCATTAGTATGATGACTTATGAGTGAAATGAGTTTCTTATAAATTGTGTTACCATTAATCATTCTTATAAACTTTGACATCAGTTTTACAGATAAAAGCATTATGGCACAGGTACATGAAGACTAATTATTTTTCCTTTAGAAAATGTTATTTTTTAATCCTGGGCCCCAATTTTCTTATGTTTTAAGAATAAAAGTTTTTTTTTGTTTGTTGCTTTGTTTGTTTTGAGACAGAGTCTGGCTTTGTCGCCCATGTGCGATCTCCGCTCACTGCAAGCTCTGCCACCCGGGTTCACGCCATTCTCCTGCCTCAGCCTCCGGAGTAGCTGGGACTACAGGCACACGTGCCACCACGCCCAGCTAAATTTTGTATTTTTAGTGGAGACAGGGTTTCACTATGTTAGCCAGGATCATCTCGATCTCCTGACCTTGTGATCCGCCTGCCTCGGCCTCACAAAGTGCTGGGATTACAGGCATGAGCCACAGCGCCCGGCCAAGAATAACAGTTTTTAAAAATCATCTGGTTACTTTCTTTTCCTACAACTTGTTGAAAATGTCATTGAAAACTGAAGGTAGTGCATTTCGGTGATAATTTCATGTCCCAGTTCTTGCATTTATTGGCCATATAACTTTGTAAAATCACTTAAACTTTGAGCTTTCATTATCTATATTATAGTGAGTAAAAATCAGAGACTATTACCTAAGAAAAGTGATTTGGAAATTCTTTTTTTTATTATTATTATACTTTAAGTTTTAGGGTACATGTGCACAACGTGCAGGTTTGTTACATATGTATATATGCGCCATGTTGGTGTGCTGCACCCATTAACTCGTCATTTAACATTAGGTATATCTCCTAATGCTATCCCTCCCCCGCCCCCAACCCACAACAGGCCCCGGTGTGATGTTCCCCTTCCTGTGTCCATGTGTTCTCATTGTTTAATTCCTACCTGTGAGTGAGAACATGTGGTGTTTGGTTTTTTGTCCTTGTGATAGTTTGCTGAGAATGATGGTTTCTGGCTTCATCCAGGTCCCTACAAAGGACATGAACTCATCATTTTTTATGGCTGCATAGTATTCCAAGGTGTATATGTGCCACATTTTCTTAATCCAGTCTATCGTTGTTGGACATTTGGGTTGGTTCCAAGTCTTTGCTATTGTGAATAGTGCCGCAATAAACATACGTGTGCCTGTGTCTTTATAGCAGCATGATTTATAATCCTTTGGGTATATACCCAGTAATGGGATGGCTGGGTCAAATGGTATTTCTAATTCTAGATCCCTGAGGAATTCCCACACCAACTTCCACAATGGCTGAACAAGTTTACAGTCCCACCAACAGTGTAAAAGTGTTCCTGTTTCTCCACATCCTCTCCAGCACCTGTTGTTTCCTGACTTTTTAATGATTGCCATTCTAACTGGTGTGAGATGGTATCTCCTTGTGGTTTTGATTTGCATTTCTCTGATGGCCAGTGATGATGAGCATTTTTTCATGTGTCTTTTGGCTGCATAAATGTCTTCTTTTGAGAAGTGTCTGTTCATATCCTTTGCCCACTTTTTGATGGGGTTGTTTGTTTTTTTCTTGTAAATTTGTTTGAGTTCATTGTAGATTCTGGATATTAGCCCTCTGTCAGATGAGTAGGTTGTGAAAATTTTCTCCCATTTTGTAGGTTGCCTGTTCACTCTGATGGTAGTTTCTTTTGCTGTGCAGAAGCTGTTTAGTTTAATTAGATCCCATTTGTCAATTTTGGCTTTTGTTGCCATTGCTTTTGGTGTTTTAGACATGAAGTCCTTGCCCATGCCTATGTCCTGAATGGTAATGCCTAGGTTTTCTTCTAGGGTTTTTATGGTTTTGGGTCTAACATTTAAGTCTTTAATCCATCTTGAATTAATTTTTGTGTAAGGTGTAAGGAAGGGATCCAGTTTCAGCTTTCTACATATGGCTAGCCAGTTTTCCCAGCACCATTTATTAAATAGGGAATCCTTTCCCCATGCTTGTTTTTGTCAGGCTTGTCAAAGATCCAATGGTTGTAGGTATGCAGCATTATTTCTGAGGGCTCTGTTCTGTTCCATTGATCTATATCTCTGTTTTGGTACCAGTACCATGCTGTTTTGGTTACTGTAGCCTTGTAGTATAGTTTGAAGTCAGGTAGCATGATGCCTCCGGCTTTGTTCTTTTGGCTTAGGATTGACTTGGTGATGTGGGCTCTTTTTTGGTTCCATATGAACTTTAAAGTAGTTTTTTCCAATTCTGTGAAGAAAGTCATTGGTGGCTTGATGGGGATGGCATTGAATCTGTAAATTACCTTGGGCAGTATGGCCATTTTCATGATATTGATTCTTCCTACCCATGAGCATGGAATGTTCTTCCATATGTTTGTATCCTCTTTTATTTCGTTGAGCAGTGGTTTGTAGTTCTCCTTGAAGAGGTCCTTCACATCCCTTGTAAGTTGGATTCCTGGGTATTTTATTATCTATGAAGCAATTGTGAATGGGAGTTCACTCATGATTTGGCTCTCTGTTTGTCTGCTATTGGTGTATAAGAATGCTTGTGATTTTTGCACATTGATTTTGTATCCTGAGAATTTGCTGAAGTTGCCTATCAGCTTAAGGAGATTTTGGGCTGAGATGATTGAGTTTTCTGGATATACAATCATGTCATCTGCAAACAGGGACAATTTGACTTCCTCTTTTCCTAATTGAATACCCTTTATTTCTTTCTCCTGCCTGATTGCCCTGGCCAGAACTTCCAACACTATGTTGAATAAGAGTGGTGAGAGAGGGCATCCCTGTCTTGTGCAAGTTTTCAAAGGGAATGCTTCCAGTTTTTGCCCATTCAGTATGATATTGGCTGTGGGTTTGTCATAGATAGCTCTTATTATTTTGAAATACGTCCCATCAGTACCTAATTTATTGAGAGATTTTAGCATGAAGTGTTGTTGAATTTTGTCAAAGGCCTTTTCTGCATCTATTGAGATAATCTTGTAGTTTTTGTCATTGGTTCTGTTTACATGATGCATTACATTTATTGATTTGTGTATGTTGAACCAGTCTTGCATCCCAGGGATAAAGCCCACTTGATCATGGTGGATTAGCTTTTTGATGTGCTGCTGGATTTGGTTTGCCAGTATTTTATTGAGGATGTTTGCATCGATGTTCATCAGGGATATTGGTCTAAAATTCTCTTTTTCTGTTGTGTCTCTGCCAGGCTTTGGTATCAGGATGATGCTGGCCTCAAAAAATGAGTTAGGGAGGATTCTCTCTTTTTCTATTGATTGGAATAGTTTCAGAATTAATGGTACCAGCTCCTCCTTGTACCTTTGGTAGAATTAGGCTTTGAATCCGTCTGGTCCTGAACTTTTTTTGGTTGGTAAGCTATTAATTATTGCCTCAATTTCAGAGCCTGTTATTGGTCTATTCAGAAATTCAACTTCTTCCTGGTTTAGTCTTGGGAGGGTGTATGTGTCATGGAATTTATCCGTTTCTTCTAGATTTTCTAGTCTATTTGCATAGAGGTGTTTATAGTATTCTCTGATGGTAGTTTGTATTTCTGTGGGATCGGTGGTGATATCCCCTTTATCATTTTTTATTGCATCTATTTGATTCTTCTCTCTTTTCTTCTTTATTATTCTTGCTAGCAGTCTATCAATTGCGTTGGTCTTTTCAAAAAACCAGGTCCTGGATTCATAGATTTTTTGAAGGGTTTTTTGTGTCTCTATTTTCTTCAGTTCTGCTCTGATCTTAGTTATTTCTTGCCTTCTGCTAGCTTTTGAATGTGTTTGCTCTTGCTTCTCTAGTTCTTTTAATTGTGATGTTAGGGTGTCAATTTTAGATCTTTCCTGCTTTCTCTTATGGGAATTTAGTGCTATAAATTTCCCTCTACACACTGCTTTGAATGTGTCCCAGAGATTCTGGTATGTTGTGTCTTTGTTCTCATTGGTTTCAAAGAATATCTTTATTTCTGCCTTCATTTCGTTATGTTCCCAGTAGTCATTCAGGAGCAGGTTGTTCAGTTTCCATGTAGTTGAGCGGTTTTGAGTGAGTTTCTTAATCCTGAGTTCTAGTTTGATTGCACTGTGGTCTGAGAGACAGTTTGTTATAATTTCTGTTCTTTTACATTTGCTGAGGACTGCTTTACTTCCAACTATGTGGTCAATTTTGGAATAGGTGTGGTGTGGTTCTGAAAAGAATGTATATTCTGTTAATTTGGGGTGGAGAGTTCTGTAGATGTCTATTAGGTCCACTTGGTGCAGAGCTGAGTTCAATTCCTGGATATCCTTGTTAAGTTTCTGTCTCATTGATCTGTCCAATGTTGACAGTGGGGTGTTAAAGTCCCCCATTATTATTGTGTGGTTGTCTAAGTCTCTTTGTAGGTCTCTAAGGACTTGCTTTATGAATCTGGGTGCTCCTGTACTGGGTGCCAATATATTTAGGATAGTTAGCTCTTCTTGTTGAATTGATCCCTTTACCATTATGTAATGGCCTTCTTTGTCTCTTTTGATTTTTGTTGGTTTAAAGTCTGTTTTATCAGAGATTAGGATTGCAACCACTGCCTTTTTTGTTTTCATTTGCTTGGTAGATCTTCCTCCATCCCTTTATTTTGAGCCTATATGTGTCTCTGCACGTGAGATGGGTCTCCTGAATACAGCACACTGATGCGTCTTGACTCTTTATCCAATTTGCCAGTCTGTGTCTTTTAATTGGAGCATTTAGCCTATTTACATTTAAGGCTAATATTGTTATGTGTGAATTTGATCTCGTCATTATGATGTTAGCTGGTTATTTTGCTCGTTAGTTGATGTAGTTTCTTCCTAGCCTCAATGGTCTTCACAATTTGGCATGTTTTTGCAGTGGCTGGTATCAGTTGTTCCTTTCCATGTTTAGTTCTTCCTTCAGGAGGTCTTTTAGGGCAGGCCTGGTGGTGACAAAATCTCTCAGTATTTGCTTGTCTGTAAAGTATTTTATTTCTCCTTCACTTATGAAGCTTACTTTGGCTGGATATGAAATTCTGGGTTGAAAATTCTTTTCTTTAAGAATGTTAAATATTGGTCCCCACTGTCTTCTGGCTTGTAGAGTTTCTGCTGAGAGATCCACTGTTAGTCTGATGGGCTTCCATTTGTGGGTAACCCGACCTTTCTCTCTGGCTGCCCTTAACATTATTTCCTCATTTCAACTTTGCTGAATCTGACAATTATGTGTCTTGGAGTTGCTCTTCTCGAGGAGTATCTTTGTGGCATTCTCTGTATTTCCTGAATTTGAATGTTGGCCTGCCTTGCTAGATTGGGGAAGTTCTCCTGGATAATATCCTGCAAAGTGTTTTCCAACTTGTTTCCATTCTCCTCGTCACTTTCAGGTACACCAATCAGACGTAGATTTGGTCTTCTCACATAGTCCCATATTTCTTGGAGGCTTTGTTCATTTCTTTTTATTCTTTTTTCTCTAAACTTCTCTTCTCGCTTCATTTTATTAATTTGATCTTCCACCACTGATACCCTTTCTTCCAGTTGATCACATTGGCTACTGAGGCTAGTGCATTCGTCATGTAGTTCTTGTGCCATGGTTTTCAGCTCCATCATGTCCTTTAAGGACTTCTCTGCATTGATTATTCTAGTTAGACATTCATCTAATTTTTTTTCAAGGTTTTTAACTTCTTTGTCATGGGTTCGAACTTCCTCCTTTAGCTCAGAGTAGTTTGATCATCTGAAGCCTTCTTCTCTCAACTCATCAAAGTCATTCTCCATCCAGCTTTGTTCCATTGCTAGTGAGTAGCTGCGTTCCTTTGGAGGAGGAGAGGCACTGTGATTTTTAGAGTTTCCAGTTTTTCTGCTCTGTTTTTTCCCCATCTTTGTGGTTTTATCTACCTTTGGTCTTTGATGATGGTGATGTATGGATGGGGTTTTGGTGTGGATGTCCTATCTGTTTGTTAGTTTTCCTTCTAACAGTCATGACCCTTAGCTGCAGGTCTGTCGGAGTTTGCTGGAGGTCCACTCCAGACCCTGTTTGCATGGGTATCAGCAGTGGAGGCTGAAGAACAGCGGATATTGGTGAACAGCAAATGTTGCTGTCTGATCGTTCCTCTGGAAGTTTTGTCTCAGAGGAGTACCCGGCCATGTGAGGTGTCATTCTGCCCCTACTGGGGGATGCCTCCCAGTTAGGCTACTCAGGGGTCAGGGACCCACTTGAGGAGGCAGTCTGTCCATTCTCAGATCTCCAGCTGGGTGCTGGGAGAACCGCTACTCTCTTCAAAGCTGTCAGACAGGGACATTGAAGTCTGCAGAGGTTTCTGCTGCCTTTTGTTTGGCTATGCCCTGCCCCCAGAGGTGGAGTCTACAGAGGCAGGCAGGCCTCCTTGAGCTGTGGTGGGCTCCACCCAATTCGAGCTTCCTGGCCGCTTTGTTTACCTACTGAAGCCTCAGCAATGGTGGGCGCCCCTCCCCCAGCCTTCCTGCAGCCTTGCAGTTTGATCTCAGATTTCTGTGCTAGCAATGAGCGAGGTTCTGTGGGTGTAGAATCCTCTGAGCCATGTGCAGGATATAATCTCCTGGTATGCCGTTTGCTAAGACCGTTGGAAAAGTGCAGTATTAGGGTGAGAGTGACCCAATTTTCCAGGTGCCATCTGTCACCCCTTTCTTTGACTAGGAAAGGGAATTCCCTGACCCCTTGCACTTGCCAGGTGAGGCAATGGCTCACCCTGCTATGGCTCATGCTCGGTGCGCTGCACCCACTGTCCTGCGCCCACTCTCCGTCACTCCCCAGTGAGATGAACTTGGTACCTCAGTTGTAAATGCAGAAATCACCCATCTTCTGCGTTGCTCAAGCTGGGAGCTGTAGACTGGTGCTGTTCGTATTCGGCCATCTTGGCTCAACCCTGATTTGGAAATTCTAAAGTGCTCTGTAAGTCTACATTTTCTTCTGTGAATCCAGTTGATAAAACAATAATTATATTGCAGAGATGAAAGAAGAAATGGGAGTTGGGTGGATATGTGTCTGAACAAAGACCCACACAGTATCAGTTGGTTAGTCTTATGGACAATGGCCACCTACGATGATATAGCCATTCATAAAGCATGTTTTGTTTTTCAAAATGAGTTAAAGATGTGAAACAGGAAATATTTCTCCATACCAGTGAACCTCAAACTTTAGCATTGTCAGATTCATCAGGAGGACTTGTTAAAACGCTGATTACTGCGGCTTGCTCCCAGAATTTCTGATTCAAATCAGAATGGGCTGATAAATTACATTTCTAGAAAGTTCTCTGGTGAACTTGAAACTACCACATTTTGAAGATAACTGACCTAAACTATGAATAAAAAGAATGTTTAAAGAATGTTAATGATAATGACTAGCTGGCATTTACTTTGCTAAGCAGAGACTTTATTTGGAGTTAGATGACAGGATGGTGATTACTGATTTGGTCGTTAAGATACAGAAGTCACCATGTGTATTAGTCCATTCTCATGCTACTGTGAAGAAATACCTGAGACTGGGAAATTTACAAAGGAAAGAGGTTTCATTGACTCAAAGTAGTTCCATGGGGCTGGGGAGGCCTCACGAAACTTACAATTATGGCTGAAGGGGAAACAAACATGTTCTTCCTCACATGGGGACAAGAAGGAGAAGTGCCCAGCAAAGGGAGAAAAGCCCCTTGTAAAACCATCAGATCTCATGAGAACTCACCATCATGAGAATACCATGGTGGGGACTCCCCCCATGATTCAGTTACCTCCTACAAGGTCCCTCCCTCATCTTATTCAAGATGAGATTTGGACTGGGGATACAGCCAAACCATATCACCATGTAATTTACCTTTAGAAACATATAATTGAGAGCTCAAAGGAAATTTTGAGTTAATCCTTATCGTTTTCCAGATGAGAAAGTGGAAGTCAGGAAGAAATAAGTGACAAAGAATTACTAAAAACATTACATAAAAATTTATAAAAGTCACACAGAAAGTTATTAATAAAAATGGGGCTAGGATTATCCACCCAGTGCTGATTCTACTCCAAATGTTGCCTCCAGACAGTTTCTTTCTCTTATTTAGATAGGTAAAGAAAGAAGGAAACATAGACCAGAGAAGTTTCCCCTTGCCTAGATATTTGTGGAGACATGGCTCAGCACATTGCAGGGATTTCTCAAAGTAAGTCATGACTTGGTCAGTCAATCAGTCAATCACATTGGCTCTAAGAAATTAGATGCTTATTACATCCATGGATTTTTCTTGTCAATTATGCAGTTAATAAAGACTCATTAAAGTTGTCAAGAATCAATTAATTTCTTATTAATGCAGCCCAGGTTAAAGGAGACAATGAATACAAAGTCTATTTATGTTTAGATTGCTCTGGATTTCCATTAACAGTATTTAAAATATTTGTCCCCTAAACTGGAACCTCACCTGCCTAATTGCTTCCTTTCAGTTGTTTCTCATTAATAGGTAAGTCAACTTGATCACATTCTAAGGTGGAATGAAATACATCTGCAGGGGATGTGGAAGGGTCTGATGCAGAATTGCTTTGGGCAATTTGTTGATGCAAATACATGGACTGCTTCTCCTTTATTTTCACATCTCAGGAGAAGCTGCCTTGTGAGATTTTAGGCAATTGTATTTTTGCTGTCTTACAGCAGTAGATTGGTTTGTTACCCTTAAAGAGAATCAATAAACTGGAGTCAAATCATTTGGTAGAGGATCAGCAGGCACAGTCTGTTCTTGAGCCATGATGCCAAAGAGCTGAAATGTGTTTTGGTAAAGGTTTTATGTGCTGGACTTAGAACTAGCTTCTCTTCCTAGAGCAAGTAGTGAGTTATACTCAGCAGATGGTAAAGAATGCTGATTTAAATTAGTTTTACTCCACATCTATGAGAGAAAAAGTAGCTGGTTTTCAAAATATATTATAGTAAATTAAAATTTCAAAGTATGTATACATTTTAAACATGGAAATGTGTAAATATATTTTATATAAAATACACACACACACACACACACACACACTATTCCTTTCAATAAAGGATGCTCAGTTGCCCTCTGAGCAGACTTTAAGATATAGGGCTGGTTCTAACATTGGCCTGTGCTCTTTGTAAAGTTCCTTTGATTGTTCCACTTAAAGTTCATGTACAATATCTGGTTTGAGGCATTGTCATTCATAGCCTTAGCACAGTATAAAGCCTCAGGATAGTGTAAGACACATTGAAAGGATCATCGTGGAGCATCATTAACTCTGTACACTTATCAACAAAGTTAACCCACTTTAGAGAGTAGTGTTTCAATAGTATTAGCATACGTGTTGATTTTTTATTAGTAATTTCAACTTTTATTTTACATTCAGGGGCTACATGTGCAGGTTTGTTACATGAGTATATCTCCTGATGCTGAGGTTTGGGGTAGGAATGGTTTTAACCCCCAGGTAGTGAGCATAATACCCAATAAGTATTTTTTCAGCCCCTGTTCCCCTCTCCTATGCTCTCTCTAGTAGTCCCCAGTGTGTGTTGTTCCTATCTTTATATCCATATGTACCTAATGTTTAGCTCCCACTCATAAGAGAGAACATGGTATTTGGTTTTCTGTTTCTGCATTAAGTCATTTAGGATGATGGCCTCCAGTTGCATCCATGTTGCTGCAAATGGACCTGATTTTGAGCTATTGTTTTGGCTGCATATTGTTGCCACATTTTCTTTATCCAGTTCACCATTAATGGGCACCTAGGTTGATTCCATGTATTTGCTATTATGAATAGTACTATGATAAACATGCATGTATAGGTGTCATTTTAGTAGAAACACTTATTTTTGTTTGGGTGTATATCCAGTAATGGGATTGCTGGGTTGAAAAGTAGATCTTTTTTAGTTCTTTGAGAGATCCCCAAACTGCTTTCTATAGTGGCTGAACTAATTTACATTTCCACCAAAAGTGTATAACCATTCCCTTTTCTCCATGGCCTTGCCAGCATCTATTATTTTTTGTCTTTTTGATAATATCCATTCTTACTGGTGTAAGATGGTATCTCATTGTGGTTTTGATTTGTATTTCTTTGATGATTAGTGATGTTGGGCATTTTTTCATGTTTGTTAGCTGCCTGTATGTCTTCTTTTAAGAACTATCTTTTCAAATCCTGTTGCCTCTTATTTATATGTTTATTTATTTTTGGAGACAGGGTCTTGCTCTGTTACCCAGGCTGCAATGCAGTGGCATGTTCACTGCAGCCTCGACCTCCCAGACTCAAGTAATCCTCCCACCTCAGCCTCTCAAATATCCAGGACTACAGGAATGTGCCAGCACACTTGGCTAATTTTTTTATTTTTTATTTTTGTAGAGATTGGGTCTGCTTAAGTCACTCAAGCTGGTCTTGAAGTCCTGGGCTTAAGTGATCTTCTTGCCTTTGCCTCCCAAAATGATGGGATTACAGATATGAGCCACAGTGCCTAGCCTCATTACCCACTTTTAATGGGGTTATTGGTTTTTTGCTTGTTTTGTTCTTTACGTTTTTTATAGATTCTGAATATTAGACCTTTGTTGGATGCATAGTTTGCAAATATTTTCTCCCATTCTCTGAGTTGTCTGTTTATTCTGTTGAAAGTTTCTTTTGCTGCTCCAAAGCACAATAGTTTAATCAGGTCGCACTTGTCAATTTTTGTTTTTGTTGCAATTGCTTTTGAGGACTTAGTCATAAATTCTTTGCCAAGGCTTATATCCAAAATGATATTTCCTAGGTTTATGTCCAGGATTTGTATAGTTTTAAGCCTTACATTTAAATCTTTAATCCATCTTCAATTAATTTTTCTATATGGTGAAATGTAAACGTCCAGTTTTATTCTTCTGCCTATGTCTAGCCAGTTATCCCAGCACCAGTTATTAAATAGGGAGTCCTTTCCCCCATTGCTTTTTTTTATACTTTAGCAAATATCAGATTGCTGTAGTTGTGTGGCTCTATTTGGTTCCACAGGCCCGTGTTGTCTGATTTTTATCAATACCATTCTGTTATGGTTACTGTAGCCTTGTAGTATAGTTTGAAGTTGGATAATGCGATGCCTCCAGCTTTGTTCTTTTTTCTTAGGACTGATTTGACTATTTGGGCTCTTTTTTGGTTCTATATGAATTTTAGAATGGTTTTTGTGTAGTTTTGTAAAAAATGGCATTGGTAGTTTGAAAGGAATAGCATTGAATCTGTACATTGATTTGAGCATTTTAATGATATCAGTTATTTCAATCCATGAGCATTGTGTGTTTTTCCATTTATTTGTGTTATCTCTGATTTCTTTCATCAGTGTTTTGTAGTTCTCTTTGCAAAAATCTTTCACCTCCTTGGTTACATGTATTCCTTGGTGTTTTTTGTTTATTTGGTTTTGTTTTGTTTTGTTTTGTGTGTGTGTCTATTACAAATGGGATTGCGTCTTGATTTGTCTCTCAGCTTGGGTGTTATTGGTGCTTAGAAAAGCTACTGACTTTTGTATGTTGATTATGTTCCCTAGGAGTTTACTAAAGTCATTTATCAACTCTAGACTTCTTTCGATACATTAGGATTTTCTACATATAGAGTTGTATCATCAGCAAAGAAAGATAATTTGACTTCATCTTTTCCTGTTTGATGGCTTTTATTTCTTTGTCTTGCCTGATTGTTCTGGCTAGACTTCCAATACTACATTGAATAGAAGTAGTGAGAGTGGGCATCCTTATCTTCTTTCTATTCTTAAGGGAGTGCTTCCAGCTTTTTCCTGTTCAGTATGATGTTGGCTGTGTGTTTGTCATAGATGGCTCTTATTATTTTGAGGTATGTTCTTTCTATGCCTAGTTTATTGAGGGTGTCTATCATGAAGGGATGTTGGGTTTTATCAAAAGCTTTCTTTGCGTCTATTGAGGTGAACATATGGGTGTTGTTTTTAATTCTGTTTATTTGATGAATCACATTTATTGATTTGTGTACATGGAACCAACCTTGCATCCCAGAATAAAGCCTACTTGATCATGGTGAATTAACTTTTGATGTGCACATTGATTTTGTTAGTGTTTTGTTGAGTGTTTTTGCATCAATATTCTTTAGGAATATTGTCCTATAGTTTTCTTTTTTCATTGTGTCTTTGCCAGCTTTTGGTATCAGGGTGACACTGGCTTCATAGAATGAGTTAGGGGGAAGTCCCTTTTTGATTTTTTGGAATAATTTTAGTAGAATTGGTACCAGTTTTTCTGTGTGTGTCTGGTAGAATTCAGCTGTGAATCAATCTGGTCGCGGGCTTTTTTGGGTTGGCAGGTTTTTTATGACTATTTCAATAACAGAATTCAATGTTGGTCTGTTCACGGCTTCAATTTCTTCCTGATTCAATTTTGGGAAGTTGTATGTTACCAGGAATTTATTCATTTCCTCTAGATTTTCTAGTTTGTGGGCATAGAGGTGTTCATAACAGTCCTTGAGATTTTTTATTTTTTAATTTCGGTGGGAGCAGTTGTAATGTCACCTTCATCATTTCTGACTGTTTATTTGGGTCTTCTCTCTCTCTCTTTTTTTTTTGTTTTTCTTTTCTTTTTTTTTTTTTTTTTTTTTTGTTGTTGTTGTTGTTGTTAATCTAGCTAGAGGTCTGTCAGTCTTATTTATCTTTTCAAAGAATCAACTTTTGGTTTCCCTGATCATTTGGTATGGGTTTTTGGGTCTCCATTTCATTCAGTTTTGCTCTGATTTTAGTTTTGTTTTTTCTTTTCTTTTCCTCTGCTAGCTTTGGGATTAGTTTGTTCTTGTTTTTCTAGTTCCTTTAAGTGTGATGTTAGATCATTAATTTGAAATCTTTCTGACTTCCTGACATAGGCTTTAGGGCTATAAACTTTCTTAACACTCCTCTTGCTGCATCTCACACGTTTTGATATATTGTGTCCCTCTTTTCATTTATTTCTAGTAATTTTTTGATCTCTGCTTTAACTTTGTTGTTTATTCAGAAGTCATTTGGGAGAAAGTTGTTTAATTTCCACATAATTGTGTGGTTTTGAGAGATCTTATTGATTTCCATTTTTATTCCACTGTGGTTTGAGAGTATGGTTGAAATGATTTTGATTTTTTAAAATTATACTTTAAGTTCTAGGGTACATGTTCACAATGTGCAGGTTTGTTACATGTGTATACATGTGCCATGTTGGTGTGCTGCACCCATTAACTCGTCATTTACATTAGGTATATCTCCTAATGCTATCCCTCCCCCCTCCCCCCATCCCACGACAGGCCCCGGTGTGTGATGTTCCCCTTCCTGTGTCCAAGTATTCTCATTGTTCAATTCTCATCTATGAGTCGATTTTTTAAAATTTATTGAGACTTGCTTTATGGTCAAACATATGGTCCATCTTAGAGTATGTTCCATGTGCAGGTAAGAAGAATGTATACTCTGTGGTTGATTGGTGGTGCGGTCTATAGATGTCTATTAGGTCCAATTCATCAAATGTCAAATTTAAGTCCAGAATTTCTTTGTCAGTTTTCTGCCTTGATGATCTGTCTAGTGCTATCAATGGGGTATTGAAATCCCCCACTATTACTGTGTGGTTGTCTAAGTCTTCTTGTAGGTCTAGAAGTACTTGTTTTATAAATCTGAGTCCTCCAATGTTGGGTGCATATATATTTAGGATAGTTAAGTTTTCTTGTTGAATTGAACCCTTGATCTTTATATAAGGGCCTTCTTTGTCCTTTTGTGCTGTCATTGGTTTAAAGTCATTTTTTTCCGATTAATAGTGACCTCTGCTCTTTTTATCTTTTCTGTTTTTGTAATAGATCTTTGTCCAATTCTTTACTTTGAGCCTGTGGGTGTCATTATGTGAGAAATGGGTCTCTTGATGATAGCAGGAAAATGGGTCTTAATTTTTTATCCAGCTTGCCAATATGTACCTTTTAAGTGGAGCATTTAGAGCATTTACATATAAGGTTAATAATGATATGTGAGGTTTTGATTCTATCATGGAGTTGTTAGCTGGTTGCGTTAATTTACATTGTGTAGTTGCTTTATAGAGACTATAGAGTATGGACTTAAGTGTGTTTCTGTGGTAGCAGATATTGTTCTTTTGTTTCCGTGTTTAGAATTCCTTTGAAGATCTCATGTAAATCTGGTCTAGTGGTAACAAATTCCTGTAGCAATTGCTTGTCTGGAAATGATTTCATTTCTCCTTCACTTACAAAGCTTAGTTTGGGGGGACATGAAAATCTTGTTTGGAATTTCTTCTCTTTAATAATGCTGAAAATAGGCCCCCAATCTCTTCTGGCTCATCAGGTTTCTGCTGAGAAGTCTGTTATTAATCTGATGGTGTACCCTTTGTTCAAGATCTGACCTTTTCCTCTAGCTGCCTTTTAAGATTTTTTTCTTCCGTGCTGATCTTGGCCAGTCTGGTGACTATGTGCCTTGTTGATATTTATTTTGTATAGTATATCACAATTGTTCTCTGTATTTCTTGTACCTGGATATCTACCTCTCTAGGAAGACTAGGAACATTTTATTGGATTAGTTCCTCAAATATGTTTTTTGGATTGTTTACTTTTTCTCCTTCTCTTTCAGGAATGCCAGTAATTTATAGGTTTGGTTGCTTTACCTAATCCCACATTTCTCAAAGACTTTGTTCATTTTATTAAATTCTTTTGACTATTTTTGTCTAACTGTGTTAGTATGAAAGATCAGTCCCTAATCTCTGAAAATCTTTCTTCTGCTTGGTAGCCTATTGATAAAGCTTTCAAATGTATTTTAAAATTCCTTAAGTGAAGTTTTGCAATTCCAGAAGCGCTGATTGATTACTTTTAAATATGTTAAGAAGTTTTCTGGATTGATTAAAAGTTTCCTTTTGTTAATTTTCAAACTTTTTCTGAATCTCATTAAGCTTCTTTGCAATACATGCTTTGAATTCTTTATTTTTTATTTCTGAGTTTCCATTCCAGTTTGGGATTATTGTTTTAGAGCTAATATGATCCTTTGGTCATGTCACAATGTTCAGATTTTTTATGGTAACAGAATTCTTGTGCTGGCTCCTTCTCACCTGGCGCTTATGGCACTACTAATTTTGTAATTATTTTCATGTGGTTAGGATTTTTTACTTTTTTTCTTTCCCATTATTATTATTATTATCATTATTTTCCTCTTGCCCTCCTCCCTAATTGAGTGCCTGTAGAGAATGTTGGGTAGGGTCTTTTGGTTTTGCTTCTATAGCCTATGCACTTCCATTGACCAGTTTTACGTTGGGTTCTGCAGTTCAACCTACAGGCCAGTAGATTGCACTGATGGGTAAGAGCCAGAGAGGCAGCCAACATAGATGGGTATATAATTTATTCTTGTTGATTGAGAGAAGTCTCTGTTGCCCCAGGCAATGGGCTGATCCATGTAGTGCACAGAGGTCTTAGCTCTGATCTCCTTGCTCAGCCCATTGTGGGGCACCAGTATGGGTGGGGCCAGAGTAGGCAGGCTCATCTTTAGGTCACTCAGTGGCAAGTACAAGCATTTATGCCAATGGGGGCTCCAGTGGGTGGCTACTAAGCATCCAGAGTTGGGCCTATGCATGGAGATAGGGAAGTTCTTCTGCCCCAAGTTCTCTGTGGGGGTGGGGGATGCCTAATCTCCTAATTCAGGAGAGTGGATGCTTCAAATGCCTGAAGATCTGCCTAGGCATGAAGCATAGGGGCCCTACTGAACTATAGTCTCTACACAGGAAGAATGAGGTGAATCAGGCTGCTGATCCAGATGAACAGGTGATTTAAATGCCTGAAGATCAGCCTGGCCATGGCATGGAGAGGGCCCTGCTAAACCATGATCTATGCAAAGGAACTATAGGTGATTCCAGCTTTTGGTCCAGGTGAGCAGGTGCTTCAGATGTATGAAGATCTGCCTGGGCATGGAGTGGAGAAGGCCCCACTGCACCACGATTTTGTTTTAAGTGAATTTTCTCCACCCAAAATTCTAAGCCTCTGTTAATGTATAACCAAAAACACACTCTAGACTTATAATCATGGCATTATTTTAGATATGCATAACAGTACTTTGATTGGAATAGAATATTTTTTATTGGTAATAAAAGACATATGGATGACAAGGCACGAAATATTGGCATGTGATTTTCAGGCAGGACTTCTATATCTACCATTGAAACTCTATATTGACTGTCTTAAGCAAATCACTACTATTATTTTCAATAAATGTGAATTTTTACATTCCACATACAGGAAACTAATTAAGAATTGAGAAACACATTAGGGATATAATGTCATCTATAGCATCTCAGACTTCAAATGGCTTACAATTTAGTTGGGTGGACCCAGGACATAATTCACAAGGTCCAGTGTAAAATGAAAACGCAGGACTCCTCATTTTAAAATTATTAGGAAATTCAGTAGAGCAATAGAAGAGTATGAAACCAAGCACAGGTTTTTTCTAAGTATGAGAGGGCCTTGTATGACTGCACAAGTCACATTCATTCATTGAGTCAGGCATATATGAAGCAAAAATAAACATATATTGATTACTTATCTGTAACAGATGTAATGTGGTAAGGTCTTTACTTCAAATTATATCACTTGATTTTCACCATGACTTTGTGGGTGCTTGTTACCCACAGTTATTGAAAAGGAAAGCCAGGTTCACAGAGGTTAAAGAATGTGTCACTGACTTCAGATCAGACTCTAATCAAGCCCTCATTTTGAGGATATAAGACATATGTATAAAAATGTAAATCAATTTATAAGGTGCTAAATGTTCAGTGTCTGAGTAGTGTATTCACTAAATGTTTTAATCAATAAGTACTTTTAGGCAAGTCAGCTCAAAAAAGCTATGATGTAGGATAATCTCTGAAAAACGCAATTATCCTGATGTTAAATTAAATCAATCATGTAATCAGCCAATAGTGTGGAGGGGAGAGATGGGTCATATTTTTTATTTGACAGTTTGTGGGAAAGATCTAATTATTACATTTTAAAACTTTTTAATTTTTTTATTATTGCCATTTCTGACAGCTCAGCCAACCATCCTCCTCCTAAGCTTCCCTAGTACAAGATGGTGTGGGAGTGAAGCAAAGCTGATTAATAGCAGTGCCTTTGACTACAGCCTTCAACCCTTGCCCCTCAAGAAGTCTTGCAAGTGCTATTAGATTTTTCTCTTTCTCCATAGCCGAGGCCCATTGTGCCAGGATGGAGAGAAAAACAAGTAACATTTTTAATAACTTAATGAAAAAACTACCTCAAAAAATTGTGTTTCTTTGCTGATTTATGTTGTTAGCACACAGTGGTTTATACATGTAAGATTATTTATTTCCAAAATAGCTTACTTGAATACACTTGAGTCATATCAATTGTAGACTTCCAATTAGTAACCATTCGGTTACCAGACTAGTCAAACGTCTAGCAGATAAGTACAGTATTTTATTAGAATACATAACACAACAAAACTCTCACCACTTTATATTAGCTTGGAGCAATGAAGAAACCAGATTCCTCTGAATTTAGAGAATTTGAAAATAAATCAGTACACGAAAAGTGTGTATTCTAAGGTGACGTTTATAACACTCCCTAAACAAAGATTTGATAAAGTTAACAGGTAAGCTTGGATCATCTTGTAGTGCCAGAAAGTAAGGAGGAGCTCAAAACAGTCAAAGATGGAGATATGACATAGGAACCAACTGAGGGGGGTCCAGATGACCAAAGCTGGAGCAATCTGAGCACCATAGTAAAATAAACAGTTGGAATATAACCCACAGTATAAAATAAATTTCTGTAAGTCCACACTTATAAATAAATAAATGAGGAAGAATAGACAAACATATGTACAAAAGATTTCCAAATAATATTTGTAAATATTTCATCTTCAATGATGGGGAGCAAAATTCCATAGCCTTTAGGCATGGACCATTCATTGCACCTTTCTTCTAAAAAGCATGGAATTGAATGTCCTATAACAAACAGCATTGAATGTGTTATTTTAAACTATTCTGGCATCCACTATTCCTGAAGATAAATCAAGAAACATATCATTGTTCCCATGTACATAATGTGTCATTTTTCTTTTGCTGTTTTCAACATTCATATCCCTTCCATTCCTCCTTCCCTCCCTCCTTCCTTTTGGTGGTTACAATATAACTTGGTCACGATTCTCTTTATTTTCTCCTGCTTTGGGTTAATTGAAATTCTTGAATCTGTAAGTTAATGTGTGTGTGATTTTTTAAAATCAAGTGAAGGCTAGGCTTAGACCATTATTTCTCAAATGATTATTTTGTCTTTCTTCTACCTTTCCCTTTTTCTTCTTAGACTTCAATTACATATACATTGGACCAAATGATGTTGTTCCAATTTTTTTTTTTTTTTTTTTTTGAGACGGAGTCTTGCTCTGTCACCCGGGCTGGAGTGCAGTGGCGTGATCTCGGCTCACTACAATGTCCACCTCCTGGGTTCAAGCAGTTCTCTGCCTCAGCCTCCTGAGTAGCTGGGATTACAGGTGCCCACCACCACACCTGGCTAATTTTTTTGTATTTTTAGTAGAGACAGGGTTTCACCATGTTGGCCAGGCTGGTCTTGAACTCCTGACCTTGTGATCCACCTGCCTTGGCCTCCCAAGGTGCTGGAATTACAGGCATGAGCCACTGCCCCCGGCATGTCCCAAATTTTTGAAGCTTCATTTATTTTGTAATATCATGTTTCTCTCTGTTCTTAAGATTGGACAGCTGTTATTAATGCATCACCAAGCTCACTGATTTTTTTCCCCACATCTAATCTGTAGAATGATTCTAATGACTTTTGTTGTAATTTTCAGTTCTTTTTAGTTGTATTTCTGTTATTTCCTATCTGTTTACTCATTGAGATCATATTTTTAAACATTTTAACATATTTAGACCAGCTGCTGAAGTTTTTGTTTGCTATGCCCAAAATCTAGGCTCACTTGGAGGCACTTTACATTTGCTTCATTATTTTTTTAATGTGGGTCACTACTCATTCTTTGCATATTTAGTAATTTTGGGTTGAAATTGGTCATTTTATATAATATAGTGGCAATATGTGCTGTTTTGTCATTTGTAGAATCATGGGGTTATTTTATTTGTTTCTTTGTTTGTTCTGATAAGTAATTAATTTGCTTAAAGCCAAACTATTTATTTGTCTACACATGGTATGCAGTAGCTGATAGTCTGCTTAGCTTTTTAAATGTCAAGCCGCCAATTTTATAGTCTGACTCCCTGAGGGTCTTCTGAGCCTGTGTAGTTTATTTTCAGCCAAAGATATGGACGGGGTTTATATGCAAATTTGGAGACATTCTTTCTGTGGTTCTCTTGCTTCTATTGATTCATAAATTTTAGTTGCTTTTCCACCCCTGAGCTTTGTCCTCCTTGTAAGACTTCAGCTCTCTGCCTCCCGAGCTGAGTGCATATTCTGGAATGCACCCAATCAATAAAGGAGTTAACTTTCAGATCTCACCTGGTGAAATTCTGACTTTTGAGGATAGATTTCTTTATTATCCTGCCTATTTTTTCTTTGCCCCAGCTGTCCCCTTACATCTGTCACTTGTTGAACAGCCAGGGATATGGACAGAGTTCATACTCAGATTTTTTGTTTCCTCTTTTCTGCAGCTTTTTTGCTTCTTGAATTTTGTCCCTAATTTCTATCTGTTCTGTCATACTTAGACTCTCTACTCAGCCACTATCCATTATAGTTATAGTCTCTCAAGGGTAAATCTCTGATTTCTGCTTGCATTTAGTCACTTTACATTTCCTTCCAATAGTTTCATTTTAATTGACACATAATAATTATACATGTTTATGGGGTAGAATGTGAGGTTTTGATACTTGTTACAATGTGTAATGATCAAATTAGGGCAATTAGCCTATCCGTTACTTCAACCATTTATAATTTCTTTGTGTTGAGATCTTCTAGCTATTTTAAACTATACAATGTATTATTGTTAACTGTATTCTCCCTACTGTGTAATGGAACACTAGAACTTATTCCTCTTATCTAACTATCATTTGATACCCATTGACTAATAGATTGATTTCCCTTTCCTCCTATGCTTTCTAGCCTCTAGTAACTGATATTCTACTCTCTACATCTATGAGATCAACTTTTTTGGATTTCACATATGAATAAGATCATGTGGAATTTTTCATTCTGTTCCTGGCTTTCACTTAACATACAGGAAATCAGTTTTTGAAAATCATATTTTATTCAGTTTTTATAATGATTATCCTTGGGAGGGTTCACAGGACATTTCATTCCGCCATTACCAAAAGCCAGAACCCTATCTCTAATATTTGAAATGATATCTTATCAGATGCTAAATATTTGTATGTACTTGTGTATACTGCTGGGATTTCTAGACTATACTAGTCTAATTAAATTATTGTTGTCTTAATATCTATATATGCAAATTTCTCTATTTTTTCAATTTTGAAATTGAAATTTATAACTATTTTATCTAGCTGTGCTGTGTGCCTTAATTTACTCAAGTTGTTTCTCTCCATAAAATTTTGTAATTGTTTTCATAGTGTTACACATTTTTTATTAGCATATGTCTGTATATTTGATAATGGTTATTGCTGCTATGAATCAGGTGTTTTTCATTATATTTCATATATGGTTATTCTCATTAACATAAGAAAGATACTGATTCTTTGTAGTTTTTATCAACAGCCACCTCGTGGAACTCTATTATTGTAATTGATTTTCAATTTATTCTTGGGTTTTTCTAGTAGGTAGTGATTATCTGGAAATAATTAATGACTTTTTTTTTCTTTTCTACATCATTGTGACCATATCATTACCTCTCCCCTGTGAGCAAGCTCTCCTTTGCTCTATGCTGCACTTGAAGTAGTACTCAGCACTTTTTTGCACACCCACCCAAAAGAAATTCTACTTAGCTTTGTTGGTGCATAGCAGTGGTCCCCAACCTTTTTGGTACCAGGGACAGGTTTCATGAAAGAAAACTTTTCCACAGACAGGGCAAGGGAGTGGGGTGGTTTCGGGATGATTCAAGCGCATTACATTTATTGTACACTTTATTTCTATTATTATTATATCATAATATATAATGAAATAATTATACAACCAACCATAATGTAGAATCAGTGGGAGTCCTGAGCTTGTTTTCCTGCAACTAAATGGTCCCATCTGGGGGTGATGGGAGACAGTGACAGATCATGAGGCATTCAGTTCTCATAAGGAGCTCACATCCTAGATCCCTTACATGTGGGGTTCACAACAGGGTTCACGCTACTATGAGAATCTAATGCTGATGATGATCTGACAGGAGATGGAGGTCAGGGAGTAATGCCAGCGATGGGAAGTGGCTGTAAATACAGACGAATCTCACCCGCAGCTCACCTCCTGCTGTGCAGCCAGATTCCTAACAGGCCACTAACCAGTACCAATCCATGGCCCAGGGGTTGGGGACCCCTGTTGTATAGTATTTCATAGGGGAGCCTTAGTAGGAGGTTTGCATTGCAGACTGCCTTTTACACATAAAAAATACTTATTTAGCAGCTTTTCTTAAAATCGTCATCTAAGTTACTAAATGAAGATTTACAGTCTTAGTCTTTCATTCCTGTGTTCACAATCTTTTCCTTGTGAGCATTTACTCCCTAATTTGCCTCTGATGTATGCAAATTTCTCTATTTTTTCAATTTTGAAATAGAAATTTATAACTATTTTATCTAGCTTTACTGTGTGCCTTAATTTACTCAAGTTGTTTCTCTCCATAAAATTTTGTACTTGTTTTCACAGTGTTACATATTTTTGATTAGTATATGTCTGTATATTTGATAATGGTTATTGCTGCTATGAATCAGGTGTTTTTCATTATATTTCATATATGGTTATTCTCATAACATAACATAAAATAGATACTTCTCTTATGTTAAGAATCTTCTTCTCTCTGTCTTAAGCACCATTTCACCCACGGGCCAGAAATATTTCCCTCAGAGGTAGAAAGTAGGTAGATGTCTTGCAGCAGAACAAACAACTAAAAGCATAAACAAAATAAAAACTGTTGATCAGTTACTTCTGAGAGTGAATCTAAAAAAAAAAAAACTCAGTAAGGACAGTTACCCTTGTCTTATTCCTGATATAAACGGGACTATCACTAATATTTTACTATTCAGTATTATTTTGACTTATGGTTTGAGATTGAAATTCTTTATCATAAAAAGGAAGAATGTTTTAATTACTAACTTAAGATTCAAAGAATGTATGTTGAATTGAGCAAATGCAATTCTAGTATCTTTCACAATTTCTTATTTAACTTATTGATGAGATGTATTTTATGAATATATTTCCTAATATTAAGCAATCTTGTGTTCTTAAAATATACCCTACTTTTTGATCATGTATTATTCTTTTGATAAATTGCTGTATTTTTATTTACTAATATTTTATCTAGGTTTTTTTGCATTTATTAGTGAGGTTTGAATGTAAATTTGTCAGTAGTATTCTTTCTTTTTTTTTTTCAATCTTTATATTTTGTGTCTGTTTTTTACCAACTAGCACAGGAATCTCTAGAGAAAAAAATTGCCCTTTGAATTTTATTTGTTTGTTTGTTTGTTTGTTTTGGAGGAAAGAAGGTAAAAGTATTCCATAAGTATACTTTGAGAAAAGCTAACTGAAAGAAAAAAAAAAGGTTGTTCAAAGGAAGAACAAAGAGATTCTTGTATGTATGTGCATATGTGTTTGTGGTTGATGTTAAGCAAGGTCAAAAATGAATTTTAATATGTATATTATATTTTATAACCATATGTGAATATATGTTGGTTATATTTACCATCATTTTTAAAATCTCAATCTTTCCTAATTATTCAGTGTTTCTTAAACTGAACTCAGTTTTTTTTAAATGGAAAGGTATATAATTATGAAACTCTTAAAGAGTTCATTTAAAATTGTCTTCCTGCTAAATTTACATGCAAATGGTAACTCTTTTTTTTCCATCAACGGTAGTCAATTATTTTATTCTCTCTTACGTAAGTTAGGTATATGATATCCCTATCCTTTCCTCTAGCTTTTCTCACCATTGTCTTTTTTCTTTTAGATTTTCAATAATTAGCATTCTTAGTCTGATCTACAACAAGAACTAAGTCTTTCTCTTTTTTTTGTTCACAGAATCATTTTAAATCTTTAAAACCAATAATCAGCATTTAAATTACTATCACTATGTAAATACTTTTATTTCAACAGTTCTAGGGTAACAGGTGGTTTTTTATTACATAGGTAAGTTGTTTGGTGGTGATTTCTGAGATTATGGTGCACCCATCACCTGAGCAGTGAACACTGTACTCAGTGCGTAGTCTTATATCCCTCACCCCCTGAGTCCCCAAAGTCCATTAAATTATTATTATTATTATTATTTTGAGATGGAGTCTCGCTCTGTCCCCCAGGCTGAGTGCAGTGGCGCGATCTTGGCTCACGGCAAGCTTCGCCTCCTGGGTTCACGCCATTCTCCTGCCTCAACCTCCCGAGTAGCTGGGACTACAGGCGCCCACCACCACGCCCGGCTAGTTTTTCTGTATTTTCGATAGCGATGGGGTTTCACCGTGTTAGCCAAGATGATCTCGATCTCCTGACCTCATGATCAGCCCACCTCAGCCTCCCAAAGTGCTGGGATTACAGGCATGAGCCACTGCTCCCGGCCCATTAGATTGTTCTTATGCATTTGGGTACTCATATCTTAGCTCCCACTTATAAGTGAGAACATATAATATTTGGTTTTCCATTCCTGAGTTACTCCACTTAGAGTAATAGTCTCCAGCTCCACCCAGGTTGCAGAGAATGCCATTATTTTGTTCCTTTCTATGGCTGTGTAGTATTCCATGGTGTATATATACCGTATTTTCTTTATCCATTTGTTGGTTGATGGGCATTTAGGCTGGCTCCATATTTTTGCAATTGTGAATTGTGCTGCTAAAACATGATTGTGCAAGTGTCTTTTTCATATAATGATTTATTTTCCTCTGGGTAGATACCCAGTAGAGTGATTGCTAGATCAAATGGTAATTCTGCTTTTACCTCTTTACGGAATCTCCATACTGTTTTCCATAGTGGTTGTACTAGTTTACATTCCCACCAGCAATGTAAAAGTGTTCCATTTTCACAACATCCACGCCAATATTTATTATTTTTTGATGTTTTAATCATGGCCATTCCTGCAGGAGTAAAGTGGTATCTCATTGTAGTTTTAATTTGCATTTCCCTGATAATTAGTGATGTTGAGCATTTTTTTGTATATTTTTTGGTCATTTGTATATCTTCTTTTGAGAATTGTCTATTCATGTCGTTTGCCTACTACTATTTTTTTTTTTTTTTTTCTGAGACAGGGTCTCACTTTGTCACCCAGGCAAGAGTCTGAAGTGCAGTGACATGGTCTCAACTGACTGCAGCCTCAATATCCCTGGTTCAGGTGATTCTCCCACCCCAGCCTCCCAAGTAGCTGGGACAGGTCCATGCCACCATGCCCAGCTAATTTTTGTATTTTTTGTTGAGATGGAGTTTTGCCATGTTGCCCAGGCTCAGCCATTTGCCCACTTTTTGATGAGGTTATTTCTTTTTTCTTGGTGATTTGTTGGAGTTCCTTATAGCTAAAAAGACCCCACACAGCCAAAGAAAGACTAAGCAAAAAGAACAAATCTGGAGGCATCACATTACCTGACTTCAAACTATACTACAAGGCTATAGTTACCAAAGCAGAATGGTACTGGTAGAAAAACAGGCACAAAGACCAATGAAGCAGAATAGAGAGCCCAGAAATAAAGCCAAATACTTACAGCCAACTGATCTTCAACAAAGCAAATAAAAACATAAAGTTGGGAAAGGACACTGATGGTTAGCCTTTGTGCCCCCACCCAAATCTCATCTTGAATTGTAATTCTCAGGTGTTGAGGGAGGAACCTAGTAGGAGGTGATCGGATTATAGGAGCAGATTTCTGCCTTGCTGTTATTGTGATAGTAAGTGAGTTCTCATGAGATCTGATGGCTTCATAAAGCAGTTTTCCTTGCTCTTCCTAGCACTCTCTCTCCTGCTGCCTTGTGAAGACATAATTGCTTCCCCTTATGCCATGATTGTCAATTTCCTGAGGCCTCCCCATCCGTGCAGAAGTGTGAGTCAATTAAACTTCTTTCCTTTATAAATTACCCAGTCTCAGGTACTTCTTTACAGCAGTGTGAAAACATACTAATACAGACAACCTATTCAATAAATGGTGTTGGGATAATTGGCAAGGCATCATGCAGAAGAATGAAACTAGATTCTCATCTCTCACTCTGCACAAAAATCAACTTAAGATGGATCAAAGATTTACATCTAAAACCTGAACCCATAAAAATTCTAGAAGATAACATTAATAAAACTCTTCTAGATGTTGGCATAGGCAAAGAGTCCATGACCAAAAACCTAAAATCAAATGCAACAATAACAAAAATAAATAGATGGGACCCAATTAAACTAAAAAGCTTCTGCACAGCAAAATAAACAGACAACCCACAGAAGGGGAGAAAATATTCTCTAACTATGCACCTGACAAAGGACTAATAGCCAAAATCTACAAAAGGTAACTTCTTAAGACATTTGAAAAAATGATGACAATCTTAATCCTTTAAAAATGTATGTATTGGGGCTGGGCATGGTGGCTCACGCCTGTAATCCTAGCACTTTGGGAGGCCGAGGCGGGCGGATCACAAGGTCAGAAGATTGAGACCATCCTGGCTAACATGGTGAAACCCCGTCTCTACTAAAAATACAAAAAATTAGCCGGGCATTGTGGCGGGCTCCTGTAGTCCTAGCTACTCTGGAGGCTGTGGCAGGAGAATGGTGTGAACCCGGGAGGCGGAGCTTGCAGTAAGCCGAGATCTCGCCACTGCACTCCAGCCTGGGCGACAGAGGAAGACTCTGTCTCAAAAAAAAAGTATGTATTACTTCCTTTTTTTCTACAATTTAATGTTCAGGAAAATGTGAAATCAACCAGAACTTTGTTCTAGTTAGACAATATATTTTATTTTATTTTGTTTTATTGTCCGAATGTAAGTTTTTGTGTCCTAAAAACTCCAATTATTCTCCAAGAAATGTTTGCTAATCTCATCATAAATTTTACACAATATCCTTTAAAAGGTTTTATATTAGATACTCTCATCCTTTTTTACAATAGCTAAATTTTAATCTATTATAGTTTAAGAATTTTTCTTTTGCCTTTGGGGGACATGATAACGTAATGGTTACAGGTAGAGCATGGGCTCTGGTGCCAGACTGCTTAAGTTGAAGACCTTGCTCTTCCACTTTCTTTGTGAACCTAGGGATATTACTTGCCCTCTCTGTTCCTCGGTTTCTCCTTTATAAAGTACATATAGTAGTGTAACAACAAATAGAATTGTTTTGAGCTTCAGTGTTTATTATGTAGTAGGCATTCAGTGTTGGTTATTTTCATTGTTTCTAAGTTTGTTTTTGACTATTGTTAAGGTTTACTCATTCTTAATTAAGTATGCCATTTTCCATAGTTTTAACATATTATGCATTCTTTATATTTATAGTTTACTTTCCATTGTCGTCATCTATGTCACCAATTAAAATTCTGTATTATGTTATCTTTTTGCAGTATTTCCAGTGAAGATTAATACTCTGCTTTGAATTTTAGTTGCTCTCCATTTGTTAAAAATCGTATCAACACATTCTTTTTTTTTCTCAGCTTACATTTTTTCACTCTTCGTTGGTCCCCCTCTTATTATCACTCCTGCTGTGTTTTCCTTTTTCCCCATGAAAGCCATGTTTAAATGTATTTCAAGCCCGAAACATATGCTTTCAAAAATCTATTTCTGGAGGCTGTAGTAGACCCTTTCCAAATTTGCTGCCTTCTCCGCATCCCAAGGGCTACGGTCTCTTACTCTTATGTTACAGTCTATTGTTGTCTCCCCAGCTCTCCCACCATGACAATCACCACCTTCTTTTCAAATTTTCTTTCTTTCTTTCTTTCTTTCTTTATTATTATTATACTTTAAGTTTTAGGGTACATGTGCACAATGTGCAGGTTAGTTACATATGTATACATTGCCATGCTGGTGTGCTGCACCCACTAACTTGTCATCTAGCATTAGGTATATCTCCCAATGCTATCCCTCCCCCCTCCCCCCACGCCACAGCAGTCCCCAGAGTGTGATGTTCCCCTTCCTGTGTCCATGTGTTCTCATTGTTCATTTCCCACCTATGAGTGAGAATATGTGGTGTTTGGTTTTTTTGTTCTTGCAATAGTTTACTGAGAATGATGATTTCCAATTTCATCCATGTCCCTACAAAGGACATGAACTCATCATTTTTTATGGCTGCATAGTATTCCATGGTGTATATGTGCCACATTTTCTTAATCCAGTCTATCATTGTTGGACATTTGGGTTGGTTCCAAGTCTTTACTATTGTGAATAATGCCGCAATAAACATACGTGTGCATGTGTCTTTATAGCAGCATGATTTATAGTCCTTTGGGTATATACCCAGTAATGTGATGGCTGGGTCAAATGGTATTTCTAGTTCTAGATCCCTGAGGAATCACCACACTGACTTCCACAATGGTTGAACTAGTTTACAGTCCCACCAACAGTGTAAAAGTGTTCCTATTTCTCCACATCCTCTCCAGCACCTGTTGTTTCCTGACTTTTTAATGATTGCCATTCTAACTGGTGTGAGATGATATCTCATTGTGGTTTTGATTTGCATTTCTCTGATGGCCAGTGATGGTGAGCATTTTTTCATGTGTTTTTGGCTGCATAAATGTCTTCTTTTGAGAAGTGTCTGTTCATGTCCTTCACCCACTTTTTGATGGGGTTGTTCTGATCTTTTCAAATTTTCTGAAGTGAAAAAGGAGTTTCTGGATCATGTAGGTTGTTTTTCTCTGTCCCCCTTTCTGTCCATCTGAGTATGTGGAGTCTTCCTCAACTATCTTTAGCAGGAGATCTGGTTCCTGTAAATTTATACTATCTTTTCCATTATTTAGCTGAGAGGCAAATGGGAAATGTGTTATTTGACCTCAGTCCCTCAAATGTCTGGCATTTTAAAGCAGCAGCACAGGGTGGTTCCAGCAGCCCCGATAAGCAGGAAACTAGCAGGACCATAGGGGATTGACTATGGAAGAATCCTGGGACTCACAAACTAGTGTGAAGGCTAGAACAAGCAGAAAGGTAGAGATAGAAACTTGACTAATGGTCTTCTTAATTTCACATGAGAGAAGAAATAGAAAACATGTTTCCCTCCCCCACCCATAAATATCTATGCCCATATTTCCTGATTTGTCCAGGACAAGCTAGATTATGTCTATTCAGTTAGCATACTCACTCACTTTCACAAGTGTCTCTGTTTAGATGAGAAGTTACATGGCCCTCCCCATATCTGGACTTCCTTCCCATTCCATCAAGTGGCTGAATATCTGAAGAGATAACACAATGGTATATCAATCAACTCTCCAACTAAAGACAGATGATGATGCTTCTAAGCAGTAAGGTTAGCACAAGCAGGGAAAAGTGGATTGCATGGAACAAATTTCTCTGTTTTTCAGCAGTCCGTAATAATAAGTTATGTACTAAGTAATTCTGGACTTCAATTAAATTATCAGTTCATTTTTTTTTCTTGGTCAGAATTAACTTGTAAGCAGCAGCACTCCTGATTGTACTCTCTCTCTTCTAAGAAACAAATTGTCAAAAAGTTAAATTCAGATTGTATCAGATTGAATGTTTTCTGGAAAATGTCTAAATAGCTTGTTCCCTGTCTCACCTCACTCTTCACCAGTGTATACTGCTCCTATATGGTCCTTGTGAAGTTATAATTATCCACCCTCCCTCCCTGACTATAATAGTTTTGTTTAAGGGACATGTAAATCTCTCTAGACTTTAGTCTACCTTCTGTAATATGAAGAATTTGAAAAGAATTGGCTAAATTTACTTCTAAAAATCTGTAAACATAAGATTCTGTTTTCCCATTCTTCATAACAAAATGCTATTTTCTTTCTCATCAATTAGAGCACTTTGCTTTGAACAAGATTCACCTTCCCATTGCTATATCCCAGTCAATTACATCCCTCTAAGTCTCCATGAAACTTTGTGTTTAATTTCTCTTCTTGTGTTAAAATTTCAAGGCCATTTATTATTCATTCTCTGTGCATTACTTTATAAACATTGGAAACCACAGACAACATGCTATCTACCTTCTTGTTGATTCCTTCCAGAATATCCAAATATTAGCAACCACCCCCTTTTGTTTCTGTCCATCAACATTTCACAATTCCAACTCTATATTTCCCTCAGTCCCTCAAATTTCCTTTAAGAGCTCCTTGACTAATGGTCTTCCTCACAAAGCACTCTTCTTAATTCTTCACTACCACTTGCCAGGAGTCCTTAATTTTGTGTCATGAACCTAATGTAGGAAGTGTTGTCCTTTTCTTCTACTCTGTGGAACCAATTTTTCAAACCCAATATCATCTTTCCTTTTTCAAAATTATATACTTTAACTAAAAGATGAGATTAAAATATCTCTGCTCTTCAGACCTCAAGTTTCCTACAAAGGATTTTGAAGTCACTGGAGAGAGATTCTAGATTTATACGGAAGCAGGTTATGTAATAGAAACATCTGACTCTCCTGACAGCACTAGGCCCTGATTAGCAATACTCTATAAAGCACAATTTCTACGGTTTAGAGGCAATTCAAAAAATTTAGGAACTAGTTGCGCGTTCCTGGGGCATTAAAGTAGTCTCCTCTCCTTGAAGACATAGGGGAAGTAACTTTGCTCACATGTGTTTCTTCAACTTTCTGCATCTCACTGCCCTTTCTCTTCTTTTGTCATTTTCAATGAAATTTAAACTTCCATTAAAAATTTGAAAAGTACTAAGGGAAAAAATGAACCCTAAATGTCTACCTTCAAAGGAGAAAAGGCAATAAAAGTTAAGGAAATCAGATGTGTTTAGTATCCTACTTTATGACAACCAAAGATTATATGAGAGCAAAATGAAAATGAAATAAGGTATTTTTATGAAAATTGGTTAAAATTTTACATGTGAATTCCAACCTGTTATTAAAGTTTTCTGAGCCAGACAGAAAATGGAATGCAGACAAGGAACAGTACTCAATGGCAGTGACATTTCCTGACAGAGCAATTCTTTGCATATCAGCAGGACTAATTATATTCAATCTCACAGCAGCAATTTAACCCATTCACCAGAGGAAAGTGCTTCTTATAAGACTAGTGATTTAAGCATTTATTTGGATGCCAATTCTAGCTTGGCAATATATATTTAAAATGTACAATTAATTTTCAATGGCTAATGTATGAATTATAAACATGATTTCTCATCAATGCTGTAGAATGGTATACGTGTAAGTGAAAGTAGGAGGTGTCTGCATTTGAGAGTCACACATAATGCCACATTAAACCATTTAGATATTCCCTCAGGCACCTTAAATTTTTTGTTGTAAGGGTAAGCCCATTACCTGCCAGGCAATATTTTGCTAATGTCAGCCAGCACATATAGTATTTAAAAGATAGTAATTTTTAGTTGGCAATATCATATTTACAGAACACAAAGCCAAGTAGAGATTATTCAGACAAAAATATATTGTGTAACTGAAATTATGAAGATTGAATGTTTGGCATGATTAAATCAAAAGCTTAACTCTTACCTTGTACAGCTTTTTCCCATCAAATGAACACTGTACTTCCCTCCATGCCTGGTCCCCATATGCATACTGACACATTTCAGGGATTCAAGCTGTTCTTCAATGATTGTAAAGAGAATTCTGAAAATTCTGCTGTCTTAGAAATGGGACAAATTTAAAGGGAGTATAAAGGGCACATTTTGCTTTTAAGATAAAAGTGGATAAACAGGAGACACTTGACATTGAGCATTTCCTTAAGGACTTAGTGGAATGCTTTACACAAAAGGACTCTCTGGCCTTTATCAGCTCAAAGAATGACTGATCTTATAACTAGTGATCCTATATTTATCTGTGAGCAAAGTTCAGAGCTTAATCAGGCAATTCTCAAAGAGTGGTGCTATAGTTTGGATGTTTGTACCCCTAGTTGTCATGTTGAAATTTGGTCCCCACTGCACAAGGTGGGGCCTAATGGCAGGCATTTGGATCATGGGAGAAAATCCCTCATGAATAGCTGGGTGCTGTCCTCGCAGTAATGAGTGAGTGCTCACTTGATTAGTTCCCTTGAGAGCTGGTTGTTGAAAAGAGCCTGGCACCCCTCCCCCTTTCTCTCTCACTCCCTCCCTCACCATGTGATCTCTGCACACACTGGCTCCCCTTTGCCTCCTGCCATGAGTGGACACAGCCTGAGGCTTTCACCAGATGCACAATTTTTCAGCCAGAAAAGTCATAAGCTAAATAAACTCCTCTACAAGTCACCCAGCCTCAGGTATTCCTTTATAGCAACACTAAACAGACAAGTGGTTTGCAGAATCTGGGGAATAGAAGCCAGGAGGCCTTCCCTCCATTGCCTCTCACAGTTCTGTTTCTTATGTGTTCCATGTCTTTTTTATCCAAAGTTAAATAGGAAGCATTGCTATCATGTTTTAAGTCATTTGTAATTAATGAACTTCTTTATAGCCACCTCTACACAAGTTTATTTGGATCCACATAAAGACCTTTTCCTTAAAAGTTGGATTAGGCTGAGATTTTCAATACTCCAGACTGCAAACACTTTACAGTTTGTTACTTCTAGCATTGTTAGAATTGGCAGAAAAAAGTTGATAATGTTTTAAAATGTCTTGTCTAACTTTGCCTTTCTGTCTTTGCTTTAACATATTAAAATAACTTCTTTATTCTAGGCATCTTCTAGTAAAGTATTGCCACCTTTTATGGAGGCTTTGTGAGAGAAAAAGGGACCAAGTCTGTGGTATCGTAGCAAAATCGCCCTGTTAGTCCCAGATGGTAATGGACCATAACAAAATAAACATCTTTTCCTAAATTAAGTGATTATGTAAACACTGAGCATTATTAACTCTTCAATGTTTATAAGGGTTAGTTAGAAACATCGAATTAACTCTATGCTTGAGAGAACATGAGTGGTTAGGAAAAAGTTCATGAATGAAATTAGAAAATAGATATATTTTGGTCTGTAGCTATGGAAATGATGCAGTTGAGGTTCCTCATTTATAAATATTGGTCATCCAATGTAAGGATCAACTAAGAAAACCCTTCCTGGACAAACTCCATAATTTACTAGTCACAAGAAATGTGAAGGACTAACAGGGAATGTATAACCAAAAATATCTTGGACAAGCACCCAGAAATCTTTGCCAAATATTTGAAAGGCAAATTTTCCCATATACGTTTTCATTTTTATTCGCACATGTCTTTAGTCAGGACCAGGAGACCTAAAGTCCACATTGTAGAATGTGGGAGATCATCTTTGTGTTTAAACTCTGTTGGTTTCATCAGCATTTACGAAGAAGTTATATTCTAAGCACTCTGTTGTAAAAGAGAGAGAAGCAAGGACATATTAAAGAAAACCTTTCTCTCAAGGAATTTACAATTAAGTTCAGGATCAGTAGAAACAAATATGAATAAAAAATTAACTGCAAATACATAGATTGCTTTAGCATAAACAGTAATATATGTGGCACAGGATAAATCAGAGTAGAATCATGGAGGCTTATTAGTAATATTTCTGTCCTTTCTTCTGAATTTTTGTTATTTGTACATTTGGTTTAATTGGTATTCCACATTAATAAATAGGTCAGTAAGAACAGCTCCACACTTCTGTTGATTGTTAAATAATATTCATGTATTCTAAGAATAAACAGATGAATTTTTAAATAAAATAGAAAGTTGATTCTCCAAAAGTAGGTGAACAGGGAATTGAAAAGCAATGCTATTTAATCATTAAGAACAAGTTTATCGTGGTAGCCACAATAATTCCAATCATTTATGTGACATTTTATAGTATCCAAATATTACTTTCTCATATATTCTCCTAATTTCATCCTTAAAACAATCATGTGAAAATGCCCTGACCATTATCATTATTTTTATTTTGCACAAAATAATAAATGTAGCCAGAGAGCTTGAGATGACATCACTAGTGAATGGTAGGTGGAGGATTGGAAGCCAGATACTTAGATATTAATTGGTGTGTATCAACTCTTCTGGAAAATAGTATAAAGTGGTTGTAGTTTATCTGTGTGTCTAATTGTATGGGGGAGTCATATATAAAATTTGAAAGTGACATAAATAATGAAGAAGAGTAAGTGAGAAGAGGTCCTTAAATCCATAAGAATGTTCAAGGGGAGAAAGCCCAGAATAAGCATTATGTAAAATTCTACAGGAGAGGTTCCAAGATGGCCAAATAGGAACAGCTCTAGTCTGAAACTCCCAGCATGAGCGATGCAGAAGACGGGTGATTTCTGCATTTCCAACTGAGGTACTGGGTTCATCTCACTGGGGCTTGTCAGGCAGTGGGTGCAGCCCACAGAGCAGGGCGGGGCATCGCCTCACCCGGGAAGTGCAAGGGGTCGGGGAATTCCCTTTCCTAGCAAAGGGAAGCCTTCACAGATGGTACCTGGAAAATCGGGACACTCCCACCCTAATACTGCACTTTTCCAATGGCCTTAGCAAACGGCACACCAGGAGATTATATCCCATGCATGGCTTGGAGGGTCCCATGCCCAGGGAGCCTCACTCACTGCAAGCACAGCAGTCTGAGATCGAACTGCAACTTGGCAGCGAGGCTTGGGGAGGGGTGCCCGCCATTGCTGAGGCTTGAGTAGGTAAACAAAGCTGCCTGGAAGCTCCAACAGGGTGGAGCCCACTGCAGCTCAAGGAGGCCTGCCTGCCTCTGTAGACTCCATCTCTGGGGGCAGGGCATAGCTGAACAAAAGGCAGAAGAAACTTCTGCAGACTTAATGTCCCTCTCTGACAGCTTTGAAGAGAGTAGTGGTTCTCCCAGCACAGAGTGTGAGATCTGAGAATGGACAGACTGCCTCCTCAAGGGGGTGCCAGAACCCTGAGTAGCCTAACTGGGAGACACCTCCCAGTAGGGGCCGAATGACACCTCATACAGCCGGGGGCCCCTCTGAGACGAAGCTTCCAGTGGAAGGATCAGGCAGCAACATCTGCCGTTCTGCAATATTTGCTTTTCTGCAGCCTCCGCTGGTGATACCCAGGCAAACAGGGTCTGGAGTGAACCTCCAGCAAACTCCCACAGACCTGCAGCTGAGGGTCCTGACTGTTAGAAGGAAAACTAACAAACAGAAAGGACATCCACACCAAAACCCCATCTGTATGTCACCATCATCAAAGACCAAAGGTAGATAAAACCACAAAGATGGGGATAAACCAGAGCAGAAAAGCTGAAAATTCTAAAAATCAGAGCGCCTCTTCTCCAAAGGAATGCAGCTCCTCCTCAGCAATGGAACAAATCTGGATGGAGAATGACTTTGAAGAGTTGAGAGAAGAAGGCTTCAGATGATCGGTAATAACAAACTTCTCCAAGCTAAAGGAGAATGTTTGAACCCATAGCAAAGAAGCTAAAAACCTTGAAAAAAGATTAGACGAATGGCTAACCAGAATAAACAGCGTAGAGAAGACCTTAAATGACCTGATGGAGCTGAAAACCATGGCACGAGAACTACGTGACATATGCACAAGCTTCAGTAGCTGATTTGATCAAGTGGAAGAAAGAGTATCAGTGACTGAAGATCAAATGAATGAAATGAAGAGAGAAGAGAAGTTTAGAGAAAAAAGAGTAAAAAGAAATGAACAAAACCTCCAAGAAATATGGGACTAGGTGAAAAGACCAAATCTAAGTCTGATTGGTGTACCTGAAAGTGATGGGGTGAATGGAACCAACTTGGAAAACACTCTTCAGGATACTATCCAGGAGAACTACCCCAACCTAGTGAGGCAGGCCAACATTCAAATTCAGGAAATACAGAGAACGCCATGAAGATACTCCTCAAGAAGATCAACTCCAAGACACATAATTGTCAGATTAACAAAGTTGAAATGAAGGAAATAGTGTTAAGGGCAGCCAGAGAGAAAGGTCGGGTTACCCACAAAGGGAAGCCCATTGGACAAACCCTGGATCTCTCAGCAGAAACTCTACAAGCCAGAAGAGAGTGGGGGCCAATATTCAACATTCCTAAAGAAAAGAATTTTCAACCCAGAATTTCATATCCAGTCAAACTAAGCTTCATAAGTGAAGGAGAAATAAAATCCTTTACAGACGAACAAATGCTGAGAGATTTTGTCACCACCAGGCCTGCCCTAAAAGACCTCCTGAAGGAAGAACTAAACATGGAAAGGAACAACTGATACCAGCCACTGCAACAACATGCCAAATTGTAAAGACCATCGATGCTAGGAAGAAACTGCATCAACTAACAAGTAAACTAACCAGCTAACATCATAATGACAGGATCAAATTCACACATAACAATATTAACCTTAAATGTAAATGGGCTAAATGCTCCAATTAAAAGACATAGATGGGCAAATTGGGTAAAGAGTGAATACCCATCAGTGTGCTGTATTCAGGAGACCCATCTCACGTGCAGAGACACACATAGGCTCAAAATAAAGGGATGGAGGAAGATCTACCAAGCAAATGGAAAACAAAAAAAAAAGCAGGGGTTGCAATCCTAATCTCTGATAAAACAGACTCTAAACCCGCAAAGATCAAAAGAGACAAATAAGGCCATTACATAATGGTAAAGGGATCAATTCAACAAGAAGAGCTAACTATCCTAAATATATATGCACCCAATACAGGAGCACCCAGATTCATAAAGCAAGTCCTTAGAGACCTACAAAGAGACTTAGACTCCCACACAATAATAATGGGAGACTTTAACACCCCACTGTCAACATTAGAGAGATCAACGAGACAGAAAGTTAACAAGGATATCCAGGAATTGAACTCAGACATAATAGACATCCACAGAACTCTCCACCCCAAATTAACAGAATATACATTCTTCTTAGTACCACATAACACTTATTCCAAAATTGACCACATAGTTGGAAGTAAAGCAGTCCTCAGCAAATGTAAAAGAACAGAAATTATAACAAACTGACTCTCAGACCACAGTGCAATCAAACTAGAACTCAGGATTAAGAAACTCACTCAAAACCGCTCAACTACATGGAAACTGAACAACCTGCTCCTGAATAACTACTGGGTGCATAACGAAAGGAAGGCAGAAATAAAGATGTTCTTTGAAACCAATGAGAACAAAGACACAACATACCAGAATCTATGGGACACATTTAAAGCAGTGTGTAGAGGGAAATTTATAGCACTAAATGCCCACAAGAGAAAGCAGGAAAGATCTAAAATTGACACGCTAATATCACAATTAAAAGAACTAGAGTAACAAGAGCAAACCATTCAAAAGCTAGCAGAAGGCAAGAAATAACTGAGTTCAGAGCAGAACTGAAGGAGATAGAGACACAAAAAAACCCTTCAAAAGATCAATGAATCCAGGAGCTGGTTTTTTGAAAAGATCAACAAAATTGATAGACCACTAGCAAGACTAAGAAAGAAGAAAATGGAGAGGAATCAAATAGATGCAATAAAAAATGATAAAGGGGATATCACCACTGATCCAAAGAAATACAAACTACCATCAGAGAATAATATAAACACCTCTGTGCAAATAAACTAGAAAATCTAGAAGAAATGCATAAATTCCTCGACACATACACCCTCCCAAGACTAAACCAGGAAGAAGCTGAATCGCTGACTAGATCAATAACAGGTTCTGAAATTGAGGCAATGATTAATGGCCTACCAACAAAAAAAATCCAGGACCAGACGGAATCACAGTTGAATTCTACCAGAGGTACAAAGAGGATCTGGTACCATTCCTTCTGAAACTATTCTAATCAATAGGAAAAGAGGGAATCCTCCCTAACTCATTTTATGAGGCCAACATCATCCTGATACCAAAGCCTGGCAGAGACACAACAAAAAAAGAGAATTTTAGACCAATATCCCTGATGAACATCGATGTAAATATCCTCAGTAAAATACTGGCAAACCAAATCCAGCAGCACATCAAAAAGCTTATCCACCATGATCAAGTGGGCTTCATCCCTGGGATGCAAGGCTGGTTCAACATATGCAAATCAATAAACGTAATGCATCATATAAACAGAACCAAACACAAAAACCACATGATTATCTCAATAGATGCAGAAAAGGCCTTCAACAAAATTCGACACCTCTTCATGCTAAAAACTCTCAATAAATTAGGTATTGATGGGAAGTATCTCAAAATAGTAAGAGCTATCTATGACAAACCCACAGCCAATATCATACTGAATGGGCAAAAACTGGAAGCATTCCCTTTGAAAACTGGCACAAGACAGGGATGCCCTCTCTCACCACTCCTATTCAACATAGTGTTGGAAGTTATGGCCAGGGCAATCAGATAGGAGAAAGAAATAAATAGCATTCAATTAGGAAAAGACAGAGTCAAATTGTCCCTGTTTGCAGGTGACATGATTGTATATTTAGAAAACCCCATTGTCTCAGTCCAAAATCTCCTTAAGCTAATAAGCAACTTCAGCAAATTCTCAGGATACAAAATCAATGTGCAAAAATCACAAGCATTCCTTTACACCAATAACAGACAAACAGAGAGCCAAATCATGAGTGAACTCCCATTCACAATTGCTTCAAGGAGAATAGAATACCTAGGAATCCAACTTACAAGGGATCTGAAGGACCTCTTCAAGGAGAACTACAAACCACTGCTCAACAAAATAAAAGAGGACACAAACAAATGGAAGAACATTCCATGCTCATGGATAGGAAGGATCAATATTGTGAAAATGGCCACACTGCCCGTGGTACTTTATAGATTCAATGCCATCCCCATCAAGCTACCAATGACTTTCTTCACAGAATTGGAAAAAACTACTTTAAAGTTCATATGGAACCAAAAAAGAGCCCACATTGCCAAGACAATCCTAAGCCAAAAGAAAAAAGCTGGAGGCATCATGCTACCTGAATTCAAACTATACTACAAGGCTACAGTAACCAAAACAGCATAGTACTGGTACCAAACCAGAGATATAGACCAATGGAACAGAACAGAGCCCTCGGAAATAATACCACACATCTACAACCATCTGATATTTGACAAACCTGACAAAAACAAGCAATGGGGAAAGGATTCCCTATTTAATAAATGGTGCTGGGGAAACTGGCTAGCTATATGTAGAAAGCTGAAACTGCATCCTTTCCTTACACCTTATACAAAAATTAATTCAAGATGGATTAAAGACTTAAATATTAGACCTAAAACCATAAAAATCCTAGAAGAAAACCTAGGCAATACCATTCAGGACATAGGCATGTGCAAGGACTTCATGTCTAAAACACCAAAAGCAATGGCAACAGAAGCCAAAATTGACAAATGGGATCTAATTAAACTAAAGAGCTTCTGCACAGCAAAAGAAAGTACCATCAGAGTGAACAGGCAACCTACAGAATGAGAGAAAATTTTTCAATCTACCCATCTGACAAAGGGCTAATATCCAGAATCTACAAAGAACTTAAACAAATTTACAAGAAAAAATCAAACAACCCCATCAAAAACTGTGCAAAGGATATGAACAGACACTTCTCAAAAGAAGACATTTATGCAGCCAACAGACACATGAAAAAATGCTTGTCACTGGCCATCAGAGAAATGTAAAGCAAAACCACAATGAGATACCATCTCACACCTGTTAGAATGGCAATCATTGAAAAGTCAGGAAACAACAGGTGCTGTAGAGGATGTGGAGAAACAGGAACACTTTTACACTGTTGGTGGGACTGTAAACTAGTTCAACCATTGTGGAAGACAGTGTGGCGATTCCTCAAGGATCTAGAACTAGAAATACCATTTGACCCAGCCATCCCATTACTGGGCGTATACCCAAAGGATTATAAATCCTGCTGCTATAACTACACATGCACATGTATGTTTATTGCGGCACTATTCACAATAGCAAAGACTTGGAACCAACCCAGATGTCCATCAGTAATAGACAGGATTAAGAAAATGTGGCACATATACACCATGGAATACTATGCAGCCATAAAAACAGATGAGTTCATGTCCTTTGTAGGGACATGGATGAAGCTGGAAACCATCATTCTGAGCAAACTATCTCAAGGACAGAAGACCAAACACCACATGTTCTCACTCATAAGTGGGAATTGTGCAATGAGAACACTTGGATACAGGGTGGGGAACATCACACACTGGGGCCTGTCATGGGGTGGAGGGAGGGAGAAGGGATAGCATTAGGAGATATACCTAATGTAAATGATGAGTTAATGGGTGCAGCACACAAACATGGCACATGTCTACATATGTTACAAACCTGCAAGTTGTGCACATGTACCCTAGAACTTAAAGTATAATTAAAATAAAAAATTTTAGCTGGGCATGGTGTTGAGTTCCTGTAGTCCCAGCTACTTGGGGCTGAGGTGGTAGGATGGCTTGAGCCCAGGAGGCCGCAGTGAGCTGTTATTCCACCTCTGCACTTCAGCCAGGGTGACAGAACCAGACCTTGTTACAAAAATATTTTTTAAGTAAAAGTTATTTTTTAAAAAGTAATTCAGCCTGGCAACATGGCGAAACCGCATCTCTACAAAAAAAAAACAGAAAAATTTGCTGGGCGTCGTGGTAAGCGCCTGTAATCTCAGTTACTCAGGAAGGTAAGGTAGAATTGCTTGAATTGGGAGGCAGAGTTTGGAGTGAGCCGAGATGGCACTATTGTACTCCAGCCTGGGTGACAGAGCGAGACTCCGTCTCAAGAATAAAAATAAAAGAGTAATGCATCACTAGTAGAATGTTGACCAAAGCTTGTTGCTTAAACATGTTTTACTGAATCGAAATAAATACCAATCTGTAACAAGAAGTACAGAGAAAATAATGCATTGGACAAAGTAAAACCACAACTATGCCAAGCATTACTTGGGAAAATGGAAATTTCAGATGTTGAGCTAATAAAATATCTTGTAATAAAAAAAAAAAAAGGAATCCAGAAGAAGAAACCAACCTAGCCTGCAAAGATTAACAAAGACTTTACTAAGGAACTGAATATGAATCACTCATAATTATAACGGCTGTTGTTACATTCAACACTCAACATTTTCTACTTTTAGGAAATATAAAGCAGTTACATTACTATAGATCCAAAGAACGTTTTTATACACTTATTTATGATTTTTTGTAACTCTATACATTTCATTTACACAAAATTCTAAATTTTTCCTTACTCATTATAAAACAAGTATAAGTTTTATAACAAATTATAAAACAAGGTTCCTATCTTGTCACACCTGTCATTTATCTCATAAGATACATTGTTAATATCTTAATATTTACATACAGACTTTATTAACTGACCTACTACTTTTTAAGAAATGCTTTAAAATTACATTAAATATATAATCTAAAGTTTAACTACAAAATTAACAAAAATATTTGTTGTATTTATTTTTCTAGAGTATACATAGTTTCCATGAAGCAAATTTAGAAAGGCTTTTAAATAGAAGGAAATTAGATTTTTATCAATAAATTTAATTTTTATTTCACTAAATGTATCTGACAGTTGATCCCCAGAAAGGATTGTAGATGAATTTCCAATAGCCATCTCAGCTGCTGAATATATTTCTATCTTGTTTGGATAGAAACTCTTAAATCACAGAGAGAGAGAGAGAGAGAGAAACATATCAACATAACAGCAGTAGATTTTCTGTCCCCTTATCAGGACACTTATCTTGCCATGGCATTGCAGGGTGCCTATCCTCAACCCTAGACTCTAGTATTGCAAGTGTCAAAGTAGGACTAACTCTTCCACCAGGGCTGTTGTCCACCACCAAGAGAGGGGTGAATGTGGAAATTAGTGATGATCCACAGGTCCTGCACAGACGACTAATGTAAACTTTTTACTTTCATTTAAAGTCATTTTAGAAGGCAAGATTCAGAGCAGCAGTCAGAGCAGGAGCAGGATATTACATCAAGAATGGGCCAGACATGGTGGCTTACGCCCATAACCACAGCACTTTGGGAGGTCGAGGCAGGAGAATTGCTTGAGTCCGGGAGTTTGAGACCAGTCTGGGCAACATGGTGAGACCCTGTCTCTACAAACGATTAAAAAATTAGCCAGGCTTTGTGGCATGTGTCTGTAGTCACAGCTACTCAGGAGGCTGATGTGGGAGGATGGCTTGAGCCCAGGAGATAGAGGCTGCAGTGAGCTATGATAACACTACTGCACTCCAGCCTGGACTACAGAGTGAGACTCTGTCTCAAAAAAAAAAAAAAAAAAAAAAAAAAAAAAAAAAAAAAAAAGAACGAATGGACAAGAGTAATATGAGCGTTATTCTTAGACACGGTGGGTTAATGGGAGGCTGATATTAGGTTTTTCCTCCTATATAGTTCCAGATCTCTTTATTGGACTGTTAAACGAAAAGTTATGTTGTTCCTCACAACCACAAAATGCTGGGATTACAGGCATGAGCCACTGTGCCTGGCCCGTTCTTGATCGAATATCCTGCTCCTGCTGCATTCTTGACCCCTGATCTCCATCTTGCCTTCTAAAATGACTCATTTTTTCTTGGGTTGCTTTGTTCCTCATGAAAAGCTCTCCAAATTCCCAGACACTAATATGTGGCTGACATTTACTGGAGATTCAGAAAACTGAATAGCTAATTCAAACAGCAACTTTGTATTGAAGATTATACATCACTATTCTAAAAATCCATCATTCTTGCTTTTATAGGAATTTTATCTTGTCTGGACCTCTCCATTTTCTTGAGACTGACTATAATCCAAATCAAAACTCCTGTCTTTTTATGTTGCCACCCTCCACTGCTAAATCACTTAAATTTCTTAAGCAGAGCCATTGAGCTCTCTACTCTTTTCGTTCCCCAAATTAGGGCTAAGCATCATTTAGGGTCTGTAGTTTCCAATAGTACAAATTGGAAAAATTTATCATGCATATATGTAAGTGTCATATTTTAAAATAGAGGTAGCTTTGTAGATTAGTGTTGTGTTAAAATCTTAAGTAATGTTAAGACAAATGATTCTGCATATGGAAAAAAATTGAATCTCTCCCTTCTGTACACCATCAGCAAACATCAATTCCAGGTGAATCAAATTCTTAAGAGGAAAATATAAACTTTTAAAATTTTTAGAATGCATAGAAGGTTATCTTTGTGACCTCTTGGTATGGAAATGTTTCATAAACAGGACACAAAAAAGTATCACCATAAAGGAAAATATTAACAAAACTATATAAAACTTAAGTTTCCTGTTCGTGAAAAAAATCATGAGAAAACTGGAGAAATATCTGTCACACATATAGTTGACTAAAATTTGATATTCATAATAATACAAAGACCTCCTGCAAAAGAATAAGACAAAAGCAAACAATTCTGTTGGAATATAGGTAGACAAAATGAATAGATTTCATTGAAGAAAAGCAATGGGGCAATAAAAATATGAAAAAATGCTCAAATGCATTAGTAATTAAGGAAATACAAATTAACCCCGAATAATAAATACAAATAAACCCCCAATAATATAAACAGTTTATCTTAATTATATCGACAAGACTTTAAAAATATGGCAATATAATATCTGTCAAGATGTGGAACAATTAGCATTCATATACTACTAGTGAGAGTGTAAACTGGTACAAAAAATTTGGGTAAGATTTTCTTATTTTTAGGTAAAATACACAGATAGCAGGTATGTGTTTTGTGTTCCATCAACTCTACTAGTTAAGCATGTGAAAATTTGTATATCTATACCATCAAGCATGGGCAAGGATGTTTATAGCTGCACTGTTTGCAAAGGCAAAGAACTGGAAACAAACAAGAGAATGTTTAACAGATTCTATAACCATATGGAAGTGCAAATGAATGAACTCTAACTACAGACGTCAACATGGATGGATCTCAGACATAATATTGAATGATAAATACAAATATCAGACTTCCTACAGTGTGATATGATTTTTATTAAGCTCAAAAATGAGCAGAATTAAACAATATTTGTTTAGCTATACCTAGGTAGAAAAAACAATGTAAAAAAGCAAGGGCATATAGAAACAAACCTTGGGGATGACCACAGAGGGGTGAGATCTGGGAGGAATATACAGGGAGTTGCCATTGTAATGGGAATGTTATCTTTTTAAATTGAGTGGTAACTTCACCCTGCTTGTTTTATTGTTATGTTTCATAAGAATACTTATGTCATATGTCACTGTCTGAGACAGTTACTCTCTGTCGGAATTTCCAAAGAACATTGTGCCCCTCACAGCACTCCAGGAGGGGCATGTGCTGTAAATTAATATTGCCGTACTCTTAAAGCCCTTGACATTTAGCATAGATCTTGTTGTTTGTGGTTAAGATATGCTTGTTAAATGGACTAACAATGAGAAAATTGAAGGTGGCAAGAAAATCCCTTTGGGAATTCATTTCTAAATAAAGAAAATGTAATCACGGTATTTATTATTATTATTTCTAGTTTTGCTCAATTATTTTCTTATCTTCTCTACGAAAAAATAATATATTTTAAAGCTATTTGCAATGAATACCTAGCCATAACTATAAGGAGGTGATAAACATTAAAATAAATCTCTAAGTTTAATGTTAAGCAATATCATTGCTGTGTACTGAGACAATCAAAAAAGACATCCAGTCATGTGATATTCATTTTATGTTTAAAATATAGTGAAAATGGCTTTTTTTCCTTTAAAAAAAGTCACTGAGGAAAAATTAATTAAAGTTCTACCTATTCAGTATCTTTGTTCGTAGACTTGCTGCTGTTGTTTTGAAATCTTCATTGTTTGCTAATGAGCAATTAAAAATGTCAAATCCAGTCAGTGCTTTGGCTGATAATTTGGGGGCATAGCAAGACTTTGTAGCACAGACTGCTTTAAACAAATAAGTCAGAGACAGGGACTCCCTCAAAGCAAAGTCCTGCTTTCCCCAGTGCACAGTGCCTGAGGGAAAGGGTGAGGGATGGGTCTGATGATACTACAGGAGTATCCAGGAAAAACTCAAAATTTCAAGGAAGTAAGGATAAGAACATCTAGGCCACCATGAAAGATGAATTTATACTGGGAACGTGTATCACTAAAAGGATACGAAATAGCCACTTCCTCAGCACAACAGAGTTAGCCAGCTGTCAGCTGCTAAATTTAGCAAAACTTGGAGCAAACCAGTTTAATACTGTGTATTCACTTTTAATTATAATAATGCCATCGTTTCCTAATGCCTTCTTTTTAGTGATGTATATCCCTATTATATGTAATCAGGATGTTATACTCTCCTTCTGAAATAGAGACTTTGCACTACAGCAGCAGTTTAAAAACATGGACTTTAGACTGAAGCTTTCATTTGACTTTTTGCTCCATCCACTGCTGGATGACAGATCTTGGGCAAGATACTTAACCTCTGTAAGTCTCTATTTTATCATTTGTAAAACAGCACCTAAAAACTCAAGTAATGCTAGTTCTGTTATTCAGCTTCATTTGCAGTGACATTTACCATTCAATTTGAAATTTTCATGGATCTATTAACAAATATTAATGTAGGACAAGCATCTATACAATTTATTGTATAGTTGGGAAAACAAGGAAAGTAATTAAATTCAGCAACTATTTATTACCTACTCCAGGTCAGGCACTAAACATAAATATTAATTTGGTAATCTGCAAAGTTTCTTATAGTTTAAGAGTAAGTCAAGATGAAGTATTTAGTGCTGAATTTTTATATAGAAATTATTGTATTTCCATGAGAAAAAAATTTACTTAGGTAGAATTTTAATCCTTGCTATGGAAAAATAACAAAATAAAGAATAAAAGCACCATGTCTATATACCACTCCCCAAAATCATTTCTGAGACATTATTAAGTATTATATCAATCTTAAGTGTCAGAAACGTCATCTTTAGAGAGGTTTCCTTTCATTTTCACAATTGATAAGACTAGTGTTTGAGAATGTTTTGAGGAAATCTCTTCACCTTTTCCTTATCTCTTGCACAGCAGCATTTAAACTCTCTAGTATGACACACCTGGTTTCTCAAAGGTCTAGCCCTGCTGCCTTTCACTCTAACCATTTTTTTCCCCTATTTCCTATACTTTAAATTCCAAATCCAAAAGGAACGTGTGTTGCTTCTGCAGCCTTCATGTGTTACCTTCTGCATGGCATTCACTCTGCTGGAATTACTTAGTGGATTTGCTTAGTACACTGGTGAATTATTAGATTGTATGTATCCAACTCTCTGCTGGAATGTGGTAGGATTTTTGTTTGGGTGGTTGGTTGGCTTTGCTTTGTTTGTTTTGTTTTTGCTATTCCATATCCAAGATATTGCTCACTCTCCTTTCTCTACTATTTCTGCATCCTGAGTACTTGTATTGTTGTACTCAGGTACTGTGATTGTTTTGATATTTCTTCAGCTAGCCAGTAAGCGTCTAAAAAGTCAAGTCCATGTTTTATCAATATTTGCGTATTCAGATCTTATCTCAGTCTCTTATGTGTAGGAAGTTTACAATAAATATTAATAACACTAAATTAGAATAGAGTTTCTAAATCCTTAAGGTGAAATAAATTTGGAATTTGCATAAAAAGCAATGTTTTATAACCATTTGTTTGATGATTAATTGGTTAGTTCATTCATTGATTCAATAAATATTTAATGAGCTTCTACTATTAGCCAAGCATTGTGCCATTTCTAAGACAAATGAGTCTTTGTTCTCATGGAGTCTATATTTAAATGTGGGCAAACAAATACATAAGTGATTTGGTGATAAGGTGATAAGAGATAAGAGAATAAACAGGGCTGGTCGTGGATGATGACATTACATAGGTGGTGAGGAAGACTTCTAGGATGATATATTTTGGCAGAGACCTTAGTGTCAAAAAGTAGTGACAAAGAAAAATAGCCTTGAAACTAGAGGAAACAGCAGGCAGAGAAGTCTTAAAGAGGGACTAAGCTTGGGGTTGACAGAATGGAGAGAAATACATGTTATTGAATTTTAGGGTGCAAGGAGACAGGATTGTAGGAGAGGAGATCAGTAGAAGTAGGTCATGAAGAGCCTTTTTGATCATGTCAGAGATTTGATTTTATTCTAAGTGCAGGGTTGAGTCCCTTTCAGGTTTTCAGAGAACAACATGATCTAATTTAAGTCTTTAAAATGTATATTTGTTTGTTATGTGGAGAAAGGCTCAAAGGATGGCAAGGATAGAAAGAGAGCAAAATAAATCAAGACATAAAGCTGATTTAGGATAGGAACATCTGAGATGGAAAACATTGTGGATAGATTTGTGATGTCCCTGGGCAGATGATGTATTGGATGTGGAGGGTGAAGGAATGAGGAGAATCAAGGATGCTTTGGGACTTGAGCAACTAGGTGGACGGCAGTGGCTCAGGAGAGCTCTAGAGGAAGATGGAGCGTGCTAGAGGAAGATGAGCCCCAAAGGGCAAATCAAACTTTCTGTCATTGACCTGGAGAACTTGGAGTGCCTTTCAGACAGCCAAGTAGAGATGCCAAATAGAGAGAGTTCAGGGGGAGAGGTCAGGACTCTAGGTACTTATCTGGGAGTTACAGATTCCATTTAAAGCCGTGACATTGGATGAAATCACCTAGATGACATCATTTTTAGTGCTTGATAATTTGAGATTCTGGAGTCTGTGTTCATTTTGCTGGTAAGTTAGCAAGTTATTCAGTAATTCAGTTAATACTTATTAAATACTTACCATATGCCAGATACTGATGACATAACAGTGAACAAAGCACAAAATCCCCTGCCTTCAAGGAGCTTAGATTCTCTGGAGGGAGACAGTCAATAAACAAACAAACAAACAAATAAATAAAATTATACCTGTATGCACTGAAGAAAAGTGAGAAGAAGGATTAGAGAATGACACAGGGTGCCATTTTAGATAGAGTGATCAGGAAAGGCCTTTGTAAATAGGTGACATTTGTGATGTAGATAGATAAGATCACAGATATGTTTAATGTCTTACATTTATCTCCAGTACAAGATCTTTTAACTCTACTATGCAAAATAAAATTTCATGGTTGTACCTCGAATCATTTGTAAACAGTTCACATTACATGGATTTATCATTGGCTCAGTTCACATACTTTGCCTTATTATGGGTTCAATTTGGGAACACTTTGACAAGATCTAAAAACACTAACATTATTTTGACACATGTATGAATTAAGGTCTGCCCTATAAAATAACCCTTTATTATCTAATAGTCTCTTCCTCTTCTAAACTTTTATTTTACTAGTACCCCTCGCAAGCCACGAGCCTTTTTAGTTTATGGAGTGATCATTTATGTGCATTTATAAGCTGTCTTCTTAAACTATAATGTCTACAAAAGTAGAATCCATGTATGAGGCATATTTGTATTCCTAAAATATGTAAAATAGCATCTAGCATACGGAAGTTACTCAATAAATGAATATATTAATTATGAGATGTCTTGTAAATTACTTTTGATTTTATTATTTGATTCTTCTTTTCAACGCAGATAATTATAAGGAGAGTTACCATTGTATAAATATCTTTTTAAAACAACTTTTGAACTACCTATTATCTTTTGTCTATAAGAATGTCAATTATAAATAGCAGAAGTGCTATTTTAACAAAGTATTCTAAAGTGAGAATCATTAAGAAGGGAGAAAGTTGGGGTTGGGACCTATATAAGGACCACCTGGGGAGCTTTTCCAGGCTAGCTAAGCTCCTCTTCTCTGTAAACCCTTCCCCTACCAGGAAAATAAAAGGAAAAGCTTTTAATATATGCACCTGGAAAGAGTTTTACTTCATCCCATAGAGTTTCAGTACTTTCCTGAGCCACTATTACTGATATAAATATTCCCTACCACTCAAGTGTTTTGACTCTGGAGAAAAATGCTGAGAGACCATCTTGTAAATTATATCTAAATAACTGATTCGTTTTTGCAGAGTTATCGTCAGTTCCACATGGCAGTTTAATAAACAGTAGTGCTAGGATAAATAAGCTGAATGAATTTTAGGAAATTATCACTTCAAAGAAGAACGTCTAGGAACCCAGTCATTGGTGAAGTGCTTTTTACCTTGTTCTCTTGGTAACATCAATGTTATCTTCACAAGATAAACTATTCCTACAGCAATAAACATTATCTATTTCAATTAAAAGCTGATAAATTGGGAGTCAAGAGTACAGGCAACTCTGAGCGTGAAGACAGCCACACTGTTTGCATTCTATATTTCTCATGAAGACTTGCTATATACCCACCCATCTGACATGATTAGAACACATGAATAGTGTGTTAAAAATTGCGGTGTATTAAGCCTAAGAAATGAGATGCAAGTATAACTAAATTTAGTCCACTTTGAAAAAGGCATATTTGTTTCCAGCTTATCTCCAATTCTTTTCTTCCAGATTGTACGGTTAATGGAGAACTTGTTTTTTCTTCATTTTTTTTTCTTTTTGAAATCTGATTGACATTACTTCCCCATGTTCACTGGGGCATAGCATGACAAATGTAAACACATCATGGTACCTTGTCAAAATGGCATATTATATTAAAGATTATCATTTCTCACTACTTCTAAAACCTAAAAAGTACTGAATAGTAAATAAGATTTGTTGTAAACAATTCAGTAATATTTCATATCACTCATACTACCAACGGTTTTACCTGAAAATTTCCAGAAGTATCTTTGCCACATTTTGTTGCCTTTCCATATCTTTCCACATCTCCTTTTTCACGTTGCCCTACTGTACACCTGCAAATGATGTCACTCTCCCCTCTGACCCAATCTGTTCTTAAATGTCAGCTTAAATGCTATAGCTCATTAGTCCTTTCCTGTGTAGGTATAGCACCCATTGCAATGTGAGGAATCAGTCAAGGACAAGGTCAGCAATGGGGTTTGGAAAGATGTTCAAACTCTGTGTTTAACAACAGGTTGATCAAAGATTTTTCTATCCATTCCCTTTGACATTTCACATTAATATGATATTTTTCTTCAGCTATCCACAGTGGTTTCCCATACCGGTTAGTTGACAGCAATAGGCCTTATGTTTTATTTTTGCATCCTTTGAAAGTTATACTGTTACCTTTTTTCTCACAGCATTTAAATCCTTGGGAGAATTTTTCAACAATACATTACAATGATTTAGAAACTGAAATAACTTCGTATCATCCAAGGCCTTCAACTGAGAGGGGAGTATTAATTGCTTTGTTATGTGTTTAGAGCTGACCTTCTCTCCCCCATAATTTATTAAAATGATAGAACTACTATTGATTCTTTCACTAAAATGGAGATAAATCCTGGCAAGGGAGAGCAGTTTATATTCTGACCCAGAGTAACCAGAATAATATTAGCAGATGATAAAGTAATAGATTTGTAAAATGGAAATATTGCACTATTGCTTTCATACTGTATTTGAAAGACAATGGTCATGTGATTGCCCCAGAGACAGTGTTTATAGAAATATATTCTTTCAGAAAATGGAAGGTGATGCTCCTGATATAACTTTATGCTAGACTTTAATTTGTGGTTAAAACCTCAAGTTTCCAGGGGGAACAGTTACTTCTAGAGATATTTATAGATAGGCACTTTGAATAATCTACCAAGCTCCTTTGGTTAAAGCATTGGAAATGAAGACTCAGAGAGTTTTTAAAATATTTTCTTCTGAACTGAGAGATAGATTTCTAGTTTCTTTATCAACTAGAGTTTTCTCCTTTCTTGGAGATGGCATCAATATGATTCTCTACTTCTTTCAGCATAGCCACCTCAGGTATTTATTGGAAAATTAATAATAGATGGATTTTTTTTGTTTATTTTTATTGAGATACAATTCATATGCCATGAAATCTGCTTCTTTAAAAGTGTGCAATTCAGTGGGTTTTACTATATTTGCAGTGTTGTATAACTACCATCAGTTTCTGACTCCAGAACATTTTCATCACCCCCTGTTCCCCACAAAGAAACCCCACTCCTGTTAGCAGTCACTCTCCAACCAACCCTCCACCCTCTCCTGGAAACCACTCGTCTATTTTATGTCTCTATGGATTTGCCTATTCCAGACATTTCATACAAATGAAATCATGCAATATGGTTTCACTTAACATAATATTTTTAAGGTTCATCCATGTTGTAGCATGGATCAGTACTCTGTCCTTTTTTATTCTCTTTTATAGTTAAATAATACTCCATTGTATGGATATTCCCCATTTGTGTATCCATTCATTAGCTGATAGTCATTTGAGTTGTTTCTACCTTTGGACTATTATGAGTAATGATGCTATGAACATTCACATACAAGCAATAGTGTGGACATATGTTTTTATTTTTCTTGGGTATATACCTAGGAGTGGATAGATGGATGATTCTCGTACACTAATTTTAAGTGAAAAGCAGATCAAATTACCTTTCAGTATATATACAATTATTGGAAGACTGTAACTAACTCATCATTTCATTAGGGAAGCTATTGCTCTTTTGGTCACTTTTTAAGAATTTGTGACTAGGAAACAGAAAAACTTTTTTCCAATCTCTTTTGCCTGTAAATGCAGAAAAAAAAATTCTGAAATTAGAGGCAACGTGTGAATGTGTGTCTGTGTGTAGATTTCCTTTCAGATTTTTCTGCCACAGAAATAATAAATATATATATATAAATAATATATATATTATTTTTTATATAGCTGTGGTCAATATTAGACCAAAAAGAAAATAATCAAAAATGAATTGTAAGGAAAGCTGCCTCAAAATCTGCATTTTTTACATAGAAATAAGAAAGCCAACCCTCAAAAACTGAACATTAGATGATTATGTATTAAACTATTTGCATAATGCTCTTAGATTTTTGTCGTTTAAAAAATGAGAAAAAGTACCCTCTGAGAAGGGTAGGTTAATAAATCATCTCTCCTAATTATAGTATATAAAAAGGCAATAAATTAATGTTTTCAATGAATATTTAATGACACAGGCAAATGCACAAAATATGACATTAAGTCTAATAGAAGACTACAACCTATAAACACAAAATTGCATATAGCATTTTCCCAATTTTATAAATAACATATGCAGACAAGCCAAATATTTTAAAATGCTAAAATGTAGTTATTTGTGGAAGCTTTTTTATGCTTTATTTAGTTTTCTAAATTTCATACAATCACAAATTATAAATATAATTAAGGAAAAACAATAATTTAAAAATTGTCCTTATCATGCTGTTATCAAGACAGACAACCAGTGAATTCAACAAAACCTGAGTCATTTTCAAAAAAAGAATCAACCAACTTCAGTGTTCAGACACATAAAGACAACAGATCTCATTAAGGATTGTACTGGATACTAATGGCATAAAATAGGGACATCCAATTGTTTAAGAAAGAATGAAATGCTATATTTCAAAACTGAAGCCTCAAGTTGCTGAAACACATCCACATGTAGTTGTCAACCAGACATTTGGTTGTCACAACTTGGGGGCCTGGGAGTTGCAAACAATATCTGGTGGATAGAGGCCAGGGACGTAGCTCAATATCCTATAACACACAAGACTCCTACAGCAAGCAGTTAGAAAGCCCAAAATGTACCAAAATTGAGAAATCCTGATACAAATTGCCTATTTTAAACCATCAATCATTTCATTAACTTAGATGACTTAAATAGGCAACAGTCATTAAATATTTAAAGCTTTTTTTGGACTTGCAATTTAGAAATGTCCTATTCTGAAGTTGATACTCATGTGTAAGATAAACCTATATTGTAAATTTTACAGCAAAGTTAAAAAAAAAGTGATACTTAGATTACAGCTGGTACTAATTAAAGTTATTGTACTACTTACAATAAAAATGAAATTTAGATTTTGATACTCAATATTGTTTAATGAAAATTTATTCTGAAATAAATTACTTTTGGAAAATAACATTTTTGTACTTCAGTTTCTCATTGACACCATAAGCATATAGGATTTTTTTCTTCATTAAAGTGATCACATAAATCTAATTTATTATACATCTACTAGAGATTTTATATGTAAATTATATTGACAGACTATTCTGATGTATTTACTAAAAAACATGGCTATATCTTCAAGGCTCTTTGCTTTGTTAAAAATGATATAAACAAACGGATTACTAGCAAAATATTAATATGTAAAAGTTAATTTTTAGAAATTATACAGGTATTATTAAAGTACAACTAAAAATACATTGCCATATAGAATTCAGATGACTGAAGAAAAAAATACAAGGGTGAGACTCTTTCCTGAACAATTACTAGAACATTGAAACTTATTGGATACAATTTAGAAAAGTATTTGTATTTGACAGCCTGTCTCTTCAAGGAGTGGACTTGGCTTAATTCTTCAGCCTTGCCCCAGGCTATAGTTTCCTTCACTTTCTGGACTTCCCCACATCTCTCCTTACAGGAGGTTCTTTCAGTGCAATACTTTCTCTTTCATAGTAACTGAAATTTTGTGATTATTTATTACTTGTTCGTCTTAACTTGTTTATTATCTTTCTCTGACACGGGATGCAGGCACTTTGTTCTGCTTACCTGCTACCCAGAAGAACAATGGCATTATTATTACTGGTTGAATGCCTGAATGATTTTGGAAAAGGGAGTCAAACAACATTTTTAAGCACCTATGATATGCCGTATGCTCATCTATGTACTGATAGTTTGGACTCTTACTCCATGTGACTTACACTGTAATGGGGGCAATGTCCAGGGAACTCTGCCATAGGTGAGGTGCAGGGCTCTAAGGAAATACAGTAGAAGCTCCTTGGGTGGTCAGAGAAAAATTCCTGGGAAAATCATGTTTAAGCTGTGACCTAAAGGATGGAAAAATGATTTCCAGATGAAGAAAGGGCAAAGCATCTTCCACACAACAGGAATTCTCCCGGATAACCATTTAAACCTGGAGCATGGAATTTCTATTCACCTTTGTGAATATGCAGAAAATATGAGAGCATATTCTGTGTATGTCATAATGTTTAGTTTTGTGTAATTTAGCGTTAGGCATCAGTTAGATATTCAGTTGGAAGTTGGGTGGATCTGCAACTTAGGAGAGAAGTTTGAATTGGATGTGTAGATTTGAGGAGTTGTCAAAGTACAAGAGGGGATGTGTGAGGCATGTGTAAGGATGAGAGGGATGCATAAGGCATGTGTAAGGATGAGATCTCCCAGAAACAGTGTGCAGACTGAGGGAAAATAGAGGCAAGATGTAAAGAAATGCCAGCAAAGAGTGAGGAAAAGAGAAACCAAGAAAGCAGTGTTGCTTGAGCTGAGATTGCGAGGAAGTTCCAAGGCAAGTGATTGGTGAGCCATGCCACCCCAACTTAGGACCAGGGGTCACATGTTTGGGAGACATCACATGTGATAAGGATTAATTTAACACTTACAAAGTCAATGTGATCATTATGAAGGCAACTTCATTTTAGTGGTGGAGGCAGAATTTCAGCTATAGTACTTCAGTGTATGACTAAGCAATGTGGAACTAGAGACAGTGAGTGTAGGTAATTTTTCAAAGGTTACTTATGAGACAGACTTGGGGGAGAAGTCAGCCGTTACATGGTGTCATAGAGAACTATTTTCAAAATGGAGGACAAAGTATGCTTTCTGGCATAGAGCCAGAGCCAGTGAAGATGGAGAAGTTGAAAATGTAGGAGAAATAGAGGGCATAACGAATGGAACGAAGTCTCAAAGGATATGGGTTAAGTGCTTTATAGCTTTCATAATGTATCTACGTCAGTTAATTTCTTAAATGTTTATGATAACATTTTCACATGGGTCTTATTATTTCTACCATACAAATGAAAAAACAAAGGAGATTCAGAAAGTTTTAATAATTTGCCCAAGGGTACACAGCTAATAAATGTTAAAGCTGAGATTTAAACTCTTGTCTGTTTGCAAATCGCATATTCTTTCCCACTAAGTAATGCTGACAAGCCTCAGCTCTTTGATGTTGGTAACATTCACCTACAAATTACAGAGCCCCCAAGACAAAAAGGAGAAACTGTCCTGGTTTATTTTCAGATGCAGCATCTCACTATTTGCTCCTCAACTAAAGAATAAACTAGATAGCAGCTGAAAACATTTCTCTAAATAGATTGAATCATACTCTGGACTCCACATAAAGTGTGGTCAGCAGGTTGGCAGCATCAGTATCACCTGGGATCTTGTTAGAAAGTCCCATTCACAGGCGCACCACAGACTTTATGAAGTTACAGTCTGAGGCTGGGCTCTAGGAATCTGTGTTTTAACAAGCATTCCAGGAGACTCTGATATGCACTAAAACATAAGCAACTCTACATGGCTTGATCATACTCAACGTATTGTATGAGTATTCCTTTGAAAGCAATTTTAAAAAACCAATTATATAGATTTAACTAACTAAAGTTCCAAAACAGCACAAATATGTAGGACCATTTAGTTCTATCAGAATGCTGTATGTTGAAAGGTATCTTAGACTAATTTATGTTTGGTAATTCCCACTTGGTAAACATTGGGGAGCCAAATGTTGAATTGATAATGTATACTTTATGCTATAAGCACCTAAATTTAAAAAAAAATTAAGTGAACTAAACAAAATTACTACTTGAAATTACTAATTACACTTTTGAAAATGTATCAGTTTATTTTGGAAATAAAAGACGGTAGCTGACCTATAAAATTATGGCAGCAATAAAAGAAAAGTGTCCCTGTGTGTAGAGTTAATGACATCTTTGACAATTATGGCATAAACTAACTTATGGCATAAACTAGAGCACTACAGAGTTTCTAAGAAAAGACCAGACTTTTTAGGGTATTTTTGATTCTTCCATTTTCATTATGAGTGAACAGTTAATTGGTTCATAGATTTTAGTTGACTATAAACTGTAGTATAACATGATATGGTTTGGCTCTGTGTCCCTACCCAAATCTCATCTTGAATTGTAATCCCCATGGGAGGCAATTTCCCCCAGGCTGTTCTCCTGATAGTGTGTGAGTTCTCACGAGATCTGATGGTTTTGGAAGTATTTGGAAGTTCCTCCTTTGTTCTTCTCTCTCCTGCCATCTTGTGAAGAGGGTGCCTGCTTCCCCTTTTGTCATGATTTAAGTTTCCTGAGGCCTCCCCAGCCATGAAGAACTGAGTCAATTAGACCTCTTTCTTTTATAAATTACCCAGTGCCAGAAAGTTCTTTATAGCAGTGTGAAAAGGGATTAATATGTAGCATTAAGTCCTTAATTATTTGACCATTTTGATAAATTTACACATTAGTAAACATGGTTATTATTTTTAGCATCGCAAAGATTTTAAAGAAAACACAATTTGACTTAAGTTGAATGCACTAAAATAGCTGGGCCCACCCAGCATGTTTTCACTAAGTCCATGTTAGAAATGTACCTCCAGCTATTCTACATTTTTATGTTAATCATTTGCATTTAAATTCTGAAGTTTAGAGAAATCATGGGTATCAGAAAATCATATCCTATGCCTCATATGCCTATAAATTTGTAAGTCTCTACCTTTACTCTCTTTCTTTTTATGCTTCTCTTTCCATCACTCCTTCCCATTCTTTCCTCCCATTCCACCCTCACTAAATCCCTTTCTTCTTCCCTATGCTGTCTTATTCCCTTTCATCCCTTACTTTCATTCACAACTTTGTACAAAAAGAAAGCTGGATGACTTTCAAACATATGCACATAAGTTGAGAGGTGCTAACAATATAGTTGGAATCATTAAATACTAGAGTATCTCATGGTGTTTACATTAAGTGTTATAACACTTGGAATCTGATTCTCCTATATAAATCACTCTTGCTTAGTTATTGTTTTATTTGCTTAACAGGGAAACAATTACATTTTACTTTGATAGTCTGTGTATTCTGTAACTATTTAATTGATTCTATTAGTTTTGTGACTCTGTATGTCTTTCTGTTATTATTTTAATTGTAGCCTTTCTGGATTAATATCCAAAAAAGAAAAATATTCCATATTCAATGTATATTTGAGGTGTTCATGAACAGTATCAAAAATATATTTGTACATACAAATATAGACAGTGAAACGTTTGGCCATAAGAATTTCCTATTATTCTGACAGTACACATCACTAATATAGTTTCCATAATTTAGAAATCTGACACACACACACACACACACACACACACTCACACACATAATGCTTTTATTTAATTAATTTTTAGGTATACTATTTTGGAGAGAAAAAAATGGAATAGGATAAATGAATTGGTAGATTTGACAAGCCAGTTGGTGTAACAGTGATATGTATGATCAATTGCTCTATTTCACCAGCATTCTTCCTCCAAGTTAACCTGAACCTGATTAGATGATTCTGTGATGAAGGCCAGTGGCAACCTTCAAATACATGCCGTGTTCAAGTTTTCAAGATTTATATCTGTCTTTTAGGATTTACATTCATGAAAAAAACATCTACAAAGACAGCGACTAAGCAGATATTTAAGATAAAGGTTGACGTGTTAGTCTAATTGACTAGACCCAGCATAGACCATTATTTGGAACAAGTTCCTATAAGAATGTTACTCATTTATATCTCAAAGGTCAAGCTTTCCGAGCAGTTTTCAGAAAAAAGTGGATGCATTAAAGATGCATGAGGAGAGTCAATCTACAATGTCAAAGAGACCTGAGTGATTGTGCAGGTTTCAAACAATCTACAGTACCCAGCTAAAAGGCTAGGACTCTGAAGCAGTTGTTTTTCAATGGCTGTTATTGAGATGTTGAATTCTCATCTAGGTGATGTTTCCAAAAGCCACTTTGCTAGTGAAAAACCTCAAATGGAACATACTGCAGGTTTCAAATAACATAGTTTGGTAATGCTTCTAGTACGAATAAAAAGAGGTAGTAACACAAAATTAAGCATTCCTAAAATCATAAAATTCAGTTCCATTAAAACTGTAGTTGGAATTTCCTTTGTAACTTAAATCCATTGATAAAATTTAAGTGTGCGTTTTACATTTAAAATATTACCCAACCAGCTGCCAAAGCTTTTAAGAAATATTTAATTTTTACAATAAAATCTTTCAGTGTTGCTTTTTGTTAGAATATTACATATGCTATATACTGGTTAGTTCCTTTTTAAAAGAAATTAATTACCTGATGAATACCATGGAGAACTTGTCTCCAAATAAGCTTGCTATTGTAGTCACCAAAATGACCAACTATTTTCGTTCTATCTTCCATAATAAAAATGGAAAATTTCTTTATGTCTGTAAAGCAATACATCTAATTAACATAAGAAAATTTATAAAGAGCATGTCAACACATGAAAAATGATTTAATCAAACCAAGCATAAATATTGAGTGCATATATCATGGCAAGAAGCTAGAGTAGGATAGGCTTAAAGACGACTTCTTTGAAAAAACTATTTTTGAACTAGAATCAATGTACAAAAACATGAAGTACAGAATTAGTAAGATGTGTTTCATTGGCACTTGGGCGGCTGAGGGTACAGCAGAGAGATTTTTCCAGAGAATTTTGAGTTAACAAGGCTGAGGCCCACATCTTGACTCTGCTGTTTAGGCTGATCACATAATTAATTTGGCCTTCAACTATAAAAAACAGAAGTAACAATAATGTCCACCTTAGACAGGCATTTTGAAAAACGAAATGAATTTGTTTATGTGAAGGTCTATGATAAATTATAATTCACCACAGCAAGAATTCTAGTTATTATTACCTGCATGAATAAATAACTACCTAGACACCTATGTAAACACAAAGTACGAACAGCTGAGGCTGAGTATAATTTCTAAGAAAAAATCACTTGTACTTACAGTGCTTGTGATAAGCTAGAAAAGCTGAGTTTATGGGCATCGGCATACAGGGTTCAGCACCTTAAATATCTGAAGGTAAATGATTCAGGGGACTGGTAATGTGGACACTGTCAGGTCTGTACCTGTGCTTTGGCACTAGGAGTCTAGAAAATGCCAAAATCATCACTTTGATACATTTATTAGTAGAAATCTCTTCATTTATTTATTTAAATTGAAATAAGTAAGTTGTAAAACAAATGGTGATTTCTCCAAAAGAAGTTAAGCTATCACTAATAAATGGAAAGATGTATATTAAAATAGCTTTATGATTATGTAAATTATTCTTTTAATTTTTATGAATCTGAACTTCGCTACTCAGTACTCTCTATCAATAAGCATTGACAGTAACTCAAGGTAAAAATTAAAAATAAAAACTCACATTTTAAGAAACCAATATTAAGCTAGCTATGCTATAGAGGTGAAAAATAATATTGATATTAATATTTGAAAAGATCTGATACTGTGCCATAATGCATATGCAGTCTGTTGTACAAGAAAAACATTGGACTAAGAGTTTAAAAACCCAGTTCAAGTCCAACTTTTTGAACTACCTTGTCTCCTGACTTTAGATATATTTATTGACTTCCATGTGCTTCAGTTTTGTAAGAAAGGTGGAGGTGAGAAAATGGAATTCATTTGCATCATGTTGGAAATTTATCCTGCTTCTGAGTATTGTATCATTGTGACGTTATAGGAGTTAGTTACCAACACATCTATTAAAAATATGCTGACGTCTGCTAATATGGTGGCTGCACAAAGAAAGAAAATTCTACGGGAATACCCATTACTGTTCCTTTTGCCATGTTGTGATCATTTATTAGAAAACAACAAAGCCAAGGCAATGAGAAAATAAAGATCTGTGGGTGCTGTCGGATTGCAGAAGGAAGTCTATTATACAGTAGAATAGAGGATAAGCAAGCTGACCCACGGCCAACATAACTGTCTCTAAGAAAGAGAGAAAACATAACTATGCTTTCCTCTGTATGGCTCAGACCAACGTTTGTCTTCTGGTCATAGGAAATTATTTCCATAAATAAAATGGAACCATAAATGTATTAAGAAGATGGCTTCACTTTTTCCTCCTGCCACATTTATCCCTCCATCCTTTCTGGCTTATGCTAACGTCTCCTTCCTGGGAGTGAGGAATGATACAGCAAACCCTGTCCATTTTCTCCTTCCTGGGAGTGAGGAATGATATGGCAAACCCTGTCAGTTTTGTTTGTGATCACATTGTTACACATTTATGGTTTTGGAGCACCCTAAGCAACCTCATCTGCTTCTCACAGATAGGAGATTCACTTCCTCAGGGAAGCATTCCCACCTTCTCTGACTATGGGAGAATAATATTTTCCTTTTGATTCAAGGTCTTGGATATATAAGATCAAATTTATTTCTATCTTCTGTTCTTGCAGGCTGCCTAAACCAAATCATATTCACATATTACATGCTACATCTGTTGCTGATTAACTGCTCTTATAGAATTATGTAATTACTTTATATTCATAAATTTCAAAGAATGGAAGAAACCACAAGACACCACTTAACACCCACTAGGATGGCTATAATAAAAAAGACAGACAATAATAAATGTTCGTGAGGATTTGGAGAAATTGGAAACTTTGTACGTTGCTGGTGGGAAGGTAAATGGCACAGCCATTTTGGAAAACAATCTGGCAGTCCTTCAAAAAGTTAAACATAGAGTTACTATATGACCTAGCAATTTCACTTCTGGGTATATACCTGTATTAGACTGCTCCTGCACTGCTGTAAAGAAATACCTGTGACTGGGTGATTTCTAATAAAAGAGGTTTAATTGGCTCACAGTCTGCAGGCTGTACAAGCATGGTGCTGGCATCTGCTCAGCTTCTGAGGAGGCCTCAGGGAGCTTTCAGGCATGCCAGAAGGTGAAGTGGAGCAGGCATCTCACACGGTGAAAGCAGGAGCAAGGGGAGGGGAGGTGCTACACAGTTTTACACAATCAGATCTCGTGAGTACTCATTCATTATTGCAAGTACAGCACCAAGCCATAAGGGATCCACCCCATGACCAAAACACCTCCCACCAGGACCTACTTCCAACATTGCGGATTACATTTCAATATGCAATTTGGGTGGGGACAAATACCCAAACTATATCAATATCTAAGACAAACAAAAGCATTATACATAAAGCTTTTATGCATGTGTTCATTTGCAGAATTACTCAAAATGGACAAACAGTGGAAGCAACCTAAATGCATCAACTGATAATAAATACAATATGGTATATTTATACAATGAAATATTATTTGGCAATAAAAAGGAATGAAAAACTGATACATGCTATGACATGGATGAACTTGAAAACATTTCACTAAGTGAAAGAAGCCACATATCATATGATTTCAGTTATAGAAAATTTATAGGAAAGGTAGCTCTATAGAGGCAGAAAGTGGCTTAGTAGTTGCATAGAACTAAGGAGGATGCGGGATTGGAGAGAGAAGGCTAAGAAATGTGGGGTTTCTTTTTGCGGGGTGAAGATGTTCTGAAATTGGATAGTGGTTATGGTAACCCAAACTTGTGAAATATATTAAAAATCACTGACCTGTACACTTTAAAAGGGTAAATTTTGCAGTACATGAAATACATCTCAAGTTTTTTAAAGCTCTGATAAAAATAGAGTTGAAGCCATGCCCATATTGTCCAGAGAACTGTAAATTTAATATTCAAATTTTTGTTTAAAATAAGGGATATACAAGAGTTCAAGGCTGCAATGAGCTATGATTACACCACTGCACTCTAGCTTGGGCAAAAGAGTGAGACTCCATCTCCAAAAACTGAATTTTAAAGTATAGGGGACATAATAATGACTTTCACGTTAGTAAAATGATTTCTGGCTATGGAGTATAGAAAAAACTTTCAGTTTTCTATTCTAACCATTATATACTACATAATCAAAGATAACAAAATTGTTCCTAACAGCTAGAAGTGATCACTTTGTTCTCAAAAACTTCCATTTCAGACTGGATAGGAAGCAGGTAGCACTCTCCCATTTGTATATTAGGCAGGGTATAGTACAACAACAAAGGATATTACAGAACCCTGGGGTGCTTCAGCGCTGCTTCTGAAGCCCCTAGGCTTTAGAGAACAATGGAAGAGTTAAGTTAGGAGGATATGAACAGAGAGGGCTGTGTGAGGAGACACCTGGTCAGGCATTGAGCCTTTTGGTTCAGGGACACACCCAAGCCCACTTTGCCGTCAAAGGCAGGGAGCTAGGAGACTAAATACCCCTAAGTACTCCAACTTTACTGTTGCAGGATCCGGCCAACAGCCCGCAATACAGCGGGGCTCTTTCTTTGTTCCCAGGCAGATTGGCAGGTCGAGAAATAATAGACACACACAAGATAGTGAAAGCTGAGTCCAGGGGGGTCACTGCCTTCTGGTCCCTTGATGCCTCCAATGCACTGGATATACCAGCATTTATTATTAAGTTTAGTGAGGGCAGGGATAGTTTAGTGAGGGATTTAGGGTCATTTGATTATGAGGTGAGATGGTCACATGGGGATGAAGTAATTCTTTAATGTAACATCTGTATGCAGAAGTACAGTATACAGAGATAAGAATTTACAATATAGTGTGTGCATCAGTAATTTCTAACAGAGCCTTAAAACAGAAACACAGTCTTTCCATAACCTATGATTAGTAAGATATTAATCAGCAGTAACAGTTGTAGCAAAAGCTGGTTACAAACAATCCATAGAAACATGATGTGAAGCTAGACAACCGGTTAGACCAGAAATTCTCAGAAGGCAGTATGCCTTAACCCTAAAGAGGCCTAGAAGAGCCGTGGCAAGATGAGGGCATTTATAGCCCTATCTTATACATATGAACAGGTGCCCCTCATGCGTCGGTTTATAGGCTCTCCACAAGGGTCACATTCCATTCCCAGAGCTATGAACATCTGCCTTTCTGGGATAGGAATCTTGGTGATGTGAAACCCCCCTGACTGCACGTCCATTCATAGGCTCTCTGCAGGGGGAAGCACATCACATGCTGTTGGCTCGTTCTGGCAGTCCAACCTGGCATTGTCTTTACACAATCCTGCATGCCACTTTGTATTTACAATAATCAGGAGCATTTCATCTTTTATTCCGTAGCAATAGTTTCAGGGGTCTCCTTACATTTTACTCTTCTAGTTCCCCCTTGTATCATGAGATTATGCAGGTCCTCCCTGACGGTCAAACTCAACAGAAGCCGAAGCTTATAACTGGCATTCATATGGGCCAGATTTTCAGGAAAACAGAGTAGCGTGAAGAATGGCATAGTGTATCTGCTGGGACAAATGAAAGATGGCCCCCTAAACTATTTTATTTCCACCCGCCCTTACAATTACTATGTACTGAATTATTTTCATGCATTTTGTCACCGCCAATAAAATAAAATTTCCTTATAAAGGAGGATTGGATTTTATGTATTCATGTATTTCCAACCCTACTTTAAAAACTGCATGGTAGACATGTCATGTATTCAATGAATATTAGTTGAATACAAAATGAAAAAAAAATTAGTATTATTTTCCTTTCTTAGTAGTCAAAAAACAGAAATATAATTTACATTTTAACTACCAATTCTTAGAATTTCTATCTGTAAGGAATATTTAAGAGAAAATAATTGGCTTTTTTTTTTCTTCAGAGAATACTTTGAGCAGCTTTAGTTAGGGTTCATCATGTTTCTAATTCAGATATATTTTATTTAAAAAAAATAGCAAGAGAAAGAAAGAAACCCTTATTCTGAAAAACATTTTAAAAGGTCACTTACCACTCATTCATATTGACACACTGATTCGCTCTTTCTGCAGGTAATGACAGCCTAAAAATGTCACCAATTCAAATGCAGCCAAATGGACCCTTCCTTTTAAAGTTCAGTTGTGAAAATAACCACCAGTATAAATAAATTTCACATGAAAATTATAACTCTCTTTTCAGAGAGTGTTTAAAGTGTTTTACTCTCTTGACCTCATTCTATCAATTAGAACAATTTATCTTGCTGTACAATGAAGGTATGAAATGTAAATTCACTATATAACTTTTCAGAAGAAAAAAGATATGTAACTTTATTTATAAAAGAAGTGAATGTTTTAAAACATACTAATTGAAACAATGGAGGCTGGGAGAAGTAGAAAGTACAGAAGTTAAATGGGGCAAATCAGTAACTGTTACATTGTTCTGAAAAATCAAGATCAATGAAGTTAGTTGCCTGATGTAAGAATTAAACCTCTAATAAACATTTTAAAATAATTTTTGGCTGGGTGCTTACACCTGTAATCCAAGCACTTTGGGAGGACAAGGTGGGCAGATTGCTTGAGCTGCAGTGAACTGAGATTGTGCCACTGCACCCCAGCCTGGGTGACAGAGAGAGAATTTGTCTCAAAAAAAAAAAAAGATAATTTTAAAGTTCTGAGCTTATAACTGAACTGCTGTAAAATTACTTGGATTCTTACTCAAAGAAGAAAATCTTTAGGATGAAAATTGTAAAAATGTAAGGCATTTCATATTCAGAGGGACCAATAGTATGTGGAAATCTAACCTATTCTTGGAAGGAGGAGTTTTGAAGAGTGGAAAAACATGAGCCATTGGATGGGGCCTAATAGGGCATGAATCTACTAATGAAACTATGGTGTGGCTGATAATGTATGGGCTTCATATCACAGTTTTGCTTGTATTGATGAGATATCTTCCAAACTTATGTCCTTGCTCTGAATTTGGGGAAAAAATGTTGATAAGAAATGCAAGTTTCTACTTCCAACCAAATGTTATATTGTACATTATGCTAATAAAAAGAAGAAAAGTTTATATGTCCTATCTTAGTCCCCCTTTATCTAAAGACTGCCATACTCTTCCCCAAAATCAATGAAATGTGGGTGAATCCTTCATCCCATATATCAAGAGACTTTGCTGTGTACGTAATATTCAAGTCTCAGGAGGAAGTGTGAATCTTATTTCCATAGCCCAAGGCTAGCTAGATTGCCAATTGGCCCCTTTTTGCTTAGGAATCCAGGGATTCCCTTAACTCTTTATCCCTTTTCTGAGCTTTTCTGCCTCATAGAAGGCAATCCTTTCTTCACTTAGCATTCTTGAATCACACTCTAAGTTCCAAGCTACCCCTCACTCCCATTTTTTTTCATTGTAATGTGTTTATTTGAATATTTTATGCAGACAGCCCTGATTTTAGAGATAACTGAAAATCACAGGAAAACTAAAATACATATTATTTTAACCAGAATACAATTAAATTGTGTTTCTAGTTTAAAAGTGAATATGAGCAAATTTTAAAATTTAAAACAAAATTATAGAATGGATGCAGAATGGAGTGGAAATGTAGATGATAGTACTACAAGGGGAACACTAAAGAAAAAAAGAGATTGGATAAGATATATTACATAATGAATCATGACTGGCAATTACCACTTCCTGAAGCAAAGCAAAATGGAAAAGCTGTTTGTTGTATAAACAATTCTTAAAGATAAAAAAGTGGTCATGAGTAAGAGACATTGTCAGAAAATACATAGGAATTTTCATAAATAGTTTTCTTTCAACAGTAGCAAAAGATCAATGAAGTTAGTTGCCCAATGTAAGAATTAAATGTCCAATAAAAATTTTTAGATAATTTTTAAGTTCTGAGCTTGTAACTTTGAACTGCTATAAAATTGCTTGGAATCTTGCACCAAAAGCAAAAACCCATTTTGATGAAAGTTATAAAAGAAAAATTATTTTGATTATGGAAATGTTAATAGAAAATTATGAAGAAACAAATTTTGAAATATTTTACAAAAAGTAAAGATTTTAATTCAAGCTACCAAACAATTTCCTATAGTCTATAGGAACTTTCTAACAAACACCAAATATCAATAAATCCAAAATTTGAAAAATCACAAGTGCTTATTTTTTAGCTTTAGTTGAGTCGTACAACATTAGAGACATAGCCCAGTTAACACTTTGGATACATTCTTCTCAAAAAGAACTTCAGAATTTATGAAGAAATATCAATTTTGTGAACTAAAAAATTGAACTTTTGGATATATATTTTTGAATCTTCAAATGTCAAAAAAGAATGTCAGCTCTATGTGAAAAATTTAGTAGTTTCAATCATGATGGTTGATGCTCTAGATTGGAATTTTAAAACAAGAGACCGATGTCTTTCTTATGGCTTTATTTCACTGTATGATGCCAGAAATATTTGTACTGAGTTATCTATAGCAGGCTTTTTGATAAGTGTCAGGGATATACTTGTTAAAATCATTTAGTATACATATATAAATTGATGAATAATCAATAGTTTATGGAATTGTTCAAAGAAACAGAATACAATAAACATACTGATTTTGCATCCTACCAGTGCTCTTTAATTGAGCCATGAAAAAATCTTTGATTGAGCCATGAAAAAGGTTCACAAAGATTTACTGTATCATGAACTTCAATTCAAAAATTTCAAGAAAAAAAGAAATAGTTGCCAGATATTCATAAACAAAAACAAAAAAGGCATATGTTTTGCCTTGTCTCACCAGTATCAGAAAGTACATAAACAACATAAATTTGAAGTTCACAGAAAAGAAAAATCTTGTAACCTAGATGGACACTAATAAAAATTTATATTCAAATTGAAGCTTTTGATAATATGAATGTATACAAATAATGTACATTTTTATAAGGTGAATATGCAGGTTTAATTGCTATCAAAAACATCATGTCAGTCTTGTAACTGCACAAAATACACAAAAATATGAAGGAAGCTTTGTTGAGATTAATAAATTTAAAGTTTTAAATTTATGCAGTTGCCCTTTGAATTCAATGTTACTGAGTTGACATAAGAGTTAGTGAATTTACTCCAGTTGCACAGACAGTTTTTGAACCTGATATACTTTTGTTTCAAAGGGTCAGATCAATTCTTATTTTAAAAAGAACCAATTTTATATTGTTACTAGAAATTACTTTAGAATGTTTATAACAACTTGGCTGTGTGAAATTACTTTTTAAAAAATAAATCTTTTATTTTAGAATAATTTTAGTTTTACAGAAAATTTACGAAGATAGTACAGAGAGTTTCTACACACCACTCACCTACTTTCTTTTATTATTTACATCATACATCACAAGTATATGGTACATCAATCATAATTAATGGACGAATATTGATACAATAACATTAACTAAAGTCCACACTTTATTCATATTTCCTTAGTTTTTACTTAATGTTCTTTTTCTGTTCCAGGATCCTGTCCAAGATACCATATTACATTTAGTCATCATGTATATTTAGATTTTTGCTGACTTGCACTTTGGAGGAGTACTGGTTAGGCATTTTATAGAATGTCTCTCAGATGATATTTCTTTGATGTTTTGATTGGTTTTGTTTTGTTTCATGGTTAGGGTAGAATTGTGTGTTGGGGAAGAAAGGTCCATAGAAGTAAAACATCATTTTCATCACATCAGATCCAAAAGACATGCTATCAACATGGCTTATCAGTATTGATGCTGACTTGATCACACAACTGAGGTAATGTTTGTTAGTTTTCTCCACTGTTAAGTTACTCTCATTACCCCTTTTGCCATACTGTACCTTTTAAAAAGAGGCTACTGTATGCAACTCATTTAAGAGGCGGGGAAGGCTGGGCACGATGGCTTATGCCTGTAATCCCAGCACTTTGGGAGGCCAAGGCGGGTGGATCACTTGAGGTCAGAAGTTCCAGACCAGCCTGGCCAACATGGTGAAACCCTGTCTCTACTAAAAATACAAAAATTAGCCGGGCATGGTGGCACATGCCTGTAGTCCAAGCTACTTGGGAGGCTGAGGCAGGAGAATCACTTGAACCTGGGAGGCGGAGGTTGCAGTGAGCTAAGATCATGCCACTTCACTCCAGCCTGGGTGAAAGAGTGAGACTCTGTCTCAAAAAATAAAATAAAATAAGAGGTGGGGAGCTGTGCTTCACCTCCTCAAGGGTGATATACCAACATAATTTATTTTGAATTCTTCTGTATATAGTTGTTCTTTTCTCCCCTATTTATTTCTAATGTAATCATTTATTTATATCAACATAAACACATGGATATTTATTTTATACTTTTGGTTGTGTTTCAATATTATTATATTTATGTTGCTCAAATTGTAAGTGTGAATTTATATGTTTAGCACTTCCTTATTTTCTGACAATATGAAATGTGCTCATCTTATATGTTTCTAGAGTTCTAGAATTAAACAGTTTCCTAAAGAGGCTGGGTGCACCATGGTGAGCCGCCATGTATTCCCAGCACATTAGGAACCCAAGGCGGGAGGATTGCTTAAGTCCAGGAGTTCAATACTAGCCTAGGCAACATACAAGACCCTGTTTCTACAAAAAATTCAAAATTAACATGGAATGGTGGTGTGCACCTGTAGTCCTAGCTATTCAGGAGGCTGAGGCAGGAGGATTACTTGAGTCCAGGAGTTTGAGGCTGCAGTGAGCTATCATCATGCTACTGCACTGCAGCCTTAGTGACAGAGCAAGACCCTGTCTCAAAAAAATAAAAATAATCAAGAAAAAAAATACATTTCCCTAAGGAGTCCTGGTTCCTTTTATTAAGAATGGTATTAGAACCCAATATTTGTGCCCTAGGTAGGCTTCTTGCTAATAGAGTATTGTTTCTAGGTGACAGCAAGAAAATAGATGTGTGTACACTGACTTAGGTGTATATAAACATCTATAAATATTTTAATGTATCTATATGAAGCTGTATCTATATGTATCTGTATCTATATGTATCTGTATCTATATGAAGCTAACATGAATTTATACCGATGTCTCTAATCCTATCACCACATCAATTACTCTAGCCTCCTCTCCTTGCATGTCTGTAGCCTCTCATTTCAACAGTGAGAAATCTGGCTTTTACTATTTGCAATTCATTTATTTAATTGTTCAATTCCAGGAGTTGTGTGTATGTGTGTAACCTGCACACTTTCGCGAACTAGATAGTATCACGGTAGTCTATATTGCCTTTAGTCCTAGACTCCACTCAATTTCAGTCACTTAGGTCATCACCTTTTCCCACACCTCCGTCAGTGAGGCTGTTTCATATTTTTTGTAATGCAGTTAAATGTTTTGTCACATTCTACATTTCATCCTAGAACTCTCCTGACCTCCTAAACAATTTTTTAATTTGCATAAATTAAGATTCATGCTATGTGCTGTAGAATTCCATGATATTTGACAAATGCATATTGTCATGTATCCAACATTACACCATCACGCGTAATAGTTTCACCACTACAAAATTTGTCTGTGCTTCACCAATTCATCACTGCCCCCACTACCACCAAACTCTGGAAACCAATGATTGCTTTACTATTTATAGTTTGCCTTTTCCAGAATGTCAAAAAATTAGGATCCTACAGTATGTAGCTTTGTTACACTGTTTTCTTTTTTACTTATTAATATACTCTTTTTTTTTTTTTTTTTTTTTAGACGGAGTCTCACTCTGTCGCCTAGGCTGAGTGCAGTGGCGCGATCTCGGCTTACTGCAAGCTCCGCCTCCCGGGTTCATGCCGTTCTCCTGCCTCAGCCTCCTGAATAGCTGGGACTACAGGCGCCTGCCACCACACCTGGCTAATTTTTTTTGTATTTTTAGTGGAGACAGGGTTTCACCGTGTTAGGCAGGATGGTCTCGACCTCCTGACCTCGTGATCTGCCCGCCTCGGCCTCCCAAAGTGCTGGGATTACAGGTGTGAGCCACCGTGCCTGGCCTATTAATATGCTCTTAAAACTCATCCATATGTTTTCATAGCAAGAAAGCTTATTTCTTTTTATCACTGAATAATATTCTATTGTATGGTTGTACCTCTGTTTATCCATTTACCTATTGAGAGGCATCTTGATTACTTCTAGCTTTGGATTATTATAAATAAAACTTCTATAAACATCCACACAGAGTTTATTGTGTGGATATAAATTTTCAAATCGGTTGGAGACATCTCAATTTTTCAGTTGGTTAGAGAAGAAACAAGGTGACCAGTGGCCAATACCATTGCTTACAGATAGTAGGCCTTCAGTAAATATTGACTGACAGGCTTACATGCATTATTTTCAGAAAAGGTAAATGAGGATCTAGCCAGTTAGAAGAGGAGACTTTCACTTTCCCACATAAGATTGAATCTTAGCTAAAGAGTGAAAGAAGAAAATGGGTTTAGGTTGACTATCCATCACTTTTTTTAAAAAAACTAGTTTTTTATTCTTAAAAATGAGCTCTAATTTTGTAATCCTTCAATTTAATAAAGTGCCCATTAAATAGTGCCTTAAAATGATGTCACAAATGAGAAATGTATGAAACACTGCAGTTTTATTAAAACGTACTACAAAATCACTATTGTAATTAAAACACTGTTAGCTTACCCTAGAATTGCAAAGGAGGTCAAACTAGTAACATATATTTATAATGCTAAAATAAATGCATAAACTTTGGTAGTTCATTTTGTAATTTGGGAGCTAAAACTAAGTTTCTTCCCAAAGGGAGGAATGTTTTTTGACCTCTAACCTTCTTTCTTGTATTTATTTATTTCTTTTTAATTTTACTTTAAGTTCTGGGATACATATGCAGAATGTGCAAGTTTGTTACGTAGGTATACATGTGCCATGATGGTTTGCTGCACCTATAAACCTGTCATCTAGGTTTTAAGCCCTAGATGCATGCTAGGTTTCAGCATGCATTAGGTGTTTGTCCAAATGCTCTCCCTCCCTTTGCCCCCCACCCTCCAACAGGCCCTGGTGTATGTTGTTCCCCTCCCTGTGTCCATGTGTTCTCATTATTCAACTCCCACTTATGAGTGAGAACATACGGTGTTTGGTTTTCTGTTCCTGTGTTAGTTTGCTGAGAATGATGGCTTTCACCTTCATCCGTGTCTCTTCAAAGGACATGATCTCATTCTTTTTATGGCTGCATAGTATTCTATGGTGTATACATGCGACATTTTCTTTATCCAGTCTATCATCGATGGGCACTTGGGTTGGTTCCAAGTCTTTGTTGTTGTAAATAGTGCTGCAAATAAACTAAAGAGCTTCTGCTCAGCAAAAGAAACTAACAGCAGTGTGAACAGGCAACCTACAGAATGGGAGAAAATGTTTGCAATCTACTCATCTGACAAAGGTCTAATATCCAGAATCTACAAGGAACTTAAATAAATTTACTAGAAAAAAAACAACCCCATCAAAAAGTGCGTGAAGGATATGAACTGAAACTTCTCAAAAGAAGATATTTATGCAGCCAACAAACATGAAAAAAAGCTCATCATCTCTGATCATCAGAGAAATGCAAATCAAAACCACAGTGAGATACCATCTCATGCTAGTCAGAATGGCGAATATTAAAAAGTCAGGAAAGAACAGATGTTGGTGAGGCTATGGAGAAATGGGAATCCTTTTACACTGTTGGTGGGAGTATAAATTAGTTCAACCACTGTGGAAGACAGTGTGGCGATTCCTCAAGGATCTAGAACCAGAAATACCATTTGACCCAGCAATCTCATTACTGAGTATATACCCAGAGGATTATAAATCATTCTACTATAAACACACATGAATCTCCATCACTTTTATCTTCTCTTTGATTATACCTTGTGTGTTGAATTCAGTTAATTTGTTGTGTTGTTTTATATTTATTTACACAATCATCATTAAGAGAGATATGTAACATCCAGCAGGCACTTTACATTTGTTTTCATTTAAATGTGTTTATCAATAACCAAATGCCTAAACCTTATTGGACATTACATTTTTAAATTTATTCCTTTTAGCTAACATAATCACTGGAAAACAAAAAGACTAATCTGAGAAATTTCAATAGGAACTTAGTCTTTATGTATTAAAGCAGTATTGACAATGCATTTTGTGTGTGTGTGTGTGTGTGTGTGTGATGTGAAATCCAAGAGAAGATAATGAGAAGATAATACCAGTAACTCTAGGTAATTATTAGATAACATCAATGAATATTTGGAAAAAGCACCAATTGGACTTGATTGCTTATTTGCCACTAGAAAATTTTTCACATTTTCTTAGCATATGCTGAAATTTTACCTTTTAGAAGCAACAAATATTTCTTTTTCTCTTGATACCTGACAGCTCTTATTCTTCTACCTAACCTTTTCATCTACCATGCTACTTCTTTATCACCTAAAAATGATTTGTTTAACTGGCTGCTGAAATAGACAGTGTCGTATTTCTTTTTTTTTTTTTTTTTTTTTTGAGACGGAGTCTCGCTGTCACCCAGGCTGGAGTGCAGTGGCGCGATCCGGGCTCACTGCAAGCTCCGCCTCCCGGGTTCACGCCATTCTCCTGCCTCAGCCTCCCCAGTAGCTGGGACTACAGGCGCCCGCCACCACGCCCAGCTAATTTTTTGTATTTTTAGTAGAGGTGGGGTTTCACCATGTTAGCCAGGATAGTCTCGATCTCCTGACCTCGTGATCCACCCGCCTCGGCCTCCCAAAGTGCTGGGATTACAGGCGTGAGCCACCGCGCCCGGCCGACAGTGTCGTATTTCAAACTGATTTTTTTAGACTATCAACCCACAGCTTTTGATCTCAGTCAAATCATCCTTCACATGGGACACCAGTTCCACTCTGCAATGACAAGGTAGGGATCTACCTACTACGAACTTATCTATTTAAAATAAGATCCTTTAAGTTGACAGACAACCTTTTAAAATTACCTTACAATTTAAGTCTTAAAATGAACTAAAAATTCTAACTAATGAGCCACATTTTGTGAAATGACCGTGCTCTCCACTGTCCTCAAAATAGGAATGGTGGTTGCTCTAATATTATATATGTTGTTCATGGCTCTTCAGTAAGTTATTCAAACAGTAAAAATATTTTATACTGACTTGAGTAATGCCCATAGTTTATTGTAGTTGAAAATAACTCCATTTGGAAAATAATTCAGATACTATCCAAGAACTTCTAACTTTCTAGTGGCTTGCATTGTATACTCATAACTTATTTGACTTACAAAGTTACAAGAAAACTTAGCATTTGCATTCCTCCACATAAGATCTCTGATTTTAATAGCTTTTGTTCTTGTTCACTGAATACTTCAGGCATGCTGTCTTGTTAAAAAAAAACAGGCAGTAGGTGGGGAAAAACTTTTTAGTAGTATATACCTACCCTTATATTGTCATTGTATTTTTCTACTGGAAAGAAGTTAATTATATATGTTGAGCATATGTCTGTGAAACTTTGGAAAATGTCTTTTAAAACTGTTAAACAAAACTATTGAAGATAGAGAAGAAAAGAAGGAAGGCAAGAAAAAAGCAAACAACACCCACATGAGCAAAATCCAGTTTAGAAGAGCAATAACAAAAAACAAATTGAAAATATACAATTTAATAGTAAAATTGCTGCACCTTATACAATTCTTAAAAGAACCAAAGATGAGTTAAATTATTATTCTCTCCATAGTACAACCAAAATTTCCCATAAAAGTTAACAAAATTGAAAGATACCAATAGAAGATACTACTATCCTACTGCTGTATATTTGTATATACCTTTGACTAGCGTTATGAAAATTATTAAAATAAGTGCTTCTGAATCTTCATTTCACTGAGACCATTTATTTACTATCATGGATGGAAACTTTGTTCTGATTATAACTCAGTCTATTTCCATTAAAGCAAAACCATGGGAATCGATCTTTTTAAATCTTTTGTTATACAGTCAGGATAGAATAAAATAGTAAACCAACTGTTCAATATATGGTCAGTTCTGTTAAGAAAATATCTGCCCATGTTGCATATTCATCAGTGTAAAATTGAATATCTGTGGATACAGCCAACTTAAAATGTATATTTTGATTGTCAAACTAGATGATTCTCTTTCATCCTCCATCTGAACTGTTCAATACTCCAAATTCAGATAAAGGTAATGACATTGCCTACAGAATTTTCTTTGCCTTTCTTTTATGAAAAAAATCTAACCCAAATCTATCATTGTCAGATGAACACTTTAAAAGGTTAAATATTTTAAAATGAGAATAACACACCTGGGATATATTTGATTAGTTTTATTCTAAATGAATAGAAGTCAAATTCCCAATAGGCAGAATAACTGTTTGACATTAGAGAGAGGAAATGAAATAAAAATAGAAAAAGAGTTATTTATATTAAACTACACTTTAAATAGTTTTATAAATTTAATCATATACATACTATTTTCACATGACATGTTTAAATATTTGTTTTAAAAATATTAAAAGTTGTCAGGTATTTCAAATTTGACTATAATGGTCAGTAAATACAATATACTTGCTTCTATAGTCTGTAGTTTTGTTATGCATTTAAAACGTGTGTTTTCATTTACTCCATTTCTAAAATAGCCCCTCATTCTCCATTCCTTACTATGCTTTATTTGTTCCCATACTTATCAACCTGTTATTGACTTACATGTTCATTTTGTTATTTGTTGTCTATTTCTCCCAATAGAGAGAGAAATAGACAACCCCTGAAAGCAATGGCTGTTTCCTTTAGTACTCTATCTTAATTGCCTAAAACAGTGCCTGGCACATAGTAGGCATGTATGAATATTTGTTAAATGATTGAATGGATACTCTTCGTAACATATCTCATAGTACTCTCCCTGTTTTAGAACAGAGAAAACAGAGGTTTGGAGTAGTTACCCAACTCGAATAAAATGTCCAGCTAGGAGCTACATACCACACATAAAATCTGCTTATTACTAATCAAATGCTGTTTCTAATACTATCTTTGCTTGCAGCATTCAGCACTACTTCTCCATGTCTGATTAGTATTATGTTCACATTTGTGTAAAACTTAATTGAAAAATGGCACATTATCTCTCTATTATGAAATAAATGACATGTTGTATCCCAATTAAAAATTTATCAAATTATATTAATTTATTCTTAGAAAAAAATTTTGAAGAAACACAATAAGTTACTATATTATTCTTATTTCTGTAGCCTAAGTATAAAATAAATAGATTGAAGTGTTGATCCTTTAAACATAAGCTAATTTCTAAAATAAATTAATCACATTGTCTGAAACAAGTCATCAATATTTCTTTGACTTTGACCTATTCATCATTGAAAACAGAAGAAATACTTTGACTTTAATTGCCTCTAGAAACCAATTTTGGGAAAACTTTGGTCAAGTAGCATATCATCTTTATTCTTTGTTTTATTCATTTGAGTCAAACTTCAATTTTACATTTCCATTAGTTTTTAACATTTTCTTTTAAAATGCTCTGATAGAGCATACTGTATTATTCCACTTTTTTAAAATCAGGAAAAATGGAAAATAAAAATTACTAGTACAATAACATAGAGACTTTCATAACTTCATTTTAAAATCACTCCTCTCTTTTTTAATTTATGACTATGTCTCTCCGTTCCTTCAGGTTTGTTCATTTTAAATGTTCTTTCAGGTTTGTAACTGTTGTTCCGAGATTCAACCTTTGCTTTCCTGCTGTTATCCTTGAAGAACTCATCATTCTTATGATTATAATTATATATTTATGTATCTCCCCTAATTACTTCTGCCACCTAAAAGTTCAGTTCCTTGAATGAATCTCCTATTTTAAAGCTCCATTATACCCAATGAGAATTGAAAGATAAATGCATCATTTCCCCTTCTGAAAGTGACTTTTTTATAGCAAATCTAAATATTCAGTGATGTTACTGTTCTTCCAATGTCACCATTTTTTCAAGCTTATGATGTTTTTGACTCCCCACTAACAATCGATGACCAAGTCACATCAAACTTTCTCCTCTGTATTTATCTGATTCACTCTTCCTGCCCACATACATGGACTTAGCTGAAAACTACTAAATAGATGTATTGTGTCTCATGATAAGGCCACTGAAATGGCACAGATTCTTCTTTATTAGATTGTAGACCACCAGGCTTCATGTCAATAGCTATTTAATTAATTTATTTATTAGAAATACTCTAACAGTTCTCATTACTGGAAAGCCTATTAAATTTTTTTGTATAATATCTTCAGTATGTGCTCTTTTAGATGATTATAAAACTTTCATGTATGGGTTAATGGAACTAAATAGTATAGGAACATTTTAAGATCTTTATGATAGAGACGTATGTCCTAGATCATTTATGTATGAAAATGAAGTAGAGAAATTGTTCATATAACTTAAACCAATTTGCACACACACACATACACATTGTCTTCTCTTTTCCCCTCTGTCTCTCTCTAATACAGACACACACGTACACATACAAATCTTTAAAAATTATTTTTAGTCTGTTTCAATTTTTAAAAATGTGAGACGTCTAACAAAAATGCATAAATCCCAATAGTTTAAAAATAAATACATGAGAGAAATGGGGGAATGGGAGATATTTCCCGATAAACCTAGAAAAAGGTTAAGATATAAATTCCATGCCCTTAGGACATCACCAAGTACTGGGGATAGGTTGTAAATTTGACTTTAAACTTCTGAACCACAAAAGCCATGAAGGAGACAAATTTACATACAAGAGTCACAATGTCCAAAACATAAAAACAAGAGATGCTTCCTGATCCTTCAACCTGTAAGAAATCTCTCCCATGAGTCCTTATGAAAGGAACACTTTGTGATGTAGGAGATCATTTTATATAATCCTACAATAAATGCAGCCAACAGTTTATAAAATACAAAATCAATTTTGAAAAAGTTCAAAGCAATGTGATCTGGGTATGTGGGTCTCTGGTGGCTTGGCTAGATCTAAAGCTGAATTTTTCACCACACTTTTATTATGAATATTTCAAATATATAGAAAAACTGAAAGAACAGTAAAGTGAATAACCATATCTCATTTGAAAAATTATGAACATTTTACCATAGCTGCCTTACCTATTTTTCTATGTATTCTGAACCATTTGACACTAAGTTAAGTTTTGTAGTGTTCTGAGAATTGATGTAAGCTGTGTAATAGTACCCCTCATATGTCATGAAAACATAATTTCTCAGTCTCAAGTTTTTAGTAACAGAACTTCCAAGAAGGTGCATTTGGGGATGATAACTACAAAAGGATAAGATTGATTGAAAGAAAGGTAAGCAAAGAGTTTTAAAAAGTCACACTCTGTAGTAAGACATGAGGTGAAGTCATCTTATCTTGCCCAACGAGGGAACATCCATATTCTAAGACAGTCAACTAAACCAACAATGTGGATGTACACACATACCAAAGTAGTTTCTCTTCTTTTTTCCTTACTTCAAGAATAATTTGTGTAATATGAGGAAAATAGCATTAAGGTTGGTAATATATTAGGATTAAAATGAAATAAATTAATGAATTTTATAATTACTTTATTAAACTCATCAACAATTAACTCATCCACTCACATAAATAGCATAAGTAGAAATTATTTCAGCCATGTCTTAGGCAGCCATGTTTGGCAGTTCATACTCAGAAATAAGAATATTTAAAGTTGTAGCCCTTACTGAGCTCTCAAATAAAAAACAGAATATAGAGGCTCAAGAATGAGACAGCCTTTCCTCCCTCTGTGGAATACGTTTAATGGAATTCAGTCTCTAAAACAAAATTTCAAACAGAAGCTTCTGTTCTTTGTTATATATAAGGTACTTAAAACACATGCCAAGACTCATTAATAAACTTCAAATACAAAGCTTCACAAAGAGTTGGCCACAGGTTTCTTCCTAATTTCATCACCAATATTAATGATGGTTCAGAAAAATAAAAACTATGCAGATTTATTTAGTCCTAGAATAGAACTGGATCTGGCACATTGCTGAATTTTACCATACAGGCACAACTCAGAGATAATATGAGTTCAGTTCCAGACCACTGCAGTAAAATGAATATGTCAATAAAATGAGTCACACAATTTTTTTGGTTTCCCAATATGTATAAAAGTTATGTTTCCAGGCTGACCAACGTGGTGAGACCCCGTCTCTACTAAAAATACAAAGAAATAGCCGGGCATGGTGGTGCATGCCTGTAATCCTAGCTACTTGGGAGGCTGAGGCAGGAGAATCGCTTGAACCCAGGAGGCAGAGGTTGCAGTAAGCCAAGATCGCACCACAGCACTCCAACCTGGGCTACAGAATACAACTCCAGCTAAAAAAAAAAAAAAGTTTACACTATACTGTAGTCTCTTAAGTGTGAAATTGCATTATGTCTAAAAAATGTACATATGTTAAACATACTTTATTGCTAAAAAATGCTAAACATCATCTGAGCTTTCAGAGTCATAATCTGGTTGCCAATGGGGGTTCTTGCCTCAGTGTGGATGGCTGCTAACTGATCAGAGTGGTGTTGCTGAAGTTTGGGATGGGAGTGACAATTTTTTAAAACAAGAAAATGACGAAGTTTGCCACATGGATTAACTCTTTCTTTCACAACAGATTTCTCTCTAGCATGTGATGCTGTTTGATTGCATTTTACCCACAGTGGAACTTCTTTCGAAACTGAAGTCAATCCTTTCAAACCCTGCCATTGCTTTGTCGATTAAGTTGATGTAATATTCTAGATCCTTTGTTGTCATATAAATAATGTTGACAGCATCTTCACCAGAAGTAGATTCCATCTCTGAAAGAAACTACTTTCTTTGCTTGCAACTACTCATCCTCAAGTTTTGTCATGAGTTTGTAGCAATTCACTCACATCATCAGGCTCTGCTTCTAATTGTACCTTGCTTGATATTTCCACCATATCTGCAGTGACCTCCTCCACTGAAATCTTGAACCCCTAAAAGTCATCCATGACGGTTGGATTCAATTTATCCAAATTCCTATTAATGTCACTGTTTTCACCTCCTCCCATGAATCATGAATGTTCTTAATGGTGAATCCTTTCCAGAATATTTTCAATTTTACTTTGCCCAGGTCCATCAGAGGAATCCCTATCTATGGCACCTATAGCCTTATGAAATGTATTTCTTAAATAATAAAATGTGACAGTCAAAATTATTCCTTGATCCATGGGCTACAGAATGGATATTGTCTTGGCAGGCATGAAAACAACTTTAATCTCCTTGTACATCTCCAACAGAGTTCTTGGGTGACCAAGTGCATTGTCAATGAGCAGTAACATTTTGAAAGGAATCTTTTTTTTTTCTAAGCAGTAGTTCTCAACAGTGGGCTTAAAATATTCAGTAACCCATGTTGTAAAAAGATGTGCTGTCATCCAGGCTTTGTTGTCTCATTTTTAGAGTATAGGCAGAGTAAATGTCATGTAATTTTTAAGGGTCCTAGGATTTTCAGAATGGTAAGTGAAAATTGACTTCAACTTAAAGTCACCAGCTGGATTAGCCCTTAATAAGAGAGTCATTCTGTCTTTAAGCTTTGAAGCTAGGCATAGACTTATCCTTTCTAGCTATGAAAGTATTACATGGCATCTTCTTCAAATAGAAGGCTGTTTCATCTACTTTATAAATCTGTTGTTTAGTGTAGCCACTTTCATCAATTATTTTAGCTAGATCACTTGAGTAACTTGCTACAGCTTTACATCGGCACTTGGTGCTTTACCTTGAATTTGTATGTTATAAAGTTGGCTTCTTTTCTTAAATCTCATTAACAAACCCCTGCTAGCTTCACACTTTTCTGCAACTTCCTCACCTCTTTTAACCTTCATAGAATTGAAGAGAGTTAGAGTTTTGCTCTGGATTAGGCTTTGATTTCAGCAAATGTAGCTGGTGGAATCTTCTATCCAGACAACTCAAACTTTTACCATATTGGCACTTAAGGTGTTTTGCTTTCTTATCACTTCTGTGTTCACTCGAGTAGCACTTTTAATTTCCTTCAAGAATTTTTCCTTTGCATTCACAACTTGGCTAACTATGTGGTGCAAGAAGCCTGCAGTTCAGCTTATCTTGTCTTTCAACATGCCTTCCTCACTAAGCTTAATCATTTCTAGCTTCTGATTTAAACTGAAGGACATGCAACTCTCCCTTTAACTTGAATACTTTGCAGCCATTGTAAGGTTATTAATTGGCCTGACTTCAATATTGTTAAGTCTTAGAGAATAAAGACACACAAAGAGAGGGAGAGAGACAGAACAGCTATTTGGTGGAGCAGTAAGAATATATACATTTCTTGATTAATTTTGCTGTCTTAAGCAAGATTCGTGATGCCCCAAAACAATTACAATAGTAACATCAAAACTCACTGATCACAGATCACCGTGACAAATATAATCATAATGAAAAAGTTTGAAATATTGCAAGAATTACCAAACGTGACACAGAGAAATGAAGAAAGCACATGCTGTTGGGAAAATGGTACCAATAGACTTGCTTCATGAAAAGTTGCCACAAACCTTCAATTTGGGTAAAAAAAAAAGTACAATAAGCAAAGTGCAATGAAATGAGATAGCCTATATGGTGGTGAAAAGCCAATTAGAAATAAATCTTTAATCCTAATGTTAGTCTCTGAGTTCTCAGTTCTTTCCATTAACTCTCAGTTTCTGCTCAGTAAAGTTACTCTTTAAATCCAGCTTATTTGCCATGGTATCATCAAACACACCTCCCTAGGATGAGCAGAAAATGATTTTAAAATCCTTTCACATTAGATAATCACTTTCCAGTAGTTCCACCTGGCTGACTACCCTTGCTGCATTAAAACTACCCCTGAGTGATATATATGCAGATGAGCAGCTCCTTGAAGTGCAAAAATATTGACCATCTAAATCTCTACTTACAGCTTTTTTCATGCCATTTAGCCATAGATATTTTGGAAATGTGGGAGACTGAATATCTGATCATTGGGACATATATATATAGAAATAAGCAACCAAACCATGTTCAATAATGATAGAAAATCAGGCTGGGTGTGGTGGCTCTCACCTGTAATCTTAGTAGTTTAGGATGCTGAAGTAGGAAGATTGCTTGAAGCCAGGACTTCACGACCAGCCTGTGCAACAAAGTGAGACTCCATCTCTACTAAAAACAAACAAACAAAAAGAGCCTGGTGTGATGGCATGCACCTGTTATCACAGCTAATCAGGAGGCTGAAGCAGGAAGATCATTTGAGCCCAGGAGGTTGAGGCTGCAGTGAGCCATGATTGCAGCACTGCACTTCATCCTGGGAGACAGAGTGAGACCCTGACTCAAATAATAATAATAGAAAATTAAATGGAAAATTCCATGAGAGGTAAGATAAGCTATGTGTTATTCAAGAGATTTGGTTAAAAGCATCCTTAAGTTTCACCAGGGTTTGTGCACACACACACACACAAAGACATAAAATTGTATATTTCATTTTGTATCAAAAAATAAGAATAATATTCTACAATTTAATGTAATTCACGTAAATTTACTCAGTTCACCTTTAAGTCACTTTCTGAGGTAGACAAGTTGAGGCATTAGTATTTTTATTTTACTGGTTAAAAGAACTGAAGCTCAGAAGGCTTATCCTAAATTACTCAGTTAGCAAGTGGTAGATACGGGTGTAGACTATCTTCTAAACCAAGTGTCAGAATGTCAGTGAACATACAGATTATACCGCTATTATATTTATTTTTTTCTAGTTCCTACAATGTGAACATATAGTGCTGTAGTGCTATAATTTACAATGTTGATGAATCACAAGTCATAGTGACAGCACCCCCAAATATGACACAGATAAAACACAAAGGCATAAACTCCAGGAGGTGGGATCATGGGAGTGCCTTTCCACCACAGCCTCGTATCCTATGACATTACCAAACTCACTTATTAGATCTACAAGTTGGCTTTTTTATTGATTTTTATATATCTCTCTCTTAATATTTTTATAAAGACAATAACATCCAAAAATGGAGAAAACTTATTGATTTCATTTTCTTGATTTATTGCACCAGCCATGTCTTCTGGTGTAATGTGGAATAGAAGGGGTTAGCACAAACATTCTTGTCTCATTTCAAGCCTTAGGAAGGAAACAGTTTTTCACTATAAAGTATCTTGTTAGCTGTAGGTGTTGTACGCATGTTTTTATTAGTTGAGGTAGTGACTTTCTATTCCTTCTATTCCTTCAGTTCCTGCTGATAGTTTTTTGTTGCTTTTTGTGTTTTTTTTTTTTTTTTTTTGAGACAGAATCTCACTCTGTCACCCAGGCTGGAGTTCAGTGGCGCGATCTCAGCTCACTGCAAGCTCTGCCTCCCGGGTTCACGCCATTCTCCTGCCTCAGCCTCCCGAGTGGCTGGGACCACAGGCGCCCGCCACCACGCCTGGCCAATTTTTTTGCATTTCTAGTAGAGACGGTGTTTCACTGTGCTAGCCAGGATGGTCTCGATCTCCTGACCTCGTGATCCGCCCGTCTCGGCCTCCCAAAGTGTTGGGATTACAGGCGTGAGCCATCGCGCCCGGCCCCTGCTGATAGTTTTGCTCATAAATTGAAATTGAGTACAGTTGAATATTTTCTACTGCATCAGTTATCTCATATATTAGACTGTTAATGTTGTGGTAACATTAATAGATTCTCAAATATTGAACTAGTCTTACATTCCCAGCTTAACCCTCACTTGATTGCAGTAGAATATTCTTTTTCTTTATTACTGATTTATTTGATAATATTATACAAAAGATTTTCACATCTATATTAATGAGGGATACTGGTCTGTGGTTTTCTTGAACTATGACTTTGTTATAATGTTAATTTGGGCCTCATAAAATAAGAATGAAAGTGTTCCTTCCTATTGTACTTTCTGGAATAGTTTGGGTAAATTTGTGTTATTTTTTCTAAAATATTTGAGAGAATTTGCCCGTGAAACCATCTGGGACTGCCACTGTTTACTTTTGAGAGTTCTCAAAGAGTTGTTTCATGTATTCTGTCTAAGTTGTATAGCTGCATTCAAAGACAGGGTGGACGTGCCTACTGTGTCTTATCCAGAACCAGAACCTCTAGCCTGTATTTTTATGGTGAGCTCTCATATGTGTTTCAATTCTTGATGATGGAAGTATTCTGCTGGAAGTCATGAAATGGTCAGGTTGGATAACTGTTACACATTTTCTCTAGCATGATTTGTTCCTAAAACCACATCCAAGCAATGGGCTCATCAGTCCCATTTCAACCTAGTTAAAAGATATGATATTCATACTGGATTTATTACTAGAGTTTTACTTCATTGTCATCATATGATTCTTTACCAACAATGCCTAGTAGAATAGAGCTAGAACAATCACTATATTGAAAGCATCAAGTATTCCAGTATTATTCTGCAATAAATTCCAATCTATCGGCAAATATATATATATGTACACACACACACACACACACACACACACATACATACATATATGTAGGTAGATAACTGTAAAATGTTGTCCCAGCACACCGCATGGATCTAATAATCACATGCTACCATATTGGGCTGGTTTTAAGTTATGTTTGGATTATTTCAAGAGATACCTGCTAAATATGCCAGAAGACGTGTGCATTGTGATTCTGTGTCTGAAAACTCCAGGCTAAGAAGCTTCAACCTCTGAACTAGGATTTGTAAAAGTGTAGATAATAAATATTTTAGATTTTGCAGGCTACATGTAGTTTCTACCACATATTCTTTTTTTAAATTTTTTACAACCTGTATTAGTTTTTTACTGCTGCTGTAACAAATAATCACAAATTAATTAGCTTAAAAACATAATTTTTTTATCTTACAGGTCTGTAGTTTAGAGGTGTGACATGGGTTTCATTGGACTAAAATCAAGTTGTCATCAGGACAGCATTCCTTTCTAGGGGATCTGGGAGAAAATCTATTTCCTCGCCTTTCCCGGATTCTTGAGGCTGCCCATGTTCCCTGGCTTATGGTGTCCCCACTATTGTCAAACCCAGCAAGGTTACATTTCCTCATCCCTGCCTCCATTCTCCCATCTCCCTCTGACCATAGCCAGGACAGGTTCTCAGGTTCTCCACTTTTAAGAATTCATGTCACCAGATTCAACCCAACCAGGTAATCCAGAATACTTCCCTCATCCCAGCATCTTTAGTTTAATCATATCTGCACAGTCTCTTTTGCCATGTGAGGCAATAGATACACAGGTTCTGAGGTTTAGGACATGGATATCTTTGAGGAGGGGACATTATTCAGCCTACCACACCACTCTTTAAAGATATATCTTCCAGCTCAGAGGATACACAAACACAGGCCATGGGCCAAATTTGGCCTTCTCTAAACTTTGCAGCTAGTTAATGTGGAGGGAAATCTTTAAGCCCACTTCCTTTTGTGTTTGCATGTTAATAATTGAAGCTAGATAATGAAAACACCTTATGTGCGGAAAATGAAGGCGAAAATTTGTTTTTAATCTTAGTAATGTGGAAAATAAATGACCTTTATAAAGAATAAGAATATATGATTTTTTCCCAAATTCTAAGAAAAATGTATATTCATATTCATTATTAAAATTTGCTTGAATTGCTAGATTCCGGATAAAATTCAAAAATCATTTAATTATTATATATATTAATATACACATCAATCACATAATTTAAGAGTTTATTCATTTATGTTACAAACTTTTTGTCACTTTCTAGCTCTATCAGCATCTTCTTAGGTCCTCTAAGTGTTATAAATTAAAATACAAAAGTTACTTTTTCTCCAAATCATTAACAGCAAACAGCATATTTATTTGTATAGCAGAATAAATTCAGTGTATTGGTAATTTAAAATCAGATAAAATTTACTCAATTTTCTATAAAACCTGAAGACATAATCAGTTTGCTTTTCTTATTGGAAAATTCTTCCAGATTACTAATACTTTATATTAATTTTTAAAACAACCAGACTCTAAATGCTATGGAATTATGGATTTTCAGCTCATTAATTGATAGCAAGGATAAATCCTATAAAACAAAGTACTACAAGATTTCAATTTATTGCCTACATCCATCAAAAATAAAAAGTTTGTTTAAAAGTTGCCATATATGTTTATATCTTATAATTTGAAATAAGTTTTAGAAGAAATAATGACTCATTATTCCTAAAGCTCATGTCAGTTATTATTACCAGCATGTCTATAATTTATTAAGAAATAATTATTTATTTTTCACTCCCTTATTTTTACATGACATTACTATGAGTTTAGTTCATAGAAAGAAACAGACAATTCTTCACATTTTGGTAGAGAAATAAGTGAGTTTGTTTTTTAATAAGAAAAAGCCAGGACTAAAATTGTATTGGGAGTCATGTTGTCATTATCTAGAGGCATAAAGAGAAAAAAGAACCTCTAGTCCAATTTTCCCATTCTAGTACCATTTTGATGTTTGCAAAACTCATAATTCAGAGTTAAATATTTCTTGGGAAAACAAAAAAGAGTTCAGCTATCACTGTTAATATTTCCTACCAATGCACTAATATATTAAATTGTATTCTCATAATCTGAGGACTCTGTTTATATTAATGAAACAACTCACCTGATAAAATCTGGCCTGATAATAACTGAGCAAGTCTTTATAAGATTATACTTTGGCAAGTGAATTTGTTGTAATTGTAATTTTTAACCTAATACATAGGTATTGATTCTAGATTCTTTCGAGTAGAGAAGTTTGGTGGTGTTTCTTCTCCAAGAGTGAATATGATCAGCAAAATAATATCCCTTCCTGGATACTTTTTAATTGACCTCCCTCAGAAATGCTGCCAACAGTTTAAAAGAACTTGAAACCTCTAAACACCAATACTTGGAATAGTTATATAAAAAAAAAATCTATAACTTATCAGGAAAACAATATACCAATTTCATTAACCAGCCTTTCCTAAAAAAGAAAAACACAGTTACCTTCCATGTGACCTAAAGATGTTTCTTACATATCTTTCAACATTTCTATGGTTCTTGGAAAACTGTAGGAAAACCTACATAATTATATTTTTTTAGTAATGTACTTGAGCTGAGAGATTTCAAATAAAACTGTGAATTTCACAAGAAACTTGAAGTAATTAAAAGGATTTAGGAATTGCTTTACCAATTGTTTTCATAGTTCCATTTCCAAAATCTCAGGCAATTACTTACTTTTTAGATTGAAAATCATATTTCTGACATTATGCCAAACAATCTGTTTAAGTCAAGTATCCTAGAGCCAAATGTACATGATTATTCTGGAAATTGTTGTTACTTTATTCACACGCTGTTTCCTTCTTTTAAAAAAACCATCAATATATTTTTGAAGCCTTTAGAGACCTCAATAAATAACATCGATTTTCTGTGCCCACAATCTGAAAAAATTTAGTAATAGGAAAAAAAAAACAGTAAGGCAACTGGGAAACCAAAATATCACCTTCATTACAGATAAAGCTGACACTGGAAAATATGGCTCACATCTGTAGGTAAGTGGGCTTCCTTATACTGAGTACCAGAATTAAATAGACTCACCAACAGCAGAACCAGTTTCCTGTGGGTAGTTCCAAGACACACAAGGAAGGGCTTTCATTGCACATACACATAATCTCTTTCCAGATCCTCTGTCCCATTAGTCACTTTTCTCCCGAGGAAATAATGCTAGGCTCCTGGGTGGCCCTCCACATGGAAGCACACTTGACAGTAGAGATGAAGCATTCCATCCACCATTGTATTCTCTGTGTTAATCAACTGTAATCTTGAAACCGATCATCTATAAAGTACTGAGATGTCTATCCAGTGGCACTTCATTTGTGGAGTGTATAGTTTGTATGAACTGTATCATCCTAAAGAGTTCACGACTAACTGGAGTCAGTGATGTGACCAGATCCAGTGTTATATTGCAAGTCCATAGTCTGAAATCCCTTCCACACCATCCACACCACTTGCAAACGAAGACAAATTGTTGTATTTTCACCATCAATGTTAAGTTATACTTAATCTATTTAAGGCAGGTATTCACAATGGAGAAATATTACTCCTTAGAACATGAAAGAATCTGGGCCATGTTTAATTGACTGTAGGCAGTGACTGTGTTCCTGACAGAAATTAAGTTTGTGGACTGAGAAAAAGATGCCAGCGTGTTGCTAATTAAAAGTTAGGGTCATGTAGCTTTATCACATCATGGCTCCTGCACCCCTACCTGGGTGAGCTACCTCCACAGTGGCAGGGCTGCCTCTGCTGATGTGGAAGTGGGGTGCTCCCATATCTCCCCCACCAATAGCAAAGGACTGTGTGGTTCACCCTATTTGAATTAATCCTCCTTAACTCACCACATGAACCCTTCATTTCCGTGAAGTGCGTTTCCTCAGTGTATCCCTTGTGCTGTGCTTTTTTCTACTTCACTGAATTTTCACATTCTGTTCCTTTGTTTTTGCTTATCTTTCCGTCATTATTTTTAATTATTCTAGGCCATGAAAATACAGCTGAGGCTGGGCGCAGTGGCTCACGCCTGTAATCCCAGCATGCTGGGAGGCCGAGGCGGGCGGATCACGAGGTCAAGAGATCGAGACCATCCTGGCTAACATGGTAAAACCCCGTCTCTACTAAAAATACAAAAAATTAGCCAGGCGTGGTGGCGGGCACCTGTAGTCCCAGCTACTTGGGAGGCTGAGGCAGGAGAATTGCTTGAACTTGGGAGGTGGAAGTTGCAGTGAGCCGAGATCATGCCACTGCACTCCAGCCTGGGTGACAGAGCGAGACTCTGTCTCAAAAAAAATAATAAATTAAAAAGTAAATAAATAAAAATACAGCTGAAGGCTGGTCCTTCTCCTTGAAAATATCCACCAGGGCTCCAGCTTACTACCTACTGAACTATTCCCAGAAACCTTTAAACACTTGTTTAAACCATAAATTCTACCTAACCACATCACTTAAATCAGTTTTCTATTATTTTGTGGGTGTTTTTCATAACTTTTTAGTCGATCATTAACAGCTCAAGACCCGAAACTATGTGCCTCTTTTTTTATTCCTTAGAGTATAAACCACAATAGTCAGTAGCTTAAGGAGTATCGAAGTCAGCCAGACCTAAGTCTGGGGCAAGGCACTAGCATCTACTATCTGCGTAAGCTCCAATAAGTTACTTCTAAGCCTAAGTTTCTTCATCTGTTGTAAAGATAAGATGAGATGAAATGTTCAAAGGCCTTAGTGTGATACCTGAAGCACGGTATCCAATAAGGTTAGCTATTATTACCATTATTTTTCAATGGATGTTTATAGTTAGGATTCACTTATTGATGAAGTAATTTATATTTTATTTTCTATAGAAGCATATGCAATACTCATTTGGAAAATTTTCAGGCTCCAGGAGTACCCTCAGTGCCTTAAGGGCAAAAATAAGACTAATGAGGAAGAGCCATTGAGGCTTTTTACTACTCAACTCCCAGAATAGTGCAGGTAACTAGCCAGTAATACTAATAATAATACAAATAAAAAGTTGTTTGCCCTTTTCACTGTCATTCTGTCATGAGTAGACAGTGGACTTTTCCAGGGGCTATATGACATGTGATATTGCAACAGACTGAATGAAAAAAATAGATGTGAGAATACAGGTGACTCCTATTAACCCAGACATTAAAGAGATTCAGAAAACAGTGTCACTCTTTTCAAATATGTTTTGAAAAATAGCTTTTTAAATTTTCATAAAATATATTATTTATATTAGCACAATAGAATAATAACTGTTTTAATGCATTCATAAATACTTTTAGTTTTTTAGTTTTAATGTCTAATACTATAAATATCAATAGCTATAATCTGCATAAACAAAAGCTCTTTGGAGTAGAGTCTTTAATAATTTACAAGAGTGCAAAGGGATCATGAGAACAAAATGTTTGAGAACTGCTGGTATAGCTGACTGTCTCTGGATTGTAATGGGCTTATACATTTAATCAGAGGATTGCAATAAACATCTGTACCAAATATGTGTTATACCAAATATGAAGTGTAGTTGACATTTTATTTCTCCATAGTTTGTCCTAAGTTTGTCCTTTCCTTCTTAATGATACTTTACTATTATATTTTCTAGTTCCCTTATCTTCTAATAAGGAACCATTACGAATTTATTTTATTTTATTTTATTTTATTTTATTTTATTTTATTTTATTTTATTTTATTTTGAGACAGGGTGTTGCTCCGTGGCCCAGGCTGGATTTCAGTGGCATGATTATGGCTCACTGCAGCTTCAAACTCCTGAGTTCAAGTGATTTTTCTGCCTCAGCCTCCCAAGTAGCTAGGACTACAGGTGCATGCAACACCATGCTTGGCTAATTTTTTATTTTTTTGTAGAGACAGGATCTTTCTGTTGCCCAGACTAGTCTCAAACTCCTGGGGGCTCACGCAATTCTCTCCACTCAGCCTCCCAAAGTGCTGGGATTACAAGTGTGAGTCACCTTGATGGCCCCATCATAAATTTTATGAAGTAAAATTGTGTCATAAATAAAACATTTTTCAAACAAATATAAACATTGTATAATATCATGTGATTCTCTCATTGATAAAAGTTAAAAGATCTTTGGGTCTAATGCTCTAACTCTTGGCAGGATTCCACTGAGCCTTGAATAATAATAATGATGATAATGATGTTATGGCTGATATTAATTGAACACTTTTAATATATCAGCCATTTCTCTAAGAAATTTAAATATATTATTCTACTTCATTTGCACAAACATCTTTCAGTGTAGATTAAGTTCCTATTCACATTTTATCTATGAAGAAGCTACAGTCCAATAAATTAAGAAAATTAACTGAGGTCACACAGGTAGAAATTCATATAACCTGCTTTAGAACTCATGTCTTTTCTGCATTAAGACTCAAAGCTCTTCCTCTATAAGCAGTATCACTTATACTGCTTATATAAAGTCAAAGTGTACTATTGACTTTATCCAACAAGTCAGCTGTCAGTTACTTGTGTGTTCCTATTTAAGAATTCGTGATTGTTATATAACACAAACAGTTTACAACAAAAATAAACCTTTTTTTTCTGACAATTTAGTTCAGAAATTCAGGAATGGCTTTGCTACAAATTCCACAGTGATTCTAGCTTGGGGCCTCTCATGAGGTTGTAGGGAAGATGTTTGCCAGGACTGCTGTGATGTGAGGGCTGGACTGGTGTTGCAAGATCCGCTTCCAAGGTGGCTCACTCATCATCATGGCTGTTGGCTGGAGACCTCCATTCCCTGCTGTTCCCTATTATTCACAAGAGTTTCTTACCTCATGGACCTTTCCATAGGGCTGCTTGAGTGTCTTTATGACATGGTGATTGGCTTTCCCAGAGTGAATGATCTGAGAGAAAGCAAGGTGAAAGTTACAGATACTATCATTTCCACGGTATCCTTTTGGTTTACAGGTCAGCTATATGCAGTGTGCAAATGAACTATACAAGGGCGTGAATACTAGCAGGTAGGGATCATTGGGGCCATTTGGAGGCTGTCTAGTGCATCTATTGTGATTTTTTTAAACATAAGTTTTAGCTAAACTTTAACTTATAGACAGTTCTGCCTCTTCTACTGTATTTCTTATCATTCTACCCACTTTCTTCCTCTTCAGCACTTTCCCTTCTCTCCTACCTCATATCTTTTATTGAGGTATATTTAAAAATCAGGAAGGGTAGAGAACAAAGAGGAAAGAACATGATTAAATGAGCACCCATAAGTGATAATAAGAAATATTAGTCCTATGTTCCATTAAATAATCTGTCAATTGTTTTGTGGGTTTTTTTTTTTTTTACTCTTCCTTCAAAAAGTACAAGGTGAAACTAATTAGTAAATGCATTTAATACAAAATATCTATTGTCAAAACTTTGACAGCATCTCTATCCCCCTGCCTAGATATTTAGAGTCGTAGCTCCATGGAATGAGGTGATATGTCAATTTTTTAGAGGTTATTTTTATTTTTTTTTATTTTTTTATTTTTTTTTGAGACAGAGTCTTGCTGTCGCCCAGGCTGGAGTGCAATGATGTGATCTTGGCTCGCTGCAACCTCCACCTCCTGGGTTCAAGTGATTCTCCTGCCTCAGCCTCCCAAGTTGCTGGGATTATAGGTGCCCACACCCGCACCCAGCTAATTTTTGTATTTTTAGTAGAGACGGGGTTTTGCCATGTTGGCCAGACTGGTTTCGAACTCCTGGTCTTAGGTGATCCACCCGCCTCGGCTTCCCAAAGTGCTGGGATTACAGGCAGGAGCCACCGTGCCCAGCCAAAGGGCCAAAGGTTTTTTTTTTTTTTTTTTTTTTTTGAGACAGAGTCTCGCTCTGTTGCCCAGGCTAGAGTGCAGTGGCGCCATCTCGGCTCACTGCAAGCTCCGCCTCCTGGGTTCACACCATTCTCCTGCCTCAGCCTCCCGAGTAGCTGGGACTACAGGCGCCCGCCACCATGCCCGGCTAATTTTTTTGTATTTTTAGTAGAGACGGGGTTTCACCGTGTTAGCCAGGAGGGTCTCGATTTCCTGACGTCATGATCCGCCTGCCTCGGCCTCCCAAAGTGCTGGGATTACAGGCGTGAGCCACCGTGCCTGGCCCAAAGTTTTTTTTTTTTTTAGTTTAGTTTAGTTTTATTTTGTTTATTAATATTCCAGTTTACCTGTGTCTTCTATAAATACAGTTAGAAATAATTCTCCGTATTTTTATAGTACCAATGAAAAGTAAGATATTTGTACTTTTCCCCCTTATTCTTGACACCGTTAATGTGTTTCTATATTGCAAGACGGTAGCTTGTCCCCACTTATACTACTATGCCAAAGGGAACAAGAAAGCCGAAGCCTTTTTTCCAATCAGAAGCCATTTCCAGTCACTGACTCAGACTGCACTGAAAATATTGGAAAACGTAGTACTTGTCTGTGTGTATCTGTTCATCTAAATAATGGATTTAATACTTTGCTGTGGTAAAAATCAATTAGTTATTATTAGAAAGGGTTCTGAATGCAGTGAGAAATGCAATATAAATATGAAATAGTAGTTCCCAAGTTTAGCATATGCAAGAGCATAATTTATACAATTTCAGTTCAATCTGTAATGTGAAATTGGTAACAGGACATGACATAACTGAAGCTTGATTTAAGCATGGCTTTCTTATTCCGTGTCCCAGCTATCACAATTTTAATACTAAATGGTTTGTCATTTTGTATTAAGTAGACTTTCTTTCTCGATGACAAACTTGAAGAATAGTCTAGAGTTTTATAAGTATCTGCAAATATTATGTAAATTTTTAGTCACACATAAAGTAGCAATTTTCTTTTTCACTTGGGTTGAATTTACTTTTAAGTATATGAGTCATATACATAAATATAAGCCATAAATATTATTCAACACACGCGTCAGCATTTCCTTTTTCCCCCTTTTCTGATGTTTCATTAGTGACATTTTTCAAATCAAATTTAAATAATCCTTGGTTCAGACTCCAAACAGGAAATCAGTTCAAGGAGCAGGGATCAGAATGACAAAAGAACTGCTCACTTAGAGGATACCTTAAAATACTCTGCTCATTGCAAAAAAAAAAAATAAATAAATGTAAGCTTCCAGATTTTTCTGACCTTAATGCACTGATGTTTCGGTTTGGATTTAACTGTGAATGAAAAACTTTGAAAAGCCATATAATCCATCAATATTATATTTGCTAGCACCTGAGTTTCATACAACATCAAAGTATTTTTATGGCTTTGATATTTTTTTCTTCCGTAATTATGCCAGCCCAAGATATATTGCATTTAATACTCTTTTCCTGACTTGCTCTTATTAGCAGTTAACACTTTATGTAGAACATATGTAGAATTCCTGACATCTGTTATTGCAACCTTGTTTTGACTGATAATATACTAGTGTTTAATTTAGGACAAAAGGAGAACATATTTTCAAATCGCACATGTAAATTGAAGATTATCTGTCCTGTGTAACTATATATATTATGATATGCAAATACGTGCATGTGTATAAAAATGGACACTTCATGGTCATTAATATTAAAAGTCAAAACCAAAATATTGATTTACAAGAAAGCTAAATTGAAAAAAACTCCAAGGCATCTAGTATCACAGCTGTCAGAGGTCTCTTTTTTTTTTTTAATAGATTTTATTGTTTTTAGAGCAGTTTTAGGTTCACTGCAAAATTGAGCAGAAGGTATGGAGATATCTCATATGCCTCCTATCTCCACATATGCATAGCCTTCCTCACTATCAACATCCCACAACACATTTGTTACAATTGATGAACCTACAAGACACCCAGGTCCATACTTTACATGAGATTGCACTTTTAATACTGTACATTCAATTCTGTAGTTCATATTAGCGTTCATTCTTGGTGTTGTACATTCTACAGGATGTCATTCATGGTCAGGTAAATTCATATTTTAATGTCATGAATCTACCATTATATAGTAGTACTATACTGAGTAGTTTCACTGCCCTAAAAGTCCTCCGTGCTCCACTCCTGTGTTTCCCTTAGTTTAGCTGGGACTTTCCCACATGAATCCACACAGTTTTATCCAGTAAAGTGCGTGATGAGAGGTCTTGGGGCTTAAAAGGTCTTTTTAAAATGTAAATTGGGACATTTCACTGAACTGTTAAAAAGCCAGATACATGGCTTCTATTTGCACTTAGAACAAAATACAAACCCTTAAACTTTGCACATAAAAAACCTAAATGGCATGGCTCTTGCCCTCAAGGAGATTACAGTTAAATTTAGAATACAGGCATTAAAAAAACACTCATGAATGTACAGTTATAAATTGTGTTCAGTGGGATAAAGGAGAATGAAGAAGGACTATGAAAAAGGTTAACTTAAGGAATTTAAGTTAGACTGGTGGATCAAGGAAAATCTATTTGAAGAAGTGATATTTAGGTTAAGATCGTAGGTACGGAGGCCTGGAGAAGAGTACAGAAAAGAGCGTTCCAGAGGAGGAAGCATTTGTGTAAGAGCCTGAGAAAGGAAAGCCCTTGATCTGGAAGAACAGAAAACTCTTGATAATGGATTATTCAGAATGAATGACATAATGTAGTAAAATGACATTATATTAGTTGCAGATATTCTCTGCTCACCTCAGTGTTTCCTCGGTGCATTTCATAGTATTTGGTGTATGTTAGATGACCATTAAACATTTAATGAATGAACAAGTTTAATGGTAACAATAGATAAAGGAGGAGAAGGGATAATAGTAGCATCTATCTTATAAGATGGTGAGTAATAAATGAGATCACTCATAATAGCTGCTGATCTCAGAGCCTGACACACAGAAAGTGCTTGATATATGGTAACTTAAAAAAATTGAAGTCCCTGCTTTACACTTGAATTATTCTAAATGACTTACATGAAATGTTGGAAGGCAAACTAATTTTACAATTTTTAAGTGAAATAATCCCTGTGCACTACCAAAAAAAACCCTTTTTATTATTTGGGTTTCATGCTATTAATGTATTTTCCTCTGTGGTTCCTACATGGTTTGCAGAGGTAACACTCCTTTCCTTTCATATACAGACACACATACTTTTGGATGGTTGGTAGACAGTACATTATCAATAATGGTTTTGGGATAGACAATGGACTCAAACCTTGTGCCTCATTTCTGTATATCAAAACATGTCAAAGCCCCAGTTATAAACCTAGTTTTAAGCACAATTCTGAAGCTCTCCCAGATCATTCATCTTGGCTGTGCTCTGGAAGACCAAATCTAACAGTGCTGATATGCAGACATGAAGTACTTGCTTTCTGATTATTGAAGTAAGGGTCTGTATTCAAATCAGGCAATTTGCAGTTTCCTTGTTTCTAAATAAACCTATGAAGTTTCCTGTTGCTGAGGAAAAAATTTCTTTTGAATTATCCTGTCTTTAAATCTCTTGCCAAATGTTAAGCAAACTACTCAGAAACACATATTCATTTTTCTTAACCAGCAATACAATGCATTGCCCAAATATGATCAAACATCCTCAAACTTTGTCAATCACTTAAATTATTAAACAATAAAACATTAAACTCTGTAGCTAAAATAAAAATATATTCCCTGGTTTCTATGAAATTACGTTCTCATAGGTCATTTTTATATTCTTATTTCTTTAAATATGGCTGTTAATTTCATCCCTTCAACTAGAGGTTGCCATTCATGGTCAGGTAAGTTCAATTTCCTCTATTGTTTCACTTGGAACCTGAAACCCCATTCAAGCATCTTACAAATTCCTGCCATTGATCACAAAAACTGAGCAAGGAAATATGGATGACTAAGTGTGAATTCATTACTCTTATTAAGAAAATGACATAAAGTCCTACTGAGCAAGACACAATAGAATCATTTTCAAGTATTAGCCACAGAGTGGTGTCATTATAACATCACTTTCACATGTAAATATAAAATGAAAGTTTAATGTTAAAAATAAGAAAAAATGTAAATGTATAATAGACCAAAAATTGTTCTATTTTTGTCCTTGGGGCAGTGATGTTAAATCATCTCATATCTATGAGACATTGCTAGTTATAAGGAATATTCATGTTCTCCTTTTCTTCTTAGGCACATAGCAGTCAGTTCTGAATAATTGATTGTGAGCTGAAATAGTCATTTTTAGGCCTCTTCCATTAAGCCTCCATCTGAATACAGAGGATAACAAAGGCTTAGAGGAGAAGGGAGCCACAATATGGAAGGCCTGGATCCCTGAATGACTATGTGGATCACAATTCATCCTCCCCACTCCTACATCACCCCTCATGCCTACCCACATTGAATTGTCAGTAAAAATAAGCTTTGTTTGCCCAATACCACAGATATTTTAGGGTTGTTTGTTATAAAAGTTAGTCTACCTGGACCAATTCAATAACTGATTATATAACCCTGGTATTACTGAGTTTAATTGGAATCTATGGATATTAAAGCTTCTGGTCCGTGGGTTTTTGGAAACTAAATAGTGGTAAAACTTCCAAATTATTTACTATAGAAAGATGAATCATACCACAGAGCTGCTAGGGGCAAGTTTAATCAAATTGCCTATAAAGTGTTAAAATATCCATTTTGTGTAATGGAAGATCTATTTTAAGGTGTTCTAAATGGTAAAATAAAATCTTTCTGCCCAAAAGAAATGCTGCTTTCCATCACTATAGCTGACGTTTTGTAGCACATATTCCACAAAGATGGTAATACTTTAAAAATGTTCTATGGAAAAAAGGTGATCCCACAGGGAGCTGGTAATTGGCAGAAAAATCTCAAAATACTCAGGTAAGAAAGGCAGAGAGCTACAGCACTGCACAGCTTCAACCAAGAACTTGAAAAATACAGAAGTAAAGCACTTCTGAGGAATTAAGACTTACTACTTTAAAACTGAATTTGAAGGAAGAACAAAAGCAAATATTGGTGCCTTGACATAAGAAGCAAACTTATTTCCTCAAATTATACCTCATAGAAAAAGAGTAATGCAGCTCACACAGAAGAGGGTCCCAAGTGGAACAAATCTATATCCTTGGCCACATGGATTAAAGGTTTTCACCACTTCCTTAGAAAGGAGGAAATAGAGGTTGATAACGAAACCCATTGGATTTCCTTACATGTGTACACAATGGTGTAGAAAATATTCTCATTAATAAGTACGGCTTCAGTTATTTTCAGTAAATCATTTTGACATTCATGTTATCTCCTGAATTCAGGACTCTCCCCTGCTTCTATTATTAGAGTTTACATTTGGTGCTCATAAAGGCCAAACCAGGTAATGCTTACAGAATTTTGTGTTTGCAATGCTTACTTCTGCCAGTGTACAGAATAGTCATATACAGCCCCTTGTATGCTATCAACACCAAGCATATCTCAATAGTTGTCCGCTGCCTATTTCATGAAAACTGTAGTATATCAGGCACATGTTCAGCAAATCGTTAGCAAGACATAAAAGGGACACCAGCAAAGACAGATGATGACCTGTCCTGACCAAAGAAAGAATAAATTTTAAAAGTCACTGCAGTTATTAACCCTCAACAATCTCATAGCCCCAAAACTGAGCAATATGGCAGTCATCAATGAAACATAGAAATTCCTGTTGTAATAGCATCATTTATGTCTTTTCTTTCTTGATCTTCTTGCAAGGTAGTAACCATGAGGAGACATCGGATGTTTGGCAAAGGCCTTTGGAATTCACCTGCTAGGCCATGATATACATTTCCAGCCTGAGGATTTTGTACAAACTGTATATTAGATTTGCCTTAGTTAGAATACAAATGAGCAACTTGAGCTCAGCATGGAAGTTTGCAGAGCTCTCTACTTGCACATTTTACTGGGTATAGCTCAGAGAGAAAATTATTGTTTAATAGCTGTGGTCCATAAATGTCAAAGAAAGGAATGGGCCGTTCTCCATTGGGAAATGACCACAGGACTGTGGCCTCTCATTCAGTATTCATCCTGAAGCCTAAAGATTGAAGCCCGGTTCCCAAAGACCAATCTCAAAGAGAAGAATGAGGAAAAGAAACAAAATAAATAAAAGAACAAGGAGCAGCAGGACCATGTAGCCCATCAGGCCCATTCCAGCCCACACCTTCCTAAGGAGAGACCATGGGTGCAGGCATGACCAATGAATTTATTTACCAAGAAATGAATATCTGACAAACCAACCCATTTCATTTTCTGTTTGGCTTAATTTTGTGGTTGCCAACATGATAAGAATAACTTATATCACTGAATTTTTTTCATCTGAGATAATTCATTGACTGAATTGACTAGTCATTTGTAATGCAGGCTTGATACAAAATTGGATAATTGAACCCCTCTTCAGAGCAATTTCTCCTGTAAGATGAACTAATGATCATAGAAATACATAGTTTTCACAACTATTAATTGGTTTATTGCCAATCCAGAATGCAGCCTGCGTAAATACTACATCTAAGCAATTCTCAAAGGTAAAGAATGAAGTTTTTCTCCTGGTCCTTTGTTCTGTATTTCAAAAACAACCTGTTACATATTTTTGTTCATTTGTATCTCCTTTCCACTTACCTAGAGAAAACTGAACAGAAATAATAAAACAAGCACTTTGTATTTTGTGCCATTGTGTGACCCTGTTCCTTTGCAAAGTATGTTTCTAGATCCCTCTGGAATTAGAATGGACATTATTAATGTGACAGGTTTCATTGCCATGCACCCATGCACCCTATTATTTGAACTGCTCTTGGGCACTCTTTCCCTTTGGGCAAGACTAGACCAGCTCTCTAAGGGTTCTAGTTTTGCCTGACCACTCTCCCCTTACCCCTAGCGTGAATATATAATCCATTGGGCTTGGCAGTTGTCTCCTTAGAACTTTGAAATTGTTTGAATAAAACCTATACCTGATGTATAGCAAAGATATAACCATAAAACTTTTGAACATTAAAAACCTTTTCCTGTGTTTTGGTACTAAATACTCACTGATTTACATTTGTATGTGATTAACATATCTGAAGTTTTCTATTTCTATTATGAAAAGCAAACATTACTGACATAATGTTCCAATTACTCTTCTTAAAATTCATTCACATAATAAAGAAACACTGGATGTTGCAGAAATAAAAAGCTCCATTCTCTGCTTCTACACCTGAGATTAATACATCACAGTTTTTGAAGCTGAATTCCCCAGTTTCCTATTGATCTACTTATGGAATTTAGGGTTTCTAGAGCTCACACATAATATATTAAAAGAAAAAAGAATAATTAAGTTGATCATTGTCTAGGATAGGTTGCTTTTTATTGCTGTATGATATACATAAATCTTTTTTAATTTTATATTTTTATTGATATAGTTTTATATATTGTGGGGGTACATATGATATTTTGATACATGTCTACGATATTGAATGATCAAATCAGGGTAATTGGCATATCCATCATCTCAAACATGTATCTTTTCTTTGTGTTGGGAACATTACAATTCTTCTCTTCTAGCTATTTTGAAATATTCAGTAAATCATTGTTAATTATAATTTTCCTGCTGTAGTATCGAATACTAGAACTTATTCCTTCTATCTAACTGTATTTTTGTACCCATGAACCAACTTCTCTTCATTCTTCACTCACACCTTCCCTTTTTAGCCTGTGATAATAACCATTCTACTCTCTACCTCTGTGAAATCCACTTTTGTAGCTCCCACATAAGAGTGAGAACATGCAATATTTGTCTTTCTGTGCCTGGCTAATTTTACTTAAACACAGTGACTTCCAGTTATATCCATGTTGCTTCAAATGACAGGATTTCATTCTTTTTTATGGCTGAGTAATATTCCATTATGTATATATACCACATTTTATCCATTCATTTGTTGATAGACACTTAGATTGACTCCATATCTTGGCTATTGTGAACAGTGCTGCAATAAACATGGGAGTGCAGATTCCTTTTTGATATACTGATTACCTTTCTTTTGAATATATATACACAGCAGTGCAATTGCTGGATCATATGCTATTTTAAAGTTTTGAGGAACCTCCATACCGTTTTCGATAATGACTGCACTACATTACATTCCCACCAACAGTGTATGAGCATCCTCCTTTCTCTACATCCTCACCAACATTGGCTATTTTTTGTCTTTTTTGGTAATAGCCATTTTAACTGGAGTGAGATGATATCCCATTGTGGTTTTGATTTGTGTTTACCTGATGATTAGTGATGTTGAACTTTTATTCATATACCTGTTGGCCATTTGTATGTCTCTTTTGAGAAATGTCTATTCAGGTCTTTTGATCATTTTTTAATCAGATTATTTGCTTTTTTACTACTGAGTTGTTTGAGTTCCTTATATATTCATGTTACTAATCCCTTGTTAGATGCATACTTTGCAAATATTTTCTCCCATTCTGTAGGTTATCTCTTCACTTTGTTAATTATTTCCTTTGCTGTGTAAAAGCTTTTTAGCCTGAAGTATTCCCATTTGTCTCTTTTTGCTTCTGTTGTCCATGCTTTTGAGGTCTCACCCCAAAAATTTTTCCCCAGACCAATGACCTGTAGCATTTCCACAGTGTTTTCTTCTAGTAATTTCATAGTTTCAGGTCTCACATTTAAGTGTGTATTTCATTTGCAGTTGATTTTTGTACGTGGTGAAAGATGGGATCTAGTTTCATTCTGTATATGGTTATCCAGTTTACCTGGCACCATTTATTTAAACAGTCTGTCCTTTTCCTATTGTATGTTCTTGGCACCTTTGTCAAAGATGAGTTGGCTGTGTGTGGATTTGTTTCTGTGTTCTCTATTCTGTTCCATTGGTCTATATGTCTGTTTTTATGCCGGTACCATGCCGCTTTGGTTATTATAGCTTTATTACATAATTTGAAATCAGGTAATGTGATGCCTCCAGATGCTCAGAATTCCTTTGCCTATTTGGAGCCTTTTGTGATTCCGTACGAATTTTAGGATTTTTTTTATATTTCTGTGAAGAATGTCATTGGTATTTTGATAGAAATTTTAATAATATTATTTCAATCCATGAGCATGGAATATCTTTCCACTTTTTTGTGTGTCCTCTCGACTTCTTTTATCAATGTTTTAATAATTTTCCTTGTAGAGATGTGTCACTTCTCAAGTTTATTCCTAGTTTTTTGTAGTTACTATAAATGGAATTACTTTCTTGATTTCTTCTGCAGATTGATCATTGTTAGTGTATAGAAATGCCACTGGTTCTCGTATGTTGATTTTATATCCTGTAACTTTACTAAACTTATCTTTGGGTGATGTTTTTAATTTTTTCTAAATAAAAAATTTTGCATAAGATCTGAATATAAGATTGTTACATTGTATTATCTTAAATATAAGATCAAATAAACATATATAAGATCATTATAATAATCAAATAATCATATGATCAAATAATCTCATATATAAGATCATTATAATAATCTTATATTTATATTTGCAATATAAGATCATTGCAAACAATAATAATTTGAAATCTCCCTTTCCAATTTGAATGCTCTTTATTTCTTTCTCTTTTCAATTGCTCTGAGTAGGACTTCTAGTACTATGTTGAATAAAAGTGGAGATAGTGGCCTGGCATGGTGGCACATGCCTGTAATCTCAGCTGCTCTGTGATAGAAGAATCGCTTGAGCCCAAGAGTTCAAGGTCAGCCTGGCAAACATAGTGAGACCTCGTCTGTAAAATCAATTTTTTTTTCATTAGGAATAAATAGTGAAAATAGGATGCATCTTTCCTTCAATTTGCCCCTGATCTTGGTTATGCGTGTAGCCAACATAAGTTAACTCCTCATTTCCAATAGTTTCAGTGTTCATAATTGGAATTTCATTTCCAGAAAACTTATTTTATTCCATAAAACACTCCAATTGATCAGTAGAGAAAATAAGATACAAATATATGATGTTTATAATTTTCAAGTGTATAAAATCAAATTTTCGTGAAAAACAACATTTAAATATTCCTTTAGAATTTGGATTGTTTTTTTTTTTTTCTTTTGCATGAACAGGACAAGTAAAGGCTTCTCAAAATAAAATCAGTAAAATCTAAGCTGAAGAAACCATCTCTTTACCTGGTAAATCTTCCTATGGCAAACAGGCATTTTTCATTTACCAAAGACATTTGAACTGCTTCCAAAATTTATGTTATCTGTCTCAAAAATTTCCATTGACAATTTTATAACCACACAAGTCTGTGAATGGTAAATTATGTGGAGAAGGGCAGTTGCCATCGTAATTCCTCTTTCTTAAGCATCTCTTGCTCCCCCATTTCAGTTAGAGTTTCATTGCTCAGCTCCTGGGAATTCATGGGATTCTTAGAATGCAACTACCAACAAACTCAGCTGAGCCCGCATCTCAGGATTAACCAGGCAGTGCTGTCACTGGAACAGCAAAGTGTGTGAGTTCTCACTGGTCCCAGTTCTTAGTCAGTTGTAATTTTAAGTTATTATTATTACCAAAGGGATAAAAAGGATATAAGTGTGTAACTCACTAGTTATAAACTGGAGGCCACCATAATTTAGACTACTTTATTATCCAGTACTTAGTGATTTTTCAGATGCAAGTACCATCTAGTCACTTTATAGGTCACAATTGTTGTAATAAATTCATCTTTCAAAAAACCCTAATTTAAAACTGCACAGAAGATACAGCATATTTTGTTTAAATACCTACATGAGACAGGAGTCCCCAAGAGATCTTCATGGATTCTATCAATGGATATGAGCACATATTTTCTGAAGCAAGAAGTACATGAGATATACGATCACCAACTAAGCAACTGTACTGTTTCCAGTTTTTGGCTTTACAGACTCTTTGAACTGACCAAATACTAATCAGATATTTTTACTTTTGTTCTGAGAAATATGTTTTATGGTATTCAAATATGATATTAAGAAAATAGATATTATTTCCTTTTTACTAACAAATAGATATTGTATTTTTCTCACATGAGTTTTCTAAATCTATTGAGAAGATCACATTTTTTCTCCTTTGCCCCATCATTATGGTAAGATTATATTAACAGATTTCCAAATATTGAACCATCTATCAGTCAGAGTATCCTAGATGATGCTGTACCAACAAAAATTATTCTATCTCCATGATTGACAGAATTTCTCAGACTTTGCGCTAACATTTTGGATTGGATAACTCTGTTGTGGGAGGCTGTCTGGTGTATTGTCAGATGTTTAGCAGCATTTCTGGCAATTACCCACTAGATGCCATAGGTGCAACCCCTGCGGAAGTTGTAAAAACCAAAAAATGTTTCTAGATATTGCCAAATATTCTTTTGGGAAGGAAAATTGCCTCCAGTCAAGGGCCATTGCTTTAAATCAGTGAGGTTTTGTTTTCCTTCACAGTGCATATCTCTCAAACATCAGTTGGAGTCTCTCCTCTACACCCCTCTCTCTGGGATTCAGGATGATAGAGCTGCCACCATCTAGAGCTTTCCTGGATACAGTGGCAAAGGGAAAAAGAAAGGATGTGCAAATTGCACACCAACTCTTAAAACTGCCTCCCAGAAGTGATGTTTTACTTCCACGCTTATACATTTAGCCAAAACAAATAACATGGGTACCCCTAAATTCAAAGGAAATTGGGAAATGTAGCATGTGCCTGAAAGACATGGAGCCAGTCATATCGGTGTGCTGACGTATTAACATCAAAATATTATTTGAGAATCTGTTTTGAAGTATAAATTCTAACTCAGGCACATTTTCTTAGTAAGAATGTAAACAGCACACTGCATGCCGAGAATGTTCTCATTTAGTCTGCTTTGTTATTCATGCCTACAGACCTACAGGGTGGTTGTATTGGGTTGATGTATTTTTTATTGCTCTTTCACTATATGAATTACTTCTTTTTTTCAGTTAACCACTTACACTTGTGCAATCCACAGTAGAATATCAATATTTGTGGTTTGGGTTATTTAAATAATGTGTGTGAGAAATATAAAAAGCAAATAAACCATAAAATAATAGAAGAAGGAACTCTCAATCTGTACTTATTGGAATGATTTTATACTTGATTATAGGGAGTTCAAATTGACAGGCTGGGTGTGTAGGATATGCTCCTCTCAACACTCTGTAACCATGATCGGCTTCTCACACTTATTTCCAGCCTGAGGTTCCTTGCCTCTTTTATCATCTTTTGATAAATCTCTATAGCGGTGCTATTGTAGTATAGCTCACTTGCTAATAAAAAGTGCGGCTTTAAATAATTATATAAGGTGTTGTTCATATGAGTGGTACAAAATAAAATTGCATTTTCACATTATTTTAAAACTGTAAACTGGAAATATGACGTGGACAACAAACATTTCCTAAGTGTTTATTGTGTAAAGGCTTTACGTGTCTTCCTCCGTGCTGTAACACTATGACAGTTTTATAAATAAATCACTGAAAGTTACACAGCCAGCAGGGATAAAGTCTGCGTTTGAACTTAGGCCAAACTTGTTCAACTCCCCCATGTTTCTTCTCTAATGTCTCTTACTAGGTAATATAGTGAATCTAGGCTTATTCCTAATGACTAATTTTACCATATATAAAGAAATTCAGCCAAAATCTGTCCGTGAAGTGATAAGCACTGTGAAAATTTAGTGTATAGCATCCTATGCATATTTTTAAAAATAAAGATCATTTTCTAAATTCTAAAACATAATTTTATAACTATGTAATTTTCTACTTTGAGGGTTCTCCATAATAATTTGACCTACCCCCTACTGTGTTTGCACATCAAGATTGTTTCTTGACCCGGCACAATGGCTCATGTCTGTAATCCCAGCATTTTGGGAGCCTGACACTGGTGGATCACTTGAGGTCAGGAGTTCGAGACCAGCCTGTCCAATATGGTGAAACCCTGTCTCTACTAAAAACACAAAAATTAGCCAGGCGTGGTGGCGTGTGCCTGTAATCCCAGCTACTCGGGAGGCTGAGGCAGGAGAATCACTTGAACCCTTGATCCCGGGAGGCCGAGGCTGCAGTGAGCCGAGATCATGCCACTGCACTCTAGCCTGGGCAACAGAGCAAGAGTTCATCTCAAAAAAAAAAAAAAAAAAGATTGTTTCTCAGGGTTAGCCATTAAAAGTAATGCTGTAGTGATATCCTCAAATAAACAGTTTTGCCCAACTCTGTTTTCTTAAAATAAACTTCCAGAAGAGAAGATAATCTTTTCATTCGTAATTCTAACTTATCTTACAGAAAAGTTTGCTAAATTATACCATTAATAATAATGCCTGTTTCTCAACTATTTCTCCAATATAAGGGAAAAAAATTATACCTCCTCAAAAAACTTTTCCAATTTCAAAGCAGAAAATGTCATCTTGTTTTGATTTGCATTTCTTTATTAGTTAAGTTAAACTTTTCTCTCTCTCTTTTTCTTTTTGTGGTTATGAGTATTTCTTCAATGTGAGTTACCAGTTTCCTGTTCTTTGCCCATTTTTCTATTACGGAGGACTCCTCTCCAGAGGCCTTTACTATAGCATTCTACTCAAACCTGTTGTTTTTCTCAACATACCATTTTTGCTTTCCAGTATAATAGTTGATTAACATTTAGAAAACCACAGCTGTGTTTTTCTGAGTTTATTTCATTTAATCTTCTTGTTTTATAGACTGTTTGACTGTATTATTTGGAGTCAGACATCTAGGAATTAAATCCAAGCTCAGATACTGTGCTAGCTGTGGGACCTTGGGCAAGTCACTTTATTCCTCAAAGATTAATTTCTTTTTCTGTGAGTATGCATCATAATTTTTACCTATGACACTTACGTACATAGTACCTGGCATAGTAAGTGTATAGTGAGTACTCAGAGTAAGCTTTGTTATTGCTTGTATTGTTATTAATCTTAATATTAAATATGATGACAGGGCCGGGCACGGTGGCTCACACCTCTAATCCCAGCACTTTGGGAGACCCAGGCAGGTGGATCACCTGAGGTCAGGAGTTCTAAACCAGCCTGCTAAACATGGTGAAACCCTGTGTCTACTAAAAATACAAAAATTAGCTGGGCATGGTGGTGGGCGCCTGTAATCCAAGCTATTTGAGAGGCTGAGGCATGAGAATCACTTGAACCTGGGAGGCAGAGTTTGCAGTGAGCCAAGATCCCAACACTGCACTCCAGCCTGGGCAACAAAGGGAGACTCTGTCTCCAAAAACCAAAAAATCTGAACTCCAGGAAGGCAAAGTGATCTAAATTTCAACAGAAATCTTCTTTCACTTTTATGAACCCCTTTTGCTTTGTTAAAGGATGGATTCTAATAAAATTCTAATAAAATAAATAAATAATGGACCTGGTATTTTTTAAAAGAGCAAGGCATCATATCATATCTCAGATATTGCCAAGTAAGACAGCCACTTTCATGCCTATGTGTATGATAGACTCATACATATAATTATGTATAACTATAATATTTTATATTATACCACCTAGCAAAGAGTTTCTAATTTCCTAAAGTGATAATATACATTTGTTTTATTTTATTGGACAAGTGAAAATATTATTTCATGAAAAATATATAATTTATCCTAAATTATCTAACAATCAATTGATCTGTATATTGATCTATCAGTTGATCACTCTATTGCTTTATCTAGGTGTAAACAGAACTTATATGCTTAAGTATATTTTGTTTGCAATTGACAAGCAATTTGGGTGTCCATTTCTGCCTCTCAAATGGAACCTACTTATAACTATTTTCATTTTATTTCAAAATGGATCCTGCATATGACCTCAGTACCCATGTTTTGATATTTGTAAAAGACCACAGGTGGATTTTATATGCTAACTAAAAAGAGCTAGAGATAGAATGAATAAGATGTAGTACGTGATAGCACAACAAGGTGACTACAGTCAATAATAATTTATTGTCCATTTAACAATTACTAAGAGTATAATTGGAATATTTGTAACACTAGGAAATGATAAATACTTGAGGCAATAGATACCACATTTACCTTGATGTCATTATTACACATTGTATGCTTTATCAAAATATCTCATAAATATATATACCTATTATGTATCCATCAAACTTACAAATAAAAATGAATTTTGAAAAATAAAGAAAAAAATAAAAATGAGAAGAGCTGGAAAGAATTACTCTTTAGTCCTAAAAGAATATGCAAAATGTTTGAAGGGTAAGAAATCATCATGGCAGGCAATATCATTCATCGTCTGTGGATTTTACATCTTTGCTGAGAAAGCATGCACCAGTAAGAGGAAATTATTGGCTACTTAGATAATTGAAGTTGAATTTAATGGATTCTGCTATTAACCAAACTTGAAAGATTTCTTGTTTCCCTAAGATGAGCAAAGGATTAATCAAATATATGTTTGTGAGATTGGGTAGCTCAAATAAATGATCCTCATAACCATTTTATCTTGGTTTTTTTAATTCTAAATCTTAGGGAGAGGAGAGAACAGGAACAAAGAGGAGATTTTTGTCCTTCAGTAGCTTACAATGCAATGAATATATTTTTTAAAAATGGAAGCACATAAAATGAATAAAATATGTAAAGTGAACTGTTATTAGTATTAGTAAGGAAACCCACAAAGGGTTGAGAAGAAGAATGTGCAGGGAAATCTACCCTAGACAGGATGCCAGGAGAAAGTGAGAGGAGACCAATGAGATCTGGACAGCGACCCAGGAGAAGGAGCGGGCCTCTCGTAGGGGTACAGAGGCAGACGAGCCACACCTTACATGGTCTCCAGGGAGGAAGGAGTTGTACTTTATGTCAGCTGTAATGGGAAGGTCTTTAAAACTTAAATCATTGGAGTAACATCATATAAAGATGTTTCAAGGAACATCTCAATGATATTCAGACAGTAAGAGGAAATAGGACTTAAACGGAGTTATTAGTGGGAGGTATTCCCTAAGGGAAAAGAGAATCCCTGAATAAAAAAGGGTGAGGTGTAGTACTTTCCTAGTTCAGTTCTAAACTACAGAAATCTAAACTGGATTGCACATCTGTGAGTCATATACGTTAAACTAAATTATACTCAGTGCTTTTTTTTTTTGATAAGCAAAGATAGGTGCCCATAATTCAAATTTTAAAAAAAAATGAAGAGATCCAGAATTAGAGAAAAAGGGCAGTCAAAGGCAAAATGAAGAGAATTTGTGAAATTATCTACATCTGGAAAACCCTAAAGTTAGGATATGAAGGATAAAAAGACCAAATAAAATGGAAATGTTGGATGGAGTAACCTGAAAGCTATGGGAAAGATGAAAATGCATTTTGATTGTTCTCATAAAAGATGGAAAGCTGGGAATCTGGAATAGGTAAGGCTACAAAAATACATCAGTTACAGACAATTCACAGAGTAGAAATTCTTTTTCAGTATATAAAAAAGATTGTCCCACATACATACATTTTTTTATTACTATTTTGCCACTAACTTGGAGAAGGGAAGGGAATATGCAGGTCTTTCCTTTCCCAAAGCACGTGATTGGACCCCAAGAAGCAGAAGTCCATTTGGTGTCACCTAGAACCATTCTAAAATTGATCACTGCTTTGCACAAGCTCATCCAGGATCTGTCAGGGCATGTCTGTGCCTTGGCATCACACACAGTAGAACAGGATTCTGGAGTGAAGAGGAAATTAAGAAGCAGAGAATGAAGAGAAGGGTAGCTGACTATGTTATAATCATTTCTTGAGGAACAAAATAAGACTAAATCAAACTATGGGATTTGTTCTCAGTTTATTTTTAATAATTAAACTTCTATGCTAGAAAATGTCAAAATGAAAAATTAACAAAATCATATGATGAACTCTATATAACCATCACCTGGCTCCATCAAATGTTAAAACTCCGCCATTCTTTCATCTTCTATACTTCTAGGCACTTTCTGATGATTTATTTGTAATGTGAGAGTTTAAAATCTGTTTTTATGCTTACACAAAGCTAATTCTTACTAAGGGAGTATAACTATATAAGTGATATTATTCAGCATTAGCTTTTTGCTGGCTAATATTAACTTGATGGTTTTGGCAGTAACGGGGGTAGAACAGAAAAATACTTTTTTTATCTGGCTTGTATTTCATCCTGGCTAAACTCGAAATTTAAATATTTTGTGTCATTTACAAGAATCCTGAAATAGGAGAGTTTAAAGAACAGGGTTCTAACCCTGTGCTCTTGCTGTCTTTGTGACTTTAACTGCTCTTGTGACTCTATTTTCTCATGTGTACCCTGAGATAACTTAATGAGATACTCCCAAAGCAGATCTTTATTCCCAAGTGGCTTATTCCCTGTTCCAAAAAATGGCCTCCATACTTCTCATCCCCATCCACAGTCCTACCTTCTCCCCAAGACACAGTTCAAGGTTTCCTTTCCATCTTGTAGTTAGAAACAGTTCGAGGCCAGGCGCAATGGCTCACGCCTGTAATCCCAGCACTTTGGGAGGCCAAGGCGGGCAGATCATGAGGTCAGGAGATCGAGACCAGCCTGGCCAACATGGTGAAACCCCCTCTCTACTAAAAATATAAAAATTAGCTGGGCCTGGTGGTGCACACCTGTAATCCCAGCTACTCGGGAGGCTGAGGCAGGAAAATCGCTTAAACCAGAGTCGGAGGTTGCAGTGAGCCGAGATCGCGCCACTACACTCCAGCTTGGCAATAGAGAGAGACTCTGTCTAAAAACAAAAAAAGGAAAGAAAGAAACAATTCAATTCATTTCAACCAATACTTATTGGGGGCAGATTATGTACCAGGCACTGTTTTAGGCACCAAAGATACAGAAGTGAGCGGAAGCAACTCAAATCTCTGCCTCATTAGGCTTCCATTCTAGTGGGGTGGCACACAACAAAAAAGATGAATAATTGAAATACGTAGTAGTAAGCAGTATGTCAGATACTGATAAGCACTAAAGAAAAATAAAGCAGCTTCCTGAGAACTAGAAAGTGTATGTGTGTCAGGAGAGGAGGGAGAAGGTAAAGAACAAGGAAGGTAGCCATAGAGATACCTAAGAGAAGACCGTTCTAGGCAGAGGGCCGTCAAACACAAAGGCCCTATAGTGGGCTCTGCTTGCTGTTTTAGAAGGGCTGTCAGGAAGCCCTTGTGGCCAGAGTCCAGTGAACAAGAGAAAAGGTACTAGTTCAGAGAGGTGGGGGCTTAGAAGTGGCCAGCAAATGTTGAAAGGCCTCATATGTCACTTTTATGACATTGGCTTATATTTTGAATGAAATAGGAACTCTTTGGGATTAAAAAGGACCCATAGGATTGGACTTAGGTTTTAACAGATTCACTAGTCTAGCTAAGAAGGGCAGAAGCAAGGAGAACAGTTAGGGTACTGCTATAATCCATATTACACATGAGAGTAGCTTGGACCCGCCTGCTGGGTGTGGGAGTAGTGAAAAGGGGTTAGATGCTGATCTATTTTGAAGGTACAGCTGGCAGGATTTGCTGCGAGGAGTGAGAGACAGAGAGGAGGCAAGGATGATACTAAGGTTTTTTTGTTTTTTTTTTCTGAGCACTAGAAACATGGAGCTCCTTTTAACAGAGAGGGAAGAATCTATCAGGGGTTGTGGGGGGTGATAATCCTGGTTGATTACCACCTCTAATACACATGCAATCCATAAATGTCCAGTAGACACCTCCTCTCTGTTTCTCTCCCAGCCTGCTTCACTATCTCTCTCCTTCATTCCTCTGTCTCCCTCTGTCTCACATTCATAGTGTGTTCTTGTCTAGTGTATGAAGTCTCACCAAGGAAGTGTCCAGGCAGAGTTTGCGGAGAGTGAAAAAGTGACTGTCCTCATATTTGTCTTTTGGTGTCACACCATATTGGGTGACCCTTCAGCTTTTCTCTAAAATTGCATAACATTTTAAAATCAAAAGAGATCATAAAGAATATCTTGTCCAACTTTTCACTTTATAGATAAGGACACTTAGCTCAAATAAGTTAGATGATACACCTAGAAGACAGGAAAGAGGAGAAATAAATAGTATGGCTTTCTCAAAAGCAAGGAGTAAAGATATAACCGTGAGAGAAGCAATTATGTGAGTAAATGACATAGTTTTAAATCCCAAAAAAGGAAACAAATAACAGAGTTCCAAAATAAAAAAAATGTTACACATATCCCCAGAGCAGAAAAGTGAGTGGCATCAAAGGCAGCACCTCTGACATGATGGCAAAATTGACAATTCATTTTACAAAGCTTTTAACAGCTTTTCAATTCAATACTTTCCTAAATTTGTAAAAATTAAAATAGAATACTTACACAGTTTTGTACTATTGGGCTGTAAAAACCAATAAAAATGGTTTCTAAAATAAAATGATCCAATCTCCATTTTGTTTGCAAATCCTGGCTTGCATAAATCTAATTGACTTTTAAACAAACTGACTTGAAGCAGAACAAAATTAAAAGCATTCCTTGGATGTAGATTTTTCTCCCATTTTAAAATATTTAATTAGTTTCATTTTGTTTGGGTTTTTGAAGTTAAATGATAGCTTCAAATTATGTTATAACAAAGCTCTAGGGTGATAACTTTATTGTTTCGTTTGAATTTTGTTCATTTTGTTTAGTGAACATATAGTTATAAGGACAGGGTAATATAAACATTTATCCCCTAATAACTTCACATATACGCATGAAGAAAGGCCTGTTAATCTTAGCCAGGCACCATGCACGCCTAACAAGAACCTTTAGAATGATGCAAAAAAATAGTTCTAAGCTATTGCATTATTTAAGGGTGTAGAGATGGAAAGATTATACCTTTCCTCAACCTTCTTAGGGTCACAGCCAACACTCCTGTAACAAAAGACAGGTTAACAAGAGAAAAGCATAACAGATTTATTTATTCAAAGCTTTACTTGACACAGCAGCCATCAGAAAGACCCAAATATACAGAGAAAACTATCCATTTTTATGCTTAGTCTTCATGAAGAATAGACATCCATGTAGAAATGTGATTGGACAAAAAGAGTATGATCTAACGCTAATAGACTGAGTGGAGAAACCCAGCAAAGCCTGTCCAGATTTTTTTTGGCCTCTGTTATAGCATTTCTTCCTCCTGGGTATAGGGCAGCACCCTTCGGAATCAGGGTCTTATGACCTACTATCGGAAGAGGTTAAGTCAGAGAAATGTCTTTATGGCCAACCCCTAGACAGAAAGGTGGGGAAAGTTAGAGTGATAACTAGTTTTTATGACTAGCTTTGGCTAATAGGGGTTCTGGTTTCTATGACCTGCTTGGAGGAAGAGAAATTCTGATTTCTATGACTTACTTCTGGAGAGAATGAGGAGCAAGAGACAGGAGGGGAAGAGAAGGTCAGAGAGGCCCTGGTTCTGAGGCTGCTTCTGAGGTCTTCTGAGATCCTTTATTCCAAAGTACTCAGCATGCCAACATGCCATACTTTGGGATATTGTTTCCTGAGCCCCAACATTAGTAAGAAAAAAAAAAAAACCTAAAACATTTGACATGGTTTACACTTGATCTGAACTTTTCTGAGCTTCAGTTTTATCTGAAATACTGGAATGATCAGACTTGCTTGATCTACCTAATTGGATGGTTATAATGATCAGATGAGATAACATCTTTGAAAGCTCCCTGATACACTATGTCAACGCAATTAGTATGACCATTCCAAAAACATGTCAACTTCTTTTTTTCCTGATTAAAAAAGGGCTATATCCCAGACTCAGTCAAAGAAGAAAACGGGTGTTTCCGTATTCTTTAAATAAAATATGTGTGTCTCTAAGCTTGACATTTTAAAGAAGTAGGCCACATCCTGTGTGCTAAAATAGAAATATGGTGAGTTTTTCTTCAATTCCTAAAATTAAACGTGATTTCACTACAGTAGTTATTTTGCTATTTAACAATGTACACAGGTGTTCGTCAGTACAGCACTGCTGTCTACAAACTGGGGTCAGGAACTCAGCACTGGTGGATGTGGTTGCTTGAGGAAGGAGAGTTCCTCAACCTGAGAGCCAGAAATTGACACCTTGTGGATTCACCCACTGTAATTCAATTACACTTTATTGATTTCCAATGGAGAAAATCTACAGGGGGCAAAGCTCCAGGTTCCTGTACAGCGGAACTCCCATCCAAAAACACTAGAAACCAATTTAAAAACATACTGTTTCCAAAATAGCATAGTAAATGAATAGGCTATCAAGAGACATCTATAATTATGTTTCTTTTTTCTCATCATACGAACACACATACACCTTCAGACTGACACATTTAACCATCTCCAGGTTAAATCAACATCCTCCAAAAATAACGCTGACATGGCTTTATGTCAGGAAAACAGTCCTTTTTCTCCGACTGGTCATTTCAGATTTTATTTTAGCATTAAAAGTTGTTTGTTTTGTTAGTAAAAGATACTGAAATCTTTATTCAAGTATGTGTCTAAATCTCTACATTCAAAATTCTTACTGATCAACCTTGAGGATTTTATCTTGAAGAGCGATAGCATGATCAGTTAACTCCCACATATTAGTGAATATTACTGAGCACCTAATATTTTTCTTGGGCACTCTGCTACGTGCTGTGGGGAATATAAATGGAGAGGAATCAGTCTTTGCCATCAAGATGTTTGCAGACTAGTTGGAAGATAATACAAAATGTAAAAAAAAAAAAAAAAAAAAAAAAGGTAAGAATCATTTTCAAGTATTGTCAAAATTGAAGAAATGACATGAGATAAGGAATCTCATTTACCAAATCAAAATCTCCAGAGATGGAGTCTAATAATATGTATTCTTAAAGTTCCCAAAAGAAGTCTGAGAGATGCACAAGGTTTAGAAGCACTGAAGTATATGTGTTTTTGCCTTTTTTCCTTACAGTCTCTCATCAGAGGGATCTGCTTAGTACTGTCAAAGTTTACAAAAAAGCTGTTCGGCACCACGTTTGTCAGCTTTGCCCAGGCCATATCTGCTTGGCCCACAGGCAGTCTGTATGTGACACAGTCACCATCCCCTATTTTTCTTTATTTCTGACAGTCTTTCTCAGTGTCATTTAATGGCTTCAAATCTTTTCTCACTTCTCAACTATTGATGTTCCCTCTCTTCTTTCTTTGCACCTAGGCCCTTCCTGGCTGTTATCACCCATTAAACCCACTTCAGCTAGAGGGTTCAGTTATGCCCTAGGGGATCCCTAAATCTGCATTCCCAGCTCTGAACCTCTCCAACTCAGTTTCTGTCAAGGATTCCACACTCAAAATGTTTAACATCCAACTCATTTCTTCCCCACTCCTTTATCAAAGGACTCACCTGCCCCGCACTGACTCTCGGCCTACTGTGGGTAGGCAAAAAGAAGTTAGAACAGCGAAGAATGGAAAGACGAGGCTAGAAGCCAGTCCGCCTCAAATCGCCCTTGCCCATGACTTTGCATCCACTTGTTTACTAAGACCTGTTTGTTCTACCTAATGGATTTATGGTGAATCTTTCCTCTTCACTCCTCCAACTCCAGCTGACGTGTTTCAAGTTATCGCTTAATTGCCGACGTTCTCCTGAGTTGGAGGAAGCTCACCTCTGACTCCATTTTGTGCTACTTTTTCACCTCATTAGAAATGAACCTTTTTTCTTAAGGTAACTTCTAATATTTAGAAATTGTTTTGAATTTTGAAAAATCTGAACTACACTGATTTTAATTTTACTTTCACTATTTCATCATTTATGAAGTTGCCTAAAACATGTAGAATTTTAAAGAATTACGTAGGAACTTCCAAGGGGTTAAGAAATATAACAATTGAAGGAAGATATTTACATTTTGTTCTTAAAGATTTCAAAGCAAAAATTCAGCAATGTCTTTAATACCCAATTTCTTACAGTGACCTCTTCCAGTGCCTACCTCGCTAATAGTTAGGATGTTTTTTCTGATGTTAACATTCTTTACTTTAATTTTGTCCTAAAGCATTATTTCTTCTATTATAAAAGCATTATTTCTCATTTAAAATTTCTAATATAATTTTTTACTATGTAAGCTATTTCTTTCCCATAGAAATATATTGTCCTATAGGTGACAATTGAATATGTAGGTTATTTCTTTTTCTCCCCTTTATCATAAATCTTGAAGAGGGAAGTTGTTCCTCAATTTAGTTCCCATTTTCTCCCTCAATAGCATAGATGCTTTAAGCATCTTTTCCTTTTTTGTTTATTTAGTAGATGGGGAGAAATTTCTGCACATTTATGTGGGCAATAATTCAAGCCTTTATGCAAATTTTTTTTACATAGTAGGCTCTTCACATTTAACCCTCTGCTATATTCTTTTTTTTTTTTTTTTTTTGTGAGACGGAGTCTCACTGTGTCGCCCAGGCTGGAATGCAGTGGTGACATCTCGGCTCACTGCAAGCTCCATGTCCTGGGTTCATGCCATTCTCCTGCCTCAGCCTCCCGAGTAGCTGGGACTACAGGCGCCCGCCACCATGTCCGGCTAATTTTTTGTATTTTTTAGTAAAGACGGGGTTTCACCGTGTTAGTCAAGATGGTCTCGATCTCCTGACCTCGTGATCTGCCCGCCTCAGCCTCCCAGAGTGCTGGGATTACAGGCGTGAGCCACCCTGCCCGGCCATCCCTCTGCTGTATTCTTACCACAGTATCTCACAATCAGAAGAAATGAATAAGATGAAGTAAATTGTTTCAGTAATCAGAAGTCATTCCCCAAACAATCTATCTGAATATCATTTGTGAGGCCATCTACACAAATGACAACTCCATTGCTTGCTCAAGGTGCAAGTAATGTAAATTATGCATGCAATTTTCCTACAACTTTTCAGTCATCTTACTTTTATTCTAGAGGAATTCCAGCAGTTATGTCACTTTTAGAAGGTGAGGAATAAGAAAGGCCGGGCCATAGGAAAGTTTACTTTCCCTTTCTGTTCAGGTTTCCCTAATGGCCCGGTACTGAAACAGAACTGACAAATACTACAATTAACACCTGTTGGTTTTACTGGAGGAGCCCCGCCTTGGGTTCTTTGAAAGCCTCACACATCTCATAGGAAATCTTGAAAAGTATTCATTCAAAAGTTACATAAGAACCATCCAGTATGTGGTAGAAAATGAGGTGAAGATCGGGAGCATGGGGTTTTGTTTTCTTTTATTTGCTGGGATTATTGAGAGTTATATTACGGAACTGAAAGAGAAATACTAGTAATCTGCCTAATTTGAAAACAAGTGGGAGTACTGATTAGGGCATAATTGAAACTCCTGATACTCATAGTTACTGTTACTAATGAGGAAAATGTTTCAACTGATATTTTGCTTTTTAATATATTTACAGAAAGTGGCATTATAAATTCAGGTACAAACACACATGAACACACACAAATCTACACATAGAGTGGGGTGCTGGAGGTGGCTAGCACTGTCTTGAAAGAGACATTTGTGCATATCTTTTCCCAAATCCAGTTCAGTGGCTTTAACTTGATAGCTTGAAATTTGCCGTAATGGGCATATTTACTCTACAAAAATGAGCAAGGGATACAAATCAATGTGTTTGCTTGTTTTTCATAGAGCCAGTTTTTAAACATTAAGCAGTACACATTGTCATAACACGCATTCTTTTCTCAAGTTTCCATGACTGTTGCGGACTGTTCACATTTATCTGCAATGGTTTTGCAGAGTCATTTAATTAAGGGTTTGATTTCTTAATATCTTTCTTTCTAATTTCTGTCCCAGAGGGTGGCAGCATAGTGCAGTAAAAAGTACCTGGGGGCTTTGTATTGAAAGGTGTTAATCCCTGTTCTGTCCCTTTGGCTCTTTGACCTTGAGAAAGTCACCTAAGCTTTCTGACCCAAAAATTCTTCCTCTCTAAAATGGGTATAGCACCATCACCATGGGGATTGAAAGGGATGTTGCACATAGCAGAGTCTGTCATAGAGTCAGGTTGAGGTAATGGGAGCTCACTTCCCAGTATCATGGACTAATACGGTTTGATGTTGAAAGCTCAAGAAATGTTTAACTTCTTAATCTCCTACAACCAAAATCTATGAGCCTGATGAGTTCCTGAAAAAGTTCAATATCTGTGTTTCGAAGAGAAGGTCATTGACATTAAATAAGTTATCCAGGGTAAGTCTCCTTAATCCTAACAGAGTGATTCAGTCAAAACTTTCTCAACTATTCTGTGGTACCAACTTCTGGTCTCTAGGTAGACCAGGTAACTATTTCTTCTCTTTCTTCCGTCTTTTCTATTCTCTCTTCATCTTTCCCTTCTTCTTAATCCAGTTGAATTTGATTTTGGTTCTATTAAGTTGCTCAGGTGCCTTCAGGAAAGTAATTCACTTGACTAAAATTTAGATCTTCTGCAAGAGCACATCTTACTTAAATAGTGAAAGCCATTCAGGCAAATGTCAGGTGAACTAAGGAGATGTGGGCAGATCAGGTGACACATGGACAATGATCAAGCCTGGGGGAAAAAAAAAGTTGCTGTTTGGTGGGTGAATGACTACTTTGAAAGGCTGAAGGCTCAGTGTGGTGGCTTACGCCTGTAATCCCAGCACTTTGGGATGCCGAAGCAGGCAGATAACGAGGTCAGGAGTTTGAGACCACCCTGGCCAACATTGAAACTCCGCCTCTACTAAAAATACAAAACATTAGCCAGGCAAGGTGGCACATGTGCCTGCAGTCCCCACTACTCGGGAGGCTGAGGAAGGAGAATCGCTTGAACCGGGGAGGCATAGGTTGCAGTGAGCTGAGATCACACCACTGCACTCCAGCCTGGGCAACAGAGCAAGACTCCATCTCAAAAAAAAAAAAAAAAAAAAGGCTGAAAAGGAAAGCCCTGTTTCCTGAGAAATTATTATATGCTAGATTCTGTGCTAGTTATTTTATAATTATATGTATTTTTCACAATATACCTGAGAGATTAGATATTGTATTTTCTATTTTACAGGTGAGGAAATTAAGATTTAAGGCCATTAAGTTATCTTGCCCAAAGTCACACAGTTTGTGGTAGAATTTGATTCAAAACTAAGGTGTCTGTCCAGTGTTTCTTTTTCCAGTGCTAGGTTACTGAAGTCAGAGTATATAGCTTCCATGCTCTTCATTTTCCTTTACTCTAATTTGAAATTGGACTTTATGGGGAATATGCTTGGTTAATTCAGTCCCTTTAAATAGACATTTTAGGCCATAGTTTAGATGTTCTATAAATTATTTTTAGTTTCTACTTCTAAGGAATGTTTTTAACTTTTAAGATTATACAAACCATCCAGTCACCAAGACAAAAAGTAGCCCTACTTTAGATAACACATACTAATTTGCACAGTTTATTCTACTGAATTTTGATCATGTTATAAGGTGAGAATCAAAAGCAGGAAGGACTCTAAGGGAATGGGGAAAGTGACACTGAGTGGATTAAAGTGTGGAGAAAAGAAGGTGGAAGGTATGGACAATAAACTGCATTCACTTCAAAATTTTGTCCAGGTTCAGCTCTGGCAAACGTTGTCTCATTAAGCAGGAGACTCTCTATTTGCCCCATTATGCCCATGTGCTTGGGTTCACAAGGTAATGTAGATGAAGGATTATGGAAAAGCATGATCCTCTGGTGAAAATAAAAGATCACAATTCAGCCTGGCTTGCAGAAATCAAAACTGGGATGATTCATTATGAGATCAGAAATGCAAATCCATAAAGAGCAGCTCAAGAAAGGAATTTATTCATGATCGCTGGGTACAGACAGCCCTTCTACTTGTGCTTTGGTCCTTTCAGTCATATGAAGCATATTCTCATGTGGATTGTTAATATATGATGAATTACCTTCAGAGGACTTAGAAATCATCTAGAGCGGTCCTTCTGTGTGCAACAACTGATCCTGAGACTTGTTTATGGTGAAGAAAGACTAATTAAGGAGAAAGCATTTTATGTTCCATTTTACTTTATGTACTGGAAGGTATTTAAGTGGATGCCTTTACTTTCACTCGGCCCATTATAATATGATAGTGTGTTTTATATCAAGGTAATTGGCTCAAAATATGCAATTTCATAACTTGAAGCCAGTAAAAGAAAATATTGTAATAATAATGGTGAAAGCTAGCACTTACTTTGTACTTATTTAGAACAGTGTCTGGTACATGACAAGCTTTGGCTATGATGATGAGTAGGAGAAAGATGATGATGGTGATAGTGATAGTAGTGAAGATAATGATAGTGGTGGTGATGGTAGTAGTTATGATGACGATGGTGGTGATGATGATATTGATGGTGACAGTGATAATGGTGGTGGTAGTGGTGATGATGGTGATGGTGTACCAGGCACTGTGCTAAGCTCCTTACATGCATTATGTTATTTAATGCCTGATAACTATACAACTGATATGAGGACTGTTTTACAAATGAGTAATTTATGTGGTACCACACAGCTAGGAAATAGTGAAGTCAAGGTCGCTGAAGCTCTGCCTCTTTGACACTGTGCTGTATTTAAAAGCTTTTCTTAAAACATATACTTTGGCTGGTTAGTTAAGACTAGAGAAAAACCCAAAGCATAATTTTTCTCCTTTTTGCTTTTCTTCTCTTAGAATGGGGTAATCAAACTTTAACTATTTCCTATCATATTTATACATGCACCCACATATAACTATCTTCAAGTAGAGCAGTACACTTTTGACAGTGACTGAAAATGTATTAATTTGACCTAAACAGTCAAAAAGAGGTGAGTAGCCTATGAGACAGGGTGAGAAAGTTCCCATAGATCCAGGCTCTGCAAACACCATAGCTGCCAGCCCAAAAGTAATCTATACACACACTCAATATTCAATCATATATCAATCATTTAGTTTATGCTCACAAAACCATCAAGAGTAGAATCTTTACCTGTTAGGATCAACAACTTATTTCATTGAAAAAAGAAGATAATTTTCTCAAGGTTATGCTTGCCTATAGTTTGCAAAAATGCGACCATCATAATTCCCATGCGGAATTTTTCCCACTGTCAGATAAGATGTAGTATTTATTTGGTTTTGATTTTACATGAGCACAATACCCTATCTACACTAAACATGCACTTAACTGACAAGTGTGATGCATATTTAAAAGAAGTTTTGTTTGCCAGTAGAATTATCTCAGAATGTGCAGAAATGTTCCATGGAAATATTGAAAATAATTAATTGGAAAAAAGACTTGTTTATAGGTAAAGCAGATATAATTGTTTTTTAAGAAAAATGAATAATTAGCTTATTGCTAAAATGCAAGTGCTGTTAGAAATTATGCAATTTCTACTTTCTGCCTGCCAAAAGGAGATCATAAATGTCTCAAGAGACCATCTACTATGGATCAATTATAAAGAAATACATGTAGTTTATGATTAGTTAAATAGTAGTAAGTGTAGCTTCCTAATTTGATCAAATCAACAGGAGCTCTGTAAAACTAGAATGAATGAAAGCTACATAAACTACCTGAAAGCTATGTAAACACTCCTTTATCTGGACAAGGAAAGTGTCATTGAGGGATACATAGAAATTTTGCTTCTTACTTGCTAATGACAACAATAGTGGTAATAAAATAATAATTAACACTTAATGAGAACATAATAGTTCTAGGCATTGTACTAAATGCTAAACATAAAATTTCATTTGATCCTCATGGTGAATCTACAAGATAGGTGTGGAAACTGAGGTACAGAGAGTTTGGATGACTTGCCTTTGGTCACACAGCCCACAAATGACAGAGAAAGGCTTTAAACCCAGAGACAGAGTCCAGTTCCTAAGACTGAGCCTTTTGCAGGTTCACACGAGAGTAGAAAGCAAAACAGTAACAATGCTCTCTACTAATATAATCAATAACTAAATTTTGGTTTCCAGCTGATTAGAGAATAAGATACAATACAGTGTTAATTGTGTAGCACCAGTTGCGTTGGGTCTTCATCCAGAAACTGCACTTATTAGTTTTCTGACCTTTAGTGAATTCTTTAGATTTTCCAGACTTCACTTTCTAAGTTATTGTGAGAATTAAAAAAGCTAAATCCTTTAACACTAATATAAGAACCTTATATTAGTACCTTTATTTCTGCTGCTGCTGTTGTAATAGCTATATGCCTTAGATTTAAACTGTATTAGAGATGGGGTAGATTCATATGCATAATGTTATCAGTTACAGATAAAATAGATAAAGTATAGATAGAGAAAGAAGGGAGAGGTCATTTCAGGAAGGGGAATCAAAGGCACAGATGTGAAAAAGTCCCTGGTGTCAGCAAGAGATAATAGGTCTCTCAGTTGGTTTCATAACAATCTTGGGTATGTATAGAACTCTCTATGTAAATATCTCCATTTGTCTAAATTTCCCGATTAATTTTTGGCCTGCCTTTGACCTTTAGGCTTCCTTTTTTTTTTTTTTTTTTTTTTTTTTTTTTTTTTTTAATTTGAGACGACAGAGTCTCGCTCTGTCGCCCAGGCTGGAGTGCAATGGCACAATCTGGGCTCACTGCAAGCTCTGCCTCCCGGGTTCACACCATTCGCCTGCCTCAGCCTCCCGAGTAGCTGGGACTACAGGCGCCTGCCACCACGCCTGGCTCATTTTTTGTATTTTTGGTAGAGATGGGGTTTCACTGTGATAGTCAGGATGGTCTCGATCTCCTGATCTCGTGATCCGCCCACCTCGGCCTCCCAAAGTGCTGGGATTACAGGTGTGAGCCACTGCGCCCGGCCCTGACCTTTAGGCTTCTATATATATGTAAGTGTGGAGTTCAAAACCAAATATATATCCTCTACTGACTAGTAAAATGGATAGTCACTTAGTGGTGTTTGTATTATAATGTAGCATCTGCAGTAAATGAAAATATATTTATTCTTCTGCGGTGACTTTTTCTCTTCCACACCCTCATATTCAATTAGTCACCATGTTCTGTGAGTTCCACCTCTGAAAAGCATCTGGGACCTTTAGTCTCTTCTACCACTAGCCTACTCAAGTCTTCTTAAGCATTTTTTGCTTGAACTGTTGTGTCTGTATTGGATATGCTTAGGTGTGTCTATCCTGCCTGTGGTCTTCTCAGAAAATCTTTGCCCAGAGCTCCTGCAAAGTGAATGTGAGACACTCTGGCTATAACTGATGAGATCAGTGGCAAACTAAGGAAATCAGCCCAACCAATCCAGTCTTTGCCTGCTGACATGAGAACTGACAAGGCAACATGGCCCTGGAGATGACAGCATGCAAGAAAAGAAAGCTGGTTCAGGATAAGAGACAGGAAGAATCAAAGAAGTGAATTATACAGCCACTGAGAGAGAGAAGAGGATTCTTGGTTTTTAGTGGCTTCTTAGCCCCAGTTCCTGTGAGGCTTCGTACAGCGTTACTGTGTTTCCTATGTTTATGATATTGCCTTTTGTAGCACGAGTACTCCTTTACTTGAGCTAGTTGAATTCTGTTGTTTCACCCAAATATCCTCTACAACAGCTTCTAAATAGTCTTTTTTCTGTCTTGCCTCTCTCCAAACCAATGATTACCAACCTCGGATGCATTGGAACCACCTTAGAAGATTAAAATCAACAATGTTTCCGGTTTCTATCCCCAGATGTTCTGATTCAAGTAATTTAGAGGTGGCCTGCATTTGATTGGTTAAAATCTCTACAGGTGATTCTGGTACTCAGCAAACACTACAAAACCAGTGTTTCCAGAAATTTTATGATAATAATAATTGCCTGGGATACTGCTTAAAAATAGATATTCTTGGACTTCTCTAGATTTGGAGTGGAACCCAGTGATATATATATTTACTATAACTTGCAGGTAATTCTTATAATTAGGAAAGTTTGGAAAACACTGCTGTCATCTGCCCTTCACCTTGCTGCTAAAATAATCTTTGTAAAACATGTAATTGTCTAGCCAAAGAACTTTAAATAACTTGCCATTACATCTCAGATGAAGCACAAATTCCTTGGCAGAACATTTAAGATCACTCGCAGCCCTTTAGGTTTGTTCGTGTTCTTTGTGTCTCTGCCTGAAAACCCCCTGCCTTTACTTACCTAGAAAACTGACACATACTTAAAGGCTCAGTTCGAGGGTTACCTATTCTATGTGACTGTCCTGCCTCGCCTTAAGGAGAATTTTTCTTCTTTTTCTGACACTCCATAGCACTTTGTACCAACATCTATTACATGTTAATGGGTACCTGTTTTGAGTTTCTGAAAAACACTCTGTTTTCTTTTTCTTGTACCCCTCAGTGCTTAGTATGGTGCCTAGCACAAAAGAAGTGCTCAGTGAACATTAGTTGAATAAATGAGTGCATTAGTAAACATTTATTCTACCCTCTGTCAGCACTTCAGTTTGTTCCTTGAGTAATGGAAGGCATTTTGAAAAGTTGGCTAGGGTTAGTTGCTATACTGTTTTTGCCAATTTATATCAATCTTTTTTTTTTTGGGACTGGCCTGTCTTTGGTAAGTTTTAATAGGCTTCTTTAAGTCATGATCTTTCTGTTTTTAATAGAAAATACATGCAGTCCATATTCCATGTTCATCAAGTCTCTGTTAGAATAGCTTGGAGCCTGAAAGTTGTGTCTGTATTGGATATGCTTAGGTGTGTCTGTCCTGCCTGTGGTCTTCTCAGAAAATACACTAGTGTTAGGGTTAAAGCTCACAAATTATCTGATCTAAGGTAATATGTCTTTCTCACTGTCTGTCCTTGCCTACATTTTGCACATTCAAGGAAAGTGACTCCATGGCCAAAAGAACAAAAGCCAGTGGGTGAAGTAGGGAAAACAAACAAAACAAAACTCTGAATAAATGCAAAATGAAAACAGCCAATGCTAGAGGGAAAAAAGAAAAGGTGAAAGAACAGCAGATTTGGTTATTAGAAGCTATAAAGTGAAATCTTTTATGTTTTTTTCCTATAACATTTTAGGTCTTTCTAAATTTGCCTAAGCCGACTTACTTTTCGAGGGAAGATTTTTTTATTGTCCAATGTTTTGGTGCCAATTTTTGTAGCACAAACTGAAGCTAAATTTGCAGCCAGTTAGCATATAATTTATTTTAAAAGCTTAAATGGGATCTTTTCCATGCAAGGTAAAGCTTTGCAAATACAAAGCCAGCAAGAACAGTGAATAGTTCTTATTCATTTTAGGTGTTGATGGAGGGGACTGGGTGTATTTCGGCTGCAGTCCTCAGTCCCAGCAGCAAATGCAACACTCTTCCAACATCATTCTGGAAGGAGGGAGAGGCTGTTTGTGTAAGAGTTTGAAATGTTATCTTTTGTGGCAAGGATAATGTGATTCTATGTCAGCTCTTCCTCTATTTTCCTCTTTTGCTGAGGCACCAGTATCATCATGCTCCTGAATTAAGAATCCGTGGACAGAACACCAAATGCCAAATAAGAGTTTTCTTCTGATGCTTGTTGGTCTTCATTCTAATAATTTATCACCTAGCCTTACAAAGTACTTTTTATCTGAGTGTTCAAAAAAATGACTGATTCTTTGACCCTTGAAAGAAAGTGGATATTATCTCATTTTTCTTTACAGTATTCCTAACAGCAGATTACGTATCTTTTCTATTCAGTGGTAGAGATAGAAGAGATGGTCTCCACTGGATATTAAAAACTTTGCAGCAGAGGAGAAGATGGTGTCAAATTTACTCTTTAGGGCCTAGGTCCATAGACTATAAATGTATCTTCAATACTATACTAGGTTAGCACAAGTTTTTCCAGTTGTTTCTGTCTCTGGGGTGCTGTGTGGTCTTAGCATCTGGACACCCTTCTCTACTAGGCTTGCTTGATTGGGTTGCAAGAAGAGGATACTTGCTATATTTATTACATTTATTTTCTATTTAAGACAGAGACACTGAAACAGAGAAGGGAAAAATTATTTGTCTCAGAGCAAAGCATTACTCATTATTGAATCTAGTTCCACAACAGCAAACTATTGATTTCTACCTATGCTATGTGCTTTGGTGTTTTTGTCACTTATTTTTTTTTCCTTTCACATTATTATTTTTATTGTCTTTTACAATGGTCCTTAACTTCAAGATAAGTTTAAATGGATGTCAAAGAAAAGACCAATTTGAAAAAGTGTGTAAGTAGTAAAATGACTGATTCTTTGACCCTTGAAAGGAAAAGAAACAGTCATGCTTACAAGTTTAAAAGAATTGTTCAGCTGGATGATTCTGAAAGGATACAGCCTTGTTATTAACACTGAAAAGTTTAATTACATTTCATTATACTATACTAGCTTCTCTTAATTGGTAAAAGGGGACTATGAAAGCAAAAACAAAAATGCTTAATCTCTAGGAGCTAGATTTTCCTCGCTGCTTTGTAATGTAAATGTGCCTGTGTGTATATTAAAATTCACACACTCCATCCATCTCACTGGCTTTTAATGGAGGGGTCACCTGACTTCACCTAGAGCCGCCCCCCTCCCTTTCCCAGAGGAAACCCAAAAGTGAGAGACAGGCGCGTAGATAACACAGGTTCTTGTGCTGAGAGATGTAAATGCCCCTGACTGACCGGGAAGCGAGCGAGGTTGCTGGTGGGGGTTGGGGAAAGGGAAACGGAGGGAGAGAGCATAAGCGAGAGAGGGGAGAAGGAGAGAGAGGGAGAGGGAGAGAGGGAGAGGCAGAGGGAGACAGAGAGAGAGAGAGAGAAGTGCTGCATGCTTCATCTTTGAGAGGAGGGAAAACAAAAGAGCTCAGCGGCAGTTTTGTGTTGCTGTGTCTGGCTTAAAGAGGAAAATTCTAGACATCCATGTTGAAAAATCAAAGCTCAGCTGAGACTACTTCTATCAAGAAAATTATTTTTATCTGCGAATGGGTTGGATCAGTACAGGTGGTTTGAGAAGACACTGACTGAGGACCATGGAAAGGTGGGAGAGGACGTGCGGCTTCTCTGCTTCCTTTGAACAGAGCTCTAGGTTAGTAAGCTGAAACTGACCCGGGTCTGGCTTAAATATCTGTATGTGCATATGTGTGTGTGTTCTATTTATAGCCTCCAAACCCTTCTGCTCCTCAACCCCTGGGGAAAGCAGTGCCATATTCCACCAGATGTGAACCTAAACTTGATTCGACTCTCACTTCATTTGCCAAATGCCTCTCGTTTGTTTGCGGAGCTTTTGTTTAATACAGCCAGTGGAGAGCCATCATGATGTCTCCTTCTGAGTCAGAATGTGTGTTTCAGCCTTAGATTGTCAGGTGGCTGTTTGGAGAACAGTTAGTGTTTTGCTCCAGAAAGCTGCAAATGCATGATTAGGTTATTGTGAAATGTAAACAGCAGATATCTGCTGACTTGGCATTTCTTCTAATGTCAGAATAGTTCAGAGAACCAAGTGCATTTGCCTTATCTTTATTTCCCACGTAATTGACTTCAAATATAATAAGTTTGAAATGGCACCCCATCAACAAAGACACACACCAGGTATTCTTCCAGCAGAGTGTGTTTTACCTCCTATTGGAGCCGAAGCTTAAAAAATTAATTTTATGGGGACCTGGTTTGGGGAAAAAAATACAATGTGTTATAATTAAAATAGGTTTAAAGCCTTTTTTACAACCAGTGGGTACAGATGTGTGTAAAACAAACACATAATTTCTCTTGTTTCTTGCTGTGCAGATAGAGTGTCTTTTGTTCCAGCATGTGTATTTTCCTGTGTTTTTACAAAGAAAGCATTGCTTGTGCTTTCCGTGATAGCAAGGGGCTTGTATGCCAATTTGCCATTGTGCCCTGGTCAAGAATCTGCTCTATTCTGAAGTAAACTGCCCAGAGGTATTAGTCAAGAACGTGGAGAAGGGTGGGGAGTAGGAAGAGATGCTTTTTTCTCTTCCTCTTTTTTTTCCCCTTTGACTCAGAAGTGTCTAATTCACATGATGTTAAGAGGAAATGGGGGGAAGCATTTAGTTCTGAATAGGATGCAGTTCGGTGCCATGCAGTTGCCACAGACTATAACAAGAAGATGCTCGGAGCTGAGGGAATCACATTTGTAATGGGGACTCTTTAAGAAAATGTTCTGTGAGGGTGACTGGCTGAGTCCCTTTGGACCAAATTAAGATGCGCTCTGGCAGTGCACTAGCAGCTGTGAGCTGACATTTTCTTGTGAACCTAGTGAAAAATGGCTCCATATCTCTGTCTCGTCCTGAGGGAGATGGTCTTTGAGTAGTCGAGCCGTTCCTCAGCATTGTGATTTGCTCTGATCTCTGTTTTCTGATGGGGACGGACTGACTTGTGGTTCCTTTCAGTTCGCCTGCCTTTTTAAATCTCGCTTGAATGGGGAGTGGGTGGTGACGGTTTTACTTCAGTACAAACTACCCAGAGCAAAGCTTGCAGAAGATATCTTTCTGGCAATCATAGGTTTCCATTTTTAAAAGGGTAGATTACATATATTTTCGGACGTGATCTAAAGCACTTTGTTGTTAAGTGGGCTCATCAAACAATTTCTTTAAGGAAAGACCCATGCATGTGTGGCAGCTTACATTTGGACTTTCGGGAGGGCTGACAGGTTAAAAAAAAAAATAGATATTTGCCTGTATCGTCCATCTCTGAAAGTAAAAAGCTGTGTTTTTGTATCTTATCATGTTTTCCCTTTTTAGCATTGTGATCCATTGTGCAAGGAAAAAGATGTGTCCCCGCGCTAGAATGCAGGGAGGGAATGTACTACTGTCCTGTACTACACATGTGCTTATTAAAGAATTCCTGTACTGAGCAGGGAGTGGAGGTGCTACAGCAGCCACACTGTTCCTTTATTTGGGCTTTGGTTTGTGAAAGCTCCAGCCAGCAGAGGCAGGATGCGCTTTAGCAGAGAGCTCTGGTTTGAGGGACTGATTAAGAGCATGTGTTGTTTGGGGGTGTGCGAAATCGGTTCTCTATTGTATAGCATTTTAGGATGATTGTGTGACTACAGAGCAGGTTTAAATCTTAGGCAAGAGGTACAGTGTTGAGGCACTATCCACTAGAGAGGGGAGCATGAGGATGCAAAATAGTGCAATAGTATGTGCATTGTGCAGAAAAAAATAATAATTCTTTAAATTTTATGCTAGTTTCCAAATTATAGAAATTTGGAAACACTTCAGATGCTTTCTGCAAAATGACATGGAGTCATCTCCACACTAGGACAAGAAAGACTTGAGTACAATACTTTTAACAAGATGGAAACAGTTTCGTAAGTGTTTTAAGTGTAATAATATTTGCTCCACTGAAGGGTAACCCTCCAAGGGTTTTCATCGTGAGCACCTTCCCATAGGCTGAGAATTAGAGCACAGATTTTCATGGTGTCTGTTTAGAATAATTTTGATAAAGCTAAGACCTTACAGAGGCAATAAGATTTGCCTCTTTAGTAGAACAATGGAAATGGAACTTTAATACAGCATGTAGATCCGATTGCTGCTTTTATACATGTAGACAATCTGACTATGGTACATGGTGTGCTTTGGGGAAATTGATGCAATTATAGTAGAACAGCAAACAAAACAATAGGTGAGGTGATATAATGAAAACATGGATCTCAAAGTTCCTAAGAGGATTACCAAGTCACCCTTAAATATTGTTAATGACTACAGGTGAGGTGGTTTTACCCAGAGAAATTTCAGATGTTCAGAATTAGAGGACCATGTTTGTAAAGCTAAGAGCAGAGCTTGCTGGATCTTGGAGAAGATGGATGGCACTCATATTTAAACCAGATAATGTGTACATATAAAAGAATCACAATCTTAGAAACTTCCCACCAATGGAATTTTGTTTTAAAAGTTGCAAAATAACTAAACTGTAGAAAATAGTTCACAGCTCAGAAACCATCAAGGGAGAAATGAGAACATCCAGAAATAACAAAATTTTCGCAGTGAGATTTATGTGCTACCTGAACAACATTTAAGATGCCGATGAGTTCTTAATGAGAGCTAAAAAAGAAAAATTCACATTTGGAAATAAGTGTCTGTATTCCTGTATTCCTATAGCTTTGAGCTTGGAAAACACAAAATTTCCCAAGAATAAATTAGTTATTCGTAAGATGCCTGTGGCACGTAAAGGAAAACTTGATAAAACAATTAAGTTTCAGGCAAACATATTTTACTCTAACTGAATTCTTCTTGAAACATTTTTAATCACAAAGCTACTAACTTTCTGAGAATATCTTAAGTAGTAATGGCCTGCTTTCTGACATCCATTTTCTCTATCACTTTAGAACCCTACTACCTTAAACTCTCTTTTCAATTTTTAAAAGCCTTATTAGGTGACAACATGACATTAAATAAGCAGATATGATAAAAGACTGAGCTTAAAACACTTTAATTTTATGTTCAATTTCAGGAACATTTTTCTTCTACTGTCTGCAATCAGCTTTTGCTCTTAGTCACACAGCTTGTGGCACTCTTTCTAAGATCTCAGCTGCTTACTCTGAAGATAACAGAATTTTAATTGTAAAAAAAAAAAAAAGTGTGTTGCCTTTTTGACTGCATTAGGTGTACCTTAACAAAGGTTAGAACTTTGTTATAGGCTGGGTGTGGTGGCTCACGCCTGTAATCCTGGCACTTTGGAAGGCCGAGGCAGGCGGATCACAAGGTTAGGAATTCGAAACCAGCCTGGCCAACATGGTGAAACCCGTCTCTATTGAAAATACAAAACAATTAGCCAGGTGTGGTGGCACGCACCTGTAATCCCAGCTACTCGGGAGGCCGAGGCAGGAGAATTGCTTGAACCTGGGAGGCAGAGGTGGCAGTGAGCTGAGATCGTGCCATTGCACTCCAGCCTGGGCAAGGAGAGCAAGACTCCATCTCAAAAAAAAAAAAAAGAACTTTATTATAATGTGAATTCTCAACGTAAGCGTTTCACAGATATCAGAGGTTAAAGTATACATGTACTGTACATTTCAAGCATGTCAAGACCTATAAAATACACAAAGTCAACAGTAGGACGGTTAGTTTTTTTCCCTAGTTCTCATCACAAGGATGGCTTTCTGTCACACAAGCCTGCTTTCCAGAAGAAGTGCATTATTCTGTTTTCTCCTACAGATTCTTTACTCATTCTCCCTAGGCACACTAAGAATACATCAAATTCAATAAGTGTGATGATATAAAAAGTGTCCTTAATTGGTGTTTGAAAATTTAGGTGATATTCACCATGTGGAGGAACAGTTAGAATAGTTGTTTTTCTCTTTAAATCAGTAAAGTAAGTCAAACTTCAGAGTGTTTAAGGAAACTAACAATACTGTGTACTGTCAAGTAAGAGGCTCATTGCCAGCCAGTTAGCCAATGGAGGAGAAGACACAAGCTTAACTGATGACTCCAGTTGAAGCATTGTAGCTCAGGAAGTTCCCATATTAATAGGACCTCAGCTCAAATTCCAGAGCCAGCTACTCAACTTATTCACCTTTTTGCCATCTGGGGCTGGGGGAGGAAATAATATATTAAATAAGAGATCACTTTTGTTATAAGACAATCTCTCTAATACACCAGTCCTGCAAGCAGTTCAGGCATCTTTAAGATCCTCTCAGTCTGAAGTTTCTATCTTTCTCCACGAAGCAACAAATCTCAACTGACTCTGGAAGCCACTCAAAGATTTGTTCTAAAACTTTGGATTGATCTTGCCAAGCACTTTCCACAAAAGCACAACCCCGGCCAAATAAAGGCACAGGGATGAGAGCTTTCTCTGGTCTGTAGCAGAGAACCAAACCCTCTGGGTTATTTCACTCAAAGGGCCACAAAAGCTCAAATGCCGAGCTAAGGAACTGCTGGCCAAGTGTGGGAGGATTCTTGATCTTGGATTCGTACAGCTGTTTATGAAGAGCCTTTCTTTCAGATCTTAGAAAGCATCATATTTCCTTCCCTCTCAGGACCTTAGCACATGCTGGTGCCTCTGCTGGAACACATTTCTACCCACTTTGCTTGCTCAGCCATTTAATTGGCTCTCTCTATAAAATGTGCTCCAGGCTTCTCATGCTTTTTCTTCATTACACTTCTCGGGTGTTTTGGGTTTTTTTCAATATTTAGTTTTATGTTAGTGTTATTACTTGATTAATGTCTTTCTCTGCCAGGAGGCAGGACCTTCTAAAGTGAGGGTCCAAATTCATTTTGCTCACAACCGTATCTATCTGTAGGACTTCAAATCATGTCAACTCAGATATAAGATATGCACTAGGGCCGGGCGTTATGGCTCACACCCGTAATCTCAGCACTTTGAGAGGCCGAGGTGGGCAGATCACAAGGTCAGGAGTTCGAGACCAGCCTGGCCAACATAGAGAAACCCCGTTTCTACTAAAAGTACAAAAATTAGCCGGGTGTGGTAGTGGACACCTGTAACTCCAGCTACTCAGGAGGCTGAGGCAGCAGAATTGCTTGAACCCGGGAGGCAGAGGTTGCAGTGAGCCAAGATTGCACCACTGTACTCCAGCCTTGTTGACAAGAGCGAGACTCTGTCTCAAAAAAAAAAAAAAAAAAAAAAGATGTGCACTAAACATTTGTTAAATGACTGACTGAATGAATAAATGAATACTAAGGCAGCAATATAGTGGGAAAAGATAGTGTAACTAGCCTGGCTCAACAAAGAGCAATTCTCTTCACTGGGTTGGCTAGTTTGGAAACCTAATAGGTGGATACACTAGGACAGTCCCAGGATCTCCCTTCTGTCAGGATTTTCCATGTAAGAAATCACACTTGAGTGCTTGCTATTACAATATTTCAAAAAAGAAATTTACTACCCATATCAACAAGTATTTAGAATCAGTCTGGCAAAATCATAGTCTGTCTTTCCCTCTCCGTTCCTCCTAAGGTACCTCTTTTCCTGAATCTCCCACTCTGATCATCCTTTAGTTCTTTGCATCCAGGCCCTTCTAGGTCTCATCCGAAGATGGCTATGCTTTGCTAACTAAGCTGGTAATAAGTTGTGAGGCCTGAAAACCCATCTAAGGTGTGAGCTTTATTTGCATTTTGAGCAAAATTATCATGTAGTGGTTAGCACTCTGCTTATTAATATGGAGGCTGTGAGGCATAACATAGCACGAAGCTTGCCTGTAGGAAGCTATTTTCGGTTGTGGAGCTAAGACTTATAAAAAACAATTGGCAACTACTCTAAGAGCCTATGATCAAGAACTGTATTTGGCTGTACAGATTTTAATAAAACTAGAGCACAAAGGAAAGGATTTGTAAAGAGGTGGGATCTCAAGCAAACTATGACCAATAAGTGGCATCTGAATTGTCAGAGAGGAAGAAGAACTGTTTAACATTTGGGATGGGGGGAAAAAATCATTAAATGGTCAATGGGACTTAGCACAAGCTGTGTTAAGATACTACTCACATTTCCTTTCCTAAGTATAAAAGGCAAAAATACCTTTTATTCACAAATTCATCGAGATTTTATTCATTTAAATCATAACCTTGAGACCCTAGAAGTTAGGACAGTTAGCAATCATATTCCTGGACACTGGAATTCACTTCCCATTATATCTTGAAGTACTTAGTCTATCTCAGCATTTAAAAGTAATCTCAAAGAAGTTTTCTGTCAGAGGTGCTTTTAAAGATTGTTTTAGCAATATTGATCACTTTAATTGAGGTTTATTGAAAGTGCCCAGTATAGCTCTCTTGTGGCTCATGTTCTATAAATATAGCATCATCTTATTGATAGATAGTAGAATTTCCATTTCATTACAGTCAGCCTAACACTTTTTAGAAACCTTAAGTTCACACCAGAGCATGAGGAGGAAGAAACATTCTTTTCCTCTGGTCTTCCAGTTGTCCTTAAACCACAGCACTATGTAAGAATCATTTTAAAGTATGTCCTTAGTAGTACTAAACCTCCTGTTTCAGCCCTGTGTCTGGCTTGAAGGTTCTCTGTTGAGAACCCTGAAAAGAATAAACAAAACTCAGAAGCTGGAAAATATCAAGCTGCATACATGTAAGGAAGCAATGAGAGAATTGAAATTAATTGATTTTGTAAGTAGGGCAGGTAACCTATAACTAGGTTTCTAGATAAATTATTGATACAGTTTCCATTTAAGTGGTTGGGTTTTAGGTTAGGTGCAAGAATTGTTAAAGCCTATGAAAAGTTATATGTCTTATTTTTTTGTACTTTCCTTGTTTAGGTGGAGATAATTGGACTCTTTAGGGTAATTCAGCATATGTCTGTCTAAAGAGCGGGGTTTCGCTTAGGCCTTCTTGCCAGCTATGTTACTATAATCATGCTTTGGGAGGAAGATTTTGCACACACAGTCCTTTAGGTGTTCTCACTGTTGTAAAAGAAAAGCCAGAGTATATAAGTCATCCCTTCGAAATATCATAGACAACCCCTTCCACACACCTGTGTGAATTACTCTCTCAGTGTGTGCTAAGGTAAAGAAACGCTTCAGAAAATAAAATATTTCTACCCCTATTTTATTTCAAAAGTGAAAACGTGAAAAGAAGCTGGGATTGGCTAGTAGTATATGAAAATCTGTTCTGTGCGGATCCCCAGGTTACAATAACTCAGTCTCATTGTGCATGCAAGCCTTTGTATGGTGCTGCAGATGGTAACTTTTATTTCCTAATATATAGTTGCTACTCTGGGAATCATAAGTCTTTCTTTTATGATTGATTCATTAGAGTTTAGGAAAAGTATTTGCTAATTCCATTTATCTAAGTCAGGAGCAAAGAAATTGGTATTAAACTATTACTATATCTATTAGTAGTACATATCCCCTGAACCTGAAAGAACACATTTAACCATGACCAGTGACTGGCAGGCCTTTGATAAAGTTATCAGTTGTTCATTTCTCGTGTTTCTCTCTCCCCAAGCTATAGAATGCTCTATGTCTGAGATTGCCTGAATTAAGTTCTATTGAAGAAGGCTAGAAGTTTTTTCATACTTGTCTCAACAACCATTCTAGCCAGTGTACCAAACTAAACTGTGTTCTTTTATGCCCATGGGTATTTACCCATTTTTTTCACTGTCTGGAATGTTTTCTTCTAAGAGAATGCTAGTTATAGACACAGGTGTTCTGTATCTTTGAAGGTCACTGCCTGGATAGTAATCCTAGGAAAAATAGGTGGTTCCCCAAAACTGTTCACACATATTCATACCACATAATTTATTATGCTTTTCTAGTTACAATTCTGTTTCTCTCACTAGCTATACTTTCCCAAAACGGAGTCATTTTCTTGACTATCTTCCTATGTCCATTACCTAATAGAGGTTGTAGGACATAGTTCCTGTATATTTTAGTTATGATTTGAGATGATCCTCTTCTTGTTCACATAGCGAAAGGAAGAATGTAATGTGAGTTTTTGAAATTAAATGATTCAAAATTTCTATTTAGTTGTTTTTTGTTTTTTTTTCTTTTCTTTGTTTTTTGTTTGTTTGGTTTGTTTTGTTTTGGTGGAGTCTCACTCTGTTGCCCAGGCTGGAGTGCAGTGGTGCAATGTCAGCTCACTGCAACCTCCGCCTCCCAGGTTAAAGCAATTCTCTTGCCTCAGCCTCCTGAGTAACTGGGATTACAGGTGTGCACCACCACGCCCGGCTAATTTTGTATTTTTAGTAGGGATGGGGTTTTACCATGTTAGCCAGGATGGTCTTGAACTCCTGACCCCAGGTGATCTGCCTGCCTCATCCTCCCAAAGTGCTGGGATTACAGGTGCCAGCCACCATGCCCGGCCAAAAATCTCTACTTGTTCTTGGCAGTCTCCATTTTACTGAAGCTGAAAACAAAAGTTAATTTTACTAGAAATCAGAAATATTTTTCTCTAAGAGACTATGAAGTATCAAATGTGAGCAATGAAAGAAAATTGGGCTAAATAATTTGATACAGGAAAAATTAATTCCGGATAGAGTCCATGCCTCATGTCAGTATTTTTTGCCCAAATTCATGTGGAGAGCTCCTCATTGGTGCCCCTTCACACTCCAGCCACTATTGCAATGAGGAGGTGAGGAGAGATGTCTTATCTTTGCCTGGAGCTTCACTGTTCTGTGCATGTGGCCTATAGACCAGCATCAGCATTGCCTAAGAGGTTGTTACAAGCAGAATTTCGGGCCTCAACCTACCTTACAGAATCTGAATCTAGGTGAGGCATGATGGCTCACACCTGTAATCCCAGCTCTTTGGGAGGCCAAGGTAAGTGGATCATCTAAGGTCAGGAGTTCGAGACCAGCATGGCTAACATGGTGAAACCCCATCTTTACTAAAAATTAGCCAGGTATGATGATGGGCTCCTGTAATCTCAGCTACTCAGGAGGCTGAGGCAGGAGAATTGTTTGAACACAGGAGGCAGAGGTTGCAGTGAGCTGAAATCACACCACAACACTCCAGCCTGGGGGACAGAGCAAGACTCTGTCTCAAAAAAAAAAAAAAAAATCAGAATCTACATATTTTAACAAGACCCCCAGATGGTTCAATTCTTCATTGATGTTTGGGAAACACTATTACAGAGAACCTTTTTATGAAGTTATGGTCAATTTTGTAGACTTCAGCCTGGCTAATAACTCAGAGACAAATTATGACTATGGAAGGTTATTTCTTTTGTCAAGCTATGGAATGGAATCATTTCTCTCTTCAAGTCACCCATGCCTTGCATGTCCTGGGAAAGAGAGGGAAATGACGCTTACTACAAGTTAATATCTTACCTCTTCCCAGACCAACTTCTATTATATACACTGACTGCTAATGAGGTGTAACAGGATAGACCAGAATTGAGTCTGGCCTCTGGCCCACATTAACCATATAAAAGTTGGACAGCTTCCTTAGGTTTTTCCATCTCATTTTCCTCTTCTGTAAGATGAAAATTATAATAATTCTTGGTAAGAATGTTTTGACATTAGAGGTGGGGATGAGAAATTATCTCCTATAGCTTGGCACATTGTAGGCATTCAACAAATAAACAGACGCTGTGGCTACTGGAGTTCCTCCTGGCTCCTTGGTGAGAGTAGAGAGGTAATCTCGTTTTTCCAATATAATCTTTTAGGTGTTTGCCTCAGGTACCTCTTGGAAGTAGACACTGAGGATTTCAGTTTGTTTGACTTCCTGCCAGCTGAGTTCAAGAGGACAAGCTAATGAATACCTTATGTTTCTTGCACACACACTTACATATCGGGATAAAATATTCCTGGGGACATACAAAGCAAAAGAGGAAACTTGTGTCCCACATAATCTCTTTCTTCTTCTAATAAAACAAATTTAGGCCACTTCTCCATAAGATTGTCAAGGAAGGTTAATGTCAGAATTTGCTAGGAAAGGGGGTTACTTCGTTAGCTAAGATAGAGAAGGAACCCCATCTCTACTAAAAATACAAAAATTAGCCAGGTACGGTGGTGCATATCTGTAACCCCAGCTACTCGGGAGGCTGAGGCAGGAGAATCGCTCGAACCCAGGAGGTGGAGGTTCAAGTGAGCTGGGATCACACCATTGCACTCCAGCCTGGGCAACAAGAGCAAAACTTCATCTCAAAAAAAAAAAAAAAAAAGAGAGAATTAAAGTCCAGTTGTAGGACTCTAAGAACTGTCATTACCTGGTGGTTTTTGTTTTATCAGGGTGGAAATTTTAATACAGGAACTGTTACACCATTGTTACACTCCAGCTGACAATGTAGCCTTAAAAATATTATATAATGAAAAAAATACAGGTTATAAAAGGCAGGTGCTCTCAGAGAAACTGTTGAAAGCAATCTCCTTTATTTTCTTTCCTTATTTGTTTATTTTATTTTTTTTTTGAGACGGAGTCTCGCTCTGTTGCCCAGGCTGGAGTGCAGTGGCATGATCTTGGCTCGCTGCAACCTCCACCTTTCAGGGTTCAAGCAATTCTTCTGCCTCAGCCTCCTGAGTAGCTGGGATTACAGGCACATGCCACCACGCTCGGCTAATTTTTGTATTTTTAGTAGAGACATATTGGCCGGGCTGGTCTCGAAGTGCTGACCTCATGATCCGCCCACTTGGCCTCCCAAAGTGCTGGGATTACAGGTGTGAGCCACCATCCCCAGCCTCCTTTATTTTCTTAAAGAACTAACTTGAAAATAAAATTGAGAAACCTGCCTTAGAAAATAGGGAAAATGTGTGATAAAAGAATCACATAAAACTTACACATTAAGATACTCAACTATTAATCTGCATGTTATTTCATTATAGCAATATGAAATAAAATAATAGGTATTTTTTTCTAATTAACAATTTTTGCTCACAACTTTATATTAGCATCATTCTTTAATACAACTAATGGTTTTAACAACATGACATTCAAATTCTTACATTGAAATGAACATTGTCACATTAAATTTGCCATTTTAACATTCACATCTAGAGAAAATAAGAGATTCTAATTAACTTTTAAAAATTCTCCTTTTGGTTACACAAATTTTAAAGATTTAATACAAGGCATATCCCAACCATGCTGTGAAAAAAAATTATTTGTGATTTCATTACTTTTAGCTGTTTTCTTGGGTTTAAATGAGGATTATGTAAGCATCTTAGTGCCATGTGTCTTAATCTAGAAACAAATTTATAATTTAAAAATAAAGCAATTCATTTATATTTCTATACAAATAATTTTAGGTAGGCCAGATGTTCAAATTTGAAGTTCTAGTGTAATATTAAAATAATTATAGTTTTTTTTTATTATTTCTGACTCTGGTAGACTTGATTACTTAATATGGAGACTATTTTGTTATTTTATTGACATTAATCGCTTTAAAAATGTATTTCTGACAGTGATTTTCCCAAAAATATGTTTATATAGGTAGAGTTGTATTTGCATTCCACGAAGTCATCACTTTGTGGATGAGTGCCTTAAGCAAAGATTCAATATCTACTATGTGCCAGATTTTGGTTCGATGCTGAAGATAAAGATATATTTAGGCCCATAAGAAGCTCATAATTTAGTGTGGGAGATAGACGTGTAAACAAATTATTTGAATGTGACAGATTAACTACCAGAGTAATGCGAATATATGGGAAAGAATAAATCACTCTACCTGGGTGTAACTTAAGGTGTGGAGGAACCTACATAAGATTTTGAAGAATGAATATTACTCTTTCAATTGTAGAAGAGAATAGGATACTTCAAGGAGAAGAATTTGTATTGTCTGAGATGCATAAGGAGCATTGTTTGCCCAAAAAAATGGTGGCCTAGTCAACACAGATATGAGGCAATGTGTAGAGCAAAAAGAATGAGACCCTTTTGTGATGGAGAGGCTTCATGTGGCAAGCTCTGTGGTCATGAAGCTGTTTGTTTCTTCTCACACAGATGTGCATGTGATATGTACCTAGTTCACAATATGGAAAGAACTTTGATACATATATCATTTTTCTGAAGTACATCTAAACACATGCAAACACATTGAAGTGTGGAGACTAATCAAAGAGAAGTCCTGAAAAATGGAAATCAGAATAATCATAAGTGCACTCAATTCTGTGAATTTGAGGCTTTGAAGTTTGTTTGATTTTTAAATGGAAACCATGCATTCTATTTCTAGCATACTTCATTCGTACTACAAGTACGTATTGAATGCCTGCTATAGTTTAGGCACTGTTCCAGGTGCTTGGGATATATAATAAAACAGAAAAAAAAACCCTGTCTTGTATGAGGGAGACCAATAGGATACAAGATAACTCAGTAAAAATATATACATATTTATGTAATATTTATAATGTTAGGTGGTGATCACTACTAAGAGGAAAATAAAATAAGTAGGAAAAAGGACCGTTAAATGTCCCAAATCAGAGGAAGGGGGAAAGAGATTTTTAGAAGGGAGGCCAGAGCAGGCAATACTAAGATGACTAAGTCAAGTGTTAAGAGAAGTGAGAGAGCTATCTGTGGGGTGGAAAGGTACAGAAACCTTTGATAGAATATGCTCTGTTTGCCATGCTTATTTGTCATCCAAGAGTACTGGTCAAGTAGGCAGCTGGGTGTATCGTTCTGGAATTCAGGAGCAAACTCTATGGTAAAATGCACGTTTGGGAGTCAACTGCTTATTATAGTGTTTAAAGCCCTGAGATGAATGGCATCATCTAAGGACTGAGTGTGGAGAGAAAAGAACACTTTCTGTACTAAACTCCAGGGTGTATTTAATAGTTGAGGAGATAAGAAGGAATATGCAAAAGAGACCAAGAAGTCACACCAGAATGAGAGGAGGAAGAAGAGAGAGAGTGGTGTCCTCAAAGCCAATGAAGAAGTGCTTCAAAGAGAGAATGATCAACTGTATCAGGTGCAGCTGTTAAGTCATATAAGATGAGGACTCACTAATGTCCATTGGCTTTAGTGACATTGAGAGTTCAAGATAATAAAACGGAAATGGAGATAGAGAATTCAGATAATTCTTTTAAGTTTTATTTTGCTTTATTTTTTTGTTTTTTACCATAAAAAGAAGAAATATTTGAGAAATAAGGCAGGAGCCAGAGAGGAAAGAGGGCCAAGAGGTGGAATTTTTTTAAGCTAAATGAAAAATTTTAGCATGCTTGTGTGTTAAAGAGAATGATTTAAGAGAGAAGAGGAAATTGATGATTATGGAGAGAGAGAGAGAGAGAGAGAAGGAGGGAGAAGGAGGGAGGGAGGGAGGAGGGGAGATTTCAATGTCTTTAAGTAGGTCTTAGAGCATAAGATGCAGAGCACAAACAGAGAGGCTGTCCTCTTCCAGGAATGTGGTCTATTCATTCATATTAACAGGAACAAGGTTGCACTTATGGGCAAACAAGGAGTTAGGTGGAGAGATTTGGTGGTGGGAACTTCTAAAAGTTCTCTTCTGATTGCAGCAATTTCTCTGTGAAGAAGGAAGCAAGATTATGGTGGGAGATGTATTAGAGACTTTAAGGAGAAATGGGAAGTTCTCAAGTCTAGGAAAGTGGGAAAGGGAGTGGTCTACAGAATAATTGGCAGGTAGCTTTAAGGGCTCACTTGAAATCAGTGGTCATTTTTCTCTAGCCACTTTGAGCAATGTTGGTAAGATAAGACGACAGAGCTGGATTTAATCAAGGTTGTGTGAATGATGAAGCAAGAGGAGCAAAAAAATAAAGGTGAATACGTTAAAGTGACTGCACTGATAAATGGGAGAATTCAAGCTGGGTGGGTAAGAAATGAGGTGACAAGAGTGTGATGAGAGATCAGCATATTGAAGATCTCAGCAGGATTGAAGGGCTGAGTTGGGATTGTAGAGGACAGGAATCCCATGGTTGTCTGTTAGAAAGTATTTGATGTCAGATTCTTCCACAATACTCTTAGGTACCATGATGTCGCATCAAAGTGTCTTATTTTAAAAAGTACCCTCATTTTGTGCAAACATAGCTGCCAAATGCGTGTATTGCTGCCCATTCCCACTAATCGGTTCATTCTCTGAACAACTGGCAAAATGGCAAATGCTGCTGTTGCAGCTGCTCCTATAGTCCCAATTGCCTCCAGAGAGAAAAAAAAATAACTAAATATATTATATTAATAAATGACAGAATAAACAGTTATTTACAGTGTGTTGTTATTAATCCACATCATTAATATTACCAGACTGATGCTTGAGTTTACTTTTGCAATGATAGAACCACTTCAGTCTTTGCAGTAATTACAGTGGGGAATAATTTATGCTTACATGAATGGATCCCAGACTTGGATCCCCACTTGGCTGGCTAGAGCTCTGATCTCCTGCCTGACTCATGCCAGTGCTCTCCTTCAGGGGTAGTTGAGCTCTGCTTCTCACATCCTCCATTATCTGGCAAGCACCACCTGATATATATCTTGTTTGAGAAATGTGAATTGTGCCTGACACTGAGTGTAAGTGACCTCGAAGTTACATTCTTCCTATAGTATCCCGGAGAATTCTCACATGGATTCTGGTTGTTTCTGACACTCTTAAAATTATGATGCAGACTAATAATGGTGTTTGGGGTAATAAATAAAAAGGAAATATTTATTTAATAAAATAAAAAGCTACAACCCTCTTGCACCCACAGTGCAAAAGCTTTGGCAATAGGAGGAAGCAACACAATTTTGACAGTGCTTGAATTTTTGCTAATGGCAAATTTGTTTATTGAGCTGGGGTGTTCTATAGGGGAACATACTTATTTGGGTGATCAAACAAAAGCAGCTATACTTCCAAATTTTACATCAAACTATATGCCTTTGGCATATGAACTTACATTTTTGGCAGAATCAGGAGTTACAAGTTCCACCAACCATACCATCAACTGGTGCCTGAAATTATTTTGTCAAATCACCAGTTGAATTTCTTCATGCTGTTTGTGGATCAGACTTTCAGAGGTATTTGTCTGCTGTGTAGATACACAAGCCTTTTTCCTTGAAGACACACCTGGCCCCAAAATCATGATTTTTGTTTTCACATATTCTGGGTGCTTTTATTACATTAAATGAAACACGTATTTAAGCCCATAGACTCTTTGAAACATGCTTAAAAGTGAAATCAAAAAAATTTTCATAGAATTCAGCTTTCCCATTGCAAATATACATTAAACCACTGCGTTATATGAATGAATATTCAAAATACTCGAGTACGTATGTTTCCAAAAACAAATGAAACCAAATGATTTTCCTAAGCTGCCATAGTTACCACTGAGGCCAAACTAGAATCCAAGACTCCTAATTTCTGTCTAGTGTTTTTTTCCACCGTACATACTTACAAAAAGTTATTCTTGAGCTCAGGATCATTTAGTGTCTCTCCCGTTCTGATAAATTCTTACCCTTTCAGAAAAGCATATTTTTAAACTTCCCATCTTCAAACGCTCTGCTAACTTAAGTAATAATATGTGGAACATAGTGTAAATGATATTACTTTGGCCTGCAAAGGTTGAATTTCAGTGCATATGAAAGCAAATTCCGAGCTTTATAATACATTTTTCATAATAGAGACCATCCGTCAAGGTGAAAAAAGGCATGCTAAAGCAATGAGGGACATTAAAGCAGATAACTTGGTAACTAAAATATAAAAGGACTTCCTCAGGAAGCAGACCTGAAATATCAGGATATTTGCCTTCATTCTCTGGTGTCTTTTAATTTGTTTTAAAATTAAGATGCAAGTGGTGAAGGAAGCTGACTTAGTCAACAGAAGTGGTTAGTTTGAAAGCTGTTTTGATCCATTTTAGTGAATCGTTTAGAATTTATACTTAGGCACAAAATCTAATTTTCCAATTAATTTCACAAAAGAGATGCTTTTTATATTGATTGCCCAAGTGTGTTCCCTATTTGTGTCCAGAATATCTAATTGGCTGATGCTAACAAGCAATGTCCTTAAAGCTAATACTTGCTGCTCAACTTGATACAGTTTTAGAGCCTCTAAGAATTTTGATGTGTACAGGCTATACTCTGCAAAATCATTTTAACTTAATGTGGAAATGTCAGTGAGTCCATGTTTATCATAATGGACATTTAAAGCGTAATTTGTTTTACTTGGGCTTATTAATAACTGTTTTGTTACTAACTTTCAGCATTTATTTATTTATTTATTTATTTATTTATTTATTTATTTGAGACAGGGTCTGGCTCTGCTGCCCAGGCTGGAGTGCAGTGGTACGATCATGGCTCACTGCAGCCTCAATCTCCTGGGTGCAAGTGATCCTCCCACCTCAGCCTCCCTAGTAGCTGGGACCACAGGCATGAACCACCATGCCCAGCTAATTTTTTTGTAGATAGCAGGGTTTTGCTATGTTGCCCAGGCTGGTCCCGAACTCCTGGGCTCAAGCGATCCACCTGCCTCAGCCTCCCAAAGTGCTGGGATTACAGGCCAGTTTTAATATTTATATATATATGTACCATTTCTTGTGCTCATTTCTTCCTAAATATGCAAGTTTCCATCAGATATCAGTTTTCTCTGGCTGAAGAAATTCCTTTACCATATTTTAAAGTGTGGGTCTGTATACCACAAGTGATGATTTTTACTTAGTCTTTATTTCACCTTCAGTCTTGAAGGATACTTTTACTAGGTATAAAATTCTCAGTATAGAGTTTTTTCTATCACCCGACTTTTCTGGCCTCCATTGTCTCTGAGGAGAATTTAGCCATCATTTGTACCATACTTCCCTCTGTATAATATGTCTTTTTCTCTGTGTTGAAGTTTTCTCTTATTTATCGTTTTCAAAAAGTTGAGATTGAATTGGTTATGATTTGATTTTTTTTTTTTTTGCTAGTTAAGTGAAGCAGTGGGAGTGAAGAAAGAACAAAGAAATCCGTAACTAGTTGTAATCAGTTAGTTTGATTTGAATTTTTAGAAACTCTTCCTGCAGTTTCCTGAGATACTGGAACCTGTAAATGTATGTCTCTTAACAAATTCAGGAAATTTTTGGCTATTATGTATTTAAATATTTTTTCTGCCACATTCTTTCTCTCTTCCCCTCTTATGAATCCAGTGATCCATATGTCATATCTTTAATATTGTCTCACAGGTCACAGAGGTGCTGTTTATTTCTTTGATTTTTTTAAGACTTAAAGTTGGATGGTTTTTATTAATCTTATTTCGAATTTACTGATTATCTGGTCTATTATCTGCTACAAAGCCCAGCTAGCAAATTTTTTTTTCAGATACTAAATTTTTTACTCTTAGAATTTCTATTATATTTTCATTTGTATTTTTCTTCAGAGATTTCCTGTCTGTTTATTGATTACTATTTTCCTTTATGTCCTTGATCATAATTATAATAGCTGCCTTAAAATAACTGTTAACTAATTCCATCATACTGGTCATCTTGTGGTCATTCTCATTGATTTCTTTTATTCTTGAGTATGAGTGATATTTTCTTGTTTCTTCATATGTCTCATTCTGTCCTGGATATTATTTTGCTTTCTGTTGTGTCTTCTGAAAAATGTTTATTTTTTGTTTTAGCAGGTGGTTAATCCCTGAAATTTCTAAATGAGTGACATGTTTAAAAGCAGGCATGTCTAAATTCTGTCTTATCTATAGTAGGCAGCAGCTAAAATATTTGAGCCTTTTTAACTTTAACCAGGCTGCCTGGACTCTGCATAGACAGAGGTAGTTCAGGACTTAGCCAGATATTTGGACAGAATTTAAATGCAGAATTTGAGGCTGCCCTCTGTGGCTCTTTCCTTTCCAGACAAGAAAGAGAAAAGGAGACCTTGGCAGCTGGGAGCTAGCCTGGCATTAACAGGTGGGCCTTGATGTTGTTAGAAGTTAGCCAGGCAGTCACAATAGGCTGTGGTATTCCATTACACACTAAAAAAATTATCAGAATACATTTGTTAGACAGGGTCTTTCTGTGACTATGATGAGATTTTATTTTTTTGAGATGGAGTCCTGCTCTGTTGCCCAGGCTGGAGTGCAGCAGTGCCACCTTGGCTCACTGCAACCTCTGCCTCCCGGGTTCAAGCAGTTCTCCTGCCTCAGCCTCCCAAGTAGCTGGGATTACAGGTGCACACCACCATGCCCAGCTGATTTTTGTATATTTAGTAGTGACGGGGTTTCACCTTGTTGGTCAGGGTGGTCTCGAACTCCTGACCTCAGGTGATCCACCTACCTCGGCCTCCCAAAGTGCTGGGATTACAGGCATGAGCCACCAAGCCCAGCCTCTGTGACCATGATGAATCAAGACAAAAAGATCATTCTATCATCATGTTCAAAAACAGACAAAATCAAGAACATTATCCAATCCACAAGAATGACTAAACTTCCCCTCTGCTGCTGATATAAGCAACTGCTACTTCTTTAGCAGTCTTTAGATAAGAAATAGTAAGATACCCAACCACAGAATTACTTCCACTTCTTACCATTGAATTCAGAGCAAAACACTGCTTCCTTGAAGAGTCCCCAAAAGAACATAACACAAGCCCAAATTCTAGCATATATCAGACTCACCTTGTTTCCCTGTGGTATATGTTCTTCCTTGTTTTCTGGTGATCTTTGATTGAAGGGTTATGACACAGGATTTCCTCCTCTACTTTCTACTGTCTGTAGTAGACTATAAGTCTGATCTCTCATTGTTCAAGCCATAAAACAATAGAACTTCTATGCAACTTCAAGCCATTCTGCATGGTGCCACACGTGTGTCTGCCCTGTGGCAAAAAATTAGAACACTGGGATACTTACCTGGTGCCATTACCTTTTTTCTAGTTTCTGTGTACTTTTGGTTGTTTCCCAGTGCTTCCAGATAATCATATATTATAGTTTGTCCTGAGTTGATAGTTGTTATCTCCAGGAAATTGTTCTGTTGTGAATTACTTCACCATTATCAAAAGCAGAAATTCCCTTTGTTGCTGTTAAAATATATTACTTGGTATCATGCAGTCTGTTCCTAAGGTGGGCAATCTTTCTGTGATACCACAATTGAGTAGTAGCCATCATATTTCATTGCAGTAGGGAAGCATTAAATTGTAATTGCTAAATGAATAAAGTAATCTAAATTTGGAAGCTTGAGAGGGCCAATTAGGTCATTCGTGTGAGGTTTGCTGGACTTCTGTCGTCCTTTTGCTGAGCGTGAGTCAAAAGACTTCTCTAAACAATACAATTACAAGAACGTGTTTGTCCATTTCCAAGTCTAATTTTAGGAATAATGTGAAAGTTTCATGGATGAAAATCATTACAATATGTGTATTGATCTGGCCTGTAATTATTTTGCTGGAAAATATTGAAAAATTTCTAACCAGTGCTTTTGGGGAAATACTTTGTCATTAGAACAACAATGATGCCTTGAAATTAAAGTTGACGTAATCATTAATTTTCTGAAACTTTTTACAAAGTTTTGTACTTAGCCATTATATATCAGGGAACAAGTGGTTATCTCATTTCTTATGGGAATCAAGACCTCTAGAAGCATATTCTTTTTCTCTATCATTTAAAGTCCAGTGTATTTCTCCCATGGGTTAGATTTGTCTGTGTTCTGTCTAGAGAGACAAATCTTTAACATTATTTACTCTTAGGATTTCTCTCTAACTTATGAGTAACATACATCATTATTCATATAGACAAGATGTGAGATTTGGAAATACTTTTGTGTTTCTTTAGCCATTGGATTATATTGATGTAAAATTTAAGTGCTTTCTTGTTTTTCATTATATCTGTCGTATATCAGCATATTATAGAAACCTTTATAACACTTCTTTAGAAGTGTGAATATTGCTTTGCAAGAGCGAAAATTTAATACTAAACCTGCCCTCCAGCCTCACAATTCTCCCAACATTCCTATGATTTCTCTAGCCCACCATATCTGTTCTCCAGAGGAAACACTGCTGCCCTCCACAGTTTATCTTCCTAATGTATTTGCTTGTGTTTTTTGTTATGTGTATTGTCTGACTCCCCCTACTAGAATGCAGGATCTGGAAAGAGAAGTGCCTGTTTTGTTTCCAGAAGTTATCTTGTAAGACAGGAGCAGTCTTGGCATATAAAAATTGCTGTCAATTCGTTAGTTCAACCATTGTGGAAGACAGTGTGGTGATTCCTCAAGGATCTAGAACCAGAAATACCATTTGACCCAGCAATCCCATTACTGGGTATATACCCAAAGGAGTATAAATCATTCTACCATAAAGACACATGCACACGTACACACATATGTTTATTGCAGCACTGTTCACAATAGCAAAGACTTGGAACCAACCCAAATACCCATCAATGATAGACTGGTTAAAGAAAATATGGCACATATACACCATGGAATACTATCCAGCCGTAAAAAAGGGTGAGTTCATATCTTCTGCCAGGACATATATGAAGCTGGAAACCATCATTCTCAGCAAACTAACACAAGAACAGAAAACCAAACACTGCATATTCTCATTCATAAGTGGGAGATGAACAGTGAAAACACATGGAGATGGGGAGGGGAACATCACATACCAGGGCCTGTCGGGGTTGGGGGCTAGAGGAGGGATAGCATTAGGAGAAATACCTAATGTAGATGACAGGTTGATGGGTGCAGCAAACCACCATGGCACGTGTATACCTATATAACAAGCCTCCGTGTTCTGCACATGTATCCCAGAACTTGAAGTATGAAAAAAAATTCTCAATATGTATTTCTTAAATGAATGAAGAAAAATTGTTTATATAAATCAAATTTTTCTTTGGAGGAAGTAGCAGGAGTTCTCCCTGCCTCCTTCCTCTCTCTCTTCCCTTTAAACTATCTGCCAGCATCATCTATATAAAGCACAGTCCAGGTCTTTTTTAATCTTTCCTCAAAAATCTTTAACATCTCCCCAGTGCCTATAAAATAAAATCCAAACTCCCTAGCTTGGCATTTGAGGCCCTCTGCAATCTATCCTTATTCTGCCAACAATTTCATCAACCAACGCTCCCCTTATGCTTCAGCTCTTTCCAGTGTGATCTTTGGGCTTTCTTTCTCATTGACATGTTTAAATGTCGTCTTTGTTTTGTGGCCTATGCTGATTACCTTATTTCTAATGGAAACCACATTCCCCATCTCCCTTTCCTAGATTTCCTTTTCTCCACGTGCTTATTACCTTCTAATATACCATATGATTTACCTACTAATTACATTTATCTTGCTTCCTCCCGAAAACATAAGCTCCATGAAAACACGACTTTGTGCCTGTTATGGTCTCTTTAATATCACCACTGTTTAGAATAGTGCCTTGCCTCTATAGCTTGGACACCTTTTCCCTCTACTTAGATTTCCCTTCCCTGAACTCCATGTATGTAAATCCTACCTGTTTGCCAAGGCTTAGCTTCAGTGCTATCTCAGCTGAAAAACTCCCCCACTCCTCTGAACTTGGGTGAAGATCATTTCTTCTTCTCTGAACATTGGCATCATTTAACCAGAAACTGCTTTTATATTGTTGAAAAACTGTTTTCTTGCTTGTATTTGGCTATTTATGTGCATTTCTTATCTCTCCCACAACCATGCCTTAAAAATAGGTTTCACCACTAGCTCATCTTTACAATTTTAGTAGTACTTAGTACTCCATGTATGTAGTAAATGCTTGACAAATATGTGTTGAATAATAGCAGCATGAATATGCTTACACAGAACTTTCTAAAGAAATATATGAACAAGATTCTTGAATTATGCAAAACCCATGTGAAAAGGTATTTTGATTTTTGAGCTTGATTATTTTCGGGGAAAATCCAATTATGTCTTAAACTTAATGGAGTGAAAATATCCAATAAGAAAAAAAATGTATTTGAAATCTTTCATTTTATATTCAGAACCCAGACTATGTCCTATCGATATCTTTTTTACATCAGAGTAATTTCCTTCTTTCAAAGCATTTGTGCCATACAAATTGTTTATTCACAAACTAATGTCATGTCCAGCTACCCGAAATGGTTTGTAATTTAATTAAGGAAAATATAATTAAAGACACAAATAACATAGGATTTATATCAAGCAGTAAATGTAGATTTGCTGTCACTTGGGTTTTACACTTTTTCATAGTGTATGTCTTGGCATTAATGAATCACCTTATATTAAACAGAATTGGGAGCGATAATAGGACTGCGCTCATAAGACAGAAGACTGAAAGCAATTTGATGAGGATCTTATCCTTCTTTCCTTTTTATGGAATTCCAGAAAAAACCTCTATCACTGGATTATAGTTGATTTCAAAAGTTTCTTTTACAGTCATTTTCCTTATATCCATGGCCAATTACCAAACTAAAAATGGCTCCCTCTGTTCTATATGAAAGTTTCATAATTCCAAAGTTCAATATTCATCACTAAGTCCTCAACGAGGGAAGATTTGAATACTTGTTTTAAGAAAGTTTTTTTTTTTTTTAAATCCTCAAGGTAAAAGTATTTTCAAAGTAATCAAACCTGGGCTTACTCAGTGGAAAAGTGGTAATTAGTATGGTCTCTTTTGTGAAGCTGGTTAAAAGCTGATGTTAAAAGAAATTATAACTCTGATAGAATTATGCTCAAAGTGTTAAGTGAATGTGTCTCAGAGAATCATTGATATTGAGTGCATATAGTACCACAGAATTCTGAAGTTATGTCAGTGGAGTAGCCATATGGTGGTATGTAATAAAATGTAGTTTCCAAACTCTTCACGTAGAAACTTACAGTCTTGGCTCACACCAGGAGCCCCCTCCCTTTCCACCTGTCCCATGAAAGCCTTTGGCAGGAAAACAGGCCCTGTGCTAACTCCCAGGGACACATATTCATGCTTGTTTTCTTCAGTTCTGTGCCCAACCTCACTCAGTCACCACGGATGCAGCTTTGAGTAAAACAGACCAAACCTTCTAGTGAGATCAGGGCTGGTATGACAGGGAGAGATTCTGCGTTAGTTGAGCAGCTCCTAGGAGAGTGGACTACTCTCCCTTGATTCTTAAACTTACTGAGGAGCAGTATTAGGATATTTTACCAGCACAAAATTAGATATCCCTTAACTTCCTTTATTTGATTTTTTTTTTCTGGTTTAGTCGACTATGCTTGCAATTGGTAACCTCTTGTTAATGGATTCTGTTTCTAAGGGTTTTATCACCTCATCTGATACCTAAAATGTCTGGAGCACAATGACATTCAATAAATATTTATTGTGTCTATGAACAAACATGAATAAATGATTCAAATAATGCATTTCTTATATGACTCTTTCCACTGGTTTAGATAAAAACCAAAGATCTTTGGTAGTAGAATTATACTATTTTTAGGTTCAGCTCATGCCTTATGGGATCACTATATAAAACCGCATTATTTAATCCCTTTTGAGAGAAATCAATAGTACCAGGTCAGTATTATAAAGATAGCTTATTTGCATTGCTACCACCTTGCCAATTGCACAAGCCACGAGAATTCTGAAAATTAGGAAAACTGCCCAATTTAAGCATAGTGAATATTATCATCAACCTGGCGCTGACCTGGCTGGCTGTGATGCGTATGTGCACTTGGTATATTTCCTCTGATCTATCATTTGGACTCCCTTTTTGACAATTTGAAGGTCTTAGAAATTGATTAGTGGTCTTTAAACCACAGTGATCAACAGTGGCAAAATAAAACACAATAATAGTTATTTCATCTTTTATTGTAATCAGGAAAAATTAGATATTTCCATGCCAGATTATAGTTTATGCATTTAAGTGTTCTTATTTTTCCTTAGTGAAAGTGGAGAGAATTGGGGGTGGGAAGCACATAATTAATATGCTTTGTAAAAAAAACTAGAAAACTCTCAGACTAAATCAAAACCTGATACCTGTATAAAACATTAAAACCTGTACTTTGGAACAATGTGCTTTAAAAACAAATTGAGGTGCTAGTGGCATGGAAGAAAGTCCAAATGCAAATGATGAGGAGACAGCTATGAAATGTAGGTTGGTTGGCTGCAGTTCTGCCCATGAAGCACTAGCTGGCATTAGTATGAAATTTAAATTCACTTCTGTGCTGGTGATTGCCTCTTTGGAACTCATTAAACATTCTTTGGCATCAGATTTTAGACTGAGTAAAGCCATAGAGCATGATCCAGGCAGAAATTAACCTCAGGGCCTATAAGCTCCTGTAACTGAGCAGCTAAGAAGTTGATGTTCTGTCCCGGAATAAGATTCTCAGAAAGGGTGGAGCTTGAGAGGGAGCTTAGAGTTCAAATCTCACAGCTGGAAATCAAGCCAAGAGCAGTGTATTTGACTTCGTTAGTATTACTGCTCTTTTGGTTTGTATGCTAATCTTTTGAGCTTCATCATTTCAGTTTCTGCCTGAGAGCTGGCTCTTCAAAAACTTTAAGTGAAATGACAGTCTACAAAATTGCTCTTTGAGAACAATTAAACAAAGTCAGGAGGCATGCAATATTTTTAGCAATGGGTAAAAGGGATCATTTAATTATGACAAAGTGAAGCTCATAGTCTTCAGAATTGTTTCGACAGATCTGATTGTTATGTGACAAGTTTTGGATGGTGGCTGGTTTCTACAGCCTAGCTGAGCTCAGATGGTATATAGAGGAAATATTGCCAAGATAATGAATGAGAACTTAGGAGCTATACGGAATTACTCCTGACAAGACAGTATTTTCTTTCTGTTCAACAGGTGACTGCAGAAGAGATCCATTGAAAAATTACATTAACTGATACCACTATCAACTCATAAAGCAGGATAGGGAGAGTAAGACAATACTCAAAGAAAAGATGCCTAGAATACCAAGCAAATGATTTTCTGAGTATCCCAGTAATGTTGTATTCACTTCTTGAAATAAGGGAAATAGTAAGTGGTCATTAATAAAATAAGATAAGAAGTGATATCTTTAATTAAATGGGCAACTTGTTCTTATTACAGCTGTTCTGACTGATTATGATTAACTGCCAATTCTGAGACTTGACTCATTAATTCTTCAGTGTACAGGACTTAGGAGCAGAATATTGCATGAGACACAACTTACCAAATCCTCTGGAAATAACGTTGTTGTTGTTTTTTTTTTTAAATCAAGATCAACTATATTTCAATTATTAGAAAGCACACACCTTGACCACCTTGACATGTGGAGAGAACAACACACAGATTTGGAGTAGCTATGATGCAAATCAGGATAGTAGAGTTGGGAACAGAAAGCTTGCCTCATATTGAAGGACCAGCAGGAGTTGGGCCTCTGCTCTCACCTCTCATTGAATCTTTTCACTGGTACTGTGGGAAATGCACAGGCCTTGCAATCAAACTGCAGAGGTTCAAATCTGAGCTCTACCGCTTAGCAGCTGTGGGCATTGTGGTACATTTTTCATTCCAGTTGAGACTTATTTTATATGTAAAATGAGGCTGAAATAACAAACCAATAGGATTGTTATGAAGTATGCATGAGAAGAAAAAAGCACAGGATTAAAGTTCTGGAGTCAGATAGTCTGGGTTGTAATCTTGGCTCAAATGTTTATAAGTTGGTTGACTTGGTGCCTTTGTTTTCTTGGGTAAAATGCAGAAGTTCTCTTGGTCCTGTGCTGTAGCGTTGAATAATCGTGTTAATGTTTGTTAGGCACCAGAGCCATCCTGGTACATAGTCAGCTCTAACTATTATTACAAACAGGACCTGGGAAAATACTTAACATATTGTAAATTCTCAATAAAAGGAAGCTGTTGTGATTACTGTGGTTTGTTTCTGCTATTAGTTCCTATCCGGAAGCACTATGTTCTTGATTTTTGCATGTCTATTTTTTCTATTTAGCCTATATGACTAAATTGTCTGTAAGTTTTAAAACCAAATCACTGCTAAAGTTTAAAAGTGAAGGCAGGAGTATTGTCCTCCTTGCATACTGTGATATTAATCCAAAACAGTACTTAAAATAAAAATTTACCTATTAAGCACAAATCTATAAGTAGAAGAGATTTTTTTTCCTTCACTTCATAGAATTAGACTCATGCAAAGTTCCCAGCAGTCACAACTTCATACAAACCACAACGAGAAACAAGGTACCAAATTAAATGAGATACGTTTTTTTGTTAGTGGGACTAGCAGGGAATGAAGAAACCAATACTATGTTTTAATATTTAAACAATTAAATTCATATTCCATAAGATGAATCAACCAGATTAATAAGAAAATTTGCAAATGAAACTAAATGTGGAATTCCTGGAAAATGCCAGTAAAAACAGAAATTAGCCAGTGAGGTAAGAAGTTAAAAATGAGATAAACAAAAAAATTCAAATGGGATGAAAACTAATGATACTAAACAAGGATGATATTGCTATTCAAATAAGATAAAGTTTAATGGTGACTATTTTTTCTTTATAAAATTAGCGTGGAAAAAATTTGACTCATTCATAAAGAAATTCTATGACGAAAGAGGATATCAATGGGTTTTTTGACCTCTTGAAAATATATCTTTATTGTTTTTACCTACTCATGTTAAAAAAATACATACATAAATGTATGGTGATTTAAAAGACAAAAAGAAAATTAAATTTTAGCATTTCTTCTCTTTATGTAAAGTAATTTTCTAACATTTCAAGTTAAAGAAGGCTCATGCTCTTTAGATTGACAAAAATAAATACTCATACACAAAAAGTAGATTAAAAAGAATGTGTGATCAAAGAGGAAGTTAGGGGCTTCAAAGTTTCAGATAGAAGGTTAGACTTTTCAGACAGAAGGAAAAAAAATGGAATGGTAAGAAGGCCTTCCCAGAAATGGTTCATTGGAATAGAGAACTGTTCAGTATGGAGATTAAAAATGGAAAAACAGATTTCCTTCACATTGTCTTTCAGAGGCTGATGAGTCTTTGAAAAACAGAATTGTTCACCTATGCTTATAAAGCCTTTTGGTGCATGACCATGCCTGTAGACACCTCTCCATTTTTTCATTTAACAAATATGGATTTATGCTTAGTATGTGACAGATATTATATTACAGTCTAAAGACACAAAGAAAAATAATACCTGTCATCAAGGAGGTTACAGTCCAGTAGAAGAAATGGGCATGCAAAAATAAAGAATTAGATCTCATAATTGGAGTACTAGAAGTGCAAAATGTACTGCAGGCACAAAAGAAAGAACACTTAACCCTTTCTGGCTGTACCAGGGAAGATATTAAAAGGTGTGTCTTGAACAAGGAAGGTTCTTTTTTTGGTGAAATGCTTTGCATTTTTATTGTACGATTCATTGTCTCATTAGCTAAACCATTTAGCACTTGTGTAGTGCTTCACAGATTACAAAGTGCCTTCAGACACATTAAACATAAAGTACATTTTATTAAACAGTAGTTCCTTTTTAGGCATTTTGATTGCAGCTTATTGATTTTGTCTTTATAGGCACTAGACCTATATCTCTATAGGGTTCTAGTAGAGGAGGGGATGTTCTAGTTACTATTCCTGCATAACAAATCACTTCAAAACATAATGATTTAAAACAGCGATAATCATTTCATTATTTCTCATAATTTCTGTGGGTCAAGATTTTGAGAAGCACTTGGCTGGATAATTCAGACTCATGATCACTCACACAGTTGTGGTCCCACTGACTGGAGCTAGGACAAGAGAGGGCTGGAGCAGCATGGGCTGGCTGAGAATCTCTTTGTCTGCATGTTGTGTTAGGGCTTCTCCATGTGGTCTGACCACATGGGTTAGTTTGGTCAGAGGCCACCATGCTGTGGGGAAGCCCAATCAGACTACTTGCATCCTGGGTCAGGGTCCCTTACCAGCAAGGTGGAAGCTGAATCGATTTTTCTAGCCTTATTTTGGAAGTCACACTGCATCAGTTGAGTCACTATCTATTGGTCACAAGCAAGCTACAAATTTAAGAGGAAGGGAACTAGATTTAACTTCTTGATGGATGAGAGGCAAGGTTCTAGAAGAACATTTGAGATAGGGGATTTTCTTGTGGGCATCTTTGGAAAATACATCTTTACATCTTCATTCAAGCTTTGAGTAAATAAATTATTCTTCTTTTAACAAAGATGGCATGGGATCTTATCAGAAAATTATCCAAGCCAGAGGGAAATTACTAAATTTTACCTGTTTTTAAACTGAGTTTTAAAATTTCAGTACCTGCCACTTTCTAACAAAACAGATAAAAACACGATAGGATAGATAAGAAGAAATTAATTTGGCAAGGAGGAAGGATTTTCTGACATGCTTAGCCATTGACCCTTAGAAGAGGTTACCACAGGAAACAGAAGAATCAGTTTCTCTGGAGGTTAAAAACTGATGGTAGAGGAATTCTGTGAATCTCACTTGTTGTCAGTGTAGTCCCAGCTGGAGGAAAGAGAGAGATTGGTAACCTTTTTAGGCCTATTCTTCTGAATTCACAAGGTATAGAGAGATTGTCTGGGTAACCTTGGAAAGGTCTTTTGGTCAATTAAAAGGCTTGTTTTTATATTATGTATTTATTTCTTTATCATTCATTCTTTATTTTGAGCACTATGTTTCATAAAAAAAAGTTCCAATTTTCTACATGTACGGTTCTACCCAATGCAATTACCAAAAGGGCTTTCCAGATCCTGATTACTGTCCTTTGATAATAACTAGATAACTAGATGATTAATTTCTAGTTATTAATCAAAGGACAGTAATCAGGATTATTAGGATAATTATCCTTCGTGATAACTTATAATTTAAGGCATTTTTTTGGCATGACTGACAAGGCAAGTAACAGATTATCTATGGATGATAGTTTTGTGTTTATAAGTGCATTGGTATCTATATGTATAGGTCGTCATATAGAGAGGTTAAGTGGTACCAAATATTTTGCTTTACTTGCATTATTTGATTTGATTTTAAACAACTCTAGTATAGTTAGTATCCCTATTTCACAGTTGATATAAATAAGGCAGACAGAAGTTAAGTAACTTGTCCAAAGTAAAGAGGCAAAGCTAAGATTTAATCAAATTCCACTAACTCTAGAGCCTCACTGCTGAACAAGGTACTGTACTATTTATTATTAACAGTGAAATGAGTACTCAATCTTCCTTTCTAAGTTTCTACTGTATTTTCAAATAAGTCTGCAGTCTGGAATTTATAAATCAGAATCCCTCAATGTCATTAAAGTATAGGCCAGATGCTCCTTTATCTGGTATGCAAGGCCTTTTATGATCTAACCCCCCTCCCGTGTGTGTGTGTGTGTGTGTGTGTGTGTGTGTGTGTGTGTGTGTGTGTGTGTTTCAACTTTTTTCTTCTATTCCTCCAAAACAGGCCTCTCTGTTTTGTTCTAGCCAAATGGGTAGTTCTCATGCTGTTTCTTCTACCAGACACTGTCACCTCACTCTCATTACGTTCTTTCTAGTATTTAAACCTGTTTGAAAGCTGTCTCTTCTATGAAGCTTCTTAGATTACCCAACAAGAAGATATTTCATGAGAATTCCTATAGCTCTTACTTCCTGTATGACTTGTGAGAAATTTGTCAATGTTATAATTGCTGTTTATGTGTATAGAATCTCCCCAATCAAGTTAAAAACTCCCGGATGGAAAAAAAATGGCTGCATTCTTTGCTTTTTTTCTATCTTCAAATCCTGGCACAGTGTGCCACAAATCTACACTTTTTTCGATGTTGATTAAGTAGTCTAACTTCCTTGTAACCAATTTCTGTCTGAATTGGGCGGCATCATTCTCTATTTCCAAGGCCTGTTCTTGAGAATAATATTCTTCTCAGGTTTAAAATAATATTATAATAATTATGTGACTAAAAACTTTTGAGAAAATGTTGCTATTAGCATGGGGGTGCTTTCTTTGTTTGCTTTCACATATCCTTATTCAGTATACATTTTAATGACTCTAGGATGCTCATTCTGTCAGATAAAGAACATAATTAGGTATACTTTGTTTACACAATTGAGCAAAAAGAGTCTGGTCTGAATTACTTAATTGACTGGTCTCTAGTATCAGTGATGCTAAAAACTGAACTGAATTTCTGAGCATAATTCCCTAGCTGCTTGTGCTTTTTTCTAGGACTATAGATTGCACACCTAAAACTGGACAGTCATCTGACATAACTGTGCTGTTATTTAATGAGACAATCAGACAGTACAAGTACCATCGCTTCTGTATACGAAGGAAGATAATACTGCGATTAAAGATTTTGAATGTTAGTCCTAGAACTCAAAACTTGACTCACATCCCATTTCTGTTACTATTTAGCAAACAAGATTAAACTATTGTCCATTTACTGATAACCTACTTTGCTGTAAAAAAGATTTTAACAATTTTATAAATATATCAAGGTATGTACTGTAACAAGAAAACATCAATTTTAACCAAATGGCAAAGATGAGGTTAGGTGATAACAAGGATAAGGGAATAAAAGAGACCCCAGAATAAGGCCAGTAATAGAGATAGATGTCAGGTTATCATACAATATTTGTTTTTTGTTTTTTTTTTTTTAGACAGAGTCTGGCTCTGTCACCCAGGCTGGAGTGCAGTGGCGCGATCTCGGCTCACTGCAAGCTCCACCTCCCGGGTTCACGCCATTCTCCTGCCTCAGCCTCCCGAGTAGCTGGGACTACAGGCGCCCGCCACCACGCCCAGCTAATTTTTTGTATTCTTTTTAGTAGAAACGGGGTTTCACCGTGTTAGCCAGGATGGTCTTGATCTCCTGACGTCGTGATCCGCCCGCCTCGGCCTCCCAAAGTGCTGGGATTACAGGCGTGAGCCACCGCGCCTGGCCAGGTTATCATACACGCTTACTAAGAGTGGGCTGCACATTTCACTCTGCTTACCGACGTGAAGAGGGAAACCCGTTCAAGTTCATTGTCAGTTTTACTGATTTGCGGCGCCTATTAAAAACAAACCATTTGCCGAGGAGGTGTGCGCCTACGTAGAGAACTAAGAAATTGCTTTCACGAGGCTTTAAGAAGAAAACACCGTTTAAGCCCTAGGAATGATTCTGGGTAATAATTATAAGCCAATAGAAGCTTTTTCAACTAAAGAATTTTAAAGATAAATTAATACTATTTTTGTTAGAGGTAGTGATTTTGCTTTCTGTCATGTGCTCGTGTTTCCTACATGGGCAACTTATGACTTCTCTGTTGATCTATCTGGTTTCACAGTGCTAATCTTCTCCAAAACTCCAGAAAAATCTCTCATTTCAGTAGTGGCACCTCGTTCTATCACCACATTCTCAATTCTACCATTGCCTTCAGAATGGCACTTAAAACATTGGCCAGCTTGCCTTATCTTTGTTTCTAAGTTTCTATCACGCTGCCAGCTACCTACCCGCAACCCCAACTGCTCTGCATTCCTATATTCAAGTTCGGTGTTTGACGACCTTTGGCCAGAGATGTTTTTTGCCATGGATTTGGGGCTGTAGAAATGGCTAAAAGAAAGCTCTCCCCTCAACTGAAACATAGCAGCTCGACTTTTCTCTGTTTTGTTGATTATAATTCCATATATAAATTCACTGAGGGGGAAAAAAGCATTCACCTGCCTTTAAAAAATTAATACTTGAAAACAATCAATGCTCTCTGAAGTCCCTTTGAGGTGTAGACACTGAAAATGAGATCAGCTAAACTGAGTATCTCTTTTCATGCATTGTCCAAATTAGTTTTCTGTTTCCTAGATTCTCTATGTTTGTGCTACCTAAATTTATTCTTGCTTTGAGCTGTAAGCACATGCAGTAAGTATTTTAATGAGTTATGTATCTATATTTTTCTTTTTCTTATGTAGTTTCTTCTTTCTTATTTACTCACTTTGGCTGCCATGCTACAGATTTCTTCACCCTTTCTTTTTATTCTTCCCCCAAAAGAAATACATGATCTTCCATCTAAAGGACAATCGTTTGTAAGCCATATGAGACATTCTTCAACAACACATTTCACACATTTATTTTATTCTCAATATTGAAGTTGAGCCATCCTTTTTTCATCATGAACATCCTCCTTTAGAGTTCACTGGGTATGAAGCTGGAGCAACTGCTAATAAATTCATTACACCATCCTTAATCATACCAATATCATAAAATGCACCCTTTGAAATATAATATTAGCCTGCAGTTTTATTGTGGCAGGAAAGACTAATGATTTGTTAGCAAACTAAGCAGAAAGATATCTTGACAATGGAAAATAAAGGGCATCAATACCATAATGTGACTTGTTTAGGAAGTCAAATGTTTTTACCTGAAATAACATAAATTACCCTAAATTAGAATTATATCTGTAGAAATAAAATTAAGTGCCTGTATTACCAGAAAAAAAAGTCTTAAAATATTACATCAAAAAGTAAAAGAACAGATTTTCAGGCTATGACAATTCTTAATTTAATTGAACAGATTCTTAAAGCATGAATCACTTTTCCTCTAATACTACATCCCCAGTCTTTCAAGAAAACTTGCAGGTACATGGAGGAAATTGCTTCAGCCCTCTGTGACTTAAATAATAGTCATAAATGTGACTTAAAGTATCTTAATATGAGATATGCATATATTATATAGTTTATGAAAGTCTGAAATTAATTTACAATAATAATAAACTTATGGTACCAAAGCTTTTTTCTGTTAGAGAATAATTCCTCTATTTTTTGGAAATTTCAATCTCTGAAATTTATTTGTAATGAAATGTATTGCAGTTAAGTGGGAAAGGCATGGCCTTTGGGTCAGAGTAAGCAGGGTTTTAATATTTTCTCCTTACCACTAAGTGATAGCCATTCTCAAATGTTTTGGTTTCAGGTGCACTATTAAAAATTATGAGGACCCCAAAAATATTTTTTTAAATGTGGGTCATATCTGTTAATACTTACTATGTTTGAAATTAAAACTCAACTACTTTAGAAATATTTATTCATTTACAATAACAAGCCATAAAAAAACAATTTTTATGAGACATAACTATATTTTCCAAAACAAAAAATAGTAAAAAGAATGTATTATTTTATATTTTTTGCAAACTTATTTAATTTCTGGCTTCATAGAAGACAGCTGGATTCTCATATCTCTTTCTACATTCAGTCTGTTGCAATATGTTATATTGGTTGAAGTATATGAAGAAAATCTGCCTGACACAGATATGCAGTTGGAAAAGGAAGGAGTATTTTAATACCTTTTTAAGTAATTGTGAATATTCTTTAATGCTACACCAAAACTTTGATTAGTGGTAGTTTCTTAAAGGTTAGTTGCAATGTAGAATCGAAAACCATATCAATGAACCTTTATTTTTTGTACTCAGTTAAATTTAATTCCAATGGTGTATCTTGCATTTTGAATGAATCTTTTTTGCATGCACGAGTTTGTAACATCATGCATTGCTCATTGTTTCACTGAATTATGCCAATCTTTCTAATGTTGACACATTTATAACAGTTACCTCTTTAATTTTGCCACTCTTTTCCTCAGAGAAGATTTTATATATTGGGAAGCTTATCAAATGGGCAGTGGCAGATAAAAGTTTCCCCAAATTATAATTTAGCTCTAAAGCTCAAATTTTATTGGTAACAATCACTGTCAATTGTTTTCTTTGAAATGTCAGGTTTACTTTATCTTCAAGAAAATGTCTGCCAAATACTCAAGTCTGAATAGCCATAGTTTATCTGTCAGTCATTCATTCAAGTAAAAACAGTACTTCATGCACAAAGTGTCTAGTTCAGCTTGCAACTCAAACAATTGCACAGGTGCTTTCACAAACATCATATTTAGGTATGAAGTAAGTTACTTGCATTTTTCATTTTGTCACATGGAATATTAAAAAGATATATAATCAAGAATTATGATTTAACATTTTTTTTACTGTTTGGTCAGGGACATTCTTAAAAGACTTCGACACTCTGACACTCCCCCCACCCCCAGTTTTCTGGCAGTGTACTGTTAGCACAGCTGATGCTGCCACTGCCTTGATTTGTGATAAGGTACCAGCAGTTATACTTGCCACTGCTTCTGTACCAGCATGCAAATATCAACATAGAAAAGGGAGGACAATAAAGTATTAGTATTAATACTATTATGAAATTGATTTTGACCTAATGAGCCCTCTTCAGGTTCTTAGGGACCCTCAGGGGTCTACACACTACATGTTAAGAACATCTATTCTAGGGTTATGACCTCTTTAAGATTGTTGCCTCACTAATGAAAATAAGAATAATGATATATGCATTGCATATTGTTTGGACATTTAAGTCTGGAAGTATGGTTCTTAAAAATGTAAGTTTCTGTTCCTTGTTTTCCAAATATTAACCTCTGAACAAAGCCAGTATTTCTTCAGGCAGAGCGTCGCTAAAGTAATGTTAGTTATTCTTACGTTTAGAATATGAATCTAATCTGTTAAAATATATCTCTAAGTTTCTTTTATAGAAAAAAACTGTTATTAGATACTCTCTGGAAAACTAATTGGTGTATTTTCTCACTTTGGAAGAATTTCAGGAAGTGTATTTAGAGTACCAATTTAACTGAATATGTGATTCTTTTCAGGTATTGGTACATTTGATATTCATTGGTTATGTGAGATGGTTTATCAATATGTGATCTTATCTCTCTTTGTGCTTATTCATGAATTCGTATAATATTTCACGTCTTCTTCCTATTAGATCTTGAGCATCTTGACTCAAAAATGTGTTTTCAGAACATCACTTAGTACACAGTACTTGATCAATAATGATTGTTATGTTTATAAGGAACCTATTTCCTCCCTATTACCTCACACACATTCGGTCTACTTTCTTGTACAAATTGTTGGTTGTATACACTAGAAAGACAAAATTTCTAATATTAAGCTAAGTGAAATGGTGTTTTAAAAGTAAATCTATTAGATTGGTGCACATATGTGCATTTATAGTATGGTTTAGGTATGGGACCTATAAACCCTTGAGGCTGCTCTCCTCCATTTCAGATAATCAGATTAAACATTTTAAAGGAAAATAAATCAGAACTCATTTAGGTTTATTTAAATTTATTAAAAGTTCACCTAACACACAAAGGCACTCATCAGTGACAATATGTTTTGCAAAGATTTGTTCTATAAGAGTGTGAGTCATCCAAAATTGTAGTCATCTCTGTTGGATAATTTGGAAGCATTATTTCTAAGATGGAACAAGGAAAACCAATGCCAATGTTCTAATAAGTTGCTCAGTGGTTGAATGGTTTTTAGAAAGTATATTAATGAAAGTATTGCATGAAATATTTGAAAAGGACAACTTAGTAAATTTATTTTTTCCTATCTCATAGTCCAGTTAGCTGTTACTGTTGTTGTATCCTGGAATAGGACATAAAACTTCTGGGAAGATCTGTAGACACCCATTTCTATGAAAGTCCTTCAGGGTTGTCTGTATGTGAGGCCATCAAATAATGCAGTGACTTGTCTTTCTCTTACAAGGTAAAACAAAGAAATATAAGGTCTTCTGATATACATTATAATGTAATTTTTCTACCATATTAAAAATATCAGTAAAAAAATGGCAGAACTACTGGGCAATCTGTACACACATGGAAAGATAAGAATTTGTCAATAATTTTCAAAATAGGCAGTGGAAGTGCAAGATGTTTCATGTATTGTAGATTTAGATAGTCTTTACAAAAAGCCAATTTAAAAAATTTACCACCTACTTATACGTAACGAAACTCGACACAGAAAAGTTATGTATCAGTTAGATTTTGCTGCTCTGTAACAGACAATCACAAAAATCTCAGTGGCATACAACAAAGAACATTTGTTTCTCATATGTGTGCAGGGTTCACTGAACTAGGCTGGGCTTAGTTCAGTGGTTTCGCTGATCTCTCCTGGGATCACTCACTGACCTCAGGATGACCACAGGCTCTGTGCTAGGCTGGGCTTGGTTGGCATCCCTTAGCTTTGACAGATCTGCCCCCACGTGTTTTTCATCCTTTTCCTGGGACCAACAGTCTAGTCTGGGCATGTTCTTCTCATGGCAATGGCAAAAGTGCAAGAAGGAAAGCGGAAACATACAAGACCTCTTGAGGTCTATGTTTGTCACTGTTATGCTGTCACTTCTGATTTGTCCTGTTGTCTGAAGCGGGTCACATAGGGTGGTCAAATGTACTTTGCTCTTACAGGAAGTACTCAAAATTCACTTGACAAAGGAATGACTACAGAGGGGGTGAATTATTGAGGCCATAAATGCAATTAATATTCCACACTGTATTGCCTTGGGTCCTATAAATAGTGGCTCACTGAGGTAGGTCAAGAACATAAGCCTCTTTAGGCAACTGCTTTCTCAGTGGTTCCTTAGGCAGGTTTTAGTGCTTCCTTCTAATTTGGTCCATTCAGAGGCTTTTGAGTGGTATTGAATGGCTGCATTTATATTCTAGTTTCTACCTATTACAAAAATAAAGGAAAATAGATTCAGATGATGGTACCAACTTCCATTTGCCTCTGTGCAGCTGCAGTGATCACATGCTGCTATATTTGATGCCTGTATTGAGAGAAATAGAGAAAAATCATAATCTGTCAAACATAATTTGTTGTCTTTGTCTTATTGCATCTGATTGCTTTGTCCAAATTCTCATTCATAAGCAACATATGATATCATCTATTGTCGTTCTTAGATGATATGAGGAAAATAGGTTCAATCCATATAGTTGTTATGTTTACGATTATGCATTTTACATTTACTGAGACAGTATATTAATTTAGACTACAAATACTATTGTTCTTTGCTATTTTGTTGCTTATCAGTCAATTACCGTTTTCAGATATGTGACCATTACAGTTGGGGCATTGTATTAAATACAAATATTTTATTTCCTCTTGTTTTAAGAATGCTCCTTTATACCTGCACTTCACTTATATTAGTGGTAAGAAATTGATCTTATAGTCACAAATACTGAGTTTATTCCTTAAAGGCATGAATGTCTTACTGATGGCTTGACATTATAACACAATATAAAGATTTTGCTGTCTGATTTCCTACAGACAAGTATAACACAACATTATTTGGACAAAACCCTTACTAGAATGTAAATGCTGTATGTATTATTTTAGGATACTTTTAATACTTCTCTGCATTTTTCTTAAAATAAATTATTGATTTCACTGAATTTATTTAACCGGAAAATAACATGGAACTCAGAAAGAGAATTTTACTAGAATGATTCTATTACAATATTTTTGCTGTTAATATGTATTTAAGAGGCTCAGGTGAAGCAATTATGGCTAAGTGTGTATGTGTCCACACAATTGTAAATATTTTTAACAACATACATCTCTTGTTCACATGCATTATAAAATCAAACTGCCCCCAAAATTTTCTCCTCTCCTGCTTCTCTCCTAGGAGTAGGACAAGACAGTATTGGGAAATCATTTGGCTAGTGAAGTAGAATAAGGCCCCACTCCCTGATATATTCTACGATATTTTGCAGTTATTTATGTTAGTAAGAACTAGTAAAGGCTTTTATAGTAATTGCCTGTGAGAAGAAATCTGCTTGTGTTACTAAAGATTTTGCTATGTGGATTGCTGAGTTTCCTCATGAACCTCACATGTACTCTGTACCTTTTCCTTCACCCCAATTTAATCTTCTATTTTGAGAATTTATTATTATGTTTTTAAAGCTCTAATCCTGTTGCGCCATTTCCTTGCACAGCCCCTTAAGGCTCTTACTCCTCCTCTACCTGGTTACCTTCAAAGAGAAAGTCTGATTCCTAGAATAAACAGTCCCACATCAACTTTGCAAAGCTCTTCCCTTATCAGTCTCCAACAACAATCCTCTGCTCCAGCAGTCCAGTTTATGGTGGTCTGATTTCTAAATCCTTTATTAAAGGTGTTGTTACTTTACACCCTAAAAAACTCCATAGAAAATTTTAAAATACAAAAAATCCACAAATAAAAACATCACCTATGATTCTACCTCAGCTATATAATCATTGCCATCTACTTGGAGTATTTCTTCTGCAAAATTTTCATTTCTTCATTGTACTTTTCCCAAAATTTTTATCATAAACCCTTTTAAACATCTTGAAAATTTGGAAGAATTTTACAATAAACATTTGTATACTCAGATTCTACCACTCACATTTTACTATATTTGCTTTATCACATATCCAAAATACATCACTCCTATATTCTTCTTTCAATCCATCCTATTTCTGGTGCATTTCAAAGTAAATTGCAGATTTAGTATGTGTAATTACAGAGCAGTTACGAGTTAGTTAAAAGTTCTAGATGAGATGAGGAGACCCATCACAAAAGGGACACAATCTATCTGATATCATAGGCTTTCCTAGATAGTACCAATGCTTCCATAAATATACTTAAGGTGTCAGACTATATGTCCTGATTTTTAGTTTGGAAATCTGTCCTCATAGGACATATCTGGGGCTCAGAGTCTTCAAAAACTAGGTGATGAAATATAGGCCATTCTCACTCAGGCAAGCTGAATTCTTGGGAGATAAACAGAAGGTACTCTTTTATCATTGACCCACCTACCTTTAGTTGGTGACAACATAAACAGCAGGACGGAGATGATGATGGAGGTGCTCTTCCTAACAGATTCAGACACAGAATACCTTCAAGATTTTATTGTTCTTTTCTTTTCTTTTCTCTCTCTCTCATTCTTTCTTTTGCCTGTTTTATTGCTTGCTTTTAAATTTATTTTTAAATTCAGCAATACAAAATATCTATTCTTCCTTCACCTTTTCACTTCAAGCCTGGAATGTTGGCCTGGAGTATGTGGATTAGCTTCTAAAGAGAGTGAATCTCCTGAAATTTTACATTCAACTGTGTGAGTACACGTATGCAGAAGAAGGTGTATGACTTTTGTCAGATCCTAAAGGGTATCCAACCCCCAAAACTGGGAGAACAACTTACTTAAATCCATAGATATACAGGGGCTCAAAGAAAATAGAACCAGTGCTTAGAGAGGTATGTCATGGTCCCCCACTCATTTCATGAGCAGCAAAAATTGGATACTGAAGAGTGGAAGATTTTTGTATTTCATTATTTCTGAAGTACATTCTTTAGTAAGAAAGCTAGGAAATGTGTGACTTCCAGAGCTTCTGCTAAATGTCACTTTAATAGGAAGCACTTTCATTGAAAATATTATTTCAATGGGATTCTCTTACTCCTTCAACCAGCTAGTATATATTAGGGATTTGGGGATTATAATGTTGCTCAGCCACAGGTCAATTTTGTGCAAATATTTCATTTCTTCCTTCAAATGTCTGGTAATGAATGTAACCTTTTATTTGTTTTCACTGCTTTCTTGCCTATTCAAAATTATTCTCAGGCTGTATTCCAGAGTGGAGAAACCAAGTAGAGATAAAGCTTTTGATGATCAATAAAGTAGACACAGATGGTGTGTAGGATATAGCAGTGGTTTTCAGAAGCAATTTTTACAGTTCTAATTCTTTTACTGTTTCTAATGTCATGTTTACCTGAACTAATTCTTCCTCTTATTATTCATTCTCTATAAATACACTCTTATTTGTAAGTGCTCAGAAATATGCTACCTAAAAAAGACTTCAATGGCACTTCTGATTCACCCAAAGGAAGTAATTTGTTATAAATTGAAAGGTTGGGTTTAAAGAGAAAATGGATTGTAGAACATTGTAAGGAGCTTTTTTTTTTAAGAAAGAATTTGTTTCTCACAAGAAAAGTTGGCCTTGTGAAAATTTGAGGAAAATTGTATTAAACAGAAAGCTATTTTCTGAGGGAGCTGTAGTGTAAGGAGAGATTTTTAAGGTTGTTTTCAACCTCAAAGTTTTGGCTGTTCAGAAGATTCAGTGAATATATCTTTCTGCTACCCAGGGAGAAAGCCAAAGAGAAAGTTGGCAAACTTAAAATCTTGTTATATTATCTTCAGGTCCTTAGCTGATCATTTCTGCATATTTAAGTATATAATATATCTTAATGTTTGTCTGTGTTTCCCAGCGGAGACCACTATATAATAAATATATGGTACTACTTTATGTTTGTTTTAATGTATTGCCTTAAAAGTCAACTCTACCGTGGAATACATGTGGCCTCATTCATGTGACCATTTATTATTGAACTTAGCATGTCTTTGCGCTGTACATCTTTACTATTTCAATGACTTCTAAAGTTCTGCATATTAAAAGTCACCTTTTTCAATAGCATAGCACTAAAAATAGAAGCAGTCACAGATGTATCATTAATGAATAATCAATAAAGATATCCTTCTATAAAGCCTACTGATTGATTTTGATGCCAGTTATGCCTCTTTTTTTTTTTTTTTTTGGCTTAGTATTAGTGGCTTGGAAGAAAGGTACTTAGGGCCCATTGAGCATTTTATATTCGTGGAATTCATTCCTGATGGTTAGCAAAGTATTATTAACTTGTTTTGAGTCATTGGAAGAAGTCATAACAGAGAGAAATGTATTTATCATGGTTTATATTACACAAGATAGTAACTCTGGGGATAAAAATTTAAGGTATATATCTTAAAAATTGTTTTGACTGCACAGACTACTTTATGAATAGGAAAATATAAATGTCTCTAATCAGATAATTTTTAATTATTTGGAATAATAAACATTTCTAGCTTTGAACTTCTATGCTTATCTTGTAATTTGAGTTGCATTTGGTTTATTTCAAAGATAACAGAGGAATACTCAAATGAGAGGTTGGGGTGCTTGCCTGGCTGTGCATCCCCCAAGAGGCTTCACAAGGTGTCATTACTTTAGTGGGCCTAAATCTGCTCCTCAAACTCAGAAGTTCTAAATTTTATTTTTGTCAGCTTACTCATAGTAGACTGATTTCTTGATGTAAATCAAACTGTTTATTTTCCCTGATAAGTAATTGTGAGGTAGATCAGAACTCTTGGTCTCTCAAAAACATTATATTCTCCTATAAAAGATCTACGTAGAAAGCCAATTATAGTCAGACTACCAAACCAATGTATGTTCAGAATAAAAGGAGTCCTATGGCTCAAACACTTACTGGCATCTGACAAAACAGTATGAAGCATCTATCTAGAATTCTCTCTGGATATAAATCCCCTGCTAGACACAAGCTCCATGTGGATGAGGGCCATTGTGGTTCTTGTACACCACTGTATCCTTAGCACCTAGTCTGACAGCTAGAACATACTGTGTTCAAAAAATATTGAATAGATGAATGAGACTGTAATTCTCTGAGTCTGTTGGCCAAGATGCCTTCTCCCTTAACAGTGTTTGAGTGGGCATTGCCAAGGTGTGCTTCTGGAATTCTTTTTGCTATTCTTTCAGTACTATGCCAACTCCATCCTGATTGACTTTTAGTTTCATTAGATAGATGAATGTCTTCTGTTTGTCTTTGATCCCACCTAAGAACCAGTCTAACCCTTTGAAGAAATTTGCTGAACCCCTAATGTGTTGTATCATATTATATGCCAGTTTTGTAATTTATCTTAACTTTAAAATGACTGGGAGTAATCCTCACTTTTTTTCTTGTTCTTAACTTGTATCCCAGTGGTTTGGATATTGGCACTAAACCAATGTGCCTTCAAATTCAGACATTCCTATTTTTAATCACAAGATCTTGAGTGAGTAAAATATCTAACACATTGTAAAGACTTAAGTCATATGATCATTATCATAGATATAGCCTAATACCATTACAAGTGGCTGATATCCACATGATTACAAAACTCTGCATCTATAGTATGCCCTCATTTCTTACCCCTTTTCAGTGAGCAGAAGCCTAAGAACTAGTTGTACCCTGTGAGAAAATATTAGGAGCTATGCCACAGAAAGGAAGAGTAAGATGAATCATTTTTTCAGATATAAAAAGATCAGAGAAAGATGGGGCCGGGCGCGGTGGCTCACGCCTGTAATCCCAGCACTTTGGGAGGCCGAGGCGGGCGGATCACGAGGTCAGGAGATCGAGACCATCCCGGCTAAAACGGTGAAACCCCGTCTCTACTAAAAATACAAAAAATTAGCCGGGCGTAGTGGCGGGCGCCTGTAGTCCCAGCTACTTGGGAGGCTGAGGCAGGAGAATGGTGTGAACCCGGGAGGCGGAGCTTGCACTGAGCCGAGATCCCGCCACTGCACTCCAGCCTGGGCGACAGAGCGAGACTCCGTCTCAAAAAAAAAAAAAAAAAAAAAAAAAAAAAAAAAAAAAAAAAAAGATCAGAGAAAGATGGACATACCAATTTTGAAATCTTTAATTCAAACTTTGATGGTACTAGGTCAAGAGTGTTTGATGGCTCTATCTCATCTATGTGAATAGAATTCCCAGCTAGAATTTGAGTTCCATAGAGTAAGAACCAATGTGCATTTTGTTTACTGCTAATTCATGCGGGTATAGCATATGATAGATCATTTTTTAAAAAGCTTTTTAATGAAAGGGTGAATACCTGATGACAAATTCTTAAAATTGGGCTGTTTATATAATAATCTATAATCTAAAATAAAGATCCTTCTTATTTTTCTACGATTTACTTTGTATTTAATATCTCAGTTATCATCACCCACTGTTACCATAACCTCGCAGGGAATGAACATCCTTAATGCAGATTATTCTCAAATAATCTATATTCATACACACAAAAGTTTGAGTGGATTGGGCCAAATAAGATAGTATCTAGTTATAACTTCACTCAATTTTACCTTCTTAGGCATTCCCTAACTATCATATCTAAAAATTGCCCCCTCCATCACCATTACTGGCAATCTCCATACCTGTTCTCTATTTCTTCTTAGTGTGCATCACAACCTGGTATTATATTGTGTGTTTATTTTTACTCTCAGTCACTAGACAATATGCTCTTTGTGTGCAGGGACTTGGTTTTGTTCTCAGCTGTATCCCCAGAGCGTAAAATAATGACTGGTCCATATATGCCTCTTGATAAGTAAGTGTAAAATAAATAAACAGACTCAAAGATAACAGATGTCTAGACTTTATTAGCGACTAACCAACTGAGCATTAGTTTCACAGCAAGCCTGATGTGATTAGCTGTCAAGTTTCTTGTCTATAGCGTTTGACCAAGTGTTACCATTCACATTTAAAAAGTCAAAATGAAAACCTCACAATATCCTTCATGTTGTGACTTCCATATTTGATGTATATACTTCAGTTGGATCTTAAAATAAGAATGTAGTTCACTTGTTTGTTGTTGTATTTTACAGACGATGACTTGTGCATTTGCATCCATGAAAATTCTTCATTAATAAAGAACTACACAATTGCCTTGAAAGTTCTGATAGTCACAGCAAACTCTAAGGAATAGGATCATATTACATTTTGTAGTATTTCTATGGGCACTTAGAGTGTAGTAAAGTCTGCTATCAAGTATCATACATTTGCATATTCTGAGAATCAAGTAATGTATGGCCAGGTAATTGCTGCAACATAAGACACAGTTTCAGCCCCATCACAGAGCTAATAGCGCATGACTCTCTCTCTCTCTTCCATACCACACAAAATATCGGTCAACTTATATATCGATAAACTCTAAAATGTCTCTGCTATTCCTTCCATCTTTTTGTGTCTACTTCCATTGCTTTTTCTCCTCTGTTTCTACTGGCTTATCAAACTGTTATTGCTGCCAGATGTCAGAACATTAATTGATTTGAGCCAAGGTAAGTCAATGTCAGTCTGACAAGAAAAAGCTGCTGATACATAGGTACACTAGCAAATGCTGATACAAAGTGCACTGATCAGGTGTCTCAAGGACTGTGCTCAAAGACATTTATTTAAGATAATGGAGTTATTTTAAAGTTAACATAAATACTTCAAAAAAAAAAAACCCATGCATCTGAGAATTTAGTAACCATCTAAGAAAATAGAAAATGAAAACCAGATTTTAAAAGGATGCCTAAAAAGATGTGATTCTTATCAACTATTTTTGCTACATATTACATAGATCTTTAAATTTTCATTTGTTTCATAATTTGTAGCAATATTATACAGCTGTAAATTAGTTGAAATTAATATTTAAGCTGAACTAGCATATTATACCACATCAATTTTAAAAACTGCATTCTAGATTATTACTTGGGAGAAGTATTCTCTGTTATATTAATGTTGAAACCATTTATTCCTTTAAAAATGTGACTTCAACGATGATAATGCCAACAGTAATTTTGTCCCCACCTTGCCCTTCTATCTTTTATCTAACTTCAGTTAAAGGAAACTGATAGAGAGTTGTTTACTAATTTGGCTCATGTTTTTTTCCATACCTCTTATTTTCATTTGAATTATTACTTCAGCTATAGATGCTATAGGAAAGATTTATGAAGTTAACCTCTTCCAGTTTATTCAGCTCAAACAAGGTGGAGACAAAGATACATTTCAAGTTAGCACATTTAGATATAATGACTTGATAAATACTCAAAAGTCTTGAAGCTATTCCAAACCTTTGATAACATTTAGTTTTACAAATGTTTTACACACATTTAAGTTACAAATAAATGGCAACAGAAAACATAGTACTGTAAATTATCAGTGGTTCCTTTTGTTATTTCTCTGAAAGATTACATAGGTTGTGAATTCTAACTATAATATTAACCCCCACTTAAAATTATTTTTGAACAATAAGGGAGAATACATTAATTTTTCATCTTACAAAGGTATGTCCCTATCCAAATTATCTTTATAATTTAATATAATATTAACTTCAATTTAACATTTTTGGAGCAGCTATATTAAACATTCAATTTAACATTTTTTTTGAGCAACTATATTAAAAGCCTGGGATATAAACATATAAAGACAATGACAAAATACTAGGTAAAGGGGGTTTGGAGTATAACGACTATCCAGTACATTTTACAACTAATAAAAGAGCTGGGTCATGAGCTTCCAAGACTAGGGAGTGTCTAGTTTAACTTTGTTTGTTTGTTTGTTTGTTGTGGTTGTTGTTGTATTGAGACCGAGTTTCCCTCTGACGCCCAGGCTGGAGCGCAGTGGCGCAATCTCGGCTCACTGCAAGCTCCACCTCCCAGGTTCCCGCCGTTCTCCTGCCTCAGCCTCCCAAGTAGCTGGGACTACAGGCGCCTGCCACCACGCCCGGCTAATTTTTTCTATCTTTTAATAGAGACAGGGTTTCACCGTGTTAGCCAGGATGGTCTCTATCTCCTGACCTTGTGATCTGCCCGCCTAGGCCTCCCAAAGTGTTGGGATTATAGGCGTGAGCCACCGTGCCTGGCCTAGTTTAACTTTTCATTTCTGTCATTCAGCATAGTGCCTGACCCACAGTTAATACTTGGTAAACAGTTGCATAGTGCGTGTTTTCAGTGCTGTGATGGGGATTTATTTTTAAAAAGTACAATGGAAGGTTTAGAAAGGAAACAACATATAAACCTGATTTGTTCAAAAGTGAAGATCAAAATAGTTCTATGGTCATTTTTTAAATTTTTTTAGTGCTCAGAAATCCACACCTAAGCATGAACCATTTTTCGATCTATTAGTTCACCTTTGGATTCACTTATAGATTAACTTAGTAACTTGGGCCCTAAAAACCATAAGCGTTAACGCTTCAAAAAAGACGTAAATTGTTAACCAGCTGCCTTATTTTTCAGGAAACTTAATTAGCTTTTCTTCATAAAAGACATTTTATCTGCAGGGCTTAAAAATGCAACGTTGTTTTAATGTAAAAAATATAATTGAGAAAATAGCTTTGCAATCCTCCTTCATTCCAGTAAATGTGTCCTGCTAGCCATTTGTTATTCCTAGTTCCTCTATTTTTTTCTTTAACATTTCAAAAATCTTCACTGAATATTAAAAATGAGAAATTATTGGGCACTTAGAGCGCTTCTCTCCAATTGGCTCAAGGTCTTCTAAAGTCACTCCTTCAATGATTCATGTGACATCCTTCTGAAGTAAAATGGTGCAACTGGCAAGTGCTGTTATGCATTGTTATTAGAAGTTGAAACTCAAAAGTTAGGTGGTCTAGCCTTGGACCAGCTGGAAGTGTGTTGGCATATCTCAGGGTACATGTCTCAGTGCTGGAATTGCTGTACAAGACATGCTACATGCTAGGAAAGCATTTCAGAGTAATCTCCTGGCACCTCAAAGAGGCACACAGGAGCAGGCAACCTTTCTTCTCCTTCCTCCTCAACAGGAGCAATAGAACTAAGGGCCAGAATAGAGAACTCCACAAACTAAATAAGGGCGCCCATACTTTAATGCAAATTGTGAGACAGTTGGGTTCTGTAAACTCCCTCATCAATTTCCTGCACCTTCTCATTTTTAAAATGACTGTGCACTCGACTTGAAAGCTTCTGCTCCTTGCTTTCCTGCCATCTACAACTATGGTACCATCATAGGTGCTGGAAATCCCTTGCACTTTCATCTGACTCTCTCATTTGAAACCCATCTTTTAGTAAAGCTCCATTACTTTTTCAGTCTTTAGTCTACACAGAATATAAGCATTGCAATTTAGTCTCTGTTTTGAACCTATGCTAGTGGCCTAGAGAGGGAAAGAGATGTCCCCAGGCAATGTAATGTCTATATCCTCTCTTCCTACATGTTACTATGCTGTGCCCCTGACTCAACCTTTTCATTCTTCTATACATTTCCTTTAGTTATCCTTTTAATCATTTCATTGTGATCTCTCATCTCCTCAGCTACAGCACCCAATTAAAGCCTTCTTCCCTGGCAGTACTCATTGTCTCAGTGATTGACTTTCTGTGCAGCAAGCAGCAGGACCTAGACCACACCCCTGCTATTTTGGTAACATTATCACCCAGTTTTCCTTCTTTTTTCCTCTTTCTCCAGGCAATCAAATGTAGACACTCCTCAATGTTATTCCCGAGTGTGGCTTCGTCATGTTCTGTTTTGCCTCCCCAGCAACCTTACCTCCTCCCATGGCTTCAACTACCTTTCACAACATCTATCTCCCTATACTTTGAATTAAGCTTTTACCTGCTCAAGAAATTTTAGAAACTCCCTGTCATGTATTTAATAGAGTCAGTACTCCCTGGTTTTGACATTCCTGATCCAAATCAATTTCCCTCTGACCTATAGTCATCTCTTCTGTTACTCTCTAATTTTCTTATTGTTAGCCAATCTAGGCCACTGGTTATTTCCTCACTCTACACCCTCTTGCTCTTGTGCCTAACTTAGTCTCTTTCCTCTTCTTAATTGCCCTTCATACTATCTCTACATACCCTAATTTTACCTATTTTTCTAGAAATACCTCAAATACTGCATCCTTCATGATGTTGTCATTGCCTCTCCCCCTTGAAGCAGTCCCTTATCAATGTTTTGCAATATTTGGTCAGAAGCTTACTTGTTTCAGAATCACTTATGGTTCTTATTAAATATGCAAATTCCTAGGCCTCTGCCCACACTTACAAATGTGTTAGGGCCCAGGCCTTCTTGAATTTAGTAAGTGCTAAATAAATATGGTTGATTGAAAGAAAATGGATGAATGTATTTTATTAGCCAGCATCCAATGAGCAATAGAATTTATAAGGCCATCTTATAAACATATATATTGACCAAAGAAAATAACAGTTTACATTTTTCTTTTGTTTTGAAGAAAAATCAAAGTATATTTAAACAATATTAGGATATTATTTAAAAGATTAATCATGCGTTTCTAAGTATGGATGCTTCCTTGATCACTGCAATGCTTAACAGACAACTTAATATCTTAAGGTGGCCTGGGATTTACTAACCATTTTCTCTTAGCAACTTTACTGAGTGCTCTTTGGCAATAATTTCCACATTCTTACATCTTCCTTTTCCTTTAATATGAATCGCATCAACTAGATAAGCCAACTATAATTCTATGATTATATTATTCTATAATTAAGCTATATGGCTTTAGGAGGGCTATGACTTCTGATTTTAGACTATTCCTGGTCAATCCTATAAAACATAAGTACCCACATTTAAGTTCCCCCAGGGATTCTCACAAAAGAGTTCAAGACTCTTAGACAAACTGTCTAAGAAACAAATGTATTTAATTGTCCTTAATATCATTCATGTTAAATTATTTAACAGAGGTTGTTTTGAGTATGTGTTAAATTTAGCCCGTGTCTTACTGCTTACGTTATTAACTGATATATCACACTGAGACTGATGTTTTGCCATTGTGGTATTGTGCCTGAAAATGAAGCCAGAGTTCTGGGCTTTTTTGATGATGAGATTTAAGATCTATATTTCTTTGGCTATAGTCTTGAGCAAATAACTCTAATAAGAATGAAAATAGTGTCTTTGGTAGAAATTCATTTTGTAACATTTGAATATGGAAAGGTGACTATGAATATACCCTCAAAATTACTTGTGCGATTATTCCTGGGTTATGTGTTAGGCCTATGAAACCTATTTTGAAACATGTTCCCATGCAGAAATATGACAAATAATGGGTTAAAATTGTTGTGCTATTTCCTCCTGAGAGTGTCATGATTAGATATATCGCCTTCTCACAGTTCAAATTTTAGTTTTACTGGTGGATATTAGTTTTGAAAGTAAAACTACATTGCTTATTCCCATATTATTACTGCTATTTATTATACAATTTCCTAGATTAAACAATACATTCAAATGAGGTAATGAATTATGTGTTTTAAGAGCAGAATGAGCTATATTTGTTATAGAATATTATGTTAAATCTTCATTGACAACATTAAAGAGTCATACCTTTTATGGGTGTTAGTTAATTACGTATACTTATTTCCTTGGAACAAGATATATTTTACAAATAAAAAAGTTTTTCTATAATATTTTGCTCTCACTAAAAGTAATAATAGATTATACAATACATTTTATTAAAATCTAAACAATCAAGTTTGCTAGTTGTTTATGTCAGTTCTTTGATTTAAATTTTCTGAGTCTAAATGTTACTTCACTCTACCTTACATTTTTCTCTTCTCTTGAAGAAAATAAAAATTATTATTTTTATCTGTTTATGTTTGGGTTTATAAATTAGACTTGGAAATTCTAATACTCATTGGATGCTAGCTAGGAAAGCTTGTCTGAACAAATCTTACCCTTCAGCCTTGATATAATCAGTTTCTTAGTAAAAAGCTACCATCTTAGTTCTTTGAGAACCTTCTCAATAAATTCTTTGCAGATTTCTCACAATTTAATAGGTTGGAAAAAATTGGAATGACTAGAAGACTGAATTTAATTTCAAGATAAGCACAAATTAGAAGATTTCAATATGTTCCTTTCAAAATTCTGCATCTACCCGGGACCTGCCTCTGTGATAAGGGGATATCTATTCTCTGCTTTCTAAAGTATCAGGTAACCCACATATGTCATACATATGCCCTTGGTAACTTGAAGGTACAGGCATATTGATTTTTTTAAAGGAACCTACAAATAGTAGGATTATTTGAGATTAATTCTTATGCTACCTTAGTCACTCTGTGATAGCTAACTATATGCTGAGAGACTTCATTATTTTTCTGGGCATATACATTCTGGGCATATACATACATATACAGTGATTTTATACATCACTGCTTAGGTGACCTAAAAGATGTTATACAAAAATTCCATTTATTAGAGAGGACCCAGCCATGAGGAAGAACTGGTACAGTGTGGGTGAGTAAAAATGTAAACAGAATACATAGATTTCCTATTTTTTTCTTGGTTATGTAATATTGGTTTAAGCACTGGTATAATTGCTTACTAGAGTTAATGTTAGATGTTAGCTTTTTAAACGTTAGGTCCAACTCTTTCTTCAGAGTTCTTCTAGAAAAATGATTAGGCCCCCTGTATCTCCATTTCAGATTTCAATCAATTATGTTGCGATTCTCCTTACATACTGTGTGGCATTAAATCACAGAATTTCCCCAGAAGGAACAATTTTATGATCCATTCATCACACTTGCTATTTTTATATCCTTTGTGGAACCACAGGTTAGATCCAAGGGTTGTCTATTTGATCTTTCTTACCTTTGAGAAATAAAAGTTGATTATTTGGTTTTCTGATGAAGGAAAAGATGATTTTTTCTCAACTTATCCTTTGAGAAATTAATCTCCATGGACTTTGAATAAAATGGCATGTAGTGTCCCCAGGGTACAAATGATTTAGAAACATCTTTTCCCACGACAGCTGTACATTAGTAAGCTGCTTTGTATATGGTGGTGTCCTGTACCACAAATGGACCATTTCTCGTGGTCTTCATTATTAAATGTAAGAGATTATTCTGACATGTAATGAATAATATTTTATAAATTATAAATTATATATCTAAATAAATTATACAACTAATGGTTAAGATGACTGATTTTAGACCCATACTGTCCAGATTTAAATGTCAGCTTCACTTACTAGCTGTGTCTAGGAGCAAGTTAATTATTCTGTACCTCAGTTTCTTCATCCATAAGATGAGATCCCTAATAGTTTGAATCTCATAGGTGTATTATAAGGATTAAGTGAGTTAGTACACACTCAGTGTTGTATGACTGGCACATAGGAAGCATTCAGTGTTAGCTATTACTATTTATAGCTTAGGGGAAAAACAAAGTCATACTTATCAGATGTCAGTACTGTGTTTCTCCAAATGTTGCTTCTAAATTTATCCCTCTTAGGAAGGCAGGATTTATTTGTAATTTTATATATAGTTAATTAGATATATTTTGACATATTTACAAAAGAATTTATCTGCATTTTAGGTAATCTTATCTAGCCACAGTACTATGATATATGATTCTGGAAAATGTGGAAATGCAGCCATTTGATATATTTTTGTAGATTATGAGTTCATAGTTAATGAAAGATAACCGAGTAGATTTAACTAAATATTTATAATAACTAAAATTATAGATGATAAATTATATAAAGTGAAAGATTAGTGCACACATTAAACTGGAGTTGCATATCACCTCTATTTAAACTTTTTACTTATTTCAAGAAAATAATCACAAACAACTACCCTCTAGAAAAGATGGTTCAAATTAAATTCTGTCCACAGGAAAGGTATGTTTGGAGAGTAAGTCCCCTGTAATGAAACTATTGATAGTACTGCAGCCAGGCCCCTCATATGTCAAACACCTGCTTTGGTGAGACAAGTTTAATGCATAGAAAGAGCTCTTAATAGCAGCAATAGGATTCCAAACCCTTGGCATGACCTTTGTCGTTGAAAGTAAAAGAAAGAGGGTTGCAACTTGCTTATTTTCTTCGTGCAAGATCCTGCATAAACCCCAATACACGATCATAATTCTAACTAAATGATTTTTTTAAACGTAGTGGTTTCTATCACTCACTCCTTTTTCAGTAGACATACTGATGACAATGTCACTTCTGTAAACTTTTGGAGAACATAGTCTTACTAAACTTGCCAACACAATGCTTAGGTTATTTGAAGGTCACTTACAGTTGGATTTTTTTTCTTTATTTTTTTTCCTTCAACCTTAAGGGAAGCTATTTGATAAGCTTTAGTTTATTATACAAAAAATGGGTATTATTTTATTTGGACATGCAGTATTTGTAAGACTTCAATTGTTTATTTTATTAGAATGTAAAATTGATTGGAACAGCATGTGTCAGATCCTTGAGTTCAAACAAATTCTTACCTTTTTCTTTAACATCCTATTAATTGGTTCACATAGAAGGTATAGGGAAACTGGCTCTCCAGAATGTTGGAAAGCTGGAGGCAGAGAAATTCTTCAGGTAAATCTAGATATTCATCCTATTTTCCCCACAGACATAAGGATGCAACATTTCTAATGCCAAGTCTGTTATTCAATACATACACACAAACCCTCATTGTATTGTTAGTCTACACTTTTCCAAATGGTGATGTAAGTGAAAAGTATAAAAGCACAGTGACATAACAAAGGTTGGGTTTACCAGACCTGGTAAGACCCTACAGTGTCACTGGCAACCGTATGTCCCCAGTGAATCATCTAGAGCAGTGGTCCCTAACCTTTTGGGCACCAGGGACTGGTTTCATGGAAGACAATTTTTCCACGGACAGGGGTTGGGGGTGCGGGGATGGATAGTTTCGGGATGATTCAAGCACACTACATTTATTGGGTACTTTATTTCTATTATTATTACACTGTAATATATAATGAAATAATTACACAATGCACCATAGAATCAAGGGGAGCCCTGAGCTTGTTTTCCTGCAACTAGATGGTCCCATCTGGGGGTGATGGGGGACAGTGACACATCATCAGGCATTAGATTCTCATAAGGAGCGGACAACCTACACCCCTCACATTCACTGTTCAAGATAGGGTTCCTGCTTCTATGAGAGTCTAATGCTGCCACTGATCTGACAGGCAGAGTTCAGGCGGTAATCCAAGGAATGGGGAGTAGCTATAAATACAGATGACGCTTTGCTCACTCACCTGCCACTCACCTCTGCCGTGTGGCCCAGTTCTTAATAGGATGGTACCAGTCCATGGCCCAGGGGTTGAGGACCCCTGGTCTAGAGGACAAAGTGCTGAGATGGACGGTATGTGCTCCTACTTGGTGTGACTACACTGGAAACATAATCTAGCTTTACAGTGAGCATATACAATGGTATTTATTCCTGCCACTCTATAGTTGATCTGAAACAGCGTTATAAGTTTTTTGTCACTTTAGATACAGGCTTGAATCCTACTTAGGCATCAAGCCTAGTTGCCATTGCTTTTCTACTTAATAAGCATGAATTAGCTGGTGCTCTAATAAGAATTCAGCTATGATGATAAATGAGCAAGGCGTTCCACCCTTGTTAAATAAAGAAATAGTGAAAAAAATGCAGAATGACAAGAAGTAAAGTTTACAAAGGATCCATCATTACAGAGTTATCTTGGGTTTGCCCATTGTAGAAAACGAAGTCAGTAATTGAAAATTTCAAGTTGAAACTGACTTTCACAGTATTTGCTTATATTAGTACTTATGCTAGTACTAATACTTATACTAGTACTGCTATTGTCAGTACTAGTGAACCACTCTAATGGCTCCACTACCTACAAGCTCTGTGCTTAGGAAAGTTATTTAATTTCTATTAGGCTTAGGTTCCTGATTTGTACAATGAAAATAATAATACTTCAAAGAATAGTTGCAAGGAGTAAACTAAATAAATAATAGCTGTAAGTTTGGAGCTTGACATATAGTTTGCAGTAAATAAAAATTTGCCATTATTATTTATGTTTAAAGTAGATACTACTATCTGTATTTTACAGGAAAGGAGAATATTGGGGCTCCGATATTTTCACCCTCTAGCCTAAGTTCATTCACAGCTAGTACGTTGAAAGCACACACGATTCACATCCATGTGACTTCAAAGAGAGTGGAAATTTGTAGCAGATTTTCACCATAGTAAGGTCCTGAAGCTGGCCCACTAATGTTACATTGCCCAAGTGTACACAGTTCATTGATATATGGCATTTTTCTTCTCCCAGATGTTGCATCCTGCTTAATTATATACCTTTCCTGTTTCTGATTTTAAAAATTGTAACGTTTTACCTTTTCACTCTGTGTGTGTGTGTGTGCTGTGTTGTGTGGTATAACTTCCATGTTACTGTTAAGATGGAGAAAAAAAGACAAGGAGGGCGGCTCGACGGTAACACAGGTTTATTGGACAAAGACCTGCGGAGGGGGAGCACCAGCGAGCGCAGGAGCCTCCTTTCCCGCTTGCAGGCTGGGGCAGTTGTAGGTCCAGGCGGGAGAGGTCTGAGGTTGCTGTGAAATGGGGTGGGAATGGTATGCTGGGCTGCTGATAAGGAAGGAATTCACTGGGTTAGGGGTTAGGCCTGGGACCTGTCCCACAAGATGTTTCTTCACGGTTCAGTCTCTGGTGGAATTTTCCACTCTGACCGGAGTTTATAAAAGGTGGGAGTCTGCAAAATGCTGTGGCTTGGGCTAACAGTTACCTGAGGTCCTCTTACCTTTTAAGCTGTAAATAAGATTGGATTCCGTGCCCCATGAAAAGCCCAATATAGTTCTTCAGTTTTCTCTGAACTTCCAGTGGGTCTTACATCCTCATAAACACCTCTGTCTTGAACCACTTTTCTCTACAACTTTTTTGTTTTTTACTCTGTGTCCCTGCTCTGGTATATAGCCAAATGGGGAAATTGATCTTTCTTAAGCACACATGATAAACACATTTCCATAAAAATCAGCGTGCTCAGCAATGTGAATGTACCACACTTTTCTGAATTATGAGAAAGATTTTGTAAAAACAGCAACAACATAAAATTGAATATTAGATGTCTAAAATTTTTAATGTTTTCCCTCTAAAGGCCACTCTGCCTTTCCTTTCTTCTTTTTTGTATTCCCCACCACCCACTAATTGCCATTAATTTCTAACTTAGGAACAGTTTTGCTATTTTTCATTGCTTTCTCTCCTACTAACACATGTTCTCATCTTCTGCTTTCTACCATAAGTGCCTTATCAAGATATTTTCCTGATTCTAGGCAATTTTCTCTTTAAAAGAAATACTGTTTTCAAGGATTGATACATGCATACACTATAATAGTAAGCCATCTCAACTTTTCCTGGAAGAAAGGGTAAAATTAAATAAAATTAAAATAAAACATAGCAAAAGTCACAATTGAAAGGTGGCTCTGTGGGAAAAGAACTGCAGACCAGAGCTTAGAAATTCCTTGAAAACTTCAGTAAATCTTTATGCGTTCTACTACACACTACTTGCAGTGGGGTACCACATTTAGAAACACAGGAACAATTTCTCTGTTCCCAGAAGCAAGCACTAGCTACATACACAAAGCCCCTAGTCTCAGCTTATCTGACTTACCACGTGAAGGGCAATTTGGTTTTAGGTATGAGTGTTGAATCTCCATTTTCTAACTGGAATGAAATTATGATTCCAAGATGTTCTTTTCCTAAAAGCTCTGTGACTGGATTGAAAATTCCGAGTGTTATGGCTTCAGTAGGTGTCTCTTCTGTGTAGGACTTATATTTTGTATTTATTTTCCAAATTTTGGCTGTACTTATTGGCACTTTTATATCCCAGGAAAAATGCCAGTTATTTGAGAATTTTTAAACTATCTTATTATCTAAAACAATATGTTCTTATTATCTAAAGATTAACCATGAAATGAATGAAGTCATTGTTATAATGCTACTATTATTTTACTGTCATCTGTCTTTGGTATCTTCACCCTTCTATGCTTTTTAGTTAATCATTTACTATATTTGTGTCATTAGGCTAATCATTCTGCTCATTGCTTTCTTACAGCTTTCACTGGAAGTTAAAGTTTATTTAAATTGGGCTTTCATTGAGTTATTACTTAAATCTATATCATGTAGATTGAGATTAAAGATTTATGCAAAGAGGCATTTCCTATTGCTTTTTGGTGACAAAGTCCTTAATTTTTAACAGGTAAGATATACAATGATAAAACCAAGGAAACTTTAAAAATATACCTCCTTGCAGGTAGAGTTTACTAAAATATTCTAGACAGTAAGAAGCAAATATTCTTCTTAAACTTCCAGGACAATGATTCTGAAACCGGTTCAGGAGTCCATTCCAATTCACTCTATTTTCTACTTTATGTTACTGAGTATATTTCTTGCTGTTATTTCATCCTTACTGGAACCGAAGAAAAATAGATCCTTCCCTCCCACATTCTCCCAATCTCTAAAGAATAAAGCTAATTTGCCTTAGTCCTGATTCCTCCAAGCAAATCAATTCCCATTTGATTAAACTCTCTTAGTAAATATCAGCCTTAGTGCCAATGCTAAACACAGGACTCTCTCCTTAACAAAGGCTACAGAGAAAAACATATATAAGAGGTCTCATCATGAACTATTATTAGGGAATGTTTATAAGGCCTAAATTGAAAACTCTAGCGCTTTAGTCATGGAGGAACAGTATGATTCCTTAGAAATAAAAAAGCTGACATTCAAAGCAATTTAATCAAAGCTCTTGCCATTCCCTCTTGGGTTTCAGACACAATATGAGGCTGTTTTAAATCATTGTGACTTCCATCGCTCAGCATCTTTGGAAAATTCAAAGCTGTGTTTGGCACCTGAAAGCCTTTGCATTTCCCTCCTACCATGATGGAAGTAAATTCCTCATATGCTTCTTATTTTAGATATTCATCTGATTTTATCTGGTTTGGGCTATTTGCTGACAGTGCATGGTTCTTGAATAATACAGATAACGTACAACAAACACACTCTGCTCCCTGGTACACAGGAAATGAAGATGCTCACAGTACCCGCCTCCATGAACTAGCTCAATAAATTTGAATTGCTCATTAGATTTCCAATGCCTCGTTGTTGCCTATATGTGAAGAGCTTAAGTGAATAGGAATCAGATGGAAGGTGGGGGAGAACACACAGAGATTTCACATAATTCCTGTTGCCAGAGAAACCATTTTCTTGCTGTCTGGGCATGCACCGAGTAGCTTAGATGAACTGGAGGCTCAGCACAGCCCTTGCTGTGACTTTAGTAAAGAAAACAAACAGAAGGGAGAAAATGCTTACAAAGTAAAGCAGAATTGGATATTAAAATGTTATTTTAATTAGAATGGTTTTGTAGACTGAGCTTTGAAACCTTGCCCCCTAAGGACACTGATCCATCTGACTACACATGTGTTTCCACACTTTGTGTTCATTTATGTATCTTTTTTCTTCTGTGTCTAGAAGACCATGTCTTCATATATGTTTATGTACACTATTCATATTTACACAAGTATATTCTCTTCCCCCCTCTTTCTTTCACCTCTTCCCCCCACAACACATATCACACAACTGTGCTCTTTTGAAAACATGGGAAACTATTCTCAGTGGAAAAAAAAAAGAATGTGGCAGTAACAGAGTTTGCTTACCCAAGCCGAAAAGAAATAACAGAAAACGAGGAAGCACAAGGAGAGTACAAACTGTGAATTCTAGACTTGTTTATTTAACACTTGGATCTTTTTGATGAAGGATGGTTGCTAAAAACAAAAGTTAGAAAATCAATTGAGAATACGTGAGGTAAAACGTTCTGTATGCATGGTTCTCCATGCATTTTTCCATGCATTGTGAGTATACAAACTATATACTGAATCAACATAGTACCTCCTTTTGTGATACTATTGAAGGAAAGCAAGTAAGAGTAGATTTTGTATTTATTTGTGTATGACAGCTCTGAAAAGAGCTATTACATATTTTGAAGGTTCTTGTTTTTTAATGTACCGCCATTCAAGGTTTCATGGGGATTTTGACTTCTTGACCTTTCAGAAGAGGGATAGTTGGCAAATACCTTTGATGTATAGAGATTCTGTAAGACTGAGTCTGTCAATGAATTCCTTGATATATCTCATCCCATGTAGAAATGGTCACTTTCTGTTAGTGCCATCTCCACTTGTATGTAGTTTTAGTCAAAGTGCCATCTTACGCCACATGTTTGTCTTTCTGCCTTCATCCCCACTGACTTTATCAAATATGCCAAAACTATAACCAGGGCCTATTCAATTTTATAGCTCCTATGCCAAGCATAGGGCCTAGTACATAAGTACACAAGAAATGCTTATTAAAATGAATGAATTATTTAATTAGCACTTTACCCCAAAGGAATAAACATTATGCACAAGGTAACATTACAAATTAGGAGTAAAATAGGAGACTAAATTCAAGGTTCCAAATTGTCATGTCATAGTCATCACTGAACACATTTCACGTTTATAAAATAAGAAAATCACAGGCTTTCAAACATAGTCTCACATTTCCAAAAGCATATTTTTTGGGGAAAAAATATTAAGTAATTTTGGTTTTCATTTCAATTCTTCTGATTAAAGGTCTAATGTTTTCATTTTCGTATGTAAATTCCCATCTTAGATTGTTGCGATGCTAAAATCTTTGCCTGTACAATTACTACAGATGGCTGATAGTTTCAAAACATTCACACTAAAATTATTTAGTTTTTTTGTAATGTATTGATTTTTGCTTTCCATTTGTCTTGGGGATGGAAGATTTAAATTCTTCGATTTTTGATGTTTTCTTCTGCTTTTCTCTCAATTCTTTAAATCTTTTTGCCTTTTGTACATCAATTAAACAGATAACAGTAGAAGTTATTAAAGATCCTCACATAATAATGTCATTACCTATCATTTCTGAGAGTAGATCTTGTCATTCGATATGATTGCTGGATTCTGACTTTACCAACTAAAATGCACCTACTGCCCTTTACTCTTTTGTATATTTTGATGAAACTCTACTTCTTTTTAAGATCTCAATTCAAGTTTCAATGAAGTGCAGTGAGTTTTGTCATGCTCCCTTTCCCCGGTTAGTTTAGCTGATAAAAAAGCAAAGATACTGCAGCGTTAGCTTGCACTGGGAATCAACGCCTTCTTGTGTTAGATTTTTTCATTATAAATGCAATTGACAGAGGTGTCTTTTATAAGCTATTTGTTATACAATCTTTATAAATAGCTCTCATCATGTATAAGACAAGTCTAAATTTGTTTGGAAATAGCTTCTGAAGACACCCTGCTGTGGCTTCCTCAGAGTGCCAGGCAGGCATTCAGTGGGGGAGTCAGACAGAACAAACTTTATCTAGTCATCTTTCCATCAGCTTGAAATGATGTGCATCACATCCAGCTTAAATGATTTACTGTAAGTAGGAACTTGGTTCATAGACGAGTGTATATAATCAAGCAATATGTAGCCAAACTCTACATCATCTAAGATACATTTTATTTTAATTTCTTTTTAGAAATGTCTTGCTTAGCTATTTTTGTTGACATTGCCAGTAGCACTGTTCCTTTTAACCTAGAGTTGACCTGCAGTCCAGTGGAGGAAGGTCTTAAAACTCAAACATGCAATTTCTAAAGACCAATGTGTATAAGAAAGATAGAAAGCTTAGGACTCTTTAAGTTGTTGGTGCCATATTTCTATTCAAATGCAAGTTCAAAAATACATTTCAAAGTCAAATAGAAATAGTTTTTGGATTATCCACCATTTTGGATTATACACACCACTGCTCTCCATTACTGCAGGTAATTAAGAGCTGCCTTATTCTGTGAAAAATATTTTCTTAAACATCAACGCTCTCTTCTATCAAACTTTCACAAGAACTTCAGTAAGTGAAGCTGACTGATTGTAATTCCACCTCCTTTCTCTACTCAGTCTCTGGAGAAGATATGCCAGAGCAACAGTATCCTACAAAGCTCTTAGGAAGGAGGTAAGAAGAGAAGCTGGGGACCTAAAGACTCCATCGTCAGTCCTTGATCATGGAAATTTTTGAACATAACATTTCCAATGGTCATAATCAGAAAATATGGCTCTAAGGGGAAAAAAGAACAAAATGGAAATAATCTGACAAGTATATAGACAGGACAAAATTAGAGAGCAAAAGCAGACTATAAAGATGATCTAATTCACCCATTTTATTCCTGCCCCCATTTTACACATAAGCGTTATGAAATCACCCTTTCTAGGTAATAACATCCCTCCTCTCTGCAACCTCCATTCCTTGCTCATATTTCTAATGTTACCTTATTATTACTATTATATATACTCTTCTGAAACTATTTGCTTGTCTTTGACACCTCTTTAGTCTGAGACCTAGTAGGGGGCTCATGCTGATGCCAGCACAGTCCAGACCTCAAATAGACAATGAATGTTTCCTTTGTTGAGTCTAATTAATTATATACGTAAACTTCAATGATGTGCAAGTTTAACACACATATATCCTGTGAACTTCATATCACTAAATGTGAGTATGAACCTCAGTCCTTTGAATATTGCAAAGTCCTTACAAGTGATGTTGTGATCATCATGCACTAGACTACAAAGAGAATTTATAAAGACTTAGCTGATTTCAATTGCCAGATTAATTATATACTCAGAGCTTACCTGTCAAACAGTCAAACATTCATTGACTCCATTTTAAAGTTGTTTAAGTATTTTCTAGATGGTAAGAGCATTACTTTTTGATTTAGTTGCCAGGCTTAAACTCAAATTCCTTTGGTAATAATCATCAATTTTGCAAAGCATAAATGAAACTGTGAAATTATAGGTACAGAGGGGTTGCCTGTAGATTGACAAACCATATGACTCTAGAGTTTTTGTATCTTTTGACTTTCAAGAACTGCATATGTTTTTGTGTCAAGCGGCATTTAATCATTCCATCAGTAGCAATATACTGAGCTTTATGAGCATTTCTCTCTGTTAAGCTCTCAACTCATGCCTTCCTTTGATCACTACGGTTCATCAATAGGATATTGTACCCACCCTTGCAATAGCCCCCTGAGGAATGTGTTTGGTATTATCGTGCCATGGACAGATAAAACTCCAGATTCATTCAGAGATTAAGCTTGCTTCCTCCTTGTTATGTTGTAGTTCACTTCTCTAAGAATGGGTCAAGAGTCACATTCTTTGATGGGGTTAATATGGAGTGATTTGGTATCCATTACCTACACCCTCTCCCCAAACATAGGGTTCTTTGCACCACCTATGCTAAGACCTGGGAATCCCCAGGGTACTTGGACTCAATCAGGATCATGCAGGGCTGGCAAAGGATTTAAAATTAGCATTAGTCCTGATTTTGATGGTTATCTAGCTGTGTGAATTTGGACTAGGTACTAACTTATCTGAATTTCAGCTTCCTGTTTAGTAGAATGTGTGTAATCTTGTCTGCTATAAGGATTAAATAATGTAATATGTACTTAGTATGTGGTAATATGTACTTATTAACAGAAATAACCATTCTGTTAGCAATGCTTATTTAACATGAGGCAACTCTCGTGAAAGGTCCCTTCCCTGTTGAGGGCTGCATTTACCCTCCTGGATATGTTAGTAACTTAGAAAGTTCTGTTTGAAGGTTTGATGACTTCTAGGTTTGTGATCTAAAAGAAGAGTCATGAAAAGACTGTGCTGACCTGGCTGGCTGTAGGATTGACACAAGAGAAACATGCTGTACAGGGTAAATACTGGGAAGTTATGAGGGAGCAGAGTATTTAATCTGTGATCCTACAAACATAGACCAGGCAAAAAGTCAATACCAAAAGATCATGTGTAAATGCCAGGAGCCAAGCATAGAAGATACTAAGAGATATAGCTGAGGACAGCAGCTGAAGATGAGAAATGAGGAATTAGCTAAGGCACAAACACATATAAATTCTGCCGGATGGCAAGCCATCTTCAGGGCCTATTTCAACTAAGCTCCTAAGAAACTCATTGAGGACTGGGATAGTAAATGTAATTTGTACTGTGTGTTCTAGCTTATATGGTGCTCAGTATAGTCACAAAATAAACGTGAACTGAAGTGATGGCCACAGACATGGGAAAAGTATGATGAATGCTCTAACGGTGAAACACAGGCCAGACAACTGACCTAGGCCAGAGATGTCTAAGAAAGCTTCCTACCAAAGATGAAATCACAGGTAAGTATTGAGGGATATGTAGAAGCTTAGAAAAGAAGGAGATAAAGGGCATTTCCTTAGAGAGATGATAATTTGCAGAGGCACAGAGGAAGCAAAATAACAGTTTATCTAGTTGAAGCCTGAGGGAGGTGTGTGTGGAGTGGGGGTGGGGGTGTGTATGTTGCAGGTGGGGACAGGGAGGCCTGGGGTATTGTTGGGAGAAATGAAGCTGCACTGGCCATGAGCTCTATCTCATTAGAGGCTTTGTATGACATAGTTAAGACGTCAGATTTTATTTTGAAAGCAGTGAGGCATTTTAAACAGGTAGTAATATAATCAGATTTATGTTTTCTATAGATCAATTCATTGGAAGTGTGGAGAGTGGACTGAAAGAGGGAGAGTTAAGAATCTTTTGCAGAAGTACAAGTGAGGCATGATGAGAGCATAGCTAGTGGGCTAATAGCGGGGATGGAGAGAAGGAGACAGATTGGAAGGGTATTTATTATATGAAGGAGTTTGACTGAGTAATATTAAGAAAAGTAGAATATAGGAACTAAGAAGAGAAAAATGTCTTATAAGGTACTTTAAAAAATGAGTATTAGAGTCAAAGTGTTTGGAATCCTTGACATTTGCCTCTGATAATTACTATTTATGAGACTTAGGGGTTACTCATTCATGAAATGGAGTTATTGATACCTATCTTAAAGGGTTGATGTGAGGGTGAGCTTACCACTTAGGAGGCATTCAATAAGTAGCAGTTATTGTTAGTGTTATTAAAGATGCACTTAGCAAAATATAGAGAGCTTGTATTTACAGACACTTCATTACACTTCTTTTTTGAAACATATTCTCCCATTAAGTCCCAAGGGGACTATATGATATCTAGAATGAAATGAATTAACATGTGTAAAATACTTAGAAGAATGCCTGGGATACAATAAACACTGTGTGTTCACTAATATAAACAAATAAGTAAATACCTTATCATTTACTGTGCTTTGCCAATTTACTCTGTCATGCTGAGAAATCAGAAAAGGCTCTGAATTATTCTTGAAAGATGATGGCTTCAGAATTAGAGAGAATTTTATTGGCAACCTAAACCTATAGTGAAGTGAGCTTATCAGTTGAATAAATCTTAAAGTGGATATAGGTCATAATTTCTTTTCATTGAGCTCTTCCTGTCTGAGTTTTAGGAATGGTTTTCAGTCTTTTCAAAGGAAGCTGCATGAATATGAATGCATTCGAATGAAGAAAATTTTAGTTGATAGCACAGATTGAAGATAACATTTATGACTGTTAAATAAGAACTGAATTATCAACTTTAAGCCTTGTCAGTCCCCATCAGTGGAAAATCTTCATGGAATCTGTTTAATTCTTCCAAATTCTGCTTTAATGTAAGATATACCAATATATTACTTTATCATGGTAAATCTTCAATGAGGCATTATATGGGTGGATATAGATTAATCTTATAAAGGGAAACAGTCTATCTGTTATGATTTTAAGAGATAAAGGACTAACCTTTACTTACATTTTACTTTGAATGCTTTTTCTTTCCATTTTACTATTTTAGAAGTATCTCATACCAGACTGCACTAAGCCCCAAGGTTAAGGCTAAGGTATTTATGAGAGTAAAATCAGGGTAGAGAATGTTTTTGCCAAATAGTAATGAAATCTAGGTATGTAAAACAAGATTATCTCATTAAAGCAATAAACACAAAAAGATATTAGGGACCAGATGGAAATTCAAATAGGAAACTCTATAATGAGATATAAGAATGCAAATCACCCAGAGTAGAGTTTTTGCACATTTAAGTGTAGTTGCTTTTGTCATGAAAACACATACACATAAAATACAATCTGTTAAACTATTTGTATTTGAATCATAAGAATTTCTAAGTAGAGAAATAATAATGTTTATTTGGGAATCAGTGCCTATAGGTATTATTGTTACTTTTAGAATGAGTGTTAAGTGTGAAGTTTCAAGTAGTGTCTGGCACAACTTAGCAATGTTTTAGAGTCAGAAGTTATAATTACACTAAAAATCATATTTAGGCATATCCAATAAGTATAGTCACAGATTCACCTTTCAGGCATATTTTAAGGAATTTTTGTTAATAACACATCACCAATTAAATGTTAAATTTTAGAAAACCTCAGTGATTTGGTATATAATTTTTAAAAACTATCTGCCATCATCCTTTCTTCATTTTTTTCCCTTCCCTTGGTCTAATGGGTGGTTCTTTTATTCTTTGCTAATTTATTCTTTAATATTGATATCTTATTCACTAACAGTCCTCAAAACATTTAGGTTCCTATTCCCCTAATTAAGTTAAGGGTGTGGCTCTTGAGGTAAACCCAGCTGCATTCAGATACAGGTGGGGGTTTTAGTAGTTGTTAGTTTCTTTGATAGTTTCACAATGTAGATTCCAGAGCTAGAAGTGAGAATTCAGTACAAAGGAGGCTGAAATGTACTTCTGGAGGGCCAAGTCATTCCCATTGCTCTCCAGGGTACCTCCACACCAAGGCCTGTTGACTCACAGTCCTGTTGACCTGAGTCTGTTGTATTCACACGGTGTTCTTTTTTTTCCCTTACTGCTATTTTCCCATTTCTAATGCCCTACCCTAGACCTTCAAAGGAGAAAAACAAAAACCAAAAACAGTCCTATGCATTGTTTCAGGGCTGGCTGCAGTTTCACTACCTTTGCCAAGCTATCTTCTGTTCTCCACATTTCCCTCTTAGACAGATCTCCAGTTTGAATATAGGAGTCGATAATTTAAATGTGATTGGATTACACTGTTGGCTAATTGTTTTGTGTTCATTAATTTTGCTTCCCAAAGTTAATATAAATTATGTAAGGACAGGGGTTATTTATTCAGTATAGATACAAATATATTGGTTTTGTGTGTATTTATAAAAATTTAAATTTCTTAATGTGACTTCAAAGTACTAAGTTTCTCATATAGTTCACTGTATTAGTCTGTTTTCACACTGCTGATAAAGACATAACCGAAACTGGGAACAAAAAGAGGTTTAATTGGACTTACAGTTGCACATAGCTGGGAAGGTCTCGGAATCATGGCGGGGGGTGAAAGGCACTTCTTATATGATGGTGGCAAGAGAAAATGAGGAAGAAGCAAAAACAGAAACCCCTGATAAACTTTTCGGATCTCATGAGACTTACTCACTATCACAAGAATAGCACAGGAAAGACCTGCCTCCATAATTCAGTTACCTCCCCCAGATCCCTCCCATAACACATGGGAATTCTGGGAGATACAATTAAAGTTGAGATTTGGGGGGGGACACAGCCAAACCATATCATTTACTAAATGACTCCTAACCAGAATATTAATTTTTGATAAATGGGCATGATGCTTGAGATACCATTTACTCCATTTAATATAAAAACTAGAAACTTCAGGTTTTCAATATCACATAGCTACTCTATGGTAAGTTTCCACTAGAACTCAGCTAGTTGTGCTTGTTGCCCATTTGAGAAAATTGATGGACAGTCTTGCTGTGATTGGCAGTGTATTTGTCAAAGACAATGAAAGCAGGAAACTGTCATTTGTTAAAAACTAGGAACAAACAGTTTAAGGCATCTTTATAAGAATTTGCTTTAGAAAAGTTCATTTCCAGTCACTCTTTGTTGCCTGGAAATGTTAAGTCAAAAGGACGTTAATCCAGTCAGCTATTTTTTCATAGGAAAAATATAAAATTATCTGTTTCTAGTTTCTTTCACAGTTCTCCCAGAAAATATTGGCCTACATGACACAAAACGATGTACCCAAACACCAGGTTTGCAAACAAAATGAGAATCAGCTTCTTCACAGTCCACTGGAATCAGCTTCTTCTCAGTCCACTGAAGGAAAGTTTGTCAGCATCACTTGAGCAGTCCTTATATACATTTAATAAGGAGAAAATCAGTGGTTATCTGGCTTTAGATTTACCCTGGAATTAAAAGCAGTGGTGCACTGGTATATTAGTCAATTTTCACACTGCTATAAAGAAATACCTGAGACTGGGTAATTTATAAAGGAAAGAGGTTTACTTGACTCACAGTTCCACATGGCTGGGGAAGCCTCAGGAAAATTACAACCATGGCACAAGGCAAAGAGGAAACAAGGACCTTCTTCAAATGGCAGCAGGAGAGAGAAGAGAGAGTGAAGGGGGAAGAGCCCCTTATAAACCATCAGATCTTGTGAGAACTCACTCACTATCATGAGAACAGCAATGGGGGACCACCCTCATGATCCAATCATCTCCCATCAGGTCCCTCCATTGATATGTGGGGATTACAATTCAAGATAAGATTTGGATGGGAACACAGAGCCAAACTATATTAACTGGTAAACCAGTTCTTCCCCCAAAAAGGAAAGGAAACTCCAATTTACAGTGTTTGCCAATTTCTGTGGTGTAAATATACCCTCCGCTCACCCTCTACCCTCAAGTAGGCCCCAGTGTCTGTTGTTCCCTTCTTTCTGTCCACATGTACTCAGTGTTTAGCTCCCCCTTACAAGTGAGAACCTGCAGTATTTGTTTTTCTGTTCCTGTATTTGTTCACTTAGAATAATGGCCTCCTCAGAGGTTGCAGTGAGCCAAGGTCATGCCATTGCACTCCAGCCTGGGCAACAGAGTAAAACTCCGTTTCAGAAAAAAAAAAAAAAAAAAGAATAATGGCCTCCTGCTCCTTCCATGTTGCAGCCAAGACATGATCTTCTTGTTTTTCATGGCTGCATAGTATTCCACGGTGTATATATACTAACTTTTCCTTATCCAGTTTACTGTTAATGGGCATTTAGGTTGACTCAATTTCCTTGCTGTTGTGAATAGTGCTGTGATGAACATGTGCATGCATGTGTCTCTATACCTTTGTGTATTTACCCAATAACGGGATTGCTGGGTGGAATGGCAGTTCCATTTTAAGTTTTTTGAGAAATCTTCAAACTGCTTTCCACAATGCTTGAACTATTTTACCCTTGTACCAACAGCGTGTAAGTGTTCCCTTTTCTCCACAACTTCACTAGCGTGTTATTTTTTTACTGCTTTATAATAGTCATCCTGACTGGTGTGAGATGGTATCATACTGTGATTTTGATCTGCATTTCTCTAATGATTAGTGATGTTGCGCATTTTTTCATATGCTTCTTGGCCACATGTATATCTCCTTTTGGAAAGTGTCTGTTCCTGTTTTTTGCTCACTTTTTAATGGGGTTGCTTGGTTTTTTGTTGTAATTTGTTTAAGTTCCTTATACATTTTGAATATTAGACCTTTGTCAGATACATAGTTTGCACATATTTCTCCCATTCTGTAGGTTGTCTGTTTACTCTGTTGATGGATCTGATATGCAGAAGCTCTTTAGTTTAATTAGGTCCTATTTGTCAATTTTTGTTTCTGTTGCAATTGCTTTTGGCATCTTTGTCGTGAAATCTTTGCCAGGGCCTATGTCCACAGTGGTATTTCCTAGGTTATCTTCCAGGGTTTTGATAGTTTCAGGTTTTACATTTAAGCCTTTAATCTAACGAGTTGATTTTTACATATGGTATTCTTTAATTAACTAATTTTGTTCCTCTAGTTCTAAGCTGTTCATTGAAGAAAAGTGTGTGTGTGTGTGTTTGTGTGTGTATGTGTGTGTGTATCTTGAATATCACATATTCCATTTAATGTGAGAAAAAGACCAAATCAATAAACCCATGGTGGCATGGTATATAAACTAAGTTTCAGGTAACAAAACACAAGTGATAAATTACTTTTAAAAATAGCATCAGAAATGCAGAGTTTATGCATTTGTTTTACCACACTCCTCATATTTGAAGCAATTGGCTTGTGATTCATATCTATAGGGAAGTGCTTTTTGGAGCATTAGTTCATGGACAACCACTGTTGTATCTAGAACAGTCATATTATCTTTACAGTCAGAGTTATGAAGATGAAAAACTGTATCTGTATCCATTCAACGCAAAATGATTTAGCCTCTTTAGATAGCAGATGAGAAATTCTGAAACTTCACACGTTCAATCTCAAAATGTTTGCCACAAAACCTGCACCATTAATATTAATTTCTTTCTTTAACCCTCTTACTTGTGTTACAGTCTGCTTCTACAACTAGATACAACTTGGAATTGTAATCCAGCCAGGGGGTTATGCACTTTAAATGGTAACATATTCAAAACAGACACTGTCTTCTTACAGATGAAATTAAGAAATATAAACTTTTGCAAGAATAAATTGAACACTATACATATTCATTGAAAGCTACTATTTTCCTAGGCAGTAACTCAATATTTTCTTTGGCTCTGGGATTTTTTTTAAACTTTATTTTCTGTACTGACTTCTATGATGTCACTTACTTCTGCATTTCTTTCTAACTTTGGCCATGCCTTTTCAGTCTTCTTTCTCACCCTTGCTTAGTTACCTCCCAAGTTTTGAAAATCTTCCAACATTATTCCTCATACATTACTCATCAAGATTTCTCCACAAACTCTTCTTGGGTGATTCTTTTAACCCATGACTCAACAGTCACTTATAAACTGGTGACTCCAAATCTGCCTCTAGCCCCAGACTTATTTAACCAACTGCATAGCAGACAATTCCACCCAATTGTTCACAAATACTCACAAACACTCTGTGTCCAAAATTGAATTTATCATTTCTTCAGCTCTTTGTTGACCAGTTTTATCTACCTAGTCATCCAATAAATGCTCCTGGAATTTATAATAGATGCTTCCTTTCTACCTCCAAATCTAATCACCCCACATGAAAGGGGTGGGGAAGAGCAATCATCTTGTCTGGAAAGAAGAAAGAAATGGAATATTTATTAACAGCTTTAATGACCATAGCAGATAATATTTTTATAACTTTTATTTATTGGGGGGCTAATCTCTATCATTGTTCTAATTATTTCACATGTATTAAGTCACTTAATCTTTATAACTAACCAGTGAGGAAGGTGCTAGTATTATCCTCATTTCAAAGTTAAGTAACATGAGACATTATTCTATTTAGTGACTATAAACAAGATAAAAAGAACTTTCAATTAAGTAAATCAAGAAGTATTAGGAATCCTTACTCTTGCTTGTAATGTTTTATACATTACAGCTCTTAGAAGTTATTACTTAAGTCACAAGAGAAGCATAAATTATTTTTAATGGAAAATTAATCTGGCATGTATACCTTGCTCTCCTGCATACCTTTTTCTACAATTCACATAAGTGATTTGTGGAAAATGATTTCAAATAGTAATCAAACTTTGGCAAATGAATAATGTATTTCCCATTAGACCAACCATGTGTACTGTGAATGTTTTTGAAATACCAAATGACAGTTGTACTTGATATCCAGTAGAGAACTCTAGACATAATTGCACTGAACTGTACCATTTGTGTTCAGATCACTCTCCACCATTTATTCCTTTCTCAAGGGGAGTTCCCTTCTTCTATTAACTTTGTCTAGAATTATGAGAATTCATCAGCAGGAGAATCCTGGCACATCCTAAATAGATATGATGCATCATATTCTCCTGAAGACATTTGTTGCTCATTGAAACCTTAGGGAAATTCCAAAAAGTTAGTTCTCCTCAAAGGTTGCAGGGGATTGGAAATGATAAAATTTAGTATGGTTTAAGGAAAAGTGAAAACGTGATTATAAGAAAGCCTTTTAACTGGAAGTGTTTGGGAGAATAAACAAGTATAGCTGTTTGTAAATTGACATTTTATTAACCCGTATGAGGCCAAGGCCAGTTTCCAAAAAAGTAAAGTTTATGAAGGAAGGAAGGAGGAAAGTAAGGAAGGAAGAAAAGGAAGAAAGAAAAGGAAAAAGGCAGGGTGAGCTTGTTTTGATTCCTATTAACTAACCTGGATTAGAGAAATTCTTAGCACAAATACCACCTTTTCTGTGAACTTAGTGTTCCTACACCCTACGTAAGATTCCAAACATGAATTATGTATCCCTTGGCTTCTGAAGAGCAAAAGAAAGAAAATCATCATCAAATGTATTTAAAAACTGTGGTCCCACATGTACTCTACCTTACATTTTATTACAAATATGATCTGCATTTCCTTTCCACATTTTGAACAAAACAATATTTTATTAACCAAATCTCTCAAATTTTCCCAACCCCATGCCAAATGTACCCAGTGTAATAATTCACCTCCTGGAATCTTGTTTACAGTCAAAATCACAGAGTCTGATCAAACCAACCAGATGTTTATATAGTGAACATACTAATGAAGGCCCCAGATATTGATATCGTTAGGTGAAAATAGATTTAACCTTTGATTTTATATTCTAATTTATAATTAATGTTCAGTCTTTCTTACTGTAAAATTTTTATAATGGAAAAACTGAAGAAATGACAACATGGATTTTTATCAGTCTCCACATTTCAATGTTATAGAAACAAAATATATTGTAGACTTCATGGATTACTTTTTAGATATTTATATTAAAATTTAATATTTTATTTATAATATACTTTCATATATTTAAATTATATGTAAATGTAACACACTTACTATACTAAATTTATTTAAATTTAATATATTACTTTTAAGTATTTTTTCCATTTGCTTAAGTAAAAATTATGCCCATTTGACAGAGTGTATTTAAGAGAAGTTGAATCTATACAAAGGTGTCAGAGAACTGTTGAAAAGTGTCACGATGAGAAATGATAAACCTCAATTTGGTGATATGACTTTAGGGTAAATTCAACTCAATTCATAATCATGTTTTTTGTTTATTCCATCACAAGCAATATATATCCTAACAGTCAGATATCTTCAATCTTTGATCAAACAGAAAATTGCCAATATATATGGTAGGTATACTGATTTGTTCAAAGTGGTTGAGAAGAATTGACTAGAAGAAACAAAGTTTTAAATTATGTTTCAGGTTTAAACACTGTCAGATGGACTTTTACTAAAACCTTAAAAGATGAGAGTTAGCAGGTTGAGCCTCTCTCTCAAACACCACATATTTTCTTAAGGTTTTTGTGGAGCTGAAAAATAAAGAACTTAGTTTTAGGAAGAAGATAAACAAGAAGCTTCCAAATTCATTTTAATTTGAGTCTTATCTGAATTGATTAATAAGCATAGTATGTGAACTATCTCCTACACTGACCATGCTTTTCACAAACATCCACAACATGTTTCATAACAATTCCAATGGGCAAACACAGATTGGAGAGGAAAACAGTCTATCAAGAGGAGAATCTCTATCTCCTACCATTAAGTGGCAAATGTAATAGAAACAGAGCATAGTCAAATGTAATCTGACTTGAAACTGTTCTATCAACCTCATTACATAGCAAAATAAATCTGTTATTTGCTTAGCTTGGCGGGTCATACAAATTACTGATTGCTTGGCTTTTTCTCAGTATGAGAAAACAATTTATAGCACAGTAGATAAATAAAATAATTTTAGGTCCAAGTGATTTGCTTCATAATTTCTATTTAACTAAAATTAATTTCTTGCTTAGAGAGAAATTCATGGTTTTTATTTCATAGTTTCTCTTCTCAAATGGGGGACTTACATTATTTTGTTTCCATGTGGCCTAATTTTCTGAATTTTATTTTGATATAAAAGTTATATGGATATTTTTTAAGTTTTGAAAGTTTCTTGGTACTCACTTTTTATGGTTGGAGGGTCTTTTGACTTTCAAACTAAAGACAAGAAATTTCACAAATAGATGCCAAAGTGTTATATATGATTATAAAAACAAGCCACAAGATACTGACTTAATGTTATATGAGGAACCTTGTTACACAATTGCCAAGTAAAGTAGGAAAATACAAAATAAGACTTCAAATGCAAGGATGAACCCAATAAGCAGGTTGAGTACACCTTATCCTGAATGCTTGGGCCTAGAAGTATTTGAGATCTTGGAATTTTTTGTATTTTAGAATATCTGCATATACATAATGCGATGTCTTAAGGATGGAACCCACATCTAAACATGGAATTTATTTGTCTTATATACACCTTACATACATAGCCTGAAGGTAATTTCATACAATATTTTAAATAGTTTTGTGCATGAAACAAAGTTTGTGGACAGATGTGGTGGCTCACACTAGTAATCCCAGCACTTTGGGAGGCCGAGGCAGGAGGATGGCTTGAGCCCAAGAGTTCGAGACCAGCTTGGGTAATACAGTGAGACCTTATCACTACACAAAATTTAAATTAGCTGAGCATGTGGCATGTAGTCCCAATTACTCAGGAAGCTGAGGTGGGAGGATTGTTTGAGCCCGCAAGGCAGAGATTGCATTGAGCCAAGATCATGCCACTACACTCCAGCCTGGGTGACAGAGTGAGACCCTGATTCAAAACAACAACAGCAGCAAAGTTTGTGTACAGTGAGCCATCAGAAAGCAAAGGTGTCACTCTCAGTCACCCACGTGGACAATCTGTGATTGTTTATCACCATCATTTCTGACTCTAAATAGTATATAAAGGTAAAAGTATATTGTATGTAAAGTTAAAGTTATATACTGTCAGTGATATGGTTTGGCTGTGTTCCCACCCAAATTTCATCTTGAATTGTAGTTCCCGTAATTGTGGGAGTGACCCAGTGGGAGGTAATTGAATCATGGGGTGGTTACCCTCATGCTGTTCTTCTGATAGTGAGTTCTCACGAGATCTGATGGTTTTGTAAGGGGCTTTCCCTCCGCTTTGTTTGACACTTCTCTCTCGCACTGCCACGTGAAAAAGGACGTGTTGGCTTCCCCTTCTGCCATGATTATAAGTTTCCTGAGGCCTCCCAAGCCATGCTGAACTGTGAGTCAATTAAACCTCTTTCCTTTGTAAATTACCCAGTTTGGGGTATATCTTTATTAACAGTGTGAGAACAGGCTAATACAATCAGGATAAATAAGTATCTATCAGGATAGTATATAAGCAATTATTTTCTTAAACGTACCGACACATAAGTTCCTAATGGTGAAAAACATGACATGCCATAAATACAGTGAAAAGATAATGTATTCAGGGTAACTAAGCAGCACAGTGGCATCACCAAATGAATGAGCCTGGGAGGATCTTTTTTTCCTTAGGGGATGCGGAATAAACTGTGTTGTGGACCTTTGTTGTAACCTGTCCCTTGAGGGCAGATGCCAGACTTTCCACTTGTGGCATAATGTTCTTGCTTGAAATTTTTCAGATTTTGGAACCTTTTGGATTTCGAATTTTCAGATTAGGAATGATCAACCAGTATAATATCAAAGGAAGATTTTATTTGATCAGCACAGTTTTGACAAACTCATTTGATTTCACTGATATAGCTTATTGGAAATATGAATATAATTTCCTGTAACTTCACTGTAGTGGAAAGCATTCGTATTAGTATTTTTTAAAAAAGGAATACTCAGATTCTCTGAAGGTAAACTTAAGGCACTTTGGTAATCATGGAAATTATTTCTAGATTAATCTAACAGAGGCAGGCTAATAGTGAATTCTTAATAGTCCTCCTAACATCCTAAAGAAATGAACTTGTACACATGTACAATAGAAAATCCTTTAACAATCTTATAAGGAGAAGTGAATAGGTATACTTTTTTTCTATAGCTGGAAGAAAATAACTATAGTATATCTCAGAGTTTCAAAAAGTGTATTCATCATTTAAGGATGAGAGAGGATGGGGAAAGGCAATGTAGACATAATAAAAAGGGAGAGAAATAGTATCTTAAAGACCTGAAAAAAATTGCAAAGCTCACAAAATTATTCATTACAGGAAATGGCAGAGCATTTTAGGAAATGTCCATTGTATTTTTTACAGTGAGGTTAAAAAAGACATTTGCTCTACGAGATGAGGATGGAGGTTTATTTGTATTCATGGCAATCTTTTTTTGTATTGCTATTATGTGTCAGACACTATGCTAAGTATAATAGGTGGATGATCTCATTTAATGTTTATAACAGCCCTTGGATAAATACTAGTAGCATATCCATTGTAAAGATGAGAAAGCCAAAGCTTTCAGAAATTTAATAATTTGGTTAAGAGGAAAAATAATGTAAGTGGCATAGCTAGAATTTAAGTCCGTGCACTCAGTCTCAAAAGTTTAAAGTATTTAAAACTTATTTCATAATACTTCCTATCAAAATGAGAAAGCAGACTGAGAAGCAGTCTGAAGTGAAATAGACCAAGCCTCAATAAGCCAGACCACCATACAAATAAACAACAGGCTTAAATTTCCATGAATAGAATAACAGACAACACTGCGGAGAATCAACTCAGTGATGTAGAGGACAAACTTCCAAAGCTCTCCCTAAATGAAAAGAAAAAACATGTGAAAAGAGATTAAACACTAAATATCAAAAATGTTAGAGAGATGAAAAGGAAAAAGATAGTAGAAATGAGAGTGGAGAGCCAATTGGCAAATTATAGTTTCACCTTGTGATAACAGCATTTAAAAATACATGATCCACATAGCACATGTTGTAGTTGTGTAAACTATTTAAAAGCTTTGAATGATGAAAGCAAAATAAGGGTCATTTTGATTGCAGTGTGGTAAAATAAAGGCTGGATTGGTGGTCTCTAGAACTGGAGTGTTCTCCCATGTATCATGTCTAAAATTGATCTGCTTTATTCAAGCAACCTCTCTAGTTCGATCACTAGATGAAAATAAATCTCAAAGAAGAATGAAGTAATGAGAGCATCAAACCACTCAACACATCCTGAATGGTGGTTTGCCTGTTAAAGTGGACATGAAAAGTAACTCTTACATTCTGTTGATCAGTCTATTTATCAGAAAACTGACAATCTTTTTTTTTTCATCAGTTTGCATAGTAATGACAAGTGCTTGGAATAAAAGAAGCCTGTTACTTTTTGTTAAAATGTGTAAAATAATGAGAAAGTCTTAGGAAACCTGATGCAAGATTTGTATCACTTAACTTGTGCAAACTAACATGTTTGTCCTTCATCTGTGGATGAAGGAAAAAAGCAATTGTGGCACATACCAACTGATTAATTCAAGTATATAACTCTAGGTATATGAAGTAATAGTAATTTGGGATTAATGTACTCCTTGTTGATAGCACAGCCAAGGATATTAAATTTTGCCACAGTAGGAGGGTTAGGCTACATTTAATCATTTCCAGAGTAGGTAAGATGAACAACATTAATTCAGTTGAGCTTAAATTTGCTTTTAAGAAGTTGTCTTGCTTAGAAAATTAACTTGTAAAAATTGAGTGATTATGTCATATCAAAAAAGAAATGAGGCTAGGTGCAGTGGTTCATGCCTGTAATCCCAACACTTTGGGAAGCTGAGGCAGGAGGATCTCTTGAGGCCAGGAATTTGAGCAGCCTGGGCAAGATGGCAAGACCCTCTTTCTACAAAACAAAAATAAAAAGGTTATCCAGGCATGGCAGTGCCTGCCTGTTGTCCCAGCTACTCAGGAGGCTGAAGTGGGAGAATCACTTGAGCCCAGGAGCTCAGGGCTGCAGTGAGCTATGATAATGCCACTGCACTTCAACCTGGGCAGCAGAGCAAAACACTGTCATGCTTTTAAAAAGAAAAAAAAAATGAACTATGTGGTATACAATGAGAAGACAGAAAAGTCTTTTAAAAACTAGGATAAGAGAATACCAGAAATCTTGTTTCTGGAAGCCTCCTGATGGGGCAGCAGAAACAAGCCCACTGGGCTTCAAATGCTCTTGCTTCTTAGCTCTAAAAAATTGTCAAACCATTCCTGTAATAAAAGATGGTGTATTATTAGCATGGTGGAATTTTTCCCCCCACTAAATCCTCCTTTTCTTAGATGACCATATGGGTTTTTTGTTTGTTTGTCTTTTTTAAATACCAAGTTAGTATTTCCCTAACAAGTTAGACATTAAACTCTGCTGAGATTCAGTCACTCACTCTTGCATAGAAGGATGACCAGTGGTGAAATGTCTAGAAACCCCAAAATATGACTACATTGAAAGAACTGAGACTCTTTAGCCTGGAGGAAAGACTTAAGGGTATGTGAAGGCTGCCACTGGATATTTGAAATGCTTCTCTGTGAAAGGAGGAATACACTTGCTCTGTTTGACATCAGATACAGAGCAAGGAGGAAGATTTCAGTTTAAAATAAGTGCATGTTGGAAGCATTGTAAATGTGACTGTCAGTGCTTGTTCAGTCCTAGAAAAGGCATGGGGAAGGCAGGCTAAGATTATTTGCATATGTGTTCTATATGTATTTATGAACAATTCAGGAGACATTTTATTTTATTTTACTTTATTATTTTTTTGAGACAGAGTCTCGCTCTGTCGCCCAGGCTGGAGTGCAGTGGTGTGATCTCGGCTCTCTGCAACCTCTGCCTCCCTGGTTCAAGCAATTCTCCTGCCTCAGCCTCCCGAGTAGCTGGGACTACAGGCACCCGCCACCACGCCCAGCTAATCTTTCATATTTTTAGTAGAGACGGGGTTTCACCGTGTTAGCCAGGATGATGTCGATCTCCTGACTTCGTGATCTGCCGGCCTTGGCCTCCCAAAGTGCTGGGATTACAGGCGTGAGCCACCACGCCTGGACCAGGAGACTTTATAAGGAAACCAGTATTCCTAGTATTCTGATTACCAGAAAACACCAACAAGTAATAATAAATACCTATGGTTATTGAGCACTTCCTATGTTCCAGGAACTGTATTAAATGTTATATAAAGTCCTGACTTAATTGCAATAACAGGTAGATATTACCAGCTTTTAACATACGGAGAAAGCGGTATTGGCCTTTATAAGCTATGTCTCAAAGTTGCACAGTTAGTAAATGACAAATCTGGGATTTAAATCCAGGTGTGGCTGTCTCAATGTTTACTCTATGTTATGTTGCTTCCATTATTATGGAAGGGGTCTTTTATATTAAAATGTACTGTTAGGAGATGAAACTCTTTAAAGTAAGTTGTGGGCACTCCTAGTTGAGCTTGGGGACTAGAACTCAGAGTCTCTGTGTATGAGTGTGTATGTGTGTACTGCTAACTCAGTTTCTCTGATTTATCATTTGAGCATGGTTTTAGACTGTGTTCCTTAATGAGACAGAAAGAAAATCCTTAATTCTAGGACTACTTCAAATGGGAGACAGAAGAACTCATGAGAGCGATGCTACTGTAGGATTCCACCTGGTTTAAAAGATGAAAACTTTAGCATTATTTACCTTTCCATGATTGTACATATGTGTTAGGTGTGTAGGTGTATAATTTGGCTGAAAAGAACTATATGACTTTGCTAACAAAAACTGAGAATGATTTTTAGGGAGACCTGGACCTATGGGGACAGGAAGAAAAATAGTCTTATGCTAGGTACTTTGGATTTGTTGTTTTAGTTATTCCTCCTGACAACCCTACAAAATGGTTATCTGAGCATGGGAAACTGAGGCTCCCAGTTTCCCATGCTGAGGAAATTATCAATGGTCACGCAGCTTCTATATTGTGGAACAAGGATCTGCCCTTAAATCTGTCTGTTTCCAAAGCTCTTTTCACTGTCCCCAATCCTTTCCTTTCAATAAACATTTGTGCTTGGAACTATGGCAGCTTTGATCCTGACCAGCAAAATCATGGCAGCAGACACTTTTCTAAGGATATCCAAAGTGAAAGAAATACAAAGCAGACAGTCTCACCGTGGAGCCAGCGGTGGGTGTGGGCAGCACCCAACTCCTTGAAAAGATAGAAGGAAATGCAATGATCCAGGGAAACCATTTGAACTACTAACATAAGGTGGAAAAAAGAATCACCTTAAGGATGGGTGAGATCAGCTCATCTGGGGATTAAGTGAGCACTGTTCTAGCATCCTGGCTCATTATTTGGGGAAACAATCCAAAGGCAGAAGGCAACAATCTCATCTACCCAAAGAAGAGTTAATACCTTGCCATGATTCCTTCCCAAGCCTCTGAACATTTGTATTTAGCAAGAAGCAAATAGTGAGGAGTTGAAAATATCTGTAGACAGGAAGAAAAATTTCTCTTTTGTGATGCCAGTAGTAAATACAAATGTTTTAATTGATTTTCTCTTGCTCTGAAACTTTTTGATTCTGCTTGACCCGTAATGCAGAGACTTGTTAACAGATTGTACACATCGTAAGAATATTTTATACAAGCATACTGTAAGTAACACTATATATTTTGGCCCAAGGGGAGTAGAGAAAATAATAGAAGTTACAATGCTACAACTGCCACCAATACTAATAGTAAATGCCAATTGAGCACCTGATTTGTCCCCAGCACTATATTATGTGCTTTACACAAAGCACTATGTGACAGGCATTTTTCTCCATCCTTTTCAGACAAGGAAGCTGAGATTGATGGAGATTAAAGACTTTGCCTAACTTTCACAACCAGCAAGTGGCAAAGATGGGATAAACAATCAGCTTTCTAGGTCTCTAGAGGCGCACTTTTCTACCATAGCATGCTGCCTCCCTGGTGCACTTCATTTTTTATCCTTTCAGATTTTCACCGTACATGTTGCTCACTAGATACTGATCTCTGATGCGGCCTCTAAGCATGAGTATTGGATATGATCCAGATGTTTCCAATATAAGACTAGTAAGTAAAAGTTGCAAAATCCTTTTTCTTTAGTTCGGTGAAAGAAACCGTTGATAGGGAGGCTTTTAAATTGTAACCAAAGGCTTCATTAATCTTATGCATTCCAGTATGCACTGGTTAGCATAATCACTAAGTAGTGGTTAATTATTTAGACAATACAGCCACACACTTCATACGTGTGCTATTTAATTCAATGATTAGAGCATGCGTTTTTTGTTCCGGATTTATTTGATCACAAAGGATAAACTGAAGAGACACAATGTGATACTTAAATACATGATGATTTTCAGAGCTTTCGGAAGCTAGATTTGTATTATGAGGAACATTATATGTAAATATGGAAAATTAATGACCTGGTTATTGTCTAACCAGAACCCTGACTTCTCCCTTTGCAGCTCTTAACACTTAATCGAATCCTAAAGACTTAAAATGAAACGAGAGCAGACTTACTGAATGAACAGAATGTTTCTTTCCAGACCACTAACCCATGCCTTACTAGTGTCCAATTTAATCGACACTGTATTGCTGTGAAGTGTCTCAGTGGCAGCCTGAGGATGCTCCCTAAGGTATCACACACCACCGTCTAGAGGGAAGCCGTGGACACAGGGCTCAAAAACTGCCTGCTTTCTGCAGTATAAATACCATTCAGTCTCTTCTTTTATGACCTGCAGTCTACAGGTACACACTCATAGTTTCATTTGTATGTTTATTTACAAACATGATTACATATTAGTGTTTCTTCTTCAAAGATCATTTTCAGCATGATATCCATCCATGTAAAAACCTGCTTACTGATAGGGCTTTTAATACAAATCTTTAACTTTCAGCTCTTCAAATGCTTCACCAACCACCACTGATTTTTTTAAAGACCTTATTTTTTTTTAGAGCAGTTTTAAGTTTACAGCAAGATTGAGAGGAAGGTACAGAGACTTTCCCCTGCCCCGACGCATGCAAAACTTTTCCCATTATTAACATGCCCACCGGAGTGGTAATTGGTTACAATCGATAAGCCTTTACTGACACATCATTATCACTTAAAGTCCATAGTAAACATTAGGGTTCCCTCTTGGTATTGTACATTCTATGAGATTGGACAAATGTATAATGACATGTATCCAGCATTATAGTGTCATACAGGGTAGTTTCACTTCCCTAAAAATTCTCTGTGCTTTGTCTATTGATCTTCCCTTCCCTGCTAACACCTGGCAACCGCTGATTTTTTTTACTGTCTCCATAGTTTTGCCTACCACTGATTTTTAATTTTTCAACTCAATTTCTCTAGTTTTTCACTAAAAGAGTCTGCTCTTTTGGTCAAGCTAAACTTCTTGCAGTTCCTAGAATATGACTTTTGTACATTCCTTTTTATACAATATCATACACCAATCTGTTCTGCATCAGTCATTAGATTTCATTCTCTTTAAAATCAGGATGAAGGCTCTCACCCACTTCAGGGAGCCTGTTTTAATTCATCTAAGTACCCTGTTATTTTCCATTTTCTCAGTAATTGCTGTATTCAACCTCATTCATTCATTATCTTACAAATATTCATAAGATGTCCACTGCATGCCAGACCCTGCAATAAACTCTGGGAGTAAAACAGGAATCAAGCCACACATGGTTCTAGCATTCACAGAGCTTGCACTTAGTGGGGAATGTTAAGATGTCAAGAGACAATAACAGAGTGAAATAAATAGCAACTAGAGGGGCCATATGAAAGCACGTAAGAGTGGTACCTAACCCAGGCTCAAGGTTTCTTGGATAAGATGAAGTCTTTACATGTCCTCAAAAAGGAATAAAGGTTATCCAGGTTAAAAAGTATTCTAGGCAGAGGGAACAGCATGTGAGAAGTCACAGAGGTAAGGATTTAAGAATCATTTAAAAGAAATGGAAGGTAGAATATGAGCTCATGAATTAAAAAGAATATGGAAAAGAAAAGTCAAGGCCATTGTAAAGACCCTTGCAAGCCATGTGAAAATGTTGTGCTCTATGAATGTGCATGTTTAGTGCAGCTTTGCATGCAGTGTCATTTTACATTAAACCCACAGGATTTAAGATCGGGAAGGAATTCTGATACCATTTTTTACTCTACTTGCTCATCTGCTGAGTACTCCATTTAGAGTGACTATTCAGGAAATATTTTTGAGGGACCTGTATTTAAGCAATCATTAAAAAGTTTTCATCCTCTCTCCCACTTTCCTGAGAGGCCAGTAGTAATGTTTTTACTCTTATGGTCAATGAAATAATGAGACATCTGTAGGGACAGAATTTAAATCTAAAGCCCTGAGTAGAAACAAAACATGAGTAATTCCTATATTCAGTATCTTTTGTGTGCTCTCTCTTATACAACAATATAAACAAATATAGTTCACCCAATGTGCTAGAATTACTCTCTATTCCTAGATATAGATTAGAAATGTTTAAAGAAGGACAAAAAGTATCTGGTGAGTGGCTCACATTCTCAAGCTAATGTCTACAGTTCTTCAAATTTTATAAATATTTTTGCTTCTTAATGCTATGATGACAGTTAAGCAGGGAGCAGCGGTCAGAGAGGAATGGGAATTTAGCAAAACTGTCAGCCTTCCCTGTTGTGAAACATACATGGTATTATGGAAACTCATATGCTGCTCTGTGATTTACATGTACGATTCACTCCCGCCTCAAGTTCACCACATTGTGAGCAGTGTGGTTAGCACATTCGCTAAGTGTGTCTTTGAATGAATGAATTCTATATTTTAATGTATATTAAAATTGTATAGAATTTTGTCAAGAATTAAAAGATAGGAAAATAAAAACTACAAAATGTAGTATGTTCAAATTCTTTAAATATTTGGGATTTTTTTCTAAGAAAATGGTCTAAAGCCAAATGAAAGTTTTGATAGAGGAAAAGTTCTTATTTAATAACTCTTGCAAAACATGATTTCATACCCAATTATTATACTTGCATGAGAATTCTGTATACCACATTCATGGCTTTTCAATTATTAAAAAGATAAACATGTAGTTAAAATTGCATAATTGGTTTAACCAAAAGAAATACTGCCAATAAGACTTACATAAGAAAGTTCATAACAGCTCTAATCCTAAGAGCCCCAAACTGGAAACAACACAAATACAACAATTGAGTGAACAAATAAATTGTGATATCTTATTACAATGAAATACTACTTAATAAAAGGGAATGAATTACTGATACATATAACAGCATGGATAAATTTTAGCAAAACACTGAAGCTTAGCAAAAAAAAAAAAAAAAAAAAAAGCCAGATCCAAAAAGATACACATTGTGTAGTTTCATTGATATGAAATCTTAGAACAGGCAAAACTAATCTATAGTGACAGAAAGCAGATTAATAGTTGCCTGACGGTCATGTGGGCGAGACAGAGAGAAAACTGCGAAGGAGTATGAAGCATTTGAGGTGATGGAAATATTATCAATCGTAATTAGATTGGAGGTTACATAGATGTATGTATTTGAAAAACAAATCAAACTTGGAGCATTTTATTTAAATTGCACCTTGATTTGAAAATTTAAAAGAATGGTTTTTTTCTGATAATATCAGCTTATAGAATATGGAATAATTATGATAAATGCTCTTTGTTCTAAAGGTAATATATTGAGTTTTGAGAATATTACAGAATTTTCAACATATATCGTGGAATTATTAGGTGTTGTACTGTGGTTATAATCTATGAACTAGAGTGGTCAAACTCTGCAATAGGATAGATAATTTTAAACATTTACTAAAATGTAATATGTAAATTTTAAAATTTCTCACACTTCAATGTCATATTTCAACTTCAATCTCTAATTCCACAAATTATGGTTAACACTGCTTTGTATTGTGAAAGACCAAAGCGAAAGAATATTGGCTTAATTCCAAAGATATTTCTAGATAGAAAACTCCAATTGACAGTGTGAAAGCAATTTTGATATCTCAACTTCTGTTTAAAGAAAGAGAGTACTGAAAAATAATGTTAACTTTCCTGGACTACTATATTTTCATAGACTTCTATTGACAAACCCTAGGCATATTATGGGAACAGGGATCCGTCACAGTAAATTATTGATATAATTATTTCTTCTTTTCTATTTTATCTTTCTCTGAGACACATTTGTCAGTTGTATTTTAGCGTTCTAAAAATTGAGAAGCAGAAGATCTTTGTAAATCTTGTATTAGCATTTATTTCTATTCATACTTCTTAGCCATGTTGGGGATAGGACGTGTTTCTTCACCTCTCACTTCAAAGGAGCCAGTGCTTATTGTTCATGTTCCTTTCCACCTCGCACTGATAAAAGTGTTCATGCTTTTCATTGTACATTCTTACACTTCTGTGAACCACAAGGATTAAGTGAATTTAAATGATCCTTTCAGTAGAGATAAAAGGTCAAGACTCTGTGGTCCCTTCTTCTAATGTGTGTTTCTTTTTTTCTTTTAAAAGCCTTGCACTATTTCAGACATTTAATCTAGGACCACATTTTTTTTTGTCTTCATAAAAAAGAAACCAGTTGTTAAGCCTGCCAGAACTAAACATATTGAAACATAGTATTTAATAAGAACTTGAATCTGTTTTTGGTAGGAAGAAAATAATTGGTTGGTCCTTTCCTTTATCGTAGTGAGCCAGACAACCTCAGCCAAAGGCTAAGTGAGAGACCAGCAATATAATTTTAAATGACACCTTGACCTTCTGGTGAAAGGCTAAAAAATAGGTGATAGCTCATTTTATCATTACATTGGGTAATTTAGTACAGCTACCACAAAGCCTTTGTAAAATGAGGCTAGACACAAATCAATCAAGAGGCTAAATGAACATGGGGTTTTTTCAAAGCTACATACTCTTTAATATGCTAAATGTGATTAACACATTATTTTTGTCAGTCCCACACTTATTTGCTATATGAATATAAGTTTTTCTGTTTGCTTTTTTTCTTTTCTTTTTTCTTTTTTTTTTTTTTTTTTTTTTTTTTTTTTTTAAGGCAAGGACTCACTCTCTTGCCCAGACTGGAGTACAGTGGCCCAGTCTCGGCTCACCGCAACCTCTGCTTCCCAGGCTCAAGTGATTCTCCTGCCTTCGCCTCCCGAGTAGCTGGGACTACAGGTGTATGCCAATACTGCCCAACTAATTTTTGTATTTTTAGTAGAGAAGGGGTTTCACCATGTTGACCAGGCTGGTCTTGAACTCCTCGCCTCAAATGATCCACCCGCCTCAGCCTCCCAAAGTGCTGGGATTACAGGCGTGAGCCACCGCGCCCAGTCTATAAGCTCATTTTGCACTTTAGAAGCTCATTTTTTCCTTCAGTTATCCAGAAAAATTGGATGTCATGGCAACCTTTTAAATTATTAATGCATTCAACATACATTTATTGGACAACATTTCTGTGCTACACATTGGACAAAGTACTAGGAAATTATGCAGGTATGGTCTTGTCTCTGCTGAGCTGAGTATCTATCTCTTCTGTGAGTTCCATGCTCTACATGTTTAAAAATTATGCCTAGCATTTCCAATTTTTAGGAATTAACATTTTCATTAGGACATTATGAATCCTGTAACAACATTTCACACATGTATTTTAAAATACAGTTTATCTCTATGTGACTATATTTAGCTCCTTAACAGGGGGACTCTGAGACCCAAAGAGTTGACACATGAAATAAAGGAGGGGTGAGTCATGTGGTATATAGCGTTTATATACTCCTGATCGTATAATCAATAACAGGAAAAGCTTTGGGTCAGCTGGGGGTCTCAGGAGTCATCTCTGCTTAGGAGTGAGAAGAAAACCTGATTGTGTTCAGGGATTCACCAGGGGTATGTGTTCAATGCCAATTTCCCTAGTCTCACCTACAAAGGTGTGGGTCAGTCCTTGAAGGGGAGGATTCAGTATTTACTTTTTAACTAAACTCTAATGCAATGCGCTGGACTGAGTAACAACGTTTGGAAACCAGTGATTTAGCCCAGTCTCCAGTATAATATAAAACTTTTACTTACATCTTGCAATAATGAAGCTCATTCACCCCTGCTTGAATGCTACTGGTGTTAGAACTTAGTACCTCTGAAGGGGAATGTTTCACTTTTAGCCACCTCTAGTGATTAGAAAAGGTTTCCCTTTGCTGAGTTAGTATGCGCTTGCTTTCTGTGTCTTCTGCCTTCTAGACTTACACAGAATAAAACTAATTTCTTTTCTTTATTATAGTCCTCCCGTAGGCTGTCATATGAAGATAGCTAAATCTGCTCTTTTTCAGAAATATGCACTCAGCTCGACAATATTTTGAACATCATAGCCTCGGATCACATTATGATGGCTAAAGAGACATAAATACACCTGGTCTTCAGATACAATTTCATCTATGAAATTCTTCATCTGTTCCTTTTTTTTTTTTTTTTCCACTTTCCTCCTTTGGGAAGCTAACAGCTATAACTTGGGATGGGGAGAAGCCTGTGATGAAAACACATGTAACTGCATGATTTACCTCTATCCGGCTATTATAGGGACACAAATTACACAAACGGTTTCCCCTGCTAATATTAATGAAGAAGGGCTGATTGAAAGGTAGCCATGGTGATGGGTGTGTAAGGAGGGGAGAGGTCCACACTTACGTGAACGGGAAAGTGTCAGAAGCCATTTGGAGTTGTCAGAGAAAATCATGGCAGTGGATTCCTTTCCATTAGCCATCAACCAAAGCAAGGAGAATGGCTCGCAAAGGTGCCTAGTTAAATCTCGGTAAAAGATAAAATAAAGGGAGAGGAGACAATGAAAGAAAAGCTTACCTCAGTCCTCATTGTTGTTTTTTCCCCTATGGGCTCATTTTTCTTTGAAAAAAAAAATCACATTTCATCTTCAATGTATAATGACCTTCTCAGAATGAATTCTTAAGAAAATAAGCAAAAGCACACCTTCCAATGTGAATAGGTAAAAGAACCAAAACATGGCATGCTGAATAAAAGCATGCTATTGACAAAAAAAAAAAAGAAAAGAAAAAAAAGAAAAAGAAAGTAAGAGCAGGAACCCATCAACTTCTTTTTCTTTGAGAAATTTTTTGAACGTAAGTACTAATATTTTGGAGGTAGAGTGTCATCTGTGCTCACAGTAGCCCAAGGGGTCAGAATAACAATGATGATCATGACATTTGCCCACAGAACCTTTCTGCTTGCCTTCCCTCTCTCTCCTTGTCTCTCTTTATCCCCTTCTTTGTCTCCCTATCACCTATCAGTTACAGCAATATTATTTAAAAAATAGCAAGTATTGTTGAACACATACTATGTGCTAACCTATATATACACACACACACACACATATATATATAGGTTACGTATATATAATGACTTTCAGTTCAAAAGGAACCACGTGTGCTTTTTTGTTGGTTGTTTAAGCAAAAAAACTGGAAATGAAATAAAAGTTATGTTCTTGTAGTTCTCTAGCTGCTGCTAAAATGATCTCTAGAGGATTTTACTCGTGGGGCTGTTAAAAAAAAAAAAAACGACAATGACAAATTGAAGGGAGTGTAGAGAAACAAAAATGATAAAATTCTTAGAAAACAAGGTTTGTCAGAAAAGGTGAACCTAACTTGATATTTTGAGCCGGAAAGAAAGGAAAAAAAACTTAAGGGACACTTGAGAATGATCCAAAATATACAATGAAATATACACTGGGACAGAAATCAATTATTCTCATTAACAAAAAGGACAGCTCTTGGGGTGACAGCCTTAAACTCTGCCAGGAATAAATGATGTGAGGTTCAACATTAGAAAAGCTTTTACAATGTTTTCTAAACCCACTAGGAAAGAAAATCAGACAGGAGAAGGTATTAAAAACAGGTGTCAAGAGACACCATTGTGAAAACTTTGACAGAAACATTTAAGGCTGAGATGGGACATCCAGCCCACAAATAAAATACTTTATGTGTTAAATCGGTCCTGCTATATGCAGCCTCATGAATGTAGTATGAGAAGCCTGTTAATTTAAATTATGGCTGTATTGGTACCACAGGCTCCTCTGTATGTTAAAAATACAATATTATAGTAATGGCATTTGTTTGTACTAATTACCTGCTTGCTTTCATATGCATAATTTGCCATCGTTCTGAAATTTCTTTGGCCAAGGTAGAATTTCTGAATAATTTTGTATACGTGTGGAACATAGTGAATGTTAGTTTTGCCGAGGATATCATAGCTACATCTTTAAAGTTTTAGGGAGAAAAAAAATGCTTTTTTTTCTTTTTTCCTGGAAGCACCTGAAAAGTTGACTCTTGTTCATACATTTCCATTTTATTTTCATTCCATTCCTCAGCTATCCACTCACCTCTTTTAATAATACAGAAGTAAATATCAACCAGAAACTTTAGGGTAATGTGAATTTTATCTTTTAACTAAGAAACACATTATATCCATAAGTGTTTCTTTTATAGACCTAGACAATTAAAGTGAAACTCTGAAAACCAGTGGCTCCCAAAGAGTCCTTATTTGGGTTCTGCAGTTGGGTCTGTGTTAGAGATCAAAGACGTGCTTCCCACCCAGTCATACAAAGGAAAGTGACCCAAAGTAGTGGCTGTTTGTTATTTGAAGCTTATCCATTCCAAGTGAGTGTTAACTGGGGGATCATAGGCTGTGATTCCTAGCTTCACACAGCAAACCTGAAAGTCACTAATTATTCTCTTCTTTGATACTTTCCTAGAAGGCTTATAGTAATTAATGTGCTTTAAAAAAATACAAGGCCTAGTTTATAAGATGAAATATGTTTGGAGAATCTATTGATAATGAGTATAATACAGATTTATGTTTAGGCTCTTTTTCTGGACAATGTTTAGTATTTTGAGGATGACATAATGGATCCTTATTATATACATACTATATTGGGCTTAGCCAGTCCAAAAAGAGCATCTGGCATGAAGGCTATGAAAACAACCTTACGTGATTAGAGGGTTCAGAGCTCTGAAACCTGCCCCTTCTGTTGTATCACTGGGAGAAGCCCCGTTAATCTTATTAAACATTTAAAATTATCTGTAAGTTTAACACAAAGATCTTAAATGTGTTTTTGTCAAAACAAGAGCCAGGCAAAAACTGGTATTTTATCAGCTGTTTGTTACTTTTCAAGTTACAGTGTACTGTTCTCCACCAAAGAGACAGAAACGTTAGTATTCAGTAACAGCCCCAACAAAGACACTGTTTGCAGAGCAATAGGATCATGTGGAAAAAATGAGTGATCTTATGATTAGGGACAGGATATGGAATTATAATAGTCCAAGAACTGAGAATAACTGCAGTGCCTGGGATGTGGGATAAGGAAAGAATGTGGAAAGATGAGGGAACACTTTACTTGTAGAATAGTCTATACTTGAAGATTTCAGGATGTAGAATCAATGCTAAATTCATTAAAGCAGGATTAGGAAACCAGGATGGCTGGACAACAATGAAAATTGTATCCCTTTTCTAACTCCGTCTTCCAAAAGCCCTTACAAACTTTGTCAAAACTCATCAGTGGCCCCCTAATCAGTAAATCCAATAACTTTTCCTCTGCCACTTCTTATTTGTTCATACTCTGCCCTTGACATCTTTCTTCATAGGCTGCCTTTCTTTGCCTTATATGGTACCAAGTCTCCTGACATGTATGCAAACCCTCTGCTCATTCTTCGGTTTCTATTAGCTCTTTCCATCCTAATATCATCTTTGTAGCACTATCGCAATAGCCTCTAAATAGGTCCTCCTGATTGGTATTGCCCTTACAATGGATAAGACAATCAAGAGTCACTGCTCTACTCACAAAAACTCAATGGCCCTCCTCACTATAAACACTTCAGGACTCAGATTCCAAGTTCTTCACAACCAACTTTATCACCATTGCATTTTTCATGGATCCTTGTCTAGCCGAATTTGTCAGTAGTGCCTGTCCATATTTTCTTCCATAATTCACTTCTGGATTTATTACAAGCTAGATTCTCTCAAAATTTAGCAATAATCTACTTATTATTGTTCTTATACAGAGCCACAAAAGATTTCAGGTGGTTGAAAAGAATATTTAACACACAATAAAGCAAAACAGTTTTACATTTTGAAAATCTGGATTGTTTTTATCGTCTCCCTTTTGTTTTAATACCCATAAAGAAAAGGAAAAGTTACCCTTAAGAGTTCATCAATAGTACAATGATTTATAATCCTTTGGGTATATACCCAGTAATGGGATTCCTGGGTCAAATGGTATTTCTGGTTCTAAATCCTTGAAGAATCACCACACTGTCTTCCACTACTATAAAGACACATGCACATGTATGTTTACTGCAGCACTGCTCACAATAGCAAAGACTTGGAACCAACCCAAACGCCCATCAATGATAGACTGGATAAAGAAACTGTGGCACATATACACCATGGAATACTATGCAGCCACACAAAAAAAGGATGAGTTCATGTCGTTTGCAGGGACATGGATGAAGCTGGAAACCATAATTCTCAGCAAACACAGGAACAGGAAACAAAACACCGCATGTTCTCACTCATAAGTGGGAGTTGAACAATGAGAACACATGGACACAGGGAGGGGAGCATCACACACTGGGGCCTGCTGGTGGGTGGGGGGCAAGGGGAGTGATAGCATTAGGAGAAATACCTAATGTAGATGACGGGTCGATTGGTGCAGCAAACCACCATGGCACACGTATACCTATGTAACAAATCTGCACATCCTACACATGTATCCCAGAAAATTCTATTTACAAGGGGAAGTTTAAGCATTTCATGTTTATGTACCTAAAATATTGAACAGTTTTGTGTATATCTTGACTCCACGATTTTATTTCCTGAAACAAAATATTTATTTATTGGAAGATAGAAATATAGACTAAAACTGGAATTTGTCCTACCTACACTTTAGAATTAATACTTTAATTCTGTGTTGGGAATTAAAATTGCTATTTCTTAAATTATAAAAAAAATTGTAGGATTACAGAGATAAAAAAAAAATTTACTTGGTCATTGCATTTTTGTCTTTGCCCTAAAGACTATTCTTTCGCACATCTTCACCATTGCAGTAAGATGTTGGTGTAATTAGGTTGTCATATAAAGGTTGTGATTCTGAAGTTTCTAAATTAATGCCTTAGGTTTTTATGAGAAACACATTTATGCAAATTCTTCTTCTTCTTTCCCTGACTCTAGTCTCTCTGCTATTTTTCTAGGGTTGTGACGCTGACTGCCTTCTCTCCTTACTCTGTCAAGTCTCTGAGTAACCTTCCTCATGTTTGTGACTTCGCTTATCACATGTGTAGTGTTATCTTCTCCCCAGGTCTCCTTCCTGTGCATGGGACCCACCTAGAAAAATATCTACAAGTATATGGCAGCATATATTACAGATCGATGTTCTGAAAAGAGTAAGGGCCTTGGAAGTGGAAAGATGTAGATTTGGTTCTATTGGTTCTAATCTGGGGGACTTCAAACAGGGGAGTTGATCTCTGTGATCTTCATTTTCTTCATATTTAAAATGAGTTTATTAGTTTTATCTAAATATGGTTGTGTAATATATAAAAATGGCAAACAGAATCTGCTGGGTAATAGTAAGTGACAGTTGTTGTTATTATAAATTATTTCTTTATGGCTTATAACAGACCAGGAATATGAAAGAAAGTATAAGTCTATTTGAAATATACCAAAGAAAAGTATTGACTTTTCCCTTCCGCATATACAAACTGATTGGTTCTGGCCTAATTGATAAGTGTACATCTCGGGGTTATTGACCCGTGGGTCTCAAACAGGGGCAGTTTCACCCCCTCATGAGGCACCTGGAAATGTGGATATGGAGAATGTATTTCTGGTTGCTGTAATGTCTGAAGAGTTGTGCTATTAGCATCTTGTCGGGGGAGTCTGAGGGTGAAGGAAGACATTTTAAATGTCCTGCAATGAGCAGGATAATCCCACCAACAAAGAACTTGTCTGTCCAGGATGCCAGTAGCACCTCCAATGAGATGATCCTGCAGTGTCGCCCTCCCTTAGCCATGACTTGTCAGTGTAAGGCCCTGAGAATTAAGAGTCACTTTTAGGACCACCCTCTAAGCATGAGCCTCCATCAAGATCCATTGAGCTTAGTGCTTATCCCAGCCCTCTCAGGCATTTTCCAGACCCAAGATTTATTAACCAAGTATCTGAAAGACTATATGGAAGAAGGTGATAAGCTTACTCCTCTAAGGAGCACAGATAGGAAATGAAATCCTACTGGGTTAAGAGGGATTTAGGTCAGCTCTACAAAGAATGATTTGATTATGAATGTTGTCAAAACTCAGCATAGGTTACAAATCAAAGTGTTTAAATCTCCTTCAGAGGTTATTAAAAACAGAATTACTCCTCATACTGGAAATGTTGTGGATATAATCCTGTCTAGAAGCAGGAAGTGGATAAGAAGGTGGTCTTAAATGGTTCCTTCTAGTTCTATTACATGAACCCTAAAAGGCCAGCTAGGATGTTGTAAAATATAGCCTCTCTTTCTCAATCCTGTTCTTTTATTGCTCCTTACTTCCCACTTTTACAAACCCCAAACCTAAGAGAGCTTACTTTGTTCTTGAGGGTAACCACATTTATTAGGTACTTCCCCTAAGGAACCCTAGCATTCAATTAGTGGGAAATAATATAATGATAACTCATTATACTCCATTTCAATACATGCTTTATATACCCAAATAATATCACAGAAGATTATAGATACATAGAAGCTTATGCACATAAACATTAATCCATGTTAATGGTTCTTGAGTTATTCCTTTCTATTAAAAGGACCTGGGGAATTGTAAGCACGTCATTATTTTTCAGAGGCTGTGTGTGGCACAGTCATCAAGAAAGGACTGTGATAACTTATGGCTAAAAAATGCAATCAAATATACATATCTAGTTGTTTTTATTTTATGTCTCTATTTGGATAAAATGTAAAGATAGATGAAGAAGACCTCAATGCAACTATTTGCTTTTGATTTTGATTTTGCTTTTGACTTGGTTTTATTAATGTCTCATCACCAGTTGGACTGATTTTCTCACTGGTTGCTGAGCAAAGCTGACTATGCTGACTTTGTTGTTTGCTTTGTTGATTGCCTCTGTGGTGGGCAAAATGTAGAGAGAACTGACACATCTAGGCCCTAATCTAGGGCACAATTTCCTTATGTTTTGTTAAAATGAAAGCACCTCATCTCTGATCAGTTTCCCTTCATTGGTATTGCCTCCTAGATGTTAATGGTTCCGTGACATTATTTCACACTGCTGCAGGTGCTTCCTCCGACCTGTCTTTTCTACGTGTAAACTCCAGAATAGCATTTTCTCTTTGGAAGTCATTTGCCTGTCACTTCGTCAGAATGACTTTGTGATCGTGAACACTTTCTGTCTTTGAAAGGATCTTTCTTTAATACAAATTCTATGAACAGTACATATGTGTCACTATTAGGTTAGAGCTGTGCTCATTTAGGATATTAATGTCTTTTATATACAGAACATTACTTAACATTTTGATAACTTTTTAAAAGTGTTTGAATCACTGATTCATTTACCTAACAAATATTTGCTAAAACCGTGATATGTTCTAGGCATTGGGACATTTGGCTGGAAGCTGGGAATTGACAAATGAAAAATATTTGGTTTCTGACTCCTAGGAGATCAGTCTAATGGGGCAGATAGGCATGTAAACAATTATGGTACAATGTGGTAAGTGCTATAATATCAATATGTACAAGATGCTGTAAGAATACAGATGTAGGGATGCCTCACTCTCTCAGAGAAGGGAAAGGAGGAGAAAAGAGTGAAAGGAAAGGGTGCACAAAGGAGGTGACATCTGAGCTGGAATTTGAAAAGTAGAATTTCATAGTATTTCATGGGTGAGGGCAAAGTAGACACACTTAATATTTCAGTGTTAGTCTAAATTGTCTTTGTTTAGGAGTTAAGCAGGAATGAATGAAATGGCATTCATGATAGAAATTACTTAGAAAGTTTATCAGTTATATCATTGGGTCAGATAAATTGCTCACTTGGAATAAGTGACTTGGTGAGAAGGAGAGGGATCTTTTTTGAAAGTGGAATAATGTTACTTTCTTTTTGTTTTTTGCAATGTTCTCTATATTTCAGAAAGATAAATTTCAAAAATAAAACAAGAGACAATGAAAACACCCCTGCCATTTTATTCTTATTTCTATAGTCATTTGGGCAACATGGTTAAAATTCACATAATGAGTCTAAATAAAAATTGTAGTTATTAAAGCTGTCCTGTGATTGGTAGGACTTTATATTGATAAGGACTGTGGTAACTCACCACTCAAGGAATCAACAGGAAAACTGATAAAGCATCTACTACATGCAGCTATGGTCTAATGTGAAAGATATAGGTTAGGTTAGGAGATAAACACTAAATACTAAAGGAATTAAATGACCATATAACTTATCATCCAAACCATTACAGAAGGAAGGGGGTTGACTAATAATTACATCAGAACAACAGGAATAAATTAAGTTTATCTTGAGCAAACCTTACCACCCTACTAATGAGTAGAGTCCCTCTCCAAATGAGTTATACATGTAATAAAAACTCTGGGGATAAAGGGGAAGATGACTTTGAGTGGGAAGCAGGCAATATGTTGACTGGTTAAAGGATGATGAGCCCTTTTCATGAGTAAGTGGTACCATGGGCATAAGTATTGAAGGCAGGAATATTCTGGAAAATAGAGAATATTTCTAGAGGGACAGAGTAGTAGGCTACATAAAATTGCCAATAAACATTTTAAAAGATAAATAAAAGGTGAAATTCATGAAAACCCCTTTGGATTTCGAAATTAGTTTTCCACTAGTTAGTTTTCCACTATTCCATTGTCTTCTTAGTCCAGCTACCCAATAAAAAGCATTCTCTCTCTGATCGGTACTGCCTCCCTAAGCTTCATTAGATCAGTTCTACTTCTCCAGTACCTGAACTTGAATATGAATTTTTCCTTTGCCCCTTTCTTGGAAGTTTTCTGTGCATCCCACACTTGCCCGTGACTAGGACTTAGATTTTGGTTCTGTTTTTTGGTTCAGTCTGTGCCCTGAGGCTATGCACCAGCCCTGTCTCCTGACAGCTCCCCCAGACGCTGTACTATGCAGAGCACTAGCTTTTCTGCTTGATTGTAAGGGGTGATCAGAAAGTGTTAACTTCAGGCAACTCATTTAATATCACTGGACGCCATGTTGTTTCTCATTCCAAAAACTAAGAGGATTGGACGAAATTATGTAATAAATGCCAAAGAGTTCTAATTTTCTAGTAGAAGAATCCCCAGTAAATCCATAATAATTTTTATGGGAAGACTTCTTAACTCAGAAGAAATCATGTGAGGTTGCAAATGCCAGTCATGGTCATCAAACACAAAGCCTTGCATGTAATGCCTTAGACATGGTAATTGGTTGATAAATGCTTATTTTTTTTAATGATAGGAAAGACCAATCTTCACATAGCTATGTGCCTGACTCATTTAAACTTTAAGTACCATTCTTATAAAATGATGTTTCATTTTAAAATTTTTTCTTTAACTGAAAAGAAAGCATAAAAAATATACTTTAATATATGTCATTTAAAAGTTTTCTGTAAATCTAAATTATGTTACTATAAAATAGAGAAAAAAGATAGGCTTCCATACATTTATATAATTATATATATAAATCTTTTATATAAAAACCTGACATGTACTAAAGTATTAAGAGACTTAGTAGAGCCAGATCAACACAATTGATAAATTATAACACCTACAGTATAGCAAAGCAGTATGACTGATATTACTATGTAACTGCAAATAATATTTTGGGCCATGTTCAAAGCAGGCCCTATGTAATGGACCTCAACTTACATTTTCCTGTCAATCTACTTTTAAAGAAGGTATGAAAATTAGAGAAAAGAAAGGAAAGAGTAATGGGAAGTTAAAGAAAAAAACTGTTTAAACTGAGTTATGTTGACTCAAACTTGGGGAAATTATCTTAAAACAGTTAGGATAACAGCCTAACAGGCCTTTTCATCCCCTGTCATGAGTACTACATGGAGCATAAAATTTTGAATCAAGGGAATGCTTTATTTGTTTAGTAAGAAAATGCCTCAATGTATTTGGCAAGAAAGCAGCTATTAAATACATACTCATTATTTACGGTAGTTCTGAAAAGACACAAAATTAAAATGCATTGATGCTAGCATTAGTATAATATCCACGTTCATCACAGAACCGCATTTCTTTAAAGATACTAGGTATGATTATTCATCCATAATGTAATAAGATTATTTTTAAAAATAATAAAAATAAACTGAAAACACCGGTTTTTCAAAAATGTAACAAATACAGACTGCGTTTTAATCAACTGTGACACTGGATTGAGCTGAAATAATCTGTAGTTTTCCCTTCAATTCTCACTTCTTTAGCATTGACAACAGTGGCCATACAGATATATACTTTAAAAAAGCATCGATAGTTTTAGAGGAGAATTAATTTTGTAAGTTGGCTTTTCCAATAAAACAGTTCTTCAGGTTAAAAGAGTAATTCCTGGAGTGTATAGAATTAACAAGCACTTAGAAATATGAGGTGGCTGCTTAAATTAGAAAAGGTCTGAATCGCCAAGAAAACAGTGTGAGAATCTAAACAATTCTTACTTGTTCTTGTCTTGAGCACTGAGGTATTTTTCTTATCCTCCTTTTATACAGTCTTGCCTTAGCAGAAGCCACATATTATGAGTTCATTTAGCTTTATGTTTGTTTAAATGTGTTTCTATAATGGCATTATATCTTTTGGGACTATAGAATCATTTAGAAGAGAAATTACCTCATTCTTTATAATGGATTTTGTGAGAATATTACTTTTCTAATTTTTTATTCTATTGCATATACTTCTTATTACTGAATATATGGCATTGCTATTGACATTGCCCTTGTCCAAAGCTAGCAAGTCACTGGTGACTTAGAATCAGTGAAAACAATATCCTTTTAACTTTTAAATGGTGTTTTAGGATATACCATATTCTTGATTCATAAGACACAATGTGGTCTGTAAAATAATCTCTTGTTTAAAGAAGGAACTAGGCCAGTGTGCATGGAACACTAGTTGAGTTTTGGACACATCCTACAATCCTGTCCTCAGGTGCATCATTAACTGGCTCTGCACCTCTGATTTAACTTCATTTCCATTTGGAAAACAAGAAGGATGATGGTTATCAAAACAGGATTGTTTACAACCTACTGAGGTCATGATTCATGGCGTGTCCTGCATATTTAGTGCCTTACAATTTCTAAACAGATTTCATTTATATTACCTCATCTGTGTGGCGGCAACATAGGAATTTCTAGGTGAGATTCAGATTCAATGTCTTATGTAAATCTGTAACAAAATAGAATCCGGAGCAAAGCCTGACTCTGATTTCTCCTTGATGCTTTTAAATTCTGCATCTTGATAAAATAAATGTATTTATCAGTAACAATCCAAACCAATAGCTTCTCTCCCTCCTTCCTTGATGCTTTTAAATTCCGCATCTTGATAAATGTATTTATCAGTAACAATACAAACCAGTAGCCTTCTCTCTCCCTCCTTCCTTTCCTCCTCTTACCTCTGCTTACCTGCACTAGCTTATTCTTGCTGTCTGTATCATTAACTTTCTTACCTTCTTACTCTTTTTTTAACTACATGGAATCACACATTCAAACACACAATACATCAACAACAACAACAACAACAACAACAACAGCAACCCATAATTCTCAATTTTGTAGGCATGAAGAGATCCCTGGATCTTTTTATAGCCTTGAAGTGGAGTCAATTTGGAACTAGTTATAAAAACTAAAGAGTATGTGTTTGGGTCTTTGCAGTAACCCCCAGCAATACTGAATGTAACTACTATATCACATTTACTTACTGACAGTCATCTATAGTTCTGAAGTTTTTTGACCCAGATTTGGACACTTATGAAAATAAACAGTGTTTCAGTTTAATCTAATTGAAAAGAGAAAGCTTTGTCCTAATCTTGTCTTACTTTATTCAAATTTTGAACATGTTTACTTTCTCTTCTTAAGAGCTTTTTATATTTCAGGAATGCCAAATCACTTTTTTCCTCCATACTTTTCTATGTATGTGTTCAAAACTTTATATAGTCATGCCATTTCAATTTCTTTGGTCTTAAACTTATAATTACATTACATAAACTCTAGTAACTGTCCATGGTCTTTTAAAAATAGGCTCTCTTGGGCCTTAACATTGAATAGTTGCATATAATCTCTTTCCTGATTTGGTTAATTTGTATTTCTAATTCTCTGTACAATAATTTGATTAGTCCATTATATTGGGCAGGTGTAACTCATCTTCCCAGAGTTATAAATAACAAAGGTGAAACAAAAGAATTTCTTATTCACATTGATTTAATAAATGAGGTAGACAAAATATTAAAAATTACACATTATATAACTTGCCCAATAGAAGCATTTAAAGTATAGAATAGATACATTTACCATTTTTTTTTTAGCTGCCTGATTTGGAATGTTTAGTTTTGAAGCATTAATTTGGGAAACTTGGGGCCTAACATGTAGCTAGTACCTCATGCATAATAGGCATGCCATAAGTATTTGCTTTTGCTGTTCATTATTTGAAATTCCTTCCACCTCAAAGAAATATTGTTTTCTTCTGATTTAGAATCAGTTTGCCTGGTGCCAAAATAGCCAATTAATGAAACACTCTGCTGCATGATCAGGTGTAAAAAAAAAAAAAATGCTTTGCTATTTGGATGGATTTTTCATGTATTTGCAGTTGAATTAGCACTATGCAAAAAAAAGCCTCTCTCCTGATTAACTTTCAACTACAAACTTTTATTAATGTATGAAAGGTACACTGTATAGCAAAAAATTGTTGACTGCTCAACATCAGCAGTGCACTATGTCATCATGATTGTCTCTTTTAATTTAAGCCAGTGGGTCATTTGTTAGTGTCTTCCATAGACTGTGTTTGTGTTTGATTTATAGTTGCTTTATACATAATATTAACTACATCATGTCCAATAAGAGCAAAGTGATGAGCATATTGAACATATTAGTCAGAACACTTATACAATTCTGTGGAAAATAAAAGTAGTAATTTAAAAATGACTATAATGGTTAATTTTATATGCCAGCTTGACCAGGCCACGGATTGTCCAGATATTTGATCAGACATTATTCTAGATGTGTCTGTGAGGGTGTTTTTGGATGAGATTAACATTTGGATCAGCAAGTTGCCCACCCCATAAACACCGCCTGCCCCCCTCCCCGCCGCCCCCAGGCTAATGTGAGTGGGTCTCAGCCAATCAGTTGAAGTTCTGAACAGAACAAAAATGTCTGACCTTCCTGCAAGAGAAAGGGAACTCCTCTTGCCTGGATACTCTGAGCTAGGACATTGGTCTTCTTCTTGGCCTTTGTCATTAAGCTGAAACATTGGTTCCTCTTGTGTCTGGGAGCCTGCCAGCTTTTGGACTGAAACTGAACACCATCAGATTTCCTGGTTCTCAGGTGTTGGTACTTGGACTGTGACCAAGTACTTGGTACTTGGCTGTCCTGGGTCTCAAGCTTGCTGACTGCAGATCTTGAGACCTCTCAACCTTCATAATTGTGTGAGCCAATTCCTTATAACAAATCTCTTTATATATACATATGTGTGTGTGCTGTGTGTGTGTGTGTCTGTGTGTGTGAATATACACACACATATATTCTATTGGTTCTATTTCTCTGGAGAATCTTAATGAATAACAGTGACTAAAAGTATTTAAAAATTTATAAATGTCATTAACGAAATGAGTTACTCACCAATTATAAAGATGCTGAAGGAATGAAATAAGAAACATACAACATGTGAATTTTAACATTCTATGTAATCGATGGTGATCAGAAAGTGGTAAAACAAAGGTATTGATAAAAGATGAAAAGAAACATTTTTGAAGATGAGTATTGACAATAGATGTTTAGTGATCTAATACTTCAGAAGAAGGCTAAACATTTATTCCAAACTTTTATAGGCTAAGCATGATAAAAGCCATTGATGAAAGTTTGTTGCAACCCCCTAGATGTTTCCAGAGGTTCTGGTTTTCTTAGGCTCTCATAAGTTTGAGACAATGGTAAGAGGTCAGGCCTTCTAAGGGAGTGTGTGCAAACATTGGCATGCATCAGAATCACCTGAAGGGCTTGTTAAAATTTAGTTTGTTGGGCCTCAATCCAGAGTTTCTGATTCAACAGCCCCAGGATGGGGCACAGGATTTTTAATATCCAACAAATTCCTGGATAAAACTGATTCTCCTGGCCTGTGAGAACCACACTTTGAGAACTGCTATTTAATTGAGGGTGTTTCCTAAAAACAACTGTGGAGATCATCAATCATGGTTATTACATGTCTCAACAGTTTATTCAGATAGATGAAACCAGCCATTTTGGAAAAAGATCCTTGGTTGAATGGGTATCCAGAGAACAAGAGCATGCCTTCATCTGTCTTATCTTCTGTGTTGTCCATTTTGTATTGCTATAAAGAATACCTGAAACTGGCTAATTTATAAAGAGATTTATTTTTGGCTCATGGCTCTGCAGACTGTATAGGGAGCATGATGCCAGCATTTGCTTCTGGTTAGGATCTCAGGAAGCTTTTATTCATGATATAAGATGAAGAGGGGACAGGCATGTCTTATGGCAAGAGAGGGAGCAAGAGAGAGAGGGGGGAGGTCCCAGCCTCTTTTTAACAACCAGTTCTAATGTAAACTGCTTACCATGAGGAGGGCATGAGGGATCCAATTCCATGACCCAAACATTTCCCACTAGGCCCCACCCTGAACATTGAACATGAAATATGGAGGGGCCAAACATCCAAAGGATATCACCTTCTTTAAAGATCCTTCAAACATTTAAGGATCAGAAAGAACAATGAACATTTCTATAGAGGGAAAATGCATTTTGGGCCTTACAAGCTAAAGCTTAAACTTGCCTCTTTAGTCACTTTGCACTTAAAAACAATTAGAATTATGAATCACTTTTTTGGAAGCAGAGAAGCTGCTTTTTATGCACAGCTTCAATTTAGCCTCCCAATTAATGTCATCACATAGAAATATAGAGATTAAGCGTGATATCTTCATTTTTATATTTCCTAGAGATACTTCTAAATCTGTAGCTTCATGATTTGGTTTTAAATAATCACAGACTTGGTAAAGAAAATCTAATGACTTTTCTTACATATTGGTTTTAAAGAGGGCATTTAGACTCTGAAAACAGTAAACATCAGACGGTTTTAGCTGTGTTTACATTTCCTGTAGAATTCTTTCTTTATGCAGTGCCAAGTGATTATGGTTAACTTTCATTTCCTTGGGAATTGATTATCAAGTTTGAGGGTACTTCTATTTTATACATTCCCTGCTTTACCCTCTGGCTGGCTCGAAAAAAGAAGCAAAGCTCACATCAACCAATTTTGCAGCAAATAACAGGTTTGTTTAAATGAGAAGTTGAAATTGCTTTTCAAAATGAAATTTGGGGCATGTCCATGAATTTCAGTCACACATGCTATCTCTGCTTTCCTCTACCACAGAAAATTAAGAGTCAACTGTAATTATTTTTGCAAAGTATCTGTTTAAAATTTTTCCTTGTTTCTCTGAGGTGCGTAATGTTTCCTTAGGGGAAGAAAACCAAGTTACTGGCTATCTTAAAAAAAAAAAAAAGAGAGAGAGAGACACAATTAAATTATGTTTTGCAAGCCTGTGGGAGAAGCAGCAAGGCTTGGCCTGGAAAGTGCTGTTCAGTTTTCTGAATATGGAAATTTGAGGGTCAACATAACCAAATTTGGAAATAATAACAGAAAGCAAATTAAGTAAGTGCCTGAGGATGATATTGTTCATAGGTTTGATAATCTTACTCTACAAATGATTTGTCATTTGGTGTTTTCTCGCAATGGCCACTATGTGGAATTAGGATCAGTTGATCAATGTTAAATTGTATTAGAAAGTGCTGGTATCATAGAGTCTTAAAGTATTTTCGAGTTGGCTTTGGCTTTACTCATTATGTGATACTTTAAGTAGTTGAATACATATTTGGAATCCCATTGTTCTAAGCATTTTTATAAAATTTTTAATGATAAAGTAGAATGTTCACAGACTTACTGCTTTTGTTGAGTCTTACTGAAAAGTTAGATAGCAGACAAAAAGCAATTTGTTTTCTTTTTCAAACTTGTGTTAAAGATCAACTTTCTGAGGGCTCTGTTCTGTTCCATTGATCTATATCTCTGTTTTGGTACCGGTACCATGCTGTTTTGGTTACTCTAGCCTTGTAGTTGAGTTTGAAGTCAGGTAGCGTGATGCCTCCGGCTTTGTTCTTTTGGCTTAGGATTGACTTGGCAATGCGGGCTCTTTTTTGGTTCCATATGAACTTTAAAGTAATGTTTTCCAATTCTGTGAAGAAAGTCATTGGTAGCTTGATGGGGATGGCATTGAATCTATAAATTACCTTGGGCAGTATGGCCATTTTCATGATATTGATTCTTCCTGCCCATGAGCATTGAACGTTCTTCCATTTGTTTGTATCGTCTTTTATTTCATTGCACAGTGGTTTGTAGTTCTCCTTGAAGAGGTCCTTCACATCCCTTGTAAGTTGGATTCCTAGGTATTTTATTCTCTTTGAAGCAATTGTGAATGGGAGTTCACTCATGATTTGCTCTCTGTTTGTCTGTTATTGGTGTATAAGAATGCTTGTGATTTCTGCACATTGATTTTGTATCCTGAGAATTTGCTGAAGTTGCTTATCAGCTTAAGAAGATTTTGGGCTGAGACAATGGGGTTTTCTAGATATACAATCATGTCATCTGCAAACAGGGACAATTTGACTTCCTCTTTTCCTAATTGAATACCTTTTATTTCCTTCTCCTGCCTAATTGCCCTGGCCAGAACTTCCAACACTATGTTGAATAGGAGTGGTGAGAGAGGGCATCCCTGTCTTTTGCCAGTTTTCAAAGGGAATGCTTCCAGTTTTTGCCCATTCAGTATGATATTGGCTGTGGGTTTGTCATAGATAGCTCTTATTATTTTGAGATACTTCCCATCAATACCTAATTTATTGAGAGCTTTTAGCATGAAGGGTTGTTGAATTTTGTCAAAGGCCTTTTCTGCATCTATTGAGATAATCATGTGGTTTTTGTCTTTGGTTCTGTTATATGCTGGATTACATTTATTGATTTGCATATATTGAACCAGCCTTGCATCCCAGGGATAAAGCCCACTTGATCATGGTGGATAAGCTTTTTGAATGTGCTGCTGGATTCGGTTTGCCAGTATTTTATTGAGGATTTTTGCATCAATATTCATCAAGGATATTGGTCTAAAATTCTCTTTTTTTGTTGTGTCTCTGCCCGGCTTTGGTATCAGGATGATGCTGGCCTCATAAAATGAGTTAGGGAGGATTCCCTCTTTTTCTATTGATTGGAATAGTTTCAGAAGTAATGGTACCAGCTCCTCCTTGTACCTCTGGTAGAATTTGGCTGTGAATCCATCTGGTCCTGGACTCTTTTTGGCTGGTAAGCTATTGATTATTGCCACAATTTCAGAGCCTGTTATTGGTCTATTCAGAGATTCAACTTCTTCCTGGTTTAGTCTTGGGAGAGTGTATGTGTTGAGGAATTTATCCATTTCTTCTAGATTTTCTAGTTTATTTGCATAGAGGTGTTTGTAGTATTCTCTGATGGTAGTTTGTATTTCTGTGGGATCGGTGGTGATATCCCCTTTATCATTTTTTATTTCATCTATTTGATTCTTCACTCTTTTCTTCTTTATTAGTCTTGCTATCGGTCTATCAATTTTGTTGATCCTTTCAAAAAACCAGCTCCTGGATTCATTAATTTTTTGAAAGGTTTTTTGTGTCTCTATTTGCTTCAGTTCTGCTCGGATCTTAGTTATTTCTTGCCTTCTGTTAGCTTTTGAATGTGTTTGCCCTTGCTTTTCTAGTTCTTTTAATTGTGATGTTAGGGTATCAATTTTGGATCTTTCCTTCTTTCTCTTGTGGGCATTTAGTGCTATAAATTTCCCTCTGCGCACTGCTTTGAATGCGTCCCAGAGATTCTGGTATGTTGTGTCTTTGTTCTCATTGGTTTCAAAGAACATCTTATTTCTGCCTTCATTTCGTTATGTACCCAGTAGTCATTCAGGAGCAGGTTGTTCAGTTTCCATGTAGTTGAGCGGTTTTGAGTGAGTTTCTTAATCCTGAGTTCTACTTTGATTGCACTGTGGTCTGAGAGACAGTTTGTTATAATTTCCGTACTTTTACATTTTGACAAACCTGAGAAAAACAAGCAATGGGGAAAGGATTCTCTATTTAATAAATGGTGCTGGGAAAACTGGCTAGCCATATGTAGAAAGCTGAAACTGGATCCCTTCCTTACACCTTATACAAAAATTAATTCAAGATGGATTAAAGACTTAAACATTAGACCTAAAACCATAAAAACCCTAGAAGAAAACCTAGGCATTACCATTCAGGACATAGGCATGGGCAAGGACTTCATGTCTAAAACACCAAAAGCAATGGCAACAAAAGACAAAATTGACAAATGGGATCTAATTAAACTAAAGAGCTTCTGCACAGCAAAAGAAACTACCATCAGAGTGAACAGGCAACCTACAAAATGGGAGAAAATTTTCACAACCTACTCATCTGACAGAGGGCTAATATCCAGAATCTACAATGAACTCAAAGAAATTTACAAGAAAAAAACAAACAACCCCATCAAAAAGTGGGCGAAGGACATGAACAGACACTTCTCAAAAGAAGACATTTATGCAGCCAAAAAACACGTGAAAAAATGCTCACCATCACTGGCCATCAAAGAAATGCAAATCAAAACCACAATGAGATACCATCTCACACCAGTTAGAATGGCAATCACTAAAAAGTCAGGAAACAACAGGTGCTGGAGAGGATGTGGGGAGAAATAGGAGCACTTTTACACTGTTGGTGGGACTGTAAACTAGTTCAACCATTGTGGAAGTCAGTGTAGCGATTCCTCAGAGATCTAGAACTAGAAATACCATTTGACCCAGCCATCCCATTACTGGGTGTATACCCAAAGGAGTATAAATCATGCTGCTATGAAGACACATGCACACGTATGTTTATTGCGGTACTATTCACAATAGCAAAGACTTGGAACCAACCCAAATGTCCAATAATGATAGACTGGATTAAGAAAATGTGGCACATATACACCATGGAATACTATGCAGCCATAAAAAATGATGAGTTCATGTCCTTTGTAGGGACATGGATGAAATTGGAAATCATCATTCTCAGTAAACTGTCGCAAGGACAAAAAACCAAACACTGCATGTTCTCACTCATAGGTGGGAATTGAACAATGAGAACACATGGACACAGGAAGGGGAACATCACACTCTGGGGACTGTTGTGGGGTGGGGGGAGGCGGGAGGGATAGCATTAGGAGATATACCTAATGCTAAATAACGAGTTAATGGGTGCAGCACACCAGCATGGCACATATATACATATGTAACTAACTTGCACATTGTGCACATGTACCCTAAAACTTAAAGTATAATAATAATAAAATTTTTTAAAAAATTAAAAAAAAAAGAATCTCAAAAAAAAAAACCCAATTGGTTACAATACTGCACGCTTTGTTTTATTTGACAATCTTGAAATGAAATCATACAGATGGAGAACAGATCGGTGGTAGCCATGGAATAATGAGGGGATTGGGCAGGGGTGTGGACATAAAAGGACAACATGAGAGATCTGTGTTGTGAAGAAGATGTTCTATATTTAACTCCAGTATTCTCATTATGACATTGTATTTATTTGAAGGATGTTACTATTGGGGGAAAATGAGTAAAGGGCACCTGGAATCTCTCTGTATTATTTCTTACAGCTTCTTGTAAATCTACAATTATCTTAAAATAAAAAGTTTAATTAAAATAAAAAAGATCAACTCTCTATGTTTGCAATGAGTTAAAATATAGTCTCCATAGTCTTTAAGAATTTTTCCCATATATAGTAGGTCTTACTGATCACATTTCATAAAGAATGGCAATCCAGTGGTGTTGAAGAAACTGATGTTAATAGAAAGAGCAATAGACTAAGAATCTGAAGACTTCACTTTTAGCCATGACAGCTACTAGAAGGGTGCCCCTAGGCAAAGCATTCGCTACCTTTGAATCTGTTTCTTTCTTTGAAAAGTAAAGAGAGCAGTATTTTCTCTGGCCCCAAATAGCCTTATGGTAAGAATCAAATTGAGTATTATTCATAAAAGTCTGTGAAAAGTTCCCTCATACTTTGGATGATCCCTGTGAAGCTACCAGGTATCATCAAGTCAAGCTTCTTCACAGATGTCAGCTGAAGATGAGAGCTTTTGCCAGTGTCCCCCTGGTTGGCCAATCTAATCAAGTTTATTCCTGGCTAGCACCAATATAATGGCTAGATTTTGACTTGGGTCCATCTAGCTGAGACTTGTTCTCTACAACTTTCAAAGGGGTACTTTGTCAGGTCTCAAGAGAAAACAACAAGAGCAACAAATAGAAAAACCCCCAAACAAGCCTATACAATGAACTATACAATGAACTCAGGCACATTTGTAACTGGACAGAATGTTTATTACACAGTTCTAGTCTTACTTCTTACTCTTCCCTCATTAAGATATTTGTTTCTGTCTTTTTGAATTCTTTATTTTTCCTACCCCATATTTGCGTTGCTAAAATTTGGCTAGTAGTATCACAGGTTGTCCATGGCTATAATGATCTCAGCAGTTTTAAAGTCGTCTAGCTCTCTCCACCAGAACATAATGGGAAGCTATAAAGTTCCAAACAGGTGTACTATTATTTTGAGACTTACGTTGGATAGCAAAAGTTACATAAGCAGTATTTTGGTTCTTCAGCTCACTCTGTTCCATTGACTACCTTTCAGTTTTCAGTTGGAAACTGGCCTCATACTTTCTCTAACTGCCCGAACAGGGTTGGTTGTCCTTGTTTCCTTATCCCACTAAGCTTGACATCACCCTACTATAACTACCTGGTTAATTGTCAGTATTTCTCACTAAACTGTAAGCTCCATAAAGATACAGACTATATCTCTGATTCATTATCATATCTCTAGCATTTAGAGACGTGCCTGGCATATAATAGTTGTTCAACAAAGATTAGTTTAATGAATGAATACATGAAGACATGAATTAACACAATAAAGTATGATTCTTTCCATGTATTATTTTGGCATTTTATCCTAGATATATGGTTTCTTTTTTCTCCTCTATTAATTTGTTGATATGACTATTCTAAGGCTACTCTAATTCTCAAGCAGATTTCACTCTTGTTTTTAAGAACCACTATGTTCTCCATAGAAGCCAAACAGCATAGTTTTCAAGTAATAATCCAAATCAACCTTCTAATATATGTCCAGAAAGATTAGAAAAGAAATTAAAGCCTTGGACCACTTCTGGCTCCTTTCTCTAACCAGCTTATCAGTGTACAATGTGCGATCAGGCAAAGCACGATGTATATTAAGTTTTCATTGTTTCTCCATCCTTTGCACTGCCTACCTTCTATTTCTGCTCTGCTTCATTTGATTTATTTCCCATTTCTGGAGTTCATTATCCATTGTTAAAGAGTAACTATCCTATATGTATATGTTAGCTATTTGTAACACATTCCATATAATGATTTTACTTCATGTATGAAAATTGTTTTTTTATCCAAGCTTTTTCATACAGCTTTTTAAAAAATTTGATACCACGTATCAAGAACCTTAAAACTACTTATAATCGTAGGTAGTAACATCACCTCTAGGAAAAATAATCATAGATATGTATACAAATTTGACCCTCACTCATTGCAATACTGTTTTTAAGAGCTGAAAATTTTTAAATTACACTAATATGTATACCAGGAACCAAATGATTAAGTAAAGTAGAATATATTAGTAAAATGCAGTGACCAAAATCATGCTTATAACAAGACATTATGCCTCAGAGAAATTCACATGGGTTTTTATTATATCTACGTATGAAATTTATACATAGAATAAAGTAAGGAAGAATGAATCATGAGTGATTGTTTTGTTTTTTAGTATTTTTTACTATGAGAATTAATATTCTTGAAATCATAAAAGTTAGTTTAAATAAAAGTGCTTTTAAAAAGTTTCAAGCATAGCTTAACTCAGTATACCTTCCCTTTTCTTATTTTTTTGTTTTTACTTAGGCACGTATTAATAATTGTTAGAATAGAATAAAGAGAATCTTCTAATATACTTTGCTATTTTTTATTGAAAAAATGTAGTAATCAAGGTACTAACACTGACAATGCAAAGTAAGTTTGTTTTTTAAAATGATAAATGTATCATTTCAAGATAATTTGAATGCTAATGATTCCAAGATTTATACCAAGAAAATTATTCAAAAGTAGAAAAACATACTAGTGCATAAAGCTATTTATCTTAAAATTATCTATGAAAGTTCTTTCAATTACTGATTAAGATCTAAAAAAAGATACATAATCAACGAAAATGGAAGTTATGACTGCCAATAATTTGGAGAATGTTTCCATTATAATGGAATTCAATTCTATAGTGTTTCTACACCAACATTACACTTCCGTAAAATATATAGCCAAAGACAAAAAAGAAATAGGGAAAAATTAAGGTTTCATAAAATAAAATTAAATGTTAGTGCTGTATATAACTGGTGAGGATAACTACTGGTGAAAGGAGAAAAGTAGAATGGTTGTGTGTATATACATATATCAACATGGGTCCACACATATATAATGAATATGTAAGTGTCACTTCTCAATAATATATAATTATTCATGGTTTGGAATGAGAGATGGTGGACTAATAGACTCTATGACTAAATAGACACTCTCTGGTAGCCTTTGCATATTTTGTTCTCCAGTTGCTACAGACTGAAAAACTATGAAATATAATTCCTGAAATGCACTGCTCATCCCTGATAGCACCCAGTGATTACTGCAGTATCAATTCCATGAAAATGTCAAAAAAATGTTGCAATGTATTATATGTGCTGCTGGTGGCTTTGTTATTTTGAAGGAAACATTAGGAATATCAGAATAAATTTTGTAGTGTAATAATCAGTAAAAGGGAGATTAGTCATGACACCTAGGAAGATTTAAATCAAGTGTGTGGTTAATCCACATTTATATAACTCTTGGAAACAACATGTTATGCATTAAGGCTATTTCTTTCTATATTTAAGTTACTGATTCTAAGTCAGTAGTGGTGTTAACTGTTTCCTTCCATTGAATCAGTGAAATTTACCCATTGACATGGTAATCGTGCTAAGGTCTCTTAGCTACCTATTTAACAAAGAAACCTCAATAAAGTATCAGTTTTTATTAGAAAATAGTTTGTGGTCATCTCAGTTATGCCTTACAAGCATATTTCCAACTATTCAGCAAAAGTTGTTCAAAGCCAGAAAGAGTTGGTACAAATGGCGGGGCACAGTGGCTCACGCCTGTAGTCTCAGCACTTTGGGAGGCAGAGATGGGCAGATCATGAGGTCAGGAGATTGAGACCATCCTGGCCAACAGGGTGAAACCCCATCTGTACTAAAAATACAAAAATTAGCTGTGTGTGGTAGCGCGTGCCTATAATCCCAGCTACTTAGGAGGCTGAGGCAGGAAAATCGCTTGAACCCGGGAGGCGGATATTGCAGTGAGCAGAGATCAGGCCACTGCACTCCAGCTTGGGCGAGAGAGTGAGACTGTGTCTGGAAAAAAAAAAAAAAAAAAAAAGAGTTGGTACAAATAAAATCTTGGCTTTAACTGAAGGTAGAAGAGGTAACCATGGTAACCAAATAGAAGAAAATGGGAAGAGACTAAATGCTTACATGCTTGTGTGTTCAAAATGTGTGCTAATTTAGTTCCATTCAAATTTGCAGTGTTGCTTAATGGTTAGAGTTCTAGAACCAGATGGCCAGATTTTCTAATTTTGTGTCTACTATATATTATCTGTGTAACCTTGCTCATTTACCACTCTGTGTCTAGATTACTATTCTGTAAGTGATTTTGGGAATTAAATTATTTAAGGCATGACTGGTACGTAGTAGGTACTCAGTAAATGTCAGCATTTATTATTATTAAACCTTTATTGAGCACTTATAGTTATTGTAAGCTGCTTGAAGGCAGATACAAATGCATTTCACATGTGTATACACACAACCATTCTAATTTTCTCTCTTCACCAGTAGTTACCCTCACCAGTCATATACAGTACTAACATATAATTTTATTTTATGAAACCTTAATTTTTCCCCATTTCTTTTTTGTCTTTGCCTATATATTTTACAGAAGTGCAATGATGGTGTAGACACACTATAGAATTGAATTCCATTATAAAATAAATGGAAATAAATAAAATTTGGCAATTAGATGATAATACACACTTTTCTGCAAAGCAAAATACATTCAGTAAAAGTAAGATTCATAAGTGTTATTAAAGAAAAATGATAATAATTTTAGAAAAGTAGTATCAGCAAAGTGTTGCTAAGATAGAATTTATATAGACCTTAAGGAAGTGCTAGTGTTTCGATTGTTGGTAACTAAAGTATTTGAGGCAAAAGCAACATAGAAGTAAGAAAATACTACAAGATTCTTTGGAACCCACTAAGCCAACTAGTTACTAGTTTAAAGGAAAAAGATAATGGAAAGGTAGAAGGGCTCCATATAGTAGATGAGAAAACAAAGCTAATATCTTGCCCTGTCACCATGTGTCTATGCACACCATGAATTTCATTTATAAATAAAGTACTTTACACCCTAAAATAAACAAAAAGGAAGACTACTTTGTCTAGTTCTAGTCCCCCAAATAAATAAAGCCTTGGGCCCTTTAAGTTGGTAAGTTTTTAAAGAAAACTCTACATCTCAGACATTTTTGTGATGTTTATGTCTGCAGATCTGTGATGACCCGTGTAAGCAGATTATTCATGTGGATTTTCCCACCCCTACACAGCCTACTCCAAGCTGGTAGCCTTGTGTTGTTGTTTCTTGTCTTTAAATACCTGCTGTGTCCTTTATACTGGAAGACTAGTTCTTCTGAAGTGTAGACTCCCTTCAAATAATTGCATGTAAAAATACTCTAAAAAGTATTTTTGACTCACTCTGAGTCTTCTTTTGAGTTTTGACATCAAGCACATTATGAGTTGGCAGAAGTAGCTGACAGCAGGTGATCAAGCAGTTGGAGGTATTTCTTTTAAGCAGAAGGCTACAAATGAGGAATATTAACCAGACAGTCATTTAAGAATAGACTGTAACTAGGAAGAGTTCTGAGGCCAGTAGACCAGCTAAGCAGCTACACACTGGTCTAGTTGAGTGAGGGATGACAGAGCCCTAGAGGAGAGAGAATGGGTAGAAAGAATCAAAGTCGAAAGACATGGAATCTGTAAGATTTGATAGTGGACTTGATGTGAAGGAGGAAACGGTTAACATTCAAGCTTCATATCTGGATGACTAGAGAAATGGTCAGGGCATTAAAAGGAACATTAAGAGCTGCTGACTTCTATGGGCAATGCTGAGTTAGGGACCTGAAGAGTTTTGTATCTGGGTCATTTGTGCCAAGCTATCTAATAGGCAGTTAAAAATGCAGAACTTGGAAACTATCTGTGTATCATCAGTATGGTTTAAAGGTATCTCCATAAAGGTGACACCCAAACTGATAAAAATAGACAAGATTAATGAAAAATAAGAATAGCAAGAAGTGAGGACTAGGATTTACATGACTTTGAGCATAATCTGGATCAGATTACTTACCTGTGTCTCATTGTCTACTCTTATAAAAAATGTGATGATAAACTTCTTAAATACAAATGAAATAAGGTATGCAGAAATATTGCTTCACAAATGCCATTGTTGTTGCTATTAAGGGGAGAAGGAAGAAGGTCTAGTGAGTGATACCAAGAAGTAGAAACTGTAATAGAACGACGGGAGTGGACACTGTCAGAGAGGCCAAAGGAAACGAGTCTCAAGAAACAAGATTCTCAGAACCCTTGGGTGTTAAGATTTGCAAGTCACTGATGCCTTATCAGTGCTGTTTCAATAAACAGAGTTATGAAGACAGGAATCATCAGGTTGAAAAGAATGAACAGACAATTGGAAAATGTAAATAGTGAATATATTTTAAAATATGTCTACATATATTTTTATGAGGAGAGAGACAATTACAGTGGGGAGGTGGAAATTAGGGCATGTTAATGTATTTTAAGCAAGGTTAACATGGAGAAATGTTCTAAGTAAAAAGATATTCAAGTTCCTAAAGCATTTAGAAATGGAATATACCCATTTTACTTAAGCGGGTTTTAAAAATGCCACCAATATGTCATATCATTTATAGCATGTTATTTCTTCATTACTTCTTAAATGTTCCTTTTTTTGTTTGAAATAGTTGCCTTCTTTTGAATCCATAATCTTCTGTGAGCATTATTTAATATTTAATTTAATTGAGCTTTTAGCACTTCATTTCCTCTGATATTAGGCATTTTCCTCTTAAAGACTTCTGTGAATCGAGTTGATATTTTCATGAGAAGCACTATAAAATAGTTCAAGTAAGTTTAGGGTTAATGCTAATTTCCTAAGATAATGTTGTCTTAAGAAAAGTTAACATTGGCATATTAAAGAGGTATACTTGCCACAAATGAAAAGAATAGGGTCTTTTTTTTTATTATTTTTATTATTATACTTTAAGTTCTAGGGTACATGTGTACAACGTGCAGGTTTGTTACATATGTATACATGTGCTATGTTGGTGTGCTGCACCCATTAACTCGTCATTTACATTAGGTATATCTCCTAATGCTATCCCTCCCACCTCCCCCCACCCCACAACAGGACCCAGTGTGTGATGTTCCCCTTCCTGTGTCCAAGTGTTCTCATTGTTCAATTCCCACCTATGAGTAAGAACATGCAGTGTTTGGTTTTTTGTCCTTGCAATAGTTTGCTGAGAATGATGGTTTCCAGCTTCATCCATGCCCCTAAAAGGACACGAACTCATCGTTTTTTATGGCTGCATAGTATTCCATGGTGAAAATAGGGTCATTGTTAAATACTACCTTCAGTTAACTTTTTTAAAATTGAACCTTTTATTTTGAGATAATTGGAGATTCTCATGTAGTTGTATGACATCATACAGAGGGATCCTACTTATCCTTTACCCAGTTGTCCACAAAGATAACATCTTGCAAAACAATAGTACAATATCACAACCAAGATATTGACCTTGGCAGAGTCAAGATACAGAACATGTTTTTCATCATGAAGATCCCATGTTGTCCTTTTATAGCCACCATATTTCCCTACCACCTGCATCCTCTCCTTTACCCTTGGCAACAAGTAATCTGTTCTCCATTTCTATAATTTTTTCATGTCAAGAATGTCATATAAATGAAATCATACAGTAGGCAAGCTTTTGGGGTTCAGTTTTTTTCATTTGGCATAATTCTCTGGTGATTCATCTAGATTCTTACAGGGTTTTCTTTGTTTTGTTTTGTTTTGCTTTTTTTTTTTTTTTTTTTTTTTTTTTGAGATGAAGTCTCACTTTGTTGCCCAGGCTGGAGTGCAGTGGCACGATCTCGGCTCACTGCAACCTTCACCTCCCGGGTTCAAGAAGCTGGGACTACAAGTGCACACCACCACACCCAGCTAAAATTTTTGTATTTTTAATAGAGATGGGGTTTCATCATGTTAACCAGGATGGTCTCAATCTCCTGACCTCGTGATCCGCCTGCCTCGGCCTCCCAAAGTGCTGAATTACAGGCGTGAGTCACCGCGCCCGGCCTATTCTTACAGGTTTTTAATAGCTTGTTTCTTTTCATTGCTAATTAGTATTTCATGGTATGGTTGTACCATAGTTCGTTTAAGCATTCCCTCTTGAAGGACAGACGTCTAGGTTGTTTCTAGTTTGGGGTTATTACAAATAAAGGTGCTATAACATGTGCAGGTTTTTGTGTGAATATAACTTGTCATTTCCCTGGGATAAATGCCCAACAGTGCAATTACTGGCTTTTGTGGTAGTTGTATGTTTAACTTTGTTTGTTTGTTTGTTTAGAGAACGATCAATTTGTTTTCCATAGTGACTGTACCATTATACATCCCACGACTAATCTATGAGTGATCCAGGTTCTCCACAATTTTGCATTGTCACTATTTTTTATTTTAGCTGTCGTGATAGGTGTATAGTAATATCTCATTGTGGTACTAATTTGTAATGCTGTAATGGCTAATGATGTTGAACATTATTGTATGTGCTTATTTGCCATCCGTATATCCACTTACTCTTGCTGTCATTTGCCCGTTTGACCAGGGGGTTATTTGGATATTTTGTTGTTGAGTTTTGAGTTCTTTATTTTTCTAGATAAAAGTCCTTTGTCAGATATGTGGTGATATGCAAATATTTTTTCCCAGGCCGTATTTTGTCTTTTCGTGCTCTTAACAGAGTCTTTCATACAGCAAATGATCTTAATTATATGAAGCCCAGTTTATCAATTTTCCCTTCTATGGGTTGTGCTTTTGGTGTCAAGTCTAAGAATTCTGCCTAGTCCTAGATCCCAAAGATTTTCTTCTAAGAGGTTTATAGTTTTACATTTTACATTTAAGTCCATAATCCATTTGAGTTAATTTTTGTAAAATGCGTGAGGTTAAGGCCAAAGTCGTTTTTTAAAAACCACTTTTTGCCTATGGATATTCAGTTGCTCAAGCACCATTTGTTGAAAAAGCTCTTCCTTTCATTTAATTGTGTTTGCACCTGTGTCAAAAATTTATTGGACATATTTTTGTTCTCTATTCTGTGTAATTGAACTTGTAGTACAAAAACTCCTGAAAAGATTACCTCCAAGAGTTAAAATAGTTTCATGGAGAAATCTATGAAATATTTAAAGAAGGATTAATATCAGTTCTGCACAATCTCCTTCAGAAAATAGAAAAGGAATGAGCACTTTCCAATTGGTTGTTTGATTTCTTTTTTTTAATAGACTTAATTTTTAGAGTAGTTTTAGGTTCACAGTGAAGTTGAGCAGAAGGTACAGAGATTTCTTATATACCCTCCACCTTCATATATGCATAGCCCTCCACCATGATTAACGTCACCCACTGGAGGGATACATTTGTTATAATTGCTGAACACGTACATTATCACTCAGAGATCATAGTTTACATAGGGTTCTCTCTTGGTGTTGTATATTCTATGAGTCTGGACAAATGTATAGTAACCACGTATTCACCATTATAGCATCATACAGTGCAGTTTCACTGCTCTAAAAATCACATATGCTCTGCCTATTTATGCCTTCCTTTTCCCAATCCCTGGCAATCACTGATCTTCTTAAAGTCGCCAAACTTTTGCCTTTCCCAAATACCATATAGTTGGAATCATACAGTATGTAGCCTTTTCACATTGGCATCTTTCACTTAGTAATGTGCATTTAAATTTCCTTCATATCTTTTCAGACAGCTCATTTCTTTTTAGCACTAAATATTTCATTTTTTGGATGTGCCACAGTTTATCCATTTACCTACTAAAGGACATCTTGGTTGCTTCCAAGTTTTGGCAATTGTGAATAAAGATTCTACAAACATCCACATGCAGGTTTTTGTGTGGACATGTTTTCAGCTCCTTTGGATAAATATCAAGGAGTGTAATTGCTAGATCACATGCTAAGAGTACGTTTAGTATCATTAGAAACTGCCAAACTCTTCCAAACTAGCTGTACAATTTTGCATTCCCACCAGCAATGAATAAGAGTTCCTTTTACTCCACATCCTTGCAGCATTTGTTGTCTGTGTTCTGGATTTTGGCCATTCTAATAGACATGTAGTAGTATCTCATTGTTATTTTAACTTGCTTTGCCCTGATGACATATGATATGGATCATCATTTGATATTCTTATTTGCCATCTCCTGTATCTTCTTGAAGAGGTATCTGTTAATGTGTTTGGCCTATTTCCTTTTTTTTTTTTTTTATACTGGGTTTTATGTTTTCTTATTGTTGAGTTTTAAGAGTTCTTTGTATATTTTAAATAACAGTTATTTATCATATACACTTTTTGCCAATATTTTCTCTCAGTCTGTGGCTTGTCTTTTCATCCTCTTGACAGTGTTTTTTGCATATCATAAATTTTAAACTTATTTTTTTATTTCATTGAAGTATAATTGGCAAATAAAATTATATATACTTAAGATGTAAAACGTGATTATTTTTAATTGTATATATTTAGGTGTATAATGTTTTGATATACATTGTGAAATTATAGCAGTCAAATATGTTCATCTCCTTGCTTACTTTTTCTCTGGTGAGAGCACCTGAAGTCTACTCTCTAGCAAATTAGTTCTCATGCTGTACATTAGATCTCTAGATTTACATTTTACATAACTGCAACTTTGTACTCTTTGACCAGCATCTCCCCATTTCCCCCAGTACCCTGCCCCTGGTAGAGTAGAACCACTGTTCTACTCTCTGTTTCTGTGTATTAGACTTTTTAAGACTCTAGATATCATGTAGTAATTTTCTTTCTGTGTGTGGCTTATTTCACTTAGCATAATGTCCTCCAGGTCCATCCATGTTGTTGCAAATGCAAGGATCTACTTTTTAAAGGATGAATAACATTTCATTGTATATGGATACCCAACATTTTCTTTATCCATTCATCTGTTGATGGACACTTAGGTTGATTCCAATGAGAAAAATACCATTCTATTCATTGTACCTGAGAAGACACAGAGGTCCAGAATTCATGTAACTTGCCTAAAGCAACACAGTTAGGAAAAGATGGAGTCAGGAATCAATCCCAAGTCTGTCAGGTACATAAGTCCTTGTTTTTGACCACTCTAGTATAATGGACAGCCTCTTAGGCTGTTTTTTGTAATGTGTTTTGATGTATAGTTTAATGGGGATCCCCACTTTTATTTTTCCCTCAAGTGCAATAGCAATTTTTTCAAACCTCTTTTCTTTTTCTTTTTTTTTTTTTTTTTGAGACGGAGTCTTGCTCTGTCGCCCAGGCTGGAGTGCAGTGGCGCGATCTCGGCTCACTGCAAGCTCCGCCTCCCGGGTTCAGGCCATTCTCCTGCCTCAGCCTCCCGAGTAGCTGGGACTACAGGCGCCCGCCACCGCGCCTGGCTAATTTTTTATATTTTTAGTAGAGACAGGGTTTCACCGTGTTAGCCAGGATGGTCTCGATCTCCTGACCTCGTGATCCGCCCGCCTCGGCCTCCCAAAGTGCTGGGATTACAGGCGTGAGCCACTGCGCCCGGCCAAACCTCTTTTCTTTCTAAACACATATCTTCTCTGATTTGTGATGCTCCTTTTATTATTGTTTAAATTGCTATACATATTGGAGTCTGTGCATGGAAAGGGGCAAACTTACTGCTCATTCCCTTCTGGTGATGCCGCCCTGAAGGATATGAGAGACATTTCCTGGCTGTTTCAGACGTATTCTCTATGCTGTAAGAGCAGGTTACCTGCATTTTTTTCTGGTGGTTTTTTTTTTTTTTTTTTTTTGGTTGTTTTTTTTTGTTTGTTTTTTGTTTTGTTTTGTTTTGTTTTGTTTTTTGTATAAGCCAAGGCTGAGATTGCATGGTAGGAAAGAAAGGAGAGAATGATGAAGCTTCTACCGACTCCTTTTCGGTCAGGGGATTCCCTTCCATGCTGAGGTAGATCATATTGGAGGTGACAAAGTCAGCCTCAGGGCCTTGATAACTGAAAGGAGAATTTTCCAGGTTTTGACAATAGGTTTTCCGTTGTCTTGCGTTTTAGTAATACTATCACTTTTTTAGCCTTTTTCTGCCTGAATGGCATTTTTAAAATTTCTTTTTAAAATTTTTAATTTTTGTGGGCACAGAGTAGGTATATTATATTTATGGTATACACAAGATATTTTGTTACGGGCATGCGATATATAAAAGTCACATCAGGGTAAATGAGGTTTCTATCACCTCAAGCATTTATCCTGAAACAGCATTTTTATGGGTGTGGCTAGAGGCTTTGTAGCAGCTAAAACAGACCCGTTCAAGGCACAGGTCTTGAATTTGTTGTTTTAAATAACATTTTTCTATTACATTGAAATCAGCACACTTGGTATTTATGTGAAACCCTGTATAGGAATTCTGACAAAACAGAGAACAAGAGAGCAGTAGAGCAATAAATACAAATGTTATTAAAATCTCAATTTGTAACCTCGTTCCAGTTGCGATGCAAAATATATGCTATATATATATATATATATATATATATATATATATATATATATATACATATATGTAAAAGTACACACAAATAATTACAAAGAGTAGTAACAGGTAAACAATTAAAATTGTATTAACTCGAAATGGGGCTATGGGCTAGTAACATCTGTTAGGTAGGGGAAAAGTGTTTAAGCACAGAACTCAACTTGGGAAACGTTGGCATAATTACATTTAAACAAGAATTTCTGGCTATATGACCTTTCAAAACTTTATAAATTTATATTATGACTCCAGAAAATGCAACATTCCCCAAACCTATTTGATATGTAATTATAGAGAGCATCTTGTGGGACCAGGTTCATTCAAGACTCAGGTTGGGAGGTGCTGATATATCTATTTAACATAATTTAAATAATATTCACTGTGTGCCACATACTATTTTAGGCAATTTATAAATGTTACCAATTTAATCCTCATAATTCCTCATATGAGGAAGGTAGTATGTTATCCCAGTTTTACAGCTAAAGTAACTGAAACACAGAGTAAGAAATTTGTCCAAGCTTGCCCAGCTAGTAAGTGATAGAGCCAGGGTTTGTACCCAGGCAGCTGTCTCAAGAATTCATGCTCTTTATTTCTATGCAGATACACAAAGTAAGTGCTATTAACCTTAATCCTAGGGATTTAGGATAATTCTGGATAATTAAACATCCTAGTTTTAACCATTGTTGCTAAAATACTATTATTTTGCCTTCCCAGCTGAACAATTTCTTGTAATTTTCAGGGTATCACTGTAAGGAGCAATATTCATTATTGAATACTTCCTCATTTATTTTATAACTATCTCTTGCACATTCCTTGCATTTATTCAAAGATAAATAAAAAGAATCTTTTGACCTCAGAGTACTAAAAGTCTAATGAGGATGGACAAGTGGTATGGGAAGATTCAGAGACTGAACTGATTAAATATTCTTTATCCTTGTTTTTTTTTTTTTTTTTATCATACTTCAAGTTCTGAGATACAGGTGCAGAACATGCAGGTTTATTACATAGGTGTACACATGCCATGGTGGTTTGCAGCACCCATCAACTACATTAGGTATTTCTCCTAATGCTATCCCTCCCCTAGCCCCCAAACCCCTGACAGGCCCCAGTGTGTGATGTCCCCCTCCCTGTGTCCATGTGTTCTCATTATTCAACTCCCACTTATGAGTGAGAACATGCAGTGTTTGGTTTTCTGTTCCTGTGTTAGTTTGCTGAGAAAGATGGTTTCCAGCTTCATCCATGTCCCTGCAAAGGACATGAACTCATCCTTTTCTATGTCTGGATAGTATTCCATAATGTATATGTGCCACATTTTCTTTATCCAGTCTACACTGATGGGCATTTGGGTTGGTTCCAAGTCTTTGCTATTGTGAACAGTGCTCCAATAAACATACATGTGCATATATCTTTATAGTAGAATGATTTATAATCCTTTGGGTTTATACCCAGTAATGGGATTGCTGGGTCAAATGGTACTTCTGGTTCTAGATCCTTGAGGAATCACCACACTATTTTCCATAATGGTTGAACTAATTTACACTCCCACCAACAGTGTAAAAGTGTTCCTATTTCTCCACATCCTCTCCAGCATCTGTTGTTTCTTGACTTTTTAATGATCGCCATTCTAACGGGCATGAGATGGTATCTCATTGTGGTTTTGATTCGCATTTCTCTGATGACCAGTGATGATGAGCTTTTTTTCATATGTTTGTTGACCGCATAAATGTCTTCCTCTGAGAAGTGTCTGTTCATATCCTTTGCCCACTTTTTGATGGGGTGTTTTTTTTTTCCCTTGTAAATTTGTTTAAGTTCTTTGTAGATTCTGGATATTAGCCCTTTGTCAGATGGTTAGATTGCAAAAATCTTCTCCCATTCTGTAGGTTGCCTGTTCACTCTGATGATAGTTTCTTCTGCTGTGCAGAAGCTCTTTAGTTTAATTAGAACCCATTTGTCAATTTTGACTTTTGTTGCTATTGCTTTTGGTGTTTTATCATGAAGTCTTTGCCCATGCCTATGTCCTGAATGGTATTGCCTAGGTTTTCTTCTACGGTTTTCATGGTTTTAGGTCTTAGGTTTAAGTCTTTAAACTTAAGTTAATTTGATCTTGAGTTAATTTTTGTATAAGGTGCAAGGAAGGAGTCTAGTTTCAGTTTTCTGCATATGGCTAGCTAGTTTTCCCTACACCATTTATTAAATAGGAAACCCTTTCCCCATTGCTTTTGTCAGGTTTGTCAAGGATCAGATGGTTTTAGATGTGTGGCTTTATTTCTGAGGCCTCTGTTCTGTTCCATTTGTCTGTATATTTGTTTTGGTACCAGTACCATGCTGTTTTCATTACTGTAGCCTTGTAGTGTAGTTTGAAGTCAGGTAGCGACCCTTGATATTATTGTATTGAATAGATTATTGTCTTACCCTTTACTATTTGGAAGTCAAACACCATGTAAGCAAAAGTCTGCTTATTTGTAGATTAGTTTGATGGATGCAATAGATCCAAGTGAGGAAATCACTTGAGACTGGAGATCTATAACGGAAATTCACATATGTAAAATCTTAAATGCTAACCTTCAGTGTCTATTTGCTTGCCTATTTCTCTCCCCGTTTGAGGGTAAATATCTCCCCATTACCTGGAACAATGGCTGCCCCATTAACTCATTCGACAGTTGTGTTTGTTGAAATAAAACATAGGTTTTCTAAATTTTCTTCACATGGAGAAGTATATACATATACAACCAGCATACAGAACATAGTTCTGATGTTTCAATGGTGTTTACACCACAAAATGCTTGTTTAGTAGTGGTTAATGTGTCTGGTCTAGTCAAGGCATAGGCTTTTTTTCTTTTCTCTTTTAGCTTCTGAGGTCTTTGTTGTTGTATTTTCTACTTTTACATTTCAGAGAAGGCAGGGGGATATGTTCCACATCAAAATTACCACTTTTAAAAGGACCCTCATACTCAAAATATATTTGACTTTCAAAGTACACTGAACAATTATAGCATTACCTTGAATCAGGGTATTTCAAGACCTCTCATTGCCTTAGATCATCATTTTATTCTAATTAAGTTCAATAATTATACATATAGAATATACATAATCTATTCTGCTTTTAGGATAGAATGCTAATTCTTTGATATCTGATTATCAAAAGAATCATATTATTGGAAGTTATTTTCTGGGAGGGTTTCTAATAACATTTATGAGTTCTCTACTTCATAAGGTAAACTGTAAAAACAATGGGTAAACCCAGACTGCATTTTAATAAGAAAGGGAGCTAAAAACAAAGCACAGGGGGTGCTTCAGTGGGTGCGCTGAAAGAATAGAGTGAATATCCAATGAATCAGGACAATGTAGACATTGAAGGAATTAATGGAAAAAAAAAAACTTACCTCATCTCTATTATCCAAGTAAGACAAGCACAAAGGCAGAAAGTTTATAGGGCATGTGTGTGTATCTGTGTTTATATTTTGTGTGTTACATGAATTATCAGAAAGCAACTTAAAGTGTTCACCAAGAGGCTGGAGGGTCTGTATTATCAATCTCTATTACAGTAGAAATACTACTACTGGATCAAAACTACTTCAAAGCCTCATGGAGGGGCTGTTTCCAGGATATGTAATGATTGATTTGAAATAACATGACATGAGAGACACTACTAAGAATCTTCAAGGATAACAGAGTATTTTTCAAGCTTCATGAAAAATGATGAAGTTACCATGTCAAGGATTGCTAAAAGCCTACTCACAAGAACGCCTCAAATCACCACTGAGAAAGCATCTGTTTCTTGATAGTTTTTGAGGAGCTGTTTTGCAGTGTGAGGTGACACTATCTGTTCGGATACAAAGAAATAAAGTGACTATTGCATGCTGTTGTTCTTGTTAGCTGGACATCATGTCCCCTCAAACAGAATACTACTTACAGCCGAGTAGCACTTAATTTTCTTTCAACATATTTGGATTGGTTATATCTTATTGTGTTTGAAATGATTAATAGTCAGCAGAAATACTTAGTGAAGGGAGGACAAAGACTACTGCTGAATATCATTATTGACTTGGAATGGTAATGATTATATTTTCATTATAACTGCCCATAAAATAAATTTCCTAACAAAACCAACTTCTTCTCTGTCTATACATGCCCCTGTAACCACTTCATTAAAGGCTCTCTCTTCTTTTGCAGTTGACTGAACACATATTTTGAAGTTAAATCTCCTGACCTTTTGAAAGCCTGTTTCTCCTGGTTTAGTTCTTTGGGACCCAGCTCTTTTTCCTTTGCTTACTCCCATGGAAATGACACATGGGACCCTTGCTTTTGAAGGCCACTCCCACATAAGAAAGACTTTGGTTCCCACTTCTCCACCCAACCCATTCTATAGCCCTGGATGCCTGTCTATCCTTCCCCTGGACTGGAAGTTCAGGCAATTGGAACCAAGAACATTTTTATGATTGAGTGAAAACATGAAGTTCATAAACATGCAGGCTAATCCTATTTCTAATGCGTGCTTTGTGAGTTACTTTCTTTGTGGCTGTATCCAGGATCTCTCATGTAGTATCAGTGCTTGCGGTTGTTGACCAAATTCCAAACCCCTGAATAACCAAGAAGGTATAGAAAAAAGAAAACCGTTTTTGAGTTACTGAGTTACCTACTCCAGGCTAGACTAACACCTTACTACTCTAATTATGGTCTGTAGATCAGCAACATCAGTATCACCTGGGAGCTTGTTAGACACTCACAATCTCAGGCCATACCCAGGCCTGCTTATCAGAAACTTCATTTTAACAAGATCTAAAGGAGAGTCCTACACACATCAGAATGCAAGAAGCCTTGGGGTAAAGCATTTAAAAATATTTTCTCATTTAATCCTCAGCACTTTCATGCGATTAGCATTATTATTCCCATTTTACAAATGAGGACTGTTCAGACGAGTGAGGTTAAATAACTTACCTAACCCAGAAGCTCACCACTTGGCTGCATACCAATGTTCCCATCTGTATGACCTGATACCTATAACAACAGGGATGACCAGGCCAAAACATGGGGCTTTATAGACCTAGGGATAATTTGACAGCTGAGTAGCTACCAACTGCTATAAAAAAAAAGAAATTTTTTGTCAATTACTCTTATAGCCAGGTGTAGTCACAAAGAAAATAGTTTTATTATTTTTAGTCTCACTTCTATTTTGAATCAAATGATACTAACTTTTTAAATTTGCAACTCAAAATATTCATAAGATTTGGATCTGAACAACTTTTAGCGGCTGTCTCCACATGCCAAACTCAGCCTCCAATGTTGAAATTTCGCCATGATTGTAGATGTTCCAAAAAGGTGCCACTGAATCCAAAAGCAATTCTTTAAAATAAAAAACAGGGGTAGAATTAGTGTATAGTCTCCTAACATGTAAATACTCATTTTCATGTTCAAGTTCTGGCAAGTTTGTTTTAAAAAATTTATAAAAATGCAAATTTTTAAAAAGTGTCATTACTTTTTTTCTTTTTTTTTCTTTTTTTTTTTTTACCACAAGTCATCCCAAAAAAGAAACAGGCATAAAACAGTGAAGATTACTGTTTCTTTCAACAAGTCATTGTGGGAAATAAAAAAGTGCCACTACCCAACAGACATGCGGTTTAACAAGGCACTCAAGATCACAAAATGGCAACCAGTCAGAATGCTGCGGCTGAAGAAAATTAATCACCACATTGGTGCTGACCTGACAGTGTATTATGAAGAATGTTGAAATGGCTAAGGGTATGGGCTTCAGAACTCTTGAAGCCATGAGACTGGTCACCCAGGGTGAAAATTGTTGTAGACCTGCAATGTAACAAGTTTCTATAGCAAAATATCTTAGATTGACATCAGCAGAGTTAAAACTATAGAGCAGATGGGAAGAGGCAAGCAGCAGGATTCCTGGAACTAAAATAAATTTTACCATCTTCTCAACTTTCAGAATAGATAGGAATTAATTGGAAGTCTATTAAAGAATTTATCTTTGCAATGTAAAAACACAATGCTGATTATATTCCAAGACCAGTGGTCCTCCACCCTGGTAGACATTAAAATCACTTGACAAGCATTCTGAAAAAGCAACTCTTGGATACTAACCCCCAAATTCTGATTTAATTCATCCAAGGTAGACCCGCTAATTTTAAAATCTTCCCAGATGTTTCTAATGTGTAGCCAAAGTTGAGAGCACATATGCTAGATGATGCTAAAATAAATAAAAGACAAGTGAAGAAAAAAGTGTTGGATAAGATGGTGAAAGAAAATCATAAGGATCAACAATATTTCAGGTTTCAGCTGTTGTATCTTTGGAAGCAAGGCTAACAAAAATAGGCATAGCAGTGTAAGCCTGGGTATATGAAGGCTTCTTCCTATTACTGCAACGTACTGAGCATTTTTTATTCAAGGTAGTAGGGAAGAAATTGTTTTATTTTTCGGTTTTTCCTTGTTACAAGGATGAGCCAGTGAACATCCTTCTATGTGTATGTTGGGAACCATGACAGAATTTTTTTGACTTTGAATTGTTATTTATTGTACTGTTTTTCTGCATTGAGCTTGCATTATTTTTGGAAATTTTGTAGTGTAATTTTTTTATTATACTTTAAATTCTAGGGTACATGTGCACAACTTGCAGGTTTGTTACATAGGTATACATGTGCCATGTTGGTTTGCTGCACATGTCAACTTGTCATTTACATTAGGTATTTTTCCTAATGCTACCCCTCCACCAGCACCCCACCCTGCAACAGGCCCTGGAGTGTAATGTTCCCCTGCCTGTGTCCATGTGTTCTCATTGTTCAACTCCCACTTGTGACTGAGAACATGCGGTGTTTGGTTTTCTGTCCTTGTGATATTTTGCTGAGAATGATGGTTTCCAGCCTCATCCATGTCCCTGCAAAGGACATGAACTCATCCTTTTTTATGGCTGCATAGTATTCCATGGTGTATATGGGCCACATTTTCTTTATCCAGTCTATTATTCATGGACATTTGTGTTGGTTCCAAGTCTTCGCTATTATGAATAATGCCACAATAAACATATGTGTGCATGTGTGTTTGTAGTAGCATTATTTCATAATCCTTTGGGTATATACCCAGTAATGGGATTGCTGGGTCAAATGGTATTTCTAGTTTTAGATCCTTGAGGAATCACCACACTGTCTTCCATGATGGTTGAACTAATTTACACTCCCACCAACAGTGTAAAAGCGTTCCTATTTCTCCACATCCTCTCCAGCATCTGTTGTTTCCTGAGTTTTTAATGATCACCATTCTAACGGGCATGAGATGGTATCTCATTGTGGTTTTGATTTGCATTTCTCTGATGGCCAGTGATGATGAGCATTTTTTCATATGTCTGTGGGCTGCATAAAAGTCTTGTTTTGAGAAGTGTCTGTTCACATCCTTTGCCCACTTTCTGATGGGGTTGTTTTTTTCTTGTAAATTTGTTTAAGTTCTTTGTAGATTCTGGATATTAGCCCTTTGTCAGATGTTTAGATTGCAAAAATTTTCTCCCATTCTGTAGGTTCACTTGCCTGTTCACTCTGATAATAGTTCTGCTGTGCAGAAGCTCTTTAGTTTAATTAGACACCATTTGTCTATTTTGGCTTTTGTTGCCATTGCTTTTGGTGTTTTAGCATGACAATATTTTTATGATAAATTCCTAGAAATAGAATTGTTTGGTCAATATGTTTATGTATTTTTATGCATTTTACGTGTTGATATGTAATTACTGTCACCCACCCACCAAGGCGGTTATAGTAATTTATATTCAAGTAGCCTGTATCTCAATTGTGTCTAATCATAAGAGTGGGTTGAACATACAAAGGAGACAGTGAATAACCAAGAGTGTAAGATTCTAAGAAAGAAGGAGGTTTGAAGGAAAAGCAATACTTTTGAAAAGAATGTAGAGAGAGATGAAGTGAGGTGATGTTGTGTGACTGTTGGTCAGCGCTAAAGGATGGTTTTAGATTTGTCCCAAATTTTCATTCAGGTAGCAGTTGGCTGCTTGATGCAGGCAAAGAGAAAAAGCTAAGTTCAACAATCTTTCTTTGGACATGATATGGGATCTTCCATTATATTGTCCTATAGCTTTATAAAGGCCAAGTATAGATAGCATAGTGATTGTATTGCCAAGTATATTTTTGTAGAAAAATATTTGCAAAGGAGTTATATATAAGAACATTAATTGTAGCATTGTATTTAATAGTGAACATTTGAAAACAATATGAAAGTTACTAATGTTTCACTGGTAGGAGAGAAAACATGCTAAATTTACATAGTCGAATATTATACACATATATACATGCACTTACAAAATTCCTATATTCCTAAATACAATTTTTTCTTGCTTTAAAGCAGCATTACTCATCATAAACATTTCCATACTCTTATATGATTATAAGTGTTCTTTTAATGATTGCTTAATATTCAACCATACTTTAAGACTCCAGAAACAGAGAAGAAATAATATAACAACTGAGTGTATTCCACTCAGATTTAATAAATTTTAATATTTTTCTATCTTTGCCCAGATCTTTTCACTTTTAATAAAATATTGCAGATACAATTGAATCTCCTCCATTATACCCTTCTTCAAGTTCCCTCCTTGACCCTATTTTCCTCTTTCATCCTCCAGCAATAACAATTTTACTTGGTTTGGTGTTCATCATTGCATACATTTTAAAAATACTTTTGCTGGGCCAGGTGCAGTGCCTCACGCCTGTAATCCCAGCACTTTGGGAGGCCAAGGCGGGCAACTCACTTGAGGTCAGGGGTTCGAGACCAGCCTGGCCAACATGGCGAAATACCATCTCTACTAAAAATAGAAAAATTAGCCAGGCATGGTGGTGCACAACTGTGGTCCCAGCTACTTGGGTGGCCGAGGCATGAGAATTGCTTGAGCCTGGTAGGCGGAGGTTGTAGTGAGCCAAGATCATGCCACTGCACTCCAGTCTGGGCAACAGAGAATGACAATGTCTCGGGGAAAAAAAAAAAAAAAGTTTTGCTATTTGTGTTTGTGTCTATAAACAACTTGGACACACTTAAAAACTTCACGTAAATGGTATACACACACACACACACACACACACACACACCACACTTATATCTGCAAAATAGTTAACTAAGAGTTTTTAGTAGGATTAGATGTTGGATTTTCTTTCTGTATCCATAAAAATAACTGGGTTTTCTTCTCTAGTTTGTTGATATGGTGAATTATATTGATTGATTTTTGAATATTAAATCAACTTTGCATACTTTGTAAAAGCTCTACGTGCTCATGATGTATTGTCCTTTTTACATATTGTTCCATTCAATTTGCTAAAATGTTATTAGTTTTTTGTATGTATGTTCATGAGGAATATTATCCTGCAATTTTCTTTTCTTTTAATGTTTGTCTGGTTTTATGATATCATGGTAATATTGGCCTTATAGAAGGAATTAGATGTTTTTGCTTCTTTTTCAGATTTCTGAAAGAATTTGTATAGAATTAGCATTATTTCTTTCTTAAATATGTCATGGAATTCACCAGTGAAGCTATCTGGCTCTGGAGTTTCCTATAAGTGATAGTTTTTAACTAAAATATCAGGTAGACACACACTGACATACACACACACACACACACACGCACACACATATACAGGCTATCTACTGTACACAGAGAGCCTGGATATTATACATAAAACATGCTTTAGTTATATCTTTCAAAAATTTTGTTCATTTCATCTAAGTTGTCAAATATATTGGCATAAATTTATAATATACCATTAATATCCTTTTAATATCCATCAAACTTGTAATGAACTTACATCTTTCATTGTAATACTGATAATTTGTATATTCCCTCTTCTTTCTGAGGTCAGTCTAGCTTGGAGGTTTATCAGTTTTATTGATTTTTCTCTTAGCCAGCTATTGATTTTATTTTTTTTCTATTTATTTAGAAAATTTCTGCTCTGATTTTTATTATTCCCTTTCTTCCTAACTTGAGTTTAATATGCTGTCCTTTTACCAGTTTCCGAGGTCATTGATTTGAGACCTTTCTGCGTTTCTAATATAAGTATTTCGAGTTAAACATTTCTCTTGAATTCTTGCTTTAGCAACATCCCACTAATTTTGATATATTGTGTTTTTAGTTAGTTCAAAATGATTTGTAATTACCTTTTTATTTCTTCCTTGACACATGAGCTATTTGAAAGTGTGTTAGTTTCCAAATATCTAAGGCTTTTCCAGATATATTTCTGTTATTGGTTTCTAAATTAATTTTATTGTGGTCAGAAAACATCATTTTTATGATGTGTCTTGTATAAAGGCATTGAAACTTGTTTTATTGCCAAGAATATGGTCTATCTTTATAAATTTTTCATGTGCAATTAAAAATAGTGTATATTGTTAAGTGTTCTATAAATGTCAATTAGGTTAATTTGGTAGATAGTGTGGTTCAGGTCTATAACTTTACTAATTTTCTGTCTACTTGTTTTATCAATTATTAAAAGAGAAGTGTTGAAATCTCTCAGTATAATTGTGGAATTATCAATTTTTCTTTGTAGCTCCATGTATTTGCTTCATGTATTTTGAATCTCTAATTAAATACATAAACATTTAGTATTTTTTTTCCTGTTAAGGAATTGACTCCTTTATTATTTTGAAATGAATTTCTTTATCACTGTTAATGTTCTTTGCTCTAAAATCTACTTTTTCTGATATTATTATAAATTTCATTTGCTCATTGCATAGCATAGCTTTTTCAATTATTTTACTTCTAACTTTTTTTGCATTATTATATTTAAAGTAAGTTTTTTGTAGGCAGCATATAGGTGAGTTTTGCTCTTTTAAATGGATGATCCATTTTTCAATAGTGTGTGTGGGGGTGTGTGTGTAGATGTTGCTGTAGGCTTTCTATTACACATCTTTAACTTATCCCAGTCAGCCGTCAAATGATACATCACTTCATATATAGGGTAAGAATCTTACAATAGTATGCCACCATTCCCATCCCCCACCCCTTGTGCCATTGTGGTCATATATTTTAATTCACTATATTGTTATTACTTTTACTTTAAACCATCTCTTATCTTTTAAAGGGATTAAGCTATATATTTTATATTTATCATTTTGAGAACTGTCTCAAAATAATTGTTATACAGGTGGCTGCAATTGTGTGTATCTTAATAACTTGAGTCCTCCAGGATGATGAAATAGATTTTATTTCACTTTTGTCTGTCAGCCATTATAGGCCTCAAATATATATTTGTTGAAATTTCTACAAGTCATTTCTATTATGTGACTTGTAAAGGGGGCACATGACCTGGCAAACTAGAGCCTTACCTAATTATTAATATTTTATCATTTCTCTATTTTTAGAAAATTACTACTTTTTCATCTGCTCAGAGCACTTGTATTTCTTTTTAAATATTTGTAGCTTCCTAATTCAACAAGTTTGGACATTTCATTCCAAAGATATCAGTCCTTGGTGCACCCCAGCTACTTTCTTGGCATTTCTTAGTTACCTTTCTGAATATCCTTACTCTAACTTGACAACACTTTAGAGACTATCTTACTTCCCTCTGCTTCTCCATATATTTTTCAAATTGATATGTAATAGTTGTATGTATTTAAGAGGTACTTGTGTTATTTTGGTACATGTATACAATGTGTAATGATCAAATCAGAGTAACTGGGATAGCCATAGGATATTTGATTCCCAGTTTCATTATTCTTTCCTGGCAGAGATTCTATCTGAATGCCAAGTGGTGGCTGCCCACATCCCATTCACAAGGCACACCCACACTCCCACCTGCTGCTCTCATCTATCTCCCACAACAAAAATTTTTAGAACATTTTGTGGATGTTGGTGGAGTGCACCATTGCTTAGAAGCCTGGCCTGTACTGCCAGACTGCCCAGGTTTGAATCCTAGTGCTGCCACTTGGGCAAGTTACTCAAGGTATAAAAAGAGTAAAATGCCACCTACCATATCCAGTTGTTCAGAAAAATGAAAGAGATAATGCATGCAAAAAGCAGAGTACAATGCTTCCCATAAGGTCAGAGCTCAATAAGTATTAGTGCTTGTGAATATTATATACATAAAAAAATTTCTCATATAATTCCTTACTTTGACATATTCGTCAGCCATGTCTTTCTCTCTTTTCCACTAGATTGATATTCATTCTGAAACATTTCATATATATTTGGACAAATGATAAATTTGTAAAAGAAAAAATTGAGGGCTCCTAAATGATTACTGAATATATTAAAAATTAGCACATAGTCTTGCTAGAGGGCTCTCTCCTGTTGAATCAATTTTCAAAATTTTGCTGCAATGCAACACAGAATCAAATATCTTGGAATGCTTAACCTAAGATAGTTCTTTTTCTTTGCCTTATTTTCATATGCTGTGCTCGTTTTACTGAACCATGGTCCTAAACTTAAAAGCTATGTGTATATGCATATTGTTCATATACAACTTTATCATGTAACTGCTAATCTTTATGTCAGGTAATGACAAATTTTCTATCAAACATAAAATATTACTGTGAATACTGCTTTATCCAATAAATGATAAGTAACTTGATTTCTATGGTGACCATGTAACATACACATGGGATATTACAGATACAACAGCGTAAAATTTATATGTAATATTCAGGAGCACTTACAGACTCCATGTTTCTTCCCTGTATGAAATGTCTGGTAAATTCCTTAGCACACAGAAGATTTGCTTATATAATTATACCCTAAAATGGAAGCAAGGTCAACAAGATACTGTTATTTACCACTAAAAGATGCAATGCCCTCAGTCAATACTGAAGGAGAAGCTCCTTCACTTATAGGAACAGATGTGTTTCCACTCTTGATCAGCCTCACAAAACACGTATTTCCCCTGGCAATTTCTTGTTCATATTATTTCAAAGATTGCATAAGAACAATCCTCTCTTGCTTCTTGAGAGACCAAATATCTATGATCCTTCTACAGATATTTTCCCCCATTTTTTTTCTGTGTATTAGAAAGCTACCTGGTTGGTTGTTTTGAAGAAGTTTAAAAAAAAATTGACACATGAAATGTTACACTTAATGCTGGCCACACCAACAGAAATGGTCATATTTTTCTCTCTTGAGGTAGTGCACTCAAATGCTGGCACTGAAGTTGCATCTTGTTGATTTACAAGTACAAATCTAGGAGACAAGATCATGAAGACACAAAGCATCGAAAACCTAATGTAGGGGTGGGCAAACGACTTCTTACGGGTTAAATCTGTCCACCACCTTGTAAATATAGCTTCGTTAGAACACAGCTGTGCTCATTTGTTTATGTATTATGTGTCCAGTTTTATCTCTAATAACAGTAGTTATTACAGAGACAGTATGGCCAGCAAAGCCTAGAATATTTACTATCTAGTTCTTTTAGAAATTTGCTGAACTCTAATCCAAAGGAATAGTTTGGATCTAAATGGGGAGATAAATAGCTATTCAGCCTTTTTCCAGGAGGTTAAACATATGTACTATATTAGTCCATTCTTACACTGCTATGAGAACATACCCAAGACTGTATAATTTATAAAGAAAAGAGGTTTAATTGACTCACAGTTCTGCAGGGCTAGGGAGGCCTCAGGAAACTTACAATCATGTCGGAAGGGGAAGCAAACATGTCCTTCTTCACATGGTGGCAGCAAGGAGAATAATGAGTGACCAGCAAACAGGGAAGCATCTTATAAAACCATCAGATCTCATGAGAACTCATCATCACAATAACAGGATGGGGGAAACTGCCCTTGTGATTGAATTATCTCCACCTGTTCCCTCCCATGACATGCAGGGATTATGGGAATGACAATTCAAGATGAGATTTGGGTGGGGACACAGCCAAACTATATCATGCACATTTTTTATTCTAACATGGATTCACTAATGCCCCATAGCCTAGTTTGGCCAGCCTCAGCCTTTCTAGTTTTTTCAAATACAGGATGCTCTGCCCCTTCTTTTAGGCAGTGATACTTAATACTTTGGGTCTGAAAGTCAGAGCACCATCACCCTACCAGGTATGAACTCTCCAGCCAGTTGCTCCCCGTGAGGGGTAGGATGCTGAGTCAGCTGCTGGGCTGATGCTACTGGTTGGTATTCACCCCTCTGTTTTGTATTATGTCTCTATTAGTCCTGGCAAATAAGTGTGTTGTCTTGATCTCTCTAAAGGAGGTAAAGATTTATCTAAAATTATAAACATTTTCTCTGAAGAATCCAGTATTTATTTTGATAACTCACTATTAACTCAATATCTCTTATGCCAGAAGTGCCTTAATTAGCTCTCTTTTAAAATTTCCTTAAAATTTTCTTTTATATTTTTAATTCCTAAAACTTCCCTTACTCTCTGATGATAATTGCATTTCTCAGCAACAGTGATTTGAGAGTCTGTAGAGCCAAGTGCTTTTTGTTTTTTGTTTTTTGTTTTTTGTTTTTTTATTACAGGATAGTTTTATTCTGATAGTTTTATGGAAAAATTTCCAGCAGGAGTCTCAAATGATTATTTGACAGTTCACAATACACATTCCTTTATATTGTATCACTTTTAATTTGCTCTCCAATCAGGAAGGAAATACAGTAGTCTGAGATTAAAACCACAGTGTTCTGGGGATTATGACAATTGAATAGAAACTGAGTCCTGCTGCCCTTCATGCCTAAAAGACCATATGGATCTAGGCCATGGGGCTGCTGGTTGTGTGTCGAATACTAAAATCTCAAAAAAGGCAGAAATCATATTCTGTCTGCCTCCTGCACCCCCGCTTTTTTATCCCTTCAGAGGCATGCAGTTATCTACAGGCTGAAAATCTGGATACTTATGTTTTCTTTTTTATCAGAATGCTGATTATTTGATTTGAACAAGTCACTTTTCTCTTTTTTCCTAAGTTTCTTGAGGGGGAGCCAGGCCATGCCACTCAACATTTAGTGTCTGGCCCACAGTCACACTGGCCTGAATGGGGAGAATTTCCTGTTCCCTGTAATATGTACAGATGTTTTCTACATATGAATGCTCACAGACGTGGGTTTTGGAATTAAGGGGCTGTCAGCTATAGCCGAGTATATTTCTGTTATAATATCCCCAATTCTGTAATTTTTTTAAAGTAAGGAAGCTGAGTTGTGAATTTTTGTTCTGCTTTTCATCAACTTTATAATAAGATTTAGTGTGATAAAATATCAACTAATATAATAGCTAGTATCGTGAACATAAGATAAATCAGATGCACAGGGTATTCTTCAACTCAAGATTTAAAGCAAGAATAAAAGCACCTCATCCAAAGCTCCTAGTGGGTACTCATTAATATTTCACTCCTCCCTCTCTTCTTTGTTTCTTCCCTCCATGATAATTTGGTATGTGTGTACTTGAGAGCCTCAATAAAAAAAATAGTTGATCACTCAGACATGTGATTTATGCCATATAATCTGAAAAGCATTTTCAATATAATTGAAATCCCTGGATAGTTAACTGCCCTCTTTCTTTCATCTGGATTTTCTGATACTCTGTAGACTCTGTATTCTACTATCTACCTTGGGCATTTCAGAATATAGATGCCATAGGGACATAATGGTGATACTAAAAGTTAATGTCATTGCAAGATTCTAACAGTGATAAAATGATAAAGTTATGATCCACTAAACCTTCCATGCGATGAAGGTCACTGAGTAGTGTGTCTGCATTGCTTAGAGGACTGGTGGTATCCACACAGTCTAGTTCTGGCCCAGATTAATTTTACATGAGGAGACTATAAAAGCTTCAAACTAAATATATATTGTTTCTATAGAAAGTCACTGATCTTTCTTTTCCTTAAGCTCAATATGTAATCTTGAAACATTATCTGCTAAATAATAAATTAGGGAATCAAAAGCCTCCTTTTATTAATTCTATAGAATGCCAAATATAGAACATATCTAAATTAAATATTGAATTAAAATCAGAAGTTCAAAAATAAATTAATTGGTAACAAAAGGGTCATTTGTCTTCTTCCAGTCTCTTAAAAAATTCAGGAAATTAATAGTCAAGTCAAGAATCTTGGAATTATGGTTGGTTGCCCTACTTTATTGGTGAGAATGCAGTGTTGATCTGTCCTGGAGTTAGTTAGGTATGTTATACCTGTATATTGTAAGAATGGATCAAAAGCCAAGACTATAGCTACCAAGGAATCTGATTTTATTGGGGTGAGTCATTTTATTTATGTCTCTGCATCCAAGTAGTGAATAATTCTGTACTGTGAATGCAAGTGAGGTAAAGATGGAAATATCATGAAGAAAGTAATTTATGCAACCAAAGTTTCTTTGGAAATCTGCTGGGTAGAGGAGATGGACTTTGGTGTGAAGGAATGGATAAGATTTAGGGTACAAATCTTTTGTTTCCAATGTAGTGATGATTCAAATGTATGAATAAATGAAATCATTCACTTTGCCCTAGTTTGTCTTCAGTGTAGAGTGCTTGTATATCAGTGGTCAAGGAATCTTGGTACTGTTGGTAATTAAATCTGGTCATTTACTGTAGAAGCCTTAAAATTGAAAATATATTGCATATACATCAACTTCAAAAGTGATCACCCCAGACATTGTCTTTCTTTCTTGCTCAGTATGACAGGTTTTTTAGTTCAGGTGATGAGTTCAGCTTTCTTTTTTTTTTCTTTTCTTTTCTTTTTATTTTTTTCTTGAAACAGGGTCTTGTTCTGTCTCCCAGGCTGAGTGCAGTGGCATGATCTTGAGTCACTGCAGCCTTGACCTCTTGGGCTCAAGTAATCAATCCTCCACTTGGGACTAAAGATGTGTGCCACTATACCAAGCTAATTTTTAAATTTTTTGTAGAAATGAGATCTCTGTATGTAGCCCAGGCTGCTCTCAAACTCCTTAGCCTTCCAAAGTGCTGGGGTTACAGATGTGAGGCACCACACCTGGCTGAGTTCAAGTTTTAAATGATATTTCTCACATCTACCCCTCATTTACTCTAGTGTTTACACCAGGGACTTAATTGTGCAAATAAAACTATGGAATTAATAAAACAATATGGTGGCCTAAATAATTTGTTATAACAGAGAGCTTTATGAGTACTAATTCCAAAGTGTATGTTACCTATCACCTGATTTCATTTGATAAGTATAGTTGTAAACAAGCTGTAATTTTAACATTTAGCAAATCAGATAGCTTGGTATATGAAAATAATGCAATGCTATTATTTCTTACTTTTTGGAGATCTACAGATTTTTCATTTGTCATCTATTTTTTGACATCCACCATAGTTTTTCTTCATGAGAGATCTTCTGCATTAGATGCTTATTTTTTTTTTTAACATATTATCATGTATCACTGCTGGTGAGCTATAGTCAAGCTCCTAAGTCTTTCCCAATATCAGCCATACTGTTGCATAGATAGAGCCAAAATAATTTATATTACTTCAAATAATAAAGATATTTATAAGGACACATAAATAAAGATAGGTGCATTATTTCCCAAATTCATTTAACTTCTAAAGAACACTTCACTATGAAAAATACTCCTCATGACTCTGTTCATCTATGCACCAGAAAATGAAGGATGGCTTATTTTCTGTGAATCCGGTACATGGCTATAGAGTACTCCAGGGCCAATGCCAAAGTCATGACCTGCATGCTTTATGGATTGTTGTAGTTATATTTGATGAGGAAATTTAACACTGTTTTTATTTTGGGTTCCCTGAGCTATGAGTGAAATTGGAGCAGTGGTTCTCCAATTATGGTTTCTGGACCCGCAGTGTCAGAGGCATCGCCTGAAAACTTGTTAGAAATGCAAATAATCAGGCCCCACCGCAGCAGGGTGACTCAGAGACTCTGGGGAGTGAGAACCAGCTATCTGTGCTTTAACAAGTCCTCCACATGGTTCTGATGCAGCCTATGTTTTTTGTGTGTTGTTTTTGTTTGTTTGGTTTTGGTTTTTTTGTTTTTTGAGATGGAGTCTTGCTCTGTCACCCAGGTTGGAATGCAGTGGCACGATCTCGACTCACTGTAAACCCCGCCTCCCGGGTTCACGCCATTCTCCTGCCTCAGCGTCCCGAGTAGCTGGGACTACAGGCGCCCGCCACCACGCCCAGCTAATTTTTTGTATTTTTAGTGGAGACGGGGTTTCACCGTGTTAGCCAGGATGGTCTCTATCTCCTGACCTCTCGATCCGCCCACCTCGGCCTCCCAAAGTGCTGGGATTACAGGCGTGAGCCACAGCGCCCGGCCTTGATGCAGCCTATGTTTTAAGAAACACCAAGTTTGGGTCCGATGCTTCCTCAATCCAAACTGTTAAAATTTAAAACAGTAATTGATGCCATATGGGGCACTATTTTGAACCTTTATATCCAAGATATTCAGTGAGGTTTCTTCTTCAAAAAAAAAAAAAAAAAAGCCTGTTTTTGGAAGATACCTAACATTGTTAGTATATGCCAGTGCTGCTTTAAACAAAAATTGACAACATGTTATCTTAGGGGAAGAGAGTTTTGAAATAATTACTGAGGTTTAAAGCAACACACTGTTAAGAAAATAAGTCAAATTAACTACCAATATTTTACAAATGGATTTGTCAAATCTTCAATATTTTATAAAATGTGCATAGTGTTTTATTGAGGCTATTAATAATTTTTATACTTAATAAGTGATTTATTTCATTGAATTGTAGGTTTTAATTTTTTTACCTCAAACCAATCCACCCCATCAGTTAACAGGAAATCTATAAGGCCTACATTACTTTATAATCTGTCAATCACATACAATTCAGTGACCCAAACGATATTATTTGCTTTGCTTACTTTAGCTCTATGTTTGTATAAAACCATACTTTGGGATTTTATGTGATTGAAAATGAGTATAATAAAACCCAAGGCCTAGGCTGGTTGTGTAAAAATTGATTACAGGCATTGGCCAAAGGAATCTATCGGATGTATGTTTTTATTGGCAGCATACACAAATCTGATGATTGTGTTCTTACTTGCTGATGAGTAACTGTGACCAACTTAAGTGTCTTCAAGAATCTAAGAGATAGTTAATCAAAGGTCAAATACAGAGGAAGTCACCCTAGCTGTCAAGATCTATTTTTTCCAGCTTGCAGTTGAGAAACACCAGGAAGAAGAAAGGGGGAATATATGAATAAGAACAGAATTCATTTTCTCACATTCTCACACAATGACCCATCTGCTTAGAATACATTGACTTAATGATTAATTCCAAGTCTGTTTCTTTAGCAAATATGTATTGGGTACCTGCCATGCGGCAAGCACTATGGAATTTTTAATATATCAGAATAGATCACAATAGATGACTGCACTGAGCCATCATCTAAGTAATAATACTGTCAAGCTGGTGACTCTTTTGAAGAAAAGTATTTTACTCAAACTAGGAAATAGCAGAAAGCTGAGGGGAAATACGCTTTAGAATTATATTTACCACAAATGCCCTTTTCTTCCTAAGACAAAAAAGAGCAATGTTCCTTCATTTAAACAGTAGGTTAATAAAAAAATTCCATTGGCACTCCCAGTTGCCATGGTAGCAAAATGACAAGTCGCTTCCATGTGACTTCACTGTGTATCAATAAGCTAACCATTTGGGAGATAATGCATTTTGTTTAGACATGTCTTTTGAGCAGAAACGCTGTATGCTTTCATTAACTCATGAAGGAGGTGTTGTTCATACAGTACTTAATTTAGCAATTAATAAATAAGCTGTTGTTTAAGAAATTAATTACTAAAAGATGAAACAAAGCCTCAACTTAGCATTTTTGCTCTTTCAGTTCTATTTATTTTTCCTTTGGAGGAGTGGTCTGGAATAAATAATAAGAATAAAATATATAAATTATAATTTGGATAATAAAACTTATTTTGGACTTTCCTATACACCACTTAGGAAAGTCCCAACCAAAACAGAAGAGCAATAAAAGAAGGTGAGCTTCAGCTATATGATGAATCATCTATATTCCCTCTTTTATTCTCCACATCTTCCACCCTATTTCTAGTGCTAGATAATTACTTGTTATTACTGTTGAGTCTTGCTTTGCTGTCAACTATTCATCATCTTTTGAGTTGCAAAAGCAACTGTAATTATTTCAGCATAAAAGTAAGTAACCACTTCAAGAAATTTAACTTGTTTCCCCAGTCTAGATATTAATTACCTTTAGCTGCAAATTACCATTGTACAACACTTCATTTCATATCACATATATTTTCCTTATTTTTAGAATCATACTACTTTCCAAAGAGGTGTTCACAGATTTCCAATTGCTTTCTCCTTCTTCAGCCACTGCCTTGCCCATTGACGTAACATCAACTAATATCCTTTCTTCCCAGACACATAGATCTAAAATGCTTTCTGACTCTTGTAGGTGCTATGCCTGCAGGTAAAATTAAATGACCTACTTACTAATCAGGTTTTGTGAGCACTTTCACACTTTTCAAATGACTCAGCAAATGGCAAAAACCTTCTAGCAGCCTAGGCCATAGGCATTAGCTGTTTTACATGACTGTCTACAAAAGACAAAAGGATCCTTGTAACTAGTGACCAAGCCACTGTGTACTACATCTTACTGTGTAATCAGACAAAATGGATTTATATCTTGACTCATGTTTTTTTCATACTCAAACAGTAAAAAAGACAATTTGTTTCTTCAAGCATAAATTTTTTTTCTTTATTATAAGTGTTAGCCTGAGTGAAGTTAAGTGATTTAAAGCTTTGATTATAATACACTCCAAAAGTAAGATACCACCAATGATATTTGTGAAATTGTAGTTTTCTTAGTAGCACTATTAATATTACTTAAAAGTAATGCAGATATTGTTGGCATGGTGTTTATGCTTTTACTTTTTATAATGCCCTTTTATGTCTATTATTTACCTCAGTGCATAAGAAAATCGATGATGAACTGTTTTTATCTAGAATCATATATGTAAAACATTAAAACAAAAATGGAATGTAGATGTCCTCAATTTTTAATCTAAGAACCTTTTTATCGCACCATTTTATCACACCACAGCATTCTCTCACTTTTTTTTTTTTTTTTTTTTTGAGACGGAGTCTCGCTCTGACGCCCAGGCTGGAGTGCAGTGGCGCGATCTCTGCTCACTGCAAGCTCCGCCTTCCGGGTTCACGCCATTCTCCTGCCTCAGCCTCCGGAGTAGCTGGGACTACAGGCGCCCGCCACCACGCCCGGCTAATTTTTTTGTATTTTTAGTAGAGACGGGGTTTCACCGTGTTAGCCAGGATAGTCTTGATCTCCTGACCTCGTGATCCACCCGCCTCGGCCTCCCAAAGTGCTGGGATTACAGGCATGAACCACCGCCCCCAGCCATTCTCTCACTTTAAAAAAAAACTTTTAGGTTCTGGGGATACATGTGAAGATTTGTGACATAGGTAAACTCATGTCATGAGGGTTTGCTGTGCAAATTATTTCCTCACCCAGGTACTAAGCCCAGTACCCAATAGTTATCTTTTTGCTCCTGTCCCTCGTCCCTCCTCCCGCCTTCCGCCCTCAAGTAGACCCCAGTATCTGTTGTTGCCTACTTTGTGTTCCTAAGTTCTCACCATTTAGCTCCCACTTATAAGTGAGAACACGCAGTATCTGGTTTTCTGTTCGTCCATTAGTTTGCTAAGGATAATAGCCTCCAGCTCCATCCATGTTCCCATAGAATACATGCTGTCGTTCATTTTACGATTGCATCGTATTCCATGGTGTATATCTACCATGTTTCTTTATCCAGTCTGTCACTGAAGAACATATAGGTTGATTCCATGTCTTTGTTATTGTGAATACTGCTGCAGTGAACATTCGTGTGCACGTGTCTTTACAGTAGAATGATTTATATTACTCTGGTTATATACCCAGTAATGGGATTGCTGGGTTGAATGGTAGTTCTGTTTTTAGCTCTTTGAGGAATTGCCATACTGCTTTCCACAATGGCTGAACTAATTTACACTCTAATAACAGTGTGTAAGTGTTCCCTTTTCCCACAACCTCGTCATTTTCTTCTTTTAAAAATGAGGGTTGACATGTAAGTGTCTGTGTATATGCACATACACCAGTCATTGGAACACACCATGCACTGCCATGTTTATCCTTTGAAAATGATTTTGATAGTTCAGAAATACCTGTATGAGGCGCCAAGATGTTAAGCCAAATGACCTAAGCTAATCCAAGCAATATGTGAAATAAGTGGAATTTCTCTTTAAGGATGTAGTGATTCTTTCTAAAATATAACCAGGCTCTTTCTGGATCCCCTGTTGACTTCCAGCAGTCTCCCACTTAGCTAACACTCACCTGGGTAGTGTACAGCCTACAAGTATTGTGGGTCTCTGCTCCCCTTCAGGTCTTTTTCTCACAGTCTCTTCTCCTCCACCCTTTTCTCCATACTGTCTAAGCTAACAGAAATCTCAGTATTTGACCCACTAACTTGTGCATAGGTTCTAACAGTCTGATTTATGGTCAATTAATAAGATTTAACCCTTTATAGCATACTATATAACTTTTTATTTTTTATTTATTATCTGCCTCTCCCTATTAAAATATTAGTTCCATGAAGGCAGGAATCTTAGTCTGTGTTATTCAGAGATATAGCTCAAGCATCTAGAATAGTGTTTGGCACATAGTAAGTGCTCAGTTAATATTTATGGCAAGACTTCATTAAAAAAATCATTTCTGCTCTTCGAGGCAATAGTACTTAACATACAATAATCCTTGTTGAGTATTTAAAATGTGCCAGACATTGTCTTAAGTATGTTATATGAATTATCCCATTTGTTCCTCACATTAGCCCTATGAAGATGCTACTACTATTGTTCCCATTTTACAGATAAGAAAACTAGAGTTTACAGAGGTGGAGAACCTTGCTCGAGGTAATACTGATAACAAGTGGCTGAGTCCCAAACAGCACAAGCAGCTTACTTTCAAAATATCATACATTTTAAAGGTAGTTTCTCCTTCATCTGAACCAAAGAGTAATTCTAATGGTGGAAATTTTAGGTTAAAGAGAAAGTAGAATGACACATGACGAGCCAGAAAGGAGGGTAGTACAGAAACAGAAAATTCTTACATTATGTCTTCTCACATTTTCCATCAAGGCAAGCCCATGTAAAGAAACTGCACAAGCTGGCATACCATGAGAGTTGTGCTTTATTGTAAATAATAGAACCATGGCGTTCTCTGTTTCTTCTTGACTCTCAGTATTTTTCTCTCCCTCCCTTTTTCAACCCACTCTCTTGACCATAGATTGGGTAGGTAAGCCTTTAGAGAGGAAATGTGATCAGCCTGGTGCTTCACCAGGGCTCATCAGGAAGAGCAGCGATGAACTGAAAGAAGGAGGCAGGCACACCAGTGACAGAGCCACCGCCTGGTCCAGGAGGGAGGTGCTGGGATCAGAGACAGTACAGATCGGAAGGATGATGTTGTGGAGATATGGGACATAGAACTTGCCAAATATTTGGAGATGGGATAAAGGAGTGAGGGAGGACTCAAAGGTAGGTGACTCTGAGGTGAAAGTTTCAAACCAGCACAACTAGAAGAATGGTGGTGGCATGAACAGGGGAGCAAGATGAAGAAATACATTTTCATGATTACATTTTCCTGAAATGCTGTCAGATTTGCCACTAGTGAGGGTGTAATAAAGACATTTTCAGGCTTGGAAAATCTCAAACAATGTGGCTTCCATGCAACCTTCGACAGGAAGCTTCCAACAGATGTGCTCAGCCACCATGAGGATGGAGACCACAAAAATAGACATGGGGTCTAGGGAAGAGGAGAAACTGCACAAGACAGAGGCAAAGTGACTCCCCAGGATGATGGCAAAGGATGATCCCTGGATGGCAGCTGAGAGTCCAGACTGGAGCATGTCAGAAGCCTCCAGGAAAGATTTCTTCAATAGGATAAACTTGATAAAATATAAAATGTATTTGTGAATTTTGAGAGGAGATTTATCTCTCAAGGAGAGAGTTTATTTAATGATTAATGAATGGAAAATGGAAATGAAAACATATTACATATAGAGTAATCAAAAAGTTACACACAGCCGGGCGCAGTGGCTCATGCCTGTAATCACAGCACTTTGGGAGGCCGAGGTGGGGGAATCACAAGGTCAGGAGATTGAGACCAGCCTGGCCAACACAGTGAAACCCAGTCTCTACTAAAACTACAAAAATTAGCCAGGTGTGGTGGCGCACACCTATAGTCACAGCTACTCAAGGGGCTGAGGCAGGAGAATCACTTGAACCCTGGAGGCAGAAGTTGCAGTGAGCCGTGATCACACCACTGCATTCTCAGCCTGGGCAACAGAGCAAGACTCTGTCTCAAAAAAAAAAAAAAAAAAAAGTTAAACACAAAAAGTCAGTACACCACATTTCAGCTGGGAATAGATTTACATAGAATTAATAATGTAAACACTTCACACTAATCTAAACACAAGATTGTTCCGTTAGAAGAATGGAAGAAAAGCAGGAAGTGGTATGTGCAGTAGGGTTAGAATTATAGACAAAAAAAAGAGTTAAACTCTCATTTTTTAAAAAAAATCAAGAAAAAATTACTAAAGTAAAGAATCAAGAGGCATCTTAAAGTATTTAGAGATTTGGGGGTTAAACAAAGTAATCAGCTAAAATCAGTGTATTTTTCTCTGGATAAAAAGAAAGGGCTTCCAGGGGCTGGGTGGTGATGAGGGTCTGCTTTTTAAAAATCAGAAGTCTTATAGAATTGCTTGAAGACTTAAAATATCTGTATATGCAACTTTGACAAATAAAATATTTATTTAATTTAAATTATTTGATTTAAAATATAAAATTCTAAAAGCAAAGGAAAAGAAATTTGTCTTAGCAAGATGGATGATAATTCCAATAAAGGCTTAATTTTGAAGGAAAAATACGAGAGTAATGCAGATAAGAAAAATTAGGAAACTTTAGGAAATTTGGTTTCAGATTGTCTCTTTACCAAGAAAGAATGAGCTCATGTCTTCTGCAAAACGTCAAAGCAGTTGAATATAGAAAATGTTGGGAATATAAGAGAGAGAGACAAGAAGACACACATAAAAGAATTACCAAGCATCAGGAGGATCAAACTGACATTAAGTAATCTGAATTTGTGGAGTACTTTGTCAGAGAAAGTTTTTGTTTTTTTATAGCAACTGCTGTCAGTAATGAAATAACCAACAGTGAACATGGGGGTTAATTATGAGTGGGGTAATCATGAAGGTGAACTAAAGGAAGGAAGAGATTCTGGTTTTTTCATAGTCCTTTAGTAGTTAGGGAGGCAAATAAAGCCAGATTTGGGGAACATCAGGGAAATTACAAGAGATCAGGGACTAGAGATCATAATTAGAAAGAAGAACAGAATAGGAAAAAAGGATCAGAAACTGATGTCAAAGATGGAGGTTGCAGCATTTGAGATTGTAGAGCAGAACTTCAAGCCACAATGAGGTAGGTGAACTGCCAGTCCAAGTAGGCAGCCAGCATCAGTTGGGTCAATAGCAATAGGTGATACTCACTGATGTTGCCTGTCACAGAAGGAAGAACTCAATCACAGAGGTCTGAAGTGCAAGATGGAGATGGAAAGCCACTTAGTGAACCGAAAGTACTGATGGGCCTCCCAAGAAGAGCACAACTACAAATGTTCACTAAAATTTGGTACAGCCATGTTACTCCAAACAAGTCAGCAGCCCTGGAAATTGCCCTCAATCTTGTGATCCTGGTGCTCACGTGGTGCTAGGAATGCATTGCCATACTGCAAGCAGTTAAAGTGTGCAGCTTCTGAAATATGCAGATAAATTAGTAAGGAAAATTGAGTCTTTGTTATGTGATTTTTTTCTTAATGATTGGAGTGTGTTCTAAATAAACAGAAAAACAAATTGATTGCCAAAAACCATGTTAATGCACTTTTAATTCACAAGGGTTAAGCACATAAAAGTCAGAATATTGAAAGTTAAGGTTCTCATAGAAACATTAACTTGACAATATTATGCATACTAGATGTAGGTGGTTTATATTTTATAGCATAAAAGCAGCAGGAAATATTGCAAAATGTGACTCAGCTAAACAAAATAACCAATTCAGGGAAAGCCATTAAACATGATTATGGAAAAAAATTGTTTTTGCAGCCCCCAAAGATGAGTTATAAAACTTGATTTTAGAAAATAATAACTTCAAATCTTAAAAAATGTTTTCAATAGGAATTATTCATTTTTATCCAAAATCAAATTTCCCTGGCATATTATACATTCTGACATTACCTTCTGCTTCTCAGTTGCAGTCCAGATTTTATTCTAATAGACCAAAAGGAGAACCGACTGGCTATTTTCATGACCTAGTTGATAAAGATTTCAAATGCAGAGAACAAAAATAAAATTTAAGGATTTAAAATACTTTTTTAGCATATAGACAATATGGGGGAGTCTATATATATGAAGCCTGCCAATGTACTACCTTATATATCTGGCTTCTATATATTTCTTTGCATGTATGCATTATGTAAATTCCAATCTGACCATGCAAAATGCCTATGTAGGTGGCATAGAAAAAGGAAGAAGCTTAGGGCATATTCAAGGGAGGAAGTATTACCTGGAAACAAACCTGCAGCCTTGAAGATGTCTCTGTTTCTGCTCTTGCCTCACAAACTGGACAGCATGCCTGGGAGGCTGTGTTCTTCAGGAGAGCTGGACTGAGCTACAGTCTGAGTAGCTGATACTCCTGCCACCTTGGCCGTCATAGCTCCATTCCCTCTGTGGGTGATGGAGGAGTCAGGAACAGTGGTCCCATGCAGTAACCCTTGGTTGGGAGTCACTTCAGTCAGAATTAGAGGCAGTAATGAAAGAAGGAAGGCCGCATAAGGGAGAGCCTGTGTGATGGAGTCAGAGAAAGTTTTCTCCTGTCAGATTAGATACTATATTCCCAGCCTCACACTACTGCAATTTAATTATTACACAATTCTAATTATTTAATTTTAAGTAATAGTAAAGGTTTTGCGATCCTTTAAATCAAATAAAAATGGCTCTGGGTGCAAATTTAACAAATGAAAACCAACAAACAGTCCTCCCAAAAGAAAGCAGATTATGAAATTAAAAAGATAAATTGACATTTTCCTAAGATCGCTACTTTCCATTGTGTTTTATGTCATAGCACAGCAGTCTGCAGGACAATAGAGGTTCATTCATGGAGTGAAATATATAAATTCCTGAACTAGCAGACTGCTGGCTCAATATCCAAACCACCTCTTCAAAAAGGGCACAATGTTCTGAATTTTTCACTGAAAAATATACGCAGCCATATCCCATGGCAATGAACTCTTTATAAGCTTGATGAAGAAAAGTGCTTTGTACATTTACTTTAATCTTTACCCCCTGCTGTTTTCTGTTGCCAAACAAACAGAAGGACAAATGCAAACTGCCAACTTGCAGGATGTACAAACAAGTGGCACTGAATATTCAGAAGTATGGTGGTATTTCTAAAGTTCAACAACAAATCACTTAGCGTCTTTCTTTTGTTTTTACTTTTCTTTATTCAGGCACCACAAGGCCACATAAGGAGGGTGAGGTCCCTGGAGTGGATTATATTTTCATCACTGTTGAAGATTTTATGGAATTGGAGAAAAGTGGTGCTCTCCTAGAAAGTGGGACTTATGAAGGTAAGCACAACGTTCCTGAGAAATCTTTCTTGTTGGCATCACATTTTTCTCATTCGATGGAAATGCACGGGGACACCAGGTTACTAATGGGCTGTTTTGGGTTTGAGAGCTTTAATAAGATGAGTTTAGAAATGTATCCTAAAAAAGTTAAAATACATCTCAATTAAGTGTACTTTTAATATGCCTGGAGAAAAATATATATTTTTAAATATTTTATATTTTATATATATACACCTATTATATATATACCTATTTTATACACACACACACACACACACACACACACACACACATTGAAGTATTCTTGTGCTTGTCTCCTGAGGTTAAGCTGTGATCTCTCAGATAAAACGTCTTTATCTCAAGATGTCATCTAAAAGAAGGAAGGGCTAGAATTCTAGTCCTGTCATTATCCCTGTGTGGCTTTCTCAAATTACTCTACCTCACTGGCCTTCAGTTTCCTCCTACACGAAATTATGGGGTAGAAAAAAATATGATCTGTGAATGAACTCCAAAGCTCTACCACAATAGAAATCTCCTTGTGTACCCAAATCAAATGTGAACAGCAAATGAAACCAAAACCTTGAATGCAGGAAATATGCCTCAGTGGAAGAAGCACTGAAACATAAGCCAAAATCTCTGTTTCAAACTAGGCTTCATTATTTATCTGCTATAAAAATTAAGTAACAGTTTATGTCACTAAACCTTAGTTGTCTCATCTGTAAAAGTGGAATGATGGCATTAAAAATACAAATAAGTAACAGTATGTTGATATGATTGCATTTATCAATTTGGGTAACATTTATATGCATCTAGTTTATATCTAATGAAAATATGTATCTGTGTATATATATAATGAAATTATAACTAAAAAAGTAGAAAATAATTTTTCATTCCTACTTCACAGTTACAAAGTATATGTACAGATGCTATTATTAAGTTGAAAGATTAGTTTTATTAACCTGCAACTAATAGTGATATTAAAAACAAAATTCATGATATATACTTTGCTGCTTAGCCTATCATACATGCAAAGTTCACCAAACATCATCAAATAAGCTGGGTTTGCCACGTTAACAGTTGGGCCCTCTACTTTCTCCTTGATTTATAGTCATGTGTCTCTTAATGAAAGGGATACTTCTGAGAAACACATGGTTAGGCTATTTCATCATTGAGTGAATATCATAGAATGTACCTACACAAACCTAGATGCTACAGCCTGACACATTCTAGGCTATGTACTGTAATCTGTTATTTCCAGGCTACAAACCTGTATGGCATGTTACCATACTGAATACGTAGGTAATTGTAACCCAGTGGTAAGGATTTGTTTATCTAAACACACCTAATCATAGAAAAGGTTAAGTTAAAAATATGGTATAAAAGATTAAAACAGTATAGCTATATAAGGTGCTTACCATGAATGGAGCTTGCAGGACTGTAAGTTGCTCTGGGTGAGTCCATTAGCGGGTGAGCCCAGAGTGACTGAGTGATGAGTGAATGTGAAGGCCTAGGAAATTACTATATACTACTGTAGACTTTATAAGCATTGTACACTTAGGCTATATTAAATGTACTTAAAACTATTTTTTCTTCAATAATAAATTAACCTTAGCTTAATGTAACTTTTTACTTTATAAACTTTTCCATTTTTTTTTAACTTTTTGACTCTTTTGTAATCACACTGGGTTTAAAACACAAACACATTGTACAGCTGTACAAAAAGATTTTTTCTTTCTTTGTATCCTTATTCTATAAGCTTTTTTCTATTTAAAATTGTTTTAATTTTATAATTACTATACTTAAATTATGTTTTCTCTGGGGGCTGGGAAATGTATTTTTACATTGTAGCCAATCATTTTTATATTTGTCAGTTTAAATCTTATGGTTCTTTTTTTATCTCTCGATGTCAAATTTTATAGTATTTTTAAATGAATCCATTTAATTAAAATGTTCAAACAAAATTGTTTTAACTTTTTAAACTTTTTTGTTAAAAACTAAGACACAACCACACACATTAGCCTAGGCCTACACAGGGTCAGGATCATCAGTATCACTGTCTTCCACCTTCACATCTTGTCCCACTGGAAGGTCTTCAGGGGCAATAATAGGCATGGAACTGTCATCTCCTATGATAACAAAGCCTTCTTCTGGAATACCTCCTAAGGACCTGCCCGAGGCTGTTTAACAGTTAACGTTTTTTAATAAGTAGAAGGAATACACTCCTAAAATAACAATAAAAAGTAAAATACAGTAATTATCTAAGCCAGTAATATAGTCATTTATTATCAATATCAAGTATTACACGCTATACATAACCGTATGTGCTATACTTTTTTTTCTTCTTCGACTTTTAAGTTACGTAGGTAAATACGTGCCATAGTGGTTTGCTGCACAGATCATCCCCATCACCTACATATTAAGCCTAGCATCCATTAGCTGTTCTTTCTGATGCTCTCCCTCTTCTCAGCACCCGCCCAAAAGGCCCCCAGTGTGGGTTTTTCTCCCCTATGTCCATGTGTTCTCATCAACCAACTCCCACTTCTAAGTGAGAACATGCAGTGTTGGGTTTTCTGTTCCTGCATTAGTTTTCTGAGGACAATGGCTTCCGACTCCATCCATGTCCCTGCAAAGGACATGATCTCATTTCTCTTTATGGCTGCATAGTATTCCATGGTATATATGTACCACATTTTCTTTATCCAGTCTTTCATTAACCATTCAGGATATAGGCATGGGTAAATGTTTCGTGATGAAAACACCAAAAGCAATTGCAACAAAAGCGAATTGACAAATGGGATCTAATTAAACTAAATAGCTTCTGCACAGCCAAAGAAGCTATCATCAGAGTGAACAGACAACCTACAGAATGGGAGAAAATGTCTCAATCTGTCAGACAAAGATCTAATATTGAGTCTACAAGGAACTTAAAAAATTTTTACAAGAAAAAAATAACTGCATTAAAAAGTGGGCAAATGACATGAACAGACACTTCAAAAGACATACAAGTGGCCAACAAACATGAAAAAAACTCAACATCACTGATCATTAAAGAAACACAAATCAAAACCACAATGAGATACCATCTCACATGTCAGAATGGCTATTATTGGAATGTCAAAAAACAACAGATGCTAGTGAGGTTGCTGTACTTTTATACAATTGATAGAACGGTAGGTTTTGTTATACTAACATCCACAAACACAAATGAGTGATGCATTGCACTATGATATTACAAGGGCTGCAGTGTCAATGGGCAATAAGAATTTTTCAGCTCCGTTACAACTTTATGGGACCACCATGATATATGTGGTCTGTCAGTGACCAAAATGTCGTTACACAATGCATGACTGTTCTTAGTTTAGTGAACTGTAGTTATTCAAGAACTCAATATTTTGAAGTTGTTAAAAGTATTAAAATCTCTTCCATTAGCATTTATAAGGCAATCTAGGTGGAGACATTTGCCTAAATTGCGGCTGAGATGTTTAATTGCTTCTTGCCACATTTACAGGAAATAGGCAAAAATACCCAGGAAAAGGAAACAGTTTTATGCATTAGTGCTGTACCTTCTTCATATTGTCAAAAATAAAAGATAGTAGAGATTTATTGAAAACATTTTAAATAAAGAAGTTGTGTTCATAATATAAAGCTGCCTTAAACTATATATGAAAAAAACTGTAAATCATAGAAAATAACTTTATCAAAGATGTTAAATAATACATTTTACAGAATAATTTCCCATGGGCTTTGTGACTTTATTTAGTAACATTCATTAGTTTGCACACATTTTAATATAATGTATTATGCTTTACAACCTTATTTAAATATCACTTATGTAAGAATGAACCAATGGCTTAACATATCAGATCATTAAAAGAGTAACATGATTAACAATATGACTTTTTGTTTGTAAAAATAAAGACTCTCTAAACTGATTTTATATAAGCTGAAAAATTATGTCAAATGTTAATGGTAAATTTCCATTGTTCTCATGATACACTAGATGTCATGACATTTAATATCAGTATTTTAAAATACAGCTTAAACTTTAGGTTCCAATTCACTTTTGAAAGTAATATCCTGAAACTGTATGAACATAACCAAGTTTTGTGAGCCAGAATGGGTTACTCTGAATCTTCTTCAGACACCTTTTCAGTACTGGCACTTTAGTTTGCTGGGTTTGGTGCCATCTTAATTGGCCTAGTGTGCATAGAGCTGATTATTGGAGAGTGAGGCTGACTTCCATATAAGACTTTGACAATTGTATCAATACCATTGCTTACAAATACACATTGTATACATGGATTAATAAGAATCTCTTTTCTCAAGTCACATAATGACCTGGGTAAACACTTAGGGAATGTTCTCAAACCTCAGGATCTTCAGATTTTCCTGTAACTACAGCTGAGGAACTAGCAAAATTCACCCAATAAAAATTGCTGCATTTCTTCACTACTTGTCATAAGCTCTAGACCTAGGGCTACCACTTAATGTGTTTTTTGGGAGTTTTGTTTTTTGTTTTCATTTTGTCAGGGAAAACTAAGGAATGTCTTTTTGCACTGTTGGTACTTTCAGGATATACAGAATTCTGTGCTACTCAACTAGACAAAGACCTGAGAACTTTTATGTTGAAAAACCTAGCAATTAATGGTTCCTTTAATAAAAAGTCTCATTTATTTAAATTACACATTCTCCCTTCTGCAGTGTTTAGGTCATTGTTCCCTTTCCTCCTCCTCGCCTACTGCAGTCTCATGCCTTCGCAGTATTGTTTAGAGTTCTAGGTCAGACCAGAAAATTCATCTATGATATTCTGTGAATACACCAAAGAAAATAAGAAGGAATTGAGTTACTCTCAGCCTTAAGATTACAGACCTTCTGTTAACTATGTGGGATCCATAAGACTGAAAGGGGGTCCCAGAATCTAACCCACAAACCAGAGCAGCAAGACTGCTAATGTAACTGGAGGTAGAGCCATAAACCCTGTTTCTTCTTGCTCATCTGAAATGCTTCCAAAATTGGTGCATTTATTGTCAGGGATATTAGAAACTACTTAATTTGTGTTTTCTATTCACAAAGATCAAGAGAGTCCTTTATAAAATGTCTAGTTTAAGCTGCTCATCATAGAGAAAGCCAATTTTATGGTGTTTCTATGCTTCAGCCTCACCATTGGGTTTTAGAACAGGAAACACTCATCCGAAAAATAGTCATGAGGAAAGTCTACTTTTATTTTTATATGTGTGCCTTTTTATTATTGCTAATTCTCATTTTAAACTTTGTGGATAGATGTGGCTAAAGCATAATTTGTCCTTTGGTTAGAAATCAGATAGATTGTCCTGATTTGTAGTCCTGCCTCTTAAGCCTTTTAAGAAATTAACTTAAAGTCCTTGTTCCAAAAGAGCAATTCTGTTACTTCCTGGAGCCTGCAAGGAAGGGCTTAATGTGCTTTAGTTACCATCTATAGCTATGCCACATGGCTGTAGGTAGGGTTTTAGTTGATTCTTAAAGCCTTTCTTCTGCTTCCACCCCCCAATTCTGAATGGCTCATTTGAATTTGATATAGAACATCTGCTGAATAGCCTTGCATGTGAATTGCCTGGGGGACTTGGCCATGATAGTAACCATCAGGTGTTGGTAAAGGGACTCTTTTCCATGACTCGGATGATTTCATCCTCACCTTTTCATATTGAATCAGGTTTAAAATTTAGTTGACGAATTTTATTGTTAATAAATTGATTATTAATAATCCATTATTGATTAATAAGCACTACTGATGAGTCTGACAAACTCTCAAGTAACATAGAAACTATGAACCTTCATGTTAGGACTGAAGGTGTTGACTTCCTGTGAACACAGACCACAGAGCTCTTTGGATGAATGCAGATAATTCCCTTGGATTTAAGGTCACCTGCAGGTAAAGGTGAGATGCCAAGAGGTGGAATGAAATTAGTAAGTATGGCACTCTAAAAGTTAGGTACTCCAAGTACCTGCAAGGAAGACAGGTCTTTGGGAACTGTCCAAAGTGCTGAATTAACCAGGCCTCTAAGTCAGCGAATCCTGCCTGACCTACTTCTTCCAGGTGTCTGTGATTTTACATTCGTGATTTCACTCACCACTTACAGCAGTTGTCTTCCTCAGCCTGTGTTCTGAATGTCATCATTAACTAAACCTACCTCCCCTGATCTGTGCTTGGATTGATTTCATTTAATTCACCTACTGAGATAATCCACAACTAAGTTCCAGAACACCACTTCTGTTGTAACATCTGCTACCATATTAGGCTGTTTTGTTTTTAAAATAAAGCTATTTTTCTATCTATTGAAAAGGTCATTGATCCTAGAGTTAAATGTTTTCTTTAAGTGGACATAAGCCCAATTGTAATATTGTCCCAATTTTTAAGAGGATCGAATCAAGACCAGCAAGTTATTTAGGCATCTGACACAACATAGTACAAATACGACATTTCCCTCCTCCTAATGATGTGATTTCTTATAATCGTGGACCCTAGTATACACATAGACTTGAGCCTACTGCAAACAGCACACCAGGTTTCTTGAGCAATTTTATTAAGAGGACTGTGAAATTCAAGTTTTCTCATAACTACATGAAGGAGTGCTGTACTTCATGATGTAGCACATAAAATCCTATAGAAATTTAAGTATTAAATACAAATAATTTTCTAGGCAATTAAGCTAAACACTGCTATGATGACAGAAGATGTATAACAAATTCTACACAAATCTATTTCATTTTACTAGCTAAAATCAGCTTTTATTTTAGCATAGTTTGATGTATTGATGAAATTTTTAATCTCAGATTTTGAATCTGCAATCAAGATAGCATTGGGTGATAAAGAGATACTCATAAAAAATCATTATTGGCACCACAGATCATCTTGAGCAAAACCATTCTTCTATCAGTTCAAATTTCTATCCACTGAAATATAAATAATATTTCTTGAAAGGCATGTCAATGCTTAGATTGATGCTAAGATTTTTGTCATTTTAGAAGACCAAAATGATTTCATTTTTTCCCCTTTGCACACTATTACAAGAGGAAATTTTTACTGTGTAAGTAATAACCTTCATAACAGCAGTAGATTCTTGGCACTTAAAGTTAAAAGGGTCCAGCTGTTTTTTACATATCCAGGTTATAGCATTTTTGTCTTTTGATTCCTGTTTCTGGTAATATTTCTATTGTGGAAGATTCTAGGCCATGCATTTGGGTGTACTTTTTAGGAACACTGACCGTTTACTGATCTCACTAAATGTTTATTTGACCAGTAGAAGAAAACATAGTGAAGTTTTATACCCCTTTAAGGTTTTATAATGCCAGAATTTTTTGGTGAGTGATTCAATTTGTGTTCAGAGTTATCAACAGATAGTGTACGGTTTTTGCATGCTATGTTGGTCCAATGTAAGGCACTAAGAATGGAAGTGTCATTGTCTTCTATAATGAAGTACAATTCGCTTTCAGTTTAGGAATTTTTTGAGCCCAGCTTTTTTGAAATATGCAATGTAAATGCCTATTTCTAAGCACTTTTTTCTCCCCAAAGAGACTAGAAGGACTGACATAAGCAACTAATGATTTTAATATTATCATATAAATCATATAAAATTATTAACTTAAAGACTAATATCACAGAAAATGAAGTGACTTGCTCTGACACCTTAACTACAATATTAACCTGTTTACTGTTTGTTCTGTAAGTTTTTTGTTCCATTGTAGCTGAAGGAAATATAATTAAGGTCAGTATGCATGGGCATAGGATTCACTTCTTTGACTCTCTCACAATCCATAATATTATTAGGTAAAACCTAGGGTTCTGAAACTGTGATGTTCACAGTTTAATTCATTTTTCTTACACTCATGTCTTTAATTACAATGATTTACTAACTCTTGTACACATCTCCTAGTGACTTTTTTCTTTTTTATGTTGCTTTATTTTTAATGGACCCATAATAATTGCGTATATTTATGGGATATAATGTGATGTTTCAAAACATGGCACTATGGAATGACCTAGTCAAACTAATTAACATCTCTAGCACTTCAATATTTGTTGTTTCTTCATGATGAGAACATTTGAAATTCTTTTTTTTTTTTTTTTTTTTTTTTTTAGCGATTTTGGAGTATGCAATCCATGATGACTATAGTCACCATGCTGAGTAATAGATCACCAGAACCGATTCCTCCTTCTAACTGAAACTTTGTACCCTTTGACCAACATTTCCCCTTGATGTGTCTACCCTCCGTCCTTTACAGCTTCTGGTAACCACCACTCTACTCTCTCCTTCTATGAATTTGACTTTTTTTGATTCCAGATGTAAGTGAAATCATGTCGTATTTGTCTCTCTGTGCCTGGCTTAAATCACTCAATATAATGTCCTCTAGGTCCATCCATGTTGTTGCAAATGACAGAATTTTCTGCTTTTTAAAGGCTGAATAGTATTCTATTGTATATACCACAATATAAAAATCCATTATCTAATGATTGACACTTCAGTTGTCTCCATTTTAATCTGAAACACGTCAAAAATTCACCCAGAAAAAAATCATGTCCTTTGAGTGGGAAGAAGAAAAATCATGACTTCAAAAATTTTACTTATATTTCTCCCTACTGCTTTAACAAACAGAACCTATTTACCTTGAATAATTAGGTGCATATTTTCAAACCCTCTGTGTTGTTTTTCTGAGTGGAAAAAAATTGGATAACAAAACTGATAATATATCATAATTTAATGAGTGTATTGCTGCAGCTATGAATATATATTGTAATATATTCACTGGATCTGACAACTCCATGACTTTCAAATACAGTAAATTTCCTCATTCTATAAGAGGCACACAAGAGAATCTTGATGAAATTGATTCCAACCGTTTTTAACTTAAGAGTCCATGTTTCTCTGAAATATCCCCATAGATATAAGCAGTGGCTCTTGCATGTTAAGTCTTGGATTTAACACATAGACCTTAATAAAGCAAATGTTTTATTTACCCTAGTCTTTCTCAATGGTGCCCTAATGTGATGACAGAGGTTTTTCAGAGATTTGTTCTATGCATTAATGATTTGAAAGCTATAACCTGATGTCCTATTATATAAAAGTCATTTTTGTATTTGAATTTAAAATCTGAAAAAGAAAACCGCAGACATTCTTTCCTTATATCTTCTATATTCCTAATCTGGGGGACAAAGGAGAGTAAAATCTAGTTGACCTCAGGTCTGTTATTTCTCTCAGGGGAAATAGAAACCATCAATACTGGAAAAACCAATGCCCTCATTTTTATTGCTAAGTAGCTACTTTATTTAAATCATTGATATCCAACCAAGTTACGACAGATGTAGATGGTTTTATGAATTATTTTATAAACTGCAACTTTTATTCAGACTGCACAAAAACAATATCTGAAACTTTGAGGCCTCTATTGACCATGCTGTAAACAGAAATACTGAGCAGCTTGATTAAAATTTATAAAGTAATATTTGTCAAAATACTCCGCTGCTTATGTTTAAAAGCAATCATGTTATAGAATATTCACACTGTATGAAAGCTTCTCCTTATTGAAGGCTTGGAAACCCTCATGATTATGGCAAATCATTCATAACACTAGACTAAAATTTAGTATCAGTACTTCCTTGACTAATAGTTCTCTTAGATCCGTTATAGGTTGTATCTATATGTAGCAACCAGACAAAATCAGGATCAATTGTCCACATAAGATGGCTGCAGAGAACTGATTCCATGAAAGGAAATTCTGAAACACTCTACAAATATGAATTTTTCGGGACCAGCAGAAAGCACAAATTTAAATTATAAGTTACAACAAAATGGAAAGTTTGACTTACACTGTCTTCAACCTATTTATTTTAGCTATACTGGCCTGCTTTCTGTTTCTCAAATAACCAGCACATTCCTACCCACACAGGATCTTGAATTTGTCATTTTCCTGGACTACTTTTCTTCCTAATATCCATCTGTTCCTTTTTGTCACTTTATGATATTCATCCAAAAATCAGGTCTTCAGGGAGCTCCTACCTGACTACCTTATCCAAAATTGGACTTGCCCTCATTTTCTATTCTGTTCCAATTATTTATTTTTTATTGCACTTATAATTGACCATTTATTCTGTATCCATTTATTTGTTTATTGTCAGTGTACCTCACTAGAAAGTAAACTCAGAGAGTCAGAAAATTTGTTTGAATCACAGTTCATTTTCAAACTTAGAATAATCACTGGCACCTAAGCAGTGCTCAATAAAGGTGGGTTGAATGAATGGATGAATACCTAAGTTTCTTCTTCTAACCCAACAATGAGAACCCTTCTACCCCTACTTAGAGATTTAGCCTGACCCAAGACTCTGGGGCATATCCACTTTCTTGGCTCTAGGCCAATACTTTGAAGCTGCAGCATCCATTTGGCCTTAGAATCTAGTCCTAAGTTAACCACATGTCCTAAGTGTGATAATTTTGTCTTTATCTTAATTCTCATCATTAACATTGTGAGTCTCTTTCTCTCACATGTTTCCCTCTCACTTTATCTGGGATGTAGTTCTTATCTTGCTATGGCCATTCCCATAGTGTGGTTTTCCCTACACTAATTCATAGTATATCAAATCGCTAAAACTCAAAACAGTACATTTGGTCAACAAAACTATACCTTCAATCACTCCTTCCACACACACACACACCCCAAAGTTCTATGTATTTTACTACCTATGAATTAATGATAATTACCCTTCCCTAAAATTTCTGTCTTTTTTCATGTTCTCTTTTTCTCCCAAATATTATGAAGGCTTCCTTGATTTCTCTGCTTTCAATACAGAAAGTCAGTGGAGAGTTAGAGAAAAAAAGTAATGAGGTTAAACGTATGAAAGAGGTAGAAAGGTCCTGCAATATATTGCAAAATATACAAATTCCAAAACTTATTTTAAAACAAAGGAACTAGAATGTGTGTTTTCTCATTAAAGAAATGTAAAGGCTTTGTAAATATGTGGACATGTGGGACTTGGGATTTATTAGCTAATTCACTAACATTTTCTGGCTGCTTTTTGATAAACTATAAGGAAGGATAGGTTTGTTTATTATTCCTTTATTCTAAGGATAATTAATGGAAAAACTGAAAATATATTTTTATCAATTAGTAATTGTTCCGTGCTAAGATTTCCACCTCACCTTACCCTTCTCTTTTTTCCTTTTATGTTAGAGTGACTTTAAATTATTTTATAATATGTGAAAGTTTGATTCCTTTCACTGATTAATGGGTAAAATTATAAACCTGAAAATGTGTATTTTAAGTATGAATACTAATAGTAACCCAAATTAACACAATGTGTGGTGTCAATAAACAAAAAGTTTTAAACGATATACAATAGGCCCAAAATGACGTAATCCTGACAATGATGGGTAGATAAAAGGAACATATTTGAGTTAAAATTTTCCAATGAGTTTTCTTCTCTTTTACCTCCATGCCATATGTAAACAAGGGGCATGTATTTGGCGAGAGAAACCTGCCCTTTGGCACTGGGATCTGGCATTGGAGGATGCCATTTCCCAAAGGGATCTGTTCCCTTTTGGCTGGTCCATAGGAACAGAAAGATTTCTCCATGCCAGGTCCCCCAGGATCAATTCTAGACAGATTAAATACTTGCTATTTCTGCCCCTGCTCTCTAAGGATGAGAGTAAATGGTCTCCATGAAACTTCCAGAGAACACCTTTTTGATGCAGCCATCTGGTTTCCCTGGAGATGAAACAAGTTTTATTATACCTGGGATGAAATGTAACACATTGCAACAAGGGCAGTTGGTAGCATTTCTAACTTCAAGGATATCTAGGAATACTAATTTTCAAAGAGTGTATACAGGTTAGATAATTTTAACTTCTCCCTTCTCCCCTATTCCCCTTCAATTTAATAGGGGTCTCATTTATGGTAAAGTGTAGCAGCAAACCATTAAAAGAAAATGTGTATAATGGTGTATGCAGGTTAGGGAGATGTGGGGATGGAGACTCCTGGAGACAGGCACATTGACAGCCTGACAGTGAAGGAGGACAGAGAGAAAGTACAGAAAGTTGACAGAGGAATGCGAAAATTGAGTCATCCATGGTCATTCTTACAGTGGAAGTGCTTATCAGTCTGGCAGAGGTAATCAAAATATTGCAACCCCGCATAGCTATTGATTCTCCTAATAATGACCCTGAGCTATCCAGAAAACGTTATGTGCAGAAAGGTAATATTTAAGAAAGATTTCTTTTAAAGATAATTAAAATTCAAAAGTTTGGACTTCTGAAAGGGAAAGGCTAGAATATTCACCTAATTAGAATACTACATTCCTTGAAAATGCCAGACAAATGTAATGCAACTCTTGGTATAAAATATTTTAACTACCTTCTATTTGGAAACAATTTATTATATATATTCAAATTTATACTCAAATTAAGATTTGACTAAATTGTCTCAACAATTATATCAGAAATGCATTCTATAAATGCAAACAAACCTGACAATGTTCTTACATGCCTAAAACATTCTAAGTATATATAAATATACATTTAAAAAGTGATTAGATATTTTACAATTATAATAAAGTTAAAAACTGCATATTCTTTTGCCCCAATAATGTTTTTTATGAAGTCAGAAATCTTGTATGTGGCATATTTGTAAAGCAACTAATGAATGTGCTGGATTTAAAATAGATGTGTAAAACTATTGGTGCATTACCAAATTGTTAAAATTGATGTATTAATAAAATGTGAATTTACAAGTTTATCCATTTTTTTTAGAAACCTCAGCATGATAGTATGTGGAAATGTTTTCTCTGCTTCTTTTTTTTTTTTTTTTTCTTTCACTTTTGGGACACTCACCTGTCCCCCAGAGTTCTAAGGAGTAAAAGCTGCAGTACACTTGCTTCAAAGCCTATGTTTTTAGTTGGAGAGGAAATAATACATCGCTATCTTGGTTGATTTCCCTGAAAGGCCCACATTCACAGTTTGCAGTATATACTAATTTTTTTTTTTTTTTAGATGAAGTCTCACTCTGTCACCCAGGCTGGAGTCCAGTGGCATGATCTCAGCTCACTGCAACCTCCGCCTCCCAGGTTCAATTGATTCTCCTACCTCAGGCTCCCATGTAGCCGGGATTACAGGCATGCACCACCACACCCAACTAATTTTTTGTATTTTTAGTAGAGATGAGGTTTCACCCTGTTGGCCAGGATGGTCTCAAACTCCTGACCTCAAGTAATCCACCCACCTCAGCCTCCCAAAGTGCCGGGATTACAGGCATGAGCCACTGCACCAGGCCTCTGTATATATTCGTCTTAGAGGCAAAACAAAATCAAAAGTAAAAGACATTTGGCCTATTATATTGTCACATTTTTAACTCATGTTCATAGTCCTGTCTTTGCCATAACCTTCATTTTAGTACACTCCTTATTTTTCTTTCTTTTAATATTTAGCTCCTGTTGCCATTCTCTCACAATTTAAAAGATTTTCTTTTTACTAGGCTTTCACGTGTTTTGTTTCTACCAAAAGCTCATTGACATTATTTGCTTTCTGTACTTTTACTTTATGCTTTGCTTTCTTCTGAGAATCAAGAGTCCTTTGTGAATTCTCTACTATAGTTCAACTTTATATCCTAGAAAGCTTCCTCTACTGGGAAATGCTTCATTTTTTACTTCACTTGATCTTGTTTCTTGGTTCTGGCTCTTACAAATTAATATGTTTTTTCTTCCTGTAGAGCTATGGGGAAAAACAGTGAGAATAATGGAAATGACATTTACTAATGTACCCACAAGGCAATGGCTCATTGTCAACTACAGAGGAAATTTAACTAAAATGATTTATCTGTCCTGTAAGAGAAGCTACACTGTCTTAGAAAGGGGCATGCTCATGGGCATTTTGTTCAAATGAAGATTGTGTAGTTTGGCATGTTATATGTTCAGAAACTGATATAATGTACCCTGATTCTTCACACTTTACATGTTTTTCAGTAAATCTAGTGGTATACTGGCGTCTTCTCTTAGTAAATGGGTCTTACTATGTACTTATATTTGCCTGAAGTTTGTGTGAATAAAACTAATCATTTAAATGACATTTTATTTCATTTCTCTTCATCATTTAATAAATTATGTCCCTTGTAGTTTAGAAAACGTCATTTTCGGCCTGGCGCGGTGGCTCACGCCTGTGATCCCAGCACTTTGGGAGGCCGAGGCGGGCGGATCACGAGGTCAGGAGATCGAGACCATCCTGGCTAACACAGTGAAACCCCGTCTCTACTAAAAATACAAAAAAATTAGCCGGGCGTGGTGGCGGGCGCCTGTAGTCCCAGCTTCTCGGGAGGCTGAGGCAGGAGAATGGCATGAACCTGGGAGGCGGAGGTTGCACTGAGCAGAGATCCCTCCACTGCACTCCGGCCTGGGCGACAGAGCGAGACCCCGCCTCAAAAAAAAAATTAAAAAAAATAAAATGTGATTTTCCTCTTTTATGCTTCTTTAATCTTCAGATCCTTATTCCGTTAATGAGACCAGGCCTCCCTTGTCATTAGGAGGCTGGTAGGGGAAAACAAATGTTTGTCTCTAAGTATATAAGGGTATTGCCTTAACAGAGGAAAAACAATGTGGTTTATTTGTTTTCATTTATTCTTGTTTTCTAATGTTATTTTTTAATTTAAAATTTTACTTTATTTATAAAGCATCCCGTTAATACTCATTCTCATGTTAGCTGGTTACATTCCCTTTATTCGTGGTTTTTCTTATGTTGTATTTCTTGGGTGCCTTTATAATTATTATTTATTTAATTCTATTACATAAAATTTGAGACCACACTTGCTTTTTGGTAAACTCCTGTAATTCCTTACTATAGAATTAGACAAAAGAAATAATAGTTATTTCACAGAATTGCTTATGTTTCTCCAATACAGGTTTCCAGTTACTCAAAACATTTTTTTGCTTTTCATGTTTCATGTAAATGTTTATAACTCTTCTATTACTGAAAAAAAAATTGTGTCCTAATAGCATACGATTTTTACAAACAATAGTAGAGGTAGAAATTGTATAAGAGAGTAGAGATGTATATCTAATAATAAATGAAGGTAGATCATGTTTGCCTCAAAATAACAAAATAACAGTGGTATCAAATTTGGACTTAAATATATCAAGACAGAAGGATGAGAAGCTGGAGTTTGGATTATAGACAGAAGCTTCTGGGGGTAGTTGGAGTGGTCCAGTTACTAGAGGAAGAGTCAACCTTGACCAGCCTTGCTAGGACAGAGTGGATTCAGGTCAGTTGTAGGACAATCATTTACAACCTTTTTGTGCTGGATGTCTACTTTCAAGCATAAGAATTGTTGGCAGTACACTTGAAGAAACTAAATACAATCATACTACTGCACTGTTCAGAGGTGAGTGATTGTCTAATGGAATTGTTTGCATCCCAGGCTGTACGTGTGTGTTGTAGGAAGTTTTATCTCTTTGATGTCAACTAAGCCATACCACTGTGTACATCACATTTTCCAACAAACAGCACTGGAACAGAATCTGTCCTCATTTTCAGCAAAAACAACAATTTCTACAGCTGTATTAAAATGCAGAAGATAGTAAAAAGTCTCAGTGCTCCAGTTAACCAAGGCTTTGGTAGGGAATGTCAGAATTATTTGAGTATGTAATAGAGGCCTAGAAATCATAAGTTCAAATGCCAGTCTTGGATTTGCCATGAACTTAGTGCTGGACATTTACTAAGAGGGCTCTATGTACCCTGTCTTTAAATGACTAAGTTTCACAGGATATAGGAATGTGATTTGTTCTGAATGATCTTAAGGAGTGAAACAAGGAAAAAGAAGAAAGATAGATTATGGCCTGTTATAAAGAAATGCTTTATCATAGCCAGGGCCAATGAAATAATAAATTGATATTAGTTGCCAAGCACAGACTAAGAACTCTCTTGTCAGAGTTGTTCTAAAGGGGATACACACCTGCTAAACATTTGGACTGATGATAACTAAAACACCCAAAACAACACCAGACTTGATACTTTGCATACACAATCTCCAATTTTACAATGTTTCTTCAATGAAAGTATTATGTTAACCATTTTTACAGAGGAGAAACCTGAAGCGTAAAGATGTTTAGTAACTTGAAGGAAGTCTCTGAAGTAGAAAGGGGAGAAGTTGAAATTGCTTCCAGCCTTCTTTGACACATAGTCTGTGCTTGGAAGACCTGTTTCCCATTGGGAATGTATTCAGTCAAATAAAGTCTAGATTTACCCTATTTCCCTTTCCAAAACGGGATGACTCGCTTTGCTCTTCTATTTGTGCCTCCTTGACTTCACTTTCCTTCCAACCATGATATCCATCATTCTAAACCAGTGTTTCCTAAAGTATGCTTGGCAGAACATAAGTCATATGAAATTCTATCCCCCAAAGAGGGAGGAAACCTGTGGTCAAACAAGTTTGGAAAATATACTGCCTACCATATTCTCTTTGGAAAATTCATATTACGGATTGAATCTTAAAAATTTAAGTTCTGCAATAAAGAAGCCTGTTTAAATCTGTGCTTCCAGCATTTTTCAAACTTCTTAGACCGTGGAACCAATTGTCATGGAGCTCTATTAACATCTCCCCAGGACTCATGTTCTGGAGCACACGTTGGAAAGCAACAATATCATTCAACCCTCCAGGTCTCCACTGTGTTCCCTGTAAAGCCAAGTGGTTGAGCTGGATGCCCTTTAAGAGTTCTACCAGCACTATACTATGTAGTGATGGTTTTCTGTCCACACAGCCAACTCTGCCACAAGCAGTCACTAGGACTCAGCCTCTAGAAACCAAGTCAGCCTGTCCTCCTCCAAGGCCAGTGTTCCCTATCACCCTGAAGCAATTGGATTGATAGAACAGTAGAATGGCCTTTTGAAGTCACAATTACAATCCAACTAGGTGACAATACTTTGCACAGCTGGGGCAAAGTTCTCCAGAAGACCATGTATGCTCTGAATTAGTATCCAATATGTGGTACCATTTCTCCCATAGCCAAGATTCACAGATCCAGGAATCAAGGGGTAGAGTGGAAGTGGCACCACTCACCATCACCCCTAGTGATCCACTAGCAAAATTTTGCTTCCAGTTCCCACATTACATTCTGCTGACCTAGAGGTCTTAGTTCCAGAGGGAGGAATGCTGCCACCAAGAGATACAATAGTTACATTAAACTAGAAGTTAAGATGGCCACCTGGAAACTTTGGGCTCCTCCTAATTCAAGAGGCTAAGAGAGGAGTTACAGTGTTGGCTGGGGTGATTGGCCTGGACTTATCAAGTTGAAATCAGCCTACTACATAACAGAGGTAAGGAAGAGTATGCATGGAATACAGGAGATCCATTAGGGTGTCTCTTAGTATTACCTTGCTCTGTGATTAAGGTCAATGGGAAACTACATCAGCCCAATCCAGGCAGGACTACAAATGGTCCATACCCCTCAGGAATGAAGGTTTGGGTGGGTAGTAGAAGAAGGTAGTCATCAATAACAGCTATGACCAGGTAAGCAGCTGCAGAACCAAGGACTGTAACCGTCATGAGTATTTCCTCCTCCTTTTGTTAAAAACATGTTTGTGCATGTAGGCACTCATACTAAGAAAATACCTTCATTTTATTTTCTTTTCCTTCATCACGTGACATAAGATTTATTGACTTTTTATCAACTTTATGTAATAGTATTTGTTAACTGTATGTAATAGTATTTGGGTTGGGGATTGGTGTGTTTCCTGTTGTATGAAGCATAGTCATGTTAGGCATAATTATGACCTTATTATTGTCTTTACTGAAGATTATGATCTCAGGAGATATATATGGCTTCAAGTTGACAAGGAGTGGACTTGTGATGGTTAACTTGATTGCACTGAAGGATGCAAAGCATTGATCCTGGGTGTATCTGTGAGGGTGTTGCCAAAGGAGATTAACATTTGAGTCAGTGGGCTGGGGAAGGCAGACCCACCCTTAATCTGGTGGGCACAATCTAATCAGCTACCAGTGAATATAAAGTAGGCAGAAAAACGTGAAAATGTAAGACTGGCCTAGCCTTCCAGCCTACATCTTTCCCCCATGCTAGATGCTTCCTGCCCTCAAACATTGGACTCCAAGTTCTTCAGTTTTGACACTCAGATTGGCTCTCCTTGATCCTCAAGCTTGCAGTCTATTGTGGGACCTTGTGATCATGTAAGTTAATGCTTAATAAACTCCCATATGTAGATAGATATAGACATTCTATTAGTTCTGCCCCTCTAGGGAACCCTGACTAAAACAGCCAGTCAGCTAACTAGCAGAGAAAAGGGGTGATAACAAGGACAAAAGTGGTTTTGCCCTCAATTTCAGTACCATGTAACTATGTGATTCTAGAACAACTTTCCTGAAATTTCTCTTTGCATAAATTAAAGTGCCTAACATCTCTTAAATCCTCCCCTTCAAAACGGCATTTTATTACATAAATCAACATAGGCATACCAGGGACTAAATTGTAACTCTCAAGTCAGTTACTAGGATACAACAGCATGAATAATAATGATAATAGCAATAAGAAAACTTTAGATAGAGTTTACTATGAGCTGGACTATTCTAAGCTACATGCACAGACACACATTATATATGCTTCTATATATACGTATATATATATATATACATACACACACATATATATATACATATATATATGCACACACATTCAGTCGCCACAAAAACCTTGCAAAGTAGAAACCATTATTATCTCTATTATACATATGAGGACACTGATACCCAGAAAGGTACAGCAAATGATCTCAAAGCCAGTTGGGGACAGGGGAAGGCATGGAAGGGTAGAAGAGTGTGAATGGGGAGAAAGGGTTTGTGAAGAGGATTGATTTGAAGGGTTATGCTATGACTCCACCCCCACCAAAGCAAAGATGTGAAAGGTAATTACCCCTTTACATTAAGTCAAGAGAGGGACTTAATATGTGTCACCTTAGTGTGTGGCCTGATAGACTGGAATCTACATTGAGCCTAAGAAATCAAAAGGCCATGCTTGGGCTTGAGCGGCCTATGATAGCTGAAACAGGAAATTAATTTGCTCTCTCAGCCTGCTGGCACAATGCTGTGTGTTTCATGATCCATATTGGAACATGTTCAAGAGAAGCCAACATGGAACTGTTTTATGTCCTCTTGAGAGGTTTCTTGAGAGGTTCCTGTCTAAAAGCTTGAAGTGACCAGGTCATAGGAGGCTGAGAGCCAAGCTGAGCCAGAAGAGTGGGCCAACTTGGAGAGTACCAGAGGCGGGATGCTACCAGCACAAAGGGATTCAGAGCTCTCATGGATCTGTGTGCCACCTCTGAAACTGAAATTGTCCATGAGGATGTAACATAGAGCACAAAGGCATTTTGCTGTAGTCTGGTTATTTTAGCAAAAAAGAAAGTTATTGGACCAGTATTTTGTACATCACACAATCAAAGGAAAACTAGAACCAGGTTCTGAAAAGACTAATCAAGGAAATTTGAGCAGCTAAACCACCACAAAGGTCATAGGGTAGGGTGGATCTTTTCCCATTATTTAGTTTTTAACACAAATTCCTCTCAATACAATGCAGTACATTTTACAGAGACTCTCTTTTTTTTTTTTTTTTAAGTTTGACTTCTTTCTAATGAGATGGAACATGTGGTTCTGTTTCCATACAAGGGAACTTTGTTAAGCGTCTCTGACTTCTAACAACTACTGGGCCTGCCAGCCGCGGAAACTGGACCCTACCACTAGACCATAGCCACTGAATACTAGATAATATTCCCAGGCTTTTCTGCTTCTATAGGTCAATCAACCCAGATTCAAATTCCCTGGCAAGAGTTATCTGATTATCTGCGATTGGGTGACATGACTGCCCCCTAGCAGCCAGAAATCAGAGTGATGTTTTCTCTCACCTCTGCAGAAGATGCCCCCTCTCACAATAGTCACACAATGGTGGATTCCTCAAACATAGGGAAAAGGTCAAGATGTTTGGCGGCCAAACAATGCCCACCTCTAGTATAATAAACAGACATACATAACAAGGAACAAAGGTCCTTGTAACAGTTACGTTTAAAAAGCAATGGAGTTTGGGCTATTGTTAATATAATTCCATTAATATCCAGGGGCTTGCCAGGCCTTGGAAAATTTGAGTTACATTTAGAAGTATGTATAAAGAATGGAGAAAGGAATATACATTTAAAATTAGAAATTGGGAGGTCTTTTTTTGATGGAAGAAACAGCCCATGTAGATGAAAAACAGATACACAGAAAGCAGAAAACATAAAGAAAATTGTGGGAGGGCATGGTAAACAGAATACAAGGGCATGTTAACTGCAAGACAAGGAGAAATTTTATACAGCAGTCACTTTAAATATATTTTAAAACTTTATTGATGCCATAAAATTCAAACACTATAAACCTGATTCTTTGTCAAAAGTAGGCCATCATATGCAAAGATACATTGAAGCCATATGTAAAAGAGAAACCAGAGGTAAACCATCATGACATTTTATAGAATATATACACAAATAGCATTTTCAGAACATTCCAAAAACTAGCACACAAGGAAAAACATGTAAGAAAAAATAGTGCAGACACTGGAATACTTATATTCCTCACCTTCTCTCTTCTTTCTTCCTGGTTCTCCTCTCCTTGTATTATCTTTGACTAGTCTCTTTCACCTTTTCTTATATTTGTGGCTCTGCTTGGCTTCACAAAGTGAGTTTTTGTCAAAAGTAGGCCATCATATGCAAAGAGGCCTCTGGGCAAAGAGGGTCTTAATTCTTTTCCTTCCCAGTGTCCACATACACCAGTCAACTGACCCAGTCTAAAATCTACATCCCTAACTCAGACCTAGTTCTTAGGTCTGAACCCATATACATCCTCCATCTGGATTGACCTTTTAAAAAAACAAACTAAAATTCAACTGAGCACATGACCTTCTCAGAACTTCTGTCCCTCCTGTACACCCAAGCTCAGTAACTATCACAGCCATCTACACAACTGCCCAAGCCAGGAACCTGGGAGTCATCCTTGATTCCCCAGAACATTCAATTAATCATGAGGTCCTTTCAAGTCTACTTTCTGAACACCTCCTTCATGTGCCCCTCTTATCCAATCCCTATGTCCCTGCCATAGTTCATACAGTCGTCATTTCAGAGGTCGCCAACGAGTAGTGTCCTTACCTGTCTTTCTCTCTTGATGCTGGAGTAATCTCTCTAGTGTCCGAATCTAATCACTACTTTTCTGCTCGAGTACCTCCCGTCACAGTCTCCATAAAATCCTTTGTATGCCAGAGAATTATATGGCCCCACGCCCCACTGAAAACCACTAACTCCTTCCTTGCAAAAACAGATTCCTTGAACTTCCCCTAAAATATTATATTTGTTTACATTTCCATCTCTTTGTGCTTAGATTTCCTTCTGCCCTCCTTCCAGATTCCTCTTAGTGAAATTCCATTCATCTCCAAACAGACTTCAGCATGCTCTGTGTTCTATGTCCCCGATAGGCTTCATCATAATAATTACAGAATTATAATATTTTGATTTGGCAGTTTTTTTGTCACTCTACTGGACTTTTAAATCCTGGCATAGTTAATAGCATATAATAAGTACTCAGTGAATCTTTCCTTCATGGTGTGGTTAGATTAAAGTGGTTATATTACAGATTTCATTAAATTCTACATGTTAATCAGTGTTACAGCCATGTAATATTTCTCTTTAAGAGGTCATTTTCCGATGTTCACCACCTTAGTGCAAAAATTCTTCTCCACCCAGTTGCCTAAATTAGAATGCTGAGTCACTCTTGACACATCCCTCTCTTGCATCTCCATATCCATTTTATCACCAAGGCCAATCAACATTACTTTTTCAGTATCATTTGAATTCTTCCATTTCTCCTTAGTTCTACCATTGCCATCAACCTAGTCTAAAATGCACATTTCTTGTCAGACTGCTGCAATCACTCTCCTAAATAGAATCTGGATTCCCTCCACTCCAGTTTTCACATTGCATCTAGAGGTATGTTTTGAAAATACGAAGCCAGTCTTATTTCTCTTCCACTGCCACCTCCTCTCACATGCATACAAAGTCCATGGAGCCATGGCTTGGCTTTGCTCTGAGAGCAAGGAAATGGAGGTAATCTTGTTTTCCATTATTGGAAGTATGGATACATAAAATATGAGGGGGATGTATGGGGGTATTACACAACATTCAGAAGCAACAGATTATCCACACTCATAATTACATGAATAGATATTAAGAAAATAGCTCTAAGTAGAAAGAATTAAAAACTAAACAAGATTGATAGCACAATGCCATTTATATGAATTTAAATGTTTTCATGTAAAACAACAATTGGTATTAGCAACAATATATTGAAACAGAGAAATACATTTCTTATACTTCCGGGTGCCTGTTTCCTGCTTCATTTTTCTCCTTAGCACTTAACATCTAACCAACTTATGTTCTACTTACTTATGTCACTATTCTCTAATTTCATTATAAATGTAAGCTTGATAAGGGATTTATGTCTATTTTGTTCACTGCTATTTCTCCAGTTCCTAGAGTAGTGTGTGGCACATGGGAGATGCTCAATATTTGCTTAGTGAATGAATTTCATTTATTACATTAGAACATTTGTCTGGGACGGGAGATAATGGGATTCAGTATGGGGATAAAAGGCGGCCAGTAAAGTAATCAAATCAACAAAGGACGGGCAAACCACTTCAGATGAGTTTCAAAACCACCCAGTTCTATTCTAGTTTTATCTATTTCTGGAGCATCATCTCTTCAAATGCCCTCCTTGCCCATCAACATACTTCAGCCACCTGCTCCCAGTTCTTCAAATGCACCATGCTTCTTCCATCTCAGGGCCATCCTACCTACTGTTCTCTTTGTCTAAAGAACTTTCCTGTTCATACTTCCCTGTCCCCAATATTCTTTCCCTACTTAAATCCTACTCATCGTTTTGATACCAGCTCCATGACTGTTTCATCAATAAAATGGTCATGACTCCTTTAGTCTTCAGTGCTGCCAGGGAATCTCATAATTATGTTTCATCAGAATATCTACATATCTTAATTTTGTCATTGTATGTTTGATTTTATGTTTCATTAGTGCCAATCCGACCAGCCTATCAGCTCTAAAATATGAAGGACAATTTCTTATTCTGACCATTATTCTAATTCTGGTCCCTACCACAGTACCTGTCATATAGTAGGTGTTCAACAAATGTTAGCCATTTGAACAAATAGGTCTCATTGTATAGGTTTCTTGGTAGCCTATAAGAAAATAGAAATATTGGCTGGGCGGGGTGACTCACACCTGTAATCCCAGCACTCTGGGAGGCTGAGGCGGATAAATCACGAGGTCACAAGTTCAAGACCAGCCTGGCCAACATGGTGAAACTCCATCTCTACTAAAGATACAAAAAATTAGCCTGGTGTGGTGGCATGCACCTGTAATCCAGCTACTCAGGAGACTGAGGCAGGAGAATTGCTTGAACCTGGGAGGCAGAGGTTGCAGTGAGCTGACATCGCGTCGTGCACTCCAGCCTCGGTGACAGGGCAAGACTCCATCTCAAAAGAAAATAGAAATATTATCTGCCAGAATATGCCTAGATCAAGAAAGCTTCAAATCTTGAATGTTTTAATCCATTTCAAGGTCACTCTTCTTTCAATGTGGCCTTCATACAGGTCTTGTTGTCTCATCCTAAATGACATCAGAGCTACCAGCCTAGAAAACGTTTCCTCAGGATAGTCATCTAACAGAGCCAGAAAGCAACAGAGATGTTAACTTAAGAGGAACCTGTATTAGGACATCTCCTCTCATTACTTCCTCCTTTAAGAGAAACATGTAAGCTAATTATGTACAAGAAAATTAATGTTTATTTTGCCTTTGAGCCAGATCCTATTCCTTATGAAGCTCAAAATTTTGTGAAAGATTTTAGTACTTTACATTATCAGTTTTCTTGGCACTTCTCAGTAATTCTGTCACTTTAATTGAAAAAAATACAAGAGGTCTTTGATGACAAAAAGAATGAGTCCCAACACCTAGCAACCAGTGCCCAGAATTGCTTTTTTATTGTGTAAGGAGCTTGCTTTTTAAAGTCAGGGAGCTAAAGCTTTGATCGTATTTCTCTTAAAGTCACCATTAACTTTCCCCATTATTGTAATTCTTATTTAGTCAATTAACTGTAGCATCTTTCCCAAAGCTGAAATCAAAGAATGAATAAAATCTTATAAACAAAGTCTATGCAATAATATGATGATTTTCTTTTTAAAATGGTTTCTGGCCTATTTGTAGATTTATTTTTTTCTAATAATATATTTGGTGGAAAAGGTTTTTCTATTTAAATGATCATAATAAGCATTAAAAGCATTCTATGGGGAGATATTTTTCCCCATTTCACATAATCACATACATGGCTCTTTGCGAATGTGGCCAATCTTACATACATTACTTTTCTGGCATTTCCTATTCCTTTCATTTGTTTTATTCTGGTAAAAATGCTTTTCAGCTTTTTTTAATGCTCTTAGATAAAAAGAACATAGCATTTCTACCTCAATTTTGATATGAAGACTTATTCAAATATTCTCAAGGAATTGGCTTCAAAGCATCCAAGACAAGAAATCTTCTGAAAGAAGAAAAAGAATATTTAATCGGCCGGGTATGGTGGCTCATGCCTGTAATCCCAGCACTTTGGGAGGCCAAGATGGGTGGATCACCTGAGGTCAGAAGTTTGAGACCAGCTTGGCCAACGTGGTGAAACCCCGTTTCTACTAAAAATACAAAAATTATCTGGGCATGGTGGCGGGCACCTGTAATCCCAGCTACTCAGGAGTCTGAGGTAGGAGAATCGCTTGAACCCGGGAGGCAGCTGCTGCAGTCAGCAAAGATAGCGCCATTGCAACAAGAGTGAAACAACAAGCCTGTGCAACAAGAATGAAACTCCGTCTCAAAAAAAAAGTACTTAATCTCCTGAAATTATAATGTATGGAGAAGAGAGAGTGAAAGAAGAGAAATTGTTCCAGAGCTTGGGCCAGAAAAGCTGAAATAGTAGACTTCTGAAATGCTTAAAACAGTTGGGCAGTAGAACTGTCTATGTAGCTTTGAAATGTGGGGCTCATTCTACTGATGATTCCTCATGTTCAAACCTAATAGACTCAGCTAAGTAGGACTCTGGCTTGCCTGACTCATCATCAAAAGACAAAGGCAGATTTATACCACGTGTCCACTGTACTGTGTGCTGATGGAAACCACCCCAAATGATATACAAGCCGTCCAAACTTAGTATTTTCTATGAATAATTATTATTTTTTGTTTCTTTGCAATATAAATACCTCAAAATCTGTTACTATGTCTCATAAGTTACATTGCAAAGTGTACAGATTTGGACTTCTTTGATTTGTAAAAGTTGTGGAATGTGGTAATTTTTTTAATCCTTGCCCAAAACATTGAGCCATCGAATTACCCACAAAGCTCACAAATTCCTCTATCCTCCAGTAGAAATACAAAATTTGAGTACCTTATAAAAATGCCCGTAAATACTGAAAGGAAACAGGATTTTTGCAATATCTCGAACAACCAAAATTTCCTGAGGTAAGGCAGACAGGAATTCTAAGACTTAAGACTTTTTATATAAAATATGCAACATACTGATTCTCAGAATGCGAAGTTCAGAAAGAATGCTAAGAACATTCTTATGAAGAAAAAAATTACAAGTGATTACCAAATAAGTCACATTTTCAAATCTTTGGGACCCATTTCCAGCCTCATTTTTTTTCTTAGCACTTAACATCTAACCAACTTGTGTTCTACTTTCTTATGTCATTATTCTCTAACTTCTTCATTATACATGTACACTTGGTAAGGGATTTATGTTCATTTTGTTCACTGCTGTTTCTCCAGTCCCTAGAATAGTGTGTGGCACATAGAAGGTACCCAATAAGCATGGAGGGACCAACCACTAAGAGGAATATTTATTGTATTGAAAATACACATTTGTTTTACTCTAAAATGTGAGAGGGGTGAATCAGATCCAAGGTTAAGCTCACATCTTTCTGTATATTGTCAGATAAATGTATTTTACTTTATTTTTATGTTGACAAAATAACATATTTTTAAAAGTTAAGTAGCACAAAAAGGCTTATATTTAATAACAAGAGTGTCCCACTACACCTGTCACCAACCCACATTCTCCTTTGAGGCAATCATTTTCAACTTCCTTAGCAATTTATTCTGAAATACAGTTCACATTTTAAAAGTAATTTTATACTACTATTTGTTGATTTATCAATTTTACACATTTCACTTTGATTTCTAACCTGATTCCTAATCTAATGAATATTTAGCTCTCCTTTCCATACATGCACCCACACACACACACACCTCCCCTCGTGTGTAATCACAGTTTTTATTAAATTCACCGATGCTTTAATTATAATTATGTAAATATTATTCACTCCAGTGTACTATCGTTTTATATGCCCTTTTCCCCTGTGAATTAATAGTTGCCTCATTTTTCTATTTGCTTAATTTTCTAATTATGTATTGCCACATTTCCCAAATGCATCGATAATCTTTAAAATGCTAGTGAATGCTATTTTCTACACAAACACATAGGATAATTTATAAGTTATTTTTCCCCTTCTTACTTCAATCTGTTAATCATTTTTTGTATGGCATCATATTTTTATTTCATGGATAGAATATCTATATTTTAAACCTTTTTTTGCTAACTGTATGCAGGCTCTAGATTTCAGCTTTTTATTTTTGGTAAGTCTAGTTAACTCTCCATCTATATGTCTTCTTCTAAAATTGTGTTATTCTTGATTTGCTATTCTCTCCTATTTTCTTTCTGATTCTTTATTCCATTATTTAAAAATTCCTTCATTACCATTTTAGTAGGGCTTTGGAGACAGGAGAGGGGATAAAAATGTGTTTAATTCTTTATGTATTTAGGTAAATTTAAAAGATTATTAAGATAATCACATTTTTGAAACTTATGGAGATATTTACAAAAAGGTATCCAATTTTATTGGTTTTTAAGAAAAAAAGACCAAGAACAAACATTTTACAAGGTCAACTAGGCATTGAAGAGTGAGGATGGAATGTTGGGTGTATAAGCATTCTGCTTAAAGGGTTTGATTCATTCCTCAAGTCCTGTGGATACAGGAAGAGGCACCATTCCAAAGTTCACACGAAAGGTTCTCTCTGGCAAATGCAGAATTCAGAGAGAAGATGACCTATGACATCCCCAGATAGGAGTGACAAGCAGCAGAGTGAGGTCTTATTCTCCTGGTAGGCATAGATAACCTGACCATTCTGGGCACGTCCCTAGTACCTTGCTGGGGAAGGACTCAAGATACCAAATTAGGGGAGAACCTGAGACCTAGTGCAGGAAATAATTGAAGTCAGACATGGCACATTGCAATAGTCTTTCCAAAGCCAGAGGTTCCAAATGACTACCTCTGATTTTACAGGTCAGTGTTATTGTTCAGTGGAAGAGTAGAGTGAAAGAGATACATTGTTTTGATACCAATGAAGTTTTTTAAGAAATCGGTATTTCTGGCTTTCAAAAAATTTTCTGTTAATCCGAACTTGCCTATTTTATTCATTCTGGCTTTTCTTAGCTCCAGGACTCTGGGTATGGGTATTTCTCACAGAGACTGAAGGAAGAACAGATAATCACTCCAACACATTAGGGAGGCTCTGGAAAGTAAACATGGCTTATGTCACATGCTAAATTATGAATGGCTCTTAAAAATAATTGTTATTGTAGTAAGAACACTTGAGATCTATCTTCTTAAAATTTTTAATACGAGGCACAGAAATAATTTTAATGAAGGTGAAAATGTGCCTTTTAAGTATACAAAAATGGAACTGGGTAATGAAAAGGTAGGAAATAAGATTGTGTGTGTGTATGGAATGGTCATGTGGAAGCCATATGATTCGTTAATTTCTAAAAATTGATTTTTACTTGAACAGATTTTAGTGGTGCCAAAATACAAGGTCACATTCTAGAAGTGCATGTAAATGATAAATCTGCATCTTTATCTCCCTTAAATTTGTTGCGTATAAAGTGGTACAGTATTCACAATTATACACAATCTATCTTTTGACCCCAGATATATCCTAAGCTCCAAACCCGTGAATCCAATGCGTTCCTGACACGTCTGTTTGATGTCCCATAAGCATTCAACTCAGTATGTTTGAAACTAGTTCCTCATCTTCTTCCAAACCTCTCAAGGGATACTTACCTGTCTCCATGAACGGTACCTACTTTCTCAAGCCAGAAACATGTTTACTAACTTTGACTTATTTACTCCAAATAACCTAACACTATATCCTGGTTGTACTTACTAAATTATTCCTTAGACCTGTCTACGGTTTCCAGTGTCACCTCCCAGTAGCTTACCTAGTACAGGCAATTAGCATTTTTATCCAAATCAAAGCAACCCCTCCCAACGGGTTTCCTTGATTCATTCTCCATGCTATCACCCAACTGATCTGAGTACTAATCCAATCATTTTATTTCCTTGCTTAAAAATCCTTTGGGGTTCCTTCTAGCCTTAAGAATGAAGTTCAAAGTTCTTAAGAGTTTCCTTGGCTGTCTGTCTCTGTAGTGTCACTTCTTTTTCTCTACCTCTTTCCCTTCAATTCCTGGATTTTAATCTACCATCTTTACCTAAATAGGCCATGCCCTCTCATAACTCAAGGTTTTCCTTCTTCCTGGACTCCTCTCTTACAATCTCCTCCTCAGCACCTCCCCGTACCAGACTAACTCCTTTCTCCCACCGTCTAATATATTTCCAGAGCTCCCTTTGCTAATCCCCTCTTATTATATTCACCACACTTTATTGCAAGTTTTCATTTATTTATTTCCGTGGCCACTAGACTATACAATCCTTGAAAGAATATAATTATTTTGTTTACAATGATATCCCTAGAGTTTAACATGATACCTTACTCATAAAAAGCATTCCATAAATATATTTTAATTTTAAATTAATGCATAAGCAGATTTAGCTATTTAATGTTGAACCATTCTTCTTTGAGGACCATCCCAGGAAGATAGTTAAGTCCAAAATAATTCAATATTCAGAGGCAGTTTTTAGAATATATTGTTTTTACCTTGTATTGGTGTCACTTACTATAGTGATTACAAAATGAAGAATGTCACATGCCTATTTTTCTTTTATTATTAAATAGACTTATGCAAATTTTACCAAGTAAATCACTCTATGGGGAAAAAAAAAAACAGTTTGCCAGATGCAACAAAGATTCTGGAAATATCGGATTGAAGATTCTATAAGAAACCTTGTAAAGATATATTTAAGCAAAACCAAAATAGCCTGATATTTTAATAGCCTAGTTCCCAAATCCCTACTGCAATAATTGTCAATTTAACTATTAAGAGACCATTTCCCAGGGTCAGTCGCATTCATGGTTAGGTAAAAGCAGGAAGGATAAGGGCAGTTTATGTATCTCGAGAGTCTACCCATATTTAAACCATTTAGTGATGTATAAATGATCTCTGCCTTTCCCTTTATTTCTCTATTTCTTGTTTCATTGCCTGGGCTCTTTCATTGAAATCTTATGGGTTATGAAAACTAGAATTTTTAGCTTTCTGCATGTGGAGTTGAATTGGTTAACCACTTTGTGCCTCTGACCGTATTTCAAGTTAGTCTGGATTAAGTGGGCATTGGGATCCAAATCTAAAATTATTTATAAGACCCCCCCCCCCAAGGAATTCATTTATTTTACTGTTTTTATGTATTTTCACAAAAATTATTATGTATCAAGTATGCTGAGAAGTATACGTTATAATGTTAAATAAAAGTAGCTAAATAGGCATTTCTCAAATTGGAATATGCTCAGAAATAACTCAGTGCTATAGATAAATTTATTGGATCTTATATAACTAGTTAAAGGCAGATATTCTCTTCTGCCAGCATGTTTTTCAAGCTTGTCTTTCTGGTTAGCCTCCTTTCTACCAACAACTTAGGAACAATTCCTACTTAAAGAATTTTTTCTCTAACTTTTATTGCATCCTAATAGCCATTTCTCTAATGTGGCAGCTCTCCAACTTTTTTTCCCCACTTCCAAACGTGGGAGAGGTATGTGCACATGTGCAACACACCTGTATTCACTCAGATCTGCCTGCCACATAGATTAAAATAGGCTCCGTACAACTCCCTGGGGCTAATTTATGCTCCACTCCAGCTAATTATTTTATGTGATAGACCCATTCATGTATCTGCTGTGATGCCTCAGCTGAGTACTGTTACACTATTGGACACTGGGTCAAGATGAGGATGTCTTGATGACATTTGGATGACAATCAGGACTCTGGAAGTAATTGGTAAGTAAGAAGAAAATATACTAGTTTATTCTTTCTCACTAGGCTGTCCTAAGAACTTCCCAAAAGGCATTTAGATATCACCTGGAGTTTGTATTTAAAACTTAAAGCAGTTGAGAATCAAAACTAACACCACCAAGAACCTTCCTACCATGGTGGACCTAATTAATACAGAGCTTTCACGTAAAAAGTATAGGATTTAAAGTAGGAAGACTTGGATCTTAATCCTAGTTTTACTCATTACTAACTGAAAGCTCCTTTTGCTCTGTTCCCATCATAGCCCACATCCTTGAAAGCACTCACCACGTTATATTTTGCATGTTTTTTTCCTTCAGGATAGAAGCTCTTGGGGCCAGAGGACTGATGGTGGTCCTCTTGTTGCCCCAGCATCTACCACTGGGTTGACAGTCAATACCTAAATAAAAAGGAACTACACTTCATCTTCAGGGCTCCATTCTTGCTAACAGCTTAACTCTCCAGTGTGGTATCATCCCAGTTCTTCCCTCCCTTTCACCTTTCCTTTCTTCCTTCCCTCCCTCCCTCCCTTCCTTCATTCCTTCCCTCCCTCCCTCCCTCCCTTCCTTCATTTCTTCCCTCCCTCCCTTCCTTCCTTCATTCTTTCCCTCCTTCCTTCCCTCCTTCCTTCCTAATATGGACATTTATTGAGCATTTTTTCTGATCTACAAACTGAGGATACAACAGTGAACAAGACAAAGATTCTGTTCTTATGAAGCATATTTTATCATAGGGAAAATTCTCAATTTTGATCCCAATTCATGCATATTTCTTTTGATCTCTATTCAAAATCTACCAAAAGAGAGCTGAATTACAAAGACATTCTGGTGTTATACTTCCTTTGTATTGGAAAAACTCTAGGAACAAATAAATTCTCTGACCTCTCCCTCTACTCAAGAATATCTTAGTGTCTCTCACCTGTGTGCTTCTGAGAGTCTACCGATACATTCAAAATACTTAAGGTCTCCTGTGCTTCCCAGCATTCTACTCCCCGTAACCCACCAGGCTCTGAGGACCTCATCATACATCCTTCTATTTGCATTTCTTATTCTCCATTGAATTTTGGTTCTATACAGTGAATAAAAATGAACTAATTCTCATTATGCTGATTGTCATGCCAAAATATTTCTGAACTGAGTGCGTAGTTTTCTTCAGAGGAAAGTAGCATAGAAATTAAACGAATTCTTATATTCTAGGTCAAACTCACATTTGATCATAATATCTCTGAAACTTGTTCTTTAGCAGCTTAGGTAGCAGAGGGCAAAACGTGAAGTGCTTTGCTTTTTAAAAGTAATAATTAAACTTGTTAGATGAGAGCGTAAGCAGAAATCGCAGCTAGTTTAAAAAGAAAGATAATTTCAGAAAACAGTACAATTTCTTGAACCTAATTTTATACTGAAGTCAAATACCACTTTAAATTCAGGCACAATTAAATATTTGCCTTTCCATAGGTTATATATTGTCTCATATTCAGATAATTTGTTTTTACTCTGACTCCAAGCAGCATGGCAACAATTTGGGAGAGGAAAGTTGTGGAACATCTTGTCCAAAGTCTCTAGCAAGTGAAATAGCAAAACATAGTGTTCTGGACCAAACTGAGGGTCGGGCTGCTTATTCCTGTGGCCCAGTAACTAGATGCAGATGAACTTGGAAAGGAGGGAGTTTTTATTTCTGTAACCGGTTACAGAGAAAAGGCCCAGAAAATATTGCCAGACCAACTCAAAATTACAAAGTCTTCCAGACCTTATATACCTTCTAAGCTATATGTCTGTGTGTAAGCGGGCATTCATCTAAAGACATAATTAATCTATAACTGAGATCTGAGTCCTGAAGACCTTTCTCTGTAGCCTTAGTAAATTTACTTAATGGGACCAAGTACTGGGGTGATTACCCTTGTTTCCTACTAAATTATGGAGGTTTGGGGAGCTCCTTTAGCCCCCAGTAAAACTTGTTTCATCCTAAACAGGTCCTTTTAAGAATTCCTTTGCTGGCCGGACGTAGTGGCTCACACCTGTAATCCCAACACTTTGGGAGGCCGAGGCAGGCAGATCACGAGATCAAGAGATCAAGACCATCCTGGCCAACATGGTGAAACCCCGTCTCTACTAAAAATACAAAAATTAGCTGGGCATGGTGGTGCTTGCCTGTAATCCCAGCTACTCAGGAGGCTGAGGCAGGAGAATCACTTGAACCCGGGAGGCAGAGTTTGCAGTGAGCCAAGATCACACCACTGCATGCCAGCCTGGCAACAGAGCAAGACTCTGTCTCAAAAAAAACAACAAAAAAAATAGAATTCCTTTGTTATCTTGTCATGCTTCAAGGCCCGGAAAAAGCCTGGACAAAACTCTTGGTGGGCTTTTGTTACATTCCAGCCTTTGTATAAAGTCACTGGCTCTTTCAGCTTTTAATAGTTAATCACTCAGTCAGTGCTGAAATAGTTGTTACAGAGGCCTGTGTTAGTGAGACCTGGCCTTCCACAGTAGCAGAGAATAGGAATTAAATTGTAGAATTGGGCAACATTATCTTAACAAATGACAAGCTTCTGCCAAAGCTATATAGTTCCGGCAAACTGAGAGCAGCTTCAACATTCTGAGGAGTATCAAAGAGGACAAGACAGAAATGTGAAGTGGGATATAGGTTGGTTGAAGGAGATGGTGTTGACTAGGTACATTCCTACAGGATGATTTAAGCCAGGCACTACCAAACATCTGTGAGCATGTTCAAAATGCATTTTCTCAATACCCCCTCACTGTAAACCCTTGAATGTGATATGTTTGGGAGTTGAAATTGAGAATATGTATCTTTAACAAGAGCAGCTTCCCTAAGCTAACATTTCAGAACCACGGTTTTAACACATCTATTCTAAAGCTATATTGACCAAAAAAGAACAAAAGTTCCCGTACCTTGGACAATTTTTAGTCAAATGGAAGTATGGAAGTTTGGGGATTATATAAGAACTTGAATTTTTTTAAATGCCAATGTATGAAAAATGTCTCTGCTTACTCCAACGCAAGTATCTTTTGCTTTCATGTTGTACTCAGAGACACCAAGCCCCAAATAATATTTTTTGCACTCTTCATCCCATCTGGAAGACAAATAAGAGTTAGTCATTTTCAGACAAAAATTCATGGAAGAGCTATAAGATGCACAGTGTGGATGCTTCCTTCTTGGTTAACAAAATATTCTACTTCTAAAACAAGAAGCCCAGTCGAGTTTCCCATGTAGGTTCTCCCTGCCTTCCGTCTCATCTTCCTCTGGTCCACTACTGCCACCAGACCCATGTGTCACAAATGCCACCCCAATCTTGTTACTCTGCGTTTCAAACTGTCAGTAGTTTCTAATTGCTTTTTTTTGAGACGGAGTCTCGCTCTGTCGCCCAGGCTGGAGTGCAGTAGTGCGATCTCAGCTCACTGCAAGCTCCGCCTCCCGGGTTCACGCCATTCTCCTGCCTCAGCCTCCCGAGTAGCTGGGACTACAGGCGCCCGCCACCAAGCCTGGCTAATTTTTTGTATTTTTAGTAGAGACAGGGTTTCACCGTGTTAGCCAGGATGGTCTCGATCTCCTGACCTCGTGATCCGCCCTCATCTAATTGCTTTAAAAAAAAGAAAGAAAAAAAAAATCAGGGGCCAGGTGCGGTGGTTCACGCCCGTAATCCTAGCAATTTGGGAGGCTAGGCTTTGAGCTCAGGAGTTAGAGACCAGCTTGGGTGATGTAGTGAAACTCCATCTCTACAAAAAATACAAAAATGCTTGGTGTGGTGGCAAGTACCTGTGATCCAGCTACTCGCAAGGCTGAGGCTGCAGAATTGCTTGAGCTCGGGAGGTGGAGGTTGCAGTAAGCTCAGATTGCACCACTGCCCTCCAGCCTGGGCAACAGAGCGAGACCCTGTCTCAAAAAAAAAAAAAAAAAAAAAAAAGAGAATCAGTAATTTTTCGGAGGGCATGCAAGGGCTTTTACAATGTGTACAGTCTGTGCTCTATCCTCCCCAGTGTGCCTGCTTTCCCAGGTCTCCAAATCATGGACACGCATTCCCTCCCCTGACAGTTCATGCAAATATGCATCTGTTCATTGCTTAGACAAAATAGAGTGCTGTAATATCATTATATTTCCTGTGTGAGTTTTAAGTTTTTCTCTTCTTTCTAATTGATTTTTTCTACCGTCACTCTTTGCCTTTGTTGTATCTTTATTGTTTTCTTTCAAATGCTCCATCATATAATATGTTCAATAAAATTCCTTATTTTTTTCAAATACTGCCCTTTTAGGGCCTTCTATCCCCTTGCTCTAATCACATCTATGGCTGCTTTTGTGCTAACCCAGGAGAGCAGAGCAGTTGGGACAGATACTGAATGGCCTACAGAGCTTGCACTATTTGCTCTCTGGTCCTTTACAGGAAAAAAAAAAAAATAGTCTACTATTTACTCTCTGGTCCTTTACAGAAAAAAATGTTTGCTGACTCCTGGTCCTGGCGCTCTGAAATATCACAACAATACCTATATAGAGAATACTTTTTAAAAATATATTTGTTTCAGATATGCAATGAAATCTCTCCATTTGAAGATGTGCTTTTAGCACCGGAAAGTGCTATATTTAAAAGATTTCTTTGCAACTTTCTTTCCTTGTGTTCACTGTTCTGTCTGGAACCCCTATTAGTGAGATGTGATCTTTCTGGACTAATCCTCTGAGTCACCTGTCCTCCCTCATATTTCTTTTCTCTTTATCACTTCACTCCTCAATATAAGGAATTTCCTTGTTCTTATCACACAACTCTTTAATAAAATGTCTTTACATTTTTTCCATCAGATTTTTTAAAAAAGTTTTCAAGAGTCTTCTCTTATGCTGCAGCTTTTATTGTTTGTAACATCTTGCTCTTCTTATATTTTTGTGACTGATTCTTATGTTCTTATCTTGGTCTTTCCCTTTTATGTTTTAGGTTTTTGTGAAAAGAAGGTTTATTCCTTATAGCCTATTTACATTTGGGAATGAAGCAATAGAGACATTGACTGTGATCTCTGTGTACACATTGATGGCCTCATTTTAGGGAGAGTGGGTGAGGAGCCAGACTCAATTTTTCAAGTCCCAAATGCTTCCATTAGGACAGGTTTACCCATATTCCAACTCAGAGACTACCTTCCTAATTCTGATCAGGGAGTCCTGCTTATTTGCTTGTTTCCTTAGCTAGAGGCTACGTGGATGTTAGGGCTCCGCCATTGGCATCATATATCATCCTGACCTCATTTACACAGTGTCTCTGAGTCCCAAGCCTCTGGAGTTCTGTGGAATAGAGTACTCCCCGCACCTCCAGCTTGGATTCATCCCTTTCTCAATATATTCTTGTCTACAGCTAGATGTGGCTACATTAGATACCACTGCATCAATTTCACCTGCAGTATTTTAATGAGATCTCTAACCCGCTCTTGTTTATTGCTGTAGGTTAAAACCTTTTATAATCCCTTGTGGCTTTCTCAATGAGGTCTGTTTCAGGAAGGAGAAGAGATATAGTCAATATGACTTCTTGAAATAGAATTGCTGGATCTCTCTTGATAATCATGTAAAATCTCCCAAAGCATTTCCTATGTGCTGCTCTCATGGTATTTATTTCTTTCTTCCTCGTGTTCATTTATTCATATACATATTTTATTTCCTCTCTAGACCATAATCTCTTTGGAGTTTAGATAAATCTAGGCATGTATAGTACTCTCTTTAATAATATTTGTCAAAGGAATAAATTAATAAATATAGAGAGGAAAGTCAGAGGGAGGAGTCTCTGACAGAGACTGCTATTTGGCTAGTGTATTGCAATCTAAGTACCATTCATCTTTACCTTTTTTCTCAGAAATAAAAGTGACCCCAAATCCTAGCAATATCCCCACCTTTGGAACTACTTTAGGGAAAGGAAAGTAAATTACATTGCTCCAATAGGGCATCTCAAGAGTTTTCTTTATTTTATATGGTTAACCTGTAGTAGAATCAGTCACCACAGTTTTTCCCCTTTGGTTTAAGTACCACACAGACCAATACAAAAGGTATTTCCTAGAGGAAAGAGAGAAAAGGTAAGTGGCTTGAATGGTTTTCCTGTGGCTTCTGCAGTGACAACCCACGTGACTAGCAAAAAGCATTTGTACTGATTTTAGTTATAAGGAAAACCAACCATGATAAGCAATAGGAGCATTGATTTTTAGGTGTACTTATCTGGTCTTTCCCTTTTATGTTTTAGGTTTTTATATTTTAGTTTATTCACAGCCAGCACACCTACATTGCTATTCCGCAAATGCCTGAAGCTAAATGTGAAAAATTTTCCCAATGTCCTGGGATCACCAAGGGACAAAGCTGTGGAATTTGTAAAGATGACCCAAGCTCCTGGAGTTATGCCAGTCATCCTTGATGAGACTGGAGATCAGCTCCAGGACCAAACTGTTCTTTTGAAACCCTCCACACCAGAGGTCACAAGAAGCCAATCTCCTAGCATGGAGAAGAAGGCAGAATTAGCGTTCCAGGGCACTCAGCTCCTCAGTGACTTGTGCTTGGATGGCTGAAGCTTCAAATTGCTATGCTAAATACATCAAGTAATTCACATAGGTAATAAATTTAGGAACACAACAGTCTTCCTGCAAAACTACTCCCTCTTCTGCCTCTCCCTAAGAAAGAAAAATATAATTTCAACTTTGTCTTCTCTCTTTAAATTGTTCATCATTGCTTTAGGGTACACAAGCAAATGTTTGTTTTATTCCTGATCTCAATTTACACTGTTTTCTGAACTCCAGTTTCATAGCAGTTTGTCAATATTATCTTTCCAAAGGAACCAAGCAAACTGCCAGAATGCATTTCTAATGGCCTCCTGGTGGTAATTAAAATGTCATTTTTGAAATAATAACCTGCTTGTTGTACCTGACTTGAAGTAACTGCTCAGTTTTACTTAGACTGCATTACTCTTTCCATATTGAAGACCTATATTTAAAGTAATCAAAGAATGCTATATTTCTTGAAGTGTAATAAAACCCCAGCAAATTTGACATGTACCCTTTCTACCATGGCTACGTGCATGGAGCATTTGCAATGCAATTTAGATCACACCTGGTATTGCTTCTCGGCCTTTTGGCTAAGATCAAGTGTAGATCACACCTGGTATCTTTGGGGCTCTATTCTTCCCTGCCACACCTCTCACTCACGGAATTAGGGTCGGAAAGCAGATTCAACAAATTATCTTAATATGACCATCAGGAAAATCTCCTCATCCTAATCATAGAGTGGAGTGGTAATATAGGATAGCAGTTGTTTGAGAGGAAATATGGCATAGCAGTTATGTGCATAGACTCCAGAGCCAGGCTGGCTGGGTCCAAATCCCAAATCCATCACTTATCAACCATGTACATTCTGGACAAGCTGTTTAGCTTCTCTGTGTTCAGTTTATCTGCAAGATATTGAGAATGGTACCTCCCTCACTGGGGTTTTGTGAGTTAATTTATGTAAAATTCTTACATTAGTTAGTGCCTGCCACATAATCAGCACCGTGTAAGTGTGAAACATGATGGTGGTGATGGTGATGATGATGATGATGAAACGTAGATTTGCTTGGTGAATTTTTGAGTATCTACTTCAAAACATTTATGGCCAGACCGTAAAATTATCAGGAAACAGCTCTGTGATAGGCTAGGAGTTTGGGAATACAATAGCAATTCTTTTTGAGATAAACCACATAGGAATCCTGGTTTAAGAAATCACTGGTGTGGCCTTCTGGACTGAGCCCTTTCCTGATAGTTAAGAAGCTTGGGAATTCCTACTTGTTCAGTTCCTGACAGTGGGCAAGTCATTTCTCCCCTTGAACCTCTATTTCTTTATTTGTAAAATGAAGATAGTGTATTAGATGAATTCGGAGGTGCTTTTCAGCTCTAAAATCCTATCTTTTTAATCAGCTGTTTGTAAATCTGATCACATTTGGAGCACACTGGGAAAAACTTGCCACTTTAAAAAGTACAATGTGACAACTGGGAAAGTGCTTTATTATGGCAAATTCTCCCTGTTGATTCTAGCTTGTTAATGTGGCTGCTCAAAACCCAAGTTTATTCACAGCCAGCACACCTACATTGCTATTCCACAAATGCCTGAAGCTGGAAGTAAGAGGCTCTGATAGGAGCTCAGCCAGTCATCTGCACCAAGCCCACAGTCCTCTCTGGGTTGGGCATGAATGCACCTGAGTGGTGCAAGTTGTTTGAGACTGACTTGGCAGCCTTCACTCTCGGAAGGTTGCCTGGTTTCTAACTTCCATTTGCACATATGTTATCTGCCTCTGCCTCCTACTGAACAGCCATCTACCCCTCCCCCTGCCACACACTGGCTTGTAATAACTATGCATATTTCACATCACCCAAATGATTTTGAAGTTATTAATTATATTAAATTGTCTCCTGGGGAGAACCCATACACATACACACCAATTCATGCTTTGAAGGTAAACATTAAATTTTTCTGTGCCAAAGAAAATGAAAAGGGAAGAAATACGATAATTGAGATGAAATCTTCCTCCAGTTAATTGTCACATAACAAAGATGATAAAGTGTCGGGTGGAGAGAAAAGAGGGCTAACGTTGAACAAGCACCTATTCTGGGAGGCCTGTGACACTCGATGTTGTTCAGCAATGTTTTATTTCATCATTAGAGGATATGCATTGTATTCCCTACTTTACTTTTTTTCCCAAAAAGTTTCACAAAGATTCCTTGTCTAGAGTCACACACAGCCAGTAAACAGCTGGCATTCTGGAATGTGACATTACCAGAGGACACTTCACTATGCTTTCTGGAGGTCTTCAAGACATCCATCTTGTAATTCTTTTAAATTCCATTTTGTTCATCTGTAACCAATGTAATGAATACCCATTTTATTTATACCTTTATGAACATACGATTATAAATTCTGAATCTTTATAAGAAGAGATGTCATATTTGTTGGTAAAATTGCCTTGAATTTACCATATTCTTATGATTTAAGGTTGGAGAAAGGTTTTATGTGCTACGGCCGAGTATTTGCTCTCTACAGTTGAAATCCAGACAAAATGTGGAGGATGATACATGACATTAGCCAGTAAAATGTAATCAAATGGCACGAGCGTCATCTACTGGTTGGGTTGTCCCACCTCAGAAACACTCAGTTGGACTGTATAAAGTGATTAAATTTTGTTTGCAAATGCAATCCAGAAAAATATATCCACTTCAGATACCTTTTTAAAAAACAATAACTGAAACAGATACTATTAACTGGAAATCTACAGACAAATAGGACAAAATGAACCACTTTTTTTTAATGAACTGCATTTAGATGAATAAGTTAACTTAAATATAACTAGCAATTTGCAAACAACAAATAGCTGTAAGTGCTCTGTGATTCTTTGGTAGCTTCCCCTCACTCCTCATTAGACAGTGATGAAAGCCCTGGTAAAAATTCTTAGCCAGAACACCCATTAGGGTGACTATTATCAAAAGAGAAAAAAAGGGGGGATAAGGAAAGGAAAAATAATAAGGTGAGGGTATGGAGAAGTTGGAACTCTTGTACATTTCTGGTGAGAATATAAAATGGTGCAGCTGCTATGGAAAACAGTATAGTGGTTCCTCAAAATATCAAAAATAGAACTGTCAAACAATCCAGCAATTTCACTTCTGGGTATATACCCAAAAAAATTGAAAGCAGGATTTTGAAGAGACATTTGTAAAACCCCCGTGTTCATAGCAGCATTATTTACAATAGCCAAAAGGTGGAAGCAACCCAAATGTTCATCAGTGAATGAACAGATAAACAAAATGTGGTATATACATACAATGGAATATTGTTCAGCCTTAAAAAAGTAAGGAAATTCTGAAAAATGCTACAACATGGATGAACATTGAAGACATTATACTTAGTGAAAAAGGCGAGTCACAAAAGGACAAATACTGTATGATTCTACTTATGTCAACTACGTAGAGTGGTCAGATTCATAGACAGAATATAGAAGGGTGGTTGTGAGGACTGCAGGGAGAGAAGAATGGAGAGTTCTGGTTTGATTCGTATAGTTTGAGTCTGGGAAGATGAAGAAGGTTCTGGAGATGGGTGGTGGTGATGGTTGCACAACAATGGGAGTGTACTTAATGTCACTGAATAGTATACTTAAAAACAATATGGCAAATTCTTTGTTATGCATATTTTATCATCTGAAAAAAAGGTGGAAGTTGGGCAGGAGAGAAGAACATAACAGATTGTGTTAGTTCAGTCTGCCTTATTGCCCAGACTTGAATTTACCCATGTTAAAACTTTGAGCCTTTTCTTCTTCTTATATAAAATGTTAATCATAGGGAGAGAATCACAGTTATTTGAAAGGATCAAATAAATTCTTAGATGTTATGGGTGGGGGTGTTTGGGGGGGACTCTTAGCTGGAACTCCTGCTCTAAGTCCACAGTCTTTTCTACTTTTCTAGTTATCACAGCTAAGCTAGCCAAAGTTCCTTCCTTGTCAGTTCTGAGACACTAATTGCATAGAGTTCTTCAGTTATCCAGAGAGGGAGGAAACTAACATTGCTGAATGCTGAAGATGTGCAAGTGTTGCAACAATGATCTACTTACGCAATCTCTCAGCTGTAGAGCACGCTACGCTATTCCCATTTTGCTAATCAGGTAACAGGTTGAGAAAGACAACCATGATTATACAATTTGGTGCACTCGGTCATCATTTAATGCAGGTAATACAGCCAGTATATGAGTCTACTTTGTCTACCTAAAATAGAAAGGAGAGGGTAAAGGAGACAGAATGTTATCACGAATTGAGCTCCTGTGGTGTATTGATTACTGGTTCAGATTTCCCAGACTTGCCATTCTCTGGGGTTCATCTACGTGATCTCCATAAAGGTGATCATCTTCATGAAGTTAGCAGTTGCTTACATCTGATCATGCAAGACTGTAAAGTAACCCCACCCTCTCAGTTCCCTTTCATGTATTCCCATTCCCTTCCCAAAGTATTTCTGATATGTGGTGTCACATCTATGCTCTCCAACCAGTGAAGTCAGCTATAGGGTGCCTGCTAGACATAATGCTGCCATTGCTTCCCCTGGGCACCTCTTGTTATCACTGCCATTGCCTTTGCTGTTTGTCTTCCAGCTGCCATGGCACTACCAGCCACCAGCCACCCTTCACAGGTGCTGCTCTCTCAGCTGCACATTGCCACTGGTTTTAAATACCCCTTCTTCTTTCACTAGGTGCCACAGTCCCCCCGGTTCCTATGCTGCTGCCATTTCCACTTTCAACTACGTATCAGGCAGAGACACCTTATCTCATCTCAGTCTCAGGTAGAGACTGCAGTTCTTCCTGGGTACAGTCACTATTGCACTGGAACCTTCAGATACCTGAGTATGATGGTCAGTGCCTATTTGGAAGAGAAAAATTTTTCTTCTATTCTGATAACCCTTGTAAGATGAGTACCAAAGTGAAGTTACCGGTGTCTCGAAGTCTAACACAATTTTAGTGAGAGCACCTTTTCAGGATGTATTCACAGTGCTCTGTCTCCCTAAATTGCAGAAATGAATTTAGGGAGCTGACACACAATAGATTTGAATGGCAGGCCAAACTATATACAAAAATCATTCCTCCCTACTGACTTTGAGACTATTACCAACTCAAAGTAATTCTTCCTTCCGAAGTTTGTTTTCTGGAACCCCTTTTATCCTATGTGAAAATAGTATCCTGAGTAGCCTACTTCACCATTTCATCAGACTTTTTCAAACATCTTTAAATCCTAGTAGCAGGCACAGATTAGGCCTCACCTGGATATCCTACTACAAAATTTCAGTCTCATTTAAATCCTACAAAACCCCTGTGAGGTACATATTATTATCTTCATTTTATAGATAAGGAAATTGAGTGGCTAAGTAACTTGCCATTAAACAGCTAAGCCATTAACATTAAACAATAAAACAGCTAGTTAGTGGTAGAATCAGGATTTGAGCCAAGGTTTGGCTGATATCCGAAGCCCAGGCACTTTATCACCACCTCCTGCCATACCTCCCAAGCTCAGTGCAGGGCTTATAAGGTGCCAGCCACCTTCTTCAATCACACAGCTCAGCAGCAGTATTTCTCAAGCCTGCTACTGCCCCTGAATTACAACTGCATTAGGTCTAGGTTGCACTTGGTCTTCATCACACATATGTTTCGTGTGCTCTGCACTGTGCTGATGCCATGCAGAAAGCTTTTAACACCTTCATCATTTCATGTAGGAAAGTAGTATTTTCCTTTCTGAGTGCTGATTAGAAAACTCCATTAGTCTAACGTCTTTGTTTCTTTTTTTTTTTTTTTTTTTTTTTTTTTTTCTGAGACGGAGTCTCACTCTGTCACCCAGGCTGGAATGCAGTGGTACGATCTTGGCTCACTGCAACCTCTGCCTCTCGAGTTCAAGTGATTCTTCTGCCTCAGCTTCCTGAGTAGCTGGGATTACAGGCGACTGCCACCATGCCCGACTACTTTTTGTATTTTTAGTAGAGACAGGGTTTCACCGTATTGACCAGGCTGGTCTCGAACTCTTGACCTTGTGATCTGCCTGCCTCTGCCTCCCAAAGTCCTGGGATTACAGGCGTGAGCCACCGTGCCCGGCCCCAGTGTCCTTTCTTAAGGTTGACTCCCGCTCTGAGCTAGTACTCTGAAGTTTAAATGTTTATTGTTGTTTGATTTGGTTTGGTTTTTTCCCATCACACATGGGTTACATAAGCTTCTTATAAAACTGCTTAGTGACTGACCTCTGCTATTTAGAAGCACTTGTGTAATTTATTCTAGAAGGGTATTTGAGCTCAATGCAGAGGGTGACAATGAAGAAGGTGAAATTGTCTCCATTTGGCTTCCCCTGAATTCTCCATTATAAGGACTCAATTACCATAGACAAGAGAAATGAAACTGACTTTTAGGTTATCATCTCATTCTCCCCTGCCAATACATGATTGTTCTCTTCAGTACTGTCTAGAATATTGCTGATTCTAATTATAAATCAATCAAGCAACAGGTCTTCATTTACAGTATTCCCCAAAAGGATAATATCATTACTGTCACCCATTTTGGCTACTGCTTGAAGTATTCAGCTTGGATCTAATCTTGTCCTTCACTTTGTTCTCTTACTGACGTTTCTACAGAGATGTGTTTACAGTTTCTTGATATATTTTGGGGGAAATTTTTGTTTTTATTCACTTCTAAAACATATATTTTCATAATTTTTTAATTTTTATTTATTTTTATTTTTTTATTTTTAGACGGAGTCTCGCTCTGTCGCCCAGGCTGGAGTGCAGTGGCATGATCTCGGCTCACCGCAACCTCTGCCTCCCAGGTTCACGCGATTCACCTTCCTCAGCCTCTCAAGTAGCTGGGACCACAGGCGCCCGCCACCACGCCCAGCTAATTTTTTTTATTTTTAGTAGAGACGGTGTTTCACCATGTTAGCCAGGATGGTCTTGATCTCCTGACCTCGTGATCCGCCCGCCTCGGCCTCCCAAAGTGCTGGGATTACAGGCCCAGCCTATTTTCATAATTTTTAAGGGGTGAGAGAGGCTTATGTTTACTCTGTCAAGGCTCAGTTCTTTTTTATATGTGTTTTGTTATAAAGTGTGTTAGCAAGTCATCTCAAGGTGGATTATTAATAAATAATCCCTAGTCTTTTTCTATACTCACACTTCCTCCGTGTTGACTTGAGTGGTATCTGACATTAACTTAGAATTTTCACTTATAATAAAAGAATCACAGAATTTTAAATCTGGGAAAAGGTAAGCAGCAACTAATTTAGGGGTAGCTGTTGAAAATACTTTGACGAATAAGGAAACTGAGGCTCCTATATTTTAAGTGGCTTCCCAAAGCTCAATGAGTTAATGGCAGGGCTATATTTGGAAACATAGGTCTTTCTAAAGTATTAAATCAGGTAAGGTGGGTGTATTTTCTATTCCCCTTCCAAAACCAAACAATGTAACTGGTCCCATTTTTCTAGAGGAGTCTATGTTATAATTAACTTAATGCTAGCTGCCGTAACAAATGTGTCCTGAAATCATAGTGTTAAGAAAATGTTTTAACCCAATAAAAATGTATTTATTGCTCAAGCAACAGTCAAATGCAGGTGCTTCTGGTAGGTAGCTGTCTTTCAAGTGTTCATTCAGGCATCAGATTCCTTCATATTGCCTCTTGGCACATGGCTCCTAACTGGAATTGTCTCCCTTTGGCTGTCAGGGAAAAGGGTAAAGGATGGTCTAGCAAATTGCTATGACTTAGGCCTGGAAATCACATATATCACTTCCATAAACATTTCATTTCCAAAGTATGCTTTGGTGCAATTCCAGGTGCAATTGTTCCCTTCTTTTATATTGCATAACAATTTTACAGATCTCAGTTGGTGACTTTCTGTTCAGTGAGGACAGGAATATCCAGATCTAATGTTTTTCAACCACAGATGTTTCCCATTCTCCTTCACTTCCCACGTGGTTGCTCTTAGACTCCTTTCCTGCCTTATACCTGAAGACTGGTTGAGGGGCATGGTTACATGTCACATTTTTAAAACCAAGCCATTTTCAAAAATCAGTTTACTCTGCTGAACTAAGCAGAAAACTGCTTTTGCTACCTGATGGGGTTCAGGACACACTACTCAAAAACATGGTACCTTTGCATCTGAGAAAACAACAGAAGCAGGAAAGTCACTCTCATCATCCCCTTACCCCTTTTCTGCTAAAGCAAGTTATAAAACCTAGGAAGGAGTTCCTGACCTTCCCCTAAAGCAGGTCCTAAGATTCTCATGTAAGAGGTGCTCTCCATATACCCGGAGGAAAGGAATGTCCTTACTTCTGAAGGCACAAGAACACAGAGGAGAATCTTAACAAACAGGCCTTACTAAGTTCCTCCTAGTTTATTGCTATTAGTTCATACTCCCTTTGCCCAATCACACCTCTCCACAACAGTCCTCTTCTTCATTTAACAGAAAAAAAAATGCACAGGTTTTCCTTGTTCTTTGGGTCTTCATTTCCTTATGTAAGCTTCTGTGTCATCCAAAACTTAACCAAATTTGTATGCTTTCTCTCTTAATCTGTCTTTTATTACAGGGGCTTCAATGATAATCCTAGCAATGAGAGAGAAAGATATTTCTTTCCCCCTACTTACCTAATCATGTAAATATGGGAAGGAAGTTCATTTTTGTGTTATTTCAAGTAGTGTGTGATTTTTCTCTAGAAAATAAAATGTGTGAAGTTACTGCTCTTAAAGAATTGCTCTTGTCTCTACCCTCCCTACTGCTGATTTACAGTCAAAGTTCTAACCATATACTGCTATGCATATCTGTACCCACCCTGGTGGTATTAAACTACTGGAAAGCACGGACCTTGAATGGATAAAAATGAATACTAATGGCAGTGATGGCATATGTATATGTATAAAATGGCCCTGATAGCATCAAGAAGCAACTCCCTTGGAGAGAAGCAAGAGGTAGGTCTTTGCTTCCTTTGGTTGAAGAAGGCCAGACACCCTTGAGGGGAGCAGTTGTAGTCAAGGTGCTTATACATATCCTCCCTCCCCCAAGCCTGGGCCTGCAGCTCTTCCTCAGAGTCTCTGAGCAGATATTTCTGCTGGCACTCACCAAGTGTTGTAAGCTAATACTGAGTTTTTTCAAATGGTATAATTACATCTCTCTGTGTTTCCTTGAGAATTTTATTGAAAAGTAGAAGCTGAAATTATGCATCCCTAGTCACTCACCATCATAATTCAAAAAGACTATAAATGAGAACTAAATTATTTATATGGCATTAAATTCAAAATTCTATTGAAATTAGATCTGTCGTCATCTGCATTTGTGATGTCATTATCTTGATTGGGATGGGGAAGGGTGTGGGATGTTTGTTTGTCTACTCAGTAGACCCAGACAGGACAGACAGAACTTTATGTTTTTGTTTAAAAATAATTTCAAATCAAGAATGAATAATATGACTAAAATTTGTCCTCATCAAATGTTGGATAGAAATAGATAAAACTCATTCTCTTTAGTCTTTCTGATCTGAATGGGCTATACGTAGGCATCAGAATTCACTTAAGATTCCTACAGAGTACTTTGAGAGTCATTTGCTGAACTAGCTCAAGTTTTTTCTAACTAGGTTTGGCTGGCTATGAATGATCATGAGGAAGTTAAATCACTTTCAATTTTGTATCTATGGATTATGTTAAAATTTAATGTTCTGAAACCTGCCTGTGCCCCAATTGGGATGAGGTATCATGATTCTTCTTCTGCCTCACCAGTCTGTGTAGATTGCATTGTACAATACACATCAACAGGAAATACTCATCAGATAACATTTGTGAGTTGTTCTACATGGATTGTACATGTGACTGAACACGTACATCATTACCTTGTTTAGAAGAACCTATTGTCCTTTTCAAGAACTGTAGCACAGAGGGCCAGTCATCATTTTCCCCTTGATTTTCTTTTAATCCATTGATATTCCTCTCTTAAATGGGTACATGATAATATTGCTCTGTACTGTCAGATTCTTTTTAAGTTAGCATGTGTGTTTTTGATCTATCTTATTAATTTTTAAATTTCAAAGGGAAAAATAATTTCCCTTATTTTTGAGGAGCATCTCATCATAAAATTCACACATACATATTCACATATACATAAACACATTACATTCACCATATTATAAAAAAAGTTACTTCAAAAAGCTTCATTCTAAGTTACATTTTATAAATTGTTTGGTTGAGAATATCTCTGGCAGTTCCATCAGTTCATTCATTCAGTTGCAAGTCTAAGTATATGCCAGGTGTACAATACTGGATATTAGAGATCAATAGACGAGCAGTTGGTCGCTGCAGTCAAATATCATAATCAAGTTGGAAACAGACAAGTGGGTAGTTTAGACTAGTGTAGGGAAGAGTAACCCCCATCGGTTCTTAGTTAGAATGGATCCCTGTAAGAAAAAAATAGATTAACAAGAGAAAAGCAGAAGTTTATTAACATGAATATTTTATATATACATGGGAGACAGGAAATAAAGTAGTTCTCCTAGAAGTGGCTTATATAGCATCTTCAACTAAGAATAGAATAGTAAATTTTTAAAGAAATGGCAAGACAAAGGAAAAGACTCTGAGTCTCTAGGGGAAGCAACTTGTGAAAAGGCAATAATGGCATAAAAAGGCTAGTTAGTGAAGCTTGTTAACGCAGATTCCTCTGGTACCATCTCCAGGTCAATAAGGGTCTAAAATTGTCTTCAGTGGTTAATCTTTGTTCTCCCTGGTAGAAGGGGAGGTGGGATACCTTTTGTTTTTGTAAATCTATATCCTGCTTTTAGGTAAATGGAAGGCAAAGAGCTTTCCTGCCTCTGCTGCTTCTTGTTTGTCTTCAGCTCAACCCTCCTTCATATTTTGGGGAGGTATATCCTGGTCTCCCACACTACTCATCCATCCATTCATTGTATTCATTCACCCATCTGATATGTATTTAGCACCTTCTCTAGGTCAGTCACTGTTAGTTACTGGAATATAGCTGTGATTAAGATTAGTGCTCCCAGCTTGCACTCCTCAAACTTGGTCCAAATAAAGTCTCTACTTGTTTTAATTTTGCCTCAGTTTTGTTTTTTGTTGTTGCTTTTTATTTTTCCTTTAAGTAGCATGGAGCTTATAGTCTAGCAGGAAGATGGGATGTGATTGTGGCTGTACCTGAGGAAAGCTTCACAAAGGAGTGAGCCACACAGATGAGACATGGGAATAGAAGGCTGACTGTAGAACCCCCGGTGAGGGTTTTCCAGGCATTGGGACTCACAATGGAGACAAAAAGTGATTGGGAAAAGCTTCCAGAAAACCAAATATTTAAATATCCAACAAAGGGGTTGAGGGTATTGTGGGGAAAGGAGAAGTTTCTTTGAAGGCCTGGGAGTATTTTGCTTTGTTCAGGCATCAGGTCAACCCCGAGGGATAATGCCCTGGCCTCCACTGAGAGTCATGAACAGTGGTTAATGAGCTCATTAGCAATTCAAATAGAGGAATACAAGGTGTTAACACACTCACATCCACAGCTCTAGAAGCTTACAGTGTGACAGTGCATTCAATTTAGAATCTTCAAAGCAGTCCTCCTTCTTCCTTTCTCTTTCCCTTCCTTTTTGTATCTTCTATTTCTCTCTGTATATATCCTCCATAATTCTAGTTAGCTTTAGAGAAGGATAAAAATAAAAAATAATCCTCCATTTTTTATTCTCACTCCTCAGTTCTTCCTCTTTTGCCTTTTTCATTTACCCTTTCTTATTTTTACTTCTATGTTTTTTCCATTTATTCTCTTTTCTATGTTTTATCTCTTTATGCACCCATTTTCCCTGTCCACACAACTATGTTTAACATACTGATGGGTTTACATTGGTTTCCATTTGCTCTATGTAATATACATGTACTATGTACATTGTCCTTTATTATATGTAATATTTTCATCTTCATAGCTCTCTCTCAAAAAAATAAAAAATATAAAGCTTTTCTTCCATAGGGTTCTTACATTCTCAGGCTCCTCTTTCTTGGTATTTATGGATTTTGAGGTTTTTTATTCTTAAATACAACCAGAATAAAAGATTAGTAACCTATATAAACATGTTTTATGATCATCCAAAAATATAATTATATCCTGCCAAATTTTCCCTACTTAAAGTGAAAACCAATAAAATATACAAATATAGAGAATACAATTGAAGGTCTCTTTTTTTTTTTTTTGGTCTTTTTCACAGTGATAACTGGTTTTCATATTAATGAACCCCAAAACAAGGATAAAAATATCTCCTCTGAATAACTTCAGTTTAAATTTTTTGTCATGAAATCTAATTTTTAATTAAATTCTTCTAATTAAGGAAATATTACATGATCAGAGTCAGGCCTCTGAGCCCAAGCTAAGCCATCATATCCCCTGTGACCTGCACGTACACATCCAGATCGCCAGTTTCTGCCTTAACTGATGACATTCCACCACAAAAGAAGTGAGAATGGCCTGTTCCTGCCTTAACTGATGACATTGTCTTGTGAAATTCCTTCTCCTGGCTCATCCTGGCTCAAAAGCTCCCCCACTGAGTACCTTGTGACCCCCCGACTCCTGCCCGCCAGAGAACAACCCCCCTTTTTCCTTTACCTACCCAAATCCTATAAAACAGCCCCACCCCTATCTCCCTTCACTGACTCTCTTTTCGGACTCAGCCCACCTGCACCCAGGTGAAATAAACAGCTTTATTGCTCACACAAAGCCTGTTTGGTGGTCTCTTCACACGGACGTGCATGAAAATCAGCATAATTTCTAAAATGTAATGAAAACAGTCAAAATGCTCATAAAACAATTCAACCTTTATGATATTGCTTATTTCAAATATATAACAATAACATATTGCTGACTCATATTAATCTTTTAATTCAATTAGGACCCCATACCTTATATGTTGTTGTTTTCATTTTTGAACAGAGATATGAATTTTCATATTTATGGCTTTCCCATGCTTTAGAATTACTTTTATCACCTCATTTTATTTTAGAATTTTAGTTATTTTCCATAAAATTAGTAGCACCTATTTAAGTTTTGCCTGTATATTTATTATTTCCAAATTAGTGAAATAAAATAATGCAAATAAATTACACAAAAAATATCCTTTTTCTTTAGAATCTATTATGTAGAAAGCACGGTGTTAAGTATAGAAGAGGAAAGCAATATCCTGTGCATGGCTGACACCCCTATAACAAAAAAGCAGATTGACAAGAGAAAAGCATAACAACTTTGTTTTAACAAAGTTGTGTGGGTTTTTTGTTTTGTTTGCTTGCTTGTTTGTTTTAGTAGAGACAGGGCTTAACTATATTGGCCAGACTGGTCTTGAACTCCTGTCTTCAAGTAATACGCCTGCCTCAGACTCCCAAAGTGCTAGGATTACAGGCATGAGCCACTGCACCCAGCCTATTTAAAAAAGTTTTACATGACATGGAAGACTTCAGAAATGGAGACCCAAAGACCCAGGAAAAACTGTACTTTTATGCTAAGTTTGATGAAAGAAGTGAATAGTTGTGGGGAAATGTGACTGGACAAAAGGGGATGATTTAATGATAATAAATTGAAGGAAACCCAGCAAGGCCTGTCTGTTCAGATTTTCCTTGGTGTCTATGTGTAACATTCCTTCCTCTGTGGTCTTCTGATGGACTTTCAGGAAAAGTAGGTCAGAATGTGACCTTTCTAAGTTTTATGGCTTGCTCTGGGAGAGGGGAGTTCTGGTTTATATGACCTGCCTTGGAAGAGAGGAATTCTGGTTTCTATGACATGCCTTGTGGGAGAAAGGGGAATGACAGACAGGAGGGCCAGAGGCAATCAGAGAGACCTTGCTTCTGAGGCCCTCCCAGTCTCCAATAGATTCAAACATAAAATCTCTTTTAAAATCTCCTCAAAGGAAGTGGTAGATTGTGCATGTCACAATAATACCACAAATGAGTAACCCAGAATGCTAGAGACCAATGTGTCCCAAAAGCCAGTTGAGTAGTCTGGATTCTTGAAAAAGTTCTAAACTGTGACAAAACAAGAAAAAAAAAAAGCATTATAGAGAGGTTTGTTGTTGTTGTTTTTGTTGTTTTTCAGAAATAAAGCCCTGAATTTACAGAAGTGTTTTCATTCTACTGTTGTGGTAGTTTTCATGAAAACTTTTTATTTTAGAATAGATTTATATTTTATTTAGAATAGATTATATTTATGTACAAAAATAGTACAGAGAGTTTATGTTTAACTTTCATCCAATTTTCTCTGTTATCTTGCATTAGTGTGGTATGTTTGTCGTAACTAATAAACCTATGTTGATATATTATTATTAACTGAAGTCCATACATTTCTTTTGTTTTTACCTAATATTCTTTTTCTGTTGCAGAATTTCACCCAGGATACCACATTACATATAATTATTATGTCCCTTAGATTGTGACAATTTCTCAGATTTTCCTTATTTTTGGTGACTCACAATTTTGAGGAGTATTTGTCAAGTATTTTGTAGAATGACTATCAGTTTGAGTTTGTCTGATGTTTTTCTCATGGTTAGTCTGGGTTATGGGTTTGGGAGAAAAAGATCATAGAGATAAAGTGCCATTCTCATCATTTTATTAAAGGGATGTGTGATCAATGTGACTTATCACTATCGATATTAAGCTTCATCATGTAACTGAGTGATGCTTGTGGGGTTTCTTTACTGTAAGGTGATTTCCCCCACACTCTACCCCCTTTCATTTATGTAGTCCTTGGAAAAAAGTCACTATGTGCAGCCCACACTTAAGTAGTGGGGATTTATGCTTCTCCTCCTTGATATCTATATACATTATATAACAGCATCTATATACATTAAATAGAATTCTTCTATACGGGAGATTTTTCTATTCTACCTCATTTATTCATTCAATCAATCATTAGGTTGGTGCAAAAAGTAATCATAGTTTTTGCCGTTACTTTCAAACCTAATATTTTATACTTTGGCTATAATCCAATACTTTATTATTTTTTGGTTGCTAGTTCTGTAGCTAGTAGCTCCTTTTAAATGGAATGATAGTGATAGTTAATAATTATTTTGTGAGATTTTTTTTTAAAGTGTTTGTTTGTTTAATATCCTTAGAGGGCCAAGAAATGTGGCAACCCTGTGTTGTTACTTCAGTTGGAAGAGAGGGACCCAGTGGGCAATCAGTTCTCACTCAGTGAAATTAAAAACATTAGAAACTGCGGGTGTAGACAGCAAATGTTTACAGGATGAGGATGAGATGGTTTCTGGCTAAGAAGTTAGGGAGATGACATGGTAGAGAAAGTGGAATTTAAGCATGGTCTTGAATATTTTCTAAAGATAACACTTAATACATTTACAAAAGCTGATTTTTTGGATGATAACTATTCACTGCATACAAAACAGTTATTCACCGTCATCACCTTGCCAATGCCTAACATTTGAAATTGAATTTCAAACCTTCCTGTAATCAACGTGTCTCATAACAGTACATTGTAAATGACATTTATCACTTTCCACTTGTGGTGAGGACTATAATTCTATTTTAGAAGAATTCAAATTGGACTAGAACGCTTTCTACTTTAGAAAACTATAGTGGTTGCCAATTGCTTGATTATGTACTCTAATACTTATCCAGCATCAAGATCTAACTATATGTTAAACAAGTCAAGCATTACATTAAGTCGTTCTTAATGAGTTACAATGCCATCCTTATCAGTGGCAATTGTATCTAAAATTATAGAAGTCTTGGAGTTAATTTGACATAGTGAACACATGTGTTTAATTTCTGCTTATTCCTGAAACATCACTAAAATGACAGTATACATGGTAAAATATATAAATCCATGCAGAAAAAGAAATGGGCAAGGAATCAGAAGACTGGAGAGGCCAACACATTTTCAGAATCAGGAAAGGGGATGGAGGAATACATCTGACTGATGGGAGCAACAGAAATTGTAATGAAATGTGAAAGCCTGTGGTAAGAAATGCCAGTTAGCAATGTCACCGCCCTCCACCCTGTCACCTTTTCACAGGATCTTGGAAAGTCACGGAAACTGGAGGCACTGGGGCTTGCTGAAGGTGGGGTAAAACCTGGAGCTCAAAAAGGGAACATGGTTGATAGATCAGTTGGCACCAGCTCTCCATGTCCACCATATATATCCAACCAACTACCCTTTTTCTTACTCAATCTAGCCAAATGTTAGATGATTATTCTTTGGAGAAATTGGAGAAATATCAATGGAGAAACTAAGGCCACCTGTATACATAGCCATGGGCATACCCAGGGGCAGGGCTTGATGTCAGGCTGAAAATAGGAGAATTAAGGAAAAGTCTGTACTCAGCTCAGATCTCAGGATGCCTCTAGCCAGACTGAAACCCTTCATGAAAGAAACTGGAGGATTCTTCTATGGAGAAGGCAAATAGCTCCGGGTACTTGGCAATGGGAACCCTCCAATAAAAACCCAACTCACCATTCAATGTGCAGTGAAACCCATCAGTGGATGAGCCCCACCCACTCGCACAGATCATACAATCAAATTTTTTTTTTCTAATCCAATTTTAAATGTAAAAGCATAATAAGGATTACCAAATACTGGATGAAGTCTCAAACCCGAAAGACAAAACCTAAAAGGTAAATCCAAAGGAAACAAATAATTGGGAATAAATGAAGGGCTTCAAAGAAATTGTGTTACTCCGGCCCATTTATCAAGCGACCCGAAAGGCTGCTATTTTTGAATGGGGCCCAGAGGAGGAGAAGGCTCTGCAACAGGTCCAGGCTGCTGCTCTGCCACTTGGGCCATATGACCCAGCAGATCAAATGGTGCTTGAGGTGTCAGTGGCAGCCTATATATATATATATATATATATATATATATATATATATTTCCAGGATTCTCTCTCTCTATATATATATATTTATATATATATTTATATATTTATATATATAAATATATATATTTATATAAATATATATATTTATATATATTTATATTTATATATATTTATATATATATATTTATATTTATATATATTTATATATATATTTATATATATATATATAAAAGTTCCAGGGTACGTGTGTGTGTATATATATAGCCTATATATATATGTGTATGTGTGTATATATATATCTCTCTCCATATGTATATCTCTCCGTGTGTGTGTGTGTGTGTATATATATATATATATATATATATATATATATATATATATACATACATATGCATATATATATCCTATTAGTTCTGTTCCTCTAGTGAACAATGACTAATACAGAAACTTTAAAATCACAAGAATTGGCCAGGCATGGTGGCTCATGCCTGTAATCGTGAGGCCGAGTGAGGCGGATCACCTGAGGTCGAGAGTTTGAGACCAGCCTGACCAACATGGGGAAACCTTGTATCTATTAAAAATACAAAATTAGCTGGGCATGGTGGCACATGCCTGTAATCCCAGCTACTTGGGTGGCTAAGGCAGGAGAATTGCTTGAACCTGGGAGGCGGAGGTTGCGGTGAGCCAAGATCGCACCATGGCACTCCAGCCTGGGCAACAAGAGCGAAACTCTGTCTCAAAAATAAATAAATAAATAAATATAAAAGTAAATAGCCAAAACAAAAAATCAGAGTAGATAATGATTGCATCCAGGGATAGGAATCTGGGGGGTAGGTAAGGGAATTCTGTTACCTTTTTATACCTTGTAGGACAATTTGTCTAAAATATGTGAATATACTACTTTCAACAGAGTCAGGGAGGGAAAGTTCTGAACAATTATATGAATACTGGGAGGCATGGTTCCCTGAGGGCCGCCAATTTAACAGCATAGCCCCACATCTATGAACTTTTGCCTCTGTCTGATATGCCTTACCTACTTGACCAAGGATGAAAGTTAGACTTACTTGATGAGAGTGTTAAATTTGCATTTCAATATTTATTTGAATATTCTTTGGGATTGGCATGACTTAAAGGATATCACAAACCCTGATTTCCTCGATAATCAATTAAATAGCATTAAAACAGTCATAATCTCTGAGGAGCTTAGTAAAAGAAACATGAACGCCACTGAAAGTCTTTGCTGAACCACGAAATGACCACAAGCAGCAAAATAAAGACATTTATTTTCCCCATCGATGATTTGCTATTGCCTCTTATTTAGTTTTAGAATTCTTTTTTTAATTTGTTGTATTAGAAACCATTTGTTATAATGCTTTCATCTTTTAAATTTGCAATCTATATACACTTCCAAATGTTTTGAAAACAAGTAGACAAATAGTGGTAAGTCCTGCGTGCCAGGACTTTGCCATATCAGAAATTGAATGTTAGAAATATCTGGAAAGAGCCCATGTCTACAAAATGAAAATTTTAAGTTACTATGAAAAATATTCTATTCTTAGAAAAATTTCCAGGTCTTGCTTTTGATACCAGATGTTTGAGGCTAGAAACTAACTCATTAGACAAAGCACAAATTGTAATTTTAATATCAACAATTATCATTGCTTTCTCATACTCATTTTTCTTCCACTTTTTCTTTTTCTTCCTCCTATTTTTCTTTCTCTTTATTATTGCTGTTATTTCCATGATCAAACCTAACATTTCAAGATAATTTAATTTTCCATAAAATCTGTTGAATGTCAGTTGTCTCACTGAGTTGTCCTTGTCACCTGAAATTATAACCATCCATCCAACATGACTATTAAAAATGACTGAAAGTACTTTGCAGATATAAGATGTTCTATAAACACTTTTCCCCAGTAGCCTACAACCCATTGAAATGGTATTTGATCTGGCATAAATTGCTATTTCAAGCATCTTTGAGCCGTCATAAATTTGGATGCTGTCATTGCTTTCTGAGTTTCATATTCCCCAAATGTTCTTTATTGAAATCCAATATTCATTCCAAAGGGTATTACATTGAATTCAAGTTAACTGAGAACAGGAGCCAAAGAGGCCCCATTCCCTAGTCATTCTTTTCTTAATGATAAGAATGAGATCCAGGAGTTCACATTTGATTAGATTATTCTCTCTTTCTCAAATGTAATGCTATTCTACAGGAAACTTAAGAGGCTTCTTTATAATTTGCATGTTGGAGAATGAAGGTGATGATAATTCCAATACACACCAGGGAAACAAGTTTATTTAAACTAAATCAACATGACAGAGAGCATTTCACTTCGAGGAGATAACACTGATTGTAAAGCCAGCCTATAGATGAATATATGATAAAAACTTGAGCAATTTTATTTACTCAAGCTAAAATATGTGCAATCTTAAGTAACCTAATTTTGCTCCAGCCTCAGAATACTCACTTAAAAAGAAGAGATCAATATTGAATTGTTACAGCTAGACTTGCAATGTCAAGAACTAAGAACCATCACAGACATTGAATTTGTTAATGTATTTAGGGCACAGAACAATGGAAAAATGAACTCAAAGGTGGATGAAATCAAAACAAAGAAGCACAGAAATATATAATCTGGAACAAAGCACTTTATTGCATTTTACATGCTGCTAATGCTTCAGTTGGAGCAATTTTTAAGGATTACGGATATTCCTGGTAATCACTGAGCAAATTTTCTTGCCCAGCATTTCTCAAAGTAAATTTTGTGGAACCATAGCCCTACAAGATACTCTGTGAGGAAAAAAAAGGTTTTTATCATGTTCCTATCACAGAACTGCATGCTGTAGTCCCACCCCCTGTCACTGTCAATGCACAGCAGATATTAGCAGATCTGAGAACTTGCATTAAAGGCTGTTCTTTTACTTGATTCGTCCTGCTTCCCCATTTTATTTGGCCATGAAACTTACTTTCTCTCTTCTCTTCCCCACTTCCTTCATTCCATTTATTATCTTAAGAATTAATGTTCCCCACGCTACTTTAGGAACCCTGGTCTGTCTAGATGATTTTAAATATAAAATCAATAAGCAGTTTTTAATGTTTCAATCATATTTACAAGATCTACTTAGAGGTAGCAGAGTCCAGATTTTAGCAAATTGGACAAGAATTAATTACCAAAAGATAAACTGTAGAAACACGTTGAAGACTTGTTTGGCAATATCTCCTAAAGCTGAACATATGTCTACCCTGTGAGCTGGCTATTCCACTCTACCCTGTTGGAATATGTACATATCTGTTCACCAAAGGACGTGTACAAGAGTGGGTATAGCAACTCTGTCTTAATAGTTATGAAGTGAAAATAAGCCAAATATCCATTGACAAAAGAATTAAAAACAGTGAAATATCTAAGCAATAGAATACTCTGTAGCAATGAGAACAATGAAAACATTACTATCCACAAAAACAAAGAATCATATCAAAAACAAATTGCTGAGCAAAAACATTCAGGCAAAAAGATTACGTACTGGATAATACCGTTTATTAAAGTTTAAGATTTTAAATGATGAAAGTGATCAGTGGTGGCAGGAATCAACATAGTGGTTACCTTGGGTAGGCCATAATGACTAGATCAGGAGGAGACTTCTGAGATTTTAATAAAATTCTATGTTTTCATGTGGGTGTTTCCTTTGTGAAAATGTGTCAAATTGTATGCTTAATAATTGTGTAATTTTTTGCATGCACAAAAATAATCGTTTGAATAAGTAAAAAGTTTTAAATTTTATTTTTTTTAAATATTACTGTTGGAATGATTTAATGTTTTACTTTTTTTTCTTTCCTTTTTGCCAGAAAATTGTTTTCTTAAACGCAAGTGATATTGGGCAGGACTTAAATTAAAACAAATCTACCAAAAGAAAGTCTGAGTTTCCATATGCCTAGATATATAACGTGCATTTTGAAGCTAGAGATGGCTTGCCATTAGTGTGGGGTGTTTAGCGTGTCTGTGTGTCCTTGCACATGCATGTAGCAAATTCAAGTGAAATATGGGAACATGTGATCCATTCAAGTATTATTCATTCATTTATTCCTTAACCATGTACTATGCCCTCAGAATATGTTTTAACAGAACAGAAAAAGTTATTGATCTCATAAAGCTTGTATTTTATGGATGTAAGAAATGAAACACTATATAAATAAATGAATAAATGAACAAAAAACAAATGTCAGGTGGCGATAAGGGCTCTTAAGAAAATAAAGCAAAGGAATAGTGACGTGTGTGTGTGTGTGTGTGTGTTGGCATGCACATATGTGGCAGGGGTCACCTACTGTGGTCACGGTGCATGGTCAGGGAAGACCTCTCTGATAACAAGATATCTGAGCAGAATCCTGAAGAAAGTGAAGGAGTGACCAAGCAGGTGTCGGGGGCAAAATGAATTTAGGGCAAACAGCAAGTGAAAGGGCCTGAGGGAAGAGCATGTGCAGAACGGTCAAGGAATAGCAAGGAAGTCAGGCTGCCTGGAGCAGGAAATAAAAGAGAGACTCAGAACCCAGCAAGGACTTGGGCTCTGGAACACTTTGGAGAGTTTTGAGCATGCACGTAACTGATCTGACTTACATGTTTTTTTTTCAGCTTTATTAAGGCATAATTTACAAACACAGATTGTATGCATTTATATGTACAACATTTTAAAGCCTCACTCTTGCTTCTGTGTGGAGACTGGACTAGGGAGTGGGGACGATAGTGGAAGCAGAGAGACTGGCGAGGAAGCAGTCGTGTGGTAACTTGTTCAGAAGCTGGTTGTGGAACCACTGAGAAGTGGTCATAGGTTATGTTTTAAAAATACAATGACAGAATTACTAATAAAACCGGATAAGAGGTGTAAGCAAAAGAAAATACATGAAAGATGACTCCAAGATTTGGGGCTTGATCAACTCATGGAATAAAGTTACTATTTAGGGAGGAGAACACTGTAGGATGGGCAGGTTAGGAGGCGAAATGCAAAATCAAATGTTCTGGGTGGAGCATGCAAAGCTTGAGATGACTGTGAGACGTCCACATTCAGGTGTGGATCTGCAGCTGGATACATGAATCTGGAGTCCAGTGCAGAGCTTGGAGCTAGGGACATAAATTTGAAAGCTGTTAGATTCTAGATGGTATTTAAATCCATAAGACTGAATGACTTCATATAGGAAATGAGTATAGATAGAGAAGTGAAGTAGTCTAAAGACCAATCCTCAGATTTAAACATTTAGAACTTAAACATTTAGAGTTTGGAGAGAAGAGAAGAAGCCAGAAAAAGAAACCAAAAAGGATTAACAAGTGAAGTAAGAAGACAAGGAGTGTGTGCGTTTGTAGAAATTAACTGAAGAAAGTGTTTTAAGAAACTTACCAGCTGTTTCAAATGCTGTTCACAGCTCAGCTAAGACGAAGACTGAGAAAGGACCCCTGGATTTGCAATGTGGATGTCTTGGTAAATAGGACAAGAGAAATGTAATGGTGTGGACAAATGCCTGATTGGAGTGAGTTTTGAAAATGATCTAAAGAAAAGAATTAGAGAAAGCTGAGTGTGGACTTCCCATAGGGAGTTTTACCATAGAGGAAGCAGAGAATTGGGTATTTGTTGGGAGATGGGGGGTGAAAATAGGTTTTTGTTGTGTTTTGTTTTAATGATTGGAGATATTCTAGCGTATGTATATGTGATTGAAATGATCCAGTAAAGAGAGGAAAACTGGCGATGCAGGGGAAAGAGCAGCCACTGCAGGAGTGATGTTATTGAGTAGGGGAGAGAGAGAAGGAAGCTGGAGGTCAGGAACATCTACAAAATGTTTATTCTTGTACATATAGGTGCAAGCTAATTAAAGGATTGGTTTTCTCTGATTTCTTTTCCTCTACATCTATGTATCCTACTGGGTAGTTGATACAAAAGCTACCAATTAAGCCAGAAATATTTCTGTCTGTGTGAGAGAAAAAAAGTCACTCATTTGTCATGCATTGCGGTTGTGTGTGTGTGTGTGTGTGTGTGTGTAGTGTGTAGGCTCTCTTTTGTTATTGAGGATTTCAAGGTATTTGGAAGGTATGGCTGCATCTTTTTTTGTGTGTCAGATTCAGTTATTACTTGGAATAGAGCAATTCCATTTGAATTCTGATTTTTCAAGAGCCTGGTTTGTAGTTCCTCTCTTCTGAAATGGTAAATAAGAGGAGAAATAGAAGAAAAGTACAGCAATTAAAAACTTGAATGTCAAGGTTTCCTATCAACTATGAATTTACTTTTTCAAAAGAGTTAATTATTTAGTATATTAGAATAATGGGGACAATAACGGGGACAAAGTTTCTTTGTTTTTGTAAACTATGTGTTTTCTCAAATTTTATATCAGTTTCATTTTAATATTGTAAACTGCATGTTTGCTAGTAAGTCAAACTTTAAAACCTCATATTGTAAAAAGGAGACATGAGCTCAGAGTTGATTACTTTCCATATCTAAAATAGGAAATCTATGACAGAAGCAGAATAAAATCTCAGCCTGTGATTTAGGCATTAGGCTATAGTTTTTCAATTCTCAGGCTGATTACATGAATTTTTTTAGGCCTTGATGCTATAAATAATAGTTTTATATATTATTATCAATGAGGAAAGCTACTATTTTAAAATCAGCTATGGTACTGAAATTATAGAAGAAAAGATAAGGATTGAAAAGAGTAAGTTATCTGATGGAACCTCTCAATAAAGTGTTAGGACAATGAAAGTATTCATGGTATTATATATTGATAGATTTTACTACACATAGCTTGCTAATGTAAGCATCTCCTTTCTCCTGACCTCTGAGTATGTACCTGGAGGACAAATCCATTTGAACCTTGGTTTTCCTCTGTTTTTTTTTTTTTTTTTAAACTGTGTCTGTTGATAGCCCTGTCTTTCATCATCCTGGATAGATTGCTTTGTTAGCACTCTCTCACCAGTGAAATTCAGTCCTTTATTAGGGTCAGATCAATCTTGTTGGCATATTTTTCAAGCATTTTTCTTCTTCCTGTTCCAACCGCCATTCTCACCTCCATGCCTTTCTCACACTTTAAAAAATAGAATTCTCAGATTTTCAAGGCCCTCAGCATCCTTCCACCGTTCAGGATCTGTTCCAGCCTTCTCTTACTCCACTCTCTATTTCACATTGAATGTTCAGGAAAATTGGTCTTTCCCTCTTCCCATTTCCTGAGCACGCTCTCAGCTTTCCCAACTCCATGCCTTTGCTCACATGGTTCTGTGAGGCATAAGATAAAGGAACGACTTCCAAGAGATGTCATCAACGGGGCCATCTCACACCTCTGACTTTCTCAATTCCCCTGCTCCTTGAAAGCACCAACCCAAATGTCAGCTCATTTTCAGCCTGATGATTGCTTCCTGGAATAGTTATCTTTACACACTGTTCTCTGCAGCACCCAGCCCAAGCATTATCCTCATTTTACAGATGACTAAACCGAGGCAGGGAGGTTTAATGATCTACCCGCACCCCAGAACTAATGTGTGGCAGCCCGGGATGCCAAAATTATTGCCATTTTCAGGTACTCAGCTGCTTCCTAAATGCTATTTGACTGCATGAAGAAATAAATGTGTCATTTTCCATTTTTCTTAATTCAAAATTGGAAAGTACTAAATGATGCTTCTTTGTCAGTAAGAGTCTTGCAGGACTAGAATAAAGTATATTAGTCGTGCCATGAGCTGAAAAATGGAGAAAATTTGGGAAATTTCTGAAGTAAGGCCAATAGTAAGGCTGTGTTGTCTATGACAAGAAAACGAAAAGCAAATGTTTTATTTAATCTTACGTGTTTTAATGGTGTGATTTTTTTAAAAGTATTTGAAAATAACCTAGATGAACAGTTATTAAGTGCTCAGTATAGGCCAGACATTTTTGAACATCTTACATATATTAATTCTTATCTTTTTTTTTTTTTTAGCGTTTTAGAGATGGGGTCTCACTCTGTCACTGAGACCATGAGTGCAATAGTGTAATCATGGCTCACTGTAACATCGAAATCTTGGGCTCAAACGATCCTCCTACTTCAGCCTCCCAAGTAGCTAGGACTACAGGAGCATGCCACCATGCCCCACTAATTTTTAAAAAAATTTTTTTTGACACAGGGTCTCGCTATTTTGCCCAGGCTGGTCTTGGACTCCTGGCCTCAAGTGATCCTCCTGCCTCAGCTTCCTGAGTAGCTGGGATTACAGGTGCAAGCCACCGTGCCTGGTGCTAATTTTTAAAATTTAACCATTATATCAATTCTACAAGTTAAGTATTACCATAACCATTTTATTGTTGAAGAAAAGAAGGTCAAGGAGGCCGGGCGCGGTGCTCACACCTGTAATCCCAGCACTTTGGAAGGCTGAGGCAGACGGATCACAAGGTCAGGAGATCAAGACCATCCTGGCTAACACGATGAAACCCCGTCTCTACTAAAAACACAAAAAATTAGCTGGGCGTGGTGGCGGGTGCCTGTAGTCCCAGCAGCTCGGGAGGCTCAGGCAGGAGAATGGCCTGAACCCGGGAGGCGGAGCTTGCAGTGAGCAGAGATCCTGCCACTGCACTCCAGCCTGGGCCACAGAGCAAGACTCCGTCTCAAAAAAAAAAAAAAAAAAAAAAAAAAAAGAATGTCAAAGAGATGAGATGAAGTAACTTGCCCTGGACTGAACATTAATGTTATACTTGGAATTCAGAGCTAAATGATCGCCAAACCCATATGCTTTAACTGAATATTTAAGGTTGTATAGACAGAGGGTAACATATTTTGAGGTCATTTTCTAATCACAGTTATATAAGAGACGACAGTTAAGGCTTTTGGTGACAATAAAGACTATGGCTCCTAACTCCTTACGTTAAAAACCTTATTATAATCAAAAAGTAATAAATTTACTTGCAAATAACTTCAAAAATTATCTAACTTTCTTTGCTAACCTGAAACTTTGTCAGCATTGAAGTTGATAAATAAGTGGATCATTGAGCAGACTTCAGATTCCTGGCATCACCACAAAAATGTACAAGTATTTAGTGGTTATGAAATTAATCTAAAGCAGAATGTTTTTCTTATATTTTAATATATTAATTGTGAAGTGTTGACGCTCAGGGTTGATCCAAGGTGACAGATTAAATCAGATTAATGCCTATAATACTAAAACGCTGAGCAGAATAACATTAAAGCTGGTATCCATGAGCCTAGCCTCACTCCCCAGAAGAGCACCCAGTCAGATTATGAGGCAGTTGTGCGGGATTCTTCCACAGTTATCCTTACCTGCTCAATTAACCTTGGCGTGGTACAGCATATTTGGTTGTGATCTTTTAGAGTTGATGTGTCTCCCATACCTACAAAATTTGAAAATTTACAGTTTCCCTTTTATCATAGAAATTAATCATGTTCTGTGTAATATGTGTTAGCAACTTAAAAAAAATACCTATTCAAATATGACTTTGATCTAATCCAATTTAATTTAGGCCTCAAATTAAATAGAATTTAAGAGTCTTACAGACTTCCTAGACTTGTTTGCAGTCTCAAACACTATATTTGTGATAAGATACTATGGATTGATTTTGATAACGTTAGTGCGTAATATTTTGACTATAATCTTGTTCATTGGATACTCTCTTTCCAGTAACTCTGAACCTGTGGAGATTGGACTTGACATAGGCATTGGGTATTTTTATTTGTAAGGTGTGATATGGAAAAGCACATGGGCATTTTGTCTTTGAAGCAGCACCAACTACTTCTACCAACAGAATTTATCATAGCTCTTAGGATTGCCTCTTAGAAAAGTCATCTGCCAGGGGATTTAAAACATGGCTGTGGATGACTGGGGTCATATGGCACTGAGTTAATTTCTGTTTAGGACCTCAGCTCTGGCTCATTTCCTGAATCTCTTGAGTGGCTCTCGTCTGTCGTTTTTCACACTCCTGGTTTCCAAAAACTCGTAATCCTAGAATCAATGTGGCTTTGCATCATAAAGCTAATGGCCAAGTGCTTGAGGAGACCACTAATCATCACTGTAGCCAGGCACGGGAAGGTGCATGCTGCCCCAGGTGACCTTTGAGCATTGAATGCAGCCCCCATGGTCTCTGCGAAGCAGTCCTTTCAGTAGCCCAAATAAAATTTCCCCAAGCTAGTAATTGTCTTGCATTTTTAGCAATCATCTTTGAATTTTTCCTCTTTCAAATTATAAAACCTTTTCAGTTGTGCCCTGTCATCTTGCAAGGATGGCTCAGCAGGACATTAGGACTTTAATAGAGACTTTAAAAACATTCCTACCAATTTATAATAATTGCACATATTTGCAAATTCTGTTTTTCTTTACCAGGCTCTTATTACCATTACTACCATGTTGTCAGCAGGCGAACTTTCTGGCAAGAAATTACAATCAAATGACCACTCATTAAAAAAAAAAAACAACAAAAAAGAAACTCACAAAGAGACAAAGAGATGGAGGGGAAAGTGAATGTATTTTCATACATAATTATGGGGCCTTCAAGCTTCACTTTAGAACTGCTAAAATGGGAAGGTGCAAAGCAAAAATTCAGTAGCAGAAGACTAGAAGAGACATAAATCCCAAGAATCCCTTCTAGGGAGATGCAGTTAGGAACAGTAAATTCATGGAGGCTCTCTTTGAACAACAAAACAAATCTTTCTCTGCCTAGCACACATCCAATTATTGCCCAGGACATTATCTTGTAGTGGCTCAAAAACGTATTTACAATTATCAGATTTCAGTGACAGTGAAAGTATCTTGAAGGAGTATATTTCACTCCACTCAACTAGATATAGTATGATTTTTTACCTGTTTCACTGAGAAAAAGAATGAATCATGATGATTAAGTTTGGGTCACTTAAAATCACCATCAACTGTTTATAAATAGCAGATGCCTTTTTGCATTCATTCTATATGTCTCCATTGCAATATGTTCCAATCAGATGTTTATTATTCTTTCCTACTGTTTGGATTCTTTAAACTGTGAAAATGGCACATGAGCAGCAAAGAAAATTCTGCTGGCTTTTGTGTGGTTATTGTTGCTAAGGAAACCATTTCCTTTCTACTACAGTGTATAGGACATCTGTGCCACATTGAGTCTGCTACAGAAAGACACATAACATCAGGAATAGGGAGTGAATGAAGAAGGAACACAAATTAATAAAACAAGAAAAGTTAATACAAATAACACTCACTTTAAACACTCCTTTTAATGCTCTCATAGTGATGATTTTTTTAAGTAGGAAAAATGTAGAATGTGTACATGTAATTCTCAGTAACATGGAACATCTTTATGTACATCACTGCCACATCCCAACTGGGTCTCTTCCTTCCCTTCTGTGAACTCCATGGAAGCATGTACCCTAATAGAGCGTTTGTGAATCTTTCACAAACTTCATCATGGTCATTACTACTTCCCAGAGAGGGGAGCAGGTGTGTCCTGAAGCATGTGAGCATGCTATGGTATTTGAGACAGCAGGCCTCTCCTCCTTGTGGTTTTCTATCAGCTGCCCCAAATCCTACACCATCCATAGCTTTCTCCCTCCTAACTCACTTATACCTTCGTGCCCTTACTTTTCTAAGGCTACTTCATTCTTACTTTAGCCTATCCCCTGCAACCTTTCCTGCCATCCCCCAGATACATGTTTCTTAGTTAATAATTCAGACAATGACCTCTTTGCTTCCTGCGTTGGTTGAAATCTGCCCAACCCCTGAGGGTGCTGCTGCTTCATTCATTCATTCCAAAAAGAGGCAGCTCGTTCTCTCAAACCCCACAACCCTGATGTCAGATCAGGAGACCTCCCCACTTCTTCTAGGCATTAGTCTTCCACCTTGGTCTAAAGTCTTCTTTCCTAATTCTATTTTTGCCATTACTTTTAATTGCAAAAACCACAATTACTTTTGCACCAACTTAATATGATACTTGTTTTCACTGTCATCTATCTCTCGCTGTCACCTGCCTTCTGATCACTCTCTTTGTGACTGAAAACTTTGGAGGCTAAATTGTAGTCTTCTTTCATGCTAACCTATATTTCAACATGCATATAAGTGACCTGACAAATAATCTAGTCTCACAGTTACTAAGCTATTTAACTCCATTGGCCATTCTATTTCAACTACCTACTCACCTGCCCAGAATCTTGTACTTGCTAGAACAAACACTAATTCATCTGTCTCGTGAGCCCACACCTACCTACCATCCCTTCTTTCCCATTTCACAGAGACCTCCAGCTCTTGATCTCAGTATCTTCCTAGTTTGTCTGCTTCTTGTCTCTTTTCCTTCTATTAATCCTGACACGTGTGTGTTCATTTACTCCAAAGATTTTATGCGTATCACTGCTTTCTAAGTTTTTGCTACACCTCTGTGAATCCCTGTTCCAACATTGCTCCTCTATTTTTCTGCAACACCTACCCAAGATCACCAACTACAAATTACCACCTCTACCTTTCTCTAGGACACCTGAGTGTATAATGCCTGAGAAAGTTCCAGGTTGATGCAACCTAAAATCTTTATAAATCCTGAGCTATGCCTCAGCTGCATCTACTAGAAAGGCTATATGTTGTCCATGATCAGCCTTCTCTCATTATCCTAGATGTCAATTCCTGATGCTCTCAGCAGATAATCCAGCTTTATAAGAGCAGGATGATTGTGTAATGGTTAAGAGCATGCTATCAGAAAGCAGACAAAAGGCTATCAAAGGGAAGAACAGAAATTCAAACCCAGCTCTGCCTACCGCTGAAGCCCACAAATAATTTCTAGTTGTATATTATTGTTGATGCTCTCATAAAAATAAAGGTTCAATTTCTGTAACACCTGTCTTTTGAAACTACAAAATAATTTTTTGCATGTTTTTAAACATAATTTTAAAAAAATTTTAAAGTATTTAGATTAACGTTTACATCATAAATTATCTTAGAAGATGATAATTTAAGTGTTCCAATGATTACGTTTTGCCACATCAGATCTGACATTTTTCCATGCTATTTTATTCATTCTCCCTTGGAAACTCTATCCACTTTCATGGCTTCAATTATCACCTCCAGAATACTCCTCAAAACCAATCTGTAACTCTCACCTCTCTTTTGAACTTCAGTCCCAACTGTCCAAATGTCAGTTGGACATCTGTGCATGAATATTCTGCTGTCACTTCAAACTCACCATGTTGAAAATGAATGTATAGTCCTAACCCCATCTAAATCTGTTTGCTGATTTTAATATCTCTGTCTCAAGTTCAATTATTAATGTGGATCTTCATTTTCCTTTCTTCCTCTCAGTAAATTTTTTCTCAACTTCAACCTTCTCACACTCATAATTCCCTTGTTTGTCCCTGCTTTGTGTGGGCATGGAACATGTAATATTTTTTTCTTTTGTCATCCTTCAAGCTGCATGCCTTTGGTGAATATTTCCTTTTGTCTGTAAGTCCCCATGTAGATACCTTTATTTATTCTTTCTCTACTTTAGTCCCTATTTTTTCTTATTCTTTTCTCATTTTCTTCCTTGTAGGACTGTTTTCCAATATTGAAGTTGCCCAGGTGTGACAGTGGGTGGCAAATATATGTGTACACACACACATACATGTTTGTATGTATATAAAACTTGAATGAATTATCCATATCAGTTTTATCAAAAATTAAACACTTCTCAAGGCAGGGATGTGACTATGAGTATAAAGTCACATATATTTTGTAGATGAAGAAATGGAGGCACAGAAAAAATGAATCACAACAAAAGCTCAGTGTAGAGGAGAATATAGGACTTTAAGCCAGCACTCTGATTCTCGGGTATTTTTTCTACTCTGTGGGTTCCCTTTCAGCAGGACAATTTTAAGCTTAATACTCACGAGCATCGGCATGGGAAATATTTAATATAAGACCAAATAGTACATGCCCTTTGATAATTCTTTATACTCATTAATATCAAATTTACAAAATCACTAACTGCTTTAAATGAGCTCCACAGAAAATACCATTGCTTATAACAAACTAATCTTTTCTGAGTTATGTACCTATTATTGACCCTTTTCATTTTTCTTATTTCTTCCCAAAGTGTGAGGAATTTGTTAATACAGTAGTTTCAAAATAGATAGCAAACTCTTTAATACACAAGTCAACCAAGGGGTAGTGAGAAGAAAGTCCAAAATACACCTATAAATCTTTACAACTGGAAAAAAAAAAAAAAACCTGAAAGGAATTTCTTTCTCTTGAGCCCCACTATTGTTTTTCTTTTCTTTTCTTTTCTTTTCTTTTTGGCTTTTTTTTTTTTTTTTTTTTTTTTTTTTTTTGGAAATTCAGATTGCAAGCTCCTAAAAGTAGAGTCGTAATGATTGTAATCATGCATATATTCTGGGTAATAACTTAGGGACACATAGAAGCCTTTCCTCTATTACCAGAGAACACTGTACATTTTGTTAAGATGCAAAAATGAAATTGGGTTCCTGAAATTTAAAATTAGTCTCATGTATATTTAAGTGACTGTAAAATAGCACCCTGCACATGACCTCGATTATTAAATAAATGGCACTTTAAAGTCATCCTGGTGTGTTGACTACAAGGCTTTGCAAGAAAAAAAAAAAAAAAAAAACGGTGTCTCAAAGGATCCATTGTTAGAATAGCTGCAAAAGCACTGTATGATCACCCTCACGTGGGCCAACTGAATAGTTATTGAGACCAAGTCACAGCTGGGACTATTACAATTACTGTCACACTTGTGAGAATGTCATTTTATCATATGACCTCTTAGGTGATTATAAGGACCCAAAAAGGCAGTGAAGAAACTGAAGGATGGAGGGTTGTAAATTATCACAGAACCTACATTTTGGCCTCCTGGGCTAGGGCTTTAGGTTAGTTTCAATGTTACTAACACCTTGCAGAGTCAAAAGTAACCATTTTCACTGCCTCATGTTTCTAAAAGCACCTTATTTTAGAAATAGCTTCAAAAGTGAATCTTAAGTTTCATTCTTCTTTTTTGGAAATTTAGAAATTATTACTTTTTTAGGAAAGAGATTGTCATCATGAATAATACTAAAGGAATACTTAAGATCAAAATAAAAACTCTTACTTTCCTTTCTTGCTACTGTGAATTTGAACCACAGTGAATCAGCTGAGATCTCACACACTGATTTAGCACACTTTGCTAGCAGAAGACCCACGTTTCTTTTTAAATTAACGTTTGTCTCTTTCTTTGTTCTCTGTTTCACCTTAAATGGGAATACATAAATATATTAAAAGTGAGAAACTTTGTTTATTTCATAGCAACTTCATAACATCAGATAATTGCCAACTCTGATTATTTTATTTGTATTCAATTGATATATATTAAGGATTTATCACACACCATGATCTTAGAGGAGAAAATCAAATGAGAATAGAACACTCAAAATATTTATATTTAAGTAGGAGAATTTAGTCACATACACAATCAACTATTTTTTAAAAAAAAAAAAGAGTTCCAATAAAGTACTAAAGAGGATCAGTAGAGAGAGGCCACCTAGAGTAGCCAGGATGACTTTATAGAGATGACATTTGTGCTCTAAGTTTGAAATCCTTTTCTTACATGTACATGTTCAATTGTATTTTAAATAATCAATAAGCAAAAACTGTACCTCTGATTACACTGAAATCCGCTCTGAAATGGATTATTAATTTTTAAGAGGAGAAAAAGAAAAACCTTTATTACTGCTTGTTCCTTGGAGGGCTGTAACAAGAAAACTTTTGTTCCATATCTATGGGGTTGTCACTGACCTTCTAGAAAGTATTTCTGGGTAGTGACATTCCTCTAGTTTTCGCTCTAGTTTTTGTAAGTCAGCATCCTGTTTCATAGTAGTGGGTCAGGAGCTTGCTAGAAGAGTGGAGAAGCCCTGGGAGCCTCCATATGTGTTTCATAGTACCATCACTTGGCTAGAGGGCCAGATACCCAAAGACTAGGGAATACTTCTAAGTAAGATGGGGAAGGGAATAGCCAAAAAATTCCTTCTCTCTAAAATTGCTCTGGAAGAAAGGCAGCCTTTTGTTAGCATTTCAGCTCACCAGGTCATGAGCAGGAAATGGTACCAGGTCTTGGAAGGAGAATACAACAATGCTAACTGGCTCCTTTGGGGGGCTTCCAATTTTGTTGTTCTGGCAAGATATATACAGTACATATGGAAATATAACTAATTGTAAAAGGAAAGATGAATGCAGAAATTGGCAATTCAGTACAGAGGGTAAAACTCACATCACTGAGTTAGGAAACCAAAATCTTATTTTGTGTGTACTTGGGCAAATTAAAATCTTCTAGCCTCAGTTTCCTCACCTGTGAAATTCTTTTTTTTTCTTTTTCTTTTTTTTTTTTTTTTTTTTGAGACTCTGCCACCCAGGCTGGAGTATAGTGGCACTATCTCAGCTCACTGCAAGCTCCATCTGCCCGATTAACACCATTCTTCTGCCTCAGCCTCCTGAGTAGCTGGGACTACAGGCACCTGCCACCATGCCCAGCTAATTTTTTTTTTTATTTTTAGTAGAGACGGGGTTTCACCATGTTAGCCAGGATGGTCTTGATCTCCTGACCTCATGATCTGCCCGCCTCAGCCTCCCAAAGTGCTGGGATTACAGGCGTGAGCCACCATGCCCGGCGGCAAACCCACAATTCTTTAAGTGGAGGATTCCAAAAGAGGAAGTGTGGCTTTCACACAGGAAAGAGAAGGGAGTGTGTTTCTGTAAGGGGAAAGCTTGAGAAGGGCATGGAAATGGGAATATGTGAAGATACTTAGACAATAGTGAGCAAAACGGTTGCTTGTTCTTAGCATTGGTTCTAGACAACTTCATCCCCAGGGCTCTTCTCACCTATAGATAGAGAGGGTATTGCTTCACATACTCTCCTCATTCCCTCAAGTGCTCCCATTTTAGTCTGCATCTTCCTACAAGGTTCTTTTAAGCTTCCATTGCAAACATTTTAGAGTTGTCATCACAACTTCAGGATATGAAGATATGCAGTTCCCATAAGTAAACGGATGAATCCAGTCCTGAAGCCTGTGAAATCAGCCCATGTTGGTGCCAACAGGAGACTTCACACACTTCCCAAACCAGTATGTTTGGTGACTATTGGGACAAGTTTGTCAGCAAAGTGCACATGGCCCTGGGCAAAGGTATCAGAAGAGTGACATTTATGTCCCACCCTGTTTTGCCCCTAACCATAAGTTGACCCCTGTAAGTCATTCAATCTCACTGAGATTCGATTTATCCATGTTTCATGTGACAAGATTATTATCTTCTGTGCCTCTTACTCTGGCTTCCTGTGAGGCATAATATAAGCTATCATATATATATATACTTTTTGGAAAAATATAAACTGGTAAGCAAATATAGGGCATTATGATTGAAGAGCTTTCCAGATATGCTAACATATATTGAATTTAAGGCCTTTAATAGTTACTAGATTTTCTTTTTTAAACATGGTAATAGCTTTACTGATTTTTATTGCAATACTCTTCTCAAAACATTTTGCATTATTATGTGCTTTTAGTATTTGAGACTTCAGTCCACCCAGTAGTGGTTAGTGGTAAGAGTGGAGGTTGTAAAATATATAAATGCAATAGAAACATGCAGTTAGAAATGAGTGTTTAGATAAACACATCTTTGGGCTGAGTACTTTAAAATGCTCAATCTAAGTGTAGTCATTGACTAAAATCCATCCATGAAAAATGTTTATTGACTTTCTCAAATGTGGTAATGGTAAGCTTTTTTCCTTTAGCACCCTATAAATAATGATGTGTTGTGGTTTTATCAGCAGGTAGCAACATAAATAGGTAATATAAACTCAGTTCCCAAGTGCAGACAATAAGCCTTCAGAAATAACTTCATTATCATTGCCATAGTTGTGCTTAATTGGGGCTAGTTTAATTTTGTAATATCTTTATTTCATAATAATTCATTATATTATCACTTTTCTTATTGCAGCTTTATGCCCACAAACTTTTGCAGCCAGAATAGTTTTTTTATATGTGTCCATATATCTCATATGAAATTTCTGATATTTTATCATCTACATATGAAACTAAATTTGATATGTACTTGGGCCTGTTTGTACTAAAAGGAATGAAAGATATTCCTCCACCCTCTTAGGGTCCCTGGTTGAGTTTTATGTGACATGGAAGCCTTCATAAGGAAACAAAGTCCCAAGAAGTAGTTAAACCTATCTATCTATCTATCTATCTATCTGTCTATCTATCTATCTATCTATCCATCCATCCAACCGTCCTCTATCATTCATTTATTTATTTATTTATTTATTTATTTATTTATTTATTTCTGACAGTGCCTCACTCTGTCACCTAGACTGGAGTGCAGTGATCATAGTTCACTGCAGCCTCAACCTCCTGGACTCAAGTAACCCTCTCACCTCAGCCTTCTGAGGCTGCGCTGCCTTACCTGGCTGATTTTAATTTTTTTGTTTTAATTTGTAGACATGAGGTTTCACCATCTTGCCCAGGCTGGTCTCTAACTCCTGGGCTCAAGCCATTCTCACACCCCTCACACCGCAGCTTCCCAAAGTGCTGGGATTACCCACATGAGCCACCATGCCCGGCCAAACTATGTATTTTTATGCTAAGTTTGATGGAAATGGGAGAGTCGTGGAAAAATGTAATTGGACAAAGGGGGTATGATTTAATGATAATAACTTGGCAGAACTTAGCAAAGCCTGTCTGTTCAAGTTCCTCTCTGTGACCCTGTGTCTTCAGAGATAAGGATGTTCTTTTCCTCTGGATGTAGGGAGGGTACCTCTTGAATGAGGGTCCTATGACCTGCTTCAGGGGAAGGTTAGAAAATTCTTCCTGGGATTTATGGCCGCCTTCCGGGGAGATGGGCGAGAAGAAGGTAAGAGTGACCTTCCTGTCTCTGCTGTTGTCAAATGCCACGGTGCTATATTTTGGGGTAATGTGTCCTGAATCCCATCAGCACTATTGCATAGAGCTTTGTGTTCTTTTAAAATTCTGCATATAAAGAAAATTATCTTCTGAGGTGTGACTGACAGAATGAGGAGATCCACATGGACTTTCAGATTTATGTAAGGTTCACAAATATGAGACTCAAACTTGATTAGCTCAGAAGTGTGACCAAGATCATGATGGTGCTTGCAGCCCCATGGAGCACTTTCACAAGCGCTTACACAAGCCTTGGTGACTGTTAACCCTCACTTCACAGACAGCTTTGCTGTGTGTAATCATGACAGTGTGGTTTCTCCAATTTTTCCCTATTTTAACAAAAATGGAAGCACCTATGAGACCAACTTTGGGTCAGTGAATCAATACCAATCTACCTTCACTTCCTGGAGAGCATCTCAGAATGCATTTTCCTCCAAGGATATGTTATTGTTTCATCATTGTTTTTTAATAAAGGGGAACACATTTTTAGAACTAGAAATGGGGGAAAATACATATAACCAACAGATTTTATGGAGCAGACATAACCTAATACAAATCCCACTTCAGGTCAGACTCAGGTTGGGCCTTCACCCCACATCTCTCCTTCTTTTGGGACTCCCCTCCACTACCCCGGGCCCTACTCCCTTCCATTTTCCTGGAGTAGGACAAATACATATCATAGGAAGCAATGTGTCATAGCAGACACAATTAAAACTCCAGATTTATTCCAAAATCCAAATCCTATCCCTGCCACTTGGTAACTGTGTGATTTGGGGCAATATGATTTCTCTGAGCTCTGGTTTACTTGTCTGCACAAACGCTTGTGTCACAGAACTGTTGAGCATATTAATGGATGTATCTAGCACCCAGGACAGTGTCTAGAACATTGTTGGGGCTTCATACTCAGTAGCTCTAATGAGATAATCATCTAACTAACTTGGGATCATTTAGTCTGAGTTGTCAGGCTTGGGGATGAAGTTTGAAGAAAGCAGGTTTTATTTTGTTTGTATAAGTGCAAGTCTTCCTTCACCAGTAACACTTTAATGACAGAGGTTTTCAAATCACGTATTTATCTGAAGGACAGTTACATTTACCTTACTATTTTCTTGTTAGAACTCAGTTGCATTTCCAAGGTGACCTGCAACATTTTACAGTTTGCCATAAACATATTTATTTCATTGATGAGAAAAATTTGGGCAGCGTGGAGAGTAATACGGAAAACTTTTAAATGATTAACTGGGTTGTGATCATTAAAATAAAGCTACGAAAATGCTTATGTAGTCAAAGTATATTACAATTGTAAGACTGCGAACAGATGGGAATGTACAGCATTTTGCTACCTTGTAAAACCTAGGCCGTTACCCTTTTATGAAAGGACAAATCTGGGCTCTGGAATACACTTTGGTGTTTGTTTTTTTTTTTTTTAATTTAAAGTTGATTTTACAGGCAACTTCTGAATTTTCCTTCTCTGCCTCTTACAGTTTTTAAGACGATCTCATCTTCCTCCACTCCATGCTAGCCACAACTCTTAAAAGCCACAAACTCTCATTCATATCCATAGCAATTGCCTGGAGCTCACTGACCTTGGGGGGGCAATTTGTTCTCGTTCTACCACCTTACTCAGTTTTAGACCTTTGGCCCCGTACTCTGCCTTCGAACTTGTTTCTAGCCCTTTGGATTTGTTGTTTGTATTTGCAATGCCCAGAATTTGAACCTTGCTTCACCCCTTAGAAACTGGCTTCATGTTTCTCTTTGGCTCAGGGCACCCTAGCTGGATCAACCCTGACCTTCTGTAGTGCTACAACACAAGTAATCTATGTCCGTCCATTGTAGCTGGGACGAATCACAGGCCTGCAGTTTTTAAAATAAGCAATTTACAGTACGGCATCTACAGACACCATTTTTGTCCACCACACCACTATACAGTTCTTTGTATAGTTTCTCATTTTTACCTTTACAAATGTTTAATAAGGCTGTTTTTACTATCATGCCGGCTACACGTTTTCATGTAATGTATTTCTGAGTTAAAAGGAAAATAGTCGGGCGCAGTGGCTTACGCCTGTAATCCCAGCACTTTGGGAGGCCGAGGCGGGCAGATCACCTGAGGTCAGGAGTTCAAGACCAGCCTGACCAACATGGTGAAACCCCATCTCTACCAAAAATACAAAATTAGGTAGGCGTGGTGATGCATGCCTGTAATCCCAGCTACTTGGAAGGCTGAGTCAGGAGAACTGCTTGAACCCAGGAGGTGGAGGTTGCGGTGAGCTGAGATCGCGCCATTGTACTCCAGCCTGGGCAAGAAGAGTTAAACTCTGTCTCAAAAAAAAAAAAAAAAAAAAAAAAGGAAAACAAATGTCTACCTAAAAGTCTATGGTTATTTAAAAATACCTTATGTTTGTTTTTCTTCAAGTCGAATTGCCCAATAAGATTGCTGAAAGTATATTGACCTTTTATTTCATTAACAATGCAAACTGGAGCTGGATGCAGTGGCTTATGCCTATAATCCCAGCACTTTGGAAGGCCAAAGCAGGCAAGTTGCTTGAGCTCAAGAGTTTGAGACCCATCTGGGCAACATGGCAAAACTTTGTCTTTACAAAAAATACAAAAATTAGCTGGGCGTGGTGGCGCATTCCTGTAGTTCCAACTACTCAGGAGGCTGAGATGGGAGGATCACTTGAGCCCAGCAATTCAAGGCTGCAGTGAGCCAGGTTCGCACCGCTGCCCTCCAGCCTGGGTAACAAAGCAAGACACCCTCTGAAAACAAACAAACAAACAAAACAATGCAAACTGGTAAAAGCCACTTATACTTCGTGTTGGAATTTATTTTAAACTTTCGTATAATTCAAGCACAACAGCTGGATGAGAAGTTACCCTCTTAGGGCCTGCCTAGAAGTTTCCCCCTTAGGACAGTCTCCTCAGAACTGTCTTCTCTCAGGGTTGACATGCAGTGGGTATATTATTCATGTATGTGGCTTTCAAATTACTGATGCTGGGAATATAATTCAGATGCAAAGTAAGTGTAAAGAGGAACATTTTAAGTAAGCAAGCAATAAGATCTCTTGAAATAGTGCAAAAGCAAGACATCTGGCTTGACAATAAATCTTGTGGAAGAGACTCAGAAGTGTTCAAGGCCTGTAAGTTTCTATAATGTGAGTGCAAAAATCAAAACAAAGCAAAACAAAAAAACAGTGTAAACTTGCTATGCATTAGCCCAGAAAAAATTTGAGAGTGTTCCCAATTAACCACAGCCATTTAAACAACCCACTAAAGTAATTAACAATGCAACTTGCTAATGAACACTGCAAGGTGGATTTAATATATACTGATTTGGCTAAGTCAATGATAAAAATTGTACTATACAAGGAAGCATTGTTAAGATACAGTGAGAAAGTGAATCTGGAATCAAATGAACTTCATTTATAAAGTTAAGATAGGTGAGCATCCCATATTTTGACTGGTATCTGAACTTCTACAACTCACTAAATCTATTCTCAGTAATTATTATTTATTAATTTATTCCCCTATTTCAGTCTGAAATGACTTAAGATGGCTTACAAGGATCCATATAATAAAAAAATCAATTTTAAAAGAAGATACAAAGAGACACACTAAATGCATGCTTAGAAGAAGTTCTGTATAATTCCAATGTGCAGTGTACATATTCCTAAAACTAAACCATTAACTTGTCTCTATGGAAATTGGTCATTAAGAAAGGATGATTAGCTATAAGAGTCACAATGTTCATGAGTTAAAAAAAAAAAAACTGTTCAGAGGATGCTCAACACTAACAGTATTCTCTCATGAGTTTGCATGGAGGGGATATGACATTAATGTAAAAAACAGTATCAAGGATCACAAAACTTTTATTTTAAAATGTCCTCAACCTTGTCCAGTGGAGTTATGCAGAAGTGCCATTGGGTAAAAGCTCTTATCTGGAGTGTCAGTATTCCAAGGTCCAGGTATTAACAGTCTTCTATCTGTCTGGCTTATTCCAGGAGTAGATTTTAGAGTATCTAGAGGAATATATGGATTGTCTCTTTCCCCTAATTTTTACAAATATTGTTTTTCTTGGCTGAGCTTCTGAAGTGTATTGAGCCATCCTAAGTCCAAGCTTATCCTTTCTGGCACAAACCTGATGTACTGGCGCCCTTTTGCCAGTCAAGTGGAGCATTAAATATTTTATCAGCTGAGTGGCAGATAGGATTGATTCTCTTATAAAAACTGAGGTGCCCAAAGAATGGGTGCCTGAACAAAAGATCATCTAACTTCTGTTCTAAAGGATATTACCTTAGTCCATTCAGGCTGCTATAACAAAATACTGTAAACTGAGTGGCCTATAAACAACAGAAATTTGCTTCTGAAAGTTCTGGAGGCTGGAAAGTCCAAGATCGAGGCAGATAGGGTATCTGCTAAGGGTCTGCTTTTTGGTTTGTAGACGGTGCTTTCTATGTGTCCACACATGATGGAAGAGACAAAGGAGCTGACTTGGGCCTCTTTTGTAAAGGCACTAATCTTACTTACGTGGGCTTCACCCTGAAAACCCAATCATTTCCCAAAGGCCTCACCTCCTAACACTATCAAGGATAGGAGGGACAAATACTCAGATCATAGTAGAAGTTAAGGGTGAAACTCTAGGTAAGCCAAAAGCAAGATTTCCATCAGAAAATGATTTTCAGTTCATGGTAACAAACACACAAATAGGCCCTTATTAAAGGATTTAATGTCCAAATTTGCATCATCCTATTAATACATTGACATATTATACTTGTGTTTTATAGGTCATAGGAAATATATAGTAGGTTTTGCATTTGATAAAAATCCAGGTAGTCTTTTTTATGTGTCACATCAGTAACAAGATGGCAATGCCCTTCAGCCAAGGTCACCAGGAACACACCTATAGTCAAAGAAAGATGGATTTTATTAACTCGTTATTGAGAAATGAGGAAGAGAGCACTCCATGGAGCACTATGAGCCATCTCAGTAGGAAGATTTAGGATTTGGCTTTATAGTAGGTGATCCTGAAGAGAGCTCAAGGCAGTAGGACTCTTCTCCAGATTGGATGGATGCTGTGAGGAATCGGGTGATTTTATGATTGGGTTTTTATAATTCTTATCTAGAATGCAGATGAATGAACAAAGGTGAATGCAGTAGTTGGGAAATATGCAAAAGAAGGCAGTCTTACTTTTGTCTTGATCCACTATGGTCACACAATGGCCTTGTCTGAAGTTGGCGTTCTGTGAAACTATTGATGTTCCACAGGAGAACACCATAGCCTAGCTGGGAATAGCAGGCCAGCTCCTATCCATAATACCTAGCTAATAGTTCCAGGCCCACTTATATCTATCAACTTTTCTTATTCTCAAAGTCCACAATTTTTTGTTTACCAAGAGTGCTTGTCAAACTGAGCCTCTCAAACAGGAAACCTACTTTTGTAAGACATGATGCTGCTAATAAAAGTAGTTTAAACTTATTAGCAATCTATTTATAGAAAATAAGAAGAGAAACTTTTTCCTTGAATGAATTGAGGTTTAACAAACCCATGGATGAATAGTAAAAAGGGCACATACATTTTGAAAGGCAGTATGCTTTTTAAAGCAATCTCATCTTGCAAATTCAACCATAAGTGAATTCTTTTTACCTAACTCAATATAGACTTTGGATTATTAATAGTTAACATCTAAATCAAAGAAAAAATAATTGTCCCACTGTTTTCTATTCTGGTAAAATAAGGTCTCTAAAACTGTATTCAGTTGTGTTCAACATTACATTTTAAGCATTAAGACATGAAAGCAATCTTTTGTTTGTTTTTGTTTTGTTTTGTTTTGAGACGGAGTTTCACTCTTGTCACCCAGGCTGGAGTTCAGTGATACAATCTCAGCTCACTACAACCTCCACCTCCCAGGTTCAAGGGATTCTCCTGCCTCAGCCTCCCAAGTAGCTGGGATTACAGGCATGCACCACCACGCCCGGCCAATTTTTGTATTTTTAATAGAGACGGGGTTTCACCATGTTGGCCAGGCTGATGTGGAATTCCTGACCTCAAGTGATCCTCCTGCCTTGGCCTCCAAAGTGCTGGGATTACAGGCATGAGCCACTGTGCCTGGCCGACATGAAAGCAATCTTAAAATACATGGAGGTCTGTCCTGTGGAGTAGCCTTTAGACTTATCCTATTCTGTTCCAAAAGCTCAAACCAGTATCATTAGCTTCATGTAACAAAGAACAATGATTTCTGCTCCAAAGAAAGAATAAGTTTCTCATAATGAAGAGCTATCCAGAAATGGAATAGGTTGTTTAATTATGTTGTGAACTTTCCAACGTTAGAAATGTTGAAAACTGATGCTGAGTGAACACTGGGAATGCAGGCATAACTGTAATGCCTCAAATGGGAGTTTTGACTAGATAGTTGGTCAAGGCTCTTTCTAACTCTGAAGGCAAAATCGATGAGCTTGAGAAAGGGGTTAGGAAGTTGATAGGTTACCATGAGCTAGGGCAATTTAAAGATATTGTATTAATCAGCATTCTGAGAGAATCCAATTCTAGAGGTGAGAAGAAAAGAAGCTTAAAAGGTTAAGGCAAACTGTACTCACCAGTTCCTAAGGTCAGTCCATTGAAATGTGCCCTCTATTGGGAATATAGCAGGTCATTGGATAACATCAGTTCACTCAATATTGTTTTATTATAACATCGATGTCAGAAAAAATGTATTCCAGGCTGAAGCCACTGTCCATGTGAGGTTTGCACATTTTCCCTTTGTCTGTGTGGGTTTTCTCTGGATACTCCAGTTTCCTCCCACATTGCAAAGATGTGCACATTATGTGAGTTGGCATGTTTAAATTGTCGTAATCTGAGTGAGTGTGTGTGTGCGCGCGTGCCTTGTGATAGAATGGCATCCTGTCCAAGGTGGTTCCTCCTTTACACCCTGAGCTTGTGGGATAGGCTCCAGCCATCCTCAGCCCTGAAATAGAATATACAGATTGGAAAATTGAATGAACGAATGAATGAATGAAGAATGAATGAATGAATACAAATTGTTGTCAAATAACCATTTATAAAGTCTAGAACAATCATACCAATACACCGCAATAAACTATGAGGTGCGAAAGCACTCAGCGAACCTGCCATATTTCTTATTGTTTATGAACTGCATGGTGATAGGAGGTCCTTTTTACAGTTGTTGCTTGTAAACACTTTTTCCTTAATCCACCACCACTATGAATGCTGTCTCTCACTGAATCACCAGAAATTGGGTAAATAATCTTACTTATTTTAATTAATATTTCCTAAATGTATGTATAGTTCACATTTATTTCAATATTTAGTATTAGAAGTGTTTGGGGTCTTTATCTGGAAGTTTGGTGTTGTTTTTATGACCAGAAATAGGTCATGGGAGTTAATCTCTTCTTTATATCCATTAGCCTGTAGTAAAATTGGTTTCATTAAATGTCATTTTGCTTAAAGTTGCAGTTTCTAGGAAGCCATAAACAACATTAAGTGAGAACTTACTGTACAATTAAGTGAGCATGGTCCCTGGGCAGAGACTATGCCCTTTGTTAATACTTCAAGTCTTGGCAATAATAGTATTTACTAGTTGCTTAACCATGTCCAATGCACAAAGTTGAGTGCTATGCAAAAGTAAGCAACATCCCATTTAACAGCTTCAGAACAACTCTGTGTGGTAGGCACTGTTATTATCCCTGTTTTATAGACGTTATAACATGCTTCAACTTACATAGCTACTATGTGGCACAAAACAGCTTTAAGCCTCTATTTGAGTCCATAGGTTATACTCCTAATCCTAAATTATACTGCTTCTAGGTAGAGAGAGAGAGAGAGAGAGAGAGATGAGGATCTTTGACAACGGGTGTGATAAAAGGACCATTTCTTTCTACTAAGGGAGAGGACACAGGGGGACACAGCTGTTGGCAATATACTAATCAACACAGTCAATTGTTTAATTTTCCAAGGCTTAAAGAAAGGCCACGATTAGATTAAGCTATAATTTAGAATTTTTAGAATTAATAGAAAAGATAATTAGACCTGCAGGCTTGTCTATCTTTCTTATGCTTTTCTTTAATTTAGAGTATTATGTTTTGATGTTACCTGGTGAACCATGTAAGAGTGGATCTTACATGTTCAATTATGTTTAAATCTGGTATGCTACCTAACGATCTTATAGCAAATATTGTGCTGCAAGTAGGAATGCCAGTTAGCAATAATGATAGTGGTGGTGGTAGCAGAGGTACTAGAAGTAGTAGCAGTACAAATAACTAGGGAGTACCTATCTGCCAAAAATCTTGTTCAAGCTTATCTCATTAAATGTTCAAGATAGCATTATAAATTTGGTCTTAATATTTTCTCCTAAAAAGCCAAAAATTATTAAAATATGGACTCAAAGAACTTAGGAAACTTGCCCAAACTGACACATATAGCTGACTTGAGAGAGCCTCTTATGAAAACCTTGGGTACCCAAATACATGAACATCTTTATTTTAGATAATTTGAATAGGGTGATAAAATATGTGTTGGGGAAAATATTCAATATATTATTTAACGTTTTTGGCTTAGTTTTAGAATGGAAGCCTCTGATCTAGGAACAGCTGAACTTCAGGCAAATTGATTTGTTAGTACCATAAAGTTAATGCATTTTATTTTTTCCTTTGAAAGGTAGGGATTATAAACACCATACAAACAAAATCATAATCCAAATTTTAAATAAATTCCAGTTAATCAGTCTCATGTTGACTAAATTTAATGTAATGTATGAAATATCAATATGTTCTACACAAACTCATTTTGAAAATTAGCCGGAGTATTTCATTATGTTGTGGTTACAAGTTTAGCAGAGTGGACAAAATACTCTTACCATGTATTCTACCAACAATGTCATTAAATAGCGGTTAGCAATTTACTGCTGGCTAATGATCCAGGGCATCATGATAGCCCTTCAGGTCTCTCAGGTAAACACAATCTGTTTAAATTAATGTTGCATAAGCATCAGTTTATTTGGGGCTGAGCACGGTGGCTCACACCTGTAATCCCAGCACTTTGGGAGGCTGAGGTGAGTGGATCACTGAGGTCAGGAGTTTGAGACCAGCCTGACCAACATGGCGAATCCCCTTCTCTGCTAAAAATACAAAAATTAGCCGGGCATGGTGGTGCGTGCCTGTAATTGCAGCTACTCAGAAGGCTGAGACAGGAGAATTGCTTGAACCTGAGAAGTGGAGTTTGCAGTGAGCAGAGATCGAGCCACTGCTCTCCAGCCTGGATGACAGCAAGACTGTCTCAAAAAAAAAAAAAAAAAAAAAAGAATCAGGTTATTATCAGATTATTTGGCATGACTCAATTTAGTATAAGGTGCTGAAGACTTATAATTTCAAGTTCCTTTGTTCTATTGATAAAACCTACATTGGACTCAAAAGGAATGCCAGCTTGGATACCTGCCCTCTAGGAGCTTAAAGTCTAATAGGGATGCCGAGACAATGAATAGGCAGGCAGTTTTATAAGTGGCAACATAAGTAATGTAAACAGCCAGGGATACTAGATTACGAAATTAAGATACAGGCCAGGTGCGGTGGCTCACGCCTGTAATCCCAGCCCTTCGGGAGGCCAAAGCAGGCAAATCACCTGAAGTCAGGTTTTTTGTTGCTGTTGTTTTTTGTTTTTATTTTTATTTTTATTTTTTTTGAGATGGAGTTTCACTCTTATTGCCCAGGCTGGAGTGCAATGGCGTGATCTCAGCTCACCGCAACCTCCACCTCCCGGGTTCAAGACAGATTATACTCCTCAAACTTTATTGAGTGACTGAGTCACCTGAGGGTCTTGTTAAAATGAAGATTCTGATTCAATGTCTGGCATATACTTCAGAGTTTGCAATTCCAACATGTTTCGAGGTGAGGCTGATGCTACTGGACTGCAGATCACACTTTGAGTAGCAAGAGTCTTATTTTATTAACATCTTCTCTAAGCATTTCCCACTAAGATCTGTTATATTTTATTTAAACATAAACATAGATATACAGAGAGATTATAGTCAGATATAATTGTATCCCCACCTTACAAATGACAAACTATTAAGTAACAAACACTCTTGCCAGTTGCCAAAAAACTTTTGGCTGCTCCCATCTAAAAAGACCCATTTTATAAAGGCTGGAAAGTGCTAGGATAACTCCTTTTAGTCAATGTCTTGACTCCTGTCTAGAACTATCCACCTTAGGGCATGAAGGATTCATGTGTTCCTGACACAGATACCTGTCTTTTAGGAATTACACTGAAATCACCAATTCATTTTGTAGCAGTTGCTGAACAGCTGTCTGTTGATAATAACTTGTAGTCACTACCAGTTTAAGCCAAATTGGAGCCAATGACCTTTGGGTCAGAAGTTTCATATTCCATTTCCAGTCCCTGGAGCCACTAAGGGCTCTTGTCGGAAGAGCTGTAATTCATGAATTTCAGCACACTACCTCCAGCCCAAAGCATAGAGATTGTTTCCTGAAACTCATAGTCACACTTGGGTTATTGGTTGTTTATGGCATGAATGTAAGAGAATGGTATAAGGATTTGCTATATGGCACTTTTATTTTTCTAAGCAATAATTAGAATGATTAGCATAAAACTTAAATGAATAATTATCTACCTTAGTGGCAATGGATTCCCAGTGTTCTACATAAAGATATGACTAAAAAGTTCATATTAATATTCTGTATCAGCACTCACCTTTTTAAAATAAAACTTCCAAATATGACATTGGATTTCTTTTCCGAGCACAAGAAGATTGTTGGAGGAGATTAGTGAATGCTTATGAACCAGCATGCAAGAAAACTTTTAAAAGTTCTCATCATTGTCATAGTGACATGAAGTAACGGGAAGGAAATGGCAGGCCAGACCTTATGGTATTGATTTCACTTACTATTCACTCCTATGAGGTAATCATCTAAATTACTAAGGATTTGCCCTTTTCTATGGAGAGAGTCTGATTCGAATGGCCTCATATAAAGGAAATTGCTGAATGAAGTCATTACTCTAATTTGCATTTATGTCCCAATGTTAACAATATACCTTTTTTAAAAATGATGTTTGATACATTCCAACTTACAACATTGGTTGTAGCCTGAGTGCCAATTTTAATTGTCCTTTCAATATCAATTTAGACAGATCTGCTAATAGGGTTGTGTTATTAGATAGATGTCTCTAGTAATGTCATTACGGAGCTGAACTGAATAGCTGTTCATTGTGATGAAGTAAACTATCAAAGCTTATTCATTCTTGACGTCCACCTACCTATTCAAAGTTCCTTTTTCTCTCTACATTCACATAAAGAATATCATTCTTTAGCTGCTGGATAATGTTGAATGAAGCTTTTGTCCTTTTCCTTGAAGATTTTATTCTGTATCTAGATCAAATCCCATTACATCAACCTCCAAAAGACTTCTTAGAGTCTCTAGTTGAATTGGTTTTAATCTGCAATCATGAGATCATCAGTTTGGGCTTAGGAAATCATTTTGTTTTACTGAATTTCTACTGTAAGCCTTTCAGTTTTAATGATATCTAATGCATGCTTGTGAATCTCTCACATACACACATGCACACTTCTAATCTAGTCTTCAAACCGTCTTCCTGTTCTCTTGGTCCCCTCCAAATCTGTTTTCCACAGCGTAACAAGAAGGAAGTCATTTTTAAAGCCTTAAATAAAATCCAGTTAGCCCCTTGCATAAAACCTTTGCCAAAATCCTTGACTTCACTGACAAGGCCCTGTATGATCTGCTTCCTGTCATCTTCTCAGGCTCAAATGCTGCCCCTCCTCCCCTTACATGTTATGCTTCAGTCACGTTAGGTTTCATCGGTGCCTACATGCTCCTTCTTTCCCAGGGACTTCATGCTTGCTGTGCTTTGGCCTATAAAGTCTCTTCTGGCTTTTCATATAGTGGGCAAATTTTCATTAGCTTTTTCATCTTAGTATAAATAGCATCGCTTCAGATGGGCCATTCTTACCCAATCTGTCTAAGGGAGTTCTCTCTGTTACCCTCTCTTACGGTATTCTGATTATGTTCTCTTTCTCACTTATTTATTTGATTAATTTTGATGTCTTTTCTGGGCTCTTAAGCTCCCTGAAGACAAAAGCTTTGTCTATATTGCTTATTTGCTAGGTACATATGAAGTATTCAGTTAATGAATGATACCTATACCTGGAAATTCTTGTGTAATTTCTAATGAAAAATTTAAAAATCAACCTCAATGTAATTGATTATTACATAGACTGGGGGTTGGAAAACTATAACCTGTGGACTAAGTCCAGTCTACTTTCTATTTTTGTGTCGCCAACAAGGTAAGAATGGCTTTTACATTTTTAAAGAGTATTTTTTAAATGAAAAAGAATAATGATATCACATAGAAATCACATGAAATTCAAATATTAGTATCATAAATAATGTTTTATTGGTGTACACCCACACTTATTTGTTTATGGACTGTTTGTAGCTACCTGCATGCGACAACAGCAGAATTGAGTAGCAATGACCCAGACTGTATGGCCTGAAATGCCTAAAATATTTACTCTCTGGCCCTTCACAGAAAATATTTGTCAATTCCTAACATAGACAAGTTAGCATATCAGAAATGTAATACCTAAAAACAACTACATTGTCCTCAGTCTTTTCATAAAGATTATTTGAAGGAAGGAATGATAGAAGATCATAAAATACTTGAATCCTTCTTTTACCGGCCTTTTAAAATAAACCTCATTTAATTGGTCTCTCATTAAGGGAATCTTCAAAGACAGTGGTTCTTAGATAGTAACGTGCATTCTAATGACCTAGAGTGACCCATGCCCAGAGCTCCTGATTAATAAGTGCAGAGTGGGGCCTGAGAATGTGCATTTCTCATAGGCTCCCAGGTGACACTGCTGCTGTTGCTCTGGGGCCTACACTTTGAAAGCTTAAGCTCTAATGTGTGGTTTTTCCCAAATCTCCTTGTCATCATGAAAGTCAAGAAATACCACCAGGACTGCATCTTTCTTTACAGGATGTGAGTGTCTCTTCTGTGTAAGAATTCATTTACTAATCGTTTACTCAGTATTGACCATATGCCAGTGTTGTTCTAGAGGCTGGGAAAACAAAGCTTAATGATAAATGGCTCCTTTTGAGGAGCCAAAATTTAGGGCTTTGCAGACATCAAATAAATAATTACAGGAAAATAGAAGGGCTATGACAAGAGATTTAAACTGCTGTTGGGCTACCAATCAGTGTCTGATATCTATTAAGACTTTTTAAAAGGGTAATTCTTTCAAAAAATTAAGACTTATAGGATGCTGTAATGTTTAAAAAAAAAATCCTTATTGCAGCCTGGTGTTGCCAGCCCACAGCATCTCATAAAGAAATCCTGAGTATCAGGGAAGGAAAATAAATGGTGGATAGGAGTCAGGACTGACTTGCAGCCCCTTGGACAGATAGAACAGCATGTGGAGACTCACATCATGAACTTCTGCTCCAAGAACTACTGCAGGAACATACTAGGAAAACTGAAAGAATTCACAGACCCTTTGAAAGAAGTGGCTTGCCACGGCAAACTCTGAGATGGCTGAAAAACTGTGAGTGCCCAAAGTGTGAGAGGGGAAAAGTCTGCCTCCAAACACACATCTCGCTGGGGAACCCGAAAATCCAGATCACAGGAGAAGGGTGTAACCTTACTTAGAGTTGAAATGAATTTAGAAAGCCAAATATAAAAGTAGAAGAAGCAGCGGGGAGAGTCCTGTAGGCACTCCCGGCCCCTAAAGAAGCCCAGGGAAGCCACTTCTGACTTTATCTCTCAGGGTTCCTTAGGGAGGGCTGCCAGTAGAATTGGCGAAGGACCACAGAGAGAAGGAAACTTTCAGCTGAACTTTGTAGTCATTTTGATCAAGCACAAATTTTCCTGGGCAGAATCTGGTGGGGGTGGCAAACAAGTGGAAATATGAGCACATAAGTCATGGCAGGTGGGGAGGGGCAGAGCCTGAAACCCCTGCTTTCTCTCTCAGTCCAGAGGCTTGTCGCCTGGGGCAAGATGTCAGCCCTGCTCACCGGCTGACTGGATATAAACTTGGTGCTGTTGGTGGGGCACAGTGGGAGTGAGACTGGCCTGCCTGGCTACGTGGGGCTGGGTGAAGGCCTGTCAATGCCAGCTTTCTCCCACTTTCCTGGCTACCTGTGTTATACAACAGAGGCAGCCATAATCCGCCTGGGAGGAAAACTCCATTGGCCTGAGAACCACACCCCATCCCCAACAGTGGCTACAGCAAGCCCCGCTCAAGGACAGGCTGAGCTCAGACAGGCCTAACCCTGCCCCTACCTGATGGTCTTTCTCTACCCACCCTAGTAGCCAAAGACGAAAGACATAAACTTTTGGGTGCTGTATGGCCCTGCCCATTGCCTGAGAAACCTGAATACTTATCCAGGCAACCTAAGGGCAAGCTTATATCCCCCTATATGATCACAGCTGATGCGCTCTTGAAAGCGCCACCTCCTGGCTGGAGGCCAACCAACTCAAGCCATTACAGCAACTCATAAAAGAATAACCCTGCTCCAAGAAAGGAGAAAACAGCAGCTAATTCCACCACCAGTAACATCCTGGCGAACCCGAGGCCCTGAGTCTGTCCACGTGAAACCTTCACTGTCAGCACAATCAGCATTCAAGAAAACCAGCACAGTAAATAAAACAACTAAGGACCCTCACAGTCCTCTTCACTCCCTTGCTACCTCTGCCAGAGCAGGTGTTGGTATCCATGGCCGAGAGACCTGAAGACAGATCACATCACAGGACTCTTTGCAGACATTCCCCAGTACCAACCCAGTACCACTGGGTGGCTAGACCCAGAAGAGCAATAACAATCACTGCAGCCTGGTCAACATTGATTCAAGATGGAAATTTAAAAATTCTTTGAACTGAATGATAATAATGACACAACCTGTGAATAGCTCTGGAATACAGCAAAAGTAGTGCTTAGAGGAAAGTTCATAGCATTAAATGCCTACATCAAAATGTCTTGAAAGGGCACAAAAAAACAAAAAAACAAAAAAACTACAGACCAATATCCCTGATGAACATAGATACAAAAATTCTCAACACAATGCTAGTGAACTGAATCCAACAGCATATCCAAAAGGTAATCCACCAAGATCAAGTGAGTTTCATCCCAGGGATGAAAGGATGTTTTAACATACACAAATCAATAAATTTGATACACCACATAAACAGAATTAAAAACAAAAATGACAAAAATCATCTCAATAGATGCACAAAAGTCATTTGACAAAATTCAGCGTCCCTTTATGATTAAAACATTCAGCAAAATTGACATAGAAGGGACATACCTTGTAATAAAAGCCACCTATGATAAATCCACAGCCAATGTTATTCTGAATGGAGAAAGTTGAAAGCATTCCCCCTGAGAACTGGAACATGACAAGGATGTCCACTTTCTCCACTTCTTTCAACATAGTACTGGCTAGCCATTATTCAACATAGTACTGGAAGTCTTAGCCACGGCATTCTTGTCATGTTCCACTGTATCTTTTAAGTAGTGCATTTAGGCCACTTATATTCAATGTTAGTATTGAGATGTGAGGTAGTATTCTATTCATTGTGCTAGTTGTTGCCTGAATATCTTGGTTTTTTTGTTTCTTGTTTTTTGTTTTTGATTCAACAAGAGAAAGAAATAAAGGACATCCAAATCAGCAAAGAGCAAGTCAAACTGTTGCTGTTTGCCAATGATATGATTGAATACCTAGAAAACCCTAAAGACTCATCCAAAAAGCTCCTAGATCTGATAAATGAATTCAGTGAAGTTTCAGATATAAAATCACTATACACAAATCTGTAGCATTGCTATACACCAACAGCAACCAAGGTGAGAAACAAATCAAGAACTCAACCCCTTTTACAATAGCTACAACAACCACCAACATAAAAATAATAATAGCAACTTAGGAATATCTCTAACCAAGGAGGTAAAAGATCTCTACAAGGAAAACTACAAAACACTGCTGAAATAACTCATGGACAACACAAATGAATGGAGACACATCTCATGCTCATTGATGGGTAGAATCAGTATTGTGAAAATGACAACACTGCCAAAAGCAATCTATACATTCAATGCAATTCCCATCAAAATACCACCACCATTCTTCACAGAACTAGAAAAGACAACCTAAAATTCATATGGAACTAAAAGAGAGCCCATGTAGCCAAAGTGAGACTAAGCAAAAAGAACAAATTTGGAGGCATCACATTACCCAACCTCAAACTATACTACAAGGCTATAGTCACCAAAACAGCATGGTGCTGGCATAAAAATAGCCACAGGGACCAATGGAACAGCATAGAGAATCCAGAAACAAAGCCATGTACTTATGGGCTACTGACCTTCAACAAAGCAAATGAAAACATACAGGGGGAAAGGGCATCCTATTCAACAAATGGTGGTGAGATAATTGGCAAGATACGTGCAGGATCCTCATCTCTCTCCTTATACAAAAATCAACTCAAGATAGAAGAAACACTTAAATCTAAAACCTCAAACCATAAAAATTCTAGAAGATAACATTGGAAAAACCCTTCTAGACATTGACTCAGGCAAAGACTTCATGACCAAGAACTCAAAAGCAAATACAACAAAAAGATAAATAGATGGCACTTAATTAAACTAAAAAGCTTCTACACAGCAAAATAAAAATCAGCAGAGTAGACAGACAATTCATAGAATGGGAGAAAATCCTTGCAAACTATACATCTGACAAAGAACTAATACTTAGAATCTACAAGGAACTACAAGGAAAAAATCAGCAAGAAAAAAACAAATAATCCCATCAAAAAATGGGCTAAGAATATGGACAGTTCTCACAAAAAGATATACAAATGGCCAAGAAACATGAAAAAATCCTCAACATCACTAATTATCAGAAAATGCAAATCAGATCCCCAATGTGATACCATCTTATTCCTGCAAGAAGGGCCATAATTTAAAAAATTGAAAACTAATAGATGTTGGCATGGATGTGGTGAAAATGGAATGCTTTTACACTGCTGGTGGGAATGTAAACTAGTAAAACCTCTATGGAAAACAGTATGGAGATTTCTTAAAGAACTAAAAGTAGATCTACCATTCTATCCAGCAATCCCACTACTCAGTACCTACCCAGTGGAAAATAAGTCATTATATGAAAAAGACACTTGCACACCCACGTTTATAGCAGCACAATTTGCAATTACAAAAATATTACAAAAATATGAAACCAGCTCAAAAGTTCATCAATTGATGAGTGGATAAAGAAAATGTGTCTGTGTGTGTGTGTGTGTGTGTGTGTGTGTGTGTGTGTAGTGGAATACTATTCAGCCATAAAAAGGAATGAAATAATGGCATTCCCAGCAACCTGGATGGAGTTGGAGACCATTATTTTAAATGAAGTAACTCAGGAATGGAAAACTAAACATTGTATGTTCTCACTTATGAGTGGGAGCTAAGCTATGAGGACACAAAGGCATAAGAATGATACAACGGACTGAGGACTCAGGGGGAAGCATGGAAGAGGAGCAAGGGATAAAAGACTACACATTGGGTACAGAGTACACTGCATAGGTGCTGAGTGCACCAAAATCTCAGAAATTACCACTAAAGATCTTATCCACGTAACCAAACACTACCTATTCCCAGCAAGCCAAGATCGCGCCACCGCACTCCAGCCTGGGCGACAGAGCAAGACTCTGTCTCCAGAAAAAAAAAAAAAAAACAACAACAAAAACAAAAAAAAAACTATTGAAATTTTTTAAAAAGAAATCCTGAGTATTAGGAGCAAATTTAGATATGTCCAAGATTGCTTATTTCCAAATGAGATAAGGGGAGGTCATCAAGAAAAAGTCTTCCAGTTCTTCAAGCACAAGCTGCTCATATTAGTTCCTTCCTAACCATTACTCTGTTTTCTGTTTTTCTCCTTTGGAACCTAATTGGTACCATCGTTGTCTCCATTCCATCACCTTCCACTAGCCCAAGCTGTAACTACCCAACAGGTTCTCCTTGCCCGGGGCTCAGACAAGGCCAACTTATCAAGACAGGGGAATCACCATAAAGAGTTTAATTCGGCCGGGCGCGGTGGCTCACGCCTGTAATCCCAGCACTTTGGGAGGCCGAGGCGGGCGGATCACGAGGTCAGGAGATCGAGACCATCCCGGCTAAAACGGTGAAACCCCGTCTCTACTAAAAATACAAAAAATTAGCCGGGCGTAGTGGCGGGCGCCTGTAGTCCCAGCTACTTGGGAGGCTGAGGCAGGAGAATGGCGTGAACCCGGGAGGCGGAGCTTGCAGTGAGCCGAGATCCCGCCACTGCACTCCAGCCTGGGCGACAGAGCGAGACTCCGTCTCAAAAAAAAAAAAAAAAAAAAAAAAAAAGTTTAATTCATACAGAGCCAGCTGTATGGGAGGCCAGAGTTTTATTATTACCCAAATCAGTCTCCCTGAAAATCTGGGGATCGGGGTTTTTAAGAATAATTTGGTGAGAAGAGGGTCAGAAAGTAGGGAGTGCTGATTGGTCCGGCGGAAGATAAATCACAGGGAGTTGAAGCTGTCCTCTTGTGCTGAGTCAGTTCCTGAGTGTTGGGGGGAGGCGGTGGGCGGGGGGGGTGTACACAAGACTAGATGAGCCAGGTTCTCGATCTAGGTGGTGTCAGCTGATGCCTTGAAATGCAGGGTCTGCAAAATATCTCAAGCACTGATCTCAGGTTTTAAAACGGTGACTCTTTAACCATAATTGTTAATTTTGTGGCTAATTTGTTAGTCCTGCAAAGACAGTCTACTCCCCAGGCAAGAAGGGGGTTTGTTTTGGGAAAGGGCTGTTTTCATCTTTGTTAAACTGTAAGTTCCTCCCAAAGTTAGTTCAGCCTGCACCCAGGTATGAAAAAAAAAAACAGTTTGGATGTTAAAGGCAAGATGGAGTCAGGACAGAGCTCTTTCATTGTCATGATTTCCTCAGTTATAATTTTTACAAAGGCAGTTTCAAAGATAACATCTTTACCTTTGTAAATATCCCTCATTGACCTCAAGACTTTTCACTCTTGCTGCCTCCAATCCATCTTACACCCTGCAGCCTGACATCTGTTTTAAAAACAAATCTGAATGCCTTTTAAAACCCCTAAGGGCTTCCTTTTATTTCTTGGAAATTGACCCAAATCTTTAACAAACCCTATTAGGTTCCATATTATCTCTAGCCTGAGTGTTTTCCTATTAGTTCTTCCAAGTTACTATTATTTCTCCAGATTCAAGGCTTTTGTAAATTTGTTTCCTCTGCCTGGAATGCTTTTTCCTCTCTGTACCTCTTGAGCCTTTACTTCATTTTACTCATTTTTTTATTTTCTTTTCTTTTTTGAGATGGAGTCTCGCTCTGTCACCCAGGCTGGAGTGCAGTGGTGCGATCTCGGCTCACTGCAACCTCCGCCTCCTGGGTTCAAGCATTTCTCTGCCTCAGCCTCCCAAGTAGCTGGGATTACAAGTGCCCACCACCACACCCAGCTAATTTTTGTATTTTTAGTAGAGACGGGGTTTCACCATCTTGGCCAGGCTGGTCTTGAACTCCTGACCTCATGATCCACCTGCCTCAGCCTCCCAAAGTGCTGGGATTATAGGCGTGAGCCACTGCACCTGGCCTTACTCATTTTTTTTTCTAATTTCACTTTAGACATCAGTGCTATGGAGGAGCCTTTCCTTCACTGACTCTACTTGCTCCCCCACTATCAGAAGCAGGAAATGACCAGACTACATTGGTCATCAGTCTAGAAACAAAGGTCAATATCAAGTTAAACCTGCTATCAGTTCTACCTTCAATTAGGTTTATGTAGTAAAAAACAAAACTTCATTTCAAACTGCATAGCTCTTGGATTTGTGAATGTTAGAGGTCTTTTCAGTAGAGACTATGTCTTGGGTTAAACTGAGAAAAGAAGAGCTTATCTGGCTAATCAGCAGAAATGTTGCTAATTTTAGATTTGGCAAGCAACTTGATTTATTTGGGAGCACACGCACACACACATATATATACAAACACACACATATATACATTTCCATATAGTTTAGCCATTTGGCTTTTAGAAAATTACTTAGGACAAGTTTAAGAACATTGGAGCAATTTTATTTCTTGTGGTTAAACCACATGCATTTCCTAAAGATCTGTATTTATCCATAAATATTTTGGCCCAGATTGAGGGAGAAAGGCTGGGTATTCAATCATAATTCCAATTTTTTTTCTTAAAAAGCCTAACTTGAACTCTTCTTGGAGTTCTCCAAACACCACCACTTGACCTTTTTAGCTCTTGTCAGAATTTATAATTTTGTATTTGTGTGATTTTTTGATTAATATTTATCTCCCTCAGGAGAAGGTAAGTTTCAAAGAGGACTGTGCTTATGTCATTCACCATTGTTCCTTGAGTTAACCTGTGCCTGGCAAATAATAGGCTATCAGTAAATGTTTGCTGCATGAATGACAAGATGATTAGATGTATGATAACCTTCCCCTCTGCCCATCACTCAGCTGTCATTGGCTTGGTCAGGCAATAAGCAGCTCAACCCCAATCGTGGTTCTTGATACTCTTTCTGATTGAGTTTCTTGCCTATCAAATGTCTATTGTCCTGGATCCTTGGGTTGACTCCTTCTCACCTTCACTCACTCTTATTAGTTATGGATATCATTACTTACTAGTAGTTGACTACTTATTGAGTCTTACTTTTTTTCAGAAGAACTAGCCCAGGAATTGAGATGGAAGATATTACCATTTTGACATATAATCAATGTAAAAATGATTACTAAGATATTTTATTTCTTTTGTGGTACTAAGAACTAGTGTGCAATTTATATTTACAGCACATCTCAACTCGAACTAGCCACATTTCAAGTCCTCAACAGCCAGATGTAACAAGTGGCTGCCATATTGGATAGTGCCGCTCTAGTACCTTCTCAGATACTGGGTCATCACAGATGACCTTATGTGTGTGTGGCTTTGGGCCAAAATGTCTCCTCAGAGATTACACTGGAACCTTACAACTTCATGAAATTACACATGACACTTCCTCTTCTTTTGTGTTCTCCTCTTCATCTTCTCTTTTCCTCATCTTTTTCCAGTGCCTCCTTGTCCTTACTTTTCTTATTCCTATGTATTTTCTGGTCTTTTTGACCCACACATTTCTTTCCCTACTGTGCTCGTTTCTCAGTAATTCAACAGGTTTTCTAAGTAAACTCTTATTTGTGACACTTCATAATTTGCTATATAATTTGAAGGATGGTATGAAAGGCCAAGTTACATAAAAATGTGATGAGTAGAAGAGGTATACCTCAGTAAAATATACACCTTTACACCTTTAAAGAATTAGTTGATTTCCTCTCTACTAAAAATACAAAAAATTAGCCGGGTGTGGTGGTGGGCACCTGTAGTCCCAGCTACTTGGGAGGCTGAGGCAGGAGAATGGCATGAACCCGGGAGGCAGAGCTTGCAGTGAGCCGAGATTGTGCCACTGCACTCCAGCCTGGGCAACAGAGCAAGACTCCATCTCAAAAAAAAAAAAAGAATTAGTTGATTTCCAGAGTTTTAAATATAAAATGAGTTCAGAGTTTTCTTTGTCATTAGATTGGTTTTCATAGGTAGTCAGTATATTGATTCAGAGGCAAAAGAAAATCCAGGTTAAGTAAGACATGCTAGCATCATGCAGTCAAAGCCTAGGGTTATATGCCAAAAGGCTAAAGAAAATTTTATTTAGCTTTTTGGTTTGTTTGTTGTTTTTCTGACTTATGCGTTAGTACTACTTACATCTAAATTGCTGCTAATGTTAACCATACTCTAACACGTAGGCTTTATGTTTGTGTCACACAGATCACAAGGTGATTACAATAAAAATGTCAACTCCAAAAAAGTCAGTAAATTTTAAAGTATCACATAGACTAAAATATAAAGTCGAAGTGCTTTATATATGACCTTCCACAAAGTAATCATAGTCTACATCCTATGGGAGATATACTTAGGGACTCTCTAATTCACCAACAGGGATGGATGCAAATGAAAGGCTTGGAATAAAAATAGAAACACTCTGCAACCACAATCACTTTCCCAGAAGGGACTGTGCAAAGACATATAAAGATACAGTCAAATGACAGTTTTCCACATTATGTCAGGAAAGCAAATGCATCCAGGTTCTCAAGTAAGTGAAATTGTTGACTTTAGTTTATTGTTATTCTCTATTCATTGTCAATTCAGGGCTTTCTAATATGATGAAAAAGAAAACCTGTTGTCCTTGCATCCTTTAAAATTTTTCATTACAGAATTTTGGAGGTGAGGAGCATTTTAGAGGTATGTCCTAATTCTGTATTTTCACAGTGAGGAATCTGAGGTTCAGGGGAGGTTGCTGCCCGGTTCACAGTCATTTAAGGAGATTAGTGGTAGAACCCTGTTTAGAACCTAGATCCTCTGACTCTGTGTCAGAGCTCTTACCATGTCAAGCTTGGGAAAATCTAGCAGTCATATTCTTCAAGGAGAAATGAAATTTCTTTTTTATTGTTTTTCTGACTTTTATTAGCAACTGAGGGTTAGAGATTTGATATTTGGCAAATTCCTTTAATCATTAACCAACAATCAAATTAAAATTAATCAGAAATTTCCCTGGGTATTGTATTTACAAGACAGGGACTAAAAATAGTCGTAGAGGTCTCCTAATTTCTTCGCAATTTTATAATATCACAATTGAAAGCACCATTGGGAGAAGGAAGTTATATGACAAGCTATAAATGTTGTGTGAGAAAGTAATGTCCTTGAAAGGCTCAGTTTTCTTTATCAATTTTTGAAGAAGTAAATTTAATTAAGATGACTATCACAAGAATCTGCTGAGCTTTGTACAAATGCCCATTTATAAATTTGTCAAAATTTCACTTTCCTTTTCTTACGTACTGAGCCATGACGGGATTGTCTCTTAAGCATTGAGCTCACTAGACACTTAAAAATCTTAAATAAGGCCAGGTGTGGTGGCGCATGCCTGTAATCCCAGTACTTTGGGAGTCCAAAGCAGGCAGATCACGAGGTCAAGAGATCGAGACCATCCTGGCCAACATGGTGAAACCCCGTCTCTACTAAATATACAAAAATTAATTCGACGTGGAGGTGCATGCCTGTAGCCCCAGCTACTTGGGAGACTGAGGCAGGAGAATCGCTTGAACCCAGGAGGCAGAGATTGCAGTGAGCCAAGATCATGCCATTGCACTCCAGCCTGGTGACAGAGTGAGACTCTGTCTCAAAAAAAAAAAAAAAAACTTAATTAATAATTACATTAATAACACAATTGCAAAAGGTTTCCATTCAAAAAGATAGACTTATAAGTTTGTTACTAACTGGAATTATACTAAAGTTATTTTTTATTCAGTACCGTTTTCCAAATATCTTTGCATCTGCATTTTGCTTGAGTTCCCTGAGGGAGCAGGGTCATCATATCTACCCTCCCAGGAGCCCTTACTACTCAGGATAACACCTCCACTGTGATTTGAGGAGCACCAAAGGCTCTTCTGAAAAATAAGTTCTTCCAGTGGTTGACTAGTTATTTCCCAAATTTTAAGATTAACCTTTTGGATTAGAGTTTTAACTCTAATTAAAATGCAAGCATCATATGGAGCCTATGAAGCCTATTTTAATCCTTGACATCTTAGTTTAGTTTCTCAGAGTAGTAACCCAGTCACTTGGCAAGACTGAAAGGAAATTGGAAATGGGACACATATCATATGTCCAAAAAAAAAAGAAAATTGGAATTGTTATGAGCATGAGGTGCGAAAGTAGGAGCCTAATGAAAAGAGAAGCATGAGGCACTGGGTACTGAACACGATGGGGGATCAAAGTGAGAGGGAGTTATAGAGGAAATGCAAGAGAGAAAAGGATAACTATGAGTATTGTCTGTTTCCACACTGCTGCCATGAGTCAACAATCCCTCTGTCTGTGAGCTATGACTAATTATAAAGAGGGCGCTTCAGTCCTACCCGTGAACACAAGAACAGTGTCTTCACACAAGTCCATGCTTATTTGCCTAAAACATTCATTCTTTTTTTGTTTACCTTCTATCCTATATCTTAATAATAAAGTTAAAAATGAATATTTCAAGTTAAGACAAGATAAAGTGATAAAAATGGATGAGTAGGAAGCAGAATGAGAGAGTGTTGCTAAGACATGTACATCTGCTAGATGCTTAATAACATTTTACAGGTGCTCAATGGACCAAAGCAATCAAACAAGAGAAATATCATTGACACATTGTCACCTACAGTTGTTATTGTGTTTTGGTGTTTACTCAGTTTTCTCAGTTATTTACGACAGAGATGTTCGGTTTATTGTTTGTGAGAAAAATGAGTTATTCAGGTGATAATATAGTAATTTAAAATGATATTTGATGAAAGGGATTATCTGAGGCTGTGCTGTCCAGTATAGCAGCTGCTAGTAACATATGGCCATTAAATATATGAAATGGGGCTTGTCCCAATTAAGGTGTGCTGTAAATGTAAACTATACACTGGATTTTGAAGACTTAGTATTAAAATAATAAAATATTACAGTAACTTTTTTATTAATTATTAAAATATTTTGGATATATTGGTAAAGAAAAATATTAAAATTACTTTCACATTTTTTCTCTTTTAATATGGCTAACTAGAAAATTTTAAGATGATTGGCCAGGTGTGGTGGTTCATGCCTGTAATCTCAGTGCTTTGGGAGACCAAGGTAGGAGGAAGGCTTGAGGCTAGGAGTTCGAGACCAGCCTGGCCAACACAGTGAGACCATGTCCCAAAAAAAAAAAAAAAAAAAAAAAAAAAAAAAACCATCTCCTTTAGCAAGGAAAAGAAAAGCAAAAACAAAAAAATTTAAATTCCATATATGTGGCTCATATCTGTGGCTTGCATTCCATTTTTACTAGATAGTGCTATTCTAAGGGATTTAATACATTCTTTAAATGGGATATACTCATGAATTTAAAGTTTATGTTATAGTTACAAATGTTCAAATGCCTTCTTTTGGAAGCAGATGTATATTTGACATCAACAAATCATGTGTGACTTCTTTATAATTTCTTTCCGTCTGCTATCTGGCGCAGGTGGGAAATGTTCTGAGCTACTCTGATAACACCTGAAGGGAAGAGCCACTGAAGGAAAGAGTGTCCAATTTCCTTTACATGAACAAACCACCTTCCCTAGCCAGTCTGTGGACAATTACATTTAGCAAAGATTTATCCTGTGCCTGTCTACATTAGCTGACGTGAATAAATGAATATTCAGTCAGAGTGACCTCTGAGGACTTGCAAACAAGTTTCAGGAAATGTTAGTCAAATTTAACTATCTGCATGACTTTCCGGAGAGCACTGGTGAATAATAAAGACAGTAAATTCAGAATGTATGTCATTGGAGATCATATTGTGAAACCAGCGTTAATTTAATTTACAACAAATTTGAAATTCTTAGGTGGGGTTTGTTAAGAATAATTCAATTCCATGTATGAAAAAAAAAACAAACATTCCCACTTTTTGTACAGTTGTGGACTTCCTGAAAGTCACTTAAACACTGAATTTCTAAAAATTCAGAAATTTACTGTTCAGTATAAGTATTGATGACAAAATGCTATTTGGTATATTTTTCTTATTTCTGACACATGTAAGATTAATGCTTTTTCACCACAAGAGAAAAAGACATTATCTTTCGAGGTCAGGGAGTTTCTGCATCTTGGTTTCAAGCTGCTAACTACATATGACATGATGAGGAAATGATATATTTTTGTTTTTTTCAGGACCAAATGTAAGCATCAGAGCTGCTTACAAAAATAATTTCAAAAATTGGTTGACAAAAGAATTCTGCAGTAAGAATTTCTGTCTTATTTTCTGGTAGAAAATCCAGTTTTAGAAAAGTAGAATATTTTCTGGGTTATATTTACTCACGTCATTTTATATTTACAAAATTTCTAATTTACTAACTATAGCTATATGACTATGATTCTTTTGCCATGGGTGACATGAGTTAGAATGGTTTTTGGTACTAGTTTTAACTCATTACTATCCCTTGTTTAATATGTTAAACATGTCTTAAAGTTTGAATTTGGGGTCCTTTGATGATTTATCCATTTCTATTAATATACATCTAAATCTCTGATGTGTATAAAATGATTGTTTACTTACAATCTGGCAAGTTTTCTAACATAATTATGATCAGCTGGAACCCTAAATCTTTTCTCTGTTTAACGTCAGAGTCAATTTTTGCAGGTGCTATTAAAGAGGCCAAGCATCAAACTATTTGCTTCATTTATAAAACTATAAAAACAAATATGATTCTCAACCATTTAAAGTTTGCCACATATTGTTTCCAACACGAAGACATATCCTCAAGCTCTCTGGGAATACCATTGATGAGCTGCGCTGTTTGCATGCCCCGTGGGTCCTGCAGGCAATCATCTCTCTTCTGCTGAACCACTATCCAAAATTCATTCTTTCCATTTACCAAAACGGGGAAAAAAGGACTGAGAATATTGGGGAGGAATAGAAGTCATGACCTTAATCTGTGTGGTATCTTGAAGACAAGTATATTTATTACCTTTGTAAAACCCATCTCCACTTGGGAGCCATATGGAAGGATCTATCGTTATTTGATATAAAACCTACACATATTATTATACACCAAAAGGATTGAAACAACAGAGTAAGCATCTGAGTCTACAACTTAAAAAGCCAAATAAACTAAAGTAATAACAAATTATATGTTTCCATCATGAAAACTGATCTTGTTTAAAGAAAAAAGGTGTTGGAAGTAAGTGAAAGTATTTCAAAGTATCTGCTACTAGCATTTTTACATTTCCTCATACCTAAAATTAGTTTTCAGTGTCTTTCCTATTTCTTGTCATAATACTGGAATTTAAAAGCATAAAGAACATGGTGCATCTCAGAAAATAATATTTTGATATCTATTATCATTCAATGAAGACTGGAGGTACAAAAAAGGAAACAGTTTAAATTCGTTGAAATCGTTTCATATTCCTGTTTTTCCCCTTAGCCTCACCACTAAATCAATGTGAAAAAATCTGAGAGGAATCAGAAGAAAGGTAAAATCATCACTTTAGAAACTTAAAATACAACTTTTATGCAAAGGTCAATTGACTACAGAGAAAGCAGAAGAATAATTCCACAATGGTTTCAAGTACAGTACATGAAAAGTTATTTAGAAAGCTATTCTCACTGCTTTCAGATGACCTAGGGACAGGTCTGCCTAAAAATGGGTAAGGGATTAGGTTTTGCAAGGACTTTGCCTGGCAGGTTTAGCTCATAATTAGTCTCTCTCCCTTTGCAATAAATTGTGTGACTGTCCTGTGTAAATGGGCATTTATTAAATGTTTTTATTACAAAATAAATTATTGACAATGGGCTATTCTTTTTATTCACATTTTTGGAAAAGTTTTCTTTCTTTTTTTCTTTTTCTTTTTTTTTTTTTTTTTTTTTTTTTTTTGAGATGGAGTCTTGCCCTGTCACCATGCTGGAGTGCAGTGGCGTGATCTCGGCTGACCGCACCCTCTGCCTCCCAGGTTCAAGCGATTCTCCTGTCTCAGCCTCCTTAGTAGCTGGGACTACAGGCACATGCCACCATGCCCACCTAATTTTTGTATTTTTAGTAGAGATGGAGTTTCACCATGTTGGCCAGGATGGTCTCTATCTCTTGACCTCATGATCTGCCCGCCTCAGCCTCCCAAAGTCCTGGGATTACAGGCGTGAGCCACGGCACCCGGCCAACTTTTCTATTTGTATAACAGAGTACATTCATCCTGTTCCACATTTTCATAGCCCCACCTTTATGAAAAAAAGAATCTGTTCATAGGTAGTTAAAAAACTGAAGAATAAGTCAGGGTCCTGAAATGACTTTCTCTCTTATTTTGCAGGCATTGATTACAAAGAAGACTATGTAAATTTATAGATTTTCCAAATATCACAGAATTAAGGGGACAATTTTATGTATCATTTTGTTGTACTCAATAAGTTAGTGGAATTTGATATTAAACTTACAAGAAACTGCTAATGTATAGATGATTCTTCACAAGTACAAACATATTCCGTGAAAAGTGCTCTAGAAAAGCCTGTACTCTCCTTAAAATACAAACACACACACACTTATTTTTAAAGGACTGGATGGAAAAAAATTCCTAAAATGTCCTTGCTGTATGCTTTGGTAGCAATTTTGCCTTTCCCTTTTGAAACTGATGCATTTGTGTTCATTGACTGTGGCTTTGAATGAAGTTCTCCTCTATGAGTTCTGGGCAGGTTGCGATTGCATCACACATTTTTTTCTCTTAAAAGGCAACAGCGTATTTTCAAAAGAGATGAGGTTCTTAAGTCAAAGAGATATAAGTTTTCCACTCGCTTTATATATAATATTAGGAAATAGTTTAACGTCTTAGTCTCTATTTTCTTAACTGCATAGGCAGAATGACTTCATGCTATATTGTGATGAATAAATACCAAAAGTAGCACCCTATTTTGAGCATCTACTCTGATCTAGTCACGTCATATATCCTTTTAGTATCATTAATCTATATAACAGCACTGTGGGGAAAGAGTTACTCTACTCCCCATTTGATACAAGAATACTTATGTAAAATGCCCATGACGGTGTGCAGGTTAGCACGTTGTAGCAGTCATAGTGGTAATAACAGTAGTAATAGTTATAGTTGCTTTTGTGACTGTGGTCATCTTACATCCCCACTTTCCCACTTTAACTGAATTGATTTAAGGATATAAAGAGGTATTGAGATTAGGGGACACAGGATTCAAAGTCAGGTTTATCTCACTAGCATTTATGCTGTTAAGCATTACACCATATTGTTGTGGGTTTGTGGAGGTTTTGTTTTTTCGTCTGTTTTAATTTTAGATTTTCTATATCCAGGCACTATGCATATAGGCACTTCATCCTTAGGGAACAATTTTTCCAAATTGTATTTTAAAACAGTTTTGATATTTATTTTTTTCTGAAAACATACTGGTACGTTACCTAAAAGGCACATTTTATCCTTGATACATTTATTTGTATACACTTATATTCAGGGAGTCAGTTCAATGAGTTAGCTGCCTGACTGCTTGGCTAATTCTTCAACCATTGGTCTAGGTATTTCTGGTTTCCTGGTTCTTATGCAATGAGATAAAAACGTTGGCTTAGGGTACCTTATTCTCTATGAATTACATTTGTCAAGTGTAGTAAGAGTATGGATTATTTATGTGCTTCCTTTATATTGCTATTATTGCCAATAAAGATAATCTTAATGTCTTAACTAATGATTCATATTTTTACATATAAAATTTAATCTGATGTATTTCATACACTTATAGAAATAGAATATTGTTGTATAATTTATAGTCATATCATATACCAATAGGTATAATTAGTAATATAAATTTAGCAGGATCTGTTATTTAGTATTTATTTTTAGCCTGTGCTATGCATTTATGTCTAATTAGTAAAAGGTTTTTTTACTTCAGGGAAATTTTAAATTGACAAGACAAATAGGGAAAAAAAACACTGAAGTGTGATCCATTTTGCTTAGTACTATGTATTAAAGGTATTAAAGATATTAGAATACTACCTTAAAATCATGTATCATTTATTGAGATATGCATAGATTATTTAGTTTTACATTATGCTTATTAGATAAGAAGTATGTGTTGAGATTCCATAGAAAGCATAGCAACATACTTACTGAAAGCTGTGCTACCCTTTAGGAATGCTGAAATATAAAAGTTCATTGATACCAGGGAGCAACTGTTCATTTTTGTTTGCTCAGAATTTGTCTGGTACATATAGAGGTCTGATTTATTTTAAATGCTCTAAATCAAATTACATAGTAACATTTAGCAACGTGTATATATTATCCACTTTGCCGACTGTAAAAGAAAAAAGTTATATACTTACAGTATGTGGATAAGAACCACTTTACAACTTAATTTTTTTTCTTGCATTACTCTCTTACTGTGAATATCTATAGTGATGAGCAATGGCATTATTGGCACAGCTAGCCTTCAGAATATTTGCTCACTTTATGCCAGCATGAAGTTTACACTGCCGTTAAAACCACTGCAATTTTTACAGTTTTTTTTAATAAAGCTCTTTCTCATACATTCTTACTTCGTCTTCACAACAACCCAGTGAGAAGGCAAATGGAGTGGAGATTTGTCATTTCTACCTGCCAGCATTCCAAGGCCCTTTCTGCCGGGGCGGGGTAGCAGGGGCAGGGAGAGGCTCTTTCTACCCGGGGAGGCCCCTGAGATAAAATCAGTGGACGGTAGGGCTCCCCCTCCCTCTCCCTCTACTGAAATCAAAGGAGAGTGCACATCTCTTCTGCTTCCTTGGCAGCCCAGGTGCTCTCACGTGATGGAGGCTCAGCCAATGAGATGATCCTGCCTGGGATTTTTTTTTTTCCCTAGAAATGAGTGAATCAGAGCAGCTGAGGACAGTTTGGAGCCCATTCTCATGGAGGCAGTTTGCACTGTGGGTTGTCCCTTTGTTAGTAGAACCATCTGGAGATTTCAGGGCTATCAAAGGCAACATAAGTGTCTGGAGTGGGCTCCTTTGTTTCTGCCATTTTTTCTCATGGTTTTTCGGCCTTTCCCCTTGATATGGCTTGGCTGTGTCCCCACCAAAAATCTCATCTTGAATTGTAATCCCCATAATCCCCACATGTCAAGGGAGAGACCAGGTGGTGGTAATTGAATCATGGGGGCAGTTTCCCCCATCCTGTTCTGGTGATAGTGGTGAGTTCTCACAAGATCTGATAGTTTTATAAGTATTTGGTAGTTCCTCCTGTGTTCATTCTCCCTCCTGCTGCCTTGTGAAGAAGGGGCTTGCTTCCCCTTTTGCCATGATTGTAAGTTTCCTGAGGCCTCCACAGCCTTGTGAAAATGTGAGTCAATTAAACCTCTTTCCTTTCTAAATTACCCAGTCTTGGGCAATGTTTTTTATTTTTTATTTTTTATTTTATTTATTTATTTTTTTGAGATGGAGTCTTGCTCTGTTGCCCAGGCTGGAGTGCAGTGGCGCGATCTCAGCTCACTGCAACTTCCGCCTCCCAGGTTCACGCCATTCTCCTGCCTCAGACTCCAGAATAGATGGGACTACGGGCGTCGGGCAATTATCTCTCAACTAGCCATCTTATATATTTATATAGCACATCCCTATCACATTTAACTTGAGTAGGCTGTGGTTTTTTGCAGCCCAGAACACAGGTGATTAGAACAATTACTGCTCTTCCCAACTTACAGATGAAGAAATTGAGCCTTACAGAGGTTAAGTAACTTGCTTGTAGTTATATAAAAAAGCCAAGCCTAAATTCTATGTCTTCTGGTTAATGGTCATTCCTTTCACAGCACACCTTTTACCCAGATGTGTTTAGTGACCTTTGCAGACAGTGAGGTGTGCTTCCTTCCTCCTGTGTATCTCCTCCATTGCAGTGCTTTCTCCTATTTCCTGTTATAATGCTTTTCTGTTTGACATCAAATTTGGTCTCCCTTAGTGGACTGTTGAGCATCTTGGAAGACAAGGATTTTATTGTATTCATCCTTTTTCTCTCAAACATATACTGGAGTGCCTGGGTGCATAACTTAGTACCAATAAAGATTTTAATGAGTGATCAAGTAAGTGCATAAATTACTCAATTAACTGAAAACACTGATATAGGTTCAAAGTTGGTGCTATAAGATTGATTTCAAAAAAATATGACCTACGTTCTTTACCAATCTAAATTTTAGGATATTTTAAATAAAGTGTTTTACCTTGAACATATCAAGATGTTCACAGCCGCATGCAGTGGCTCATGCCTGTAATCCCAGCACTTTGGGGGGCCGAGGCAGGCGGATCATTTGAGGTCAGGAGTTTGAGATCAGCCTGGGCAACATGGCAAAACCCTATCTCTACTAAAAATACAAAAATTAGCCAGAACTGGTGGCGCACGCCTGTAGTCCCAGCTACTCCAGGAGGCTGAGGCACAAGAATTGCTTGAACCTAGGAGGCGGAGGTATCAGTCCGCCAAGATTGCACCATTGCCCTCCAGCCTGGGCAACAGAGCAAGACTCTGTCTCAATAAAATGAAATAATAAAGATGATCACTTAATAAACATTTATTCCATGATTATATGCTAGGTTTTAATATGGGAATAAATAAGAATGATTCTCTTTTCAAAAAAGTGCTGCAGATGGTTGGGTGAAACAGATGATTCCATAGCTCAGATAATGGAGCTATGGGCAAAAAAAAGCTGTGGTAATCTGAAGAGTGAATAGAGCAGCAGGCGCACTGTCAGCAGCCATGGGAACCACTAGACTGGCACGGGGATACAGCTCTAGGCAGGATGCTGTGCACATCAAGGACAATAGCCATAATCCTTTGAAAGCTACAGAATAGCAGAACGTGCTTTGCCTTTTCAGAATAGTGTGAGATTACCCCACTACAAAAAAATTACCTGTACTCTTAACATAATTATTTTTTAAAAGGTTATAATCAAGTCTTGTTATAAAAAATTCGGATAATTTTAAAATTAACTATGTACCGCTTGGGAATAATACATAAGACTATATTTTGGTTTGGCACAAAGATGAGAATAAAGATAGATCTATATCTCTAAGCATTAAAGTCCAACGCAACAGAAGGAACAAATAAATATGTATATATATAGAGAGACACATAGATAGAAAACCATATATATATATGTATGTGTCTATGTATGTACATATAAAATAGGATAAAAATGTGTTAATATAATTTCCATTCTTCACAAATTATGTACATGGTAGAAGAAATATTTAACTCCAAGAATGTTTTGGTATTGTTTGCAGACAATTACTACGGTACCCCAAAGCCGCCAGCAGAACCAGCACCATTATTGTTAAATGTAACAGACCAGATACTTCCAGGAGCCACTCCAAGTGCTGAAGGAAAACGGAAGAGGAATAAATCAGTGAGCAACATGGAGAAAGCCAGTATAGAGCCTCCTGAGGAGGAAGAGGAAGAGAGGCCTGTGGTCAATGGAAATGGAGTAGTAGTAACACCAGGTTAGTCATTTACATTTTTTATGGCTTCATAAATTTACTGTTTTAGATCTAAGATATATATGTACACATATACACAGTAAGATATATATACAGATACATAGTAAGATAAATATATACATATATATTTCTTACATCTGTGTGTTCACGTGTAATTATTATAATTATCTTCAAAGAGAGAAGATTATGATATCAAATGGAAAGGACATGGAATTAAAGAAGTTGAAAGAATATGCCAAAAACATTTTTGGCATATTTTTTCAACTACTTTAATTTTTTATTTCAATTATATAATATTAGTAGCAATATAGTGAATGATTGAAACTTCTATAAGATATTGCAAGTCTTATATATGGTTGTGTAAAGTTTTGAGCTCTCTGTTAATTAATATTAGAGAAAATCTATTCTTCGAAATCTTGCTATGCTTGCACTTCTCTCAGTAGAGGTTATGTCATGTGATTTAGTTTACAACTTCAATGAATATAATTTTCAAAATCGCTACAACTGCAGAATGCCCATATATTTGTTTCTTTTTCCTTACCACCTGATCTGGAAACATGAAGAATGTATCTTTATACATTAACAATGTGAAGCCACTACCTTGTACAAGCAAAATAATAGCTGTGCCCTTGATTTATGATCATTGTACCACATATGTGAAGAATTAGACACAAATATAAAATGTGCTTGTGCAAAGTATGGATTTGCATTTTTCTTATTACTTAATAGAGCATCAGAAATAGATTTTTAAAATAAAATTATTCATAATTAAATATTACCAAAACAACAACAAAACTGTGGCATTTTGGTAGCCTCTTGGAGTAAGGTTCCAAAATTTCATTTTATTATTTATTTTTTAATGGTAGCATAGCAGTGGGCATTAAAAAAATCTAAGGTCCGTATTTAAAGCTCTTAAAAACTGTTAGTGTGTGTACCTTTCATACATATTATTCTTAAGATATTTCTTATTACCACTTTGATGTCTATATTTTCAGGTTTATTGTGCTGTTTCTCTACTAACATAGTATTGGAATTTTTATGCTGTTATTTTTATCAAGGAACTAACATAGTATTGGAATTTTTATGCTGTTATTTTTATCAGCGAAAAACTTCATAAGCTTACTTTTTATCTTCCTTTTTCAAAATGCCTATAAAGGTGTTCTTCATTGAACATAAGATGAACATAAGGAGACCAAAAATCGAATTTGTGCTAATCAAGGTATAAAACCTAAGGTGCTTTCATCTTGATTACTCAGAGGAGGACAACCTCCTCCCTTAATATATGTGAGTTAAAATATATTAATGGACTCTAGCATCATTGATTTCTAGATACAAATGCTAAAAATCACTATAAGTAATGTAACTTGTCTCCTATGAAATGATGTGGCAATTTTCAAGCAATTAGATACCTTCCTCTTTTTTGATTCTTAAGTATCTGTGTCAAAATATTTGCTTTTAATTATATAATTTCATTAGAATTACATCGATAGTACATCGTTTTCTTAGCTGATCTTTGATATGAGAAGCCGAACAACTCAGCTGGGTTGAAGCAATAACCACAAAAGAAGCAGAGGCTGGGGTCATATAACATTTGCAAAATTTCTTACTGGTTAACATCTTGTGGTTAAAAATGTAAAAAGTATATTCCTGCTAAACCAGGATCATTGATCCCTATTTCATTTCTTATCTGTGTAGGGCAAATAAAGTGAAGTATTCTTGATCCACAGACTTTTAAACTAGAAACTTGTTTAATTATGGGGCTTACTGAATCTAGAAAGCCAAATTTCCTTCTATTCATACCTTATGCATAAGGATGATGTGCTTTTATGGTTAGGAGGTCTTCATCACCCCCAGAGAAACTGGATAAAACTGAACTGTTCTTGATCAACCCTAGCCATATCTCTGGATTCCTCAGCTTGATGATAGTAGAGAACAATTGTTAGCCAACTCTAGGTTTTCAAGACAGTCAATGGATACTGCCAACAGTGGCTCTGTAAATAAGCCTGCTGGACAAGTGGCCCTTATACTGTGCTTTTCTTTCCTGTTATGGGGAGATGAGAGATATACAAATCAGGCAGCCCTTCACCCACTGTTCAAAAATGAGCCGAACAGTCTCAAACCAAAAAATGGTCCATCATCCAGTATTAGAAGTCCTTTGACAATCCCAGTCCTTGAAATGTCTTTGTTTCTCTTTACATTTATTGAGTAGAGACTTTAGGAGTTTCTTTGACCTCCTCTGATATACATTTCCCAACTCTTCACCTTTTGAAACTCATCACATTGGTTTTTTTTTTTTTTTTTTTTAGCACAGTGTCTCTGCCCTGCCTTCGTGTTCTTCACATTCTTCACATTCACCAGACACCAGATTTCAAAGAAGACTGAGAAACATGTTCCTAGCCAGGTGCGGAGGCTCATGCCTGTAATTCCAGCACTTTGGGAGATCAAGGCAGGCAGATCACTTTCATAGGAGTTTGAGACCAGCCTGGGCAACATGGCAAAACCCCATCTCTGCAAAACACACAAACACAAAAATTAGCCAGGCATGGTAGCACACACCTGTAGTCCCAGCTTCTTGGGAGGCTGAGGTGGGAGAATCACCTGAGCCCGAGGAGGTCAAGGTTGCAATGAGCCGTGATGGTGCCACTGCACTTCAGCCTGGGCAACAGAGTGAGACCTCGTCTAAGACAAACAAAAAGAGAGAGAGAGAAACATGTCACTTAAATTTTAGTTAACACTGCCCTATATCAACTAACTATAGTAATAATTAATATCAAACTTCAATTCAGAGCATAAATATTATAATCAATGAGGCACATTTGGAGAATATAAAAAACATATTGAGGTAACATTATTCCATTACGAAGGAATATTGATAATAGTAATAAGCAATAAAATAATTCACTTCTTTTGAATGCTTACCATGCTTTAGGAGTGGCCTAACCTCATTATAGGTATTAGTTCATTTAACTATCTTAACTGTCCCATCAACTAGGTACTGCTTTACAGATTAGGAAACTGAGATACTTTGCCTAGTAACTGGAGTTCATATGTAGGAAAACTTGGTCCACAATCCATATGTGTGGCTGCCATGCTATCCTGAGTCTTATATAACCAAATACAAGCATAAATATATTTCTTAGTGATATATAAACATATAACCACTATTTTACCTGTATATCTTTCAAAGTGGCATTATAAATTTCTAGTTACCAAAAACTTCATATTGCTTTTATTTCCTGAAATCATGTACAGTGAACTTACATCCTTCTCTGTGTATAAAAAATTCCTAGTTTTTAAAATTCTGTGCATGTATAAGCATTAAATCTACCAATATTTGGCTTTATATATATTTAACCAAAACTTTGCTCTAAGTAAATAAAGCTTGTAGGTGATTCCTCGGTTTATATCTGATTCCTATTTTTTTTTTTCATCTTTTCTCCTTTGAACTAGAGATTATACTTAAACTGCAGTTTTCTTTTTCTCTCAGACCTTATCTATCTAAACTCAATGACCACCTTTAAATATATAAGTTCTCCAGGAAGTTCTGCTAACATTATCAATGTTATCGAAATTCACATGACATGTGAATATTTATTTTACTGAGTGTTCTTTCCTTCTGCTCAAAATTGCACCAGACACATAGAGTTAGCCCATGGCACCTAGTAAAACCATATAATGATTTTTCAGTGTCAGGACAGAAATATTTCTCCCTCTGTCACACATTGCCTTGGTAATGGAAATCAATACAATTCTATCCTTAGATATGTAGTTTTATCCTTGTCAATAATAAAAAATGAGAAACATGAAAATAAATAATAATGGCCACTCTCCTCTAATGGATACAAACAATGTACCAGGCATATAATACATATATTATCTCTAATCCCATAATAATTCTATACTTATTTTATGAATGAGATACTGAAATTTTGCTTAAAGTCCTTAACTAAAGTAAAAGTTTATTTACTGGCGAGTTGAGATTTGGATCTAGTAATACCTGAACTCATCCGCTCTCCAACACATGTCCCAGAACTGTTAACCATGCCAAAGACAAAGGGACTTCTGACCTCCCCAAAGTAAATCGCAATCCTGCAGCTTAGAGGATTTAGTCTACATTGTATTCCATTGTATTTGTCTTTTACTAGGCTCATAGCAGTGATGTTAGATTTAATGACAAGTACGATGTATCCTTACATCATCTTACAGATTGTTTTTGAACCGATGTTTAAAATTTATATCCCCCGGAAACCTTAACATTAACATCACCTATATTTAGATATTTTCATCTTTCTGTTTATCTTATTAGAGTTGATGTCAGCCCCATGGCTTCAAATTCTACAGATTTATCTGCACCCTTCACTGCTCTCCTGTGTTTAAGGTATATTTCTAACTGCTGCCCACTGGACAGCATCACCTAAGCATTACTTCTGCAACTTAAATGCAACACATTTCACTTAAACTCTTCTCCCACAGAACAAGCAAGCAAACCAATTCACAAAGCCCTTTACCTGATTTCTGTAATTCTACTTTTCACCCATATTCCTCAGAATTATCATTTTGTTTCTTTCCCCCAGTCTTGGTATTGTTTATTAGGCACAAAAGGGCCTTTGGCTCCCATCCTTGCCTTCGAAATATCACTGCACCATCCTAGAGCACTGCCTTACTAACTCATTTGTGGACTATAGTTCCCTAAGGGATCTGTATGCCTCCAGGATCCTTCCTGATCCAATTACCTTTTATTCCACCATAGGTAAAAATTCCTGAACCAAAACTAGGTCATGGCAGGGCGTGATGACTCACACTTGTAATCCCAGCACTTTGTGGGGCTGAGGCAGGTAGATCACTTGAGGTCAGGAATTCAAGACCAGCCTGGGCAACATGACAAAATCCTGTGTCTACAAAAAATATAAAAATTAGCCAGACCTGGTGGTACACATCTGTAGTCCCAGCTCCTTGGCAGGCTTAGGTGGGAGGATCACTTGAGCCCAGGAAGGTCAAGGCTGCAAGGAGCCATGATCATGCCTCTGCACTCCAGCCTGGGTAACAGAGTGAGACCCTATCCCAACAAACAACAACAACAACAAAAACAGGTCATGCAACTATCCTCAAAACTTGAATGAGCTTCTGTTTCCATTGGTTCAAATTCCTCAGGTAGCAACTCAGGTCCTGTTACATTTGACAAGAACATCTCTGTTAGCACGGGCTCCCATTAATCCCGTATATAAACTCCTTTCTCTCATCCACACTACACACGCAAAACATTTTCACCTGTGTGATCAGACCATTCCCACATTTGAATTCTCTTTATTCAAAATCCAATAAAAATTTTTCTTATTTCCTGGGAATCCCTTGTTGACTTTTCACAATGAAAAGTAAAAACTGATCATCTCTGAATGACAGTAATACAATTTGCACTTTTCATGTGTTTGGAAGGTATTAGCCTGGTACTTGTTGGTAACTTTTCATAATGTGCATGTCTGGCATCCCCATATATATATTGTAAACATTATTAGAACAAGGACCTTTTTTTTTTGAGATAGAGTTTCACTCTTGTTGCCCAGGCTGGAGTCCAATGGTGTGATCTCGGTTCACCAAAACCTCCGCTTCCCGTGTTCAAGCCATTCTCCAGCCTCAGCCTCCCAAGTAGCTGGGATTATAGGTGCCAGCCACCACACCCGGCTAATTTTGTATTTTTAGTAGAGATGGGGTTTCTCCATTTGGTCAGGCTGGTCTTGAAATCCTGACCTCAGGTGATCCACCCGCCTCGGCCTCCCAAAGTGCTGGGATTCCAGGCTTGAGCTACAGCGCCTGGCCAAACAAGGACTTTTTTTATTTTTCTGTTTGCCTGTTCAGCGATTAGCATATACCTTTAAATATTTCAAGTACTTAGTAAATCTTTATTTTTTAGTCAATCTTGTCTAATCTCTAGAGGATGTCAGTTTTACTGTATCAACTGATTACATTCCTTTCATGCTCATTTTACACTATTCAGTATATTCAATATGCAGTGTTTCCTAAGTTTGAAGGATATATCCCTGATCCTATATTCCTTCAAAAGTTGTATAACTAAAAAAAAAGTATACAGAAGTGCATTTTAAAATACATATTCTTAGAGATGAGAATTAGCCAGCCTCCCTAGCTTTGGCAATACCAAAGATAGATAGATGGTTAATAGATAAGTCAATTGAATTTTTTAAAAGATTGAACTCTCCTTCAGGAAAGCAAGATCATGTAAACCAGAGTAATTAGGTTAAGCTTTCTTGGATTTCTTTTATTTCATGAGTTACCTGCTAAACTTTTCCGGAAAGTAATTCACTATTATCTTGTAGCTTCCCCTCACAAGCTATTAGTAAGCCTAGTGCAAAGAATTAGAAATGCGCATATATTTTAAAAGCATTTAAATCTCTCTGTTAATACAGACACACACACACACAATGCCAAGAGGAACAGGGCCCATGAGAGCTACCTTCGCCAACAAAGAGAATACAGTATGTGTACACAGAGCTGCCTTCTCCAGGCCCCCAAGCCTGCAATTAGTGCAAATGAACTGCATCTCCCAGAGAGCAAACAGAGTGTCCCTTATGTGATCACCAAGTGTCCTCGGCAATGATCTCAGTTCACCATTAGGGACCCGCATCCAGGTCCTGTGCTGCTTGGCACGCTGACTGTGCATGCACCATCAGTCCTGGTTCTGTGAATGAGACCCTGTCACTGTCAGAAGAATTATGTCCTCCCTAGTGAATCTCGCTGTTTTCCTGTGAATAATGCCCCACTCTGAAACCACCCCAACGCCAATGCCCTGCTTATTTTTGTGTGGGTTCACAGAGACTGCGATTTGTGTATCTACCCAGATATTTATCTTTTTTGAGCGGGGTGAGAAGGGCTTAATTTTATGATCTTGTTCCCAGAGTACTGGGTTTTATCTCTCCATTGAATGGGAAAATTTCTGGGGCTAGTTTAAATTAGCCTTCTAAAATTAGATATTCCATCTATAAATGACCAGCATTCCATCTTTTCTTGAAAGAATTATTTGAAAGTTATAACTGCCCTAATTGTAAAATGTTCTGACTGTCTAGGTGTAATTAAAAAGTAATGATATCACTTTAGAGTTTGTGGTGATTGTAATTATAATATTACTATTAATAATTTTATAATTATAATGGTAATTATATTACTATTAATATTAAACTATTATAGTGATTGTAAACATACCATTTTAGTAAGGGAAATCAGGACTAGTTTTAGAAGTGTCATTTTAAATCAAGGCACAGTCATGTTTCAGTTAAACTGAAAGTAATGGATGTGAACCTCTTTAGTCCTTTTTTTTTTTTTTTTTTTTTTTTTTTGAGACAGTTTCACTCTTGTTGCCCAGGCTGGAGTGTAATGGAGTGATCTCAGCTCACTTCAACCTCTGCCTCCTGGGTTCAAGCAATTCTCCTGCCTCACCCTCCCAAGTAGCTGGGATTACAGGCATGTGCCACCATGCACAGCTAATTTTGTATTTTTAGTAGAGATGGGGTTTCACCATGTTGGTCAGGCTGGTCTCCAACTCCTGACCTCAGCTGATCCACCCGCCTCAGCCTCCCAAAGTGCTGGGATTACAGACGTGAGCCACCGCACCCGGCCCTCTTCATTTCTTAAACAGATTCAGCATTGCATGCACTCAACCTCTGGGGAGAGTGTTTCTCTACTTCTCTGCAAGTTTACGTAATTTGTGTGTGAGGGAGATTTGATCCATGAGTGAGGAAGGCAGAACAAGGACAACCAGAGTAGCACCTCAGGTTTCTCCAGCAGTTACAGAAAGCCCATGGAATTGTGAAAATGTTTAAGTTTCTTCAGGTTCTCCAGGCTTTCTTAGAATCTAAGCTTTTTTTCTAATCACAGTCATATATTCTCTGTAGGTCTGATTTTCACCTGTGTCCCTGGGTTTCTTATAGTTCTCCTCAGGAAAGTGATTATGATTGTTGGTGTGAAATCACAGCTACTTTATTGTCAGTGATGGCTCTAGTTATTTCTGGCTGAGGACTGGCCTTTCTTTTTGAAGAGGGCATAAGGTCTCTCTGAGCACCCATTGCTTCTACATGACTCTATCAATGGGAACAGTATTGTGATGTTTTTTCCCGTTTGACTTTTTGCCCTCATCAAAAAATACGTTGACTCCAATTTTGCCCCAAAGAATAGCTCTTGAATTATCAAGATCAAATTTAAAGTCTTCCTAATTTTCTCTTTCATCTCCTTTGAATTTCCTGGAACTTCAGAAAGTGGCCTCCTGTTTTATATAATACTATGCTCCTGATTAAAAAAAAAATTGAAGGCAAGCTCTAAGAAATGTTGTATGTGCATGTTCTTTATTTCATACCTTGCTGTGGTTTTTTAAGTATGTCAACATTTGTATCAGTTTCTTTCACCCCAAAGTTTGTTAAGAATTTGGGGGACTTGTTTCTTTATGATAAATATCTTTAGATATTTTCTTCTCCCCTGTTAATCTAAAATAATTTCCTCTACTAATCTTTCTGTGATTCTTTTCAATTTAGTTTTAGGAAATGTTTTCCTTGTCACCTTCTACCCACAGACTTTGAATTTTCTATTTTCATAATTTTCCATATTGTTCTTTTAGTACTTCAAACAATTTGTAACTAATTATGGGTTTTAGATATAGAAGAAAAATAATTGTGAGGCACGAAATATGCATTCTCAGTAATTCACATACCCCTGGCTAGACCCTGAATAGAAGAGATGTAATTTGCTTATAAATGTTACATATATATTGAGAGGCCGAGGCAGGTGGATCACAAGGTCAGGAATTCAAGACCAGCCTGGCCAACATGGCAAAACCCTGTCTCTACTAAAAATAAAAAAATCAGCCCATCGTGGTGGCACGCCCCTGTAGTCCCAGTTACTCGGGAGACTGAGGCAAGAGAATCGCTTGAACCCGGGAGGCGGAGGTTGCAGTGAGCTGAGATCGCACCACTACACTCCAGCCTGGGCGATGGAGCAAGACTCTGTCTCAAAAATAAAATAAATTCTAAAAAATTACATATATAAATCATTTCTTCACAGGCTTGGGGATTTCTGCTTCCTGGATTGAGGTATCATCCCAAAAATCAGAAGCACAGTTAACCATTACACTAACTTTCCCTAATTCTAATATCTCCTTCTAGACTTACGTTTTCTCCCTGGCCTCAAATAATAAAGGGAAGCGGTTGTTTACATCTGCAAAAATATGGTATAGATATATTTGCCACACTGTTTAAAGGCCACACCCTCTTTATACTCACACCTTTTTTTTTTTTTTTAATTTATTTTTTTTGAGACGAAGTCTCGCTCCATCACCCAGGCTGGAGTGCAGTGGCACGATCTCCGCTCACCGCAAGCTCCGCCTCCCTGGTTCACGCCATTCACCTGCCTCAGCCTCCCTAGTAGCTGGGACTGCAGGTGCCCGCCACCACCCCCGGCTAATGTTTTTCTGTTTTTGTTTTTGTTTTTTGGTGTTTTTTTTTTAGTAGAGACGAGGTTTCACCGTGTTAGCCAGTCTGGTCTCGATCTCCTGACTTTGTGATCCACCCACCTCGGCCTCCCAAAGTGCTGGGATTACAGGCATGAGCCACTGCGCCCAGCCTCATATCTTATATATTAATTATAATGAATTTTTTTTTAGCACTTAGAACCACTTCAGAGCACGAAGAGTCAAAAACTGACTAAAAGTCAATAATCAATTTGCATAGAAAAATCTCTGAAGGGTCACAAAGATAATTATTACTGCTAACTTGATGGCTAGAGCCCTGGATTTTAAAGCTTGCTTTGCACTGTTTTCCTCCATTGTGTTTCTGGATTTTGTACCATGTGCATGTTTCACTGTGTCAAAAAAAAAAAAAAAAAAATTTATATATATATATATAAAAGATGGTGAGCAAAAAAAAGTCACTATACAATGTGCAAATATTTTAGTACCCATATTAGAATTCTTCTCATTTTAGAAGGTTTAGGAAAAGTAAGAAAATGGATAAGAGCATTCTTTGAGCAATAATTGACAATCTGGACTTCTTGATGAACTGACTGTGTAGAATGCGTGACTGCTCCCTTTCTGAAGACACTGAAATGTGTCCTACACTTTTCATTACAGAGTATAATCTATAGTACAGCCACGATGAAAAATCAATTATATAAGTTTACAAATAATTATATTAGAAATAAAATAATCATAATTTCCCATATATAAAAATCAACACAATCATATTTTTCTTTTGTCCAAATATCAACCCTGAAGTGTTGATTTATTTACAAGAGCCTGTAGTTCAAATTCTAAGCCAGCTTCCAGCAGTGAAGCAAACAGTCCTCCCACCACAATCCAATAAAACCTTAGATCAATATAACAAACACACTTTTTAATGGGATTATTGGGTTTGCACAAAAGCATGGAGAAATCTTTAAGCCCCACCACATCCAACACAGTGGCCACTACCACAAATGAGCAGAAACCAGAGTGAGGAGGAGTCAGTTATAAGCAGACTAGAAAGCCAAAGTTGCTCTGGGGGTATATGAGAAGACCAAGCTTTGGACCAGTATAAAATTGGGGAGCTGCGTTTCTGATTTTGCTTTAAATCAGTTGCTCTCAAAGGTGCCAAAGTGATGCCAAGTTTGTAGCTCGGTAGCAGCCCCTGGTGCCCAACAAAAGCAAATGCAGAACTCTAGAGAACATAATAGAGAACTTGAAAAGAATGCATGGTTTCTGAAGATTGCTTTTCCTCCTTTAAATTACTTAACCCCATTACATGTCTCTATTGAGGAAGAAAAGCTCAATTGATGCAAACACCTTTTAAAGAAGAAATACCACCTTTATGTATATCCTTTTCTGACATTTGCATTACTTTTTGAAAACCCCTAATCTAAAAATTATAGAAAATTGACCATACCTTTTGTTTCTGTAGGCAGAAATCATTTAAATTGCTTGACCAATTTAACTACTCTATTTAGTATTATAAATAATAGAATTCAGTGGTAATAATATACAACATTTACTGAACACCTACTATATTCTAGCAGTTTACTACTCTAAGCACTTTATAGATAAGTCTCATCTAATCCTTATAGGTAGGTAACTTCATTATCCCCATTGTACAGTTAAGAAAATTGAAGCATCCACAGAGTTATTAAATAACTTGTTCAACCTCCCACTTTAAAGGACAGATTCAAACCTAGGTGGCCTGACACAAGCCTTAACTATTACGTTCTACTGCTTCTTATGGAGACTGTTGTTATCGGGGAATTTTTAAAGGAAACGTAAAAAAAGTTTACATTTCAAATTATTCCTATTCTCTTTATGAACTACAAATATGTTCCCTGATCCTTTTTTTCTCTCAGCTTAAATGTTTTCCAGCCATGCCTACTTCCAAAGAAATAATATGAAGACAAGGAGAAAAAATTATTGGATTTCTTAAAAGTTGTCACATAGCCATTATAAATATAAATCACAGGGTAAAATAAATTTTGGAAATTCAAACTTTATGACAGTTTAAAGGAATAAATTTTTCTATCTACCTTAAAAACAAATCAATTATTTTCCCTCATTTCAAAAGACGGCAGTTACAGAAAGCTGCATGTTAACTGTATACATAGACTGTGTCACATGAAAATATGGATAAGATATTAAATGTGTATTCTTCTTCTTGAGATGGTTTTATCTTGGCTTCTGGTTATTCTTTAATGAAACTGGGTGGGAACGTTGAAAACCATGACATTCTAACTTATCATTGGTCTTGTACCTGAGAAGCAACATGTTAGATACTGGCAGGGCAATAAACAAGAAAGCAAACGGAATGGCTGCCATGCATATTTTTGTAATATCAAAACCTTAGACTGTACCAGAACCATAGAATTTATAAGGACTGAACTAAATGCACAAATACATACATTTATTCTCTCCCAATTAAACGCTTTCAGTTCCTGCACTATGTACAGATCTTTGAGCCCTTCTGAATTTCTTATGGAAAGGAGAAAATTATATTTACTGAATTCAACAAAACCCTCAGGGCAGGCAAGATGAAAGGAATTAAATTTCTTAATTCTTCACAACAGTTAAAGTGTAGGTATTAATAAAATATGTTTTTATAGATCATTGTTTATAAGACTATATGTTATAAATGTCTGTTTCGTGCCCCAATGTTTCTATAGAATTTCTAGGAATTCTATTTAACAGTCCTAGTCCCACAGAAAATTTTTACATCATTAGCATCCTTTAAGAAGAGGTGTTTCTTCTTTACTGAAATATTCTTTGTTTTTATTGTCAGTGAAAAAAAAAAATTCTTGTTCTGGTTTGAACGACATCTAAGAGACACAGAAACGCAATGGGGAATGCACAAAAAATGTCAGTGTTTGATAAAGTCTGTTCGTTTTAGCAGTAAATAAGGAAAACATTATATTTTACATATGAAGCTGAGGCAGGAGAATCACTTGAACCTGGGAGTCAGAGGTTGCAGTGAGCCAAGATCGCCACTGCACCCAGTCTGGTGACAGAACAAGACCCCGTCTCAAAAAAAAAAAAAAAGACTATTTTTCAATTTAACAATAAAAGCATACTGAGAAATGCATCTTAAAAGTCAAAAAGGACAATTTTACTTAGCCACTTCCTAATCAAATATAGCTTCACGCCACTATAAAAAAGGTAAAACATGCATGGGTTATTTGGCTCCTTCTCCCTAGTCAGAATTTAAATAGTCCAGAAATTCTCAAACCACAGATCTGATATATATATGATGTGTGCGAGAGCATGCTTACATGCACATTTTTCTCATCAGGCTGCATGGGACTAGGAATACTCGCAGGAGTAGCTGACACAGGCAAGCTTGGTTGGCGTGTAAGGTCTGGTTATTTCCCTCCCATTATTACGAAGTTTGCTCGGTTCTTAACGGGTAATTTCTTAACAACTTACACAATATCCAATATATGTCATTTTTAAAAAATTTAAGCCGATACAGAAGAAAGATATATTATCTAAAATGCAGCAAAGTTAATTTCTATTTTCCATATTAATCAGGGAAACAAATATGATATAGCATGAAACAATAATTTGCAGTCCTTGAGATGTTAAATATTGGTTCAGTGGACTGCACAGTGAACTGATCCAGTACACCATTTTATGAGTTGAATTGTGCCCCCACCCCCAGATTCATATGGTGAAGTCCAAACCCCCAGTATCTCAGATGGTGACTTTATTGGGAAATATGATCATTGCAGATATAATTAGTTAGGACGTGGTCATCCTGGAGTAGGGGTAGACCCTTCATCCAGTATGACTGGTGTCCTTATAAAAAGAAGAAATTGGAACCCAGATGTGCACACAGGGAAAATACCATGTGAAGACTGCAATTATGTTGCCATGGGTCAAAAAGCTACCAGAACCTAAGAGAGAAGCCTGAAATAGATCCTTCCATAGTGCCTCCAGAGGGAGCTGGCCCTGCCAACGCCTTGATATAGGACTTTAACCTCCTGAATGTAAGACAATAAATATCTATGATTGAAGCCACTCAGTTTGTGGTGTTTAATTATGGCAGCCCTAGAAAATTATTACATATCATTTGGACCACATTCTCCTTGACTGTACACTGCCTAGCTTAGTGCCTGATGGTTAGTATGCTCTAAATAAATGTTTCTAATAATGCAGGAAATATAAGACCAGTTTCTTCTCTCACTGACAAATATTGGAGTTCCTCAGACAACTGCTTTAGGTACCCTTGTTTCTAATTGCTACACTGTCTTCCTAGAAAATTTTATTCAGGTATTTTATGTCATTGAGTATCACTTAACAAATCATTATTGTAGTACTCTATATAGTTGCTCAGAGTTGGGGGAGACATGTCTTCTCCACCCTCCATGTTGCCTTGAATGTCTAGGAGAGTACTGAATTTGCATTCTACCATCTCTTTTACTCACTCTGCCCAGAAGAGGTGCAGGGATTTATCTGAGTGACACAACTTGGAAGATGAACCTGGACCTTCTTGGCTCAGTTCCCCTTTTCTTCCCCTAAATATTCTACTTTGCCCTTCTGGGAACAGATTCTACCCTTACATGGAAGCCCTGCCCTGGTTCCACACTGCCAATGAATAAATTGGTCCTCTGGGTTTTGCCAGAAGCCCTTGATTCTCACATTAAACCGTATCCCTAGGTGAGCCTTTGTGAGTAATAAATATGGGAATGTTATGGATCTTTATTTGCCTTATTCATTTTTTTTGTCTTATTTTGTTAAGATGGGAGAGGTAGGTGCTACTTATTGCTTCCCTCTCAGCTTAGTTCACAGCAGCCTGATAAAAAGGTCTATAATCTCCCCCATTAAGGTCTTGTCAAGTATCTTACACACTATAGATATTAAATTCATGTTTGCTACTTTAATGCTTGATTAATTAAGAATAAAGAAATGAATGAATAAACAGATAAACTGGGAGAACTTTGTCCAGTAATCTCTGATACATCAACAAATATGATTATAGATTTCTCCAAAGACTAGATCCTTTTTTAAGAGATGTCCTACATTTCTCTTGAGAATTTAATGGTATTATACAGTAGAAGGAAAGTTCATTTGTCCAAAGCCAAGCTTCTTGAATGACTTCTCTATTAGGATAATTCTGTATTTTCCTTTCATTCATTTTTAAACCTATTCCAATCTGGCTTCACCAACCACTCCACCGTAAATACTGCCGTAACTGGCAGCCAGTGTCACCAGTGATCTGCACATCATTCGGTTCTACAGATTTTATGTCCTTGTCTTGCTGGACTGTGCAGAAGCTTTGGCCACAGTTAAGTGTCTTGTCTTCAACACCCTTTGCTTGGCTTTTGCAACATGAAGTTTTTTTAATTTTCTCATTGCTTCCATGGCTGCCCTTTCCTCTTCTCTTTTACCAGTCCATTGTTTCAGTGACTTAAATGTTGAAGTTCATCAGACAGCTGCTCCAGATTCTTGTTTCCACTTCTCACCCTGTCTCTTGGCAATTTCATTTACTCATGGCTAAAATTATAGTACCATCTAGCCATATGCTGTTTTCTTTCAGGTTTATTTTTTTTCCATCTAAGAATTCTCTGACTTGACGTCTCCATGAACCTCTAACTCAGTGTGCCCAAAACCACATGTATAGCCTACCCCTACCCCACAGAATCCTACTCCTCCTTCCCTGTTTCCAATCTCAGTGAAAAGCCTTGCCACCCACCATGGCAGGTTATAAAATCTACCCTCTAAATATTTTTTTAATCTGCTTCTTTCCATCTCCGTGCCACCATCATTACTTTTTGAGAGCACAAAAATAACTTTCCACTGCTCTATAAACATCTACTCTTGCCACCCTCAAATCCCCAGAATAGTTAAGGAGATCTTTGTGGGAAATGAAAATCTAATTTTGTCATCTGCTTCAGTAGAACATAGCAGTATCTTTGCTCTCAGGACACACTTCCAAATCCTGAGCATGCCTGATAGAGCCTCACTTAATCCAGCCCTCATTTATTTATTTCTCCCTTACCTTCAGAGCCTCACTTAATCCAGCCCTCATTTATTTATTTCTCCCTTACCTTCTTCTGAAAGAACCCTTAGATGTTATAGCACATTGAAAAAGAGGTTTTCCCTGACTCTTTATATGAGATTAGATGAATATACATACAGAAGATCCCATATACATACGATTCCCTTAGGCAGCACTCATCACACTTAAAATTATTGTATAAAGACTACACATCTTGACATATTTGGAGTTCCATGAGAGAAAGGATCAATGTATCTCTTGTTCACTCTTCTGTCCTCAGTGTCTGGCACCAGTTGAGTGCATAATAAATATTGATTAACTGAATATTGTATAACTGAACATGTTCAGAGCATGACCTTGCATTTGAACTTTTCAGTGCAACGTGACATTTTGTATGTTCCATGTGCGTACCACAGTATGTATAATTACATGTTGAAATATGCCACAGAAAAGAGACTCTGAAGTTAGCAGTGGTACCTGTTTTTACTGCTTTTATCCTACAAAACTTACAAAGATCAAATCTTTATAAGGAATCAGCTAGGAGACTCTATCATTAAGGGCCATATTATATTCATAATTTCCCTCTTAAGGGCAATACAGTGACAACTTGTAAAGTATTCTTGTGTTTTTCTAATAGATACTTTATTTCTATTAGATATTAGATAAGTATTTCTAATAGATACTTTAATATTGCTCTCCTAGATTGATGCAGAGAGGGGAAAAATTGGCCCATGCAATTAATAGTGACAGCAAGATGATATTCTAATTTACTCATTTAAAAAATCTATTAACTTTTGAAGTTATAAAAATAATAGATACCCAATGAAAGCAAAGATATGTAAAAGAAACTTCTTCCACCCCCATCCAAATTTACTATCCTGAGGTAATCAAAGTTGACAATCTGTTGTACATCCTTGCAGTCTGTTTTCATGCTTATATAGAGATATAACTATATATCACTTAGAGATCTTAATATATGCTTATTTAGAAAAATAGGATTAATACTATACATTTCTCTGCAGCTTAGATTACTCTTTAACAATTATAAGCACCTTTCAAGGTCAATAGATATTCATTGATTTTAAACTACATAGTTTTCCATGGTAATGACAAACACTATTTATTTATTTAATTATAATCTCATTGATAGGCATTTATATCATTTCCAGGGTTTTACTACTACAAACAATATTGCAAAAAATAGTATTATATAGGCATCATTATATAATACTGCCTTTATTTCTAGAGGATATGTTCTCAAAGTAAGATAACTCAAAGTCTGTGTATTTGTATTTTTTTATTTTAATAGGCATTATGTTCCCAAACAATTGTAGAATTTTATATTTCCAAGATGGCCACCTTATCCTCACATTGCCTCTCACTACCTTTCAGCCCCTCTGAATCTCAGTAGTGCTCTCCTTCTAGTTTCTGAGTTAAGGAACTTCTCCTTCGTATTTACCCTAACGGTATTTCTTTCTCTTGATGGTACCTGCTCTACTCTTCCCCAACAAATAAGACTCATTGTTTATCCTTGACAGCAGAAAAACTAAATGTGGGGTAAATGAATCCATGAATAGCTCAGTAAACATACACATTAGGAGATATTTCAAAAATATCCCCATTATACAATTAAGCCTACACCTTGACCAAATTATTTGCCCAATAATCTCATCCCATGAAAAGGTGGCCTTTAAAATTATCTCATATACTCACTCTCTGAAGTGCCTACTGATGACAGCTTTAGAATGTCTCTATTTTCCTACCTTTTCTCCACTTCCTAGTACCTGAGCTTTCCTAAGATAAAGTCTAAAACCCATGGTCTTACTAGGTCTTCATGTATTTTTCTTCTTTCCAGAATCTGTCTTTAACACATATTACAAATTTTCAGAAATGTGATCATCTTCCATTTATATTTAACTATATTATCCAGAATTTATTTCTTCCATATTAGTTCATCCTCACACTGCTATGAAGAAATACCTGAGACTGGGTAATTTATAAAGGAAAGAGGTTTAATTGACCTACAGTTCCACATGGCTGAGGAGGCCTCAGGAAACTTACAATCATGGTGGAAGGCAAAGGGGAAGCAGGCACCTTGTTCACAGGATGTATACTTATGAGGTCAATCATAACGGCCCACCTTATTTTCACTTATTCATATGATGCAAGAAATACCCAAGTACTTCTGAGATGATGAGGAGGGTGGGGAGGGGAAGGAGGAGAGAAGAATGAGGGAGGAGAGGAGAGGACAGGGGAGGGTGAGAGAATGAAGGAGGAGGGAAGAAGAGGAGGGGAGGGAGAGGAGTGGGAGGGGAAGGAGGGGGAGAAGGAGGAGGGGGAGGAGGAGGAGGGGGAGGAGGAGGGGGAGGGGGAGATGGAGTGAGTGCAAGCAGGGGAAATGCCAGACACTTATAAAACCATCAGATCTCGTGAGACTTACTCACTACCACAAGAACAGGATGGGGGAAGCCTTCCCCATGATCCAGTTACCTCCACCTGGTTCTGCCCTTGACATGTGGGGATTACAATTCAAGATGAGATTTTGGATGGGGACACAGCCAAACCATATCATCTTCCTACCTTTTATTTTCTCCCCGTATCTTGAGGTCTCTGCTCTGATTCAATCATCATGATATGGTTAGAGTAATTTTTCAAATTTTGCCCTCAGATAAGATACTTGGAGAGCATACATTCAGAACTTTTGCATGTTCAAAAGTGACTGTTTTTTCCCAGATAGATGAATATCTTGGTAGAGTTAAGTTCTTGGATTACTATATCTTTTTTTTTCTCAAGTTACTATAGATGTTACCCTCTCTTTGCGCTTAGAGTATTACAGATAAAAGGTCTGATGCTCTTTTGTTCCTCTTTTCTTTGTAAGTAATCATATCTGTTCAGTATGGAAGCTGCTAAAGTTGCCTTTTAACATTGTAGTTTGGAAATTTCAACTAGATGTATCCAGGTGTCTGCATGTTTCCTTAATCTGGCCTCAGATTCAGTGAACTATTTCAATCTACAGACTGGTGTTTCTTCATCTTAGATAAATTTTCTTCTATTGTTTGTCGACTTATTTCTTCCTTGTGCGTTCCTTCTTCTCATTCTGGAACTCATACTGTTTATATGTTGGGGATCTTGGGTCTGTCCTCCAAGCCTGTTACCACTTCTGTTAAGGTAGTTTTTGCTCTGTTGTACAGTAGCTCCCCTTAGCTACGAGGGATGTGCTCCAATACCCCCAGTGGATGCCTGAAACCTCAGATGGTACCAAATCCTATATATACTATACAAAAAAACTATGATAAAATTTAATTTATAAATCAGATGCAGTAAGAGATTAAGAACAACAAATAATAGAATAATCATAACAATATACTATTATGAAAGTTATGTGAAGGTGGTCTTTCTCTCTCTCTATCTTACTGTACTGTAATCATCTATTTTTGCACCATGGTTGACCATGGGTAACTGAAACTATGGAAGAGCTGTGTTCCTTGTTGGCAGAGCTGTGTTCCTTTCCGGATTCTCCAGGAAATAATCCATTTCCTTTCCTTTTAAAGATTCTAGAGGCCACTAATATTTCTTGGTCTATGGTCATTTTCTGTCTTCTAAGCCAGCAACATTGCATCTCTTTGACCATGATTTAGTAGTCAATTCTCCCTTTTACCCTTCTTTTCTGCTGACTTTTTTCACTTTTAAGGACTCTTGTGATTACATTTAATCATAATCATCCAGATGAGGCCATCTGGATAATCAAAGATAATCTCCCCATCTCAGGGTTCTTAGTCACATCTGCAGATCATCTTTTGCCATGTAAGGTAATATTCACATATTCTAGACATTAGGATATGAATATCTTCAGGGGCCCATTATTCTGCTCACCATACCTGTATTATGAAATGGTCCTTACATTACATCCTTTAAACCTCCAATTCTGTAAACAATAATAATTAGCTGAAAGATAGATGACAATGACGAGTGAAAGGAGAGCTCAAATAGGCCTAGTGATCATTATGCTTTTTCAGAAATGTTTCCTGTTAGCCTTCATAGAAGTTATTCATGACGTTTATTCCCTGGTACAGCATTCTCCATACTCAGTCCAGAGTTACCATGGTTGGAGTGACTAACCACGTGCTCTTGTTCTCTTATAGAATCCAGTGAACATGAAGACAAAAGTGCAGGTGCCTCAGGGGAGATGCCCTCCCAGCCTTATCCTGCACCAGTGTACAGTCAGCCTGAGGAGCTGAAGGAGCAGATGGATGACACAAAGCCAACTAAACCTGAAGACAATGAGGAACCAGACCCATTGCCTGATAACTGGGAAATGGCCTATACAGAGAAGGGCGAAGTCTACTTCATTGAGTGAGTTTCACACATTTCTTTCAACAGTGCCAAAAAGGTCATAGCGGGATATAAATGATGTAGCAAGTTAGACGTGGAAAAAAAAAAAAAAAGAAAAAAACATGAAATTCTGGTAACAGCTTTTTTATTTGTGAGAGAATAGTGGGATAGTGCCTTAATACAGTTAAGCCTCCTAGAATACAGCTATAAATCAAATAATGGATTAAATAATAGCACCCTACAATCTCTTATAATTATGACTAAAAAAGACAAATCTCCATGTGATGTTATTATTGAATTAGGAATAGTCTAGATATCATGAGAAAGTGCTTACTCAGCTCCTCCTAAGACCCCCGTCTTGTCAAAATGAAATTTTTTTCCTATTATCTAAGCTAGTTGGAGGAATATTCACCATCAAGTCCAGGAATTTAATAAAATGCAACTATTTAAAGTAATAGGTCACAAAAGAAAAAATATTGATGTTGTTTGTTTGGTTGGTTGGTTGTCTTTGAGACAAGGTCTCACTCTGTCGCCCAGGCTAGAATGCAGTGGCACAATCACGGCTCACAGCAGCCTCAACCTCCAAGGCTTAAGCAGTCCTCCCGCCTCAGTCTCCTGAGTAGCTGGGGCCACAGGTGCATACCACCATGCCTGGCTAATTTTTGTATTTTTAGTAGAGGTGGGGCTTTGCCTTGTTGCCAAGGCTGGTCTCAAACTCCTGGGCTCAGGTGATTGCCCACACTGGCCTCACAAAGTGCTGGGATTACAGGGGTGAGCCACTGCGCCCAGCCAAAAAAAATGCTTTTAGCATTTGACCCCAGTGTCAGATGTCAGTAAAATAATTTGGCTTTGTATAGTTCATTATGCTCCCTTTTACTATATTCCATTATATTAGTTGCTTACAATTTTTATGACTTGCTAAGGAAACTGTAGTGCAAATCCTGAACTTCTTGGTAATACTCAACCTAATCTTTCTTTTAGGACATTTTTAAAAAATATAATTTTTGTATACATGTTATTAATAATGTCAGGCTTTTCTTTTCTTTAGCTTCTAGGATTAAAACAACTTTTTAAAAATTCCAAAATAGAAAATCTTCGCACAAAATTAAATTGTTGATTTGCACAAGACAACCAAAATGTTCATTAGTAAGAGTAAAAACTGAAACTAATGTGAATGAACAACCCTTATCCTCTCAAAGTTGTATAAGCCTCAAAGAGAGAAAATAATAGAAATTGAAGTTTTTAGTGTTGACAGTGGATAAAAATATGAAAACTCTGATTATTTAAGAAATACATTAACACTGGATTTTCTTTTCCAACCTGGAGTGATTTATAACTTAGATCTCTATAGGCAGAATTCAGTTGTGAAATTGAAATGTTACCACATACCAATATTTAATTCTCACGTGAAGTTGGAAACTCTGAATCATGCGACCAAGGGACTACATAATCAGGTAATTACTCAGTGCTCTGCTTGACTCCAACATAGATGAGAAACACAATGTTTTGCAGAAAATGAATCAATAGCATTCACCTTTCAGCAAATGTTCTAATTTTAAAAGGAATAAGAATCTCTTACATTATTTCTTATTGCTGTAATCAATGACCAAGGCATCTTTTATCAATTAATTGGAAAATAGAAAGAATGTTTAAAAAAGTGACCTATTAAAAATAATCATATCTAGAAACATAATTTTGATATTGGTAAAGACAGCATGACATCATTGCGGACCAGAAGTCAAAATACAAATCTTAGATATGAGATCACAAATAGATGTTCAGAACAATTGATGTTCGGAATAAGGAAGCTGATGACATACATAGTTTTATTATATAAGACAAGGGGAGTAAGGCTATATGAAAATAATAAAAGGAAAGCAGCATGACAAGTTGATTAAAGACTATTTTCTTACAATGTTTCCAATAATGCAATAATAAAAACCTTTTTTGTGTGTGATTATAAAGTAAACTTTCCTCTTTTAACTACATCAGGTTTTGAGGTTGTGAAGAAAAATAACTTCAAAAGACAGAACTTATGTTCCAGGTATATAGTAAGTAGTGAGGCTGGCTCAGGGCTTGAGAGAATCTAGCAAAATGATTCTATGACTCGTCAGTCAGCCAGTGTTGGCATTCAAACATGTGTAAGATTTTGTCCTTGCTTTCAAACTTGTTGGCAAGATGGGGAAGAGAGACAAATAGTTATAAACACTTGGTCAACAATTTCTGAATTTTGTGATACTATTCAGGGAAGCCAAAGCTTACAATAGATTTAAGATATAAAAGGGGCACCGCAGAGAAGGTGAGATAACATAGACTTGAGAAGTTAACAATGGCTAGATAGAGCATTCCAGGTATGGGAGCTGTCATTACAAAGACGAAGTCCTTAGGTGTATTAGGAATGGTGAGGAAGCCCCTGACCCTACTAGAGAAGTATGTATTAGTTGGTAAATCTTAGTTTTCGTTTCACTGGATCATTAGTGCTTTTGAAAGGCAAGCAAAGGAGTGGCATTTTGTTGTTGTTGTTGTTGTTGTTGTTGTTGTTTGAGTTTGTAGTTTTTTAATCTTCCTAATGTTGGAGGGAAGGACTGGTGGACAGTATTAGGAGCAGAAATGGATGGAGGTGGAAAATTAAAACAAAATGGAGGAAACAATTTCATCTGTGGCGAAAGAGCTGATGCTGAGGGAGACTAAGGTGAAAGAAGGAGCCTGGAGTCATGGTGGAAGTGACTGTGTCTGGAAGGTGATTAACAGAGGAGGCAGGATCGAGGTAGTCTACGACGCCTGCTAAGGTTCCTCCATAGACTGGAGGCATCCCTGCCCGCCTGCTCCCCAACACCCTCCACCTTACCCCCAGTTTGTGATTCATCTGTCTTTCATAAAGGTTACCTTTGAACCTCAAGATTCGGTGTGGTGAACGCAGGTATCACAGAGCGGGCAGTGGATCAGCGTCTTTTTGTCTGGTCCTTCATGTCCATACCATCACCACCAACAACGTTGCAGTTTCCTCTCTCTCTGCCTATGGTTTACTGTGCTTTACTTTTTCTTTAGTATTCACTGATTTTCTCCTGTCTGTTTTCACTCTTTGCCCTGGAATATTCCTTCCTTTCCTAATTACATTTAAATCAACATTCCCACCCATTGTCATTGATCTGTGAGAACCTTTGCTTCTATGACAAAGAATTCTTATGTAACTAACAAACTGTATACTATGAAAGGCCCGTAGAAGCAGATCTTGTAGAATACGAGACAGTGATTGGGGAGGGAGCATGGTTGAGCAATAAGACATGTCTTAAGGACAAAGCCACCATGTGTCTCAGAGGTAGTCCTGAAGTAGTTATGTACCAGAAAGCATGATAGAAAGGGAAAGTAGAAATATGTTCACATTGTGGGATGGCTCAGTTAAGCTACTTAACATATGCATTACCTCACATACTAGTCGTTTTTTGTGTTGAGAACACTTAAAATCTACTCTCAGCCATTTTCAAAAGTCTAGTACATATGATTTTTGTTTATCAATTAAGTAAATAAATAAATAAAAAGTTTTTTTAAAGGAAAGGTAGAATACCGTAAGAGGAAGGTAAACCAGAGGGAAAAGAAAGGAGAAGAAAAATGAGAGAGATTTGTGAGGGAAGAAGTGCTGACATCAGTAAAAACTTTTCTCTTGTACAGATATTGTGAGAGCTGCTTACAGTAATGAAACTCTCCTCTGGCAGGTCCCACCCTTTAATTAGACTTTGCTGAAGTCTGTATCCTTTGAAATGAAGATCATGACAAAACAGAAAATAAGTGAAACAAAGGAGAATGATTCTTTGGTTCTGTGTATAAGATAGAAAGATAGATAGATAGATAGATAGATAGATAGATAGATAGATAGAATAGTTATTTCTGAATAGCATAAAGGAACTCTACAGTGAAACATTAGATATGTAGTTTTAAAAGACGTATTAAACAGTATAGGTTTTGAGTTAAGGTAACAAGCAATTCCATTTACTTGTCTTTTTTTATGCAATAATGTTTTGAAATATTTATTGGTTTATGTGATATTGCAAAATAGTTATATGGCTGAGTCCTTTAGAAGTTCTGAATTTAAGAGGTGAAGTTTTAGAGGTTCTGCATTTAAGAGGGAAAGGTTTTTTCTGCCCTCAGCAACCCTGGTAAACTAGCAGGCCAACTATGTTTCCCACACTACTCAAACTGCTTCTTTTGATGATTGATAAAAGCAGATTTCTTCTATCCTATAGAATGACATTTAATTGGAAAAGGAGAATTGCTGAGAAAATATTTTTATGCAGCATAATTTTAAATTTCAAGTGAACACACTCTTCCAAACATGCTTTAAAATAGTAATAATGTCTTATGTTTCATAATTTTCAGGAGACTTTTAAATGTATAATACTGTGTAAAACCAGTAATCTCTTTGACTCATCATCTTCATTAACATTATCTTTGAAATAGGCAGTATATTAATTGTAAATTCAAATGAGAATATGTGAATTCAAATGAGTTATTACATATCAAGGACCCACCTTTTTAAGGGTGTATTCGCGTTACCTTAACAACAATAGTTCATCTGTTAAGCGTTTTTACTCCATTCACTTAATCCTTACTTTATGAAACTGAGACTTTTAGAGGTAAATACTTGCCAAAAAGTCAGACATAGCCAGGGCTCTTTGATTCTGTTTATTCAACAGAGGTTTATTGGTCATGTATTATGTCCTGGGAATCATTCTAAACCCTGAGAATACAGTAGTCAAAAAAACTGACAAGATTCAGACTTTCACGCGATGTAGACTGTCTCCATGGTCCTTGTTCTTAACCAATTTGCTGTGATGCCTACTTCACATCATCACCACCCTATAAAGTGTCTGGTTTATCCACATTTCATAGACGAGACTTTGAGGCATCCTTGGACAAATTAACATTCCCAAGGTCACAGAGCTCTTTCACTCTACAGAGTCATTCCCATTATCTCATACTACCTCCAATAGAAACAAACATTGGCTGAGAAAAAAAGTAAACTTTTATATTACAAATAGTATTTGTTTTATAAGTTTCTTGGCCAGCAATTCACTACTCCAGAGGCTAAATGTTCCATAAAAGAAGAGCTGCCACAGGGTTAATCTGGATTGACGTGCTTTGGGAATCCCATTAAATTACTTCTTTGTTTGGGAGTCAGTTTAGTTAGTGACACAAAAGAGACTGCTATTGCTTTGGCAAAAAACAAAAAGACAACAAGAACCTATTTGTTTACTGCCATCTTCCCAAACGGCAGTGAACACTATGTCATCTTAAATGACAGATTTTTAAATGCAGGCTTTTGAAACCGAAAATCACATCTGTGAAAAATGTCATAGCTGTGTATGGTTTACAAATATTTGTCAGGGCTGAATTTGCTTTTAAATTCTAAACAAACACACAATTAGTTTATGTTTCTTTTTGTGTTCCTATTTCTGTACCTCCTTAAGTTTTAATTAAATTACCAATTACCATTTCCAAAAAACGTTAAACAACATTTATTAAAGAAAAGATAAAATACTTTGGAAATTTATTGGAGAGAAATATAAAATCAAATTTTTGGTATGCAGCAACACCAGAAATATACTTTCTCATTCTATACTTGACATATCGTACTAGTCACAAAATCTGGTCTAGGCTTACTGTCAATCATATTACAAAGACAGGAGATACATTGAATATTTTTTCATATATTTTTTTTCTTGTGCCTGCACAAGATTCTGGTGTAATTTCCAGACAGAAAATAAATGTTTTAGACAAAACAGTGTGCAATACACATCCACAATATCCAAAACAATATTTGTAATGAAACTTCTTTAAAAATATTTTCTAAACACATGAAAGATAAAATGGCAAATGCAAATATTCATATGCTTAAGAGAAATTGTAGGAAAATTATTTAGGAAACAACCACTAAAGAACTCATTGACAGTAGCTTTATTTGTGTATTACCTATGTATAGATAGAAAAACATAGTGAAACTTTGGGTGAATGGAGTCTTGAAGGAACAAGTTTCTATTGTTTATCACCAATTAGATATATCCGATCATTGCCTTTAGTAATTATTTTGAAATGATGATATAGAAGGAAGAGAAAGTCTTTTGGAAAATGTTACAATCATCCTGATGATTTTATTGACTATGGTGTAAAATCTACTCAATTTATATACCTTTAAAAATTAATGTTTTTCAGCAAACTAACAGATGAACAGAAAACCAAACACCGCATGTTCTCACTCATAAGCAGGAGTTGAACAATGAGAACACATGGACACAGGGAGGGGAGCATCACACACCAGGGCCTGTTGGGGGATAGGGGCCTAGGGGAGGGATAGCATTGGGAAAAATACCTAATGTGGATGACAGGTTGGTGGGTGCAGCAAACCACCATGGCATGTGTATACCTATGCAACAAACCTGCACGTTCTGCACATGTACCCCAGAACTTATAATAATAATAAAAGTGTTTTGTAAACGTAAAGTCAATTCATCAATCTGTTACTACTGTCTCTGAACTTATATCACTACTACTATTGAAACCTTGTCATCCACAGACATTTTGAGTTGCTGTTGACTCCAGAATATTTACCTGAACCTTGTTTATCTTCTTCAGAAGATTGTTTTATGCAATCAAATGTCATTGGCTTTAATCTCTTGTTATTCTTATGGCATAGTATTTCCCGGGGGCGGGGAGGCTGGGAAATACCATTTAACTATCAGTTTAAGATTGAGATTCAGAATTGGCTATTTGGAGGACTTATTAATCATTGTTTTAAGTCTGTTTCTAGTTTTAGAGAAAACGGAGCAAAGGAAAGGAATGTGTTTAATAATAAAAGCTTTTCATTTCACTAAGAAAATTTCAGTTGATGAAATTGAATTTTTCCAATAGTTGTACAGCAGTGAAAACATTTTGCTCTGGCAATATTAAAGAACGAAAGAAAAGAAGAAAAGAAAACAGAAAGAAATTAGAAAGGAAAGGAGAACATGTTTTAATATTAGGTTTGAATTAGGTTACCCTTGAAGATCTAGTTATGTATATACCTAAGAAATGGAAAAAAGGTTTGTACCCTGACTGGGCAAACACTAGAGTGAATGAAAAACTGGAACAGAAGAATAGAATATGGCATGATCTATAAGAAAATTTTCAATTTTGCTCCTAACACATACTGCATCCATTGATAGCATTTCTTAATAACATAATTCTTTAATATAGCTTCTAAGACCAAATATTCATATGTAGATTATATGAATCAGGTTTCTAAAAAGACTTCATTTTAGAAAAATATTCAGATTTGAGTGAAGAAAATTTGATTTGAAAGTGATTCAGGGCCAGGCACGGTGGTTCATGCCTGTAATCCCAGTAATTTGGAGGCCAAGGCAGGCAGATTGCTTGAGCTCAGGAATTTGACCCCATCTCTACAGAAAAATACAAAAAATTAGTCAGGTATGTGGCATGCACCTGTAGTCTAGTCCCAGCTACTTGGGAGGCTGAGGCGGGAGAATCACTTGATCCCAGGGGGTGGAGGTGGCAGTGAGCCAAGATCATGCCATTGCACTCCTGCCTGGGCAATAGAGCCAGATCCTGTCTAGAAAAGAAAAAAAAAAGAATAGGAAAGAAAAAGAAAGTGATTCAAATACAGAATTTAGGTTTGTAAGGAGAAAACTTTCCAGTGGTATTATCAATGCCTCCTCAATCACAGTGCTCTCTTTTGTCTCTATGCACATGGAACTTTAATATCATACTTATTAAGTGCAAAGCATTTACACTTAAAAAGGAATTTAAGTAGTGATTAACTATCCATAAACAGTAGGTAAAAGTCTGTTTCTAAACTACTGGCAGAAGCTGGGAAACAGACTCTTGATTACTATTCCAGGGAGTGAAATGAAGCACCTCAGTATAAAAAGCCAAGTGTGAGGTTCCGGATGCCTCTGGTTTCAGACCACTAAAAAAAAACCTTGTACCTGGAAACCAGATATATCTGGGTTTAATGCTAGCTGGCTCTTTCAGTTTCACGCACTAGCTGTTTAGCCTTGGGCAAGTTACCCACCTTCCCCCAACCTGGGTTTCTCCATCTATAAAATGGAATTCATAATGCTTAGCCACAAAGGCTCATTAGCATTAAATGAGGGGACATATCTGAAAGTCCTGCTGCTTTCCCTGACACAGTAGACAATCGAGAAATGACACGGGATAGTGAGAATAACTCTGCAATGGTGTGCTGCACTGTAAATAGCTTTTCTTGTTGAAATGAAGCATGTTCTATGTGAGAAGAATGTTTTCTCAGAAGATAGGATATTAACCTGCTGCTTCTGTCAGTTTGGCAAAAGTTAAGCTTACAAATTGTACAGAAATGTCTGCTCATTGCTGATCCACCTATTGCATATTTTCAAGGCCATTCTGATATGAATTTAAACTAGAAATGCGGACTTGACTGAAATTTCACTTCTGGCTTACTTTAGTCCTCTAGACAGACCCAGTGTTTAGTTTAACATCAGAGAAGAGTTTGGGATATGCCCATATGATAAACCATTGTTTCTGGTTTTCATCCAGGTTTTTAAATATGACAGTGACTGAACTTAAATATCCACTGGCTTTTTCACTTGACCTCTCACTTTTCATGATCATCACATTAGCTTTATCCTAAAAATACATGAAGTAGTATATTAGTATGATTCAAAGTTCCTAAAAAATATCTGTTGCATTGTCCAGCTGGAATAAGAAAAGTTTATGTGCAAATGTAGCCTATGTATGTGTATGTGTCTCTGTTAAAGAAACTTGAATTGAAATAGAAAATTATATAGCATTGGCATTTTCTTTTCCTGGTATTTATGTGACACACAGTTTGGATAGATACAGAAAACTGATGTCATGCACCTGAATCTGCCCTAGCTAGGAACTGAAAGGAAATACCCTCCTTAAACTTGAAAGATAGTACGCAGAATGTGGAAGAATCCCTCAATTATCCCATTCTGAACACAGTTTCCTGCCTGACATTTAATTCGGTTTTCAAATGGAATTATTAAGCTTTAAAATATGTAATTTAAGGGAAGTAGAAGAGCTGGTTGGTCTGTTGTCTCCCAATGCATTAAAAATAATCCTCTTTGCAAGGAATCTTGGAGGAGCATGCAAATTACAAGGCTGGTGAGAACCACTATTGAAAAATACTGTGCTGGATCTTCATGTGATGTTTAAGACAATTACTGGAGGTAACTGCTACCCACATTGCTTTCAGAATCATTTCTGAAGATCAGCTAAAAATGGTGTTAACTATAAGAGACTCAATCTGTCAAAATGTATTAAAGTGACACACCGTTAATACTGGTTCAACCTAAAAAAAATCAGCCTGTAATGAAATGCTTTATATAAACTCAGGAAAGCTGGAAAATTCACAGTTCTCTACTAAATTAGCCAGTATTTGAGACCCATGGTGGTGTGCAATAGGAATGGTAATTTGACTCTCTGCAGTGGCTTAGTAATGTTCCCTTAATACTTACCCATGGATGTGTTTGCTTTTGTGAATATATCTAAGGAGCCTAGAAATGACTTTTCTCCGAAAAGAGGAAAGGATTTGGAAGAAGCAGGTGAGGACAAAAGGAAGAGAAATGTATTTTCCTTGCTTACTTCCCAAGATTTCTCCCCACCTCATAGAAACATAGACATCAACACACACACACACACACACACACACACACACACACACACACACACACAATTTGAACGGAGGCATGTCTATAAAGGGCATTTTTAAGTGATTTCTTTTTTAAAATGAGAGCAGCAAACACTGAACCCGGTGCCCCTATCCTCACATTAGGAATAGTCAGAACCTGCATCCTCAAGCTTCAAGTCTTTAGTTCAGAAGAAAAGCTAGCTTATATTGACATGCAAACGAGGGCCAGAACCAGATGAAAGTGTCTGCAATATTTTATATCCTTCTAAAACTTGATAATGAAGCACCACCAGACTTTACAAGGGTCAAATTGAGGAAAAATAAAAGCTGGCATGCTCTCCTGTTGATTTATTATTTGATCAAATTCACAGCCTTTATCCGATCAATTTATTAGAGCCCTGTTGAGAGGCATTTATCATCGAAGAGCCCTTAAATGTTAAGAATGTGATGGAGAATACCTTCTCTTTATTCCATGTGAAAGTCAGAAATAAAATGGCGTCTTCTTCAGGAGCAGAAACTTCATGACCCAAGGGTCGTTATGTCACAGTTCTCAAATTAAAGATAGCTCTATACCTAGACAGATGGGATGGATTATCATTCAGAAAATGCTATTTGAAGAGTGATTTAACACCTCGGAATAGCTTTCTGCTACTCATCTTGACTCCATCCTCCCTCTTTCCTGGCTTGAAAGTTCCTCCATTAAGAAGGAACTTGGTTTTTACACACTTGTGATTAAATATACTGCCTGGGTGAATTGTCTAAACTTCATTGTAAGTACAGATTGGTTTATCAGATTATCTAGCTAACATTTATGGTTATGATTGGCAACATATAGTTAAATTTCATTAAAGAAAGAGAATACATGTGAAATTTATATCATCATTATCATTTTGACCTCCTTACAACTGTAGTAAAGTATGCCTATTACCTGGCTCTGATTTCTATTTCCATCCTCTCTTCTATTCTTCCTTTCATGTTCCATTCATTGGCCTTCTGACTGTTCCCTAGAAACACCTCACACTTTCCCACACCTGTGCCTTTGCTCATTCTTTTCCCAAACCCCTCATAAATGTCACATTCTTGATAATTTGTCCATTGGTAGATGAGATCCCTTGAGACAGCTGTACACAGTAAACATTTTAGCTCCAATGAGCAGTTATGTGAGCCATGAGTGGTTCTTGAATTGTAATGTGCATAAGAAGTACTGGGAGTGCTTGCCAGTGATGGAGATTGTGTAGCCCCACCTCAAAGATTCTTATTTGATAGTTCTTTGAGGACTCAGAATATGCATTGTTAATATGTGTTGTCCACCAGGTAATTCTAATGCAGGTTATTTCACAACCACTTTAAAAAACACTACTTTAAGAATATCTCTCCTTTACTTTTTAAATTTCTGGCAAAACTCTTACAAGAAAACATTTTTTTCAAAAATATTATTTTATCATTACTTTCTGGAAATGCCATTTCAGAAACATTAGAATGCAGGCAGTCTTATCCCCTACCTTCTGAGCTGGGTTGAAAGTATTTGGATGAAAGATAGTTTAATGTGAGTTAATAAAATTGCTATTAATCACTTATTGAGAAAATGCAGGAATCCCAAGAACATGCTATAATCTGCATCACTTTTGTACTGCCTCTGCCAGCTCTGTAGCTAAAGAGTAACAAAACAACTGTTTATGAAAAGGGTAGGTTTAAGATGAAAATAATTCTTTTGCAAAACTCAGGAAACATTATCAGAGCCTGTGGACTGTGCTCTTCCAACTGGAGAATCCTGTATTTGTAATAAATTCCTTTTGCTCTGGATGAGTTCTGCATTTTCAATGAGGTTAACTTGGCAACATTCTAGTTGATTTTAATAAAAATAGCTGCTTTGAGGACAGGGAGCTGAGGTTGCCAAATTTACAGCTGCCTTGCACAATTACTCTTACACCTCCTTCAGGGCTACTTAGAACCAGTAAGCAAATTAAGTGTATCGATTGCAATTTTGTTGGACTAACCCTGCTTTTTTTTTCTTAAGGAATAAACTTGATTCCTTTTAGTATGTGTCTGTTCAGAGTGATCTCTTTTCTTTTCAGCCATAACACAAAGACAACATCATGGCTGGATCCACGACTTGCGAAAAAGGCTAAACCTCCAGAAGAGTGCAAAGAAAATGGTAGGTTATTAAGTTTTTATGGTGTTTCAGCAATGTGCTTTGAGAATGTTTGTGTTTCTTAAATGAGAGTCTCACCTGAAGAGGCAATAATCTAGCTGAAACAATTTTAACGATGTAATGTTTAATGCTCAGATAAGAGAGAGAATTAACTCGGCATTTCAGCAGGGCCATGTGGTTTTGCTTTTTCTCTCTGAGGAGACTGTGCTGAATATCACATCTCTGTCATCTCTGTTGGTTCTGTTTGACTCCTGGCCTGACTTTCCACCACCTACTAAGGACTTTTTGTTTGCAATACGTCGCTCTGAGGACTCTGATCTTTTAATTGGAGTCAGATATGATGCATAAGAGAAACAGTTTGTGGCACTATAATATTTGATTTTGTTTTGAAAGGCTTAGCATTCTAGCAGTTATTAAGGACTCAGAAATATAAAGACATGCTTTCCTTGAATCAAGCATTTAAATAAAATAACCAGTTGCCTGAATGTCTTAGATTATCCTTAGTATTTTCCAGTTCTCAATATTCTAATATTGACCTGCTTTAAAATAGACCGTTTTCGTGCATGTGAAGAATCTTTTAAAAATAATTTTGAGGACTAGATGAATGTAAACCTTGTTTTTAAATTCATAAATTATGTGGGTGAAGTCTGTTACTGATGATACTCTTAATTTTTTAAAATATTGAGTTTAATTTTAAAGGAGCACTTACAGTTTAGCTAAGATGATCAATAGCATACTCTCTGATGATTTATTATTTGACCACAATCACATACTTTATGTGATTAAATTATTAGAGCTCTGTTCAGAGGTTTCTGTCACTGAGGAGCTCTTAAAGGTGAAGAAAACAGCAGAGAATATTTGAACGTTAAACAAAGTTTTTAAAAAGTTAACTTTTAAAAAAGTGTCTCATTCTAAAAGGCCTTTCTTTTCAAGCATAATTCTGACTTTCTCAGATACTGTCCACATTCCTATGTTATAAGGTAACTGTTCACAGGCTAGGGACTGAGTTAAATTAAAAATTAGAGATTGTAATTTATATGAACATATATAAATGTACAAATATCCAGTTTTAGTCTATATTTAATTTTGTATTCATAGCCATATCTGTACCTTTCTGTATAATAGTACAACTGTATGCAGTTGAATCCCATAAAATTATTGTATGATCAGAACTTTAAAGCATGATTTGGTTATATTTCATTGACACCAATGAAACGTGTTACAAAATGTGATAGTCTGAAAATTAACATGACCTGTTCTAACTGGGAGTTATGATTTACTTATGCCACAGTTGTAAAACCTTAATATATCCTAATTAAAGTGAATTTAACAATTTTGCAGTTCTGTGACATATGGAACTTCTCAGCTGTCTTGCACCTTTGAGTTGTTCTTTTTATTATAAAAAGCTATTAAAGTCAATTTTAAAATCCTGAGAGAGACGCAAGCATAACATATTGCATAATTATAATATTTCAATGTTATTTGTTTTTCCCACATCTCTGCTTATCAGACTTAACAGGATGGTAGGTGCCTAAAATATGATGCTGGTGTCCTCTGAACCAAATGTCATTGAGAAACAAGTTCTAGAATTCAGTTTATAGATCAGGATGATTTGTAACTTGGTCAACTGCTATTTGTTTTCATTCACTACAAAATAAATAATTCCTAGACTCTATTCTTTATATTATCGGACCGTTTTTACAGTGGAAACTAACATCTAGTTTGTTAGAATGTTATTATTCTGGACACCTATTTTAAGTTTTCTTGCCAAGAAAAGTGCTTTTAGGTAATATTGTTACCTGTGTTTTACTTTTCTTTAAATGACATAGATTAGTATTACTTATTTACAACACTGGATGTTAATGGATTGCTATTGAACTTGCCAGTTAAGTCATGATTCTTCATATGTGCCACACTTCGGCTCAGACAAAAGTTAGTACAGTAATTTTCTGAATGCAGGAATACATATAAAATGTGTATTTAAAAATGTAGAGGCTCCGATGATGATATCTTTTTCCAGCAAAGATTTGCCCTTCCTCTGCTAGCCAGATAGAGTGAAAGCTAATTACCCTAATCCAAACCAGAACTGAGCCAACGTGAGGTTGGGTTGAGTTTGCCCTGTTCTTTGAGTGTTTGGCCACCAGAGTTTTCAGCTAACATCCTAGTGCAGGTTGGCAAACATTTTCTGTAAAGGGCCAGGTGATAAAGATTTTAGAAAACGTTTTGCAGGTCATCCAGTTTCTTTGCGCTCACTGTGCAAAAGCACCATATGTCAATATACAAAGGTCATGCATGTGTTCTGATAAGGTTTTATGTATGGACATCAGAATTTGAGTGTTGTATACTTTCTTTTTCTTTTTCTTTTAAGCAGAGGAAGCAGGTTTTATTGATGGGTTGTCTCCTGAAACCAGAAAGACTACGTACTCTATTCCAGTTACCCCCATGCCTCCAGGACCACATGTTGTTCCACTTGAGGGGAGGATAAAAATTGCCTCTTGATTTTCCAAAGCCCAGTCTTTCCCTTCCCTGTGCAGCCTTAGAAACTCCGTAGCAATGCTATTTGGTATTTTGGCTTTTTTTTTTTTTTTTCCCCATCCTGCTGCAGCTACTTCCTGTCAACTAGAGGTGGAAGGTGTCCCGGGAAGCAGTTAGATGAGTTAAGTGTGATACACAGGAGAACAGGACCGTAGCCTATCAAAAGTCCCTCTGCCCTGCCTCAGTGTATTGGTCCTTCGTTGGTTACATTTCTCTTTGTGCTGGAATACCCTCTTCTGAATCAGATCAGGGATTTCCACTGCCAGCCATGGACCCGGCCCCAGAGCCATGAAATGAGCTAGTTCAAATTTGGGTACGTTCCTGGCCCACAAAGATTTGAAATGATCTGTCAGGCAATTGTGCCACCTCTGTACATCTTTGCTGTCTTTCTGTCGAGCTCAGGGACAGCAATTTCTAGGGCAGTAGTAAGATACATGATAGGAATTTCAAACTTGACGTCAAACTCACATTGCAGGAGGCCATGGATATACCAACATTTTCCAAACCACCGAGTCCCTACCTTGCTGGACTCCAGTTGGAACCATCGTTGTCGCCATTGTTGTTGTTCTCCACATACCAGATAAGGGACTGATATTCCTCCTTCAATCACTGCACCCACAACTCCCAATCTCGGGGTCCTGCATTAGTCTTCAGTGCCAGAGTCTCAGACACAACATGTCAGGTGGCCTCATCTGCCATCTTGGGCCAGGGCGAGTTTTGTATACTTTCACATAACAAAATATTCTTCTTCTTTTGATTTTTCCTCAACTACTCGAAAATGTGTAAACTGTTCTTAGCCCATTGGCCACACAAAAATTGGGGCGGGCTGAATTTGATCCACAGGACAAACCCTATCCTACCATGTTTGTGTGGGACTCTACTCTTGGCAGGTCTTGAACACCAATATTTTTAAATATTTTTCTTCTCAGGACTGCCAGACTCCCAAAAATCGGAGGTGGTTTTCAGGAGATTTAGCTTAACTCTTTTGCCTCTAGATCCTGCAGCTCCAGAATTGACAAATGTCAGGAGATAACTGACTGACTGTTTGAAATCTCTCACATCTATGTTTGTCACTCCAGTCCCTCAAGATTCCTCACTCTTCTGGTTTCTTTAATGTCCAGCAGCGGCCTTCTTCCCAGGCCAAGTCTATACTGTTCTAAGAGCCCAGACACAACAAGAGCAGCTGCAAATTCTTCCTTCACCTCTCCAGGGTTCCCTTTTGAGAATCTTAGACCTTCTAGACCACGCTGCTTCAGCTAGTTTCTGATTTCTTTAAACTGCTTATTTTTTTACATTTTATCTAGGCTTTCTGTTTTCTCATGTCTAATAAGCTACTCCATCCTATCTGGTAGCAGAAATTTTAGTGCAGTAATTTTAAAATTGTACATTTTGGATGTTACTGGGCTGGATGTCATAAAATCTTCACTGTTATCCTAATTTATATTTTAATAACTGAAGATTATATATTATTTTGTCATATATGTGTGCTTACTATTTATGAATGTATGGAGGTATGTAGTGTATGTGTAGATATGTATCTGGAAATGTTTGCACCTTCAGATCTGTTTACATAAATGAGTAAAGTTAATTCCTGTTAAATTAATATAAGAGGAATACAAGTGAAAGAGAGATGAGAGGGGATACTAACTAGACTAGAGAAAAAACTAACAAAAGTTTTCTCATTGGTATTAAGGAGAAACAGGACATGGATGGCTCAGTACAAATATATATTAAACAAGCACTTATTCTACTGACAGTAAAGCAATCATTTTGCCTTTTTACTTAAAGGATAATACTGCTACTAAACATAAAAACATACTTCCTTCTCTCACAATAGGGTTGGAAATACTGAAGTCATTATGTTCTGTGCATTTGTCATAGCTCTGTACACTTTTGGAGTTTTAGCAGCAGTCTACATGGCAGAAAAAAATGTCTCCACCTACTACTGGATTCTAATATTAGTATTTGGGGGAGTGCTGTTTAGCAAGCCAATATAGTCTTTTTTAAAATGCCACAGAAACAGCAGTTAACCACTAAATACCTTGGATGCAAGATTGGTTAAAGTGTGTATAAAGCCCCATCATATTTCTCCTCTCAGAGTCGGTAATATGGGATCCTCCTGAGATATTTTCAATCACAACCATTTCTGTGCTGACATCCCATGAGCATTGCTGGGTTAGAATCCATATCAAAAGTGAATTAAGCCTTGTAGGACCATTCTTTTCTTAACGTTGAAATGTTATTAAACCCAGTAGGATCACACTATAATGTACAGGAGAAGAAATAGAAATTGTTTAAGATTTGGAGTCAGGAAAAGCTGTTCCAAACCCTAATCTGTGGGTTCTTGGGCAAGGTACTTAATCTTTGGGAGCCCAGATTTTCTTACCTGTAAATGGGAGTTGTACCTCTTTCATGCAGATTTACCTTCACATGTTGGAAGCACAATGACTAGCACCATAAATTCTAAATAACTGCTCATTTTCTTTCCTTCAGGTAAAACTCTGAGACAGTAAATGAGCCCTATAGAAGATGACTGGGAAAAAATTCAGAATAGTTATCCTACCTTAACAACTTTGAATTACTATAGAATGTCCTTGCAAAATGGAAATGAACAAATCCATATAGGCTAAAATTATCCATCTAGCTTATTCCAGCCTGAGAGTAATACACTGGGGGGTTTCCCCCTTCAACCTGTTAAGTTGTCTCTAAATTTTCATGAAGTTATATCTGCATGAACTGGGTGGCTTTGTTTCTGTATTCAATATGTATGAATTTTAAGTGAGTTTTCTTATGTTACTACAGGAAAAAAAATTACATAATCTTAACCCATTCACCTGCATGAGTAGTGCATTTCAATTAGAATTAACTAATGCTTTGAACTAATTAATTAATCTATCTTTTTAAAAAAGTGTCCAAAATGTGCATGAACAAAGACAGCATACGCCATGCTTTACAATACATATTAAACAGGATGTTTTTCAGGAGAAGGAAGTTGCCTTTCTGAAATAGTAGAAAACGCTAATTAGTTTCAATTCATTTCTTAAATGAGTTTTATAAAACTGACACACAGATTAAAAGATTCATACTTTTGTGTTCATATTTCAGATTCTGTTTCTAAATTACATTGTTTATCTTCCCTTAAATAGGAGCTTTGGCCTTTCTCATTAAATTTGTTTTGATAATTAGTGATCCTAATTTCTCAAGAAGATTAAGTATGACCAAATTAATTTTACCTTTCAGTATTTATCTTTCTAATCTGATAAACCTGCTAAGATTATGTTTGCAAAGCACCTTGGAATCTTTCCTCAAGGAAGAACTCATAAAAAGATCCTAACAGTATTAACTATTCAAGTACTAAAACTTCAAAAATTGATTTTGTTTTTGTACTGATATTTCATATATGTTTGTAAAAAATGAAATTTCAAATATCTTAATAGAAACAATTCTTTTGTAGCTGACTGGTATTAATCATGATGTGCTTTAGCAACATTTTGAGATATGCTTCATCCAATAATATAGTGCCCTTTCCAGTCTTTTCGGGTCAGAAGTACTCAGAAATACCAACATTTTAGGAATATAAATCTTTTGTGGAGGAAATAATACAATTTATCCAAAATAAATCAGGTAGGATGGATATTCCACTGTCGTGCACCAGTACCAAATTTTGGGTTGTGGCTGGCATCTGTTCTCGTTGGTCCCAGAATCTGTTATTGATTGGTTGATGTCCAGACCATAAAAGATATTAAGTATTTTAAATATCCTTCCTGCACCAATGATTTATGTATTTTACCCTTCTACCTGTTAATATTTCATGTGGCTATAAAGTAGTGCCTAGGTAAGGATTACAAAACTCTGTCCTACTTTGTTTCTTAGTTGCTCAAGTTACTTGCATGTAGAGCAATGAATTGTATATTATCATTTCTCCTCAATGCATACAACTTTTAAAATAATATTGACATCATCAAATCTGTTTTGCACAGTAGCAGAATGATTTCAAAATTTTTCAAATATGGCTTTTTAAAAACATTTTAAATTTTGAAATAATTATAAATTCACAAGAAGTTACTAAGGAATTTACAGGAAGGTTTTAGACACCCCTCACTTGCCTCTCTCAATGTTAACTTATATAAATACAGTACAATATCAAAACTAGAAAACTGATAATGGTACAATCTGCAGATTGTATTTTGCCAGGTATACAAGTACATATATACAATATACATGTATTGTATTACAGATTGTATTTTGCCAGGTATACAAGTACATATATACAAGATCATATTTTGCCAGGTATACAAGTACTCGTGTGTGTGTGTGTGTGTGTGTGTGTGTGTGTGTGTGTGTGTGTGTAGTTCCATGTGATGATATCACATGTGTAGTTATACATAAGTATGACCACAATAGAAATTCAGAAGTGTTTCATCACCTCAGGGCTCCCTTATGCTACCCCTTCATAGCCATGCTTATCTCCTCTTCCTGACCAATCCCTGACCCTTGACAGCCACTGATCTGTTCTTCATTTCAGTAACTTTGTTGCAAAAATATTCTATAAATGGAATCACAATGTGTGTAAACTTTTGAGATTGACTTTCCACTCAAAATAATTCTCTTGAAATACATTCTAGTGTGTGTATCAATAGTTTGCTACTTTTTATTGCAGTATAATATGCCAGTAGGCTATGGCATGGATGGTACCACAGTCTGTTTTAGGGTACCCATTGAAGGACTTGTGGGTTGTATCCAGTTTTTGGCTAATATGAATGAATAAAGCTGCTATGAATGTTTGCATACAGGTTTTTATGTGAACATAGGTTTTCACTTCTCTAAGAACCCAAGAGTGCAATTGCTGGATTATATACTAAGTGCGTTTCAGTTTTAGGACAAACTGCCAGACTATTTTCTAGAATGGTTATACTCTTTTACATTCCCACCAGCAGTGAACAAGTGATCCAATTCCTCTGCATCCTTGCCAGCATTTGAGGTTATGAGTATTTTTTAAATTTTAGCCATTCTGACAGGTGTGTAGAGATACTGCTTTTTGGTTTTAATTTGCATTTCCCTAATTGCTAATGATATTGCACATCTTTTTATATGATTATTTGTCATATCTATATCCTAATTAGTGGCAAATCTGATCATGTCTTTTGCCAGTTGTTTGCTTTTTAAACTCAGTTTTGAAAGTTCCTTATGTATACATGTTCCTTTACATATCCTTACAGATATGTTGCTTACGAACATTTTCTCCAAGTCTGCAGTTTGTATTTCCATCCCCTTAACAGGATCTTTTACAGATAAATATTTTTAACTTTGATAAATCCAGATTATCATTTTTCCTTTTATGAATCAGACTTTTGGTATCAAGTCTAAGAACTCTTCAATCTAGCCCCAGGTCCCAATTTTTTTTCATGTTTTTTCTAAATATTGTATAGTTTTATTTTTTATGTTTAAGTCTGTTGTGTATTTTGGGTTAATTTTTGTTAAATGTATAAGAGTTAGGTTAAGGTTCTCTATTTTTTTTTCCCTATGGATGTTGAACTGTTCCAGCACCATTTGTTGAAAAGGCTATTCTTCTTCCATGGAATTGTGTGTGCACCTTTGTCATAAACTGTTGGATTCTGTTCATCTATGGGTTTATCCCTTCACTTGTACCACACTGTCTTGATTTTTCAGCTATATAGTAAACCTTAATATTTGGGTAGAGTGACTGATATGGTTTGGCTCTATGTCCCCACCCAAATCTCACCTTGAGTTGCAATCCCCATGTGTCGAGGGAAGGACCTGTAATTCCCATGTGTCAAGAGAGGGAAATGACTGAATTATGGGGCAGTTTGCCCCATGCTGTTCTCATGATAGTTAATTCTCACAGATCTAATGGTTTTATAAATGGTAGTTTTTCCTGCACTCACACACACTCTCCCTCTCACCTGTCGCCATGTAAGATGTGTCTGCTTCCCCTTCTGCCATGATTATAAGTTTTCTGAGGCCTCCTCAGCCATGTACAACTGTGAGTCAATTAAACTGCTTTTCTTTATGAATTACCCAGTCTCAGGAAGTTGTTATAGCAGTGTGAGAACAGACTAATACAGTGATAGTTCCTACTTTACTCTTATCAAAATTGTTTTAGATATTTTAGGTCTTTTGCCATTTTATATAAATTTTAGGAGAAGCTTTTCTAGAACTACAAAAATCTTGTTGGGATTCTCATAGGAATTGTATTAAACCTCCAGATTAAGTTGACAATAATATATATCTTTACTGTGTTGAGTATTCCAATCCATGAACATGATAAGCCCTTCCAATTATTTAAGCCTTCTTTGAGTTCTTTCATCAGCATTTCGTAATTTCAGCAAAAATATATGGCACGTTTTGTTTAGTGTATACCTAAGTATTCCATTTTCTTTGAGCAATGTAAATGGGTATTGTGTTTTTAATTTCAGTCTCTGTATGTTTGTTGTTAGAATATATACATGAGATTGATTTTCATGTGTTGGTCATAGATCTCATGTACTTGCTGAATTCATTTATTTGCAGGAAATTTTTTGGTAGATTTCTTGTAATTTCTACATAGACTATTTTCAACTGATATAATCATAAGATATTTCTTATTTAAGCTGTTGACATGGTAGATTACATTGAGTGATTTTCAAATATTAAATCAACCTTGCATACCTGGGATAAGTCCAACTAGGACATGGTAAATAATTCTTTTCATATACTGTTTTATTTAACTTGGTAATATTTTATTGAGGATTTTTGTGTCTATGTGTCTGTGTTTTGTGTCTATGTCTTTTGTGTCTATGTTTTGTGATTTTGTGTCTATTGAGAAATACTGGTCTGTAATTTTTTTTTGTACTGTCTTTATCTGGTTTTGGTATCGGGGTAATACTGGCCACATAAAATGAGTAGATAAGCATTCCTTCATCTTCTGTTTTCTGGAAAAGATTGTGTAAAATTGGTGTCAATTTTTTCTTTAAATATTTGGTAAAATTCTCCAGTAAAACAACTGTCCTGGGGATTTTTTTCAAGAGGATTTTAATTACAAGTTCAATTGCTTTAATGGTTACAGGATTATTCAGGTTATGCACTTCATCTTGTTAGTTTTGGTAGTTTATAGTTTTATAGGAATTGGTTCATTGCTTCCAAGTTGGTGAATTAGAAACAATTTCAAGTTTTTGAATTTTTTGAATAAACTTTGTGGATCTGTCTTTAATTTCATTGTTCTGCCCTGTTATATCCACTCTGTTACTGACCCACCCAGCAAGATTTTAATTCCTATTATTTTATTTTTCCATTCTGTAATTTCTATTTAGTACTTTTTCATAACTTCCATTTCTTTACTGAGATTTTTTGTTTCAAGAGAATTCATAATTGCTTGTTAAAGCAATTTTATGATGGCTGATTTAAAATCCTTGTCAGATAAATTTGATACTTGATTTTTCTTGATTATCGGGATTAGTTTATTGTCTTTTCTCATCCAATTTGTTTTTCCTGGCTCATGGCCTATATTTATGTTTATCCTGGACATTCATTATACAGACCATTTTTAAATGGACATTTAAAATAAAATCTATCATTTTAGCCAAGAATGTCCCTGTTTTGGTTTGGTATGTAGGTTCTGGCCTGTTTCGTAGGCTGTGGTTTCAGATGCATTTAGCTTGCAGAGCTCTTCCCAATGCTATTTTTGGTCTGCTTAGTTCTCCTGACTTGGGAGCTCCTGATACATTCCTGCTGGTGCCACTTGCAAGTTACAGAAAGCACTTCCCTAGGTCACCTGTTATTACTAGTAGGGATGTTAGACACTGGATCTGTAGGATGGAAAGTATTTTCTCTGGCCTCTTATCTCTGCCCACATGATATAGGCAGGTACGGGGAAGAGGATGGGTCACCCATATGGGATTTTGGTACCAATTGATAATAAATGTTGCCTTCAGACAAAATAGAGCAAACATTATTTGGTGTTTTGATACAAAAACTATTTAAGGAACCCAAACAGATTTAGAACCACAATTCCCAAGGTAATACTTCAAATCAGCAATGCAAAATCACTGTGAAATTGTATTGATTGTGTTTGTCCCTGAACTTCTTACTACAGAGTTGTAATTCTTGGAGATTATATTATTTTCCAAATTTGACCAGGATTGATGTCAGGGGTTCACTGACATCACCAGTGCAGGTGCTTCCAGCTGCCACTATGGACACAAGATGTGTTACCCTTTCTGGGATCTACTGATGCCACCACTTATAGGTTAAAGGAACCTACACTGCTTCTAGGTATGGGTCAGGAAAAAGGCTGCCCCCACGTCCCAGTTACTCTCCCCCTTTCCTTGCCCTTCGGCCAGGGAGAGTAGGCTTTTCTCTTTTGTTTTCTTGCTTTTGTTGTTTGTTGATGCCTGTTGTCCATTCCAGGCTGAAGGTCTTCCTGGTGTGCTCTCTAAGATATACGGGAGAGAAAAGAAAATCCTACACATTTGCTGTGGTTCATTTCCTAATTCCTGCCTTCTTCTTTCCACCTTTCAGGGTCTTTTGTGAATGTCTGTTGAATTGTTTCCAGGGTATTTAGCTGTATTTGGAGAGGAGGAAATGGGAAAATTGGGTCTACACCATCTTGTTTGGAACCAGATGTCTAAATATGACCTTTGGTACCAACTGATAACAGTACTTTAAAACTTGAAAATATTCTCACGTAACATTATCTCTGTTGAATCTACTCTGTGATGTAGGTAGAGATTTTGAACTCCCATTTTTCAGATAATTATTTTATAGTCCAAAGGATTTAGGGGTCTGATCTAATAAATATAAATAGAAAATGAGGCTTGGATCCAAGTCATCTGAGTTTAAAATGGATATCAATGTGTGTCCACCATTTAATACCACAAGACGCTTAAACTAGAGACATTAAGGCCTAAAAACATGTTAAGGGAAACTAGATTAAATATTTTTCCTTTAGATGAGTTCATGTTCTTTGCAGGGACATGGATGATGCTGGAAACCATAATTCTCAGCAAACTAACACAAGAACAGAAAACCAAATACCACATATTTGGTTTTCCGCATACCAAATACCAAATCACTCATAAGTGGGAGTTGAACAATGAGAACACATGGACACAGGGAGGGGAACATCACACACCGGGGCCTGTTGGGGGATAGGGAGCTAGGAGAGGGATAGCATTAGGAGAAATACCTAATGTAGATGATGGGTTAATGGGTGCAGCAAACCACCATGACATGTGTCTACCTGTGTAACAAACCTGCACGTTCTGCACGTGTACCCCAGAACTTAAAGTATAATAAAAAAATAAAAATAAAATTTCCTTTAAAACTTTGTATTTAAAACCCATAAGAAAGGAAATATTCTCAAATATTCTCAGTGTTTTCCCTAGGACATCATATCAGTAAATAGGCAGATCAATATAATTTTATAATTATTTTAATTGTCATATAATTTACATGCTTGATATGGTTTTGCTGAGTCCCCACCCAAATCTCACCTTGAATTGTAGTAATCCCCATGTGTCAAGGGCGGGGCCAGGTGGAAATAATTGAGTCATGGGGGCGGTTTCCCCTAAACTGTTCTCCTGGTAGTGAATAAGTCTCATGAGATCTGATGGTTTTATAAATGGGAGTTCCCCTGCACGAGCTTTCTTGCCTGCTGCCATGTAAGACACCCCTTTGCTCTTCCTTCATCTTCTGCCATGATTGTGAGGCCTCCCCAGCCATGTGGAACTGTGAAACAGTTAAACCTCTCTCCTTTATAAATTACCCAGTCTCGGGTATGTCTTTATTAGCAGCGTGAGAACAGACTAATAAAATTCTTAAACTTACAGGGTAAATTTACCTCTCTGAAAGGTATTATAAAATAAGTATTACATTCAGTGTTCTTACAACATTTTAAAAAAGAATTAGCTTCTGTTGTTTTCTATGCCTTCACAATTTTTAAAAATAAATGCTCACTGTAGTCCACATAATGTTGGAACAATCTCTGTAAGTGCTAAATGTGAGTCTCTGTCAATCACACTGCCAGGCATTAAGTGTCCCTCGGTGGTTAGGTTTGCTCAACAATGCAGAAAGCAAAATAGAAAGGTGAAGCACTGATCTGAATATATAAAGTTCTCTCAGAAATGGGAGAAACAGATCCAGATCATCAACCCAAAGCCAAGTAATTGAACATTAACTATGGCTTTTAGTTGGAAAAAAGAAGAGGGGTTTAATTTCAGTTGCTGAAGTGAGACGATCTGATTTCCCTCTCAGTACATGTAATTTTGAGGTTTCCTAAATGCTATGCATCATAAAACAGTGCATTCCAAGGCTGATGATGATTTTTTAAAAAGCATTTTTTTTTTTTTACTAGTGAAGATAAAAAATGAGCACTTATGATACAATTCAGTGCATAATTGTGACCTAACCACCAAGCTTCTCAAAGTGTCTGGAATAATATCGATTGAGTGATGCCAGTCACACAGCTATCCATGTTACTGTTAAAGACCCATATCTACCAGGAATTATCTTTCCAACAGCTTAAGATTTTATGTGCTCTTTGTGGGAACTCCTTGAACATAAAGTTGCCCTCAGACAACAAAGAGCAAACATTATTTTGTGTTTTGATACCTAAACTATGTAAAGAACCTAAATAGATTTAGAACCACAATTCCCAAGGTACTACTTCAAATCAGCAATGCAAAATCAATGTGAAATTGTGTTGATTGTGTTTGTCCCTGAACTTCTTACTACTAAGTTGTAATTCTTGGAGATTATATTATTTTCCATATTTGGCCAACAAAATTAACCCTTGACATTTTTTACTGATTTCCCAGTATTTGTGTTCATTAAGAAATATTTTACTTTCTCCCGCATTATCTTTTCAACTTTTTCTAATTTATATTCTTTCTTTGCCTTCACTTTGGTTTAACTAACCTAAACTTTTCCTTTGAGGCTGATTTACTCTCAACCCCAGCCCAGTGGTTCGAGGCTACAAAAAAGAGTGGCCTTTTCCTTCCAATCTAGTACTTAGTTCTTACATGATATCGTAAGTCATTTTACTCATTTTAATGCAATTTATCTGCAAACAAAATAAGTTGATCTGGTTGTCCATATGACAGACACTTGTTGGATAACCTCTCTGCTTGTAGAATTAAATTATTTGCCATGAAAAATGCAAATGAATACAACTTCTGAACCCAGTTTTCAAAGAGCAGTATAGTGGGGAAGATAGTATGCTAAGCTCCTCAAAAATGAAGAGGAGAGTTTAACAATGATGTGAGGAGTCATCCACCGAACAAGAATGAAATGAAAAACAACTGACTGTGAACCCAGGCATGTTCCGAGAAGACTTGGTGAAAGAGATGGAATTTGAGCAGAATTTTAAAGATGGGCTGGATTTAGAGTCACTCCTAAATGTTCAAGTTCTACTAGATTGCTTCATTTGGTGACCTTCTCTTTTCTCCTCACCCCTTGTCCCTATGTTATTGTTCCCAATCCTGTGGCTTTACTTCCCATCTAGATGCTGATGACTCTCTTTTTCCTTCCAACTCTGATTTATTCCGTCTGCTATTATGAATACATTTAAGTGCTATATTCATTTCTCATTATTCTATTAAGCTTTATTTCTATGATGTTATTATTTCTAGATAATTTCAGTTCACTCCATCTTCTGCTGCTACTCTAGCCAGGTCTGTATTTGTTATATTACCTTTCCTTTCAAGTTCTTTCTATTACTAAACTATATTCTTACCTGTGTTCTTCTAATCTTTATTCTATACTTTTCTCTATGAAATCCTTCATGGAGGAAAATATTTCTTATACTTAATAAAATATGTTCTCTTAAAACTGCCTTTTCCTAAAAGGATGTCACCTTTCACTGCTCACAATAGTTTACTATCCAGCTATTCTTTTACCTTGCTTTCCATATTCAGCATAAATCCATGGTGTATGTGTTTGCATTCAAGATGCTGCATGATTTTTGTATCACTCCATTTAATTTTTTTTCTTGAGAGCAAAGCCAGCTGTTGCTATTGTTTCCTTTATTCCACTCTGATTACTAAAACTGTGTTGTTCCCATTTAAAAAGCATACACACAAGATTCAGATAGTAGCATTCATGGATCTTCCTCAGGGCTGGAATTCAAAAAGGTCCAAACGCCAACTTGGTATGTTGATAGAATATGTATTTGAATCCCAAGTACTGAGGGAACTCCTGATAAGATTATGACCCAAGAAAGGGATAGATGAACAACATAAAACTTGAAGTACCATGATGTGGACTTCCAGGGTTTTTTTTTATTTTACAACAAAAAATAATAGCTTTCCAATAGTTTAAGTGAGTTTTTAGCAAAAACATTAGAGTATTCTCCTTTGAATTGACTTCCCTATGTTTGTGAGAGCACGTTTTAAGTTAATATTTAAAATTAAATATTATTTAAATAATATATACACTATATTTTCTAGAAAAACAAATCTGTTTTATTTGTTTCTCACCTTTATGTGGGGAAGTTTTCATTAACTTCTACAGGTAGAAGATTATGTCTTCATTAGTATATGTATGGGTTGACAATCTCCTGATCTTATTTGTCTATTTGCCATGCAGATTCTACTGGAAACTTTATTTTGTACAGAGAATTTTGCTTCATAGAATTGGAAGCTTGTTTGAGGTTTATTTAAAATGTATAGATCTCACTCTGAATTTTGAAAGTGTACTGCCTTTTGCTTTGTCCACCTATAGGGCTTGGCAATCCTCAATCACTATTATATTTAATTTGTTATAATCCTAGTACCTAGAGTTGTGTCATATTAGCTCTTTGTGCAGCATGGTTTTGAAATTACCTTTCCCAACCAGTTTGAAATTCAGCTTGTGGGTTTTCTTGGGAGCATAGCCGAATGAAAATCCCATCTCCTAAGCTGATGCACTATCACATAGATTCCTTTTTCACTGTCTTTACACAACTTGCAACTTACCAGATACCTGATTCTGTAAAGCCAACAGTTTCCTTTACACGATTTGTAGACAGGAAGCCCAACTTGCATATAAATAGAGATATACGTGATAATTTTTTTCTCAAATAAGATAGTGTTCCCATTGGTTTAATCTTATAGTCATATCAGCATATGGGATAGTGTCTGAGAAAGCCTTTGTAAACTGTAAAGCCTAAAACACACCGGTTAATGTTGTTATTGTGGGGCTGCAGGGTATGTAACCTGATATATGTCAGAGACTGTTCTCTGGTGATGACAGGGGCACAGATGGTAACGAAAACCCAAAGCATTGAGTTAGGGGAGGTTGTAGCTGTTTCATGGCTAGTTCACTTTTTATAGGTATCTGACCAGAGAAGTCGTTTAAGATTTGTCCTCACTCTCCTTTTTCCCTAGCTTATTCCCTCCCACTTTTGGGCTTTTTCATTTGGTCTGTGTCTGACTTAGAGCTTTCTATGAGTGAGTTTATTTGGAATGAGGAAGGCTGAAGAGGTGTTGTGTTTAGATCTCCAGAAGGAAACCACTGCATCCTTGTATAACTGCATAAGGGAAGAAATATGTGTGTATGTATGTCAGGTGTGTCTGTGTATTATACATCATTGGGCATGATGAAAAAGTGTGCATGGTAAATGCACCTGGATCAATTAGGAAGGACTTCATTTAGAAGATGGATGTTTGCACTGAGTTTTACAGGGCTGAAGAAGTACGTCATACCAGAGAGAGAGAAAGAAACTTGTTTTACATGTGGATTTACTTGGAGGAAGGTTATAGATGGGAGAGAACAGTAGATTTTTATGACTAAAGCTGAGGTTGAAGCAAGTGTATTGTCATATGTAAATATAAAAATAGATGAGCATAGTGAAGATGAAAGGCAGAAATGTTACAAAGTTGTAGGAGAACAGAGGCAAACACTTGTGTGCCATCAAAAAAATCTGTAGATTCAATTTATTATCCTACATATGATGGTCTTAAGCTATGGAAAATGTAGTCCTGGGCCCCAGCCAAGAAGCTTGCAGGTCAGTTGAAAAATAGCTAAGTAATGGGATCAGATGGTAGCAATCCAGAAACACTTTGAGTCACTTTATGGGCTCTGTGATCTTGTGGCTCAGTTGCTTTTGTGGGTATCTGTTGTTCACAAAACATTTTTTTTCTAAAGCACTTTCACAGATGTCAATTGTTATCTTAATGAGCACTTTGTGAAATAATAAAAATTAATATTCACATTTAAGAGATCACGGCTCTGAGAGGTATAATAATTTCCCCCAAACTAATTGCTGATAGAACTGCAATTAGAATCCTTCCCTTGTGGTTCCTCAGTTGGTGACCTTTCCCCTATACTACCTCGCCACTAGGCATGCAGCAGAGCCCAGGGATAGACAACCATCAGGAGTCCCTAGAATTTATAATGCTCACCAGCTTCCTCTCCTAGAAGATACCCAAGCATCAGTACCACTATAGCTATCATAAGCAGAAACTGAAAACACAAACAACAGCATATGTTTAGGATGATGCACTTAGCATTATTGTGCAACTTGGGAATTCATGCTTAGAGGAATGCTTGAGTGCTCTCCCAACATTCCACTGGGTTTATAACATCACTTTAAGAGGAATGATATTGCAGTTACCATTTGCTAGTATCATTCAGAGCACATGTTACCTGCCATTCTTAGAAATACAGTATTCCCTAAAGAATGGTAAAAAGTGTCTTCAACTTATTAAATGCTTAGCTTTCTTCAAGGGCAATGTGCAATCCTTAAATTTTTTTCTTATTATTAAAAAAGATGTTCATTGGCTCCTTTACTGCCTTGGGGAAAACAGAGTGTAACTTTCTTGATCTAGTAAATATTATCAAGTGCTTCTAGGTTATTAATATTTATTGTCTACATTTGTTTTATCTTGAAAGTTGTTGACTTCTATTCAAAGGATGTTTTCCTTTTGTGTATGGTATATGTATATAAATTTGCAGGCAAATCCAGCAAAGAAATGACTATTTTTTAAACTAAATGTGAGATAGCAGTTTTAAGACATTAATACAGATTGGAAAAATAAAGTTTTACATGACAGCAAATTCATAATAGCAGCAAAAATTTGTGATGCAACATTTAAAAGGATAAGAGATGATCATCTGCAAACCTAGTTTATGTAAACACTTGATACTATCCAGAGAGTGCTCAGCCATGTGACTACAGAGAGGAAACCAAGATAGTCCGTAAGAACATAGGCTCTGGAGCCACACTGCTTGGATTCAGATCCTGGTTTTGCCATTTACTGGCTGTGTGAACTTGCCACTTACTGAGTGTGTGAACTTGTTCTGTAATTCCCCTTACTTTTTTTTTTTTGAGATGGAGTCTTGCTCTGTTGCCCAGGCTGGAGTGCAGTGGTGCAATCTAGGCTCACTGCAACCTCCATCTCCTGAGTTCAAGTGATTCTCCTGCCTCAGCCTCCTGAGTAGCTGGGATTACAAGTGCACACCACCATACCTGGCTAATTTTTGTATTTTTAGTAGACACGGGGTTTCACTATGCTGGCCAGGCTGGTCTCGAACTCCTGACCTCATTGATTCACCCACCTCGTTCTCCCAAATGGCTGAGATTACAGGCATGAGCCACAAGCCCAGCCCCTCCTACTATTATTAAGTAAACTGTATCATTTAACTTTTAACTGTTTTTCTTTAGACTCCGATATGGAAGAAAATACTTTGAAATATACATAGAAGTATGTCTAATCATAAATAAAATCCCCAGAGGTGATTCAATACATTCTTGCTCTCTACTTCATCACTAGTTTTATGTTACTGTATTTAATATTAATAGTTACCATGTATTGAGTAATTTGTGGGTGCTAAGAGTATTACATATATTGTCTCCTTTAATCTCCACAACAGCCCAGTGCTATCACTGTTTAACAGGGAAATAAACTTTTGATCAGTTAATTATTCTAGGAAAGAAGGCATTGAAAATTAAATCTAAGAAAATATAGCTCCATTCACATCAGACTTTTCTTCTCATGTCTCACTCCACTTTAATTGTCTTTGATAGTAGTACTGAAACAGCATGATAAATTTCCTCTTATAAAAGATCAACAGATGGTATCATCCTATGTATGGTCTTCTTAATGGAATAGAACTGATAAGCATAATTCACCTTTTAAAAAATATTCACTTCTAACACAATATAATTGGCACTCTAGCTTACTTTGGCCATGAGAAACATACATAAAACAATATAAATGTTTCATTCTTAGGCAAGAACAAGATATGTGTGGACTTGTGAAGTCATTTTGGTCAACCACTAAAATTTACTCCTGCCACTAATGGCTTACCTCAAAGGCACGTTAACATATATTTTATGTTAATTTCACATATCCTGAGCTTGACAGTAAAGCTAACCTTATTGTAAAGTATTTTATCTCATTGAAATGACAGCTTTATGTCTTAGTTACATGATGTCCATATAACAGACCCATTGTGCTCAGCCAATAGATTGGAATTTTCTTTTCATTTCAAAATTTGCTCACATAAGCATTGAAAAATTATCACTTCTCTATGTTTCTATTTTCTGTGGAAGCAATAATTTTAGTGACTGGCCCAAATTACTTTATAAGCCCATGTATACTGTGTAGCATCCTAAAAGTGGAAAATTCATGTTGTTTTTTGATCACTGCATGCCCAAAAATGATCTACAGCATTAATTATGTTACATCAGAAGGAAATGGTGAACGAAAAAGGTGAATTATATTAGCTTTACTCCATTAAGAATAAAAACATACAGGATCTTTTAAACATCTTTCAACAGTCAGTCATTCATAATCCCCACCACTAAATAAAGGAGAAACAATGCATTGTTTCATATTAAAATGTTCCAACCAATTTGTCATTATCACTTATGTCCCAATTTCCTGTTATTTTCATTTTAAGTTAAACAGTGCTGGTTAAACATAGTTTCCATTGTTAATGGGTGGCCTGGATATAAATGACAGATTCCACAGTGGTCAGAACAAAAGGTACAAAATGTAGCATATTACTTACAAAGATAGTGACAATATCTCTAAGTTCAGTTGTGTTTGGGTCAACAGTTATTTCTCCACCAGTGTCATGCTAGGCACTGTGCTAGAGACTTGGGTGTGAAAAATGAGAAATGATCCTTAAGGTGGTTTTTCAACTTGACAGTGAGAAAGATGCATGACTGGAGTCTTTCAAAGAAAATGCAGGGGCTGATTTCCACAGCAGGCTTAGGGAACACAGAGGAGGAAGACTGCATGTGTCTACGGCATTTAGCGAAGCCACATTTTATATATTCTGCATGAGATTTATTGACTATTCCTTGGTTTAAAAGCACCGTGCTAGGCACTGGGTAGACATGGAAGAAAAACATGCACGCAAAAATAAAGAAAGGATTTCCTTTCGTTTTATTATCCCATCCTGCGATGATTACAGGAAAGATGAGGGGAAGGAAAATCAGGAGTATTTGAGAGTGGGCTGAGATCCAGTATTCTCAGGATTCTAAATTGGAATATCAGGAATCTCATCCCAGAGGTAAAGTTAATATAATGCAGTTTTTCCCACATAAGGCCAAAATAGTAGGCTCCAGACCTGCACTACTATTCAAGGTAGTCTGCCTCTAAAAAGATAATTGGGAGAAACAAAATTAACTATTTCATAAAGAGAAGTCTTCAAATTTGCATGTGGCATAACCAGTCTTTTTTTTTACCTGGGCTAATCCCAAAGAGAGAAAAGCAATACTGTCTCATTAGTATGGACTAAGGATAGCTTTTCACTTAGGCGACTTTGTGTACAGTTGTGTAGCACATGTTCTTCAATTCTTCTTGACTAAAGAAACATGATGTTAAGTGGAGGTTATTTCATATGGCACAGCATCAAGGACCTTGTCTCATCTTTGAGACTCTCTCTGCTCTCTAGAGTTTAGGAAGGTGTCCACACAGAATAAGTAAATAAAAATAAAATGATGCAGTGCTTTACTTCCCATTTGCTCCATATGGCTAATGATTCTAGTTCTAGGCTATTTCATGAATAGTAGTCAGTTACGTTAGCCTATGCAAGTCTTAATTTATTTTCATATGGAAATTAATAATGATGTGCTTAGTTTACAGAGAGTATACATATTTGTGTAAGGTGTCAAATGGATATATATCATAAACTGTATTTAAACTTGTTTTCTGAGAATATGAAGTTCCCCAGACGATTGAGAATAAATGTTAATTTGGTCACTGGTTTATTGTTTATTTAACATTGACTTATTTGAAACAGAAGGATTGTTTAGGCAAGGAATGTTGTTGAATCATTGCTTCCTTAAATCTGAACATGGTACCTGAAATTCCTCTCGTAACTGTTGACCATGATCCTGCCCACCCGTGTGTGATTTTGCTATTATTAACCTTCTGACTTGGCTAAACTTGTGTCACCTCTGCCAGACTCCTACCTCAATCAGATTTATTAGCTGCAAGCAGCACCACCTTATCCATCAAGTCTGTCACAAAGAATAGTAGCCAAGATATCAGAGGCGTCCTTTGCTTTTAACCTCCCAATTGTGGTTTGGCAACCAGTAGCTATATATTTCCATGGACATGATTTTTTTCTATGAAAAAGCAAAGCCAATTATATTAAATAACTTAGAGAAAATTATAACTTGAAACCAATTTAAAAAAATAATATTCTAATTGTGCAATATAGTTGAAATGATTTTTCAGTGGCTTGAAACAGACATTGTGAAATAATTTTATAACATGCAGATCCCTATGTAAAAGCAAGAATGACAGCCATAAGACTTTATATACATATATAATATATAAGCATATGTATAATTTATATTTGATATACACACATAGAATAATTTGAATGCCTTAAGTTGTCACATGCCCTACCACTCCCTAATCTCATACAGCCAACATATGTCACGCATTTATATTGTCTGCCTGGACTAGTTAGTAGCCACTGGAGTTTGCATCCCCTGAGAAAGAAAAGTGATAGTCAAGGGAACCATTATTTCTCTACTATGTGTCAGGTTATGTTATAGAATCTTTCCATATATTATCTTACTTAAACCTGATAAAACTATGTGAGGCAGGAATTATAATTGTCATTTTACAAATAAGAAAATTAGTCTCTGCAAATTTAGTAAACTAGCCCAAAGTTGCACTAAGTAAAAGTCAAACCAAAGTTTGTTTTGTTTTGTTTTTCTAGGTTGTTTGAATAGGTAAGTTGTTAATGGCCCAAAATGATAAGCAGTGAAAACTTTTCCCTCCACTTCTGTCCCTCTGCTACCCAGAATATTTCTCCAGAAATATCCAGATTTATTGGTTTCTCATATAGTATTCTAGAGATATGTTTTTTGCATAAAAAAGCAAAAGAAAGATATCTTGTGACAATTTATATAGACCTTTTTTTAAATTTTGTTTTTAAATAGCTATGCAGTTTTCCTTATGAGATTTTCACATACTTTCTTTGTCTATTTAGGTTTCTCCTAATGTTCTGCTATTAAAAATGTTATTATAGTAAACAACCTAGTACGTAAGTCATTTCACACATATATAAGAATTCAACTTGTTTTTTCAAATATCAGCTCAGTTATCTTAGTACTTTTCCTTTCTAATATGAGGTGTTGCTTTTATCTCACACCAAATTGCATTTTATATTGACAAATTCAACTCTTTCTTATCTATGTTTTATCTAGTATATCACTCTGCCAATAATACCCTCTAAGTATATTGTTGGAGCTTTCTAGATCTCTTTTAATTTCAGTTCTGACTTACATTTCTCAGCTCCCACTAGTTTAACTCCCAGTACTACTGATAGTTTTTTGTTTTAATTAAACTCTCTTTTTCTTGGCAAAATGTCTGAAGCATATCAATTAGCCAATTAGTTCTGATCAGTGAAGTATCTCCTTGCCTCTGTTTTCACCAGGGACAGCCATGCCCACAAAGGGGCATCTCTTAGGATTACAGGGGCCAAGGCATAGCTGTTTATCCTTAGGGGCTGATTCCTTAAGGTTATTTTGAGGATTAAGTTAGTTAATAGATGTAAAATTTAACGAATGTAAACTAGCATGGGCAAAGCACTCCAAATGTGACAGAGAACCAGCATATCACAGTGAATAAGCATGCAGTCTCTGAGCCATGAGCCTGGGTTTGCATCTCCTCGCTGTCCCTTACTAGTTATATAAACTTTGGCAGATTTCTTGACTTCATTGTGCCTCAGTTTCCTCAACTGTAAATTGAATACTTATAGTGCCTACCACTAGGAACGCCACTTGCTTATTCTGTGCTTTTGTGTGAATTTGGGAAAAGTATATCACCGGGACAGATACCCATTAATTTTACTACCTAAAGGTATCTTGATGCAAAGAAAGAGTCCCAGGCAAGGTCACAGAACAGGATGCAGTGAGTGAGGGCTGGATTTCTGCCCCATCCCACTCTCTGCCGAGTGCCTTTCAACAAGCAGCCCAGTCACGCAACCCTATGCCATGATCTTGTCTACACTGTAGGATTATCCTGTCTATTAAATGAGTTAATACCTGCAGAACACTTAGAACCACCCCACCACGTAGTATGCCCTCAGTAAGTACCAGCAATTTTCCTGCCTATACCTTTTCACAGTTTACTTTCCAGCCAGGTTTCCCTACAGCAGCACCATTTAAAACTGTCATTTTAAAGCACAAAAGGCAAGTAGAGAGCTTTTTCTAACACCTCTTTTGGCAGCCACCACCTATTTTAGTTATTTATAAAACAATTTATCTCTGATATATTCAAAATAACACACTTAAATTAGGCGCATGCAAACACATAAATCCTCACAAACAGTTTTTTCTCCTTTGGGACAAATTTGAATGGACGCAATCACTGATTTTAAAATACCTCCTGCATTCCCAGCTTGTGTTCACACCTGTGCCCAAGTGAGGCACTTCCAGTGCAAAGTGGAATGGGACACAGAATCTGTCCTCTTTCTAGAGAAATAAAATCAGTGATTACAGTTCACTGTGCTCCGTGTTAGGCTGAGTGGAAAGGGAGCACAAAGTAGGGGCTGAGCAAATAGCAGATCGGAAAAGGGGCTCAATAAGGTATGATGCTGGAGTTGTTCCTAAGGGTAAGAAAGCAGTCAGGAAAATGGAATTTCATGCAAATTGAGGGCAAAGTGGCTTAACAAATTCCATTTCACTGTGATGCAGGCCCTGATTAGCAAGGAGGATGTTAAGAGCAAGTGGTTGAAGCCGGATTGGAGTGGTCCATGAAAGAGGTCAGGATAATATTTAGAAGTGTGTCCTATAGGTAAGACAGCCCCTTTTAAATGATTGGTGCTGAACATTCATCTATCCCAAACTGTATTTTCCTGTCTTGCTTTACGGCCGAAGTGCATAGACTAAGTTAAAGCAGAGAAATGATGGCAATAGTCTACTCAGGAGATGAGAACCTAAAGTAAGAGGTATTCTGAAAGAGGAAGGGATTTGGTTTACGGATTTGACTGGATGATGATGGAGCTAGCTAATATTTTAACCCTGAAAGTTAAGCAGAGAAATCATAGCCATGGAATAACATACATTTTTCTTTCATTTTCTGCCTCCCATTTAGAGCCTCTTTCATAGAGTTATTCCATTTCTTTTTCAGAAAAGAAACTATTTATCAGGTCCTCATGGTCTGGAAGAAACCTCAGATTTGCTAGTTTTGGGCAAAATAACTTAAAGGTATATCTTTCTGTGATAATCTACATCTTTTCATAATTACATCCTTATCCATGCCATATGGGACACCTAAAATTTCTGAAACAGCAACTTCTCCAGAGAATAGCCTAAGGATTTCTCATAATGAAATGCACGTGTTAATAGTACATGGCTTGATAAACCCTATTGTGCAAGGTAAACCTCATGCTCTCTAGTAAGGAACATGCCAAAAGTCCTCTATCTAGACATAGTCTCTATGTGCCCATTGCTATTCTGTAATACCAGTGTCTATAATTTAAGATTCATATGCTAGGAACCCTGCCCTGGTTTATGATGACTTTGAATGACCTACCTACAGACACCTGCTCATATCAGTACAAACTGGGTTAGCTCACTAATGCCATATGTGTGTGTATGTGAAGCCCAGATTCACTGAATTTAATGAATTAACGCTGAGGACACAGAAAACTTTTTTTGTTGTTTTGTGAGTTTTTTTGCCTGATAAATTATTTGTATTTTCCCCAGGTTAACTATAGTTATTTTGCATATGTCATAATAGGTAACTTTTTCAATTCGTATTCTGAAATAATATGAGGAAAACTGATTATAGAAGCATAGTTATAATACGCACTATGATAGTATTATTGAATTTATAAACTCATTCCTGAGGGTTGATAGCAATGGTATTAATATTCTTAGACTAAAACACACATGCTTGCCTTTAGCTCATCATCAAGCATTTCTTAAAGCTGAATAATGGTATGGGAATTTGAAAAGTTCAAGTACCATCCAGAATGACTGACTATCCCTGCTTAACGAAATACATTTTTTGCATGTATTTGTTGTAAAAAAAAAAAAAAATCAGGTTCTTATTTTGTAAAAAAAGTATTTGACCTAGGATTTAAAAACACAAGCTATGTACTTTATGTGGGTCATTAATATGTAGAATAACTTTTTTCTAAAATCTGGCCTGTAGATTAATATTGTTCTTTTGAACAATATTAATTTTTCTGTTCCCTTGAAAATGAGCTAAATTTTATGAACACTTTTGAGTCTTACTTGCTGTTGGTTCCTGGAGAAAACCCCCAGAATGAGAAACTCAGGAAGAAGCCTTTAAAAGGGCTACAGGTATAGGGGGATATGAGCAGTAGGGTTGACACAAAAGCCAGACAAGCAAAAGGGCTTCCAAAAGTAAGAAGTCATCAGTAATGATACATGCTGCAGTGAAGTCAGGTAAGGCATGAACTAAAAATTGTCCACTGGATTTCACAACAAAGATGTTATTAGTAAATTTGGCAGGCATTAATTCTTGGAGTGTCGCAGAGTAGAAGCTAAATAGAAGTGGGTTAAAGCATGAGTGGGAGGATTATCAAGAAAGATGCATTTGTAGGTCCCAGCAAACTGAAGCATTTCTCAAATATCCTTTTTAGAAATGCTCCGAGGATAATGATGGTGGTGGTGAGGATGATGATGCTAAAGATAGCAATAATTATGATAATGATATTTAGCATTTCTTGAGCACCTCCAGTATATCAGATACTGCAATAAGCAATTTACATGTGTTATCTCTTACAACCTTTGCAACAATTCCCATTTTACATATAAATGAGACATTGATGGGTTAACTCACTCTTGTTCATCTGCTTCCCTACTTGCTACCTGCCTGCCTGCCCTCCTACCTACCTTCCTCCCTTCTTTCATTCCCCCTTCCTTCCTATTATCTATAGCAAACATTTATTTAACTCTTTTTAGAGTCTAGGTCCTTTGCTATATTATGCAACAAATCCAACATTGACTAAAACACTACTTAGTATGCATAGTAGACATGAAAAATAATGACAGTCTTTATTCTTCCTTGCTTCCTAAACGGAAGCCTTTCCTTGTTTACTTTCAATTTCTCTAGCTCATCACTTTCTCCATATCAAACCACCTCCATTTGCGAGGGGGAGTTTCCCAGAATGTTATTCTTGCATCTTTGCTCTCCCGCTTATATTCCAGGACCTCACATGGTAGCATCTACTCCCAGATATTTAATTGCTATGAGGGCTGTACAATTAATACATATTTTTATTTCTCCACAAAGGCTGCTGTGCTTAATGTAAAAGGCCTCAGAGAGTCTCTGATTAGAATACATCTAAATGAAAGTGGGGAAGACAAAGCTTTTTAAAACTCTCTTTCTGGGTTGGTTCTTTTAACATCCTATCCCAGGAACTTCCAAAACTTCTTTAAACATTACTGTCTTTAATCTATGCACTCTGTTCTTGGATCATCTCACTGTCTACTATGTATGTTTCCCTGTACATGTCTTTTCTGTCACGGCAGTGCTCAGCAAATGCCTCGTTGGTGTCTCTCCTGCTTTCGTGGTACAGCCTCATGTATGCTCACCACAGCTGCCAGCAGCCCTTCTCAGCAGGCACATCTTTTTGGATATAGATGCTCTCTTTCAGAGCACACCACAGGCACCAGGCCCTATGGGCAAATTACATCAAGAACCATCCTTTTTCTTCAAAGGTTCAAGGTGGGCCCCAGATAACATTTTTATAAGCTGCCATTTAACTCTAGCCATAGCCCTCTGAGTAGTCTACACTCCATTGACTGTATCTCTGGTTTTAAATCCACCTGTTTCTCAATTTTAGAAACCTTGTAGAAAGTTATAGCCAAGGTTCACTTGCGTGTGCTGAATGAGAGCAGAATATCTTCATGTTAAGTTGTGAATTCTGCCATCAGCTCACCAAAAGACTACGTTTTCAGGAACCACGCGGGTTTGTCAAGGCAGGAGGCTTCCTGCTTCCTCGTTGCTGCATGCTGACTGTGAATATACCTTCACACAGCAGCATTACAATTTTACCCGGATTTTCTAGGAAGCTTTTGATTCTGCCTATTTGGGAAAATATTAATCATTCATTTAATATGCAAACTGATAAGGATTTTTAATTACATTTTGCGAAAAAGGTTTTGCAATAACCATGTTCATTGATTTGCTTCCACTAAATCAGCCAGTGAAATCAGAGGCACCTTCTTTAGATTTAATAGAATGTACAGTAATTTCAACATACCTATAATAATACTGCTAGATATGGCAATAGATTTTCAATATTAAAATGCCTTGAGGGCTCTCCTCCTCTCATCATTATTTCTAGTGTTAGATTTTAAAGTCCTGTTCCCAGGTTCCCTTAGATCAAGAGAATGTGAAGTTTATTTCAGAATAGCGATACATTTTTCATTGTCTCTATTTTTATGCCATCATCCTGCTATTTAGTTTCAATGCTGAATGCACCTTTGCCACCTTCACTCTTGGTTTCCATTAACTTAATTTGTATACTGGTTTTTGTCTGATGACTATTGTCTTTTTCCTGGAATTTTAACAAAAAATGAGTAGTGGGATATGGGAGACATTTGTGAGAGAAGATGAAGAATCAATGTAAATTGTGTAGGCAAGGCACAACATATGCTTCATTCAAGTAAATTTTTTCAAAAATTGAGTTTTAAATAAGAGTACACCATCAGTGCCATGGAGTCACATATTTGATTTCAACATTTTCTTTACAAAATTGAATCATAAGTGCTTGAAAATCAGGTTCAAACCTCACCTTATAATCACTTAATTTTACATTATAATCATTTAATTTTTCCTGTTTCTTTCTTTCTTTTTTTTTTTTTTTTTTTTTTTTTTTTTTTGAGACGGAATTTTGCTTTGCTCTTGTTGCCCCGGCTAGAGTGCAATGGTGTGATCTCGGCTCACCACAACTTCTGCCTCCTGGGTTCAAGCAATTCTCCTGCCTCAGCCTCCTGAGTAGCTGGGATTACAGGCATGCACCACCACGCCCAGCTAATTTTGTGTTTTTAGTAGAGACGGGGTTTCTCCATGTTGGTCAGGCTGCTCTCGGACTCCCGACCTCAGGTGATCCGCCCACCTCAGCCTCCCAAAGTGCTGGGATTACAGGCATGAGCCACTGCGTCTGGCCTGCTGTTTCTTTTTTACATCACTTCTCTTCAGTGAAATTTTGAAAAGCTCTAAATCCAAAACCAGGAAAAATCTTTGTTTTAGGCTATACTAGCAACATAAAATTACTGTACTCTAAACTGGTTAAAGATTAAAGCTATACAAAATATGAAAATACAGAAAAACTAATAAATCTGATTCTTCTAACCAAGAGCAATATATCCCAACACACACACACACACACACACACACACACACGCACACACACGTGTCCAGGAATCTATTTTCTTTTTTGTATTTTTAATGTTTTCTTACTTATACACTTAAATTACTCACCAAAATGTAAACCAATAAGGAAACAAACCCTCTCTTAGAGTGCTTTTATTTATCAAATTATTCGAAGAGTTAAAAATATTTTTATTGACCTAGCACAGGTAATATGTCCACCTCTTCGCAAACAGTAGGCACTCAAATATATATTGAATGTTAAAACAATAACTGGATAAACTGACATAGAATGAAATATGGGCAGAAAGATGTGAGAAAAGATGGTAAAAGAGATTAAAAAAAACTCAATGGGGGGATGAAAAGAGGATAGGTAGATAGAAAGGTTGTTAGAAAGAACGAAGAAAGGCAAAGCATGAAAGGCCAGGAAAGATTTTTTAAAAAGAAGGGTGTGTGTGTGAGAGTGTGTGTGTGTGTGTGTGTGTTTTACCAGATCCTTATTGACTCCAATAGTGATGGCACCCTGTCTGAGAGGTTGAAGAAGAGACCCAAAGCCAGTGAATAAGACATAAGGTTTATTGAGGACTTACATATAGGGCAGTGTCCAGGAGTGGCAGGCTGGACAGGATAACAGCTACCATTTGTAAAAAGTATGCAGGTTATATAGCATTTTCACTTAGCAACCTCCACCTAGCAACCTCCATTTAACCCAAAGCAAAGGGCCTCAGTGCCTTGCACATCCTGCGTTCCAAGAAATGGGCTAGGTATTCAGATATCCTTTGTAAATAAGGAGTAAACCTCCAGGTTGGCCATTCAAAGATTCCTTAACTTGAAACTCTGAACACCCCTTCTTAGACCACACTGTCATTCTCAGTGTGTGCCTAAGTTATTGCTGGCAGGTGCATCTGCCATACCGTGTGTGTATATCATCTATCTCTGACATGTGTTGGCAACTTAAATGGCAATATTTTGCCACAATTCATTAACAACATGGAAATCTGAGTTAGAATTTTCAAAAGAACTATCAGTTTGACACTTAGAACAAGTACCTTGTTTTTACCAAATGTAGTAACCATGCAGTTAAATGTAGAATTCTTTTTCTAATTGCTGAGCTAAAGGGAAGTTTCACAGTGAACATGTGTGACCTGCGTAAGTTACCTCACTACATTGATTCGCGCACTCAGTTGTTTTCTGTGATCTGCCAGCAGACCTTTTGGCTAACCAACCAAATTTCAGATGGTTATAGGATTTGTTTCTGGATGTTTCTGTGTAATTTATTGGAAGAATAAGTATGATCACATGATGCCATATCACATTTATTGGAAGAATAGTAATTGGCAGAGTGAAAGCCAGCTATACACAGGGGTTGGATATTAAATTCTTGTCTTGTGTTGTCTCTTTGGGAAACACTAGAAGACAGGCAAAATAAATGCCCTGGGGTGCAGCCCAACAGATGTCCATTCATGGTAAGTAATTCAGCACTTGTGAAATCTGCAGCCATCACTATTTCTGCATTCACCAAAATGGCTCTGGCTATTCTAAACACTGATTTGGTTTAGAGGTACTTCTATGTTTTTCTTGTCAGCTTAAATAAATGTAAAACACTCACCTTTTCAGAATCTAAAGGTCATTCTCAAATGCCATAAGGAATTTGAAGACACTGAATTGTCTTAAAACCTTTGCTTATTCGTTGAAATATTAGATTTAAAATGATTGCATACAGCATAGCTGAAAAACATTTGAGTAAGAGAAAATATCTGCATGAAAATAAAGTGTTCAATTAAGTTTTATGGGATTCATTGCACACTTAATTAAAGTAATCTTTATCTCTACTGCTCACCATGCTCATTTAACAAGAAAATGGAGGAATATTAAATTCGTGGAATATGTCCCATATCAGTGTATTTTCCAAAATATGTAAGTATGAAGTAATTGAAAATACCTTTGCTCTTAAGAGGTTTTAAATATTCAGCCTCTGCATTTATAATTAATTTAAAGACTCCATTTTTAGAGCCCTCATAGATGTAACTAAAAAAGGAAATGAGCCATAAACGTGTTAATACTACCTTTTGCTCAAGACTCTCTACTCACCAAAGTTTATGCAAAGTGTATCTAGGTAATAATGACAAGATGAGAATTCTGCTTTTAAATGGTTCTATCTACTGCAGATTATTATGCAACTCTTAATGAAATGTTTTATATTGATTATATTCAAAAGTTGCCTTGCCATATCTCAAGGATTTTAATTATCAATCTGGTATACATTTGTTAAACATGGATTGACAGAAGTGTAGAAGCAGTTTCTATGTTTACTTATGAAATATAAAAATACTCAATTATTTTACTGTTTAAAAAGTGCAAATGTACTTTGAATGCTCTTTTATCAAACTCAGTATTATCAGTCAACAGCTTCTAAGTTAAAGACAATCATAACTTTGGTTGCTCTTACATTTGAATTTTTAGATTTTTATTTCCTTCAGAAAAAAAGTAATGAGCCCGGCCCAGTGGCTCACGCCTGTAATCCCAACACTTTGGGAAGCCAAGGCGGGCGGATCACGAGGTCAGGAGATCTAGACCATCCTGGCTAACACGGAGAAACACCGTCTCTACTAAAAATACAAAAAATTAGCCAGGCGTGGTGGTGGGCGCCTGTAGTCCCACCTACTCGGGAGGCTGAAGCAGGAGAATGTCATGAACCCAGGAGGCGGAGCTTGCACTGAGCCGAGATCGTGCCACTGCACTCCAGCCTGGGTAACAGAGTGAGACTCTGTCTCAAAAAAAAAAAAACCTAACAAAAAACAGATTGCAGCAAAGATGATTTACCTTTACCTTTGTAAACTATTATTTGTTACTCATGTAACATAATTTAAACTATTATTTAATTGTATAAAATGGAAAATGGGAAAAGTATATATAAACTTATATATGCACACACCCATAAACATACATCAAAACAAATACATAAACTTCATAAAGCAATCCTTCATCTTGCCAGTAGTTTCAAAATTAGTAGTTTTACTATGTGACTGCCCTTCAAGCCTGTGGTGTTGAAAATATTAGAACAATATGGTTTCAACAGGAACATAAGATACTTGATTCAATTTTACTCTTTTATTCTTTTTTTTTTTTTTTGAGACCGAGTTTTGCCCTGTCTCCAGGCTGGAGTGCAGTGGCATGATCTCAGCTCACTGCAACCTCCGACTGCCTAGTTCAAGTGATTCTCCTGCCTCAGCCTCCCGAGCAGCTGGGATTACAGGGGTGTGCCACCACGCGCAGCTAATTACTGTATTTTTAGTAGAGACGGTGTTTCACCATGTTGGCCAGGATGGTATCGATCTCCTGACCTCATGATCTGCCCGCCTTAGCCTCCCAAAGTGCTGGGATTACAAGCATTAGCCACCACGCCCAGCCTACTCTTTTATTCCATTTAAACTATGTGTAGACTATAAATTCAGCATTCCAGAACATGAAAATAATTTCTTAAGTTTGTGCATATTATTAAAGGCTTTGGAGATTATTGAATATACTTGTGCAAAAATCTTTATTTTTCTAAGTATAATGTATTGAAAAGCACACATAGGCTTTGGAGATACAGAAGTGGATTTGAATCTCAGCTCTTACACTGACTAGTCTGTGCCCTGGGACAATTTACATCATTGTCATGAGCTGTATTTTTAGTCTATAAAAATAGAATTGATTATTACATTACTGTGAGGATTAAATGAGATAATATGTAAAATGTCTAACATACCACCTGCTACCTCTGAAAGGTCTGTGCAAGTGTTGGTCTTTTTCTCTCCCTTTCTCCTTTTTATTACTTTTATTAAAAGAACATGGACTATCATGTTTTAATATGTCATATGTCTAGAACTCTGCTAAACATTTTAAGATATATTATATTACAAAATCCTCAGAAGGACCTCAGTAGACCTTATTATTCCAATTTGGAAAATAAGGAAACTGAGACTCACAGAGCTGAAATATCTTGTTCAAAGGTCCATCAGCCAGTAAATGGTAGATTCTGGTTTCCAACCTAAGGCCCGGATTTGAACCTAGGAGAATCTGACTTCTTAATCTTTTCCTCCAAAAGAATTCCCAAAGCATCCTTCTTGACTCTGTGATAAGGGAATAAAACAACATAGAAAACTTTTCATCATGGTCTGCAGATGTAAAAGAGTTTGAGAAGAAGGATTGAGTTTGACACTGTGAAAGCCAACTATGTGCCAATTGCTACAAGTAACCAACTAGTTTGCTGACACCTAAAGCGGGGCAGGGCTAGTAGGTGGAAAGCAGCTCTCCCTGACATCCTCAAACACGGTGAACTGAAAGCAAAGAGGATATTCATTGCAGTTCACAGGGGTCCTAAGAGCTGCTCAGAAAAGCAATCATCTTAATAACTGTAGAAATCTGATCTTCCAGAAAACTTTTGCACCGACTTGCAGATTGTTGCTAAATGTATGTCTCTTACAGATGTGTTCACGCTTACATTGGTTGATGTTCCCTGTAGGAAAAGGTAAACCATCTCCTTTCTTCAGAATACTAAAAGAGGATAATTCAAAAAGCAAAATGACCCATCCTAGTATTTAACTATGGTTGGTATCATACTCTCCACTAGACTCCCTTTTCCTTTCTTCTTACCTGTGAACTTCTCCTTTTTGAAACCTAGGTTGAATATATTGTCTTCCTAGAAGATTTTCCTGGCTTGCTCCCATCCCTACGTCCGTAGGGTTCATCACACCCTCCTCTGAAACCACTGTATTTTGTATGTCTTCCTGTTGATATAGTTATTGTATTATACCGGAATAAATTTACACAAGTCTTTTAGTCCTAGCACATAGCAGGTGTTCAACAAATGTTTATGGAGTATTGATTATACAGTCAAATTCCTGAAAATAGATTGGGTCTTAGTAATGTCAATTTTCACAATGCCTGGCACAATGCTTAGCCTAGAGTATGTGCTCAGTAATTTTTTAAAAAATAAATGCATAAGTGATGACTGCAAAAGTCCCTGAAAAATGCCACTTTACTCAAGTTTATTAGAGAATGAAGGATTCTTACATAGAATTAGAGGTTTTAAAAGGACGTTTAAGGGAGATGGAAGGTAGAATATGTCCCAGGGTTAATATGGCACAAACTTATAAAAAGCCTTAAAGTTTAGCATAAGCTGAGCTGACAGCAAATGCCACACCACCAATAACAACAAAACTCACTCTTTATAACATGTATAGGAAGAAATTCACCACTACTCTAATATTAAAGGTAAAATAGAAAGCAGAACTATGACTCCTGGCTTGTTGCATCTTCTCCTTGAATGGACATTGTCTTCAAAGGGCAAAGAGTAGAAAAAAAAAAAAGTACATCATGTAGAAGCAACTGAAACAAGTTGACTAGGTGCATCTTTCATCTCAAGTTGACAAAGATGGCCCTGAGAGCTGTAAAGAAAATATCGAGTGGGTCTCTTTAAAGTAGTTCAAATGCCCAGACCCAGGTTCTGAAAGTGATTGAAATGGGAAAAAACATTAGGGTATTACTGATTCCTAAAAGGGCAAATGTGGGTAGCTTTTGTAAACAAAAAATAGGTAGACTTAGTGTCAACCTTTGAAAGAAAAGACGAAAAAAAATAATTAAACAGATTACTCTTGAGCACTTAGCACCTAATATGGTGATCCTTAGAAGCCAGACTAACATCACTGAACATGAGAAATAACAAACTAACAATTATGTGTTGGTATAGCGACTATATTATGGCAGGAAAATACTAACAATAGCCACAATTTAATAAGTAACAGCTGTGGGCCAGGTAATGTGCTCTGCATAATATATTTTTATTTTCATTAAAATATTAACATAATCTTTCAGGATATTTTTGTGGGTGAGAGAAATTGGGGTTAAATAATGGGCATATTTAAAACTGGTTGAAAAGTTGTACCTAAAGAGATTATAGTCTGAAGTAAGATGGTCTTATTCTGTCTACATTGTTGTATTGTATGAATGCTAGAAGCAAGGTATGTTTATTACAATTGTAGATGACTCAGAGCTAGAAATAACTATTAATAGGATAAAATGACAGAATCAATATTTCTTAATTACCCAATGAGAAACTAGTAAGAAACCAGTATAACAACAGATAAGTAGACATTTCTGAATTCAAGTTTCCTAAAAAATTTGTTTAATTCATAGACTGTTTTATAGAACAGCTTTATGTTTATAGAAAACTTGAACAGAAAGTGCAGAGAGTTCCATATACCTGCCCCACCCTCCCTCCACACACATATACAGTTTCCCCTTTATTAATATCTTGCATTAATGTGGTATATTTGTTACATTTGATAAGCCAATATTGATACATTATTATTAACTAAAGTCCATTGTTTACTTTCGGGTTCCCTGTTTGTGTTGTACAGTTCTGTCGGTTTTGACAAATGCATAATGCTGTGTTTCCAATATTAAAGTATTATACAGAATATAGTTTCAATGCCCTAGAAACCCCCTGTGCTCCACCCGTTCATCCCTTCTCCCTTTCCAACCCTTAACCACTGATCTTTTTATATCTCTATAGTTTTGCCTTTTCCAGAATGTCACATAGTTGAAGTCATATAGTATGTAGCCTTTCAGACTTCTTTCCCTTAGTGGTGGGCATTTAAGGTACTTTTATGACTTTTCATGGATTGAGAGCTCATTGCGTTTTATCTCTAAATAATGTTCTATTCTGTGGCTGCACCATGGTTTGTTTATCCGTTAAAACTATGAAAGACATATTGGTTACTTCCAGTTTTTGGCAAATATGAATTAAGTTGCTACAAACATTCACATGCAGGTTTTTGTGTGGACATAAGTTTTGAACTCATTTGGATAAATAACCAGGAATGCGATTGCTGGATCATATGATAAGACCGTGTTTAGGGTTGTAAGAAACTGCCAAACTGCCTTCCAAAGAGGCTGTACAATTTTGCATTCCTACCAGCAATGAATGAGAGTTTCTATTGCTCCACAGCATTTGTAGCCAGTGTTCTGTATTTTAATCATTCTAATAGCTGTGTAGTGGTACTGAAATCAGGTCTTAAAAATGAGTTTCATGTATAGAGAAAGGAAGGGATCTCCTTAAGAAATGGCTCAAATAGGGGGAAAAGTTCTTGGTAGAGTCTATGGATCATAAGCTCGATGTATCAAAAGCCTGATGCAAATGCTAATAAAAATCAAAACAAAACCAAAAACACCTTGAGGTATGTTGATCCTGTCGGTTTCCTACTCATGCGATGGAGTAATCACATTATGCTCTGTTAGTCAGGGTATATGTAGAGAATGGTAGACAGGTCAGTTTCGGGCACATGGTACAGTGACAGCTCTGACATGTTAATCCGGATGTGGAGGTTGTATTTATGATATCAGTCATTTCAACACGAAAGATAAATGTGTTGGGTGATAGGTATCCCAATTATCCCGATTTTATCATTATACTTGTATACATGTATCAAAATATCACATGTATCCCCAAAATATGGACCACTATTATATACCAATAAAAACGGAAAAAAATGTTGTGTAAAAGAGGAACAGAACAAAGGAAATCTATAAAAATATTTCAACAAATGTCATGTTAAAGGGATTACATTTTTTGTGTTTCCAGATTACTAAAGAAAGCCTCCCTGGTCTCAAATATAAAATGGCGATAATTTTACTAATCCTCTGGGATTTTTGGTAGAAATTATCTGGGATAATGTCTATGAAGAGTTTAGCATACTGCCTGACACATGATAACTGTTCAGCATTGCACTGGCCACCCAATGGGGATCTGGAGGTCAGCGGGGGAGGTATGGCTGGGAAGCATGTCAGTGATGTTTCAAGTGAAGTGACATTTGGGCAAGTTGACTAGCTCACCTGAGGGCACATACAGAGCAAAAGAGAAGAGGCCTAAGATATCATCTGAAAAGACTAGGAGGAAGAACTACCCAAGGACATTATTGCAAGAAAGAAATGAACAGATACAAAGCTTTTGCCATTCTGGCAGGTACCTAATGCCAAGAGCCTGGGGAAACAGCGATTCCTTTATACAGAATTGTTCCAGTTGCTTTCTCTCCTTTTATCCCTGAAGAAAGAGCTTCCCTTAAAGAGTTGATCATTAGTGAGATTATATGATGTTAATGAAGTCTTTCAGTTTCTCCATCTGTGTATTTGCATTGCACCTGTCCCTGCAGTACCTTGGTGTTTTAACTGCTGTACATGTCGAGAAATATTCACATTGTTCATTATGCAAAGGAGATCTGGCAGATTTAGGTCTGGATGTGGCAAAGTCAGGAGAGCTGTGACATTGTGAGATTACCCATTGAAAACTAAAAATAAAACCTCAGAGAATACAAAGAACAGAGGAAAGAGGCTATTAACATTCAACTTACAGTGAACATGATGATATATACATTACAAGTAAAAAAAATTTCAAAAATTATTTCTTTAGTTTTGACATAAAAGCAAGTGTGATTTTTTTTTCAGGAGAAACCCAATCAGCTAATAATATGCAAGAGACTAAAATGATCTTATTTTCTAAATTTTAAAAATATGCTAATAAATACTAACATAACTTTTTTACATCTGAATGTTCACATCAAAAGTATGTATTTTTGTATTAGTCTTCAGTAACTTTAGTACTTATTCAAAAGGCATTTTCAAATTACTAGACATTTTATAGCCTGTGTACCTGGTACTTGGTATCTAGTGGCCCGGTATACCTGTTTAACTGAATTTTTCTCTATATTTCTTAAAGGGATGGTTGCTTTTTACATTCTACATACAAAGTCTCCTGTGAAAAGATTATGTCTTTATTATAAAAATTAATTAAACACTGCATACTTGGTTTTTTTCCCAGAAAAAGGTACATTTTTATACTTAAGAACTGTGGGTTTTATATTTTCAACTATTTATTTTAGGGACCTTTCAAAACTATTAGCACATAGATAGTATAGTGTTCTTATCCTAGAATTAAACAAAAATAATCATAAGCATAATTTTAGTGCTATTAATAATAGCCTGTCTTCATACTGTGCTCCACAGTTTTCAAAGCTCTTTAATATGCATTGCTCCTACTATCACTTCCCCGGTTATTACCACCAAAATCAGGGAGAGAGTACCATTTCCTGCTTGGAAGTATGGGCTTTGGGGTCAAATAAAACTGGATTTATGTACTGATTCTGCTACTTAATTTGTGAGCTTGATCAAGTTATTTTACCTTCTAAGTCTCCATTTCCTCATTTTAAAGTATGGATAATAATACCTCATAGAGTTTTTGTCTAGAGTAAATGAAATAGAACACAGTCCACACTCAGTAAAGTGCCTGGCCCAAGCAACGTTAGTTTCTATCATCAACATCATAGTCAACACCATTATATTACAAAGATATTGTTACATCAGTATCCCTCAGGATTCAACCAGATCTTGGAAATAAAGGAAACCTTGAAGTCAAGATCGTGTGATAGATGTGATTCTCCATTGTGAAATATTTTTAAATGCCTCAAGCACATATCCCAAGCATACTAGTCCTATAATGATATCCTCCAGAAAGGGAAGTTCATGGTCCATAATGTGGGAAAAGTCTGCCTGTCACCCTTTGAATGATACAACATATATTTGTGTATCAAAAGCCCTGATCCAGGAAAGAAGCTTTACCATCCATCAGTGTTGCCAAAAGTGCCCAGTCATGTAGTACTTACTCTGTACCAGACAATTCCCAGTGCTTTATGCAGAAACTCATTTAATCCTCACAACAAATCTCTGTGAGGCTGGTACCATGATTATCCCCATTTTACAGATTGGGAAACTGAGGCATAGGTAAACTATAACATGCCCAAGATTCCTCAGCTATTTAAGAGGCAATGTCAGGATTCAAATCCAAAGAGGCAGGCACCAGCCTCTGGTCTCCCAACCACTACTCATATTACTTCTGTCATTCTCACGGGAAGCTCTGAAATTTACTAGTTCTATGCTCAATCTCCCCATCAAGAACTATAAACCCCTTTGGAGACTGACACTGCATTATTCTAATGCACTCAAATGTTAAGTAGGTTAAAAAGCAGTTCCCTTTTTATTTTTCCTTTGCGTTCTAAACACCAGGAGGAACCCTCTCGTTTCTAATGCAATATTAGAAATGTATATTATTTAAGGAAGCAAGCACCTCAAAAAATTTCTGAAGTCACACCCATTTGGATATGATGAATAGGAAGGGCACAAAAATAGGCACTTATTCTGCACAAAATCAATATTTAACACTGGAACACTTCCAAGCCACAAGTGGGAACTAAACTGATGGAGAGAAGTTCAGCAAAGCAGTGAGTTCACTTTAATTCTGAACGGGTTGCACTGTGGCTGGTGCATGTAGAAATATTTCTAGAAATGACCTTGATGTCAACATTTCACTACTACTACTACCACCTGCCGCTTTCTGTCTTTTCTTACTTGTCATGCCCTATCATTATGTGAAAATCATATCGCTATTACAACATGTATCATGGTTCAGCAATTAGAGCATGAAGCTCGAAGTCCCTGTTCTTCTCGCTATTGCTTGAATATATCACTATGCCAGACCAAGTATTGAATGAATGAGTAGACTAATGACTGCCCATGCTAGAAAACAAACTAGATGAAGAGTTGGGATGACCTTAGTTCCACATCCCTGCTGCATCACTAATCATTTCGTCACCTTGTGGAAATTACTCTCCTTCCAATTCTGAGACTGTATTTGCTATCTGTGCCAACAAAAGTGACAAAAAGTGCAAGAAAAAAAAGTAAGCAGAGAAGATGAGAAATGTTCTTGTCACCCTCAAGTTAATAAAGACCTGTTTTAATCACACAGTCTTCCTAAGAATGTTTTCAACTCCTAGAAGCCTCAGCATCCTGTCTAAAAAACACTTTCATCACAATGAGGCGTGTGCTTTGTGCATGCTGCATTCAACTTAGTCATCTTATTAATGAAAGCAAAATTATGGAACACTTATTTGAGTTGATTAATTTATTCCTAAATGGGGCAATTTCAAGATATGAATAACTTCCCATCTTTTATATTTCTAACAAGACATTTCTTTCCCCTTTATTCTGCCCTGAGGGTGTGTGAAGGTTATAAATAATTCAAAAGAATATATCCTAAAATGTCTTGCATTTTAATGAATTCCCAGGATTGAAAGGAGTTAGTATTGTTTAAATCATATGAATGTTATGCATCAATATTTTGTATTGTTCATCACAATACAGCCCTCATACTAGTATGATTTGATAACATGGGAGGAGGAAATAACATATTGTAAAGATAACTAGGAAGTAATTATGAAGAAAGTCATGGGAATGTTAAAGGAACATTCTCACATTTTAAAAAAAAAATTCCATTGACTTCTACAAAGGATATTGTCCTGAATGAATCAAATATGTTCATAATTATTCAAGAAAAATATGAAGCTCCATTTATGTAACTGCTGCTATAGATGTAATCCTCTAAGACAGTGTTATCGAAAGCCTGTAAAATATGCTATGAGGGATGATTTGAAGTGCAAAGAAACTGCAGCTGTAGATTAAATAAGATCACAGTGAGAAAGTTACTTTTAATTCTCTTCTGATTACCTGGTTATCCCAAACCTCAGGTCTGAAAGTCTCGGTTAAGTGATAATGTCTATACCAAACTCTTACCAATTGTTATATTTAGCAAATGAGCCCCCTCATTGTAATGAAGTATTAGGAAGTATAGTTTTTAGGCCAGTAAGCTCCTCAAAAAAATTTTGAAGCCACACGCGTTCAGATAGGAAGAACAGGAAGGCTACAAAAATAGGTACTTATTCTATACAAAATCAGTATTTAATGTTGGAACACTTCCAAGCCACAGGCAGCAATTAAACTAATGGAGCAAGACTCTGCTTAGAACTTTTGAAGACAATGGTATTGAGTCAAAATTGAGTCCAATTGTTTTATTTCCATCGTATTTATATTTATTGTTGTTTGCCCTTTCTGTTGAGACATGCTGTTTTTCCTTTTATGGAATGGCACAAAGTTTTCCTGTTTATATTTTGTAAGTTTAATTGTGGATCAATTCAAAGAAAATATTAAGTAAACAATAGTGCAGATGGCATGCAGTTGTGACAAAAATCCTGACGGTAGTGTATTAATGACCAAAATTCAAGAAATACGGCTCTTCTGGGCTCAAACATACAGTCTCTCTTCTAACTCTCTTGTCCCACTCCTTTCAACAGCTGCTGGTGCTCAGGGGCCTACACATGTTTCCATAGCCCTTATCAGGTTAGCCACAGAAGCAAGGTGCCAATGATAGTGATGGAAAGGGGCACCAGGGCAGCAGAATGATGTCACAGAGCTGAACAAAGGGTTGAGAGATAACAATGTTTTATGTCTAATATCTCCTAGTAACCATCAGATTGAGTGACTGTTTTTAAGCCAGATCAGATGCCCTTTGACCCATATCTTCACCTGCTGAATCGCCCACACTGTTAAATGGCAAGGTAAAAGATTTCGCTCTACGAGACACTGTGTGTTACTTCTCTGTGGGTCATTGACTCCTTGATAAAGCTTGTCTTTAGTTATCTGTCCTAACCTCTTCATGTTGAGTTTTAATGATACACACAATGAGCAGTTTTCTCGCAGAGGTGGGTATGGGTGTCTGTGTATGTTTCAGTGTGCGCATAAGCCTACACATAAATATATATGCATACAAATATACATATTTAAATTATTGTATAAAATATAGAGAATGGAGCTAACATGAGAAGGTCTCATTTTGAGGACCCAAATTCTGTCTTAAGACAAGAGAATTTTTTGAAATGGCACCTTGTGTTTGAAAGCTAAGTCCAAATATCTCATGACCTATTTGAATGTGGGCTGGAATAATAGAAGTGTTGGCCATGGGATTTGGAGTAGCATACCAAGTTCAGATTTAGTAACTTCTTGCTCAGAGTAATTCATTTCCAGATGCCTGTGAATAAATCAGTTTTTCTGGTGAGCCCCCTCGTTGCTGGTGTGGTTGTGGAGAAAGAGGAGCTCTTTTATACTGTTGATGTGAATGTAAATTAGTCTATCCATTATGGAAAATAGTATGGAAGTTCCTCAGAAAATTAAAACTAGGACTACCGTATGATCCAGCAATTCGACTACTGGGTATATACTCAAAGGAAACGAAATCAGCTTGTCAAAAAAACTTTGCATTTCCATGTTCGCTGCAGCACTCTTCACAGTAGGTAAGATATGGAGATAATGGAATCAACCTAAGTGTACATCAGTGAATTAGTAGATAAATAAAATATGATACATATACACAATGGAATCTATTCAGTCATAAAAAGAAGGAAATCCTGTCATTTGCAGCAATGTGGATGAACTGGAGGGCATTATGTTAAATGAAATAAACCAGGCACAAAAAGACAAATCACCTGTGTGATCTAACTTATATGTAGAATCTAAAGAAGTTGATCTTATAAAAGCAGAGAAAAGAATAGTGGTTATCAATTGCCTGGGAAGGGTGCAGAGAGGTATGTAGGGAGAGATTGATCAGCAAGTACAAAGTTGCAGTTCGGAGGAATAAGTTTTGTCTACTGCACAGTGGGTAACTATGGTTAACAATATTGCACTGCATATTTCAAAAAAGAAAGGATTTTGAAGGATTTCCCCAGGCTGTTGGCTTTAGGTACCTGCCAGAATGGCAAAAGCTTTGTATCTATTCATTGCTTTCTTGCAATAATGTCCTTGGCTAATTCTTCCTCCTAGTCTTTGCAGATGATTTCTTAGGCCTCTTCTCTTTTGCTCTGTTTGTGTCCCCAGGTGAGCTAGTCAACTTGCCCAAATGTCACTTCACTTGAAATGTCACTGACATGCTTCCCAGCCATACCTCCCCCGCTGACCTCCAGATCCCCATTGGGTATCCAGTGCAATGCTGAACAGTTATCATGTGTCAGGCAGTATGCTAAACTCTTCATAGACATTATCCCAGATAATTTCTACCAAAAATCCCAGAGGATTAGTAAAATTATCGCCATTTTATATTTGAGACCAGGGAGCCTTTTTTTTTTTTTAGCCATCTGGAAACACAAAAAATGTAATCCCTTTAACATGACATTTGTTCACAAAAAAATGGTAAATTTATGAGGTGAGGAATATGCCAAATGCCAGATTTAGTTTTTACGCAATGTATACATATATCAAAACATTGCACTGTACTCCATAAATATTTACAATTATTGTGTGTCAAGTTTTTAAAAAGAGACTCTAAGTAAATAAATAAAAACAAATCCATTTTCCTAGCTGCACTTCTGATGGATAACATGTATCGGTATTATTAATACCAAGTATTATCCTGTATTTGAATATACAGATAGTCTCTCCCTGGGCAGTGCTACAATCTTTCCAAAATCATTCTGATGAAAAATTTGTTGTAACTGATGAACCATCATTTGAATAGGATAATCAAAATGACTGATCCTTCTGAGAAACTGCCAACTGTGCATCCTATAAACGGGCCACAGTTGATTGGTTTGACCTGAAGTTAAGTATAATAGTCACAACTTAGATGGGTTTAGTAACTCTTCGGCTGATATATGGTTGTAGCCTGGTTGTTTCATGCTTATAAGCATAATTGCAATGCCTAAAATAAGATGAAATTGCTGAAGCTTCATTTGAAGAGCAAAACCTTGGAAAAACTATGAACAAGTTAGCATTTTTAGTTCATATGTGAGTATTAATGAACCTTTTAAAATGACCATCTGTAAAGAGTGCTGCTTCTCTGGTTTGCCCCACTTTGAACATCAGAACTTGACTGCAGAGGACATGCAGGACCCAAGGCATAGCTTTCTACTGGTAACAAAATCTGGTAGAGTTCCTTTAATTGATACTTTATGAAGACAACCAAAAGGTTGCCTGATGATGTATCCATTTTGCTGTTGAGATAACTCATAACTATTTGCCTCAGTGGTATATATGGACAAGTCCTTTTTATGAGAAACTAGTGAAATGTTTAATCAGTTCAGATCCTTCTGTTCACACCTCTCTCTCTCATTTTTATATGTCCTTCCAGGATATGTTGATTACCATTGAAAGTCCCACATCATATTTATGCCAGTTTAAGTTGATCACTTCCATCACAGAAAACTTTAAAAATTTTAAAAATTAAGTCTTGAGAACATCTACTGAAGTATGGCCGAGTAAAAAGGTTTTTATTCCACTCTCCTTCCTTGTATCTCATTAAAAATTGCCATAAATAAATACATGCGAAGGAGAAAAGTACCATCATAAAAAATAAGTTAAACATATAGTATTTCAAATTCAAAAAATTCAGAGAAACATAATTTCTTTAAAAAAAAATCTTTAAAAAGTACCTACTAGATTTTAAAGACGAAATTACAAGACAAAAGAAACACAAAATAGAAACTGGCAGAGCTTGGAAAAGCAAGAGAAGAGGAAAAAGCACAATCATTCTAAAAGCAATAGTAAAGGCAATAAAAGTAGCATTAAAATATTTTTAAAAATAAAAAAGACAATATAGGCTTAAGGAAACAAATATATGAAAGAAATACAAAAAGAAAAAAATTGTATGAAGAAGATACATGTAAGAAACATGGTATACCTCACACATGTATAATTGATGTTTTCAAGGAAGAAAATGCATTAATAAATGAAATAGAAAACTGTCCTGAAATTGTCACATTTAAGCTTACAAATAAAAAGAGATGGATCTAAAAAATCTGATATAAAATAAACATTAAGGTGAATCCCAGTAAATTATTATAATTTTCCAGAACATGAAATTATATGTGCGTTTCAGGAGGAATAAGTGCCAGGTGAACCTAAACTTTTGTGGTAGCAACAGTCAATATTGGACCATAGAATAATGTCTACTAAAGTTTGAGGTAAAGTAAATTTGACCCAAGTATTTTGTATTCATCCAAATTATTTTGCAAGGGTATATGAAGATTATATATCAACCAACAGACATTCTCAAACAAGTATACAGCACATAGGTCCCTTTTTTCATAATCTTTCTGAATTTTACAATGCAGCCAGCCAAAAGATGGATCAGTATAAAGAATTCAGGATAGAAAATCCATAGTTATAATCGTTCGTTGATTTCAACATTGTGTGAATTATGGTGAACAACAGCATATAAATATAATAGCTCCTAATAATTTAAAATTTTTAAAAATCAAAAATTCTGGTTGAGGAGGGCAGATAGTTGCATGATATCTGCTTGCAAGGCACTGGAAGAGATTCAGTTTGCCTAGATTATTCACTAGACGTGACTAAAGTGTAAGCTAGAGCCGTTAGGTCTGATTGCTCAGGGCCTTTAAACACACTAAGGAATTTAGACATTTTCCTAAAAGCACTGGGAAGACATGTAACCACCCAAGGAGATCTTCTTGCCCCCTGCCCAGATAGAGCCAATGTATCAAGACAGGGGAATTTGAATAGAGAAAGAATTTAATGCACAGTATTATATGTACTATATCTACATATATATACTTATTTTTATATATTAGTTTACATATATATTTGTATATATACACACATATGTATACATATAAATATAAATTTATATATTTTTATATATTTACATTTATACATTATATAAATATATAAGTACATATTTGTATGTACACACATATATATGTGTATATACAGTATATACACATACACAAACACATACATATAAATTGAGGGAGAGCCGGGAAAACAGAACAGTAGAAAGTTCAAAAGTTAAAATTTCAAGAGATAAGCACTTAATATAAAATAAATGACATCAGGATCATATTATGAAACAATTTTTATTCCTCACTTAACATTTATTTGAAGCAGCAGCTGGCTCTCCAATACAATAATACTAATCAGTTTTTTGATGAATCTAAATCCTAGGCCAATGAAGTATTTATTCTTCATGAGAAATGCAGTTAAGTAACACATGTCTCTTCCTCTTTTTCTGCCCAGCCAGAGCAACAGAAAAAGATTGCTGGGTATGAGTGTGGGTTTCTTTCACCTTTAGAGCAGAGAGTATTAAAACTCGACCTAAAGCCCATTAATGAATTGTGAGGGACCTACTGATGGACCAAAATGCATCTAAGATTGGAAGTCTTTTTTCACTGTTCTGCGTGGCTCTCTATTCCATAAGTTTTAGTTTTCACTTATGATTTGTGATGGTTAATACTGAGTGTCACCTTGATTTAAAGCCATATACATATAGCCAACTAACTGAGTTGTTTATGATTACTAAATTTGTAAACTGACCTTTGTACATTATCCCAGTTTACTGAAGGTTCCCGTTCAGTGTTCTGACTAAAGCTCAACCCTGAACAGAGAGTTGAAATGTGACATACACCAGGTAGATAGGAGCTGCGATACTAAGTGGGCCATTTTTTTTCATCCCACAAAATGGCCTTAAGAAAAACATGTGAGAGTCTACACTCTAGTGGCGCTCAAGTAAACAACACCTCCATGTGATAAGAACATAAAGAAAATCTCTGAAGAATATTCTCCTCCCACAACTACTCCTTCTATATATATATTACTTCCTAAGAAAAGAAAGAGGAATGACAGGTCATGTTCTTCCTCTCGTCAAACTGAAGCCCAGGAGTCTAACTTTGAGACATCTTTGATGTCTGTATTCCAGAGTCAATTCACACTAACTCAAATAATTCTTGACTGCATAGTCTGATGTACAGATTAGTCAAAGACATAGATGGGAAGAAAATTATCGGATGTTTTAAAAGTCTTCATGAGGTTTTTATGATGGATGTATACAGGTCAGAAGATACCTAGTGATTTTCCTCTAGAAAAGAGAAAAATACAAAAATGGCTTTAATAATACAGGATTAGTTACATGTTATAACAGAGGAATAATCAAAAAATAATAGTGGAATGAGTGAATTAGATTTTATCAACTTAGAAAATGTTTATAGAGGGCTTATTATGTTTCAGGCACATTTTTAAAGCCTGGGGATAGCATCATGAACTGAAAATATTAGGCTCTGTGCTTGTGCTACTTTGTAGATGAGAAGAAAGGATGACCAAGTGTGTCTAACTCAGAAGCAGGGTTTCGAATTTCAAACACTGCTTGCTACCACTATGTGAGGTCCAAGATAGGACCCCACTTCTCCAGTGCAACTCCCCAGTGTATTACTGCCAAATGTAAATCATCACTACCTTGTGCTATTTCTTTATGTCATAATAAGCCCACAGAGATTTTGAAACAATCAAAAATGTTCCACCCAAACACATTTTACAGAGCTCAAGTGATTAAGCTACGAAATATGGTTTCATTAATATGGCTCTGCTTAGTAGTTTTCAAAGTCTAGATAGAGTATTTGTCAACAAGAAGGGACGCACAGGGCCACATGCTTACTGTGCAATAACTGGAAATAAGATACAAACCATGTATTGTTCTTTAGTATCAAGTTAACTGACAGGCCACTTGGTATCTCTTTGACTTGTTTAAAATGTACTTTCAAATAAAAGAAAGAAAACAAATGGTATTTTAACTAACTAGTGTTTTCCTGAATGAGGAAACTGCCTTTTCTAATCTTGTATTATAGACAGGAGCAAACAGGTTTGCATCAATTACTGTTCTGTTTGTTTAATATGTATTTTCAAAAACAGTGAATACCAAATCAAATAGTTTTAATGCTCAGTTATGCTAAATAGCCCCCATTTGGATTTTTTCCAAAATAAATCTAAGTAAATATTGATAAATAGCACAAAGCGTATCAATAATATGTTGTCTGAGCTTGTTATTTAGGGGATTAAAATCACAGCCGAGAGAGCAAATAAATATTACAAGTTACACTGCATCATATTTGCCAAACTTCCTAAATTATTAGCAGATCCACTGGGTAAATGCAGCAGCAAAGCACAATCTGTTTCCCATGCAAATCTGAAATCCACTTATGAGGCATAACAAGCCTAGATAGGATTTCAGATATATGATTACAGAATTATTGATTCACCATTTTCATCTCCAAAGAAGGTCATTCTAGGGATCACCTTGTAGGTTTACCCAAAATGAAATAAGAGAAGTGTATATGGGTAGTTTATTCTTTCCATGTGTACACACTTGAGGTCAGCTTAACCAATTTGTACCAAGATGATGATTCGTATAAGACACATAGAATCTATCATCAAATGATTTTCAATCAGATAGGAAGTATGTGAAACAAATGCACAATAACTCTAACACAAAGAAGAATGGAGGTCTCCATAGCAGTGTAAGGGCTGTCGAGGAGAATATGTTCAGATGGGGAAGGTGAAATGGAGTCCTGCTTCCTTGAATTTAATTGAGCAAGAAACAGAGGAGAAGCAAACACTTTGGAAGAAGAGTTTGTGTAGCAAAGGCTCATAGTCATAGTTGCCTTCTAAAGAAGGAGGATCCCTTTTATTTTCCTAGGGCTCTGGATGAGCAGAGGTATGCAGAGGGGACCCTGAAACTGCAGCTGGGCTAGGAGCTGGAGAGAGCTGAATTACTCTGGTTAAGGAAATGTGAGATTTGGGATTTGCCACTAGGAGGACGAGAGGAAAAGAAGAGAGAAAGTATGAAAGAGATGTGAGGCTAAAGCTAAAACTGAGAGACAGTCTGCAACAGGTATATCTAACCGGAAATGTTAATTATTTCATTCCTGTAGTGGGAGTACTTCCTTCTCCCCAGACCTCTGTATTTCATTTCCTCTACTAAATGTCTTGTGTAGGTGGGATGCTTTGGTCATGGTATTTTTGTTTTGTTTTTGTTTGGGTTTTGTAGTTTTTTTCTTTCTTTTTTTTTTCCTTAAAATTAAGAAAGAGAACTGAATTCCATGACTGGGTTAACTAATTGTAATAGAGGGACCACATTAGCAGGAAGGTAAGTGGAGCTGTAAACTAATCACAGATGCTCCTCTAGTTACAAACAGCTTAGGTAACCAAAATCCCTAATTGTGCATAAATCCAAAGTGACTCCACACAAGTAATTGCTATTGCCATCTGTTAATGGCTGGCAGAGCTTTTTTATGTATCTGTGGAAATTGAAAGTTTTTAATAATTGAAGTTATTCTGATAATGTAACCCTTTTCTCTGCTTTACCCCACAAATTTCTATAAATCTTAGAGAAAGCCACAGATTCCACATTTCGTGGCATGGTAGGTCAGATCCCTTTTACCTCAATCTTCAAGTGTATAGAGAATGCAACTAATATCAAGGTTATGTATGTAATCCAATTTGGTGGAGCAAAGTGTATGTTAAGCAAACAAGTAGAAAACTTAGAAGGCAGCTTGAGACCAAATTGTGCAGGATCTTGAATGTTCAAGTCAGGAACTATGTTTCATTACACCATGAATTATAATTCAAAATTACAAAGGGGAGGAGGACTAACAAGTAAGAATTGATATATCCAACCTAAATATCTCCCTCAAGTCCCACATCCATGTATCCAGCTGCCTACTGGACATTTCCGCTTGGACTTCTCTCGGGTATTTATTTTATTTATTTTTTGAGATGGAGTCTCACTCTGTTGCCAGGTGGGAGTGCAGTGGTGCGATCTCAGCTCACTGTAGCCCCAAACTCGGAGATTCAAGCAATTCTCCCACCTCAGCCTCCCGAGTGGCTGGGACTACAGGCACCCACTACCACGCCTGGCTAATTTTTGTGTCTTTTAGTAGAGGCGGGGTTTCACTATGTTGGCCAGGCTGGTCTCAAACTCCTGACCTCAAGTGATCTACCCTCCCTGGCCTCCCAAAGTGTTGGGATTACTGGTATGAGCCACCACGCCCATCCTCTCTCAGGTACTTTAAACTTGACTGTCAAATTCATCTTTCTCCCCCTACATATACTTTTATATGTTTTCTATGTGTTTTTATGTATTTGTTTGTTGATACCTGTTTCCTAGCCAAGAAGCTAGGCATCAGGTCTGTTTTCTTTGTCCTTATTCCATATAGCAAACTGGCCAATGGGATGTGTTAATTTTGCCTTCACGGTGTCTCTTCAGTTCATCCTTTCTTTTCCAACCCACCACCTTTCATTTAGCCCAGACCCTCATGGTTTCTCATAGGAATTACTACAGTGTAACATGTGGGTGTATGTCAGATTGCCCGAGTTCAAATTCTACAGCACACTTCATCAGCCATATGACCTCTATTCACTTCAGTTTCCTTGTTTGTAAAATGTGGAAAATGAAAGCACCTACCTTAAATGAATAAATGAATGCATGCCTGAATTATAGGAGGAAGAAGAAAAATTACATGATCAAGCCTTAGCTTTATCGAGGTATGAATCCAGATAGTCAGAATCTATGGCAGGGCTGTCTGATAGAAATATAATGGGAGTCATTACATTTAAATGTAACTTTAAATATAAATATATTTATATTTAAATGTGACTTTAAATATAATGGGAGCCATTATATATATATGTGTATATAACTTTAAATTTTCTAGTAAAAAAATAAAAATACGTTAAATTAATAATATTTATTTAGTCCAATATAGCCAAAATATTCTCTTGTGGCACTAGACACGTTTTAAGTGCTCACTAGGCACATGTGGCTGGTGGCTCCCATTACTGGACCAAGCAGCCACAGAGATTATGACACTGGAGAATACTATTGTCAAAACCAATGAAAGAAAACCTCAAGAAGGTGCTTAGAAAGAAAAGATGATACATTTATCCTGCTCACAGTGAGGTTAGGGTATGTAAGCAATTCGGGTGAAAATATCTTAATAAGCAGTGAGAAATAGAGTTCTAAAATAGGCAGAATTAGAGATTACATTTCAGAAGCCAAAAACCAAGGATCTAGCCATAAAGTATGCTTTAATTTTAGCTCACCTCAATAAGTAAATATTTGCTTACTAGTATTGCCTGGTGATGTGTGGTGTGCTGTGGGGCCCTCCATGACTTCACTCTTGCTGTGCCCCCTCCTCAAAGGTCCCACATCTTACTCTGCACCTCTCCAAATGCTGTCATACAAAGGCCTGCCCCACTTCTTACATTAAGGCTTTTCCAACTATTTTGTCACGTTTATCTTATCCCTCAAATCCTGCTGTACATAAAATTACTATTTACACAGTTAGGCACTGTAATTACTCTGGGCACCATCTTTTGTCCTCATAGCTTGACTGTAAGTTCCTTGAAAACCAGGAGCATTTCTGTTTCCACAGACCTCAGAATCAAAGAACCTGAGTGCTCAATAAATGATTGTTGAAACAGTGACTGACTCGGGCAACATTCAAGCTTCAGCTTCCGAAATTATGAAGGCACATCCAAGGAACTGAAAATTCCACAAACACTGTTCTTTAACTCAGTGCTAATGGTCAAACTGCTTCCATTTGCATGTGGGTGTTTGGAATGGCAGACTCAGAAATCATTTTTGACATAAACTGGGTAATCCAGAGGGCAGTATGGGCTTCCAGCTACTCTTCAGGTTCACCAGGAACAGGTAGTTCAAGGTAGTTACGTTATAAACCTTAGATGTCTTGATGCACTTGCAGTTAATTCCAGCTAATTCATCTTCGGAGGAAGATGTTTTCATCACTGAGTAGTGAGCAGGAAGAGATTAATTTTAAAGGCAAGCAAAATAGAAGCGTCTTAACAGCCCGTTAATTATGCCATTTTCCCATTTCCTGCTCTTGATGTATTGTGCGCCCATGAAAAGATGGGGCAAAATCCAGGCTTTAGAAATTCATGTTTTGTGGAGAAAATCCATTTCTGTGCCTTGCAAAGCAGAACTACAGGTGCAGCAAGTGAGTAAACAGTACCAGCTGCTCCTTGGCTGTGGTTCGTTAAAGAGAAATTAAAGACAAAACCCAGGTTTGGAGTGAGTACAGAATCACTGAGAGGACAGCAACGGATTTTTCATGACTTTGGCCCCGCTTCTAGCATCTCCACCGTAAAACAGCACGCTCATAAAGGAACCGCAGCACACACATGCTGAAGGTCAGAGCTGGTTTCTGCCTATATTCTGGTGAAGTGTTTTGGTGAAATGTCCTTGCAGACATTGTGACTTAGCCAGGGAACTCGTACCAGATTCATATATTAAAGTTCTAGAGGCTGATTTGGGAGATGATGTAGAGTGCCTAAACACACAAACTTGTCACCAATACAAGTGAATTCACATCTTAAGCTTTTAAAAAATTCATATCTCAAGGAACCTAATGGGCTCAGGATTTTTTTTTTTTGTACTTATGACATGGGTTCACTTTTATATGACTAAGCTTTTAGGAAAAGTCTGTGAGTGGAGAAGTTTGATAGTATAGAGTTTATCAGAATACAGAAGATAATATTACACATCAGAGTCTCAAAAACGTTTCAGTGGTTATCTGTTTGCTTTATTCTCACCAGTTGATTCCTTACCTTGTGTCTGATAGCACCATGTGTACACTGCCACCAAGGATGAAGGGAACAAAGTATCATTACATGTGACATAAACAACAACTAATAACAAACTGTTGGTTTTGATATTGCTCCTGAGTGATTTTTGGCATTTTATTACTTCATTTGACATTCTGAAACTTCTCAGGAATTATGGGGAAGAATTTTCATTAGGTGCAGTCAATGATAAGGGTAAATGAAGCTTATATTTATATTCTAAAGGTTATATTTGGAAAATTATTTTCTACCTATATATTAAATTATAAACTTTCATAAGTGCCCCTTTCTTAACTTCACAGTTAACTGCTGTGGACCATGGTATGTCACTTGTGAATGTAAAACAAATGCTAAGAGAACACTCAGTGGTCATGTCATGTTATCTTCTTGAAATTTATTCCTAGGGCTCTAGTCACGTCTTATAGGACAGTTTACCCTAATGCAATTGGCTCCATTGTTGCTGCTCTGGTGCTGGTATTACCTCTTCATATACCCTTGACTCCCATCTGCTGTCAAGATGAGGGCACAGAGGCTGAATGAAAAGGTGAATGAAATACCAAGGCCCATTTCCTGCATGTGAGTGGAAGCAAAATTTTATTTTCAAACTGAGTCTTTTCTGGTAAGCAGACTTTGCCCTGCTTTGTACCACTGCTTTCTATTTAGAATCTGTTATGCCCTCAGTGAAGAAAGTGTTGCAAAGTACAAATTCTTTTTGCATGACTTCTTCCCCCAATTCCAAAATGCTTTTATGAGTCATTTAGTAGAAAGTAGAAAGAACAAGACCTTGTCTATTGAAAGGAGCTCCTGCTCACGTGTGAGCTGCCCTGTCTCTTGAGGTGGTACAGACGCAACTGAGACAAAGCTGTGAATGGCAGCCATGATGCTTCGTGGATTGCCTGACACACCATGAGCACCACGAGAATGTTCTCACTGCCACAGAGCAATAGCATTTCTGTCGCTAACAGGAGCCAGAAGTATGATTTCCATTATGATAGGGAATTTTCCTGCATCCTCCAGGCTCCCACACCTCAGTCTGAACCTTTCTCAAGTAATCCTGTGTCATCACTCTGACTCTACTCTGCGTTTGGTATAGATCAGCCTTAGAGAGTACTGCTGGCATCTTTGCATGCCCCTGCCACCCCACAATCATAGTTGGTTCCTAAATGCCATTTCCATCCCCCTGCAGTGGACCAGCCTAACTACCCAGGCCCCATGCATATCTCAGAACAGACTATTTGGATCTGGGCTTTGAAAGTCATCTGTTGGCTTCTGAGGACAGGCCAGCTTGGGGATGCGGCTGGGAGCTATGAGTTGTGATGTATCAGGGGAATGTCTTAGGCTCACACAGAGGTGTTGCATATAGAGAGGGTCCGTGAGTGGAGAAGTATGAGAGGGCAATTATAATCAGCAACCTGTGCTGCCAGATGGGATCAACCAGGAAAAATCAACTAGTGAAAGCTAATGATGAAATCATGTAAAGTGGGATAGGCAGGAAACTTTTCTAGGTTTTTGTTTGTTTGGGTTTTTAAAATTTATTTGTTCTTAGCAATGAGCATGAAAGTTTGGTTTGAGTTCCCAGGTGAGGAGCCTCACCCTCTTCAAATGCATAAACTTCTCAGACCACTTGTCTAATAATGGTTCCAGGTAGAATTGAAAGTTGAGGACAGAGGTCTGTTGCAAGGACTTTCTCCTCATTAAAATGTTTTCTCTTCAGGGCTCTCTATGTCTGATTTGGCAGCCTCACCCTGAATGATCCAAGTGGCTTTCACCTCATTGGTTTTCACTTCATTGCTCCTGGCTTTCTCGGGAATTGTTTAATTGGGTTACTATTGTCTCACTGGCAGGAACCTACAAAAAAAGGGCTCATTTCTAAAGCAGGGCCTTCCTCTCCAACCCTAAGTGGGCCTATTAAGCAAATGCAGCCCCTTGACCAGTTTGACCCTCTGTATAAACATAAACATGATTATAGGCCAACTTCTTTACCTGTACCTTTTTCAAAAATAAGAAACCTCCAGGGTGTGAAACTGATGCACTCACCCCGGATCTTTCCCTGAAAAATCTCCAGATATCTACTTGTGTGAAGGACCTTGTTCAAAATGGCATTTCCCTGTTTCCCATTTGACCTTGTCCTCTGCTTTGAGAATGTGCAAAACCCTTGAGGAAAGTACATTTTCATCTGTCTGTAGTACCTACCAACTTGGATGTGTTTTTAGGCAAGGGATAGCAGAAAAACTCTGGAAAAATTCCCCTTTCCAATAGAAATCTGTTTATTTTGCCTTTAGCAAGGAACTGTTTGTTTTCTGGGCTCCAGATTTTCAATCTGCTGGTTGAGGCAAATGTACCTAATGTGTCCGGGGATGAATGTGAGTGCTGGGAGATTTATGGCTGAAACAGGAGCCTTTCTCGGGATTCTCTGTGACCTCGGGCACAACTTTAGAACAAGGTGGTATTTGCAGCTTTGGTGCCTGCAGGCATGTGGGTTCCAATCACTTCTGCTTGCAGTTCTCAGCTTGTGAGCCCACTTGTGTGTGTTTTGTTTTCTTGGCTTATGGAGTTGTAAAAGTAGCACAGAATGTACCAGGGTAGGCTCAGCTGGAGATGACTAAAAGGAAATCTTGGGGAAACTGGCAGAGAGCTGTCCACTGGTGAGAAGCAGGCACAGCTGAAATCCATTGGTCCTCTGTAAAGGAAGGCAGTGTCCTTCACAGACGTGAAGAGTGAGGTTAACAACTTGAATTTCTGACCAAGTGTCTATGCCACTAATTTCAAGGTGTGGGGGAGAGCAACTCTTCTTAAAGTATATCTGTTCAATGAAGAGCATAATAATACTAACTGGCATTTAGTGAACATTTATTATAAGCCAGAAACTATGCTAGGCCTTCTTAACACATTCTCTCTTTTTAATTCTCCCAATTGTCCCTAGGCGCTAAGTGCTTTAGATTACCCCCATTTATAGATCAGGATTCTCAAGCACAGAAAGGTTAAATCAATTGTCCAAGATGACACAGGTGGCAAAGTGGCAGACCTGGGATGAAAACCCAAGGCAGACTCCAGAATCCAAGCTCTTAAACTTGTGAGGCATTTAGGGATTGAGTTTAGGTCTTTGTCTGGTCCATGCAGAGGGATAGGAGGCAGCGGGCCCTAAGGGAATGAGTGATAGAATGGCCAGCCAGCCAGCCAGCAACTCCCTCATAGGATGGAGTGGATTTTCAGTCAGACTTCAGCCTTGCATTTTCATTTTGCTTCAAAGATTATTTTCTTGTTTTCCTTACCTTTATTTTTCCTTCTGCAAGAGTTGATATATCTGTACTTCCATTCATTTCCCCAATTTTTCTATATCTCCAATATTTTCAGTTTTACCCTTTATATCCCACTATCTTTCTTGATGCTGTTCTAAAATAACCTATTCATTGCCCTACTCTAAATTCTACTGTCTCATTTTATGTGAGGGTAAAAGGATAATATAGGAGATGGAGTAAAGTAGAGTCATCCCTGTTTGTCCTTCTCTCCCCTTTTATTCCCTTTCCATAAGAAACTAGAGAAATGTTCCTTCACCTATGAAGAAGAGGGAGGAATTGAAGTGTTTCTTTTTCCCTCACCAGGGGGAGCTGCCCAAGCCAGTGAACCCCTACCCTGTTTCCATCCATCTCTTTATCTGTTGCAAGTTATCCCAGCAGGCTGTCATCTCTTCTCCAAAAGCTAGACATATACGCTGACTTCCTGATGCCCTTGAAGGCTTCTGTGTAACAATTAAATTTGAGTATATGGTTCTATTTTTCCTCCATAAAGACCTTTTCATTCAATTTTCCAGGTTCTCCTCTCTATACAATCATTGTAATTTGTTTAATTGAGATGATCTATACCGTGTTTCTGATCTAGTACTGTTTCTACCAATGCACAGAATATCTGCCTGGATTCAGCCAAATCTGCTCAAGCATTAAAGAGCTAAGTACTTAGGCTTTGATCTTGGCATCATCTAATCTAAGAATCTATATCTGAAAAAAAGAGAGCATGTGGAAACAACTGAAGCAAAAAGCAAAGAGAGAATATGGAGGGATATTTTTATCAATACATATTTTCCTCCTATGGCATAGTAATCACTTGACCATAGTATTTGGCTAGACGAGACTGTGGTACAATGCTTCATTCAATCATTCATTCAATGATTAGCTAAGGATTATATTTGTATCATATTTGGCCCTCTGGAACCCTAAAATGTAAAATATCCTCACATTTTATATTGTTGGACTATATGTGCATAGACTCTAAATCGTATTCTGGCTCTAAAACTGGTGAAAAGAGAATCAGAATAAAATTTTTTCTCTCCCCTTAAATAATATTTTGTACTTTTCTGTACCTTACACTACTGGCTCTTAAGCCAGATGTGTCTGCAACTGAGAGAACTCATGAATGCTGATGTCATCCAGAAGATTTGAAAATAAAACAGAAAACACTCTTTCCTGCAAAACCACCAGATGCTGTCACTCAGACAAACCACTTTATGCTGTTCTGATTGGGACATCCTTTACTACACTGAATGTAAATGGAGAAAATTCGGGGGAGGAAATATTTAAAATTACAAAGAAATAGGAAGATTTTTCGATAGAAAGATTGGTCCTAAAGTTTGCAGGCTGAGAGGAAACAAATTCAAACCTATGAAACCAAGAAGAATATAGATAAGATGAACAATGACTGAATCACCAAATCCTGCAATACAACAATTAGAGGGTGTCCTTAAATGCTTGAAAGGTATATTTTATACAAATAAGGAGTAGTAAACACACTTAATAGCCACTCATTTCCCCCAAAGCTGTCCAATGCTAAATGTATCCATTAAAACTACTTAGGTAGTTAAGCTGTAATTGGGTTATTAAGAGAAAAGAAGGAAATAGATACCTCTCAGATGTGTAATTTTAATGGTAAGGGAAAACATTGATTATTCAATGTCTTGTGAGAGAGAAAAACTTTGGACTTTATAATGGCAATTCTTATTTTGACCACCTTCTATCTTTGGACTTTCGTGCTGTTTATAAGCAACTACTCTAAAGAGTGAACATGGGAATTGCAAGCAAATAAAACACCAACCCAGGTTATTTTATACATAATTAGTTAGTGAACTCTTAGGGGACATATTAAAGTTTCTCACTAAAGTAAGATTTTACCATTATCTGATATTAGATATTTGTCACATTGTGTTTATACTTTACCCCCTGGCTAGTAGCATTAATAATGAAAATGAGTGCTTTATATATGCATATTAAGTAGGTTATTCTTTTTTTTAATATGAGCTACATTTTCAGTCCATTTCTTTGTATAATTTTTAAACTATATGGCACAATACAGTAAATATTCATAGGAGGTCGATAAACTATACAAGAAACAATTGGAATAAATCTGGTAGATTGTTTCTATTTAGACATTAACTCTGTTTATCATTTGAGGAATTCTCAGTAGTTGTACCAGAGGTGATTGATTATTAAATCTATTAATTAGATACAAAATACTAATATGTTCTGTTCAAAAGAAGTCAACAAGGCATAATTATCACACAAATCAACAACGAAGAAAGACACGTTTTAGGACATTTGAAAAAATCACACGTAGCTTATTTTCTTGAGAATCTTAATCATGACAAAACCTGGGTTTCACTGACTAGATGTGAAATGTGTGGGGCATTTGTTTACTACGTGTCTAAGCACGGTTAGAACTACAATCTGAAAAATGTTTTAATTGTACAGCCTTACAATTATTTCAATCTAAATATCAGAGGAGTTAATAACATCAATTAATTTCAAAATTATGCTTCTATTTTTGTGAGGCCAAGTATAAATTGTTTTTGGCAAAAAGAAAAGCTAGTTTTGCCTTTTTTTTTTTTGTAAGGCCTGCACTGGATTATGTGTTCTAATGTACAGAATGTTTAGCTAGGCTCAACCAAATTTGCTGTCAGATAAAAAAAATTAATAATTTAATATTTAAACCTACTGCCTCATGTGTTGTATGAAGAAATTACCTGATTTTTAAAAATCAATTTTATTTCACTTATGCTTTTCTTTAAATTAAGTATTTGAACGCTTAAGATTTGGTATAATTTTTATTTGATGGTCTTGAAAATTGGCTACAGTCTGTGGGAAATATGAAAGTTCACTTAACTATCTAAAAATTTTATCTACATGATGCCAAAACTCTATTTCATGGAATCTTTGGTAATTTTCTTATGGATTTCAACTTTTACTTATGTCTATTTTCTCCTCCTAGTATTATTTACGAGACACCTTGAAAAAAAACACTGCTAGTCTGCTTAAGAACTTAAGTGAGTATATGCACTCAACCCATCAGCTTTAAGCTATGAGAACATACTTTAAGATACATAATGTTTCAGGTCACAACAAAATGCAAGCTACATGCTGAAAGTCTCTGGGTCATGGCGTTGGTAGTTGCCATAGATTCTGGGATCAACTTTGCCATTTACCATCTGCATTTTCTTTTTCTTCCAAGACTATGTTTCTCTTGCTTTTGACTGACCAGTTGCATAAATACTTTTGGAATAAGCTTCTGATTAAATACCTACATGTAAAACTGCTAATGTGATTTGCAAAGCCAATAAAATACCCAAGAAATAGTCAGAACTGCTTTCCTTTAGCCTTTGAGAAAGTACAGTCTGCTTCCATAGGATAATCATATTGAATTTTAAAAGTGAGTTACCAACCACTGCTTTGCTTCCTCTCCCTAAATAGCAGGTATTAGCTCGAAAGAAAGTCAAAAGAAAATGGACAAACTGTGATCTGCCTTCACACCTTTAGTCAGTCTTTGAAAGTCCTCCTATCTGCAAGTGTCTCAAATAATTACTGAACCTTCACTCACATACATATTTTCCTAAATGAAGTTAGTAATCATGGAGGCTAATCAAAAGTTCACTGAATCAGCAGGGAATGTAATAAAGGTATTCAAAAACCAAGTAGGTGTTTTCTTTTGCTTAAAACACACACACACACACACACACACACACACAGCCTACCTCACTGATTCCAACAGGCAATTCAGCTCATAGAGAAGCTATAAGTCTATAATACCTGTCTCTGGGAAATGAATTAAATAATATATGCTCAGGCAAACCTGTGCAAAATTGTAAGTCTGACACATTGAACTTGATGGAACTTTCTCTCAGGAATTTCTGGCTTTCACTAGTAACCCCTCCTGTTGGACTTAGAGAATTGAGTCAACTAGGGATCCTGGTTGGAAAGCCATCCCTTTGCGGTGTTAACTGTAAACACATTATTTGTATTTTCACAGCAAACTCGAAGGCCTAAAGATTTCAAGACGTAAAGGACTAGTGGTTGCTTAGGGGGAATCTCAGGAAATAGACAAATTACTACACTTTTGGGGCATGTCCCTTCCAGCTCAGAAAGTTACCAAGTTTCCCTTTTGTCCACTTCCAGCCTTATCTGTGGGATTTCCTCCTATAACAACTGTTTAAAAGGTGTTGGATACTATTACTTTCATCAAATATGAGAGAAAGTAATGAACTTCTGATTTCATTATCAGAAGAAATGGTTTATAATTAAAACTCAAAAACTAAGTATATTCAGAAATAGAGGGGTGTTTTTTCTCTATTTTTAATAAGTTTCCTGGAATACTACTTAACTTTTTAAATTAGAACTGCACTCAGACATCTAAGGTAATTTATGATTGTATTAAGCCTACTTAAAATAAAATCCACCCTCTGTAGAATTTTTTAGCTGTAGAATATATATGCATATTTACATGCAGGCTTTTAATTCCTAAGTATTTCTTCTCTCATCAATCCTAGCCCCTCTTATTAAAAAAAAAAAAAAAAAAAAAAAAAGGCTTTTCCAGAACAGACAGTAATACAGTTAGAGCATTGTAATATTTTTCTCAAATTGTAGCTTAAAGACCAGAATCACCTGAGAACTTGTTAAAAATGCAGAATCTCAGGCCTCACCCCAGAATGCTGAATATGGAATTGGAATCTGCATTTGCATTTTAACAAGATAGCCAAATGATTCATACACACATTAAAGTGTGGGAAATGCCACTCTGGAGCATGAATGAAGAAGGGCAATGTAGCACAGTGGTTAGGAAAAGGGATTCTGGATCCAAAATGCCTGATTCAGATCCCAACTCCATCACTATACTAGACATGTGGCCTTGGGCAAATTACTTAACCTCTCAATACCTCGATTTCTTGATCTATAAAAATGGGAATACTTATAATACCTATATCTTTGGGTACTCATGAGGTCAAAATAAATATGAGTAAAACACAAACATACTGGCATATAGCAAGTGCTATACAAAGCTAGTTGCTTATTTCTAAATAAAATTATATTTTCTTTATATTATTATTAAGTATTATTAGGTATAGTCACCATTTTTAAAAAGAAAAAGCCTTCTTTTTTGTGCCTTTCGAAAAAACGTCTTGAATAATGGCATTTAAATTACTAAGAAAATAGTAGTATAGCAGCAGTTAGAGAAAAAAGGTACATATTTATTCTATCTTTTTAAATTGTGTGGTGTGAATGAGGCCAAGGCTGTGGGTTTAATCCCTTTATCAGTCTATTAGCTTCTCATAGGAAAAAATGAAACAAAGAACGAAATCCATTTTTTTCCACGGGAGTTTTCAGTGGAGAAATTCTACCTCCCCTACCCTCTTCTGAAACCGCTGCCTGTAAGCCCTCCTCAGCCTACCTCTGACCCCAGGAGGCCATCTCACAAATGCTTGGAATTGCCTAAAGGTGTATATCAGAAAAGGAGAAAAGAAAAATCTGTCAAGCATAGCACCAAAGACCAGAGAAAACAATGAGGAGGGGATGGGAGTTCTGATGATGTTTGGGTCAGTTACAAAAACCAATGTGGCGATTTATTAATATAAACAGTTTTGCAGCCACTTGTGGTTTTTGAAGTACCTTTTCCCACTTTATGTTTTGAAACAGAATGGCCTCCCTCCTGTACTCATTATAGAAACCAATAATAAAGTTCACGTCTTTTATTTGGAAGACAGTCTCTAGATACCTTATGATAATAATTGTGCTTTGAAGTGCTACCTTAATGCTTCTGTACTTTAGTCACTAACTTTTTGTTAGTAACACAGCATTATATCTGCCATTACGCTATATGGTAAATGTGTATACAGGAGCATGCTACCCTGTCCCAGAAATGTGGAGGTCCACAAGCTGAACTAAGCTACTGTGTCTCTGAAGCTTGAATCACTTGTCCCTTGGAAAATAGCTTGGCAGTCTGATAGGCAGCGACCTATAGCATTGGTGAGTGTTTGTCCTACAATTGAGCCTATGGAGGGAAGAGAAATATACGTGTGAAACTAATAAGCTAGAAACCAGAGGTAATTCCAATGGAAGGTGAGAGGCCAAGTCAGGCTTTTTATGGGGTCTCAGTGCTTGGGCACGGCAGGCAGTTAGCAAGTAAAGGCACCAGCCTTAAATGGGCTGCATGTGTTTGCAGGTATTCCGGGATGAGGACCTGGATGTGGAGGACTCTAGCATGAATTTTTTAAATATACTTTTTGACAAACCGTGAAAAGGCCAGTTTGTGAAGGAAATTACATGTCAATTTTTAAATATTTTTATCTTCACTTTCTAGCTCCAAGACACTAAAATTATCCTAAGAAGATAGCTAATAATAAGGTCAATTCATCACTGGAACAAGGATAAGCAAGGATTCTTATTTTCAAGATAAACATTTGCATTTAACAAATTTTATATGTTATCTGCATTTATTCCTTTTTAAAAGTGTGTTTTCAAATAATGACTTTGTATTTATAAAGAAGCATATATACTTTAAGGAGAGTACCAGAACCTGCTCCCACCTTCTTCTACTATCTCTTACCCTTTTCCCAATTCCTCCATAGCAATATCAACTTCACTGGCTTTCCATAAACTTGTCCTCTTTTCTGTCCTCGCCTGAAGTACCCATTATTAGATTTAATGTTTTGTTAAATAGCAACTAAATAATCATTAAATATAATTACAGAAGACTCTGTTACGATGCGTTCCTGTTTTCTGGGAATAAAAGGGGGTCTCTGAGAACTTCTCATTTATGCGTTTGGATTGTGGCTGGAAGTTCACAGGAGATGGCATAGGATGAAAAATTCCCATGGGGTGGAGACAGATTTTTCCTACTACATGGTTGTCTTTTGGCCTAGACCAGCCCAATTTATAATTCTTTTTCAGGAGTCTTGAACCACTGACAGACACAAAATACAGTACTCATTAATCAAAAGTTGTGTAAAAACATTGTAGATATGATTATACAGCCAATACAGAGAGATTGGAAATAGGATATAATTTGGAAGTTTATATAAATTAAATTTTAATAGAATAGAATAAATGTAAGCTTCCTTTCATTTAATGTTGTTCAAATTCATATTCTGGCTGTTTTTTTTTTTTTTTGTCTTTTTGTTCTCTCAGTTACTGAAAGAGTGGTATTAAAATCTTTCACTATGATTATACATTTGTCTATTTTTGACTGATTCTGTTCATTTTGGGTCATGCAGTCATGATATAAGGCATATACAAATGCATAATTGTGATGAATTCAGCTTTTCATCATCATGAAATATTCCTCATTATCTCTAGTAGCACTTCTTGTCTTAAAGTCTAGTTTGCCTCGTATCAGTATGGCTTTCTTTTGCTGTATGCATGACTTGTCTTTTTCTATCCTTTTACTTTCACTTTTTCTTTGTCTTTACATTTAAAGTGTGCTTCTTATACTCAGCATATAATTGGATTGCCTTTTTTTATCCAGCCTGGTAATATTGGGTTTTTAATTAAAATATTTAGTCCATTTTCATTTAATATAATTACTGATGTGGTTGGAATTAGATCTCTTATTTTGTTATTCTTCCTATTTGCCCCATTAGTTTTTTATTTCTTTTTTCCTCTATTTCTGCTCTCTTGAATTTGAATTCCTCTTCTAATTGAATTTTTAGCTATGGCTTTTGTCATTTGTTTTTAGTGGTTACTCTAAAGATTACAATATACTTCCTTAACTTGCCACACTTTAGAGTTAATGTTATATTATTTCATGTAAAATGTTAGAGCATTGAAACAGTAGAGTTCTACTTGCCACCCACATGTCTTTTGTGCTACTGTTGTCATATGTATTACACGTGCGTACATATAAACTCCATTATTTGTCTGTTTTTATTTGTACGTAATATGTTGCTTTTCTCTGGCTGCTTTCAAAATTTCTCCTTGTATTTGCTTTTCACTAGTTTAATCATCATGTGCCTAGGTTAGATTTTCTTTATATTAATCCTGCCTGGGATCCAATGAACTTTTGAATCTCTTAAGTATGTTTTTCACCAAATTTGGATTGTTTAGGAACATTCTCTCCTCACCTTCAGGAATTTCAATTACATATGTGGTAGACTGCTTGATATTTTCTCACAGATTATTGAAGCTCTGTTCATTTCTTTTTTTTTAATTAATTTATTTATTATTATTATACTTTAAGTTTTAGGGTACATGTGCACAATGTGCAGGTTAGTTACATATGTATACATGTGCCATGCTGGTGCGCTGCACCCACTAACTCGTCATCTAGCATTAGGTATATCTCCCAATGCTATCCCTCCGCGCTCCCCCCACCCCACAACAGTCCCCAGAGTGTGATGTTCCCCTTCCTGTGTCCATGTGTTCCATTGTTCAGTTCCCACCTATGAGTGAGAATATGCGGTGTTTGGTTTTTTGTTCTTGCGATAGTTTACTGAGAATGATAATTTCCGATTTCATCCATGTCCCTACAAAGGACATTTGTTTTTCTCTCTGTAATTGAAATAGGATGCTTCCTATTGATTTGTCTATACATTCATTGGCCCTTTTTATTCTATCTTCAACCTAATGCAATTTCATGAATTTTTCATTTTGAATATTATAATTTTTAGTTCTGAATTACATTTGTTCCTTTTTACAACTTCTGTTGCTCTTCTGTGATTCCTCATTTGTTCATTCATTATGGTCATACTTTCCTTAATGTAGTCAAGCTACTTTAAAGTCCTCATCTGCTCATTCTAACTTATAATCATTTTGGGGTTAATGTCTGTTGACTGATTTTTCTCTTAACTACAGGTCACAATTTTGGTATTGTTTTCCAATTTTTTTTATTATACTGTGAATTATTGTATTATTTTTCTTTAAAGAGTGCTCAGTTTGTTCTGGCAGGGAGTTAAATTACTAGCAGATTATTGACCCTGTCAGATTTGGAATAATTTATTTGCTAGGGCAGTATATTTTGACTTTGAACTTAACCCAATGATATGCCTCTTACTTTAAGGAATCATTCTTATTTCTAAGCTGTGGCCTTTCTGACATCTCAGATGCCTTTATTGCCCAAGAAAGTTTGTGAGGTTTCTCCATTCTGACTGAGCAAGGACTACAAAATCTTCTAGCACTATACAGACTTTGGTTTCACTATTCATCTCTTATCTCTGTAGCAACTGATCTCTTCTAGGCCTTACACAGTCTCACCCTATATATCAGCAGACCAATCTTTAGAAAAGGACCAATAGTGAGCACATACAGATGTCTAGCTCCTCCTACCATTTCCAACTCTACCATGTATAATCTCTGTGACCTCAAGTAAACACATTTTCCCTATGCCTACATTTCCATATCTTTCCATTTGAACTGAACTGTATTAGTCTGTTTTCATGCTGCTGATAAAGACACACCCAAGACTGGGCAATTGACAAAAGAAAGAGGTTTAATTGGACTTACAGTTCCACGTGGCTGAGGAAGCCTCACAATCACGGTGGAAGGCAAGAAGGAGCAAGTCATATCTTACATGAATGGCATCAGGCAAAGAGAGAGCTTGTGCAGGCAAACTCCCACTTTTTAAAACCATCAGATCTCATGAGACTCATTCATCATTATGAGAACAGCACAGGAAAGACCCGCCCCCATAATTCAATCACCTCTAACCAAGTTCTTCCCAAGACATGTAGGAATTGTGGGAGTTACAATTCAAGATGAGATTTGGGTGGGGACAAAGACAAACCATATCATCCTGTCCCTGGCCCCTCCCAAATCTCATGTCCTCACATTTCAAAACCAATCATCCCTTCTCAACAGTCCCCTAAAGTCTTAACTCATCTCAACGTTAACTCAAAAGTCCATAGTCCAAAGTCTCATCTTAAACAAGACAAGTCCCTTCTGTCTATAAGCCTATAACATCAAAAGCAAGTTAGTTACTTCCTAGATACAGTGGGGGTGCAGGCATTGGGTAAATTCAGCCATTCCAAATGGGAGAAATTGGACAAAACAAAGGGGCTACAGACCCCATGCAAGTCCAAATTCCAGCAGGGTAGTCAAATCTTAAAGCTCCAAAATGATTTCCTTTGACTCCATGTCTCACATTCCAGGTCATGCTGATACAAGAGGTGGGTTCCCACGGTCTTGGGCAGCTCCACCCCTATGGCTTTGCAGGGTACAGCCTCCCTCCTGGCTGCTTTAATGGGCTGGTGTTGAGTGTCTGCAACTTTTCCAGGCACACGGTGCAAGTTTTCATGAATCTACCATTCTGGGGTCTGGAGGATGGTGACCCTTTTTTCACTGCTCCACTAGGAGGTGCCCCAGTAAGGACTCTGTGCAGGGGACTCCAACCCCATATTTCCCTTCTGCATTGCCCTAGCAGAGGTTCTCCATGAAGGCCCCACCCCTGCAGCAAACTTCTACCTGGGCATCCAGGCATTTCCATATATCTTCTGAAATATAGGCAGCAGAGGTTCCCAAACCTCAATTCTTGACTTCTGTGCACCTGCAGGCTCAATGCCACATGGAAGCGGCCAAGGTTTGGGGCTTCCATCCTCTGAGGCAACAGCCTGAGCTGTACGTTGGCCCCTTTTAGTCATGGCTGGAGTGGCTGGGACACAGGGCACCAAGTCTGTAGACTGCACACAGCAGGGGGACCCTTGGCCTGGCCCACAAAACCATTTTCTCCTAGGCCTCCAGACCTGTGATGGGAGGGGCTGCCATGAAGACCTCTGACATGCCCTGGAGACATTTTCCCCATTGTCTTGGGGATTAACATTCAGCTCCTTGTTATTTGTGCAAATTTCTGCAGCTGGCTTCAATTTCGCCTCAGAAAATGGGTTTTTCTTTTCTATTACATTGTCAGGCTGCAAATTTTCTGAACCTTTATGCTCTGCTTCCCTTATAAAACTGAATGTTTTTAACAGCATCCAAGTCACCTCTTGAATGCTTTGCTGCTTAGAAACTTCTTCTGCCAGATATCCTAAATCATCTCTCTCAACTTCAAGGCTCCACAAATCTCTAGGGCAGGGCCAAAATGCCGGCAGTCTCTTTGGTAAAACATAACAAGAGTCATCTTTACTCTCCAGTTCCCAACAAGTTCCTCATCTCTATCTGAGACCACCTCAGCCTGGACCTTATTGTCCCTGTCATTATCAGGCTTTTGGTCAAAGCCATTCAACAAGTCTCTAGGAAGTTCCAAACTTTCCCACGTTTTCCTATCTTCTTCTGAGTCCTCCAAACTGTTCCAACCTCTGCCTGTTATCCAATTCCAAAGTTGCTTCCACATTTTCAGGTATCTTTTCAGCCATACCCCAACCTCAGTACCAATTTACTGTATTAGTCTGTTTTCATGCTGCTGATAAAGACTTTAAGAAATCATTCCTGAGACTGGGCAATTTACAAAAGAAAGAGGTTTAATTGGACTTACAGTTCCACATGGCTGGGGAAGCCTCACAATCATGGTGGAAGGCAAGGAGGAGCAAGTCACATCTTACGGAGATGGCGTCAGGCAAAGAGAGAGCTTGTGCAGGAAAACTCCCATTTTTTAAAACCATCAGATCTCGTGAGGCTCATTCGCTATCACGAGAAGATCACAGGAAAGATCTGCCTCCATAATTCAATCACCTCCCACCAAATTCCTCCCATAATACATGGGAATTGTAGGAGTTACAATACAAGATGAGATTTGGGTGGAGATGCAGCCACACCATATCGTGAACATTTTCTGAAATTCCATTCTGATTCAAAACAGAACAAAAATGTTTCTTTTAATTTATTTTGATAAATAATAACAATAGGTGGAAAACTAATTGTTTATATCTTTGTTGAACCTATTTACTTTTTCAGCTCTCAGAATTGACCTAAAGGAAGCTTAACATGGAAATGGTTAATGATTCTTTGGGAGAGCAAAAAGCATGAGACTAAGATGACTGAGTAGTAACAGCTGGAACAATACTATCAGAAAAGCGGGAGTCTGTTTTGTGCAAGACTAGGTTTTTTAATGGGAATAAATTTAAATCAAATAATTAGACATTAATGACCACCTTTCAAGAGCGCAGAATTTAGTGTCAAACTGACATTGGTTTTTAATCTTATTTCTACTCCCTCTAAGCAATACAACTTTGAGAAAGTTCCTTTCTCTTCACTTTATTCTCTTATATCTGCAACAGAAGAAAATGCATGTCAGTCACAGGAGTAGATTTTTTTTTTTTTTTTGCCTTTACACATTACATTCACCTTCTAGAAATAATAGAAAATTATCCTAAGGAGAGAGAAAATAATGAAGTCAATTGATATGTGTAAAAAGAAACTCAGGCAAGATTTATGTTGTCATGAAAAACACTTATAACAAGTGTTTGCCTGTTTTGTAGAAATATATATTTTCTAAAACATCAGGTCTATTGCCTTTTTTAATTATTGTAAGATCAGTTCACCTGAGATCTATTAACATTACAATTTTAAGTGTACAATACAGTATTGCTAATTATAGGATCCAAAGTTTTATAATATCATCTACTTTACAATCAGTGTGACAAATGAGAATACGCATGTACCGCAGCTGGCATAAGGTATAGGCACTCTGTGTGAGTTCATCCCTGCTCCATTCTGCATGCAAAGCCCTGTGCCCTGCAGCTGCTCCTGATTTGTTTAAGGCATTCTCCCTAATGGCATCCTCAGTTCTGTTAGAGCTTTAAACTACAATGACTACCAGGACCTGCTTGAGAGGCAAGTTGTAAGTGTAGTTTTGAAATACACATTGAAATTGGCCCAACATATTTCTTCCCATTCAAATATCCTTTTGAAATTTCCCACTTTCAGTATTTTGTATTGATATATCCTTGCTGGCTAGAAATTAGGAGGATATATAAATTTAAAATTTCCACACAAATCCATTTATGAATATAAGACTGTCTCACAACTCCTATAGGTTACACCAAGGAAAATGTTCCTTATGACCTCTGTGATGTTTTTGTTTATGTTTTTGTTGTTTTGAGACCAGGGTCTCACTTGATCACCCAGGCTGGAGTGCAGTGGCACTATCACGGCCCACTGCAGCCTCAATCTCCCAGCCTCAATCAATCCTCCCACCTCAGCCTCCTGAGTATCTGGGACTACAGGTGTTCACCACCACTAATTTTTTTATTTGGTAGATATGGGGTCTCACCATGTTTCCCAGGCTGATCTTGAACTCCTGGGATCAAGTGATCCTCCTGCCTAGCCTCCCAAAGTGCTGGGATTATAGGCGTGAGCCAGCATGCCCGACCAAATTCTGTGTTGTCTATCATTGTTATTTTTTTATATGTGACGAAAATAATCTCATGCTAACTCAGTTATATTTTGTTCAGTAGCCATTTTAAGTAAATCTTTTCAAAGTCCCTTAAAAGGAAAAGTAAATTATGTCTACAATTTGGCCACACAATAATTGTTAACCACCTCAGAGAACTCAACAAGGCCATAGTGGTTGTATGATTTCTTCTTACCCAAACTATGCAGCTTTTACCCCAGTAAGTGAGTTACATAAAGGTGTTCAGTGGCACTGACCCTGTTTTTTTATTCTTTTCATCTTTTTATGCCAGGAAAGCCAGTCTTGCTGATCTATATCTTGTTCCTAGGGTTTTCTCTAGAGTCCTTCTTACAGATGGGAATCCCATCAGCAATCTCCCAGTACTCTGACAAGGTGATTGTTTGCAACAACAGTTTCCACATTTGGCCAACAGCTCCACAATTTCATCCTTGAGTCCGTTCAAAACTCTTGGATGAATGCCATCTGGTCCTAGTGATTTATTTATGTCCAATTTGTCAACTTGGAACACTTTATGTACTCCTTACCTTTTGATCCGTTACCTCTGACCTGTGCAACTCGAACTTTATTCCTTTCTTTCTCTTTTCTAATCCTTTTTATTCCTCAAAGTCATCATGCAAAAATAATTCATTTCAAGAACTTTGCTCAATACGGTTTACAATCATTTCTCATTTTGGTTACTCAAATTACATGGCCAAGCTAAGTATTTCAGTTTTGTTAATTAAATGATATGGCCAGGATATGGGCAGTACTGCTAGGTAAAATTTTGGCATAGTGATCATCAGAACTGAAACATTAAATTAAAGGGATGGAAGGAAATCAATGTCCCTCTGTCTATCCTTATGTTATGATAACTGACCATTTCCAGAGAATTGGAAAGTGTCAATGAAATAGGATTTTCCATCAATATGACCTTTGTCAGAAAAGGCAAAAAAAAAAAAATCTCATTTCAACCATTGTAGGTTGAGTCAAACAATGCAGATAAGCATGCAGTTTATCTTCCAGTGTAGTTTAAGGTTTCATTTTGAATAGAGAGCTCCTGAAAGAGGCTGGGTATATTCTTAAACTTTATTGGATTTTTATTTCTCAAGAGAACAGTTGTTTGTGCTGATGGTCCTCCCATTTTGTCAATTTACATATTTTCTATTTGAAGCACTTCCCAAATTTTTCACTTCATGGAGTAATTCTTTACTTCTTGTTCTTCACTTCCTGCCAAGAACAGTTGGTGTGGACTGTTTGGTAATTGCCACTGTTAAGCCCTCTGAAGAGCCTTTATTCAAGTGTTAGATTTAGTGATTCTAGTTGCTGTTGTTCTGGTAGCAATAAAAAGGCAAATGATGAGCAGGCTTTCAACAAACAGCCCTTTATTGGTGCCAATGCTACCCTGGACTAACTCCACCCTAAATCGTTGTGGCATACAACTATAGAAACTCAAAAAGGTTTGAATAATAACAGGAACTCCAAAGTAACAAAACAGCTAGTGTACCCCAATGTCCTCTGGCATTACTATCCTGTGAGGACAAATTAGGTCACTTTAATGCCTGCTTACACTGAACTCATCTGATCAGGAGGACCTCAACCCCCAACAAGTGTTTCTGGGATGCTATAAACAGGGTGGTTCTTCAATGCTACTCTCCAAGCAAGTTCAACTCAGTTCTTCCTGTGCTACTTGAGTGTCCCATTATCCATGTCCTCTACTTGAGGCAGCCTCACCACAGCCCTTTCTGATAGTATACATCAAACTGCTAACGTATATGCTTAAGGTGCTACCTTTCACTGATCCCAAGGCTGCCAGTTTTCCAGATGTTTAAGTGGCCTTGGATTCTCTGCAAAGGTTGAAAAAATGCTTAGCTCTCTTGGGCCCTTTCCCTTAAAAAAAAAAAAAAAAAAAAATCACTGCTCAATCCCAGACTCAGTCTCAGGGAATGATATCTTTCCTCAAATCAGCTCTTTCAGCTTCTCTTCTTAACTCATTTCTCCCTAGTTTCTTTAAACTTGATCAAAGATTTGGGTGGGTAGAGTTGCTATGATGTTACCCCATCCCAGTCTTCATTGTCCTTATTAGTCCTGTGTCTCCTTACACACACACACACAAGCTCGGTGCATATTAACTAATTAACATAGGCCGGTAAATTCTCTGAAGGGCTACACACCAGTTATAAAACGCAGGCTTGCCCTTAGTATGAGCTCAGCAGGGACATCCTTTCTTATTAGTATTTGTCCAAGGTTCCTCTTGGCAAACAAAATACCCCTCTTTGTAGTTTGTGAAAAAGATCCTATCCTTATGAGAACTATAGTATGCTAGGACTAATCTGGAATTCTTTTAAGAATTAGATGAGGGGCCAAGACACTAGAACTTGGATTTTTTAAAATGCAGAAACATACCTGGAAACATTGCATATGCAGTAATTCACCTTCTGAAATTTTCAGGTTGATCAATATTTACTGAGTTTATGTATAGCCTAACTGTCTATAATGAACTTCCTAATTTCCAGGCAATTTATTATCATTTTGGCAGGGGCAATTTCTTGCTGACCTCCTCCTTATTGCAATATTCAGACCTTATTGCTGTTTGTCAGCAAAGACAAAAATAATATATTTATCACAACTATTACTATTCCTATATTCACTATTACTACTACCTTCATTTCTTCTCATTTACTATGTACGAGGCTTTATGTTAAGCACATTCCATATAGCATCTCATTAACCCCCTACAGCATTGTGAAATGGCTATATTTGCCCTTTTCAGATGAGACTGAAACTGACTTTGCCATCAAACAGTAATCATCAGCTTCCCTAAAGAAGGAGATTGGTTTTCATAGCACTATCTAGTTCTGTACTGTCCAAAAGAGCAGCTGCTAGGCACATGTGGCTATTTACATTTAAGTTAACCAAAATGAAATTAAAATTCATTTTCTCATTTGCACTGGCCATATTTCACATGCTCAATAGCCACATGTGCTAGCAGCTACTGTATTGGACAGTATAGATTATATAGCATTTCCATCATCATAGAAGATTCTGTTGAATTGTGCTGGTAGTTCTCCCTTACCACTGTTCTCCTTTCAGCTGAGAGCATCAATGCCCTGAGTTTTCCTGCTATGTTCACCTTTCCTGCCTTCTAGTGCCCTTGTATCCTGCAAACTGATCTCAAAAAAATGTTAACACAGCCTTATCTATTTGTGGGTATATGTTCCTTTGATAGGTTCTAAATGCATATGGTTATTGCTTAGCAAGAAAATACACAATTTCAGCCATTCTTCCAATAGTGAATATTTGTTTCACGAATATCCAGTTATGTTCTGCTTTTCTGTTGCCATATTTTTCTGCATTTTTAGAGATGAGCTCTCACTCTGTCGCCCAGACTGGAATGCAGTGGCACAATGATAGCTCACTGCAACCCCAGACTCCTGGGCTCAAGCAATTCTCCCTTGGCAGACATGATAAACAACAGTTAAGCTCAATCAGGTGCAACTCCAAGTATACCCTTAACTCAAATGGAGTGAAAACAATGTGGAGAGCCATGACCAGGTCCTCAAATACACAAAAATGAGAACCACATCACAACTGTTACCTGAAAGATGGTGATTGAAACTTGCCATCAATGGGGACACATCCTAATTTCAGAGCTTTTTAAGTATGAAAAGAAAAATTCACCTTAGAATGGGTAAAATGTGAAAGTGTTGAATCTAAACTCTACCACTGAAGTCCGTGTGGCTGTAGACAATTTATCCAACCTATTGAATCCTATTTCTTAATCATTAAAATAAGCACAGTAATATCTGTCCCCCAGGATAATTGTTTCAACAAAATAATACATGTAAATGACTCAGCACTTATTAAGCACACTTTTCATGTACTAGGTATTGTGCAGTAGGTTGGAAACATTGGATGAATAAGATTTAGTTTTTGCTCTCAAATAACTCATGGTCTTGGATAGGAAACAAACATGAAAATAAATAGTATATTGTAGAATATTAAGTATTATAGTTACTAAGTAAAAGATTGTAGATGTGGCACTAACGAGGGAGTGATTGATAAACTTTTGGTGACAGGGATAAAGGCAGCTCAGGGAAGGCTATCAGAGAGATCTGTGAATGTGAATTCCTTCCCCCCGGCCTCCCACACACCCGTCAATCATGAGTGAACAGCTCAGAGCAGAGGCAATGAATATTTTTTTTTTTTTAGAAAATGGTTTTATTTTATGGATTGTCAGTAGCAAGAATGGGTCACTTCAGGAGTCTTTATTTAATTTGCTTCAAAATAAAATAACAGTCTTTCAGTTATATGTAATTCAAGAAATTAGATGATAGATAGCAAAATCTTCACTCTGGCCCTTCCTCAAAGCAGCTTTATTTAGTTACTTACCAGAAATAGTAGAGAATGGATTTATACTTCCTGATCTTGTTATCTTCTTTTATTAGGATTTTATCCTTTATTTGCAAGAAAAGTGAGGATATATTTGGAGGCTTTCAGTGACCACTTGTCTTAGTCCATTCATGCTATTATAACAAAATTCTCAGACTATGTGGTTTTTAAGCAGCAGAAATTTATTTCTCACAGTTCTAGGGGCTGTGAAGTCCAAGATCAAGGTGCCAGCAGATTCAGTGTCTGGTGAAGGCCTGTTTCTTATCAATCACACCTTCTATGTCCTCACCTGGCATAAAGGGGAAAAGGGACATATACTGTGACCTCACATGGCAGGAGAGATGAAAGAGTCAGACAGCTCTACAAAGCCTCTTTTATAACACATGTATTCCATTCACAAAGGTGGAGGCTTTATGACTTAATCACTTCCCAAAAGGCCCCAACCTCTTAATGGGGATTAAGATTCCACATGGATTTTGGAGGGACACAGACATTCAATGGTTTACAACTATACTTCATTTGATTCTTACAAGTTTAAAATTATTTAGGAGGCAAAAAAGTGTTTTAGAACTTAACATCATGAACTATAATTACTATAACTTAAGAAACCTACAGAGAATAAAACATTTTACTTGACTGTAATAGGCCCTGGAATACAATCATTTCATATGAATAATTTATATAGTGCTAACACATTTTATTAAATTAAGTTTCAATATTTATTTTCCAATCATGTATGTAACATAAATTGTACCTATTTAGTATGTAAACCTAAACCAATTTCCTCTTTCATCATAAATACCTTCTGCATTTTTTATCTCAGCCCTAGCTTGCCATATCACTGCCTAACTCACCTATCCTATGGCACCTGCCTCTCATCATACCATTGTCTGTAGGAATCATTTGCATCCCTCCTTTGGAATTCCACTAGCTAATCTTCATTGTTCCAACATATTCACTTCATTTCAGACCATGTTATACCTTGTCAGCAACTCCCTTGATGTTGTTGCTTCAGACCTTCGCTGTCACCACACATTGGCCAGTTCATGCCTCAGGCAGCCGAAATCCATGCTCACTTTTACCCAACCTGTACAGTCCATTCTTCTCCATTCTGCTCCCTGGAACTGGGAGTCACCCCACCCACTTCCACCAATAGATTTGCCTCCCAGAAATTTCTATCCATCTTGGAACTATAATGCCTCATCATCATACAAAGGATTGGATTGTGTCCCAGCTGCAAAGATGAAATGTTGAAATATTAAATCTAACAGCATTTAAAATTCACTTGATCATTTTTAAAGTAACTGTGGTTCATGTTCAAGGTCTGACAGAATATCTGCTTACAGACATTTAAAAGACGCCACTTCTTCATAGGCTCCAACCCCATCTACTCTATTACCACCACTGCTGACAAATCTACTTGCTCTTCTGTGTGAAGCTGAGGATGTCTTCTGAATGGTGCCTGGTGGTGCTTGGGGATGGCTTGAGACACTTGCCAGAAATGCCTCTTTCCACTTGATACCTTCAGATCAGAAAATGGGAGCAGAGAAAATATATTTCATACTAAATTATATAATATTTCCCTTCCATCAACCTAGACTTATTATTTTGACCTGGGGGCATTATGTAAAGGCATTTTGTGTATACATACAGATAGACAGAATTGTTCTTAAAATCTCTCTATTTAGTATATTATGTATTCAGAGTTAGGATAATGTCTTTATTTCATTTTTGTCTTTTTTATAAACCTTTTGGAATACACTACCCAATTTTGGAGACTGTCCTATTTTGATGCCTTCTCTCCACCTCAGTGCTCTACACAGCAGTGCAGCGTAGCTCATTTAGATGTAATTAAGGTCAATGAGAATTTATACAACTCTATAGGTCTTGAGATTTCCTGCTTAGTACCAAATCAATTAATTATGAAGATATAACTTAATCTTATTCCTGTTTATCATGAGCTGAACATAAAGGAAGGTAAGGCACAGGCTTTAAATGAAACCTTAAAATAATTCTTGGATGTGTATGAATAAAGGCATTAAGAAATTTTTGAAAGACTGATAGGTAGTTTCATGACTTGCTAAGTTGGACCTTTTTATGAAATCTATTATTGTATAGCTCCATCCTTGTCTCACTTAGGTTAAATCAGGGCACACAGTTTTTAGATAATAGAATCACTGAAAACTCATTATTTAAATGTCTGAAATAATTATCAGTTGGAATTTCTGAAGAGAGATTTTACCAACTCCTAGTATTTACCTATTTCATGTATTTTCCATTTGAGTACTATTAAAAGCATATTTAAACAAGGTTAGTTTTAAACAGTTGTCAAGCCTATTTTTGCTCTGAAGTCACTTTTTCACCAAACCCAGGAGGCATAGGGCTGGGTCTGCCCCATTTCCATACCAGCAAATAGAGTATATTTCTACCTCTTCTAAGCTAAAAGAAGGGGGGCAGGGGTGTGTGTGTGTATGCACACATGTGCACGCTCATGTATGTGTACAACAGCATGTGTGTGTTAAGGAAAAAAAAATCTAATGTTTTATTTCTATTGTCCCCTCTCTTGGTCTTTTAAAATTAGGAGTTATTGAATTTTGTCCTACTAATAAGCATAATATATATTTATATGAAATTTAAAAATAAAGTACAAAGAATAAAATAAAGCCCAACAACAATATTACTATTCAGAGCAACTACCCTTATATTTAGTGCATTTCCTTCCAGTCTTTTCTCTGTATATGTATTTTTTCATGTTTTTGTTAAACAAAATTAGTCAATTCTGGATATTCTGTCTGATATTCTGCTTTTCTTTTTATAAAATAATAAATATTTCTATATTATACCTTATTCTTTTCCCCATGCCACTAAATATTTCGTGCAATGTCATTCATATTTTATCATATTCAATCTAACCTTTCCCTTATTTACGGGCATTTATGTCGTTGCCAACTTACTAAAATGATGCTTCAGTGAATACTCTTGGACATAAATATTTCCATACATCAACTGCCTTCAGAAGTAAAACACTGAGGGAACAGATGCTCAAATTTGCACCTCTGGTTAATATTTTGCTATTATTTATGTAGCTTTTTACTAAAAATCTGTGATGGCTGGAATATGTTCCCATTAACTTAAAAATCTGCCATTATGAATTTACTATTTATAATAGCCAGACAATCCTTCATTATGTCTAAATACAACATGGATTCTGAGTAAAAATTAAAATAAGTCCCCAGCCTTCTGCAATCTTGTTTTCCCATTTTCCACTGAAACAGTTATAGGAGATTTTCTTTCGTCTTCTGGAATTGCAACATCCAAAAATTCCTTCTCTTCCTTGGCCCGTGTGTAGCATGTGACAGGATTGACCCCATGTCCAATACCATTGCCCAAGAGCCTCCCGGCACATTCTCTTCTGGTTTTTCCTACCTCTCATCTTCTTTTTCTTCTCCCTTGCCTTCTCTTTCAAAACTGCACATTTTCCCCAAGATCTCCTCATTCACTCCCATTGCCTCAGTAACCCCTTGTAGAATGACTCCCAAATTTGTTTCCAGAGTAAAATATTTTTGAGCTTCAGAATCACACTTCCAACTGTTTATTAGGCATTTCCACTAATGGGATCTTAATGTTAATATATGCAGAGCTGAACTTACTCTCCTGTTCTTCCATTCTACTTCACCCAAACCTCTAATGTTCCTCTAATGTTGTGATAATTTAATTGCCATTTCTCATCATGTTCTAAATGCAAATCTGTATACTTGTGAAATATAAATGAATATGGATAATTTCAGACACCATTTTCTTCCACTAATGGATTGAATCTTTTGTCAAATTCAGCTGACCCGAATTACATATAAGGCCAGTGTCATTTGTTTGGACATATAAATTGGTCTTTACACAGATCAGAGTCCTAAAATGTCTAAGTGCAAAACCTAGAAAGAGAAGAACCTTAAAAGACTATCTAATACAACTTTTCTCATTTTACGGGTGAGGGAACTAAGACCCAAAGAAGAAAACTGGTTTTGTCAAAGTCACACAGCTACCTGGCACCTGACTTCAGATAACAGTGACTTTTCCTTTAAACCCTGTCTCCCTCTGCCTGCAGAATAAAATTATTGAAATATTAAAAGGTTCCCATTTGTTGAGAAGGCTTTCAGTCTCTGAAGGAAGACAGAGAGTAGAGATGGTGGTTAGCCACCTTTCGGAAGCATTCATATGTTTATATTTTAGGCTTCAAAAATTGGAAATTTATAAATCATCAAGAGAAACATACGGCTGCAGTTCACATTTGTGATATTTCTCCAAATAGGAGGTCTTATAAAACAATTTAGGTTTAAAAGCTTGAAAACAGTATTTTCTCCCTCAGGTAACAAACTGTTCTCAAATATTTTGGAAGTGCTCTTTTGTACATACACAACTTGGATGGTTGCCTAACCTAATGTTGCAATTTCATCTTCTGTTACTGCCCTTTTCTCTCAACCCAGTGAGAGAAACAGTGACTAGAACCTGCCCTAGTTCCATCCAACTCTTTGCCATTTCCCAGAGTAACATTTCACACCCCGCTAATGCTGGTCATGTTGTTTCCTTTATTTTAAATTTCATTACTTGTTACTTTATCCTTCCTTTCTAACATCTAAACTCCAGCTCATTCTGCATAGCACAGCTCAGATGTCACCCATTACCTCCTCTGTGAAGACTCTGGAGTGCCCCAGGCAAAAGGAATCCCTTCCTCATGTAATTCCTCAAGCACCGTGATCATTTATGCCAACTTCATTAGAGATGGCTGTTTGCCTGTCTGTCTACTGCTTCCCCTTTGACCACAGGCTGTGAATCTACTCAAGGAGAACCTGCTGGCTCTTATTTGCTCTTACAGCTCCTGCACCTAGTGCCAAAGCTAACTCATAACCCTTCTTAGAGGATCGATTGTTCAAGGAATACTGAAATGACTCTTTTCATTGATTATAGAGTTTTATCAATGCATTGGAAGAGGAATCTCCTTAGATAACACTTGGTTAGTTGCAATAATTTTATAGACTTGAAAGCGATAAACATATTATTCTCTTACAATGCCTTAAAGTTGCACTTAACAATTACCTATCTCCACTTAATGTAAGATTTTATTACAATAAAGAAAACAGTTTTAAATTGCCAAAGCCTTAGGACCAAAATTTATACCGTCATTTAAAAAATGTAATGTTGATTTGCAGCCCAGTAAAATCATTATAATGTCCAAAATGGTAATATCTAGTCTTACTTGGAATATTAGTTCCTTTCTCCTTATTCATTTAAATGAAGTCAAGAATCAGGGTTTGATATGCATAAGTGTACACAAAAAGCTTTATGCATAGTACCTTAAGAACTATTTCCATCCCAAGGCTATTAAAGGGCCAAAAGATACTTAAACTTATCCATGTTCTAATTTATATTTCAGCTAAAGCTCCACAGGAAAATATGAAGACTATTGGTTGTTCCACACAAACCCAACGCAAGAAATGACCCTAAGTGATAAATTATCACTTTCGTCTGAGAATGCTTACCAAAAAAATGCCTTCATTTTAACTGGTTTGTTTTTTCTTGAGCTTATGACAGAGTGAATTCTAGTTGGTCAGTCTGCCAGTATTAGTTATTAGCCTACTGTCAAACTTTAGCTATAACATGTGTATCATTTTATTGTTGGTATACGACAACCATTCTAAGTATTAAGAAAAGTTTATTCTTGCATTTGATGATGCCATGTTTTTTAACGCTGGAAAATTCAAAGATAAAGTAAGAAATCTCAGTTCAATAACCCAGGTTCACCAGGTTATATCTTCTGAAACTGAATTCAATTTATACAGTACGAGATGCTATCTTACTGCATAATGTAAAGTGAAATGCTGTGTTGTGAAGTTGTGTTATGCCAAATTCTAGATAATATCACTCAACCCTCCCTTGACTGGCTTTGAAAATGAGGCTGCTACATAGGGCTCATTTCTTTAATACTTAAAAGAAAAACAAATTCAGTCTCCTGTGAGTCAATGGCCAAATTCTCTTTACTGAAATGCTTAAGTAACATGCTATTTTGTAACAATAATGTATAGTTCTCTGAGGCTATTTTTTTCTGGATATTTTATTTGTTCAATATTAAGCTTTTATCATTGTTGATGGCATGTTACTGACCATCAACGATAACATCTTTAATTATCCCAATATGCTAATGACAATACATTGTTTATGCTTATATTTATAAATTAGCTCCCGAGCAATTATGAAGGTTTATATATATTATATTCCCTTTTTGATTTTTATTATCTTTGATCTTTTGACTGACTACTGTCTAGTCATCATCTTTCATGGTCTTCTTTCCCACAGAATCTGCCATAATTCTTCACTTGCTTTTTTTTCCCCCAGGTAGTGATTCCTTTCCCATCTTACTCTTTTTCTCCCTGAGCTTTGCATCCTGTGTATTTTAAAGAAGGGCAATTAATGTATCCATCATCCATCATTTAATTATTATGGATTTATTTCTTCATCAACTATGTACTGAGCATCAACTGTATACCAGGCAGGTGGTGGAAATCAAATGGAAGAGTATCCATAGTTACTGAGACTAATTTTTTTAAAGCCAAAGTATTTAGAATCCACATCCTGGAAAAGGGGGCAATGAGAAATGCTGCCATGGAAACAAAGATGATTGAAACACAACCCTGGCCTTCTAGGATCATTTAATCTAAGAAGGGAGAAAGACATGTTGACAAATGTAAGCTGTGTCGTAGAGAATCAAGACATTCATTCTGGTGACTTTGCATTGCAGATGTAAAATGTTATTTTTATATTCATAACTTTACTATAGTTATAACAGCAGATTATTTATAGCAGGGTCGAGTTTTAATCCCGCTTATTCTGTAAAGTCTTCGCCAACTATTTCCTATATTTCAATACCTATTTTACTTATGCCTGTATCACACATTTTAACAAATCTTTTAGTTTTCAAATGGTGGAAGCAACATGATGTGAGAGCACAAAGTGGAAGCACCCATGGCTCCCCTTACTATTCTTTTAGCTTTCCCGGGGGTCGTGGACTGAGACCATCAGCTTTCCTTCTTTGCATGGAATCCATGTTCCATTAGCTGATGACGGTCCTTTCAGGATCCCAGCACAGCAGGGCGCAGTACACAACTTTTCTTCTTTTCTACTCTTTCTAATCAAATATAGCAAACTAGTTAACATTTTACATTATTTTCCTGTTAATATGACAGAAAAAGAGTTTAATTGAATAACAAATTTGTAAAGCTTACAAAATAATTTAGTTCTTTTATTAGGAATGCGCCAGAGACTCGGGTCGGGGCAGGGTCTGGGAACATATGCAAAAGCTTCCTTCAAGAAACATGTACCTAAATCTGCGTGTCTCATCTATATCCACACTACTCTTTTTATGATAGCTTTCTGTCATTCATCTTGTCATTTAACAAATATCAAAAATGAGACTTTAAACACAGATTTTGAAAAACTGTTTGACTCTTTAAAAGAATGTACCAAAGGATGGGAGCAATGTGTGTAATAAAGGTCTTTGTTCAAGAGTAAATGGATTAGTCTTGATGGTTTTATTTTCTTCACTAAACCTACCTCTTACTTCTTCAAAGTTAATTTAGCTTTGAGTAGACTGGTCTTTTTTGTGATGCCCCTGAAGTACAGTGCGAAAGCGCAGGCTTTGGAATCTGTTGGGCGTGGATTTAAAGCACTACTGTGTGAGTTTAGGCAAGTTCTTTCACTTCTACAGGACTTCACTTTCTCATCTATAAAACGAGAGTGATTTCTTGCTCATTCTTTCAGGCATCTATTTATTCATTCAACAGAAAGGTATTGAGCATTCTGCGCTGTAGAAATCATGCGGTGTGTTGAGATTTTAACACCTAAAAAAAGACACAGGGTCCTAGTCCTCATGATACCTATAATATAGTTGGGAATATAAATAGGTATAGACAGACAAATTTAATACATCATGAAAAAGCATTGTGATAGAAAGGTGCTATGCAAACCCACAGGAAAATTAAATCATTACAAGGATTAAATGAAATAATGTAGAAGAGTGTATGGTAGTGCCCATCTTAGTGGATGCTCAATAATAATTGTTGTCTTTGGTCTCTCTGTTGATATTCTAACCTCATCCTCTACTCTCATGCCTTCTAACTGTAAGTTAAATTCATAGATGGTCTGTAGTAGTATTATCCAGTAGAAATACAACATTAGCTACAACTATGTATGTAATTTCAAATTTATTCTAGTTGCTACAATGGAAAAAGTAAAAAGAAACATGAAATGCATTTTAATAATACATCTAATTTAACTCATTTCAAAAAGATTATCATATATAATCAACATAAAATTATTTTTAAATTTTTGCGTTACGTATTTTACTTTCCATCTTCAAAATTTGATGTGTATTTTCTACTTTTCAGCACATCGCAATTTAAACCAGCTACCTTTCAAGTGCCCAGTAGCCACATGTGGCTAGACTGCCAAATTGGATCCTACAGGTCTCTGCTTACTAATTGACCAAGGTTACACTTTTTAAGAAGCAGTGCCCTGTAGGTACTGTAGTAAGCCTCTAAGAGATCTTTAATTAATTAACCAGCACCATTTTCATCCTTTCTCCATCCCTCCTTTTCTCAGGTACTGGGTATCAAAGATAAACTGCAGGCTGTGGACCTTGCCCCTCACTCCCATCCCCAATTCACTATACAGTGAAGGAGAGAAACCAATGAGTAGATAGCTTACAACATATTATAATTGCTTGGAAACAGATAAAGTATAAATGTGTTTTATTCTTAAAAATTGCTGACAGATCTTTGTTCTTACCGTAAAAAATGAGAAGTATATGCATATGTTAATTAGCCTGATTTAGCCATTCCACCTCGATTTAGCCACTCCACAATGGCACAGTAGTTCAGAGTGTCAATTTGTACATGATAAATATATACTGTTTTTATATTTTTAATAAATATAATATTCTTACAGAAGAAATAGAAGACAGGGAAAATGTGTATGAAATTGGATGATAAGCATAGAAGGGAGGGAGTTGCAAATTACCTGGAAATATCTGGAATGGTCTGCATTTTAAGGCAGAAAAGTTAGACTATCCCTTCTATGTCAGGTTCCCCTGCTTCAATAAATAATATGCTTCTTGGCTTATTTCCTGCAACAAAGTACAAGGTTCCGAGGAGGGGTCTGTCTGGTAACAAAAATGATCTCTGGCATCCTAGAGGAATGATCTCTGGCATCCTAGAGGAAAACCAGCCCTGAAGCTCCTGTGATTAGAATTAACATAAAGGCACCTCAGTAAGAGACACCCTGACCTGACTTACTTCCTACTTGTTTCAGTTGGCTGCAATGGACTTTTCTTGTGTTTTTGTCAATATGCAAATCCCTCTTCAAAGATGTTAAAGCCAATAATATTGAGTAAATACGTTGGAATTTAAAAAAAAAAAAAAAGTAGAAGAAGCTGCAGCAGCTTGATAGATCAATTTCTTGTTAACCCCAAACCCATTTGTTGGTAACTTGACCAATTCGTTACTCAACTCCACTGGAAAGCTTTTGAAGATCAGCATCATTCCCTTTTTGAGTCCATTAGCCTCATGACATGAGGGGGATTCTGTAATATTGTGAGATCCATAAAAGAAAATGCTTCAAAAACTTTTTATTCATAACTTGGATTTGGGAAGATAAAAAAACACCTTTTAACAAAAGGTGACTTTTTTTTTATTTGATATTTTTCAAAGTCTAGGGACCTAATGGAAAGTTAAACATAGGGTAAAAATGTACACCGATCAGCTGTTTTCACTAAGCACGCTATCCTGTGACAGATGCATATTTAACTGAACTCAGTGAGTAGAGCATCCTGTGAACAGAACCCAAATCTGACTTGGCCCTAAAGGAGAAAGACTGCATGACTTCGGATCCTTCCTTTCTCATAAGCAAAGAATTTGCACCTGCATTGAGTTTGTGGAAGACTTACTTCAAAAATATATTCACAGTCTTATTTTTACCTTAATGATTGCTTCTGAAAGTGTGTTTGTAAAATCAATGTATAAAACACATATTTCTGGATCTGAATATTTAGGATGTTATCACTGCTTCTTCAGAAGAGGATTTTTTGGGCTTTTTTTGTGCTGCATGTCCATGAATTTACAGCACAATAAGGAAACACTTAGAAAATGTTTATGGTGTGTATAATCTTATACAGTGACAATGAATATTACAACATGGTCATGAATTTAGGAAGCTATGTAGTATTATATGTCAATAGACATTGAACATCCCTTTCACTCTTCCAGATGTTTATGTTAGAGCTCACAGCTTTATCCTTACCATAGCTACAATAAGTTTACAGCTGTGTAAAGTGTTTGGCATGTGGTAAAATGGCTCTCCTGAGAGAATAATAACATGAATCTATCATGGTAGCTGACTGTAAAGCCTAGCTTAGATAATGTAGGAAATGCAAGGAATGCTAACTGATCATAATACAGACTTATAGCAATCTATGAGGTGGCTAATATCAAAATTTCCAAGGAAAATGACATTCTATCTTTCATGTCATAGGAAACTCATAAATCACTAAATATCAGCCGGCAGAAACCATTTAAAATCATATTTTTTCTATCACAATTTGTTTTACTGTGCTATGTTTTGTTAGTCCAAAGGGGAAAATATGTGATTAATTTTTGTCCATGTTTTAAAGGAAAAATGCATGCCCTGTATAAGTGTTTAAAGTTTACAAACACAACCAAACTTACAAAGCAAGGTCGGAAATACAGCTCCTAGTTACAAAGGTTAAATTTAAATACTGTTATTTATTTGAAGCAAGTTACTACCATCTGTGTTAGAATAGAGTTGGAGGCATGGAAAAGACGGAGGACAGGTCATGGACTGTTTTGCTCGTAAATGAGAATTAAAATGCTTATTTGGAGGGTCTCAATTTTTTTCTTGTTCATTAATATATCTATAATTTACTGTCTTTTTAATACATTGGAATCTCTAGGATGACGAGTCATTTTCAACAAAGGTCATTTAGACATATAATTATTTTTCAAACTTTTACATATAAGCTAATAACTAAACAGGCACTTTTTCTGTGGTCCTCTGATTGAAGGCAATTGTAAACTAAATTCTGATGTTTTATGAAATTATTCACCAGCTCCCCATTTCTCTGCATTTTATAGTAATTTGTTATCAAAAATGTATATTTTCTAGGCACATGGTACAGATACTAACTTAAAAGGCTTATTGTTTTTTGTAGACAATTGTCTATTTATTGTGCTTAATAGACTTTTGCAAGTCAAACATAGAAATGCAAAAAAGTCCATGTGTAAGGTTTATTCACAATTAAGAATTTTTTAAATGTGTAAAAATATGAGTTTGTGAAGGCATCGTCTATTATTTTAAGTGTATTAAGATGAATAGTGTTTTTCTCCAAATAAGAATATTTTTGGTTTAAAAAAGCTAAAAAGGTTTTATGTTTAAGGTTAAACTCTAATAGGTAATGTTGTAAGATTTTCTATAATTGCTTAGGTATCTCTAGTATTTCGTAACTGCTCTTGACACATGTAGTATACAAGCTGAAGAGAGTCAGCTAAAATTCCATAGTTTTGAGTTAGAATTACCTTGTATATTTTGAAATATTCTTGGGTGAGTTCTGAATATAAAGCATATTTAAAATCAAATGAAGCTTACTTAATTTCATAGAGAAAGTGGTCAAAAGACAGGACACTATCATTCAAATCTGGCTTATAACTATTTTAAGGTTTGTGCCTAACTCATTGATTTTATCCACACTGAAATGACTGTTAGAACCAAAAACAATTTTCTTTCAGAATGAAATTATTTCAGAGATTTCTCAGAAAGTATCTAACATAAATTTGAGGACAGAAATAGTATGTAAGTAGTGCTTGTTAGCCTAAAAGGAAGCTAAGTTTGCATAAATTAAAAAGTTGAATCTATATTCCACTCTAGAAAACTGATGCAAATTTGTTGCCTGAAATTCTCCAAAATTTTAGGAAAAAATGCTGTTGGTGGGAAGCAGTTCCTTAGAAGTCAAAGAACCCCAGTTGTTTGCAGTTCCTCAGTAAAGGAAGAAACCATTAACGAGTTAACTTGATGGGGTTGTTTGATTTTTTTCTTGTAAAATTGTTTAAGTTCTTTGTAGGTTCTGGATATTAGCCCTTTGTCAGATGGGTAGATTGCAAAATTTTCTCCCATTCTGTAGGTTGCCTGTTCACTCTGATGGTAGTTTCTTTTGCTGTGCAGAAGCTCTTTAGTTTAATTAGATCCCATTTGTCAATTTTGGTTTTTGTTGCCATTGCTTTAGGTATTTTAGACATGAAGTCCTTGCCCGTGCCTGTGTCCTGAATGGTATTGCCTAGGTATTCTTCTAGGATTTTTATGGTTTCAGGTCTAACATTTAAGTCTTTAACCCATCTTGAATTAATTTTTGTATAAGGTATAAGGAAGAGATCCAGTTTCAGCTTTCTATATATGGCTAGCCAGTTTTCCCAGCACCATTTATTAAATAGGGAATCCTTTCCCCATTTCTTCTTTTTGTCAGGTTTGTCAAAGATCAGGTGGTTGTAGATATGTGGTATTATTTCTGAGGGCTCTGTTCTGTTCCATTGGTCTATATGTCTGTTTTGGTACCAGTACCACGCTGTTTTGGTTACTGTTGCCTTGTAGTATAGTTTGAAGTCAGGTAGCATGATGCCTCCAGCTTTGTTCTTTTGGCTTAGGATTGACTTGGCAATGCAGGCTCATTTTTGCTTCCATATGAACTCTAAAGTAGTTTTTTCCAATTCTGTGAGGAAAGTAATTGGTAGCTTGATGGGGATGGCATTGAATCTATAAATTACCTTGGGCACTATGGCCATTTTCACGATATTGATTCTTCCTATCCATGAGCATGGAATGTTCTTCTATTTGTTTGTGTCCTCTTTTATTTCATTGAGGAGTGGTTTGCAGTTCTCCTTGAAGAGGTCCTTACAAGGAATCCTTGTAAGTGGGATTCCTAGGTATTTTATTCTCTTTGAAGCAATTGTGAATGGGAATTCACTAATGATTTGGCTCTCTGTTTGTCTGTTATTGGTGTATAGGAATGCTTGTGATTTTTGCACATTGATTTTGTATCCTGAGTCTTTGCTGAAGTTGCTTATCAGCTTAAGGAGATTTTGGGCTAAGATGATGGGGTTTTCTAAATACACAATCATGTCATCTGCAAACAGGGACAATTTGACTTCCTCTTTTCCTAATTAAATACCCTTCATTTCTTTCTCCTGCCTGATTGACCAGACACTTCTCAAAAGAAGACATTTATGTAGCCAACAGACACATGAAAAAATGCTCATCATCACTGGCCATCAGAGAAATGCAAATCAAAACCACAATGAGATACCATCTCACACCAGTTAGAATGACAATCATTAAAAAGTCAGGAAACAACAGGTGCTGCAGAGGATGTGGAGAAATAGGAACACTTTTACACTGTTGGTGGGACTGTAAACTAGTTCAACCATTGTGGAAGACAGTGTGGCAATTCCTCAAGGATCTAGACCTAGAAATACCATTTGACCCAGCCATCCAATTACTGGGTATATACCCAAAGGATTATAAATCATGCTGCTATAAAGACACATGCACACGTATGTTTATTGCGGCACTATTCACAATAGCAAAGACTTGGAACCAACCCAAATGTCCAACAATGATAGACTAGATTAGGAAAATGTGGCACATATACACCATGGAATACTATGCAGCCATAACAAAGGATGAGTTCATGTCTTTGTAGGCACATGGATGAAGCTGGAAACAATCATTCTCAGCAAAGTATCGCAAGGACAGAAAACCAAACACCGCATGTTCTCACTCATAGGTGGGAATTGAACAATGAGAACACTTGGACACAGGAAGGGGAACATCACACACTGGGGCCTGTCATGGGATGGGGGGAGGGAGGAGGGACAGCATTAGGAGATATACCTAATGTAAATGACGAGTTAATGGGTGCAGCACACCAACACGGCACGTGTATACATATGTAACAAACCTGCACGTTGTGCACATGTATCCCAGGACTTGAAGTATAATTTTAAAAAAAAAGTTAATTTGATTGTTTAAAACAAATATGTCATAGAAAAAGACTTAATAAGAAAATCAAATTTGATAAGTAATATGTTAAATTTATACCAATATATTTTTAAAACTTGCCTTTAATGGTATTTTCTCATATATTACATATTTGCATGAAATTTTTCATATGTTGTGTATACCAATATACTTATCCAAGTATATGGAGAATAAATTTATTAATGTGCTTAACAATTATTAATACATGAAGTTAATAATATTCATTTGTAATTATTGACTAGTTTGCTATTTAATTTGAGCAAGAATTAAAATTAGTTGGTTGACTTATAAGTTTAATCTGTGTTTTTAGATTTATCTGGCATCAGCTTCACACATTAAAAGCCTAGGAAGAAACCAACCACTACTGAAATGCAACAGCAAATACTTAATATTATCATAAACTTTGTAACACCATTGGGAATAAGACTGTATAGCATGATATTAGTTGAAAATTCCAAATGCATAAATTGGAGGAAAGAATGGGACTGACACATGTATGGGTGTGCATGCACACACACACGCCCGAGGTGGACACACACACATGCATACCCCAGGTGGAAACATACATGCCCCAGGTGGACACACACACACACACACCCCAGGTGGATACACACATACGCCCCAGGTGGACACACACACATACACACCCTAGGTGGATACACACACACCCCAGGTGGACACACACACATACACATCCCAGGTGGACACACACGCACACACCCCCCAGGTAGGCAGACACACATACACACCTCAGGTGGATACACACACACACACACCCCCCAGGTGGGCACACACACATATGCCTAGGTGTCAAGCACAGTGCTGGACTTCTCAAGGAATACATAGTAATGGGAGACAGGTATGTAAACAAATAACTTTAATATAAGAGAATCTTTGTAATAGAACATGCCGTGGGAGCAGAGGCAGTAATTCTGTTAGGATCGGGAGCAAGATAAAGGCATAGAAGAGGGGAACCTCTGCACTCTAGAGGTTGAATAGGACTTAGGACTCAACAAGACAAGTAGAAACACATTGAAAAAAAAAGCCATTTTCTAACCTGTTATCTGGGAAGGAGGGAAGAAGGGAGAAAGGGATAGAATGTTGTAACTGCTTACTCATACTCCACTTACACCCTACAAGGTGTTTAAATACTTTCCTCAGTCCTGTGTGGTAGGTATTATTGTCTCCATTTTTAAAGAGGAGAAAATACTTATTTATCTTAAATTCTATAAAATTTAAAATAAATTACTAACAGCTGTCGATGTATTCTATAATAAATTTTACCCATTAAAAGAAGGAGAAGGAACTATAAGCACATGGATAAAGTCTTCCTCAAATGAAAAGTGAAACAAGAAATCTAAAAAGATAAAAATAAGAGACTATCAAAACTTCTGAATATATGTAACGGGAATAAAGCATAGAAGAACTTACACAAAAAGACTGTCTAAAAAGAACAGAGCACTAACAGGGCACAAGAGTTGGTTCAACAAAATGAGAGAGAGAGGGGGAGAGAGACAGAGAGAGGAGACAGAGGGAGAGAAGAATTCACATGTCTAGTAAACGTAATTTTAAAATGTGTAGCCAAGCCATTACCAAAGAAATGCAAGTTAAAATATTAAGTGATTTCATCTTAGGGGTTGAAAGATTGCAATCCTCAATACCTGTGGCAAGGTCAAGGTTGCTGGTGCGTATTGATGATTCCCAACTGCTTGGGGAATCCTTCTGTCCTTCCATTTTGTTTTCCTCATGCTACAGATCCATCCCGAAAAGTACTGATTTTTTTTTTTGGTTGTTGGTGGTGTTTTCAGTCTCCAGGAATTTTGTTTCTTTTGCGAAGGGGACTAAAAGCACCCTCGGGTTTCACAAAGCTAAGGCTCTTGAGAGTTAGAAAATTTTATTTTTTTTTTCAAAGGAATGGAAATAAGAAACCATTCTAGATAGAAGCTGACATGTGAATTGTCATGTAAGAACTTACGAGGTAAATACACAGAGAAAGGAAATCGGCTTTCCCTAGTCTTATGCCCTGGTTTACATTTGACTATGACAGCGAGAAAGATAAGGTTCTCAGAACTGACTGACATCATATTAAGCAGCAGGATGTCATAGGAAATAATATACATAAACTTAAATCTTGTTTCCCTGAACCAGAAATGCCCAGAAAACTACTTAAACATTCACTGCTAATAAGTTAGCCGTCCTACCAAAAAATATTTCTCCCAATCATGTGTGGATAATGATGTCACATGTCACTTCCAACCTAAAAATATCATGATGGACCCGGATGTCATTAGTAGGCTAAATTTGTCTCAGAATTAACGCTGCTCATCATCAAATATTGCCTAGAATTTTAGTATAATCTGAATGATTTAACTAGACCACTTTCATGAACCTGATTGTCTCCAGACCATTTTTTCTTTTATTAAAAAATTGTGTGAATAAAAACACAAGATCTGATTATACATTTTTTAAATTTCACTGCATTCATTTCCCAAGTCCCAATAACAAATGATTTAAAAATCAGATCTGTACACTAAATAACTAATTTTAGTTAATTAAGATTGACAATATATTATAATCTATTTTGTGAGAGATTATTTGAGCTGAATGTACTTAAAAATGACTGAAGTAAGTAGATAATAGAGTATTTTTGTTGGAAGAGGAACCTAGAAACATTGTTTTCTGCTGCTGCTGAGTTTAAGTAGAAAGCCTCCAGTCACAACGGACCATTATGTTTCTAATTGCCCTTATTAACAGAAGAAAAAGAAGTGAAAGATTTTCTCTGGAGAATCTTAGAGAACCTACTGTTTCCAAACAAGCTCGATGGTATTGGTCCATACATTTTATATTTACAGGTTAGGTTTTGTCATCAGAAAAACAATGGTGAGGCAGAAAACTGCACAAATCAAATGCAATCAGGTATTTATGAACAAAATGTAGAGGTTACTGTCTTTTTTACTTAGAAGAGAAAAACTGACAAACCAAAGATGTTCCTACATGGTTTTTTGGTTTTGTTTTGAATTGTTTTGTTATTTTTTTTTGCTGTGTTTTACCTTGAGAGTTCTGGATCTTAAACATTTGCTTCACTGATCAACAGTGATTGAGCTGTGTTCATGCGCTTGTGTTTTTATCCATGGTAAATGTTATGCCTTTTTTTTTTTTTTTTTTTTTTTGATACAAAGTCTCACTCTGTCAACCAGGCTGGAGTGCAGTGGTGCAATCTCAGCTCACTGCAACCTCCACCTCCCAGGTTCAAATTATTCTTGTGCCTCAGCCTCTCAAGTAGCTGGAATTATAGGCATGTGCCACCATGCCTAGCTAATTTTTGTATTTTTAGTACAGATGAGGTTTCACCATGTTGGCCAGGGTGGTCTGGAACTGCTGACCACAAGTGATCCACCCACCTCAGCTTCCCAGAATGCTGGGATTACTGGCATGAGCCACTGCACCCAGCCAATATCATGCCTTTTTTGGTAAACTACTAGCTCCCATTACCTCGACTGATGCAAATAGTGCTTCTTACCAGAATATCAACACTTAGCATTCTATAGATGAAATCCTACTGTGTTCAAAAACATTTTTGTGCATTTCACAGCATATAACACGAAGATTTCTACACTTGGCAGAGAAATGTTTCAAGTTTTCAACCTTAAGCATTTTGTATGTGTGTATAGCATTAGGTTGAAAAGATCTTAGTATTTCTGGGATTTCTGGGTGTGTGTGTGTGCACACACCCGCATGCATGTGTGTGTTGTTCAGGGTAGAATGTAAGCGTTTTAGAATGTTTTTTCACTGAATTATTCCTTGGTGTTATCCAATCACCTAAATGTTCATATTCTGCACTGTGGATTTTTCATTTCTTTATTGCATCTATCCTTCACTAGCTCTGTCATGAATATCCATTTTTAGACACATTAATTCTAAATCTCATATTTGAAAGAAAAGCATTTTACTTATTTAAAAGTAACTGGAAAGTATTGCCTGGTATCAGGAGATGAAAAGATTTACAAAGATGAGAAAAAAGATTGGTTCATTGTCAAAGAAAATTTGCACTGGGTGGAGTTTACAATTAAACGGGCAAGGAAGACTTTATTCAAGATCACTGCAATAAGGGAGATTGAACTCAAGTGCCCTGAAACAAAAAGCAGGAGGATTTTTAAACACTAGGGTGAGCTGGTGGAAAACTACTGGAGGAGGTGGGAGGGGTGAATTTTGTCAGTGTAATTAAGCCATTTGGGTTTGCTAATTGGTACTTAGGAAAGTTAGGCTCCTACCTTTCCACCAAGACTGAGAGTTGGGGCCCTACCTTTCTTACTACGTTTCAGAAAGATGGATCCCAAGTCTGTGAAAAAAAGACATTCCTGGGTTATAGAAGATTTATATCTCAAAAGGGCAAAAAAGAATTTACAATTTGCAAGTTCTCTAAAGAAAAATGGTCTAAGAAAAGGGAGGTCGGGGGTCTATAGTCAGGAAGAAACCTGTCTAAAGTTTAGTCAAGCTGAGGGGAACATTAAGGCCTTCTTGGTCACCAAGATATTACAGAAGTTCCATATATGTCCAATAAGAGACGGTAGACTCGTAGTTAGCAAGAGATTTTTCTAGACAGTTGATATGAGGCACAGTTAAGAGTCAAGTCAAGTTGAGAGGTGCAATTTCAACAAGCATCCTCCAGATCCAGACAAAAAAAGCCGCATGAGTTCACCATCGAGTCACTTCAGCTGTTCTCTTATAAGAACAGATATTATTATCTGAGTCAACTGAGTCAATGCTGCTGTTTCGATTTCTGACTTGTCTTTGATCATGGATTATTTGATTCAATTTGACATTCCTTTGAAGAATCTTCTAGCTGATTACAGCATGTAGATAGGAAATTTCTCTTTTTGGCCTTTTCTCACACAGCACACACACTCACACACATAATTCAGCTTCCTGAAGGATTTATGCCTCCCTTTTTTCCTCTTTGATCTGTAATTAGTCCCTTATATTTTATAGACAGTGTTTAATTTTTACCTTATCATGCTACTCTATAGTGTTACCAGAGGTCAATATAATAACTTCAGTACTCTATAAATTAGAAATAAAAGAGGACAGAAAAATATAATATGTTGCCCTCTACTTATTTTTTTAAGGCTTCTTAGTATTTAGAAACTTGTCTGGAATCGTATGGAACTACTTCCTGCTATAGCAATAGATATGTGAGTATTGTTGGTCCTAAGTAGCAGTGAAGTCATGTGAGAAGCGAAACTGGAGTCACCATCTTCTTGATTTTTATATCTCAATCTTAGAAGTCTGTAAATGTTCATAAAATGTTAGACTTCGAGTTTCTGAGCCCTAACTCAGGTTTCTGTGAGTTCCTGGAGGATTACATTCACAAAGTCATACCTTAGCTCTAAGTTCCTGCCTGCCAAACTCTTGATCTCACTTATACTTCAATTTTCATGGCTGTTTTCTTCTCCAGGCCAACCCAGATATGCAACTCAACCCTGCTTCCTTGATTTGCCTAGAAACCTGTCACATGAGGCATTACAAGCAATACATCAAAGGAACTTATTGATGGTTTGGGCAATGTAAGACAAGGGGTGTGTGTGTGTGTGTGTGTGTGTGTGTGTGTAGGAATTTCAAATGTGATATTATACATTTTTACTTTCACAACTACTTTGGTCTGGCCACCTTGACGCCAGTGTATTTTTATAGACTCAATCCTTCTCTGCTTCTTCTTTTTCCTATCCCCAAATTTATCTTCATTTCTCATGCAGAGCAGTTTACCATTCCTCTTTTCTTTCTGGTTTCTTTTTAAAAAGTAAGGCTTCTAAGGCCTTACTTTTTACCACCAAAGAGCATTATTAAGGTAGTTTCCTGAATATAAACATTCTCATGAAAACTCTGTTGCCAGCTATCAAAATAACCATTTCCATCCCTTTCTACCATTTTATATCCATTTTATAGAGTTATCAGGGTCTGGGATATCAGGTTCAACAATGCTCTAAGCTCACATTGAAATTAATTGTACCTAAAAGCTAAATTTCCAACTAGGAAGCTAAATGAAAATATGCATGATTTATTTAGGGCACCACTCGACCCGATATTGAACTAATAAATATAATACTGTCTCATAGGGTCAAGAACAGAAATTTCTCTCTCTGTTCTTTTCTTTCCTGCATTCTTTATGTGCCATGATCCTTTCAGACATCACATCACCCTCTTCACTTAGGAATCATTTTATAGCATTTTATATATTTCTAAGTGTTCACACTTATCCATTGATTGAATAAGAGACCACTTCCTTTGTATCAAAGTACCATGAGTCTCAAGTGAAGATTAGAATGAGAAAACCAGAAAATAAATAGTAAAATGTTATATGGTAGAAAATGCTAATAAAATAAAGCAAGGTGTTGGAAAAAGGGAAGGAAAGGCGGTAGCTATTTCAGATAGCATGGTGAAGGCAAGGTAAGCATGTGATATGTGAAAGGAGATTTGAATGATGAGGAGCCAGCTATGAAAACATCTAAGGAAGAACGTTCCAAGTAAAGTAAAGGGCAGAGATAAAAGCCCTAAAAATGGACTGGACTTGACACATTCAGAGAACACAAAGGAAAAAAACCAGCGTGGCTGGCCTATAGAGAACAGAGAGGAGAAGTGGTATGATGAGAAGTCAGGGAGGCTGGCAGAATGGAAGACCCTGTAGTCTCTGTGTGGAATTTGGATTTTTTTCCTGAATCACATGGGAGGGTATTTTTTAATGGGGTATGATTGTACCTGGTTTCTACTTATTTACAATCGCTTTGCTTTATGAAGATTATATTTTATACTGGTGATCTGAAAATTTATCTTAAAAGGGTTGCTTTAAAACTACAGGTGCACCCTCTCCAAATTGTCCTGTAGGCTGATTTATTCTACTCATGTTTCTTGAGTGCCTACTATGTTCCCAGCACTGGGCTAGAGCTGGAGATTTAACAATGACAAACATGTGGTTTCTGCATCCAAGAACACATAGCCTCATACAAAAAGGTTTTGTTCAATTTTTCACAGTTAACATTGTCTGCATTCTTGTAAGGATCAACCTGACTTTCCATGAACTTTTCTCTGGATCTTGGATAATATCTATTTTTAGTCCCATGCTGTATTCCTTTATCCACTTTACCCAAAAGAAACATTTAAGATGTATCTATCTACATGTTCATCACATTCTTGCCATTCTTTTTAGTTTCATGATAAATCTCCCAAAATTTTTTTCATAAGGAAACTGAATTTATAGTATAAAATAGAAAAAAGAGTAGCACCGGTTTAGAACCTTTCTCTTAGAGTAGCATTCCAAGTTAATTCAAAGTTGAAATTATATTAAGTAAACTGTGATAATATCTATACTGCTGAATTACAGAATAGGGTTTCTGCGTTGGGTCATTTCTACCTCCTCCCTACATTAAGCTGCAAAAATGCATAAAATGCAGACTACCCCCTCAGCCTGCTATTCAAATGGCTGATTACTGGTGGATGTTTTGTGACCTTAAGGAGCTGGATGATGAAGACAAAGGAATTCTGGTAAAGAAACCAAAAGCTGAAGGAAACCCCAATTTTCTGTTGGGATTGAATCTCAGTAACCATGAGCTACAGCTTTCTCTACACTTTTGAACATTTGTCTTGCTTCCCCCTTTTTCTTCTTTTTCCATTGGACTTTAAAATTTTAGGATATTTTTCCAGTCTATTTCTCTCACTATATCTTATCCTCTTTTTAAAATCTGTGCTTATCTTTCTGCTTTCTTTTTTGTTTTTCCCATAGTGTAAGAGTGACTTACATTAAACAAGAATCACTAAAGGACCCTATCTATGAAACTCTAAAGTTGAAGGAAAGACAAGACAGCTTTCTGAAGTTTGACTCTCCCTGAAGCCAAGAATGTTTCTCAATAAATTATTCTCCTTTATAAGAACTAGCCTTTTGACCATTGAACATTCAGGAAACAAAAATACATTGTATCTTAAAGATCCAGCTTCGTTGTAGATCCAGTTCAGGTTAATAGACCTTAGACCTTCTCTCACTTTGTGAAAAAAGAACTCCTTGTTAATAATAAAATTAGCTAAAGTGCGGCCATGGAAATCTTGTAGGTTTTATAAGTCATGTGTGCTCTTTCCATTCCTGCAACTGTACATATCGAGGATGTACTTAGAGTAAAGCCTGGATGTTGGGAATGCAACAACCATTGAGAAATAGCAATGCAAAGATCGATGAGTAATGTGGTCCCACAGTTCTCACTGTCTAATGGTGAAAAAAAATGAGAAAATTAACCGTTGCCCTGTAAGTGTTAAGGGCTATAATGTTTGAACCAAGACTTATAAAAATGTAGCAGTGGCTATTTTGCTAAGAATGGTGGTCAGCAGACACTTTTAAGAAGGGAAACATGTAGCTGAACTGTAGAGGAGAGAGAAGAGTTAGATGGGAGAGGGGGGTGAGAAGTGGGCTCCAAGCAGAGCAAACAACATGTGTAAAAGCCAGGAGTCAAAGGGTTGCAAGGCAAGCCTAAGCACGAAAGGTTTCTGTGGCAGAGGACATGCCCTGGGGAAGACGTGACCATGGCAGGTCATGGCAGACTCTGAATGTCATTCTAAGGAGTTTAGGCTTTATCTGAGAGCAAAGGGGAAAGCACCAAAACTCTCCTAGTAGGGGAAGGGAATGAATGGATTTGCATTTGTCCAGTATTTACTCTGGCAGTCATAAGTAGGGTGATGTGATGGTTAATTTTATGTGTTTACTTGACTGAGGTAAGGGATGCCCAGATAGTTGCTGAAACAGTATTTCTGGGTGTGACTGGGAAGTGCTTCCAGAACAGTTTAACCCTCTCTCTTCTTGAGCTGGGTCCTCCATCTTCTCCTGCCCTCAGACATCAGAACTCCTGGTTCTCAGAGCTTTGGCCTTGGGATGGGAGTTATACCATCAGTTCACCTGGTTCTTGGGCCTTTGAACTCAAACTGAATTACACTGCCAGCTTTTCTGGTTCTCTAGCTTTACTCTTTCCCTTTATAGAAAGATTTATTTTTAATTTTAAAAAATCATTTATGTTTACCACCACTTACTTCCCCAGTTTATCCTCCGAAGAAATGTCACACTTACAGACATTATATTCACATGTTCTGCAAGCACTTTGTTACAAATCTGTTAGGGTATATACTTGCAAATATTTTGTTTCATTCTGTTTCATCCCTTAGGCAATGTCGTGCACATACTACTGCAAACAGAATAGTAAAGCAATGTCTTGCTAGTTACCAACTCTGTCAGTTCTTCCTTGTCAATGTCTCTCACTGTTGTCCTTTTCTCTCTCTACCTACTGTCATTATCCCCAGATGGTATGCCTGCCTTGGATGCTTTATCAGAGTTCTTGAGTGCAAACAACAAAAATGGATTCTGCTTGATTTATGAAGAAAACAAATTCATTGAAAGGCCACTGAGTAGCTTACAGAATCACAAGAAAGGTGGCAAAACCAGTTGTGGACAATAAGAAAAAACAAAGAGAGGTTCCATAGCCAGACTCCAGCCAGGGTCATCTCACAAGGACAGCTGAGTAAAGACACTGCTGTCTCTGGCCAAACTGCCACAGCTGCCCACAGAAACTAACTGTGGCAGTCTCTGCTGCCACTAGAAAACATTCTCCACTGTTGCCGCTGCTTTGCATCACTAGCTCCAGATTCAAAATCCCATCTGGTTGTGTCTGATTGCCCAAACCTAGGCCACAGGTCCATGCCTTTGTTCCTATGTTTCCAGAGAAGTCAAGTATCTGGCCTTTTCAACTTCCGTAGGTGAGAAGCAACACCCACCTCCAACTACGACTTGTGCTGTGGAGCATTCTGCAAATCAAAGAGTCAAACCCCAGTGTAACACACTTGAGTTTCAGCCACAGAAAGAAAGCTGTCCCCTTGAATAACCCATTCACCTCCTGGTTCTAATCGTTTTTTTTACTATTATATTCCATGCACTGTCCTGGACATGGATATGTGCTATGTACTAATGATGTAAATATTAAGAATACAGGCCAGGCGCGGTGGCTCACACCTGTAATCCCAGCACTTTGGGAGGCCAAGGCAGGCGAATCACCTGAGGTTGGCGAATCACCTGAGGTTGGGAGTTCAAAACCAGCCCGACCAACATGGAGAAACCCCATCTCTACTAAAAATACAAAATTAGCCAGGTGCAGTGGCGCATGCCTGTAATCCCAGCTACTCAGGAGGCTGAGGCAGGAGAATCACTTGAAACTGGGAGGCGGAGGTTGCAGTGAGCCAAGATTGCGCCGTTGTACTCTAGCCTAAGCAACAGGAGCGAAATAAATATAAATTTATTCTCAAAAAATAAAAAAATAAGAATACAAGTGCGTGGATAAGTCTTTCCTAAAATGTAGCAATTATGTTGTTCCTCTTTTTGACCTTGTAATGGTTTCCAGTTACTTCAGACTCTTCAACCTAGTATCCAAAAACATTCCATTAGTTGATCTATATTATATATACAGTCTTTTCTCTTATTATTTTCTAACACAAGTCTTCTATTCCAACTAGGATAGTTATCTTAAAATTTACAAACACCACTTTTGCCCATTCTCTGCAAAAGTATCTCTCTATCTCACACACTTTTCCCCATCTTTTACCTGAACTCATCAATTTCCCCTAACAGCCCCCACTTCTATTTTTTGCCTTCTTCATGATTCTACCTGAGAATCAATGAAAGTCATGAAGACATCTTAAATTAAGGCAGCTTTATTGTGAAATCATACAATATTTATGTATACTAGTCGTACCTGCACCTTCATGCATAAATACCCCTTACAGATCCATTTCTACTTTTACCCGTGGATACTTTTACGTCTCCAAGTAGATGGTAAAGTGTTTGAGGCAAGGATCGTATCTTCTCTTGTATCCCTTCTGTCTTATTTAGCATGTTAAATGCAGAGTCGAAACGATGTGTCTGTCGAACAGCTGAGCCGATGTCTGGCCAGTTTCAGCTCTCACTACCTGCTTACAAGGAATTGAAGATCTTAAAGCCAATTTCTCTGAAACTTGATCTGTTTCATTCTTCCCACAATCACTAACTTCAGGTAAATGTATTTATCACTTCACAAATAATACAAACTTTATATTGCAGTGGGAATCAGGTAAGAATGACTCAACACAAATTCAGTCATTACTAGAAATTACCTATAGTGAATGCCTAGGTGATGCCAATAGTGTCATCTTTATAGGGGAAAGATGGCATTATCATAAATTGAAAGAGTAAAATTCTGTGTTATGCCATATAATTTTTTCATGCTTTGCAAAGTTAAAACTGAAAGGAATTTGAACTCACTTAAGAATCTGATATTTCTGTCATTGTCACAGAATGACATATTAATTGGGTAAAATTAATTTGCAAAATGCCCTTGTGAATACAAACAAAATGTGTCTTTTGTAAATTAAGTAAAAAAATAGATGCCTATTCCTCACACAAAGTTTCTTTCTGATGCTGTCAAAAGCAGTACTTTTTGAGAGAGTGAATTTTGGCAGATGGCATTACAATTCAAATAAAATGAAATAGGCTTCCAAATATATCCATATTTCCTTATCATGTGAATGCCAGAGAATTTTTAAAGTTTCTAAATGTTTCTCTTCTAAGTGTCCTCATGAATATAATTTGTGTGAATGCATAAATACTAGATATTAAATTATGACTCTAATGCTAGCTGGCAGACTTAACTGTATGTTGATATCTTTCTGTATAACCAAAGCATATATTCACTATATCTGTAGTACAAGGAATTCAATACAAAGGGATTTAGGAATGCTGAATTTGGACTCTGACTGAAGAGCGATGTGGAGAGAATTTCAGAGTTCTGGGGTATTCTTCATAAAGGCTGGATACGTAATGGCTGTTGAATACAGGGGCCAAGTCTTTCCTTGCATGTGGCTCTCCACATTTTCTTACTGCTATTTAGAACTTTAGGAATCCTAAGAAAAAACGGCCCAGAAAGCATATTTCAAGGGATTTCAGCACTTCCATCTCCCACCCTCACCCAAAGAAATTTTAGTTATGACATTGGAAAAGTTAGTTTTCCATTCACTGAGTTGTCTTGAGGATCAAATCAGGTGTTTCATGTAAAGCAATCATTTATGAGATCAGTGTCTGATAGATAGCATCAATAACTTATATAAATTACAGCTAATTTTAGTACTCCTATGGTGCTAAATAACTGAGGTGAGGCAGGAAGGGGCATGGAAAATGTAAAAGATAATATACTAAATGTGTTGCAGTAGAAACAGAAGTAGCACTATTGAAGTTAAATACTCCTTTTTCTTAATATAGAGTAGCTTCCCCTCCACCCCCCACCCCCACCAGTAAGAATTGTCAGGTAAAGATTGCCAACATTCTAATCCCTGCTGTAAATGGCCATTCCTTCATTTGAGCACCTCTGCCCCACTTCTACCATAACATGCCCAAGTCAAGACAACCTACATGTGTGCCTTCAGAGAACTATACGATGGACCCCTTTACACAGAAAAATGTAAATCCCCAGCTCTCTGCACAGTTTTCAATAAATGTTGAATAAATACAAATTTTATAATGTTCAAATTCATTACCAGTGAACGAAAGCATTGATCCATATTTCTCTCTGCTGTGCCATATGTAAAGCTGAAAGGAGAAATGGAAACAAACCAAATAATATCTGAAAATCTCTTCCATTTCTATAATTTTCTTGAGTTTTCTATTGATTTGTATGTATTTTCCTGAAAACATGATATTGGGCACTTTCATTTATAATAAATTCTATGTCTAATGGGGGTTTAAATATATTACTCTTAGAAAAATGGTTTGAGAGGAATTTGGGATCTGTCTCAGTAATGAGAGATTCTGTCCAGATGTCAAATATAAAAGAAAAAGTTTGAAAGCATAAAATATGGTGTTGCTTACAAAATTAAACTAAGAAAATTCTGAAATGTCACAAAGTATTATTATTTCATTCATGATTTTGTAAAAGGCAATAAAGTATAGTATTATTAGTCTGATTGTTAAAAACACAGTGTCCACATGAGGGAATAAAAGCTACTAAGAGTCTACGTATGTTCCAAAAGCAATGTAACTAAACCTTTAATGGTTTTGCTCATAGTTTTTACTAAAACATTTTCTTTAATCCACATGTGCTTTTCTGACGTCTGTGTTAGGGCAATCAAGGGTTAGGAAATTAGCTTTATAGAATATAGCCAATGTCAACTTTTTCTTCTCTCCTCTACCCCAAACCAGCACACTTTGGAAAATACCTGAAATGCGGGGCAAACAGCAAACACTCTCACCATAAGAATACCTAACTGAATTAATTATTAAAGAGCATAAAATCACAACAAAGGTATTAATATCACAGGAAGCCAAAATTCCGTGTGCTACCCAAATATCTGTCTAGGGTTGCTCTTCTGAGAAAGGTACAACATTTTATCTCTCCCAGTGCCACAGCGGACACATCATCTCATTCATTCCGTTAACACTTGTCCGTGTTGAGCACCTAACAGTAGGTTCCAGGAACACAAAGATGAGTAAGATATGCTCCCTATCTTCAAGTTTCTCACCACGAAGAAGACAGAAAACAGATGGTCATAATATATTCTTCAGAACTCAATAGCAGTCCCCTTTCTCCATGGAATAGTACATTCTTTGTGTCCCTCGTTGTTTTCTCTTTTTCTTTGCCTCCCATGGAGCGCCTTCCAGTCTGTCTTGTGGCATCTGGTCCTACTGAGTTTTTCAACTCTCGCTTCTCACTGCAGAACCATAAATCACAGCAGTTTTAGAACTAATTTGTGTCTCTATTAAGTTGCTGAGTACATGTTAATTTTATTAACACTGATAAAGTAGCTTTCATGTTCTTCATCTTTTATTTATTTTCCAACTGGAAAATATCCTTTGTCTAGCACTGTAATTCTAAAACACAGATTTTATCTTTCACTTTCAAGTATTATCTCTGAGTAACAATAACTGATTGATCTTTGAGCAGAAATAGATTTTTTAATTACTTAAAATTTTTCTTGAAAAAGTCACCTGATCAAGGAGAATGTTCTAATGAAAATATCACTATTATCTTAATTATAGTTGTTATTTCACGGACTATATTTGTAGTACCGACGTGATTCTGATTTGTGAACTAATGAAATAATTGTCTTGCTTGTTACTCTATTTTTCTTTAAAAAGGCCATATCTTTAAAAATAGTCATTTATGTGTATATTAAATAGAAAATATAATCAGAATTGTGTTTGCTTTCAGGTGGTTTTGTAAATGTACTCCAGTTGAATCCCTTTGTACTAGTCAGTGCCTTCTTTATAAATCAGGTCCTCTCTTCCATTTCTGAGGCCAAATGGCTAATGTCAATTTAACAATTAGCTAAATGTCTCTTTATCCCAACCCCTTCAAGCCAAGTTCCCACAGGAAGAAAAGAATAAAGTCTCCTCCTACTTAATAATTTTCTAATCCTCATTTTCTACACTCAGTGTTATTAGCTCTTTTCCATATTTCAGGTAGTTCCAGAAAGCCTTTTTCTTTCAACAATTATGGGACACATACACTAGTGATTTTTACCTGCCGCACACTCTAAGTTTGGACCCAATGTCTTCATCATTCACTATTCCATCAAGTCCTACTATTGCTGCTATTATGGTTACTACCACTACCGATGATGATGATGATGACGATGATGATGATGATGATGATAACAGTGGAGCAACAGTAACAGTACTAGTAATAATCATAGCAGTACCTACTCTTTATTGAGTGCCAAGCATTGTAGGGCACTCTATATCTCTATTCCTTATAACATCATGCAGAATAAATAAACTGAGGCTTATGCAAGAAAACCCAACACTCAGATCATATTTGTGTGACCCCAAAGCCAGTAATGTTTTTGTCAAATATACTTACCTAAATACCTAATTTGATTTTTACTTCATACTGTTTAATAGCCGTTGGGTATTTGCAAACTACAACTCAGGTGTAAGAATAGATTTTATTATTTTATTTATTTATTTATTTATTTATTTATTTATTTATTTATTTATTTATTTGAGACAGAGTTTCACTTCGTTGCCCAGGCTGGAGTGCAGTGGCGTGATCTGGGATCACTGCAACCTCCGCCTCCTGGGCTTAAGCGCTCCTCCCACCTCAGCCTCCTGAGTAGCTGCAACTACAGGCGCGTGCCATCACACCTAATTAATTTTGTATTTTTTATAGAGATGGGGTTTCACCATGTTGCCTAGGCTGGTCTCAAACTCCTGGGCTCAAGCAATCTGCCCGCCTCAGCCTCTCAAAGTGCTGGGATTACAGGTGTGAGACACTACATCCGGTCTATTTTTATTTTCTGTAATTAATATCATCTTGTTTGAAGCCTTCATTGTGGTGATGGAGGGTAAGAAAACTTAAGCTTACTAATTAAAGACTTGCCTGTCTCTTTTACTTTAAATCAGCATTATTTGGGGAGGGTACAAATACTTTGTCAATTTTCAAGTTCAAATTCCCTGTCAGGCTTTTCCCCAATTGGTTTCTCCTCTCCTCTTCCATCCAAGATGCTGCCAAACAATAAAAGGAATAGGTATCCTATGGTGATGTGAGTGGGTCTGTGGTCTGCCTGCTGTTTGCTATCTTTCCTGGTCTCTGCTGTAGTAGGACTTACACCTGTTCATGTAACAGTTCTTATCTTTTGCCTAGAGTTGTAAAGACTTCACACCCTGAGTCCTCACCTCCAAATCTTACCCCCAATCAAGGTGCATGAATGTCACACATTGATTTCTGACTCTGTCTTTACATCTCCACTTGAGCAGACCAAAATCTCCTAAAATAAATGTCTGCTTAAATAGGAGAAAAGCCACACCCAAGGAAGTATGAATTTAAAAAGTACATTCACAGGTTTAAAAAACTATTGTCGCTATAGTAGCATACCAATCTATATGCCCTGTGTCTATCAGGGTTAATTCTGAAAATGCAAACTCAGAAGAATCTGAGACCAAATTTAAAATGTAGCCTAACACCTTGACCCAATAATGGTATCAATTAATGACAATTTAGTTGGTGGTGTTCTAGGTACAAATCAATATTTTTAGTGCTTTTTGCCTCTAAATGCCATTATAAGACAAAATTATGTGATTCCATATATTAAAGCCTGGGGCCCTCTAAAGCTCTCCGTTTGGCTACCCTGTCTGGTACCAGTGCTGTTGAATAGTTTTCGTGTTTGCATGTAGAGTCTTCCAAAGTTGCTGAGTCCTGCATCACATCACACTGTCACTGCTCAATATGATATACACACAGTCCAGTTGTTACCAGAGGTACAAATCACAGCTCCACTTGGGCTTTTAACATTTCCTGAAAGCTTGGCATGTATGTTAGACAAGCCTACAGGGCTTACCTAATTTGTGGGACTGACTGGCTCTTTACATGCCAGGTAACTGAAGCTGAGACAGACTCTGACAGCTTTATAAGGGTAATATTTTTCACTGGGGTGAAGTGCTCTCCAAGAATTTTCCTGATGTTTTAGGCATCAGGAAACCTTGCAGGAACAGCAGGCATCATGTTTTCGATTCCAGGTCCCTTTATATTTTGCAGATTCACTTACTGTGGAGGAAATCTTACCCACAGCTTTTTCCATGTTCCTTCGTTTCCTTCTACCATGAAACAAAGTAGTAATGCGATGCATGCTGTTAATTCCAAATCCTCTACTTTTTTTGCATTATTATATAGAGAGAATATATATATGCTGTATGGAGAGAGTAATGCAAAATAGTGATGTATATATATCACTATTGTATTTTATAATTTTATCAAAAGGGATTTTGTATTCCATTAAGAAGAGATTACATTTTTTATTCCTGATGTTTAATCTAGTCCTTCTGCCCAGGAATGCTGCAGAGGTGGGACAGAGCTGAAATGGCAAAGATTCATATAAATTGCAATGGCCAGGTCTTTGGAATAAATATCCTGCCCACTGTTTGAGCTAGGGGGGGAAGTTTTGCTCTGTTTGAATCAGGAAAATTAGGGTTTTTACTATAATCGCACTACTTCCCTCTTTGAGCAAAAGACCATATTTGAAGTGGATGCTCATATATGAAAACAGATCCCACTACAATGTGTGTTAATAGATACTTTGTTGCTTTTTATAAGGCTGGTATTATATGATTCAAAATTAATTATAACCTAAATGAAGGTATATGTGTAACATTTACATCATTCATACTCCTCAAATTTAAAGATTCTTATGTTCTTTCAAGTCAACGTTCACTATACTGTATTGCCAAGATGGAAAGAATTGTGATTTCAGTATCTCCACCTGGATTATCCAAAATAATCTAGAGAGGAAATTATTTTGGTAAAGAACATCTGAGAAACCCCACATACACATCTGGCTATATACATTCAATTTAATGGTTGAATTTGGACATTACTTTCATTAAATTTTAATAAGCAGCAATGATGCCTTAGATTAATACCAAATAGGGAGTCAGAAATTTCATTGTTACAGTTACACACTAAATAGTCATCCTTTCATGTCAAGGGAAAAGCATTTTCCTGCCTTATCTCTCAACTGTCAGTGCCTTTGACACTGTCTGTGATAAGTAATGCTGAAAATTATATATTATCTCCACCTGGAACAAGGATAAGATGGGCACTGTCAGGTTGGTCAGCTTGTCCATTGTGTTAATGTTTAAAAGAATTCCACAACACAAACTAAAAATGTGGAAGTTTTCCTCTCTTCCTTTTCCACCCAAATCACGTTGACAATCAGTACTTTTATTGAGTTTTCTTTGCATGCATCCGTTTTTAAAATGTCTGTGGATTACTTCCTTTTTCTAACAGGAAAACACAGAGCTTGGTAGAATAAAGTAGGGAATCTATGACAACCCCATGTCACCCCAATTTGACAAGTGCCCAGCTTGCTTATCTATAAAGCATTCAAGTCTCTCAGGATCCATGCGTTTCACGGCAAAAGCAAAACTGATGTTACCATTTAGCAGCATGTAAAATTGTCGTGATGCTGCTTACACCCAGTGTTATGGGAGATGCTTCAGACAGCAGCATCATAGACTTTGCTAATCTTATCTGCAAATTTTAGTGAGCAGCCCTAGGTTTGTGCTCAGTCTGATCCGTTGGTCTAAGTGCCATTTTAATTAAACAATGCTTCAAGGCTGCATATTAAATAGAAAATGAAATTAAGGCATATTCCCAAGTAGAATTCAGTTTGTCTAATATAATAAAGGTAAATTTTAAATTTCATTTTTTTAAATCCTTACTATATTGATGTTAATATTTAGTTGGCCCCAGAGATTTTAAACAGTAGGATTTTCTTGTAAACATCCAATTCATTAAATTTGAAAAGGCTGCTTCACTAGAAAAATAAGTTCTGTTGTGTAAATTCACCCCAAAACATTCAATTGATAAATGTGTTGCTGATTTATTGCATTAGGATTATTTAAATCAATTGTGATGAATTATGCCTATGACATGTAATAGCCTATGATTCCAAGCTGTTTATAAATTACCTGAGGGTTTAGGTAGAGTAAAATATACATGTACTTCTCCTAGTAGCATATATTATAAATTGTAATGAATTAATAATTAGTGAGATTATTTGTTTATTGGCTGGCTCTGCCTGAAACTATCTGATCCATGGATCTTGTGACTTGTCACTCTAACCTCGGGCCCAGCACAGTGCTTAGCTCATAGTAGGTTATCAATAAATATTTCTTGAAAAAGTCTCACAAAATATGTTACATTATGAAAGCTATGTTAGGTAATGCCATTGGTAAAATGACTACATTGTCCAAACCAATCTACAGATTCAGGGCAATCCCTATCAAAATACTAATGTCATTCTTCATAGAATTAGAAAAAATCCTAAATTTCATATGGAACCAAAAAAAAAGAGCACAAATAGCCAAAGCAATTCTGAGCAAAAATAACAAAGCTGGGGTCATCACTTTACCTGACTTCAAAATATATTACAAGGGTATGGTAACCAAAACAACATGGTATTGGTATAAAAATGGATACATAGACCAATATAACAGAATGGAGAATCCAGAAATAAAGCCACATATTTACAGCTAGCTGATATTCAACAAAGCCAACAAGAACTTATGGTGGGAAAAGGACACCCTCTTCAATACATAGTGCTGGGAAAATTGTCGTGTGCAGAAGAATGAAACTGGATCCCTCTCTCTCACTATATACAAAAATCAACTCAAATGGATGAATGACCTAAACATAAGACCCAAAACCATAAAGATATTAAAAGGAAACCTAGGGGAAACTCTCTTGGACACTGGTCTAAGAAAAGAATTTATGACTAAGACCTCAAAAGCACAGAGAACAAAAACAAAAGAAAAAGTGAACTATGTTAAACTAAAAATTTCTGCACAGCAAAGAAAACAAGCAGCAGAGTGGAAAGACAGCATGTTGAATGGAAGAAAATATTTGCAAATCATTCATCCAACATGGTACCAATATCCAGAATATACAAATAAATCAAACAGGAAAAAACAACTAATCCCATTAAAAAGTGGGCAAATGATATGAATAGACAGTTCTCAAAAGAAGACATACAAACACTAACAGATATGTAAAAAATAATCAGTATCACTAATCGTCAGAGAAATGCGTATAAAAACCACAGTGAGATATCATCTTACCCAGTGAGAATGGTTACTATTCAAAAGACAAAAAAAATACCAGATGTTGGTGAGGATGCAGAGAAAAGGGAACTGTTGTACACTGTTGGTGGCAATGTAATTCAATACAGCCACTATGAAAAACAGTATGGAGATTTCCCAGAAAAACTGAAAATAGAATCACCGTTTAATTCAGCAATCCCACTATTGGATATCTACTCAAAGCAAAAGAAATCAATATATCAAAGAGATACCTACACTCATGTGTTTATTGCAGCACTATTCAAAATAGCAAAGATATGAAATAAACCTAAGTGTTCATTAACAGATGAACTGATACAGAAAACGTGGTATATATACACAGTAGAATAATATTCAATCATAAATAAAAAAGTCAAATCATGTCATTTCCAGCAACATGGATGGAACTTGAGGTCATTATCTTACGTGGAGTAAGCCAGCACAAAAAGACAAATATCATATGTCCTCAGTTATATGTGGGAGCTAAAAAATGTGATCATATAGAGGTAGAGAATGGAAAGAGAGATAAAAGACTATGAAAGGTGAGTGGAAGTTGAGGGGAGGCTGAAGAAAAGTGGGTTAAAGGGTGCAAAAGTACAATAAGATAGAAGGAATAAATTCAGTGTTCGATAGAGTACGGCGACTGTACTTAAAATTGTATTGTACTAGGGTGGTAGACACCCTAATACCCTGACTTGATCACTATGCATTATATACGTGTAACAAAATTTCTTGTGTATGCCATAAGTTTGCACAAATAAATATGATTATTTCTCTTTTGAACCTCAATGAGTTTTTAATGCTTTTACCTTTTGAGTTGCTGTACGATGAAACCCTAGTCCTAGAATCTCTAATTTCTTCAAGATTTGACTTAATTTTTTTGACTGGTTAGCAATTTTGTACACATGTAAGCTCATTTGTTATTGTTTGTATTAGATTTCAAGTTATTTTACATTTTTTTTTTGAATAAGAGAGCATGAGTATTAATGTATATGAAAAAGATATACTCAGAGAAGTCTCATTCCCTTTCTGATCTCTCCCACTCGTCTGTTCATACCACCTCTTATAGTTAAGTAGTTTCTTTAGTTTGTGGCTCTTCTTCCTGTGTTTTTTTAAAAAAAACGAACATTTGAATGTTTTTGTTTAACAATATGATCTGCATATAACCACATATCAGATCATAGAGACTTTCTTCACAGATTTTACAGCTGTATAGTTCTGTACTGTCTGCACATATCATGTACATTTAACCAGTCATCTCTGGTTGGGTATTTAGATTGTTTCCATGATTTGCTATTAAAATAATGACGCATTGAATAACTTTGTTTGTTTGCTTAAAAAGTATTGTTGAAGATAAAACTGTAGAGAAATTTCTCAGAGGAGAGATTTTTGAGTCAAAGGGTAAAATTTATCTGGTTATGTTAGCTACTGCCAAATTCTCCTCCTAGAGGTTGTACCACATTGTCCATCCACCAGTAAGGTATGAGGGGACAGTTTCCCCACAACCTTGTCTAAGAGTGTGTTGTCAAGCTTTTGAATTTTTGTGTCTGTTAGAGAATGATGTCTCAATATAGTGTTAATTTGCATTTCTTCTATAATGAAGGAGGTAGAACATCTTTACCCATTTAAGGGTCATTTGCATATACTTTTTGTGAACTCTCTATTCCTGGCTTTTGCATATTCCTCTATTAGGTGGTTAGGTTTTTTTCCCTTCCATTTAAAAAAGTTCTTTATTAAGGAGAGTAGCTCTTTATCACTGATATGTTACAAATATTTTCTCCCAGTTCATCGGTTATCTTTTAGTATTAGTTATGGTATTTTGAGCTATAGAAGATATTCTTTTCTGTTTTTATGTAGTTAAATTTGTCGAGCTTGAATCAGAGTAAGAAAACCTTTCCTCATACTTGGATTATAAAGGAATTTACCCCTAGTACTCATGTTGTTTCTTTTCTTTTCTTTTCTTTTAATTGAGACAGAGTCTTATATGTCACCCAGGTTGGAGTGCAGTGGCGCGATCTCAACTCACTGCAATTTCTCCTTCCTGAGTTAAAGCCATTCTCTTGCCTCAGCCTCCCGAGTAGCTGAGATTACAGATGCGCGCCACAACGGCCAGCTAATTTTTGTATTTTTAGTAGAGACAAGGTTTCGCCATGTTGGCCAGGCTGGTCTCAAACTCCTGACCTCAAGTGGTCCGCCAGCCTCAGCTTCCCAAAATGCTGAGATTACAGGTGTGAGCCACTGTACCTAGCCTCATTTTGTTTCATTTGTTCTTTTATACTTGAAGATTACTATGGTAAATTGACCAAAAATCTTTCTAATTAAGCTAGAAAGATGGGGCTCATTTCCATCAATTATATTTTCCTAAGAAATTGCCCATTTTAGGTTTTAAAATTTTGTTAGCATATATTTGTGCCAGGTATTACTTTATTTTTATTTTTGTGGATACACAGTGTGTGCATATATTTATGGGATACATGAGATATTTTAATATCGGCGTGCAATGCATAATAATCTCGTGAGGATAAACGGGATATCCAACCCTTCAAGTGTCTGTGTTACAAGCATTTTAATTATATTCTTTTGGTTATTTTTAAATGTACAATAAAATATTGTTGACTATAGTCTCCCTGTTGTGCAATCAAACACTAAATCTTATTCATTCTATCTAACTATATTTTTGTACCCTTTAACTATCCCCCCTTCCTCTGCTACCCTTACCAGCCTCTGGTAACCATCATTCTACTCTATATATTCATGAGTTCGGTTGTTTCAAGTTTTAGCTCCCACAGCTGGGTGAGAACATGTGACATTTGTCTTTCTGTGCCTGGCTTGTTTCACTTACTATAATGCCCTCTAGTTTTGTCCATGTCATTGCAAATGACAGGATCTCATTCCTTATTATGGTTGAATAGTACTCCATTGTATATATATAGCACATCTTCTTTACTCATTCATCTGTTGATAGACACTTAAGGTTGTTTCCAAATCTTGGCTATTTTTACTATTGCTTCCTTCTTGGTACTTCTTGCTTTGTTATATATGACTTAACTCTTTTTAATCTTAAGCTAGCTAGTGTTTATTTTGCTTTTTTAAAAAAAGAAATAGTCTATTTTGTACAATTTTTTTGCTTTTATTATTTGTTTTCCTCGTGTGTGTGTGTGTGTGTGTGTGTTGTCCCTAGAGGTTCCTTTGTTGTTCTTTTTATAGCTTTTTAAATTTTGAATTTACTTTTATTATTTCCATTCTCCTATGTGTATATATTATAAAATTTCTTCTGGTCACTGTTTTAATTGTGTGCTACAGATTTTTTATTTAATATTTTACCTCATTCATTTTAGAAAATATGCAATTTCAGTTAACATTTCCTCTTTGGACCAAGAGTTATTTCAAATTCTTAATTTCTAGATGAAATTTTCTTTGATCATAATTTTGACACTAACATCTACATTTTATTGCATTATGGTCAGGATTATTGTTTGCACTATTTCTGCTTCATGGAACTTAAGAATTTTTTGTAATCTAACAATTTTGGCGAGTGTTCCATGCATATTTGAGAAGGATGTGTATTTTCTATTATTGTAGTATGAAATTGGAAAGAGAAAGATGGATGGAAAGAAAGGGAGTAAGAGCCACAAGATCTGCCTAGTTATGATATTTAGTTCTTTCATATCTGTAATTTTGTCAACTTTATCTGTCTTAGACTGAAAATAGTCAAAGTGCTTCTTATTAGTGTGTTTTTCCTCACAGCTCCTGTAGTTACTGTTTTGTGAAGGTGGTTTATATTATTTGGTACACAAATATTGATAACTGTTGTAGAGCACTCTGAATTGTGACCTTTATTGTTATAAAGTGGGATTTCTTGTCATATTTAAAGCTTTTGACTTGAATTCTTCCATCTAATAGGAAGACTGTAAACTCTGTTTTATTTTTCTTGTCAGGCCTATCTTTGCCCAAACTTTATTTTTAGCTCTCTGAGTCACTTTCTTTAAATGTGTGTCATCTTTACAGGATGGAGTCAGGTTTTTCTTTATAAGCCAGATAGAAAATCTTAATAAGAAAGATAAATTACATTCAATTCTATGTTTGGTTTGAACTCTATCATATTTTATTTATTGCCCGTATTATAATATGACTGTTTATTTCTCTATGTGCCCTACTTTATTTATTCTTTTTTATTTATTTCTGTATTTAGGATGGTTTTTATTTGTGTTCTAATGTTTGTCTTTGTACTGATAACTTCTATAAGTCCCTGGTACTTAGGATGGCTTTTAATTGTGTTCTAATGTTTGTCTTTGTACTGGTAACTTCTATGAGGCCCTTATTCAATTGTCAATTTTAAATAATATTCATTGACTCTCACCTGTTGCCTAAGCAATAGTACGTGAGCTCATTGGCCATTGTACTTTTTTTCCCTCTCCTCTCTTTTTAAATTATATTACTTCTATATTGTCTCAATATAAGACATTTACATATTATTATTCTATCTTTGTCCCCACCTTTCATATAAGCTTAGATCTACAATTAAATGTGTTGAATGATTACCATTAGTCCTGTCCTCAAAATATCTCTTGGTCGAAGTAGCTTGGTTTAATTAAGTAGGTATGTGTCAGGAAGGGATCTTGGGTAGAATAAACTGTTTATATGGTGGGGGGTGTGTGTATTTGCACAATGAATACTTGAAGTACAATTTGGCTGGATATAAAATTCTTAGCTCACACTTTCTTTGAGAGTCTTTAAAATGCTGCTTCACTGTTTTCTAGATGTGTTCGTTCTTCCTGAGATTTAATGTTAATTTGATTTTTCCATTGTAAGGAGCTTATCTTTTAGCCATGTTTTCTCTACCTTTTAAAGTCTAATGTCTTACTGGTATGTATTTTGGAATTGACTGGGGACAATTTTTCCGGCTATATGACAACACTTTTCAATATATAGATATAGTTATTTTATTTCTGGAAATTTTTCTTGGATCACAGTTTTATGTATTAGTTCTATTCTATTTTCTTCTTCTTTATGTATTCCAATTATGCATATGCTGGATTATCTCTACCTACCTTCTATATTATTGACCTCTCTGATTCTTTTTACCTTTTTGTTTATTTCATTTACATTCTCTTGGCTATTGTCATGGCTTTCCTCAATAGTCCTTATATTTTAGGTTCACTCTATTTTCTCTTTGGCAGTTTGTAATTTGGTCATTTCAGATTTTTTTAAATTTTATTTCATCATTTTTGTCAACTATCTTTTACTATCTGTCTGTTCTTTGTCCATTAATGTTCAAAGCTTTTAAATATGTGATTCAAAGTGGTGTTTTTATTTATAAGTATTTGTTTCAAAATATCTCTAGGTTTTATTACAACTTTCTTGTTTGCAATTTTGTTTTTGTTTTCTCTTGAGAGAAATTTTCATTAGCTGAATTGTTTTGGCTATCATTTTCTGATTATTTTCTTATAGTAACTTTCTATAAATAGTCTGCTCTTTTTTTTTGTTTAGTTTGATATTTCTTTTGTTCCTAGACCAGCGATAACAGTTTCATGTAAGCAAAAGTAAAGGACTTGGTGGATTACTACATTTTTTAGTTCATGAGCACCCCCTTCTGTTGCTTTCATGAAGTACAGATTCCTCAGTGGATGCCTTTTTTATTTTTATTTTTTATTTTTTATTATTATTATTATTTTTTGCAGAGTAGTTGGTGTGTCTTATGAACTTATCTGCAGATATTTGATATTCACCTCATACTTTTTTCCTTCATAGCCAAGTCTCCAAGGAACAGCCCCCTCTCCCACTAACATCATCCCCCTCTTCTTCAGAAGCTGGGCCTTCCCAAGAATGTTATTCTGCTCACTGTCAACCCCCTTTCTTTCAATTCTTCATACTTGTGTTCTAATCAAGCAGGTTTGCTAGAAACATTTCTTCACTCGGGATGGGAATTTACCTTTCTGAGCATTATTTTTTCTGTTTTCCCACCTTACCTCACACCTGCTACACCCTACCCTCCTTTCTGCACAGTCTCCACTCTGGCACTAGCTGGCTGCACTGGATTGGAGCATTCACATCCCTACTTATATATAACTTTTGAAGTTCATACTATTTTGTTTCTCCTCATAATGTTGTAGGTGTAGGTTATGGGTGGCTTTATTTCTCTCTTAGTAGATATTTACTGTTTTTAAGGGGTAAGTAGAGAGGTTAAAATCTATATATCAGCCTTTACACTATAATAGAGTCCAGGATGTTTACATAAGCATTTTCAAATGGATAATGATGATGATAAATAGTTGGATGGGTAGATTAACACAGGCTTCTAGAAGTTGAAGCTGGAGATGCATATTTTGAAGTCCTCCATATATAGTTGCTTCCCAAATCTTTCTTTGTAGCCAGCCCTTTCTACAGATTACTAGAAATATAAAGACAAAAACCTACTAGGTTCATCATGTTTTGACCTTGTAATGCCGCTTGCAAACTTAAACCAAGGACGACTCTTGCTAAGTCTTTACCAGACAACATCCTTTATAGTGCCATGCTTTTCTGCCACCGCTTCTTGTCACCATCTCAAATACATAGATGTCATATTTAAGTTAGTGTTGCAAAAGTTCATGGCTTTTCTCCAGATAGTATTCTGAATCCCCAAAATACTATTGACTATATATTTTTTCATACATCAATAGCTGCCAAGAAAATTGTTTCAATTTTCTATTAAATTTGGTAAGATATATTAATGAATAAATTTATTTGAAATTTTCTCTGCAATCACATCTTTCATCAACAACCAGCCCATAAAATCATGGTCAGTATTTTAATTTTTTATTATAATATGGTGGAATTAAGTACTCAGGTTAACTCTACTTGATAATATGAATTACATATCATCACTGTAGAATACAGCTCAGCTAGTTTTTCTTTCCACTGTAAAATAATAAATCTCCTATACCCAGAGTTCATAAATAAAGACTTCATAGCCTACATTTCCATGATATTGACTGGGTTTGTGCTCCCATGTAGGCAATATCTGAGAAAGATGAAAGAGAGCGGAACATAAAGGAGCAACATTTTCTATATTCAGTTTTAGGTTTTTTAATTTGTTCTTTGGTTTTGGTTTAGTTGTTTATTTTCCTGACTGAATGGAATAAAGATTTCTGGTAAAAAGGAGCAAACTGGAACCTTGATACATGGAAAAAGGTCTGAAAAGTTACACCCCCAGCTTTACCTGTACATGAGGTAATGGGACTGTGGTTAGCTTTCATTAATGTATGGATTTAGCTTTTAAAAAAAAAGAATATATTCAGGATTTACTTTTATAGTATCAAATGCATTTTTGAATAAAGGAAAAAAGAGACAAAGATATAATACCTTTTGTTAGCAAAAAGTCATCTATTCTATATTTTATCCTTGCACAATGATCTTTCTCTTCCTCCTTTTTCTTGTTAATTCTAAAAACATATTTCATATTTTAAACTCACTTATATTAAGGATTCCTCAAACTCCTAAAGACCAACTAGGAGCAAAAGCTGTATAACTTTTACAAGAAAATTTAGTTATATTCCCCAGTTTGTATACAAGTATATAGCAAAAATCTAAAATATTAGAGGAAAAGATTTTGTAATAAGTAGCTATTACCATATAATACACTATACACTACATTACTTAACCTATGGGAATTTTTTATGTTCCTTATTTTCTTTTGTACAGTCATTACCTCTAAAACAATCAAACAAGAACCTCAAATTTTGTTTTTTTTTTAAAAAGGCTAGTCAACATAAAATAATATAGGGTTGAAGGATATGGTTTCTGGTTTTTGGTTTCTGCTTCTGTCTCTGATATCTTAGTACATTGCATGATTCCTAAATTGGGCTGCCTTTCTGTAAAAGGAGGCCCATTCTGGTCTTCCCACCAGAATAGACCTCCATACAACCTTACATGAATTTACATAACCAATGCTTTGTGGCCCATACAAGACACCGCCTCCCAAGAAAGGAACAATGCCTGACTCTAGATTTAACACTCCTGTTACTGAATCTGTGACTTCTAGGACCCAGGATGCAGCTGCATTTAAACATGAATGTTGTATTTACCCAGTTTTTCTAGGGAGCAGAAAGACAACAAAAAATAAATAAAAGGTAAGATAGCAAAATTAAAAGTCATTCTCTTGAATATACCTATTGAAAGACATCAACAGAAGCCTGGGAATGGTGGTGCACCCATGTAATCCCAGCACTTTGGGAGGCCAAGGCAGGTGGATAACCTGAGGTCAGGAGTTGGAGACCAGCCTTGCCAACATGGTGCAACCCCATCTCTACTAAAAATACAAAAAAAAATAGCCAGGTGTAGTGGTGTACGCTTGTAATCCCAGCTACTCAGGAGGCTGAGGAACAAGAATTGCTTGAACCCAGGAGGTAAAGGTTGCAGTGAGCCAAGATTGCGCCACTGTCCTCCAGCCTGGGTGACAGAGCGAGACTCTGTCTCAAAAAAAAAAATCAACACAATGTAAAAGAAGAATATAAGTGCAAAAATCCTACATTCTCATTTTATTTAAATTTCAGTTCTATCAAAATGAATCCAGTGTTCTGTGTATCTGATTTCACATTAATATATAGTGTGACCATGATACCAAAACCTGGCAAGACACAATGAAAAAAGAAAGCTACAGGCCAATATCCCTGATGAACATAGATGCAAAAATCCTCAACAAAATACTAGCAAACCAACTTCAAGTTCTCAAAAGCAATTGCAACAAAAACAAAAATTGACAAGTGGGACCCAGTTAAACTAAAGAGCTTCTGCACAGCAAAAGGAACTATCAACAGAGTAAAAAGATCTACAGAATAGGAGAAAATATTTGCAAACTATTTATCTGACAAAAATCTAATACCCAAAATCCATAAGAAACTTAATTGAAGAAGCAAAAAACAAATAACTTTATTTAAAAATGGGCAAAAGACATGATCAGACACCCCACAAAAGAAGACATACAAGTGGCCAACAAGCATATAAAGATATTCCATATCACTAATCATCAGAGAAACACAACTCAAACCACAAAAGGATACCATCCTACACCAGTCAGAATGGCCATTAATAAAAAGTCAGAAAACAACAGATGTTGGTGAAGCTGCAGAGAAAGGGGAACACTTACATGGAAAGCAGTTTGACAGTTTCTCAAAGAACTTGGAATAGAACTACTAGGTGAGTAAGCAATCCTGTTACAGGGTATACACCCAAAAGAAAACAAATCATTTTACCAAAAGACACACGCACTCACATATTTTTGCTGTAGCACTTTTTACAATAGCAGAGACATGGAATCAACCTAGGTGTCCAACAATGGTGGATTGGATAAAGAAAATGTGGTATATATGCACCATGGAATACTATGCAGCCACACAAAATAACAAAATCATGTCCTTTGCAGCAACATGGATGCAGCTGGAGGGCATTATCCTAAGCAAATTAATGCAGGAAGAGAAAATCAAATATTGCATGTTCTCACTTATAAGTGGGAGCTAAACACTGGATATTCATGAACATAAAGATGGCAACAATAGACACTTGGGACTACTAGAAGGTGAAGGGAAGGAGGGGGAAAAGAGTTGAAAAACTGCTCTGTGCTACTATGCTCAGTACCTGGGTGATGGGATCATTCATACCCCAAACCTCAGCATCATGAAATATACCCAGATAAGACACCTGCACATGCACCCCACTGAAACTCAAGTAAAAGTTGGAAAGAAAAGGTTTTTAAAATAAAGTGTGAGTAGGAGCCCTCCAATAGTAAGAGTAAGTGACCTAGATTTTTCCATGTTTTCGTTTTGATGCTATTTTAGACTTCTAAAAAATTACAAAAATACTACAAAGTGGCTCCCCATAACTCCCACTTAGCTGCCCCTAACATTTACATCTTTCATAAGTACATTGAACCCAGGAAATTAACATCCGTATAAACGATTACCTAATCTACAAATCTTATGTGAATTTTGCCAGTTGCTCCACTAATGTCCTTCTTCTGGTTCAAGATCCAATTTATTATCCCACAGTGCATTTAGTCATCATGTCTCCATATTCTCCTTCATCTGTGGTAATATCCCAGTCAGTTTTTCTCTTTCATGACCTTGACCCTTTCTAAGGGTACTTGTCAGCTACTTTATTGAATATCTGTCCACTTGAGTTTGTCATATGTTTCTCATGATCAAAATGGCATTCCTGGCCGGGCACAGTGATGCGCACTGTGGTTCCAGGTACTCAGAAGGCTGAGGGGAGAGGATTCCTTGAGCCCAGAAGTTTGAGTTCAGCTTGGGCAACACAACGGAACCCCGACTGTTAAAAAATACACACACATAAGGTTATTTATTTTTGACAAGTATACTACAGAGGTAAAGCTGTGCCCTTCTCAGTGCATAATATCAGAATGTGGATATCTTCTTACTGAGCTACCATAAAGGGGTCTCTGTTTTCTGTAATGAAAGTGTAGCTGACTAAAGATTAAATAAATAAATGAAATAATATTTGGGAAGCACAATTAAATTTAAAAAATATAGCATGCTGACTATGCCAGAATCCAGGCAAAGCTAGGTGCGTGTTTAATCTTTTGTTTTTATTCCAGTTTTCCAAGCTGATATTATTGACTACAAATTAATCTAGACTTTTTCATGGTAGGAATATTTAATCACTGAATTTGCCCCATGGTTCCATGGCCTGAAGAAAATCTCAATTAAAACAGTTCTTAATGCAACATTAACCTTGCTGATCTCAAGTGTTTATTTTTTCCTGTTGCATCATGTATGTTATTCTTTCATCAGTGTTACCTTAATCATCCACAGATTTGTCAAGTATTGTTGAATACAGTATTCTAAATAACCTAGGACTCAAAAGCTCCAAGCTACATGCTTGCCTGATTGGACAAATAGTGCGATGTTGGAAATTCTTTTTCTCATCTGTTAGCTTAATTTAAAGAAGCAGCAGTTGTTTTGTTTTTTTAAACTAATCCAAGTCCAAATAGCTTAATTTTCACAGTGAAAGATAATTCTTAACTTTTTCATTTTTCATCATCTAGATGTGTACTCTTCAGTGTATAATGTTAAGAAGTTTTTTTGATGACTTGTCTTTTTACAAGTGAAGAAAAACTTGTGAAAGTTGTGTTTTTTCATTAGCATACTAGGTTAAATCTTTGTTTTTGAAGCAAAATGTCAATAAAAGAATACACACAAACACACATGTGCCAACATATACACACAGGTACACATGCATATATACATATACATACAACTTTTTAAACATTAGTTGTATATTTTTACATCCATTCTGCTCCAAATGAAGCAATGCGTGTATCTGCTATTGGTTTCCTGTAAGGTTCCTCCATCAATTCCTTGACAATATTTAAAATGAAACAAATGGTGCTCTTTCTAACAGAAAGTTAGAACTAGTGTATAATTTTGCCTCAAAGTGTGAGTCTAGGACCTCTAACAGTTCTTAAAACACAAATGTGTATGACATATAATTTTGTTTCAGCATGAAATAATAGTTTACTTTGGAAATCTGAAACAACCAAACGAACACACAAAACATGTTGATATCTTATGAAAAATAAAGTAGATTCTCCCTAAATTCTGATGAGGACTGCATGATAACAAGTGGGACAGTATAATATATAATAAATTGTACCCAAGAAATTTGGCATTGTAAATCTGACAAAGAAAAGAATCAATGAACTCTGCCCTTCTGGGATATATTGCTTAGAACTAGTAATTTACTCAGATTAAAATGAAATAATCATTTACTTTATAAAAGATAATTGTACAAACTTTGACCATGAAATGCTTCCATATGGCATTGGCATTAAGAAGTAGGGCTGTATTCATAAGTTAACTACGTTAGGCTTTTACTCTTTATGTTTATTGAACATGATTGTTTTATATATTGTTGCATTCATAAGATGATGTTAAACCTGTTATAAATACATATCCATGTATCGAACCATATTAATAAATTAATAATAAATATCCATAATATTAATTGCTGTCCTCTGTATATTCTTTTACTTCTGGATGAGCTGCTTATAAAAAAGGGTTTTGAATGAGCTGTTTATAAAAGGCACTCAATAGATACTTGTCAAATGAATTCCTTTTTACTAGATGAATTTGCCAATAGCTTGGGGGATTTGGTGAAAACCATCTGGAGAGTTATTCTTCTTAATCTAAATTAAGTGGTGTTTATGCCTTGTTAAACAGAGTTTCTGAATTGATATTTAAATTGGGTAAGTTTACTGGAACCAGAGTACAGGGTTTTTGAGTCCTGAGTTGCTGGCATAATAAAATGAGTTAGTACCTAGAAAATCCATCAGTACTCAAACCACAAACAATACTCAGTAAAGGTTTACTCTTATTATCCTTCTGAAAGAAAGATTTCTTAAGGTACTCTAAAATTTGGTGTTGTAAGTTTAAATTATCCTTCTTAGTATGAATCATATCTTTGGCTGCAGAAATACTCATATGTTCAATTATAAACTGCTTTCCCCAACTCTACTTAGAGTGTTATGAAAGAGAAAGCACTTGCACTGTGTTAACTTTCTAAAATTGCAAAAATTCTAAATTCTAAAACATATATGTTCCTAAAAGTTTTGGATGAGGAATTGTGGATCTGTATTTAATTTGATGGTACAGAGAAACAAAATCACTCATACACTCTCAGTGAGATTATAAATTAGTACTTTTTTATGAGTTGGGAAGGTAGAAATCTGGTAATATATGTCAAAAACAATAAAAGGATGCATGCCCTTTGATCCAAAATTTCACATCTAGGAATTTTTCCATACTATATTATAGAAATATGATAAAAGATTTACATTTTAGTAGGTCCAATACAGATGACACATGACAGGTAAAAACTAGAAAGTCCCAAATATTCAAAAATAGAAAAATGATGAATTACACAGCTTCTAGCTGTGCTGCCGACTACTGTTGCCACCTTGAAAATGATATTGTGCGGTAACACACATTCACATTGAATGACATCCTTGATATTCTGTTAAGTAGAAATATAAGGCTATAAAAGTAATATGCACTGTATGTGGTAATTTCTTTTAAAAGTATGTGCACACATATGCATAGAAAATTATTTGAAGGATATTCACCTAAATATTAACACTGGTTATTTTTGGGTGGCAGGATTGCTGGTAATTCCAGTTTTCTTTTGATAACTGTGCTTTGTCTACAGTGATACATATTATTGCTATAATAATAAAACTTTTTAAACTTCACTGAAATATATTTAAACTTGTCAATATATCTTAGGTTTCAATTTCTATATATGTAAAAATTCATATCTACCAAGAAAAATACAGCATTCTTCATATTTGTAGGAGTTAATAATTATAAAACCTTGGTGTATTTGGAAAACAATATTATGAAGCAAAGCCTAGTTTTCAGACAGCATGTTTTTGCCTGTAATAGGATTTATAGTATTGTTGATTTTTTTTAATGTGTGTGTGTGTGAATTAAAATTAGCTATGGAGAATTGAAAATATGAACTATAATATCAAGGAAAGCATGTTCACAATTTTATACCTTATTTTTAAAATATGCCCAAAGAGTGTATTGGCAGCATTCAAATTCTGACCCATGTGGAGTAACAGCAAGCCTACCATCTCAAATAGTGGGATATCAATTGAGAATTTATAATGTCTTTGTTTCAGTCATCAGAAACAATTTGCTGTTCTCAGAAATATATTTTGAAAATGTGGTCTTTGTCCTGAAATCCTCCTTTAGCAATACAAATAAATAAGAGAAACATATACACTTTCAGGAAAGCGATTTGCCTTCTATATTGCACTAAATGGTGATAACGTGATGACATGCCATCCTACTATTTGGCATGAGACAAATGGCTAGACCGAGCAGTGTATCTGCAGAGAAGAGAGCTCTGTGTTTTAACTGCCAGTTTTCAAGTCAGTGCCTCTTATAGTTTCTATAATATGTTCTGAAATTTGCTGCTGACTCTGAATGCTTTGTTCCACTTTGGCAGACCATTTCTGCAATCCATGAACAATTAAATTATATTACTTTTTATTAGAAATTGTGATATTCTTTATTTACTGAAAGAACTCTTTATTTTTCAGAGCTTCCATATGGCTGGGAAAAAATCGATGATCCCATTTATGGCACTTATTATGTTGAGTAAGTCTCTAAGTGTGATATTAACTTGTTATTAATATGTTGTGAAATTATGTTAGTATTTTATTTATTGAGCATGTGTGGCTCACAGCCCCTTCATTTCCCTTTCATCTTACTTTGAAGTATCCACCAAGACTAGCAGCACTAGCTAGCTGTTTCTTTCCTCTCCAGCTGGCTAATTTGTCATTCCTTTCCTTTGACTCAACGATTCTAAAACACCAATTGAAAAAGTGTGTTTCACACTGTCCTCTAAATGAGTGATAATTAAAGATATCAAAGTAAATGCCTTTCATTTTGCAATCAAAATGTTGGGAGCTGACTGGTTGTGCAAATGAGATGTTCTATTAAAACAGATTTCGAAGTCAATTAAATGAATCAGACATATTTTTTAGTTGAAAAATAAAATAAAATTTAGATTTTTTTTCTTTTTTGGGACCTCATTCCAAATCAACAGTATTCTTTCGGTACATTGGACTTTTATGTTACCTATTGGAGGTTACATTGCAATAATTTGTCATGGTATGAATTATCCCCCCATGCATCCTTTTATTCGGAACAAATACACTATTCAGGGTTAAATTATATACACATATTTTTCTTGGGAAATCAAGTAATATTCATAATTTTCAAAAGTTAAATATGTGATTTATTTTTCTAGAACTCTCTCCAAACAGACGATTGTTTTTCATTCTTATCTATCGTATAATGTTCCTAAAGTTATTTGGGTGAATAACAAAGCCTACATATTCCTTATGGGAAATACTACCCAAGAAATCCAGAGGTTGAAAAACAAAAGACTTTCACATTGTTCATCAAGATCCTACTTTGTTTTTTCCAACCACATTCTGTTTAATAGTTACAGATGGTCAAGAGTTACAGGTTGGCTTTAGTGCTAAATTGTTTTTGTAACAATATTCAAAAACGGTTACTGAGCTTTTATTAGGTGTCATGCCATTCTTGGCACTGAAAATGTACAGATAAGTAAAATCTGTGTGCTCTCTGCCCTTGAGTATCTCCCTCAGGAGCACTTGTCTTAACTACATTCACCCATCATTTTCATTTGGAAAAGCCCCAATTTTGGCTCCACAGTCATTTCCAGATTCACAGTCAAGGTGAATTCAGCTCATTTTCCACATGCAATCTGCTAGCATAGTATCTAATGTATGGTGTCACATGGACACTGAACAAATACAAAAAAAGTAAGATAAATACATAGAGGTATCTCTAACTGCAAAAATAAAGGGACATCATTTATAAACAGTTATAAGGCCTCTGTGTCCCACTAGATTGCTGATGAATTAAAGTACCTACATGTTTTAAATAACATAGTTACGGTCCCTAAATAAATATAACACTAAATATTTCAAATAAATGCTAGCTTGTCTTAATTCACTGAATCAAACTGTACTGTGTCTAAGCCTACTACATCCGATATTCAAGGAAATTCCATGTAAGGAAAGAGAACTGAGTGTGAGGCATATCACATCTTATCTTTAGTATATTTCCTCACAGAATCATTGAAAAAGAACCACTCCTTAGTCCATATGTTGGCAAAATCCATAAAAACCCAGATAGCAAATATTTGGGGTGGAGGACAATACGGCCTCTGTTATAACTGCTTAGCTCTGCTGTTGTAGCTTGAAAGCAACCATCAGCAACATCAGCTACGTTCCAATAAAACTTTATTTACAAAAACAGGCAGCTGGTCAAATCTTGCCTGCAGGTCGTAGTTTGCTGGCCCCTGCCCTATTTTAATTCTTCCGGTTGTTTTTTCATATCTTCAGCTCCTTTCAAGCTAACTTCCAATGCAGGAGAGGATTTAACTAAAACCTTTCTTCTCTGTCCTAATCATCTAACAGAGAGGCAAGACACCCCTGTGTCAGAAAGCTATGCTTCATCCCTTCTTGATCATCGAGATGTGTGTTCTGCAAGTGAAGATCTGCTGCTGGTAGATCCTTTATAACTAATTATGAAATTGGACACTGGCTGTAACCCTAAACGAAAATTTTTCTTATCTTTGTACTTCAAATTTGTGTGTGTGTGTGTGTGTGTGTGTGTTTGCCTACATTATACTTCTGTGTACATTTCTCAACTTCATTTTCCATGTAACACAGCCATTGTCAGAGTATTATATAGAATGTAGTCAGTCATGTGTTCTATAATTAGATCAGGCTGACATGTTTAATAGTTTTAGATTTTAAGTGATCGGGAGGTTGTATATACAGGTCACAGTGGGTCAAAATAGTTTAATTTTCTTCCCGTTACATTCAGTTCTATTATTTGTCATGGTCTTGTCCCCATTACATGATTTTATAGAGTTGACCAGTGTCAGTAATTAGGTGTGTGGGTGTAGCAGGCCACACAGAAAACTGAGACAAATAAACAGATAATTCAAACTTAAAGACAATGTTAAGTAGAATATTATCCCAATATTTATTGGAAACATCTTCTTGAAAAACTTCATAAACATAACTAAAATACCTGTTATTGTATATGATGTATACATTACTTGAGATGGGGGATATCTTCCATCATCCCAAAAATCTTGTCAAATATTTTAATTGGAATACACTTATTTACATGGTTTGTTTTAATTCTGTATCTCATCTCTATTGCACTATTATTTTCACAAGGTATATATTGGTTCTGAATAGTAGCCTTCTTTATGGAAACTATAAGAATACATATGTAAACATAGAGGTTATTCATCACTTTCAGTATGTAGAGTGTTTTTGTTGGAAGAAGAAAGTCAACTAATTTCTTACCATAAAAGATTAGTAAATGTCTAGTCTAAGTTAAGTTGCTATCTCCACATTTTCGGTATATGTATTATAAATATAAAATAAAAACTGTCTAGGTTAAGATTCCATTCATAATTATAGTGATAGCATTAATATCTTAAGGAATTATATTTTTAATTGGTAATATTAATATTTAGTTAATATAACAAGCAATATCTTTTGTGTTAATATATAGTCAAGAAAATGTTGATTTACTAATGCCATTAGTGATAATGAGCAGTGGATTCTCTGTACAGCTATCATTCTTATGTTTAATTACACACCCATTCATACAATTGGAGGTACTCTTTACAAGATATGAAAAAGATTCCACCTTCCAACCCAGTAGCAAAAAAAGCTTACGTGCATGGACACAAGAGGTCCAATTTAGCAGTTAGCACCTCTCTTCAGATAGACCAACAACTGGGAACAGAAGTTACAGGTTGGGCTCTGTGACATCAGATTGAAATCAGTGTAATGTCTCTAGCACAGTTGCATAAACACACATTTTCCTCTCAGCCACAGACAAGCAAATAGCAATTGCAACAATCAATAGCAGAAGAGAATTTAAACAGCTAGAAAATGAGAAACCTGGATTGAGCAGGCTTTGACCACTATAACTGACTTTACCCTACTATGCCACTGTTCTATCCCCTGCAAATTCAATTTTAAGATTGTAGGTTTAATATATTCAAGAACCAGAAAGGTCATAATCATGTCATGGAAATTGTTAACCTTTATTGAGTGCTTAGTATGTGCCATTAACTGGGCTCAGTGCTTAACAGTTTCTATCACATTTATAATTCTCTCTATAGTGATAATGAGCTAAATTGTCTTAAGTTTACAGATGAGGAAACCCTGGCTAAAGAAGTTAAGTAACTTATCCAGAACCACACATTATTGAGATGAGGGGCTGAAATTTGGACCCAGGCAGTTTGACTGCAGAGCCCAGACTCCAAACTCTTACCCAAAATGCCTGCTATAAATTTCGCATTTATAACCCATAATGGTCTGAACAAGGCTTTGGGACCCATCCCTGGAGAAGAATGAGGGATTCCTCAAGAACATCTCCTCCCTGGCCTCCCTGTCGTACCGTTCTACAGCAGAATGCCCAACAATGTGAGGTCATGCTGCATGCAGAGCCTCATGAGACAGGCTGCTGACCCAGGCATTCTGAGCCACCAGCTCCATTACCCACCACTTTGGAGTAGCCCTGGACAACATGGCCACCGAGAGCAAGATGTGAAAGAAAGGGAATCCTTATTGTTTGGACCTTAACATAGAAATGTTGGCCCTCATTTGGATTAGTAGAGGCAACACACAGCTATTTTAGAAAACAATGGGCCCTACTCAACATCTTTTTAAATTTTATCTGCTGTCTGTGTAAACAGACCAAGTTCTCACTCTATGTAGCAGCAGAAAGAACTTAGCCCAATTTTTCCTGACAGACACCAAATCCGTGATGGTGCAGCACTTAGCACTACGTATTAAGAAGTCCTAAAATTGCTAACTAGGAATGTAACTGTCACTGTTCATAAAGATAGGAAAATTTTTTAATAACAATATGCAAAATGGAGAGTTGAACAGCTGTGACTTTTGTACAAATGTGGTTCTCTCTCCTCTTTAGTGAAATTATGTCTGCAGGGTACATTTTGGTTTTAATGGCAGTTACACAATTTGCTTAACTAGCTGCTGGTCCAGAAGACACGATTTGCTGGGACAGCTTTCATGCAAAGCTGCCTTCTCTGGCAGAGACAGAGAAGCAAACCATATAACTGTAGTTAAAATGATAGTGGAGACTGGCAGGTGTGATTTTCATGTAAAGGTTTTACAAGTTTTTCATGTGATGTCACACATCTGCTACTATAAAACATTATTTGTATGCAATTCCAGAAAGTATGAAAAATACTGCATAATATCTTGAATGTAACATTTAATGTAAATGGAAAATTGCATTCATTTCATGGTTAGTGGTGAGTATCCATCATGAGGTAGCAAGTTGGGAAGTGGTTAGAGAGAACTTGAACTCAATATCTTATCTTAATAATGCTTCATGGCTTTGAGTAGCTTTCTAAATTTTCTAGGAAAAAAAGTTCCTAACTTTAAAGTTTATAAAAAGTCAGTAAACATATGAAACATTTCCAATTAGAAATAAACATAAAAGAATACCCTTTTAAAATCTCACTAAGGAAAGCTCTAAATCTTATAAACAGAATTTGCACACATCAATTTTGGCCACTTAGTGGCCAAAAGTATGGGCTGCAGAGTTGCACAGTGTGCTAGCCCTGTAGCTCGCCAGCTGTGAGATCTTGAGTAGGCAGATTATAGAGAAGAAGGAGGAGGGAGGAGGAGGAGGAAAAGACGAGAAAGAAATGAGGAAGGGGAGGGGAGGGGAGGAACGCTTATTGTGCACTTCGTGCATGCCAAGTATTATTCTAAGTGATTTACATGTACTAGCTGATTTAATCTTTCCAGAAACTCTAGAAAGTCTGTTTTATTATCCCTATTTTATAGGTAAGGAAACTGAGCTATAGATATTTTTATAAGTACTATATAATAGAGCCAGAATTTGAACCTAAGCGGTCTTATTCCAGAGTTGGTATTTAGCACTTAACATAGGTATGTTCAGTAACTGTTCAATAAATGTTAGTAATTTTTAATCTTGTATATACCAATAATATGTAGAAAGCTTCTCCTTTTGGCATTACTTGCTTTTTCAATACTTTCATGATTACAGTATACTTCAAAAAGTGAACAATTCTAAGAGAAACTTTGATTTGGAAAGAAACATATAATCCCATGGCCAGAGTATGCCACAATGAATAAAAACAGTGTTTCTTCAGAATTATTATTATTATTATTATTATCATTATTATTATTATTTTCGAGATGGAGTCTTGGTCTGTCACCGAGGCTGGAGTGCAGTGGCGCGATCTCAGCTCACCACAGGCTCCGCCTCCCGGGTTCGCGCCATTCTCCTGCCTCAGCGTCCCGAGTAGCTGGGACTACAGGCACCCGCCACCGCGCCCTGCTAATTTTTTGTATTTTTAGTAGAGATGGGGTTTCACCGTGTTAACCAGGATGGTCTCAATCTCCTGACCTCGTGATCCGCCCACCTCGGCCTCGCAAAGTGCTGGGATTACAGGTGTGAGCCACCGCGGCCGGCCTCCTCAGAATTATTAACAATTCCGTAGCTGCAGAAAATGGCTTCCAAAGGCGTTGAGCCTTCAGTCATTCATAAGGAGGTTATATTGTCATAATTATCTAGAATATGTATCATCTCATATAGCTGGGAATTTGTTATAATAATAGTAGATATACCAATGTGTAAGGCATTATTTTAACTTCTACTTTTATTTTAACTTTTATTTTAATATGCTTTTACATCCATCATCCCGGATGACAGTCACAACATGTACAAAGGAGAAGATCAAATCTCTAAGGAGTTAACTGAGTTTTCTAAGGGAATATGACTGATAAGGTCGAAGCGATGCTGATGCCATTTAGAACAAAAAAACAGCCTCTCAGTAGAGTAGCTATATTTTTATGTTAATAAGTTTGTTCAATTTTTATACTTTACAACATATTTTCCTCTATTCAACAAGCATAAATCAGTAAACTCCACTTTATAGTTGAACAAAAGGAGCATGGATATCAAAACAAATATTGAGTGTCCTACCTCTAACTGAACTAGAGCTAGTTTTTTTATTAACTTATTTGACCTTAACTTATGACTGGTTTAACGTTTTACGTCCTTCTAGCTGACTCAGGCTGATTTTATAATTTGGGGCATCATTTCTCCTAGCCTGGATAAAACCAGTCATCAGGCCTCACGAGACATGAGTCGCTAAGATTCCCAGCAGTAAGTTAGGGGGTCTCCTAGCTCCACACACATGCTCTTAACTTTTCTGATAGTTCATAGTTGATAATTCCCACTTACCTCCCCGACCCTCTGTACTACTCACTCATGAAAACTTCAACTGGCTCTTGATTTCTTTCCCAATACTTCTTTTCAACTACCATTTTACTTTGCATGACAGAGTCCCTCAAACTTACTTACTTATTTACTTATTTATTGAAACAGAGTCTCGCTCTGTCTCCCAGGCTGGAGTACAGTGGTGCAATCTCGGCTTACTGCAACCTCCGCCTCCCAGGTTCAAGCGATTCTCGTGCCACAGCCTCCCGAGTAGCTGGGATTACAGGTGTGCGCTACCACACTCGGTTAATTTTTGTATTTTTAGTAGAGGTGGGGCTTCACCATGTTGTCCAGGCTGGTCTCAAACTCCTGACCTCAAGTGATCCACCCGCCTCAGCCTCCCAAAGTGCTGGGATTACAGACATGAGCCACCGAACCCAGCCCCCTCAAATGTTTTTATACCACGATCCTTTCACATGAAAAGAAGTCTCCCGTCCAGTCTCTCTTCTCACCACTACCATCCAGGCAAGATCTGGAGGTGCTTCATCTCCCTGTTTCTGAAGTTAGAGGTCGTTTTTCCTGCTGGGAGACACTTCACCATTGCTGGCTCATTCTAGCAGAATCGACATTTGCTCTCTATCCTACTCATACTCCGCCACCCTTAAACTGAAGGGATGAAAACTTGACTCTGTAATTAAATACACTTTTATTAGCGACTCTTACATCTTATCAACAACCTTACTTAACAAATCTTCTGGTTCCACATAGAGAATGTTTTAGGCACCCAGAAGTTTAAATTGGTTTAATTGCAGATGGACTTTTACAAATAACAATGAATTATTCACCTTGACATCAGTTATGTATATAAATGTTCTTTTTTACAAACAATTTTTATAACTCTCAAACATTATTTTCTTTGTCCTAAAGCCAATAATAAAAAGCAAAGGAACCATTCCTCTCACACCAACATTTCTTTGAGAATATATTTGTAAATAAAGATAACTGCAACATAAACACATTTTGTGGGGGGGAGGGGGGTTGTATTTGTCTTCAAGCTTTTTTTTTTTTTTGAGATGGAGTCTCACTCTGTCGCCCAGGCTGGAGTGCAGTGGCACGATCTTGGCTCACTGCAAGCTCCGCCTCCCGGTTTCAAGCAGTTCTCTGCCTCAGCCCCCCAAGTAGCTGGGATTACAGGCACCTGCCACCACACCCGGCTAATTTTTGTATTTTTAGTAGAAACGGGGTTTCACCATCTTGGCCGGGCTGGTCTTGAACTCCTGACCTCGTGATCCACCCGCCTCAGCCTCCCAAAGTGCTAGGATTACAGGAGTGAGCCACCACGCCTGGCCCAAGCATTTTTTATGAATCTAACAAATCAGGCCCTTGTTTAGGCACTTCTGGAGAGGCTAAGCATAGACAAATAGCACAATAGCACACAGGGTAGTACAGAAGCAGGGAAACTTCCTGGCAGAAGGTAACAGTGTGCAGTACACAGACCCTGACCCCTTGACGTCCCAGGAAGAGAGGGCAGGAATGCTCACAGCTGGAGACACCATGTTCTCTGCTGCCAAAGAAGGACCATGCTCCTTCCTTCTACTCCATCATTTTTATAGGACCATGAGAACTCGAGAATGGCCTTGTGAAGGCGGGGAAGACAGTCTGAACTTGGGGAATTGTTGATTAAGAGAGTTGCAGACAACTTTTGGAGCTGGATGTGAGCTGCGTGAGCAGTGCTGTCCCTCCTGCTGGAAGAGGGGACCCCTGTCCCAGGTAGCTCATTGCTAGGCAACCCAGAAAACACTGCTAGCATCTTTCATTGGACAATCCTGTTTGCCACTCACCAAGGCAGTGTTCTATGACAGGTAGATGATGATTATTCTATTATTTGTGAAACAGTTAGCTCATATAGCTTATTAGTTTTCCTCTCTCGAGATTAAACATGCTCTGCTTCTTGTGCGTGAACTGCAGATTGTCTCATGCTAACAATCTGTATCATTACATACTTTGGAATCATATCTTAGACTGAGATTAAGTTCTAAAGTTAGCACATAAAGTGAAAATGGCTGAGTCAAAATTACCCTAACATTTCCTCAAGATCCTATCCTCTTGGTGACTGGCATATTAAACAACACTGCCACTTTTTTTTCCTTTGGTGTTGGAAAATAATTCTTTCTGGAATTAAAGTAGTTGGCTGGCATTTGCATCTTCTAGATCTTTAATAGATACATAACTGTGATCACATTCAGCCTAAAGAGATGCCGACAATGTTAAAGGTATGAAGGAACTTAGTCAAACTGAGGAAGTCAAACCAATGCAGACTGATATTATTCTTTGGGCATCCTATAATTGAATAATGAAACAGAAGATGTTTTACCCTAACTGGGTAAAATACATTACTACCTCATCCCCACATGAGAACTATAATTCATCTCTTTATCAATATGCAGGGAATGTTTTTCAAAATTCCTTTTGTGTGTCATAAATCACAATGTTAGTAATAGCTTATGTTTTTTCCATCCACAATTTTGAATTTACAGGTTAGTGCAAAATTACATTTAACCTCTCTGGCTTTTATTTGTTAAATGAATGGTTTGGATTAGGTGATTGCTAAGATCTCTTTTAACTCACTGCCACTTTATGTTAACAAGAATAAATTTGGCCTTTTTTCTGTAAGCCTCTGCATTTTCTCATTACAGTTGCTGATCAAAGAATACTTAAAATTTTTAAAGCATTTTCTTTCCATTTCTACTTTTTGTTTGGTTGGACAGTAACATATATTACCATTCTTTTATTTTAATGATTTTAACAATCCCATCATGTGAGTGTTATGGAAAGAAGGCCTCTCAGAAGGGCGAATTATTATCATGGATTCTTTTTACCAAGCTGTAGGAAAAAAATATAAATATACTTGATATCCAAAGACATGAGGGCTGATATTAACATTAAAAGGGCATTTCTAAAGATAAAGGATAAGTTTATGAACAAAAAAGGTGGATAAGAACTATTTTTTTCTTTGAAAGTAATTTATTTCATTCTGGTCACAAAATACAGGGAAGGAGCAAGGGCGACCCCTGCCACCTCTTGGTCACACATCTTCCTAGTCTAAGCTTCTCTATAATATCCTTTGAATAACAGTAAGATCATGCTGTCCCTAAGCACTTTTTCATATTATAACAGCCACAGAGTATAGCACGAGAAGGTGGGAGTTAAAAAGAGATGCCCCTTTCACGAGGCGGGGCTCCCTCCAATTAATGTTCCAGGTCCCTTTTGCCAATATTAAAACCAAAGTAACTGGTTGCTCTATTGGTTTTCTAAAACTCTGTCCTGAACAAGTAGGTCATAGACAAATTATTCCTGTACAAATCTTAGAGCTGTTTAAAATAACCTTATAGAAAGGCAGTGACTAAGGCCCTTCCCTTGCCCCCAGCTTAAGTCCCAGGCTGCCCATGGCACCTATATTGCTGCCCTTGGATCCCCCACATCCCAGGGCGGTGATGCAGGAAGGGTAGGCTCCCCCATATCCCAAGGTCGCAATGGCAGAAGGGTAGGCCAGGCCAAGCATGAGGAATAAACAGTCTTTTCTGGTCTCAAACAGGGAGTCCCTCGGTCTTAGGACCTCTGTGTATTTGTCATTTGTCTTCTCCACGTTCTTTGTGGCCTGTTTCTGCAGCCGCATGAGCTGCTTTTTCTTCCTGTAGTGCATCTTGGCCTTCTCCTTCCTCTTCTCCCCCATGGTGGCTGTCACTACCTGGTATTTCCAGCCAACCTCGTGAGCCAGGCACCCCAAGGAGGCAAACTTTCTTGTAGGCTTCAGTCGTACAACCTAAAGGGCAGCAGGAACCACCTTGTCATAGGGCAGTGAGATCCCATAAAACACCATAAGGTGGTCCAGGGCAGCCTGGCCCCACTTGGTTCTGCAAGGCCACCAAAAGATGCGCTGGGGGCCCAGGAATGGCGGGGCGGGTGGGCCTTGGGAAGGGTTGGTGCTCATCTGCTTGCAGAGGAAGGCCAGATACTTTAATTTGTTTCTCCAGAAATTGCCAGAAATGTTGATGCCCTCGTGGTGCTCAACCACCAGTTTCCTTCCCAGCAGAACCCACTTGGCCAAGATGGCTGCCGGGTGGCCCACAAGATGGCCTTGGCCACTGAGCACCAGGTTCTGTCTTTCTGCTGTCTTCAGCAGCCACCTGGGGGCAAAATAGATAGCTAGATATAGATAGTTCTCTCTGTCCATATATATATATATATATATATATATATATATATTTTTTTTTTTTTTTTTTTTTTTTTTTTTTTTTTTGAGGCAAAGTCTTGCTCTGTCGCCCAGGCTGGAGTGCAGTGGCGCAATCACTGCTCACTGCAGCCTCGACTTCCCAGGATCACGCCCAGCCCAGAGATATATTTTTAACTTCTGTCAAAGCTGAACACATTTGAAAGGAAACCTGTTTTTCTTTTTTTTAACAATAAAAAATGACATCATTAAACATTATTTATTACTAGTGTTTATCAGATGATTTCATATTTAATTAGATAAGATTATATTACATAGACTGAGTTAATTGTATAATAAAAATGGGTGAATCATAGAAACTTTTATCATCAAATTTCACATTTAAGTTTAATACAATTAAGCCAAACTACAATTGTAAAGAAAAGAAATTCCATTCTGTGTTTGAGAAGGTTAACTGGATCTACTAAAGGCAAAAGAAAAAAAAAGGCTCTTTGTTGTGCTAATAAAATTAGTTTTGCATAAATTTAGTCTCAAACTTATCATAAGGTAACAAATCTCTGAAAGCTTATTAAGCACTACTTGTTGAGTTTGTTGTCATGTAAAGATCTTAATTCAACTTTCCACTAAGCACAACACTCAGCTATGAAGGTTGACAGGGCCCCTCCATTCTATTATTCTTACTTCACTTTCTCCAGTTTTAATTGGGCATCAAAATAATGTGAATAATATTTTCAGATAAATAAAATGACAGGAATGATTGTCTTTCTTTTTTGCTAGTGTGGCTTAGTAATTTATTTTGGGGCACTGACCTCATATGTAAATTTTATCTCCAAGGGGGTCTTATTTAGTAACTATTAATCAACCCAGAGAAAAAAATATTAATAGCTACCATTATTAAGCACTTGGTATGTATTAGGCATTTTGTAAAACTCATTTAATCACCACCACAGTGCTTAATGGGAGATACTATTACTGCTGTTTTACAAACAGAGAAAATGAAACTTAAAGAAGCCAGACCATCAAGCTAGTAGGTGATAAAAATATTGTTGCAGCCCAGGACAAGAATTAAGAGACTTCACACTGTCCATATTTAAGTTGCACTTGACTCCCAGACCCTGAATATTCCAAGAATGTCAAAATCAAATTTATACAGTGCTTCATCTTTAAACATTTTCTATATTTTATCTTGTTTGCTCCTCAAAACAGTCCTATGAAATGAGTAGAATATTTACAGATGAGGCAGTTGCAGTTCAGAAACATTAGGGGAATTTCTCAAAGATAGTGAGTGGTAGACAAAATCTTCAATTGTAGCTTAAACCCAAAATGCTGGTTTGGTCTGAAAGATGGAAGAGAAGGACCACTCAGACTCATTGGAAGTGGCTTTCACTTTGGTGAATCTCAGTGAGATTGAGGATACCAAGAGTCAAGTGGCACCTCCTTGCCTTTGTTGGTGTCCAAGGTTTGGTGGTGAATATAGCACAGGTGGGGTGAGAAGTGTACCCCTTTCAGGTGACTTTTATGTGGGTGTTTGGGAAGAGTTCCCACCAGCGCTCAAGGTTCCACCCTGTTACATAAAAAATTCCTTGCTAATTAACATGTTTCCATGTCCTTTTATAAAATCTTTCAATTGACAAATAATAAGTATACATATTCATGGAGTATATAGTGATGTTTTGATACTTATAAAGTGTAGTGATCAGATGAGGGTAATTAGCATATCCATCATCTCATTTATAATTTATTTGTGTTGGGAACATTCAATATCCTCCGTCTAGCTGTTTGAGACTACATATTATTGTAAATTATAGTCATACTACAGTGGTGTAGAACACCAGAACTTACTCCTCCTATCTAGCTGTAAGTCTATATCCTTTAACAACTCCCTCCATTTCTTCTTAGATCACTGGCCCTCAGAAGAACTGAACCTGGCCTACAACATGCAGCATTCTTTTATAAGTTTGAGACGAGACATACATAGTTTTGTTATTGTTGACTACCTCCATTCTCCCTCACATAGAACTGTAATCTTATTCATGAATATTAGCACAGAATCACCTTATTATCATTATCATAATTGCCAGAGACATGACCCACCCTCAACTTCCAGAGTCAGTAAGGGCAAAGAGTTCAAGAAATTGATGTTAGGACTTGCCCTAAGGGAAGCTGAAAGACAACCCTTGGAACAGATCCTTCTGGTTTGAAAGCAATGTTACACAAAGCCCAGTCTCCTGACTCCTCATTCATGCCCTCATTACCATTTCATTTCTCACTTTCTCCAATATGTAAAACGCATACACACACACATTTTCTGGTAAAACACGTTCAGTCACTGTTTCTATGCACGTGATCACTGAGTTCTTTAAAAAATATATTTAATATATCTGTATTTTCACATTTTTGTCTTCAGAAAGTAAGCAGGTAGTTCACAATGTTTTTAAAGTTTCCAATTTCGTAATGAAAACTGATAAAAAGAAATTGAGAATCACCTGGCTGAAGTGTGTTGCAGATTACCAGACATAGCCCATGTCTGTACATACATAAGTAATTTCACCATAAAAGCTAAGTGTATATTTGAAGCAGAATCACCTAACTCAGTGTTCTTGGATGTTGGCAGTACACGGAGCTAGGCTTTGTTTGTGCATCTGCCGCTTAATGTAAGATCTGCAGAAAATGTTTTACCCTCTAGGAAGAGCAAGTGAATTAAAAGCATGCAACCTATTTCACTGAGGGTCAGCATATAGTATTCGCTCGGTGAATATTAGTTCCCATCCCACTCTGCCATCCACTATCTTCCCTTTAGTCTCTCCTTTGTTTTTTTACAAGGCTGACATTCATTCTTCATGCAACTGTTTCTTTCAGCAAACTGTGGCATCTATTAAACAGAATTTAAATCTGAATTGGAATTAACTTTAAAAGTGCACAAATGGAATTTTCTTCAGAAATATCCAACATCACACCTTTCCTGTTCTTTATTAAGAGCTTCAGAATGAAAAACACAAACTCAGCCCACTGTGGGGATATAAATCTGTATTATGGAAAAGAACAAACAAGTTATTTGAAAATACATCCCCCATTACAGTTACATGAAACTATCATCTCATTTGTCCAAAGCTTTGATCTTCTAGTAATGGCATAATTTTAGACATAGTATGTTAATTATATAAAACTCTGTCACAATACCTATCCCCAATAAACCAATCTATTAAAAACAACACTGAAGCAACTTATTGCCACCTTTCTCTGTTCTTGGGGCTGCTGAACCTTTATCCTCTATTCCTACTTTTTCTCCATACCTCTTCTATCTTCCCAGAGTCCTTACCTAACAGAATTGTAGCCTCCTGCTCACTCCTAGACCTTGCGGTCACATTTAGTGGCAAGGTATTTAAAGATTCTGTGCAGATTCTAGGTATCCAGCAATATATCCTTTTCTCCCTAAAACTCGTCAAAAGTATTTTTTTCTTAATTTTTTGTGTTTTCTAATCCCTCTTGCATCCCATTCTAGCATATAAAAGGAATTGCTATATATTTGATTTCCTCCTGCTCTATGTGGTCATAAAGACTCAGTAGTCAAGAATAATACTTTTTCAGTATTTTTCTCATCTCTGAATGTTGGTCTTGGAAACCTGGAATTTGGGTATTATATGGAATTGGAGTTATTTTCATGGCCTGGTGACTTTCATAATCTGCCACAGCCTTGTCCCCAGTCTTGTCAATTTCCCCTCACTAGCATTCTTCTCCTGATTCCCTCCTTCCTGGATAATCCCAGACATCAGTGATGTTGCCTTTGCCATTGCCCGGTATTCTGAGTGTCCTTGGTAATTCTCTGACTCTCCTTAGAGTCAAGCTCCAAAGGATTCCTGTATCCATGGCTGTGTATGCTTACCATTATGTATGAATGTGTATTTTTGGAGTTCAATTAAGTTATATTGTGACTGCACATTTTAGCAACTCATAAGTAATTTATTAAGAAATAGAAATCCAGTTCAACATAGAGTATGTTACAAGTCAGACTATTCTCACCCTTCCTTGTACACAGAAATGGCTATTTCCCTGGATGACTTTTTCATACGCATGGAACATCTCTAATTCAACCTCATACCCTAGGTGAAAACAATACCTAGGACACTGAAGGTAGCCAGGAAATGATGCAGAAATGCTTGGGAATTCTAGGGAGAACCACAGCTTTCCTACTTGGTTGATGTGTGTTGAAGCTCATCTTATAATGCTCCCAAGTTCAGGAATAAGGTACATCATCCAAGATGGAGACCTTAAAAGCTGCAGTTCCATTAGACTAAGGTCACAATGGAAGTAGGGAGATCTTCAGACTAAACAAAACTCCATACCATGACTCAGAACTGTCCTTCCAGTCTTGTAGCTTCCATCCGCTCCCCTACGCCTCTTGCTCCCACATTGCCACCCATACACAACCACATGCATGTCTGTGTGCACTAGCCTTGTACTCTAGGTAGGCAGAATTGAATATTATTGAGCACCTCTATATCTACTACTCTCTTCCTAAAATGCCCCCTTCTCCAACCAGCAAAATACTTTCATCCTTCTACAGTCTGTTTACATGTCTCTTCCTTTGTGAAGCTTTCCCTGAGCCATCAGACTAAGTTGTCTTTTCTCCCTCTGAGTATTTACGTCATGCATACAAATTTCAGCAGTTTTTGCCTTGTGTTATATTTTCCTGACCACTTCTAGAATGAGTAACTCATCTTAACTTATGCAGGATATCCCTGTTTGAAAACTGAAAGCCCCACATCCCAGGAAACTCCTTAGTCCCAGGCAAACTGAAATGGTTGGTCATCCAACTTGTGTGTCTCCCCCACTGGAGCATGAGCCTCCTGAGGGAAAGGATTTTGTCATGTTCACTTTTGTGTCCTTAGTGCCCAGAATACTGAGGAATCAATGGAATTATATATGAGACGTAAAGGACTTAAACTACTTAGTCAGATTGTCAGACACCAGTAGAAGAGGACTTATTAGTCTTGTCTCTAATACAGAAAGATCTTGAAATAGTGTAGTCTTTTAGTTTTCCTTTAGCTAAAGCCTATTCTATGAACTTATAATTCACTACTTTCACTCAATCTAGAAGCAAAAGGTTAGAAATACCTTTGATAACAATGATCTCCTCCTGCACTCAGCAATAACATTTTAGAGAGATACTTTATGGGAGTGAAAAGGGATCGATAGAAAACAACATTTTTTAATGCATGCCTAGTGGCTCTGAATTTTTTGAAGTTGAATCTATGTACCTTGTAGGTCCTGGGTGCTTCATGACATGATTGATGGTGCACACGGCCATGTCTGCTAGGAGTTAGTTCGAAGTTTTCCATGGAATTAGTGAAGAGTAATGGCTTAGTGATGAATCTTCCTTTATATATAAAATACACATTACAGGTTAATGTCTTAACTAAATAACTAGCATTACGACCGAGGGAGGGAAGAGATCTCATTTATGTGAAAATTTGCATTTTGAGAAGCTCAACCTAGTGTGGAGTAGAGGACAGACTCAGCTGTAAGAGTTTCAGTGCCAATATGTGGATATTCTTCTCAGTTGGCCATGATTCCACCTCCCAGCTGGATACTATATCCCCAACATAGACACCCTCATGTCCAGGAAGAGCAGGAGAAATTAACGTGTGAATGACTCAATCTTCCCATTCACATTCACAAAGCAAACTGACATTTCCCCAGGTACAGTAGGAAATAATGAATGGACGTTTATAGAAGGAAAATTATCACTTAAGTGTTAGAATTGGGAAGAAATCTTTCAAGAGGCAGGATTCAATTATTCTGTTTTTAAAAAATGCTCCAAGTAAAATAGATGCCATTTTTCCATTTATTCAAAGCTCATATTTTATAATAACGTATTTAAAACATTAGGCTTTAATCTAGTACTTCTAAAATTCAGCATTTCAAAGCCCTGTAAGGCACACATTGCATTATGTAACCTTGTTTTGCATCATAATTCTTTTTTGTCCCTGTTTTCTCTCCCCTGCTAGACTATGTGCCTGATTCATCTTTGTCCCTCCCCTATCAACCATAGTGTCTAGTCAAGAGACTTTGGGAAATAAATATGCGATGAATGATGATAGTTAGCATTGACTGAGTACTTACATCCAGGCACTGTTCTTAAGTAGTTTACCCATTTTAAGACATTTAATATGCACAACAACTCTGTAAGGTGAATATTATTTTTATCTGACTTTACAGGTGAAAAATTCTGAAGCACAAAAAAAGGGTAAATGATGTGCTCACGGTTACATACCTAGGATGTGCAGGGGCTTGGATGTGAGCATCATGACTACAGAGACTGAGTTCATAATTATACTATCCTGTCTTCTTTGAAGAGGGTTGGCTCCAGAAGATCCTTCTAGGGTTATTTTCCTCCCAGTTTCCAAAGCATGAAGTTGTTTTTATTCCATTTATTCAAACATGACAGTAGAGAAAAAATTATGAAGTCTTCCCAAGGCTCATATTAAAATGAATAAAATATAGTCAGGGAGGGTGCAATGTCTGTGTTTGCCTGCTAGTTCAGCTGTAGTCTAGGGGTTCAGATGGGAGTTGGTAACAGTGCAGAGATGGGGAATTGGAATTGGGGTTAGAGAAAGCCTAGGGATTCCAAGCAATGATGAAATCCACACTAGGTTCATTCAGGAAGCCCAAAAGAAGCCAGTTTGCATTGTGGTCATCCTGAGCCACAACGCCAAGCCCCAAGCCAGTCCTCTCACTCCCTCTCTCAATGCTGAGTTGCTGCTTGTCTAATGCTCCCACATTTCATCCCTAATATAGTGCTTTTCCTTATTCACACTTTTCTGTTGTAACCCAAGCTGAGACTACAGACACTTGTGCCACCATGCCTGGCTAATTTTTATACTTTTAGTAGAGACGGGATTTTGCCGTGTTGCCCAGGCTAGTCTCAAACTCCTATGCTCAGGCAATCTGCCCACCTAAGCCTCCCAAAGTGCTGGGGTTACAGAAATGGGTCACCATTCCCTGCCCACAATGCGTATTTTACAGGAGAGTGAAGCTGGAAAACAGTGAGATATATCCTCTTTCCTGCTGGCCTTGCTCCATTCATGTATTTATTCAGTAAATATTTGAGCACTATGTACCTCATGTCTTGGATAATTAGCACAGACACCTTGGATACCTTGGAAACATTTTATCTGTGACACAGTCTCCACTTAAAAGCTGCTCCCTTCTCTCTTCCACATTGATTATTTCTAAATGTTAACTGAAGTCAAGATAGCAGGATAGTAACCTGCAGGTGCAAAGGTGTCATCCACGACTATGCACTAAAAGAGCCTGTCTCCAAAAACCCCAGGAGAAGCAAGGTGGGTTGTGAACAGGCTGAGATATAGATATACAGGGAGCATTGATGGTGAGGGTCGGGGAATGGCTTTGATAACCTTCAGCCTACCTGTCCTGTGCATACTGATGGGCTCAGTATTTAAGACTTTCCTCCTAATTCCTCCCTTTCCTCTCCACAATGAAGAAAATGGCAGGCAAACAGGACCTGGACCAGGGACCACCTTTGGCAGCATGGCCTCTAATCAGCTGCAAATATTTCCTTCCCTCAGTGCTTGTCTGAAACTTCTGAGGGCAGAAGTCCTCTTCAGGAGCAAAGTTGCATTTCCTAATCCTCCCTGAGGCCACATATAGAAAAAGAGGCTTCTGCATAAATCTTATCAGGCAAGATACTCCTTATGCAACACCTCTTCACACATTCTCAGCTTCTAACTCAGGGGATCACAGCCGTAGCTGCACACTAGAGACACCTGGGAAGCTTTCTTTCATCTAAAAAATGCCAATGCCTGTGGATCTCATTCTGAAATTATGAATCAGTTGATTTAGGGTAGCCCTGAGTCTTCTGTTTTCTGTTTGTTTTTGAAGCTCTCTGGTGCATCTGGAATTTCAAAGCACTGCCACATACGAACTTACTCTAAGTTTCCATTCCATGGTGAGAGGAGAGAGTCAGACTGCAGATAAGTGAATGTAAAGACAAAGAGATCAGGCAATGGAATCTCATCCTTAAATATCCTGAGTCCTTTGCCACTTTTAATTTGGAAGCATCTCTCATCAGTAGTCTTTCCCTTCTGTAAAGAGAAAACGGAATCTTTAAGATATACGCACTTCAGAATATGACTCTTACGCTTTTAGCTTTTAATAGCTCAAGATTCTCTTAGCAAAATATGACAATAGACTAGATATAATTAAATAGCAAGAACTCTTGGTAGCTTCCCAGCTTCTTGTTCTGTATGGAAGCTAGATGAAATAGCTAGTACTTACCTCACAGAGCCTAAACAATGAGAAGGATGGCATTTGTCATTCACATCTTTTTGTACACATTGTAAGACCCCCAAATCCTTGCTGAAAGAACTTGAAACTATTCATTTTGGAAGCATAAGGAAGACAAGTTTCTATTCAGCTACAATCACATTTCTTTGTGATAAGTCTTTTAGAGCTTGTGAGCATTTTAAGTTTCAAATGAATGACTTCATTTGTGACAATGGAAATGTTCTGTAGCAATTAGCTTATGGTGCTATAGCCATATCCTGCTTTTGCTGTCTGTGGGGTCCAAGGCATGCCAAACTAGCTCATTGGTATTCTCATTCTCTGTGAACTCTAGAAACTCATTTTGATGGTAAATGGAATATTTTCAACATAGTGACCATAAAGCAGGTGGCTGCACATTAACTTTTCTAAGAAAATAATTACATGCAGGTGGAAAGTTGGAGGAACTGGGTTGTATGCATAACTGCATCCCAGAAAGTTTTTGTAATGTATTTTCTAAGGATAAAGTTATGCATATGACGAACAATGACCTAGCAAAACGGATATAGAACAGATAGGAAACAAGAAAAGTTGATATCCTAGTACATTTCAAAGCTGTTTCTTGGTTTCTTAAAGTTATTGACATATGTTTGAAAATAAATGTTTTAAAACACACACTCATCATTTAGTCATTTAACAAGAAAAGCTATTTTCCATTCACTGTATTAGATGCTCAATACAGAAAGATAAATAACACATGTATCCTGTATATAGAAGTACACAATCTAGGGAAGGAAATCAGCATGAAAATTAATCATTAAAACACATTTTAATAAAGTTAGTATAGCCTGTGAAATTCATTATTGTAAAATTATCATTTAGGATGCTGTATACTACGTCACAGAAATCTCTTTATTCAAAATTTGGAAAGGAATGTCAATAAGACTTAGGAATACTATGTCCTTCTAAACAACTGGCTTCGGTGCATCTTAAATACTCTTAATAGTATAATTGGTTTCTCTCTCCTGTTGAATTAGCAGCTTAAAAGCTGAAAGCTAATTTGCAACAAAACTCTAGTAAATAAATAGGAACCTATCTTATCAATTCTATTGATCTCCCACCTTGATTCAACTAACTTCAACCTAATTTTGTTTACTTTTGTTGTTGTTGTCCTCAAATCTTCTTAATGATGAAGTGGAGTATAAGAAAATAAGTGAATACTGACTATAGTGAATAATAACTTAATTGTATATTTTTAAATAACTTAAAGAATGTAATTGGATTATTTGTTACTTAAAGGATAAATGCTTCAGTGGATGGATTTTTTTTAAGTGAATAAACTGCAATGAGAGAAGTCTGTTCAAAGTTTTCTGAGAACCCAAGGTGGAAGAATATCACACAGGCAGGGAATGTGGCTGGGAGGAGTGAGGGAAGGAGACACAGGAGAGATAGGAAAAACATCCTTAGAATAATGGCAATAACCACTGCAACACTTCAATAATAGTAATAAGAAATAACTGTACCTCAAAAAAATAACAACCATAACTTCATTGTTGGGTTCTCCCTGGGTATCTAAGGGAGATACAAACATTGTAAACATTGTAAACAATTCTCTTATCCTCACAGCAACCCGTGATGTAGCTATTAATGTCCCCATTTTACAGATAAAGATATTGAAGCTTAGAGAGTTAGAAATTTGCCCAAGATGCCACCTGAAACCCAGGTTGTCTTGCTTCAAGTGCTGCACCATTTACATACTGAATCTCTCGTGGAAAGATAAGAGGTCTGATAGAGGGTCACTGATCAAAGTAGCTCCAAGTATGTTCAACGTAGAGGGCACATGTGGTGATGCAGCCAAAGGTGAAGCTACAGAAATGAGTGAGGGCAAAATCAGGAACAGTATATGTTTAAGTAATAGGAAGGTTTCAAAGGATTTTGGTAAGGAAGTTATGTAACAATGGAGAAACGGGAAAACAGGCATCAAACTCTGGTCCTTCCAAAACAGGGTGGCAGTGTTAGAGTTTACAGCTCACATGCTTTACAGGCACAGATATTATTAGTTCACTGTGCACCACAGTCATGATGCACAAGGCCTTGGTGAACAAGAGCATTACAATAACGTTTTATTTCCAGTGGGAAAATAATTTTACATAGATGGTTGTACTTTGAACCTCTTACAAATGAGTTTCATTAACAAAGAGCACTGTTAGAAGCACTCCCTTCCTAAACAGCACCAAAGGCAGTTAGAGCAAGGTCCCAGTGCTTCTGAAGTTCCCCAGTAAAGCCTTTCTTATGGATGAAAAATGATGACAGTAATGGTGGTGATTAAGATGATGATACAAGCTGCTGCTAATTATTGAGTATGTCTGTACTCAAAACCATGTGCTAATATTCATTATTTCACTTAATCCTCACAACCACCCCAAGAAGGAGGCATTACGCTGCTATTACAGATTAAGACACTAAGACTCAGTTTCAATAACTCAACCAAGGTCACATAGCTAGTCAAGTGGTAGAGCTGGAATTTGAATACAGGACTGATTAACTGCAGAGCCTGTGGGGCAGGCAGCTACCTTACCCTGTCTCCCGTGAGGAAAGAATTAGATCTTACGGTTGACTTACCATGTTTCTGGGAACTGCTTTGAAATGATCTGATTCATAGTATTGGAAATTGGTTGTTGAGATGTTGCTGCTTCTGTCTCCTTTCCTTTCTGAAGCTGTAAGTGGTTTATGTTGGGGACGTGCAGGGTGTATACACACAATAAGTGTGTGTGCACATGCCAATGTGAAATTGTATATCCAAAAGAAAAAAGTGTGCAGAGATTCAGTTTAGAAATAAACCCGGCCAAGTCCAGCCTTTCCACTTACGAGACATGTGATTTAGAGCAAATAATCCGATCTCTCCATGTGTCAGTCTCATTGCCTTTAAAAGGTGAATAATTGGAATGCAAGTCTGGGTTGTTATGAAACTTCACTGAGGAAAACTATACATAGTAACTGGCCAAGAGTTAAGTACTCAGTATTTGTCAGTTTCTCTTCCATTCCTTCTCTCCTCTTCATGCTTGCCTGCCATAATTCTATGTATCAATGTATATGCCAGCCCTCTCATGGGATGTTTATATCCTAGAGAAAGAGCAGCATAGGCCCACCACTAAAAGCAGATTTGTTGGTTTCTACTCTCCCCACAGATAAGGAACTCTGCATTTCAAACAGCCTGCTATACAGAAATTCACAGTTTGCTTGGACTATAAGCTCTCAGTTTAGCTGGGCAACAGTTGCTTCAAGCCACTCTGCGTCTGATACCTACAAATTTGCCCTCTCACCATGTAGAATATGAATTCTCTACTTTTGCTTGATTTCAGCATCAACTGTCCTACATATGTATTCTGTAACTTCTGCAAACTCTTTCTCCTGGATCCCAGTCTCTCAATCCAGGACCAACTCTAAAAAGTGCAGACTCTGGTTGCTATACTCTATCAATGAATTTACCTCACATTTATCCTGTTGGATATGGGGACTTTGCAAAGCTCAGGTGATGCTCTTTTCTTCAATACCATTCAGTATAAATTTCATTTCTTGACCACTTAGTTTCATGCATATTAAACTCATCTCAAATGAACACAGTAGACCAGAAAGCAAGTGCACATTCTAGTTCTTTTGGCTGAATTATGCATAATGTAAATAGAATAACATATGAGAGAGCCTTTGAAAACTCAGCACTTGTCACAGAAATGTGTGTTGTACACAGGCCAGCCCAGTCAGGAGCCTGACCGCGTGCTGGGTGAGGCACTTGACTGTAATCAGATAAGGTGGCCCTTAATCACCTGCTCTCCATAGAGCCATACATATGGTCTTTTAAATAACTTTGCCCCACGGTTATCCTAATCTGAAATTTTCTTTTTTAGCCACATAAATAGAAGAACACAGTTTGAAAATCCTGTCCTGGAAGCAAAAAGGAAGCTACAGCAACATAACATGCCCCACACAGAACTTGGAACAAAGCCCCTGCAGGCCCCAGGTTTCCGAGGTATGATACCTGTCAGCATGTGATGTTTCAAAGGGAAAATTGTCTGTCAAACTGCCTGCTCTTCCAAATATGTCTGTAGCTTGGACCATTTTGAAAAATTGATTTGCTTTCTCCAGACCTTCCTATTAGCTTTAGCTGGATGTTTGCATTCTCTCTAAACTAATGCCTTTAGCAACCGCAGATGAAGTTATAGCCACAGGCAGTACTTTATAGGAATGTACAGCATGTCACCACGTGGAGATTAATGGATTTTTATAGTGGCACTGTAAACTGAGAGATTCATAGAGACTCATAAGTTTGTCCTTAAAAGACCAAGCACAAGAATGAGGCTTGTTCTCCTTTGTGACAGTAGACAGCTCCTCATGGACATTACCTAGGCCCAAATCCATCCGCCCCCGTGCTGCCCCGGAGAGGTCGCGCAGCGTGAATGACTTGTCTTACTATCAGCGCGACCCAGCAGGGAGGCCCTGGCTGTTCGGTATGTCCCAGGGCTGCTTGCGGGACCTGACTACACCTGGGAGCCACGTAGTGGGATGAGTTGCTGCACAAACTTTTCACAGCTAGTGAGCTTCTAAATAAAAGCACAAAACAGCCTTTAGAGTCGGGAGGCCTAGGCTTGCCTGCTGGTAGTTTTCACGCCATATACTGCAGCATAATTAAATGAATGTAAAGGTCTCCTGGTGAACTTATCTCCAACTATAAACATTAATTTGATAAAGAAAACATAGGAGAAAGGATTATATGTGGTTTTTATTTATGTTTTAAAGAACCTCTGTTTTTAATAAAGATACATGTGATATGTAAGCGGACAGTAAAAGCAGAAGTCTAATAGAATGACTCATTATTTTAGAGTTTATTACTTGTCACCCAAAATGTAACAACAAAGATATCATGCAGAATACTTAACTGAGTTACCATATACAATTTGGCTGTTAAAAATATTAAGTCAGACCACCTAAATATAACACATTTTAAAAGAATCATATAAAATATTTATCTGTGATGGAATTTAAAGCAGATATTAATTGTTTCCTAGTATGACTATTATTTTTTAAAACACTTACTATACTTAGGAATATATTTATTACAGATCATAGCTGGAAAATCATATTATATAACAAATTAGCAGGTAAATCTATGCAGTGCCTATTCAGATTATTCGGGCATATGATTTGAATCTATCAACATATTGTGACAAAATGTGTTACCTTTACATTCATAATTATATCTAAAAACATTGGCTTGCCTTTTGCTCACATTTTAGAGTATACTAAACACTATCGGAGCCAATAGCAATTTATTTATCTGGTTATCTTTATAGTATCTCACAATAGAGCAGTGTAAACAAAAGTCAGTTCCACATACAGGTACTCTTTCTAAGCAATCTGGACCTTTGAGTATGTGATCACATTCCACTGTTTCTCTGTTTGTGATATTGCACATGCTGAAATATTGTGCTCTTATTCACTTAAAAAAAAAATCACAAGTCCATGTCCATTTCATTTCTCTACCCTTATTTCTTCAAGGCTTAGTTTAGGATCGGCCACTGACACATACCTCCTACCTGGAATCTTTCACAATAACAACAGGAACAGATCCAGATGTTGTCTGGATGATTTGGGCTCCTTGTCCTCTTTCTTAGAAGGCTCTGGCAGCCTGTTGACACAGCCTTTTTTAAGCACAAGAAGGCTAACTTAATGAGTGGAAACTGATTTGACAAAAAGTCTGTCTCCAAACCAAACAGCTTTTTCATCTTTCCCTGGATGCTTGGGACTGCTCTTCGTGTGTAGGAAGTTCTAATAGTTTTGCTCCTCTTGCAGTCACCACCTGCTTGCATTTGCTGTATAAGACCCCCCACATTTACCCCTGGGATTGTCGCTGCTCAGGGGCTGGCTTTCTCTTGTCTGAGAACTTGACTTGAACATGCCTTTTTCTTTTTTAACTTATATTGGCCAATGTAGAAAAACCACTCTTCACCCGGGATGCATCCCAGTTGAAGGGAACATTCCTCAGCACCACCCTAAAAAAGAGCAACATGGGCTTTGGATTTACCATCATTGGTGGAGACGAGCCTGATGAGTTTCTGCAGGTGAAAAGTGTGATTCCGGATGGGCCTGCAGCACAGGATGGAAAAATGGAAACAGGTAAGGTCCTTCATGGTTTAGAAAATTGTTTTGCAACATCTTTTTTTCTGAAGGCAAATATAAGGAGCTTCTTTTGTGTTTTTATTCAAAAGACAAAGGTCACTTCACTTTAGGAAAAGCATGAAGCATAAATTATGTTTCCCCTAAGTTTAAAAATATCAAGTTGAATTAATTTGGAAACAATTTTGAATATAATTTTTGCCTTCTTTTTTAAACTACCCCTTCTGTTTGCTGGATTCAATGGACTCTTGAGATTGACACTTTTCTAATTTATCTCTAGAGTTTGTTCTTAGGGGTGTGATTAACATTTCACACTTTTCTAACTTATATTCAGCCACAATATTTTAAAATCTGTGTTAATCTTATAATATTCTCATGCTATATCACCCAGGTTAGTTATTGAAATATACATGCCCATCTCATACGGAAAACTTTAAACTGGACTAGGTCTGTATATGTCCCTATATTATGTTTTAATATATGAGTCTTTTCTAGCCCTTAAAAATTATTTTTCATATATAATTACTCAGATGTCTACTCAAATTACAACTGAAATTTATTTCTTGTGGAAATACAGAGGCAAATTGCTAAGGACAGAAACATATAAAATACAAAAATTACACAGAGTAAATGAAAAAGTAATGAACAAGGTTTGGCTTCACAGTCTGATTTTAAATTTTCTTGCCTGGCCCATGATCTTGGATAAGTCCCATAACTTGTAAATATGAATTTCCTTATCTAGAAAACAATGAAGAAATTAAATATGACCTTATGTCTTTTAAGTGCTGATTCAAGATTTGTATAGTGTAATTTTTTTAAATTATGCTTTAAGTTCTGGGGTACATGTGCAGAACGAGCAGGTTTGTTACATAGGTATACACGTGCCATGGTGGTTTGCTGGACCCATCAAACTGTCATCTACATTAGGTATTTCTCCAAATGCTATCCCTCCCCTATCCCCCCATCTACCAACAGGCCCCAGTGTGTGATGTTCTCCTCCCTGTGTCCATGTGTTCTCATTGTTCAACTCCCACTTATGAGTAAGAACATGTGGTGTTTGGTTTTCTGTTTTTGTGTTAGTTTGCTAAGAATGATGATTTCCAGCTTCATCGAAGTCTCTGCAAAGGACAGGAACACATCCCTTTTTATGGCTGCATAGTATTCCATGGTGTATATGTGCCACATTTTCTTTATCCAGTCTATCATTGATGAGCATTTAGGTTGGTTCCAAGTCTTTGCTATTGTGAATAGTGCCACAGTAAACATACGTGTGCATGTGTCTTTATAGTAGAATGATTTATAATCCTTTGGGTATATATATAGTAATGGGATTGCTAGGTCAAATGGTAATTCTGGTTCTAGATCCTTGAGGAATTGCCACACTGTCTTCCACAATGGTTGAACCAATTTACACTCCCACCAACAGTGTAAAAGCGTTTGTTCGTGTTTCTCCACATCCCCTCCAGCATCTGTTGTTTCCTGACTTTTTAATGATCACCATTCTAACTGGCATGAGATGGTATCTCATTGTGGTTTTGATTTGCATTTCTCTGATGGCCAGTGATGATGAGCCTTTTTTTATGTTTGTTGACTGCACAAATGTCTTCTTTTGAGAAGTGTCTGTTCATATCCTTTGCCCACTTTTTCATAGGGTTTTTTTTTTCTTGTAAATTTGTTTAAGTTCTTTGTAGATTCTGGATATTAGCCCTTTGTCAGATGGGTAGATTGCAAAAACTTTCTCCCATTCTGTAGGTTGCCTGTTCACTTTGATGATAGTTTCTTTTGCAGTGCAGAAGCTCTTTAGTTTAATTAGATCCCATTTGTCAATTTGGGCTTTTGTTGCCATTGCTTTTGGTGTTTTAGTCATGAAGTCTTTGCCCATGCCTATGTCCTGAATGGTATTGCCTGGGTTTTCTTCTAGAGTTTTTATGGTTTTAGGTCTTACATTTAAGTCTTTAATCCATCTTGAGTTAATTTTTATATAAGGTGTAAGGAAGGGGTCCAGTTTCAGTTTTCTGCGTATGGCTAGCCAGTTTTCCCAACACCATTTATTAAATAGGGAATTCTTTCCCCATTGCTTGTTTTCTTCAGGTTTGTCAAAGATCAGATGTTTGTAGATGTATGGTGTTTATTTCTGAGGCCTCTGTTCTGTTCCATTGGCCTGTGTATCTGTTTTGGTACCAGTACGATGCTATTTTGGTTACTGTAGCCTTATAGTATAGTTGGAAGGCATGTAGTGTGATGCCTCCAGCTTTATTCTTTTTGCTTAGGATTGTCTTAGCAATGTGGGCTCTTTTTTGGTTCCATATAAAGTTTATGGTGGTTTTTTCCAGTTCTGTGAAGAAAGCCAACGGTAGCTTGATGGGGATAGCATTAAATCTATAAATTATTTGGGCAGTATGGCCATTTTCATGATATTGATTCCTCTTATCCATGAGTATGGAATGTTTTCCATTTGTTTGTGTCCTCTCTTATTCCCTTGAGCTGTGGTTTATAGTTCTCCCTGAAGAGGTCCTTCACATCCCTCGTAAGTTGTATTCCTAGTATTTTATTCTCTTTGTAGCAGTTTTGAATGGGAGTTCACTTATGATTTGGCCTTCTGTTTGTCTATTATTGGTGTATAGGAATGCTAGTGATTTTTGCACATTGATTTTTGTATCCTGAGACTTTGCTGAAGTTGCTTATTATCAGCATAAGGAGTTTTTGGGCTGAGACGATGGGGTTTTCTAAATATACAATCATGTAATCTGCAAAAAGAGACTATTTGACTTCCTCTTTTTCTATTTGAATGCGCTTTATTTCTTTCTTTTGCCTGATTGCCCCAGCCAGAACTTCCAATACTATGTTGAATAGGAGTGGTGAGAGAGGGTATCCTTGTCTTGTGCCAGTTTTCAAAAGGAATGCTTCCCATTTTTTCCCATTCAGTATGATATTGGCTGTGGGTTTGTCATAAATAGCTCTTATTATTTTGAGATATGTTCCATCAATACCTAGTTTATGGAGAGGTTTTAGTATGAAGGGGTGTTGAATTTTCTCGAAGGCCTTTTCTGCATCTTTTGAGATAATCATGTGGTTTTTGTCATTGATTCTGCTTATGTGATGGATTACGTTTATTGATTTGCATATGTTGAACCAGCCTTGCATCCCAGGAATGAAGCTGACTTGATTGTGATGGAAAAGCTTTTTGATGTGCTGCTGGATTCAGTTTGCCAGTATTTTATTGAGGATTTTTGCATCGATGTTCATCAAGGATATTGGCCTGAAATTTTCTTTTTTTGTTGTATCTCTGCCAGGTTTTGGTATCAGGATGATGCTGGCATCATAAAATGAGTTAGGGAGGATTCCCTCATTTTCTATTGTTTGGAATAGTTTCAGAAGGAATGGTACCATCTCCTCTTTGTATCTCTGATAGAATTCAGCTGTGAATCTGTCTGGTCCTGGACATTTTTTGGTTGGTAGGCTATTACTGCCTCAATTTCAGAAATTTTTCTTGGTATAGTGTAATTTTTAAATTCCTTAGAATACTATTATAAAGTACAATAACTATATCTCTAAAGGAATATACTCTATCCCCATTGTCATGTTTTTCACATTTATTTAGTTCATGATATCAACTTTATAAACTCAATCAGTTCTAATAGATACAAAAATTAGAGAATTCCTTTGGAGAAAAAGTTCTGCCATTTTTATGACCAATACACTTATGAATTGTTCTTCCATGGGTTTTAAAGTGGTTTGTGTATAGAGAAACAAAAAAAATTGAGGTATTCATCTGACATTTTTAATTTTAAATATCACCAACGCTGTATTGCCATTTATCATATAGTTTCTGTATAAATAACTTTTTATGGTGCCCTTATATTTGTCACTGCCACTCATTTGTGAGTAATAATGCATATTATATCTCCTTAAAAGTTGAGATGAAGTTTCAAAACTAACTCACCACGTTTCCAAACGCTACTGTTATAAAAGTCATGTGTACATAATTTTCTACAAGAGTGAGTTAGAGGGTGTCCAACTCTGCCATTCATTTGGTGATATTTTACTGAGCATCCACATCTTCATGTTGCCAAAACCTCACAAACATCAAATGTTTCAATAAAAATTACCCTATTGCCTACGATTAGAATAAGACAAAATTGTGGGACTAATTCCATCTTGGGAAAGGGGAAAGACTCCCCCAGTGCTTTTGAACTTCAGTGAAATATTTCACAAATCCATTACTTTTTAGAATAAAAAATGTAGTTATTTTTCTTTCCACTATTTCATGTTTCAAAACTAGAAAAGACTTATTTCAGTGTAAACTTAAAAGACAAAATAAAAATATTTGAATAGAAAATCTTTTTTCTTTTTTACTCATTTTGCTAGTTTGCCACACCCACACAGTCTAAGTTAGCTTTATTCAACCACAAAGTCAAAGCTTTATTTAGAATTTAGCAGATTGTCTTCATTTAAGATAATCACAAAGCAGGTCCTAGGCAAGATAAAAGAACCAAAGATTTAATTCTATTCACCGTCTCCTATTTAGTCCTCTATGCATTTAACTTGCTGAGCCTTCAATGACTATGAACCTCCCTTTCATAGTCATTGCAGTGCACCAGGGCTATAAAGATGGGAAGAACACAGAACTGTTTCTCAAGGAGTTCACATCTAGGAGGGGCCACAGGCCCATAAACACGTAATTGTAACAAAATATAATAGGTACGTAATAACCACAATATTGGCACAAAGTCAGGAGAGTAGGAGGAGTGAGCAACAGAAGTTTGTTTGTTTGTTTGTTTGTTTGTTTGTTTTCTCAAGAGATGGGGTCTCACTATGTTGCCCAGGCTGGTGGCACTCAAACTCCTGGGCTCACGCAATCCCCCTGCCTCAGCCTTCCAAGTAGCTAGGACTACAGGCATGCACCATCACACCCGGCTAAGCAACAGAAATTTTTTAAAGTATATTGCTAACTGTATAATTTTATTAGGCTTTTATAGGGATGATAATGTCTCTCATTGGAAAAGAGTTTAATCAAACAGAATGTAATGCTTGTTAAATATTCAAAAATATAAAATGTTTACCTGTAATTGTGAGATAATTTAAAATGACATGTAAAAACACATTTCTGCAACATCCCACATGTTATAATAGAGGGAATGGCTCTTCAGTTCAATTCAGCAAATATTTAGTGAATGTGCCAGATATTTTGCTAATTACTAGCAAATCCCAAATTACTAGGGATGCAAAAATGAGACAAATGTTTCTATCTTCAAGAAGTTTACCAGTGACATGTTAATGAGTATTTATATCAATGCTATAATAAAAATATGTACATAAGTACAACAATAGTACACAGGAAAGGGGGAATCCGTTCTGCTGGGAGGTGCTTAGGGAAGGCCTCATAGAGAAGATGATGCCTGAAAGAGTTTTGGATGACGAACAGATATCTGCTAGGTGGACAAGTGAGGAAGATCATGGGAAGAGGAAATAGCACATGCAGAGAGGCACAGTAGTGAGAAATGCCTAGAAAAAGCGGTACGCCGCCACCGTGTACATTAATGTTTCACCTTCAGTGTGGATTTATGGTGAAGTATGGAGTAAAATGATCATCATAAGTGGTAAAGATGAACTACTTAGACTTGTAGCAAACATCAGAGACAGTATAGAGTCATATATCCTCAAATAAAAAAACCAAAATATCACAAATACACATATACCTGTAATTAAAACCATTCTCATAGAATTTTTCAACTAATTTTTAGCCCATTTGGCATAGAGGTTTGCTCTATGGCTAATATTTTGTTTTACTTACATGCTCCTGGCACATAAAACAGCGCTGGGCAAATAACAGGTGCTCATAAGTACTTCTTGGATGGATGGATGGATGGATGGATGGATGGATGGTGATTGGATGGATGCTTTTATAAATGAAGAAATGAAATTTGAATAGGCTGAATTCCTCTTTTACAGTATAGCCTAGTCAATGCTAATTGGACAATGTAGCGGACCACTGAAGCACCAACAAACCAGTTTTTCATTTTCTGGATGAAATTTAAAAGACAAGTACATGGTAAAGACAAAATTAATTTTCTTTTTTATAATGACTTTATATATCAAATGAACCTCAAAAATTAACACAAATAATAGATGCTACAGATATAAATGATAAGTCATTGGTATTGAAAAGGTGAGCAGTCTCATTTGACATTGAAATCAACATGAAAGTATTTTAATCAACTTCTCCAGCTCTAGGTGATCTCTAATTTAGGCAAAAAGATGTCAGTAGTTTGTGTAGGCACAAAGAAAAATCCTCTGTACCAAAAAGTTTGAACCAGGGTCCTGTACAAGAGAAACAAGGGTAGAGTTGGGAATTATTTCTTTCTTAGTCAGCACTGACTCCTGGGAAGGTATGGAGAACAGGAGAAAATGAGGGCAGTGTGCCTTTGGCTGCTTTTTGACAACAGCTGCTTATTGACAATCACTGAGCCAATCCCTGATGATCCTATGATGTTCCAGAAGGTTTCTCAGAAAGAATTATCACAGTGCCCAGAAACCTTCTGAGTTCTGGTTATTAAGTATTCTACACATCCCAGCAATCATTTGTAAACACTAGAGACCCTGATTACATTCTTTAAAGTATTTTAAAAATCAAGTTTGATGTAACATGGCTTACACAGAAACCACAGAGTCTGATAGATAGTTATTTATCTAACATCCTTCAGTTAAAAAGCTTCCCTCTTTACATGATGTTTTGTGTTTTTCCCTAGGCTAATTTTTGAATCAAAGCTTGTGGTTTGCAGCATACACGAGAGAGAAGAGAGCTAACCTATTCATGAAGTGCTTCCATAGGCAGGGGTTGAATTAGAAGTAACTCATAACCCGTTCATTTTTATTTGCCTTCCTTTAGTATTTATCCATTTTATTAGTAAAATCACAAGAAAGTGTCCTGAGAGAAAAACTCGCGAGCATCCTAGCATTCTTCTTCATCTTTCTCTTCTTTTTTTCTTCTTTCTTTTCTTCTTCTTCTTGCTTCTTTCTTCTCTCTTCTTTCTTCTTTTCATCATCTTTTTCTTGACAGAGTCTCATTCTGTCACCCAGGCTGGAGTGTAGTGGCACAATCATAGCTCACTGTAGCCTCCAGCTCCTAGGCTCCAGCCATCCTCCCACCTCAGCCTCCCAAGTAGCTAGAACCACAGGCTTGCACCACCATGCTTGGCTAATTTCTTTAAAATTTTTATAGAGACAAGGTATCACTTTGTTGCCTAGGCTGGTCTCAAACTCCTGGCCTGAAGCAAGGCTCCTGCCTTGGCCTCCCAAAATCCTGGGATTACAGTTATGAGGCACCATGCCCAGCCGATCCTAGAATTCTTCAGCCCCTGGCACTTCTCCACTTGAGCAGGTAGATATCACTGCTCTTTCAGTGGTCGCTACCTCTATATCTGTGCTTCTGAAAGTAAGGGCACAAGATTAACTTTGTCAGAACCATTTGGAGAGCTTTTTAAAAATACAGTTTCCTGTGCCCCCAGACCTACTGATTCCAGGTTTCTAGAAGCAGTGTTCAACAATAAGCATGTGTGTATATATATGTATTTTTTTAATTGTTGAAGCAGTACATGTGCATGGTAAATAAAAAAGGATCAAAATATTTATCATGCTTAAAATGTCTCCACCCTGTCCCTTCCCACCCTCTAAACCTATAATCCCAGAGACAGTGGATTAGTTTATATTCTTTTAGACAATTCTTTTGGTAGCTACCTTCACACTTCTAACAAATACACTTATACAGTTGTCTTGATTTAACGGTTTAGACATGACCTATATTTACTTTCTTTTAGAAAGAAATGAAGCTTTAGCATCTGGTAACCCTCCTACATCCTCCCAGTGGAGTTTTACACTAATTTTAGTGAAATTTGCATAGTTTTTGCATCATTATGGCTTTGTACATTTGTTCACTGAGCCCAGTAATGTACCATAAATATATTGTTTCCCATAAACAGCTTTGTGGAGTTTTATACTCTTTCTTTATTGCAATATATTTCTTAAAATAATCATATTTTCCCCCAAAAGTGTCATCATGTTAGGTACTATGGAGGATCTCCCTTTTTCTGGTCATTTTTTTGTCTTCCAACCCTTGTCTAGTGGGGTGGTTGCATGGCTGACACTTAGGGACTTTGCATTATATTTTTCCCAAACACAGTCCCCTGTTATTCCTATCCATATCCTCTTTTTCTCACATACCTTTATTTTACTAGAGTGTGGTGCTCACATGTCTAATGATTCTAGATTTCCATATTTAAGAGTGAAATCCTATAAAGATACTTGGGGGTCCAACGTTGGTGGCAGAGTTTGAAGACTAGTCAGATTTTATTTAGGGTTATGAAGCAGGGACAGAATAAGAAAGTCTAATCTGTTCTCTGGGGCATTTTCTTTCTGTTTTGGAGACACTCCCATTCTCTGACTTGGGTGTGTGGTGGGAGTTCTGCATGCAGGCAAATGGCCAAGCCGATCTTCCATGTACTCAGATCAGATGTTTCCGAATCCCTAGCCCTTCTGGGGTTCCGTGGAGCAACTGAGAGTCCTTCCTATCCATGCTGCCCTCCCAGCCAAGAAGACACTAGAACCGAAATCAGCAAACTCTCTAAAGGGTCAAATATTAGTAAATACTTAGATAAAACATTTTAGGTTTTGCAGACCAGATGGTCTCTGTTACAACTATTCAACTCTGCTATCGTGAAAGCAGCCCTAGACAACATGTAAAAACAAGAGAGTATGGCTGTGTTCCAATAAAACTTTAATTACAAATACAGGTGGCAGCAGGTTTTGTCTCATGGGTCTTAGTTTGCCAGCTCCTGCTCTGGAATATACTTTTCAAAGTCATGATACCTCTGCTCTCATGCCTTTACTGACATTCCATATTCTAGCATTCTCTTCCATTGTCTTGTCCTTATAACAGTCTTTCTCTGGGGCTCTTCATTGCTGTGGGTTTATCTATTTTAAAGTCCTTGTTAAAGAGAAAGATGTGTGTTCAGTCTGTTATCTTGAACCAAAAGTCAGAATCCGCATCATATGCCCCGTGGATATGCCTGGGCTACGACTGCCTGTAGTAGTAGCAAGAAGATTCCTTTCTCACCTACTGTACAGCTTTGCAAACACCCTCCATCCTAACCTCCCCCTCTCCCATCCAAGCCTATGCTCAGAACTGCTTTGAAGGGGTGTTTGTGAATAACAGTGGGGATTAACTTTTAGGGTGGAGACTATGGGCTTCTATCCAACAGAAAAAACCCTAATCTTTACATTTATCTTTCTTATCAGTCACATTAAGTGGCTTCTGGGAATAAGTCTAGGATGTTGGACTATGAGCAGTTTCTCACTTTGGGGGTTTTAGCACTGTTTCAGGAAATTCTATCCCATAGCATTATTATCTGAAATCTTAGTTACCCTTTTTACCCTCTAGGGAAGAGTGAGGATTAACCTGAGGTCCATGTGCATGGTGATGGGCCTGCTCTCCGATGAGTAGTTACTGCCTCTCTTCTTAGTGCTGGCCATTCCATGTTGATTTTCCAGTTAATGGTCATCCAGTGATTTCCCACTCTACCCCAGCGCAGTGTTCTTTGGCCCTTCCTAACCATTCTGAGCTCCTTAGCAGTTTAATACAATTTCCTGGTTGTTCATTAAACATTCCCTGAGAAAGAGCTGCAAGAAAGCCTAAGAAGTCATTTGAAAATGTTTTCTGGCTTGTTTTTCCACCACTTCATAACCAACCTATATCCAGAGCAGGCTTCCTTTTGAAACCTGAGCACACACTGAGAATCAGAGAAATGTAATTTTTCTACTCTTTTGAAGTACCTGTTTAGTTTTCTATTGCTGCCTAACAAACTATGCCAAACTCAAGTGATTTAAAAGAACACTAGATTGTTGGCTCATGATTCTGCGATCTCACTCAGGATCAGGCAGGTCGCTGTCTCCTACTAGACTTCCTTTGGGACTCATCACCCAGCTGCAGTCATATGAAGCTCTCCTGGGGCTAGCATGCGCAGGGCGGCTTCACTCACGCTTCATGCCTCCGCTGGGATGGTTGGGACACCTGAGATCTTGCCAGGCATTGCTCCACACAGTCTCAATGACAAGGTAGCTTAGGGTAGCTTGAGAGAGCAAAAGGGAAGGCTGTCAGGCCTCTTAAGGCCTAGGCTGGATCCTGCACAGTATCACTTCCACCTCATTCCATTGATTTAGGTGGTATAAATCATTGAGGTGGTCTGTCAATTCCTAAAACCAAATGATCTAATCAGAGAAATGCAACTTTTCTACTCTTTGGATCAGAGAGAGTCATAGGTCAGCCCAGACTCAAGAGAAGGGGGAACCTTTTGGTGGAGAAGTAGCAAAAAATTTTTAGTAATCTTTTATCTGCTGCAGTATGCTTCTTGTGGCTGCTTTGTTTCAGAGTTCCCTGTGTTTGTGCAAACTCCCCTAAGAAAGTACCTTTCACTTTTATGGGCACTCTGCCTTCTCACAATCTTTCTGGTACAGAGCATTGATAATGTTTTCCCTTTCAGTTCTCTGTAGTGCTAGCAATAAATAATAGTGAATCATAGTACCACATCCAGAAATTATAAGCAGTAAAACCACCAGGTCTCTAGCTTTATCTTCCTAATAAAAATAAAGGAAGTGGTTATAGGAATTCAATTTTTAAAAAAAGGTTTTAATCTAGCAAAATATTCATACTCACATCGTGTTAGATAATTTTCTAAAACTGCCATGACATAACATCATTTTGCCTGTTTAGACATTTATGAACTTTAGGTGCTAATGAAAACATTTTGGTCTCTCTAAAAGTCAGAAAATAAATTTCTAGCCAGCTGGCCAATGCTAGTATCTTCCAGTAGAAAAGAAATAAACTTAGCCCATCAATATATTTACTCTTTGTTCTTTCTAAACACACCTAACTTTCAAAACTCCACTTCATTTTGTTCAAATACCTAATATCTCCACTGCTAGTAATGTATCTCTCAGACCAATAACATGACCTCTCACAGTGAGGGTGAGAGCAGCACTGAACACTTTCTAGCCACTACTCTCCTTTTTTTTTTTTTTTTTTTTTGAGACGGAGTCTCGCTCTGTCACCCAGGCTAGCGTGCAGTGGCGCGATCTTGGCTCACTGCAAGCTCTGCCTCCCGGGTTCACACCATTCTCCTGCCTCAGCCTCCTGAGTAGCTGGGACTACAGGCGCCCGCCACAACACCAGACTAATTTTTTCTATTTTTAGTAGAGATGGGATTTCACCATTTTAGCCAGGATGGTCTCGATCTCCTGACCTTGTGATCCTCCCGCCTCGGCCTCCCGAAATGCTGGGATTACAGGCGTGAGCCACTGCGCCCAGCCTACTCTCCTTTTATAATGACACATAGGTGATACAGATGTCACACCTGGAAAAGTGCTTGAGTTTGGCTACAGACCAACCACTTGGGGATTAAAAACAACGTCATTGCATCAATTCTTAAAACCATGCTATGCTTCAGCAAAACATTTAGTTTTAAAAAGAGGCCTTTGTAACCCAAATGCTATTGTGGTGCCTCTTTATTCTCATTTCTGTCTTTTCTTTTTGCCTTGCACAGTCCTCTTTATTCCCTCTTCATTTAAAATCACATTTTGATAAAAGTTCACTTGAGAAGGGGTAACTATACAAATGTTATCCTAGGTTCTCATCTCTGCTGCAGGATTAAGAACTTTAGTATCATTTTAGTGCAGATATAGCGAAGTGTGCTACTTCACATTTTTTTCTAGTTTCAGTATTGGTATCCATTTGGATTAGTCACACAGTAATTGAGATATGATATGCATGATGATTTTACCTGTTAAGGTCATGGAAGTCAATGCACTTAAATGTACATTTATTACTATTATTTTTAAGTTATTCTGCACAAAATATTTATATTAATTTGCACTAAGGCTCACTGGCCCTCTGAGGAGCTAAAGTAAAATATAGATGGGGCCTCTACTCGGCCTGAGAGCAGAGCTCAGAATGGTGCTAGACATTATAACACCAGGAATGTTATATTAGAGTACCAGAGTATGCTACTGGGTATAAAATTGGCATTTTAAAAAGAATTCTGAAAGCCTGTTATTTAAATATAATAGAAATGGACTGGAAGATATGGGGTTAACATCATCTTTTTATACTTAATAGTATAGGAGTAGGTGGTTGGCTGTGACTATATTAGTGAGAGGTGTTTACCTTAAGATAAATTTAAACTAAAAGTAATAACTAAATGCATTTAAGCAGTTATTATCACTTTAGCTTTTTAAGTGTAGGTCCAAAATCACCAATTGCCTTGCTTTATCAATGAACCAAAGTGAGCACAGCTAGATCCAAAGATTTACCGGATTCTGCTATCTGGACTGCCATCTGCATTATTTTTTTATACATAATTTCAACTTGTATTTGAGATTCAGGGGTACCTGTGCAGGTTTGTTACATAGGTATATTGCGTGACGCTGAGGTTTGGGGTATGCATGATCCTGTCACTCAGGTATTGAGCTTAGTACCCAATAGGTAGTTTCTCAGCCCTTGCCCCGACTGTCCCCACTCTAGTAGTCCCTAGTGTCTGTTATTTCCATCTTTATATCCATATGTACCCAATGTTTAACTTCCACTTGTAAGTGAGAACATGTAGTATTTGGATTTTTGTTCTTGTGTTAATTCACTTAGGACAGTGGCCTCCAGCTGCATCCATGTTGCTGCAAAGGACATGATTTCATCATTTTTTATGGCTGCATAGTATTCTGTGGTGTGTGTGTGTTCTATGGTGTGTGTATGTGTGTACACACATGCACGTGTATACGCACCATATGCACTCTTATAGACAATGTCAGATTCGTTCAGTTCGTACTACTCTGTCTCTCTGAACTGAGCCTTTGGTTCATCAGGAAACAATCTGCTTTTTATGAAAGATGCTTATTTTTATCTGATCCTCCCTCAGCTGAATTGGAAATTCTTATTTGCCAGCCCCTGCCTCCCCAACCTGACTATAATAAGTTCATTGAGATCAAAACCTGTGTCTGACTTGATCGTTAATAAATCCCCAAGGCTTAGTTCATAACCAGGTATATGGAAAATATTCAACTTGTTGATTAAATAAGTGAAGGAATCTTTCTTTTTTTTTTTTTTTTTTTTTTTTTTTTTGAGACGGAGTCTCGCTGTCGCCCAGGCTGGAGTGCAGTGGCGCAATCTCGGCTCACTGCAGGCTCCGCCCCCTGGGGTTCACGCCATTCTCCTGCCTCAGCCTCCGGAGTAGCTGGGACTACAGGCGCCCGCCACCTCGCCCGGCTAATTTTTTGTATTTTTAGTAGAGACAGGGTTTCACCGTGTTAGCCAGGATGGTCTCGATCTCCTGACCTCGTGATCCGCCCGCCTCGGCCTCCCAAAGTGCTGGGATTACAGGCGTGAGCCACCGCGCCCGGCCGTGAAGGAATCTTTCTATGCAGCACTAGTCTGACATGGATTACTATGGAGGCAGAAGATTTGCTGTAATCATCATAGAGTCTTCTATGATTATGTTGTCCTTACAGAATTATTTAAAGCTTTTCTTAGTCTAGTTTAACCAAACATCTCACCAGATGTGTTATTATATATAAAATACTTAGGTCATGGCACATGGAATCTCTCGGAAATGGTAGCCATTATGAATCTCCATAAGACTATCTCCCAATAAATTAAAGCTATAATATTCTAGAAGTAATGGATACATGAAAAGATCTTATGAACTCTTAGGATGTTCACCCTTTGGATCCTGGAGACAAAATGATTCTGCATTGAACATTTAAAGACACCTCTTGCTTCTTTAAATCATTTTAGACTTCATAGAGGTATCAGGAAATTTTCAGAATTGTGGTGCCATGTTGACAACTGTTCTGTTGGCAGACTGGCAGCTGAAATAGGGACATTTCACCTCTTCTGTATGCATTATCTGACACTAAAATTGGGCTAGGTGCCATGTAAGTATGCCGTAGGATGCTCATCTCTTTTTGCTAGGCACGTTTTACAGATCAGTAACCTAATCTTCATTTGTTTAATAATGATCTCTCCATTTTTGTTATGGTAACCCACTCCAAAAATAAAAGCAAGTCAATTCTGAATCATAACAAAAAGAAAAGTCTGAGGAGGGTAAGATAGTTGGAGTATGCATGAAGAAAAGTAAATGTTTCTGCTAAGAGAAATAACACTCCTTGAATTAAATATATAGGATATTGGTGCATATTCCTATAGCTTGTCATATGGGTTTGCAAGTGCTCGGTGAAAAGTTCAATTGTATATATATGCACATATGTGTCATCATCCACAGGTATGTGGAATATAAGTGACAAGAGGCAAGAAACATATCTTTCATTTTCTTTAGCTAAGTCATAGATCTTAGCTCATAATTATGAATTTCTTAGTATTCTGAATAAAGAGACTTCATTGAAGTCAATAGGAGATAAATTACCATGCAGACCTTTGTTTATAAGTGTGATTCTGCTGGTTTTTGCAAGCTGCCAGTGAAATTACAGATAGAGTGCACTGGAGTCTGCAAATATCAAAACTGCTGCAGCTGCAGAAACATTATCCCTGTATCCAATGTAATTAATGTGCCTCTCATATGCTCCAGCTGAGGATTTGCATGAAGTGACAAGAGTACACATGGTAAATCTTGAGTGTCATCATCTAACTTACTACTTTGCTGGAAAATCAAACTCTGTAAGGTAAATTTTGCTTTTTTTAATGGCAAGAACTATTGTCACAAGGGAAAAAAATTCTACTACGTATATGAAATATTGACAAAAGAAGTGGGAACTTTGTTTCGTCAAGCCAAGGTTAATAACCTAGAACTGTCTTTCTTTATATCATCACTTTTATCTTCCTGCTCTCTTTGTTTTAAAGTATTACGTCCTAATATTTTCACTCCTCTTACTTCTTTGTTGTATTTCTTTTGTATTTTCTTATCTGACTATGGGGGATGGTGGGAAAGAATACTGGATATATTTTCTCCCGTGTCCTCATGAGAGAAGAAAAATATTTGGTATGAAAAAATTACTTAGATTGCCACAGGTATAAATTTCATATGAAATAGTGAACATAATTTTAAGCACAATGATAAGCAATGTAGCAACATTGGCATTTTTTTCAGAGGAGTCTTTCATGGACTTGTATAAGATTGTGATCCAGGATTGGGATATAAAGCCTTTAAAGTGTTAAAGTAATGAGAATAAAGTAAGAGAGAGAGAGAGAGGGGTGTGTGTGTGTGTGTGTGTGTGTGTGTTTTAGAGCTGGGAGCAACAAGAGCTGAGATATAAGCATCCGTTGAACATTCCTGGAAAACAAGATGCCAGGATTTTCTGGCATCTTATATCCTTAAATATATCCTATATATTTAACTCAGTATTTCTGGTCACTGACATTTGCCTACAGGCTACATCAGTGGTGACAGATGTAATCTCAAAACTTACAGAGTAGAACCTCAAGTACAAAGTAAAAGATATGGAATTGTTTTCAGTGTTTTCATCAAGGCGTAAGTCCTTGAGGGGTTTTTGGGTTTTTTTTAACAAAATGCAAAGGTCATTTTTCCTTTGGAAAAAAAATAACCACCTGCCATTTCCTCGAGAAAAGGTGACATTTTTCTAAGAAAAGGAGACATTTTGCCCAGAGGCAAGTGGAGGCAGTTTCTAGGATTGCCTGACAGTGAGTTTACATAAGAGCTGAACAAGATGCTGTGCCTCTGGCAGAAATGACATTTTCCTCCCTATTCAGAGCTGCAAATTCTAAAAAGTACAAAACTGATTTTTCATGGTAAATTTCCAAGGCTCTTATTGATGTGTGGAGTGGCATTATTAATTAATGTTATGACTACATGTCTTGCTGAGACAAGCAGAGGTTATACAAAGATGGCAGGCTGGGGCACTTAGCCCTGAGTCAGAAGTCCAGGGCTTACATCTGATTTCTGTCATCGACTAATCTTGTTCTGTTTTACAATCCACCTAGCCCCTTATTGCACAGCATCAGTATTCCCATCTATTATCAACTATTCAAGATAGATGCATCCACTTGCTCATTCATTTATTCAGCAAACCTTATCAGGGGATATTGAGTGGTATTTTTCATAGAATTGACTCCAGGACCCAAAAACCTACCTCAGTGCTACTGTGGGGGCTCCCCTACTATAATCAAACCCTCTCCTCTCACCCTAGCCTCCATAAACAGAAGCTGAAGAGGGGAAAACAGAATCTTCAGGGTAGATTTTTCTTATGTGGGATTTGTGTTTGAGAGGTAACACAACCATCTGCGTGAAAAAGAAAGGGGAGGCTACAGGAGAATCACTCATTGAAATTGGGGTAGCCTGTAAGAAGAGAAGATGGAGATCAGGTTTCCAAATTGGACATCTGCTCAGGCAGTGGACTCGCTTCCTTTGCCAGTCATAACAGGAAAGAAGTGAATTGGAGAGAGATGGCAGGAGAGACAGAAGACATGGCAATGAAGCCATCGCAACTCAGTATTTGGCATGAGGTTGCTATGTGAGATTTCTATGGTTGAAGTGGCCATGGAGAATAGAGCCTGACTTGAGCCAGCTGTCTTCTACCCTCCACTCAAGAGAGCTGCCTGCTGGGCAAGGAATACCCAGTGTCAACAGACTGGGCAGTGCTCCAATGTGGCAGGAGCTGACAGAGGTGAAAGAGGTCAAGCTTGAGCCAAATATTACACTGGCCGGAGGAAGAATGCACAGATCCATCCTACAAAAGAGCCAGCCACTGGATGCCAGCCAGTTACCATTCACCAGACAAGCAGCCACAGCCAACATAAAAAAGCATACAATTGCAACCAGTTAAAGAGAGAGAGAGAAAGATCTTCCTCTCTGCCCCTAACACACTGGAAGAACTAGACCTTGAAGAATGAAGGGAGGGGAAAGGCAGTGATTCAGAGGCAGACCATACCTCTCCACGGAGGAGGAAGGAAAGTGATTTAAATCAAGTTTGGTGTTGGGGCTTTAATGAGACTGAATATATTATAGCAAAAAGTTACTTAAAAGTTAATAATCTTCCCAAGATATCATTAAGGAATGGGGAAAAGGAATGAAAGTAGTAATTGGTAAAAAATACTATCTTATATTTTTATACCTCTTCCACCTCCCCTTCTGTCGTTCTGAAACAAACAGAAGCCAGAGAAGAAGAAATGAGTGGGATCGAGTCCATTTTCCTCAGTAAACAGGTTGCATGTGCATTGAGTACCCACCATGCATCAGGCATCCTTTCAGGTCCTGGGGATCTGTGGATGTGTAATACCAGTCTCTGCCATAAAGGAATGTACAGTCTGGTAAAGCCACAGAGGAATGTGAGTAATTTAAAAGGGCACCTGGAGATAAGTGCTAAAAGAGATGTGTACAGACTGCAGAGCAAGGACAGAGGAATGAGTCTCTCATAAGAGGAGATGTCATGTGGAGAGATCAGGGTGGATTTCACAGAAGTATGATTCAGAGACGGAAGGGAAATTAAGAATTTATTAGGCAATCCAGGTTCAGAGAATATTGTGTGCAAAAGTGCAGACATCCCTTTATTCAGCAGGCACATGTGGAGCATTTACTATGAGCCTGGGGCTACGTCAGGTACAATCTCTTCTTATAAGATGAAAGCAGTGTGGTCCTTGGGAGTCTCTAAATCTGGGAGACATGGAGAACCATCAGCTTGTCTGTTATGCCTGAAGCCTAGGAGACAACAGAGAAGGAAAGTGGAAACAGAACTTAAGGTGAAAGGCTGCCAGGAGGTTGATCAGGAGGAAACTATAAAGTCTGCTTAAGAGGAATGGAAAGATTATAAAAGTAGGGGAGCAACATGATCAAACATGTAACATTCAAAATGATTTTGATCAAAAGATACCTCTGGAGAGAGAGAGAAACAGAAGTCAGAAAAGAAGTTAAGAAATGTGTGGAATCAAGTTCATCTTCCTCTCCAGACTCATCCCTTCTAGTTCTCTTTATTCACTGCACCAATGGGCTCCCTTGCCCTGTGGCTTCCACTTGGGTTGGGTCAGTGGGAAGAAGTAGCAGGTGATCACAGGGCAGGATGAGAGTGGGGTCCTGGTTCTTAATGCATTGGTTTCTTTGCTGCTAGTTTGCTGTATCCTGGTCATCTACCTATTGGAAATGTCAGCTCTAACAACCATGAGAAGAAAAACAGGAATGAAAGGACAAATATCTGGACCATAGAATTAGTGTTCCCTCTTGTCTGCATAGAAGAGAGGGGTGGAGAACGAGTCAAGTATGTTTGCTTGTTTGAGTTTCAAGCTGGAGCAACTAGGGAAGACTATGATAGTAGAAGGAGGAGCAGGCATTACATCACTTTCACCTAATTAAGGTGCTTTAATATCTCTTAAGTCATAAGGAATAAGGTTAGGTCAGGTAGTATGTGAACAAGGCTGTAAAGTTTGTCTGGAAGATTCAGCATCTATAAACTGTCTCCCATCAAAGACAAATTGGTTCTCAGTTTCATAGCTATATTTTCTTTGTTGAGTGTTTTATGATTCCCTTTTTGGTTCTTTTCAGGAAGTAATGATAGCAATAGGATTCATTTAGCCTATACTCTTAGGGGTACAGTGGGATAATAAGTATATATGCTGAAGTCTACAACATAAAGAATGCAAAGTGCTTCAGACATGAAATAGCTACCAAAAGGAAGGTGGAGGAGCCATGCTTTAAATCAGTTATTTTTGGTTTCTCAGATGGGAGAACAAGCACAAATAGATGACAGCTATAGAGAGACAGATTTTGATTCATTGTTTTATTTTATTTTGTATTTATTTATTTTCTTTGAGACGGAGTTTTGCTCTTGTCGCCCAGGCTGGAGTACAATGGCGCGATCTTGGCTCACTGCAACCTCTGCCTCCCGGGTTCAAGCGATTCTCCTGCCTCAGCCTCCCAAGTAGCTGGGAATACAGGCGCCCGCCACCATGCCCAGCTAGTTTTTTGTTGTTGTTTTAACTAGAGACAGGGAGTCACCATGTTGGCCAGGCTGGTCTCGAACTCCTGACCTCAGGTGTTCCACCAGCCTCGGCCTCCCAAAGTGCTGGGATTACAGTTGTGAGCCACCGCACCTGGGCAGATTCATTATTTTAAAAAATAGCTTAATAACAGAGCTACCTTACAATGGAATGGGTTATCTAATAATAACACTCATTCACTGAGAGTTTATTGACATTGTGCCACATTCTTAATATATAATATCTAATTTAATTTTTGTGATAACCCTGTAGGATAGGTATAATTATTTTACAAATAAAGAACTGAAGTTTAGGAAAGGTAAGAAACTAGCTCAAGATCACACCAGCAGTGTGCAATAAGCCTGGGATCCAAACCTGTCTTGACTACTGTGCTGTTCTACCTTCCAGGAGAACAGTCAACACGACTAAACTGGAGGTTTAATACGAGTCTCAGTAATTGCCTCTCAGGCTCTGGTTGGTGGATGAACCATATGATTCCTTAAGTCCCATCTCTAAAGTGTGATAAAATTCTCACTCTCCACCAGCCTTCTGTTTTTTTTTTCCCCCTCAGTCAGGCTTCTAAAGTGTAGTGTAGTGTAGTGTAGTGTAGTGTAGTGTAGTGTAGTGTGTAGTGTAGTGTAGTGTGTAGTGTAGTGTAGTGTAGTGTAGTGTGTCAATTATTTTGCTCCATTTTTTAAATAAAAACACACATTGAGGGAAAGTTTTAGATAAGAGATAAAAGTCCATTCCCTTTTTACTAATATACCCTTGTCTGTATATCCAAATACTCTGGTTAGCTAAAAAGAAAATTTCAAGATCAATACACAGAACGTATAGAAATTTCATACCAGCATGGGTTTATTTCCCTGCTATATGCCCCAGGTTTTTGCTCCCAACCCTCATTGATTTCAGAGGAAAAAAGCCAGCAAATATATCCAGAAGTCACTTTGCATTTTTAATCAATAAGTGAGTATCATTTGTTGTTAAGAAGTACTAAGTTAAAGGTGTTTCAAAGCTCCTCAGAATAAGAACTATGCAATAATTTTTATGTCATTTAGATTACCAAATTAAGCACAATTTTAGAATTACAAGAAGATTTCACTTGATTGTTGATGTTAAAATGAAACTAGGTTCTATGGGGCCGGGGGGAACAAACAAACACAAAAAAAACTATGACCATAAAAATTAAACCTAACTAGTTAGACTAAGCGTAATGAAGCAGGATTCCAAGGCAATGAAGCAGGATTCCAGGGCTGGTCTCTGAGGCTTCTAATTCCAAACTATCTCCCCCAGGTAAGAGCTTTAGGACCCTTGTTTTGTTTCAAGCATGTGATAAATGAAAGAATGTAGTGTTACCTAAGAAGTGATCCAAAGAGGGTTGATGTCTTCTCAAGACAACATAGAATTTTATGCCAATCCAAACATACCATATCTTTTTTAATTGAAGGAAAGAAGTATGAATGTCCTTTGCTCACATTGCTGAGATGCTGAAGGAATGAGGTCCTCGGTTTTATGAGGAAAATTAATCACAGAAAGATATTTCTTGTAGTTCAATACCAAGACATTGCATTATAGTCTGTTGATGCCTCAGACCCAAGTATATACTTGATATTCTTGCCTAGAAAACCTCTGGGATCATAGTACAGTATAAAGAAGTGACTAAACAAACATTTTGGAAACTGCAAAACCTTCTTCAAATGTAAATTTTTTTTTGGTAATTTTACCTTTTTTTTTTTCTTCCATAGACGTTTTTATTTCTCTTCATTGGATGAACACATATTTATTTTTAGATGAGAAAATGCTCAATATTTTTGATATTTTTCTTTATAGGACTTCCAAGTCAGTTATAAGATAACAAGGCAGCATTCTTCACCTTTCAGTGTCATACCAGAAAACTGAAACATATATATATGTATATATTTCCTTAGGGTCGAAACTCCAAAGACAGGACAACTTAAGACTCTGAGTTACTAATATTCATATACAACTTTAACAACACATTTTCATCATAAGTTTAGATTTAGTTCACCTAATTTTTTTTTATACATTAAATTCCGGGGTACATGTGCAGAACGTGCAGGTTTGTTACATAGGTATACATGTGCCATGGTAGTTTGCTGGACCCATCAAACTGTCATCTACATTAGGTATTTCTCCTAATGCTATCCCTCCCCTATCCCCCCATCTACCAACAGGCCCCAGTGTGTGATGTTCTCCTCCCTGTGTCCATGTGTTCTCGTTGTTCAACTCCCACTTATAAGTAAGAACACATGGTGTTTGGTTTTCTGTTTTTGTGTTAGTTTGCTGAGAACGATGGTTTTCAGCTTCGTCGAAGTCTCTGCAAAGGACAGAAACATATCCTTTTTTATGGCTGCATAGTATTCCATGGTGTATATGTGCCACATTTACCTTATCCAGTCTATCATTGATGAGCATTTAGGTTGGTTCCAAGTCTTTGCTATTGTAAATAGTGCCGCAATAAACATATGGGTGAATGTGTCTTTATAGTAGCATGATTTATAATCCTTTGGGTGTATACCCATGATGAGATTGCTGGGTCAAATGGTAGTTCTGGTTCTAGATCCTTGAGGAATCGCCACACTGTCTTCCACAATGGTTGAACTAATTTACACTCCTACCAACAGTGTAAAAGTGTTCCTATTTCTCCACATCCTCTCCAGCATCTGTTGTTTCCTGACTTTTCAATGATCACCATTCTAACTGGCGTGAGAGGGTATCTGATTGTGGTTTTGATTTGCATTTCTCTAATGACCAGTAATCATGAGCTTTTTTTCATGTTTCTTGGCTGCATAAATATCTTCTTTTGAGAAGTGTTCATATCCTGTGCCCACTTTTTGAGGGGGTTGTTTTTTTCTTGTAAATTTGTTTTAGTTCTTCGTAGATTCTGGATATTAGCCCTTTGTCAGATAGATAGATTGCAAAATTTTTCTCCCATTCTGTAGGTTGCTTGTTCACTCTGATGATAATTTCTTTTGCAGTGCAGAAGCTCTTTAGTTTAATTAGATCCCATTTGTCAATTTGGGCTTTTGTTGCCATTGCTTTTGGTGTTTTAGTCATGAAGTCCTTGCCCATGCCTATGTCCTGAATGGTATTGCCTGGGTTTTCTTCTAGGGTTTTTATGATTTTAGGTCTTACATTTAAGTCTTCAATCCATCTTGAGTTAATTTTTATATAAGGTGTAAGGAAGGGGCCCAGTTTCAGTTTCCTGCATATGGCTAGCCAGTTTTCCCAACACCATTTATTAAATAGGGATTCCTTTTCCTATTGCTTGTTTTTGTCAGGTTTGTCAAAGATCAGATGGTTGTAGATATGTGGTGTTATTTCTGAGGCCTCTGTTCTGTTCCACTGGTCTATATCTCTGTTTTGGTACCAGTATCATGCTGTTTTGGTTACTGTAGCCTCGTAGTATAGTTTGAAGTCAGGTAGCGTGATTCCTCCAGCTTTGCTATTTTTGCCTAGGATTGTCTTGGCTGTGAGGGCTCTTTTTTGGTTCCATATGAAATTTAAAGTAATTTTTTCCAATTCTGTGAAGAAAGTCAATGGTAGCTTGATGGGGATGGCATTGAATCTATAAATTACTTTGGGCAGTGTGGCCATTTTCATGATACTGATTCTTCCTATCCATGAGTATAGAATGTTCTTCCATTTGTTTGTGTCCTCTCTGATTTCCTTGAGCAGTGGTTTGTAGTTCTCCTTGAAGAGGTCCTTCACATCCCTTGTAAGTTGGATTCCTATGTATTTTATTCTCTTTGTAGCAATTGTGAATGGGAGTTCACTCATGATTTGGCTGTCTGTTTGTTATTGGTGTATAGGAATGCTTGTGATTTTTGCACATTGATTTTGTATCCTGAGACTTTGCTGAAGTTGCTTATCAGCTTAAGGAGATTTTGGGCTGAGACCATGGGGTTTTCTAAATATACCATCATGTCATCTGCAAGAAGAGACAATTTGACTTCCTCTCTTCCTATTTGAATACCCTTTGTTTCTTTCTCTTGCCTGATTGCCCTGGCCAGAACTTCCAGTACTATGTTGAATAAGAGTGGTGAGAGAGGGCATCCTTGTCTTGTGCCAGTTTTCCAAGGGAGTACTTCCAGTTTTTTCCCATTCAGTATGATATTGACTGTGTGTTTGTCATAAATAACTCGCATTATTTTGATATATGTTCCATCAATACCTAGTTTATTGAGAGTTTTTAGCATGAGGACGTCTTGAATTTTGTCAAAGGCCTTTTCTGCATCTATTGAGATAATCATGTGTTTTTTGTCATTGGTTCGGCTTATGTGATGGATTACATTTATTGATTTGCAAATGTTGAACCAGTCTTGCATCCCTGGGACAAAGCCGACTTAATCATGGTGGATAAGCTTTTTGATGTGCTGCTGGATGTGGTTTGCCGGTATTTTATTGAGGACTTTTGCAGTGATGTTCATCAGGGATATTGGCCTGAAATTTCCTTTTTTTGTGTGTGTCTCTGCCAGGTTTTGGTATCGGGATGATGCTGGCCTCATAAAATGAGTAAAGAAGGATTCCTTCTTTTTCTATTGTTTGGGATAGTTTCAGAAGGAATGGTACCAGCTCCTCTTTGTACCTCTGGTAAAATTCGGCTGTGAATCCATCTGGTCCTGGACTCTTTTTGGTTGGTAGTCTATTACTGCCTCAATTTCAGAACTTGTTATTGATCTATTCAAGGATTCGAATTCTTCCTGGTTTAGACTCGGGAGAGTGCATGTGTCCAGGAATTTATCCGTTTCTTCTAGATTTTCTAGTTTATTTGTGTAGAGGTGTTTATAGTATTCTCTGATGGCAGTTTGTATTTCTGTGGGATTGGTGGTGATATCCCCTTTATCATATTTTATTGCATCTATTTGATTCTTCTCTCTTTTCGTCTTTATTAGTCTTGTTAGTGGTCTATTTTGTTGATCTTTTCAAAAATCCAGCTCCTGGATTCACTGATATTTTTGAAGGGTTTTTTGTGTTTCTATCTCCTTCAGTTCTGCTCTGATCTTAGTTATTTCTTGTCTTCTGCTAGCTTTTGAATTTGTTTGCTCTTGCTTCTCTAGTTCTTTTAATTGTGATGTTAGGGTGTCAATTTTAGATCTTTCCTGCTTTCTCTTGTGGGCATTTAGTGCTATAAATTTCCCTCTACACACTGCTTTAAATGTGTCCCAGAGATTTTGTTATGTTGTGTCTTTGTTCTCATTGGTTTCAAAGAACATCTTTATTTCTGCCTTTATTTCTTTATGTACCCAGCAGTCATTCAGGAGCAGGTTGTTCAGTTTCCATGTAGATGAGCAGTTTTAAGTGAGTTTCTTAATCCTGAATTCTAATTTGATTGCACTGTGGTGTGAGACACTGTTATGATTTCTGTTCTTTTGCACTTTCTGAGGAGTGTCTTACTTCCAATCACGTGGTCAATTTTAGAATAAGTGTGATGAGGGGATTGCAACCCCTGTTTTTTTGTTTGTTTGTTTTTTGTTTGTTTTTGCTTTCCATTTGTTTGGTAAATATTCTTTCATCCCTTTATTTTGAGCCTATGTGTGTCTTTGCACATGAGATGGGGCTCCTGAATACAGCACACTGATGAGTCTTGACTCTTTATCGAATTTGCCAGTCTGTGTCTTTTAATTGGGGCATTTAGTCCATTTACATTTAAGGTTCATATTTTTACATGTGAATTTGATCCTGTCATTATGATGCTAGCTGGTTATTTTGCCTGTTAGTTGATGCAGTTTCTTCATAGCATCGATGGTCTTTACAATTTGTTATGTTTTTGCAGTGGCTGGTACCGGTTGTTCTTTTCCATGTTTAGTGCTTCCTTCAGGAGCTCTTGTAAGGCAGGCCTGGTTGTGACAAAATCTGTCACCATTTGCTTGTCTGTAACGGATTTTATTTCTCCTTCACTTATGAAGCTTTGTTTGGCTGGATATGAAATTCTGGGTTGAAAATTCTTTTAAGAATGTTGAATATCGGCCCCCATTCACTTCTGGCTTGTAGGGTTTCTGCAGAGAGATCCTCTGTTAGTCTGATGGGCTTCCTTTTGTGGGTAACCTGACCTTTCTCTTTGGCTGCCCTTAACATTTTTTCCCTCATTTCAACCTTGGTAAACCTGATGGTTATGTGTCCTGAGGTTGCTCTTCTTGAGGAATATCTTTGTGGCATTGTCTGTATTTCCTGAATTTGAATGTTGGCTTGTCTTGCTAAGTTGGGGAAGTTCTCCTGGATAATATCCTGAAGAGTGTTTTCCAACTTGGTCCCATTCTCCCCATCACTTTGAGTTACACCAATCAAATGCAGATTTGGTCTTTTCACATAGTCCCATATGTCTTGGAATCGTTGTTCCTTTTCGTTCTTTTTTCTCTAATCTTGTCTTCTCGCTTTATTTCATTGAGTTGCTCTTCAATCTCTGATATCCTTTCTTCTGCTTAATCGATTTGGCTATTGATACTTGTGTTTGCTTCATGAAGTTCTCTTGCTGTGTTTTTCAGCTCCATCAGGTCATTTATGTTCTTCTCTAAACTGGTTATTCTAGTTAGCGATTCGTCTAACCTTTTTTCAAGGTTCTTAGCTTCCTGGCATTGGGTTAGAACATGCTCCTTTAGCTTGGAGGAGTTTGTTATTACCCACCTTCTGAAGCCTACTTCTGTCAATTTGTCAAACTCATTCTCTGTCCAGTTTTGTTCCCTTGCTGGTGAGGAGTTGTGATCCTTTGGAGGAGAAGAGGCATTCTGGTTTTTGGAATTTTCAGCCTTTTTGCGCTGGTTTCTCCTCATCTTCATGGATTTATCTACCTTTGGTCTTTGATGTTGGTGACCTTCCAACGGGGTTTCTGTGTCTGGACGTCCTTTTTGTTGATGCTGATGCTATTCCTTTCTGTTTGTTAGTTTTCCTTCTAACAGTCAGGCCCCTCTGCTACAGGTGCACTCCAGACCCTGTTTGCCTGGGTATCACCAGCAGAGGCTACAGAACAGCGAAGATTGCTGCCTGTTCCTTCCTCTGGAAGCTTCATCCTAGTGGGGCACCCACCATATGCCAACCAGAGCTCTCCTGTATGAGGTTTCTGTCGGCCCCTCCTGAGAGGTGTCTCCCAGTCAGGATACACGGGGGTCAGGGACCCACTTGAGGAGGCAGTCTGTCCCTTATCAGAGCTCGAATGCTGTGCTGGGAGATCCGCTGCTCTCTTCAGAGCCATCATACAGAGACGTTTAAGTCGGCTGAAGCTGCGCCCACAGCCGCGCCTTCCCCCAGGTGCTCTAATTTTACCTTCTTACGTATCTTAATATGCCACTTTCTCCATTTAACCTACTATGCTGATGCGCATTCTTATCGTTTCCCTTCTTGGGGTTGTCAAGCTGTCTAATTAGATTATAGATTCATTAGGTGGAGGCCAATGGCTAATTCTGTGTTTAGTACAGAAACAGTACACTGTTGGTATTTAATCATCCATATTCTCCTGTTCTTGATTGGTGGGATATAATAATACATCTTCTGAAAGCTCAGTGGAGTGAAAATTCCTCAGAAGAGGGTGAGAAAAAGGCAAAAAGAACAAATGAATTCTCACTCAATACTCAAGAAGTTCTTCTTTTTATGAGAGTATAATAGCTAAGCCACTAACCTATGGAATGGGGAATCAGCCTGAATAAATGCAAAAGAAAAAATCAATATGCAATAGTTGTTTTATGCAGCGCTATTCAATTCCAAGAGGGCTGACAGTTTTTATGGGAAAATAGATGTGTTGTGCCATTTGGGAAATAAGCAAATAATTCATATATAGAACTTTCAGGAGTGTCTCAAAATGTTTAAGATGTGTTAACTGTGTTCCTTAGAGAATCACGGGTGAAGCAAGGGTAGGGAAAATATTAATTTACCTAATTTGTAAGTAAAGAGAAAAAAACACTTGGCAAAGCTCAAAGATTCATGGTTTATCAGCTCATGGGCCAGAATCCCTGATTGCTCATCTGCTGTCCTATATAGTTTATAAAATCTGTAAGGATTGAACAGTATTTACTCACTCTAGGGTTATAATTTAAGTGCTTCTCAAGTGCTTAATAAAGAGTTTCACATTTTCTTCACCTTAGTTGACTCTCTCTTGGTTTGTAACCAAGTTTACCATGGCTTTTTCTAGAACTTTATTGATTTTAATTGACAGTTTCTACTGAAACAAAAGGAAAGAAAACAAAATTATCTACTTTGTAATAGGTGGATTCTGTAAGACTGCATTGATAAGTTAATAGTAGATTATTTTATCAACTCTGTTTTATCACATACAAATAAAGGCTTACAGAGTACTTTTTCTTGTCAGCTAAGTAAAGCATCTTTTCTGAAAATGTCATTAACACCACTTGGAGTTCATGTAGAAATCAACTTAAAGATCTCAGAATGTTTAAAGAGCTTCATTTATAATCCCTTCAATATAAAGGAGAGGAAAGGGCAGGAACTCACTGTATCTGTATCAGCACTAAAATGCAGTGTAAATAATGAATTCTTATTTATATACACCCAGTTTTATTACTGGGCTAAAATTTGATGAAAGAGAAAAGAATACACACATCTTTATTCATTGTTTGCAATGCACCTTGAAAAATATTGAGTGACACCTTTACATCTGAAAGCACTTTCATTTAAAGTAGTAGCTGCAGGGGATAAAAGGACACTTTGTAAAAGAGACAGCAAAGTATCATAGATCATTCTCTGTCACTCACAGACGGACAGCTAAGACACTTCCCAGTGGACTCTGGGATATATTTGAAGAAGTGCCCAAACCCAGAGACTCCCGATGGATTGAGAAAATGGCAAATCTTCCATCATGAAAAGGTTTAAAGGAAGAATATGTTTTGGAGTAAGCCAGAGAAAGTATAGGAAATTGTTGAAGCAAAGCAAATCAATACTGAGAAAGAAAATGACCGAGAGACAAAGATGACCACAGTTCTTCCTGTAAATGAAGAACATGTTTATACACCTGCAAATGAATTCTAAAGGTAGAAACTTACTACCTATAAAATAGAAATGAATAGAGACAAACGAGGTTGAAATGGAACAGTAAAGAAGCTCTAATTTTGAAGATAATGTTTTAGCCTCTTACTATACATTTAATTCTTATTTGAACAGTTTGCAATTCTGAATATAATAGATTCTGATCTAATTGGCTGAGAATGATAATACTCTTTAAAATGAGTTTCTGGCATAATGTTCAGTCTTCTCTAAGCCTATAATTATTGATGGGTGTATGCGAACAAGGAGCTATATGATTTAGTTGGGCTCAGTGGACTAGTAATAATACCCCTGATCCGTGTTTAAAACCCTCCAAGGAAGAACTCAATGTGAATAGCATGACTAAATTCTATAGACAGCAGCACTTATAAGAAATAAAAGGAATTACAGGATGTATGAACTCCATCATCAATTCTTATTTCTGGGAAAATGGCAAAATGTGAAACCCTGCCAAGTATATGCCAGTTAGTGTGATTCATTTTGAACATGAGTTAACCCTCTGGCCCACAGACGTCCTGAGCCCAAGTGATGTCTCTCACTTAATACCAGGTCATATTGCTTACTGATGTCCCTAAGCTGTATGAAATCAAAATGCAAAACACTTAATTCCAAGTGGGAGTCAACATGAGGTGGTAACTAGGACATTTGGAAACTTGGAAAAGTGACTTCTTCCTTACAGACCTATTGCCAAAAAATGTGACAGTAGGTCTCAGATCTTCTCCAGCTCTAAAGTTATACAAATGGACAGTTGTGAACCACAAAATTACAAATATTGGTCTAGCCAGTATAAAACTGTGACCTTTCTATAGCATGTCCTATCTGCAAACTGGATAAAGTCCACCCGTAATAAAGGGGTATACCCAACAGTTAACTCTGATATCCGTGTCCTATCCTCTAATAGAAACAACCACAATCAATTGAATACAATCGAATAGAGTCAAAACACAAGTGCCAACAAAGGTATGGTCAGCTAATTTTATAACTTCTCATGAATATATACAAGAAACAACACAATCAAAAGCATAACAACAACATATAATGTTTAATTATCCTGGAGCGTGATTTGAGTATACTCCACAATTATTATAATTGAGCAAAGAATGATGGTTAAAGTTACTGAACAAAAAGTAATAGGCTGAAAAACAATCAACTCAGAGGCCCCAGGGGCCATGTGTGCACATGCCCCTGGTTAACACTCTTAAACTGTTACTAATAGAGCCAATGCTAAAGTTTCAAAGTTCTGGATCATTGCTCCTTAGGGCTAGGATGTGGGCAGTTTGTATTATAAGTGAAGTCCATCTTTTTCCATGCCCTCTTATAAGTCAGTCATCTTTTTCCATGCCCTCTTCCTTTCAGGATAGCATGATAATTCCTCAGCAAATTATCTGTCTTACAAACTTCCTTTTTCATCCCATAATATAATTTGTTTTATCCTCTTTTAGAGAGCTGTAAGGCATCATTTTTATATCCACTGGAAGTCATGAAAAAGCAATAAAGAGGCATTAATAAATACTTAATCTGCATTGTGTCCTATGAGTATATCATATAAAATATATGCTATCAAACAAAATAGTATATGGCTCTTGAGCTACCCAGGCCTTCTTCTGGGCTAATGCCATTTAATGCAGTGTGAGTCCATTACAGTCTTATTTAAAGATTAGGCACTTATAAAATCAATCTATCTTTGTATTCAAGGAACCAATCCTTTGGCTCCATGATAAATCGTACAGAAACGTTATGTTTGATTAATCTTTTTAATGCAAATGGAGAATGAGAGGTCTTTCAAAGTGAACAGCATCTTAGTGTGGGTTAACTTAGTATAGGTTAATTCATGTCTCCATTTTAACTTAAGTCCCCAGGGCACCCATAACTTTAACTCATGTTTCCCAGTTTCAAAACTTTCTTCCTATAATTCATTTTAAATCATAAATACAATAATTTTTAAGTCATTTTAAAAAGTCATTGTAGTATCCGAGGAACTTAAATCTATTAAATAGCAAATAAGCATATGATTTTTTTTCCGTCTCTGAAAAGAAATGTTGCTTAGCAGATATAGTTTTAAGAGCAAAAAAGTAAACAAAATGTGCTACTGGCCATTGAGCTTAATAATACACAGACAAGAATACTTCCCCTTCCATAAATTTCTTGACTTTTTTTTTTGTACCAATAGCAAAGTACCTATTTCTATATATCAAAAAAAATATTTTTCTCTTCTTCTTTCTAATGTTTGTAACTGTTTTTACACACATACTTAGATTTTAATATTTTGTGTTGGTATCATTGTTTCTATTCTTTATTATTCAAATTGGAAAATGCATTTTGATGTTTTGAACTGACAACCACAATGATAGAATTTGAATTTTTTTATGTCATTAAGCTTTGTTTCACTTTCCAGTACAGTTAATGTCATTTTTCCTCCAAGATGAAATTTTTTTATTTTTTATTTTTATATATTTAGGGGATACAAGTACAATTTTGTTACATAGATATATTGCAGTGGTGAAATCCGGGCTTCTGGTGTAACCATTACCTGAATAGTGTACATGGTATTCATTAGGTAATTTGTCATCCTTCACCACACTCTAATGCTCCCACCTTTCTGAGTCTCTATTATCTACCATTACACTTTCTAAGTCCATGTGTGCACATTGTTTAGCTCCCACTTATAAGTCAGAACATGTAGTATTTGACTTTCTGAGTTTTCACTTAAGGACCTCCAGTTCCATCCATGTCACTGCAAAAGACATGATTTCGCTCTTTTTTATGATTTCATTCATTTTTATGGCTGAGTGGTATTCTATGCGATGTGTGTGTGTGTGTGTATATACATATATCTATATACACATATATATAAAATATATATATATATGCAGATATCTTTTTGATATAATATTTTCCTTTGGGTATATACCCAGGAGTGGGATTGTATATGTGTATATATATACAATATATATGTATGCAGGTATCTTTTTGATATAATATTTCCCTTTGGGTATATACCCTTGAGTGGGATTGCTGGATGGAATGGCGGTTCTATTTTAAGTTATTTGAGAAATCTCCAAACTGCTTTCCATAGAAGTTGAACTAATTGACATTCCCACCAGCAGTGTATAAGCATTTCGTTTTCTCCATGTCTTCACCAACATTTGCATTTCCCTGATTATTAGTGACATTGAGAGTGTTTTCATGTTGTTAGCCATTTGTATGTCTTATTTTGAAAAATGTTTATTCTCGTCTTTATGGGGCTATTTATTTTTTTCTTGTGGAGTTGTTTGAGTTCCTTGTAGATTCTGGATATTAGTCCCTTGTCAGATGCATAGTTTGCAAATTATCCCATTCTATATATTGCCTGTTGATTATTTCTAAATAAGTTTTTATGATACTTTTTGCGGTAGCTAAAATTTACAGTTCGCCTATACTCATTGCAGAACTGGATGTCTCTGCTACATAAGAAGTTTAGGTTTGATGTTCATTCTTAAAATATGTAAATTTCATTTTGACCCTAATTTTTCCTATTTAAATTAAATGTTACTATATATTAATTTATATGTAGAAAAAAAATGTTTCAAAATAAAACAACTTTTTTTGGCATGAAGTTTTTTTCCACAGCCTCCATTCAACCAAATTTGCTTTGCTTTCCAATATATAAATGCCCATTTCATGTAAAATCGTATTTAGATTAATAGGTCCCTTCTGTTCCTTTAACAGATTAAGAATTTGTCACCAGGTGCAGTGGTTTATGCCTGTAATCCCAGCACTTTGGGAGGCCGGCCGGCAGATCACTTGAGGTCAGGAATTGGAGACCAACCTGGCCAACATGGTGAAACCCCGTCTCTACTAAAAATACAAAAATTAGCCAGGCGTGGTGGCGCGCACCTGTAATCCCAGCTACTAGGGAGGCTGAGTCAGGAGAATCACTTCAATCCGGGAGGCAGAGGTTGCAGTGAGCCTAGATCGTGCCACTGCACTCCAGCCTGGATGACACAGCAAGATCCTGTCTCAAAAAAAAAAAAAAAGAATTTGTGAAAGTGTCATAAGTTTGCATATTAATGTTTTTAATTAAAAAGACAAAGTCTAAATGTTTTATCAGTATGTGAGCACTTACAAAGATATTTTATCTCTATTGATCTAGAGTTATAATCAAGAAAAGATGACCACGTTGACATGTTCTCATGCATCAGATGACATTCTAATTTTAAAAGCTTCAGTTGTTTCTTTTGTTTCTTTATACTGTCATTCTCTTTTTCACAGGAAAATGCCATGAAAAATTATTCTGTCCCTACTACTTCCCTCTCTTTAGATCCATCCCCTTGATCCTCTGTAGTCTGGATTCTGAAACACCTCTTTACCCAGACTCTTGTCTCGTCAGTACTGCCAAATGCAGAGACTTCGAGTCATTGCTCTTGAATTTTCTGAAGTATTTAATGATATGGACCACACAATTCTCCTTGAAATTCTGCCTTCCCTTGTTCTATGGCATTGCTCAACTGTTCCTCTTTTCCACCCTCCCCACTGCTCCTGGGATCTGGTTTCTTTTTCATCTTTCTACTGACCATGGGGATTGCTTCTCACTCCATCTTCTGTTTTTCTTTCTCTATTTTATTTCCTGAAGGAGCTCATCCATTGTCATCCCAGCTTAGCTACTTATTAGCTGTGTAATGTAAGGTGAGTTATTTGGCAGCTCTTTGGTTTCTCATCAGTAAATTTGATATACTAGTTGAGGTAAAAATCAAATGAGTTAGCACTTAGAAGGCACTGAGAACAATCCCTGTCACATGGTAAGTCATCATTAGCCATGACCATTATTTGTTATCTCATCACACTCAAAGCTACATCTTCACCTTTGATCTTTACTTCGATGTATGATTCCATATTTCCAAGTGCTTTTAAGAATATTCTGCCAACATTATGTCAAATATCAACATGTCTGTAACAAAAGTCAATTTCTTGGGCTATATTCCCTTATCAAAATAGCTTATGCTTTCAAGTGACCCTTTTTTATTGCTAGTATTGCTATCCTCCAGGTAATCAAGCTTGATATCCTACAAATTTAACATTTCTCTTTTATCATCTCCATTTAATCTTGTTACTAAGCTTGTCCTCTCTTCATGGTAACTTTTCAATTTCCCACCTTGGTCCAGATCCTTGTCATCTTAGTAAACATCCCTACTCCCAGCATCTTTACTCCAACCAAACAAGGTCTTATAAACATCATTTCAATATGTTATATTCTGCTCTACTTAGTGTTCATCTACTCAAGAAGTTGGAATTTTAAAAAATCAACTGTATCAATAATTATTAAATAACCGAGAATAGCAGAGCTGATGTACTTTTTAAAAATTATTTTTATTTTTTTGAGCTGGAGTCTCGCTCTATTGCCAGGCTGGAGTGCAGTGACGTGATCTCAGCTCACTGCAACCCCCGCCTGCCGGGTTCAAGTGATTCTCCTGCCTCAGCCTCCCAAGTAGCTGGGACTACAGGTGCGTGCCACCATGCCCAGCTAATTTTTGTATTTTTAGTAGAGACGGGGTTTCACCATGTTGGCCAGGATGATCTCGATCTCTTGACCTCATGATCCTCCCGCCTCTGCCTCTCAAAGTGCTGGGATTACAGTTGTGAGCCACCACGCCTGGCCACTAATGTACTTTTAAAATATATATTGAAAATGTAACTGCATAAAATAAAAAACTTATTTTAATTAGATAAAATTTTAGAAGAATAATTTTTTGCTTTTATGGAAGATTAAGAAAATAAGCAGGAAGGATTATACAAATGCTGCCACAAACCCTAGGTATCATACAAAAGGGCCAATGTTGCTACCACTACTATAATAATGATAACTAACATTTGTTCTCTACATTAAGCTTTACATAGGATTTTTATGTAGAATATTTTATTTTATCTTCTCAATAATTCAATGAAAAGAATATTAATGTCAACCTAATCTATAGAAGAAAGGTCTGAGCCTCACAGAGGTTAAGCAGCTTATCAGAGATCATGCAGCCAGGAAGCCGGAAAGCCAGAACTTGACCTCAGGCTCTTAATTCCAGGTTCTATGCTTTTTCCATTGTGCTATTGAAAGACCTCAATAATTATTTTTTAAAATCTATTTTTTTTTATTTTAGTTTCAGGGGATACACATATAGGTTTGTTACATTGGTATATTGTGTGACACTGACGTTTGGGGTATATGATTCCTTCACCCAAGTAGTGAGCATAGTACCCACTATGCTAGTTTTCAGTCCTTTCCCTCCAGTAGTCCCCAGTATCTATTGTTCCCCTCTTTGCGTCCATGTATACCCAATGCTTAGCTGCCACTTATAAGTGAGAACATACGGTATTTGATTTTCTATTCCTGCCTTAGTTCACTTAGGATAATGCCCTCTAGCTACATCTATGTTGCTGCAAAGGAAATTACGTAATTCTTTTTTATGGCTGCATAGTATTCCATGGTGTATATGTATCATATTTTCTTTATCCAAACCACTGTTGATGGGCATCTAGGTTGATTCCTTGTCTTCGCTATTGTGAATAGTGCCACAGTGAACATACAAATGCATGTGTCTTTTTGGTAGAGCGATTTATTTTCCTTTGGGCATATACCCAGTAATGGGATTGCGGGGTCAAATAGTAGCTCTGTTTTAAGTTATTTGAGACATCTCCAAAATGCCTTCCATGGTAGCTGAACTGATTTACATTCCCACCAACAGTGTGTAAGTATTCCCTTTTCTCCACAGCCTCACCAGCATCTGTTATTTTTTTCCTTTTTAATAATAGTCATTCTGATTAGTGTGAGATGATATCTCATTGTGATTTTGAATAATCATTTTAAACAACTTACTACATTTGAAAAATTGTATAGTAATACGTTACACGTAGTGTACTGTTAATGAATTTTGAGTGAATGAGTGAATTACCAGATAAACTATGTATTATGTCTATCTGATAATTCTAAGCCCCATAGTATAAGTATACTAAAATAACAGCACATAATATGATGAAAACCTGAAGCAGTTTCCTAAGTGACTGATGCCTAACTCAGCTGAATATTGACTTACAAAGGGACTTCAAGTATAGACCTAAGGAGGTTGCTACCTACCTGTCTCTGAGATTCTCGTGGACTTCAGTGTGAATATAGTAATGGAACACCTGAAAAGGAAGGGAGTAATACAGAAGAAAAATGGTAGGCAAAGAAAATGGGGTGTAGAGAAGCAGACTACTGTGCCTCCATCCCTTTCCAGAAAAAAAAAGAAAAAAAAAAAGATGGGTCGGACCTCACCCTGGCCTAGATGCCTTCTCCTTAAAGATTATATGTATTCTCTTGCTCTAAGCCCCTACTAAATAAGAAGCCTTTTAATTTGTTCTTCCAAACACTTCAGTATGCAGAAATAGAACAGAAAAGGGGATACCCCACTCCGAATGACTAAGCTGACAGTCTTGTTGTACATTGGTCTCTCTTCCTAGTGTCTGAGTATCACTGAGTCTGACCATTTCAAGGTGGCCTCAGAGTGTCCAGACAGGCTGAGAACCACCTACCTAAATCACAGAGACTCAACCCAGATGCTGTCTTCTCAAAGAAGTTTTAGCAGCAACAAGGAAGCTCTCCTATATCACATCCCCCATTAGAATGGCACTGGCACTGAATAACATTGACAGTGAATTTCACCATCAACAGGGTAGGGGAAAATGCTGAGTATTAGAAATTCATTGCCCATTATTTAAAGTGAGCTTGGTTCTCTTTGATTCAGCAAATTGATTCCCAATGACCTAACTGGAATTTAAGTCTTTAATTCTCTTATCCAATGCCTCTCAAAATCTGACCCCATTTGAATTGTCCCTTATTATTTCACCTAGCTGCCTCTAGCACCTTGCTTGGGCAGGTAGGTGAAATAATGAGGGCCCCTCTTTTCAAAGACTCCTCTCATCTTTGCTCATTCTAGTCATTCCTGAAACGATTTTTTAGAAGTTTTTATTCTGGAAAATTTTAATCATATATAGAAGTAGAGAAAATAGTACAATTAATTCCCACATACTCAGCACTTAGGTTATCAACTCTTAGCCAGTCTGGAAAGGCATTTTCTCCTCCTCTATGCTTAGATTCATTAAGGTCTACCTCAAATCCTATGTCTGAAATGAAATTTCTCTCTAATTATTGCTGCCTAAACTTGCTCTGTTACCTTCCTGACCTCATCTGGGGCAATATTACTGCTTCATGTTTTGTTATCTGGTAATGTTCTTTCTGTTACAACACTGTAGTATAAGCTCTCTAGGTACACAGGGAAGCTGCATGCATATTTCATATGTAAAACCACATCTAATATAATATGAGTTTCACAATAGGCAATCTATATAATTAAGCCTTATAAGCCACACTATCACTACCTGGCAAAGACATAGTATCCAGAGAACAGTAAAAATATTTGTACTTTTGTACCACAAAGTATCTGCACCTATTTAAATTCATTAGCCAAAAGGTCAGTAACAAGTTTTTAATTGTTCTAATAATTAACTGCATAATTAACAACTTGTATAGCAGTAATAGGAGTGAAAATATGTAAAATACTTTTACAAGGGTAAATAAAATTACCTTTTGTATTACAAAAGTTGTCCTTTGGGCATGAAGTCGTCTAAAATTATAGAACTGACAAAGACGAATTTATGACATGTATGTGTCAATGCTCTCTTCTTTTCTTTAGTATGGGATTAATATTCCGATAGTTCAACTTACGTTGACTAATGATTACAGAAATTATGAAAATGAAACAAAATTTAATTTTCCAGGGTATATTTTGTGCTCTGGAAATAATGGCAATGATGGTTTAACATGTTTAAACCTGAATTGGACATATGCGTCTCTCTGTTCACTTGACTATTTTAAATAGGATTTAAAACTCTTTGATCAAAGTATTCAGAAATTTCTCATTTGTAAGTTACTTGCACTAGCTTTTAATCTGCTGACATTGCATAAACATTATTCTTAAAACCATACCAATGACTTTCAGGACTCAGATGTTAATTAATTCAGGATAGAAATGGCCATTGAGAACATGTGAAATGTGTCAAATGATAGCCCACTCCACTTTCCCAGAACTTCCAACATTTAGAGCATCATTTACTATTTCAGCAAAAGAAGAATACAGTCATTTGGTGCTGAAATTAGTGCATAAAACCATAATTTTATGTCCTGGGGGATCTTCTGCATCATAGCATTTTACTAATAAGCTTCATTAATATCTGGCAGCTTGTCTTTTATTTAAATGACTTGATGACAGTTTCAAAGGCAAGAACACTCTAGATAGCACTTTATTTTATGCACATAGTTGGAATGTGGACAACAAACCAGTGTCAACTAGTGAAGTGATAGCCAAGTTAAAATGGATTTAAATTGAATGAATGAACAATAACTTATCGAAGTGCTGTTATTTTAGATGCCACCCTCTAGGAAAAGTACATCATATAACCCATTTTATACCATCTGACATGCTTTGCTTGAGTTCATCACTCACATAACTGATGACTAGAGGGAGACAAGGGGTTGGATGAGAAAATAAAACAAAATCCAACTTAGATTAGCTCGTCCTTAAAAAGACCTGCCAATTAGCCTTTCAATTAACTAAGAAGAAGCCTTTCAAGTCTTTGATAACAATGAAGTGAAACTACATTAGCACATCCACTTCAGCTCAGTTCAACAAACACAGGTGGTCTTCTCTTTGTTACCACAACAACGACTTGCAATGGGTATTTTCATATTTTCTGATTCAATTTGTCCAAAATGTGAATTTTTTCCTTCCTAATTTGAACAAATGTGAGTTCTCTGAAAGGCCAAGTTATTTAAGGTGAAGGGTGTTCAGCAAAAATTATGCCACATTATTTGTTACCAGCAAGTATTTTTTCCTCCTTGATATGACATTTATTTATAAATGACTAGAAATGTATTGTGGATTTAAAACAATGTTTTAAACTAAAGCTCATAATTGTCTTAGTTTTGAAAAGACTATATTACCAATCAGGTATGCTTAAAGATAGAGAAAAATCCATGGCTGAATTGGAAAGAAAAGGAACAGGCTCTTTCATGTATACAGTTCCTTGGAGAATGCAAAGGGAGTTGCCCTTCTAGAGGATTCCTGAGTCCCCCTTGCATAGGAGGTTGGAGCTCATGGTTACACTGCTAGTTGGATAAGGGGTTTCAAATTCTGAGATGGTGACCAACTTCTAAGGATCTTGAGTTACTTTGCATATTACCATAGAACACAGTAGCAATCTGTATTGAGTATGGTAAATCTTAAAGCAACTCATTGCCTTAAACAGATAGTCATTTATTTCATTATTTACTGAGCACCTGGCACATATGATTAGGCACCAGGCTACACTGGCACTCTACCCTGAGGAGGCAAGTAGACACGCTCGCTGTCTCACGGAGCTTTTGGTTGAGCAGCAACGACAGTACAGAGTTATCTCCATACAAAGGGGGCACAAATGACATTTAGCTGAGAGCCAACCAAGCGAGGTTTCATTAAAGCAGTAGCATTGGAGTGTCCTGAAGGGTAGGCTTTTTGAAAGACAGAGCTGCATTCCAGATGGAGAAAATCAGACAAGAAAGGCAAAACACGTGGGGCATGTTAAGGGGTTCCGAATAGTGAAGTCTGTCTATAGTGCATGACAATTCATTGAGTCCCCACTAGAACAAGGCTCAGTTCTGAATTCTCAGGATAAAGTTGTTCTTGTTTTCAAAAGAAATAAAAAAGACACTGCCCTTATGCAGCCAACATTCTGGTGTAAAGATGTCAGCAATAAAAACCAAATCAATCTATAATATAATGGCAGGTGGTAGAAGTGCTACTCCATTCCACACACACTGGTCTCCTGACTGCTCTTGGAACCATCAAACATGACCTTGCCACAGGCCTTTGCACTTGTTCCCTCCACCTGAGATACTTTTTGAGATATTCACGAGGCTCACTTTCCTCACTCTTTAAGATCTCTGTTCAAATAGCCTCCTATCAGGGAAGCTTTCATTATTAAAGTAGCAACCACTACTCTTCCCCCAATACGTCTTATCCCCCTTCCTGGCTTTGATTTTTCACCACAGGAGCTACTATCATCTGGCATGCTATTTAATTTGTTTGCTTATTGTTTCTTTCTCAAGTGGAAAGTAAGCACCATGAAACAAAGGGATGTTTGCCTATTTTGTTTACTGCTATATTCTCAGCATCAGGACAGTACCTAGAACATTCAAGAAATATTGGTGCTATGAAGAAATAAGATAAAAATGAAAGTAGGGTTAAGGTGATTAAGCAAATCATGTGTTGCTCTTTTCCAGGGAGACTGGGAAAGGTCTTTCTAAACAGGTAACATCTGAATAAAAACCTAAGTAAAAGGAAAGAGCAAGCCACACAACTATCAGAGGAAAGAGCTTTCCAGGCAGAGAGAACAGGAGAGGAAAAGGTAGGAGCATCCTTGGCTGGAGTGGCAAGAGCTAAGGAGAGTGATAGGAGATTATGTCAGAAAGATAGCATGAGCCCTGTTAAGGATGTGGACTTTATTCTGAGTGAGCTGGAAAGCTGTGGAGTTGTAGGATGCACTGCAGGAGAACAGAAACAGAAAGGAAGGCAATAGTCCAAGTACTTTAGATTGGTATGAGAGCAATGAAAGTGTAAGAGTCAGGATAGTTTTTGAAGGTAAAATTGACAATATTTGCTAATGGAATAGATGGATGTGCTAAGAAGGAGATTTCAGGGAGGAAAGTAAGAATTTAAGGCAGAACAACTGTATAATGACATTGCCATCAACTGAATTGGGAAAGACTATGAAAGGAATAGCTTGGTGGGGAGTGGGGGAGTAGGAATTAAGAGTTTTGGAGATGATAAAATTTTAAATGCCTATTCAATATCTAAGTGAAGATAGTGAGTAGGCAGCGAGATTTTTAGTCTGAATTGTGAGAGAAAGGTCAAAGCTAGAAATATAAGTCTGGAACTCATCAGTGTATAGATGGTATTTAAAACCATGGGAGTAGATGAGATCACCAAGGGAATTAGTGTTAATTAGAATAAACCCCTAACATTTGCATAGTGCATTCCCATTTACCAAGCACTTATATAGTGACTGGAAAATTGTGGGAGTGAAGATTGAAAATCTAAGTTGGGCTTGAAAAAGGAAAGTGAACGAAGACTAAAGGTAATAGGAGAGGATGCTGACTGCACAGTGCTTTACAAGTGATTAGATTTGGAGAAAAAGGTTGTTAAAGACAGTTCCAACGCTTTCATTTGGAACTATAAAAATGTGGGGTGGGAGGGAGCATGCAGAGAGATGATGATAACTATTATTTTGAGCATGGTAAGTTTCTGGTGCTTTAAAGATATCCAGATGATTCAGGAGGAGGAGGGAGCTTTTTTTTTTTTTTTTTTTTTTTTTGGAGACAGTTTTGCTCTTGTTGCCCAGGCTGGAATACAATGGCGCAATCTTGGCTCACTGCAACCTTCACCTCCCAGGTTCGAGAGATTCTCCTGTCTCAACTTCCTGAGTAGCTGGGATTACAGATGCCTGCCACCATGCCTGGCTGATTTACTGTATTTTTAGTAGAGACGGGGTTTCACCATGTTGGCCAGGCTGGTCTCGAACTCTTGACTTCAGATGATCCACCCACCTTGGCCTCCCAAAGTGCTGGGACTACAGGCATGAGCCACCGTGTCTGGCCGTGGGGAGCTCTTTAGCAAGGCCAAGCCCTATTCATTCTTCAAAACTCAGTTCAAATATCACTTCTGCCAATAAATCTTTCCCCTCCCTGCCTCCTGGTTTGAGTTAGGGTTGTTTCTATCTTGCCATAGCTTCCATCACATACTTAGGATTGCCTCTTTACCTGTTCATATCCCACTTGGTTCCTGAAGGAATAGATGGATGTGCTAAGAGGGAGATTTCAAAGAGGAAAGTAAGAATTTAAGGCAGAACAACTGTGTAATGACGTTGCCATCAGCTGAATTGGGGAAGACTATGAAAGGAATAGCTTGGTGGGGAATGGGGGAGTAGGAATTAAGAGTTTTAGAGATGATAAAATTTTAAATGCCTATTCGATATCACTGAGTTCCTTAAAGGGCCTTTTGCCTTTCATGTCTAGGGCCTCAGCACCAGGGGCAGTGCCTGAAATGTATTAGGCACTCAATAAATGGGAGTGGATGGATGGATGGCAGCCATAAGATCCCAGATGAAGCTGTTTATATTCGTTTGTAATAAAGTAAACCAGGTGGTTTGTGAAACACAGAAGCAGAATAGAGAAAGCAGAGAGTGAAATTAAAGGTCATATTTCAACTACAACTTGATCTCAGATGGGACCTGTTCTATATAAAGTATGTTTTAGGTCACCTGCCCACCAGATTGAGATCCAAATTTGAAATATTCACCACACTGACAGACCCGGTGACCACGTTATATTCCCTAGATGTTTGGGGATGAAATTAAGCATTAAAAACTGCTCTTTGAATTTTTTTTCTCTATTGTAAAGATGGGACCAAGGCATTTATATGGAACTTTTCCATAGTCTACTGAGTTTGGCATATGACTGAATAAGAATGTGAAAGGAATTTGAAATGGTACAAATAGGAAGAAATAGCTAAGTCATTTAATATTTAATGTAATTCAATAACTTATTGAGCTTCTACTTTGTTTCAGGCACTAATTTTATGCTATAAATACAATAATGATCAAAATATAAATGTTCTCCCTGATGGGGTTTACAGTCTAGTAAATGTAATAATCACTAACATTTGGCTAGCACTCTATGTGCCAGACCCTGTGCTCAGGGCTCTACGTGCATTAGATCATTTAGTCCTCATGATAACCCTTTCAATAGGCATGCTGTTATCACCCCCATTTTATAGATTGGGAGGCTGAGGAACAAGAGGTTTGAATAACTTACTGAAAGTCACTCAGCCTGAGAACAATGAGGCCATGACTGGAATTCACATAGTCTGGCTCTGGAACCCCTGATCTTAAGCACATACTCTATATGTACAAGCATAGAAAAATGAATTGCAATTTTTGAATGTAGTACAAAGCTGCTGAGATTGGTATTGGATGCAAATGCCAGGAAGCTAGCATAAGACTTCAGAGGACAAAACAAAAAAAGAAAAGTTTCCAATCATCAGTCAAATATGAGAATGAATAAGAAACAAAGAGACAGACAAAAACCAGACTGAAGTGTGAAGGATATGTTTCATGTGAATCATTTCAAATTATGTCTGGGGCAGAAATTTCCTGCATTCCAAAGGGAAAGCATTAGAGAAATCATCGTGCACTGTAAGTCTTTAAGTGGTTCTTGTGTCGCCTGAGTCTCGCATGCCTGGTTCCACCAAATACTTGATGGATTCACAGCACATTGTTCCTCTGGGGAACATGTTTGTACTCCAAGTGTCTTAAGAGCGTTTGTGTCAGAGACATTTTGTTGGGGATGTAACTGTGATATGGAAGGGTTTTTTTTCTGAAATTTACTGATCTTTCTTGAAAGTTTTATATTTCTTGCATTGGCTTCTTTTCTGACTCCGGGTCACTAGCTCCAGATTTTTCTCATGTAGTGCTTTTATGTCTGGCATCTTAAAGCTGTAGAAGCCAAAACCATTCCATAGTCTAGGGATGTTTGTTCTAAATTAGCACCCATGGAAGCATGACATGGTCATTAAATGCTTGGTCCCTGGAATGACAGTGATTGGGTTTGACCCCTAGTTCCACCACTCATTGTATAATGTCTTCTTACACCTCACTTTGTTCATCTTAAAATGGATTTAACATTAATTCCTACATTACAGGGTTACTGTGACAATTAATACAAAGTGCTTAGTACAGTGCCAGACTCAATATGTTTTGGCTACCATCCTCTTTGATAATTTGTAATAAGCACGCCTCCCAATTGAGATCAGGTGAAAGCCTATTTCAAAAAGCAGGAAGTCAAATTTTGTTATTCCTTTCCAAGGAACTTTTAGATACGTTTTAAGTAAAGAAAACCTGCAAATACATAGCAACATAGAATGTTTATAATGTAGTAGCACTCAGATTTATAGGATTTCCATGTAAAATATTTCTGCCATGTTCCCTGGGGAATCAGTTCTTTCCTTGACACTAAGTCACAGCTCATTAGGCACCATATTTTTAATTTGGAAAGTAGAGAAATTAACTTACGCATATCAACTTTCTTCCCCATTTTGAGTGCCTTTAATCGGTATTGATTTCTATCTGTGAATGGGCTTGATATTAATTACCTATTGCCACCGTGGGCTGTTAAGGATGTCCACTAAGCTGTTTTACTTATATGAAAATTCATGGATAAGTGCAATATGAAATTTCACGTTGTTTATGGTGGTGCTTTCAGACTTCTTTCAATCAGCAATCCTAAACTATTTCAGTCATGATTGTCTTTGGCAGTCTGGTGAAGCCTGTTGCCCCTTCTCAGAATAATGCTTTTAAATGCATAAAATCAGAGGATTACATAGAAAAACAATTACACTGATATGTAGTTAACCACATATTTTTAAAACACAAATTTGTGATATAGTAACATTTTCGATTCTTCATTAAATTATTAAATGCTAAGACCCAGCAGCAAGTGTAATAGCTGTTGTAATATAGTAATTAACATAAAAGTTACTTTGAGATATCTGCAAGAACTATAATATAAAAATGTCTGTGATTTTTGTGGATAACAAAGTCACAGGTTCTGCTTATACTACTGTTGTCAGTGGCAAATATTTATGTTAGAATTCACTGAAAATCAAGATGTAATTTTTTCTCATCCAAGTTCACAAACCCCTTGAATTTCACCCAGAACCCCAAAAATTCCATGATGAAAAAGAAAAATTTTACTCGTTTTGTGATTAGTATGCTGAAATGCAGTTTCCATACTTTTTTGATTGATGTTTTTATATACTTCTTAATTGTATTAAATTAATTTTTGCCATTTTAAATACAATACCCACAAAAGAAGAAAACAAAAAGAATAAGACGAATCCAACACACACTGAGGTCTGTTTCTGTTGGAGGGTGGGGGTTGAGAGGAGGGAGAGGATCAGGAAGAATAGCTAGTGGATACCGGGCTTAATACCTGGGTGATGGAATGATCTGTGCAGCAATCACCATGGCACAAGTTTACCTATGTCACAAACCTGTACATCTTGTACATGTACCCCTAAACTTAAAAGTTGGAAAACAGAATAGTGGCAACCCCAAAAAAAATCACCCATATATAACACACCCACTGGCATATTCCCTGTAGCATTTTTTTGTACTTCTTTCCAATTATTTTGTAATTGCCATAATCATACTGTGCTTATAATTTTGTATCTACTTTAAACTAAGCTTTGTATCATAAGCATTTTTCATGTTGTCCCATAATGTTTACAGCCATTAAAAGTTTTAATGATTGTGTGGTATTTTCTATCTCATTTAGCCATACCCTTCCTGCTAGATAGCAACATTGTTACTATGATGAATAGCATATTTCATGTAACGAGCACTGCTTAAATTTTCTATCTGTGACAAATTTGAAATATGACTCATTCTTCAAGTTAGCAACCAGTAAAAAATAGTTTTAAGATGTGGTAGGATTCAGAATTTGCCATACGTTATTTTACTTTGACCTTCCCAATAAACCTTCTTTTTAAAAATTAACTTTTTATTTTAAAACCGTTATAGCCAGGCACGGTAGCTCACGCCTGTAATCCCAGCACTTTGGGAGGCCGGGATGGGTGGATCTCCTGAAGTCAGGAGTTTCAAGACCAGCCTGACCAACACAGAGAAACCCTGTCTGTACTAAAAAATACAAAAATTAGCTGGGCATGGTGGCGTGCGCCTGTGGTCCCAGCTACTCGGGAGGCTGAGACAGGAGAATTGCTTGAACCTGGGAGGCAGAGGTTGCAGTGAGCTGAGATTGCACCACTGCACTCCAGCCTGGGCAACAGAGCGAGACTCCAGCTCAAAAAAAAAAAAAAAAAAAAAAACGTTTAGGCCAGGTGTGGTGGCTCATGCCTGTAATCCCAACACTTTGGGAGGCCAAGGTGAGTGGATCACTTGAGCTCAGGGGTTGGAGACCCAGCCTGGGCAACATGGCAAGACCCCATCTATACTGAAAAATACAAAAATTAGCCAAGGGTGGTGGCAGTTCCTGTAATCCCAGCTATTCGGGAGGCTGAGGCACAAGAGTTGTTTGAACCCAGAAGGCATAGGTTGCAGTGAGCAGAGATCACACCATTGCATTTCATGCTGGGTGACAGAGTTTCTGTCTCAAAAACACAATAACAGTTTTGGATTTATAGAAAAATTGTGAAGACAGTACAGAGAGCTCCCATATACCCAACACCCAATTTCTCTTCTTAACATCTTACCTTAGTATATTTGTTACCCTTAATGAACCAACAATGATGTGGTATTATTAACTAACGAACGTCTATACTTTATTAAGATTTCCTTAGTTTTTACTTAATGTTCTTTTTCTGTCCCAGGGTCCCATCCAGGATACCACATTACATTTAGTTGTCATGTCTCGTTAGACTCCTCATGGCCATGACAGTTTTTTAGACTTTTCTTGTTTTTGATGACCTTGACAATTCCCATGAGTACTGTTCAGGAATTTTGTAGAATGCTCCCCAATTTGAGATTTGTCTGATGTTTTGCTCATGATTATACTGAGACTATTGAATTTTGTGAGGAAGACCACAGATGTAAAATGGCATTCTCATCACATCATATCGAAAGTATATGCTATCAACATGACATTGCTTGTTAATGTTAATCTTTTTTTTTTCCCAGACAATTCTTTTTTTTTAATTATACTTTAAGTTCTAGGGTACATGTGCACATTGTGCAGGTTAGTTACATATGTATACATGTGCCATGCTGGTGCGCTGCACCCACTAACTCGTCACCTAGCATTAGGTGTATCTCCCAATGCTATCCCTCCCCCCTCCCCCTCCCCCCACCCCACAACAGTCCCCAGAGTGTGATATTCCCCTTCCTGTGTCCATGTGATCTCACTGTTCAATTCCCACCTATGAGTGAGAATATGCGGTGTTTGGTTTTTTGTTCTTGTGACAGTTTACTGAGAATGATGATTTCCAATTTCATCCATGTCCCTACAAAGGACATGAACTAATCATTTTTTATGGCTGCATAGTATTCCATGGTGCATATGTGCCACATTTTCTTAATCCAGTCTATCATTGTTGGACATTTGGGTTGGTTCCAAGTCTTTGCTATTGTGAATAATGCCGCAATAAACATACGTGTGCATGTGTCTTTATAGCAGCATGATTTATAGTCCTTTGGGTATATACCCAGTAATGGGATGGCTGGGTCAAATGGTATTTCCAGTTCTAGATCCCTGAGGAATCACCACACTGACTTCCACAATGGTTGAACTAGTTTGCAGTCCCACCAACAGTGTAAAAGTGTTCCTATTTCTCCACATCCTCTCCAGCACCTGTTGTTTCCTGACTTTTTAATGATTGCCATTCTAACTGGTGTGAGATGGTATCTCATTGTGGTTTTGATTTGCATTTCTCTGATGGCCAGTGATGATGAGCTAGTGTAGTGTTTGTCAGGTTTATCTACCATAAAGTTGCTCTTTGTCCTCCCTTTCCCTTCGGTACTCTTTGGAAGGAAGTCACTTTGTGCAGCCTACAGTCTCACACCTTAGAGTTATACTCCACCACCTTACATAGCTACATAAATTATTTGTAATTCTTCTGCATCAGAAATTTGCTGTAAGCCCTTTTTAATGGTTGAGAAAACAAAGGCTTAGAGAGATTAAGGAAGTAGCCCTAGTTTCATAGTGTTTTGTGCTTTTAACTATAGCGAGCTATAGCACATGACTTCTCCTCAACTGCCCTGTGTAAAAAAGCACTCCTTGTGTAAACGTACCTAACTGGGCTTTGCCAGGTGAGCCTTTCCCACGCTGACTGAGCTGTTCAGGGTTGTTTGGCATCAATTCCTGTATTGGCTCATTTCCAAAGCTAAATATTCATTCAGCAAATAGCATGCATTTATTTGCAAGTATAAGTAAGTTTCCCTCTGATGCTTAAGCAAGCATTTCCGAAACCACTAGAAGTTACTCAATTTTGGAGAAGGATGCTGTGGAGAAAAGGGAGTGAGCTAATAAATGCTTCTATATTCTACTGAGTTTATTCACCGAAAAAAATATTTATCTGTATGTACCAAACTCTCTGGGTACAAGGCATACCATAGTAAATGAAGCCCCAGCATCTTGGAATATTTTAGTGGGAGAGAGAGAATGCAAATAAATAAATCCCTCCTGGATATTATGTCAGAAGTGCTAATGAAGAAAAACCAGAATAAGTGAATAGAATACTCAAGAAATGTCTGTGAGGGCAGGGCATTTGATCAGAGACCTAAAAGGTGTGAGGCAAGGGCATACTAGGCAGAGGGAACAGAAACTCCAGAGGCCTAAGGATATGCTTTGCTTGGCCTGACAGCAACAGGCTGGTTAGGGAACATGAATTAGGGTGAGATTACAGAGATGATTGCCTCTGTTTATGTAGGACCTCATAGAACACAGTAAGGCATCTTCTGGCTTTCATTCTAAACATGATGAGTAATCATTTAGCAGAGGAATAAAATAATAAAACTTGGATTTTTAAAATGTTACTCTGGTTTGTAATACTCTGATTGACAATGGACTCTCTGGGGCAAGAGTAGAAGCAGGACGACCAGTTAGGAAGCTATTAGAGTAGCCAAAGAAAGGGAGCGTTATAGCTGAAACTAGGGTAATAGCAATGGCAAAGGTGAGACATAGAGTAAATACATATTTTGGAGGTAGCCATGACAGGATTGGCTGGTAGATTTTTTGAATTATTGGAGTAAGAAGAGGGAGAAATCAAAGACGGCTGTAAAGTTTTTGTCCTGAATAACGGTACCAATTTCTGAGATGGGAAAGACTCACAGAGAAGCAGTTTTATGCACGTTCAGTTTGAGATGACTATGGATATTCTAGTATTGAGTAGTTGAGCCTGAAGTTTACAGGAGACACTGTGCCTGGAGATACTTATTTAGGGGAGGGCTACTGACATAATAGATGACATTGAAATCCATGGGATCGGATGAGATTATCTATGGACTAAAAGTATGAACAAAGAAGATGAAAGGGCACAGAACAAGGGACTAGCAATTGCTAGTGTAGTTGCTCACACTGAACAGTCATTGTGATAGGAACTAGGAGAATTCTGTATTCTGGAAGCCAAGTGAAGAAATTCCTCGAGGAAGATAGTGATCATATATGTGCGATGATACTGAGGACGCTGAATAAGATTTCACACCCTCAGAGGTCATGTGAGAGATTCTTTTAAACTTAATAGAGGTTATGAGGCTATCTTTCCTTCAGTGGATAAGCATTCAGATGCACAAATTTACAGTTTATTCTCCTGTTAGTCTAAGAGAAAAACAGAGGCACAGAGATGGATTTATTCACATAGTCAATCTTCTGGTTATAGCCAAAGTAGACCACAACATATAGATATAAGGCGGAAGCAGCTGAAAAGAAAACAAAGCCTCATTTGTCAATGTGATCTTTCAGGGACTCACTTTCTCTAAGCCAGCAGCATGGATACCATCCCTGAACTATTACTACATTATCAAAAATTATAGTCAGTTATACCTATGTAAATATTAAAGGTACTGCACAAAAAACTAAAAGTCATAGACAGGTTAAAGGGGATAGGTACAAAGACAAGGTAAGATGAGGCTCATTATTTTGCCATTATCAGATAAATGATATTCAACATAGATAAAATAATGACGCCTTATCTTTAAAAATAATATGTTCTGTTCTGATGAGTTAGAATAACTGAAAATGGTAACATATCATGCAGCAATGTTATTCTAATACATTAAACAGCAGTATTTGGAACAAAATATCCAGTCAGTTTCAGTAACTATTGTACCGAAATTTTTTTAAATGCAATTCAGCCTTACAAGTGCAACCACCATAAAATCAAAGACTGTAAGTTCCTAATGATGAAACCGTGTATTGTGGCCATCATCGTACTTAGCGTAGTACCGAGTACACAGCAAAGGCTCAGTAAATACTTGTTGATCGGTTGGTTGGCTGCTTGGTTGGTGAATTTGCTGATAGATGGCATTGAGGCAAGATAGATAGTGCACTACTAGTAAGTTAAAAGAAGAGAGACTCTATTTGCTAAGTGTTTCCACACGTGTCCTAAGATCTGCCTTAGGCAGAAAACTTTTCCAAATGGTAAGTTTATTTATCCAGCAAACATTATCAGTCCCCTACAGTGCTAGACTCTCATACAAAAATGAAAAAGAAACACAGAACAGAGTTAAGACCTTTAGAGTTCCAAAGTATTAAAAAGGTAATGGTCTCGATATGGAAATCAAAATAGAAACTACACTAAATAATGCAACTAGGATGAGAACACCCAATAAAGTTCTTGTTTTCCCTTTTACAACTATTTTAATACTCCCTATTTTGGAATACACTAAAAATCAGATTATTTCTCCTAAAATTTTACATCCAATGTGCCATTCTTCGCCTCTTGGTTAATTCAGCAATAATGGCACAGTATCTCCCTCACTGGAAGTTCACAGTCTAATTGGGAAAAACAGTGCTAAAAAATTAAAATGTGAAAAAATGATATTGAAATATTTACAAAGCCCTAAAGAAAATGGCAAGTATTTCCTAAAGAATTATATATATTTTTTTATTATACTTTAAATTCTAGGGTACATGTGCACAATGTGCAGGTGTATTACATTTGTATACATGTGCCATGTTGGTGTGCTGGACCTATTAACTCGTCATTTACATTAAGTGTATCTCCTGATGCTATCCCTCCCCCAACACCATGACAGGCCCTGGTGTGTGACGTTCCTCACCCTATGTCCAAGTGTTCTCATTGTTCAATTCCCACCTATGAGTGAGAACATGCAGTGTTTGATTTTCTGTCCTTGCAATAGTTTGCTCAGAATGATGGTTTCCAGCTTCATCCATGTCCCTACAAAGGACATGAACTCATCCTTTTTTATGGCTGCATAGTATTCCATGGTGTATATGTGCCACATTTTCTTAATCCAGTCTATCATTGATGGACATTTGGGTTGGTTCCAAGTCTTTGCTATTGTGAATAGTGCCACAATAAACACACGTGGGCATGTGTCTTTATAGCAGCATGACTTATAATCCTTTGGGTATATACCCAGTAATGGGATGGCTGGGTCAAATGGTATTTCTAGGTCTAGATCCTTGAGGAATCGCCACACTGTCTTCCACAATGGTTGAACTAGCTTATAGTCCCACCAACAGTGTAAAAGTGTTCCTATTTCTCCACATCCTCTCCAGCACCTGTTGTTCCCTGACTTTTTAATGATTGCCATTCTAACTGGTGTGAGATGGTATCTCATTGTGGTTTTGATTTGCATTTCTCTGATGGCCAGTGATGATGAGCATTTTTTCACGTGTCTGTTGGCTGCATAAATGTCTTCCTTTGAGAAGTGTCTGTTCACATCCTTTGCCTACTTTTCGATGGGGTGGTTTGATTTTTTCTTGTAAATTTGTTTAAGTTCTTTGTAGATTCTGGATATTAGGCCTTTGTCAGATGGGTAGACTATAAAAAGTTTCTCCCATTCTGTAGGTTGCCTGTTCACTCTGATGGTAGTTTCTTTTGCAGTGCACAAGCTCTTTAGTTTAATTAGATCCCATTTGTCAATTTGGGCTTTTGTTGCCATTGCTTTTGGTGTTTCAGTCATAAAGTCTTCGCCCATGCCTATGTCCTGAATGGTATTGCCTAGGTTTTCTTCTAGGGTTTCTATGGTTTTAGGTCTAACATTTAAGTCTTCAATCCATCTTGAATTAATTTTTGTATAAGATGTAAGGAAGGGGTCCAGTTTCAGCTTTCTACATATGGCTAGCCAGTTTTCCCAGCACCATTTATTAAATAGGGAATCCTTTCCCCATTGCTTGTTTTTGTCAGGTTTGTCAAAGATCAGATGGTTGTAGATGTGTGGCATTATTTCCAGGGGCTCTGTTCTGTTCCATTGGTCTATATCTCTGTTTTCGTACCAGTACCGTGCTGTTTTTGTTACTGTAGCCTTGTAAAATAGTTTGAAGTCAGGTAGTCTGATGCCTCCAGCTTTGTTCTTTTGACTTAGGATTGTCTTGGCAATGTGGGCTCTTTTTTGGTTCCATCTGAACTTTAAAATAGTTTTTTCCAATTCTGTGAAGAAAGTCATTGGTAGCTTGATGGGGATGGCATTGAATCTATAAGTTACCTTGGGCAGTATGGCCATTTTCACGATATTGATTCTTCCTACCCATGAGCATGGAATGTTCCTCCATTTGTTTGTGTCCTCTTTTATTTCATTGAGCAGTGGTTTGTAGTTCTCCTTGAAGAGGTCCTTCACATCCCTTGTAAGTTGGATTCCTAGGTATTTTATTCTCTTTGAAGCAGTTGTGAATGGGAGTTCACTCATGATTTGACTCTCTGTTTGTCTGTTATTGGTGTATAAGAATGCTTGTGATTTTTGCAGATTGATTTTGTATCCTGAGACTTTGCTGAAGTTGCTTATCAGCTTAAGGAGGTTTTGGGCTGAGACAATGGGGTTTTCTAAGTATACAATCATGTCATCTGCAAACAGGGACAATTTGACTTCCTCTTTTCCTAATTGAATACCCTGTATTTCTTTCTCCTGCCTGATTGCCCTGGCCAGAACTTCCAATACTATGTTGAATAGGAGTGGTGAGAGAGGGCATCCCTGTCTTGTGCCAGTTTTCAAAGGGAATGCTTCCAGTTTTTGCCCATTCAGTATGATATTGGCTGTGGGTTTGTCATAAATAGCTCTTACTATTTTGAGATACATCCCATTGGTACCTAGTTTATTGAGAGTTTTTAGCATGAACAGCTGTTGAATTTTGTTGAAGGCCTTTTCCGCATCTATTGAGATAATCGTATGGTTTTTGTCACTGGTTCTGTTTATATGCTGAATTACATTTATTGATTTGCATATGTTGAACCAGCCTTGCATCCCAGGGATGAAGCCCACTTGATCATGGTGGAGAAGCTTCTTGATGTGCTGCTGGATTCGGTTTGCCAGTATTTTATTGAGGATTTTTGCATCGATGTTCATCAGGGATATTGGTCTAAAATTCTCTTTTTCTGTTGTGTCTCTGCCAGGCTTTGGTATCAGAATGATGCTGGCCTCATAAAATGAGTTAGGAAGGATTCCCTCTTTTTCTATTGATTGGAATAGTTTCAGAAGGAATGGTACCAGCTCCTCCTTGTACCTCTGGTAGAATTCGGCTGTGAATCCATCTGGTCCTGGACTTTTTTTGGTTGGTAAGCTATTAATTATTGCCTCAATTTCAGAACTTGGTATTGGTCTATTTAGGGATTTGACTTATTCCTGGTTTAGTCTTAGGATGGTGTATGTGTCCAGGAATTTATCCATTTCTTCTAGATTTTCTAGTTTATTTGCATAGATGTGTTTATAGTATTCTGTGATGGTAGTTTGTATTTCTGTGGGATCAGTGGTGATATCTCCTTTGTCATTTTTTATTGCGTCTATTTGATTCTTCTCTCTTTTCTTCTTTATTAGTCTTGCTAGCGGTCTATCAGTTTTGTTGATCTTTTCAAAAAACCAGCTCCCATATTCATGGATCTTTTGAAGGGTTTTTTGTGTCTCTATTTTCTTCAGTTCTGCTCTTAGTTATTTCTTACCTTCTGCTAACTTTTGAATGTGTTTGCTCTTGCTTCTCTAGCTCTTTTAATTGTGACATTAGGGTGTCAATTTTAGATCTTTCCTGCTTTCTCTTGTGGGCATTTAGTGCTATAAATTTCCCTCTACACACTGCTTTAAATGTATCCCAGAGATTCTGGTATGTTGTGTCTTTGTTCTCATTGGTTTCAAAGAACATCTTTATTTCTGCCTTCATTTCATTATGTACCCAGTAGTCATTCAGGAGCTGTTCAGTTTCCATGTAGCTGAGCGGTTTTTGAGTGAGTTTCTTAATCCTGAGTTCTGATAGCACTGTGGTCTGAGAGTCTGTTATAATTTCTGTTATTTTACATTTGCTGAGGAGTGCTTTACTTCCAAGTGTGTGGTCAATTTTGGAATAAGTGCAATGCAATGTGGTGCTGAGAAGAATGTATATTCTGTTGATTTGGGGTGGAGAGTTCTGTAGATGTCTATTAGGTCTGCTTGGTGCAGAGCTGAGTTCAAGTCCTGGATATCCTTGTTCTCTTTCTGTCTCATTGATCTAATGTTGACAGTGGGGTGTTAAAGTCTCCCATTATTATTGTGTGGGAGTCTAAGTCTCTTTCTAGGTCTCTAAGAACTTGCTTTATGAATCTGGGTGCTCCTGTATTGGGTGCATATATATTTAGGATAGTTAGCTCTTCTTGTTGCATTGATCCCTTTACTATTATGTAATGCCCTTCTTTGTCTCTTTTGACCTTTGTTAAAGTCTGTTTTATCAGAGACTAGGATTGAAACCCCTGCTCTTTTTGTTTTCCATTTGCTTGTTAGATCTTCCTCCATCCCTTTAATTTGAGTCTATGTGTGTCTCTGCATGTGAGATGGGTCTCCTGAATACAGCACATTAATGGGTCTTGACTCTTTATCCAATTTGCCAGTCTGTCTTTTAATTGGGGCATTTAGTTCGTTTACATTTAAGGTTAATATTGTTATGTGTGAATTTGATCCTGTCATTATGATGCTAGCTGGTTATTTTGCCCGTTTGTTGATGCAGTTTCTTCATAGTGTCAATGGTCTTTACAATTTCCATCTTTTTGCAGTGGCTGGTACCGGTTGTTCCTTTCCATGTTTGTTTAGTGCTTCCTTCAGGAGCTCTTGTAAGGCAGGCCTGGTGGTGACAAAATCTCTCAGCATTTGCTTGTCTGTAAAGGATCTTATTTCTCATTCACTTATTAAGCTTAGTTGGGCTGGAGATGAAATTCTGGGTTGAAAATTCTTTAAGAATGTTGAATATTGGCCCCTACTCTCTTCTGGCTTGTAGGGTTTCTGCAGGGAGATCTGCTGTTAGTCTGACGGGCTTCCTTTTGTGGGTAACCCAACATTTCTCTCTGGCTGCCCTTAACATTTTTTTCTTCATTTCAACCTTGGTGAATCAGACGATTATGTGTGTTGGGGTTGTGGTTGCTCTTCTCGAGGAGTATCTTTGTGGTGTTCTCTGAATTTCCTGAATTTGAATGTTGGCTCCCTTGCTATGTTGGGGAAGTTCTCCTGGATGATATCCTGAAGAGTGTTTTCCAACTTGGTTCTATTCTCCCTGTCACCTTCAGGTACACCAATCAGATGTAGAGTTGGTCTTTTCACATAATCCCATATTTCTTGGAGGCTTTGTTCATTTTTTACTTTTTTCTCTAAACTTCTCTTCTCGCTTCATTTCATTCATTTGATCTTCAATCACTGATACCTTTCTTCCACTTGACTGAATCAGCTACTGAAGCTTGTGCATGCATCACATAGTTCTCATGCCATGGTTTTCAGCTCCATCAGGTCATTTAAGATCTTCTCTATGCTGTTTATTCTAGTTAGCCTTTCGTCTAATCTTTTTTCAAGGTTTTAGCTTCTTTGCGATGGGTTCGAACATCCTCCTTTAGCTTGGAGAATTTTGTTATTACCGATCATCTGAAGCCTACTTCTGCCAACTCATCAAAGTCATTCTCCATCCAACTTTGTTCCTTTGCTGGTGAGGAGCTGCGTTCCTTTGGAGGAAAAGAGGCGCTCTGATTCTTAGAATTTTCAGCTTTTCTGCTCTGTTTTCTCCCCATCTTTGTGGTTTTATCTACCTTTGGTCTTTGATGATGGTGACGTACAGATGGGGTTTTGGTGTGGATGTCCCTTCTGTTTGTTAGTTTTCCTTCTAACAGTCAGGATCCTCAGCTGCAGGTCTGTTAGAGTTTGCTGGAGGTCCACTCCAGACCCTGTTTGCCTGGGTATCACCAGCGGAGGCTGCAGAACAGCAAATATTGCAGAATGGCAGATGTTGCTGCCTGATCCTTCCTCTGGAAGCTTTGTCTCAGAGGGGCACCCGGCTGCACGAGGTGCCAGTCAGCCCCTACTGGGAGATGCCTCCTAGTTAGGCTACTTGGGAGTCAGGGACCCACTTGAGGAGGCAGTCTGCCCAGTCTCAGATCTCAAACTCCATGCTGGGAGAACCACTACACTCTTCAAAGCTCAGTTGGAAATGCAGAAATCATCCATCTTCTGCATTGCGCCTGCTGGGGGCTATAGACTGGAGCTGTTCCTACTTGGGCATCTTTGAACTGCCCTTACCGTATTTCCTGAAGAATTAAAACAAGGAACCTAGGGAAGGAGAAAGCATTGAGAAAAAAGATGTAGGTAATGTCAAATAGAAGTTAAACAGTACATGATTACTTTAATTTTGAATTACTGTTAATATTGTTTACATTGAGTTTTAATGGGAAAATACAAATAAGCGATTAAATTTAGAAGGAGGTATGATTTTATTATTTAAATATTATTTTTCATGTAGCTTATTATTACATTGTCATGTTAAATTTATGTATTAAATCTGCCTGTCTCATGGTAGAAGAATTCCGTTAAAATTATTCATCCCATGAAATGAGCAAAAGCACTGCTGGATTTACAGGCCTGGAAATGTTTTCTATTCTGCTTATTAAGTGATCTCATGCGTTTGAAATAATATACTCACATTGAAAATCCAGGCACTTGGATTTATCTTGCACATTTATTTTAGGGAAAGGAAGATGATAGTATTTATAGGCATTTCTTCTTCTCTTGTCTAAATGATAACTTGGGTACCTTTGTTAAGTCTAGAACATATCCTGATAGAAAGATGTTTGACACAACTAGTCTCAAATCCCCAAATTGTGAAAATGGAATAGGTAACTGATTTTTTCCTGCTGAATCTATTATAATTGTCAATGAGTAGTCATATCCACTCCTACTTAAAGTAGGTTAGCTTCTTATATTAACAACATTCTCTGTAGGAAAAAAGAAAAACACTTTTAAATGATTGCTATGAAACTAAAATTACTATTCTAGCCTAAAATATGAGTACAGGAAGAAATTATACAGCTGTAGTTTACATTCATCTTCCTTATATTCTTAGAAAATATGATGGTAAAGATCACTCAGGTGACTTTTGAAGATTAATTCAGTAGTCATCTATACAGATTTCCTTTATGACTCAAGAATACAGATTTTTGAAAGCTAATACTACTTATTTGTGTTTTAACTACATCCTTTCATAATGACAATCTGACAGTACCAACCTCGTGTCACAGAGATTGTCTGTTCCACCTCCTTCATTGTCTACATGATATGCTCCTCCTCCAATGGACTCAGTATTTCCTACTACATATCAGACGTTCCACCTTAAAAACACCTTAACAGTCTGAGCTAATAGTATGTTTAGCTATTCATTTCCTAGTATGTTTAGCTATTCATTTCCCAAGCTAGAACCTTAACACTAGCTCTCAAAATTTCTCCTTCTCTCTGAACTCCACATTTAATAAACCTTGACAATCCCTCTTCAGAAATCACTCTCCTTTCTTAAGCCCTGCCATTGGATTAGTTCAGGACCTCGTTGTCTGTTACCTTAATCAATGCAGTAGTTATTTTACATTCCAGTTGAACCCTAACTTTACCTCCAGAATTATCTTTTAAAAAATGATTATGCCACTCCCCTCATAGTGGGAGTAATTCCCTCTGAAGATTATAAAACAAAGAAACAAACAAAGATAATTCCTTAGCCTGGAATACAATGTCCTCCACTATAAAGTCCCAACTTACCATGTGCAGCCTTATGTCGCAGTATTCCATCCGGCTACATTCACTCTCTCAGCTGTCCTTTCATGAAACTTGTCTATTTGGGTATAAATCCACAAGCTCTGATATCAACATATCTGCCTGGTCTTTATCAGAAAACATTCTTGTTAACCAATTTCATACTTATCCCCACCACCAGTTCCTGATTTTATTTCTCTCTGAGACCATGAAGCCTTCCTCCTCTCCTTCAGAACCAATGCTTGGGGCTTCTTCTCCAGCTTTGAGCTGCAGCTTCCCTCTTTCTCCTTGACCATTCTAGTATATAGCTTTCCAGTACCTTCCCCAGACATGCCCCCACAGCCCTTCACCTCAGCGGACTCTCATGATTGTCCTCATCTCCAAGTTTATCATAATCCTGCAAGTAAAACCTAGACCATGCCTTGCCTTTACACAAGATAGAAGGAATGCCTCTTGCTGGAATCTCTTACCCTCCCCTTTAACTTGCCAATTCCTACTCAAAACAAAGGTCACGTATCAATTCTTCTATGACGCCTTCATTGAATCCCCTAAATAGTAAATCGCCATATTCCTTGTTTATCTGGGTTCCCAAAATATTTCATATATTTTGTATAACACTACTCCTTTGTATGGTAAAATATTCAGCTCCCCTAGTAGATGATGAGCTTCTTACAGACAAGAAAAATATCTTTTAAAAGTGTGGATATTTGTAATGTCTCTTAAATCCTCTTAAGAATAAGACAAAATATGGGGGTAGGGAGGAGGAATAGAGAGAGGGAGGGAAAAAGAGAGAAAACAAATTTAGTATTGAAAGGAGCTTTCAAATTTTTTTACCTTGACCTACAATAAGGAATACATTTTACACCGTAAATTTAGTGTGCACACACACACAATGGATATTAAAACATTTCAAAGAGTAATATTGCTTAGTAATGCAGTGCACTTTATTCTAATTTTTAACACTGAGCTACTAAATTCATTTCTAGAGCATGATACATAAGGATTATTTAGGGATCTTTAAAATATATTTTCATGCCTCCATTCCAGTCCCAGAGATTTTAAGTGACATGGGATGGAACCTGCACAAAGAAGTTTTTAAAAGCTGCCCTGATATTTCTAATATGCCAACTCAAGTATGAACTGCAGGTCTAGAGGCTTGTTATTCACACTGTGATCCATGAACCGGCAGCATTGGCATCACCTGAAAACTTGTCAAGGTATGCAGAATCTTGGACCCCACGCAGATGTCCTGATCAGAAAACGCCCTGTAACAAGATCCCAGGTATCTCATAAGCTCATTCAACTTTAAGAAACACTGCTGAGCTTAGAGCACAGAGAGGCAGTTAAAGGTAATGGTTAGGAGTGAGAACTCTGGCGACCATGGGCAAGTTACTAACCTTTCGGGCTTTAGTTTCCCCATTTCCCAAACTAGGACATTAACAGTCTTATGACCATAGGATTCCTGTGAGGGTTATCAGATAATTTGTATTAAGGGTTTCACACAATGCCTGGCACATAACAAGGATAAAATAAGCATCATCTATTTTTATTATTCCCAGCACCAGCAAAATGACTAGCAAAATTACTCACAAATAGGAAGCATTCAAAAAATTGAATTGTTTTGTTCATTTATTGGAGACTGAGAGAGGTAAAATAATTCAACATAATTATGTAACTGTATTATGTAACTATTTTACCAAAAATCTAAGGATACAAAGGAGTTCTAAAAATGGATTAAGATTTTTTTTGGATGCGTAACCTAGATTGTCTGCCCTGCTGCTAACACTTTCTCATGTGGGAGGTTTTGGTATTTGTTGGAGTGCAAGTTTTGCTAAGCATCTGTGTGTGTGAATCCATGTACTAGAAACAGTGCTTTCAGTGAGTTCGTTTTGCCCTGGCTCATAAAAGCTGTCTCCTAAGTTGTCAAAGTTACTCACCGGCTGTTAAACCATTCAGAGTGTCCGTGGCCAGTTGACCAGCCCTTATTTATCCTTCAGCTGCTGCCCATGTTAATTCTAATTTAAACTGTAAAGTGTGTTTTTTAAAATTGTAAACATTTATTTTTAGCATATATTTTCTGTACTTATTTCTGGAATGAAATTCAAAACGTGATTTTGCCCAGAGAAATTCCTGGTCATTAGCTCAAACATAACAGTGTTTTGGGGGAGGGAGGAAGATTCTCCTACCATATAATCAAGGTCCCTTTGTTAATGGACACACTAGCGGCTGATTCTGCTCCCATTTTGATGACAGGCAGCTAAGTTTCTCCACTGAAGACAAAACCACACCTGGAGTCAAATTAGAATTCATGTTAGAATTCATGTCCTGAGCTGGTGACTACCTTACAGCTCAGTGAACTATATTATTCCTTTTTGCTTGGAAATCATGCTGAATCCACTAGAATATATAAAGGGAATGCAGCACTTCAAAAGTTCAGCTAGATACTGATAAATACATTGCATTGACTTCTGGCCAAATCAGCGTGATCAGCTTCTTCAGACTGGAAATGAAGGATTCTTATTTTAAAAAAAAAAAAAAAGAAAAGAAAACCTCCCCTTTCCTCAGCCCAAACACCAATTAGGGTAGGTGAAGCAGAGAGGAGTGGACACATGGATAAAAGTGTATTTGCCAAAAGTCCTCAGGAACAGCTGAGATTGGATAGCAACTTAATTAAACTGCATAGTTCTCTATTTTTAAACAGAATTGGCTATTTTTCATATTTAAAATGTCAAAAAATAACTAGAAACTGGTTCTTAAAAAAACATTTGCCTAGGGGAAGGTTTAAGCCATTTCAGGTGTAAACTGGCATGTCTAAGTCTCCTGCTTTGTAGGTAAGTGGTGTCACACCATGTTATATACTGTGTGTGTACTCATATTTAAATTTTTTCTTGTTTGTGCTGTTTTAGACACAATTTTAATTTACTCATCTGTTAAATGTTACACATTTATCACCTTGTGGTACTGAGGCATTTATTTAATGTTGTGTTAAACACCTGCTTATCCTTAAGTGAAAAATGAAAAATAATTACTCCTGAGTTTTAACATGCAGAAAAGGTAATATTTTTCATCAATTTTCTCCCATTTATGGCCTATTAACATAAATTAAATAGAATACATGCTCACTGACATTTAAAATACCACTTTTAATGGGGTCTTTTGGGTTACTTTACAAAAACAGATTTATCGCTTTTTAGGCCAATTACAGATGCCATGACATACAGCAGTAACCACTTTGGAATAGGCATGTATTCTATAGATGACTGATCCATTACTTTATCAGTTACCTGAGTACACAAGCTAGATCACAGTTATGAAAAAGAATTTCCTAGCCATTCTCTCCCATGAAAAATTGAGAATATTTCTTTCAGGGAATTTAAAATACCATTTCGGAGAAACACGAAATTTAAAATCATTTATTACAGACAAGAAATGCTAATGAGAACATTTAAAAACAATGGTCAGGTAACTCACCAAGCACTTCGTAATTTATTAGGTATATTTACTTATTCATATATTTACTTATTCAGGTTAATAAAGGATATGTTTGACACAATATCAGACTGACCTTCTTTCTTGGCAAATACTACCTTAAATTCTCTAGAGCTAATTCCATCACCAGCCATTCTTTTCAAGGACAGCTTGTTATTATTCTCTTGGAAACAACAGACTGTCATACAGAATAACATGTACTTCATCCGAAATTCTTTATTGAAGAAGGCCTAGAAAACAAAGTGATTTCAAGCTTTGACTCTTGAGATACGTAATTTCAGAAAACTTTTCCTCTGTACTTAAGTTTTAGAATATTCAAATTTTGTGAGAACACATTGTACTAGGAAAATTATTTTCAAAGGAAATCCATAATCCCAGCACTTTGGGAGGCAGAAGTATCACTGGAGCTCAGGAGTTCAAGACCAGCCTGGGTAACATAGTGAGACCTCATCTCTAAAATAATAATAAAAGCAATATAATAAATGAAAGGAAATCCAGGTCATATCTTATTATTTCTTGAGTTCAGCCTAAACTTCTATATTATTTCCATAGATATTTACTTTGTTGGATAATGGAATCTGATAGCTCATTGTTAACATAAACATCAGTCAAATCATGAAGGATCCATTTTGGTTTAATGTTTAGGACTTCTTAATGCTGAAAATTGAACAAATATTGTGACCCTCCCACCCCTCATGAAGTCAACAAAGCTTGAAATCAATAGGGTTTTCTAGCTAAATATCTTAATCCAGATTGATCAGTTGAATCACCCTGCACCATTTTATTTCAGAATTATATTTAGGCCATAAAGAAATTATCATAAAATGAATTTATTTATTACCTAAGTACAAAGTTGGATTAGGAATTGTATGCAGAAAATTACATATTCAGAAAGTCTTTTTTTCCTGAAACTTACAGTCTAAGGCAGGGGTCAGCAAACATTTCCTGGAAAAGACAAGATAGATAGATAGATAGTAAATATTCTTGGCTTTATGGGCTACACGGTCTCTGATGCAACATTTCAACTCTGCTGTTGTAGCACAAAACCATTCACAGGCAATATGTAAAAACATGACGTTGGCTGTCCCAATAAAACTTTATTTGCAAAAATAGGCAGTGTGCTGGGTTTGCCTACTTGTCACAGTTTGCTGACTCTTGGTCTAAGAGAAAGTCTTGGCAAGACAAACAGTATCACTTCAATGGCCTTTGGAAAGAATTTGGCATAGGGACTCCGAGTGGTAGAAGAACCAGGACAGGGAAAATCAAGGTAAAGGAGCATCAGCCACTAAATGAGTTTAAGTCTCCAGGACATTGATTATATTCCAAAGCTTCTTTTTAAATCCAAAGTTGTTTTAATACCAGCAATAGTACTACACATGCTTTATAGTTTATATAATACCTTCCCATATATCATCTCTTAAGATTATGTCTGTTTCATAGATGAAGTGATTGTTGCAAAGGCAATTCAATGGTATTAGAAACATGTTTTCTGATTCCAAGCATTCAAAGTTTATTCTCTTGAAAGAACTCACAGTGAAAATTCTGTAAGAAATGAAAGTGAATGGGAGAAATATGGAACATGAAAGCCAGGCAAGTTTTCTCCTTTTTTTTTTTTTGAGATGGAGTTTTGCTCCATCTTATTTCTTCCATGAAATAAGGTTATTAGGATAGTCCCATAGAGTATTTTGAGTTTAGCAAGACACTTAACAAAAAAACTCTTGATGGAGATAAGTTGGTTAAATATCACCTGGAAAATACCTCAGGATAATGTGTAGCTTTCTGAATACAGAGAGTGAGTTCACAAATGAATTAATATCACTATGCTGCCAGACTCTACTTGTGACTGTATTTAGAATGAGAGAGTATGTATGTGTATTAGTCCATTTTCATACTGCTATAAAGAACTGCCTGAGACTGGGTAATTTCTAAAGGAAAGAAGTTTAATTGAGTCAGTTCAGCATGGCTGGAGAGGCCTCAGGAAACTTACAATCATGGTGGAAGGATAAGAGGAAGCAAGGCACTTACTTACTTCACAAAGTGGCAGGAAGGAGAGGTGCTCAGTGAAGCGGGGAAGAGTCCCTTATGAAACCATCAGATCTGGTGAGAACTCACTATCATGAGAACAGGATGGGGGAAACTGCCCCCATAATTTAATTACATCCACCTGATCTCTCCCTTGACATGTGGGGATTATGGAGATTACAATTCAAGATGAGATTTTGGGTGGGGACACAGCCAAGCCACATCAGTATGTATTTTAAAGTTTTTAAAAATATCAATAGATCATGAATGAATAACAACAAAATATGCCTATTAAATGTATAGATTATAAGTGCTGGAGAAATGGATCAGGATTCAAAAGGATCTCAGACTAAAAATGTAGACTGAAGAGGATATTTAATAAATGTAAAGAGTTGAGCTTAGATTAGAAAAATGAAAAGGAAGAGAAAAAAATGATATCTGATGACTCTTTGAAGGATAGCAGGTAAAAGTTATGAGGAAGGAGATTTTGATTCAGTTTAAGGAAGAATATTTAACAATTATGGCTCTGCCATGGTGTGATGACCCACCTCCATAGAGTGAACTGGTGGGAAGACAACACGCTTCAGAGCTGTGCTTTTCAATTTTTTTTTTTTTTTTTTTTTTTGTATACCCATCACCTGAAGATCAAGTTAAAAGGCAATTCCTGATGCAGATGGTCGGGGGAGGGACTTGACATTCCGTATTTCTAACCAACTCCAGTGGTGCCATTGTTGTAGTCCCTGACTGTCCACAGTCTGAGTGTCAAGGCTTTATGGTTCCACCCACCTGGCTCCACCACTTACTCCTGAGTTCCTTGGAACATACTTAACGTCTCAGTCTAATCTTTCTAACCTGGTAAAATGGAGGTAGTGATACTTATATGTCACGGGACTCTTGGGAGGACTAAACAAGATTCTATGTGCTGACACATAATGAATACTTAATAAATATCAATCTCCTTTCCTCCTTCACTTCCTTATTATAACAGCTGCAGTGGGATAACCAGCTGCCAGGAATTCTGAAAGAGGAGTTCTTGTGTTTTGCAGGTCTCTTACAAACAATATGTTGTAAGCTGAGAAAGTGGAAGTTCAGTGGCTCTTTCCTGTCCTTTCCTGGCTTTAACTCTAAATTAGATACAAATTTGGTATCCACCAGTAACCACCACCCCTTCCACATCCCCCACAATTTGTCTTTCTTTGTGAAGGAGGTATTTGTGGGGTGATGAGCCTCAGTTTAGCTAAACAAGTGACTTCCTTTTCCCCACAGGAGATAGCTTCCCCATGCCATGAGTGCCACCTGATCCTGCAGCATCAGGACACCCTTCCAAATCCCCCAGAAACTATGCTGAGCGCTGCTTACCTTGCTCTATCTCAAAGGCCATTCTATTTCCAGCTTAAATTCTGAGTTTTCCCAGAGGTCACTCTGAAGGCGGCAAACTTGCCATGTTTCAGCTGGTGAAGCTGGGTTTGATTAAGCTGGGTTTGCTTGCCATGTTTAAGCTGAGTTTGCTTAAGGATAAGCTGAGATTGCTGCTGGGTTTGAGGATGCCTGCAGGTGTCCTGTATGAGGCAAATCTTACACTTTTCAGTTTTCAATCTCCGTATTGATAGTAGTTAAGCACTGCCGCTTTAGTTAATGACAGATCCTGCTATTGGAGCCAGAAAAGCAAGAATTTTCACTAAATTGTTTCTGTGCTCACTTAAACTACAACTGTAGCCTCAATGGGAAGGAACACTCTGGATGGACCAACACACACCACACACACACATGCACAGACATGTATATATCCCATGACTGTCTCCCCACTCAGAGGGATCTGAACACAGGAACATGGGTTAGTCTCCTTAATGCTGGCTCAGGCCTATCAGTTTGGTTTCATCAGCTCCCACCTGACTTCTCCCTTCTTTATTTCCTAGCTGCAGCTAAGATGCCCTGAGGGTGATTGAATTTAGGCTATCATTCACCTGTTTACTGCAGTTTTAAGCCTGATGTTCAGCCTGGACTCACTCTCTTCCTGACTAAATAATTGTGTCTAAAACAGCACAAACAAGAGAAAATTTAAATATGAATACACACACACAGCATACAATATGGTGTGTCACAACTTACCTACAAAGCAGGAGACTTAGACGTGCCAGTTTATCCACTCGGAGTGACTTAAGCCTTCCCCTAGACAAATGTTTTTGGACTATGTCTCATCAAAATTGTTCAGACATAAGCTGTATTTCTGTGTGTTTAACTGAGAGTTCTGATACCACCGTTTGAGTCAACAGGAAATACAATCCCAGAACTGAAGAAGTGTGACTAATCCAAAGAATCTGATCCCATTCGGTGTTTGTGCTGTACCAAGTAAGTAAAGGACTAAAAACCAACTAGTAAAACCAGGTAGTGTGAAACCAGTTCTGATATGTTAAAATCCTTCTCCCACATCCCCTGTCACATATCCCCTGCCCTAATCACTAACCATCACCATCATCTTCATTTTTCTTCAATAAGTTTAATAAATAAGTTTGAATAGATACATTGTATAGTTCCAGAAATAGGAGATCAGACTCCTCTTTTCAGTAAAATTTGAGCTTTGGTCTCTGTATAGCTAGTGCTCTCCAGAGAAACAAAACCAGAGTAGGTATTGGCTCACACAAATCGTGAGGGCTGGCAAATTTAAAATCTGAAGGGCAGGGAAGCAGACTGGAAACTCTTGGACAGGAACTGATGCTTCAGTTTTGAGGCAAAATTTCTTCTTCCTCAGGGAAACCTCAATTTTATTCTTAAGGCCTTTCAACTGATTGGATGAGACCTGGCCAAAGTATCAACGATGATCTCCTTTACTTAAAGTCAGTTAATTGTAGATGTTAACTATATCCACAAAATGTATTTACCAAGCAACATCGAGATTAGGGTTTCATTGAATAATTGGGACTACAGTCTAGCCAACTTGACACATAAAACTATCCATCACAGTCCTTATGAACAGAAAAATCTTCCACATCTATATTTGAGTAGTAATCTCTTCTTTAACTTGTATTATTTCAGAGAGCTTATAAAAACCATATCAATCCAGATCCACAAAACACAAGGCGGGAGTGCAGGCAATTATTGAAATACTTAAATTATGAGTTTTTGCTTATCTGAATTAGTAGAGCAGACAACCTCACTTCACTAGAAACTTGATTGTCTTCTACTCCCAAACCTACTCTTGAGGAACAGCAGTGCCATGAAATCAGCAGCTAATTAATGGTACTCTGTATCAGGGCAGAGACACTGAAAAACCTTAGAATGCACGTTTGGTTGTTGTGTGTTTTTTTGTAATTCCCAGTACTCCCCAGGATAAGCATCTCTTACCCTACTTTGCTGAAATAATGATGTGAGTTTCCTTATAAATCAAGATGCTATTGCTCCTACTACCCTTTTGTTTCCCCTCTGGAGTCAGATAAAAAGGTACTTTTCTCAATCTGAAGCCAAACTTCAAGCTAAACTTTCAAATTCACATACTCTGATCTTGGATCACATTCTCCTAACCCAATGTGTTTTCTCTTTCCCAATTCCTCCTCCTCTTTGCTCTTCTGTCTGCCTGCTCTGATTACTTTTCTATGCATTTTCTACCTCTCCCTACCAGACTTCTTAGATGTAGTAGATAGACAGCCACCACATCTATAGTCTCACTACTTGTTCTCTCTCCAATTTCCTATACTATTGTCTCTACTCTCAGTAGCCTACTGAAACTATTCCTGGGGTATACCCACTTGGCGAAATCAATGGCTACTTTCCAATCTGATGTTCTACTGTTGCCACGTTGTAAACAGGTAATCAGCCCTTCTTCAGACACCATTCTTCTCTGGCACCCTACACTAATGACTCTTCTCTGAAATCTCACTTTTCCTATCTCCCTCATGGGCTTCTCTTACCTCAGAATCCACTCTCTTGCTAACCCCATTTTCTAAAACTTGCTGCACCTTTGGATAGCTCTGTTCTGGACATCTCATGCCTTCTTGAAATGTTACTAATTTTTTGCATTTGGCAAATGTTTGCAAGCCTTTACTGTGTGTCACTGCTGTACTGGATGCCCCCTAGATAAATGAGAAATAAGGGTGATTATTTTCTACGTTATTCCAAAGAGAAGAGGTAAAAAGTTTCTTTCATTTTGTTTTGATACTTTTGTGATCACTGGTTATTTTTAATATTTCACTGAAGTATTAAATGGGAATTACACATTGAATCATAATAAATTATGATAATTTTCCTTGCTAAATCATAGTTTACTATACTTTAAGATCAAGGACTATATTTTACTCATCTTTGTATCTGCTGGGACTTCATATTTATTAAATGGGTACTAAAACATTAAAATTATTTTTTATGACAAAAATACATCAAACTAATGTAAGTTACACTAGTTGACTCACTCATGCTGATTAGAAACTACAACTAGTAGTTAAATTAGTAAAAATAGAACTAATTTAATAAATAAGATTGAGATTGGAAAATCGTTTTAAATATGGAATGCAGAGAGAAATAAGAAGTCTGGAAGTGAATGCTTAGGACCTAGGTCTCTATATTGATGACTCCAAAATTTGTATCTCTAGCCCCTCCCCTCAATGTTTACAAGTCTCCTCCCCCTTCCACTAGAATTTACCAGGCACATATCATTCTTCTCCTCTACCATGAATTTTCATGCACACCAGTGATATTACTATTCTCATAGATAACCAGGTTAACATTTTAAATATATCTTTAGCTTGTAAGATACTGAAAATAAAGATGATATTGTATATTTCATATACATATAATATGTAAGGTAACTCATAACTGCAATTATCTTTTACCTATATTCACTCGACTGTTAATCAACTATAGTCAGTAAATTGTTAAAATTAGTGTTCATGCATCTTTCCTGATTTAAAAAAAATTAGTAAAGAGTCTATAAGAAAATTTTGACTGAACAAAGAAAAATACTTAAGTGAAATAAACACTGAAGTTTATGTTAGTATTCCCTTTGCCTTTGGGGAAAAAAAAAATAAAATTCCACCACTTAGCTCTAATCTTTCCCCACTAAGCAAGTAGATGCATTGTCAGATTTAAAATGATAATTGCATGTGTAGTAGGTTAATAAATTTAAGAACCTGCAGTCAAACCCACAGGGAAAATGAAACTAAGACAAAAAATTAAAGACATTTGACAGTAGAAAATATTTGGTAGAGTTTCTATTTCCTGTCCTTTCAGAGCTAAGTCTAAATTTTAATTAATATTTTTTCCAATATCTTGACTCAAGCATTTTATGCTGAAGGAATTATTGAAAGATCGACTAGCAGACTTTTGATGTAGCAATAAATATTTATGATCTGCTGACTGTATTTTTATATTATTCATTGACTAAGTCCTTAGATCTCTTGCTTCCCTAGACCAGTAATTAGGGAGATGAAATATGAGTTTATGCTTTCTCTGTCAGTTTCCTGAGTAGAATTCAAAATGGAAAGGGTAATAATCACATGGCCTCAACAGTCATTGATTACTGTTTATGTAGAAAAGTTAGCATGTCTGTGTAACTAAAACTGAAAATACAGTGTACAAAAAAGATATTACGTATATGTTTCAGGTGTTCTAGACCTAAGAGAACTGATTTATTTACAGTCAGCTAAAGGGCTAACTGCTCTCTCCATATTCTAGTCCATTATTTTCATTAAGATTATCCAACCGACTGTCAGTTAACTGGTATATCCAGTCCTATTACTAATAATTCTTCTGCCTTTTAGAATTCATGAAAAACTAAGACTTAAGATTTTCAAAGCTTCAGCATTTCGTAAAATACCTTAAAATCATTTTCATTGTTTTCTTTATTGTACATATTAGATGTTTATGACCTCAGAGTTACATCCCCAGTCATCCTCTCTGATAGGCTTGGCATTTTGTTTTTCTTTTCTTCTCATTTGCTTGCTTTAGGACTTGGGCAGGCTGACTAGCCCATTCAAATATAGCTAATTCTGTCACTGAGTAATTCTGTCACTGAGTGATTCTCCCTATGGGCCACAACTTGTGAATAAAAACAAGACTGTTATGTCAAGATAAAGTATCATCTGGGTCTGCTGGCAAGATGGCCAAATAGGAACAGCTCCAATCTGCAGCTCCCAGCGAGATCGAGGCAGGTGATTTCTGAATTTCCAACTGAAGTACCTGGTTCATCTCACTGGGACTGGTTGGACAGTGGGTGCAGCCCACAGAGGGCAAGCCAAAGCAGGGTGGGGAATCACCTCACCTGGGAAGCACAAGGGGTTGGGGAATTCTCTCCCCTTCCCAAGGGAAGCCATGAGAGACTGTACCAGGAGGAACAATGCACTCCAGTCCAGATACTGTGCTTTTCCCACCATCTTCACAGCCGGCAGACCAGGAGATTCCCTCTGGTGCCTACCCCACCAGGGCCCTGGGTTTCAAGCACAAAACTGGGCAGCCATTTGGCCAGACACCAAACTAGCTGCAGGAGTTTTTTTTTTCATACCCCAGTGGAACGTGGAACACCAGCAAGACAGAACCATTCACTCCCCTGGAAAGGAAAAGAGGCTGAGGCCAGGGAGCCAAGTGGTCTGGCTCAGCGGGTCCCACCCCCACAGAGCCCAGCAAGCTAAGATCCACTGGCTTGAAATTCTCACTGCCAGCACAGCAGTCTGACCCTGACCTGGGACGCTTGAGCTTGATAGGGGAAGGTGCATCCACCACTGCTAAAGCTTGAGTAGGTGGTTTTCCCCTCACAGTGTACATAAAGCTGCCATGAAGTACGAACTGAGGGGAGCCCACCGCAGCTAAGCAAGGCCTCTGCAGCCAGACTTCCTCTCTAGACTCCTCAACTCTGGGCAGGGCATCTCTAAAAAAAAAAGGCAGCACCCCAGTCAGGGACTTATAGATAAAACCCCCATCTCCCTGGGACAGAGCACTTGGGGGAAGGGGCGGTTCTGGGCACAGCTTCAGCAGACTTAAACGTCCCTGCCTGACAGCTCTGAAGAGAGCAGTGGTTCTCCCAGCACAGCATTTGAGCTCTGTTAAGGGACAGACTGCCTCCTCAAGTGGGTCCCTGACCCCTGTGTATCCTGACTGGGAGACACCTCCCAGTAGGAGCTGACAGACACCTCATACAGGAGAGCTATGGCTGGCATCTGCAGGTGCCCCTCTGGGATGAAGCTTCCAGAGGAAGGAACAGGCAACAAACTTTGCTGTTCTGCAGCATCTGCTGGTGATACCCAGGCAAACAGGGTCTGGAGTGGACCTCCAGCAAACTCCAGGAGACCTGCAGCAGAGGATCCTGACTGTTAGAAGGAAAACTAACAAAGAGAAAGGAATAGTATCAGCATCAACAAAAAGCACATCCACTCAGAAACTCCATCCGAAGGTCCCCAACATCAAGGACCAAAGGTAGATAAATCCACAAAGATGGGGAGAAACCAGTGCAAAAAGGCTGAAAATTCCAAAAACCAGAATGCCTCTTCTCCTCCAAAGGATCACAACTCCTCGCCAGCAAGGGAAGAAAACTGGGTGGAGAATGAGTTTGACGAACTGACAGAAGTACACTTCAGAAGGTAGGTATTAGCAAACTCCTCCGAACTAAAGGAGCATGTTCTAACTCAATGCAAGGAAGCTAACAACCTTGAAAAAAGGTTAGATGAATTGCTAACCAAAATAAACAGTTTAGAGAAAATATAAATGACCTGATGGAGCTGAAAAACACAGCACAAGAACTTCTTGAAGTATACATAAGTATCAATAGCCGAATCGATCAAGTGGAAGAAAGGATATTAGAGATTGATATCAACTCAATGAAAAAAAGCGAGAAGAGAAGATTAGGGAAAAAAGAGTGAAAAGAAATGAACAAAGCCTCCAAGAAATATGGAACTATGTGAAAAGACCAAATCTACGTGTGATTGGTATACCTGAAAGTGACGGGGAGAATGGAACCAAGGTGGAAAACACTCTTCAGGATATCATCCAGGAGAACTTCCCCAACATAGCAAGGGAGCCAACATTCAAATTCAGGAAATTCAGAGAACACCACAAAGATACTCCTCGAGAAGAGCAACCCCAACACACATAATTGTCAGATTCACCAAGGTTGAAATGAAGGAAAAAATGTTAAGGGCAGCCAGAGAGAAATGTTGGGTTACCCACAAAAGGAAGCCCATCAGACTAACAGCAGATCTCCCTGCAGAAACCCTACAAGCCAGAAGAGAGTAGGGGCCAATATTCAACATTCTTAAAGAATTTTCAACCCAGAATTTCATCTCCAGCCCAACTAAGCTTAATAAATGAATGAGAAATAAGATCCTTTACAGACAAGCAAATGCTGAGAGATTTTGTCACCACCAGGCCTGCCTTACAAGAGCTCCTGAAGGAAGCACTAAACATGGAAAGGATCAACTGGTAGCAGCCACTGCAAAAACATGCCAAATTGTAAAGACCATTGACACTATGAAGAAACTGCATCAACAAACGGGCAAAATAACCAGCTAGCATCATAATGACAGGATCAAATTCATACATAACAATATTAACCTTAAATGTAAACGAACTACATGCTCCAGTTAAAAGACATAGACTGGCAAATTGGATAAAGAGTCAAGACCCATCAGTATGCTATATTCAGTAGACCCATCTCACGTGCAAAGACACACATAGACTCAAAATAAAGGGATGGAGGAATATTTACCAAGCAAATGGAAAGCAAAAAAAAGCAGGGGTTGCAATCCTAGTCGCTGATAAAACAGACTTTAAACCAACAAAGATCAAAAGAGACAAAGAAGGGCATTACATAATGATAAAGGGATCAATCCAACAAGAAGAGCTAACTGTCCTAAATATATGTGCACCCGATACAGGAGCACCCAGATTCATAAAGCAAGTTCTTAGAGACCTAGAAAGAGACTTAGACTCTCACACAATAATAACGGGAGACTTTAACACACCACTGTCAACATTAGACAGACCAACAAGACAGAAAATTAACAAAGATATCCAGGACTTGAACTCAGCTCTGGACCAAGCAGACCTAATAGACATCTACAGAACTCTCCACCTGAAATCAACAGAATATACATTCTTCTCAGCACCACGTCGCATTTATTCTAAAATTGACCACATAATTGGAAGTAAAACACTCCTCAGCAAATACAAAAGAACGGAAATCATAAACAGTCTCTCAGACCACAGTGCAATCAAATTAGAACTCAGGATTAAGAAACTCATTCAAAACCACACAACTACATGGAAAATGAACAGCCTGCTCCTGAATGACTACTGGGTAAATAACGAAATGAAGGCAGAATAAAGATGTTCTTTGAAACCAATGAGAACAAAGGACACGATGCACCAGAATCTCTGGGACACATTTAAGCAGTGTGTAAAGGGAAATTTATAACACTAAATGCCCGCAAGAGAAAGCAAGAAAGATCTAAAATCGACACCCTAACATCGCAATTAAAAGAACTAGAGAAGCAAGAACATACAAACTCAAAAGTGAGCAGAAGACAAAAAATAACTAAGATCAGAGCAGAACTGAAGGAGATAGAGACACAAAAAACCCTTAAAAAATCAGTGCATCTAGGAGCTGGTTTTTAGAAAAGGTCAACCAAATAGACTGCTAGCAAGACTAATAAGAAAAGAGAGAAGAATCAAATAGACTCAATAAAAAATGATAAAGGGGATATCACCACCGATCCCACAGAAATACAAACTACCATCAGAATAGTATAAACACCTCTACACAAATAAACTAGAAAATCTAGAAGAAATGGATAAATTCCTGGACACATACACCATCCTAAGACTAAACCAGGAAGAAGTCAAATCCCTGAATAGACCAATACCAAGTTCTGAAATTGAGGCAATAATTAATAGCCTACCAACCAAAAAAAGTCCAGGACCAGACAGATTCACAGCCGAATTCTACCAGAGCTACAAAGAGGATCTGGTACCATTCCTTCTGAAACTATCCCAAACAACAGAAAAAGAAGGAATCCTCCCTAATTCATTTTATGAGGACAGCATCATTCTGAAACCAAAACCTGGCAGAGACACAACCAAAAAAGAAAATTTCAGGCCAATATCCCTGGTGAACCTCAATTCGAAAATCCTCAATAAAATACTGGCAAACCGAATCCAGCAGCACGTCAAAAAGCTTATCCTCCACGATCAAGTCGGCTTCATCCCTGGGATGCAAGGCTGGTTCAATCAACATAATGCATCACATAAACGGAACCAATGACAAAAACCACATGATTATCTCAATAGATGCAGAAAAGGCCTTTGATAAAATTCAACACCCCTTCATGCTAAAAACTCTCAATAAACTAGGTATTGATGGAACATATCTCAAAATAATAAGAGCTATTTATGACAAACCCACAGCCAATATCATACTGATATAGGAAAAAACTGTAAGCATTCCCCCCTTTGAAAACTGGCACAAGACAGGGATGCCCTCTCTCACCACTCCTATTCAACATAGTGTTGGAAGTTCTGGCCAGGGCAATCAGGCAAGAGAAAGAAAAAAAAGGTATTCAATTAGGAAAAGAGGAAGTCAAATTATCACTGTTTGCAATTATGTGCAATACTTCCAATTATGTGGTCAATTTTAGAATAAATAAGACGTGTTGCTGAGAAGAATGGACATTCTGTTGATTTCAGGCAGAGAGTTCTGTAGATGTCTATTAGGTCTGCTTGGTCCAGAGCTGAGTTCAAGTCCTGGATATCTTTGTTAATTTTCTGTCTCGTTGGTCTGTCTAATGTTGACAGTGGGGTGTTAACGTCTCCCATTATTTAGAAAACCCCATCGTCTCAGCCCCAAATCTCCTTAAGCTGATAGGCAACTTCAGCAAAGTCTCAGGATACAAAATCAATGTGCAAAAATCACAAGCATTCCTATACACCAATAACAGACAAACAGAGAGCCAAGTCATGAGTGAAATCCCATTCACAATTGCTACAAAGATAATAAAATACCTAGGAATACAACTTACAAGGGATGTGAAGGACCTCTTCAAGAAGAACTACAAACCACTGCTCAAGGAAATCAGAGAGGACACAAATGGAAAAATATTCCATGCTCATGGATAGGAAGAATCAATATCATGAAAATGGCCATACTGCCCAAGATAATTTATAGACTCAATGCTATCCCCATCAAGCTACCATTGACTTTCTTCACAGAATTGGAAAAAACTACTTCAAATTTCATACAGAATCAAAAAAGAGCCCTCACAGCCAAGACAATCCTAAGCAAAAAGAACAAAACTGGAGACATCATGCTATCAGACTTCAAACTATACTACAAGGCTACATTAACACAAACAGCATGGTACTGGTACCAAAACAGATACATAGACCAATGGAACAGAACAGAGGCCCCAGAAATACCACCACATATCTACCAGCATTTGATCTCTGACAAACCTGACAAAAACAAGCAATGGGGAAAGGATTCCCTATTTAATAAATGGTGTTGGGAAAACTGGCTAGCCATATGCAGAAAGCTGAAACTGGACCCCTTCCTTACACCTTATACAAAAATTAATTCAAGATGGATTAAAGACTTAAATGTTAGACCTAAAACCATAGAAACCCTAGAAGAAAACCTAGGCAATACCATTCAGGACATAGTCATGGGCAAAGACTTTATGACTAAAACACCAAAAGCAATGGCAACAAAAGCCAAAATTGACAAATGGGATCTAATTAAAGGCCTTCTGCACAGCAAAAGGAACTATCATCAGGGTGAACAGGCAACCTAAAGAATGGGAGAAAATTTTTGCAATCTATCCATCTGACAAAGGGCTAATATCCAGACTTAAACAAATGTGTAAGAAAAATCAAACAACCCCATCAAAAAGTGGGCGAAGGATATGAATAGCCACTTCTCAAAAGAAGACATTTATGCAGCCAACAAACATGAAAAAAAAGCTCATCATCACTGGTCATTAGAGAAATGCAAATCAAAACCACCATGAGATACTATCTCATGCCAGTTAGAATGGCAATCATTAAAAAGTTAGTAAACAACAGATGCTGGAGAGGATGTGGAGAACATGAATGCTTTTACACTGTTGGTGGGAGTTTAATTAGTTCAACTATTGTGGAAGACAGTGTGGCAATCCCTCAAGGATCTAGAACTAGAAATACCATTTGACTCAACAATCCCATTACTGGTTGTATATCCAAAGGATCATATATCATTCTACTATAAGGACTCATGCACAAATATGTTTATTGTGGCACTGTTCACAATAGCAAAGACTTGGAACCAACCCAAATGCCCATCAGTGATAGACTGGATAAAGAAAATGTGGCATATATACACCATAGAATACTATGCAGCCATTATAAAAGAGTGAGTTCATGTCCTTTGCAGGGACGTGGATGAACTAGAAAACATCATTCTCAGCAAATTAACACAAGAACAGAAAACGAAACACCACATGTTCTCACTCATAAGTGTGAGGTGAACAATGAGAGCACATGGACATAGGGAGGGGAACATCACACACCGGGGCTTGTCAGTGGGTGGGGGGCTGGTTGAGGGATAGCATTAGGAGAAATACCTAATGTAGATGATGGGTTGAAGGGTACAGCAAACCACCATGGCACGTGTATACCTATGTAACAAACCTGCACATTCTGCACATGTACCCCAGAACTTAAAGTATAATAAAAAATAATCTATGTTTACATTATGTAATACTTTTCAGTTCAAGCAGTCAAATGTAAATTAGATACACAAAATTTGAAGTGATTAATTTTAGCCTGTCTTAAGAAATGCCAAATAAATAGATGAAATGAACCTTGAAATTTTATAAGCTTATATAAACAAACATCCACATAGTTGGAAGACAAGTCTGAATGTAACCCCAAACCCACTAGGGGTATGGCAGCTCAGTCATTTATAATTGTTGGACTTGACTCCTCTAAGCCACAATTGCCTCTTCTATGTAATGGGGACACTATATTCTTCATCACGCTACTTCAAGGATTAAAATAAAATGAAGTCTCTGGAATGCTTGACTGACTTCTTGGCATACGGTTATTGTTCTTAGCACATAGTAGTAGCTATAGTTATTATTAGCCATTTCTCCCTGATCTCCAACAATATATTTATTCAGTAGAAAGGATTTAATTAGCTGTTTTGCATTACCTATACCAAAAATATCAAATTTAAAATATCCAAAATTTTGCTTTTCAATTAATATGCCACCACATGGTTAAGATTTTTGCATTGTACAATAATTTGAAGGAACTTGATATAAAATAAAGTGCTAGTGCTATAATTATAAAACTCATACTAGATTTAGTTTAAAAAGCAAGAAATTTTCATTGTTTCTGACTCTGTTGTTAACCTTATTTTGCTGGAATGGAAAGTATAACACAGAAGTGAACAAATTAACATACAAACATGTGGACCTATCTACATGTATATTTACGTAGATACATGTTCAATAGTCGTACAGAGGGAGGGGGCAACTTAAAATCTTTGGTGATGATTCTCTGCTAACTTATCCCAGTCAGCTTCAGTATCATATAATAATTGTAACATTGGAAACAGCAGGGGATTAGATTGTTTTCCTCCGTGCCATTTGTCTGTTGTGTCTGAGAATAAAATAATCTTCCATTGTCTGCAGTGAAATTGCTTTATATTTCCCTGAAACCCCTAGGCTAGGTTATTCATCCCCTTAAGAATCTGTGTGCAGTGTCTAACACGGAGAGGGTAGTGGTGGGTATATGCCCTATGGAGAAAGTAGTAGATGTCTGATAAAATAAGGTACCATATTGCTTTCCCTTTCTCTTCACATAAATCAGAGAGATAATAACTATCTTTCTCTGGATTCCAAAATTTCAGTGAAGCCAAGACAAATTTTGTTCTTCCTTTTTGCCATGTGTTTGAGGGAGTTTTAATTGGCAATCCTTGGTGTATATGGCCCAATGAACAGGCTGACTCCTTGATACTTGTATAAAATATTGCTCTTTCTGAAACTGAAATTGGAAATAAAAGGGTCCAAGTTTGAACAATCAAAGTCTGTCAATGAAGATTCACATCTGCCAAGTCTATTTCCCTTTTAACAAGTTAGAAGGGCTCTCTCGTCAAACCCTGGACCCATGTGCATGCAATATACAGTCACATTTTTAGCATGGCACATTTGTTCTTTCTGCCAGCCATTTTATGAAGCTCAGCAACTTAATGCTGCAGCACTTCTGAAATCCATATGGGAGAAATATTCTGGCAGCCCTCATTTCAGCAAGGCAGCAGGGGCCCTGTAATTTCTCACAAATGAAGGGAGTGAAAGAGTAGATCAACATAATAGAATATGTTATACTACCAGTTAAGGCATGTTGACTGGCTTGCAATTGAAGCACTAGTCAGAACACTTCCCAGAATTACCATGTAGGTTGATAGAGACCTAGGGTTGAGCACTTCTCCGACCAAGCAGCTCCACCAGTAGACATCCTGCAACACCCAGTGTGGGTATTCAGGACTAGCAACCAGCTCACAATGCAGCAAACAGTACCTTTTTTCAAAAGCAATTCAAGAAAGCAACTTCTCAGAAGGTTGTCTGCAGTTGGAGTCATAAAAGAGGGTTTTTTGGCCAGGCATGGTGGCTCACACCTGTAATCCCAGCACTTTAGGAGGCCAAGGTGGGCGGATCACGAGGTCACGAGACCAGCCTGGCCATCATGGTGAAACCCCGTCTCTACTAAAAATACAAAAAAATTAGCCTGGTGTAGTGGCGTGATCCTGTAGTCCCAGCTACTCGGGAGGCTGAGACAGGAGAATTGCTTGAACCCGGGAGGTGGAGGTTGCAGTAAGCTGAGATCATGCCACTGCACTCCAGCCTGGGTGACAGAGCAAGACTCTGTCTCAAAAAAAAAAAGGGATTTTTTCCCCCTCTTCTACGTCAATTTCATGGTATCAGAAACTAAATTCTACTTTCCTCTGGCTAAAAACACTGCTCTGGCTGAGTGTGTTGGCTCACGACTGCAATCGCACAATTTTGGGAGGCCAAGGTGGGCAGATTGCTTGAGTCCAGGAGTTCAAGACCAGCCTGGGCAACATGACAAAACTCCCATCTCTACCAAAATATACAAAAATTAGCCAGACATGGTGGCATGAGCCTGTAGCCCCAGCTCCTCGGGGAGCTGAGGTGGGAGGATCAGTTGAACCCTGAAGGTCAAGACTGCAGTGAGCCGGGATAGTGCCACTACACTTTAGCCTGGGTGACAGGGAAACCTTGTCTCAAATAAACATAAAAACACTGCTCTACGTGTCTTAAAAGTGTGTGTACGTGCCTAGGTCAGGTAGTAAACACACACATACACACACAATTACAAAAACCTTCAACCATTTGGCGGGAGGTAGCAGTTTGAAATGAAATGGATGCATCCATCCTTTTTTCATCCCTCTCACTCTCTCTCCTTGTTATTCCTTTTTCTTGCTCAGTCAGAACTGCAGGCTATTGACAGTTGCGGGTAGAGTAGAATAAACTGTTGGAAAGTGTGACCAGAGACAGTTCCCAGCTCCACCCCAGCCAGCAGTCCCTTCATTTCAGGGGAGGTTTGATAGCTACTTGCTACGCTATGTTGGAGTAAGGTCAAAAGATGGCGACAGGTCATGCCATGCTGGCCTCTAGGAGCCATTTCTGCAAAAACGAATCATGCTTGTTCAGGAATACAATTACAGCTGTTTGAAAATAAGCATGCATGTTGTTCAATGTCCACATAAAATTATGACTCTTTCCTGCAAGGTATTTTTGTAACTAGAGTTTTGGTTTTTGGAGTGGGGGTTGGGGGCGGTTAATATGTGGTTGAGTCCACAGGTGTGTCCATAACCCACAGAAGAGTACAGGGGAATGCTACATTTTTATCTTGCTTTCATAAACTTTTAGGGTTTTAAGATTTCTTCTTGAAAATCTTTTGGGTTCTTTTCTAGTAACCTATTTTTATCTTATACAACCCCTCTGATAAAATGTTTGCTACTTTTTGTTTAAAATTCACTACATTCTTTAGAGAAATGACAGATTCATTGACCATTTTATGCTATTGAATTCCCAACGTGAGCAAGCTATTTAGAAAGCCAGTGCTTTTTGGAGCTTTGCAAGAAACAGTCTTTTGTGCTTTCTTTTTTGTGGCTTTACTTATAGTTTTTAATCTGAAGTGTTGTTTCATCTTTGCCAGATCAGCAAATAATCAGTGCTTTAGATTCTCTTAGAATGTATTTTCTGTTTCCTTTTCAACAAAGTAAAATGCAAGTATTTAAATATATCTTACCACTCAATGCCAAACACAAAGGAAATGTAAATACATCGTTGGACTAATTCACATCTGGTAGGGAGTAATTGTTGGATGTGTGCTGCTTAATCATAATTTAAAAAAAAAAAACAAGCTTTTAATTAAGCATCTGCACTGGGTCACACAGATGAAATTATAAAATGTGATTAAGAAGCCTTTCATTCTTTTGAGAAATAAGTGGCTACTCCAGTATCTTAGTATCCTTCTGCCTATAGATAAGAGTGTTGGAGTCACTGGCTACTTTTGTAGAAAATCAGAGAAGTTCAAGGTAAGCCCCGATAGGCTTATCACTTACCTGTTTAACTGCACCACTGAAATTTCCCAGTGCCTTATATGAATTCAGTAGGACAGCTTTCCACATTTTCATCAGATGTAGGAACTCTTAAAGCTGCACCTTAGAAGTTGTCTTTTCTGACTTCTGCATTTTACGTGAAAATAAAGTAGACCAAGAAAAGTTAAATACTTCGCCCAAGATCACACAGCTATTGAAACAATTTATACTAGAGCTTATGTTTTGTGATGGTTATAAGTTCTGTGAGTTATAATGCCCTGTCACCTCCCACCTCAGCATTCTCCTAGCTCTCTTCCAAGCAGCTTATTTTGGAGGACTGCAGAAAATGGACCTAGCAAATACAGTGGATTCCCCGATTCCCCTGTTTGCAATTATCTGCTTCACTGCATGCCTCCATTAACTTAGCTAATCAAAAGAATATTGCAGTTCATCTCTCAATTTTCACCTTCAGGAATTAAAGATATTTTACCCAGCATTCTGACCGATAATAAGCTGAGGGACACAAAAGAGTCCTCAACTCAAAATACATCCTGGGCTGCTTGAAATTCTTAGCATTTGTGTTGAAGTCTTGGATTCACTTCCTCAATCTAACCTAATTATCAATGTGACTTTAGAGAAGTGACTTAACTTCTTCTAGGTTCAGTTTCCCATGTATCAAGTACAGATAACAATGGCTATCTTATATGGGTTTTGTAAGGATTAGGTAAGATGGAGTTTGTAAATGCCAGATAAATATTAAGTATATTAAAATGGTAGTCAATGCTGTTAGTGTGGTTAAATGGATTGAAGAATCACGCTATCAGGAAGAGTAACACACAGGAAGAAGTAATTAACATTCAGCTAAAGGAGGCGGTCAGAAAGGTGGTTTAAAAGGTGAGGCTGGCCTTAAAGGGTAACGAGCAGCTTGTTAGTGGGGACAAAGCAAGGAGAGAAGGAGAAACAAGAGCACAGAGACTGGAAAGAAAATATAGTGTTGGGGGCATGTCCTAAAGCTGGGGCCAACTGAAGCATAGAGTAGGTTGGAAAAAGCAGGAGACAATGAAAATGTGAACTGAGAGCCTCGTATGTCATGCTAGAAAGTTTGGACTGAACTCTGTCCCTGTCAGCAGGCACTAAAGGATGTTAAGTGAAAAGGGCATTAGAGTGTATGGTATGGGAGATGAGCTGACAGGGAAGCAGGTAGAAGGCAGTATCTAGTGCTTTGCAGCCGCTGGATATGGAGAATATGAAGACTATTCACACCCTCCTGATTCTTGAGCCAATCCCGACCAGAAGTGGAGATTTAGCAATGTCTTATGTATTCCTAGAGGTCAAAATGGGGTGAGACTTTAGAACCCCATTACCCCACAAGCTCACTTGGTCATGCCATATGTTGGGCTTCTCTTTGCTATTTCCCTAGTCATTCCCTCTGTGACATCAGGGAGCCCAGCTAAGAGACTATTGCAGAAGTTCATACAATAGATGGTAAGAATCTCATCTTGGGTAGTAGTAGTAGAAAAAAGAAAGCAAGGAACCAGTTGAAAAGCTGTCTAAATCCCATTACTGGGTATATATCCAAAAGAAAATAAATCGTTCTGCCAAAAAGACACATGCACTCATATGTTCATTGCAGTGCTCTTCACAATAGCAAAGGCATGGAATCAATCTAGGTGCCTACCAATGGTGGATTGGATAAAGAAAATGTGGTACATATAATGCCATGGAATACTACACAGACATAAAAAATGCTCTTTACAGCAACATGAATGCAGCTAGAGACTGTAACCCTAACTGAGTTAACACAAGAACAGAAAATCAAATATTACATGTTCTCACTTATAAGTGGGAGCTAAATGCTGGATATTCATGGACATAAAGATGGCAACGATAGACACTGGGGACTACTAGACAGAGGAGGGAGAGACGGGAGTAAGGACTGAAAAAACCTCCCTATTGGGCACTATGCTTACTACCTGGGCGATGGGATCAGTCATACTCCAAACCTCAGCCTTGAGCAGTATACCCATGTAACAAACCTACGCATGTATCCTCTGAATCTGAAATTTAAAAGTTGAAATTTTAAAAAATAAAAGTTATCCAAGAGCTAGAATCTAAGGGCCTTTGTCTTAGAATTTTAAAGTGAAGATACTTTCAAGATCATCTGGTTCAATCCTCTCTTTTTATAACATGATGCCCGGCTCATAGTAGTTGAATATGTGTAAATCTTTGCTGAATAAATTAATGAATAAGTGAGGAATAAGACCTAGGAAGTGTTGATACCACTAGTTATTGGCATACCTGGCCTAACAACATAAACCCCCTGACTTCTAAGTCAGTGCTCTGAGAGCCTCATATGTCATGCTAGAAAGTTTGGACTGAGCTCTGTCTCTATGAGTGGGCACTAAAGGATGTTAGGTGAAAAGGACAACAGAGTGTATGGTATGGAAGATGAGTTGACAGCGAAGCAGATAGAAGGCAATATCTAGTGTTTTGCAGCCATTAAGCCACATTTGGGCTCATAATACATAGAAAATTATTGAGAAAGACGTTGTCTGAACCTAATTTTTATTCACAGTGTCATTTATAAAGTAACACATAAGAATAAACAAAAAGATTCTTCTAACGAAGGAATTTTTTATCATCTGTTACACCTTTCATGCCTAAGTATCTGTTTTTGCATTTCTATTAATACATAATTTGATGGGTATATATAATAATGCTACCTGCAAGACTGATGTGTAAAGTCAGTAGAACCATGGTAAGATCCAGAACCTCCAAAATTGAATTCTTCTCCAATTGATGGCTGTTTTTATAACTGTCACTCTAAGGAGACCATCTGGGAATTTTTAGAAACTGCTTCAAATTATTTTAAGGGAGACCCAACTTCAACTCTACTGGTATGACATACCACAGTGTTTCACTTTGGGGAATAAACTGTGTTGAGAGCAGTTATTTTCCATTTAACTGATGTGGTGAGTAGCACACCCCCAAAAGTACATGTCAGAATTTATTATGTTTGTGGGGGTTGAGTAGACTCAGAATAGATGTACAATATTATAATAAAATTATGTATTATGATTTAAAACACAAATTAATATAAGCTGCAGAAAATAAAGCTCAGTCAAATCTTATTAACCGAGAGGAAACTTTAAAAATAATCCTTTTTAATGTAGAGTGCATGTAATTGGTAGGATGGGAGTTGTCAGGTTTTTTTATTTTTCTTTTATCGAAAATCTGGATAACCTGGCAAAAACAGAAGTTAGAAACACTAAACTGGAGGTAGTACATTTAGCTGTGAAATCTTTTCTGGTTTCCTCTGACTAAATCTTTCCATCCTTTATTCAGTGAGAATCTATCCTAAATATCTGAAGAATTCTCAACATAGTAATGATGCTCTGTATATAGTGTAGAGAAATCTTGGAACGGGTAGAACTCACACAAAGGAACAAAGTCTGAGATGCATTTGCAAGCCTCAGACATGAGATAGGAGCAATGTCAGGAAGAGTGATGGAAGATACCTTTGAAGAGGTGAGGAAGGAAATGAATTGGTAGGCATGATTCCATACATAGAAAGGAAGTGCTCTTGAGGGTAAAGGGATAGCAGAATTTAACTAGAGGCAAGTAACAAGTTGTAAGTTGTGAGTAGTAAAGATACCAGCTTCACAATAATAACTTATTTGGTGGTGAAGACAAAGATAAGTTGGAAAGACTTAAACAGCTGATCAAGAGATCAAGTAGTTTGAACTTAATGGAGTAGACTGTAAGATGAGAATTGACTAGGAAGTAAATTATTCTAGTCTGGTCCAAGGTTGTGTTTAAGGAAGGCAGACAGGGAGTGGTAAGTGAGAGATGTTGAAAAGGAAGATTCTGTAGGCCACAGTGACTCAAAGAATGCGGGGGTAGAGGAAAGAGGTATAAAAATAACTCTAATTAAAGCAATGCTTTATGTAGAGTGCCCTATTTTATCCAAAATGATGAGGTATCCTATTCTGTATTTTGATTCCCATGACTAAGAAAGAAAAAATTATCTTAGAACATTTTTTTCATACAGGACAGCAGTTTTAAAGCTCCTGCTTCATCAAACTCACTCTACCTCACTTGCACTTTGAAATTCCATAATTGGCAATCAGGTTAGTGTGAGACCAGACCTGTGGGACACCTAACTCATCACTCACACTCAATCTGACCAACAGGCCTGAGGTCAGTAGCCCTAGAACTAACCTAAATATGGCCTGAAGTGAATGACCATTTAGCAAACAAAGTAAATTTTCCAGCAATGTAGTAATGAAAATATATGCTTAGCTTTCAAAAGAAATGTATCTTCTTATTTTTATGGAGAAAAAATTTGATAAAATTATAAGTATTTTCACAAGGATGATCTCATTTTCACAGTAGCTCTGCAAAAGAGGAAATGTAAGAGATATTTTTATTCCCATTTTATAAAAGAAGAAATTGAGAGATGGGGAGATCAAGTGACTCTTCCAATTCTCCGTCTTAAGTAGGCCAACAGGTTAGAGCCAGAGCCAGTCTTCCTGATGATGTCCCTTTCTGTGCTCTTAAACCCAATCTGTCTGAGGACTTGGCATGGCACCGTCAGATGACATATACCAGGTGTCTTATATTTTTATTTCACGACATGTAAATGACATTCATACAGCACAGTCTATTAATATTCTATCCAATAAGTTCTATCTGAACAAGCAAATGTTTGCTGACATCCCCGTCTATAAGAGTTTTGGGCATGACTTATTATCTAGACATCTATATATTTTTTTAAAGTGGGCAGTTGAGTACCATCAAGTTGTTATATAGTTTTATCCTGTGATAACTGACCACTCATCTTTTACATTCAGAAATCTTCTACGTATCTTCATAAAGATATTGTTGCAGTGTTCTTTATCCTTGCCTGATGACTTGAAAAATTGCTGTTAGTGGAAAATATCCATAAATTGTAAAAGGCAGTCTTACTAAGAAACACAAATAGTTCTCACTCTGTTTCTAAATAGCAAGATCACATTAAAACTCAAAAATAGGTAACATTAATCACTACAATTCAAACTACTACTCTCTAGACCTGGCAGGGAAACTTGAGAGCTTTCAACATAACCCTTAGTTCTTTCCCGTGAAATTCTGGCAGAGCAGAGGGAAGGAGAGAGCGTGCTTGGGGACTGGGGAGTCTGTTAACAGTGATTAAAGTTAGGGAGAGCCTTAGAGGAAGTGGCATTTGTTACCTCTCTGACTTTTACTTGGCCATTCAGAAACCCATTGTTTCCACAATCATACTCAAGTCATCCTTGACTGTAACTGTGGTGGGAATATCTGGGTAGAACTGTCCTGATTTTATAGAAGAATATAACAAAGGACAAAGAGTAATTACTGAAATAGCAATCATCTTTTGCATAACAATTTACAGCTTAGAAACCCTTTCACCTGTATGATCTCATTCGTTATTTCCCATGGAACAATAAGTTGCTATTACTATTGTTCATCATTACTTCTAAAAAATCTGAGTCACAGAGGATTGAAGCCAGTTTGGGAAAGTTATACAGCTAATAAGTGATGAAACTAGAACTCAGACCAAAGTCTTTTGACCTCATATCCCATGTGATCTCTACTATACCTTGCAGCCTCCTGAACCTAAGAAGAATGTTGGAGCAAGAATGAAAGTAGACATAAAAAATAGTCAATGAGTTAAAAAAAACTCACTGAATAGGAAATTGAGGAAATGAGGCATACCCAAGAGAAAATCCAAAAGGCCAATAAACATGAAAAGATGCTCACCTTCACTGGCAGTCTGGGAAATGCAAATCAAAACTATGATCACATCCATTAGATTGGTAAAAATTAAGTCTGAGAATACGAAGTACTGTGTCAGATGTAAAGCAATGAAAATTTCAACACACTACCGATCAGAGTGTAAATCAATGTGACCTCTTTTGTCAGCCATTTGCCACTATCTAACAAAGTTGAAGATGCACATGGTCTGTGCCAGCATGGGGTTCATAGCAGAGTTATTTTCAATAGCCACAGATTTGTCATAACTCCGGTGTCCATTAACAAAAGAATGGATGAATGTTATTAAGTAGTAATATAGCCATCACTAAATACTGTATTACAATGAAAACTAATCAACTAGAGGCACAAGTATCAAAATAGATAAATATCACAAACATATTTTAAGAAAAGTTACAGAATATTAAAATATATACCATTTACAAAAGGCTTAAAATATGTAAAATACTTTCCAGGGATTATTATTATTTAGAGATTAGATACTATTTAGAGATATTGTTTTTACGGACACCTAGATATGATATAAATTATAAAGGTATATGTAAATAACAAACCTCAAATAGGGCAATGGTTACCTTGGAAAGGGCTGTAAAGGAGTGCAAGTTGGGGGAGAGGTGCTAGCCAAGGGGGATTCAACTAATATGAGCAATGTTCCAATCATTAAGTTGGATGTTAGTATACAAGTATTTGTTGTTCTTTCAACCTTTTAAATGTAGAAAATATAACATTAAAACTAAAAGAAACAGGAGAGAAAAATAGTCTATCTGAATCAGACACTTCTCTGGGACACTGAGATGAATGGAATCAATTAAAAACGATTCCCAAAGCATCCCCAGCTGCCACAGTCTGAAGAGGAATTATAATAACAGTGAGGGAATGTCCACTCCAATTCAGTTCTGAGCCGTGGACCCACGTTCCAGCCACCACATCAGTACCCTCTCTGATAGACATTATGGAAAAGTGAAGTTCCATCTGACCAATCACATAGGTTGTGACATTTTCTAGAGGCAGACCTAACCTGGATCCCTGAAAATGTCTGCTTGGCCTCTCTGTCAATTTGGGAAGAGGGACTGTTAATTAAGACAATGCTGTTAATTGTTTTATTCATTTTATGTTATACACCTACAAAAGACCAGAAAAGTTGTCAACTCTAAAAGTTCAACTCTGTTTTTCATTTTTAACGTTTGCAAGCTTGCTGGGCAAGGATGTCTCAGAATGAAATCCCTAGCCATTTGTACCTCCCATTCCAGAATTATTCTGATAAACTGATGTCTGTTGAGTTGCTTATTTCAAGATCTGTGAAAACATGTCTCTTCATCCCTAATATACTCCTCAGCATAGTCAGGCACAATCTCAATTTGCAAGCTCAATTTTCAAGTATTATGGTTTGTGAAGATAAAAATACCAATCCATGATAAAATAGTTCTCCAAAAATAAAATTGTTATTCATACATAATTGAAATTTTTAAAAAAACATTTATCTCAAACAGCCATGATTTTCTGCATTTTAAGCAGGAAAAAATATTTCTCTGAATATATTTTATAATGGATAATTTGCATTCAGAGCATTTCTAATCATAAAGTTAGCCTCTAACCAGTAGACCTCTGAAAATCTGTGATAGTTCACTGGGGAGAAAGGACAAGTGCCTTTATTGAAACTGATCCACAGAAATATTAGTTTATCTAAGATCAGAGGATGAACTGTGGCAACTTTCTGTTTGAAACCAAGGGACCCAAATCTCCTCCATCCTATTTTAACAACAATCATATTAATAATAGTCCACATTTATTGAGCACTGTGTGTCATACACTATGCCAAGTACTTTTCCTACATTATGTCATTTCATTCTCACAACTTTACAAATGAGGAACTGTGGCTCAAAGCAGGGAACTTGGTCAATATCATGTATCTGTTAAATAGTAGAGCCAAGGTGTCAACCCAGCTCCCTAATCCCAAAACCTGCACCCTTGACCTTTGCTCGCATATACATGGAAGCTTTGTAATTACCTGCTATAGATGGAAAAAAATAAATGGGCAAATATTTTTCTGTTCCATAAAAAAGAAAAAAGGCAATTGACTTATTCAACTTATACAAAAAAAAATATGCTAGGGCTTTGTTTTTCGTCTAAAACTCATGACCACTACTTCTCAATAGTTCGAAAATTATATTAACTGAATTACACTGAAGATGGAATATAAGATGAAAAAGAAGCATAGAGAATGTGCTTCTTCAAGGTACACATTCCTCTAACCTTTTCTTTCAGAGCCTTTGTTTCTGAATATGAAGTTGTTTCTGAACTTCAAGAATAACCAAATAGCTTTTTTTCAGCACTTCATCATTGTATTTGCTGGCAGTCCTGTTGTAACCTTGAGTCACCCACAGTGATTTTAAGTATTATTCTAATTGATTTCTCACTGCTTACTAAGAAACAACACCTCTCACTAGTCTCGTAAATAATTCCATTTCTCTATGTCAATGTTAATTGAACTTACCTCATGTTGTCAATCTCTTTTTTTCTTACAGGTGATGTCATTGTCTATATTAATGAAGTTTGTGTCCTTGGACACACTCATGCAGATGTTGTCAAACTTTTCCAGTCTGTTCCTATTGGTCAGAGTGTCAACCTGGTGTTGTGTCGTGGCTACCCTTTGCCCTTTGATCCTGAAGACCCTGCTAACAGCATGGTGCCACCCCTTGCAATAATGGAGAGGCCACCTCCAGTGATGGTCAATGGAAGACACAACTATGAAACATATTTGGAGTACATTTCTCGGACCTCACAGTCAGTTCCAGATATAACAGATCGGCCGCCTCATTCTCTGCACTCCATGCCAACTGATGGTCAGCTAGACGGCACGTATCCACCGCCCGTCCATGATGACAATGTGTCTATGGCTTCATCTGGGGCCACCCAAGCTGAACTTATGACCTTAACCATTGTGAAAGGTGCCCAGGGCTTCGGCTTCACTATTGCCGACAGTCCTACAGGACAGCGGGTGAAACAAATACTTGACATTCAGGGATGCCCTGGCCTGTGTGAAGGCGACCTCATTGTTGAGATCAACCAGCAGAATGTACAGAACCTGAGCCATACAGAAGTAGTGGATATACTTAAGGACTGTCCCATTGGAAGTGAAACTTCTTTGATTATCCATCGAGGAGGTAAGACAAACACTGGCTCAGCAATAAAATATGTGGGTAAAATAGTAGGATCATTTAATAATATTGTTAAAATGCAGATTTCCTTGGAGTTGAATGAAATTATACTTTAAAAAATAAAGCTTAAAGAGTGAGAGAGAAAAACATGAATTAAAGGAAACTTTGTTTTTGAATTCAGAATATGTCTTTTTCTATTTTGTATTAAACACAATAATAATAGTTCTTTCAGTCTTACAGACATATTGATAGAAAGTTGGAGGGTAAAGATTAAATCCCCAACTATGAATGTATTTTGTTTCAAAAATTCATTCATGTATCGGTCATGGAGAACTCAAACTGGTTTCCCATTGATTTAATTAAGAAACCTGCTTTTACGATGGAAGCAACGCTTTTAATCGTGCTTAGGTTTCCAGGCTAGCAGGTGGAAGCCAGTTCAACCCCTACTAAGCCCAAGCACAGTCTTGACAATACTCAGAAGGACCATGAACTGTGAGAGCTGTGGGAGCTGTGCTGCTGTAGAAAAATCTTTTCACAGTTTGGAATGATGCTGTTCAGGACACTTCTGCTACTACAGGAACTGCACTAGCAACAATTACCCATAGTGCCTCCCATGATCTGGGAAGAAAGTTACAGAACAGGGTGAGGGCTGAAGTTCTGGCCTGAGTGTCCCGGGCAAAGTATGGAAATAGGAACAGTGCCAAGTGTGGTAGAAGCTCTGAGCCCTGAATGTTTCTTCCCCTCTACCTTTTCTGTGGGGAAGGGAATGGGGTAAAGCACAGGGCCCCTTCTCCACACCTCTGCTGCTTTGCTCTGGATGACCAGTGAACCTAGAGAGAGAAGGGAGGGAAGGGGCCATAGATAAAGAGGATACTATCTCGAAAAAAGAGTGTAAAGGAAAAGGATCAGGCTAAGCCCTGGTTTTCCCATTTGCCAATTTGTGGACTTAGGACACTGAAAGTCAATGAGCCTCAGCCATGTCATCTGTTACAATGGGATAATACTACTACCTAACCCAGTGGTAGTGTTGTAGCCCAACATCTGCTCACTAAATGTCTGGCGAGTGTAAACATCGAAGCTTCAGCATGGGTGGGTCAGAAGGAACAGGACAATGAGGAACTCATGCATGAAGGACACACGTGTGACAAACATGTGGTTGCCTATTCAAAGCACTCAAAACAGCCTGAAACTCTCAGTTTGAAATGCAAGTGAAGGCTGTCAAAGCTGAAAGAAAGAAGCACCTTTTATGATTTATTTGGCCCTGTCTGCAGGTGTTTTTCCTTCAAGGAAGTATCACATTGTTGATTCCTTGTTTGGAAACGGACAGCAAACACCAGGCATTTGTGAGCAGCACTCTACAAAGTCTTAGGTTCCCGGTACTAAAAGGGAAATTCATATGATAGCCAAACAATCTTAAATTTGACCTTCTCAAGGCATTGTTACAAAATAGCACTTGAATTCTCATAATTAAATGTTGGCAAGGTATTTTAATTTCTTGCATTGCTTAAGATTAAAATAAACATTGCTAATTAAATAGCCATATCTTCATAGTGTCCAAATGAAAATCAAATATTTGGACCAAGTTCTTGATATTAAATGGTATCACAAACTCACTGTGCAGTATCCACTGTATGATTCATAGAAACAAATTTGGATGCATTTTTTATATACAGCTTCTTCTAAAAGCATGACATAGCAGAAAAAAGGTACTTTGAAATCCCTAATTTACATTATGGTAATTTGTACTTTTCTGAAAATATTCGTTGTGTGCCTGCTATCAGCTTGGCTACCCCATTCTCACTTTTCCTTTGCCCCCCATTTACTCCACAAGTAATCAAAGTGGTCTTTGCATTTGGTTTGTGTTTGGGGATGAGGGAATTGGTTTTTGTTTTTTGCCTAGCATAGCAAAATGCAGAATGCTGTGATGCTTAAAGTACTTCTAGTCGAAAACCTCTTGAGTTTACCCTAATTCCCACAATTTATACTCATCTCTCTGAAATTAATAGGAACTAGCACCATGCTTATGTGGTGAAATTCACTTTATCTTATTATGGGCTACCAGAAGTGCCTATGACCTCTTTGAGATAAGCAGACTCAAGAGCTGAGTCGCAGGCCTGGGTCCTTATATCAGGACCATGGGTGGTCGGCTGTTTTTAATTATTTACTAGAGTTTTTAATTTATAAAGTAATAATGTACATGGTTTAACTTTTTTAAAGCAAATAATGTCAACAAGTATAAAATGAAAGTAATTGTCTGTCCTATCCCAGACTTTCAGTCCTTTCTCCCAGAAGCAAATATATTGTTTGTATGTATAGTCACAGAAAGTTTATGGTCTACTAGCACGTGTATGAATATATATAGTATGTTTAATATAGATGGGATAAGTGTGTGCTACTTTAAAATACCTAGGTTATTTGGTGTTTTACATACACCATGTGATATAATTTACATACCACAACACTCACCAATGTAAGTGTATGCTCAGTAAGTTGCTAAAATGATATAGTTGTGCAACAATCATCATAATCCTTAGAACATCCATCATCCCGAATTCTCCCAAACCCCAGGTAACCACTAATATGCTTTCTGAATCGTTTTGTCTTTCTATAATTTTTTCATAAATGGAATCATACAGTATATAATATTTTACTTAGCTTAATGCTGGTGAGAGTTACCTATGTCGGTGAGGTTTAAGTGTTTGTTTCTTTTATGGCTGCATAGTATTCCATTGTACAGATACACTCCATTTTCCTGTCCATTCATTAGTGTATGGACATTTGAGTTGTTTTCAGTTTTTGACATTTATGAATCATGTTGTTATGAACATTTGGATACACATGTTTGTGTTGCTTATGTTTTCATTTTTCTTGGGTAGATACCTAGGAGTAGTATTGCTCAGCTGTAAGAAGAATATATATTTAAATTGTTAAGAAGTAGAATGTTTTCTAAAATGGCTGTTGTACAAGGTTTCCAATAGCTGCCCATTGTTTTTTTTTTTTTTTTTTTGGAGACAGAGTCTCACTCTGTTGCCCAGGCTGGAGTGCAGTGGCACGATCTTGGCTCACTGCAACCTCCACCTCCTGGGTTCAAGCAATTCTCCTGCCTCAGCCTCCTGAGTAGCTGGGATTACAGGCACGTGCCACCACATCTGGCTAATTTTTTATATTTTTGGTAGAGACAGGGTTTCACTGTGTTAGCCAGGATGGTCTCAGTATCCTGACCTCGTGATCCACCCACCTCAGCCTCCCGAAGTGCTGGGATTACGGGCGTGAGCCACCGTGCCTGGCCCAAGTTTTTTTTTTTCTTATATGGATCATTCTTTTGGTGTTATATCTAAGAAATCTTTGCCTGACCTGAGATTTCTTGTGTTTTCTTCTAAAAATTGTATACCTTTAGCTCTTTTATTTAGGTCTGTAAACATGTCAAGATAATTTTTGTGTATACTGTGAATTAAGGGCCTAACTTCATTTTTTTTTTTTTTGCTTATGTACATCCAATCATTCTAGCACCATTTGTTGAAAAAGCTAATTTTTTATTGAATTCCCTTGACACTTTTGTCAAAAATGAATTAGCATAAATGTGGAGGTTTATTTCTAGATGCCCTATTCTGTTCCATTGATCTGTTTGTCTATTCTTGTGCTACTACCACACCCTCTAGGTTACTTTAGCTTTCTATTAAGTCTTGAAACCAGAGAGTGTTAGTCCTCCAACTTTTTCTGCTTTTTCAAAATAATGTGGCTATTCTAGGTCCTTTGCATTTCCATAGACATTCTAGGATTGCATTGTTCCTTTTTTTTTTTTTTTTTTTAATAGACAGGGTCTCACTCTGTTGCATAAGCTACAGTACAGTGGTGCAATCATAGCTCACTGCAGCCTCAAACTCCTGGGCTCAAGTGATCCTTCACCTCAGCTTCTCCAGTAGGTAGGACTACAGGCACATGCCACTGTACCTGGCTTTTTAAATTTTCTTTTAGTGATGAAGCCTCACTGTGTTTCCCAGGGGTGTCTAGAGCTCCTGGGCTCACGCAATCCTCCTGCCTCTACCCGCCAAAGTTGGGATTACAGGAATGAGTCACTGTGCCTGGCCTAGGATTGCCTTTTTAATTATTTTGTTACATAAAAGGCCTGCTGAGATTTGGGTGTTTCATTGCATCTATAGAGCTATTTGTGGAAAATTGCCAACATTGAACCTTTTAATTCATAAAGATAGTATATCTCTTCACTTATTTGGATCTTTAATTTCTCTCAGAAACAGTTTGTAGTTTTCAATGTACAGATCTTGTACTTTTGTTCAATTTATTTCTAGCTATTTTATTCTTGTTGATGTTATTGTCAATGGAATTGTTTTATGTCTTTTCAGGTTGTTTATTGCTAATATATAGAAATGCATTTGTTTTTCATTTTTTATTTCGTACACTGCAATTTTATTAAACTGACTCTTTAAGTCTGGAGGCTTTTTGTAGACTCCATAATATATTCTATGTAGTTATTATACCATCTGGTAATAAAGACAGTTTTACTTCTTCCTTTCCAATTTGTATGCCTTTGACTTCTTTTCCTTGCCTTATTACACTAGCTTGAACTTCCCAGAATAATATTGAGTGCAAGAGAGGTGAGCAGACATCCCTACCTTGTTACCAGTTTTAGAAACTGTTAGTCTTGCATCATTACATCTGATTTTAGGACAGGATTTTTATATGCCCTTTATCAGGTTGAGAAAGTTGTCTTCTATTCTTGGTTTGCTGGAAATTTAAATAATCAATAGGTCTTGGTTTTTATCAAATGTTTTTGCTGCAGCTATTGGGATGATCTGGTAGTTTTTGTCCTTTATTAATAATGGTATATTACATAACACGATTTTTAGTTATTGAACTAATTTAATGTTCCTGGGATAACAACCCTACTTGATCATGGTATATAACTCTTTTTGTATGTTGCTGAATTTTGTTTGCTCATATTTTGTTAAAGATTTTTTAATCTGTTTGGGGGAAGATTTTTCTGTTGTTTTCTTTTCATGTGATATATTTCTCTGGCTTTGGTGTCAGGATAATAGTGGCTTCATAAAATGAGTAGGAAAGTGTTCCCTCTCCTCTAACTTCTGAAACAGTTTGTGTAGGATTGATATTATTTCTTCCTTAAAAGTCTGATAGAATTCACCAGTGAAGTCATCTAGTCTGAGCTTTTATTTGTAGGAAGGTTTTTAGTTATTAATTCCATTTCTTTTCTTGATTTAATGTTTTCTTCTTAAATCAGTTTTGGTAATTTATGTATTTCTAGAAATTTTTATAATTCATCTAAGTTGTTGAATTAGCATAAAGTTTTTAATAAAATTTTATGTAATTCCTTTTTAAGAACTAACTTTTGAAATTGCTGATTTTCTGTTTTCCGTTTCAACATTTTACACACTGGTAGTTAATAGTTTTTTCTCTCCAGCTTACTTCGTGTTTGATTTACTTTTCCTTTTCTGTCTTCTTGAGGTGGAAGCTTAGAGGATTAATGATTCCATTTCTTTCTAACGAAATCACTTAAAACTATAAATTTCACTCCAACTACTTCTTTAGCTAAATTCCATAAATTTTACTATGTTGTGTTTCCCTTTTTCACTCCGTCTAAGATATTTATTTCCCTTGTAATTTCTTTTTTGACCTATAGGTTACTTAGAAAACTGTGTATTATCCCAACATTTGGAATTTCCCAAATCTTTTTCTATTGTTGATTTCTAATAATTTCATTGTCGAAGAGAACATGTTTTGTATGATTTTGGTCCTGTTGAGTACATTACAGTTGTATATGTCCTAGTGCCTTGCTGTTTTTTAATATTCATTTATTTTGGAGGGTTTTATATATTAGTTCAGAAATACATCTTGTTTTTAATACTTAATCAGATTCCCACTAAAGCTAATGGATATTGTTGCTTTCAGGCTTTTTCTATTAGAAAAACAGTGTATCTTTTAAGTCTATTTTTAATTGACAATAATTATACATATTTATGGGGTATATGATGTTTCAACACATGTATATGCTGTATAAGTATCAAATCAGGGTAAGTAAATCCATCACCTCAAGCATTTATCATTTCTTTGTGGTGAAAACATTCAAAATCCTCTATCTACTTTGAAATATACTATACATTATTGGTAACTATAGTCAACCTAATGTGCAATAGGACACAGGAACTATTTTCTCCTAACAGTAACTTCGTATCCTTTGTACAATTTCCCCCTACCCCTCCTTCCCACTACCCTCCCCAGCCACTGCTATCCACTATTTTATTCTCTATTTCTATGAGATGAACTCTTTTATATTCTGCATATAAGTGAGATCGTGCAGTATTTGTCTTTCTGGGCCTGGCATACTTAATGTAATGTCCTCCAGGTTTATTCATGTTGTTGCAAATGACAGGATTTCATTCTCTTTTGTGGCTGAATAGTATTCCATTGTGTAGATTTACCACATTTTCTTTAACCATTCATCCATTGATGGACACTTGGGTTGGCTCCATATCTTGGCTATTGCGAATAGTACTTCAATAAATATAGGAGTGAAGATAACTTTGTGACATATTCATTTTATTTTCTTCAGATATATACCCAGTAGAATTACTGATCATGTAGTAGTTCTATTTTTAATATTTTGAGGAACTTCCATACTGTTTTCTGTAATGGCTATACTAATTTACATTGCCATCCACAGTGTGCAAGGGTTCCCTTTTCTCCACATCCTCGCCGACACTTGTTATCTTTTGTCTTTTTGCTAATAGCTATCTTAACACATTGAGGTGATATCACACTGTGGTTTTGATTTGTATTTCCCTGATAATTAGTGATGGTGAGCAATTTTTCATATAACTGTTAGCCATTCGTATGTCTTTTGAGGAATGTCTACTCAGCTCTTTCGCACTTTTTTTTTATTATTTTTTTTTAGCTGTTAAGCTGTTTGAGTTCCTTGTATATTTTGGATATTAACTTCTTGTCAGATGAGTAGTTTGCAAATATTTTCTCCTATTTTGTAGGTTTTCTCCTATTTTGGAGGTTGTTGATTGTTCTTTTTCAGTATGGAATCTTTTTAATTGGATGTAATCCCATTTGTCTGCTTTTTTATTGCCTGTGCTTTTGAGGCATATCCAAAAAACCATTGTCCAAGCCAATATCATGAAGTATCTCCACATGTTTTACTATAGTACCTTTATAGTTTTGGATCTTACGTTTAAGTTTTTAATGCATTTTGATTTGATTTTTGAGAGAGACAGAAGTCTAGTTTTATTTCCAATTTTCACAGCACCATTTATAAAGCTATGCTTTCCCCAATGAATCTATTTTATCTAAGTATAGCCACTCCTACTCTTTTGTTTACTGTTTGCCTGGAATATCTTCTTCTATCCCTTTATTTTCAGCCTCTGTGTGTCCTTAAGGTTAATGTGAGTCTCTTGTAAGCAGCATATAGTTGGATCTTGTTTTTTAAACTATTCAGCAAATCTGTGTCTTTTGATTGGAGATTTCAATCCATTTACATTCAAAGTATTTATTGATAGATAAGGACTTACTACTGATGTTTTGTTAATGGTTCATAGTAGAGATATCTATGATTTACAGAGCAACATAACAGTATTGAATTATTCTGGATTTGATATATTTGCCCTTATCAGTGAATGTTGTACTTTCATATGCTTTCATTTCTACTTGAAGAACTCCCTTAAGCATTTGATGTAAGGCAGATGTAGGGGAATGATTTCCCTCAACTTTTGCTTGTTCAGGAAAGACTTTCAGCACTTTCAATATCATCCCCTTCTTTCTTAGACTCCAGGGTTTCTGCTGAGACATCTGTTCATAGTCTAATGGTAGTTCCCTTGTGTATGACTTGACATTTTTCTCATTGCTGCTTTTTAAATTCTTACTTTTTCTTTTGACTTTTGACCATTTAATTGCACTTTGTCTCAGTGAGGACCTCTCTAGGTTGAGTTTGTTTGGGAACCTGTAAGCTTCATTAATCTGGATGTTTTTATCTCTTCCAAGACTTGGGAAGTTTTCACCAACTATTTTATAATTACAGATAAGCTTTCTGTCCCTATCTTTGTCACTTCTTTTTCTGAAACTCTCATAATACAAATGTTTTCTCATTTAATGGTATCCCAGGACTCCCATAGGCTGTTTTCACTTTTTTATTGTTTTGGGTTTTTGTTTTTGTTTTCCCCTCTGATTGGGTAATTTCAAAAGATCTAGATCTATCTTCAAGTTCAGAGATTCTTTCTTCTGCTTAATCTAGTCTGCTACTGAAGCTCTGTATTGTATGTTTTTAATTTCATTCATGAAATTCTTCAGCTCCAAGATTTCTATTGGTTCTTTTTTAGATATCCATCTCTTTGTTAAATTTCTCTTTGAGATCATGAACTGTTTCTCTGATTTTTTTCAACTGTCTATCTGTATTCTCTTGTATCTCACTGAGTTTGCTTAAAGCCCATTATTTTTAATTCCTTTTCAGACAATTTATAAATTTCCCTTTTTCTGGAGGTTAGTTACAGAGTTATTGTGTTCCTTTGGTAGGGTCATATTTTCACCTCCAAACAAGTCTTAGTATGCCGGCTGAAAAAGATGTAGTGGCTGGTTCCAAGTATATTCAGTGGTATAGTCTTTGCACAGATTCTTCAGCTGCAATTAACATTTGCGATGATGTCTCAGCAGCCTAGGCTATAGGAGTTTGTGGCAACAGCAGTGGCAGCATAGATTGCTGGGGTTCTTGGTGGCAAGAGTTTTGAGACTGTCCTGATCATGTTTTCTCCACAATGGGCAGACTTAGCTGAATGAATCCCTCTTGGTGTTGGGTCTAACATGGTCAATATGCAGCTGCAGCATATGCAGCTGCAGCAGCACTGGGCTCCAGGACACAGGTGTCAGAGCAGCTGTGAAACTGAGGTCCGGGGTTCAAGATCTTGCCAACCTATTGTAACAACTGGGTCTTGTGCTATAGGTTTACTCTCTGAGGCAGAGTTGGATAGAGATTGCCCACAGAGCCAGGATCTGTGACTCTGAGGCAACCTCCAGGAGCTTAGGCCCAGGGGGCCAGCTTGTAGCTATGTCTCTGACCCTGAGGGCAGGGCACGGCACTGGCCTGGCTCCAGAAAAGAAGGGGTGCTATGGAGATTTGGGCCTGGTGAGCAGGATACAGCTGCAATTTGTGAACCAGAGCCAATACGACATAGCGTCAAGTCAGATCGTGGGGGATGAGACACTATTTAGTGGTGACTTTGGACCCTGAGGTGGTGGAACACAGCAGCATCCCAGACTTGGTCAGGTGCAGCAGCCAGAACCCTAGAATAGCAGAGTGCAGCAATTGCTTAGGCTCTGGTGGGACAGGGAGCAGCACAGAGATGACTTTACTCCCCAGTGAAGGGTTTGTCTCAGCAGCTCAGACTCTAAGGGGCTGGTTTGACTCCAGGGAAGGAGGGTACTAGTTGTTTTGCGTGCGGGCCAGGGTGTCTCAGCCCAACCAATGCTGTTTCTCTGGGATGCAGGGTTTCTATCAGCTCAGCCCAGGGATGCATGGCTGCTCAGCTTCACCAGGGCACTAATTCCTTTGGAGGCAATGTGCTGCTTCAGCTCAGTCCCAGGAGGTGTGACTGCTCTCAGTGGCCAAGACATCATTTCCCAGGAGGCAGGGCACATCTTCAACTCAGGCACTGGTGGGACATGACTCCTCTGGACAGCCAAGACACTGTTTCCCCAGGATGCTGGGCACTATTTCAGCTCAGACATGGGGGAGCTGGATGTAGCAGTTACTGGGAGGTGTAGATGAAGCTGTGTTGTTAATCCACTGTTTCCTTGGGAGGCAGTGCACAGCTTTATTTTGGGCCCTGATTGACAAGATGCAGCAACCACTGGGAGGGGTAGATAGAGCAGCTCTACAGCAGCTTGGCCTCACAGGGTAGGGTATGGTAGCAGCTCCGCTCAGGGATGGTGAACCACTGAACAGGGGTGGCTCCATGGTGGCTAAGCCCTTAGGCATGGGAGGGTGCCATGGCCACTCACCCCGAGAGCAGGACATAACCTAGCAGTAGTTCTGATTCCAAGATGGCAAAGCACAGTAGCCGTGTGGGTCACAGGGGGCAAGGCACCGTGTCGGCTTCTTTTCTGGAGGGAGCATGGCTGTGTGGACTCCTGACACCTCCTTCAGCTGGGTTCAGTGTCTGTGAGGACTGCAGGAGTCCCCAGTGGTGAGGACTGCAGGTGTCCAAGGTGTTGATGGGGGGATGCTGGGGTCCACCTGCTTACCTTTTCCTCACAGGGAGAAGTCCCTCCTGGTTCTGAGCTGAGCCCAGCTGGGAGGTGAGGTGGTGGAGGCCAGGGGTTTCCTTCCATCCTCTCTGGGGCCATCCTAGATTTCTGTGCTCTACAGGGTTTCTGCCACTCCTTTGATGTGCACTAGTGCTCTCCTTTAGTTATTTTCATCAAAATGTAATTACTTATCTGTTGTTTGGACTGTCCTTGTGGGGTAGGGACAAGTGCTAAGGGTTTCTAGTTGGCCATCTTGCCCCTTTCTCAGTTTCAACAAATACTTTTTGAATGCCCACAATGTGCTAGGCGCTTTTTTAGCACTAGAGATAAAGCAATAAACAAAGCCAATCATGTCCTTTTCCTCATGGAATTGATATTATTAGAGACAGACCAAAAAATAAATAACATAAATATGTCCTTAGTTTGTTTTTTACATTTATATCTCCTATCCCCCTGGAGTTTTATCCTTGAATATCTATCTTCTGCCCAGCTCCTTTACTGAGTTATCTTAGTGTTTCTCGTAATTTTTTCAGTTCATTTCATGGTGTTGTATTTGGGGGCATACACGCGTACCACCTACAAATAACAATCGCTTTGCCTCCTCCTTTCTTATTTGCATACCTTTGATTTGTGTTATTATATACATGTCACTGTTAATAGTGAGGATTATGGAAATTTCTATCCATTTCCTGACTTAAATGGAAAGTCTCATTTTACACTCTTAAATACAATACTGGCCTTCCATTTAAGATTAATATTTGCCATGCTAAGGAAATACCCCTCAATTCCCATTTCATTCAGAATCTGCATCAAAAATGGGTAATAAATTTTATACAAAGCTTTTTTTTTTGCCATCTTTGGAGATGATTATTATTTTCTCCTTTGACTTATCACTATGATGAGTTGCATTAAGGGACTCATTAGCATTAAGCTATCCTTTCATTCCTGGAATAAACTATGTTCAATCATATTATGCTTATAATACACTCCTAAATTCTATTTGTTTACATATAATTTTGCATCAACTTTAAATGACATTGGCCTAAAATTTCCTTTTTGTTATATTTTTTACCATCACATTTTACTATTAAAGTTATGCTGATGTCTTAAAAGCAATCAATATACTTTCTCTGCTGAGAAATAATTTAATTATCTTCAAAGTTATCTATTCCTTGCAGATATAATATACATCTTTGCAATTATCTAGTTCTGGTGTGTTAGGTTTTGTTTTTTGTTTAATTTGGTTTGGTTTGGTGGGAGGAAGGGTACCCTTTTAGAACTTTTCAATTTCTTCCATAGTAATTAATTTTTTTTAGAGTTTCTGTCTTGCCAGGGCTCAGTTTTTACAATGCATGTTATCCTACAAATTGTCTCTTTTATTCAGGTTTTCAAAAGTATTTAAATAGAATTAAAATCAAATATTCTCCATTTTTCTTCCAGTTTCCACTTTACCTGAGAGTAGTTCTATTACTCCCATTTCTTTTTCTTTTTTTTTTTTTTTTTTTTTTTTTTAATTTAAATAGAGATGAGGTCTTGCTATGTTGACCAGGCTGGTCTCAAACTCCTGGCCTCAAGCGATCCTCCCATCTTGGCCTCCAAAAGTGCTGTGATTCCAGGTGTGAGCCACCATGCCTGGCCCTTATTTCTTATTAGTGCTTTTTCTTAATTAGGTTGGCTGGTAGTTTTTCTATTTTAATGGCTCAAGAAACATACTAATTTATTTATAAATAATTTATTGGCTGATGCCCAGCCTAGTGTAGAGGAGGGAATAATTACACTTTGCTCAAGGACACTGTTGTTTGGGGTCTGGAATATGACAAACCCAGAGTGATTGCCATAATCAAGCCTTATTATATATTTTATTCATATTTATATTAAAATGCAACAAAGTCTTCTGCTTAATTTGTGAGCTTCCTGTTAATTTCAGTTGACCCGTTTTTGAAAACTTTTCTTCCTAGTTCTATAAAACATGATCCCCCAAAGTTTTCACTAGATCAGTATATTCTCTTATGCTGACAATATATTAACTAGTATGGATAATACACATCTTTTTTTTACATTCAAAGAGAATTCAGAGTATTTAAGAGGTATCATAGACTATATCATAGCTTTGAGTGAAAAGCAGAAAATTAAGAACCCAGAGAATTGTGTTTTTGCTTTAAAATTTTAAAAAGCATAATAGAGAAAACTACTGTACCACGATTTTTAAACTGCACAGATAAAACATTAAAAGTAAAGCTAGAAGTATTAATATAACAGTGCTAATACTTTTTTCTAAAAAATATTCACAAGTTGCTTTGAATTTACAGAAAAAATGTGCAAGTATAATATACATAACACCATATACGGTTTACCCACATTGCTATTAACATTTTGCCCCATTTGTTTTATAAGAGAGAGAGAGAGAGAGTGTGTGTGTGTGTGTGTGTGTGTGTGTGTGTGTGTGTGTGTGTGTATCTGAACCATTTGAGGGTAGGTTGCATATATCATGTTCCTTTACCCCCAAATATTTTAGAGGTTGTTTCATGTTGCTACTTGTTTGGAGAAATACTTAAGCAGCTAGTTAGGTAATGCTATAAAAGATACCTTATATTTATTTATTTATTTTGAGACAGGGTCTCACTCTGTCACCCAGGCTGGAATGCAGTGGCACAATCACAGTTCACTGCTGCCTTGACCTCCTGGGCTCAAGCGATCCCCCCACCTCAGCCTTTCAAGTAGCTGGGACCACAGGCATATGGCACCATGCCTGGCTAATTTTTGTATTTTTTGTAACATTACAACATGTTGCTCAGGTTGGTCTTGAACTCCTTAGCTCAAGCAGTCCACCTTCCTCAGCCTCCCAAAGTGCTGGGATTACAGGCATGAGCTACCATACCTGGCCAAAGATAAAGAATCACTTACAATTTAAAAACCACCATGACCACAACAACAAAAGACTTAAGAAGTTATCAAAACAGATTTAAGCTATGAAAGAGAATAGCTATCACTGATAAAGATCTAATATAGAAACGTTACTGAGAGAGAAAAGCACCAGGTATTTGAAAAGATTTGTATCCAGGGAGATTAGGAGAAAATCAAAGTGGATATTCCACATTCAATTATTATATAATCCAACTTTCCATTTGAAGTCAGCAGCAAAAAAGCATATATGACAGAGCAAACTAAGTCACAAATCCACAGCATGAGTTGTGAATGACATGACATACTGGCTACTGTATTAACAAATACACCATGAAGTCTTAGCGACTTAATAAAAGTTTATTTCTCACTCACATAAGTTGCAGTGCATGTGTTCCTGAATGGCAGATCTCCTGAGCACCTCCCCTCCATGCAGTGGCTCAGGGAACCAGGCTTTCTTCTGGTGAAGATTCATGCCCTAGGACCTTCGCATCCCTCTCTGGGTCCTCTCTCTAACTCACAGCTAAAATAAGACCAAAAGTGCAAAGTGTCATGCAAGAGGCTTTAGGAGCCAGCCCAGGAAGGGGTGGTGTACCTCACTTTCTGCCACATTCAATTGGCCAGAACTCAGTTCTAGTTCCCACTGGTCATAAGAGACTGGGAAAGGTAGTACACGTTCTTGTGTGTCCAGGAATTAAAAAATGGTTTGTGGTCAAACATGTGGTAGACATTCTGCCCTTGCTATTCCTTATGTGCTGTCTATACCCTGACCTGCACATCAAGGATATATAACTATTGATCATGTCACGTCATCAGGTGATCAGGTGAAATCTTTTTTTTTTTTTGAGACGGGTTCTCGCTCTGTCGTCCAGGCTGGAGTGCAGTGGCATGATCTCGGCTCACTGCAGCCTCCACCTCCTGGGTTCAAGTGATTCTCCTGCCTCAGCCTCCCGAGAAGCTGGGATTACAGGTGCACACCACCACACCCTGCTAATTTTTTTTATTAGTAGTAGAGACAGGGTTTCACCATGTTGGCCAGGCTGGTCTCGAACTCCTGACCTCAAGTGATTCACCCACCTCACCCTCCCAAAGTGTAGGGATTACAGGCGTGAGCCACTGCACCTGGCCATGAAATCTTTTTTCTAACATGATATAGTGATGTGATTTATTCTAGCTTTGTGAGGTATACTCAAGCCACTGGTATATGTATTAAAATTCACAAGGTATCCTAACAGACTGAGAGTTAATAATTGACCCAATTTCAGTGTGTCTATGCAAAGAGATTAGCAATTTGGGGGCCCCCCAAATGTGAGAAATCTGAGTAAATATCAATGACAAGATACCCCATCCTAAGCATAGAAAATGCCATGCATTTTACAAGACATACACCAAATGGGGATATTGATGCACAAACAACACTTAGCATGAAAGAGACAGAATTCTGGGAATCTTGTAGAGTTATTGTCACACCATTTAGAAGTAGCAGAAACAGAACTCACACCTGAATCTTCTGACTGTAATTGTAGCGAGTTTTTATATTTTGTCAGTTTCCCAAAATTTTATCTTTTAAAAAAAGACTTTGATTTTGATGGCTTCTGCTTGGCTCTGCAGGACTTATTCATTCATTTAATAAGTATTTACTTAGGGCTAACTGTGTGCCCAGCACTAGTCTAGGTGCTGGAAATACGGCAATGAGCAAAACAAAGTCCCTGCCTCAAGAAGTTTGCCTCCTAGGAGGAAATTAGACAATAAACACAGTAATACATACTAGGGATGAGAATGAAGAAAAACTGAGAAACAGGGTCAGACAAAGGAAAGTGATGGGCAAGGAAGACAGTTCTTTTTTTTCCAAATTTATTTTTAAAATTGACATAAAATTATATGTGTTTATTGTGTACATGATGTTTTGAATACCTAGCTAATATATGTACTAATGTTAAATCTAGCTAATATATGCATTATCTCACATAATTATTTTTGTGATGAGAACATTTAATGTCCACTCTTAGCATTTTTCAAGAATATGGTATATCATCATCAACTATAATCACCATGCTGCACAATAGATCTCTTGAACTTATTCTTCCTGTGATGGTTTTATCCTTTAGCTAACATCTCCCCAACTCCTCCCAGCCCCACAACCATCCCAGCCTCTGGGAACCACCATTCTACTTTCTACTTCTATGAAATCAACTTTTTTAGATTCCACATGAGTAAGATCATGCAGTATTTGCCTTTCTATGCCTGGCTTATTTCACTTACCAAAATATGCTTTAGTTCACCCACGCTGTTGCAAATGACAGGACTTTATTCTTTTTTATGGCTGAATACCATTCCATTATATAGATATAACACATTTTCTTTATCCATTGATTCCCTGCCTTGGCTATTATGAGTAGTGCTTCAATAAACATGGGAGTGCACCACATACACCATGGAATACTATGCAGCCATAAAAAAGGATGAGTTCATGTCCTTTGCAGGGACATGGATGAAGCTGGAAACCATCATTCTCAGCAAACTATCACAAAGACAGAAAACCAAACACCACATGTTCTCACTCATAGGTGGGAACTGAACAAGGAGATCACTTGGACACAGGGCAGGGAACATCACACACTGGGGCCTATCAGGGGGCAGGAGGCTGAAGGAGGGATAGCATTAGGAGAAATACCTAACGTAAATGACGAGTTGATGGGTGCAGCAAACCAACATGGCACATGTACACCTATGTAACAAACCTGCACGTTGTGCACATGTACCCTAGAACTTAAAGTATTAAAAAAAAAAGTTCTAGGAAACAAATAGAAAAAAAAATAAACATGGGAGTGCACGCATCTCTTCAACATATTTGTTTCATTTCCTTCAGATATATACCTAGTGGTGGAATTACTGATCATATAGATCTATCTTTGATATTTTGAGAAACCTCCATGCTGTTTTCCATAATGGCTATACTAATTTACATTGCCATCAACAGTGTGCAAGGGTTCCCTTTTCTCCACATCCTCTCCAACACCTGTTATCTTTTGTCTTTTTCCTAATAACTATTCTAACAGGAGCGAGGCGATACTGCCTTGTGGTTTTGATTTGCATTTCCCTGATGATTAGTGATGTTGAGCAATTTCCATATACTTGTTGGCCATTTGTATATCTTTTTGTGATAAATACCTACTCAGGCATTTGCCTATTTTTTGATCAGGTTATTTTTTTCTTGCTATTGAGTTATTTGAGTTCCTTATATATTTTAGATATTAACCCTTTATCCATGTACAGTTTACAAATATTTTCTTCCATTCTTCATGTTGTCACTTCATTGTGTCAATTGTTTCCTCTTCTGCACAGAAGTTTGTTAGTTTGATATAACCCTATTTGTCTAGTTTTGCTTCTGTTACTTGGGTTTTTGAGGTCATGTTGAAAAATCACTGCCCAGACCAATGTCATAAAGCTTTTCCCCTATGTTTTCTTCTATTAGTTTTATAGTTTCAGGTTTTACATTTAAGTCTTTGAGCCATTTTGAGTTGATATTTGTATATGGTGAGAGATATAATCTAATTTCATCCTTCTGCATGGGGATATTCAGTTTTACCAACACCATTTACTGAACTTTCCTTTCTCCATTGTATTTTCCTGGAAACTTTGTCAGACAGTTCTCCTTTAGAAAGAGTGGCCAGGGAAAGACATCTGTGTAGAAATCTAAAGAAAGTGAGTGAGCAAGCTGTAGAGATATCCAGGATAGAATTGCCCATGCAAGCAGAAGATTTTGAGGCAGGGCTGTGCTTGATGCAGACAAGCCATGACAAGGAGCTAAGTTGGCTAAAGCTAAGTGAGGAAGAGATGGAATGGTAGAAGAGGTCCAAGAGATTGTTGGAGGTGGAGGGAGGCAAGTAATGTGGAATCTTGTGTAGCCATGGGCCAGAGAAAGGACTTTGGGTTTCACTTTTGAATGAAACGAGTTTCTGAGTGTCTGAGCAGAGGAGTGATAGGACATAACATTTTTAAAGGCTCGTGCTAGCTGCTGTGTTGAGAATAGACTGTTGGTGAGCAAGGATGGAAACAGGCAGGCAGGCAAGCTGGCTTCCACTGCAGTCCAAACTAGATGAAGAAAGCTTGGAGGAGGTTGGTTAGGAGTGGATGAGGTAAGAAATGGATTGTAAATATATTTTAAAAGCAGAGCCACAGGATTTACTGATGGACATGATGGGGGATATAAGAAAAAGAGAAAAATCAAAGATTTTTTTTTTGAGACAGGTTCTCGTTATTTTGCCCAGGCTAGCCTCGAACTCCTGGGCTCAAGTAATCCTCCCACCTCAGTCTCCCCAGTAGCTGGTACTACGGGCATGTACCACCACACCCAGAGGACTACAAAAATTTTAACCTAAAAAACCAGAACAAAGTTGCCCTTTATTTATATAATGACTATGATAGATGCATATGGTCACAGGAGACAGGATGGGGAACCGAGAATCCAGTCTGGGACATGTCAAGCTTGAGATGCCTTTAAGCCATCCACGTAGAGATGGCTGGTATGTGGGGAGTATGCCTAAAGCTGGGGACTGAATAAGAACATCTAGGAAATGAGTGCAAATAAAGAAGAGAAACATTCTGAGGACTAGGAACCTCCAATTTTAAATGTCAGGAAGGGGAAGAGTGACCAGCAAAAGGCCAAAAACACATAACTTGTGAGGAAGAAGAAAAACCATGTCCTAGTAGCCTTATGAAGGAAAGCATTTCAAGATGGAAGGTGTGAGCAGTTGTGCCAAGTGCTGAGTAAAATAGGACGGAGAAGGTAGCTTTGGATTTGGCAACAGGATCAAATATTTTGAGCTAACGTGACCACTCAAGTCAGTTGTAAGTAAACTCAATTTTTTAAAAAATGATTGACTAATTGGCAAGAAGTCAATATTAGTGTTTTGGTCACTTGAAAACAAAGCTTCTTTCATGTTCAAATTGGTAGAGTACATTTATTTGCATGTACTATGTTTTTATATATATTCAGGGATGAGGCGGAATACACATTGTCTCTTCATTATTATCCTGGGTGATCTTTATTTTCTCCCATTCAACTCATATGAGATCAACTTCTTATCACCAAAATTCCATGCACTGAGAAATCCATAAAAAAAATAAAAAGAACTAATATTCCTATTTGTGCCAATGTTAAGTGATGAAATGTTGTTGTTTGTGGTAAGTTTCAATAGAAGGAGCTATTGTTCTTAATATTTTAGACCTCATTCATTTGGAGCTTAGAGGCAGGGAAATTGCATTCATTGTATCGAGGAGATTCTTGGAGACAAATTACTTGTTTAGATTATCATAAAGCTCAAATACCATAAAAATAAAAAATTTTAAACTACAGTCCCTCTTTAATACAAAAAGAACCAGGACTAGAAGCCCAAAGCTCACCATTACACAATATATCCATATGACAAACCTGCACATGTACCCTCAAATCTAAAATGTAAAAATAAAATAACATAAAGCAACAAAAAGTACATTGTGCCATTCTAACCCCACCCTGCAAACACATATCACTTAAGTATTTGGATGAATATATCTATTTGTTTTATTTAAAAATATGTCTGTTGGCCATTTCTAAATACTGGTGAAAGAGGGACAGTAGAAGTGTGTTTACAGATGGTAAATCTATGTGTATAACAGGATGATATGGTTTGGCTGTGTCCCCACCCAAATCTCATCTTGAATTGTAGCTCCCATAATTCCCATGTGTTGTGGGAGGGACCTGGTGAGAGATAACTGAATCATGGGGTGGTTTCCCCCATGCTGTTCTTGTGATAGTAAGTCTCACGAGATCTGATGTTTTTATAAGGGGTTTCTGCTTTCCCTTGTTTCTTTTTCTTTCTTGCCTATTGCCATGTAAGACATGCCTTTCTCCTTCCACCATGATTGTGAGAGCTCCCCAGCCATGTGAAACTTTGAGTCCATTAAACCTCTTTTTCTTTATAAATTACCCAGTCTCAGGTATGTCTTTATTAGCAGCATGAGAACAGACTAATACACAGGATATAATTGTTAATTATCAATTTTGTATTAACCTGTTATTTACCTCAGTTTCTAATGTTATTTACCCCAGTTTCTAACACCTTAAATGCACACCTAAATGCATAAGGAACATGTTAACATTTACCTTCATCAGTTATCAGTATAAATGTAAGTAATTGTTCTAGTGGATATATACAGAAATGCCAATTCAGAGAAACTACTGTCTTTTAAATACCTTATTTAAAGTAGCTAATTTCCCTCAAGAACAAGGACTGTATCTCTCATACCAGTTTTTTCCTCGAGCTTGGCGTGCATATTTGTTGAATTATTTTATTCTGTTATGACACCAGGGAGAGAAGAACAGTCACAAAACAAAATCAGGAAGATGCATGTGTGAGTCAAATAATGCAGCTGAGTGTATAAAAATGAACAAAACTATTTTTCTACTGACTGTCTTCTGTCTGGGCTTTTCAAGCAACCTATCATCATTCGATTCTCTTTGGTCATGTACCAAGTCTTTGTTTAATTTGTCTATCTTCCTCCTCTTTGTTCATTCCATAAATGTGCCAGGTGCTGTTATAAATATGGGAACATCCAGTTAACAAGATAAGTTCTTGTTCTTATGGAGTTTAACACTAATGGGTAAGAACAGATTAACCCTATACATTAACCCACAAATTGTGCTAGTTTTATGACTGTAAATCCTTCCATACGACAGTGCCCTCACTCAGAAAAAAAAAAAAAAAAACATACAGTCTTACCTGAATTAGATAAGGAAAAACTCTTTTAACTGGAATCATAATACTAGATTTCTAGTATAATATGTGCTGCTAATTCACATGGTTACTTTGAGTATGTCACTTTTCTGGCCACCAACTACCCTTTGTTAAATTGAAGATAACCTGCAATGTCCATACTATGTAAAAAAAACCCCAGGGTTCTCAATGTTTCTGGATTCACAGGCTTAGTTACAATCGTCTATTTTATGAGTTGGGGGATCCAGAAGAAAGGAGTTGTAAAAAAAATAGAGTATTAGTCTGTTCTCACGCTGCTATAAAGAACTGCCCAAGACTGGGTAATTTATAAAGGAAAGAGGTTTAATTGACTCACGGTTCTGCAGGGCTGGAGATGCCTCAGGAAACTTACAATCATGGCAGAAGCGGGAGCAAACATGTCCTTCTTCACATGGCAGCAGGAGAGAGAAGTGCCAAGCAAAGGGGGAAAAGTCCCTCATAAAACCATCAGATCTCGTGAGAACTCACTATCACAAGAACAGCATGGGGGTAACAGTCCCCATGATTAAATTACTTCCCACTGGGTTCCTCCCACGACACGTGGAGATTATGGGAACTACAGTTCAAGATGAGACTTGGGTGGGGACACAGCCAAACCACATCAAACAGTTTGTTTACTATGTATTTTTCTATAAACCTATTTCCTGCCCCCTTCTAATCAACAGTAGTAATTTCCTTGAGCATGCAGCCCAAAATTTACTAACCTTAGATAAAACATGGCAGTAGCAAAATTTGGGATTTCAACAAATGTCAGAGGGAAGAAGAAAAAGTAGTAGTAATGGTTACAGCCAACAATTCTAAAGCTACAGGAGGATGGTCAAATTTACTATTATGTAAAATATGTTCAATCAGTTTATTCAAATTATTTTTAAGTGGAGGGAGGGAATCTTTCATTGGAGACTTTTTTAAAAAGCAAAACTCAAATCTAAAAATAACCAGTATACAATAAATTTGCCAAGTAAGTCTCAAATTCCCCTGGTTCTATAAATTTTAAAACTTAAATTAAAAAAAAATCACATTCCTCACTCTCTGCCACTATACTGTAATAAATTTTATTTTAGAAATTATGCTTGTCATGTCAAAAATGTGCTCTGCTGTTGGAGTGTTCGTTGCTTATGCATGAGAGCAGAAATTTAAATGGACTGGGTGCAATTAAAGTTATGTACAAGAGAATTCCAGATGGTGAACTGAAAATCTTGCCGTGAAGCCTGTTGAATCACAGTGCCTGCATGAGTTGGCTCTTACTTTTTGAATAAATGAACGAAATCACCTATAGCAGTATCTTGCTATAAAGCCTTATAAAGTCATGTTCATTTTTCATACTGTGGAATATGAAATATATTCATTATATTATATGAAATATAATGAATATGAAATATATTCATTATATTATATGAAATATAATGAATATGAAAAATATTCATTATATTATAATGAATATAAATTCTAACGAAAAGTGCAAATGGAAATAATTGCAGTTATTATACCACATTAATGAAAGTTATGCAGATTGCCCTAAAATTTAAAGAAAATGTATTATGTTGTGCCTCTCCTCCTAATTAACGTTATTTCATATTGTGTGGTACATTTATGGAGAATTTTTTAGTGCATTAGATAAATCAGTTTTGTATTTCCAGGAGAGTGGGTTGTAATGAGCATTACAATGCATTTCAGTTCAGAAGCAGTTTTATGTTACAAAGCATCTTCTGCTAGTAGATTGGAAAATGTTGCACCAAAGTGATACTTCCACTAAAAATCTGGAATACAATTTAACAAGGGAAGCATGGATGAATCCATTATACTTAAATGGCTATAAATTTGGGATTAATACTGCATTTTAGCTATGTATTTTTTTATTTGTCAAAAAACTCCCCATACCACACTTGCCAGTGATCTAAAGTGATTTGCAGGGCCTGCTGTATCCCACTTGCCACTTGGCATGTAAATCTGCACACTTATATAAAGAACATAAAATGAAAACATTCATGACCACTAAAATACATGCATTAGATCCACATTTAGCTGAAGCTAATCTAATATGCCATCATCCCAAGTACTTACAGATAATTTTCTCTCCCTCATGCTAAGGAAACTACCTTCTACCTAGGCGCATCCTTCCTTCTTTCCCTCTGGCTTCAAAAGAAAATTTATAGGTCCCATAATCAAAGACACTAACTTCACCTTGCTCTGGAAGGAAGTCACTCTTAGTCACTCAGGGAACCACTTCATCAACATTCCCTTTATCATGGACCCTGTTATAACTTCCTTTTTCTTCAGGCACCTTACCTTTAGCCTATAAACCTGCTCTAATTTATCCCATTCTTTAAGAACTTTTTCTTGATTCTGCTTTCCCCTCCAGCCATGGATTTTTCTCTTTTCTTTCATCCTGGGCCAAATTTCTTGAAAGATTATCCAAGTATGGGCCTACATTTACCCCACCATAAATCATAAAGATAGTGATTCTTGTAGGAATAGCCTTTACTTAACATCTGACTTCCTTTTCTGCCTTGCACCTCTCATCCTACTGCTGTCTGGTTTCAGTCCCCATCCCACTATTGAAAATGCTCTCTCTGTTGACTTTCTATTTGTCGAATGAATATTTCTCATTTCTTCCAGAATCTTTCCTCCCGTGGCTTCCGGGACGCTCATATCTTCTAGAGGTCTTCCTGGTTCTCTGCTTCTTTTCAGACTCCTTTAATGAATTCTTTGTCTACTCCTCAAAAACTGAGATTTCCCAGCTTGTGTTGCTTGTTAACCTTTTTGTTTTATCACTCTGTAACCTCACCACCACAATCATGACCACCCACATGATTGTATCTACTTTTACAATTTTATTTCCCCATCTTAATACCCCTCCATGGTTCTCCATGGCCTCTAGAAGGCAAAGATCAGAACTTTTCTCTTACATCCAAATTTTTCATCCTCTAGTCCACACCAGTCTCTTTAGCCTCATCTCACATGACTCATCGCAATTAACTCATTCTTCATTCCATAAATATTCACTGATCCTCTACTGTGTTTCAGATACCACTTGAAGCTCCTTAATGTAGCAGTGAACAAAACATGTAAAAACCTCTGCCTTCATGGCATTCATATTCTCCTAGTAGCACAGAGCTGTTGTTTTATATCTCTTTGTCATTGCAAAGTATTTCTTCCTATCTTAAAAATCTGTGTGTTTTGGCAAATTTCTATTTATCCTTGTGAATTCAGGTCAGACATTACTTCTTCCAGAAAGACTGTCCCAGCACCTCACATTTTCCCACCAGCCCTATAAGAATCTTTATCATTTCTTCAGGTCCAGGTTTGTTGTTAAGTCATAACATTGGGGTTACCATTTTTCTTCAGAATTTCTCAGGAAAATCCCAGAAAGACACATTGTGCTTTCTGGACTGGAAGATGCCTAGTCCTTTAATAAATTGTAAATGGAGTGCTAGATCAAGTAATTTCACCTTACCCGCACACACCAAATGATCACCGAATCTCCGATTGTTAAGAGTCCATACGACAATTATCTGGTAATTGAGCGGACAATTTGTTTCCCCAAATAGCCTTGCTCACATGTATTGTAAAACATGAATAAATTTAGTATTATGTTTTTATGTTATAAAACCATGTTATTTAGCCTAATTATACTACAGCTTTAAAAATTGTTATAAACCCAGCAACAGTCATATATGACTTTCAAATTCTATTTGTTCATAAACTAAGGATCATCCTATTAGCAGAGGATACAAGCAAGATTACATTGTTCCTACCTGCATTATATTTTAGTGTCTAGCAAACAGTGTTTAGCTATTTGCCCTTGTCAGAAAAGACTATTAAATTAATGAGTTTGCCTGCCAATTTTGTTTGAAGCTACCTACTTTCCAACAGTATACCTTAAAATATGTGGATGCCTTGCTTTTTTGCCTGTGTGGTTTTTTTTTTCTTGTGGAATACCTCTTAGCAATGGTTCCTGAGTCAAGGCCATCCCACCCTCCCCCAAACACCAGGGGTGGGTTTGTAACTACCCAGGGTCATTTTGGGGTTGTATTATGGGAAAAAAAACCCTCTTGGTTAGACTTGGAAGTAAAAATCCTTAAAAATATACTTGTAAGAACTACACTGCAGGCTTAAGGAGACAAGTCCAGCTATTCAGTCAACGACTGGACTTCTACCATACCCTAAGTTCCCAACACATCCAAATTACATCCTTTCTTCAGCCTAAAGTCCCTTCAAAGACTTCCCTTTGTGTCCAACAAAGGGAAAAGGATCAAGTGAGGGAAAAGAGAGCTTGTTTACTTCAGGTGTAGGGAAGGAGGGAGGACCTTTTCATTTATGTTAGCAAACTTGAGGAAGGCTATTTGAAGATGGTGCCAGTAACATACAGTGGAAGAAGTCGCCATATTTGTCCAGTTTAAAAAAACCTTTAGGGACGCATAGAAGTGTTACAGTGCTTGTATGGTGAAATAACACATTAAGAATCTGTCAGATATCATTTTAATTTCAAGAAAGCATGAATGGAATTTGTTTTTCGTTGAAGCTGTTTATCATCAATTGTTGTACTGATTGGATTCTTACTGGCATTTAGAGCGCAGGGGCCAGGAATGCAAAAACACCCAGCTGTGGGGAACAGGCACGCAATCCCAAAACCCATCCCATCCAGAATTCCAAAGAGTATTCCTCTCCATGGAGGAATACTCTGACCCTTTCTCACCACCAGGTAGCTTCTCTAGTCTTGTTGCCTCAGATCTTTTCTTTCTGCTGCACGCAAGCTTTGCTGAGCCTTCTCACTTAACCTTACGGCAGCACCTGGCTCCTTAAGGTGTGGTCCTCAGTACCTGGGAGACCAGGTCATTTTGCATCCCACTTTAGACCCTATTGAATCATTATCTACATTTTAACATCATCTCCCAAGTGATTTATATTCCAATTAAAGTTTCCATATTCCAGCATGAAGCCTGACCCTTGAATGATTGATCCTGGTCCAGTGACAGAATCCCCTAATTTAGTGGAAGAGATTTCTATGAAATTACTAAAGACCATCCTCCCCAAGGCTCTTGAGAAAGCTTACTTCAACAAACGTCTCTAAATTGCAGGAGTTTGTGAAAGTCAGTCAGTGATGCTTTTGAACACACTAAAAAACTGCCTGAGGAAGGCACATCAGGAAACTGTGAACAAGTCAACTTCTGAGACAGCCAGTCACATGGAAGGAAGTCACACTTCCAGGGTTTTTACAGAAACCAAAAGATGCCCAGAATCTGAGCTGGCGTCAGGCTAATGAAATAGGGGCCTTCCAATTGTTTCTCTTTTTTCCTCAGAAGAATTAATTACCCAAGCTGCCCCTCAAAGTCTCAATAAATAAGGAGGTCTTTTTTGATATTGTAGTTTGTGAGCCTAGAATTTCAATTGACTCCTTCAGAAATTTGGAAAATCATTAAAAACAGGTATCAGAATGATAGATGAAAAATGTGAACTTAGTTTCACATGTGTAAGACGAAAGTTATTCTCTAAAAAAAAATTGCATATTCACTAAAAAGTACTAGCAACAAAGTTTTTAAAACTTGTATACACCTATGGTAAAATGCTTAACAAAATGAATTGTAATAGAGAAATAAAATCACGTTCTAAAGGAAGGGATTTGAAATTGGGCTTATCACTCTCATCCTTTAGAAATACTATATTATGCTATAAAAATAACTCTGTACACCCTATGTAACTTTAAATTATCAATGTCATATAAAAGTAGCATTATACTCTTGACTCCAAAATGTCTGAAAACACTTTAATGCAATTCAAAACAGTGCCCTCGAGTGTTAGGGAGAATTTTTCTGCTCTGCCTTATCAGGCATGATGAGATGAGCACAGTGTTTGGTCTAATTAGTTCTAGTGCTATTCCCCTGAGCGATACTTGAAGGCATTCTTTAACTTGAGAAATTAATAAGGACAAAAAAAAGGACAATGTGTCGATTCAAATATATGCAGTTTACTAACAGTTAACGTAGGCACTGTTAACTGAACGTTTATTAGAACCATGTTCTAATCGTCATTTTTCTGTGGGTCACTAATCCCTGTTTACTAGATATTGGTGGACCTCTTGGCCAAGAATGGCTGGGGATCCTCCGAATCTGTGTCTGGAGTCTCAGTTTTCATCTGACATGCTTGACCACTTCTGCCAGAATCCAGGAGCTCTCTCTTATGACACCTGCAGTGACTTCTATTGGTGTCTCCCACTTGGGTTGGAGGTCTTGTAAGATAGATCACAAGGACCCTTCTCTGTCATCGTCCCTTCCTATTTAGGAACCTGGCTTACTGGTTCCAAAACAAATATTACTGTAAAAGGCCAAAACAGCCTATCCCTCCTTGGCAGAGTGATCCAGAGCTGTCACACAGGCTCAGTGTCCTTGCAGGACCACGGGCTGTCTCCTCCTGACCTAGCACAGTGCCACACCATAGTGCTGGCCTTTTTGACGTGAAGCTCGCCCCATTTGTCCAGAATCCACACAGAGCCCAGTATGTGGTTTCTTCCTCAGCTAGAGTGAAAGAAAACCCACCAAAGCCTGATTTCCTTGCAAAGTGAAGGTGTTGGGAGGCAGCCCAGCATGGTTGTTAGGACACAGGCCCTGAGTTCAAATCTTGGTGTTCACTTGGCCTGTGTGATCTGCCACATGTATCTTAGGATCTCCAAACTTCAGTTTCCTTACCTCTAATGGAGCTATCAGTGTGCTAATTACAAGGACTAAACAAGAAAATCCACATAGAGCACTTAGCACAGTGCCTGGTGCAAAAGCTGTGCTCAATAAATCTTGGCTGGTGTTGGCAGTTAGAGTCCCCAGTTAACAGACCATTCCCATTCTCTCCCCTCATCCATTTCTTTTGAGTTTGGGAATAAGTTGCAAAATGTGTGTCATGATGGTCTATAGATCAGAAACCATCAAATCTACTCTGCTCAGGCAGAGCCATATTCCAGCCTCAATTGATTTGCATTGGCCGAAAGGCCCCTGTGGGCACGAGATTCTAGATGGTCTCCACCTTCCTAGAAGATGTTTATGTTATAATCTAGTGTATTAGGTAAATGAAGTTATCCAAGAAATATGTTACATCTTCCCTTCAAAACTGTTTCCTCATAATGAAATAATTACTCTGGAATTCACCATAGGTAACAACGGCCTCAGCTACAAAGGTTTTCAATGTGGGCAGGATCATAAAGATCTTTTCTTATTTACATTTTAGTCTCATATACATTATATTTAATGAGTGTTTTTTTCCTTCCCCATAAATATATTTCTACTTTTACTGACTTTTAGTTAAATAAAGATTTGCCACATCTACTGATATTCTCAATAACAAGTATTTTAAATATAAACACTCGGAAACCCTGAGTTTTGTATTTTCAGCATCTAAAAAATTTCTAAAATGCTGATTTAAAGCATGGAGTCTCTGCTGTTGATGTTGCCCCTCTTGGGTTGTGAGTCTTGTAAAATGGGTCTCTAAGGAACCTGCTCTATCATTGCCCCTTCCTGTTAGAACCTTGCTTACTGATTCCCAAATACTAACTCAAAAGGCCAACCCATCATAACCATTCTAGATGTGGTGAGCCACAACTATTGGTTAATAGCCTTCATTTCTTCAGAAATTCTCCTTCACTGGTTCCATAATTTATATTTTCTATAAACTCGTAACCCTAAGTGATTCTGATGCAGATGGTTTAGGGACCGCAACTTAGGAAACAGTGATCTAGGTCAGAGATCAGCAAACCATGGCTCTTGCCAAATTCAGTCCACCATCTGCTTTTGTATGGCTCTTGAGCTAAGGATGGTTTTTACATTTTTAAATGTCTTAAAATGTTAAAAGAAGAATACTCTTTTGTAACAGGTAGGAGTTGTACAAAATTCAAATTTCAATGTCCATAAAATGTTATTGGAACACAGCCACACTCATTGGTTTGAGCATTCTCAATGGCTGCTTTTGCATTGTGAGGGCAGAGTTGAGTAGTTGCAACAGAGATCATGTAGCCTGCAAAGCCTAACATATTTACTGTCTGGCTCTTTACAGAAAAATTTTGCCAGTCTGTTGTCTAGGCATTCACAATAACCAATGATGCTTCTAAGGGTTTAAAACACACACACACACACACACACACACACACACAACTGAGTAAGAAGGCAGTATGGTATTTCTATGACACAACTTCCTCAGGTGACAGAGAAGACAAGAGTGACAAATGAGAAGTGGAGGGGAGGATTACCCAGGCTTTCTGCACAACAAGAAGGGGGGAAATTATATTTTTCTATTTCACTCATGCCTGTGAAGAGAACATCATTTCATTAGGAAGGTGGAGTTCATGCACATGAAATATCCAATAAATATTAAAAGAGAAATATACTTAAAGTCTAAATCCTATGATGCAAATAAAAGTGAGAGGAACTTAGGAAAAGAATCGCCTGAAGGTGAGATTAAAGGTGGACAAGGATTTAAGGTTAAATGGACAGAGAAGGGGGAAAAGGACTTCCCACTTTGAGTAGCTCTGTGAGTCATGAGACCTTAGAGGTGAGATGGACTAGGTCCAGTTAGAGAAGTTCTTTGATGAGCAGAACTCTGGTGAAAGTTCATACTGGGATGTAATCAAGATACTGTTGGGTAATTGAAATAGGGACAGATCCTCCGGTAGGGCCTTGAATGCCCAGCAAGAGAGTCCAGACTTACTCTAATGAGCAATGATGATGACCAGTGTAGGTGTTTTATCAACATATCAAGAACATGTGTTAGAAAAATGACTGACAACAATGTGGAATCAGACTCAAAAAGGAAAAATATATCTAAGAAACTATTTTTAAATGAATATTCAGAGAGTTATACTTTTACAGCCCTTTTTACACCAACTGTACAAGAAAAGAATAGAAACACCAAAATTGTGGAGAGGGTGGAAGCCTTGAATAGATTTATGCCCTAAACTTTTCTTAAAGCTCTTTTAAGTCTCTCTTTTTAATGATGCTGTCCCACAAAATATCTATAATCAAACTAAAATCTGATTTTAAAACCCATGCATTTAATCATGCATGTCCCAACCCTGCAATTATTGGCATTCACATCTGATTTACAGAAAACTCATTTCCATGGTCCCCTCAGCCTTGTTGTGCAAATGTCCAGTGAAACTCTAGTTCTGTTAAAAGTGTCAATCTGACTGTACATTTACCTAACAGTTTCTTCCTTGAGAAGCCATTTATATGTTCATAAGCCTCACAGAGAAATACGTACATATATACATACACACGCACAGTGCATTTTAAAATTGTTTTACCTGGCAGGAAAAGGTAGTTACCTCTAAAGCTTACAATGGCAGCTATTCAAAGGCAGACCGTGATATTACACGGTAGTTTAAGAGAGGAAATATAATTTCGGTGGTGGGAGACATTCACGTAGGCCGAGGCAATTACCAGGGTTGGACTTCAGCCAGAATATCTGAATTAACTGAAAAAGGTCTCATTCGCTGCCAGTGGCACTGAATCACTAACGAGCATGAATGTAAAGTCCCAACTCCAAATTGGTCTCAAGGCTCAGCTATAAAGTTGAAATAAGGAGAGTAATGCCTGTATTTTGTCTATAATCCATTAATTTGCCTATCATGCCAAAGCCTCATTTGAGAGAAGTTCCTGCTGGCCACTTTTTTTTTTTTTTTTTTAAACATTTGTATACTTTCTGCAGTCACTCTCTGACATTCAGTTAAACTGCACTGCACACCGGTAGGGGGCACCATTCGCACAGAATCTATGACCTAGACCTGTGAGGGTGGCATATTGACTGGGAGTGGTCCAGAAACCTGTCACCAGTGCTCAAAGAAAGACATAAAAAATTGAAATTAAGCATTAAAAACTCATATGGCAAATTGACATGAGTAATTTTATATCAGTTGAATCAATTTTTAAAACAGGGGCTTATATTTTTCTCTTTTAATTTTCTAATAATTTTCTTTACAAACATTTGGCTTTTGGATTTGAATTTTTTTAAAAACTGGTCTTTGCCAGAGATTGTTTGAGAAGCACTCCCTGTCTTAGACTTATCTATCATGTGAACAGCACCCTCGGCGTTGTACAATGTGGCTGCAGGAGCAAAGAATTGCAGAAAACAAGATCTGCCTTGGACACTCAAAGGACTAAAAGAAGAATTTTAATTTATCTAGAAATATTTTAATCACTCAGCAAGAAGTGGACTAGGGCGAAAAGAAGCCCATGCGCAGAATGCTGTCTGGACTGGACTGTTTAGAAAGAAATTGACCTCTCTCTGGTCAGTCCTTGCCAAATATGGACTTGGTTTTGAAGCACTCTCACCCCAACAAATATTCAGGCTATTTTGCTTTTGGAACTGTGCCTAAAGCAGTTCTATTTCTAAAACTCTGAGGTGCAGAAATGTGAACACATGGAGCCAGATACATAGTAAGTGCTCAAAACATTTTTCTGGTAAAACCCCATCTTTACAAAAAACACAAATACAGGTGCATGTTGGCATATGCCTGTAGTCCTGGCTACTCGGGAGGCTGAGGTAGGAGGATCACCTAAGACCAGGAGGCCAAGGCTGCAGTGAATGGTGACTGTGCCACTGCCCTCCAGTCTAATCAATAGAGCAAGACCCTGTCTCAAAAAAAAAAATTATCTATAAATAAAAAAATTAAATGTGGGAAGGGTCTTCACTAGACAATCATCTTGGTTGGCTCTACTGACGATAAACCAAGGCATAGTGTTTCTAGCAATGGTCTGAGAGGCAACCTGCTCACGGGGATAAACAAAAACTTGGAATCTCAGAAAATAAGGGGGTAAGAATTCAAGCTGAAAGGCTGCTGCAGCTGACAAGTGATCTCTGATGAGTAATCAGCCTTGGGTCTTACAGCAGTTTGTGCAGTATCCCAAAGAAAGACTCCAGGGAAGCAGTGTGCAGAAGCCAGGCCGGCAGGTAGTTTGCTTCCAGGATATCTGCAGGGACTGGGCCAGCAGAGCCAATTCTGTGTAAGTTGGAGGTGAGGTGAGCAGAGGGAAGGCGGGGGTAGCAGCCAGACCTCAGGACCTATTTCTCTGCTGGGAATGACAGTCTGGGGTCCTGAGAACATGGAGGAATGCCCAGCATCTTCAGTGACTTGATGCTGAGTGACGGTAGAGACATGGACTTCCAAAAATGCCATTCACCGTGAGGCTTTTCCTTGGTGGGAATGGAGACTGTTGAAATAGGACAAAGGTGGAAAACTGTCTGTTATTTACCTGATACACTTCCTCCAAAACAAAAAGGGGAACTATTTGGTGAAAAAAAAAAAAAAAAATTTACGTTGTTGTTGCTGTTGTTGTTGTTGAGACAGAGTCTCACTCTGTTGCCCAGGCTGGAATGTGGTGGCTTGATCTTGGCTCACTGCGACCTCCACCTCCTGGGCTCAAGCCATCCCCCTGCGTCAGCCTCCCAAGTAGTTGGGACCACAGGCACACGCCACCATGCCCGGCTAATCTTTGTGTTTTCAGCAGAGACAGGGTTTCCCCATGGTGGCCAGGCTAGTCTCAAACTCCTGACCTCAAGTGATCTGTCCACCGCAGCCTCCCAAAGTGCTGGGATTATAGGCATGAGCCACCGCGCCTGGTCAAAAAAAGAGCACTTATAACTCACTGTGTAAAACTAAGTGAGTACGAAGACTAACGAGTGGAGAGCTTTTTTCCCACACAACCTGATAACTCACCTCACAAGTCACATAGGTAAAAACTTTACTTTTAATCATCCTAAAGAAAATAAAATAAATAAAATGTTTGGTTTCTGCATAAATTCTACATTGTTCATTGCTCCTGTACTCCAATTCCCAGATGAGGCAAATCAATCCAAAACTCCAAAAATGCCAACTGAACAAACCATTCTATTTCACAATGAAATCTACGTACTCTGTAGAATTGAGAATGAGAAAGCGTTACCCTAACATTTGCCTTTGAATCAAGCAGTCCAAGGCTTTACATGATTTTGGTCCAAGGGATAATAAATGTTCAGGAGAGCAATTGCTTCTGCAAGTCAATTGTACCAAGTCGGTAAGCTTAAACATGGAGCAATTTTATTTTAAAAGTGCCCTACATGCCTGGGAAAAGCAGTGGCTTTAATAAAAATAGACAATAATGATGATGAATATAATAGTGATATTTTATACTCATCTGTTCCCTTTTTAGTTTTGGATTCAAAAATGCATAAATTCTCTTCTGGGTTTCTACTAGCTTTTATACCATAAATCTGTTTTCATTGTGAAAAAAAAGGGGCAGTATAAAATATTGGCCATAAATCATAAAATAGGGAGGCTTGTGGCATTACAGTAAATGGTTTTGGTGAGGTAAATTATCTTGTTAAGTCCTTATCAACATTTTTAATGGTTATTTTTGATTATTTAGTATATTAATATTTTGAAATTTTCAGTTTATTGGTTACTATTTCTTTGAACTATTTGATAACATAACTTGTTAATATTTCTTTAAAGTTTCAGAACTTTTGAGGTAGTTATCCTCTCCCCTAAATTGGATTGCTGTCACCACTATTTATGTCTTCCCTCTTTACAAGTACTTTAAGAATATAATTTCTATTTTCAGAAATCTCAAAGCTAACTCTTAAATATATCTCTGGGTGGTTCTTCAAACCTGTAGGTCAAGTATGTGAGAGCACTTTTTTTTTAGTACAGAAAGCTCTTAAAAGTGGAGAGCATTTTAAGAAAAATGAAAGAACAAATGGTCTGGGGAACAAAGTGAGAAAACATACATGTTTTTCTAATCTTCCTAAAAGGAAGACTGATGTAAAGGAAGAAACATACAGGCTTAGAACTCAAAAGTCTTAAAAGATGAAAGCCCAGGTGTGATACCCGCACACCTAGAAACTGTGGTATGAACAGACAGAGACAGGAGCAGTTCACCTTTGACTGCCCAGACAATTGAGAGGCTATTTATGATCCACAGAAATATTGACAGCTGTGTTGTTCAGAGTATCCCCCCATAACCATGTTTCATGAGGGAGACAATTTTTCTTCTGTTTATTTTCTGATTTATCTCTTCAGCCCTGGGTAACTTTTATGGGTGTGGTTTGATTTGATTTTTGCTTTTCATTACACTTTTCACTCAGTGTTAATTATTTGGTTTTCCTTTTGGCTTGAGAAATATCCATGTTCTGGGTATAAATTCCCTCTTAATCTAAGGAAATTCTCTTTTCTGGCTTTTCATTTGTTAGCTCATGAAGTTTCCTGCAACAGTACAGGACCTATGTGTTAAGAAGCATCAGATGGCAAAGCTTGGACTCTACATAAAGTGACTGTTAGTTTTCTTAGCAATCAGAGATGGGGCCTTCATAGATTCACACTTGGCCATTTTCAAACCCTACTGTGTTTGGGGGCAGTAAAACAAACAATGATTAAGAACCTTAGGTTCAAAAGTAGTTTTAAAATCCTAGCTCTGCCACCTAGTGACTGTGTGACTGGGGGTAAGTTACTTTTCATCTCTAAATCTGCAGTTACTTCATTTGTAAAATGGGATGCTAAGAGAACCTACTTCACGTGGTTGTTGTGAGGATTAAATGGCATGATGTGAAGTGCCTGCCAGAATAAGGACCCAGGAAATGTGACTTATTGTTTGCAGTTTTTCATTTTTCCTTGTTCTGTGTTATTTTTCTCCATAGAGCTCATGAAGCTGGCAAGCTAGAGAACTTACTGATAGATTGTGTACAGGAGTTGAAACAGCTGCTGAAGAGAAAAATCAACATCAATTTTTTGCTATCCCATAAAACACGTGGTTTACTAAACTGAAACCCTCGAGGAATGGGGCATATTTCAGGCACATTCTTGTGTAAGAAGACACAGAATGATGTGCATTCCCAACATATTAAACCCAGCATAAACCTCTCATCTCTCCTGAATGTCCAGCGCTTTTCAAAGAGCTATGTTTTGCATATTTGATTTTTTAAGAGACAAGATCTTGCTCTGTCGCCCAGGCTGAAGTACAGTCATGCAATCATAGCTCACTACAGCCTGAAACTCCTGGGCTCAAGCGATCCTCCCACCTTAGCCTCCTAAATAGCTAGGACTATAAGCACACACCACAATGCCCAGCTAATGTTCTTATTTTTTAAACAAAAGGATCGTTTAAGGCCAAGAGTTCAAGACCAGCCTAGGCAATATAGAGACAAGGTCTCCTTGTGTTGCCTAGTTGCCTAGGCTGGTCCTGAACTCTTGGCTTTAAACGATCCTTTCACCTCAGCCTCTCAAAATGCTGGGATTATAGGTGTGAGCCACTGCACCTGGCCTTGGTATTTTTAAATTAAGTTTTTATCTAACTGTCATTAATAATATTCTATTGTCCACATTTTCTGAATATGTGAATATGCAAATAATATGAGCGATATGGATTTCCCCAAATCTTTGTAAATATCAAATTGGCCATTGCTTTAATGTCCTCTTTTACTCTGTCTGTACTTTTACTCTGTTCTTCACCTTTTGGTCATAGTTTTGGCCACTCTCAGCTTCCCACAGCATCATGCTAAATAATTATCTTTTCATTCTAAACAATAAAGTTAGTCTAGTTCTCTAAACAGTTCTGAGATCTCACAACCTAAGTTAATTTGAGACAATAAACCCTTTGATGGTTTTCACATAGTGAGAAAGAGGTGTCTGGGGCACAATGCTGCTTCATGAGTAAATGGAAAAGTTGGACAACAGGCGGAAGAGAACTAAGGGTCTGCCATGTGGGGAGCAGTCATCCTGATGAGAAAGCCACAAGAGAGGCCAGAATACACTAGCAAAGGAAAAATAGACTGTTGAACCTGTCCTGGGAATTTAAATCTGACAAAGCCATAGATGGGAAAGAGGAGACTTTAGAGGGGAGTTAGCATAGTCAAGCTCAAGAATCCAGGAAGGCTCAGGAGGAAATTCATGACATGCTAAAGATCAGAAAAGTGACCTGGCAACATGGCATAGTGAGCCAAGGAAGAAACGTGTGTGCTCAGTACAGGTACGGTAGCCTTAGAGAGGTGGGAGGGGTAAACACAACATATGGGTTGTAAACCCGGCAGCTGCACCTATCTGCTGAGATTATGGCATAAAATGTCTACAAATGACCAAAGCAGTGCCTGGCACACAGTCAAAGCTCAATAAAGTTTGTTTTCCTAACACAGCAGGACAATAAGGTACTGAACAGGAATATTGTCCCAATTCTGCCATTAATTATTGACGTGATTTCATGGTACATCATTAAATTGCTCCGCTTCCACCTCTGTAAAAATGGATGCGTTTGGGCAAATGTTTGCTCCAGTCCACTCTATTATTTTTCTCATGGTCAAGTTACTTAATGTGTGTCTTATGCTAAAATATAAGCTGGTTTTATCTTCCGTTAAAGGGAAATAGAATATACTGATCAAACTAACAAAAATAATTTTTAAAAAACCAAAGTATCAAACTACAGAATTCCCTTTCAGGATAAATAGCCCTGTTATTTACTTAGCAAGCATTCTTTACATACATGTCACTTTGGTAGGCACTGGGGATGCAAAGACAAACAGGATGTTGCCCCTGCCCTCAAGAAGCTTATAATCTACTTAGCCCAAGGCACATAACAATGAAGTGTCCTGGTGTGTTCCAGGTGCTGTGATGAGAGTGCAGCCAGGGTACCATGGGTGGGGGGACACGGCAAGATTGGTCAGTTCTACCAGGAAGAGAAAGAGTGGTGACAGCATTTCAGAGGTGGTGCATGAGATAAGAATTATAAAGAGGTAACTTCGTGCCAGGCAATCAGGATGGGGTAGGAGTTCTAGGTAGAAATGGGCCCAGCAGGGCAAAGATAGAGTTGTCACACAGCCCAGGTGTTCTGAGAGCTGCAAATGGAGTGGGGCAGACAGACAGAGGGCTCTGAGGTGGAACTTTGTAAGCAGTGGGGCTGGAGCTGCAGGCAGGGCCAGGTCATGGAGTAGGTTGTATAATAAGGAGTTTGGACTCCATTCTGCAGCAAATAGGACACCACTATAGAAGAAAAGAGAAGTACTATGCTCAAATTTGTGCCTTACAAAGATTCCTCTAGCAGCAATGGAAAGAATGGATTGGGCAGGACAGGAATAGAGGAAAGGAAGGAATAGTTAGAAGTCATTTACAGTACTATAGGCAAGAAGTTCTGAGGTACTGGGGCTCTGAATCAAATAGTAGGAAGCAAGAGTCGAGAGAAGAGGTCAATACCAGCGACATCAAGGAATGACAGAATGTGAAAGGGAGGATGGAATGGACAAATTTGCAATGAGCCCCAGGTTTCTGGATTGGAGAATGGTTTGCTATAGCACCATGACTGTTGGAGAAGGGCAAGTTGTGGGGGAAGAGATTACATTCATTATTGGATGTGAGTCTGTGGGCCCTGTAGAATAGTCAGTGTAAATACAGCTGAACAGTTGGTCTTGACATCGGTGGGGGGGAAGGACAAGGCTGATTTAGAAGGAGATTAGATGTTTTCAGTAGTACGAGAGGCCCTGAGGATAAAATGAACTCAACCCAGGAGAATGCCTCAGTGAGAAGAGAAAAGTGGGTGCAGATGGAGGAAGCAGGTGTAGCAGATTCAGCAAAATGAAGTCATACCTTTGTCTTGGTAAGCTGTCCAGATAGACAGTGCTGGGCCTGCAGTAGCCATTCAATCAATATGCATTTAATGATGAATAAGTAAATGAATGAGTGAGGGAATCGTTGAGAGAGAAGTGAGGGGCACTTAGTGTAAGTAGCAGAGGTCAGGCTTAGAAACACAGCACTACCAATTCCTCTCCTGCAGACAGAAGCTAAAACCATGAGAGAGAGGGAGACCCCAAGGGAACGTGTATAAAGTGAGAAAATAAGGACTCAGGAGTGAACCCTTATCTCATTAGGAAGGTAGACGAGGCACGTTCTCCACGATCCTCTGTAAAACATTAGTCATCATTAATCAGAGCAGCCCAGTCAGCCAGAGCAGCCATTAGAGACACAATTTGACCTTCATCCATAGCAAAGAAGATAATGTTCCAGTTCCCCTTCACGTGGGAGGTAGACGAGGACAGAAGAGGCACAAAATGTCGGCTATGATGAAGCACCAGGTTCGGTATGAGCAGGTGCCAGCTGTGAAGAGGCGCTGTTGGGCTGTAAAGTGTGGTTCTCGACTTGTTAATTCCATTAGGAAAAAACCTAGATTAGTCCCCACTGACGCTGTGTGAAGAATCCAAGCTGAGAATGAGCCCCACGCTACTAATGCAGCTTCAGAAAGCAAAACAGACCCACAGAGTCCCTAGGTGGGTCCAGGTGACACAAACACACTTCCTTTGTCATATGCAGGTGACAGAGGTGGCTCATACTTTTTCAAACCCTGTTTCTCTTTAGAAACCTGAAAGCCAACATTGTTTGCAGGCTTCTTTGTTAAGTGACTTGAAGATGGGAAATTGTTCAAAAATAAGCTGTCAACTTAATTGAATTCAATTCAGCTGAAAAATATTGTGGTATCACTAAAAGTTAATTGTTAACAATATGCTTGTTAACAATACAATTATTAACAAGCATGGCCCCTGCCTTCACTGTTTTTCTAAGATTAAAACCAAAATAAAACATGGTGTTATTTAGTTTAGAAGTCAACTACTAGTGAGTTTAAGTGCTGATTTTCCCCTTCTCTGAAAGATTTACATCACTTCTAGTGATTGTCATCAGCTCCATGATGATTCAGTGGGAAGCCCTCGTATGTACATCTGCAAAGGCAGAATCCATTGGCTGGAAGGTCCCCTATGGTTCCAACATGCCACAGACTTGTAATACATACATCATGACTCAACCAAGGCACATTGCTGGCAGCCCAGGAGAACTTCCTTCAGTCTCTCATCTATGCAATAGAGCAATAAAATATTCTTGAAAACTTCAGAGTTGTAGAAGGCTCTTGGCCTAACCATATCTGGCTCCCTCAGTGCCATATATCTGTGTCTATTCTCTTTCCAACCCTAGTTCTGCCCATGTGGGACATCAGAGGGTCTCCAACTTTTTTTCCTAAGTAAAACGGCAGCTTGAAATGATGCCCCTTATAGTCATGCATCTAAGTAAATACACAGGAGATTATGATGTGCCAAGAACCTCATTCTCTGCCACTACAGCCCCCAGGCTACCAAGTGGTCACTATTGCTGGCCTCTTCTGTTCCATTGAATATAAAACCAACAAGCAACATCCAAATAATTATTACAGGTCTTTGTGCTGACCTGAAAGATTTTAGGACAAGATCATGGCAAGTAACTAGTCTGCTAATTGCATAATGCCCTGCCATCTTGCTATGGCAAATTGGTGTGGGAAAAGAACTCTAGACCTGGAGTCAGAGAGGGTGTGGGCCAAGTCTCAGTTCTGCCATCTCCCTGTTGCATGCCTGGGATGCCATCAGAACTCTACTTCCTTCTGTAAGATATGTGTAGTCATCCCTTTCCTGCCTCCTTCACACAGATTTCATAAAGAATGTGACAATATATCCAAAATTGCCATTTCAATGACAAACTGCTACATGAGAGATACACCACAGAGAAATAAAAATTGAGTATTGGTAAAAATACATTTTGATGTTTCCTTTCACGCAACAAGTATTTATTGAGCACCTACCCTACACTAGGTACTGTGCTAGGAACTGGAGAATGAATACATACACGTAAGATCCCTGCCCTCAGGAAATTAAACCCATAGGGGAGAGAAAAGTTATCCCAGAAACATGCACCTGAATTCCAATTGTAACAGATGCAAAAACTTTGGCCCAGGGAGGTTAATGTAAGGGGTTGTTAAAGGTTGAATTGTGTTCCCACCCTCAAATTTATATATTGAAGTTCTTACCCCCAGTACCTCAGAATGTGAACTTATTTGACATAGGGCCATTCCAGAGGTCGTTAATTAAAACAAAGTCATACTGGAGTAGGGTGAGCCACTAGTCCAATAGAACTTGTGTCCTTATTAAAAAGGAGAACATTGGAGATGCCATCCCCTGTGTGCATGTCTGTGAAGATGAAGGCAGAGATCTGAAAAGCCAAGGAATGGCAAAGATTTCCAGCCAACTCCAGAGGCCAGGAGTGAGGACTGAACAGATCTTTCCCCAGCAACCCTTAGCAGGAACCAACCCTACCAACACCTTGATCTCAGACTTCTAGCCCCAAGAAGTGTAATATAGCAAACTTCTATTATTTAGACCCAAAGAGGGGAAATACCTTTACGAATTAGTGGTCTCAACCATGGAAATGGGAAGTAGCATTGAGGTTTATGCAGCTATGAGAGCCTCTATCGGGTTTGGTTTAGACAAGTCTGGGAAGTTACCTCTGAAGTGACCCTGGAGCAAACCAAGATCTAAAGGAGAAACAGGAGTTAGCTGGGTCAGCAGGGCAGAGAAGCAGGCTCAATGACCTTGTGGTAAGAGGGAGACTGAAGAGTCTGAAAGAAGGTCCCTGTGGCCGGAGGAGAGAAAGCAAAGCACATAGGAGCTGAGCACCAGAGCGAGGTGAGGCTAGAAAAACGGATGGGGAACAGACTAGGGTCCTACAAAGGATTTTCACTTTGTTCTTACAAGCATGGGGAAGCCAATTACAAGGTTTCAAGTAGATGAGTGACATGATCAGATTTATTCTTTGAAAAGACTGTTGTGACTACACTGTGAAGAGCAGATGGATGAAGGTACGAGCAGGAGGCAGGTAGGTTGGCTGCAGTAGGCCAGGCAGGACCTGACAGTGAATTACTCAGATGCAGCATGGGACATGAGAATTGAGGACTATTTAGAAAATAACCACAGGACCTGAAATCAACTTGAATTGCTATGGCACAGGTTGTTATTGTTGGACTCAGATAACAGTTTAAATATGTCCCAGGGTGAATGGTGATATTTCCTTAAAACATGATGGCAGATTACGCCTGTCTCAGCATTGATGCTAGGACTAGGTATTGACACTCTTACATTTTCTCCACCTTGATCTCTTCATACTTTCAGTTCATACTATGACTATTTCATTTTTTATGTATCAGTGGGAAAGAGATTAGCATGTTTACCAGAAAAATTGTGCCAAAATAACAAAGCTAATGCTTATTTAACTGCTATGCCTCATAAGTCTACCCCAGTCTTGCAACAATTGGAGAATTCTCCCATTAACCAAAGGCACTTTACATCTGTGCATTTTTAAAAGGCCAAATCTGTGGAAGATTTTATTTCATTAGAGATATGTTCACTCAACTCATTAATAAAAATTAGCCTCCACTTTAAAACAGAGTGGCAAAACAGTGCCCACTTGCTACCCCCTTTTCCTCCATTCCCATGGCTGGGGTTGCTAATCAATAAAGATGATTTCCTGCTGAGGCCGTTGAGAATCCCCACCACAGCACTCCAGGCAGCAGTTGATCAGAGTTGGCAAAAGAATGGACTCGTTTTCCATCTCCATTTTAATGCTATGTAAATCCCTTCTTCCCAAAAAATCATCACTCTAAGTGCATAGTTACATTTTCCTCCTACCACAGGTATGGTTTGCCTGTTTTCATCAACAGCATCTACAACAGGTGGTGTTGATGTCTTACTCATATCCTCTCAGCTGACCCAAGTCCACAGATGGCTGGGATGCTTCTAGCAAACTGATAGTTCTACCTCAAGCACCAGCCTCTTATTCTGTAATGAAGAACTTTCTGTGGCACCACAGATACTTCCTCAGCCTTAAAGCAGGCACAACCGAGAATGCAGGAGAGTTAACACCATAGGAGAACAATCCTTATCCCCCCATGTTCTCGTGGTTTTTCAGAAGATCCACGATGAGACTAAGCCCCAGCTGCTCAACACAATAATCTATTCATTAACGTTTCCCTTCCCTGAATCACTTTCCCCATTCTTCGCTTTATGCTTCGTAGAGTCACCCAAGTCCTCCTCTCAGGGTCTGCTTTTGTGAGAACCCAAACTAAAATGACATCCGTGATCCTCTTTTGTCTTCATGTGATGTAAAACATTGACTCACCAGTAGTCAGTAAGGTTCCTCTTGGTGATCCGTGGACTGTGATGCAAGCTGTGACTCTCTGCTCCACAGCAGAACCATTAGAATTATCTTTTCTTCTGCCTGGGAAGTTCTACAGGAGAACCTGGGGATACGAAAAATAAACAGGGAGAAAGAGAAGTCAGTTGCACCAAGAATCCCCACTGTAAAGCAAACAAGTTTGTTCTTAATCCCTATTTCTTGCTATTGTAGTTATGAGAAAATACATTGCAGGGGTAATCCTCTGATGATTTTTGTGCTTTATCTCCACAAGTAGTAACAACTATTGTTAATCAGGGAAGCCATAGTCTTAAGGGAAGATTGATTTCAAGTCTTAGCTGGTTAGTCAAAACAAGAAATAAACATCAGTTCTACCTATATTCCAGATCTTACTTTTAAAAAGTAAAAGATCTAGATTTGTAGACCAAAGTAGAGATAGAAATAAATTGCTCTTAACATTAATAGATTATGCTAAGAAATCTTAAAATGACATCAGGCCAAAGTCTCATATTGATATCTCATATCTCATATCTCCCAACATCCCAGTAAAGTGCCAAGACATCAAAAAGATAGTATCAGGGATTCACAGATTCTAGCAATAATTGATTTTTAAATGGAGGATGGCATCTATAACAAAATAGGTAAGTATTTTAAAAAGGAATGTTTAGCCTTGAAGATTAGAAGAGCATGACACTGAAAAAGATTTACTACAGAAAACAAGAAACTCAGAAAACATACTTGGGATCCTCAGATGCTAGAAGATGTAATATTTAAAAAGGAGAAATGGGCACGGCCGCTCAAAATGCAAAGACCACACAAAGTAATGCTTGATAAAGAAGTCTGAAATAGACAAATCAGTGGGCTTCGGATTACCTCAGCAGGTGAAAACATTCATTAACATCAGTGAGAACCAGACCTGATGCTGCAAGAAGTTAATGATGTAGAGGTCAACATGAGGAGGTCTCCAATTATGGAGCAGTAGGTCTCACGTTTTATTCCAACTCAACAGCAATCACATGCACATCACTCTCCCAGGTAATTCTGGTTTGGATTGGGTGTTTCAAATAGGAGACCAAACCTAGGCTGGGGAGGTTGGGGGAGTAGTATGCCTGAGTTACCAGAGGAAGGGAAAGAAGTGTTAGAAGGAAAACCTTAGATTAAATTTGACAGAGTTTGAGCAAAGAATGATTCGTGAATCAGGCAGCCCTCAAACCAGAATAGGTTCATAGACACCCCAACACTGTCGCATGATCGACAAAGATTTATGGACAGAAGCAAAGTAACCTACAAAAATGGAATTGAGGTACAGCTCAGATTGGTTACAGCTTGACATTTCCCTGATTTGAACACGATTCGAACAGTTGGCTGCCTTTGGCCGAAACTCTGGCACAAGAGCAGGTTATGGTCTGTTTACACATCCAGTTAGATTAGTAGTTCACCATGTACAGAGAAACTCTTAGGCTGAACTTAAAATAGGTAAGGAGGCAGCTTTAGGCTAAACTTAACAGAAGTGTGAACCAAGAGCTTTGACTATGACCTCTTGGAGGAGAGGAAGAAGCATGTCTCTCTTTTGATAAATATTGATCGTAGGGAGTCAAAGGACAAAAAAATTCAGGACTCTAATAAAAGAGTCAAGATCAAATCTACAAATAGAATAACCTTTATCAGGACTTCTGGAATGTGCATTAGTCACCTGGGGACCCTGTCAAGATGCAAATCTGATTCAGTATAAATCTTAGGTCTGAGATTCCTAACAAACTCCCAGGTGAGGCTGATGCTGCAGGTCTCAAACCACATCTTGAGTAGAAAGACTTCAGAGAAATCCCAAAGCAAATGCTCTTGCTATAGTCCAGGAAGAATTGATGAAAACAAATTAACACTTAGGCATATTCTGGTAATTTATAAAGCACTAGAAAGGATTTTAAAGTGCAATTTTTCTGGGAGGAAAATGAAAGGTGACTTACCAATAAAAATTGAGCAGATCCAGGCTTCTCCTTCCATCACTAAATATCAGAGGACAATAGAAAAGTCTTGGCTGGGTGTGGTGGCTCACGCTGTAATCCCAACACTTTAGGAGGCCAAGGCAGGGGATCACTTGAGCCCAGGAATTTGAGACCAGTGTGGGCAACATGGTGAAACCCCATCTAAAAATACAAAAAGTTAACCGGGTGTGGCAGTACATGCCTGTAATCCCACTGGCTACTTGAGAGGCTGAGGTGCAAGAATCATCTGAGCCCAGTAAGTCAAGGCTGCAGTAAGCAGTTGAGATCTAGTTTCATTTGAAACTAGAATTCACATGGAAGTGCTTAGGAAAGATGCCAGCTATATGGATTTGCTACTGCTACCATAATACATTCCTTACAAACTTAGTGGCTTAAAACAATATAAACTGACCTTATAGTACTGTAGGTCAGAAATCCAGCACAGATGTCACTGGGCTAAAATCAAAATGTCAGCACAACAGCATTCTTTTCTGTAGTTGTTAGAAGAGAATCCACTTCCAGAGGCCTCCAGCACCCCATAGCCGGTGACACCCTTCCCGTATCTTCAGGGCAGCTGCAGCAAGTCAGAGCCTCCTCACGCTGCCATCTCTCTCTAGCTGCAGCCAGGAACGTTTCCTCTCTTGAAAGGACTCGTGTAGTAGGTTGGGCCCACCTGTATAATCAAAGATACTCTTTGCATCTGAAGGCCTTTAGCCTTAATCACATCTGCAAATTATCTTTTGCCTTGTAAAGTAGCCTACACGCAGGTTTTGAGGATAAGCATGTGGATATCTTTGTGGGGGCCACTGTTCCACCTATCACACCAAACAATTATTTGAGGAGATACATTAAGAGAGGAATCAAAATTCAAAATCCTCAAATAGAGAAGTACTGGTATAAAACGAACTGTAGCAAGCACTAAAACTAGTTAAGTTGCGTAAATGTAAATAATCGTATAAATACTTACAGGAAAATGCAAAGTTAGAAGCAATTCATAAAAGAATAATGGTAGCATAATCATTGAAGCTGGAGGCACAGTCTATACTAGAGCACAGAGACTGGAGTGAGGTTAAACCTTCTCACCTAACCAGGATCAGGAGGAACTGGAAAACTCCAATGGGATGAAAACAGTGATTGAAAAAGATAAAGCAAATCAAAACAAGTCGTAGTCCATACAGCATAAGGCAGCTCAAAAGCATTTAAAAGTAAGCTTAAAAGAACAAAAAGTGGAAAACAGTGAAGGAAAAATAACATGCATCTGTTGTGGCAATAAATTGTTGAACACCTTGCTGAAAAGCAGACCTCTACTTTGTAGAAATAGAATTTGAAATCCATCAAAAGCATTAAATGAACAAACATTCCACTTTATATTGATAGAATGTAAAGTGCATTACTATTAAAATAGTTTGTTATTATCTTTACTTTGTTCCAGAAAAAAGAATCTGAGCCTCTGAGAGGTTAGGGGACTCAATCACAGTCATGCATCTGTGAGCCACAAAGCAAATCCAGGGTCTCCCTCACAGCCCAGGAGTCCATCCTGATAGCATGTGCCCACCCATATATGTGAGACCACATAGCTAGTGAGAGGTGGAGCTGGGACTAGAACCCAAGTCAGTTTTACCCCATATTCTGTGTGCATAACTCTCACTCCACCACCTCAGAAATTGTGTTCCTGTTTCTATCTTTGCCTCATAACCAGGACCCCTAAGATTCCCATTGATCTTACCAATCTCTGCCACTGTAAGTGAATTCTCCTGTCTAGTCCCATCCCTCCCCATGGGGCAGATCCTGGGGGGTTCACCCACTGAGAGATCTGCTCCAGCCTCTTGATAAGGATTTGGGTGCCTCCTCTCCCAATTAAGGTGAATGTCTCCCCTGGTGCTCTAGATCACACCCTCTCTTGTCTCATGAAATGATTTCACCAGTTAGCCTCTTTCCTACTGAATCTTCACACTGTCTCTACTCAGGTTCCTTCTCATCTGGATGTTAGCATGCTTATCCCACCAAAAAGAAATCTCTTTATGGAGGGCTTTATTCCCCTGTAGCCACTATGACACTGCTTCTTCAACCCCATAACCATTTCTCAGTCCCACTTCCTCACCTTCCATTTCTTCAAACCCACTGCAATCTGATTTCTGCCTTTGTCTTGGCAATTGAACTGCTTCCACTGAGGTCACCAGTGACCCTCCTCTCTGACAAACCAATAAAAAGTCTTGTATTATGAATATTTACATCTACTACTTCTTGAAGCTTTCTTTCTACTTGGATCTCTGTTACTTTTCAAACACTTCACTCATTCTTCTACAAATCCAAGGATTTCACTTTTCATGCAACACAATTTTGCTGCATTATTTTAAGTTTTACCTGACACATATCTCTGAGCACCACACAGTAGAGCCAATTACTATAGAACTTAAACACCTAAACTCAAACTCATTTTGGTGCAAACTTCAAAATGTAGTTCAAACTACATTTGAACCCATACTCCCAAAGGCACCTCCGACTTATTTTGCCCATAATCTAACTCATGAGACTCCACTCAAACAAGCCTCTTTTTTTATCTCAGCCAACAACACCATCATACACTCAAGTTCCCAAGCTAGAAGTCATCACAGATTTCATCTTCTCCTTTATAGTACTTCTCCATCCCCAGCAAATCTCCGGGACTCATCAGTTCTCCCGAGTATCTTTTGACTATGTCTCTGTATCCTACATTCCTCACCCTTCACTACCATTACTGAGCCATTCAATTAGGTCTACTGAAGTATCCACTGTGTGTCAGGTATTTGCTAAGTACTGGGGATACATGATGAAGAAAATAGGTATAATATCTCCACTAATGGAATTTATGCTCTAATGGGGGAGATGGACATTAAACTAATAATTTTAAAATTATGACATTAATAAATATGATCTAATAAATATAATTACAAATAGAACCATATAAAGGAAAAATGCAGGATACAATGAAAAACTATAATAAGGAAACTTGATTAACAATGAAAGGTCAGAGACATCTCTGAGAAAATGATACTTAAGCTGACACATAAAAAAGGGTCAGAGATAGCTATGTAAAGAGTAAGAAAGAGTGGACAAATAAAGGAGTTGGTGCAAAGGCCCTGTGGTTAAAAACACCTGGCTTAAGGAACTTCAACAATTGAAGAGGAGTGACGCATGCTCTGGCCAAGGAATAGGTAGCAGCCAATTTCTTCAGAGCCTTGTAGGTTTTGCGTTTCGTCTCAACTGTAACAGGAATTCACTGAAGGATTTTCAAGCATAATCAAATTCAGTGACATCGTCAAATTTGCTGTTGTTTCAGCTCAAGCAAGAGAAAATAGGGCGTGAATTACAATGGTGGCCATGGAGGTAAATAGAAGGAGATTTGAAATAGATTTCGGAGACAGAAAAGACGGAAATTTGGTGGTATGGAAGGAAAGGAAAGGAAAGTGTTAAGAATGACTTTCAGGCCAGGCACGGTGACTCACACCTGTAATCCCAGCACTTTGGGAAGCCATGGTGGGCAGATCATGAGGTCAGGAGATCAAGACCATCCTGGCCAACATGGTGAAACCCCCATCTCTACTAAAAATACAAATTTTAGTGGGGCGTGATGGTGCACGCCTGTAGTCCCAGCTACTCGGGAGGCTGAGACAGGAGAATGGCCTGAACCCGTAAGGCGGAGCTTGCAGTGAGCCGAGATCGCGCCACTGCTCTCCAGCCTGGGCAACAGAGCGAGACTCCGTCTCAAAAAAAAAAAAGAATGACTTTTAGGTTCCTGTCTTTTTTTTTTTTTTTTTTTTTTTTGAGACAGAGTCTTGCTCTGTCGCCCAGGGTGGAGTGCAGTGGCGCGATCTCAGCTCACTGCAAGCTCCGCCTCCCGGGTTCACGCCATTCTCCTGCCTCAGCCTCCCAAGTAGCTGGGACTACAGGCGCCCGCCACCACGCCCGGCTAATTTTTTGTATTTTTAGTAGAGACAGGGTTTCACCGTGTTAGCCCAGATGGTCTCGATCTCCTGACCTCGTGATCCACCTGCCTCGGCCTCCCAAAGTGCTGGGATTACAGGCGTGAGCCACCGCGCCCGGCCAGGTTCCTGTCTTAAAACCTCAGAGGGCAGGTGAAATTTCCCAAAATAAGGAACACTAAAGAGTGAAGAGTGGATTTGGGAGGAAAGATAAAAGATTCCATTTCTGTATTGAATTTATGATGCTTGTAAGACACCAACAACTCAATAAAGATGTATTTAATGTTGGTGTAAAATACCAAACAGACATGTAATCCATCTTAAATTACTTTAAAATCTTTCTAGATGGATTTCCCAAAAAAAAAAAAAAATGCTATACATTCACCATTTTTTAAAAAATGTCAGAACTGGATTTTTCCATTTGCAAGTATTGATTGCCTTCCACATTTTCTTTGCCAATTTTTTACAGTGTGCCATAAACCCAGAGCAGGTTTCTCTCTTTATTCCCCTTATCTTGCTCAGAACATAAATAAAAAGCCCTTTGTAGTTGTTAATATTTTCTTCCAGACTCACCTCACTCTGAGTTTTAGCCTTCCTAGCACAATTCTTCCTCTTCCAGTCCATTCCTTTATTCCTGTTTAAGGCTTTTCACCTTGCCTGCATTATTTTGAACCTATCCTTTATATAGCTGAGTTTATCAGAAGACAATATGTGCAGATTTATCCTTTTGATAGTCATTGGGATTACTTGAAATGGTTGGATGGCTCTCTCCATAAGGAACAAAGCCAGGGGAGAAATGGCTGTTTGAAAACAATTTTACAGTGTTTCTAAGAAAAACACTTTTATTTAAAAGGTACAGAAAGGATCGTTTTTAAAGCATTGCAGAGAAAGCCTCAGCTCCCCATATTAAAAAAAAAAAAAAAAAAAAGCCACTTTGGGAGGCCGAGGTGGATGGATCACGAGGTCAGGAGTTCGAGACCAGCCTGGCCAAGATAGTGAAACCCCTTCTCTACTAAAAATACAAAAATTAGCCGGGCATGGTGGTGGGCGCCTGTAATCCCAGCTACTTGGGAGGCTGAGGCAGAGAACTGCTTGAACCTGGGAGGCGGAGGTTACAGTGAGCCGAGATCAGGCCACTGCACTGAGTGACAGAGTGAGACTCCATCTTAACAAAACAAAAAACAACAACAACAACAAAAATGGATTCTGCAGGTCAAAGATGGTAGTTATGTGAAATTTTCTTTGCAAATTGAACGTATTGCTTGGCTAACACATGGTGATGTGATGTTTGAGTACTGGCAGTAGTGTGTCTTCCACTCTTGCTAAGGGACAGGTCTTTTCTTAGCCTAGGTCAGTTTCATTAGGAAAAATTGCCCTTTTACCCACTTCGAGCAGCTTAAACAAATTATCTCAAAGAACTGCAGGGCTTAACCCATTTAATGAATTTTAATAAGGAATACATGAATCAGTCAAAAACCAGAAAAAAAGTGAATAACATTGAACTAGTTCTCATGGAAATTAGCTCATGACTCTGCTGGCTTACATTTACCAAAGGCTAAATTTTTGATGGAAAGCTTAGGTCTGTTTTCCAGGCTGTGGGAGAATGGGAGGATCTTTAAATTAAACATTAATTTTATTAGTGGTATTTTTCTCCATCCAATTAACCCTAAATGGAGATTATAAAAGCCCTGGGGCTTTTTTTCCTCTTTGGGAAACTTTTAAAAAACAGTTTCTTGTATTGAAAGAGTTTCTCCATAATCCCTGAAATATTTTCAGAAATGTAGTGAGAATGTGAATTCAGTTTATTCCCTACAATCCTTCATAAAAAAGGATAATTTAAGAGGTAGAAAGGTCTGTGTGGGTGTTCAGGTGAGTTTCCTGTCTTCCAGCAGGGCATCACAGGGACTGTGAAAAAAAAACTCTCTCCATTTATTACTTTCTCTTTTTTCTCTCTTACACATGTGATATGTGCACACTTTTGTTCTCTCTTTTCACTTTTTTCTTTTATTGCTTGAAAAAAATTTAATTGTGGTAAAATACACATAACATAAAACTTATCTTACATCTCAGTGTACAGCTCAACAATGTTAAGTGTATTCAAATTATTTTGTCTCCTTTTCTTATGTAAAACAGAACACACAGCTTTAGGGCATGGAAATCAGTAGTGAAACATATCTTTGTTTAAAAGTCGTTCCTACTCCTCTTCTGTGCTTAAAAAAAAGAGAACTAGAAAGTGTTTCCCCAGCATCTCCATCATATTTAGTAACTGCAGAATCCCCTATGAAATACATGACGTTGTAACAGTAATCTTCAAAAGTAGAATCATATGTTCTAGCAAATATTTCAGCTAAAGGAGAAACTATTTCACATTCTGCAAATGGGAGTTCAGTGTATCGACTGGAATACAGAAGGATGTTGAAAGACTTAGTTCTGTTTGGGAAAATTCCTGAAAATCTTGAAAAGTTGTCTTGGCGGCCAGGCGCGGTGGCTCACGCCTGTAATTCCACCACTTTGGGAGGCCGAGTCGGGTGGATCATGAGATCAGGAGTTTGAGACCAGCCTGGCCAATATGGTGAAACCCCATCTCTACTAAAAAATACAAAAATTAGCTGGGCATGGTGGCACACACCTGTAGTCCCAGCTATTCAGGAGGCTGAGGCAAGAGAATCGCTGGAACCCGGGAGGCGGAGGTTGCAGTGAGCCAAGATCACGCCACTGCACTCCAGCCTAGGCAACAGAGCAAGACTCCATCTCAAAAAAAAAAAAAAAGAAAGGAAAAGGAAAAAGAAAAGTTGTCTTGGTGTTATGCCAAATTGACGATATCATGATAGATTAAAGTTGCTCTTCATTGTATTTTGAACTCTTATTTGAATTGGGGTGATTTTAAGAAAGTTCATAATCTTTTTGCCCTGTGAAAATAAATAATAATAAAACTGTTACCACACAAATGCACACCCAGAGAGGGGATCTCCACTTCAGATCTACTGTAAAGACATTGATGTTCTTTCATTTTGGTTATCATGTGTCAGGAAAAGTAAGTTCTGAAAAGAGCCACTCTAATTTGCATCAAGCAGTTTGAAAATGGCCTTTTGTGGCACTAGCATTGGCCACAGCATCCTGTATCACATGAGGTGCCCTCAGTCCAGGATCCCAATGAGAAGGCAGTCAGCACAATGCAATGATCTGTATAGCAAATGGAATGTTCTAAGGTTTCTCAAAATCAAGATTCCTGACAATAAAGGAAATAGTAAATATTTTCAGGGCTTTTTTTTCTGAATGAAATAAATATTACCTGCAGTAGATGTTACTATTGTGTTTTTATTTTAAAATGGTTACCAGGGACATATATAAATTGTTCTCTATATAGGATGACCAGATTTCGCAAATAAAAATATAGAATTCCTAATTAAATTGAATTTCAAACAATGAATAATTTTAATATGAATAGGTTCCAGAAGTATCAAATAATTTTTAATAGCAGTATGTCCCATGTAGTATATGTCTCATGCTATATATGGAACATACTTACATCCAAAAAAATTATTCATTGTTTTCTCCAAAATTCAAATTTGGCTGGGTATATATTTTATCTGGCAACCATATTTCTGCAGTTCATTAAAAGTTGTATTTTGGGCCAGGCGCAGTGGCTCACATCTGTAATCCCAGCACTTTGGGAGGCTGAGGTGGGCAGATCACTTTAAGCCAGGAGTTTGAGACCAGCCTGACCACCATGGGGAAACCCCATCTCTACTAAAAATACAAAAATTAGCTGGGTGTGGTGGCAGATGCCTGTGGTCCCAGCTACTCAGGAGGCTGAGGAGGGAGGATCGCTTTAGCCTGGGAGGTAGAGGTTGCAGTGGGCTAAGATCACGCCACTGCACTTCAGCGTGGGGTGACCAAGTGAGACCCTGTCTCAAGAAAAAAATAAATCGTGTTTAGTTGACATGTAGATTTAATTTACATTTCAATAATGAAATCAGTGTTGTCTTTTTTCTTCTGTCATTTTCAAGTACCAGGATTTCCTGCCTAAACAATTTGCAATGTGTGTCTGTTTCTCTGCCCATCTCACTATGCTCTTAGATGCAGAGTTACAAATATATTCTAGTTTTATTTCTGGTTCCAAAGAAGACAGATTTTACAGGTGTAATCAGTTTTGTGCTTTATATTAAAACGCATCTATTTAAAAATAAATTTTAAAAATGCATCTAGTTTCTATATTAGCTACATCTAAATTTTTCCATTTATTCTCTTTTGTTTTATGTTCTTATCCATATTTCATTTAACTTACAACTATATCTTGAGCTCTTTTGCTTTTATCATAAGACGCAAGATTAAATAAATACATTTGCATTTGTACACACACAAATGCACACTCAAACACACAACAAGTTGCTAAGGATAAAAATCAATACATGATCAGTACGAAAAACATGAGTCAGATCATTATAAAAAAAATTTTAATCCCACCAGAGAATTCTAATATACAGCTTTCTACAGAAGTAGGGGAAATAAAGACCAGAAACTAAAACAAACTATTACTATTACTATTATTTTAAAGAATATGGCTCTTTTTCTATAAACTTGGTTTTATAGTGAAGACTACCTCAACTCAGAAAGGCTGAAGAAAAGGTTTTCTGTATCTCTGTTCCTGTTTCCCTATGAAAATGGGTGAAGAGATGCCCCAAAATTAATATTTTCAGGAGAACCAAGCCTAGCAAAATGCTTAGAATTGAGAAAGGCTAGGACGCCAAGCGAGGTGTAATAGTTTCTGGGTGATGAGGGGAATAGTGTCCTATGATCTGTGAGGCAAGCAGCAAAGGCGAAATTTAGCAAGCAGTTTTTAAATAATCATGCCCAATAGAAATTATTCCATAATTATTATTAGAAATTATTCCATTCACATGGAGTGTGGAAATTCACCACACAATACATGCATATGCAAAACTTCCTAGATCTCAGAAGTCTTATCTTGCTTTTGTGATCTATGTCCTACCAGAATAATTTCAGAAATAAGCTCAATATAATAACCAGCATGTCTCTTCAAGGACTTGACAGTTTTGATTTGGTTTTTAGTGCTTTTTAATTTTAATTGAAATAGACTAGATTTCCTAGAGGGGCCATCCCCACAAAAAAAGTAAGAAATGTGTAGTAGTTTGACCCACAACTTCCCATGAAGTTGAGCGGAAAGTTGGAGTTGAATCACATAGAAAATTTGACCTTCTGTCTTCATCAGGACCAAATTGAGTATATCCAAAATAAATGTTTTTCATTCATCTTAATTTAAATGTTTGTAACATGATTAATAATTTGACAGATACACAAAAATAGCATTTATTTTTAAGGAAATTATTCTGATGCTCTCTCTTACCATATAAAATTCCTTACTCTGCAGCACGCAACTTCTTTTTAACAATAATTCAGAAAGGACTACTATTGCTTCAAAGACTGAAGCTTCTGCAGCACAACTCAGCATTAGAAATATTCCAGAAACTGCCATCACGTGAGCAGTAAAGGAGCCCTGGGTTGCACCAATGGTCTGAGGTCAGACTGAATGAATCAGCCTTAGAAGAATGAGGAGCCCAAGTACCCATGATGAAAGGCAGTCAAATTAAACGCCCCCTCTCCTTGTCTCTTCTCCACCAGGCTCCTGCTTACACCATTTTAGTTCTGACACCATAACTCCTGAGACGGTAGATGATTATACATTTTCTATAGGAGGGAAAATCATCTTTCAAGATAACGTCTCATGTGGAGATGAGAGCACCATTAAGAGGAACTATTTTCAATACCTCTGTATCAAAGTCTAAGAATCCCAGCACCTGTCAGATGTGAAATAGCAAATACTCAAAGTCTGTTTGGGCATTGCAGGAAGAAGGTGATGACACAAAGAAAGTAGAGGAAATCATTGAATATTTTGACATGGTGAAAATATATAAATGACATCTTTTCGCAAAAGTGCTATTGCTGGCAATTCCGTAAAACAGCAAATAAATTTTATACTTCACTGAAGACAATGGTCAATCAGCCAATAGGTTAAAATCTGTTTCACTTTTAAACTCATGGTCAAATTGTTTTCATTGGTATTTTATAGAATGAGTCAAGGAGATAAATGTATTTATTTATATGTAATTTTTACTGTCAACTCTTTCCAAAAAGGATGCGATTAAATCCTTATGAACCACACATTGAACAGAATTTTTTTATTAATTGGAAAGAGAAATAGTGAACAGCATATGTAAGACAGAAAGAGAGCTAATTTTACCAACTTCTTGGGTAAGATGGTTATTACCCCTAAACATTAAGTGTAACTCTAGGTTCTAAGGAAAGCTAAGAAACATGATGGATTATATAGCTTAATTTTTTTTTTTTTTTTTTTTTTTTGAGACAGAGTCTCACTCTGTTGCCCAGGCTGGAGTACAGTGGCGGGATCTTGGCTCACTGCACTCTCCGCCTCCCGAGTTCCAGCGATTCTCCTGCCTCAGCCTCCCAAGTAGCTGGGATTACAGGTGCATGCCTCCACACCTGGCTAATTTTTGTATTTTTAGCAGAGACAGGGTTTCACCATGTTGGCCAGGCTGACCTCAAACTCCCGACCTTGGGTAATCCGCCCGCCTCGGCCTCCCAAAGTGCTGGAATTACAGGTGTGAGCCACTGCACCCGGCCCAGTTTAATTCTTTTCATAAAATTAATCATCACTTATTCACAACAGTGCATTGTGGTGCAATTAGTATTTTTGACATGCTGAGTTGGATTCCCTAATGTGTGTAGGTAACTATGTGTCCCGATTTCTATAGATATTTCCTACAAATGGAAATAGGAATAGTTGTCAACTATGCCCATTTTGAACAAGTCTGTTTTAAAGATGATAAACATAGTATGTGGCATGTTTTCAATATTCATTTTTATTAGGGATTTTATCAGAAACTACCTTATACTAACTTAAGTGAAAATTGTTGAAAGAAGGAAGATATATGAAAAGATATGATTTTGTTCTATGTGCTCAATTAAGTTTTGGATTGTTAGGATCAGCATGTGGCAGTGCCCTCTCCCTCTATTTTAAGCTTGTTTTATCACCTTTTAAAAAATTGATTTCATATGCTAAAATAATATTTTTTAAAAGGGAGTTAATCTATCCTTTACTTTTAATTATCTTAATCATTTGGATCACAACAGGGTTACTCGAATCATTATATTTTGTGATAATACAAAGAGATCAATACATTGGGTAAAAAAGGCTTCCATGATACATGATTCATTCAAGTAACAAACATTTTGAGCTCTTCACACAAAATGTCTGCTAGCACCGGGGCACAAAGATAGAAATCTGCCCCATCTCAGTGGAGAAACACTCACAAAAATTTATAGTGGAACCTAATTCATAATGTAGGCATATACGTTATTTTTAAAGTTAGGAATAATGAAGGCTTATTAATTGATTTTTAACCACATAAAGCAGGTAAATAAAACAACCATTTCTTATACCAAGCAAAGATATTTACCTTTGAAATCAAAATGTATGTCAATATCCTCTCTCTCTTTCCCACTAAGGCTGTGCAATAGAAATCCCTAAGGGTGACTGAGTTTTGAGCCTTGTCAAGCTCTGAGGATTTGATACATGTTCACTTGCCTTCTCTGTGCCTTAGCATCTTCAGTTGCCAAATAAGGAATGTTCTTAGAATCATTAATACAATTCCAATGAAATTATTTGATTTTGAGCTCCTTGAAGAAAACGATACAGCCAGGCAGAAGTTTTTGTTATTGTTCGCTGTTAACTAATTTAAAATCAATTACAATTATCTTAATATCGTGCCACCCATAAGTGGCAGTCGGTAATATTTTCAAAGTTCAAATATTGTTTTCTTTATTACAGGTTTCTTTTCTCCATGGAAAACTCCAAAGCCTGTAAGTTGGAATTATTATGCTTCTTTCTTTATTTCTACTTACTATTGCAATTTCATTTAATAAAAGTTGAATTGGGTGACCTCAAAATCTCTTTCAACTCTAGGAGTCTGTGATGTAAAAAAAATAAATCCTCTGTGTCCTTTTGTCTTGTATCTGTCCCACAAGTACATGAGTCACTCACCTTACCTTCCTATAAAAACAATTCTGCCCTTTTAAAAAATATATACTTACAAAATGAACATTAACACTATGCAGCCTAATGTAATGAAAATACTTTAGAAACCTTTTGTTTTTCTCCTGTCCACAATACAATGTAGTCTTCATAACATGGAATTTTTAGGAACAATACAAACTATAGGTCCAGAAGTCTTGACCTGCAAATTAAATCTAGTCCACAAAAAATTTAACTCTGTATATATTTATATTTACATTTTAATGTATGCAGAGCTACATGTGTGTATGTGTCATGTGTATATATATGTTAGCTTTGTATATATGTGTATATATAAAATAGGTATGTGTATGTATACATATAATGTGTGTATGTGTCTTTGTGTATATATATATGTATATACATATACACACACACATACACACACACGTATATTTAAGCTCTGTATACTGTATATATATTCTGCCAAACCTGACAAGCACTCAAAATGGTGCTTCTGAATCTTCTTCAGATACTGGAGATCTCTACCATCATCTGACCACTATAGGCCTACGAAACATGCTAAAATGTCTGCGCCAGTATAGGAAGCTGGTGGGTTTTAATAATCTTTTTGCAGAGCTAGGCTAGCCAAGTTGGCTTAGCAGTTAGAGGTGGTCTTCACTTGCAGATAGATTGAAACTATTAATTGCCCAAGTCCCAAGAGCTGGGACTGGTTTTCTGGCATCCCATTTTATGTGTTAGAATACTCGGCCCTAACTGGGATATGTGAAACCCATGACTGGAAGAGGCTGCAGCAAAGCAGAACACTCTCACTAAGCAGGACCTCATTTAGGATTTGACTCATCTGGTCCACAAAGAACATTAGATGGGAAAACCAGTCCTATTTAAGCTTAGCAAATCACTTAAGGATGCATGTGATTTTGAAAAGAGATACTTTTAAATGTTTAAAATGAAATTTGGTTTATCTTAACCAATGTCTAAATAGTTCCTTCCTTTCACCACCAAACTTAAATCTGTGCTCTGTGGTTATACACATCTTTATCTAATTCAACAAGGAACCTTGCGACCTCATCATGGTGCTACAATTATACAATCTAGTGATTTCCTTATACGTACCACATTTATACAAAATTATGTCATTTGGTATAATTGCAGCATTTGCTGTCATTATTGTAATTACATGCATAGTCAGTAATTCCAAAAATTGTTTTATAGAACTCAATGTACAATTAATCTTGAATCCATGTATTTCTACAAAAGCTAGGGCTTGGACTTCCACGGCATAGACAAAGGAAGGTAGAAGGCTGTAGATTTGATGTCTTCCATGTATCTACCAGAAACTCTTGAGGACTATAATGAGAGGAAGCGTGGCATTAATGTACTTGTTTAGGGTGCTGGTACTAAAGGCATTCTACCTGGACTCAAGTTTTGCTTCTTTTCCTAACAGATGACTTGAGCTAGCTACGTAAGCTATCAGTCTCAAGTTCTATATCTGTAAAATGGAGATAGTAACACCCCTCTCACATGGTTATTGTGAGGAATTCTATGAGTTAATCCATGTAAGGTGCTTAAAACATGTTGCCTCTACATGTTGAGCTTGAAAACATTAACTACCATCACCACAGGAAGCAGACCCTCCATTCATGAGCCTTTACCAAGTCACTGTATGAAATGAACATAGTTGACTAAACTATTAATCAAAACAAGTATATAACAATATACCCACAGTATGTAGGTTTATACACCTGTCCTCTGAGTGTGGCCCTTATTGGGCCTCTCTTATTCAGTCCCACTTTACTGGGCATGGACACCTTGGGACTGGACAAGAGAGGCCCAATAAGAAGCTTGTTGAGAAATGACCACGTGGCCGGTAACACAAACTCTAAATAGGTGAAGGCCAGGAAGACGCTAAGTAGAGTATTGATGATATCTTGGGTCAGAATAAGGAAATGTTATATGGGGTGAGCTCTAGCTTCCTCCTAGTCCTGTGTTACCTCCTGACTCTTTTCTGTCCTACTGATTCACATCTTATGCTATTCCATGTCAAGATAGTCACTTCCTGTTGAACAAGTAATATGCTAAAATAGTGAGTTCTCATTCTCTCCATCTGGAAAGGATCAAGTGCATTCTTCAAATACAGAATCAAGATAAATGCCATCATCTTCCAACCCTGCCCAAAATAGTGAGGGGGATGATTTAAACTACCCCACTTTCTACAGTAAGAAAACAGTTTCTGGACAGAGCATTTCATGGGAGTAGGGGAGAGGGGCCTGCCTCATTCATAATCTCTCTACTCCCTGTATGCACCCTAGAATCAGAAGCTGAGGTTGAAAAATCAGCCACAAGCATGGCCAACATGGCGAAATCCTGTCTCTACTAAAAATACAAAAACTAGCTGGGCATGGTGGCATATGCCTGTAGTCCCAGCTACTCGGGAGACTGAGCGGGGAGGATCACTTGAGCCCGGGAGGCGGAGGTTGCAGTAAGCCAAGATCATGCCCTTGCACTCCAGCCTGGGCGACAGAGTGAGACCATGTCTCGAAAAAAAAAAAAAAAAAAAACGGCCACAGCCATGAACAGAGTGTTCTGTTTTACTATTTGATGCCTGGGTGTGGACTGTACATCCAGGCTGCTCACTGATATTTCAGTGGCTGTCCGTTCATAAAGTTGCACAGACATCCATTCATTCACCAAGAGATACAGACTTCTCTCAGCTATAGAAAACAACTTTATTTCCATTTGTGCTTATTCTAGTGAGATGTTTATAAACATTGGCCTGGGTGTGGACACCACTGGGACTGGACAAGAGGGGCCCAAAAAGAAGCTTGTTGAGAAATAAACACCTGGCAGGTAACAAAAACTCTAAACAGGGAAAGGCCAAGAAGATGCTAGCCAGAGCAAGTGAGGCCCATCGACCTCAGTAAGGCGACAGGATCAGAATCCAGGGGGTTCATGAAGGTAGAAAGGAGCACACAGTGAGTATCCCAGGTAGAAAGCAAAAGTCCAGAGACCAAAGTGTCTAAGGAAGGAGGGAAGAGTCAATGGAATCCACCCCTCAGAAGGTGCAGTCAGGCCAGCACACCAGCCCCAGGTAAGGGGATGACCTCTGACCCCAGGGCAGGTGGTTTGTCCCATGGTCTTCTGGGTAGGAGCCACCAGGTAACTCCGTTTAGGAGGGAGCAGGGCAGGAGGTGGTGGGGAACAGAATAATATGTCTGCTTTTTCTTGGGTGCAGTGATTTTCTGCTTTACAGCCTTTTAGGAAACCCTGACAGAGTGACTCAAGAGTTAATGAATGTCACAACAGGAAGTTGTGAATGCTTTACTAAGCATGAACTGGACTCTTGACTAATTCCCCAATCTCTGTGCTACAGAAATTGTAGAATTTGTCAATCTGCCATGGCAGCCTTCCCAAACAGTGCCCAAAGCATTACTTGTTCTGTAGTTTTAAGATTGTTTTTTAGAAATACCAATATTTCATGTGAAGCATGTCCAATGACTACATGAACAATACATATACCAGCAAGACACATTTGGGTATGAAGTAACCCTCAATGGAATATGGGAGAAAGAAATAGACATTTGCTGAAGCCTTGTGATGACAAGTGGGAGAGTACTACAGCTCCCCAGACCATATTTCTAATTTATTTACTTTTTAGTATTTAGTATCTTATATTTGAAAACAGAAGGGATAAAGTCACAGCTAGAATGCATCCACATGCTGCCTAAAGTCAGCTAAAGTGAAAAATTACCGAGGATATGCCTTTACCCACAAATGTGGCCTTCCACATCATGGCAAGTTCACCCAGAATGGATGACCAAGGAAACCCAGAATAGCTTTCTGTATGAATTTTGCGATCAAATGAATTATGAAGTACATAGTTAAAGATTTTTACAAATGGGAGCACAAGCCCTTCTGAGCAGAAAATTCACTAAAATTCACTAAAACTCAAACCATATTTAACAGTTATTCCCCCCAGTGTGATATTATATAAACAATTACTTCTGTTAGAGTTACAGGGTGGTTCTGACCCAGGATCTGCCACTGGCAACTGCTGGACCTCAGACAAGCCACTTACCCTCTCTATGCTTCTAGAGATTATGTTTCACAGGAGGAAATTGAACTAGACTAGAGGTTTTCCATCCTTGACAGTTATAGAAACTTTGTTCAAATGAGATCTTGGGCAATAGCCCACATAGAAAACAAATTAAAACGAAGCCAGTCTTATTGAAGGAAGGGTCAGTGACCCATTTCTTTTCCAGTTTGCTGGCTCAACATGAACCCCTGCCACAGTCCCAGTCCCAGGTGGGCAGGGCAGGCCCCTGGTGTCTCTGGTGTTACACAGCACATGTGCACAGTTTAAAAAACACTGGAGTATATGGCACCTCACATCCCTTCCAGCTTGAAAATATTGATGATGGACAGACCAGAGGTGGAATCAGAGCCCCGACAAAAATATAGCTAGTGTGAAAACTAAAGCAGGACGGTGCCATAGGGGACAGAAAGTTACAATCCTGCCAAGTTCAATGTAGTGTATATCAAAACTGTTTTTTTTAAGTGGCCATATTTTATTCACTCACTAAATGTACTTTTTCTGAGTACTAACTATGCACTGGTAATACAACAAGTAGAAAGACGCAGCCCTGTTTGCGTCTGATCTGTTTGAGACATGGCTGGGTAGACTCGTGGTAATCACAGTTGGATGTGAGGAAGTGGTGCGAGGGGCAGGAGGGACAGGGCGGTCAGCAAGAGCCCTCTAGGAAAGGAGACACCTCCTCTGAATCTAGTAGCTAGGTGAAATGAGAGAGGGGAAGGAAGAGTGGAAAATACATGTAGAAAGAGAAATGAAGTATGCAAAGTTTCAGAAGCAGAAGAGAACTGGGTGGGTCCTCGGGAATGAGAAGCCAGCCCATCAGCCAATATGAGGAAGGTGAGCAGACCCAGGCTCAAAAGGAGCCCGCCATGACCCTCTAGGAAGTTTGGCCTTTGTCCTGAGGACCATGCATACTCAGAGCAGAGTTTCAGCAGGAGGGCAAACTAGTCTAAATCTTACATACGCTGCCGGTCAATTCAAAGCAGGAAGGAAAAATTGAGTTTGAATGAGGCATCAGTTGATGAATGAAGGTGAAGTTGGCAGTGCCAATAGGTGGTCTCAGGGAGTCTGGCTTCCTCCTTGATAAAAAATGGTATTAATCTCTGCCTTCTCTATCTTATGGTGCTATGGTGAGGATCCAAGAAGATCACGTATGTGAAAGAACATGATAAACTGGGAAGTACTCTGCAGGTCTTTAAATTATAGCAGTAGCAACATCAGTAGCAGCATTCTGGGGGAGGAACCACCAGATCCACAGTAAATGAGGCTTCCTAGAAGACTTTGAACAATCCCTGAATCCTAGATGGTTGCATAATTACGTCTAAACTGAGAGGAAAGCGACTGAATGCTCAAGCGTAGGAAGTTGTTGCGATATGCATAGGTGTCAAATGAGTATATGCAGACGACTGTATCTTCTGCTCCAGTGAAAGTGATGTAATATGTTGAAACCATCTTAGAAAAGGAACAACTAATACCATACATTTCTAAGCACCTACACATGAATCGTCTTGAGACACATTATCTTTATCTTATAGGGGGAAAAAAACAGAGAAATTAAGTGGTTTGCCAAAGATTACTGGCTAATTGTTGACAAGGTTATGTAAGTTATAGATAAGTTTGCATTCAAAAGTCAGGCACCACTTGTATTTATAACAGTTTATGATGTTGTCTTACATAGACATAAAATCTTTTCTTTCAAGGAATTTATGCCAAAGTTTTACCCATCCCCTGGAAGAAAAGTCCACAAGGCAAAAAAGGTTAACCTAAAGGTGACAAGAGAAATAGCCAGGAAGAATTTGTCAGTCATTTTCTCTGTCCTCTGTCACTTTTCAGATAATGGACCGATGGGAGAATCAAGGCAGTCCTCAAACGAGTTTATCTGCTCCGGCCATACCGCAGAACCTGCCCTTCCCACCTGCCCTTCACAGGAGCTCCTTTCCTGACTCAACAGAGGCCTTTGACCCACGGAAGCCTGATCCATATGAGCTCTACGAGAAATCTAGGGCCATTTATGAAAGTAGGCGTAAGTGAAAGCCACATGAAACAAGGGTACATTAATAATAGCTGAGGCCCTGCCAGGAGATATATTGAGGCTGAATGATCTGGCATGGTTTTATATTCTGAGTTTCAAAAGTGTTTCAAGAGCAGAGCCAGCTGGTCTAAAATTATCTTAGAAAGCCTGTTGACTCTAAAAGTCGGTTTATTATATCTTTTGCCTTATATTTTATCTCCTACTTTTCTTCCCCTAATCTCCTGAAGAAAATCGGGAATATATTTTTGGGGGTTGGGGGGTGAGGTTGCTGGTTTTGTTTAGGTTACCAAATACAGAAAAGAAGTGTTTGGCTTTTTTTTTAATCTGTTTAATCTGATCTTGAGCCTAAAGCATAGATCTTTCTTAGAGCCTTGAATATAGCCATTTAAAAAGTTAGGACCTTGAGTAAATTGTCAGCCAAGCCTTCCCAGCTCACAAGCATGAAATCAATTGGTTTCGAATGCAGTACTGATCTAGGTGCCAATCATCTCTGCCACAGTTTTCTGCTTCTCCTTCAGTGCAGTCAGGCACATTTGAACATTCAGTCTTAAAATATCGTGTATGCACTTGTCACCCTATCTGAAGGTCTTTTAAAATTGTTGTACTTTATAAACATTAGAAAACAAGGCTTTTGATATTGCTTGCACCATTGTTGTGCTTCTTTCTACCATCTTGCAAGTCATCTCCACATGTTAGAGGACAGGAATCTCACAGTATCAGAAGAATCTGTGTATTAAATGATCAGGAAACCCAGCCTCGTAGAAGAGTTTGGTCCCTGGCGCTCCCATTACGGTCTGCTGATTTCCTTTGCTTCAGTGTTCCATCAATGTCTTGTTTCCAACTTTATCATCCGTAGCATGAATAGCAAGTTTTAAATTGTGTGTGATCTCAGAGGATCTCAAATCTGCTTACTCTTTTGATGAGCTCAGGGGCTGAGAATTATGCACCCAGCTGGTAAAGGGGAAAGCAGACATAATACCTTTTCCCTATCCTCTACAACTCTTTGTAGAACTAATTTTGGTTGAAAAATAGTTAGGATGGCAAGCCATTGAGAAATCATTAATGTCAAAATGAAACATCCCCCAACCTGAAACCCACATATACTTTTTTTTTTTAAAGAAGCGGCTACATCAGAGCTACTGTATTTCATTCCTCTCCTTCTGGATGAACAAATGAAATATTTTTAGGTTGTATCATTAGAATGTCTTTGCTGTAGCAGAGTAAGAACAAATTAGGCATTCTTAGCTACATAATATAGAGTATGAATTCAGGGTATTAATGTTCATTAAACTGAAAAAAAATTGAAAAGATTTCAGCCCAGTTTCTAATACCTTTTCTGCTTTGATAACCAAGTATTGATGGAATGCCCATTTTGCTGTCAGCACTGTGAGGAGATACCAAAGATGAGTAATATGCCCTGCTCTCACACATTTAACTGGGGAAATAAGAATAATGAATGTAAACAAATAGAGAGTAAGATAAAGTTAACAGTTCTAAGATGCAAGTTGGAAGTGCATAGGATTAAAATATCATCCTCACCTCCTTGGCTTAATTTTGTGGTTGCATTTAGGGAGCATTAAGAGATGCTTCCTCCTGCTTTTTGCCTCTTCCTTCATCATTCACTTCCATCTTTTTTGCAATTTCCTAGCCAATGCAAAGCTTTGTGATTCAGGACAAAAACAATGTTGGTATTTATCTCCAGTTTTCTCTTTATGGTTGTCTGATACCATTGTGCCCTCAGTTTCTTGTACATGATGCTCTCTCAACTCTAAAACAATTATTTCTTTATCCAGCCCCTGCAATACTGTTTCTGTTCCTTGCCTTTCCCCTCCTCACCTGTAACAAACCAAGCAAACCAGTCCACCTTAACCTCCAGAGCTTTCTTTTTCAGTTCTCCTCTGGTAGCTCTTCATCGCCCTTTCCCTCTACAGCCGCAGGGACAGCAAACATCCTGACTCCCCACCTCACCCCACCGTGGGCCCCTCATCGGTGCTCTCCCTGTGCCGCTGCTGCTGCTGCCTCATCACAACCCCTTCCTGCTTTCATCAGCTCTCTCTAATGTTTCTAAGGTCACAGTAATGTTTTCAGGGTCAAAAATCTCAGAAAGCCAAAAGAGGACAAGCTCATTTCCTTTCCTATCCTTCTCTTTTCTATCACATTTCTTCATAACACTAAATGGAGTGTAAATGAAACATAGAAACTATGTCAAGGTAAGAAAAGCTCTACCACTGAAGATTAAGGAAACCAGGAGAGCATGGCGCCACTTTCTCTAGTCTCTCTGAATAGCTGATCAGTTCGCTCTGCTTGTGGATATGTGAGTGTCTTAAAAAAAAAAAAAAAAGACAGCCTTTTGCCCTCCTGTACGTTTCCATTTCCAAGTTTTATTTTCTCATGTAAATGTTTAAAGCAGTACTAAAAGAAAAAGATTTTAATTAATGATTGGAAAGCTCAGTCTGTTTCTCATCATCTTCAAATAGGTTTTTTTAATGCAATGATCATAAAATGTACATACCGAAACAAAAGATCAATATTTCAAAATTCGTGATTATGAACCATTCCTATTCTTATTCCTTTGAATCACATGCATAACATTTAGGTTTGGCTCTATTTATTCTTGTGTCTTTTCCTGGGGGGGGAAAAATCAGTGCAACCAGGGAAGGTGTGGAAAAGAATCCTAACCAGAGCTGTTTAAACTAAGTCCTTTGACATTTCCCCTAGCCTATAGTGATCTCATGGTGTCCTTCCTTACAACCAGGTCTAAAGCTAAAGAGATTTTTGCATTCACTTTCAAAACTGGGTTGCAGTTGCCAAATAAAAAGACGCCCCTCCACCCACAAGCCTGAGCTGTACAGAGCTACAGAACGTTTGTTCTGTCAAGGCTGTCAAGAAATATTTGGATTCAAGTCACCAGTCCCCTACAAATGATGGAAATTTATCAAATGATGTAAATGCTGCCGTGCCTCATTTGACTTATAATTCGATTATGCTGACATTTTAATGTGCATGCACAGGACATCTTAATAAAGACGTATTCCTGAAAAAAAAAGCTGTGATTTTAAACAAATGAAGATGATCATAGGATACTACGGCCACGTGAAACAGAACATGACAGGTACATGCTGTGATAGGAAACACCTCCTATCTTCATGAGATCTCAAGATGAGCTGGGAATGGAGCAGGACAGAGACAGGAAGATTCTCCCACCCAGCAGGCTGGCAGCGCCTCTGATTTCAGAGCATTAGGCTCAGTGCCCAGAGGTGGCAACTCCAGGCTCCACATCAATCAACAAGAATATATGAAACACTCGCTATGTGTCTAGAACTCTGCAAGGCACTCCACAAGAGAAGTTATGAAAAATAACCTCTGCTCATTAGAAGCTTACAATGAAGTTGAGGACACAAACAAACACACAACACATAGAAAAACGATTTCTGAACAAGGCTCCATTACACAACACAGCAAATAATATCAATATTTTAATGTGTGAAATTGTGCAGTAAAAATAACTAAATACTGAGAGTTTCTCAACTTCCATGTGAAAATTCATATTCAATCAAGACAATATTATGTGTTAAGTACCTTTACATTATCAAAATTTCATTAATCCTTGCTGGAGAACTCTGTGCAAAAAAAAAAAGAATTATTTCCCCACTAACTTAATTCCATATAAGCTTAAACTTACATATATAAAAGTATAACTCTGCCCAAAAAATCCCTAAAAAAGTTTTAATCAATGGGCCTTCTGGATCTTCATATTAATTATTTAAACATTGACCCTAAGTCATTACTACCAATTCCCAGAAAAGAACAAAAATCTCCCCAACTTCCATCTCTACCAAAGATTTTTAGACAAACGTGACTATTCTGTATGTGATAATAGTCTCTGTTGATAACAGACTTCTTGATGTCCCCACTACTTGCAATTTTGAAAATTGAAAACAAAAGAAAATACCTTTCCATAGTGGGACAAGCCGTGCTATGTTTTACTTCTCTTTTCTCTGTCTTTTTCCCGAGAATCTCATAAAGGAAGGACTTGAATTTGTTTTACAGTCACAACAGGAATGGCTTGAATGTTCTTGTTTGTATGCTAATATTCCTAATGCTGGACTACATATGCCATTTCTAACCTTGGAGAAAAGTAGTTCTAAGGGCCCTTAGTGTTTTCTCCCCCTCATCTCCTCCTGCCCTTCTTTCTCTATGTGTGACTGCATCCTTGCGTCCACCACTTATTTCTGATTTGATAGGAAATCTTCTATTACTGGTCTAGTTACTTATAAGACTATCTAGGGTGACTACACATGGAAGTTTCCTGGACAATCCTTGTCTGTGCTGTCCTGGCGTGATTATCAATAGTTCACTTTTCACCACCCTAGACTCTCATCATTTGAATGATAAATTATAAAATTTTCCTTTTTTATATACTCTATTCAAGGAATAATCATCATTACTGTTCAAGAAAAGCATATCTCTAAATGTACACATTATGAATAAAAAGTGTAATACCTACTCAGATAAATAATTTTTTCAAGCTAATTTATTTGGCTGATACAATGTTTGCCTATACATATTTTATCCCTAATTTGAGGTAAAGGCTTATTAGTGACTTGTGTTAGTAGCCAAACTCCCAGTAAACTCCTTCCAAACCCAGAAAGTTAGACATATGTACAAATCTAGTGCATGGCAAATGAAGTAGAAAAAAATAGGTAGTAAGGTTTCCCACATTTAAGTACTATGCCATGGAGTCTTCTTTCTTAATATAGAAAATAAGTCAGGTTCAACATCACAATAATCACCAAACTGAAAGTTAGTTAATCTCATCTGTCTTCTTCTTCTGGGAAAGATTATAGTTAGATAACTACAGCTAGATACTGGTACTAAAAAGAGGAACTGTGATAGGCAAGGCAGTATAAGGTGCTTCCCAAAGAAAATGAATGTTGCTCACTTTGGAATCTTATGAAATTCAGTCTTGATCATTCTGATGGGTGTGTTGATACAGGATAGAGGGCCTTGTCCTGTTGCTTCACTTTTCTTTAAGCTAGTCTTACTCTAAGGGCTTGTCTTATCATTCAGCTCATGGGGACATTTCTTGGGCCTGTTCCACACTGCAGCCTTGAAAGCTGGAGCAATAAGCAGATACAACCAGGAATGGAAAAGAAAAATTCTTATTTCCTGAAACTCTTCCCTCAGGGTTCTGTCCCTTGGTTTAAACCCAAGTTGAATTATGACTGAAGTTGTTCAAACTTTTTTCTCTTCACATTGAACTTTGGTTATTATAAGTAAACAATTTATGAGGTACACCATGTCCACACTCCTTTGTGGTAAGACATCACTCAAATGTAGAATCATAAAAATGTCAAGGATCCGTATGGTGTAATGTGCCTTATGGTATAACCTCTTTAGAACAGAAATTTCTCTGAAATGTCTTCAAAAGAGCTCACACAATCAATTTTCCTTTCCAGAATTAGAATAATAAGCGATGAGTATCATAGCAAAGGTAGCAATCAAAAGTGATCACACGCCAGTTCAAGAGTATAATGGAGAAGCAAACTGTTTTTTAGTACTATATATGAAATGAAATTATCATTTGTGGCAGATCAAAAACGGACAGTTATGTTTTTCACATCTATGGCTGTTGTCCTGCTCTTTTGTTGTTCTTTGATTATTGAATTCTTTCGTTGTTCAGTATTGTAATACACATGTAATTCATGGCTGATCACAAACGGGTGGTTGTATTTCTAAACTACCAGGTTTTCTGCTGCTCTTTCCTTGTTATTAGTGAGCAAGAGTTGTAGTTTGCACTGTCTCCCATCCTAACAGCAGAGCCACTTGAAAGGATGGGGTACTGTAATCGTATTATTCACCACAGAACACCGCTTGAATCTCTAAATGAAAAGTGATGGGGGAAGCCGCATCATATATGGTAGTATCTGTCTAGGGTGCTCAAAACCAGAGCTCTGAAGCCTGTGGAAATCTTTCAGCTCAAGCCTTCCTGACTCCAAGTCTCCTTTTCCCACGTAATTAAATACCCAGTTGAGCCAAGCTGGAAATATCAAAAAGTTTCACAAAGGTTTAAATAAATTCATGGATGCCATAGCTACAGGCAGCTATTAGGTGATCATGAAAGGCCATCATGCCTTCCCAGAAAACACCCTCACATGTGAACACTGTGCTAGATCAAGCCCCAGCCTGATTTGCTTGAACACTGCTGGTGTCCGATGGCATTAAAGTACCCCCCACGTATGTTCTCTGGAACACAATCTTACTTTAGTGAAATATTAAAATAAGGTGATAAATAAATGTTAAAACACTTTTACCAGTGACTCTAGCATTAGAAAAATAAAAGGATAGAAAAAGATGTAACAATGTTATCATTTTAAATGTCCTCAATTGTACTGAGAGATTTTCTGCAACCTTTTCTCATGGGAAAAGCATTATTGTTATCCTTAGTATAATGTATGTTATGATTTGATCTGTGAAAAAAATTTGCCTTTCAGCTGGATTTTCTAATATATCACATTGTGCATTACTTTGCCGTTATATTGATATGAAGATCAGTAAATCCGGTTAAGCTGTGTCTGCCATTTTAATATGTAGATTTTAATTAATTTGGAAATCTAATTTTAAAAAGGTATCCTCAGATAGCTTTCTAAGAAACTGTGGTAACGTTTATATTTCCAACAAGTTCCTTTTGAAACAGGAAATTACCATGGTATGAGCTAAGTAATATAGAGATAGCAAAATAAAAGTTGTGGTAGGACACATATTTTTCCCATGTATTTTAGAAATTAGATCCAATCCTAGAGCTGATAAATTTATTTCATTTAGTAATTTAAAACTAAAAGATCCTGGAATTAAGGGATAAAGGCAGGGGGAGGAGTAAAAAGTAAACTCTAAAAATCAGCTCTTGATTGAAAGTTATTTAATATATCAAAGCATTTTGTTGGTTGCACAAGTTGACAATGTAACCCAATGTATATTCATGAATTAATATGAGACCATCAGGGCTATAGAGTTTAAGTGCTAGATGGCAAGTAGGTCCTCGTGAGAGTATAACATAAAATGTCAGTTTTATACCTAATGGAAGCGTTTCGAAGGTAGCAGTCTTCCATCCCTCATACAGACAAAAGGACATTTCTCAAGTCATAATCCTAAGCAGCCACACCAAACATGAAAGTTCTTAAAAAATAACAATTGTGCCAGAAAGCTAATTTGCCTTTACTGGGAAAACACAGCTTACCTGGCAGGAATGATTGTTATGCTCTCCATGAGCCAACTGGCTCTTTATTTGAAACAAAACTCAATGAAAAAGCAACCAGACTTTGGTCTTATTTTAATTTTTAAAATTTAAGGATAAAATACTCATTTTTTTGGTATTATGTGAGCCTTATATGGTACAACTATCTTATAAAATTATGTCATCTTAAAACATTCAGAATGGGGGAGGTTCTATTGTACTATATTCTTATTCTCTGCCTTTCAAAACTGTAAGTTGCCTCCTCTGTAAATGCTCTTAAGGAATAATCGCATATGATTGATGATTATATATCATAAATATATAATTTTATAGACCAAAATAATAATAATGGTATGAAATTTCTTCCAAGCAACAACTAATTTACATATTGAAGCCTAAATGTGTGGGAGGAGTGGTTCTTGCAAGAATATCTTACAGTTCTTCTACCTACAATGTGAATTTATGTTTTAGAGACGTTTAGTAATGTTTAGTTAATTTTTATCTGTAATTCCTTACATGATTCTAAAGCAAAACAATATGGTAAACTTAACATGAAATTCATCACAGGGGCAAAAATATCCTGCCATTCTCTCAGATAGAAGTAACTCAGCATATCTTAACGTAGATCTTTAGCTTCTTGAGTATTTCTTGACCAGAGGTTTGCATACATGTGTCTTCTGCCCATCTCTTATTAAACCCAGTTGTGTGGTTTAGGAAATTCTCTACTGACAGAACCATGAAGGAATAGGAAGAATTTCTGGAGATATTAGGAAAAAATGTATAGCATGTTCAGAAAAGAGTGTATTATTTATTCATAATAATACTAAAATGAAATAAGAAAGTGTTTTATTGGATAATGCATTCTAATTAAGTTTAAAACTTAGATATAATAAGTATGTTTTCGAAAAAGGATCTTGAAGAGTTTCTTGTGAGATAGTATAGAATACCTTATGCAAGTCACTTAGCATTTTGGGTCTTAACCATCTGTGGAATGAAAGGTGCCTTGCATCTCTGTCACTCTATTAATGCCTCTATGATAGTAAGACCAGGGATTTAGAAGGCAGAATGAAAATCAAGGGACAATTTAATTATGTTCTTCTTCACATTTAGCAGTTCCAGATAAAGACATGGTGAAAGTCTGCATTTCTCAAACATGCAGTAAGGAGTTGCACATCTCCACCATGTAGAGTAGGAGGAAGCATGTCAATCAATTGGAGCCTTGCCTACCCCTGAAAAATGTTCATGTATGAGAGCAACATGTCTCCCAATACTTCCAGAACCCAGTATGCAACCAGGTTGTTCTAGGTTCTAGAATTCTAAATGTGGGCTATGCCTACATTTTAAAGGTGTTTTACACTCACTTTTTTGAATTTTTATGTTATTAGAAGTAGCATAGATTATATCATAATTCTTATAAAGGATCTCTATTGCTAAAATAAACCAATTTAACTCAACTACTTATACATAATTTCAACTACCCAGATAATTGGAAATATCAATATATTTGGACTAGTGTACATAAATCAATACAATCATTGATTGGATTTTCCACTTTTCATTTCAACGTTTTATGACACAAAATTATAACCTAATTTTAAAGGACCTATATTTTCTGTATACCTTTCAGGTTCTAGATTGACTTTACTTTCAAATAAGTATTCTTATAATGAAAATCAAAACTTAATATTTAGAAATGGTAATCTTATTCCACCCTGATCTAAAAAGAAATTCAGATTTTTCTATTTTGGATGCATGTAAAAGAAACATATTTACATACATGCTCATACGTAAAGCAGGGTAAATTTGTCCACTAACTTGGATCTTAGAGGAAAAAAAAAGTCTTAAACATAAGTATGAGATTGTGGTTGGGGGAGTTATGATAGCAACAAAAAGAAAGTAAAGATGAATTTTAAAATGCCATAAATGAATTTCAACTTTAATTCCCCATTTTCCCATCCAGAACAAGTGCCACCCAGGACCAGTTTTCGAATGGATTCCTCTGGCAAGTATTGTTCAGTACTCACAGTTCTGTGAACAAAACGTCTTCCATTTTGTGTAACAAATCATTCTTCTGATAGTATCAGTTTCCTAGTATATAATCGCTGTGCTACTTTAGTCACCTACATAAAACATGTATTCAAGGTAGACAGCAAGTCTCATCATGGTGAGCCTAAATGCCTGCCAACAAAAGACAAAGGAAAACAGTCATATTCATGAATTTCTTTCATAAAATACTCTAGTAAAAGGCTGGATTAAAAACAGCTGCCAAAGAGAGCCATCAGACTGACTAGGTCCGTGCTGTGTAATACAGTAGCCACTAGCTACATGTGGCTATTGAGCACTTGAAATGTGGCTGTTCTAAAGTTAGATATGCTGTAATATATGTGTAAAATCCACACTGGATTTCAAAGACAGTACCCAAACAAAAAAGAAAGATTTCATTAATTATTTTATATTGATTTATGTTGAAACAATATTTTGCATATACTAAGTTAAACAAAATATATTATGAAAATTTATTTCATCTGTTTTGTTTTCTAAAATGTGGCTACTAGAAAATGTTAAATTACTTATGTGGCTTACATTTTATTTGCATTGAATAACACTAGACTAGATACAAATAAGAAGCTAGAAGGTCTCAAGAGATTTGCAATTTAGACATTTCCAAAGAACGGATTAGAAATGTTGCTAACATAGAATGAAATTCTTTTCAAATCAAGTAAATATCTATATCAACTTAATTTTTTTAAACCATGCCAATTATAAAATACTATATTTCAATAAGATTTTAAATTAGGCTAAAATATCATATTTTAATTTTAAGAGCTTTCAGTAATACACCAATTAATTTGCTTAAAAGGAAATTTTATTTTTTACTTAACCATTTCGAAAACACTAATTTTGGTTTAGGCTAAAATATTTAACATTATTGTACAAATGTTGGAGGAAAAAGAAGATTTAATTTTTTTTTGCTCTTAGAATTGGTGATGAAAATGCTTTAAACAGCTAATCAGACCACCAGATTGAAAGCCAGAATACTCAAACAATTGCGGAAAATAGTGTTTTATAATAGTAGCACTATTTCAGGGCTGTGGGCTCACAGCACACATCTCCAGAGTGTTTCCATGATGACAGCTCATTATCCATCTCAGCATGTTCTAACACCCCTTGAAGAATATATGTGCCTGAGATCATTTCATTCTGTAAGTTTCCATGTCATTTTTGGGGGGATATGTAGAAAATATGGAAGATATTATTTAGTGTTTTCTCCTAAAATAATGTCTAAAGTATTTGTTTAGCTTTGTCTAAAAATTTTACAGCATGATTATTCCTCTATACTGGCTGCTAAATCTTTGCAATTTTTTTAAAACATTATCTTATGCCCAGAGAGAAAATGGGACCTAGTAATTACAGTTGCAAAATGAAATCAAGATTTAATTTGGAATTTTAAATCTCAGCTTACTGGTCACAAAAAGCACATGTCTTAAAAATCTCAGATTCTGAATGCACTTCATTTAAAAACAAGAGAAGGAGAATGGCCCAGTAGTTTAGATTACTTTGACATATATGCAAAGTAATAGTTTTTACCTTTTTAAAAAATACATTACTTAGAAGACAAAAGTTATAATATAGTTGGGGTATATTACGTTACTGTGCAATTCACATTTTGAAGAAAAGAACCAATCCAAATAGTTGGTTGAATGTCCACACAAGTTATCAGAATATTCTGGAAAATCATGACTGCATTTAAAATAAATATATCTTGCTTGGCGCTGTGGCTCATGCCTATAATCTCAGCATTTGGGAAGCCAAGGTGGGAAAACAGCTTGAGCCCAGGAGTTCAAAACCAACCTAGACAAGATGGCAAGACCTCCATCTCTACAAAAAATTTAAACAGCTGGGCGCTGTGGCGCATGCCTGTAGTCCCAGCTACTTGGGAGACCGAGACAAGACGGGAAAATGGCTTGAACCCAGGAATGTGAGGTGGTAGTGAGCTGTGATCACACCACTGCACTCTAGCTTGGGCAGCAAAGCAAGACCTCATCTCTAATAAAAAATACAAAAATGGCCGATTGCGGTGGTGCATGCCTGCAATCCCAGCACTTTGGGAGGCCGAGTCTGGCAGATCACGAGTTCAAGAGATCGAGACCATCCTGGCCAACATGGTGAAACCCCGTCTCTACTAAAAACACAAAAATTAGCTGGGCGTGGTGGTGCTTGCCTGTAGTCCCAGCTACTCGGGAAGCTGAGGCAGGAGAATCGCTTGAACCTGGGAAGTGGAGGTTGCAGTGAGCCAAGATCACACCACTGCACTCCAGTCTGGCAACAGAGCGAGACTCCATCTCAAAAAAAAAAAAAAAATACAAAAATACAAAAATAAGATAAAATAAGTAGATGCCCCATGTTTTTTGTCACATTTATAAAATGTCTCATCAAATTATGTTATGATTCTGACTCAGATACGTTTATCATAATTATAAGGTATATTATTAACTTTACCTGCATAAGATCCTTAGGTACAGAGGCAAAATTGATAGTAGGAAGTTCTAAATAATACATATTTATGAAACTAAGTGATAACTCCATAGTGGAATAATGCTGTGGTTCATTGGGACTAGGAGACTAGAGAGTGCCTTAAGGCAACTAAGTTCAGGTAATGTTTATTTAGCAACTCCTACAGACTGTGCATAATGGAACACTATAGATGGCCAATGATAATTATGCCATCACCTAAGGAGAATATTAGTGAGAAACAATGGAATCTATGGCCAGGAACTTTGAATGGGCAACTCCACCCAAAAATAAGAGAGCCAGGAAATGGGGTGTCACAGAAACGACTTCCAAAGGAGATCTTTCCTTGTTTAGGATCAAAAGAAATCTGAAGTCATAAACAGTGCATCAACGATATCAAATAAGGCACTGAAATCAATCAGTATGAGGAAAGAAAAAGAGGCCATTTAATTTGGTCACTAGCATGCATAGTGACCTTAAAGAGTGCAGTAGTGCTAAGAGAGAGCATAAACCAGACTGGCAGGAATGAATCAGAGGTAGAATGAAGGCTCCCCTAGAGACTACTTTTCCTAGAAAGAGATGGAAGGAAGGAGCAAAGTCATATTTAGGATGGAAAAATCTGAGCTCATGTGAAGGCTGAGGAGAGAACCAAATAGAAACTGGGAGATGGCTTCTACTATGGCTAACACGTGCTTGGTCACATTCACATACCCACAGGGATAAAGCAAACAACTAAAGAGAAGGGATATTTTAAAGGATGGAGTATTAGCTACTTACTAGGTAATGTTAGATTTGAGCAACAGAAACTATATAATTCCTGTTTAACTCTTTCTATATCTGGAGTGCATAGAAATCCAGAAGTCAAGACCATGTTTAATAACCTTTTTTGATTCCTGATATCTTCCTCATGCTAACTTTCCTAGATCTCTTTACAAGGAAAAGCCCAAAAAGTGATGCTCTTTCCAGCAGGAAAAATTGAATAAATGTATCCTCTGTGCCAAACTGTGATGATAAGCCATGGTACTTATGTTTTAATTAAAACATGAAAGGGGATTCAAGTACCAAATTTTAATTGACATGTTTACAGCAGCATCCCATATGCCAAATTAATTCATAAAAATGTTGTTCTTTGCATTTCTGAAGATTGAATCCATTCATAAAATTAATCAGTTGTGTTCAGTTACCCAGCCTTTTCCCTAACTGTGCACAGAGCTACTTCTTTCAAAAGCAAGACTAAGGAAACATACAGCATGTGAAGCCCCTAGAGTCTTCATGTGAAGTAGGAATCAACTTTTGAAATCTGCTTTTCTTTATTATGAGAGAGGTTGTCCTGATACCTGGATGTGCTCACCATTTGCTACTTTTTAAAGTTCGTTTTTGCAATATTGGTGTGAGCCCAGAATAAATTAAGACTTCTAAATTTCATTTCAGTAACTTGCCACAGTGGTCATGTAAAATTCCATCTAGGAAGAGGATCATGAGATGCTTTGTTCCATAATGCCTGAGGATCCGAGGACCCAACTTCTAAGAAGCAACACTAGCCACAGCTGGCCACTGAACACTAATATCCAAAGAATGCTTTGTGTCCTCTTAGTCCATTTCTTTACAACCACTGCCTCCTCTTGAGCTGCATTAAGCGACACCTGAGAGTGTCTCTGACAGTTCTGCAAAAAGTGCTGAGGAAAAAGAAGATTTTTTTAAAAAGAGCACAGAAAAAATAAAGAAGGGAACAGAAGAGTAAAAGGATGGGGCACAGTTAAACAACATGCAAAGCAACTCAGGTCCAAATAGGTGTCTACCAGACACCCTCATCTAACAACCTCCCTGGTGCATAGTTTCTTGAAACAAGAGAAAGGAATAGTGATTGTTAACTCTGTTGCAGTGAGGTAAAGAGATGGCCCTTGGATTTCTTCACTTTAAGTTCTTGCATTAATAAGGAAAGAGACAAAACCTGATACAGTAATTGAAACATGTCGTCGGGCCAGAAGAGCAACTAGGGGAAAGTCAGAAACATCACAATCTGCGAAGAGAGCTAACAAAGCAGGAAGGAAAAAGAATGATGTCTCCCAGCTTTGTACATATAATTTTAGTTATTTTGTAAAGCCAGACTCCAAGGAAAAAAAGAAACCAAAGAAAAATTATCTTCCTAAAATGTTCTTATTTTCCCTAAAAAAAAAAAAAAAAAAAAAAAAAATACTGCTGCCTCAAGGCACAATCTATCATATGAACTTTTTTTCCAGTTGACTATTTCTGTAAAATAGTCCAGACCCTGCAGCCTCTGAATCTGTGTTCAAAATTAACAAAGAAATAAAAAATAAATCACATCTACCAGCATTCTTCTCTAAGGGGTCTCTCTTTGCCTCTGTTTCCTGCTCATGAACCATGAAGCTGGCCACCCCTGCTGGGAAGAATGGAAGAGTGAAGATGAAATAAATGGCTGGCACATACCACCCTATGTTTGAAATCAGGGTGGGTCAGAGCAACAGGATCGGTATTGTCACCAAAATGTGCAAGAAGAGCAGGAAGAGGAGAAAAAATGCCTTATTCGTGTCTCTGTTCTTCAGAGTTCAATAAAATTTACTTGCTAAAATCTAGATTTTTCTCCTAAAAAGAAGTCATAAGTTATTCATTAAAGAAAAGCCCCTTAATTCCTCCAGGAATCACAGATTCTCTGACAAAAGACAAACTTCTTGTGCCTTGACACCTCTGAAAGTTCCATTCCTGAGATGGTCATAATTTCGGCATTTCTTTAGGGGAAAAGTTTTACGTAGCAAATAAGATGGATCACACAATAAAGGTCTTGTAAAGCTCCTTGTGCAATATGGATGGGTGCTGAAGTCACTGGAAGAACAAGTTCCCACTTAGCATATTCAGTGGTGATGCAAAAGTGAGAAGAATACAGGAGATGAAAAGTTCTAGTTAAACATATGCTGGCTCTATCATTTTAAGTGTCACAAATACAGCACCTTCTATTTGTATTTTTAATGTGTATGTGGTCTAGAGTTCCTCCCAGCTTAAAGTGACTTACAGAAGAGATTGCCATGAGCAGTTGTATTATCCTCAACTTGTAGAAGTTTGAACAGTGATTGAGCAATATCTGTCATCTCCGATCTCCCCTTGTCTTTCTCCTTCTCTTGGGAGGAGTACAGATACCTGCTATGATTTTGTAGAGCTCTACTCCATCTGCCTCCAGACTCCCAAAGGCTTAGCACACACCCCAATATGTGATTTCATATATGATATACAGACTTCAGAAGAAACTGAGTTCAAAAGCCGGTTGTGTCTCATAGAATGTAAGGCAAAATTTTCATCTTTCCTCTGCCACCACCTCTATTTAATAGGAATGGAATTTTTTAAGTTCTCCCATCTTTAAAATATGACTGATTATATAATTTCTAAAGGATGTGGAGGTCTAACTGGTTATTCTTCTTGCAGAGTTTAATATTATTCATTGAATGGAAAAGGTCTTGGTCATGTGTGCATTTGGTCATAAAAGGGTATGAATGCTCATTGAATCTTGTACAATGCATATAAACATATGTACTTAAGCGCCTGATTCATCTTTATTTAAAAGAGCACCAGATAAATAATCGGCATTTGCCCACGTCTCAGAAGTGAATGATGCCTTTCATATATCCCTGGGAATAGCCCAGGTTGTTGGGCACCAAGGCAAGCCTGTATAATTGTGCTTTGTACACTGTATCACTCCAGCAGTCCCACCTACTGCAGAGCCTGGAAAATATTTGCCTGGCCAGCATTCAATGAGCCTCTCTCTACAACGAGTGCTACTGTATAATCATGTGGCTCAGACATAGATTTTTGTCCCATGAGAATTCTCTGAAATCTCGTCTTAATTTCTACAACTATCCTGTTTAAGCAAGGGGAATTTTACTTAATACCTGCTTCTATCAGTTCTAATACCTCCTTTAAACCATTCAGGTCCAGAAACCACTAAACATTTCTTAAGCAAGAGACAGCATAATAAATAGTTCTTTAAATTGCTGATCATCTGCTGGCACCCCAGCAGTGGACATGAAAGTATGCGCAGCTTGGTCACAACTGAAGTATTTCCCCCTGAGGAAGGTGCCAAGGGGCAAGGGGACAGGCTAAGCATAAATCAGATTCTACTTAAAAAGTCAAAACTTTTTATATTTAATAGTTTTAGTTTCTTCTAAGGCTGAAAAAATGACATTCAGGAGAGTTTTTCATCTTATTTTGAAATACAACTGTGTTCTTTCAGCTGACTTCAGAAAAGTATCTTCTATTTATTTTGAGTACTCTCATGAAGTCAAAAGTCAATCTATGGCTTGCACATTCTAAAATGTTTCGGTGATAAAAGTCCACCTTAGACCCAGATGAATTTCTACCTGTAAGTTATAAAAACCCTAAAGGAGTTTGTCAGAAAATAAATGCTTCTTGAACCTCAATACAAGAAAGTTTAAATTCTATATCTTCTAATTTTTGCAATTTTAAAAGAGACAACTTCTATTGGGCATACGTTTATACCCTACACACACACACACACACACACACACACTCCTAAACTGGATGCATCATGTCATAAACAGATATTAATAAATTACCAGGCAGTGCTTTACTGGACAGTTCCAGGGTTTTGCCATCTGTTCTCTCTTACTTGCGCAATAATTGTTCTAATCAGAGTAAACATCCTCAAAGTGACAGTCTAGCTTCTTGAGGGCAATCTGAATGCTCTCAGGAAAATCAAGAATTATAAAGGCATCAATTTTTTTACTCAGAAAATTCATGTACTCTTTCTGCTTCTGGTAATACCTCAGTAGTGCCCTCGGCTAGTCACTATTATTCCAGGGACAACCTACATTTGGAACACCTACTTTTTTGCTGCCATATTTTTTGTATCCTCTATGGTTTCCATTGACCCTAACAGCACTCTCATTAATCGCATCCACAAAATTAATTTATCATTGGTATGTTCAGTTCCTCAGGGGCTGGGAAAGAGGCAGGATTCATTACTCAATGGGATCTCCTTTATGCCAGGTCCAGATTATAAGGAATTGGATGTTCATCTTCGGAGGATGGAGTCTGGATTTGGCTTCAGAATCCTCGGGGGAGATGAGCCTGGACAGCCTGTAAGTTGAATCTTCTTTATTTCCATGCTTGGGGCTGTATTGTATGAGTAAACACCAGGGAAAATAGTGTTTAGTGTGATATCTAAAAGGAAATGTTTTAGGACTCTCATAAAGAAGTTTAAGCTTTGGATTTTTTTTTTCCTTGCTGTTTTCTTTAAAAAGATCTCACGACATGCAGTTATCTCCACGACAAATATCTCTTTAGAAATCACATTCAATAGGGACATTGCTCTTTTTTTAGAATCGATTGAATTCCTCTTGAGTATTTTCGTTATCTAATTGCACTGAACCCCTGGTATCTTTGGGTAACAGTTTATGAGTAGAGGTAACACCCACCTGGGAACAGCAGAATTATGTATGTTTTTAACCAAAACAGCAAAGGAGATAAAACACAGGGATAAACAGAAATAAAATCAAGCTCAGCACTGCAGAATCTCAGCCAGATTTGAATTAAGGGATTACCAGAAGGTGTTCATAAAGTCAACTGCAGTTGGCCTAATATATATTGGGAAATCTAGAAGGGCTTTGTAGAACACTTTGTGTGTGTGTATGTGTGTGTGTGTCTGTGTGTGTGTGTGTGTGTGTGTGTGTGCGCGTATTCACAGTGAAACATAAAATACTAGTAGTCACTAATACACAGAAAACACAGCAAGGCTAGATTTATGAGCATATGTTAAAATATAAGCTATAAAACACTCATTGTAAAAGATGTGTCTTAAATGGTACCCAATGTGACTAAGTTAGGTCCACGAAAGTTTTGAATAAGTGAAGGGCCTGAGCAGTGCAGTCAGCTATCTACATCCCATCCGGCTCTGGCACCTGAACTCCATCCTAGCTCATGTAAGGGAGTTAAATCTTAAGCCTCAGCTTTCTCATCTACAAGATGGGGATAACAATAGTGCTCTATTGTAGAGTAGATTTGAGGATTAAAGGAGATAATATATATATATATAAAGGTCTTGGCATTATGTCTGGATCACATTAAGTGCTGAATAAATGTTTATCATTATCAATTTTGTTTCTCTTGTTACTAGATTCTCCCAGGAAATATACTATATATGTGTGTGTGTGTGTGTGTGTGTGTGTGTGTGTGTGTGTGTGTCTATATATGGTTTTTAAATATACTATATGTACTACAAATATTATATATATGTGGTTTTCCTGAGACAGAGTCTTGTCCTGTCACCCAGGCTGGAGTGCAGTAGTGTGATCACAGCTCACTGCAGTCTCAACTTCCTGGACTCAATCAATCCTCCTGCCTCAGTCTCCTGAGTAGCTGGGACTACAGGCATGTGCCACCATGCCTGGCCCCAGAAAATAAAATTTAAAATAAAAATAAAACCTGGGCAGAAATCTTCAGGAGAAAAAAGTTAATCTAATAAATGAGAGGAATCTGAAACGGTTAAAACTGTCTCAGAGTAAAGTAGATTGCCTGGGTGAAGAGTGGGCTCCTTCCCACAAGAGGTATTCAAGCAACCAATGGGAACCTGGCAGGAACCCCGAGGCGCTTCCTCTGCCCTGCGGGAGGAGTTGAACTAGATGATTGATGAGGTCCCTTTCTACAGAAAACCCCAGGAAGCTGAGCTTATACTCCAAGGATGAGGGCTCTCCAGGAAAAAAAGACTTATTTCCGAATTCCTGGGGATGAAATTTGGCAACAGTCAACCAGAACGTCACTAACTTCCCAGCTGCCAAAGAAGACATGAAGGTGCTTTTGCCAAGGAGGATTGGCCAGATTTTTCTTGGTGCTTTGAGAGGAGGGAAAATGCTGAGGTAAAATACAGGGCTCAAGTAACTTCAGACTTAAATTTATTCAGAGACTAAATTAAGAATCTCATGTCACAAGGAAAAGGAACTCTTGGCTGTGTTTTACTCCCATTCACAGCTTTGTTTACTCTCCCCCATCTCCGATTCTGAGATTACCAGGGATCCTAGGTGACCGAGTCAGCCCTCCAGCCTCCCTGCCCTCTATAACTTACCTTGTTTTATAATAGAGAGAACTGAAAACATTCTCAAGTCCCTTCATATCTGTAAGCATTTAACGCACTGATTTATGCTACAGAACCTCCTGACCTCCGCAGGATATTTATACAGCTTGGCTTCCTTCAGGATTGTTCATGTGTCTGCCGATTTTGTTTTAATCAGCAGGATTTTAAATTTCTCCTAAGCAAGGACTTTGTCTTACCCTTTTTTTCCAACATGAGTACTCCATAATTGAAAAACGTGTCATTATCCAGAGTGAGCCAAACTCGAGGTTAAGGTCACAGTCTTCAGACTGCCACCTCTGCCCAAGACTCCTGGCGTCTGCTGAAATAAGTTTGCCAAATGTCAGAGTCTAAGGGAACAGTCTCCACAGACCACCCCAACTTTAAACACTAGCTCTGAATCTGGGGGCCCCACCATGTAGTAGGTTCGCCGTGCACTGGTTGCCAACTTATCTGTGTCTGTTGAGACAGAACACCCACCCACACACCAGGCTACGTGAAGTGGATTTATCACTTACAGGGAGGCAGCAAGTGACAGTAGAAGCCAAGGATTCATGAAGAGCAAGTTCCCCAAGGCTCAGGAAAGCTGCCTAGGACAGATGGAGTCTCCACTCACACTTGCACCTCAGCTGAGGGGCCCCAAAAAGCAGCCTACTGTGGGTTTTCTACCCTGGAGAAGTATGTCACACTGGACTCAAGCACTGAAGGACATCCTGTTTCTAGGGGGGACTGGAACAAAACACAGGCTGTTCCAGCTAGCCCCTCTTTATCTCAAGATGTTGTGTTCCTAGCACCTTCTATAGTTATTCTTGACAACTACAAGAGAAGAAGGGGAAAAAATTGGGTGAGTCCAAGGCCACCCAGAGAACTGTCCTGTGCTCACAGCTTTCCTCAGGTCCAATAATTCACTAGAACAACTCAGAACTCAAGAAAGTGCTGTACTTATGATTATGGTTTGATTGTAGTGAAAGGATAAAAATTAGAACCATCCAAAAGAAGAGATGCACAGGATAAAGTCTGGAAGGGTTCCAAATGTGACACTTCCATCACCCTTAAGGACTTGTTACCCTCCAGCATTCATGCAGAGAGGATTGCCAGCCAGGGATGCTCACCCAAGCTTTGGTGTCCAGGGTTTTTATCCCAGTGTTTTGTTACATGGGCATGATTGATTGAACCATTGCCCACAAGGATGACCTCAATCTTCAGCCCCCTTTCTTCCTCAGAGGCCAGGCTGATATCATGTGGCTCAAAGACACAACCCTCTAATTACAATGCTGGTCTTTCGGGTATGGTCAGCCCCTACCCTAAGATTATTGGTGAGGCTGGCCCCATCCTGGGTCATCTCCTTAGCATAAACCATCAGGTATGGTCAAAGGGGCTCACCATGAATGACAAAGACACTCCTAATTCCAAGGGTTAACCTTTCAGAAACCAGGGAGAATGGCCAGACTTCACTTTGGGCTGAGACCAAATTATTTATGGCAAAGCCATGTGCTTAAAAGATATCAAATGAATGAAACAAAATGAAACCATGCTCAAAATAAAATACAACTTTAAGGCAATTTTTGTATCACTTCTGTGGGACACTGAGCACTTGCTGAAACAATTACAGGGCATTTAAGGGTAAACCCATCTAGAATCCATTGCACTTATACTAACATAATACTTCAAACTTACCAACCTAAGGGGTTTCCACCAGAAAGATGAGCTCTCTGTTTGTTCCGGAATACACTGACTCATGTGCTCTTTTTTCCCCCTTTTACTAATCTCTGAGCTCCTCGAAGGCAAGGACTGTAATTTAATGGTGTTTATGTGTTCCAAGCCTAGCCTGGTACAGTAAATATTTATTAAATGGAATTGAAGACTGTATTTTTTCCACCAAGTCAAAACTGTCACCTGAGCTTCTCAGAACAAGTAAGGATCTGGAGTTTATATTTTCTGAGGCCTCTAAGTTCTACAGGCTCTGTAGAATTAAAGTGGCCTAGTCCCAGAAACAGAGATAGCGTCCTGGCGGCCCTATAGCATGTTTTTTTTAGTTCCCCCAGTATTTTACAATTGTTGAGCGCCGATTAATTTCATCTTTTGAAAAACGGATTTTCATCTTCTCTTGAAAATTAAATTTAGCAACATTGAGCTTGCCTTTCTCCATGACAACAACTGGCTGGAACTAAGCAATGGCCCCTTTTAGACTGAGCCTGGCTGCAGTTCCCAAAACTCCTGTATGCCTGTGCTACTCTTTAAAGCTACTGTCTTTGAGATTCCCATCCCAGTACCCAACCCAGAGGACTGAATTAAAAGACATTGGAAAGATGAATATTTTATGCCAATTGAGCCTTCAACCAGGGCCAGATAATTACAAAACCTAACCTAAGCACGGAAAAGATTATCAGGTCCTTTCTCCCATTAAGAAATACAAATAACATTAAACTATAAAATAAATATTAGGCAAAGCAACAAAGTTTCTAATTCTTTCTATGATACTTACTTTAATAGAGTCTTTACAAAATGAAATTCTGAATTTATTGGACCCCTTGGCTCATGCTTTGTCTGCTTTGGGGGGAAGCCAGCACCCCATTCTGTAGATATTATCTTCAACCGCTCCCCTCCTCCTCCAAAAGCAGAAGGGATTGCATGACTGAGTCACAGGGAGGGAATAGTCTTGGCTGGCTCAAGAGGAGAGTGGCCTTGCTGGACTTTGCCTGGTGCAGAAGCAATAGAATTGTTACCAGAATGGAAGATGTCCTGTACGAAATGAAGCTCAGATGCGTGAATGCAGCCATGATCACCACCCAGCCTCAGGACATCTTTCTGCCTGGTTTGTACACAAGTTCCCAGGTTCCTATCACTTCTGAATATTGGCTTTGCATTCCTGAATCCTTTCTCCCCTCCAGTGGGCAGTCATCAAGTATTTATGATAAGCCTCCTCAGATTACATGGATTGCTGGTTATCCTGTTGTGTTTACTTAGATTTATTCCGGTTTATTCCTTCATTTGAATGATTTAAGACATATTCATGCTGCAAGTTAACAATTTTGACATTTAAGCCATAAAGTAGCAGCCTAAGTCTCTCCAAAACAACCAAAGCCAAAAAATTAGTCCTGAAAACCAGAATATTGAATCTCAGAATGACCCCGTCTGGGAGAGTGAAACTGTAAAGATCTCCCATAAGCCTTTCCTTCCAGCTTTTCCACATTCTAAGTCCAGAGATAACAAACAAAATGTGCTAGCCTCATTTAGTTGCTGGTGAGCTACAAAGGGAGAGGCATGTAAGGTGATTTGGTCCCAACTAAAGGAGGTCTCATAAAGTACATCAAATGGGTTTCTGCCTCTGTATATACGAAATGGTATTGACATCCCAGGGTGCACATTAAACACAACAGCACGGCTTTCAGCAAATAATGAACAGCAGGACTCCTGCTCAGACAAAGCATACGGGCATTTTTCCTGCAAGAGGAAATACTTTTCACAGTTAAATAACAATAGAAATAGAAAGAAGTGAAAAGTTGCCAGAAAGGAACAAAAATGGGATTTCCAGCTGTGAGCTGAGGAGATGGAAAGGCATCAAGAGGGAGAGATCTGGAAAACACTGCATGGGAGAAAAGCCATTCAAAGACAGACGATGACAGACCTAGTCTTTGGCACAGGAGTGTGGTGCACACTGGTTGGAGGAGTTTCAGAAGGAAAGAGCCTGAAATCTGCTCGCCATAGTGGCAAGTTGTCCCAGGCTACAGATACTACAGAGCAGATACTACTGGGCTTAGGCTAACATCGGGCAGTGCAGGAAAGAATGAAAGCGATCAAAAGGCCTGGAAAGGTGGTTTTGGGTTTGTGTGTGTCTTACTTGTTGGTTTTTTTTCTTTTTAGTGTGAGTTTTTCCCCTGACTTACTGGCACCGCAGCCACTTGAATGTGAATTGCTGTTATTTCACATCAAATGTTCTGTTTTGTTCTGTGCCCTCACAGCGAGAGATAAAGTAGAATTGTTTTGTTTCTTTGGGGTTTTAGAGAAGGCAATTGAAAAGATAGGGCCACAGATCAGTTGTTCATGGAGAAGTTCTTTCTTGCTCTGTTTTGCCACAAAGCTCTCCCTTCAGGGCCAAAACAATGGGGATAGGGAAAAAAAAACAAACAAACAAACAAAAAAACCCTCCTCCAAGGGGGCAGAGAAGAGAAAACTGAATAGTGGAACTGAAGGGTCAGCTGAGGCTGAAGAGTCCCCCTGGGCTAGAGGGAGGTAATGAATGGGGCAAGGCTAGAGTTGGCTGGAAGGTTCACTGGCCAGTGGGCCAGGGGTCAGCAAGACTAAAAGGGTGTGACCTGGTAAGTAAGGGATCCTGATCCCAGGACCAGTGGTAACGGGAATAGGTGTCTTAGCAGAACTACAAAGCAGCTACTGTGATGGGTCAGGGAGCTCAGGTCTTGTGCTCAGCCAACTTGGGACGTGATCAGTGAGACCACAGATCCTGTGGCTATTGGGAAGTGAGAAGAATCAGAGCCTTGCTATCAAAGGGTGATTGATCTGAGGACCAGCAGCATTCAACTCCTGGGAGCTTGTTAAACCTGCAGAATCTCAGGCCCCTCCCAGGCCTGCAGCATCAGACTCTCATGGGGTGGGTCCAGAACTGTTTTAATAAGCTCACCCGGTGATTCCTATGCATCCAAAAGTTTGAGAACTACTGACTTAAAGGGTCAGATATCCTGAAGCATGTTCGCAAAAGCTTAAGCAACATGAGAATGTATGCATTGGGAAACCAATATGAGTTACAGTGCAAGATACAATCATAGATTATCCAGTCCCTACGGTGGCAAAGGGGAAATAATAGAATGTGTCAAGGGTACAAATCATATTGGAAGTAAATGAAAAAAGTTGTTTTTTTCTCAGAATAGAGAGATATATCGAGCTATCTCTGTGTCAGCAGTGAAATATAATGCACAAAGGTGCCAAATGCCAAAGGCTAAGGAGCACAGCGGCAGGAGAGCTGGAAGCAGTGACGGTGCAAGTGGTCAGCCTCTGCCCAGCAAAGGCTGCAGCTCCTGATGGATGGAGCAAATGTAACTGTACAATACCGCTAATGGGCAAGCAGCACTAGCAACCACACGGCACACCATGCTCAGCTCAATTCAACTTTATTTAACAGTATGGCAACCTTTTTTTGAAACACAGCTAAGGACACATTATATAATGTAACTATATAATAATATATACATATAATAATTATGTAATACTATATAATTTATACTTGTGTTATAGTGAATATGCTATTTATTAGATATTCAATTGAAGGGGTAATTGAATATACTGCCTATTTAGAAATAAATATATAAGAGGCCTACTCTAACCAACTCTAGCACTACCTTGACCACATGACTGACACCAATCTCCACCACCGTATTTCTTCCATAGTACATCCTTTCTGGCATCCTATATAATTTACACATTTATTATATTTATGATTGTCTGACCACTAGAATGGAAGCTCTATAGGGTAGTGATTTTTGTTTATTGTTCACTGATGAATTTCCAGCACCTAAAAGTATCCTGGGCTCAATGAATATTTGTTGAATAAATGAATTAATGAGGGGAGTACTTCATATCACAGCAATATGGTAGAAAAGCAGATCTTTTACTGGGCTCTGTTTTTCAATACATGATATTAAACTGCTGGCACACACTGTAATGTTGAGAGTATCTGTAAATGTTGCTGTATATCTTGCTGTTCTCCTACAGCAAGAGAGGAATTTTCTGATGTGAAATTTCATCTTTACTATTTTTGTATAGGGCCCAGTAGCAGCTATGGCTCTCTCAGTTGTAACCACTATTTTGTGTTTTACTTTCATCAGTTAGAATCAGAGCTATACCTTAAAATTGATTATTAACCAGCCAAGAAGTTCACAAGCCATTTTCTTTCTCTATTACTAGCTGTAAAGTCTCTCACTAAAGTGTATCGGAAAGCTAAAGGTTGAAGCATTTTCTTAAGGCCAAACCAACTAAACGCACCTTTTCATGGGACAGTGGAGAAACATTTGTTTTAACTGGCTTTTGCACAAAGCACTTACCAAATCTTTGAAGTGCTCCATAGTGGGTTGAGCCTTTTGAAGAATAGATTGGAACATCTTTATAAAGAAACTCATAAATTCAGGTTGGCATGACAAGAAGGGAAAGTGGAGAATATCAGAGCATACCCAACTTCTGGACTGTAGTGAATGGTTACAGTGAGTTGCAGGGAAAGAACTGCACTGTGCAGCCAGTCTAAGGCAGGAGATGTCAGGCCTGTCCTGTGACAGCAATCATGAATCATTTGTCAGAACACTTAATATTCCACACAGAAGCAAATCTATTTCTCACCCTACCTCACTCCCCAGGAATAAGGGGAAAGCAGAAGTAGTGTGGGAAATTTTCATTCCTATGTAGAAAGAGAGCTATTCCATGGACTAAGTCTGTGATGCCCTTCAGACTATAACTTTGCACATACCTGAGAAGTCCTGGGTGTTCAGATCTGGCTATCATGTTAACAGGCCACACTGAGCAGTGAGACTAAGTACAAAGGCAAGCCCGAAGGTCATGATGGAGCAACTCTGCAAATTAGCTGGAATTCACAGATAGGGGATTTGAAAGAAATTATTATGCCTGAAGGAAATCAATCTGGAAGCAAGGGATTTAAAATGAAACATAGCCTCTGTAGTATCATCAGGCTAATGGTAACCACTGCCATCAGCTGCTGTGTGGCTAAGCCACTGGCAAAAGAAAAGGGGGACCTATTGGTCATGAGTTTGAAAAATTGTTTATAGGTTAAACAGCAAAATTAAAATATGTAATACTATTTTCTTTCCTCTGAGAAAGAAAAAAGCCCTGCTAATGCACACTAAACTGAGTGCCTCTAATGGGACATGGGAAAACTTATGTGTTGCCTTTCATCACAGTCCCTGGTTCAGGGAATTATAAAAATAACCACATTTCCTAGACGGGTACCTTCTCACTTCCTGGCACAGTAGCCACCCAAACAGCAGAAGCACTTCAGGGAACAGGCAGAACTGGGAATGTCCTTTGCGTAGAGGACAGTGCTCTGAGGAAGTATTCAAAAGAATAGAACAAAAATCTGGAGAAGGTTTGAGATTTTTTTGAGTAAGTCAACTGGCCAGAAAAAGCCAACTATGAGTTTGCTTTGTTTTGTTTTGTTTTCTCCTTACCCTCCAGCTTTTCAAAGCAAAGAAAAAGAAAACTTTCAATCTTTGTCAGAATTTAAAAATGTGCAACAGCTAGTTTCCCCTTGAGTCTTTTTGATCCCTCGTTAAGTGCCGTGAAAAAAGTTAAATGCTTCACATGAGTTATTTCATCCAATTCTCCCAATAACTCCATGAAGTAGGTCTGATTATTATTTTTCTTATTTTGCAAGTGAAGAAACTGAGGCTCACAGAGTTTAAGAAGCTTTACCCAAGACCACACAAATTGTGAAACGGAGCCAGAATTCAATCCTCACCTTGTTTCAGCCAATTAGCATCAGATTATTTGGGATTAGAATTTTCCTTAAGGGTATTCGTCATTTATGATGAGCCAGAAAGCAGGTGTCCCCAAAACTTCATGGCAGTCTGCAGCATGTTCAAAATATTTATCTCTAGCACTAAACAACTTAAAAGAGTTGAAAGGGCATCTTTCCAACATCTCATTTTTTACTTTACAAGTGCATGCTCAGATTTGAGGGCAAGAGATGGAATGTGAGAATCAAATCTTCCACAAGTTATATAACTGTATATAAAAAGGAAAAAGATGGCGTGAACCTGGGAGGCAGAGCTTGCAGTGAGCTGAGACTGGGCCACTGTACTTCAGCTTGGGCAACGAAGCGAGACTCTGTTTCGAAAAAAAAAAAAAAGGAAAAAGGATTGAAATGTGAATGTCCTTTCCTTCTCACTGCTTCTCTAGATTTTGATTGGAGCTGTCATTGCCATGGGCTCAGCCGACAGAGATGGCCGCCTTCACCCAGGAGATGAGCTTGTGTATGTTGATGGGATTCCAGTAGCCGGCAAAACCCACCGCTATGTCATCGACCTCATGCACCACGCAGCCCGCAATGGGCAGGTCAACCTCACTGTGAGAAGAAAGGTGCTATGTGGAGGTATGTACCTGGAGCCTGCTGCAGGAATCGAGGGTTAGGTGGTAAGATGCTTTTGTGAGACATGGTAAGGCCACATGAAACAAAATTTTAAATCCATTTCTACATTATATGAGGAAGGAAACAACCTAGATATTCCAAAAGTAATGATGATTTTGAAAGTGCTGATTTTCACCCCACTGGACAAAAATCCAGTCTTTGAGGCCTGCATTTTAAATGTATTCATTAAAAATTTCTAGAATAGCCTGGGGCTAATTTAAGGTATGTATGCTCTCTGCTTTCTGGTAGTTTCTAGTTCTAAGAAGAACATGATAGTCATGGAAAATATGCCATTTGAAAATGTGTTTGCAAACCAAGAGCCACAGCATTTTGATGCCATAATGAGGCAACCAGGATGGAAAATTAGCTTTCATTGTACAGCCTGATAAAAGGTAACAATAAAGCTGTTGCTCCTGATATAGAAAAAATACAGCTGTACCTCGCTCCAAGAAAACACAGTTCATATAGTTCCAAATTTATGTAACAGATAAATTGGAAATAATCATTCCCTTTACAACCATTTTCTCAGCTTCATAAAGGAATCCACCAAAGACATACTTTTCAAAGTCAGCCTTTGTATTTATAATATGATTCCACTTATCTCTCTTTACCATATCAACCCTATAAAAAATTATTTATATTTTTAAGGAATATGTCAGTTACAAGCATCACAGTTTTTTTAGAATCTGAGCATTCAATAACATTGGGATTGTATTACCTCCCCTCAGAACCACCCAGCCTTTGTTCTGTGAATCACAGGGGCAGCAGCTCCAATAATGCTCATCTGTCACCTTCTGCCCCAGCGGCCCGCTGGCTTCTCTGCTTGACCCCTTGATAGCCCTCATACAGAATCATCAATACTAGAAGTAGGAAGGACCTTAGCTATATGAGCTTCATCTTGTTACAGATGAAGAAACTGACGCCCAGAGGTTTGGTAGCTTGCCCAGCAGTCCACAGTGAGTCTGTGACAATGCAGAGAGGGACTCTTCTCTCTAAGGCCAGTGCTTATTTCTTTATGTTACTTTGTCCCCTACCCCATTCAACCACAATCCTCTCCCCTAGAGAATTAGAAGATGTTAGGCCAGAACTTAGCAAATGTCACTCCCTAATACAGGGAGTCTTCCCATATGTGCTGTTATACCAGTTGCATTCTAGAAGAGGACCACAGGCTAATGACAGGCTGTGAATGACTAGTAGAGAGGATAAGGCTTATTCATGTGACGAAAAATCCTTTTCTTTCTAAGTCCCCCTAGAAACTAGACCATGAGCAAGGGCGGTCATTTAAAAGGGCAAGTCAAAAGAATTGTTAGCCCTCACCAGTAGAGACTGCTATATATCTTGTATCTTATAGAGGTTTTGCTAAGAGGTGCCATTTGTCTTCAGAAATTCATGGCATGTCACTTGACCCAAAGAAGTAAAGCATCTTAAATTATGCCTTATCCTTGGGCTAGATGCCAGGAGGAAGACAGTGCTTGCTTGGTTAACATTTAACTGTCTCTCTCCCCGCAGAGTAATTTTTAATAAAAAGTTTGCTGTGCTGTATGTTCTATAACCTAAAGATAAATTAAAAAGATACCTGATTTACAAGGAAATATACCACAAAGTGCAAAACCAATGCACCAACATAATTTCATGCTCCCCTTGTCACCAGCTGATTATTGCAAATTAAATTTTCTTTTAATCAACCCGAGCTGTTGAAGTGTGTACCAAATGCTGCAAAAATGTATTCCTGCAATTTGTGGATCATGTGACTTCCGTAAAGATGCTCTTTGCTGCAGCTCTTACCAACTTTACTCAGTTAGGCTTTTGAGTGCATTTCAAGTGCATTTAATTTTTGAAAATGTTATGCTGCAGATTGCTCGTTCACACCAGGAGAGTTTCCAAGTTTATTCAGCCCACTCTTCCTTGAAAGCTTCATCAGTATTGAAAATATTAAGTTCAGCAAAGGATACTTTGATAGCAAAGTAATGCCTTGAAATAGGATGGAAAAGATTTAAAAAACAGGCATGGAAAGGTGACCTTTCTTCATAGCTGCCATTTCTTCAAAGTGAGAAGGGACAACTACAAATGAATATGACAATGGAGATGCCTTTTCAAGGACTGTTGCTGTCATTGTCGTTTTGTTATTATTATGCTTTCCTAAGCAAAGGCAGTGGGAGGTGCAAGCCTGGCTTAGGAGTGGATGGTTCCAAGCTGAGGGGAAGTGAGCAATTAGCTAAGGAAGAGATAGCAGCAGGAAGAGGAGCAGCATCGCCACCCCCTTGCACAGAGGAGCAGTGCTGTGTGTGGGAAAAGGGCTAGGAAGAAGCAAGGTCATAGGGATGACACGCTTCCGCCTTCTCCTTGCCTCAGCTTATACAAATGCCCGCCCCACCTCAGAAGACAGAGGGCACTGGCTTTTTAACTGATGCTCAAGAAAGAGAACACGTTCATTATGAGAGATACAGAAAGGTTAGTTACACTGAGCAAAAACTAAGATAACACAAAAACTTGCCCCAAATATTAAGTTATTTTTAAATGTACATGCTAAGGATAGAAAGGCAAAAAATTTTTTTGAGAAAAGGTCTCACTCTGTCACCCAAGCTGGAGTGCAGTGATACAATCATGGCTCACTGCAGCCTCAACCTCCCAGGCTCAAGTGATCCTTCTGCCTCAGTGATCCATGCCTGGCCTAGAAAGCCAGAATTTCCAATCAGAAGATAAACTAGATTCTCAAAAGTGAGAAGTTGTTGAGTAAAGGAAGAGGCTATCGGGTAGTGCTTCCAATTTTTCTTTTATTCATTTATTTTTATTTTATTGTTTCAGTAGGCAACTATGGATAATAAATTGCCTCCAGTTTTATTTACCAAATAGTCATAGCACACACTTTCACCTTGCATTAGTTTTGAGAGAAGATGCCTTATCCATGCCTCCAGCTCCAGTATTTGGTTGTTTTTTTTCCCAAGGATATGAGAAGAGTGGCTTTAATTATTATACTGAAAAGCATAAATATTTATATGTTTAGCAGATCAGCTTTGAGACATTCAAGCTAATGGCACATTATTTTGGATGCACACCATGTCTCTGAGGAATTTCCTGAAGTGTAAATCTAGAATTGATGTGAAAGAACATTTTATGACTTCATAAAAACATGTTAGAGTCAGTCTTAAAGCTATCAGCATCTTTTCTCTAACACCTAAGGGAAAGTCTAATTCTTGGCCTAATGCCAAAAAAGGGGAGGTTGTCTTGGCAGATGGGTGAAAAGTTTAGCCAGTATTGAAGGTGCCAGTACGTTCCCTGATCCTGGTGACTACACTTTTTGCCAATTCTAAATGCATTCCCTTGTTGTTTGTCTGCAACCATGTCACCCATTTAAATAAGCTGTCTGCCTTGATGAGTATAAACTGGGAATGTCTGCACAAATGCCTATAGGCAGGCCAGCCCCTAACATTTTCAGGGCCACAGCCTGTAGGCTGCTCCTGCCCCATAAGGACCATGAGGGACCTGGTACACATGCATGTGGACATCACAGCCCACATGACCAAGCTCTGTCCATACATACATCCCATTGCCTCAGCCATGCTTCAAGGCAAAATATGCCTGTCTGCAATGCTGTCATCCTTCCAAAGACAGTCCTGAGAAGAGACCCAGGCACATCCTGGAAGCAGGCAAGGTCTATATGGTTACAGAATTCTAGAGTCCTGGTATGTAGCATATGGTCTAGAAGAGAAACCAAGGGTCCAGTTGAACAAGTTCCTTCAGCCCTGAGAATTCCTCACTGTGTGAATAAATGAGTAAATGAGGTATTTGCAAGAGGTCTTGGGGAGTGGGCAGGACTGTGGTGACCTGCAAACCCCATACCCAGTTGAAGGAGCAGCCATCACTGAGCTCCAGCCAACTGGTGCCAAATGTGTCAAGAAAAACTGGAAATCAGTATTTCTATAAAAATCTCCCTATTTACAAACATTGGCAATTAATTTTTTTTTTTTTTTTTGAGACGGAGTCTTGCTCTGTTGCCCAGGCTGGAGTGCAGTGGCGCGATCTCAGCTCACTGCAAGCTCTGCCTCCTGGGTTCCTGCCATTCTCCTGCCTCAGCCTCCCAAGTAGCTGGGACTACAGGCGACCACCACCACGCCCAGCTAATTTTTTTGTATTTTTAGTAGAGATGGGGTTTCACCATGTTAGCCAGGATGATCTCTATCTCCTGACCTCGTGATCCGCCCGCCTCGGCCTCCCAAAGGGCAATTAGTTTTAACAATTATCGAATGAAATATAGGCCAGCACTGTGCAGACCAGAAACAGCTCTTGGCCAATAGTTAAATGTACTGGTCTACACCATCTTACCTGGCAGGCATTGTCACTGACTCCCACATTCCCAATGGGAGACCCTCTCTTAGCACAGTGATGAGTTCCACTGTGACTGGTGGAGACGAAACAGCTTACCCTAAAAACTAATTATTTAGGCCAGGCACGGTGGCTCACGCCTGTAATCCCAGCACTTTGGGAGGCCAAGGCAGGCAGATCACAAAGTCAGGAGATCGAGAACATCCTGGCTAATACGGTGAAACCCTGTCTCTACTAAAAGTACAAAACAAATTAGCCGGGCGTGGTGGCGGACGCCTGTAGTCTCAGCTACTCGGGAGGCTAAGACAGGAGAACGGCATGAACTCGGGAGGCAGAGCTTGCAGTGAGCCAAGACCGCGCCACTGCACTCCAGCCTGGGCGACAGAGTGAGACTCTGTCTCAAAACAAAACAAACAAACAAACAAACTAAACTAATTATTTGACTTTAGTAGATACTAAGTGATTGAATTCTATGCAGCCACTTGTGTATGAGCTAGATGAATGAGTCAGGGATCCTAGAAATTAGTGAATTTTCTTTAAAAAAATTATATAATACATGAATTTTAGTCACTTTAGGATGTTTTACTATATTATTATAAAACAAGGCTGTTAATGCCCTACAGTAGGAAAGACCATTGGAAAGAAGACCGTCTCACTTGGGTCCAGAGCCAGATGAGTAGAAAAATGATGTGGGGTCAATCCCTGAAAGACAATCATGTGACCAGTTTTTAAGTGTCAAGGGCCCAGAACAAGCCCAGGAAGACCTTCGAAGTCTTCTTAACTTCCTGATTTTAAATATGCTCATTTGGCTAAAGATAAAGAACTTTGTTCTGGAAGTTGAAAGAGAAGTCCAAAGGCAATAGAAAAGTATCCTATTAATGTATATGACTCTTTGACTTACCCAGGGAATCCTCACATTGACTTAGTTGATGATTTTCTCTCTCTCCAGAACCTGTAACATTGCCACTCCCAGCCTTTTACTGCAAAGACAGATAATTCTTCTTTCGTTTTTGTTTTTTGTTTTTTTTTTTTGAGGCAGAGTCTCGCTCTGTCGCCCAGGCTGGAGTGCAGTGGTGTGATTTTGGCTCACTGCAAGCTCTGCCTCCCGGGTTCACGCAATTCTCCTGCCTCAGCCTCCCGAGTAGCTGGGACTACAGGAGCCCACCACTGCGCCCAGCTAAATTTTTTTTTTTTTTTTTGTATTTTTAGTAGAGACGGGGTTTCACCGTGGTCTCGATCTCCTGACCTCGTGATCCGCCCGCCTCAGCCTCCCAAAGTGCTGGGATTACAGGCGTGAGCCACCGCGCTTCTTCTTTCTTGCTGACTTACTGACAATCACAGCTCTCAACCTCCTAAAATATGACAGCCAGAAAATGAGATCTCTCTTGTCACTGCCTATGACATTTAGTTACTGGTTTGGTCCAATAACTCGAGGAGATTTTCAATTTAATGTAGCAGCATAATAATTGTTTGTTTTTGTTCTTCCTGACTATCCCTAATCACTTTATTTCCCACTTGTACAAGGACTGATAAAGGACATGTGATGCACCAAGACAATAACAACTTGTCCAGCAGGGAGGGTACATTTTACAAGCGAAGCTTTAAATTCCATTTGAACAGAAAGAAAGGCTTTGACATTGACATTCTGTTCTCTTATGACCTCGGTACATTTCTTACAAAAAGCATCCATCTTTTCCTTTATTTAAACGTGATTAATTAGATCTTAAAGAAAAATCAAATTTACCAAATAATAACGAGCAACAGCCTGGGTCTCATTCATTCTGTAATTGCAAACAAGAAATTAGTATATTTTGGTTAGGCCATTTTTTAAAATCTAAGTATATAAACAAATACAGCTTTTTTTTTTTCTTTTTTTTTTTTTTTTTTTTAGGTATCGATGTAACAAAACGTCTCTTGCAGTCTTTGTTTTTTCTCCCTGACTTTTTCATCTCAAAATGGAATTGCAGCTTGTAAGGTTAAGAGCCTTCATTGGAACTTTTGAAAATTATTTTTAATTTGCCATATGCAACAACTTCCAGAGTTCTACATAGGATGCTATACCTAGGGACCCAAAATGGAATAATTAATGGTGATTATTTTCCATCTTATTATTCCTCTGTTCCATAAACATCTTTTGAGTACACTAATCAAATTTTAAGATGGAAATGAAAGCAACCCTATTTCTAATTACATTATTCTAGGTGCCTGCTTCGGTTCTTTTCATCAGAGTGCCAATACCTAGGTATTAAATTAAAATGACGAAATTCTTTCTGGATGACAGATAAACTTTCATTTCAAAAACTAGCTTCTTTTGGCTGCCAACTTTCTATCATTTCTCCATGGAAATATGCTGGCTTTTTCTCATGAAAGTATTAGTTTGGTTTATCTGGTTGATAATAGGGTGTATTTTATATTAAGATGGACTGTAAAAATGGAAAAGACCTTCAACAGCTCCTTAGAGGTTCAAACTTCATAATTTCAGAGCCTGAAATTAGATTTGATCCTAGAGCAAGCAAGCTATTTTTTAAATGAAAATCTCAACTTATTTATTTATTCTTTTAAGCCACTTCATTGTGATATGGCTGATATACAAAAAGCTGTGCAAACTACTTTTAAGAAGTATATTTTCCACATACATGAAGTAAATCAATACTTCTAGGCTAGCAGAATATTATAAAATAGAACTATAGCTCTTTAGAAAAATGCATGATAGTTAACTTTACATGGATGGCACCTGTGCTGTTAGCCTTCCTTATAATACATCTACAGCAGCATTTCTCGAAGTGTAGCCTTGAAACTTGATGCAGATTCTTGTGCCCAGACCTACTGAGAAAACATTCTGTGGGTGGCCCGTGAAGATGTACTTTTTTTTACAATTTATTTAAGTGATTCTTATGCACCATATCATGTAAGATTCTACTTGTTTTGTGACCATCTTCAGTAAATTATTCTTATGCAAAGAAGAACCTCAATATCTAAAACTAGGCATTGTCCCAGGGGTTTGCAGTCCTCATGAGATGAAGATATAAATCAGTAACAGCACAGAGGAGGCTGATGAGGGGTTTCACCTCTGTTTGCTATGAAAACTAGGACTGAGCAAGACCTTGGGAGCTCCACGCCTAGGTCTGTAGCTTTTCAAATGCTCTGCAAATCTGGGAGAAAGAGAAGCAGTTCAACCAGTCTTGTAACAATACCACTGTCTAGAACAGTGCCTAGTACATAGGAAGCATTCATTGAGACCCTTGTAAGGTAATTGATTACCTGTGTGTGGTATATTTTGCAGGGGAGCCCTGCCCAGAGAACGGGAGAAGTCCAGGCTCTGTATCCACCCACCACAGCTCTCCACGCAGTGACTACGCAACCTACACCAACAGCAACCACGCTGCCCCCAGTAGCAATGCCTCTCCCCCTGAAGGCTTCGCCTCCCACAGCCTGCAGACCAGTGATGTGGTCATTCACCGCAAAGAGAATGAGGGCTTCGGCTTTGTCATCATCAGCTCCCTGAACAGGCCTGAGTCTGGATCCACTATAAGTAAGTGCTGAAATTTGCCTGCATTTGAATAAGGGGTCTTGTTTTGATTTGTTCCAGTGATACAGATACCGGACAAGTATATCAGAAGACTGTCACGGACATACTGTATAGCCTGAAAGCCACAGGCTGTGGGCACAAATAAGGCATCCATACCACTGACTAGCAGACAGTTACTGACCTCTGGCTCAAGAAGAAGGCAAGAACACAACTAATGCCCTCAACTCCTCCACCCCTATAAAAGCTCTTCATTCATTTGTAAATTAGGAAGAAAGGAAAACAGAGTGATATGGTAATGTTGCCTTGAAAGGAGGGGTGCTTCCTTTTATGGGTTGGTCAGGGAATGTTCTGTAAGTAACTTGATTGAGAACTGTTCAACAGAATAGAACCAGACATGCAAAGGATCTGCAGAAAAAAATCAGTCCAGGCAGAAGGCTTAAGGTGGACGCCAAGCTTGGCATCCAAGAAATATAGAGAAGCCCAGTGCAGCTGTAGTACGGGGAGCAAGGGAGAGTGGCAGGAGGCAGACAGTGCTGGCTTCATGTGCTCTTGGTAGGAAGTCTCAACTGTAGTCTAAGTCCATGGGAACCATTGGAGGGTTTTAAGCAGTGGACTGAAATCTGACTTATATTTGTAAAAGATGAGTCTAAATGCTTGTGGAAATTGAAACCAAAGGGTTGGGGGTGGGGGAGAAAGCAAGAGTGGAAGCATGAGATATAGTCAGAAGGCCATTTAAACATCCCTGTAGGTTCAGAGACACTGGTGACTTTGTAACTGCCCAATGGCTTCACATTGCCCGCTGCCTAGCAGAGCCAATTTATCAAGACGGGAATTGCGATGGAGAAAGAGTAATTTACGTAGAGCCGGCTGTGCGGGGAGACAGAGTTTTATTATTACTCAAATCAGTCTCCCCGAGCATTCAGGGATCAGAGTTTTTAAAGATAATTTGGTGGGTAGGGGCTTGGGAAATGGGGAGTGCTGATGTGGTTGGGTTGGAGATGGAATCATAGGGGGTCGAAGTGTGGTTTTCTTGCTGTCTTCTGTTCCTGGGTGGGATGGCAGACCTGGTTAAAGCAGATTACTGGTCTGGGTGGTGTCAGCTGATACACTGAGTGCAAGGTCTGCAAAATATCTCAAGCACTGATCTTAGGTTTTACAATAGTGATGTTATCCCCAGGAGCAATTTGGGGAGGTTCAGACTCTAGGAGCCAGAGGCTGCATGACCCCTAAACTGTAATTTCTAATCTTGAGGCTAATTTGTTAGTCCTACAAAGGCAGATTGGTCCCCAGGCAAGAAGCGGGTCTTTCAGGGAAAGAGCTGTTATCAATTTTGTTTAAGTCAAACCATGAACTGAATTCCTTCTCAAAGTTAGCTTGGCCTATGCCCAGGAATGAACAAGGACGACTTAAAGATTAGAAGCAAGATGGAGTCGGTTAGGTCTGATTTCTTCCACTGTCATAGTTTCCTCGGTTACAATTTGGCAAAGGCAGTTTCACCCTCCCCTGGGTAGCAGTAGAGGGAGGAGAAGTAGATGAACGCAACTTCTGAAGCTCCTCCAGCTCTAAGGTTCTATGATCCTATACAACAGGTGACAGTCATAGCCCATATTTGTCTTCCAACTGGCCACCTTTTCAGATTCTCAGGCTTCCTTGGTTGTTTTTCCTTTTCTACCACAGTCTTCCAGAGCTCATTCAGCAGCCTGCAAGCAGTAGAACAGAAGAGAGGATAGGAAAATTTGTGCATTTTTCATGTTGAAGTGATTTGGCCCAAAATGTTGGGTATGGAAACACGAAAATAAAGGAGCACTAAGAGAAAGTAAATAAATGCACGTACGTTGTAGTCCTAAAATTCTTATAAACTGTGGGAGTTTCTAGCACATGTGGGATAGGGGAGGGGTGAGTATTAAGCAATACTCAAGAAATAAAGTTGTTGAGAATGAATAAGAACTTTATGTGATAAAGTTAATGTTATCAAAAAAATAAAAATAAAAGAAAGAAAGAAAACCACCAGAACCTCATGGAGAGAATTGCCCTGTTTGGCTTAAGCCTTGATAAATTCAGGAGTGAAAACTACAGAAGCATTAAACCTCAGCGAATATGTGCAGAAGCCAAATTACATACATCTGAAAGTACAATTTCATTTCCCTTTTTCTTCATGAAAAGCTGAAGAAATAAATCCAATCTTTAAGCATAGACTAAAAGCAGAATTCTGTCAGTACGATGGATTCACCAAGATTAAAAGGATACAAAACTAAGGATTTTCATGAATTATATAAACAGCCTTCCAATAATTTACACTTGAGGAAGGTGTTCACAGAGAGATTTTGCAGCCATTCCAGTCTTTCCAATTGTTTATTGGGGCAGAATACCTAAAGGACTAGAATAAAAATAAAAAGTATATGGCCACAATGAAAGTGTTTAGCATGTAGTTAAAGTCTCAGCTTTGTTTGAAGTATAACAGCCTTATTTCTAAATGTATAGGGGAATGTGTGTGTGTGTGTGTATGTATGTGTACATGTGCACTTACTATGTAAAGAAACTACAAACACTTTTCCTATTGCAAATAAAATCCATGCATAAGTAGATTTGGAAAACAATAGGTGCAAATGCTTATAATTAACATGTGAATTTTTCTTCCTACCAAATGGCATCAGACTGACCTCCAAAATTTAATTCTAACCACTTTCAAAATGATATTATTTTACTTCACCCTGGAGAGTGGAAATATATCCTACAGTTCATGATGCTTCATGGCTTTTCTTCACATGTTTATTTCTTTTCAATTTAGGGAGTTTAAAATGCAAGTTGCCCCGTGCTCTGTGGCAAAAGCAGCTTACTCACTGATGGCACGTTGCATTTACAGTATGTAATTTGCAACATGCACCTAAAAGCTTCCTGGAGCTGATGCTACCTCATACTTAACATCTGTGATAATTTTGAATTCTAATTTTGAAGAGAAATGCGAAGTGTCTCGTGAATGGTAAAAAGCCATCCTTGTGCCACATATCCCTGGTCAAAATATCAAAGGTTTTGGGCTCTCTGAGACTGACCGAGGTTTATGCTATCAGGTACTTAAGAATCACGATCATTCCCAGAGTTTGCATTGTTTTACTCTTCAGGTCTTACCCGAGCCCAAGGATCATTAACATATTCACTGTTTTTTGTTTTGTTTTGTTTTTGTTTTTTGGGGTTTTTTTTTGGGTTTGTTTTTTTTTTCGTGGCTTCGGGAGCTTTTTCTTGGTGGACTAAGTGCTGTTTTGCTTTTGATAGGAGCATCATTACATTTAAGCAAGAAAAGGGCATGGTTAACAGCCCAGGTGCTACAATCATCCTATCTGGACTTGAAACATGGCTCTATCACTTACTAACCATGTGACCTTGAGGAAGTTACATGACCTCTTTGGGCCTCAGTTTCCTCGGTGTGAAGAAAAGAACACTTTAATACCTCAATCATGGGGTTGCCATGAGAGTTCGATGAATATGTGGAAGTGCTCAAAAGAGCACTGGCTCAGAGTAAGCACTAAATATGTCATTGCTGCTATCTAGATATCATCCCTTCTAGGAATTATCTTTCATTCCACCAGCTCACTCTTGTCGAGTAGTGCAGAGTTTACTCTGGCTATAGGTTCTGTTAGCCATTAGTCAGAGCCACCACTCTCCCAGGGCAGCTAAATCTGGGCCACAGATGAACATATCTCTGAGGGAAGCTTCCCCTCCCTGTCCCCTTCCCCACATGTGGCCCTTCTGGGAACACAGTCTTTCTCACTACCCACCAAATTACAGCCTAGGTCAGCAATGGGGGCAACTGGAGTACTGGTGGCCAAGTCAGTCCAGCTGAGGTGCCTTTGCTGAGGCTTCAGGCTAGAATTGCAGTTTTCCCTCTCCAGAGTTCACAAGCCAATAAGCTATAAAAGTAATGGAAATCATCGAAATTCAGACTCAAGGGGATGTCTTTTAGAATCTCCCTTGCAAACATGTTGCTATTAAATATTATCAGAGGAGAGAGGAGAGAAGAAGGACCCAAATGTAAACTTTCCCTCCCTATGGATGGAGATACGTCCATAGCTTCTTCAGCCAAGACAACAACTTTGCCAAGCACAGGTGATGCTCAGCTAATTGGGAAACTGGGAGTTAGGGTTTCTTACTTATTTGCTGGCATTTAGTAATGCTCTTTACCAAAGGCTGACAGATTTGTTTTCAAAATATTATTTCCCCAGGAAATAAGGAAAAAACTTTATATCAATCAATGTAATGAAGGAGCAAGCTGCTTCCTTCCGAGGTCAGTGACCAAGTAGGCCAACCATTGCATAGGAGTAGACAGGTTTTAGAAGCTTAGAAGCTTTCTATCTGTAGTGCAGGAATATCTTTTTGCTTGTTTGTTTGTTTTGTTGTTTTTGTTGTTTTTTGAGCCATGGTCTCACCCTGTTGCCCAGGCTGGAGTGCAGTGGTGCAGTGGCATGATCTGGGCTCACTGCAACCTTCACCTCCTGGGTTCAAGTGATCCTCCTCCCACCTCAGCCTCCTGGGTAGCTTAGACCACCATGCACCACCATGTCCAGCTAATTTTTGTATTTTTAGTAGAGACGAGGTTTTGCCATGTTGCCTGGGCTAGTCTCAAACTCCTGGGCTCAAGTGATCTGTCCACCTTGGCCTCCCAAAGTGCTTGGATTACAGGCATGAGCTACTGTGCCCAGCCAGATTATCCTTCTTGACTTCCAGTGAGAACAGGGAAGCATCCTGGGCATGTTGGTCCCATTATGCAAAATATTATGTATTTGTTTCAGACCTTAACATTGGGCCCAAGGGAAACTAAAGTGGTTTCCAGAACAAAGCCTTGAATAAAAATAAACTGTAATAGGCAATTTCACTTTAAATTCTTAAAAAGATTTGAACAAAGACTTATATGCAAAATGTTCATTGCTATATTATTGTTAAGCATAGAAAATTGGAAATAATGTTAGAAACTTCACCAAAACAGATAACTTTGGTGTATTTGGGAAGTTTGAAGCATTTTCTGCCATTGACTAACTGTTTTCATTCTCACTGAGGTCTGCATGCACAGGTTAGAGAAGACTCAGGTAGCCTATGACTCAATGGATTAGATGCTTGCTCTGTAAAATGTCCCAGGGGCTACGTGCAGTGAGGTTGTCAGGCCAATCCTTGGTCCTCCCTACTCAAAACCCAAGTCCTGACATCCAGGTTTTATTGTCCAGCTGTAGCACCTGTCCTTATAGGTGCTTCCTACCTCCTTAACAAACCTACTTTCCCACCAGAGGTTCCCAAGAAGGGCTTTGGTACAAGTAATGAAGTGGCCCTTTTCTATAATTTGAAAGTCTCCACCTTTTCTGTCACTTGTCAGGAGGTTATGCCGGAATATATGAGGTAGACACACATGGCAGCTTGGGTATCGGTGGTGGAGGTTGACAGGCTATTGAGGGAATTTCTAAACTTAGATATAGGATAACAAGCAGCAGGTTAGAACATATTCAGGACAGTGGTCATAGCATCAATCTAAACAGTCAGCAGTAGGGGAACAAACTTTTCAATCCTTCCTTTCTTCATTGGTGTTCCTCTAGTGGTGTTGATTTCATCTTCTGTCCCTATCCGCAAGTGCATCACTGGTCAGCACGCTGCTGGCTCCTCGCAATCCTCCAGCTCAGGACTGGTGCTGAAAATCTTTGTTTCCACATGTGTGCTTTCTCCAGCATGGGTTGAAGTTTGGACCTGGTCATTCTTGACTTTCCCTAAGGCCACTGCAATCTGATGCTCAGGGAAGGAATTAGTTATCTTTGATAAAGCACCCTGGTGAGTTTCTCGAAGTCCTTGATGATGTCCATAGGCTTTGGAGATTAAAACTTATCCTAGAGATTTTAAAACTTCACTAACAGGTCTTTTATGACATTTTAGAGTATGGTTCCTAAAAGGGATGAAATCAAAATGAAATAGAAGTGATGTGAGTTAGGATTTCCCCCACCAAAACTCACCTCACTAACCATGCAAACACTGAATAATCATTGAAATTAGAGGAGGCACAAAGTAAAACAAAAGCCAAGGTCTCTCTACTCTTGCCTCAAAACAAGGAGATTCAAGCTAAATGAAAAGAACATTGGACAATGAGCCCAAGGCTCACTCCAGCTTGTCCACCAAATATTGTATCCCTTGAGCAAGTCACTTGGTCTTCCTGTGTCCTTTTGTCATTTAAAATATAAAAGAAGATGGTCTTTACATCCTCTTCCAGCTCTAAATTACATGATGCCAGGAATCAGCATGGAAAATAAGGTATTAAGTTAGTTTTGTTGGTGTGTAAAAAAGTATTGGGTAAGTTTGAGGCCTAGATCATATTTTTCATTAGCTAAGCTATCATTTTAACTTTTATTACTTTTACCTTTGATTACATAATGAAAATGGCTCCTAACACTTTGAGTTCTTTTGTTCGTCTCAACCTCTGTCAAGAAATTATCTTAAACAATCACTTAAATACACTAACCCAGCTCCCCTTTCAAGGCAATATAAGGCAGTGTTTTTTCAACCTCCTTCACTTCTTGGCACACTTGTAAATTGATGGCATTTGTATAACAAGCTGAGATAAAACGAATGAGGCTGATGGCAGCAAGAGGCAGTCCCCCAGGAGGCTCTACGCCTGGTCCTCACCAAGCTCACCCAACCATCCCCAACTGTCTTGGCACACATGTAACATTTAAGGCACGCCCCTTTCAGTGGCATCATGTTTACAAAGCTCTGCCTTACAGTAAATCCTCCAAATAGCAACCAATTAGCCATTCATTTTAGGTTTTATTGGGATTTGGGTTGTGGCAGTGAATTTTCTTCAAACCTCCATAGTGAGGTTTGTTCATTGATTGCCTTAAAAACACAGGTAATAGATGCAACTGGTGCTTATCCTAGTGCCTTAGCCTTCTCTATGTCATTATAAACTTTGACCCATCAATGTTCCATCTCCGAAAGTCATTGCTAGAGCTACTGAAATACCCACACTGTTGAACATAGGAATTAGAAAGTGAGTCTCATTCATTTCTCTATTTCTCACTGGTTTGCACAAACAAGTTCCCTTTCAGAGTTCTTAACCAGCTTCTCAACATGTAATGTTCTCTTATTCCTTAAATGAATCCCTGCTTTGGATTCCTTCAACAACACAAATGCTTTTACTGTGGGCTTTGATTATGCTGAGAGTGGCTCACTCAGGAGGCACAGTGGTGTCACCCACAATATTACTGTGAGTGCTTTCATAGCAGAAGAAATAGTGGGGTGGGGAACCTATATAAAGTACTGGTTTTCCCCTCATGTATCTGGCTTCTAATATAACTAATTGAAGCCGAAGATAAGCACATATCCTCAAAATCTCTGGGAAAGCCTACATATACAACAAAGATAAGACTGTATTCATCATCTATGCTGATATAATATGTTTTCAGTCAAGTAAGTCTTTTCACATTTATTATTGTGACTTAATTTCTGTTCCATGAGGTAGCCAGGGGCTAAGGGGGGAGTGGTAGATCGTTGCTAATGATACAAAGTACATCAAGAAAGACCACACTTTCTACATACAATCCAGTCCTCCTGTACCAAGTCCTTGACCATAACACTCCTGATACAAATATCTGCAGGATAAAGCTTAAACACATCTCTTGTCCATTCAAGACCCTGGGGCATCTGTTTTTGCCAGCAGCTCCTCACAGGTTCCATTCCATCAAAGCTGGTTCAGTTATTTACCCTGTCCCAGAGGCCATGTTTTGCCTGTTGTCACTTGGTATGCTTCTCTTATGCAATAATATTTTGTATGAAGGTTTCTCCCAGGCACTGTGCTTGGAATCTTACACCATATTTAATCTTCACAGCACCCCTAGGAGGTGGAGACTATTGCCCAAACAGTAAACATCGCCTATTGCTTACTGCTTCCTGACTTCCCTTCTTTTATTGTGTCTGTTATTGCTATTATAGTCATTTCACTTTTCATGTGTTTTTGTTTTGCTTTCCCCACAAAAGTTGTGAGTTGCTTAAGGGCAAGAAATGGTGGCATTTCTTTGGATCCTTCACAATTCCTGATAGGTTTTTTTCAAGGATTTTCATGCCATTTATGTCGATGGGGCTGTATGCTTCTCATACAGTGATCCAGCGCAATCCTCATCAAAAGGAAGACTGTGACTGGTGCTCTGTCCTAAGTTACTCCGCACCCAAACCTAGCTGTTTCATCTCGCAAAGGTAGCGTGACATATTTTTGACAATGGGCGATGCAGTAGAGGATCACTTAGGGGAGGAATTACATGAAAGCTGGTCCTTGGCCAGAGTGAGAAATCACACGATAATAAAGCAGAACCGGAGCAATGTCCCAGAATACAGAGTTGCCATCAGTTGTTCTCAGCCTGGGTAAATGATTCAGCAGTCAGCCTGGGGCCTGGTGAATGAAGACTCAGATGAGAGAGCACCCTAACAAGTCAGGGGTAGGGAAGCTGTCTTTTTGCCTCTGGCCAGCCCCGGTCATCTTACATTTCTTGGTTGCAAAACCCTTGTTCTCCGAAGGGCCAGGCAGTGGCCTTAATGTGCCCCCTGATTCACCTCTCCTGGAACCAACCCTTGGAACCGTCATCCATCTGTGTGAGCACCACCTCAGCAATAATTATATAGTCCTAAATAGGAGGATTTGGATGGCATCCCAGACTCCTTAGAAAAAAGTATTACTTCAGATTATTTATTCACTTACAATTCTCATTAACAAAGCAACCCATTTCAGTTCCAACTAAACAACTTCTGTATCACATTACTCCTTTATAGGATTGTACTCACTGAGGTCAGAATGAATAGGACCTATTTATTCAATTCCGCTTTTTCAGTCCTGAACATGACTAGTTTTTTTTCCCAAATTACAACCTGGCCGCCTGGTTCCTACTAGTAAGCAAACAAGTGCAAATATATAAATATAAATATAAATATAAATATAAATATAAATATAAATATAAATATAAAGCATCAAACTCCAAGTCCCCTGATACCGGAACACTGAAGCATTTATGAAGTAAAATAGAAAGACAAACGCAAACATTTTACTCTGCTAGCACTAACAAATTTAAGGATCTTTATATTGTAGAATAAGTCTGCAGAGAACACCATCATTCTTATTTATCCTCAAAAAGAGGAGCAATACAATCTATCAAAAAAATCTGTGTGTTCACAATGCATTTTCTAAAATTCTGGACTATTTTTCTTACTGTTGAATAGACCTCATAAATCATGTTTCCCCCACTAGGGAATCATTTTTCAGGAGAGTTCTTATTATTGTGTTCAAAGACTCCAGGCAGCAGCATAAGGTGGATATCTTCTTACCTTTAGCTATTCAGTTGCCTTGAAAGCTCATAAATGGGTGATCAGTGGCCGTTTCCTCTGGGCTTATGTCCTGCAGCTCCTTCTTATTCACTAGATAGTACAGGGAGATTGCAACTGCGAAGAGACCCCAGGCATCATGTACAGGATGATCCTCTACCAATGCAGGATGCCCATCACTCTCCCACATTAGGTTCAAGTAAATTCAGAGCCCGCAGGGCACTTTTGCAAAAGACAGTTTTTCTTTATACTGCATTCAGGGCCTCATGGTGGATTAAGCTCTCTGTGATTTTTTATTTTTCTCTTTCTTCCCAACAATCAACTACATAAGAAAGTATTTCAGAGAAGGGTCCTAATGAAGCTTGTTCCACATGTGGAACCATTTTAAGAGCAAATTGTTAAGTGAACACAGTACTGTTATTTATCACCCTTGTCCAGTCATGTTGAAAGGGTATTATAAGGGGATATTTTTCCCATTTGGCCTGGGATAAAATATTTCTTTTTGATGTCCAGTTTCCATCAGGAACTTAGGGAGTGCTTCTACCGAAACTCTTTCCTACCACACCAAATCTTGGTAAAAGATTTTTTATTTGTGCATTTGACCACCAATAATTTTGCAATTGAAGCTGGATTTGTTCCCAACCAAACTATTCTGAGTACTTGGTTGGAATCATTTCTGCAGATTAATCAGACAGCCTTTTCTGGGTGATGAGTCAGATCACTAGGCATTCCCAAGGTTTTTGCAGTGCCAGAGAAAATCAACTAAATAGTGGAGTGTGCCATTGCCATTTTCATTTTTCAATCTGACCTCTCCAAGATCTTGTTTCTCTAAGCCAGGCAAGGGTTTGCTCTACAAAAATGGCCAGATGTTGGGTACCTGATGAACCATCTGCTTTCAAGAGTGAAGTGCCTAAAACCTTCTGTTATAAGTCTGTTCATCATAAAGATGTATACTTACGGATTCATCATGAGAGGAGGGTCTTCCAGAAAGCAAGAAAGAGCACATGTAAAAGGTTTTGTTCTTATAGTTTTCTGGCACAGAGCAGTTGAGATAACATGAAGTAGAAGAATAGTTCAACTTAGAAATCTTCATTCAGATGTTTATTAGACTTGCTAGATGAACAGCAAGATGAAAAATAGCCACATTCTTGTAGACGCTTGACAAAATTGAAATACAATAAAACCTGGGTGCCAAATTAATCACTGATATTGATGCTTCCTGGTGCTAAGTCACTCTTAGCTTTAATCGATGTGTATGATCACAAGCTTTAAAGCAGACCTCCAGGTACCTACATTCATATCCTAGCGGAATTTATACACAATTATATTTGTCACTCTTGAGCAATGAAGGCAAACTGTTACCCAAACATGCTTTCCAGATATAAGACGGATACATTAGGCATTCCCTACCACCACTGCTAATGCCTTCCTTAAGGTTCTAGGTTAGCACTGTGCAGCAGAACTTTCTGCAATATGGAAATGTTTTATCCTGCACTATACAACATTATGGCCATTAGCCACATGTGGCTGTGGAGCATTTGAAATGAGGCTGGCATGACCCGGAATTTAATTTTTTATTATCTTTGATTTCAAATAATTAAATGGCCACATGATGCTTGTAGCTACCATGTTGGACTGCACAATTCTGGAGTATTATGGTGGTCTTTAAATTACTTCCCTGCCTCCAGCCTAATTCCCACTCTCCCTATGCTTCAGTCTACCCTTCATACTACCTATTATCATCAGACTCATTCTAAGACGAGTCTGATGATCTCACTTAGCTGCCATAATCCATTAGTGGCTCCTCAATTGGCTATAATATAAATTCCAAACCCCTAGCATAGACATTAAGACCTTTCATGACCTGGCTTTCCTTCTTTATTCCAGGGCCCACTGATGTCTGTGCTCACTGCACTCTCACCCCTCACAACACAGACACTGCTAATCCACAGATCTGTGTCTTTGCAAGTCATACCACTGTGACTATGCTGCCTGCTTCCCCTAACCTTGACCACCTGGCAAAGTCCTGTTTGTGTTTTATGACTCAGATTAGACAGGATTTCTTCTCTGAAGACTTCCAACCCTTACACTTTCCCCTGCTCACCTCCTGTCTCCTAGTTATTCTACATCAGTTCCTTTTTACTTATCTCTATTTATTTCCATCCAAAACCTCTTATCTCCTTCTGCTTTTTCACTTTTCCCCCTATTTTAAAGGTTTAATTTCTATATAGTAAAGTTTACCCTTTTTAGTCTATACTCTGAGTTTTGACAGATGTGTTTAGTTATAACTACTGCTGTAATGAATCAGCTGTTCACCCACTCCCAGCCCTGGCAAGCACTGATTTGTTTTGTTCTAAAGTTTTGCCTCTCCTATATAAATGGAATGATACAGCATGTAGCCTTTTCAGTCTGGCTTCCTCCACTAAGCATAATGCATTTTAGATTCATCCATGTTGTTGCATGTGTCAATATTTGTTTCATTTTCAATTGCTGAATAATATTCCATTGTATAGACGCACCATAGTTTGCTTATCCATTCCCTAGTTGAGGGGCATTTTGGTAGTTTCCTGTTTCTGGTGATTACAAATAAAGCTTCTATAAACGTTTTCATATAGGTCTTTTTGTGTGTGGAAATTGGTTTTATTTCACTTGGTAAATATCTAGGTGTAGGATTGCTGATTCATATGGTACCAATTTCCAAAGTGGCTGTACCATTTTATATTCCATGTGTGAAGGCTCCAGATGCTTCCTATCCTTGTGAGTACTTGTTATTTTTAGGTTTTATGGTTTTTTTAATGTTTAGCCATTCCAATAGGTGCATAGTAGTATGTCATTTTGGGGTTTGGGGGTGGTTTTTTTTGGTAGAGATGGGGGTATCCCTATGTTGCCCAGGCTGGTTTTGAATTCCTGGGCTCAAGCAATCCTCCTGCCTCAGCCTCTCAAATCATTTTGGTTTTAGTTTGCGTTTTTCTCTAAAGACTAATGATATTGAAGATCGTTAGTGTGCTTTTTTCCATCTGCATATCTTTGCCAAGGAGTTTTTTTTCACTTTTAGTCTCTTCCCCCTCCAGTATAATTGGCATTTCATTATGGACAACAAAACACGTTTTGAATCTCTTCAATCCTTTTTTATTTCCCATTCATTTCTTACGTTAGCATAATAAAAGTCATTTTGTGATGATAGTCTCAAATAAAATTATGGAAATGTATATTTGCTTAGTAAAACTGAAAACACATATAGTTATAACACTTTAAAATATAAGTCATGAGAGAAAGTACATATAAGCAGAAATCCAAATGAAGTTAAAATGTACAATACTTGGGTAAGAAAGATAAGGATAAGAAAGAGAGACCACATGTGGTGATGGTCTCACTTTTCAAGTCCGGGAACTGACATAATTTATTTGACCATTCAGAGGTCACACTGCAAGTTGTTTTCAAAGTTAATATATGATCAAGATCTTCTAGCTCCTGAACACTTCGCTTGAGGGTCTGTTCATATTTAATTTTATCCAGTCATGCGAAATTGCATTCTTTCAGGTTAAAACATACTGTATACACTGTTAGTGGAACTTTGGCTTGTATGTGTAACTGGAGGGCCAATAAATATTCATGTAATCTTCTGGATAATATATTGAAAAGGACAGCTGGCTCAGGAGGGATCATTTGCCTGGGTTAGTATCTGTTTCCATTTATATTAAGAAAATATTGCAAGAAGTTATTATCTGCCGGAGGGCTTGGGGGAATTCAGTGGAAGTCTGATATTGCATCTGATCACTTTTGACATTTACCTATTGTAACAAGGAAACTGTGTGAAGATAGCCAAGTGACTTTTTACAAAACACAATTTCAGAAGCTATAAAAGGAAAAAGGAGATGGCAGAGATAAAATACACTGGATCTGTAAAAATGAGAAACATGAGTTGTCAGCAACACCTGCTTGTAACTATCAACCATTTCTATTGGGCCTGCTGAGAAGTTACTCAGAGCCAAGTACATTGATGGGTGTGAAAAGTGCTTCAAAGGTAGTCAAGAGACACAGAGGAGAGAAAGAAAGTGTAGTTTTATTGAACATTTTTAACCCTAAACCTGAAGTTGATGAAAGGTAATTTTATGACACTTTCTGAATACTTGAAAAGAAACAAGTTGTCCTTTATGTTTTTATCTCTCAAGACTACAAGTGACAACAGGGCTTTTAAACGTTGGGTACATAAAACTTTAATTTTTTTTCCAAACAGATTCCAAATCTCTAACTGGGGCACCAAAATATTGATTGCAAAAACTGATTAAAAATTACTAAAGATATTTCTAATTTCTAATTGATAGTAGTAAATTATAACTACTTGGGGTCTCATTTCTTAGACCCCAAGTAGTAATAGTGAATGAATGAGAAAAGGAGTGGGCAGGAGTGGTCAAGATATTTCAAAGACAAAAAAGTGACAACTCAGCAGGGCAGAGAAATCTAAAACAGATATGAATAACACAGACCCACTCATTTCTTTAGAAACTCAGGGAGGCCCAGAACCTAAAATACTCGGGACAGAATGGAATAAAACAACCATGAAATTTTTATGTTTAAAATAATAAAGCAAGCAAATATGAAAGAAATGAAAGAAAATAAAAGAAATAAAGATAATTCAGGGAAGAAAAGAAAGCTTCAAAAACTTATTTATAGCCAAAAAATGATATGATATTTACTACAAACTGACTGTTTGTGTCTCCTGCTCCAAAACCTATATGTTGAATCCCTAATTCCCAATGTGATGGTGCTTGGAGACGGGCCTTCGGGAGATAGTTAGGTTTAGATAAGGTCATGAGAGTGGTACCCCAATGATGGGATTGGTGCCCTCATAAGAAGATGAAAAGACCAGAGCTCTCTCACTCCAACATATGAGGATACAGCAAGGAGGTAGCCATCTTAGTCCACTTTGTGCTGTTATAGTGGAATACCACAGACTGGGTGATTTACAATGAACAGATATATATTGGTTCACAGTTATGGAGGCTGGGAAGTCTAATATAAGGTGCCAGCATCTGGCAAGGGCCTTCTTGCTGTGTCATCCCATGGCAAAAGGAGGAAGGGCCAAAAGAGAACAACAGGGGGCCAAATTTGCCCTTTTATAATGGTACTAATTCTACCATGAGGGCGTAATCCTTATGACCTATAGGAGAAGCAGCAGACCAATCCGGGATGCCAATATCTAATGAGAGTTGCAGAAAGAGAGACCAGAAAAACAGAATGGAAATTATCAAAGAAATAGTATAATAAAGGTTCACAAAACCAAACTAAAGGAAACAAGTCTCCATACTGACAAAGAACCATACCAAAATGCACCATTGCAATAATTCAAAACAAAAAAAAAGTACAGGGAAAAATCTTAACAATTTTCAAAAAGAAAAGGTAATATAAGTATATCACATACAAGGAGCAAAAATCCTAATGGGTTCAGGCCTCTCAATAGTAATGCTGGATGCTAGAAGACAATAAAGCAGTGCCTGTAAGTTTCTGAAGAAAAATCATTTTTTCAGTCTAGGAGTTTCATACAATCTAGAATTCTAAGCCAGAATTCAATCAAAAGAAGGTAAAAATAAATGTATTTTCAAACACTAAGAATTGAAAAATTGGTTTTTTCCCTGCATAATTTCTTAGAAAGCTGCTGTAGGATATGCTTCAACAAAATGAAAGAGTGAATCAGCAGGAACAGAAAACCAAACACCGCATGTTCTCACTCATAAGTGGGAGTGGAACAATGAGAACACACGGACACAGGGAGGGGAACAACACACACCAGAGCACATGGGGGGCAGGGGGGCAAGTGGAGAGAACCTAGATGATGGATCAATAAGTGCAGCAAACCACCATGGCACACACGCATACCTATGTAACAAACCTGCACGTTCTGCACGTGTATCTCAGAAATTAAAATAACAAAAAATAAATAAAAACTGAATCAGAAAAACTGACACAGAGTCCACCTTGGAGTGCAACAACAATCCCCACGATGGCACTGTCCAGCAGACTGGAGAGCAAACTACCTACGTCTGGGAGGAAAGTCTTCAGAGGAATAAATTAAATTGATGATTTTAACAGCTTTTGGGGAAGCAATTAATGATGTGAGGAAAAGACACAATCAGAAACCTTGATTAGAAGTGGCGAAAGAAGGAAAGAAACTGTGCAAGAAAATAAATGAAATCATAAACGCTTCAGTGAACAAGATTTACATAGTAAAACCACAAACAATGATAACTGGTTTAACTAAAAATTGTAATAAAACTACTTTGGGATAAGGAGAGCAGGTGGGATGCAGAGGAAGAGTGCTAAATCCTCTATCAGAATAAGAAGTGAATAGATATTGACTAACATTGATAAAATGAGAAACAGCTATGTAGGAATATTATTAGAAATGTGAAGAAACAGCTGAAAGATTTAAAATGTTTGCATTTGGGTCACAGAACTAGAGAGGATGGGAGAGTTAGGGCAAGAGACTAGAATTTTTTATTATAACCATTTTGGTTATGTTTAATTTATTTAAGTTCACACATATATTACTTCAATTAAGTTGCTTTAATGCCTAACACTTCTCATAGAGCTCTTTGAGGAAAGAAATCTATAGATAGGGAAAATGTAAGGAAAACAATTAGCTTGCTATAAGTCTCTTAAATTGTCATCATATTGAGAGCAATTGGTAGTGAGTGGGAGGACTAAAAACATAGACAGCCACTAATTTAAAGACAGAAACAAAAGAGTCTGTGGCCAAAAAAAAAAAAAAACTTATAGGACTATAAGTGAAAGAAAAATGGTCCTAAGATTAAGCAACACTGAATAAGATCATATAGCAGTTTTGGAAATGAGCTGATGAAGCAACATCACAAAAATCCTAAGTTTCATAAAAATAAATTATTCAGATTAAGGAAAGGCCAAAGTAATGAGTACATACTTGACGTATTTTTCTCTATGCATATGGACAGGTTAGTTTGGGAATGACATACGATTTTTTAAATGGGCAATTTAAACTGTACCTGTCTTAATAATCAGTACCAAGTTTTAAATATAAATGCTTCTTCAAAAAATAAAAATGACACCTTAAAAAATAATCAAGTTGCTTTAGTTATATTTCCAATCACTAGAAGATTGTTTACTCTCCTCCTTTTACATTATATGAATTTTGAAATTTTTATACAATTTTTATCATAATAGAACCATCTAGTATTTTCTAGTAATAACTTGATGAGGCTCTGTAATAAATTATAAATAAAAGGAACCCCATATTCAGGAACTAAATTGGTCATCATAAAATTGGGCAACCAGCCCTTTAAAAGGTAGATTTGCATGCCTGGGATGGAAGTATAATACCAAACCTCAACCCTGCAACTGTTTCTTAAAAAGAATAAAGCAACTGGCTTTTCTGCCCTACAGGGAAGAATTCCTTTATCATATTTTAACATCAATAATTCTTTAAAGATTTTTCCATTATTACTGAATCGGCTTGCTGTTTGGTTATTTGCAAGCCATGCTTGCTAAAAGCTACACAATTTTACTAACTAAAATTACTCTAGTTGAACAATAGAATTTCACCTTCCACCCCTTGATTGGAAAGTCCTGAGTTGCTGGTTTTATTGGGCAATGGAAATACATATCTTTTTCTGAGTCTTTGCGAAAAATGCAAAAATTGCCGAAATAGGGTTAATATTTATTTGGCTTAGTGGGACCAGATTTTCCATCCTGACATTCAGACCCAAACAGGTCAAAAAAGATATCCTTGCTAGTTATTGTACAAGTTGGCAAGGTGATTTTCAGGGACATACAGAGAAATGAAAAGTATTGCTACGGAAGAAAAGAGGTGTATCTACAAATGGAAATGTTTTTTCATTCTCTCTGTCCAGCTCCCAGACCCCACACACCTACAGATTTGAGGATCATGACTATTCTGAAGTTTCTTTGCTTCCTGCCACTCTAATGTCTAGACATTTTGTCAGACTGTGAGGAGAAAAACCATATCAAAAGAATACATGAACCCCTTGAAATACCGTGATCTATCTTAACATCTACTTAAAGAGGGTTACAGAAGAATAGTTGCTTTGTCAATGACACAATAATGAGTGACTTATAAGAATAATTTTCACAGTGGAGTAAGAGAATCAAGGTAATTTTTAGACCTCTTCAATAAATATGTGAAGAATCAAAAGTAAGAGTATACTTAACAGAAATTTTTTGGACTGCCTTTTCTAGTGATGTACAGGGGAGTGGAAAATGCACCCACAGAGAAAAGGATTGTTTTGGCTCCTTTCCTACCACCCACCTTGTTGGTGATTTTTCTTGGTAGCTGTAACATATTCTCATTTACACCTTCCACGGCAGACACTAAGAACAGTGGAGTGGCGCAAGGAAGAAATACATTATGGACAGATCTACCTAAGACCAACTACATAATTTGCAGGGTCTAGCGCAAAATCAAAGTGTGAGGTCCTTGTTCAAAAATTATTAAGAATATCAAGCTGGTGACAGGTGACTAAACCAAACACCAGGCCCTTTTGAGCATGGTGGCCTGTGTGACTGCCCAGGTCACATGAAGCTAGCCATGTGACCCCTGGCCCATCAAATGTTTCCAAACAACAAATCCATTTTAACCCAGCCTCATGTTCCAGGATAGAACAGTTGAGTCATAGCTAATTACAATTCCTAATGTCGTGAGATTTCTTTCAGTTACTAATTTACTCTCAGTACTTAGCTATGCAAATTTTTAACAATTGGTATAAAATAAAAGCATAAACGGTAATATATGGCTGCTGAGTGTTTCTCTCCAGCCATTTAGTTAATCGTATCTATAGGATGCTTTCTGCCCTCAGCAACGTGAGTTCAGTTGGGTTCCCAAATTGCCAGTGATGAGCCCTTCTTCCCATTCTCCTGTCTGACCATCTGCTTATTACCAACTGCAGGGTAGCTAAACTGTTCAACCACAAGAGAATGACTCATGGGTGCTGGGAGGGGGGAAAACGCACTTTTTGAATATGCAGTCCTTAAAACACCAGCTGTTTGATTTTGGGTTTTGCATATCAGTTGGCTATGAATTTCAGGGAAGACGTTTTCATCTTTGGAAAGCTAAATTTCACAGCGTTCTAGAGGAAAACAAGTCATGCCGTCTGTTTTTTCTTAATTTTGCCACCAAAAAAAACTTTAAAATACAAAACACATGTTTTTTCCCACATCTCCACCCCATGATGACAAAGAAAACTCTTTTGAAGGACACCTTGTCATATTCCAGGAAGGGACAATATCTATCTGAATGGGTTTGTCACAATAAAACATATGAAGGCAGAATTTTTAGGAAGCAGCGATGGAAAATAAGCAAGATTAATATTATGCTCTGGTTTCTAAAGGCAGAAAAACAGATCAGGAGTTTCCACCATGTATTAAAGAGATGGGAACACTTTGTGACAATCTCGCATCATTCCTCTGTGCTCAGTCTCCATTCACGGGAGCTGGGCTAAAGGCATCACATCAGAGCTCTCAAGGAAGCAATAATTATGAGGGCAGGAGGGACCCCAGCCCACAAAGCACCTCTCCTTGTCTCCCCGCAAACCTCCTTGGATTATATACCCATTTACCCTCATAAGTTTTTTCTAAGAGAGCTGCCACTTACCAAGGGGCACATATTCCCTCCTCCCCAGAATGACCTTCCCGTTCCTCACCATTCTCTCAGTCTACACCTGGACTCAGGATTTCACTCCTCCACTCTACTTTTGCTGCACGTTATATTTGCCATGTATTTGCCATTTGCATTTTGCTTTATGTATTTTTATAAATTTATCCCTGGTCTCCCCAACCAGACAGTGAGTTTCTTAAGGACAAATACCATGTGTTGGCTTTATTATTGCCTTCCCCTCTGGGCCTAGCATAGTGCCTGTTATTAAGAAGATGCTATTCTGAAATGTGTTGATTGATGTAGTAATTGACCCTTCTGCTCCAACCCACAAATTTAAACTAGACAGAAGGTAATTTTCACGTATATTATTGAAAGAAAAGCAACTGGAATTATCCAACTTTTAAAAAGCATTTATTTTCACATCAGGTCACAGATTCTAAACCCAAACTAACTTCCTTTGCCTCTTTAAGCTAATGACATGTTGTTTAACCTTCACAAATTAATGGAAATGCGAGCTAATGAGAGTTTATGCTATCGATTGCCTTTGAAGTATTTATTTTTCTCACACTCATTTCAGGAACTTCCCTCTTGTAAGTTTGGCATGATCGATGCAAAATCCACTTTGCCTTTTTAATACTTTCTCCACATATAACTCCACTTTGTGGGATCTATTAACAAGAAGATAATTAAATGTAAACATGAGTCACAGACTTTTCTTTCTCTGAAATGAAATACACATAAATAGCAAGACAAATAATGAGGAAAGAGGAGAGAAGGGGGGATCTAATAATCCCTTCCCTTAGGATTTCAGGAAGAATCTATCACCAAAGCAAGAAAAGTCCTTCAAGTAAACATCCTGTCTTCTTTATGGGGACTGACCCAAGGTAGAAATAACAGGAGTTCATTGGCTGGATCGGCCCACTTTGACCAGTGACTGAAGGAGCCGGAGTAGACTATACAAGGTCCCAGAAGAGAATCCAACAGCAAAAAAGGGAGGATCCCTGCTTTCAGTAGTGATGTGGCTACAGACCCCAAGAATCCAGCCCTTCCAAATTCACTTAGAGGACATCCAATCCAACTGATTATCTCTGAATATTCCTACCAAAACAGTGTGGAACATTGAGCAGAGCCAAAAGAGTTCATTCATCTATGGGAAAATATAAAACATGTTGCAATATAAGTAGACAATATTGTTTTATCTATAAAGGAATAAAGACATAGAAAAGCTGGGTTTCTTTTTTCCATAATTTATGAGATTTTCAATTAAAAGGAAATTTCTGACTAGTGACACATTATCTCCTTCCTAAATGTCAGTACGTCTAAAGCCAAATGACATACTGCAACTTTTCCCAAATATCTGTGTATCCTAAGCACACTGTGTCAAGACGACTGATCCAAAGACTTGATTTATGTTGCTCCCTGACAGATGATGTCTGCAAGGCATGCTGTCTAAATGGACTGTGCTCCGGCAGTTCCCTTAGTCATCAGTTCTCAGGGAATTAATGAGTACCATTCATCCCAATAATAGAAACCAAGGTCAGGGCCTCTTCCTTGCTCTGTAATTCCGTTAGCATTGCACTGAAAGCACTTAGGTCATAGGCTCTGTAGACCTTATCACTGAGCAAATGGAACTGCATCTTGTTTTCAGAGAGAATCCTCTCTGAGCACATCCCTTGTCAGAGATTTGTTGTACATCAACATTCAGTGCACTTACATATGTAAGGAAAACTCTAGTAAAGGAAAAGTGAGGCTGCCGTTAGCTGCCAAGAGTTTCAAGTACTGCTTTTATTAAAGTAAATGCCAATAGAAAACATTTGTAATAAAACCACGTCAGGTACTTTCAATTACTGAAGATACATTTTTAAACTGTGTGCTCACTTACATTTTATGCAAGTCACTCAGTCATTTTATGTGTCTACCACTGAATTTATTTCAGTTTTCATTCTTTTATTTTGATTTCTAGTCTTTTATCTTAGTTTTTATTCTAACTACCCTAATAAAGTTAAAATGGCTTTGAAACTAAGTTATTACCATGAGCAAATAATTCTGTTTACAGTGAAACTTTCATCTTGAAGTCTCAACCAGCAAGCTTTTCCAAACTAAGTCTCAATAGTCATTCGCTTGCTCTTCGTAATTCAAATTGCTTTCAACCTCCAACATATCAAAAAAGAAAGGAATAACCCCAAGGTTTGAAGCCATAGGCAAGGATTTGAATTGTGCCTTTGACACTTGTTTTCTTAATAGTGAAATTAGCATGATTATTATACTTTTACAGCTACTTCACACTATTGCTATAAGGATTTAAAATGAGCAAGTTCTGCAGTGCCTGGAAATTAACAAGTAATAGTTTATCATTGTCGTTGAGCATACAAATTGTGTGTGTGTGTGTGTGTGTGTGTGTGTGTGTGTGTGTGTGTGTGTGTGTGAATCTATGTTTTGAAACATTTGGGATTTTATGCCCAATAAATTTTAAATGATCTACAGTAATAGAGGAGAGCAGAGGCATAAATAAGTCAAAACAGAAAATCATCCAAATACCATTTGTGTTTTGAAGTACGTTTTTAAATTTCATTTCAAAAGTCAGTATTTCTAAAACCCAAAGAAATTACTTCACACAAAAGAATGACACCATGATGTGACATCCTAACTAAATAGGATCTGAAGAGCTGTCCAATTTCCTCTCCTCTTCTCTTTCTTCTCTCTCCTCCTCCCACTTTGCCTGTCAAAAGACAACTGCAGCAAAGAACCTGCTTCAGACAAAGTTCCTGACTTCCACTCATCCTTGAATCAGGACCACTCATGAAGTGTTTAGTTCCTGGCTCAGAGGCAGGCTATACCCATCAAATAAAAGCACCAGATACTCACAAAGCAAGTAATAGATTAGAGATCAGAGCCAGAAAAGTCAAGAGATGCAGGGTGGTGGCTATAATAACAGCAAAGGCTATGAAATCTGATAGACTAGGGTTCTAAGCCCTGTTTGGCATATGTGACCTTGGACAAATTAATAACTGCTATATGCTTCAGTTTCCTCTACTGTAAACTTGTAATGATATCAAACATTTCATATGATTTGTTAAGGATATTTTTTAAACATATATATACATATATATACACACATATATTATCACTTAGCACAGTGCTTGGCTCAGGTAGGTACTCATAAGAGGTAGGAAGAAAAATGGTTAATAACATTCAATAAATATGAAAGTGTGTGTGTTTATGTGTGTAGGGCTCAATGTGGGTGATTAAGAGATTTAAATCATGCTGATTTCCCTTTGAATAATAAACTCTTACAAGCTGATGTTTTCCTACAGAGACCTGCAACATCGTCTTTTTTGTGAAATCAGAGAACATAGACTCTTGACCTCATCCAGTGTCTGTCTAATCCACCCAACACATCTCTTTCATAACTGAAGCTATTTTCCTGTGTTGATACTTAGGGGATATTACTCTGTATAATCCTGTAGTAAGCAAAGTGTTCCTTCAATTCTAGCAGTATTACAGGTTTACCCCATGTGGAAAGAAACCAAGTTGGTACCTACACACAAGCACACACATACCCCTTAATAGTGATATCAGAAATATTTAAAAGATAATAGTAATAAAAAGAATGACAGTTAATACTTATAGATCAGTTCTCACACATCAGGCACTGTTCTACTCGCTTTACATATGATAACTCATTTAATTCTCAGATGCAGTCTGTGAAGTCAATGCTATTAGTATACCAATTTTACTGTCGAAAAACAGACTCAGAGAAGTTAGGTAATTTTGCAGAGGTCACGGGACAGATAACAATATACACATTATGGCCAGGGAGACCAAATCATTGATGAACCATTCATTCCGAGACACTGTTGAACATGAAAGGGGGCAAAAACAGGAACTAAAGTTCACCCTAATTATAATTGCAACCCTAAATACCTTGCAATGCCTACATCATTTTTTTAAAGTCAGTAAATTAATGAGTTCTTATATTTCTACTTGAAAAAACATTGATTGTCCTAAGATTCTAAGATGATCATTAGCATGCTCTATGTAAGGTGTTCTTAATTGAAGCCATTAGTGCTTATGGTATATAAAAACATGTTTTAGTTTCCAACATGATGAGTTTCACTTCAGGGACACAGGCTCAGCCAATATTTTCATATGCTATCTATAACCTTTCACAATAGAAGAATGAACAAGGTACTGGCTCATTAAATCACTAATTGTCCTTCCTTGCCATGGTTATTAGCTAATGTTCTGCCTTTCGCTGTAAAGCATGTGCAAGATTGAGAGTTCAAGGACTAGACATCCCTGAAACATACTGAATGGTGGGTTGTGTTTTTGCATATTTCTACAGATCAAAGCAGTACCTGATTCCATAGGGAGAGCAACAACACAGAGTTATTGACAGGTTTCTGAGCTGGGGCTCACAGTCTTGAAGGGAGAATGGAAAGGGAATAGGCTTCTAGTTTGGTAAACTCCTTGAGGGGGTTTACACAGGGTATACTATTGATGTCCACCCCATAAATAGTTATCTTGGTAGGTACTTAAACATTTACACTGAAGTCAACCTTCTAGGAAAAATCTGTATTCCCATGTGTGTGGCTCTCCTCACACATATAAATAAACAGTAAAAAGAAAATAGGCCGAGCATGGTGGCTCAAGCCTGTAACCCCAGCACTTTGGGAGGCCGAGGCAGGCGGATCATGAGGTCAGGAGATCGAGACCATCCTGGCTAACACGGTGAAACCCCGACTCTACTAAAAATACAAAAAAATTAGCCAGGCGTGGTCGCGGGCGCCTGTAGTCCCAGCTACTCGGGAAGCTGAGGCAGGAGAATGGCGTGAACCCAGGAGGCAGGCAGAGCTTGCAGTGAGCCAGGATCGCGCCACTGCACTCCAGCCTGGGCGACAGAGTGAGACTCCATCTCAAAAAAAAAAAAAAGAAGAAAGAAAGAAAAGAAGTGTACATTGTTTTTAAAAGACGTATAACATTTTACCAATCCTAAACATTTTTATATTTTAATATTTTGACAGTTGGAGAGCATCTTATAATCAATGGAGCATCATTATTTAGTTAGCAGTGTTTCTTTTTATTTTTTTTCCCGTGGCATATAAAATAAAGGTGTGTCTTACCATCCATGGCATTGTAGATTTGAATAAATGCATTATGTATCAGACATTAGCAAGATATCAGCACCATGTAAAAGTAAATCAAAAAGAAGAGGTAAGATGTGACAACACACCAACCTTTATAGCTTAGTACATGAGTGGGAAGGTGGTTATAACTTCTTTACCAAGTGGCTACTACCCATTTAACACATATTTCTTTCCTTCCTTGTTTTCTCCTCTCAATAAAATAATAAAAGGATAGAAATTGAATTTCTGGCATTTATTGTAGCTTTCTTAAATTATTGATTATTGTCCCTAGAATATGAGCTCATGGGGCACAAAGTTCTATGTGGTCCTCAAACACTCATATATATTGGAATCTCCCTAGGAGCTTCTTAGAAATTCATGGTCCTCGCCTCCTGCCTGGACATTCTAACTCAGACAGTCCCCAGTAAGGCCCAAATAGCTGTCTTTTTAACTCTAGGTTAATTATGATCACCCCAAAGTTTGAGAACCCCTGGTCTGTGTTTGGAATTGGCCTATCACTGCAAAGGACTTGAATTTAGAAACTTTGGTCTCAGTAGTATGCACAGGACCCCATTTGATAGAAATTAGTGTGATTTCAAAAGGCAAATACACTGACGAAGGAAGGAATTCTGACATTTCATTGTTTCCTTTGGGGCTGGGACTGAAAGAACATGTATTGGTGATGTCCCTGATACCTATTTCTGTTGGGGTTTTTTTAGCTGTGCCCCATAAAATCGGACGCATCATTGATGGGAGTCCTGCAGATCGCTGTGCAAAACTAAAAGTGGGAGACCGGATCCTAGCAGTGAATGGCCAGTCTATCATCAACATGCCTCACGCTGACATCGTGAAGCTCATCAAGGATGCAGGTCTTAGTGTCACCCTTCGCATCATTCCTCAGGAGGGTGAGTGCCTGAGGCAGCCTTGCAGAGAGGCGGCCAACACATGGACACACTCACCGGGTGTTCTCAGCCTGCCCGCCAGGGTCGCGGAGTGCACCTGCCTGCCGTCACTGTGGTGTCAGAGTGTCAGAGGTTGATTATTATTTCCACTTTTGCAAAAACTCACACTCAGTTGCAATCCATATCTTGTTTACTCAGTACCTGTTTCATTCAGAGGTCAAGCTATGTGACATTGCAGGCTAAATAGTGTGAATTCCAAGACGCCAGGTTATTCAATCATTCCCTGTGGGCCCCCACTTTTATGGTTATATTAAGTCAGAATTCATTCAACAGAGGTGACAGAGTTACAAATCTGAAAAAAAAAATTTATGTTAACAGTAAATCTCTAGAGGATTCCTCAAAGTCAGATTGATTTTGAAAACGTGAAGTTTTGTGGTATAAGGAGAGCTCATTTAGAAAATGTTGCATCTGATAAGAATTTAAAATTCCCACTGAGCCTTTTGAATTTGTCTGTACAAGGACTCCCCCCTGAGGCTCAAAAGAGTAGTGAACATCACAATTCATAACCATGCCCTAAGGGGTCATGGAGCTGTGAACATCACTGCACCAAAAATTCACCATTTCCAGAGACAGTGGGTTCATGACTAGTTTCTGGCTGCTGACTCATCAACGATATTGAAGAATTCCATTTCTGGAGCTCACTGATGAGTGTCCCACACAGAGGCTGATGGGCTCACTCAACTTGGTACCCTCTGTTTTATTCAGCCCCCAATTCCATTTTAGGATTATCTGACATGTAGGCAGCAAATGGCTAAACAGCCACTTGACTTTAAATATAAAACAGTAGTTCTCAACGGGGGTGGTTTTGTCCCCCCAAGGGACATTTGGTAAAGTCTGGAGGCATTTTTGACTGTCTTGATTGAGGTGGGCATGCTGCTGGCATCTAGGGGGTGGAGGCCAGGGATGCTGCCAACTATCCTAAAATGCACAGGACAGCCGTCCACAGGAAAGAATTACCCCACCCAAAATGCCAACAGTGCTGAGTCTGGGAAACCCTGATATAAATGGAGAAGGAATTAAAAGATTTGGACTGTGGGGAAAAAAGGGGGGGGAAGAAGAGTTCATAGGGGAATGCTAATAGATCACCTCCCTTTTCTTACCCAATCAAAAAAAGAGAGAGAGAAAAGAAAATGGCCATGCTGCTTTATAACCTACTATCTCCAGACACCAACATGTATAAGCTATTCAATGGAAATTAACTGCAAACAAGATTGCTCGCTGAAAATCTAAACGCTTCTCAGTTTTCTGAGTCTGGAATGTGTCTGTTGGGCCCTTATTCCAATATATAGAGTCAATTTCAGTTGAAAATTTGATGTTATTAGCAAAGAATTCCAGAAGCAATTATTTAATAGAATAGTTTTGTGACTCTTCCTGTGTCCAGGGTTCTTTCTTCTTTCTGGAAAAGTGTGGAGTCCAGTGGGCTATGAGGCAATAAGACTGACAAGGGATGAGGAAAAGATTGTAAAAAACATTTTTCTTTTTATGGTTCATTCCTTATCCACACTTTGGAAGACTCTTCAGGCTGTTTATTACAAGCAAAAACTGGTGGCGGATCCATTTTCTCTCAGCAAGCGATGCTGCAAAAATAGAGTATGTTTTAGAGCTTAGTCCTTTGAATAATTTTTTTCATAGTTTTATGAGGTTTTTTGGTAATCTTTTCTTCTGGCAGAATGACAAGATACTGTTCATAGCCTTGTTCTGCAGTGATCATTAATGAAAGAATACAAATATCAGAAATGGTATTAGAACTTGATAAGATTAACCTGCTATCTAAAAACCTAGCAGAAACGGAAATAACCAAAGCCTGAGCCATCAGCAGAGGCAAAGTCACTGCCTCTAGTCACTTCTTTCCCCTTATCAACACTAACCTGACTGCATCTGCCGCTTTGGTTCTCCATCGCAGAGCTCAACAGCCCCACCTCGGCACCCAGCTCAGAGAAGCAGAGTCCCATGGCGCAGCAGAGTCCCCTGGCACAGCAGAGTCCCCTGGCCCAGCCAAGCCCAGCCACCCCCAACAGCCCCATCGCCCAGCCAGCACCACCTCAACCACTTCAGCTGCAAGGACACGAAAATAGGTAAAATTTCCTCTGACTTTTGTGATTCTGAGAGGTGATAGGGTGGGGAAAGGAGGGAGTATTTGGGGACAGCACAGGACAGGCAGAGAGAGAGACTTTTATAAAGTAGAAATCGCCGTGCATACCTTTGTGTGATTTCGAGGTTGTGTGTGTTATAGATATGGTTTTATTAGTAAAGATAGCTGAGTGTCTGTCCTTCACAAAGAGAGATGCTTTCCTGCAGAAATGGTGAGCAGTTGCAGATGAGTAGGGCTTAACAGCTGAAGAGCATGTTAAAGAGAGTCCAGAGTGAAGAACTTACTCAGAGGCCCCCTGGCAGGCGCAAGCCTGCAGTATGCACGATGGAAATGCGGCCAATATATGGGGTGGCAGAAGGAGAAGAGTATGATGTGAGATGAAGCCAGTGAGGGTGGCTGGGGCCCACCCTAAAGGGCCTTGTAAGCATGCTTACTTAATGTTTTGATCTTTAAGTGCAGCGGGAAGTCATTGAAGGGTCTTCAGCTGAGGACTGCTATCATTGGATTTGCTTTATAAGAAGGCCTCTCGGTCTGCCCTGCAGAGCGCAGACAGGAGGCTGGCAGGGTGAATGCAGGTTAAGCAGTTAGGAGGTGGCTGCAGACGTCCATTGAACCACAAAAGTCATGGCTCAGAGAATGATGATGATGTGGAGGTAGGGAGAATGTTGAAGGATTTGTAGGCATTAGTAAATATTAGCAGCCAGTGTGGTGGCTCACGCCTATAATCCCAGCACTTTGGGAAACCGAGGTGTGAGGATTGCTTGAGCCCAGGAGTTCAAGACCAGCCTGAGCAACGTGGTGAAACCCCACCTCTACAAAAAACACAAAAGTTAGCCGGTTGTGGTGGTACACGCCTGTAGTCCCAGCTACTTGGGAGGGTGAGGCAGGATAATCACTTGAGCCCAGGAGGCGGAGGTTGCAGTGAGCTGAGAACGTTCCCATTACACTCCAGCCTGGATGACAGAGTGAGACTCTGTCTCAAAAATAAAATAAATTAGCATTTTTACTGATTATAACAACCTTACATCCTCCTACCCACAATCTAATGAGGTTCTTCTATTCCACACATAGCATTAGAGATAGGCATCATAGACTAATGAATAAGACACTTTGAACTTCCAGAAAAAGACTGTCATAAGAACAACATTGTCTTCTTATTGTGACTTGTATATAACAGGGAGCCTGGGTTGGGTTCAGCCATTAAAGAGAAAGATGAAGACATGTTCCCATGATGCTTTCTCGCTTTCCGTGGGAAACAAACAAACAAAAACAGAACAACTCACAGAAACACCTCTGCATATAAACCCCTCACTGGCCTTTTTAATGATTCTAATGTTTTCTGAACATCTGCTTCCCATCCCTCTCCTCCCATGATGGCGAAGATGAAGTGAGACTCTGTTTTTGATTCCCAGAACTCTCTGGGTTCATCATTCACATTGTTGCAAAGTAAACTGTGTTCCCTGTGCCACAGGTGGTATTTCTACAAAGCCTTATTCTACTGATTTCCCATTTGCTTTCATAGAAAAGTAAATGTCTGATTGTCCTCAGCTGCTTATGTTTTTAAATATACGCAAGGAAGAGAAAAGCCCCATAAAGCAAATGATGCAGAGGTGAGAATTTGACAATCCCTAAGAAGGGTAGGTCCTGAGTGTCTCAGTAATGAGCCCCAGATGGGTTTGCTCTCAACATCTATCACTTCAACAGATTGCACTGGCTTTCCCCAGAATTCATCTTAGACTCAAGAGGAAGGACTTGAGCACCCCAGCAGTCCCCGAGCCAGCTTCAGACTCTTCTTGCCACTGTCGATTAATCTCGCAGCCACATTCCATTCTCCTTTCCAGAGTCAGATTTCCCTGGACATGGCTCTTGCTCCCAGCCTTGAGTGGGTGAGCTCATCCCTGGTGTGCTATAGCTCTGAGGGGAGAACAACAGCTGGATACAGCCACTGTCATGTCCCATCTGCTGCCAGCTCACAACTGGGATACCTTGTTCCCTATCACAGAAGCAGTGGTCTTTGGACATCCTGACTGCAGAATGAAATATTCCTAACTCTGGGATTCAGATTGACCTAATCCAAATGTTTATAAGTCACCAACATATTTGCCCAGAGTTCTAAGGTATTTTGCTTCTTCTACTACTACATTGCCTCTAAGATATTTTGCTTCCATTACTATATTAACAGCCCAGGAAGTGCCCACTCCAACTCTAGGGCCCTTTACTGCCACTCGGGTTTCCTGGCTGAACTCTGTGATTGTTGGTGGTGGCACATTTGCATATGAATGAAGAGATTCAGTAATCTTACAGGTACCAGAAACATTTTTCCCAATTGCATTTAAAGATGGCCATGGTATCAGAGGGAAAACTCTTTGCCATTTTTTTAGATCAGGCTGGAGATGTCTCTAAGACAGTTTATATGCCAGTGCACGGTATGAATTTCCTATTTCTTCATTTGTGTAAGAAGTGCCCACCTACATGTCAGATTCAGCCCGTTCCCATGTTAGAGCGGGATAAAATAAAATGACAATCTGCTTGCAAATGTCTGTGTTGTGAGTTAGAATGAGTGATATTTTTTCCTGCTGTATTTACTCTTGGATTGGCTTCCCATGACACCCATACACTTCTCCCCATTTCTCAGTCCTTTAACATCTTTTGGGTGTGTGCTCAGGAAGCATAAAGTATGTTTAATGTGAAGATAAGCAAAAACACTATTCAAGGAGAAGCATTTGTTGAAAACAACAGAAGAGCTGTTATGGAATATATTTCAAAACTAAGTATAAATAGCAGAGTTCACCTTCTCTAGCAAGGGCAATTGATATTTGCAGTTTAAAATGGCAAGGTCAGTGAAAGAGCATTGGAAATTGACTTCTTTCACAGACTTTGAACTCTAGATGCTCAGGACTGGAAGTGATTCTTTTTTTTTTTTTTTTTTTTTTTTTGAGGCGGAGTTTCCCTCTTGTTGCCCAGGCTGGAGTGCAACGGTGCAATCTCGGCTCACCGCAACCTCTGCTTCCCAGGTTCAAGCGATTCTCCTGCCTCAGCCTCCTTAGTAGCTGGGATTACAGGCATGTGCCACCACGCCCGGCTAATTTTGTATTTTTAGTAGAGACGGGGTTTCTCCATGTTAGTCTCGAACTCCCGACCTCAGGTGATCCACCCGCCTCAGCCTCCCAAAGTGCTGGGATTACAGGCGTGAGCCACGGCATCTGGCCGGAAGTGATTCTTGAAGGGCCCACGAGATGTGCATTCTCACCATTGGCAGCATTTCTTTGTTCTGGAACTTTTTCATACCACAAAAAACCTGCTAGAACTTACCATTAGCAGTCTGGTTTTATCATTTCTAAAATCTCTTTAGCAATTGAATTAATAGCTATGAAGGGTTTTGATGATCTTCTTTCAGAAGTAAAAGAACTTTAGAGAGCCAGCTTTTTAAAATAATCCTGAGTTTTCCTTAAAGTGTTTCACACATTCAAAGCAACATAATTTTTTGCCCTAGCTGGTATATTATTCACTTAAAAGTTAGCAACACTCATAAAAAATTTAGTATGTTTCCCTTATTAAAGAATTCTTCAATGTGTAGTTCAACTTAAAATCCTGACACACGACACTGGGTAGAATATAGTTTAAGTGCCTGATGGCCTGGATGAGAGTTTTGAAAGTTTCATCTGCTCCTATTTTTACTCGTTTGTATTACTTTGGGGGAAATTCTTACATTTCACCCTCTTTGGCCATACCTCATGTCACATTTGGTTGGAAATTGAGCACACAATGGATATTGCATATCAATACCATACAGATCATGGAAATAAAGTGACTATGCTATAACTTAAAACAGTGTGACATCCAAACCACCAAACAAGCTATTTCCAGAAAGGAACCAACACACACTGACAAATGTCACCCAGTTTAATTCCTTTTGTTTAATGCATGCATTTGCATAGTTAAGCATCTTATTCAAAGTATATTTTAAATAATTCTATTCTCAGCATGCATGCTCTCAGTAGGCGAGTGGACAATTGAGGTATAAAGCAAGGCCGAAATTATGCACCTCATAAAAGGAATGCCTCTCCTCTGCAGGGTTAAGTAATAAATGGGACCTACTCAAAGGGTTGATTAAAATAACTACATTACTAACCCCCTTCTAAGGAGCCCCAAGTAAATACATCTATTGCCATGCACTTTCAGTGTGACCTTGCCAAATATTAGATTGCACTAATGGCAATTGTTCAGGCAAGTGATTTTTAAAAATACTTAATACTAATCAGCATCAGTAAGACCGTAAGCCAGTTTAAAAAAAAAAAAAAATCCAGACTCTTTTAAAGGTAAGAATTCTACTGGTTTGCACTAGTTTTCCTGACACATTTGAGCTTTTTCTTGCTGCTAAATATTTTCTCAATTCCTCATACCCTCCAATTAATTTTAGATAAAATTGTTACTATGTAGAATGTATTTTTTCAATCTACCTACATCCCTGGGTAGCCCATTATAGACTGTTACCATGGCAATAGGCAATGAACAACAGAATTAAATGGCCTCCATACCATGGTGACAATTTTTCAGTTCACCTTATTAATGATCCCATAATGGTAGGGATTGGCTATTTCTTTTGAAACTAGTAACCCCCTCAGCTTAAAGCAGTTTGGATTCACAAAACAATGCTACACTCCTAGCTCTCATCTCTGTGTTTATTTCATTAGTAACTAATATCTAGAAGCAAGCAAGAGATAAATGTTGGACATAAACATTTTTGCCTTCTCTTCCATCTTATGACCACAGTAGTATTTGATGCTAATCTTGATAGCTATGATCTAGTATTACCTCTGTGTAATATGTTTCCAATTTTACCAATGGTCCAATGACTTGCCACTTGGTTTGTAGTTGGTGATTATATTTTACCATCACTCCTTTAACCTCTGTAAAATATTCAAAAAGACCCAACTCAGCAGGTTAAAATAGCCTTTGATTGTGTATTTGTAATGTATTTAGAGATCACTTCAATCATGTTTTTATGAAGTAATGAATGATCTGCCAAGGGGTGTGTGTGAGAGAAAAAAGTAAGAGTGAGAGAGGAAGGTTGGTTTACCAGTCTTAAGATAGGCTGATGTCTTGGTTTGTATAGTTCAGTGCTTCAATCCCTTGATTTGCTGTGGCTGTACAGTTTTTAAATAGCCAAAGTCAAAGAGGAACATCCATGAGTGCTTTTTCACAAGGTTCTGGTTGAACCATCATTTTTACCTTGACTTCGTAAGGAGCCAAATAAAAAGCATACAATATGGCATTTGTCAGAGATTTTTAAATAATATTTAACCTTCTCATAATCCTGAGCATCCAACAGGACCACCGAGAGGAGTGGTTTGTGTGAGCTGTCATGGCTGGCCCACCTCTGGAGGCCGTGTGATCACTCTAGCCTCTTTAGAATGCAGAGTTACAAAAGCAAATCCCATTTCCATTGATTTAGTTACAGGTCGGAAGTGAAAGCAAGGCAAGATGTGAAACCAGACATCCGACAGCCTCCATTCACAGACTACAGGCAGCCCCCGCTGGATTACAGGCAACCCCCAGGAGGGGACTACCAGCAGCCCCCACCCTTGGACTACAGGCAGCCTCCCCTACTGGACTACAGGCAGCACTCCCCCGACACCAGGCAGTACCCTCTGTCGGACTACAGACAACCCCAGGTACCTCCTCCCGGAGAGCAGGGTGGGTCCTGACCAAGGCTTCCAGAGAACTGCAAGGAATGAAATAGGAGAGGCAGAGGAAAGAGTACCTGTCTGGGATGGAGAGCTGAAGTTCTATTCCTAGTTCTGGTAACATCGGGGTAACACCTGCATCCTCAGAAACATGCTGGATAAATAAATCTATTTCAGAATAAAGCAGGACAATAAATAAATATGGATAAATACATAAATAAATAGCGGATGAGTAGTAATGGAATAAACTAATCCCTGCTAATACTAGCTAACTCCTTGTACGTTTCCTTGTCAAAGTTTTAAAAATGCTCTAACCTGGGACCTCTGAGAGTGCTGCTAATGCAGAAAATTTTATAGATGCTAGCAGTGGAGGTATTTTAGGTCCATATTTTTTTACGTGGCCCCCTACCTGCCACTCTGTGATAAAGGGCCAAGCCCCTGTGCGTAAGAATAAGACCAGGCTTGGCTTCACAATCCAGAGTGTAGCGCCTGCCACAGCCAACAACTCTCTGTCTACACAACCAGTGTCACTGTTGTTATGATTATTTGTTGATGTGCTTCATGTCAACTTCCTTAACTTCTCTGAGATTCAGTTTCCTAAAGGGAGAGTCTTCCTTACAGGCCAGGATGAGGATTCAACATTTATGAAAAGAGTCTAGACCAGAGTTTGGTATCTAGAAAATATTTCCTACTTCGTAACTACATACCAAGATATAAATTAAGTACAATCTCAACTCTATCAGATTACATTGTGTTTTATTATGAATTGAAGATCAACTTTATGCCCAAAGATTTTAAGAATAGTGAAGATCAGAGAATCTTGGACATACTGCATTTTAGGTAAAAGAGAAATTGATTTTGTACATTCCAACTTGATATTCAATAGTCTGTGCAACTGAGAGATCTAATTATCAGATCCCACTAAATTTTACTTTTCTAATCAGCAAACTCTGTAATTTGTACACACACACACACACACACACACACACACCTGACATTTATTTATGGTGCTCAATAGCAGTGAATGAGAGAAGTAAAAGGAGAGATGATGTCACTCAGGCCTATCTGTAATCATTCCACGTTTGCCAAGTAAACTGATGAATACCAAAGTAAACAAGCTACACAGTAATTCTTTGATGACCAAGTAAACTGTGCTCTGGCCTGCTCAAACCTTTGGAATTTTGTCTTTCATTTGGGTAGTTTATGAAGCCAGATTACGACTTCTCCCAACATCATGTCATTTGGAATACATTAACTAAGAGACAGAAGGAGAACACAGAGACTAGCCACAGAAGCTTCTCTGATAACTAAATAATTATTTATTCCATTTTCTCCCCAACCCCAAAGGATTTTGATTATTTCACTGTGGACATGGAGAAAGGAGCCAAAGGATTTGGATTCAGCATTCGTGGAGGAAGGGAATACAAAATGGATTTGTATGTGTTGAGACTGGCAGAAGATGGACCAGCAATAAGGAATGGGAGGATGAGGGTAAGAACAGTCTCTTTTTATAGAATTGCTTAATTCTGAAAGAAAAACCGACTGTGGTATTGGAAGAGTACTGAAGCATGCTGTCAAGCGGGGTTGCTGTAGGTTTGCCCTCTTTCTAGTTGATGATGACCCAGTTTCTTAAAAGTCTGGCCACTTGCTATTTTATAATATCTCTCATTCTCATTTTTCTGCTTATGACCTTCTAATTGATTAACCTCAGTAAAGTACTATTTTTCTAAAGAGCAAATGAAAGAAATCTAAGAAATAGCTTGAAAAGGAAACATTATTTCTCCATAATTCTTTCTATGGTTTGATGATTCTGTTTTGATTAAGGTTGAATCTTTTGAAATTTATTTTTAGTTTTGTGCTTTTTCCCCCATATTGATTAATCACATGGTTTTGCGGGACTTTTAGGAAATTTTTCCTTTGTGTTGACTGGTCTTTTGGTTTGATACTGGGCAGACAGAAGCATTAGGAGTAAAAGGGATTTGGCTTCTTGGATACAGGTTGTTCTTAAAAATGACAGCAGGGGCCGGGCGTGGTGGCTCACACCGGTAATCCTAGCACTTTGGGAGGCTGAGGCGGGAGGATCACAAGGTCAAGAGATGGAGAACAACCTGGCTAACACTGTGAAACCCCATCTCTACTAAAAATACAAAAAAATTAGCCAGGCGTGGTGGCGGGCGCCTGTAGTCCTAGCTACTCAGGAGGCTGAGGCAGGAGAATCGCTTGAGCCCAGGGAGGCGGAGGTTGCAGTGAGCCAAGATCGTGCCACTGCACTCCAGCCTGGGCAACAGAGTGAGAATCTGTCTCAAGAAAAAAAAAAAAAAAAGACAGCAGCTAGAAATTTTCCAATTAAAGTTAAGAGTAGATTTTTTCATTTAATAATTACTTTGAGGCATCTGATTGATGGGTAACTGATTCTTCATTTAAGGGTATAAAACAAAGCTTGTTAACAATATAAAATATTAGTCTCTTTACTCTCTCTGTGTGTTTGTGTGTGTGTGTGTGTCGGTGTATGAATAAAATCTAGAATTTATTCTTGCCCTCCCTCCTGCCTCTTTAAGTTAATAAAGAAAAGCTGTGGCTTTGGGGTTCCGGAACCTCAGGTTCTTGTGCAGAGCCTCACCAACCAATTTTCCCTGATGGCTGAATCTGTTATTTCTACCACCAAGTCTGCATTTCTATGATACGCATTTCCAAGTCAGAGGATTATCCACAGTCCAAAAGCAGAAGGCATGCACATCATGTCTTTGTTTCTCCCCACTACCACAATCCTTTGACAGCTGGGAAGCATCCAAGTTGGAATTTAAACCCAGGCAGGGCTGACACCAGAGACTGGCAGCCCTCCCCGTGATCTAGCACCAGCCTCCTCTTACCCCGTCTAGCCCTGATTTGAAGATGGGCCTCCACATGGTTTCCTGGCTCTACAGCTTCCCTATAAGCCAGAAGGACACTTTCTTAACCTGCTATAAGGCCAGCTCACAAGCAGTTAAGTAAAACAAAATTAATCTTTCCAGTGCAGGTGAAACACAGTAGGAAGACCATGTGCAAAATGGCCAGAGCCCTGTGAGAGATAGAGACCCACGGTGGACTACAGGGCTGGTCTCTGTCGGTTACAAACAGTGGCCATGTATTTTCACAAGGGATCTAAATGACTCGCTGCTGGATATACACAGTACTCCCAAGGCAAAGAAGCCTAAATAGAGAAATACCCTTGCAGGAAAAGATTCCTCTTTCTTACAGAATTTAAGCCAGAGCAATGGTTCTCAGCACGGTTCCTGGCATCAGCATCACCTGGAAACTTGGTAGAAATGTAGATTCTCTAGCCCCACCCAAAACTGCTGAATCAGAAACTCTAGGAGTGGGGTCACCAGGCTATGTTTTAGGAAGCTCTTCAGGTGAAACTCTGAGGTTTTACCTTCCGAGGTTTTATTATAGATACCTGTGTCAACTGCAATCCAAAAATATTACATAAAATTTTTCAGAAATAAACAATTATAAATTTTAAATTGTGCAGCGTTGTGAGTATCGTGCTGAAATTTTGTCCTTCCCAGAAGGTGAAACAGCCCTTTATCCACACTGTAGATGCTACCTGCCCACTGGTTACTCAGCAGCCCTCTCGATTATCAGATTGACTATCATGGTATCGCACTGCCCGTGTTCAAGTAACCGTTGTTTTACTTAGTAATGGCCCCAAAGTGCAAGAGTAGTGATGCTGGCATTTTGTTATAATTGTTCTTTTTTTATTGTTTTTGATCCCTTGCTGTGTCTAATTTGTAAATTAAACTTTATCATAGATATATATAGGGAAAACAGTGTATATAGGGTTAGTTCTGCCTGTGATTTCAGGCATCCGCTGGAGATGTTGGAATATATGCAAGAGGTATGAGAGGGAGCTACTATATTCACTTTATCAAAAAACCAGTGGAGAGTAGCAAGTTTTGACTTTAATTATTATACTAGATGGTTTTTCAACATCAGTTAATACTGATGTATTAAAAGTTGAATAGATAAAACAAAACACAATCTGTGAATGCAGAAAATAAGGGGAATAATAAAAAGAGATATATCATTGTCACGTCTGCTTGCTTTTCTTCAGTCAGTCAAGAAGGCTGGTGTCATAAGAGAAACACAATGGACATTCAGATTTTAAGGAAAAGGATAATAAATTATTAGAAAATATTACTGGAGCTGTTTATAAAAAGAAGACTTACGTTTGTAAAATGGCCTAATAAAATTGGGAGGGATGAAATTTTCATAGCTAGTGAATAAAATCTCTGATACAAAGCTCCTAGGAATATAACCTAATTAAAAGCCAAAACTAAATAGAAAACACAGGCAAAAAATAATGAACATAAAAAATAATATTGGCAAAGCTCAGTAAAACAGGGAATGTAAGAAATCAGGAGACATTTGGAGGGAAAGAATAGAAATTCTAAGTGCTTAAATAAAAATCTGAGAGTCAAGTTAAAAGAGAAATCTGAAAGGAGATCGTTTGCTCTTAAAATGGTAAAATATTTTCCTGTTTCCATAAAAGTGTAATATAGTTCGCATTTCCATAAAATGTATTTTTATGATGAAAAAGAACATTATTTCATAACTTCATCACTTGCAGCTGGGTACCATTTGTGTATGCCTATTTAGCATCACATAAGCTTATTTATAAGATGGTTTACCTACTTTCTGAAACTCACATGATGCAAAAGTCTGCCTGCAATGGGCTTTGGAATGACTAAAACATTTTGTTCAACCAATCAATGCACAAAAAAATATCATTTGCCCATCTTTTTTTTAAAGGAAAAGCAACATTCCCTGAAATTAGCTTCTTCTAAATTTGTCACCTTTCCTTCTATAGACCAGATATAACTAGTCAATACAAAAGCATCTTGGTTTATATATTGTTTTTATTAAACATAAAACGATTTACAAGAATATTTCTAACATATGTAATAAGTGTAAATACTAACCATGATTCAAGGACCCATGAACCCATAGCCCCACTTAAAAAACAGAACATTACCAAGCTCCCATGATTTCATTCTCCTCCTACTCTCCAGCCCTCAGAGGGAACCACCTTCCTAAATAAAGCACTTGACATTTCTTCTGTTGTTACCACAGATGTGTGTATCTCTCAACTATAACCTTTAGCTTGGTGCACTTTGTGAACTTTATGTAACTGAACCATACTGTACATGTTCTTCTCTGTGGTTTGCTTTCTATATGTTATGTTCATGAGATTCATCCAAGGTTGGTGCATGAAGCTATAGTCCATTTATTTTTCACTGCTATAAGTTATTTCATTATGTGAATATGCTACAACCTATAATAATTATCTATTTTTCCATTTTATGGACATTTGAGATTTTCCCTGTCAATTTACACTTTGGTTGTTTCCAAGTTTGTTGTAACTCATACAATCTTTGTACATCTTTCCTGCTGTACCTATGCAAGACTTTCTCTAGACTAGACTAGATGCCTTGGAGGGCACAAATTTAACTTACCTAAGTAACACAAAAGTATTGTCCAAGGTGGTTTTACAAAGTTATACTTGTATTAGCATATGTAAAAAAGTTTTTCTTACTACACACACTCACAAGATTTGTACGTCAGACTTTTAAACTCTCATTCTGGTAGGTAGAAAATTATATATTTTAGATTTGGATTTGCATTTCTTGATTACAAATTCATATTCATCATTTTTTCTTATATTTATTAGACGTTCATGTTCTCTCTTAACTAAAAAATGCCTGTACATGTCTTTCCTCATTTTCTGTTGAATATTTCTTCATGTTGATTATAGAAATGCTTATATATTATTGGTGATCTTTTTCATCAATTAATGTGATACAGATATCTTATGCCAGCTTATGGCTTGCAGTTTCACTTTCTTTATGATGCTCTTTGATAATGAGAAAGTCTTAATTTTAGCGTAATTGGCTTAACCCTTTTTTTTTTTTTTATAGTTTCTGCTTTCTGTGTCTTGTTTGAGAAATCATTCTCCAAGACATGGTCTTAAACGTCTTCTCTTATATCTTCTTCTAAAAGTTGTATAGTTTTACTTTTTATATCTAAGTATTTAATCACCTACAGTTGATTTCTCTGTATGATATAAGGTAGAACCTCAATCTCAATTTTTCCATATGGATAACCACATGTCACAGCATCATTATTTTTTTTTTTTTTTTTTTTTGAGACGGAGTCTCGCTCTGTCGCCCAGGCTGGAGTGCAGTGGCGGGATCTCGGCTCACTGCAAGCTCCGCCTCCCGGGTTCACGCCATTCTCCTGCCTCAGCCTCCCAAGTAGCTGGGACTACAGGCGCCCGCCACTACGCCCGGCTAATTTTTTGTATTTTTAGTAGAGACGGGGTTTCACCGTTTTAGCCGGGATGGTCTCGATCTCCTGACCTCGTGATCCGCCCGCCTCGGCCTCCCAAAGTGCTGGGATTCCAGGCGTGAGCCACCGCGCCCGGTCCACAGCATCATTATTTAATGAGTATTTCTTTGTCCCACCCCCCACCAATCTGCAATGACAGCTCTATAATAAATTAAATTTCTATAAATGCAGTGGTCTGTATATGGATTCTTTATACTGTTCTACTAGTCTATTTGTCTATCCCTGCATCAATGCCATACTTAGCTACCTTTTAATGAGTGTTGAGTTTTGTATGGGGAAACTTTCTCTCCCCCAGACACACATCTTAATTCTTCAGTGGTGTTGGGATGTTCTTGGGCTTTTGCCCTTCCATATAATTTTAGAATTTTCTTGTCAAGTGTTTTTGTTTTTGTTTTGAGACAGGGCCTTGCTCTGTCGCCTGGGCTGGAGTGCAGTGGCACAATCTCGGCTCACTGCAAGCTCCGCCTCCTGGGTTCACACCATTTTCCTGCCTCAGCCTCCTGAGTAGCTGGGACTACAGGCACCTGCCACCACGCCCGGCTAATTTTTTTGTATTTTTAGTAGAGACGGGGTTTCACCGTGTTAGCCAGGATGGTCTCAATCTCCTGACCTCGTGATCCGCCCACCTCGGCCTTCCAAAGTGCTGGGATTACAGGCATGAGCCACTGTGCCCGGCCACTTGTCAAGTTTCTAAAAAATCCTGTTAGAATTTTATTGGAATTGCTTGAAATCCATGTATAAATATGGAAAAATTTACATCTTTATAATATCGAGTCTTTCCATGAACATGATGTAATCCATTTATGTAGATTTTCCATAAAGTGCTTAAAGTTTTATAGCTTTTTCCATAACATACCTGCAAATATCTTAGACTGATTCTCAGGTACTTTTTGTGTTTTATTTTTACTCTTGAATACAGTATTTTTAAATCTTTACACAAATACATGTGTTGAGTGAATATATGCTTTTACTATTTTTAACCCAGTCTTCTTTTCTTCATTTTTTTAAGAGCGGTTTTAGGGTCACAGCAAAATTGAGAAGAAGGTGCAGAGATTTTCCTTATACTCCCTGCCCCACACATGCACAGCCTCCTCTCTATCAACATTTCCCACCAGACTGGTATATTTGTTACAATGGACAAATAAGTATTGATACATCATTATCACCCAGAGTCCATAGTTTACAGTATGGTTCAGTCTTGGTGTTGTACATTCTTTTTTTTTTTTTTTTTTTTTTTTTTGAGGAGTCTCACTCTGTCACCCAGGCAGGAGTGCAGGGGCACAATCTTGGCTCACTGCAACCTCCGCCTCCCAGGTTCAAGCAATTCTCCTGCCTCAGCCTCCCAAGTGGCTGGGACTGCAGGCACTAACCACCATGCCCGGCTAATTTTTTTGTACTTTTAGTAGAGACGGGGTTTCACCGTGTTAGCCAGGATGGTCTCTATCCCCTGACCTCATGATCTGCCTGCCTCAGTCTCCCAAAGTGCTGGGATTTACAGGCGTGAGCCACTGCCCCCGGCCGGTGTCGTACATTCTATGGGTTTGGACAAATGTATAATGGCATGTATCCACATTATAGTATCATAAAGAGTATTTTTACTGCTCTAAAAATTCTCCGTGTTCCACTATTCATTCCTCCCTCCCCACTAACCCCTGGCAACCACTGATCTTTTTACTGACTGCAGAGTTTTGCCTTTTCCACCATGTCATATAGTTGGAATCATACAGTATGTAGTAGCCTTTTCAGATGGACTTCTTTCACTTAGTAGTATGCATTTAACTTTCCTCCATGTCTTTTAATGGCTTAACAGTTCATTTCTTTTAGTGCTGAATAATATTCCATTGTCTGGATGCACTACTGATTTTGGCAATTATGAATAGAGCTGCTATCAATATTTGTGTGCAGATTTTTGTGTGGACATAAGTTTCCAAGTTCTTTGAGTAAAAACCAAGGAATGCAATTGCTGGATCATATGATACAAGTATGTTGAGTTTTGTAAGAAACAACCAGCAGTCTTCCAAATTGGCTATACCATTTTACATTCCCACCAGTGACGATTGAGAGTTTCTGTTTCTCCATATCCTCATCAGCATTTGGTTCCGTCATTGTTATGGATTTGGGCCATTCTGATAGGCATGCAGTGGTATCTCATTGTTGTTTTAATTTACATTTCCTCGATGGCATATGATGTGGAGCATCTTTTCATATGCTAATCTGCCATATGTATATCTTCTTTGGTGAGGTATCTGTTAAGGTGTTTGGCCCACTTTTTATCAGGTTATTTTTCTTTTTATTGTTGAGTTTTAAGAGTTCTTTGTACATTTTGGATAACAGTCCTTTATCAGATACATCTTTCATAAATATTTTCTCCCAGTCTGTGGCTTGTCCTTTTATTCTCTTGACAGTGTCTTTTGCAGAGCAGAAATTTTTAATTTTAATGAAATCCAGCTTCCTAATTATTTCTTTCATAGATTATGCCTTTTGTGTCATATCTAAAAAGTCATTGCCAAATCCAAGGTCTTATAGATTTTCTGCTATGTTATCTTATAGGAGTTTCATAGTTTTGCATTTTACATTTAGATCGGGATCCATTTTGAGTTAATTTTTGTGAAAGGTGTTTTGGTCTGTGTCTCGACTCATTTTTTTTGCATGTGGATGTCCAGTTGTTCCAGTACCATTTGTTGAGATAACTATTTTTTCTTCATTGCATTGCCTTTGCTCCTTTGTCAAAGATTAGTTGACTATATTTATGCAGGTCTATTTCTGTCTATTCTGTTCCATTGATCTATTCGTCTATTCTTTCACCAATACCACACTGTCCTGATTACTGTGGCTTTATAGTAAGTCTTGAAGGTAAGTAGTGTCAGTCTTCCAACTTTATTCTTCTCCTGGCTATAGTATTTTTAATGTCATTTTAAAATTAACTGTTAACCAGTGAAGAGAAAGGCAACTGAATTTTGTATATTGATCAATTATATCAGGCAAAATTCACTGAACTCTCTTATTACTTCAAATAATTTATCTGTACCTACCTCTGGATTTTCTGCATAAAAATCACATTTTCTCTAATTAGAGTTTTGAGGTTTTTTTCCCTTTAAGTCCTTTTATTTCTTTTTTTTAAATTTCATTGGCTTGGCTTACTGTATGATGCTGAATAGAAGTGGTCAAAGCAGGCACTTTTGTTTATTTCTAATCTTAAAGAGAATGCTTTTTAAAATTTCATTAAACATGATGTTTAATAGGTTTTTATAGATAACCTTCAACAGATTAAAGATGTTTTCTTCTATTACTAGTTTGCTAGGAGAGTTTATTATGAGTAGATGTTGAATTTTGTCTACTTTTTCTGCATCCATAGACAATACCATCTGATCTTTTTCTTTTATATGGTAATTAATATGATTAATCATATTAAAGGATTTTTATGGTTCAATTACTCTTGAGTTCCTGGGATGAGCCCTATTTATTCATGATGTATCATTTTTATGCATTGATCAATTCAATTTTCTGTTATTTCCTTTAAGATTTTTATATCTATGTTATTGAGTAAGATTGGCCTATAATTTTCTTGTAGTATCTTGGAAAGATTTTGATATTAATGTTACCCTAACCTTATAAAATGAGAAATAGAATAATCCTTTTTGTTGCTGTTGTTTACAGTTGTTGTCTGGGAAAGTTTATGTATGTTTTGAATTATCCTTGAATGTTTGGTGGAAGACACCTGCAAACTCATCCAGATCTAGTATGTTTTCTTCATGTGAAAGTTTTAGTTCACTAATTATGTTTCTAAATAATTATCTTCAGATTTTCTATTGCTTTTTAAGTCTATTCTGATAAACTGCTTTTCTTCCTAATAATTTACCTATTTCATCTTAGTTTTCAAACTTTTTATATCATTTTTATTTTTATCTTATTTCATTTTTGAGACAGGATCTTTCTTTGTCACTCAGGCTGGAGTGCAGTGGTACAAACATGGCTCACTGCAGCATCAACCTCCTGAGCTCAAGTAATCCTCCCACCTCAGCCTCCCAAGTAGCAAGGACCACAGGTGTGCACCACCACACCTGGCTGATTTGTTTCTTTCATGTAGAGATGGCTCTCACCACGTTGCCTAGGCTGGTCTCAAACTTCTGGGCTCAAGCAATACTACTGCTTCAGCCTCCCAAAGTGCTAGGATTACAGATGGGAGACATCACACCTCACCTGCCTGCTATTTTTAATGTTTGGGGTATTTGTATTTGTGTCTGTTTCATTTGACTACTGTTCTGGTATTCCATTTTTCTTTATTAATCATGCCAAAGATTGTTCAATTTTCTTTTATTCTTTTCAGAGAGTCAGCTTACATATTTGTCTTCTTGCTTATTCATTTCTGTTTTTATACTTAATATTTCATTCCATCCATTCTTTCTGGGTTTACTCTGTTGTTCTTCTTTTTTTTTTTTCCTAAGTTGGATGCTTAGAGTAGTAGTTCTTAGGCTTTCTTCATTTCTATTAAAATACAAATTTAAGGCTGTAGATTTAATATGTAGTATGTTCATTAAGTTCCAAATACATTCTAATTTCCACTGTGATTTCTTCTTTGACTCATGAATTATTTAGAAGGTGTTTTTGTTTTTTTATTTCTGACTGTATGGGGATTTTCTAGTTAGTTTTCTACTCTTAATTTGTCTTCAGAGAAAATACTCCACAAGATTTCAGTCTTTCAATTTTGTTGCAACTTGCTACAAACTTGGCCTAACATGTTGCATTTTTTATATATGATCCATGTGTGCTTGGAAAGAATGTGCATTCTGCAATTGTTGAGTGCTGTGTTGTATAGATTTGTTCATTGGATAAGGTTTGGTTATTGAACTATTCAGCTATTTTATAGTCTTACTAATTTTTATCTATTTGATCTATTAAATACTGGGGTAGGTTCTTAAAAATCTTTGCTAATGGTTTTGCAAATTTTTCTTTGAAAAGCAGTTGACTTTTTTTGATGGAAATGGGGCCTCACAATGTTGCCCAGGCTGGTCTTAAACTCCTAAGCTCAAGCAATCCTCCTGCCTCAGCCTCCCAAAGTGCTGGGATTACAGGCATCAGCCAACACACCCAGCCTGAAGAGCTATCAACTTTTACTTTGTATGCTTTGAGGACATGTTTTTTGGTACTCAGGTTATTTCTTTTATTTTCCAGGTGAATCAATCCTTCTCATTATGTAGTGACCTACTGTATCTCTGTCAATGCTTTTTGCTTTAAAGTTGGTCTGATATTATTATAAGCATGCTAGTTTTCTTTGGTATGTCTCTTTTATCCTTTTGCTTTTAACCGTTCTGTGTCTTTATACTGTATGTGTTTCTCTGGCCTATTAACCTGGATTTTTTATATTTTAACAATATATTTCACCATGGTCATTTCAGTCAATTTACATTAATTTTATTTACTTATACTTGTATTTAATTCTATCATTTTTGTTCTTTTCCTATTAGTTTCACTTATTCTATCTTACCCTTTTTATTTTTTCAACTCTCTTTTGAATTGTTCTTTGGGGTTCCGGTTCATGCAAGGATCTCCTATTAGACTTTCCATTTGTAGCCCCTAAGCTGATTTTCTATCATTATTGCCTAGTCATCAAAATGGAAACTCAAGGTTCCCAGGAATCAGCAGTTATTTTCTGGCTACAAGCTGCCTTTTGTACTTGTTTACCTTCCAGGAGTCTTATTCTCACTTTGCTTTTGGCATCAGATGATTCTTTACTTTCTTCCCTATTCAGCAATGGTAAGGTTAGGGAATCTAATCCACCATATTGCCATAAACAGCAGTTAGTAACATTTACCTTTAACGACCAAGTTACAGTAGCTGCAACCACTTCCAGCTTTAGAGCTGGCAGTTGCCCCCTCTCACAGTGTGTCCACAGAGGAACCCCAGAGGGTGCCTCCCGTGTGCCCGCCGCATTCATTCTGTAGCATACGTCCTTATCTTCCTCTCCAGCTCCAGTCCCCACTTGTGTGAGTCCCATGTCCACAAAGTCACTAATGAGTTCTTGCCACTGCCACACAGTCCTGCCTGAGAACACACTCCACAGTCAAGGGGCTGGTACTGTGATCCCTAGGGCTCCCTCATGCACTCCTGGGTCCCGGGCACAGAGAAGCATGGTCCCCTCCACCCTGCCACACACTGTCACCTCAGCACTGCAGAATCCCATTTTATCTTCCTCAGGACCCAGGTGGCTTGTCTGGGCCATAAATGTGCAGGCCTGCCTGGCTGGAGGCTTTGCCTGGACTGGGGAGGAGCTTCTTCATAGCTTGCTCATATCCTGCCACTGGGATTGAATGGCATGGCATACAGTCTGGAAATAATATGCCCCTGAGTTCAGAGAAACAAAGCATTGAGGCTGATTCCCTTAACAAAGACTGTCACGTGGGCACAGAATTTCCCAGTGGGAAAAAGTTGGGTAAAACAGTGTTATATACCCATTGGTGAGTTTATCTGTTTGAGGACTCCAGTCATTGGTGCATGATTTACATCTACTTCATTTATTTCAATCACCTAAGATACTTTCACTGATCAGCTCTCTTAAGCTCACTCTATTTCTTCCTTGCCCTGAAGACTTGCTTAGAGGAAAATTCTTACCTGTCATAGTGACTTTCTTGTCCATTTGTTTTCCTCCCTTGTAAGGAAATAACGAGCTAGTAAAAAGAGCAGGAGCCTGACAGACATATTCAAATACTGGCTCAACAACTCACTGGCTGTCTAGCTCTGACCTGAACAAGTTACCCTGTCAGGGGCTCACAGCTGCTCTATAGCTTTGATCAAATACCAGGTCCTCCTGAGCAGCAGGATCAGTTGAGTCAACTCTAGCAATTAGTGGAATGATAGCTTGTCCTCATATCCTGAAAGTAATTTCACAGAGAGTCAATTTTACTGATCTAATCAATGGGAATAATATTTCCAGGAAGGGTAAAGTGCCTAGTTCAATATTTCTGAAATTTCTTCTATTCTTCTACTCTCTTGTTCTCCCCAAGGCCTGTACTGTTATTTATTAAAATACAGGCATGCATCTCTTGATGACAGGGATACATTCTGAGAAATGCATTATTAAGTGATTTTGTCATGCAACTATCAAAGAAGTACACTTACAAAAACCTAGATACTATAGCCTCCTACACACCAGGTTACAGCTCCTACCCACCAACCTATAGCTCCTAGGCTACAAACCTGGACAGCATGTTATTGTACTGAATACTGTAGGCAATTTTAACACAGTAGTATTTGTATATCTTAACATATCTAAACATAGAAAGGGTAGAGTAAAAATATCATATTAAAATATTATGGGACTACCATCACATATGCAGTCCACTGTTGATCAAAACATCATTATGTGGTGCACGACTGTACTCACTACTCAGCACAGAGGTACGGAGAGCATCTTTTAAGTAAGTATGTATGTCAAGAGGCTACAAAAGCTTTCAAATACAAATCAACTTGTATTTTCCTCCCCTCAGCCTGCTAGATAAGATGGTTCCTTTTCAAAACACTCATCTGATCTATCTGCTTACTGTTTAAAACCCTTCCATGGCACCCCATGGTCTTTCAGATTAAAGATCAGACCCTCATCACAAGGCTGCCAGGCCCTGCGTGTTCTATCCCCAGTCCCCCTCCCTGCGTGTTCTATCCCCAGTCCCCCTCCCAGCTCATCTCACACAGCTCCTCCATCCCTTGCTCTGTTATCCCACCAACCAGTCTCTCTCCCCATGCTTCTTCCTGCCCATGGGGCTTTTGCACATGTTGCTCCCTCTTCCCAAAAGGCTCTTCCCCCACCCGTTCCCCTGGGTAAGTCCTCCTCATCCTTCACATCCCACTTCAAGCATCACTTCCTCAGAGAAGACTTCCCCGTGCTTTCCAGTTGGGTCTCATCCACCTGTCATTGGCTGTCCCAGAAACAGGCACATCTTCTTCATAGCATTTGTCGCAGTGATAATTTTACATATTTGTGTCTGATCACTTTATGAAGTCTGTCTTTCCAGAGCATAAGCTCTGCAAGAGCAGGAATCATGTTGCTCTGGGCTGCCCACTATACCCCAGGGCCCAGGGCTGTGTACCTGGGGCACTCAGTAAATATTGACTGCTGAATGCATACGTGAACAGAAGCTGTCAAAGTACAGAACACTGCAGTTGTGTTTTCCAACTCTGCACATTCACTAGCTGTGCTTTTCAAGTCCATGGCCACAAAGATACCTGATGAACCAGGACATGGGATTGCGCAGGTAACTGACTATATGAATATATGTGGCAATTCAGTCTAACTCGCAGTCAGCTTTTTTTATAACGTGCCTCACTGTAAATACATCGTCCCTGTTCAGATATGCCTAACTAAGATTTTGCAGAATCAGTGAGGTTGTATATGCAAAACCCTATTGTGCCTAGCATTAAGAAATGCCTTTAATCTTAAACTAGGTGACATTCCAAGACTTGTTTCCCTTATATGTAAACTATCTCTCACCAAACGTGGATGACAAGGAAAGAATGGAAATAAAGTAAAATAAGGTCAAACAGTAAATAATAAAGAACTTCAAAAGCACTGGGTATGCAAAACATGACAGAATAAAAGTTACAAAACAGGTGTGCTGGAGGCTAGTAGAAAAGGTACACAGGAAAGCAGTGCAATCTGAATGATGTGAAAGCCAGAGCTTAGCAGAATATACCAACCCCACAGAGCTAAGCCCCTCCAGGTCAATGCAGACAAATGACCTAAGGAAGTTGATGAAATCAAAAGCATGAGAGAAGAGAGATAACAAGTACATAAGAGGGAAATAAAGCAGCCTGTCTAGAGAAATAAAGCAATTGTATGGGCTCAGGTAGATCATTTCGAGGGCCCTGCATTGCAAAGATCGTCCACCCAATGTTTTATCACGTCTGGGTGCTGAAATTCAGCCAACCCTGAAAGCTCTTCTCTGCATACAGCGTGCCTCTTTACAAGCCATCCCAAAGACCATTTCGTCCAGATGCCTGGTTGTCTCTCAGCCATCACTCTTAATCATCCTTCAGATTGTCTGCAAATATGAGTTCTTTTCCCTTTATTGTCTGGCCCTGCTCCATGCCTTTTACGAAGGAAAAGAAAAGCCTCTCACAGAGATCAAATCCATTACCTTTTTCTTTTCAGAGTCTGACCTATGAGCACTGTGTTAAATGAGTTACACGAGCTGCTTGCAGCAATGAGGGAGAGCGTGGTGTTGATTAGAGAAGAGAGCCATGGGGAGCTCCATTGTCAATTATTCAGGGGCTCATTACCTCACATGAGGAGGACTCCATTTCTTTGCTCTGTTTCTTCTTCTAGTAGATGCCCAACTTTGAACCATTTCAAAAGCATCTTCCCATGAGGGCTAGTTAAAGGTTTGGTAAGGAATCAAAGGGCTGAGATTGCATCTTGGCATGGAAAGACATAGAAAGGAATTGAATACATTAGAAGTGTGAGGAGAGTCTTTGATTTTAATTATTCATGGTGGGGGCCGGTGCCTATGGAAAAGAACGAGAAAGTTTACAAACCACTGCTGTGATCTGAAAAAATACACTTTACTTGCCTCTTCAGTGAGGAGAAGGGTTGTATCATTTTCTCTTTTAAGCTTAACCGTAATTTTTCTGTCTTTGCCTGAGAATAAATTACAATTTCTTCCCTCTTCATTTTTACAAAGCAGTGTTTACGCAAATTTGCTCTCTGCTTGAGATTCTTTGTCATTCCATCTCTCCCCCAGACCTAAAGCTTCTGGCAGATGAGCAGGGGAGTCACTCAGTTTGCCCAGTTACCTTCTACTTTCCATTTTCATCAGAAAATGGATATGAAATGCACCTTGATCATGATTCACACAGGATTTGGTTTGCATGGCAGAGCGACTCAGAAGCTATGGAGAGCTGGGTACTGTATTCTTAAATGTGAATCTCAGGCCATTCACGTTTCTTCTTTGGGGTGCCCAGAAGTGTTCTCCTGATTGGCAGTCACCATTGTCAGACCCTGTCCCCTTCTTTCTTTGTGGCTGCTTCCTAGCTCTGGCTGTGTTGAACTCAGAGATGGCATTGCTCCTGCCTGTGGAACATTGCTGCTTCCTTCTCCAGGTTGAAAAGATCTGACTCCTGCATGGTTCAACTTGACAAAATATTTCTTTTTTAATAAATACAAGTAGAGCCCATACAAAGGGAGAATTAAGTACTTCTCCATATGGGGATCACCCCTGCTGGGTCCCGTAATAAAACAGCACAATTCCCAAGGCAGGCTTATGTCTCATTATTTGGTCAAGCATGGTGCGGGGAAGAGGTAGGGACTGACATTCCTCATAAATGCCTAGCCTGAATTTCCAACTGCCTATTGGATGTTCAGCGCATTCATTTTTCATCTCAGACCAGTCACGAGTTGTTGTTATGCCATCTTAATGCCATCTTAGTGTCCCATGTCTTTGTGTAATTATCTGCCTGAAGGATGCATATACCCCTGGTCTTTAGGATGGTATCAGCTGAATTAGTCTCTTGTGGAAGAAAAAGACTCCTCAACCTAGTAGCATGACTGTGCTTGTGTATGAGACCTTGGGAGAAGAATGAAAGCCCAGAAAGGGAAGTTAAGGGCAGATGTAAGTAAGCAAAAAGACAAATTAATGAATATTGGAAAGAGGTTGTTTTCAAATACTGCCTCCCTTGCTTTAGAAAGGGAACAGCCAGGAAAACTGGAAAATGTACTTCTATCAGGGAATTAGGAATTGGAGAACAGGGAATTGGGGGCAAGCTCCCGAGTCAGTGCTCACAATTAACTACTTAACTAGGGGGCGTGCTCAGGCCTGAGCAGGGGCTGGCCTGAAATAAGCCAGTACACCTTGCTTCAGTCTGTGTCTTTCTGGAAATGGGCACATACATTTAGGAAATATAAGTCAGGTCTCAAATTATGCATTCTTTCATTTCATTCCATTGCCACTGCCACAATACAGACCCTTGTCTTTGCTATCCTGAACTGTTCCAGTAGCTAGATGGGTCCCACTAGCCTCAAATTTCTCCTATTCATGCTTCCTACAACTACCAAAATTGTATTTCTAAATCACAGGTGTAATTAAATCACTTGTTTCCTCAAAAGTCTTCAACAGCCTGCCTTTGCTTGCAGGATAAGATCTAACTAGGTTCACAAGTTTTTTTGTTTTGTTTTGTTTTGAGACGGAGTCTTGCTATGTCTCCCAGGCTGGAGTGCAGTGTCGCCATCTCAGCTCACTGCAACCTCCACCTCCCGGGTTCAACTGATTCTCCTGCCTCAGCCTCCCAAGTAGTTGGGACTACAGGCACGTGCCACCACGCCCAGCTAATTTTGTGTATTTTTAGTAGAGACAGGGTTTCACCATTTTAGCCAGGATGGTCTCGATCTTCTGACCTCGTGATGCACCCACCTTGGCCTCCCAAAGTGCTGGGATTACAGGCGTGAGCCACAGGATTTTCTTTTTTTTTTCTTTTTTCTTTTTTTTTTTTTTTTTTTTTTTTTTTTTTTGAGACGGAGTCTTGCTCTGTCGCCCAGGCTGGACTGCAGTGGCTCGATGTCGGCTCACTGCAAGCTCCGCCTCCTGGGTTCGCGCCATTCTCCTGCCTCAGCCTCCCGAGTAGCTGGGACTACAGGCGCCCGCCACCACGCCCAGCTAATATTTTGTATTTTTAGTAGAGATGGGGTTTCGCTGTGTTAGCCAGGATGGTCTCAATCTCCTGACCTCGTGATCCGCCCGCCTCGGCCTCCCAAAGTGCTGGGATTACAGGCATGAGCCACCGCGCCCAGCCCGGATTTTCTTTAAAAGGCCTTCTACAGCCTAGTCCCATGCCATTTTCCATCCTTGTATGCTACTCTATTCCTCCAATTTATACCAACCATTGCTGTTTCCAGGACACACACGATGTATATATTGATAATATATCATGTTACATATATTGATATATATAGATATAGATATATTGATATCTTCCTCTAGGTTTGGGAAGTTCTCTGTTATTATCCTTTTGAGTATATATTGTGTATATACACACAAACACATATATACACACACTCACGTATATACACTCACATATGTGTGTGTATACACACACATATATACACTCACATATGTGTGTGTATACACTCACATATATGTGTGTATACACACACACACACACACACACACACATACAGAGAGAGAGAGAGAGAATGAGAGAGAGAGAGACCGACCCCAATATAACAGCAGGTGGAAATCTCAACACCCTGCTTTCAGCAATGGACAGATCATCCAGACAGAAAATCAAAAAAGAAACACTGAACTTAATCTGTACTATAGACCAAATGGACTTAACAGATATTTACAGAAGACTTCATCTGACAGCTGCAGAACACACATCCTTCTCTTCAGCACATGGATCATTTTCAAGAATAGACCATATGTTAGGCCACAAAACAAGTCTTAAAAAATTCAAACAAATTGAAATTGTATCAAGTATCTTCTCACACCACAGTAGAATAAAACTGGAAGTCAGTAACAAGAGGGACTTTGGAAACAATACAAATGCATGGAAATTAAACAATATGCTCCTGAATGACCAGTGGGTAAATACAAAAATTAATAAGAAAATTAAAAAATTTCTTGAAACAATAAAAATGGAAACACAGTATTCTAAAACCTATGAGATACAGCAAAAACAATATTAAGAGGAAAGTTTATAGCAATAAGTGCCTGCATCAAAAAAGTAGAAAAACTTCAAATAAACAACCTTACAAAGCATCTTAAAGAATTAGAAAAGCATGACAAAATCAAACCCAAAATTAGTAGAAGAAAGGAAATAATAAAGATCAGAGCAGAAATAAATAAAATTGAAACCAAAAAAGGATACAAAAGGTCAACAAAATGAAAGCTTGGTTTTTTGAAAAGATAAACAAAATCAATACTAAGAAAGAGGGAAGACCCAAATAAATAAAATCAGAGATGAAAAAGGAGACATGACTACTGATACCACGGAAATATAAAGGATTATTAGAGATTACTATGAATAGCTATATACTAATAAACTGGAAAACCAAGAAGAAATGGATAAATTCCTAGACATCCATAACCTACCCAGATTGAACCTTGAAGAAATCAAAATCCTGAATAGACCAGTAACAAATAATGAGATTGAGGCTGCTAAAAAGTTTCCATCTGAAAAAGAAACCAAGAAAGTAATCTCATTTACAAAAGCTTCAAATAAAATAAAATGCCTAGAAATAAACTTAACCAAAGAACTGAAAGATCTCTACAATGAAAACTATAAAACATAGATGAAAGAAATTGAAGAGGACACACACAGGAAATGTTTTATGTTCATAGATTGGAAGAATTAATATAGTTAAAATGTCCATACTACTCAAAGCAACCTACAGATTCAATGCAATCCCTATCAAAATACCAATGACATTCTTCAGAAAAATAGGGAAAAAATTCTATATTTATACTGAATCACAAAAGACCTAGAGTAGGCAAAAGCCATCCTGAACAAAAAGAATAAAACTACAGGGGTCACATTATTCAAATTATACTACAGAGCTATAGTAACCAAAACAGCATGGTACTGGCATAAAACTAGACACATAGACCAAAGGAACAGAATAGATAACCCAGAAATAAATCCAGATATCCACAGGGAATTCATTTCAAGAAAGGTGCCAAGAACATACATTGGGGAAAGGACAGTCTGTTCAAAAATGGTGCTGGGAAAACTGGATATCCATATGCAGAAGAATGAAACTAGACCCTTATCTTTTGCCATATACAAAAATCAAATCAACATTGACTAAAGACTTAAATTTAAGGCCTGAAACTATGAAACTACTAAAAGTAGTTGGGGAAACTCTACAAGACATTGGTCTGGGCAAAGATTTCTTGAGTAATACTTCAGAAGCACAGAAGACCAAAATAAATACAGACAAATGGGATCACATCCAGTTAAAAAGTTTCTGCACAAAAAGAAAACTATCAAGAGAGTGAAGAGACAACCCACAGAATGGGAGAAAATATCTACAAACTGTCTACCTGACAAGGGATTAATAACCAGAATGTATATGGAGCTCAAACAACTCAACAGGGGAAAGTAAAATAATCCTATTAAAAATGGGCAAAATATCTGAATAGACATTTCTAAAAATAAAATATATACAAATGGCAAACAGGTATATGAAAAAAATGCTCAACATCATTAATCATCAGAGAAATGCAAATCAAACCTACAATGAGATATCATCTCACCCCAGTTAAATGGCTTTTATCCAAAAGATAGGCAGTAACAAATGCTGGTAAGGATGGGGAGATAGGGGAACGCTTGTACACTGTTGGTGGGAATGTAAATTAGCATAACCACTGTGAATAACTGTGTGGAAGTTCCTCAAAAAACCCCCTAAAAGTAGAACTATATGATCCAGAAATCCTGCTGTTAGGTACTCAAAAGAAAGGAAATCAGTGTATTTTAAGAGATATGTGCACCCCCTTGTTTATTACAGTGGTATTCACAATAGCAAAGATTTGGCATCAACCTTAAGTGTCCGTCAATGGATGAATAAAAAAATGTGGTACATATACAGAATGGAATACTATTCAGCTACAGAAAAAGGAATAAAATCCTGTTGTTTGCAACATGAATGGAACTGGAGGAAATTATGTTACATGAAATAAGCCAGGTACAGAAAGACAAATTTCTCATGTTATTACTTATATGTAGGAGCTAAAAATTAAAACAATTGAACTCATGTAGACAGAGATTTGAATGATAATTACCGGAGACTGGGAAGTGAAGCAGGCAGAAGGGGGAAAAGTGGGGATGGTTAATGGGTACAAAAATACAGTTAGATAGAATGATGAAGATCTAGTATTTGATAGCACAACAGGGTGACTATAGTCAACAATAATTGATTGTAGTTTTAAAAATATAAGTAGAATTGAAATGTTTCTGATACAAAGAAATGATAAATTCTTGGAGTGATTGATACCCCAATTACTCTGATGTGATTATTACACATTGTATGCCTGTATCAAAACATCACATGTATCCCATAAATATATGCACCTATAATGTACCCATAACAAAAATAAAAAATAAAAAAAGGAAAATACAACAATAACAATAGAAAAGTGGCGAAGAGGCAACACGCATATCACAGAAGAGGAAAATGAATGATTCAAACATATGAAAAGATGTTCATTACTAACTAGAAAGAAAATTAAAACCATAATGATATACTATTATGTTTTTCATTTCCACCATAATAATAGAAATGTATATCAATTTTATATCAAATGATGACAAAGATATAAAGCAACAAGGACTCATATCCTGCACATAGAAATACACAATATGCTACAAACACTTTGGAAAATTTCCTTGCATTATTTTGCAAAGTTGAAGTTGCTCAGACCCCAGGACCTATCAAATCTGTTCTCAGGGATATACTTGAGAAAATCTTGCACATGTGTATCAGGAGACCTTTAGAAGAATGTCTGTAACAGCAATGTTTTCAACAGTAAAAAACTGGAAATGACCCTAATGACCATCAACAAGAAAATGGTTACTTAAGTTAGTATTTATATAACAGGAAACTATTCAGCAGTGAAAATGAATACACTATAGTAATATACGTTAACGCCAGTAAATTTCACAATGTTGAGCTAAAAAAATCAAGGGAATATAAACAATGTCTATAAAGTTTAAAAAATGTGAAGCTAAGCAATATATTATTGAGGGATATAGCCATATATTATAAACTATGAGGAAAAGCAAAGGAATGATAAACAGAATTCAGAAGAGTAACTTCTGGGAGATGAGGTGGGAGGGAGGAGACACATTGTTCTATTTGTTAAGGCGGTTAGTGATTGCATGGGCATTTATTTACTATTGTTGTTTAAGCTGTATATATATATTCTATAATCTCTTTTCTACTTTGATATATTTCATAATAAAGATATAGCAAACAGTGTGCTATTGGAGTGCTGATGAGGGAGCACTTCATCTGAAAGGAGGTGGGAGTGGGAGATGAGAGGCAGGGATCCGTGAAGGCTTCATGGTGTAGTCAGAACTGGTTCTTGAAACATGAGGAGGGTTTTAAGGATAGAAATGGACAGAGAGGAGCTTCCACTGGGAAGAACAGGATGAGGAAAGACTTAAAAGTGTGAAATGGCATTGTGTGTCCTGGAAACAGCAATGGTTGGTATAAATTGGAGGAATAGAGTAGCATACAAGGATGGAAAATGGCATGGGACTAGGCTGTAGAAGGCCTTTTAAAGAAAATCCGGGCTGGGCGCGGTGGCTCATGCCTGTAATCCCAGCACTTTGGGAGGCCGAGGCGGGCGGATGACGAGGTCAGGAGATTGAGACCATCCTGGCTAACACAGCGAAACCCCATCTCTACTAAAAATACAAAATATTAACTGGGCGTGGTGGCGGGCGCCTGTAGTCCCAGCTACTCGGGAGGCTGAGGCAGGAGAATGGCGCGAACCCAGGAGGCGGAGCTTGCAGTGAGCCGACATCGAGCCACTGCAGTCCAGCCTGGGTGACAGAGCGAGACTCCATCTTGTTGAACAGCCCCTCTCCCCATCCTGTCCTTTTCAGAAGTTCTCATGAGCTGCTCCCCTGCTCCATTCCTCACAAGCACAGCCAGGGAACAGGGCCCCTAGATATCAGGGGCATTAGTAATGGCCAGCCACTTTGTTTTGTTTTGGTCCCCAGTAATTACACCTCCCAGGAGTATTGTAGAAGCCCAAGAGAGGCCCCACCAGAGCAGAGCTGATCCCAGGCTGTGTTCAGGTAATCCACCGTAGCTCAGATATCACAAATCATGGAGAGGTATTTGTTGTGTTTTGGAGTGCCAGTTTTCTTACCTACACATTGCCAGTAAAATGAAAATTCGAGTGGATTCACTTTGCTTTTCAACTACTAGAGTGAGTTAAAATGGCACTAAATACAAGTATAAAGTTCTTTTCTGAATCATGCAAGCATGAAAGGGAAATATTTCAATTCATAGCCTCGATAAATTCATGTGCACTGTACTTTTTCCATGCTTTCAATTCTGAGCAATTGAACATGTATTTATTCATTACATACCAGAATAAACATTTCTAGAATATGCAGACAGACACTGTGAGGCACTGTGGGAGGCAGAGTAGTATACGGGAAAGAGCCTGGGTTTGGGCAGAGCCCAACTTCGTCACTTACTAGCCGGGTAACCTCAGCTTCCTCATCACAAAAGAAAGGTCAATGCATACCTACCTTGCAGAGTTTTTGTAATAATTAAACAAGGTAATTAATATAAGTGCCTAACACTACCTCATGTGTTCTAGGGCATTAATAAATTGTTGCAAGTATGATGATGATGAAAAAGAGAGGGAAGTGTCGGAAGGATCATTAATTATGATAAAATGACTCAATCCCTACTCTTTGGAAATATATACTTCATGTCTGTATAGATCAATAACTCAGAAACAAGGCTGACTACAAATGAGAACTATAATTATCACAACCATATTTTCAAAACCAAAAATTAAAATGTGATCTGAGAAGTAAATGAATGTAAGAGCATATTGGGATCTAATATCAAAAATTGGGATTGTCCCAGAATATCTAAGGTATGCAATCCCTATAGCTGTAACAGAAGCACTGATCATCTGCAGTGGGAAAGATCAATTTTGTCTTGAGGAGATTCCCTAAAAGAGGTGAAGTTTAAATGGGATTTTAATGGGACTTCAACAGGTAGATATGAGGAAAGAGAGGAGGAATTCCAGATAGAAGAAGGAGTCTCATAGAACAGGACAGAAGACATGGCCCTATCCCCCAAGTGCCTTTTTATCATATGGAAAAGATTATAGATAATCCTCAGGACTCCAGAGAATCCCCCCGGGTAGGTATGGAAGCAGGAAAATAAGACGGAAGTAAAATCAGCAGAACGCTGCGTACCACCTCACACCCGCAACCCTGTTTCAGACAAAGCAGTTCTGCTCTTATGTATTATCTATTGCCTTTCTCAAGTAAAATTTCATTTATAAAAGACTTTCCACTGCTTAATGAAAAGTAAAAAGTAATATTGTTAGGTAGTGTGCTTAGCCTTGCCTTGTTTTCTGTAACTAATCTATGTAGCCCTTTTGGTGAGCCTAAGATGACTTTTGCTTTGGTTACTTATCTTGCAAAATTGTGTGAGTCCTACCGGAGACAGAAGCCAACAGTGCTGTGGGATGTCACTTGGGTCTGGGACTGTCTTTTTGTGGGGGAAAGGGGGAAGTTTAAGATAATTTTCTTTTTTAAATGTTTTCCAGCTTTATTGAAGTATGACTGACAAATAGAACATCATATGTATTTAAGGGGTACATTATGATATTTTGACGTAAGTGTGCCTTGGGCATGATTTCCACAATCAAACTAATTCACATACCCATCATCCAACAGTTACCATTAATTTTTTTGTGGTGGTGAGAACATGTAAGATCTACTCTCTTAGCAAATTTCAAGTATGTAATACAGTATTAACCATAGTTACCATGCTGTACATTAGATCTCTAGAACTTATTCATCTTGTAACTGCAAGTTTGTACCCTTTCACCATTATCTCCCCTTTTCCCCAACCCCCAGCCCCTGACAACCATCATTTTACTCTGTTTCTCTAAGTTTCACTTTTTAAGGTTCCACATATAAGTGATATCATGCAATATTTGTCTTTCTGTGTCTGGCTTATTTCACTTAGCATAGTGTCCTCCAAGTTCATTCACATTGTCACAAATGGCAGGATTTCCTGATGGTTGAAGTCTGAGTTACATTCATATATATATTCCATTTTTTTAAAAAATTCACCTGTTGATGTATACTTAGGTTGTTTTCGTATCTTGGCTATTGTGAATATGGTGCAATGAACATGGGCATACACGGATTTCTTCAAGATTCTGATTTCATTTCCTTCCGATATATATCCAGAAATAGGATTACTGGATCATATGCTAGTTCAATAAGAGTTCTAATTTTCTGAGGGGCCACTACATTTTTCATCATGGCTGTACTGATTTATATTCCCATCAACAGTGGTACAAAGGTTCCCTTTGCTGTGCAAATGCTCTTTGGTTTGATGCAGTCCCATTTATTTTTGTTTTTGTTTCCTGTGCTTTTAGTGTCATATCCAAAATATCATTGCCAAAACCAATGTCAAGGAGCTTCTTCCCTATATTTTCTTCTAGGAGTTTTAAATTTTCAGGTTTTATAATTAAGTCTTTAATCCATTTTGAGTTGATTTATGTGTATGGTGTATGATAAGGGTCCAATTTCATTCTTTTGCATGTGAAAATTTAGTTTTCCTAACTCCACTTATTGAAGAGACAATCCTTTCCTCATTGTGTATTCTTATCACTCATGTTGTTGAAGATTAGTTGACCCCATATGCATGAGTTTATTTCTGGGTTCTCTACTCTGTTTCATTGGTCTGTGAGTCTATTTTTATTTCAGTAACATTGTTTTAGTTACTATAACCTTGTAATATAATTTGAAATCAGGAAGTGTTATGTCTCCAGCTTGCTCTTCATTCTTAAGATTGCTTTGGCAATTTGAGGTCAAAGGGTTCTATGCAAATTCCAGGATTTTCTTTTTCTATTTTTGTGAAAAATGCCATTGGAATTTTGTTATGGATTACATTAAATCTGTTGATCATTTGGGCAGTATGGACATTATAACAATATTTGTTCTTCCAATCCATGAACACAGGATATCATTTCCTTTATTTGTGTCTCTTTCAATTTCTTCCATCAGTGTTTTATAGTTTTCAGTATATGGATCATTCACCTCCTTGGTTACTTTTTTTTTTCTAAGTATTTTAATCTTTTTGATGCTATTGTAAATGGAATTTTTAAAAATTTCTTCTCAGATATAACATTGTTAATGTATAGAAATGCAACTGATTTTTATATGTTAATTGTGTATCTTGCAACTTTACTGAATTCACATATTAGTTCTGACAGCTTTTCTGGTAAATTCTCTAGTATTTTCTATTTAAAAGATTATGTCATCTGCAAACAGAGACAATTTTACTTCTTCCTTTCCAGTCTGTATGCCTCAAAATAATGAAACCGACATATAGCAAGCACACATCTAACATCATACCCAAACTTTGTTTTAAAAAGAGGTGGCCCTTGGCTGGGTGCAGTAGCTCACACCTTTAGTCCCAGCACTTTGGGAGGCGGAGGTACAAGGACCACTTGAGCCCAGGAGTTTGAGACCAGCCTGATCAACATAGTGAGCCCCCATCTCTACAAAAAATTTAAAAAGTTAGCTGGGTGCAGTGGCATGTGCCTGTGGTCCCAGCTACTTGGGAGGCTGAGGTGGGAGAATCACTTGAGCCCAGGAGGTCAAGGCTGCAGTGAGCATGTTCACACAGCTGCACTCCAGCCTGGGTGACAGAGTGAGTTCCTGTCTCAAAAAGAAAAAAAGAAGTGGCCCAAGGAGGATGTGGAACAAGCATAACTCAGCCTGGAATGCAGGGTTGTATGATTCAGATTGTGCTTCAAATCCTTTTGTGGGGAAAAAGCAGCCCTCCTGACATGTCAAGTAGGAGTTGGGATGGTGACACTGAATAGTAGATATTGGACACTCTGAGAGGAGCACCAGTGGGAAGCGACGCAAAGTACTATATCATAGGCTCATAGTTACGCCCTAGAGGGACATACTGAACAAGCAGGCTTCTTTGTAAACAGGTATGTCTCATATCTGAGCTCCCACATGAAGGTGAATTAGAGGCCTCTAGTGAAAATAACAACTCAGATGTATACTATGGGAAATTACAGAGAATATTGTCATCCACTGTAAGAAGAGTGTAAGAATCAGTGACTCATTTTTTAAACTGTTAGTTGTTTCTATTCCCACTCCTTTGTGGGAATTCCCACTCCTTTTAAATTGACCACACTATTATCATTGGCACATTAAAGTGTCCTGGAATGAAATGAATACATGTAAATTTTCCATTTGTCTCCCAAGTACCCAAGTGGCAATAAATCTTACACTGAGAAAAGGCAAATTGGAAAATAGAAATGCATTGGAAATGTCCAAGAGAACATGGTAACAGTTAAAACAATACCACAAGGAAGTATATCATAGCTTTCTATGCTAACAAAGGTATTGTTTCTTGGTGCAGCAAGGTGAATTATGGAATAAGAGTTTGGGGAACCTCATATTTTACACAATTTTATATAGATCATGATAATAACACATGGCATTATACAGTTCTTCTATTAGGTAAAAGCCTTATCTTTTTAGTGATGTATTACTGTTTTCAAATCTGTGTTGGGAATATCTAAATTTGAAAAGGAACAGAGTGGTTTTAAAAAGCTCCCTGTTTAATTCAATGCACACTCAAAACTCATTTTTGAATAGGCTGGAATAGGCAATTGGGCATTAAACAGAACACTATTGTAAAATGTATAATTTAAGGGAAAAAAGTTAATCATTTATAACTCAGTTGTTTCCTAAATATTTCATTAAAGAAAATGTCAAATGGTTAAAAATTTGAACTTTGATTTATATGAATAATTCTTTGAGAAAAATGCTTTTCATTTTCTAAAGAAGACCTCTTAAACATCTAAGGATTAACTTCTAATAAAACCTTTGTCTGCAAATTACAATTAAAATATTTGAGTTAGGAACTGATACTTAATACATTTCATGAAACTTTACAAGTGAAGTAGAGAGATAAAGCATAGGTATTGTTCTTAAACTGAAATGCTGATTATTATTCACTTTATGTAACCAAAGACTTTGGAAATCATTTGTATTTGAAAATGGGGATAAAGAATGCTATCCAGAACATATAAATAATAAAAAAAACTCCATGAATTAAAAACAAGAAAGACAACCTAATGGGAAAAAAATTGGCAAAGTACTTAAGGAAGAATTTATGAATGAAGAAATTCAAATGGCTAATAAATATCTGAAAACATACTCCGTATCAGGAAAATGCAAATTAAAGCAGTAAGATAGCACTTTATATCCATCAAATTGGCAAAAGTTTAAAGTCTGGCAACTCCAAACATTGGCAAGGATGTGGAGAACTGGGAGCTTACTACGGTCACTACTGGAAATTGGTGTAAATTGATGCAGCAACTTTGGAAAATAATTTGGCAACATCAAATAAATTTAAGGGTGCACATATACTCTACAAATCAGCAACTCCACTGCTATGTATATAGATCTCGTTTTTGCTAATGTACACAAGGATACATTTTCAGCAATGTTTATTACAGCATGATTTTTAATTGCAAATATTAGAGGGAAAATTCTAAATATACGTCAATAGAATAAAAAAACTGTAGACTTTATATAATAGAGAATTATGTAGTAGTGAAAATGAACTGTATCCTCTATATGAACAGATATCTTCTATATTTGCTAAATTGCAACAACGTAATGTTGAGTCAAAAAACAAGTTGCAGAATCACATATGTAATGCTATTTATGTAAAGTTTTAAAACTTGAAATACTACATGTATATTCCTTATGGATATGTACATATGTAGTGAAAATCATAAAAACTGGAACTAGAAAGACACTCATCAATTACAGAATAGCCGTTACCTTTGTGAGGAGAGGAATAAAGTCAGAAAGCATGCAAGGGGCTCCAACTCTATCCTGAAGACATTTTTATGCAAAACAGTTTGAATTAAATCTCTCACAATATTAACCTAATTAAACTCTGGCTGGTGAGTGCAAAGATGGGTGTTTTATTATTCTCAACTCTGTAATATTTTTAAATATTACATAACTTTAATAACACATGAATATTACATAATTTTAATAACACACGAAATTTTTCATCATAGATTTATGAATCTGAGAAGGGTTCTTAAAAAGTCATGTGAGCTACATACACCCTACCCACAGGTCTATTAGTGCACAAGTCAGCCAAGATAAGTAGTTGCCTTTCCTAAATTTAAAGTTCTAGACTGGGGATTGGCAAATTTTTTATTTTTTTATCTTTTATTTTAGGTTTGGGCATACATGTGAAGGTTTGTTACATAAGTAAAGATGTGTCATGGGGGTTTGTTGTATAGATTATTTTGTCACCCAAGAATTAAGCCCAGTACCCAATAGTTATCTTTTCTGCTCCTCTCCCTCCTCCCACCCTCCACCCTCAAGTAGACACCAGTGTCTGTTGTTCCCTTATTTGTATTCATGAGTTCTTATCATTTAGCTCCCACTATAAGTGAGAACATGCAGTATTTGGATTTCTGTTCCTGTATTAGTTTGCTAAGGATAATAGCCTCCAGCTCCATCTATGTTCCCACAAAAGACATGATCTCATTCTTTTTTATGGCTGCATGGTATTCCACGGTGTGTAGGTACCATATTTTCTTTATCACATCTGTCAATGATGGGCATTTAGGTAGATTCCATGTCTTTGCTATTGTAAATAGTGCTACGATGTCCATTCACATGCATGTGTCTTTATTATAGGATGACTTATATTCCTCTGAGTACATACCCAGTAATGGGATTGCTGGGTCAAATGGTAGTTCTGTTTTTAGTTCTTTGAGGAATCGCCATACCGCTTTCCACAATGGATGAACTAATTTACACTTCCACCAATAGTGTATAAGCTTTCCCTTTCTCCACAACCTCACCAGCATCTGTTGGCTTTTGACTTTTTAGTAATAGGCATTCTGACTGGTTTGAGATGGCATCTCCTTGTGGTTTTGATTTGCATTTCTCTAATGATCAGTGATGTTGAGGTTTTTTTTCATATGCTTGTTGGGCACATGTGTGTCTTCTTTTGCAAAGTGTCTGTTCTTGTCCTTTGCCCACTTTTTAATGGGGTTGTTTGTTCTCTTGTAAAGTTAAGTTCCTTATAGATGCTGGATATTAGACCTTTATGAGATGCACAGTTTGCAAATATTTTCTCCCATTCTGTAGGTTGTTTACTCTGTTGATAGTTTCTTTCTCTGTGCATAAGCTCTTATGTTTAATTAGATCCCATTTGTCAATTTTTGCCTTTGGGCAAACTTTTTCTATAAGGGGACAAATAGTTCACATTTTGGACTTTGGGAACATGCAGTCTCTCATGTAACTACTCAACTCTACTGCAGTAATAGTACAAAAGAAGCTGTAGACTGTATGTAAATAAATAAACATGGCTGTGTTCCAATAAAATGTTACTTAAAAAAACAAGCACTGGGCTGGATTTGACCTATGGGTCACAGTTTACCAACCCCTACTCTAAACTCAGAGATGCATACATTAATTCCAATGTTAACTCTCAATAAAGAAGATAACCCCAATTATTAGAGTTTTATATGGTCAGGTTTTAGGTAAGTTTGAAAGTTTCCTATTGAATAAGTTTTAATGTAACTAACATTTATTGAAAACTTACCATGTGTCAGGCACTGTGCTAAGGTTACCTGCATAGCCCTATGATCTTCTCAACAACCTTATGAGATGGACACCACCATAATTCCCATTCTCAGAGGAGGAAACTGAGATTTGCAGAGGTTAAATGACTTGTCTAACATCTCTAAGTTAATAAGTGATATTAGTCATAAGGTGCAAACCAAGGACTCCTGATTCCACCAAAGCCCGTGCTCTTAATAACATTGCTACCATTGCTACATTATCTTCCTCCACAGTGTCCTTCATGCCTTCACAATGTGAGTTATCCTGTATAAACAATAACAACTAAAAGATCAAAACATACTGTCAGAATAGAACCTAGCATATTAGGTTTTAAGAATAAACATGTTATACACATTAGTCGGTAACCCTTTTTACAATTTGGCTAATAAGGACTTAAAGAAGAAATGAAAATGAAGTCACTTTTCCATTTTCTAGAGTGAGAATGAGTAATTAAAATTAACAGATAATCCACAAGCTTTATCTAGTTCCCTGTTTTTATTCTGTTCTTTCTCTCCACATGGTATGATAATATAAGTTCCCAGCCTAGATCCTTCCAGTTGTCTAGGAAATTATGACTCATGCCACAGCCAAAGATAAAGACTAAGTTCCTCACATTTTATTTAGAGAGTCACCAATAGTGAGGCCAGCCACCTCCTTGTGGTGACTGTTGGGAGCTTGGGATAACAGAATTTTTAAAAGCATTAACCATCCCTTCTCTCCATCCCACCCCATTCTCCATGAGGGAAAAAGGTATCATATATGCCCTGTTCTCCTCCTTCATAATTGGGGATCCTTGAACCATCCTTGCCCTCTACTCCATGGGAGACTTATGATTGCTTCTTGTCTAAAAGTAGCTGAGCCATTGAATCAGCAGAGACCCAGATGAGCTAGGGATCGCAGAAAAGAACTGAGAAAAGATAGAAAAGAGAGGTAGTTCTAGAGAAGCCAGCACTCCCACCATTTCCCATGGGTTGAGTGGACACTACAAAAGGTGATTTGGGGCTTCAGCCTGTTGGGGCATTTGCTAACTAAAGTGACCCCTACTGAAGAGGCTGTAGTTTGGAATATCCATAGTGGGGAAGGGGTGCTGAGTGAAAGAGGAGGAGGCCAGACTCATCTGTATCTCCCAATATGGAGAGGTCTTCCAAAAAAGATTTACTATCTTCCAAAAAAGTAACCCAAATCATCCTCACGAGAGACAGCAAGTATATCACTGAATTTGAATTCTCTGAGGTCAGAAATCTTGTCTTCCTTGATGTCTTCTTACCCTATCCCCAGCATCTAACATGACCTGGCACAAAGTAAGCACTTGATTAAGATCTGCCATACAGAGAACACCAGCAAAAAGAAGAGAGCAGACTTGCCACCAGCAACTCTTGATCTCTCTAGGGTATGTTGTCCCTCATACATACCCTGCTACCAGCACTTCCTTAGATGACTGGAGGGATAAAGAAAGAGAGAGGGCGGCTGCAGAGGGGAGAGAGGGAAGAATAAGGCCCTTTCTCCACTTAAGTAGCTCAAGCCTTCAGCCTAGTATGCAATGAGAGTGGGAGAGATTTTAATTGAAGATTGCAATGCTAATTGTGCTAGACTTTAATAGATTAAAATGTTGAAAAAATAATGGGATTAGGCTGCTACCCAGTGGGAAAAGGGCAGGAGTCAACAGCACAGCTGGTAGCAGTTATTGGAAAAATAAATCAATTGCACATTGTCTCTCAGTGACTACAGACAGTTCAATCAAACCAGTTACATTAATAATGTGATATCCTTGGAAAATAAAGGTGATAAGAAAATAAGGATTTTCTGTCAGGACAGGCCAGTGGAATTGTTTTTGTAGAAATGGTGATGAATTTTAGGGTTCCCATTCATGTATTTGTACCCCAACCTTTGGTGACAAGTGGTCCACATTTGTAAAATGACTATGCAGCATCACACCAAAGAACAATGCAAGATTGTACAGGGACAATGCAGGAGGGGCCAGCCTCCACAAGTAGCAATATAATGATGAATTCAGGCAGGTTTGAGGGAGTATCACTGAAAGATATCCAAAGATTACTAGAAAATGCAAGAAATTGAATGGAAGAAATGACAAGAGCCATAGTTTAAGGCAGGAACCAAGAACAGAAAACTAGAAAATACGCTCAAGGAATTAAAATACATGGACAGAGGAAGCATCATGAAGTGGACTGAAGTTGTTCTTGAACAGTCACCCATACAGTGTTAAAGGTATCTGTCTAACCCAAATTAAGGGGTACAGTCAGTGGCATGGGAGAGCTCAAGCTAAATAATCATGCAAAGATTAACTTGATATCTTGGTACCGGTGGTGTTCATTCTACATTATTTATTGATTGATCAGTTCTCAATGGAAAAAATATATATATGAATTAGAATTATATTTTTCAGGGCTAATTTGAATTTTTCTGCTCCCTCCAGCCCATAGAAGGTTGGTTGGTTGCTTGCTTGCTTAGTAGCTTGATTTGAGAATTAAGTGAGATAATATTTCAAAAGTACCTGGCATAAAACCATGTGAATAAGTGCTAATTATTATGAAGGGTCCATTTTTTCATTTGGGTGGTTCACAACTCCGTAACAAGCTCTTGGGCAATTAATTGAGATCTCAGTGTAGAAATGGAAATCTAAATGCATGTATCTCGTGGCATAAGTATCAATGTTCACACAGAGAACTAAAAATAATTTAAGTCTAGTTAGAACGTATGATAGAGTAATATCACTTTAGCTATCTGTTTCAAACCAATTATGAAACTCTTAAATAGCAGCAAGTGGTACTCTGGGTTCTGAACATGGAGGGCGCCTCTTATATCAGCTTCCCAATTGTAGTCAGCTCTTGTGACTTCACATCAAATTGTATTTTGTTCTCCACCAAATATTCTACATATGTTAGGTTGGTGTAAAAGTAATTGTGGTCTTTGCCATTACTTACTTTTTTTTTTTTGAGAAGGAGTCTCACTCTGTTGCCCAGGTTGGAGTGCAGTGGCACGATCTCGGATCATTGCAACTTCCACCTCCCAGGTTCAAGCAATTCTCCTGCCTCAGCCTCCAGAGTAGTTGGGATTACAGGCGTGCGCCACCATGATTTTTTTTTACATTTTTAATAGAGACAGACTTTCAACATATTGGCCAGGCTAGTCATGAATTCCTGACCTCAAATGATCTGCCCACTTTGGCCTCCCAAAGTGTTGGGATTATGGATGTGAGCCACCACGCCCCACCTGCCATTACTTTCTTTTTTTTTTTTTTTTTTTTTTTTTTGGAGAAGGAGTCCCGCTCTGTCACCCAGGCTGGAGTGCAGTGGCTCAATCTGGGCTCACTGCAAGCTCTGCCTCCCAGGTTCACGCCATTCTCCTGCCTCAGCCTCCTGAGTAGCTGGGACTACAGGCACCCCCCACCACACCCAGCTAATTTTTTTGTATTTCTTTAGTAGAGACGGGGTTTCCCTGCCATTACTTTCAACAGCCAAAACTGCAATTACATTTGCACCAACCTAATACTTCATTGGATGCAGGAGTCATTTTTTCAAGAAATTGGTAAAGCAATAGAGGTAACAGTATGACTGTGAATCAACATATGCATGGGAAAGTCTCCTTTTGAAATGGCTGATTATCCAAGGGATGTATGTGGAATTCTGAGAGCAGCTGCAGTTACATTAATCAGACAATTATTAACCGAAACTGAAAAGTGGGACAGTTCAAAAAGTACATTGCAAAGCTACAATAAACCAGAGGCTTTTTATTTTAGTGATTTAAGAAAGCTTTATGTTTTTATTTCCAATTAACCTATTAATAGTGATGTCACTTAAATACTCCTAAGGAATATTATCTCCTCATTATTGCCAGAAAACATGCTGCCCAATTTCATAGCTCAGCTGTTCTCATGCATGGATGGACAATCTGAATTAACATGAACAGAAACAAGATTTTTAGACACTCGGCTACATTCCTAGTTGTAAAATTTAAGTAATTAATATGTGACTTTAAATAGTCAAAGAAAGTAAAATGGATAATGTTTATTTCGTGCATCAAAATGATAGTGATGCACTGCTACTCTTTCTATTTATTTTGTTAGCATATCAATAGAAAAATCAGTATAATCCATGCACTCATTGTCAATACCATTGAGTATTATGGCAAAGAGTACAGATTCTCTGAAGAGCTGACCTTAAATCAAGCTATTAGAGACAGACTGTATTTTTATTATGGCCAAACAAAGATAGTAGACCTCAGAGACATGAGTTTTTTCACTTGGTATACTCCTTGTGCACTGTTAAAATTGGGCACAAGGACATTGGTGATCCCACTGATCTGAAACTTTAACACATGTAGTTTTGAAAGCTAAGGACAAAACTAACATTTATTTGAAGAGAAGGTAGTTATAGTGACCAGGGAAATTCAGACCCATGAAGTACTAACTAGATGTATTCACACTTACAGCTATCCTCAGTACACGTGAATCAGACTTTCTTTTTCATCCTACTCATGCTTAAATGAACCTGGGTTTTAAAGCTATTTGCAACACATGAATATGTATTTGCAAACAATGTCCCAAAGGTTAACAATACATCATAAAATCTCAAATAGCTGCTTCTTCATGTAGAAGAAACCTTTATCTCTGAACCAAGTAAAATCCTACTATTGTGCCTTTCTCCCCACTCCCTACTTCCGCAATGCTGAAGCAACTTCATAAAGGGTAAGGAGCTCTGGGTGTTGGAATTAGGGAACCTGCAACTGGTCTTGTTATTTCCACTTATAAGCTATGAGATCTTTCATAAATTCCTATTCCTCCCAAAGGTCAGTGTCATCACCTTAAGTAAGGATAAGAGAAACCAGAGATAAAAAGATTAATAAGATGAGCTCCTTGCCCTCAGTGCCCCTATGCATGCTTTAATTGGTGTCTTAGTCTGTTTGTGCTACCATAACAGAATACCTGAGACTGAGTAATTTGTAAAGTAGAGAAATTTATTTCTCACAGTTCTGGTTTCTGGGAAGTCCAAGATCAAGGCACCAATATCTGGTATAAACGTTCTTGTGTCCTCACATGGCAGATGGCAGAAGGGCAAGAGAGGACAAACCCACTCCCGCAAGCCCTTTTAATAGCAGCATTCACCCATTCATGACCCAAAAACCTCCCAAAGACTCTGCCTCCCTACACTGTTGCACTGGGGGCTGTTTCAAACACATGAATTTGGAGGGACACATTCAGACCATAGCAGTGGGTGCAGAGTAATAATTATCAGCAACCACTTCCTTAATTTACCCCCAAATCATTCAATCGATCATTCTGTCTCTTATTCATTCACTCTTACTCTCTTATCACACACACACACACACACACACACATACACACACATACACATCAGTCACTACGATGTTAAAAGCTACAAAAGATATTGTGGAAATATACAATCAAATCTCTGCTCTCAAGCTGTATACTGGGAGGTAGTTATAGAATAACTATCATAAATAAGAGTGTATTTCCCAGTGCTTCTCACAGGACTGGTAAATGCAAAAATCAGTCTGTCTGCTTTCAGCCAGTTATGCCAACAAAGGCATGGTTATTTCAGAAAGAAAAGAGATGCTTCCACCTTGTGGCTGTGTCTTCCTCAGCTGGTTGCTGGCACAGGCTTGCTGTTTGTAAGCTTGCCTCTCCTTGCAAGTAGAAGATTGTGTTGTTTTTACCTCAATACATTTTTTTTGCCTTCTTCATATTATAACAAATATTAGGGACCTTTGTTAAGACTTTGTTCTCTCAGAATTCAAGGTTGCCTTTGGCCAAAGTGAAGTAGATAGCATTTACTTATTCATTTAAGAAATATTTATGAAGCTCTTATCTTGTGCCAGGCACCTCAGTTGACAGTAGGAAAACCATAGTGAGCAAGGCACAGGCTGCCTCAAAGCCCCCCTCCAGTCTCCCATACACCCTCACCTCCCCCAAAGACTCTCCCTCTGCCATTAATCATTTGTGCCCTACACAGTAATCAATTTGTCCCCACTGCAAGGTTTTATCATCTATTATTTTCAAGGCAATGCACCAGCTACTACTAGAAGATACAAAGATACACTCCCTCTTTCCAAGAGTTTATAATTGAGTAGGTTCAGAAATGGTAGTGGGGAAAATAAATACACAGATACCTAGACTAACAGGCAGTGTGACTGTAAGTGCTATAAGAGAGGCATAGCTGTAAGAGCAGTGGACACACAGAGAAGGGAGGATAAATTTCCCCTGGAGTGACCAGCAATGGCTTCTTGGAGGATTTGAGCAGAGCCTTGAAGAATGGGCATGATTAGGAGATGGGATTGAAGGATCCAGGGAGAATGACAAAAATAACAAGGAAGGCTGAGGACAGCAGCAAAAATGCCGAGGAAGGAAGAGTGGAGGAAGTACAAGTGGGCCAGACTAAACACAAGAGAAGGGTGGTGATAAGCCAGAAGGTCACAGGGACAAGGTCCTAAAGGATTTACACCTCATGTCAAGGAGTTTGGATTCTGTTCAAGAAGCATGGGGCAGGAGGGGAGGTGTTTGAGGAGGAGTGAGGCAAAATCAGAGATGCTCTTTGAAATATAATTATGGCAACCATATGGATGGAAAGAAGAGGGGAAAGAGAGGAACAGCCAATGTAGAATGGCAGCAAGAGAAATGGGAAATGAGAGGCAGCTGCTGGAGACAGGGTACATGTAGAACTGACGGGACTTGGAAACTGACCAGAGGCAAAGGTAACTCTGACATCTTAGGCAATTTTAAAAAGAGCATTCAACTCAGTAACCCTGACGCCACTCCTCTTTCTATAATGGTATAGAGGCGACACATGTTAAAGTAAAATATTAAAACAAATAAAGGTTTCCAAAAAGTTTCTCCAATAGGATTTGAGCTAGACTGCCATTTGATTTTTGTCTTGTTCTTGAATTATTGCTTAAAGCCTTCGTCTGGCATATTTGGCATATTTGATGTTTTAAAATCAATTCCATCCCACACCTACCCCACCCCAGTGCTTGTTCTTCCTTTATTCTACCTTCTCCCCCAGATTTATTCTACTTGCTTCTCTGCCCTACTCTGGGGGAATGATGGCTATGTCTGTATCACCCAAACACTCTTGCCTTCTGGCTTCCTATTGGATTTGGCCAATGAGAAGCATCAGCAGGAGATCAGAGGGCAGAAAGAGAGAAAGTACATTAGTTCTCTATTCCTGCTGTAATAAATGACCACAAACAACACTAATCGATTGTCTTACAGTTCTGGAGTCAGAAGTCTGAAATCGGTTTGTTTCACTGGGTTAAAATCAAAGTACCATGTCAGCAGGGCTGGTTCCATTTGGAGACTCTGGGGTAGGAACCCATTTCGTTTCCTTTTCCAGCTTCTAGAAACTCCTTGGCTTATATTTCCTTCCTCCATCTTCAAAGCCAGCAGCTTAGCACCTTCTGTCCTCTCTGACCTCTGCTTCTGTCTTGCATTTCTCTCTCAGACTTTGACCTTTGTGATTATATTAGGCCCACCCAAACAATCCTGGATAATCGTCCCATCTCAAGATCCTTAAGGTAAGCACATCTGCAAAATCCTTTTTGCCATGTAAGGGAACATAACACAGCTTCCAGGGACTAGGAGGTGGACATCTGGGGATGGGGGACTTTATTCTGTCTGCCACAGAGAGGTTGGGGTATTTCTTACCCTTTGCTCCTGCCTTGGTGCTGTGGGCCTGGCAGCATTCCTTCCCGCTACAGCTCCAGCTGTAGACAGGCAGCCTCTCTTTCATGGCGCCAGCTCTCACTCAGCCCCTGTAACTTCTTTTCCTCCCTGATGTCTTTCAGACTAGAGGTGGTAACAGCACTCACCATATTTATCCTTCATTGCCTCAACAGCCCTCTTTGATTGCATTAACCCTGCCCATTCTTCGAAAACAGTCCCATCATTAAATTATCTTCAAAATCCCAGCTAACCAATGTCCCCGCCACCCATCTTGGTGTACCTTTTCATGCTCATTCATGCTGTTAACTTGTCAGGTCTAGGACTGGTGCACACACAGTCTGAGAGAGAGATGTAAAGACAGAAGCAGAGGTCAGAGAGGAGAGAAGGTGCTAAAAAGTTGAAATGTAAATGCAATATGCAAGACAGTTAGCTTCAGGAAAACAAGGAATTGTTACCATGAGTCAGTATAGAAGTCATTGCACAAAGCCGAATGCTTATCCAGAAAATAAATGTATCTGATTAGATAAGTATACATAATAATAATCCCGCATTTTCTCTCAATTACATCCAAGGAAGAGAAATAACACTCATACAGAGTTCACAATAGAAAGTTTCCTCTTTGATTTCCTTTTTGTTTATTTTTCAGTCAACTAGGGAAACTGACTTCATGACCTAATATAAGTGATTTCTGAGAACTGGATAAGCTAGCTGAGCTGCCAGTGATAGCTTTCTATTCTTAGGCCGATAATTTTAAGATATTGCCCCAGTTTCTTTTCACCTGAGCAGTCAAACTAGCATATGAAAAATGTAATGATGGTAGTTATTTTTCCTTTGTAGAAAATGTTTTGCTCCAACCAGCTTGTCTTTAAAATCTCTTTCTTCACATTCATGTCTGTTGCCACACTTGCAGTTATTTCTCTGTATTAGTTTAGGGTTTGGATTATCTGCCCAACATTCATGAGATTCTTTTCCTAAGAACTTCATCTAAAATCATGGAATACAAAATACCATTCATGTCCTAAAAGAATTTCTATCAGGCAGTGCTTATCAAAAAGAAGAGTTGTTTTTGTTTTGTTTTGTTTTCATTTTTAACCTCTCAATGATATTTCCAGAAAAATATCATTTGCCCCATTTCCCCATTTAATACACCCTCAGAAGCTCAACCGCTTCTCTCCCAGGTTCATTATGAAAAATTTATTACTTTTTTTATCTCTTCTACCGTTATTATGATAATTATAATGATCTATTGTTAATTGTAACTACTATGATTAATAATAGATTACATTTGTATATTTAGAGATTACAATGCACTTCCCATATATTATTTGATCATGATCAAACCTGGTTGACATATATTATGAAACCAAATTAGAATTTTATTATAAACCTTGTTTACATTTGGTTTAAACTCTAAGGAGCATACAGCCAAAAAGATAATTTCTGAAAAATGCCTTTTTTCAAACATTCATCCATCTGTTGAACAGATATATGTGGTTATTTCCCATGTGACAGAGTTCCTGTCCTTGGAGAGCTTACAATATTATTGGCAAAGGTCAATACTTCTAAAGAAATGCACAGAAAAGGCACCCAACCCAGACTGCTGGGATCATAAAAGGCTGTCTGGATGATATCATCCCTGAAGTTTGGTTCCTAAAAGATAAGTAGGATTTCCCTTTTTGAAGTGGGGAGAAGGAGGACTCAGATTCTAGCAAAAAGAACAGCACAGAGAAAGGCACCAAAAAGGAAACATGCCAAATACCTTAGAAAGGTAGGAAGGGCCAGACGCAGTAGCTCACGCCTGTAATCGTAGCACTTTGGGAGGCTAAAAATGGGTGGATCACTTGAGCTCAGTAACTCAAGACCAGCCTGGGCAACATGGCGAAACCCCGTCTTTACCAAAAATATAAAAATTAGTCAGACATAGTAGTGCACGCCTGTGGTCCCAGCTACTTGGGGGGCTGAGGCAGGAGGATTGCTTGAACCTGGGAGGTCAATGTTGCAGCGAGCCGAGGTCACGCCACTACACTCCAGCTTGGGTGACAAAGTGAGACCCTATCTCAAAAAAAAAAATAATAATAATAATGGGAAGTGATCACCCAGAGAGCATGCATAGAGCTAGGGGAGGGGAAAACTTAAAAGAATTAAACATAAACCCCAGTTAAGAGCCCTAGAAGAGACCGGGTGCGGTGCCTTACACCTGTAATCCCAGCACTTTGGGAGGCCAAGGCAGGTAGATCATCTTAGGTCAGGAATTCAAGACCAGCCTGGCCAACATGGTAAAACCCTCTCTACTGAAAATACAAAAAATTAGCCAAGCGTGGTGGAGTGCGCCTGTAATCCCAGCTACTCGGGAGGCTGAGGCAGGATAATCACTCAAACCTAGGAAGTGGAGGTTGCACTGGGCCAAGATCGTGCCACTGCACTCCAGCCTGGGCAACAGAGTGAAACTCCATCTCAAAAAAAAAAAAAACATTAAAAATTAAAAAAAAAAAGAGCCCTAGAAGAGTAAGGAGATTTAGAAAGAAGCTATCTAATAAAATTCTCTGTATGAGATTAATATCAGTAACAGTTGACAAGGAAAAAGGAAGGAATCAGTGAAGAAGATACCAGATCATAATTTAGAGCTCAACTACTTCCACAGTAGGGATACTGTGTCATCTTCCAATTTTACTTATATTTTCACATTTTAATTTAGAGGATTTTTGTAAATAGAAATGGAGGCTCCGGAAGGGAGAGCTCCCCCTAAATCTTTGCTAAAGCCAGCTCCCCGTTATGAATGTCCAGACAAGGCCACACTCCCACCATAGGATACTGTGCTCAAGTCAAAGGCCGGATATTTTCTGAGCTGTGACTACATCTTTTCTAAACACAAATAATAACAACACCAAAGAAGGCGTACCACCTGCATCAAGTGGTGAATTCTCAGAATCCTGCAGCAGCCTTTCACTTCCAATAGCAGCTTTTTCCCCTCACCTTTGTGACCCTCCTAAGCAGGTTATGTGCTTAGGCAGAACCTTGATGAAGGATTCTTCTCTCTTCTGTGCATCCATAAGGGTCATTTCACACTTCTGCTTGGATGAAGTTTCTCAAGAGATGCTGGGACTTTTTTGGGTTTGATTTTGTTTTGTTTGTGTGTGTGTGTGTGTGTGTGTGTGTGTGTGGGAGTTTTATTATTTTGTTTTGTTTTAGAGATAAGTCCTCACACTTGTTCCCCAGGCTGGAATACAGAGGTGCAATCATGGCTCACTGCAGCCTCGAACTCCTGGGCTCAAGTGATCCTCCCACCTCAGCCTCCTGAGTAGCTAGGCATGCACCACCACACCTGGCAAATGTTTTTTATTTTTTGTAGAGATGCGGGTTTTGCCATGTGTTTCAGGCTAGTCTTGAATTCCTGGACTCAAGCAGTCCTCCCACTTCAGCCTTCCAAAGAACTGAGATTATAGGCATGAGCCAACATGCCCAGCCTGTTTTCTGTTTAAGTGATTACTGTCTAAAACATAGCATAAAGAGAGTCTCAGACAGTTTTCAATACATAAATGAATTGAAGCAAATAAAATTCACAGTTCTGGTGCTCTCAAACATGTGTTTCAGTTTCCAATTGGATTAGAAGTTTTCTCTCTGGAAAAACCTGCTAATTTTATGGGCTCCTGTGCCTTGCTGAGGCAACTGAGCCTAACAGTTTATAACAAAAGCCAGGCCCTGTAATAGGCACTTGGAACCCATCTAATTCAATCGCGATCTAATGAAAGAAATGGGAAGGTTAATGAAAACATTCAGTGTAACCCCTTGAAAAATATTCTTCCTGTAATGGTTATTAAATAATATTGAACAAAGTTAATCATGAAAACAGCCAGTAGATATTAAAGATCACCATCAAGTTGGAAATCAGCCTGTCCTTTGTTCCATCAGGGCCATTAGGGCACAGGCATCCCAGCGTCAGAGCACCCATAACAATGACTGCAGCAGCAAAGACCCTAATTCTGACTTTTCCTTTTCCTGGAACTTCATTATTTCATTCAGACTCAGCCTCCATTCCTCTTACTCTCAATCCTAGCATTTGTTTCCTATAACTTTACCTGTCACTACCAATGTATGTAGGTCACCAGTACTGAAGCCTCATTTGGTCTCCTGTAAGTACCATTGAAATTGTCATGATTTGGATGGAACTGCGTAAGGCAGTATTTCAAGAAAGCTTGAGGTATGCTGAGGTGCCCTAAAGCTTAACTTACACGGCATGCAAATGAAGACGTTTACTATCGCTGAAAGGCAAACCAAACATTCATTGACTCAACTGTGATTAACCGAGGGCCTACTTCTCAGGAACTGTGGCAGGTATAGATGACACAGAGACAATAGGTGTGTTCCCTGTCCATGAGGGGTCTAGTGTCAGTGGGAGAAACCAGCCTATAAGGGAGGAACGATGATGGCATTAGCCTGTGACCTCAGATCATTAGCCACAAAAATCGTCCATAGCTAAGTCCATCATGAAATAAGGAATAGAGATTATTCATGATTTATTGGTATAGTATTCCAAAGAAGCTCAATTCCTCATACCTAGTTATAATCTGGGATCACTTTAGTCATATATGATCATGCAAAATAGGCTCTTAGGATGCAATGGTAACATGAGGGCAATTAACTGATTACAACCAGGTAAGCACGTTTGTAACGATGTCCAAGCAACCCTTTGAGCTGGGACTGCCATGACTCATGGCTAAAGTAAATCCAGGATTTAATCTAATTCTTATAAATATTTCATTGAGACAAGCCAAATACTTTATATATGACTTGGCTACAAAAATGCATACAGTACAGAGTTTAAATTTTTTCTTCCAACCTGAACTATTAACAACATAAGGAATTATGAGATGTTTGCCTTCTCCTGCCTTGGCCTTCCATAGGCAAAAAAAGAAAAAGTTTTTTACCTGGAAAGCCCCAAGCAAGTTCAAAGATTTGGTGTTTTGTTAAAGAAAAATCCGCTATGATGTATGAGCAGAAATGTGTGAGTAGGAATGCAGAACTTACTAGGCGGGGACCTAGACACAGCAGTTATCCCGCTCCGCCTTGTCCCTGTGACATTACTCTAAGGTTGTTAGTTGCCCCAAGGGGACCACAGATAAAAGTATTTCTTCCATAGGAAAAAAATGAGTGCTTAGAATTCCTCTTAAGTCCTTTGATCAGTTTCCTAAATTTGGCATTTCCTTGACCCACATAATGCAGTGCACACAGAGACTCCTGAATTACCTTTATCTGGTTTTAGTATCTCTGTCTCTCTCTCTGTCTCTCTCTCTCTCTCTCTCTCTCTCTCTCTCTCTCTCTCTCTCCCCCCCTCCCTCCCTCCCCCGCCCCCCCACCATCTCCTTCTCCCTCTCCCTCTCCCTCTCAACTGGAACTCGATATTTTAAAAATACTCTAAGAATGAGTGGAGATCTTAGAAGTTTCATTTTAGTAACATAGCTCAGTTGAAGATAGCTCTGTGGCAGAGAGAGTATAGAAAGAGACTACATCAGAGTCACAGTTGGTCTTTTTCTTCATTTCTAAAAGGGCTGCGAATTTTCTATTGGTTTTAAAAAATTAATTCTCCCGATTGTGATAGCGGAAAGTGACACTCTTTTGTCACACACTGGCCACTGCACTGAAGTCAGATGAGGTCGGAAAGTAGGAAAGTAACAAGAGAACCCCTTGCCCCACCTCCTGCTGTCCCCCGATAAGTCGATCTTCTTATATATCCAGATGACAGTGAAAGAGATCACATCCCAAATTTATTTAGGGAGTTCCAGTTAAAATTATTATACAGAATACTGATATTGGAATGAAAATGAAAATTCAACCCTTTCACAGTTCATACTGTTCCAAAGAGAGATGGAAGTCTTGAAGCCAGGTCTGGACTGAGTCTGTTGCCATTGAAACCAGGTCCCCGTGAGTCAGCCCACTTTTAAAATAATGCCCAGAGTGCTTTGCAACGGTCAGAGTCTATGTCAGCAGCAGCATTTTCGTTCCATTACCTAACCACCACCAGCCCCTAGAAATGTTTTTTCCTCGATTTAGTAAGATCTTGAACTATTCCCAAACTTCCGTTGCTCCAAAATGAGGCAGAAAATCAGTAGACACAACCCTCACCACCCAATGGCACTGATACCCTGGAATGGGGAAAGGGCATAGGAGAGATTCAGCATGTATCAGAGCCTCTCCCTCTGAGGGGACCCTACATGGAAAGCCGAAATTATGGAAATCTGCCAGGTGAAGAGGTCAGCCCAGGCTCCTGGGAACCCGATAAAAATAATGTCCCTGACTTCCCGGAGCCTCATTCCTGAGGCCCCCACAGAGGGGACTTCAGCTCAGCCCTTACGCAGCCCCTAAACCCCTCTGCTTCTCCTCCTCCCCCGTAGCTTTCAAACCACCGCTTCTCTCCTCCAGGCTAATGCCTTCTCCTTTAAGTCTCATAAGTTCCTTGTAGGGAAAAGGGAAAATAAACACACAAGTGAATGAAAACTTCAAATTTTCTAAGTCTTGCTAAACTCAAGTATGGGACCAGAGTCAAAAGACGGGACTATTTCTATCACAATACAAGATCCCTTTTGCCCTCCACATGGTTTTTGGTTAAAATGTCAGTCTCAGGACACAAGTAACCACAAGGCGGCAGTGGCTGTCAAGATTCGATTTGGGGTTCGAGGGGGTTTATACCTCCCTCTCCCATGGGTTCAAGATAACCCATGTGGAAGTACTTCACTCATTCACCAATATATTCAGTGCACCTCATCCAGACACACAGTTAAAAGAGACCCAGACTCTGTGTCATTGTCCTCATCATCTCCTTCCCCACAGCCTCCTAATGTCTCACTTGGATAGACCATGTGACAACACCGCAACTCAACTCCCTTCCTCAGTCTTCCAGCTTTCTCTTCTTCCACTTTCCATAGTGAGGTCACAGGGAGATTTCTAACCACCACTCAGCTTCCCCGGTCAGGTTACCCCATGCTTAACTTTTTAGTGCCTTGCCATTGCCTTTAAAATAAAACCTAAACTCCTGAACAGTATAATAAACTACTGACAGTTTCCCAAATATACCATTCCCTCAAACTTTGCAGCCTTTACATATGCTACTCTCTCTGCCTAGAATGCTTTCCTCTTTGCCTAGGGAACTCCTACTGGCACTTCAAAACTCAACCGATATGTCACCACCTCCTGGCAGCTCTCCCTGACTACCCACCACCCCCACTTTCTGGGTTAGATGTCTGTTCTTTCTGTGCCCTTAGTACTTTGTGAATGCCTCTGTCATAGCAAAGATACATTGAGTAGTAATAGCCTTATTTACCCATTTTCTTCCCAACTAGACTGAGAACTTACTGTACATAGAAATGATACCATTTCTCTCTATATCCCCAGTTGACTGTCTGGTACATAACAGGTGCTCAGAAATTATTTACTGAATGAAGACACTCAAAACCTAGGAGGGAAGACAGAGACTCATGAATCTGTAATGAGGCATAATAATCAGAGTGGGGTGCCATTACTACTGAACAGAGAGAGTGGACATCTCTGCTTGTGAAGAGCATAGAGTCGAGGAAGGCACCCATAGGAGAAGATTCTTATTACCTTCAGAAAGAACAAGAAATCACCAGGCCTGTGGGGAGGAGGAGAAAAAAGAACAGCAGTATGTGTACAGGCCTGAATGCTTCAGTCAGCATGACACATTTGGCAAGCTTTTCCTTAGAAGGATTACTCTGGTGACAATGAAAAGAGGTTGGCGGGAGAGGGACAGGGGAATACTGGAATAACCATGTAAAGGCCTGAATTGAGCTTGTGAGCGATGGGATACATATGAGGACAGGGACAGATGCAGAGAAGTTGAGAAAACAAGGAGTGTAGCGTGACCCCCAGGTTTCTGCTTGGGTGAATGGTGTTGCCATTAACCAGGATTGGGAATTAAGAGGAAGAACCACTTTGGGAGAAAGGTAGTTAGCCCTGTCTACTGCTTCTACTGCTGTTGAGTTAGAGTTGCTGTTGGACAGACAATGAGGTGACGATGTTTAGTAATCAGCTGGACGTGTGAGTCTGAAGCTCAGAAGAGAGTCTAGCCAGGAAGGAACACTTTTTCTATATGTAACTTCATTGGAACTGCTATTTTACTTTTTCAGTTTAATTCTGTGCCATGAGGTTTCTGTTGTGGGAGAGGGCTACTGGGGGAGGGATAATTGGTCCCATTTCTGCCTCTGGCTTAGATACATGGCCTCTGGCAAACTATTCAAGTTATGCCCGTTGCCTCAGAGGAAAGGAGACAATTAAGGAAACCTGAAGAAAGCTACTGGCCCTAAAACAGTTAAGTTAGTTCCGTCTTCTTGGTTTTTCTGTGGAATGTGGAAGTCATACCAGTGAGGTAAACCTCATCCACTGCCCCAAATCCATACTTCTAAAGGCAGCTGAGTATACAAAGGAAGGTCTTTACCTTCATTACAGTGGAACCCTTACCACTTAGAGAATCATCCTTAGGTAGAGATGTCATTTCCTTGCTACAACAAACATGTTCTTCCCCCCGACTTTGGGGGTCTTGTTTTCAGGCTCTCCTGCCATTGTGATGGAAAATTTGTGTTCCTATTCTCAGCCAGCCTGCAGCATCCACACTGATAATGATTAGCTATAAAGAGTTTTTCTACAGTTCTGTTTGCATTACAGAGTTTAGACTGAGATCTGCTTTAAGGGACCTAACTAAAATAGCATTTTTGCAAAGCAACTCGTTGTGCTTTTGCTGGTTAATTTGTCTTATGTTACTTGCACTGAGATGAGACATTTTTTAATTCAAGGGTTCCTGACAGTAATGGTACTGTGGGAGTTACATGATGTGCTCATGGTTGAACCTCTTTTATTTCAACTATCTATTCACAAACGCCAAAAGGGAATTGCTTATGGAACCCAGGCATTTCTGAAAATTTAGGAGGAATTGGTATTTAACCAGACAGCTTCTGGCAATCAAGTGTGAGCATGGCAAAGATTTAGCCAGGGCATTAGTCATGTGGAGAGAATGGAGAATCTCATTTTTAATTCAAGGGGCTGTGATAGAAAACTCATCATCAAATGTGAATACCAACCAACCACTGTTTACAAAGAAGGCAATATCACAACAGCACCCAGGGAAATTTAAATGATACATACAAAAAATTCTCAGAGAAGCACAAAAACCAATAAATTTATCCAACATGCTGAATTGGATGCTGCACTAAGTTGACAGTTGGCAATAGAATCAATGAAAAGCCCTTAAAATGTTTACTTTTTGATTCAAAGCAAAGATGCCAGGTTATTTTGAATTTTTGTATCAGATATATTCCCTAATTTTTAAAACAATGCTAACTAGTTTACAGTCTCTGTCATAATAAGTAATAAGTAACATAATAAGTAACATATGGCTGCAGTCTTTGTGGTCTGATATTTTCATTTCTGTAAAGGTAAATAAAATTTGGTGATCAGATTCAGGATGCAGCCAGGGAATAGCCTCTTCCAAAAAGCAGCAGGCTGCCACCAAATTGTTCGGATGCTCTCAGGTCATCTAGACATGCTTTTTTTTTAATCTGTTGACAATGCAACTTGAGTAAAACCATCTTTGGCTGACTTAATTTTTCTTTAATCAACAGGTAGGAGATCAAATCATTGAAATCAATGGGGAAAGCACAAGGGACATGACACATGCCAGAGCAATAGAACTCATCAAATCTGGAGGAAGACGAGTGAGGCTGCTGCTCAAGAGAGGCACGGGACAGGTCCCAGAATATGGTACGTTTCACGTTTTAATTCACCCTTTTGCTCTTCCTTCTGTGAACCATAAATGCTTATGGTTATTTATAAAACTACATCAGTTCTCCACTTCTACCTAAATATATATTTAGCTATCAATAGGTATATATATACACACACACACACACACACACACATACACACACACACGTATGTTTATGCCCAGGAAATAAATGTGTGTGAACTCTTTCTTTTGCTCCCTCCATTAAGGAATGTTTAAAATATGAAATGTAGGACCTTTCAGGGCATCTGTGAGTGTGCGAGGAGATCTAGCACCACTTAAATATTAGAACTGTTACAATTTGACTGATAGTCCACTGTTCATTTGAGTACACAGTAATTTATCAATTATTTCCTAACATTGTTTATGCATCAGACTATCTCAAAGGATTTGTAACTGGGGCCAGAGACAAGCAACATATCTTCAGGGTGTGAAGTTTAAAATGTAAACTTCAGTTCACGCAATGGTTGCATTTCTTTGACATTTAGGAATTATTCTGAAAATTCACTCCTGTGTTGTGTTTCTGTATGCTTTTGAGGAAGGCTTTAAAGCATGTTTTGATTCATGGATTTGTCTTCAAACATCTTTAAAGTTGTTGTTTCCCAGCAGCCCATTATAGACACTACTGACAGCATAGCTCTAGTGTATCCAAAACAGCTGAGTGGTCATTACATGAAAAGCACCAAAACTTGAGGTGGCCTTTAAAGATAATCTCAGTGAGTGACAGACAGAAACAGACGGGCATACAGACACATCAGACTAGTGCAGATAATACCTGTTCAGATTAGGAAAACAAGATCTAACTGCTGACCTGAATAATGAGCTCTAAGTTGATTAAGATAAATTGACTCACTTTCATCCTTCTATCACCTACCCAAAAAAAAAAAAGATTTCTAGGGTGGGCGCAGTGGCTCACACCTGTAATCCCAGCACTTTGGGAGGCCTAGGCAGGCGGATCACCTGAGGTCAGGAGTTCAAGACCAGCCTGACCAACATGGAGAAACCCCGTCTCTACTAAAAATACAAAATTAGCCAGGCATGGTGGCACATGCCTATAATCCCATGTACTCGGGAGGCTGAAGCAGAAGAATCGCTTGAACCCAGGAGGCGGAGATTGCAGTGAGCTGAGACCACACCATTACACTCCAGTCTGGGCAACAAGAGCGAAACTCTGTCTCAAAAAAAAAAAAAAAAAAAAACATTCTAAAGAGTACTTTTCATTTCAGATTATTCTTTTTGCATACATTGTCTAAATAGCTAATATCTCCTTACTTAGCAGGGCAGATCTATACCCTGAGTTCAAATGAAATATCTAAACTCAAAGACCTTAAATGCGTTGTTTCCAGCATCTTGTGCACCCCTCAAAGCGTACAGAGAGAGCTAGCAAGCCTTCACAGTGAGTCAAAAAGCATTCAGAAGTTTCTGCAGGGCTGGCTCTAGGCCCAAGGAAACATTTCATTCCAGATTCCTACCCTTAATGCTTGGATCTAATAAAATATTTTTAAATATATATATATATATTATCAATAAGCACAGGCATGATCCTGCTAAAATGTACCAGCATTAATCCCTTTGTAAAGAATCTGAACTCTTGGAATAGAATAACCTTTTGCACTCTAGAGCATTGACTGATTCAGTAATATCAAAGTGACCTGTGAAATTCTATCACTTCTAAAACATACCACCTTTAATGGTATGCTTCACTCCATGGTGAGACCTGAATATTATCTATACCCAGACATTTTCACAGAGTTAATGTTGTTCTAACAAGTTTATCTTTAAAAAGTTAATCTAACCTGCATGACTATCCTGAGCTTTTCATTTTTCTGTAGAATCACTATTGGTCCCCGCTTTCTCAGCATCCACCACATCAGCTGCTTGTCTGTAGTGAGCAAGTAGAACATACTACTGATCAGCCTGTGGCATAACTCAAACTGTAATGAACAAATGTGAAGCCACCTCAAGCTATCATGAAGAAGAAATAAAAACATGTTTTTGAACAAGACAAAAATTCAAGATCGTGTCAACATTATTTCATTAATTCTTTTTTTTTTTTTTTTTTTTTTTTTTTTGAGACGGAGTCTCGCTCTGTCGCCCAGGCCGGACTGCGGACTGCAGTGGCGCAATCTCGGCTCACTGCAAGCTCCGCTTCCCGGGTTCACGCCATTCTCCTGCCTCAGCCTCCCCAGTAGCTGGGACTACAGGCGCCCGCCACCGCGCCCGGCTAATTTTTTGTATTTTTAGTAGAGACGGGGTTTCACCTTGTTAGCCAGGATGGTCTCGATCTCCTGACCTCATGATCCACCCGCCTCGGCCTCCCAAAGTGCTGGGATTACAGGCGTGAGCCACCGCGCCCGGCCTTATTTCATTAATTCTTAACATCACCTAAAAAGATATGATTACAGTGAAATTCTCAAATTAACCAGAGTTTTTTAAATATCCAGGCACACCTTTTTTTTTTTTTTTTTTTGAAACAAGGTCTCTGTCGCCCAGACTGGAGTGGAGTGGTGTGATCTTGGTTCACTGCAACCTCTGCTAACCAGGCTCAAGCGATTCTTCAGCCTCAGCCTCCTGAGTAGCTGGGACTACAGGTGCAAGCCACCAATGCCCAGCTAATTGTTTGTATTTTTGTAGAGATGGGGTTTCACCATGTCGCCCAGGATGGTCTTGAACTCCTGGGCTCAGAACAATCCGCCCATCTCAGCCTTCCAAAGTGCTGGGATTACAGGCATGAGCCACCGCACCCAGCCTGGGCACGCTTTTGAGTGGCCAATCATCAGCATTGTTAACTGTAGCAATATTGCAGAATTTCTTCTAAATATATTCTTCTAAAGTGGAACATTAAATCATACTTGCTAGTAATATTAGCACTTGTCTGCTACTTTTGATATTAAATTGAGATGGATTTTGACTGTAAAAACTTTAGAGATGATATCACAAAAGAAAGAACTTAATAGCATAGAACAATCTCCTTTAAGGAAGTAAAACAATAGTCAAACTAAATAAATGTTAGTTGTCTGGCAAAATCTAAGCTGAAAGGTGCTTGGTTATGCATAAGAAACCAAGATTAAGGATCATAGCATCTTTGAGGATAATGTCATCAAGTGATATTTCTGGAATTTCATAGTGACTGATGGGTGGGCAGATGGGGCCCAGGAGTCCCCAAGACCACCTTCACATTTAGAGATTTTCTAGGAGGCCTCCTGGGGCACAGAATATAACTGTGCTCACAGCTAAGATTTATTACATCAGCAGGTGTGGTGGCTCACGCCTGTAATCCCAGCATTTTGGGAGGCCGAGGTGGGCAGATCACGAGGTCAGGAGATCGAGACCATCCTGGCTAACACGGTGAAACCCCGTCTCTACTAAAAATACAAAAAATTAGCCGGGTGTGGTGGTGGGCGCCTGTAGTCCCAGCTACTCAGGAGGCTGAGGCAGGAGAATGGCATGAACCTGGGAGGCAGAGCTTGCAGTGAGCAGAGATCGTGCCACTGCACTCCAGCCTGGGTGACAGAGCGAGACTCCGTCTCAAAAAAAAAAAAAAAAAAGATTTATTACATCAATATAGTGAAAATACACATTGGGCTCACAAGGGAAAAGACACAGGCGGGGTCTGGAGGAATCCACATGCAGGCTTCCATATGCTGTCTCTCTCACACAAGGTGTCACCCAGAACACTCTTTCCACCCAGCAACAAAAATGCAGCAACGTATGTGTGACATTGCTGCTCAAGAAAATTCCCTGGAGACTCAGTGCCCAAGGTTTTCACTAGAGCCGGTGATGCAGGGACCCTCTGCCCAGCACATACCACACTTCCAGACTCCCAGAAGCAAAGCAGGTTCAGCACAAACCACACTGATTGTACAAACAGTTTAGATACAGCGAGACACACTTATAATTTAGTAAAATGTTTACATTAGCTTAGGGGATGATTTACCAGTCACATTTCCAGGCACCAGGCACCAGCCAATGGCCAACCTCGAAAGCTGGCCTTTCTAAGGAGAGCAGTCTCAGGCCTGCTCTGTTAACCTTTTCTGCGCCAGAAGCAAGCCAGAGAAGTGGCCACATCTATGAACTATACAAGTGACCACTACATACAAGGAGTGCCCACTGCTAGGAACACCATAATTCCTCCAGCATCAAATAGATTATATCATGAAACAGAATTTCTTGTCTTCTTTCACCAACTTTATGCTTTCATTTAAAAAAAGAATTCTTTTTGTCTAAGATAAACTAGAGTATATCTTAATAAATTCTTAAGTAGCAGAATTGGGTAACAGCAAAATAATAGCAACAATAACAACAAAAGAAAGTGCTAATGGAAAAGGAAAATTAAATACTTGAGTTTAACCAGTAGATATAGCCAAGAATATAATCCTACTTTTTCCTAATGCACCCTAATCATGGGAAAACCGATTTTTTTTTTAACCACTCCCTGTGGAAGGATTTCAACCAGTCCTCCTTTTGATATCCCTATGATTCAAAATTCAGGACAGCTTTGAAGCAAGACCCTTATCTGGACTTCTGGACATGTCAAGAAAAAGCTGATTTCAGTCAAGAGAAATAAAATTTCTCACTCTGAGTTCTCAAGGTGATCTGTGACCGAGAGATAAGCCTAGGTACAATTGAAAAAATACCAAAGGCGATCTGTCAGAGCATTGACTAAACAAAATCAGCATGACTCCAAGTGAGCTGGGGGAAGGAGTAAACATGCCGCAAATATGTCATCTCTAATTACCCAAAGACTAAACGTCAGGTGCCACCTCAGCCAATTCAGAGGTAGAAATCAACAAATGCCACCCCGAAAGTAGTGGCTGCACACAGAGGTTGTGGAGCAGCTGCAAGAGGAGTCGGAAAATGATAAGGGCTTTGAAGGAGGAGTTGCTTTCATAGTTAAGTCCTTGAAAGACAAGCTCAGGAGATAGATACTTCAACTCCACTCCAGTCCTCAGGATAAGAATTTGTTGATTGTAAACTCAGTGGGAAGCGTGAGTTCCCCTCCCCTGATACACATCTCAATGCCATACTGAGAAGAGAATCAGAAGATGCATCAAAAGCAGTGCCCTCCTTCACCCTGGTTATTGCTATTCAAATGAAATCCACAAAGGTTAAGAGAAAAGGAAGTATGCATCATGGTTGTAAAACTGCACAGGAATAAATTATACAGATTAGCTCCCTGCCTTGAAATGCAGGCTTCCTTCATTAGCATTCAAAGAGTACAACACGAACATACACTTGATTTATCAACTGAGCCACAGAGTCAGGGCCAAGGTAAATAGAGGTGCCGCTGGATGAAAAAATTCCCAACATAAGCAGTTCAGACCAAAGTGGAGCCTTTCCCTTGTTAATGACTGCTGTTCAAAGTTAATCAGAATAAAGCAAAATATAATAGGAACATGCTTTTTAGTCTGGGTTGGTGCTCTGGCCTGTTTATTCTCTTAAAAAGCCATAGGGCAGGGCTTTATGAATAGAACACTGAAGAGAGTCCAGTTGTAAGTGGGAGTCTCGGTGGTCTTAGGAGGCCAAGCAGGGTTAAAGAGGATGAAGCAGAAATCTCACAATGAAAATGGCCCAGCGACAACTAATGCCACATACCCACACCAAGGGGGAGAAACAGCCAATCAGTGAATTATACTTCTGCCTACGCTTTCATTTTCAAAGTTAATCGTTTCTTTAATATAATAGGTTTTGGCTTGACTACAAGCACTTGGTAAATGAAATTGTTTACGTTTTGTAAGTATAATAAAACTGCACTAATTGGAGAAACAGATCGATCTGAGCTAGTGACTATAGGTAAAGAAATGAATGGATCAAACAGTTGTTTAGTTAAAAGTCTTCCTTTAATCAGTAAGTTAAAATGACTTACAACAATTATATTAGAGCAGCAGGTGAAGCAGTACTGGCCTCTATGTAGATAGCAATAAGTAATGGTCATTTGTTTATTCTTCTTTAAGAACATATATTGCCAGCCAGGCGGGGTGGCTCACACCTCTAATCCTAACACTTTGGGAGGCCAAGGCAGGAGGACTGCTTGAGCCTAGGAGTTCAACAGAAGAGGCAACATAGGGAGACCTTGTCTCTACAAAAAAATTAGCCAAGCGTGGTGGCATACTCCTGTGGTCCCAGCTACTCAGGAGGATCACTTAAGCACAGGAAGTTGAGAATGCAATGAGCCATGATCGTGCCACTGCACACCAGCCTGGGCGACAGAGCAAGACCCCAACTCAAAAGAAAGAAAAAATATTGCCAAGTAAATGTTATAAGTATGCCATTATAATCTTTTTTGCTATTATCTGCTGAGTACATCCTTTCTTCCCTCTAATGATACAAAAATAAACTCCAGACAATATATTCCTACCAAGTACTCTATATGGAACAAATCCTGTGATTAATATTATTAGTTGATATAATTAGTATTTCCTCAACTAAATCAGATTTACTTAACACCTACTATGTGCAGGATGCTTTGCAGGCACTGAAGGTAAAATGTAGTCCTGGTCCTCAGTGAGCTGACACTAATAATGAAGAAATGTGTTTTTAGCAGAGTAGTGACTCATAAAAAGGTCTCAAAGGATCTGCTCTCATGAAAAACATTTAAATGGGTTTTATTAATTATTTGTAGAATTTAACAAGTACTTCTAGAGTGTTAAGAATCCTTGAAGAGCACTTGGCTTCTTCAGTTTGTTAAGAATTTCCTTTATAATATTTGTACTAATAATTAGTAGTTTTTCTGAAGAAAGAACTTGCTGAGTGGGGGTAAATCTCTACTGAGACCTTGTCTGAATTATTTCTAAATTATAATTTAATGAGCCAAAACTTCATCTATCAAATTCACTCTTCCCCTCCGGTGGCCATCAGCCACTTCTGGGAGCCCGGACGTGTTACCTCACACCCTGGGTCTGCCTTGGTGTGCTGACGTGCCTCCTCAATAAAAGACAAAGGACGGTCACCACTGCCCTAACCTGTTCCTCAGAGACCACGTTGATGGAAGTTTTAAGTGGCACCATAGCCTTGGCACTAATTCACCTGCATTTTTAATAGGGCAAAAGGTGACTTGCTGCAATAATAAATTCTGAAATTTAATTTCAGCTTCTGACATTCACGGTTGAGCGTATCTTCCTTTTCCATGAGAGCTTCCACAAATCACTCAAGAACACCTTCCACCGCGCAATAGAAAATGATAAAGCACCTAGGGAAGGGGACAGAATGTCTGGCAGAACCTTGGGTTACATCATACAGAGAACAGGGTTCTTCCTAGCTGAAAGGCTCAGGATGCTCTCTGCAGCATGTAGGCAACCCCAGGAAATCCGCTAACCATAAAAACTGCAGTAAATAAGTTCTTGCTTCATGGAGCCAGAGACAGGGGCTTTCTTTTTTTTCTGGCAGCGGGGACAGGGTCTGGCTCTGTAGTCCAGGCTGGAGTACAACGGTGTGATCTCAGCTCACTGCAGACTCCACCTCCCAGGTTCAAGCGATCCTCCTGCTTCAGCCTCCTGAGTAGCTGGGACTACAGGTATGCACCACCATGCCCAACTAATTTTTTGTATTTTTAGTAGAGACCGGGTTTCACCATGTTGGCTAGGCTGGTCTCAAACTCCTGACCTCAGGTGATCTGCCCTCCTTAGCCTCCCAAAGTGCTGGGATTACAGGCATGAGCCACCAGGCCCAGCCAGGGGCTTTCTTAAAGAACACAACACTGAATTCCTTTTCCCTGATGCTCAGCCAAAACCTCATTTGTTATCGTAAGTGATTTTAGGATGAGGATGAAATCACATTTCTTCCTATTGTTTTATTGAAAATCACGGACTATAATGATATTTCTTCTTTTTTACATATTCTTACATGATTTGCAACAAGCATTTTTCTTTTTAAGGATATTTTGTGCCCTGCCCACAACCTGCAAGTCCTAACTTGTTAGGTATTTAAGACTCTGATAAAAATATATTAGACCAGACCGGGTACAGTGGCTCATTCCTGTAATCCTAGCACTTTGGGAGGCCGAGGTGAGTGGATCACCTGAGGTCAGGAATTCTAAACCAGCCTGGCCAACATGGTGAAACCCCATCTCTACTAAAAATACAAAAATCAGCCAGGTGTGGTGGCACATGCCTGAAATCAGCCGGGTGTGGTGGCATGTGCCTGTAATCCTAGCTACTCGGGAGGCTGAGGCAGGAGAATTAGTTTGAACCCGGGAGGCAGAGGTTTCAGTGAGCCAAGATCATGCCATTGCACTCCAGCCTGGGTGACAGAGTGAGACTCCGTCTAAAAAAAAAAAAAAAATATATATATATATACACACACACACACATATATATATACACATATATACACATATATATACACATATATACACACATATATATACATATATACACATATATACATATGTACACATATATACATATATACACACATATATATACACACACATATATACACACACATATATATACACACATATATACACACACATATATATACACATATATATATACACATATATATATACACACACACATAGGGCAAAAGGTGGCTTGCTGCAATAATAAATTCTGAAATTTAATTTCAGCTTCTGACATTCATGGTTGAGCATATCTTCCTTTTCCATGAGAGGTTCCACAAATCACTCAAGAACACCTTCCACTGCGTAATAGAAAATGATAAAGCACCTAGGGAAGGGGACAGAATGTCTGTGTGTGTGTGTGTATATATATATATATATATATATATATATATATATATATATATATGTGTGTGTGTGTATATATATGTGTGTATATATATACACACACATATATGTGTGTGTGTGTGTGTGTGTATGTGTGTGTGTGTGTTTATAGTGACCAAGAAATCTACCAAGAAGAACCTGTTTAGCTATTAAGGTCCAGCCTTCCTCAATTCCCAAACACTTAAGTCGTGGAGAAGATGAGTGAATAAAGAGGTATTTTTCCCAAACTTCATCAAGAAGAGCACCCATGTACATCTTGGAAAACCTAAAGGTTCCAGCTCCTCCAGTAACCCATCATGAAGAGTCATATTTTAGGATCTAATAGGAACATTCCCTTCCTTGCCCCAACACAAAGTTGAGCTCTCCCGCAAGAGGGCTGCTTTCCCTAAGAGTCCAGGAGAAAAGGCAGCTGTCTCAGTGGAAACATTGCTGAATACTGTAAGAACTATGGGGAAGACCTTAAAGAAGTCACCAATTCAAGAAAATTTTTCTTACACAACCGGGGATTGTGGGGTGAGGAGTTGAGATTGAGGATCAAGGGACAAGATCAAATATGGAAACTAAGAAAATCCTAAAATGCAGAAGAGGAGAAAAATTAACACTTCTTTAAGAGGAATCAGAAGCCTCTCTCTCTCTCTCTCTCTCTCTCTCTCTCTCCTCTCTCTTTCTTTCAATCTCTCTCTCTCTCACACACACACATACACACATACACATACACAAACACACATACACACACAGTCTTAGAGAAATGATTCAGCCTTTTAAATACACAGATGCCTGCATTCCCTCTCGCTCTCCACATACCCTCTGGAGATTCTGACTGAGTCAGTTCAGTCCAGGACTCTATATTTTTAAAATATTAATATCATTCCAGGGATTTCAGGGAATATATCCTGGGGATTGCCGGACGTATCTGCTCTAGCTCTATTGTAAAGGCCAGGCCTGCCGAAGTTTCTACTTGTTGTCCTCTTTCTGTCCATGGCCTCCCACTATTTGAGTGTGCCCCACCCCTTCAGCCTTTGCCCATCAAGTCTGAATTGCTCTCCATTCTATGACTTGTCAGCCCTTGCAACTTAGAGAAAGGAAACTAGATTTTCCTCCCATTGTCTTCCCATTTTCCATATCAGGCCTTTTTGACAATCTGAGCTCTCCTCATTACGGAGAGTCTGGCCCTGTAGTTCACAATGTGAGAATGTTGATTCCAGAAAAGGCTTCGAACCTCTCAGCTGGACCTATTAAGAAGTTGGTGCTACATGCCAAAGCTGTTTTCTCCAGTCTCATTTTCTCATGTCTTGAAATAGAGACATTACAGAAAAGATGTTGATCTTAAGGAGTTTAACAACAAAGCCCGGCTGCTCAAAGTACAGTCCAGTATCTTAAGACAAATTCCAGGGTAAGTCCAACCAATTGCCATCACCAGCAAGGGTCCAGTCTCCAAGGCATCACTTCAGCCAGGCCCATGCCTACTGCCCTGTCCTGGTTTCCCCTAGTCAAATAACTCAAGCTTTAATTTTTTAACCAAAGTACTCTAAACCCCTCATTTCCAGTGGAACAAACAGGTGAGTCCATAAGGCCACCTTTTTTTAAGACTTGATTTTTTAGAGCAGTTTTAGGTTCACAGCAAATTTGAGAGAAAGGCACAGAGATTTCCCATATACTCCCTGCCCCCATTCATGCACAGCCACCCCCATGATCAGCACCCCCACCACAGTGTGCATTTGTTACAACTGAGGAACCTACATTGACACATTGTTATCACTCAGAGTCCACAGTTGACACTAGGGTTCAGTCTTAGTGTTGTATATCAGGGGTCCCCAACCCCTGGGCTGCAGATCCTGACTGGTCCATGGTCTGTTAGGAACCGGGCCACATAGCAGGAGGTGAGCAGTGGGCACGGGAGCATTACTGCCTGAGCTCCACCTCCTGTCAGATCAGTGGCAGCATTAGATTCTCATAGGGGCGCAAACCCTACTGCGAATGGCACATGCAAGGGATCTAGGTTGCCTGCTCCTTATGAGCATGTAATGCCTGATGCTCTGAGGATCTGAGGTGGAACAGTTTCATCCTGAAACCATCCCCCTACCCCCACCTGGTCTATGGAAAAATTCTCTTCCACAAAACTAGTCCCTGTTGCCAAAATTGTTGGAGACCACTGTTGCACATTCTATGGGTGTAGACAAATGTCTAATGACGTGTCCACCTTTGTAGTATCATACAGAATAGTGTCACTGCCCTAAAAACCCTCTGTGCTCCATCTATTCATCCATTCCCTCCACACCCACCCCTGGCAACCAATAACCGTCTTATTATCTCTGTATTTTTTACCATAAGTCCAGATTTTTGTTATTCACAAACTGCCTACAACCTTGCTCGAAGTTAGCATTGCCCCAATGTCCTGTTCTGATAAGAACTCCCAATATTTAACTATAGACCTTCAGTCAGGATCAGAAATAAAGTCATATAATGCCTTACTCCAGGCTTTAATTGTATGCTCTAACTACAACAAAATCTCTAAACTTAAGAATCACACATTCATCAATGTGCTGTTTGGATTCAATATTTTTTTAATAGAACAACAAATGCACACTTAGCCCAGACTAAATAGCTGTTAACTATAAAGTGGCTCAGACATTTGCTTTCAAAATAACCTGCCTTTACAGTTCTGTAGCAAGGTCTCTGGTCGGTTCAGCATGCACTCTTCAAGAGTGACCCTGGCCTTATTGGGATCCTGGGTTTTAGGATTGGACACATACACTCATAATGTATGCATTAATATGCCTAGCACAGTATGCAACTCTCTGTTTCTCACATTTCACTGCAGTTTCTACTCCAGCCTTCACAGCAATTTATTTCCACCATGCTCTGGGCACTTTTATTTGACCTTCTGGGCATGAGGTCTCCTGGCACGTGTATCTTCCAAGCCCAGTAAAGGCCATGTTTAAAACCAAATGAGAGCCTTCGCTGTGTGACACTGAAACAGCTTGATCATTTTTGCACAAAATTACTTGCATCTTGGCAGGGCTAAGTGGTAAACTCAATTAATAAATCGTGAAATTTAATTTCTACTTCTGACATTTATTGTTAAGCATGTGCTTCCTTACCCTCCAGAGGTTCTACTTTCCATTTAACCTCGAGGTGTTAGGGCTCCGCCTGCACTCTCCCTTTCCTCAAACACACCGTGCTATGAAAAACACCCCATGTGGCAAAACCCAAAATTGATGTGGAGTGCAATTCCATTCTGCACATTGAAGCCGTATATACATAGCACCACGTGTGGAGCAAGTTGGGCATGCAGACGGGGAGAATCAGTGTTTGCTGGCAAAGAGGAAATCAGGCCTCAACACATCCAAGCTGCATGGATTAAGTTCTTCTGATCACATTAACCTCACAATGAGCACATCCCCCTTATCTCACCCTGAGCAGAGCTGAGAGAACACAGGCAGTGCAGGAAGCAGTTGTTGCCTCTTCTAGGGGCCTGTCTCTTGGAAATTACTAATCTAGATATTCCAGAATTTCTAGTACTCATCTTTGTATAGGTAAAGAACTGTAGTCCATGATCTGAGCTAGATTCAGACCAAGACCACCACGAAGAGGTTGGTTTCAGAGCACAACCCACAGCAGGTGAGTACAGTGGAACAGAACAGGCAAGACACTGCTGCATTTTTTTTTCAGCTTTATTTTCTTCCAGAAAGCAATTATATCCAGCAAGTCAACTATGAATTTTTTTTTTTTTTTAAGACAGAGTCTCATTCTGATGCCCAGGCTGGAGTGCAGTGGTGCTATGTCGGCTCACTGCAACCTCTGCCTCCCGGGTTCAAGTGATTCTCTTGCCTCAACCTCCTAAGTAGATGGGACTACAGGCGCACACCAACCTGCCCAGCTAATTTTTATATTTTTAGCAGAGATGGCGTTTCACCATGTTGGCCAGGCTGGTCTTGAACTCCTGACCTCAAATGTTCCGCCCACCTCGGCCTCCCAGAGTGCTAGGATTACAGGCATGAGCCACCGTGCCTGACCATGAATTTTGAATTTAATACGCAAAGTTTTAGTGGTAAGGGGAACTCTATGAATTTATGAGATTATTAGAGAAAATATAAACATGGGGACACTACGTATTTATTTTTATAATCCTTTTAAAATTTAGAAATGATTACTGTGACTGATTCTCAAATGACAGTTGATATCCCTAAAACATCTCATTATTATGAGAAAAGCCTACAAGAATTTACATATTACCATTTCAAATTTTATTAACATTTGTGCCTCCATTAAAGCACCTCAGGATGCCCTCAATATTTTGAGAAAAGTCTACTTTTGAAATACACATATAGCTCAGTCTTTCACTAATTTCACTTGCTGCATGCTTGATAGGGTTAGCTTTACTTAAAGTCTTTATTCTTACTGCCTAGATAATTTTTATTCAACTGCTCTAAACATACTAAGCAATCTTGATTCTAACAGTAATAATATATCTTTGTTACTGGTTCTGTTAATTCTAATGATTGGTCCTAGGCTGTTCCTCCCCTTCCTTTAGGAATGGTACCTTCCAGTCTCTCCATGTGCATGAAAAGTGACAAGCATGGGTCCCCATATTTCTACTTATTGGGCCACCCTAAAGACACGGTTTGTAAAATCTGCATGAATATTATCTTTCTCTAATGAGCCTTGGTTTTGCATATGTTTTTAACTGATGTATAATGCTTTCTCTTTCATAGTAGCTTGTCTAATTATTTCTAGAGTTCTGGAATATATGTATAGCTCAGACCTTATAAGTGATAAGGATAAGATTTGCAGATTCATGAAAATTTGAGATGCACCGCATTCTAGCAGGGGCCAGCCTAGAATGACCCCAGCAGGAAGGAAGCAGGTAGAGAACAGCAGAGCAGCACTGGCCGCGTTCCACCCCACATATTTCAGAGCATCCTCCCTGGGATTCAGTGCAAGTCACTAAATTTGTTTCCTCTCAGCCAAAGTATAGACAGCTGTAACCTAAGCTATCCTTTTTGTGTCCGATAGAAAGAGAGCCACAGTTGCCAGACCTTCTAGCCCTAGAAACTCCAAACTCCACCTGGCATCATGGGTATTTCCCAGCCTGCTCTGTGGCAGTTATCCAATCAGGACAAGATCCTGTCACCTTCCTTCCTCCATACTCAGTGATGCACCAAGTTTAAAGAAAAAAAAAATTTTAAGGGCCCAATTGTGACTATTTTTTTTAAAGTAGTCATAACTTTACATCGAGTTAGTATTCGCTACTGTTTCAAAAGGAATATTCTCAAGTGTTGGCTATATTTTAGCCTTGGTTAAAAAATCTCAAGGAAAGAAAATGTAACCCATAATTTTTTAAAAAATCAGAATGTAGATGATAGCCTTGCAACCATGGTTCAAGCAACTTTTTACCCCTGAAATACATCCCTAGAGCAGCCCACATTTCACTGTCACATTCTGCAGTGGCATGTAGCTACTGCCGCAATTTAACTGGACTGGGATTTTATATGTCACTTTGGCTTTTTAGCAGAAACTGTACTCATGCTCAGTCTCCATGGTTAGCCATATAAGTATAAATCAAACTGACACACTTCTCAATTCTGGTTTGATTCTATCCCATTCACACTGTCACAACCATGGCTAAGCACCCCTCCACCAAATTCTTTTAAACTGGCTCTCTGAATTTTTTCTGAAACATATTTTCCAATTGTTAATGACCCTGCTAATTACCATCCAGGACTGGCTAGAATTTAACATAAAAGACAACATTATTCATTAAGTAAATTATTTAATTGGCTTACTACTAAACATTTTCTTATCAAAAAGTTTTATGCTTATATAAATTTATGTAGATACACACACACACACACACACACACACACAAAACCATCACAGTCATTCCTTGAAGCTATCTACAAAAACAAATTTTAAATGTATCATTTCTCCAAAGTATGTCTCTCAAAAGGTAACTTGCTGATCAGGGAAAACTACATAGCTAAGTTAAGGCATAAAGGAGAAAGTTGCAATGTGCTAGAAAAGGGATAAAGCCATGGAATACTTATTGGGGAAATCTAGTCCAATGACTGTAGGTTAAGGAGGGATAGATTTCTGTTTCTGACAAAAGAAAAGTCTATGCTTGCCATATAATTTACTTTAACTAGTCTGTAATCCATGGGGATGAGGAGGCCTGAGTCAATTCACTAGAGTCATTAACTTTAAAAAAAGAGAGAGAGGGCTCTTTGTGGTTTCAGTTCAGTTCCATAAGCATCTGTCAAGCACCACCTGTGACCCCAGGCCTGTTGCTCATTGCTAGGGATATAAAGATTAATAAAAAGGCTCTGCTATGTCCATTCATAAGCTAGGATGGAAGACAGGGAGATAATTACATAATGGGGCAAGATCAATAGTATCAGCAAAGGGTGATAAGAACCCAAAGCAGGCAGTAAACTAATCTGCTTAGCAGAATTGTAGAAAATTCTACCCAAGTGGTAAAATTTTAGCTGGGCATTGCTTTCACCAGAGTGGAAAAAAGATAAGCCTGTTTGTTTCCAAGCAGACGAAATGGTTCAAGGAAAGTCAGGGAGATGTGTTCAGAACAGCTATAACATAGGCTAAATGGCAAAGGGGGATAGCCAAAATGAAAGAGGAGCCCTTTAAAAAATAGCCTTCTGGCTGGGCACGGTGGCTCACAGCTGTAATCCCAACATTTTAGGAGGCCAAGGCAGGAGGATCGCTTGAGGCCAAAAGATTGAGACTAGCCTGGGCAACATAGCAAGGCCTTATCTATACAAAAAAATAAACAATTAGCCAGGTGTGCAAGCACATGACTGTAGTTCCATCTACTTGGGAAACTGAGGCAAGAGGATTTCTTGAGCCCAGTAGTTTGAGGCTGCAACGAGCGATGATTGCACCACTGTACTCCAGCCTGGGTGACAGAGTGGGACCCTGTCTCAAAAGAAAAGAAAAGAAAAGAAAAAAATACCTTCTATCCCAAGCGAAGGAATCTGAGGTTTATATAATCAGATGTCACCAAAAGAAATTTTTTAATGGGAGGGTAAAAACATCTGTATTTGGAAATATACCTCAGTAGTATTTAAGATGGGCTTTATAGAAAAATGCAGGCAGTTAAAATGTTATTGCAGAAGTTGAAGCAAATGACGTGAGGGCTGGAATTAAGAAAGTGGTGGTGGAAATAGCACATTGGGGTTGGATATTGGGGATATTTCAGTCATTTCATTGATGAAAATAAAGAAGGTTGGTGAATAATGAATGTGAAGGACAGGATCAGAGAGGAGGACTGTGGCCCTGGGCTGGGTGGGAGATGATGTCAGGAAGCTAACAGGAAACACAAGTGAAGGGCCAAGCTTAGGCAGAAGGATGATGAGGGGAATTTTGGACTTACTGAGCTTCAGAGGCCTGAGAGACACTTAAGTGAGGAAGCCCAGAAACAGGGCACTTGGATGAGGCACTCAGGAGCTGGAGCCGGAGCATTTGGGGAGTCCTGGAAAGGACTTGGAGCCATAAGTGGGGCTGAGCTCTCCCAGAGAGCACCCACTGCATACAGAGAGAGGAGCGCCAGATGACAAAGCCACATTGGACAGGGAAGTAAGAGAAGTTGGTGAAGAAAATCAGGAGAGGGCAATCTGAGAGACAGGAAGAGAACCAGAGAGAAAAGCAATTTGGAAGCCAGAGAGGGGCTTCAAAAATAATTACCCATTTTCTAGATGAAAAAGTGGTTGCACCACCCAGAGATAGGCTGGGAAGCAAGTTAGAAAAGGAGTGGAGAGGACTGGCGCAATGCCAGGCACATAGCACTCAAGACATGATGGCTTTGTGTGGATTGTGGGTGGGAAGTGGCCTTCGCCTGCTACTCCATGGACCTCTCTATAGGCCCTCCCCACATGCCTCCCCATGTTCTGAGCCACTCCAGGAACCCACCCAGTGTGGACACCCACCTCGGATAACTAGAGCTTCTACTTAGCTCCAGCCATGGGGGCCCAGGCCCTGTTGTTTCTGCTTTCTTTTTTCAGAGGCAGAGGTGGTCAGAGTGCAAAGATGAGTAAGATACCATCTCTACACTAAAGTAACTCTCTATATGGGGAAGGGTTAAGGAAAACGGGGTGCTTGTAGGTTACCAAAACAAAAAAATGTCGCACTCTTGTTGAAATCATTTCTTGGGTTCCTTTCCCGGCTGATGTATAAGGTATTCTGGAAACAGGCATGCTCTGCCCAATTTCTCTTTTCCTGTGACATACTGCATTTTAAAATCTGAATTTTATCAAGACTCCAATGACGAAGTCCCCTCAAAGATCTCCAGTTTCACTATGATAACAAAATCTAATGACGGATTCAACCCGTCAGCCCCTGTAACAACTAACACTGTTGGTCAGTGTATTCGCTGGATTTTCTCTTACCTGTTCAATTGCTCCTCTGGGGTCTTCAACTCTCTTTCCACCCATAACAGCCCTCCCCACCCTTTCCTTCAGGATCTCTCTTGCTCTCATGGTTCCACCTGTCCCACTGTGCAGAGGACTCTTGTGTCTGTTTGCCACCCCTGCCTTCATTTCACAGCTTCATCCCAAGACTTCAAACTGCCTGCTAGACAATTCTACCCAGATACCCTGCATTTATGCATTGAAAATTGTATTCATGACCTTCCCTCCCAAAATATTCCTCCTCTTGAATCACCTATTAATTAAGGGGCCATCAACCCTCCTGGTTGGCTCAAAACTACCTTGGCTGGCTTCCCCACTCGTGTGTGTGTGTGTGTGTGTGTGTGTGTGTGTGTGTGTGTGTGTGTGTACAACCAGTCCCCAGATGTGAGCATACTTCTTTCATTTCCCACATCAGCCTCTCCTCCATTCCCATTGTCATTCTGTCCCAGTTCAGGCCCACTCCCCCGGATTAGACAGCCTTTACTTGTTTGCCCTACTGCTATACTGCTATGGTATATCTTCCCTGCTCATTGATGCCACAGTTGTCCTAAAGGATTGCCCCACTCAAAATCTTTTCCATCTAAAAAAAAAAAGAAAACCTTTTTTTTTTTTTTTGAGACAGTCTTGCTCTTTCACCCAGGCTGGAGTGCAGTGGCACAATCTCGGCTCAGGGGAATCTCTGCCTTCTGGGTTCAGGCAATTCTCACCTCAGTCTCCCAGGTAGCTAGAATTACAGGCATATGCCACCGCCCCCAGCTACTTTTTGTATTTTTAATAGAGACAGGGTTTCACCATGTTGGCCAGGCTGGTCTTGAACTCCTGGCCTCAAGTGATCTGCCTGCCTTGGCCCCCCATAGTGTTGGGATTACAGGTGTGAGCCACTGCACCCAACAAAAACCTTTAAGTGCATCCCCAAGCCATCCGTGATTTGGCCCCATCCTGCTATTCACTCTCATCTCCTATCTCACACAATACTCCATTACATAGATGTGTTCCAGTTACACGGGAACACTTGTCATTGACCTGCATCCCCACCTTCAGGGTTGGGCACATGCTGTTTTCTTGGCTTAGTAAACCCTTTCCCCAAATCTTGTCCTCCTTCAAGATCCAGGTCCAAAGCTTGCCTCCTCCATGAATCCTTTCCCAAGTCCGGCAATCAGAAGGGATCTCTCAGTCGTCTGAAGTCTCATAGCCCTCATGCTTCTTTCCTGTTCTCTCTCACTCTCTGCTTTGCAGCATAGTTATCAGTGTCCACATACTTCCTCCCCTTTGTGGTATTCAAACTCCTTGAAGCCAGGAACCTAGGTTCTTTGTACAGTGCTTAGCAGATTGAGGACAACAAGAAAGACTGAATAAGTAAGTGAATGGATGAATAAACATCTTGCAGTTTATCAAGATGTTTGTCAGAACGAGGTCATCATTCTGACAGCAAATTTCAATGCAGGTTTTTATTTAGATGGTTGTAGAAGCCACAAGATTGGTGGCCCAAATTTTCACTGACACTCTCAATCTAATCTAAAGAGGGGGGGGGGTCCCTTTTGTTTTTTAAATAATTTCCTGCCTATCCACTTATTCTCATGTAATGTATCTCTGTGTTAATTGTTGAGTGGAAGAAAACTGGCTACTTGAATGTTCCAGGTAGTTGCTTCTGGTTCATCTAAGTTTTACTGTTACTACAAAGTGTTTTTTCTCACATTGTAATTGTGACCTATGTTGGCAGCACAAACTGTAGTCTAATATGCCAGTGCTGCTGGGCTACAGAAATGCCATGTCTAGCACGGTCTCCTGGAGACATAAGGTAGCCAGGACCTGTGGAATGAGAGCTAATGTTAGGTCTGTCTGAATGAGATTCTGTGCCTGCCTTTCTGTTGTGGAAAAGGGGCTGCCACGAAAATTCTCTAAGCTCCCTTCTAGTCTCCTGGGTCTCTACCAAGTTTAACCAAATTTGCCTCTTATATGTCAGCCATTGTTTGATGCTGTAGGGACTCCAGAAAAAAAATATATATATATATATATGGCATTGTTCCTCCCTCGAGGAGCTCTCCATCTCACTAAAGAGCTGAAAATTCTTACTTAGAATAAGAGAGTACAAACCAGAATAAGAGCATTTGAGGCAAGTAGCAGAAATAATGACCAGAATAGTCAGACAGGGCTCCTTGGAGGAAGGTAGTCTTGAGATACCCTTAAGGAGCCAGTGGATTTTAGATGGGCAGAGAGGAGAGCAAAGGGCTCTACAACTTGAAACGAATGTAGGATATTGTCAGAGATGATTTTGAAGCTGACACGCAAATGATATATCTAGAGCATAGGGTTCCTACCAAAAGGTAAAGTCACAAAAGCATTGAATGATTGGAAGAAGCAGATATCTAGAAACTAATGACAATGAGAAGGCACAGAAAGTTCTCAAGCATCATATTGACACTGCCAAAGAAGTGCTTTATGGGTGGTGGCAAACATTTCTGGAAAGGGTTTTTAATCCTGTGTACCCATTATCATCACCTGTGGATTTGGATTTGAAAAATACCCACAGAGGCTCCTCCCTAGACCAATTCAACCAGAACGGGGTGGGAAAGACTGGCAGGCAGAGGTGGGCTTCTGCTGTTGTTAACATGCCCCAGGTCAATATGATGAGAAGCCAGAGCTAAGAACCAGTGGACTAGAGGTAGATCAGATAAGCTATTAAGATAACCTAGGAGATGCAGGGATGGGGTAATGAGAAACTAAAAACAGAAGTAAGATGCAGGTGAGTTGTCAATACCAAGAGCCTTGAAAGAAGAATCAATAAAACCTGCTGAATGATGGTATAAAGGGACTAAGAATTAAGAAGGATTCAAAAAGTATCCCCACGTTAGAAACTAAGTATTTGAGAAAACGGCAGAGCCATCATCAGGGAAAAAGACATAGGAAAATTCTAAAGTGATGCCGTTAACTAGCTGTGCAACCTTTCAAGAATTACCTAATTTCTCTGGACCTTGGTCTACTCATCCATAAAATAATAGGGTTCAGTTATAAGATGCCTTAGTTCCTTTTTAATGCTTACATGGAGAGTACTATGAATGAATTAATCTGAGGGTATAAAAAAACACGTGGCCAGGAGTGGTAGCTCACGCCTGTAATCCCAGCACTTTGGGATTACAATTAGCTGGGCGTGGTGGCAGGCGCCTGTAGTCCCAGCTACCCAGGAGGCTGAGGCAAGAGAATCGCTTGAACCCGGGAGGCGGAGTTTGCAGTGAGCCGAGATCACGCCATTGCACACCAGCCTGGGCAACAAAGCGAAACTCCGTCTCAAAAAAAAAAAGGAATTTTAAGATGTATGTGAACATTCAAATAGTGATTCACAACAAGCAACTGCATCATAGTTGTGGCTTCAGCAGTTAAAACCGAAAGAGCAGATGGAGTCCCCAGGGAAGGGCACGGAAAAGTGGGGGGAGGGAGGCTGGCAAAGGCGAGCAAGAACACAGACATTCCCTCATTGCCGGCTCCAGGCTCTGTGTCACCTTCCTGCTACTTTGAGACACATGAGCAGTGATACAGAGGCTACTTTCCCTCATAACCCCAACTTTAATGTATAGACACAATCATTGTACTATGACCACTTGGAGCTGCTTTCATACACTGGGTTTTTCTGATGAAAGATTGTTTGATGTTAGCATAGTACCTTCAAAAAAAGGAGTTGGGTCTTTTTGCTATTCCTTATGAAAATTCACTACTACAGAAAAAGCAACTAGCAGGAATACTTAATGTCTTTTTATATTCAAGATGTTTCTCATACATATATATATATATATATATATATATACACATATATATAAAATGCCAGAGGGGAGAAAAATTATCTCTTCTAAGTAAAATACATCTGTTCAGTTGGCCTTTTCCATTATAGCCATCAATAGCTTGTTACCCCTGGGCATACAGCAGTCAATATCTTTAGCTTGTTTTCAAAGTAAAATATCAGGCAATGCCCAGGCAAAAAAAAAATCTCACTGCTTACTCACCATGTAAGTGAAATGTTGCTTGCCTTTCAGTGATCAAATACAGTGAAACCATGTCCCAATCTCTCTACATCCAAAGCTCCAAGGCATGTAAAAAAGCTCTGGCTAGAAACCCCAAGTTGTGCTATGGTTGTGAAAGACATAAATACACAAATGGCCAACAAGCATAAGAAAAGAGGTTTGATATCACCAGTTATCAGGGCAATGCAAATCAAAATCCCAGTGAGATATCACCTCACACCAGTGGATGGCAACTATTTAAACAAACACACACGCCTGTAATCCCAGAACTTTGGGTGGATCACCTGAGGTCAGGAATTCAAGACCAGCCTGGCCAACATGGTGAAACCCCTTCTCTGCTAAAATTACAAAAAATTAGCCAGGCATGGTGGAGGGCACCTGTAATCCTAGCTACCCGGGAGGCTGAGGCAGGAGAATCACTTAAACTCAGAAGGCAGAGGTTGTAGCGAGTGGAGATCGCACTATTGCACTCCAACCTGGGCAACAAGAGCAAAACTCCATCTCAAAAATAAAAATAAAAATACACAGAAAATAACAAGTGTTGGCAAGGATGTGAAGAAATTAGAACTCTTGTGTTCTGTTTGTGGGATTGCAAGTGTGGCCATTATGGAAACGGTATGGAGGTTCTTCAAAAAATTAAATATGGAATTACCATATAATCCAACAATCCCACTTTTGGAGATTTTATATATATATATATATAATTTATATATATAGACACACTCATAAAAATATTTATACATATAAAATATATAGGATCTCAAGGAGATATTTGCACATTCTTGTTCATTGCAGCATTATTCACAATATTTATAATAACCAAAAGGTGGAGCAGCCTCAATGTCCATCAACACATGAATGGATAAAGAAAATGTGGGAGGGATGTGTGTGTGTCAGTGTGTGTGTACACCTACGTACAGTGGAATTTCTTTTTTCTTCAACTTTTAAGTTCAGGGTCCATGTGCAGGATGTGCAGGTTTGTTATGCAGGTAAACATGTGCCATGGTGGTTTGCTGCACAGATCACCCCATCACCTAGGTATTAAGCCCAGCATCCCTTAGCTGTTCTTCCTGATGCTCTCCTTCCCCCCAAGCCCTGACAGGCCCCAGTGTGTGTTGTTCCCCCCTCAATTTGTCCATGTGTTCTCACCATTCAGCTCCCATTTATAGTGAGAAGATGCAGTGTTTGGTTTTCTGTACCTGTGTCAGTTTGCTGAGGATAATGGCTCCCAGCTCCAACCATGTTTCTGCAAAGGACATGATCTTGTTCCTTTTATGGCTGCATAGTATTCCATGGTACATATGTACCACATTTTCTTTATCCAGTCTATCATTGATGGGCATTTAGGCTGATTCCATGTCTTTAGTATTGTAAATAGTGCTGCAGTAAACATATGCATCCATATATCTTTATAATAGAATGATTTATATTCCTTTGGGTATATACCCAGTAATGGGATTGCTGGGTCAAATGGTATTACAATGGAATATTATTTAGCCTTAAAAAAGAAGGAAATCCTGTCATCTGCTACAACATGAATGAACCTTGAGGACATTATGGGAAGTGAAATAAGCCAGTCACAAAAAGATGAATACTGCATGATTCCACTTACATGAGGCATCTAAAGTAGTCAGGCTCTTAGAAACAGGACATAGAACGTGGTTGCCAGGGGCTGGGGAGGAGGGAAAGGGTGAGTTCAATGGATATAGAGTTTCAGTTTTGCAAGATGAACTTTTAGGGATCTGTTACACATAACACTACTGTACTGCACACTTACAAATGGTTAAGATGGTAAGTTTTATGTTTTTTACCACAATAATTAAAAAAAAGACACTGCCACACAGGAGCTCCAGCAGCCCTAAGCCTTCAGCGGAGGTTACTTCAGAGGATTGCCCCCCTTCCTGAGCTTCATTTGATACATTATGCAGCCTTCAGGACAATTAGATAAGAGGTGCTGAGTTTCTTAAAGGAGCAATCAGTAGGAGCCAGGCAGCTCATTATCATAAGGTTGGCATTATCATCAGTTCACTCTCTAGTTATCAGGTTTTTGTTCAGCTTCTGTTTTTGCTGCTATTGTTTTGGGTCCTGCCCCTGATTGATTTTGGAAGGAGGACTCTACCAGGGGCAGTAAGGAAGTAGAACTGCATGTATAGAAAAGGAGGTTCCAGGGTCTGGGAGGTGTCGGTGGTTTATTTATATTCCTTTGTACCCCACCTCTTTTCACGATGACTTATTATAGACAGTAGCCCAGGTTCAGTAGGGAGGAAGAATATCAATTGTCTTGACAGCCACTCTAGGTAGGAGCTTGCAAAACAGACAAATACTAATAGAACACAATCCTGATTCTGACTCAGAAGCACACTGACAAGGGAAAAGCGTTTCCATTCATCTTCACTGGGAGCTGCAAGTGGCAGGCTAAGGCACTCCCTATGGGGATAGGTAATGTAAATGTAAACATTGCAAGGTTATTTAGTATTGCAAAATGTGACATGAAGATCATGGCTTTCTTTTTGCCTTTCTGTGACCTTGTCTCTCAGGAAATTTTTACTAGGTTATTATCTTATCTGTTTCACAGTTCCAAAGCACTAGATCTATTATTTGCAAGCATGATTGTGCCCAGAGCCTCATGTTTAACACTGGATAGAAAATGCAAATCAAAATCACAATGAGGTATCACCTCACACCAGTGGATGTCACCTATTTAAAAAAAACACACGCCTGTAATCCCAGCACTTTGGGAGGCCAAGGCAGGCCTACATTGTGTGAATGAATGAAATAAGGTTAAGAAATAAGAAAAAGAAATAAGGTTAAGGTCAACCATAGTGGCTCACACCTGTAATCCCAGCACTTTGGGAGGCCAAGGTAGGAAGATCGCTTGAGCCCAGGAATTCCAGACCAGCCTGGCCAACGTAGTGGGACCCTGTATCTACAAAAAATACAAAGATTAACCAGGCTTGGTGGTGCATGCCTGTAATCCCAGCTACTCAGGAGGTTGAGGAACGCTTGAGCCCACAAGGTTGAGGCTGCAGTGAGCCGTGATTGCACCACTGCACTCCAGCCTGGGTGACAGAGAGCAAGACCCTGTCTCAAAACAGAAAAAAAAAAATTAAGTGAAATAGCAAGTCAGGTCCTTCCCTCCAGAAGGTTATGGTCTTTCAGGAAAAAAAAAAAAAAGTATGCCTATGAATGAAGGGGCTTAAATAATCGTTACATAAGAATATAATACATACACACACCCATGTGAAGGAGAATGTCCGTAGAGTGAGATGGAGGCTTTTTAAAGACAGAATTCCTGCCTCTCCAGTCTTCAGCATCCCAGAATAAAAATTATATCCCTTTAGGCCAGGCGCAGTGTCTCACGCCTGTAATCCCAGCACTTTGGGAGCCTGAGGTAGGCGGATCATGAGGTCAGGATTTCAAGACCAGCCTGACCAACATGGTGAAACCCCATCTCTACTAAAAATACAAAAATTTGCCAGGCGTGGTGATGCACACTTGTAGTCGCAGCTACTCAGGAGGCTGAGGCAGGAGAATAGCTGGAACCCAGGAGGCAGAGCTTGCAGTGAGCTGAGATCACACCACTGCACTCCAACCTGGGCGACAGATCGAGACCACATCTCAAAAAAATAAAATAAAATAAAATATGTGTATTGCTGTGTAAAGTGAGTCCATTTTGAGAAAGAACTACCATATCTAACTGAAAGGCCTGGTTTCCTCCACTTATAAAGAGAAGGTACAAAATAAACTCAATCCATAAAAGAAAGTGGTATTGGATCCAGCAGATTCTGAGGTAGATCTCGGGGGAGTACAAGTGTGCTTGAAAAATCAAAAGGCTGGAACTAAGCCTTTAATACCTCACAGCAAGCTGGAGGTTCAGTTTGGACTGCTGAACAGAATGCAACAAAATCCAGTCAATTATTTTCACCTCTATAGCCCAGCAAAGAGTAAACAATTTTTCAGCTGAAATTTTTTCTCACTTCGCGTTTTTGTCATCCTTCTCTACCTGATCGTTCCTTAATCCACCCACCCCAATAAATGGGCACTTCTACTTTGAAACAGGGAAAGATGGACTCACAGTTGGGGATTGGAGCTTATGAGAATGGGAAAAGACAGCCAGAAACCATCTGGTCCTGCCAGAGACCTCAGAAGAGAAAATAAAGGAAAGGTGTTTATGTTTTTCTGAATTTCTGGTTAGTAGATTACTCCAGAGAGAAGCATTTAGAAGCTTTGGCCTCACTTTTTGACCTTCAAATATATGCATATTCCCATGGCAGGAGCATAGCCAGTCTGTCCACACAGGTCCTCACCCCCTTGGGGCCAATCTGACAAGGAGAGGGGAAGGAGGGACAGAGAACGGCCCCTCCCGCTGAATTCCCTGCACCCTCAGACAGGGGACAACACAGTCCTGGGACAGCTTCTATATTAAGGGTCTCCTCACCTACACATCTGACAAAGCTCTTTGAAAGACTAATGTTCTAAAACTCCTAGGACAGACATTTTAAAAGGATGTATTTAAAATCTCAATTTTGAAAACGTTCCTACTGCCATTCTGCAAGTAGCGTTAGTTCTCAAATGATGCTCTAATGGGCTCTCTTTTTAGGTAACTTTTCTGATTTTAACAAAATACTGCATGTTAATTATAGAATACCTCAAAAACAGAAAATAATCAAAAGAGGTAAAATAATTCTCTTTTTAAAAATGTAACCATTTTATTTTGAAACCTGCTTTTTTTATTTGACAATATTTCGACTACTTTTCCATGATATAAATATCCTTCTATACCTTGTTTTTACTGGCTGCTCAGCATTTAGTTCTATACATTTATCATTTAAGCAGTCTCCTATTGGGATGATCATTCTTTAATTTTAATTTTCTAATTTTTCCACTACTTTAAAAAAATCCTACCAAAAAAAAAAATCCTTGAAGCTGTATCTTCCCATATATATCCTTGATTATTTCCTCAGGGTAACTTTGAAGAGCAAAACCAGTGGGTCAGTGTACCTGCATTCTTATAGGGGGTCAGTTCTGGTTGTCATATATAACCAGCTTTGGGAGCCACTCTTGGGTGATAAAGTAAATTATTAAAGTATTTTTTTCCCCAGTAGCCAAGCATTTATGAGCTCTGGCAGGGGCCGTGTGATATAATGAAAAGTCCCCATTGCTGAGAGTAAGCAATGGTCCAGGATGCCTGGCTGCCCCTTTGTCTTAGTTTGTTTTGTTGCTATAAAAGGAATCCTGAGGATGGGTCATTTATAAAGCAGAGGGATTTATTTGGCTCGTGGTTCTGCAGGCTGTGGAGCATGGCACCAGCATCTGCCTCTGGTGAGGGCTTCAGGCGGCTTCCACTCCTGGCGGAAGGTGTAGAGAAACTGTGCAGCAGTCACGTGGTGAGAGAGGAAGCAAGAAAGAGGAGGGGGTGCCAGGCTCTTTCCAACAACTCGTTCCCCAGGAAACCAAGAAGGAGAACTCAGTCCCATGAGGACGGCAGCAGGCCATTCAGAGCGAGCCACACCAATGACCCAAACACCTCCCAGGCCCTACCTCCAACACTGGGGATCAAATTTCAGCATGAGGTTTGGAGGGTCAAAAATCCAAACTAACAGCTGGCACAGTAGCTCACACCTCCAACACTTGGGAGGCCAGGGTGAGTGGATCGCTGAAGCTCCGGAATTCAAGACCAGTCTGGGCAGCATGGCAAAACTCCATCTCCACAAAATATACAAAAATTAGCCAAGTGTGGTGGTGTGTGCCATAGTCCCAGCTACTTGGGAGGCTGAGGCAGCAGGATTGCTTGAGCCCAGGCAGTGAGCTCTGATGCTGCCATTGCCCTCCAGCCTGGGTAACACAGCAAGATCTTGTCTTAAAAAAAAAAAAAAAAAGGCTGGGTATGGTGGCTCACACCTGCAATTCCAGCACAATGGGAGGTCAAGGCAGGTGGATGACTTGAGGCCAGGGGTTCAAGACCAGCCTGGCCAACATGGTGAAATCCTATCTTTACTAAAAATACAAAAATTAGCCGGGCATGGTGGTGCATGCCTATAGTCCCAGCTATTTGGGAGGCTGAGGCACGAGAATCACTTGAACACAGGAGGCAGAGGTTGCAGTGAGCCAAGATCGCGCCACTGCACTCCAGCCTGGGCAACAGAGCCAGACTCTGTCTCAAATATGTATCTCCAAACTATAGCATCTCCACACCCAGCAAAGCCCTGACCTCATGGAAATGGCTACGCAATGGCTGCACTGTGAATTCTCAAACCTCTCCTCAAGCTCTAACACAAGAAGACTCCCTTCAAAATTGAAAAAGACAGTGAGGACCAACAATTGCATAACATTTATGTATATGTACAGTTTGTTTTATTTTTATTGCTCCTTCCATTTTCTTCAGTTTGTTTTTAAACAGCAGTAACAATATTTCTCAGAAACAGAGGGCTGTGTACAACCTCGTAACACACTTTCTTGACAGTTTAAAAAAATCATCGGCCCTCTCCAGCACCTCGGAGCTTGCCTGCATCTGTGTACTGTATTTCTTTGGGGAAGAGCAATTAGTCAAGAGAAGGCTGAAGCCCATGACATCTTTGACATGACTATGGCTTTCTTCTGAAATGTGATGGGCCATAAGAGCTTTTCAGACATTTCTCTGAGAATAAATGCCAGGCAGGCTTCATTTGCTAGTGACAGAACTGACCTATGGCACACTAAACAGTGACTAATCCGCAGAATCAAAACAGGTCAATGCTCCAGGTGGGGGTTGGCCTTTGCCAGGAGACCACTAGCTTCTGGCTCCAGAGGTATCACTGGGCAAGGTGGAGAGTTGTGTGGCCTGTTCCTATTAACTGAGTGTGAAAGTGCTTCAACAGGGGGTTGCTGCTGAGTTAGTGATAGTAGAGGGAGCCAGTAGAGCCCGTTAGTTATCACTCTTCCTGGTAAGAATGCCTTTGCCTGCAAATATGTGCTGTTTCATTAAGAAAGTCCTCATAAAATGATGTTTTCAGGCAGAATGAGAACTAGAGCAGACAGGCCCCCGAGAATGCCTTAAGTCAGATAAAGATAGATCAGGCCCATGAGAGAATGATCACCACCTTGTAGCTCAGAAATCTGAGACACAAACAGCATTTCTGACCAGCCTAACCTGCAAACCTGAGAGAGAAACAAACGTTTCAATTCCCCTGCTTTCTCTCTAATCATACAATATTCTCAGCTGAACAGCAGTAGCCTTTGCTAAATCCTCTTGTGTCATTTAGATGCTGTTCAAAGCAGACGTCCCAGGCATGTTTAGAAAGTGTCTTGTGTGACCACCTTGACTGAGTTGAGAATATTTATTCCTAGTCAATGTTCACTTTAAATAGCCATCTTCTCTCTTTTTTTGTAATACTGACTTAATTTGAAGAGCCTATGGTGTGGAAAAATGAGACTAAATAAATAAATTACAATTCTGGTCAATCACATTGGCCTAAAACCATCAGGCAATTTAAATATGAGATCCCTAAGGTTCAGACAGGTTTACAGCCAAGGGTAAAAACTATTCAAGGACAAAATTGAGTATGAAAATGTGTTATATAAACACAGATGTAACACTTAATACATACGTAATAGCTAGCAAAACGAGTTGAGGAAACTTTTAGATGAGAAAAATAGAAAATCTGGACCATCTACCAGGTGAATTTTCTCTGTTGTGAACGATTTATTGACCTTTTACGTAAGTATCATACAGCTCTCATTATCAGTCCCAATGTATGAAATGGTTATTAGAAAAGAGAAATAGTGGCATATTTCATAGGCCAAAGGACCATAAGATGTTAGAGTGAGCATTTCATTGCCACGAGTACAAATGTGTGGAAAATTACAGATATCAATTCTGAAGTTCATCGGTGTTCAGTGAGACCCTGAAAACCTGGCATTCTCATTTGCCCCTTCTGAACTAAATAAGAAAACGTTGCAACATCTCTGCAATGTTTTAAAAGAATCATTGCATCGATGGTTTTGCTCTGCCAGGTATACTGTTACAGGATGTCGTCTGTTACAAGGATACAGTCTCGTCAACTGTATTCTTGGAACTGATGGGTTTTGTTTATCAAGTTCACATAGATCCCACCACCCACATACACAACTAGAAGTGGAGAAAAGGTGTTAAAGGCTGTTAGGGGTTCTACCGCGAGCCACTTAAAAAAAACATCATAGGACTGCAATTCTGTCTGCAACCATTTGTTATAGGCAAGAGCAGATTACAAGAGTAACTACCGAGCTCTCAGCCATGATTTGCAGTGGAAGAATGGCTGAGAGAGGAATTAAGCGGAATGGCTGAGCAGTACAATAGACATCAGCCAAGGTAGGAGCACTAAGTAAAATGTCTAGAAGGAAAAAACTTCAACTCTGGGCCTTAGCCCTAACTGCTCTGAGCCAAAGATGAATTTAAGCTCCTCTTATTCCTCATCTTTACACTTGTTTTTAGCTTGCAATAGCCATTTCCTGGGAGAAGCACTTTACTAATGAGACTGGTAATGTGGTGGAAATTATGAGATGCCGTCTCGTCTTTTATTTCACAATGTCTCTTTCTCATCATGTCCTGTCCTTTAAACAAAAGCAGCATGTCTTAAGTCTGAGGGTAAAAAGAAAGAATAAATTAACATTAATTTTGAAGTCTTTTTTTTTTTTTTTTGAGGTGGAGTCTCACTCTGTTGCGCAGGCTGGAGTGCAGTGGTGCAATCTCAGTTCACTGCAACCTCTGCCTCCCGGGTTCAAGCGATTCCCCTGCCTCAGCCTCCCAAGTAGCTGGGATTACAGGCGCACGCCACCACGCCCGGCTAATTTTTTTTGTATTTTAGTAGAGACGGGTTTCACCATGTTGGCCAGGATGGTCTCGATCTCCTGTCCTTGTGATCCACCCGCCTCAGCCTCCCAAAGTGCTGGGATTACAGGCATGAGCCGCCGCACACAGCCAGAAGTCATTTCTTAAAATTATCCAGCTTTCCTTATATTCATTGGAAATCTCCCAGAATGTCTTAAAACTAAGACCAGAAATTGATGGAACTGCTTATGTTTCAGGCTTATCCTTAGGTGGAAGCCCTGGGACAAACCACTTCCCTGACCCAAAAACAGTATGAAGTGAAAGTCCAGCTTATACAAATATGAGACTGAGGAGAAATATTATAGGAAGAAAAAAACTGGAGGAAAATCTAAATTAAGAGAGTTCTTTTTAGGGGGGTAGTGAGAAATACCACCCAGATCATACATTTTTATATATTATCCAAATTGCTTCTGATATTTTAGTAATCGGTGGAGGGGGGCATTGGCGGGGACTGTTTTTAATGAGCGTGAGGAACAACGAGGAAGAAGGTGAGAGAGTGACTCCAACTGACACATCCATTGTGACAGTCATATGTAGAGATATGCATATGTGAAAATACAGATTCTATTCACAGGACCTCAGTACTAGGGGAGTCACTGTTTTCTCCACTGGAGCGTTCTTCCTAAGACACTATCCCTTCAAGTGTAAAAAGCAAAGCAATAAACCCAATTTAACATACCCTGCATATAGAAGACAAGCCAGTGAGGACATCATAATGTCCATTTGGTTGCCATTTAATTTCAGAGTCTCCATTCCAAAATGTCACCTGGGCAAGACTTTCTCTTAAATTGATTCATTCCTCAAATCCACAAAGCTTTTGGTACAAGGCACTTACTTTGGCACTGTTAGGAATGGAAAGATTAATAAGCCACAGCTGTTATCTGATAGGCAAAGCCAACACAATCCTATCAGCAAGTAAACTTCAGCCAACACGTGCTCAGAAGAGGGAAAAGTGCATTTTCTCTGTGAGCTTATCAAGGAGGACTGCAAGAATATGGCGGCATCTGAGCTGAGCTGGGTTTTAGGAGGCAGAGAGGCAGTGGGGCAATCCAGTCATAGGCAAAATCAACGCAAGCAAGGGCTTGGGGCTGAAGCATGGAAAGGAGTGTGACTGGAATGTAAGGTGTCTTCCCAAGAGACGGTGGGAGGCAGACAAGGCCCACAGTGCAGGCCCAGGCCATCCACAGAGGCAAGACAGAGCGGGCAGTCAGAGCAGTGGGGCAACAAAGGAGTTCCTGGAGCTGGGGGCCACAAGGACAATATTGCAGCCATGGCAGTGTTGCAGGTGAGCAGAGACAAAGGCCTCCACCAGGGTGGGAGTGGAAAATCAGGCAGAGACACAGGAGCTGCAGTTACCAGATTAAGGGAAAACAGAGGAGGACAAACCCTGAGGCTTGGCTCCTGAGTTACTGCTGGCAGAGGAGAGATGTGGGGGTGTAAGAAGACAGCAGGTTTAGGACAAAGGACAAGGTCATCATTAGAAAATCCAAGAAGGCTCGGCGGCCTTCTAAAAGGCAACAGGCTACCATGTGGAATCTAGGCTGGTGCAATTACAGGCTCACCAGGAGATGATTCTGTTCATTTTCTCCTCCCCAGGCAGTTCCATGCCAGACTTCCCCAGACAGCTGACCAAATACATATCTAGGAAAGAAGATTCCACTGACACCCACTCCCCATTTTATTTGCCTTCAAGGGAGAATTTATTTGTGAATAATCTAAATCATCCTCCCCCAGTCTCTGTTTCTTTCCTATTAAGATGATGCACAGAGAGCACAGAACCCCCATCGTCATCCTGTGGTTCTCTAAGAAGTGCTCATTCTGTCTAGTCAGTATCAAAACTGTTACATCCGGTTGATGTGGGTTTGGACTCTATAGAGATCAATAAGGAATTACCTAGTTATTTAGCTAGTGATACAAAATGTCCATAAGCTACTTTATATTGCCAATTAATATATTTAATATTTAATGTTATAAACCAACATGTAATATATGACTTTTAAATTATTCAGTCCATATATGTTTTCATTAGGGAAGAACATTTTATTCGCATACTTATGATACCATCTCAAGACTTAATATGGCTTAATTCTATTAATAAAAACTAATTTAAAAGTCATTATCTTTTTTAATTACAGCTTTTGATTTAGTTCTTCCCTGATCTGCAAATAAGGGTAGCTAGAGCCATCATTCAATTGGTCCATAACTAACGCTGGGTTTTTTTTTAGAGCTATCATGAGTTGCTTGGTAGAGGACGTTGATTAAAAGGAGTGTCCTCATAGGTCACACATGCAGCCCCATGACTTGGCCATATCTCACCTTGTCAGAGCTCTATGCAGATATTTATTCTCAAATGGATCTGTTAGTGAATTCTATTCCATGGTCAAATCTTTAGCTTGCAGAAGCCATGTTGAAGGTAATTCAACATGTGTGGTCAGCAGTCTCACCTATGATGATGACCCAGATTTTCACTGGGTGTGATACTGGACACATTCCTTTGTTTTTTTTTTGTTTTTTTTTGAGACAGAGTCTCGCTCTGTTACCCAGGTTGGAGAGCAGTGGTTCAATCTTGTCTCAACACAATCTCCACCTCCCGGGCTCAAGCGATTCTGCTGCCTCAGCCTCCAGAGTAGCTGGGATTACACATGCCCACCAACATGCCTGGTTAATTTTTTTTTTTTTTTTTTTAGTAGAGACAGGGTTTCACCACTTTGACCAGGCTGGTCTCAAACTCCTGACCTCAAGTGATCCACCCACCTTGGCCTCCCAAAGTGCTGGGATGACAGGCATGAGCCACCGTGCCTGGCCCACATTCCTATTTCTGGTCCTTTTAGGCCCCAGAGAAAGCGGGATTCCTTCCCTTGGTATTAAGTTCCTAACTCTCCTGAATTTCTCAACTGTGTGTTCATCATTCAAGTTCTGCCAGGTCTGAGACACCGGAAACCATCTAGTTCTTAAGCTTGGCATTGACGGGAAGGATGCAAGGCCACTGAATGTCCAATAGAGCAAGTATCACAAGGTTTATATATTAGTACTTAGTATAGGATGGCTGCTGGCAGGGAAAAGTTAAGGGACAGAGAATGGAGATGAAATGTAACATCTCCCATCCGGAGTATGGGTTCTGTGGGATAAGGCTATAAAGCACCCTGCATGCATGCTCTTTACTAAGAGAACTGTACATAATTGTAAAGGAAATTGGAGTCAGGCTCTGATTAAGTGAATCTTCAGATCTCAGATGAAGGCAAAGAGGGCTTGTCTCACATATAAACATAACCATAAAATTGTTGACTGGAACTGAAAAGGCTCATGAAAACGCCATCATTATTCAGCTTCTTTTTCTCAAAGATGTATTTCTGAGGGACTTTTCTATATCTTTATATCGCTCAGTATGTAATTCTATTAAAGTGCTTAACACATTGTATCATATTTATTTCTTCAGGTATTCTTTTCCTTTCCCTAGAATGTGAGCTGCTCAAGGTCATGAAGAGAAGTGTTTCTAAATTCATTTTCATATTCCCAATGGCTAGCACATTGCTCTAACTTAAGGATATGGATAGGTCACCCAGTGTTTGACGAAATGAGTGAATGGATGAATGAATAACAAAACTAAAAAAAATAAGACCCCAACCAAAGATCATTAAATGGCTGTTGCTGTCCTCCTATATACCTATGTCTCTACAATTTAAGTACATCCTTAGATTTATTATTGGTTTTGATTTTGTTTTATTTATTTTATTATTTATTTATTTATTTTTTGAGACCAAGTCTCGCTCTATCGCCAGGCTAGAGTTCAGTGGTGCGATCTCGGCTCACTGCAACCTCTGCCTCCTGGGTTCAAGCAATTCTCCTGCCTCAGCCTCCCAAGTAGCTGGGACTACAGGCATGTGCCACCACGCCCGACTAATTTTTGTATTTCTAGTAGAGACGGGGTTTCACCGTGTTGGCCAGGATGGTCTCTATCTCTTGACCTCGTGATCCACCCGCCTTGGCCTTCCAAAGTGCTGGGATTACAGGTGTGAGCCGCCGCACCCGGCCACATCCTTAGATTTCTGAGACAGACTTATCAAATAAAGTCTCTTGAGTCCTAAGTTTCTATTCACATTTGGCCTTTATTCCCATTCTTAGCAAAAGGTAACACTGAGATTCTATGAAAGGCCAGCTTAACTTTGCCACTCATTCCATCTCTCAGTGGGAGCCAACTGCGTGTGCACACGTGCACACACACACACACACACACACACACGGTACATTAGCCTCACAAGGCACTGACTTTGTCTATCTTGTTGATCATTGTATCCTGACCATCTACCAAGTCCCCAAAAATATGTGTCAACTGAAAAAATGAATTAAGGATTTCACAGTGTACTGTCGTACTAACCAGTCTTCCATACTGCTGTGAAAAAGAAAAAGAACAAAAAGCTATACTAAAACTCCACATTGATTCAAAGTGATTTGCTAGTGTTCAGCAAAAGGAGAATCTAGAGTCTGCAGATGTGTTAATGCCATCGTGGGTGGCCCTTACACCTCTATCATTCTGTCTCTGGAATGGCAGTAATTGCAACTGACCTGTCTTCCTCATAGCTATGTTGGAGAGAGGAAAAGAAAGATCTCTTCTCTAGTCCTATACAGACATACACACATGCCTCTATTAGTTAAAGCAGCCATATGTCTACTTAGAAATAATGGATGACAAACTTAAAAAGTGAGAGAATGCTATAGGAACTCTCGGTTCTGAAAAGGAAACATTAATGGTACCGTAAATTTTGGAGTTGGGGGAGTCACATTATTTTAATGAACATTTCTCATAAAATAATAGAATAATGATGTCCTCCTCATAATAGAAGTGCAAGTTATAACACAAATTATCCCCATTGGTTTTTCATTTACCTTTAATCATGCTACCCTGGGAAAATAGAGGAGTAAAGAGAATTAGCTTGAACCTGAAAGATTTCTACTCTAGTAACTGGCCCAATCCATTAATTGTCACTATTCTTTTTTGCATTTGCTTTAGGTGAAAGTCTGGCAAAAATCAAACTTAGTAAAACTAGTAATTATACCAAAAATACATTAGTTCTCAGTTTGTTAGTTTTTGAGGCTGAAACTTACACCTCTTAAGGTTTATAATTATTTCCCCTCAGTAAATTGTGGATTCCTGTGTTCTAGGGAAAGGCATTGCCAAAAATAAAGTGCAAGCTGCTTAATCTTCACTCTTTCCTAAGCAAACGACGATGTGAAAAGTTGACCGTGAAGACATTGTCTGTACATCCGTTAAAATTTCTTTGACTCGCTCGACTCATTCAAGCTTAAAGGCTAAAAAAGAAGAAGGCACTGACAGGCCTTCCTCTGGGACTCTCTGAATCCCAAATCCAGCTTTGTCAGTTATTTCAAGTGGATATAAATGGAGATTTTGGCCAATCCTTTCCAGCCCCAGAGGTCAAGGGAGCAGCTGCACTTCTAAAAATTAATCTAAAACTATGTTCCCAACAAAACTTTCTCTTGACCTTTAAGGCTGATAGGAAGCTCCAGAGTATTATACAAACTGGCTACGCAGGTATTTTCCCACCCCCTACTCCACCTGCCACACGCAGAAACAATGGGACCATTCAGCTCACCTAGGACATGATCCAAGGCCCTTTGTATCAATTTTAGTTACCAAAAGATGGCTCAAAAAAAACACTATTTTTATGAGTTAAGCCTCTTCTTGTCAGGTGTTATAGGTAAGAAAAGTAATATCCCACTCTATATGCATATTAAATAATGCTGTTATCTAATTATTTCACACAGGCAGCTTTGTGAAGAAGGCAAGGGAAGTAGTTAACATTTAACATTTAGGAAAACTGAGGCTGTGGCTTGCCCAAGGTCACACAGCTAGGAAGCAACAGACAGTGTACTTGAACCTGTCCTCTGACTCCAAACGATAATGTTCTTTCTCCTATGTTGTGCCCTGCTGATCTGATTCAAAAGGTTTAAGGGGATGTTGGTGTATCCCGGCATATTGTATATATTGATGTACTGATGAAGCCCTGAGTCGTGGGGTCTGGCAATTGTATCAGTCAGCTGCATTTGGCATCCCCAGATGTCCCCAGCTCTGATACTCCAAATCTAGATAAAGCTTATTTATCGGGAGTAATTCCAAGAGATTCAGTCCAGTCCGAGGCCTTCAGAGCACCTCCAGAAGGTTAGGTCTTTTTTGGCAGGCCAAATGATAACAAGAGCATTTACTTCTTATTAACAATGTGCCTGGCACACTAAGTTATTGAGCCCATTGAAACCTCACAACAACTATGAGGTAGGTACTCTACTCACTCACATTTTGCTAATAAGAAAACCAAGGCTTAGAGCATTTCAGGTGACCTGCTTGGTCAGGGAGCACGATCAAGGACTAGAAGCTGGGCAGTTTGACTTCACAGGCCAGACTTAAACCCTGTACTACAATAGCCCAGAGGAGTTCACGCCCTCTTGATCAGCCTATAACCCTCCAGACACTCCCAAAATTCAACCAGACTCCAAGCCATTACACAGAATGTTGTCTTACAAAGTAGCAGCCCACCCATGTTGGCTCAAAACCTATAATGTTTGCCAGAATCAGAAAGAGCTGCCATGTTAGCATTTTAAGATTATCATATCGTTCCTCTTTGGGTAACTCATCAAAGCATGTAAGCTTAGCCAAAGAACATATTCCTCAACCACTGGGCACCTGAACAAAGACCCCATGACCCTGACTCTTTGGAGTCAACAGCAAACCTCTTCAAGGACCTTCCTTTATTAATCAAGGAAGAAAGGGTAAAGTAAATAACACTACTGATTTGAGATCAGAAGGAGCAATTTAGGCCCATGTCTCATGTCTCCTGTACTCATGGATGCTCTCAGTATCCATGTTAATGGAACCATCTTTCAGCCTTAGAAAGTGGACCACAGTGAAGGGAGCAGCTCTGCCAGTCCGCAATGCGGCAGACCCCTGTGTCTATCACAGGGCGGGTTGTGGGGGGTCCCAGCTGCTCATTTCCTCCATGCCAAACCTCTTCACCTCTCCCAGACAGCAGCCTCACTTGTAGGAGTAGGGTTCTGTCAGTCTTTTCCAGCAGGAAGGCCTACTTAAAGAAGGTCCATTCAATGAACTATTCACTCAGAGGACAGAGCAGGGCATCAAGTCTGGTAGGTTCTGGCCACAGCCCACCAACTGGCATTCAGGAAGCTGACTTTCCAGCCTTTTGTTTTGGTTTTGTTTTGTTTTGCTTTTTGTTTTTGAAACAGCGTCTCACTCTGTCACCCATGCTGGAGTACAGTGGTGCAATCATGTCTCGCTGTAGCCTCCCACTCCTAGGCTCAAGCAATCCTCCCACCTCATTCTCCCTAGTAGCTAGGAGTACAAGCACGCACTACCACACCCAGCTAATTTTTGTACTTTTGTAGAGTCAGAATCTTGCTATGTTGCCCAGGGTGGTCTCAAACTCCTGGGCTCAAGAGATCCTCCCACCTTGGGCTCCCAGAGTGTTGGGATTACAGGCGTAAGCCACCACACCTGGTGCCTTTCCAGGTGATAGGAGCCTGAGAGAGCAGCCTTGCAGCAAGCTGACTAGAGGTTGCAAAGCTCCTAACCTCAAGAATTTCCTACTATGTCTTTCATTCAACCAAACTCGTATCTCTATTTTGAAAGAATCCTTTCTGTGTGTTTGTGTTTGGCTGTCTAAGTATCCCAACCCAAGGAGCCTCCAGAGGCTTCTTGTGCAGTGTCTGAGGCTGAAGGAGCCTTCCATCGCATACTGCAGTCTCAGGTAGCTGGAATGAGTGGTGGATTTGTTTCTTTCCACAGAGACTCACATTAAAGCACACAGACTTCAGGTGAGAAGAATCAGATGTGGTCTTTGGTACTAAAGGAGCCTGAGTTAGTTTCAATCTTTCCCCATCAACACGCCACGAGCATTCAACAAAGTGCTGGTGGAGGGTCAAAGGATGCACAAGCGGGCAGTGAGATTTCTCTGGACAGCAGCAGGCACCTTTGAGGCTACTCCAGAATGATCTAGCCGCCTTGGAAGGATGACTTACCGAAAGGCCTCTCAAACGATTAACAGCTCCAGTTAGCCCCTTAATGGTTGTCATTTATTTCCGTGCCAGTCAACAATCATTCCTGAGTTGAGCCGTAATGAATAGAGAATGATGTAAATGTGTAGGCAGACTTCACGAGGGTTTAGACGTCTCCGTGGGAGGTGTAACGTCATCCCGATTGCCACCTGACCTGACTCAGGGCTGTCTCCAAGGCGAGGTGACCTGCCCCGGGTGCGGTTCCCAGAAGTCATCCCGCGCTTCCAGAGCTGAGCCCCGCTGCTCTACGTCTACCTGCGGGATCCTCAGGATCCCCTCATTCCCAGTCGAGGGACCACCACCTGAACCCGTGTGGGGTGACCTTACCCACCCAGGGAAGGTTGAGAAAGGGGTGGAATCGGGCGCCCCCTTCCTGACCCTGGGCTGAGCCGGGCAGGGTAGAGAACGCGGCGAGAAGGGAACCCGCGGGAATGTGAGGCTGCGGCACGACCAGGGGCCGCCAGGGGGCGCCCGTCCTCCTTCCCGCCTGTGCCTCCCCTCATCCTCGCTCTGCTTGGACAGAGGGTGGGGAAGACTAGAATTCAGCTCTCACTCCGGCCCGCCTGCAAGGTGATCCAAAGGAAGTCGCTTACCCTCCTGGCATTTCCCTTTGGAAAAGACATACAAAAATAGTCCCCACCCACAAGCCCCAGAGGGGCGCCCCAAGAGCACAACGAGCTGTCTCAGGAATGCTCTGGCAATAGCAGCCTATTTGCACGAATTATTATTACTAATAATGTCTTCCTTGTTCAAGTCAAACAGACATCTGTATGAGCACAGTTGCACGTATGCTAGGAGCTGCCCTCTAAGTGACTCTACCCACACATTACTGTGAGGATTAACCTCCCAAGCTGCAGAATGAATGGTATTAGCAGGTTGCTAGGAGGTTCATCTCGCAAAACTGCAGAGATCCGCCTGGGTCTATAGACTTCAAGACTGAGCCAGAATGAAGCAAGTCTATTGCCCTGGAATAACTCCCCACATTTTTCAAGCAATTTCTCCAATTGCTTTGTTTCGAGCACCTTTGAATTCCTCTAGCATAATCACTCTACCCTTTGTCAACACAAAATGATTGTTTAAACGACTCAATCAGATCATGCCATGGGCGACTATTTCCATTTATTATGATTTATTCCCTGTTTAGCACCAATGTGCCAGGCACATTCAACAGAACCGCCTCTAAAATGGTTTTTCTTTCTGCTCTGAAGGCCCACAGAATAAAAACAACCTGCTCAGGGTAAAGGAAAGATCATCCACACTGATGAGGATCAGTGACTAAGGACATCTTGGAAAGAAGGTCTAATTTTCCAAATGATAAAGAACAAGACTTTTTCATTGTGATGGGTACTCCTATTGACCTAGAGCACAAAGTAAATTGATTAAAGACAGAGAATTCCAGGTTTTCCACCAGGCGGGGAAGAGATTTGTCATGAATAAACCAAAGTCACAGACTCTCTCTTGAAGGCAGGAATCTGGTATTCTTAGTCTTTGGTCCCCAGAACCAGCCCCACACTGGCACCTTTAGGCACTGAATAAATGCTTATTTAATTGATTAATTCAGGTGTGAGAGATCACATCTACAATTTAGAGAATTGAGATTTTTTTAACCCAGTTTTTCAAAGAAGAGCCTGTATAATTTCAATTCTTCCCTCAGCTTATTGCCAGTCAAAGAGAGAGAGGAAGGGCCAGGTACTTGGCTGCAGTGTCTGAACCAGCTGCAAATCTCAGGAATGTGTTACCTGGATAAACAGGCTCTAAGATGTTCTTTATAACAACAGCAACTAACTTACTAACTTAAAAAAAAAATCCTCTAAGTGAATATTAGACACCCATTAGAATCACTTGTGAAAACTTAAAAACACTATTAACGTATTATTTAGATACCCTCTCTGGAATCATAGTTATGGCAGTCCAGGTGTTGTTGTCCTGTCCTGGCTATGCCGGTAACGTGACGTGAGTTTGGCTCAGTGAAAACGCCCACGAACTTAACTAAACCAACAGGCACTGTGAGGGTTTGAAAACAAAAACTGGCCTGTGAAGCATAGAATTTCTCATTCTTCCTGCAACTATCATTCACTTCAGTGTCCTGGTTGAAGCTCTTCTTTCTTTCCTCAACTTCAGTTCACCTGCCTCCCACAGTTTACAAAGTGAACTCACAGGCTAAATTGTGACTTTAGAGCCATCTTGAACTTCAACCCGCATGTGAATCCCTGGGGAGCCTGTTAAAATGCAGATTCAGATTCAGTGGGTCTAGGTGGGGAGTCTGCATTTCTAGCAAGTTCTCAGGTGATGTGGTCCACAGAGGACACTTTGAGTGGCAAGGATATAGAAATTCATACAAATTTTTTCCTGCAAATTTTACAAAGCATGTGATAGCCTTAAATTTTTTGCATTTAACAATACAATACTACAATAAAATTAAAGTTAATTAAAAAGTAAAACATCAAGTTAGTGTTTCATATGAATACATTACAGGTGCAGATCCTGATCTAGTTACATATATGTGAAATATACACATACGCCATATTCATCTGAAAAATTAAGGTGGCTCCACTTTCAAGAAAGGGGAATGAGTGATCTCTGATTTCATTCTTCATTCAATTAATATTTACTGAACACTTAACATGTGCCCAGCACTGTGTTAGGGGCTGAAATTGCAACAGTGAACAAGACAGATCCCAGTCCCTTTCTAACAGAATTTATAGTCTAGTAAAGGGAGACACACTTACAAAAAAAGAGCGAACACAAATTATAGTAAATGTTGTAAAAGAAACGAAGAAGGAACTAAGAAAATAACCACTTGGGACAAGGTGGGAAGAGAGGCCTCTCTGAGTAGGTGACGCTGATGGCCAAAGATCTAATCCTGACATGTCTACTCCTGTGAAGAGACAAAGCGCTGAGTTTTTAGACTCCAGACGTGCACACAGCCCAGGAACTAGTTCCTACTGCTTCAGCAAAGGTACTGAACGAAAGAAATGGGGACCATTCTACAGCAGGTCCACCAACATAAATCCTCTCCCCTCAGCTCTGAGATCTTTTTTCAGCCATCCTTTGGCTCCCCCTCCCTGGGGTGCTGCACTGACACTCTCTGCAGGGGTTGCTGACACAGGAGGGTTTTTCCACATTTGCATCACACACCTATAAAAATTCAAGGCTTGATAAACCACCATCTGTAAGGATAGTCAAATTGCTTCTTGTTTTTCTTTCCAGCTCAATTTTATTTCTGACAAAGTGGCTCCAATGAAAAAACTTATCTTGCGCTAAAATGAAATTAAGCCTGCTTGAAATCGGCCATTATATATGAGCCCTAAATGCTACACAAATTGACACCAATCAGTTTGTTTTTAGGAAGGAATTCTGGGACTGTTCGCAGAAATAAAAATTCATAGGCAGGCTTTATCAACACCGATGAGGGCTCAGATGGTTCCAAATAGTCTCATCTTTTGTTCTTTATTATCACAGCAGGAAAGATGCAGGGGTCTTTCACAACACAGGAGTAGAAAGGAAAGGTTTTCTGCATCCTCAGCTGCCTTATGGAGAAAGAAGCCTGCAGTAACCAGGAGCTTGCAGCTGGAGCTAAGGACATCATAGGCCCTCCACCACTCCACCCCCACCCTAAGTTCAAAGAGGGGCCTGTGACCCCAATTGCGCTAGGTACACCCAGAGCCACTGTCTGCCCAACGCTCATGTTAATCAGCCCCTGCTTGCCTTTAGGAGAGCTCCTTTTACCTGGATGCCTTGGGGGCACTGGTTCTTGCACAGGGGGGTTATCCAGGTGGCAGATCTACCAGGTTCTCTGTTCATCCTTCTCTAGGGCTATTGCTCTACTCATAGCATCTTCTGCAGGATATATGGGAAAGAAGTGATACACCTACACCTCTCCTTTTCTCTCCTTACAGGAGCTTAAGATAAAAGTTACCTAAAGAGGCCAAGCATGGTGGCTCACACCTATAATCTCAGCACTTTGGGAGGCCAAAGAGGGTGGATTGCTTGAGATCAGGAGTTCAAGACCAGCCTGGGCAACATGGAGAAACCCCTTCTCTACAAAAAATACAAAAATTAGCTGGGCCTGGCAGACACCTGTGGTCCCAGCTATTCAGGAGGCTGAGGTGGGAGGACTGCTTGAGCCCAGGAGATTGAGGCTGCAGTGAGCTATGATCACTACTGTACTCCAGCCTAGGCAACGGAGCAAGACCCTGTCTTAAAAAAAAAACTAAAAAGTTATCTAAAGGGGATAAAACTGGACAATCTCTGGATGAGCCACTTAACTTCTATGAACCTCTGTTTCTTCATCTGTGTAATAAAAACAGCAGCAGTATCTACTTCTTAGGTTTGTTATGAAACTTAAATGACAGAACGCATGCACAGCATTGAGTATGAAGAGAAAGCGCCTAGTGAATGTTAGCTGGTTTTTTTACCATCATTATTATTATTATTTACAAGTGCTTACTATATGCCAAAAACCATGTTAGATGCTCATTTAATTTTTATGAAAATTTGCATAATTTTAATTTTTTAACAGTCTTTGGGATAGATATTATATCACTTATGATTGGAGAAGTTAAGTAATTTGCACAAAGCCACACAGCTGTTCAGTAGTGAAGCTAAGATCTATATCTACACTGCCTCACTCTAGATTTCAATTCTTTCCTATCCCTGGCATTTGTCGATGCTGACATAACAAAGTCAGCTACTGAAGTGGAATTCATTCAATAGGTAATCCACCTCAGGTTGCTACTGGCAAAAATTTGGATAATATGCCTTAAAAAATACACACACACACGCAGACACACACACACAAACGTGCATTTGCCAATACCTGATGAAAAATGCTTTGAAATGTGAGACTTTAAAATAATATTCACCACATTGTATTCTTATTGTTTTTAAAGTAAAATTAAATTTAACACAAATTTACTGTTGGGCAAAACTTTTTGGAAGGCACTACTAACAACGAAGCTTTAGAATACAGTTTCTGTCTTCAAGGAATAAATCATTTAATTGTGAAAGAAGGACATAAAAAGGAGAGTAAACACATGAAGAAGTAAGGGATAGACTAAGGGTTTACTACAATAAAGTAAAAAAAAAAAAAACATTCAGGCCATGATTAGATGTCAAATAAGAGGGTGTATTTTAGGAAGCAGAATACAGGCTGGGCTGAAGAGTGGAAGCCAGTGGCCAGATGGCCTGATAGGATGATGCTGTAACATCTCACTTTAAGGAAACAAGGGCTGAAGTCAACCTCGGGAGAGTGGGAATGAACCCGAGAGACGTTCTGAAAAAACACTGAGGGAACTTATTGACTGATTATATAGAGAGATTAAGGGAAAGGAAGAGGTTAAAGGAGATTTCAGAATCCCCACACTGGGCAGGTCCAAACCTGCTTGTTCAATCTGTTCCCAATCTCCGCTATGGCATCACCATCCACCATCACACAAGCTGGAGCCCTGAGGCTCTCTTGGGACCCCTCGTTCACTCACTCCTACCTCCACGCACCTCCTCAGTCCTGCTGTTTCTCTCCTCCGCCACCTCCACACATCTCAGTCCTATTTCTCGCCTCCGCTACCTTCCAAAGCTGATCCCTCCCTCTCTGCTTTGTCCCGCCCCGTCCCATCTCTCACCTGCACAGCAGCCCTGCCGGCCACCGTGGCTCCTCATCTCATCTCAAGGCCGCATCAGCACCCATGCCAGGGATCTAACACACACCTCTGATGCCCAGGCTTCAAACCCTCCAGTGTGTCTCCAGCACCTGCACAGTGGACGCCTTAGTCCTGTGTATGTCCCGCAAATGCAGAAGCGCATCATGGCTTCCCCTGCTTCACGCCACACCTCACATCCTGTGTTTCAACTACAGAATCCATGTGGAGTCCCCCCAAATACCACGCAGGAGGCACAGAACTTGAACAGGTGAATGAATGAGTGGATGTAAGACTGTAGGAAAGTCAGAATTATATGGCTGATTCTAGAAAATAATGAAAAGCTTAGTTTGGGTGTATAAAAGTGAGATATTTCGGCCGGGCACGGTGGCTCATGCCTGTAATCCCAGCACTTTGGGACGCCAAGGCAGGTGGATCACTTGAGGTCAAGAGTTCAAGACCAGCCTGGCCAACATGGTGAAACCCTGTCTCTACTAAAAATACAAAAATTAGCCAGGCGTGGTGGTGCACAACTGTAGTACCAGCTACTAGGGAGGCTGAGGCAGGAGAACTGCTTGAACCCGGGAGGCAGAGGTTGCAGTGAGGCAAGATCACGCTACTGCACTCCAGCCTGGGTGACAGAGCGAGACTCCATCTAAAAAATAAAATAAAATAAAATAAACTGAGATATTTGGTTTTTTCCTCTTTTCAAGGTAGGCAAGAGCTGGAAGTGCTTCAAAGTAGAAGGGAAGGGACCACTTGAAAGAATGGCTGGTTATTAAAGAAATAGGGAATGATTCTGCTGCTTATAATAAAATTATGATCAGCTAGTTTTCACCTAATGACCATTTCCTCAGGGAGGCCTCCCTGAACCCCTAAATGAGAGTACCTCCTCCATTAAATGCTTCTGTAGCACCTTTCGTCTTTTTTCCCCCCAACTTTCTAATCATCACATTTGAAGTCACTTGTTCTATGTCTACCTCCTATAACAAGCTCCTTAAGGGCATGTCACTTTGTCATAACAAATTAAACTTCAAACACAGCACCTGGCACAAAGTAGATGTTCGATATTCATTAGCCACAAAATTAGTAGAATTTCTTCACCCTAAGAGTGAGCGTGCTTCTACTTGTCAATACAAATAATATAGAAATTTGCTGATAAAAGAACCTAAAACACCACAATAAGTTGTAATCCACATGTAGTTTATTTGTTGGTATTCTGGGTTGACTCATCTGTTTAGGTAAGACGGAGGGATTGAGCATCACTCTCCTGCTTAAAAAATCTCACTGGCAGCCCATTGTCTACAGGGTGAGGGTCCCACTCCTTGGTTGGCACACAGGGTTCTCCACAAATTGCCTTCTGAGCTTCCACCTCTTCCACCACCATCCCATGCACCCCTCCCCCTTCCCACAGCAGCCCACTGAGCTCGGCCCTTGTTGACCCCACTTTCTGGGATACTCTTCCCTACTCTCTGCATCTAGCAGACTCTTATTCTCCCTTCAAACTCAAACTCACACTTTCCCTAAGGCCCATATACAGAACAATCTGTTCTCTTCCCACCCACTCCACAGCACTCTGTACTTCCCTCTAGAAGTCTAGAAATTTGAAATAGTACCATGAGTTCCCTGAAGGCACTAACTGTGTCTTGTTCTTCTTTACTTCTCCAGTGCCTTGCACAAGCCTGTATAAAAATTAGTAGTTTCTTTTTTCTTTTTTTTTTTTTTTTTTTTGAGACAAGCTCTTACTGTGTTGCTCAGGCTAGAGTGCAGTGGCATGATCATGGCTCACTGCACCCTTGATCTCCTGGACTCATGTGATCCTCCCACCTCAACCTCCCAAGTAGCTGGGACTACAGACACCCACCACCGCACCCAGCTAATTTATTTTTTGTAGCGATAGGGTCTTGCTATGTTGCCCAGACTGGTGTTTTCTAGTGAACAAATACAAAACTCCGGGTCCTCCTTGACTGCTGTCTTTCCTCACACCCCACATTCAATCCATCAGCAGGTCCACTCTAGTCTATCTTCAAAAAGATATCCTGAATCCAACCCCTTCTCACTACCTCCATCACGATCACCCACATCCAAGCTACCATCATGTCTTGCCCGAGCTACCACAATGGCCTCCAGACTGCTGTTCTTGATTCCACCTGCAATCTATTTTGCACACAGCAGCCGTGTTTGGCCTTTTAAAATACCATTTCTCTGCTTGAAACCATCCAGTGGCTTCCATCACACTTGGAATAAAATCCAGACTCTCTCTTGAAGCCCTATATGATCTCACACTTCCTTCTACCTCCCAGTCCTCTTGTCATTCCTTGAACATGTCAAGCCCTCTCTCATCAGGATCTTTGCACTGTCTGTTACATTTGCCTAGTCTGTTCTTAGCCCAAGAATCCAAATGACTTTCTCCTCCTCTGCATTCAAATCCCTGCTTAATATCACCTTCCCTGATGAGCTTATCTAAAACAACACCCACCACTTTCTATCTCCTTAACTTACCTTATTTTTCTTCATTGCACCAATCCATATCAGACTTTCTATTATCACCTATTTGTATATTAATCTTTGGTCTCTTCCAGTTTGATAGTAAGGTCCATGGAGACAGAAATATTGCTTTCTTCACAGGCATATTTTCAGTGCATAGACCTGTACAACACAAAAAGTAGATGCTGAATAAATAGTTGTTGGCTAGGCACAATGGCTTAAACATGTAATCCCAGCACTTTGGGAGGCCAAGGAAGGCAGATCATTTGAGCCCCGAAGTTCAAGACCATCCTGGGCAACATGACGAAACCCCATCTCTACAAAAAATACAGAAGCTACCCAGGTGTGTTGGCGCATACCTGTAATCCCAGCTACTCGGGAGGCTGAGGCAGGAGGATTGCTTGAACCTAGGAGGTTGAGACTGCAGTGAGTGGAAATTGTGCCACTGCACTGCAGCCTGGGTGACTAAAGAAAGAAATAGTATTTGTTGAATAAAGCAGCTGGGTATTGGGTTCTAATGTAGAAAGATATGAATGAGAAGAAAGGGTTTTGAAAGATAAAGCTGAGTACAGAAAAAAATGTAGCAAGGATATCCTTGCTGAAATACAATAACACAATTGGACAGCTCCAGGCACAGGGGCTCTATTTTCACTAATTCATTTTCTTTTTAAACAGCCGGAATTGTAAAAAAAAAAAAAAAAAAAAAAGTGGGGGGGCTTTGTCCCCTGGGGACACACTGTTGGGGATATAGTTGCACATCACTTATGAGGCCTTAGTCTAGAAGTGAACTAATCTTATGCCCAAGCCCTGCACATAAACGGTTTACAGAGGAGACGAAGAGATCAGGAGGAAGATCATGAATACCCCAGAAGGTATAGATTTAGCTGGAGCCCAAGAATATCCTCTGAGTAATTCATTTCCACTTCTTCCATCTTTGGCAAGATGTGGCTATTATCGGTTTCCATCATCTCTCCCGTGACATAAGTACTTTTTGATTAATTATTCTCATCCCTTTTCTCAGCTCTCTGCCACTTCAGACAGGGCTGTATTTCTGTGAAGAAGAAGAACACGATTCTAGAAAAGCTTTGAGATTAAAGATGCCTTCTAAAGATTAAAGTAAAACCTCTTTAATTCAGATTCTTCTAACTCTACGAACTCAGAATTCATTATCCATCTCATTGGGCTAAGGCTCATCTTGAGCCAATGGTGAGGGACACAGAGGCTTGAAGCTATAAAGCAAAGTAGTGGTGGAAATATTCTTTCCAAAAGGTGTAATCAACTTAAAAATGTTTCTTCACCCAGGTTTAAAAATACTTTATCAGCACTATTAAGCTTTTCCATTTTAAAAATTGAGTATTATTTACATACATTAAAATTTACCCTTTTTAGTGTAAATTCTATGAGTTTCAAAAATACATAGTTATATCATCACTACCATAATTAAGATATAGAACAGTTTCATAACCTCCTAAAATTCTCTTATCCCCCATTGTAGTCAAGCCTCCTCCTACACCCAGCCCTGGAAACCACTAATCAGTTTTCTCTCCCTTTAGTTTTGCCTATTTGAGAATGTCATACAGATGGAATCACACAGTATGTCACTTTTGAATCTGGCTTCTTTCACTAAGCATACCTCAGCTGAAATTCACTCACGTTGAGTGTATAAGTCGCTTGTTCCATCTCATAGCTGAGAACTATCCCATTGTACCACAGAGTGCTTATCCATTCACCAGTTGATGGACATTTTGGTGGTTCCCAGTTTTTGGTGATTATGAATAAAGTCACCATAGAAATCCGCATACAGGTTTTTGTGTGAACACAGTTTTTATTTCACTCAGGTAGATACCTCAGAGTGAGACTCCTGAGTCAGATGTTAACTAAATGTTTAAGGATCGGCCAAACTGTTTCCTAAAGTGGCTGTTCTACCATTTATTCCGGACAACATTGTGTGAGAGTCTTAATTGCTCCACGTTCTTGCCAGTTATTTTCAGTTGTGTCACTGTTGTTTAATTATAGCCACATAGGTATGCAGTGGTATCTCATTGTAGTTTTCATTTTTATTTTTCTACTACTGATGTTGAACATAAAAGATGCTCTTTTATGTGCTTATTTGTCCATCCGCATATCATCTTGGTAAACTGTCCATTCGATAATTGGATTCAGGCCGGGTGCAGTGGCTCATGCCTGTAATCCCAGCATTTTGGGAGGCCAAGGTGGGTGGATCATAAGGTCAAGAGATCAAGACCATCCTGGCCAACATGGTGAAACCCCGTCTCTACTAAAAATACAAAAATTAGCTGGGCTTGGTGGCGTGTGCCTGTAATCCCAGCTATTCTGGAGGCTGAGGCAGGAGAATCGCTTGAACCAGGAGGTTACAGTGAGCTGAGATCGCACCATTGCACTCCAGCCTGGTGACAGAGCGAGACTCCATCTCAAAAAATAAAAATAAAAATAACTGGATTCAAACTATTAATTTAATGGCTAATGTGCATATAACATCCATATAGATTATTTCATTTGCTCTTTACAACTCTGAGAAGGAAGTATGGCAGGTATTGTTCCATTTTACAGGTGAGAAATTGAGGCTGAAAATGTTACATGACTTCCCAAGTTCACACCAAGGGGCAGAATTAGAGGTGGAAACCAGGTCTCCCAGTAGCCACTCTCTACCACAAGTTGCTGACTTGCTTCCTAAAGACAAGTAGGACAAATCTTGACTCAGCAGGACTGTGAACAGTCAGCTGAGGCTCCAAGTGACTGAGTGCCCTAGAAAAAATTACGGAAAGGTAAAGTCTGTCCTTCCCTGCTGTGTGACAGATGCTTCCAACCCCCTTACTTCAGCAAAACTTCCCTGTGCTTTATCTCCCTTCTTTGGAGTCTTAACTCTCAGCTACCAATACTTAAAAACACAGGCTAGTGAGCAAATCTCTGACTTCCTTGCCTTTCTACCACCAGAGTAGAGATTTCTGCACTTCAATGGGGACTTTGAGAGACACCACTTCTTCATGCAGTGGTTTTCAACACGCAATGGTTTTCAACACGCAGTAGTTTTCAACACGCAGTCGTTTGCAGACTGTTCTGTTAGAGCCTGGAGCATCCCAAGAAATGGCCTAAAGGGCCTCTGCGGTTGGGACTCAGGGTGGGTGGCAGCAGGCTTTGGGTCCTACTTGACTAACAAAAGCAGATCCATTTTTATCTGTTTTACATATTGGGCTTTCATTTAAAATCGTATTTGAGCAGGAGGATGTGTTGCTTTCTAAACAGGTCTGAAAACCACTGCCTCAAAACTTGTCTTTAAATATTTGAGGGGAAGAAGGTCTCCAAGCATCATTCAAACACTTAACACATGCTTGAAATAAATGAACCAGCACATTTCTCATAGATTCTCTAATGCAGATTTTACTCATTCAAACTCATCCTTAGGCATCCCCACATTCCCAAACCAGTCCGGGATTTTTTAAAATCTTGGAAAATAGACCTGAGTTTCCTAACCTGTGCTCACACCTCTCGTGAGTTATACCAAGATGTTGCCTCCCCTTAGCCCTCAGAGTGTTCAGAAAGGGTTTGGTATCTTCAGACCTTGATCATTTTCATGTTTACTACAGTGCACTGTCCAGGTATCATCCTTTTCTGTATGTGTCCCAATGTGGAAAAGGTTGGAATATTAATAAGGTTATATTAATAAGGTTATTAATATAACAGAGTAGTGTTTTGGGCTTGCACTCTAGAGTTACTCAGTCAGTTATCCTGATTCTCACTTACTAGCTTAGTGGTCCTGGCAAATTGCTTAATTTATCTACCTCTCAGTTTCCTGATCTTTGAAATGGGGATAATAGCAACATAGTTCTTTTTTTTTTTTTTTTTTTTTGAGATGGAGTCTTGCTCTGTTGCCCAGGCTGGAGTGCAGTGGCACAATCTCAGCTCACTGCAACCTCCGCCTCCCAGGTTCAAGAGATTCTCCTGCCTCCCGAGTAGCTGGGATTACAGGCACGTGCCACCATGCCCAGCTAATTTTTGTATTTTTAGTAGAGATGGTGTTTTGCCATCTTGGCCAGGCTGGTCTCGAACTCCTGACCTCAAGTGATCTGCCCACCTTGGCCTCCCAAAGTGCTGGGATTACAGGTGTGAACCACCACACCTGGCCTAATAGCACCATAGTTCTTTGAACTGTTAGGAGGATTAAAAGATAATATACATATGTGATCCACGCAGCAGAGTTCCTAGTACATAGAAGGCTCTCAGTAGATAGCTGCTCCATTGTTAACAGCCCCACCTATCCATGAGATTTGCCCTTTTGGCCATAGAGGTAGCTAAAACTTGCCACAGATTCATTGCTGCACCTTTGATTATGCTTTTAAAATGAATATAAATGTGAAGCTTCAATAAGCAAATACCATCACCATTGTAAAAGTTATTAATGTTCATAACATCTAGTTTACATCTCTGGTAATATAAGTGAAACAAATACATGTTTGAAGGCCATTAACGATGGCTCCATACTTGGAAACAATGCTTCAGAAAGAGCAGATGCAAAGTAAAACCATTTGTTCTGCAATTTTCAAGGTACTTTTGTTTATATTTTGTTACAAAAAGCAATCACCTTAGTGATGGCTGAACAGATGCAAATGAACCTTTATAGTTTGAACACAATTCTTAAAAGGTTTTTCTTTTGAATGCCAAATGACTTCACATTACTGTCCTTTGATCTACCTTAATCATTTTAGTATTTTCCCATAATATTCTAAATTAAAAGAAAATAGATTTCAATAAAACCACACCAGTATTGTCTAACCCCAGACAACTGTAGGTTGCAACAGGAAAGAGTTTTATAACAAATGGCACTAAATTCATGGATATTTTTACAGAATAATTCTAGTCATTTGAGCAGTAAAAGTATTTATGTCTCAAAGTGACTCAGTGTCTCCAGTATCTAATATATTTTCAATTCAATCCAGCTTCAAGGAATGTCACTGTGAAGATATTTTTTTAAGTAGATAGTACTATCCCTGCCCTTAAGAAATCCAATTTTATTGTTCTCTGATTGCAGGTCATATTTCTTTTTCTTTTTCTTTCTTTTTTTTTTTTTTTTGAGATGGAGTCTCACTCTGTCGCCCAGGCTGGAGTGCAGAGGCATGATCTCGGCTCACTGTAACTTCTGCCTCCCAGGTTCAAGCGATTCTCATGCCTCAGCATCCCGAGTAGCTGGGATTACAGGCATGTGCCACCACACCCGGCTAATTTTTGTATTTTTAGTAGAGACGGGGTTTTACCATGTTAGCCAGGCTGGTCTTGAACTCCTGACCTCAGGTGATCCACCCGCCTTGGCTTCCCAAAGTGCTGGGATTACAGGTGTGAGCCACCGCGCCTGGCCTGCAGGTCATATTTCTATCATTTTCACAGATCAATGCTCTAATCATAGCGACTGTGTCCAAGGTTCAAACACAAATGGCGTTTGAGAGTCTCCATTAGGAATAACGATGGACCTGCTTCTGACAATCACTTTAGATGGAAGTTTCTGTTATACTGCCCCAGAAGAAGACATGAGCCCTCATTTCTCAATCAGACTAGCAGACAGTAAAGACATTCAGCGTCAGTGTTTCAGCTGAGTTTGTAGAACATTACCCAATTCCGAAAGCCATTCAATGCCCCTTAGCTACCAGCTGTGTGGCCTTGAACAAGTTCCTTAACCTCTGTGTCTCTGTTTCCTCATCTGTAAAATGTGTCAGTTTACATGTATTAACATGAGTTAATACATTTCAGGGCCTTCAAAGAGTGCCTGGCATCTAGTAAGTACCTCAGTCAGTGTTAGCTATTGCCATTATGAGTAGTATCAATAGCAATAATGCTTCTATTATCTTCCTGACCACTCTAATCCAAGACGCAGTCGTTAGGCCCTGGGTTCATGCCCTGTAATGAGAGTAGGAAAGCAATGTAGGAACTCTTATTCATGGCTTTCGGAAACACCCAGCCTGAAGCTGGATGCCCTGAGGCCACTGGTGAGGTATGGGACAGCTGACAAAGTCTCTTTCCCCACCCCACCTCCGGCCCCACCCGAACCCCACCATTGCCCACAGTCTCTGGCTCCCTTCTAAGGGTTTTCTTGTTTATGTTTTGTTATAAAGAGCAATCACCTTTGTGATGGTGGAACAGATGCAAATGAACCATTATAATTTGGGCACAATCCTTAAAAGATTTTTCTTTCTCAACCTCTGTGTCTTCAGCACAGGATAAAATTAACTCTCCTTTGATGTGGGTTATGCTTTCCTCTTCTGCACAAATGTTTGCTGGAGTTAAGAGCCATATGGGAAAACCAAGAATACAGATACTTATTTACTGCAACAAGCAGTTTATTCCTATTGGGTCAGCTCTCTGGTTTTACCATCACTTTGGTTATATATCATAAACAAGCTGTTGAAACACAATTTCTGTAGATGAGATTTTTTATTTCTGGCATATGAAGTGAAGGAGCACATTTTATTTTTTAATATTGCTGGGCTCCTACAAGATAATTTGAGAAACCATACATCTTTTAACTAAAACATAATGGGGTGTGTGTGATCTGTGTGTATATATACTGATATGTACTTATGGATTAATCAATCTGTTTTCTAGGAAAGATCCAAACTGGCTAGAACTGACAATAGGAAGGGTAAGAAACTTGATCCTAACTTAGGAGAGGGGCTTGCTTCTCCCACAGTGGAATATAAGATATTTAGAGTCTATCTTACCTGTGGGTTCATTGGAACATTTTCTGGCATGTTGGTTAATGACTTCCCAGGGACAGAGCTCCTTTAAGTAAAGCTATTACTGCATCATTAGAGCTCATAACACGGGAAAGAACATCCATAAAAATTCAGAATTTGACTTTGCGCCCTGGGAATCTGAGCTTCTCTTCATCCCTGTCCATCCTAAGGGGCCTCCGATGAAAGCGGGAACTCTTCCCAGTGTATTTCTGTGGCTGGCTTCCTCCTTGTTCCCTCTCCCCAAACTTAGTCATTTCCCCTCCCGCTTCACATACACATTACCATTTCACCACCATCATCCCTCTCAAAACTGATCAAAGTTCCAAATACAAACCTGTTTTTGACAGATTATACTTCAAATGAAAATCCTTTGCCCTGAAGTGTTTCCTCAAGTCAGCATTTGGTTTCAAGTCTTCCATTTCTATTTGTGGAATATATGTATTCACTCATCAAATATTCATCAAGCACTTATTTTTGTGTCGAGGGCTATGCTAGTTATTAAATACACTGTGATAAACAAGGCCAATGTGGTCATTGCCCTTATGAAGCTTACAGCTAGCATTTGAGACTGATGTTTATCAAATAAGCAAGCAAAAGTATAATTACACATTATAATTACTACAACGAAATAAAATCGAGAAGCTGCTGAGGGGGTGTAGTATCTACTGTAGATTGGAGTTCTCTGGGATGATATTAAGAGTCCTGAAGGATGAAAAAGAACCCGCCATGTTCTTTTTAGATAGTTGTGGGGAAGCCTTCCTCCAGCAGAGAAGTCAGCAATGATGTCCCAGAATAGAAAGTGAGCTTGGAGCATTTGAAGAACTGAACGAAGACCAGTGTGGGTGGAGAATAGGCAATGAGGGGAAATGAAGCTGGGGAGGCTGGCAGGGGCCAGATCATGCAGGCTTTTTTAGGCTATGTTAAATCATTTTGGATTTTGATCTAAGAGCAGTGGGGATCCATTGAGTGTTCAAGCAAGGGAATGGCATGATCTAATTTATGTCTCAAAGAGATAGCTGTGAATGTTATACAGATAATCACTGGAGGTGGGCAAGAGTAGAATGAAAGAAGAGTGGGTTCTTGTAGCCCATGTGAGAAATGATAGCTTGGCAGGCCAATCCCTTGAGTAGGGTAATTAGGTTAGTTGCCCTGGGGAGGGTATGTGGTTCATGGTAGACTATACTTCTCTTTTCTGAATAGCACTGAAATTCATTTTAGAAATTTCTGTCTTCAACAGTATCCCCAAGGGTTTATGAAAGATGTCCACACGTGGCCCTCTTTCAATTGTGTCTTCAGCAGCCCACATTGGTTGCATCCTTCCAGGAAATCCCCATATTTTGAATTAGGGCGGTGAAAGTGAAGGTGAAGATAAGTTGACAGGGTTCACATATATTTGAAGATAAGACTAATAAGTCTTGCAGGTGGGTTGTATTTGTGCAGTAAGGGAGAGAAAGGAATCAAGGATGACTCCAAGTGATGACTGTGCCATTCACCAACATGGGGAAATAAGGGAGAGAGTCCAGGATAGGTTTGGGGGAAAAGATTTCTATTTGGACTTATTAAAGAAGCCGATGAACTGTCCAAGTGGACATCGAGAAGGCAGATGGATATACCAGTGTACAGCTGGCAGAGCTCAGCAGAAACATTTGGGAGTATTGTTATATAAAAGCTACATGAATAATGAAAACACCTAGGAGGGAATGCAGAGAAAGAAAACTATGTAAGACCAAGCCCTAAAGAAGTCAGGTAAAATAAGAGGAATCTGCAAAGTAAATTGAGGAGAAACTGCCAGAAGTAGGATAAAAAGCAGGAGAATGGGGTGTCCTGACAACCAAGAGTCCAGTTTGTTAATGGAAGTAGTCAGCTGTGTGAAAATGTGGTAAGATATAGTCATCCTTTAGTTTCTGGGGGATTGGTTCCTGGACCCCCACAAATATCAAAATGTTCAGATGCTCAAGTCCCTTATATGAACTGGTATAGTATTTGCATATAACCTACATACATCCTCCCAAATACTTTAAATCATCTCTAGGTCATTTATAATACCCAGCACAATGTAAGTGCTATGTCAACAACTGCTGTACTGTGTTTTTAATTTGTATTACCTTTAATCGTTGTATTGTTATTTTGTATTTTTCCCAAATATTTTCCATCCTCATTTGGTTGAATTTGCAGATGTAGAACCCACAGATGTGGAGGGCCAACTATGTTAAGTTGAATACAGAGTCCTCTGGATTTCACATCAGAAAGGTCATCGGCAACCTTGACTAGAGCAGTTTCACCAGGGTAGTGGTGGAGAGGGCAGGCTGAGGAAGCCAGTTTGGAATGAAAGGATTTTCCTTCTTAATTTTAGCCACTGGGCCTGGGGACATTGGACAAAGGGGCTGCATAAATCCCAGCAGGCCAGATATGGCTGATTTCATCCTTCTAGGATGGGTCTCTATTATTTCTAATTGTAGTTAGAGCATCTCAGAACGTGAACGATGCTGTGTAGCACATCTTCCTTGGCAACCACCTCATAAATGAACATGATCACACACTTTAGCCAACGCCCAGGTCCAAAAAAGGAGAAAGGGAGGCAAGGAAGGAAGGAGGGAAGGAGGAGGCAGGGAAACAGGTAGGCAGGCAGGGAGGCAGGAAGGAGAAAAACATCGTCTGAAGGAAGCAGAACTAAATTGAACTCTTCTGGTTATTATATGTCAAGATTTCATAAAAACTAGATTTTCCAGTCTTAGAGAAGGGCTCTTCCTGTCCAGCACAATCTGTGTCACCTTGCTGAGGCAGGTGATAGGGCAAGGTGGGATATGGGCTGCCTACTGAAGAGGCCCCTTGTGCTTTACAGAGCTTTGCAGGCTCGTGCCTGGAGCTTTGCAGGCTCGTGCCTGGACAGACACCATATGTTTCGTACTGAACTGAAGAGTTCCTGTGCAGAAAAATGAAAATATTCAACCACTCATATAGATATCCATCTTTTAAATCACTTTGTGATATAGTAAATCTTAATTTCTTGTTAATATTTTTAACCCATAGTGACTTGGAACATTTTAGTTTTTAGTTTCTCCCGCTGTTAAGTGTTTAATGATCTATAAACAAACTCTTGAGAAACTTTTATAAGAGGAATCTTTGAATTTGTGAATAATTTCACCTTTTACGATATGAAAAATCACTGGAGGAGGGAAAGAAAAGAGTGTCTCCCTGAATCTCAGAAGTAATTTGAAGCCAACTAATGATGGATGGATGAATATTTTTTCATTTTTCTGGATAGGAACTCTCCAGTTCAATGCCAGATATGTAGTAAGATGTTCAGAAATAAATGCTAAGTCTTCTGCTTAAGGATAAGATCTGGTTCCTGTTGGTTGGCAGTGGCCACTGTTCTTGCCCATTTCACATACTTTAATCCTATTTGCAAGGTAACATCTTGGGACAGTTTCTAAGTAAAAAGAGTAAAGAAACCCAAATTTTTACTCCTAACTGGCCCATTTTGTAATCTTGGTCAAGTTAGTTAACCTCTCTCTACTTCAATTCCTCCTTCAGGAAATGGTGTGAGTAATATCAACCTTCTCCCCTTATCTAAGAAGTAATTTGAGGCCAGCTAATTAACTCTACCATATGTGATGTAATGATGGGGAAAAGAGCTATTAAAATGTGAAATATCATTACCATGGTCCAAGTCAGAGATCACTGTTGCACAAGCTACCCTCTAGTTAGGCCTTTTGAAGACCACTTTTTAACTCTTCTAAGCTGTATCTCGCTAGATGGGTGGATTGCCACCACTTATCATTTGTTAGTCTGATTTTAAACTCTAACCCACCCAAAAGTAGAACACATTCTCATTTTCATTGGATATATTTGCCTTTGAGGATTTCAGACTATTCCTTAAGGTAACCAAGGATACCTGAGGTGTAGCAAAATGACACCTGGGAATCACAGCACCTGGAAATGACTGCCTTATTGCACTTATTCAAAACCTCACCTGCAAAGGTACTAGTTAATGAGGCGGCTTCCACAGGAGCCCAATCCATAAGTAGGCAGCAGGTGGGGTACAGAAGAAAAATATGATTGACCCTCCCATTGCAAAGTGCTTTCCCTTAGAAAGTGTATGTCTCACATCTGTAAAGTTGGATATTTTATCCCCATCTTATAAAGGAAGAAATTGAGGCTCAGAGAGATTTAGTTGTTGGTCCAAAATCACGTCACCAGTAAATACATGCCAGAGCCAGGATTAGATTCCAGGACTTCTAGGATTTTACCATGTGAAAATGATAATGGACATCAGTGTATGGAAGAAGGAAGGTTAACATTATGCCCAAAATGTTCCATTCGAATTTCACATAGAATGAGAAACGTTTTTGATTTGCCATTCTAAAGATGGCCAGAATTATTGGGAAAACCATTGCCACTGCCCTTTTCCTCTCCTTATTGCTTTATAAATCAGTATCAAAGGTACTATATAAGAACCCTCAAGTTTCAAACAAAGTAGACCCTGGACATTAATGGACTGAGTATGCACAAGTATCACTGACAGCCTCTGACACGTTACAGAGGCAAGAGCTTGAATCACATGCACTGAGGTTGCTGTGTGGGACTGAATCTTTTAGCTAGTGAGGGAGGCTCACCTGGCACCCAGAATTCAAATCTATCAATGTGGTTTCTTCGTTCTCCACTCATGACCATATACCAATTCTGTGGAAGAAAAATTACACTCTAGAATATCACAAAATTTGAGCATTTCCAAGGTCATGAGACATATTTCTTACAAATATCAAGGATTCACAGTAATTGGATTTCCCTGCTTTCATTTCCCCTTAGTGGCCAGAAGCTCCAGGGAACTGTTGTTGCTCACAGTAGCAGCTAACTCATCTCAGATTCCTAATACATCTGTCCTTCTACTTGGCCTCTGACCAGCTGTTGCTTTAAAAAAAAAGTCATCTCTCATTTTAATCATTGTTTTATATGTGTTTTGATGTTGTCAATTGTCTTAAATCCTTTTTGGAAGTAGGTAACTTAAATCCTAAGTAAATGTTGGAACTAGACTTCCTAGAAAGAATTATCTTAGTCCTGGGGCCCTCCATAATGTTAGAAGTACTAAAAAGAATTAAGTTCCATCCGGACTTGGCAAAGAAAAAAAATGGAATTAAGGACGATTTTTTTTAAAAAATGATAGTTTTAAAATGTATTTATCCAAATTCTGAAACTGACAGCAGCTAGGAATATGCTTTGAGTGACACCTACTGGTTGAGAACGTCACTTCCCAACTTCCAGAGAACCCAGACCAGTGTTTCTCAAAGCTTGGCTCTAAACCAAGCTTGTCCAACCCGCCTCCAGCTTTGAATGTGACCCAACACAAATTTGTAAACTTTCTTAAAAGATTATGAGATTTATGCATGGACCTTTTTTTTTTGAGCCCATCAGCTATCGTTAGTGTATTTTATGTGTAGCCCAAGACAATTCTAATGTAGCCCAAAGAAGCCAAAAGATTGGACACCCCTGCTAGGCCACCTTTTTCAGAATGGGTGCCTGATAAAAATACAGAGGACTTCCTGGGCCCCGTGCTGCTGAAACCTCCGGGCCTGCTCCTCCCGGGGAATCTGTATTTTTCACCACCACCCTGGTGATTCCAAGGTCTACTCGAGTTGGAGACCCATTTATTCAAGGGCTGTCAAGTGAGCTGTCTATACAGGACTATCAGGCCCGAGAACACCCCCGGAAGTTAGCAGGGCCAAGGCGAAGGGATTAGGCCTGGGCTTCGCGTTGGCCTCCCCGGTCCACGGACGAGGTTCGGGGCGTGGGGGCTAAGCGGGGCGGAGGGAACCCCCAAATCCCCGGGGGCGCGGCCGCTGCCCTCTCGGCAGTGAGGGTGGGGGTGGGGGTGGGGGCGGCGGTGGCTCCGGCCCCTGAGAGCAATCGCCCCAGCTGCCTGCCCCTGTCCCCGGCGTAGAGAGGGCACGGGGACGTCCTGCGTGCGCCACTGCTAACGCCTGTGCTTCCCGTCCACAGACGAACCCGCCCCCTGGAGTTCTCCCGCTGCCGCCGCCCCAGGTCTGCCGGAAGTAGGCGTCTCCCTGGACGACGGCCTCGCTCCATTCTCTCCATCACATCCAGCCCCACCCTCCGACCCTTCCCACCAGATAAGCCCAGGCCCAACTTGGGATATCAAACGGGAACACGACGTTAGGAAACCAAAGGAGCTTTCAGCCTGCGGCCAGAAGAAGCAGCGCCTCGGGGAGCAGAGGGAGCGCTCGGCGAGTCCGCAGAGGGCCGCGCGGCCGAGGCTCGAGGAGGCGCCCGGCGGCCAGGGGCGGCCCGAGGCCGGCAGGCCCGCCTCGGAGGCCAGGGCGCCCGGGCTCGCGGCGGCAGACGCGGCGGACGCGGCGCGGGCGGGCGGGAAGGAGGCGCCCCGTGCGGCGGCGGGCTCCGAGCTCTGCCGGCGCGAAGGCCCGGGGGCTGCGCCGGCGTTTGCCGGCCCGGGCGGCGGCGGCAGCGGCGCGCTGGAGGCCGAGGGCAGGGCGGGTGCGCGCGCGGGTCCCCGGCCGGGCCCGCGACCCCCGGGGGGCGCCCCGGCGCGCAAGGCCGCCGTCGCGCCGGGGCCCTGGAAGGTGCCGGGTTCTGACAAGCTGCCCAGCGTCCTCAAACCCGGCGCCTCGGCCGCCAGCAGATGAGCCGCGCGGCCACGGCCAACCCGCCCGCCCCGGCGCAGGCAGTTCTTCTTAGGTTCCGTCTCACGGCGTTTTAATTTATTTTCACTGTCACACGCATAGATCCACGAGGCACCAAGGCCTGGGAGCATCGACGTGAAGTCCCACGTGTCCGGTGTGCTTGGGCGGCATCGCATCAACGCGCAGACCTAAACTGATCCTAAAGCCCCCGGTTCCCTTGTGGGGGCTTTGGCAGCTATGGAAGAACCAAAATAACGTGAAGAACATCACAGAGAGACAGTGCAGTGTAGCTTTAGTTTAAGAAAAAAAAATATTCCTCCCCACTGCATGAAGGACTTGGATGTCATCCAAACTTTATATCAAGAAACAGGACAAAGTTAAGAGCAATCACAAACTGGAATATCGCCTTAAAAATCAAACTGCACGGAGCAAGCTGAAACTGAGACAAGATTATATCTTTTAATTGATCTAAAGCGTTGTAAATAAATTGTTCTCGACATATCTAGACAGGGGTTAAAGGGTTTCTTTGACACATTCGGAACCGTTCACCCATGACATGTTTCCATGGCTCACCCTTGGCATCCATCCTCGGTGTTAGCAGCAGCGTTCCCTGCCTCCTGCAGGATGACTTAGAAATCTAGTGAGTTTCTTGGTGTGATGCCATTTTTATTGCCCTTTCTGTGATCAAATCATATTTCTGTACATTTTCAGTGGTAGAAAAAAAAGGTTTTAAAAATTGTATCCTAGGGAACAGTTTGCCATAAGTCAGAATTTTGCAGTTTAGCTCATAGATCTTAATTGGTTTTTCTCTAAAATATGAATTTTATAATTGAAGGACCACAATTTGTTTAATCAAGATAGGCAACGCTGCAGTTCCTTTATGAAGAGGCTTTTCTGTCGTCCCAGGCTAGCAGAGATGGATAGCTTCTTTGTCAGCAATGTGATTTCACTTATTTTATTGTCTTATTTTAAACCCTGTCTCCATGACTTCATTTGCACTTTGACAGAGCAGAGGCAGAGTATTTGTCTTATATTTCTCAGATTATAATATTAAAAAATTACAATCAATTTATTTTCATTAAAGAACGTGAGTCTTTTTAGCATTCCTTTCTGCTTATCCTTCTTTCCTTACCCTTTGTCCTTTTGTTTCCATTAGTTTTCTTTCGTCTTGTATTCCTTGCCACTTTATTTTGTTAGCAACTTCTAGATGTTTATCTTCATGGATCTATGATTGACCTCCTAGTAAAATTCTAAGTCTTGCCTTTCTTCCCTGCTGTTTTAGCATTTCTTTGTAAAATGTTAGCTTCAATTAATTAGCCATTGGTACTTACTGTAGCTACACATATTAAAAGGCAAAGTGTTTCTGAAGGCAATTTCTTTTTAATATGCCCGAATGAATGAGGCTTCATCCTTTCCATATTCTTACTCTTTACAGGAGTTCAAATGCAAATAAGCTCCACCTCCCTGCACTTGTAGTCTAAAAAGTAAAAGGGGCGATCAGGTCCATCTCAAAGGTCACACGTAATAGCCTCCCTGGGCTGATCATTCCCTCTCCTTGTAATTGCAGTATCCTGAGTAGCAGTTTAATTTTCATCAAACATCGGAGTAGTTTAGTTGTTTGACAGGAGGAGAATAAGGCTGAAAGCCTCAAGTGAAGGATCTTGCAGCTTGTAAAAGCAATTTCCAAAAATGAAACCCATTCATCGTAAACAAAAGCACAAACACTTGTAGCAGTTTATAATGCTTTTGGTTTAATCTCAATTAGTCTTTCTCCCCTGGACTAGAAATCCAGTATAGTTTGCCATTAATTTATTGAATCTGGTTTTGGACAATGCTTCTGTAGTGTAGCTGCACGTCCTGGTACTGTATCCTCTGACTTTATTTTCCATGTATTACAAAAGGAAAAAAAAATTGAGATTACACTGGCATAAACTCTAGTTTGCACAGTTCACAGCTACTACTTGTGCAGTAATTGCTTTATGCGGCTGTAATCCATAACCTGTGAAGACAGCACATCATCTAAATCCCATTCCAAATAATATTTGTGTAGTGTTAGCTGTGAATTTACCCTGTACAGCTGTATCTCTATAAATATAATTCCATGTATTAATAGTCACAGAAAGACTGTAAGTGAGCAACTATTTTTATGAAACGTACCACTATGGATAAATTAACTTTTACAGAAATCTTGTTTACTGTATGATATTCTAAAACACTGTCAAATAAAATATATATCCAAAAATCTTTTCTTTTTCCAACTATATAGGCTGTGTGTTAATTTGAAATAGATTATTACTGGGGGTTAACTTAGTTTTTCAAAACTGCAGTTTTCATCGACTTTTTTTATTTTTGGAAGTATAAGTTTTAATGCCCCAAATAGGACTTTTTTGAAACTTGAATCTAAAAGCAGTGGCATTACATGGGAAAGATCATTGGCTTTTTTGGCCTAAGTAAACAGTTTTCTCAGTCTTGTTGATATTTGCTTGTCAGGTTACTACATCATTCATGAATTGGCTGTATATTTCTGTTGCTTGCTACATTGATCGATACTTTACCTTTTTTCAAAAAGGATTTAAAGTATCCATCTGTAATAAATTCCATCACATTTTTTCCTTTTAATTCTGAAATTTTCTCATGCAAAATCCCAAGGAGTTCATGCAGAAGCCAACATAGCAAGCAGCAGTGAACTGGTCCAAAATGAATGGTTGAATATAGCTTTTGTCATGTATTGCGATGCCTGTGGTAGGAAGGGAGAGTTCTGCTTGGCCCTTGGGTGATTACAACCCTGCCATCGAGGAGTTGACGATCGGAAGGAACAGTTCAACGCTAATCAAGATCCTCCTCTCCACCTGTCAGTAGGAGGCCTAAAGTTCCCAAACTGTCCATCTTTCATTCCAATACAAAATTTTTAATATCGTGCATCATTTTTATAAAAGGAAAGAGGTGATGTATAAAATGGAACACAAAAATTATGAAATTTGTAACACATGTAGTTCTTTATGAAGTAATCTGAGAATGGGCCAGTGCAAGCTGAAAAAGACCTATATAAAAATGTTGTTTAAATGGAATATAAATATTCATCCTGCACTACTTATTTTAAAATAAGAAATACAAATTACTAAGACACCAAAAGATAGGAAGCCAGAGATCAAAGGACTAGGATAGGGATAAGGCAGGAACTAGGGGGAAGCCAGCAAGGCCCCTGCTGGCTTGAACAGGGCCTTATCATGAATTCATGTCTCCAAGGTATAGGCAGGAAACTCTGAACAGAGGAGGGACTCAGATGGGGACTGGCCAAAGGGTGAGTGTGCCTTCCTCTAAAGCTCCTTGTTTGTCAAGTCCAGTACGGAACAGTATTCCAACTTCTCAAGAGAAGGAAGAAAAAAAAAATCAGGTCTTTATTTGAAATTTTTTGGTTTTTAAAGTTTGACAAGTTTCATTCACATTTATAAGAAAGGCTACGCAAGGAAAAAAAAAAAAAACAGTACCACAACAAACCAGATGCAGCCACATCTGGCCCACAGCCCATCAGTTTGGAACTACAGCCAGGCATTTGGCAGGAGAACCCATTGTTTTCATCAGGGCCTGGGTCACCTTCCAAGCAGTGGAGGCACAGCCCCCAGAGGTGGTAAACCCTGTGGCTACTGGGGTACACACATGCCAGGAATCGCCTCAAATGTGTATTCCAAGCATGAGACACGCCACCAGAAACCTGATTGTATTTCTGCAGTAGACGTGGATCTGCTGTAAATCTATAGAAACTGACGCTTGCATGGGCCCTGAATCTTACTTGAAAGTTTATATTCTCTTTTTAATGTTTCCCCCAAAATTATGTAAACTTGGGGCTCCCCTAAGTAACCTGCCCCTGCTCCCCTGATACTGCTGTATTTCAGGCCAAAGTCATGGCAAAATCAAATGACCTCTTTGCTGAAAGAATTTGGATTTAACAGACATTTCTGTTTCAGACAACTATAGTGCCAGACAGGATGCCTGTAAAATCACAAGAATATAGTTTCCAAGTCTTAACATAGTTAAGAGTCCTGTGTTTAGTAAGTTCTGCATCATGTCTAGTGTATACAGGGCCCCAGTTATATGTGTAGAGATTATGATTATTGGTGGTAATAACAGCTGTGATTGTGAACATTTGGGTATAAACAATGGAGCAACACCCTAGAATTAAACCAAACCCTTGCTGGGCATTTGGTAGCAGATCACCCAGGCAACTCAATGATCAGGGACTTCATAAAAGCTTAAATCTGGGCCGGGCACAGTGGCTCACACCTGTAATCCCAGCACTTTGGGAGGCCGAGGCGGGCGGATCAGGAGGTCAGGAGATCGAGACCATGGTGAAACGCCATCTTTACTAAAAATACAAAAAAATTAGCCGGGTGTGGTGGCAGGTGCCTGTAGTCCCAGCTACTGGGGAGGCTGAGGCAGGAGAATGGCGTAAACCCGGGAGGCAGAGCTTGCAGTGAGCTGAGATCGCGCCACTGCACTCCAGCCTGGGTGACAGAGCAAGACTCTGCCTCCAAAAAAAAAAAAAGCTTAAGTCTGTCCCACCACCCCTGGGGAGGGTAACCGGCCACCACAAATGAGAGCCTTATCTTAAGAGCTCTAGGAGTTTGACGAATCTTTTCTCCTGATGAAACTGCCTCTTGGAGAGTGATCTCACCTGGAAGAACCTGGTATTCTGTGAAACAATAAAGCGACCTTTGACCTCCTAAGTGGGAGGTACATTTTCTAAAACCCTAGCAGGCTGTGTGCATGTCCACCTGCTCTATACAAGGGCCCTTTACATGGCAAGGAAAAGCTCCATCTATCACCTGTCCTGCATTTGACACTGGTGCATTATGGTGTAAAAACTTCTAGGGAATTAAAGAGACAATTGGTGAATGCAGCCCTCAGCAGTAAGAAATAGTTAAGTGGGCAACACCTTCTTTGATGGAGGAGCCCAGGCAGAGTTCCTGGTGATCTCAGAATTGGCACCTACATGTATATGAGTTTTCAAATAAAGTCAGATTTCTGATTGAACGTGTGATTGGCTATTTGTCTGCCTTGACCACTTAGACTAGCTCTGCCAATGAGATTATATAGCACATATTTTCCATAGATTAAAGGCATCATGGCCGGGCATGGTGGCTCACAGCTGAAATCCCAGCACTTTGGGAGGCAGAGGCAGGAGGATCGTTTGAGTGCAGGAGTTTGAGATTAAAGGCATCAAATCTATAATTACTTGATTTCAGGTTTAAATGAAAATATATTTAAGGCATGCATGCATACAAGAGGAAATACATTCTTTGTAATATTTAAATTTATGATTTAAAAAATGCAGATGTCAGTTTAAAAAATTGGATCTAATGGTTTAGAAAGTTATTTTAGGGGCTATGTGAGCTAAAAAGAGCACTCACATAGGCAAACCTCCTTAATTTAGTATAGTAAAAATTTTCAAATAGCTGCTATGTAAAAGCATTAATGGTGAACAGCGCACAGGCCCTATTCTCAAGTTGCCTATAATCTAGTTAAAAGACCATGACAATTAACCCAGGACAGAATGTGGTCTGTGTGACAGTAGGAATGCAGGATTTTGTAGGATGCAGAAATGCTAAAAGTTGTTCTGGATAAGGGGCATTTTACTTGGATTTTGAAGGATGGGAAGGATTTCAAGAGGCAGAGCGAGTATAAGGGAGAGAACAGCTTGAGCAAAGTTAAGAGAAATGTTGGAGGAATATCAGGGGAGTGGGAAGTTATTGGTTTTTGGCTGAGAGTATACAAGAGAGAGTGGGTGGAGGGCGGGGATGAAAGCAGGCCACAAAGCCATTAGTGAACAGTGGAGAGTCAGGAAAGATTTCGGAGCAGAGAAAAGACAAAATCAGCCCTTGGCTCTGAAGTTAGTCCTGGCAGCCTTGTCTAGGAGGAAGAGCAAGTGGAGAAACTCTGGCAGGTGCTTCATATCAGTCCAGGTGAGAGATAAGAAGACCTGCCCACCTGGAATGGAGGGGAGAGTTTTGAGGGCTTTCAAGGAGGGGAAACAAGCAGACCTCAGACTTACTGGATGCCGAGAGTTAAGGACAATCACAGCCTTCCAGCCCAAGTGAAAGGAGAAAATAGGAAGAGGATCAGATCTACAAGGGACATCACGGGGCTCTTAGATTGCCCAGATGGAAATATTCATCCAGCCAATAATCACAGCCTAAAAATGAAGGTGTTTCAGAAAATTAGGTTCAGTGAGAAACTAAGTCTAAAGATTTAAGAGTGAACTCCCCAGACCCCACCAGGACCCATTCCTAGACATTCTGATGTAATTGGTTGGGATGGGACCTGGACATCAGGATTTTTTTTAAAGCTCCTCCAGGAGACAAAGGTTGGGCAGCCAAGGATGAGAACCACTACCCTAGGAGTAAAAGTTGATTATGATCTTCAAGGTAAAGAATTGGCAAAAGGAAAAGGGACAGGAGCCACACTGGGGAGATGGGTCAGGGAAGGAGTGGTTGGAAGGAGTGGAGAGACTGGACAGTGCAGGGCCATGAACCCCTAGGGAAGAGAGGATTTCAACAAACAAGGAGTAACATCAGTGACCACATGTGCAATGATGTCACTCAGAAGCAGGGGTACGACTGAATCACTTATTTTTATTTTTGGAGGTTCAAGAGACCTTTTAGTAGAATAGTACATTTAAGTCGCCGAGTGAATGAGGAGTGAGCAGGCAGAGGTCTTGTTGACAGAAATGTTGTCGATTCAAAGGAGAAACAGGAAAATTGCTGCTCATGGTTGGCTGGTTGTTTCTTAGTCTGGAGGTGACTTGCCTGCTTTCAGCCCAAGGGGAGGGAGCTGGGGGAAAGGAGGGAAAGTGACTGTGGGCAGCAGGCAGGGAGGGAGGTGGTCAGAAGGCCTGGAGGAAATGGAGGTTGGGAAGGAATAAGAAGTACCCTGGGGCGGGGCAGAGGGCGCGTGGAGATGAGACTTGGCAGAAGAACACTCATCCACTTCGAGAAGGCTGTGTGTCTTTCAGAGATTTGGAAAAACACTAAAGAGTCAAGGGAGTCCATATCCTATGCCTTCTGTGTTTTCAGCTACTGGAAGTCTGCTCAAATCTGTAAAATGTAGAGGTGACACTGAAGATTTGAAAAGAATTAAAACATTTTCCTGGAAATCTTGAATGAGAGAAACACGAACAAGAGAACAAGAAAAGAAAGACAGGGCCTTTCTGAAGCTAAGTGGCAGATCTAGAATTTTTTCTTTTCAGAGCAGGAGTGAAAGTTTACTAAAAAGCTTTAGAAGAGTAAGGGAAGAAAAGAAGGAAAATACAACTTGGAAGAGGGCCAAGCAGGTGACCTGAGAAGCCAAGGGCGCAGCTTACCTCTTGACTGGGAGTTTTATCCGTTGGCCTACTTCTGGGATCTTGCATTTCTCCCCACTCCTGAGATCTTATTGGGAAGCTGCTGATTAGTTTCAGGTGTTTTCTATTAGGAGCCTGTCTTTCCCTGGCACCGGCTGTGACCAATTATTACTTTAGAGAAATAGTTAACAACCACCTGACCATGCCCTGAGGGTCTCCCAACACTCCTGGTGTGTGTGTGGTGAGGGAAGAGCCCTTTTCTGCCCTGCCTACCTAACTAGCTGCCGACTATAACATTTTCCCCCTCAAGAGTCCACGACCCCAAATCTTTGGGGTAAAATGGACGAAGGTCTGCCTTCTGCAACTGCTTCCTGCTAACAGAGGGGCAGTGGTGGTTCTGTGGGTCTTGGTTTCTTGCCTGCAGGGCTGGGTTGGCTCCATGAGTTGGTGAAAGCAGTATCCAGCCAGGTCAAGGGTGACAGGGACAGCATTTTGCCTCTGTCGTGTCCCACTGACTGGCAGTCTAGAGGGTCTGTGTAGAAGGGTGAGATTATTAAATATTGAAAGGACGGTATCCCTCACTGAGGATCATCTGGAACTTAATGGCCTGAAGGCAAGTGGAGACAAATCGGGTTATTAGATTAGAAGACATGGACCAAAGCAAAACAAGGGGATGAGGACAGCTCCAAAACTTGTGAGGCTGCTGACACATCCAGGCAGCTGGTGGCTACAGTTATGCCTGCTAAGACTTGGGTGCATGGGGTTTGGCTTTGGTTAGCTCCCTTGGTCTTATTTCCCCAAAAAAGAAACCTCCAGGGTTACCCCCATCACCTGACAGGATTTGGAGGATAATTGCCCAGAATTAGAACATTGATCCAGATTTTTACATTACCCATCCCTTTTGTTTCTTCTGAGCTGCAGCCAGAGATCACTGGTTGGTTTACAGGAATAAGCAGGGTTGATCTAAAATCCAGACAAAAACTTAAAAACAACTTATGAGACTTGAATTTAATGACAGGTGTGCCATAACTTTTGAAACATAATTTCTCCAGTCCTTATTTTTGTTAACAAATCATGATAGGACTGATTTTTTTTGCACAATTAACTTTAGTCTTATTACACTTGGCCTGATTATTTGCATAAAGTGCAGCAAGAATAATTATTTTTCACATAGGCTTTTAAAATTGGCTTTGATGGAACTGTGTTCCACAAGGACTCTTAGATAATACTTTTTAAAGACATGTACCAGCCATGGGTTTGTACCCTCAAATACCTATGAATTGGGTAAATTCCTCTTCTCTTAAGGTACCAAGGTAACTTGGGGCTCTTGGGCCTGTTAGAAAGTGACAGTCTTTACTCACCACAGGTTAAGAACCCTGTACAGGGACTGTGCAGACAAGGAATGAGGCCAATTTTCCCAAGGGGCTTTTATTGGCTCTATAAGTCGAGCTTGATTTCTTAAAGCATACCATTTCAGTCAAAGCCTTGGTAAAACAACAAATTTCTCCAATTGCATTCTATTGCAAAAGAAAACATTCTTATTCCACTTATGCAAATAACTATATTGCCATAAGAATACTCACAAATTTTCCAAATTCTAGAGAAATCAGGTAGAGAGAAATATGCTCCAAATTTTGTTCACGGGTGTATACTATACTCAATTGTTAAAAGCTGTAAATAGCTAAAAAGTTTCCTTGACTCTGAAAAATAAAATAAAGATGAGCAAAAAGTCAAAAAAAAAGATTACCTCACTCTCCTATTAGTTCAATCCATTCAGTTAAGCTCTGTTCTGCTTGATATTCATGAACATTTCAGCTCTATATAGGTATAGCTTGGATATCCGCTTTTAATTAAGTTGACTTTTGATCATAATGCTCTTAAAATCCTTTTAATCTCTTTTTTTTTTTTTTTTTTTTTGGAGACAGTCTCGCTCTGTCACCCAGGCTGGAGTGCAGTGGTGCGATCTCGGCTCACTGCAAGCTGCGCCTCCTGGGTTCACGCCCTTCTTCTGCCTCAGCCTCCTGAGTAGCTGGGACTACAGGCACCCGCCACCATGCCCAGCTAATTTTTTTGTATTTTTAGTAGAGACGGGGTTTCACTGTGTTAGCCAGGATGGTCTCGATCTCCTGACCTCGTGATCCGCCCGTCTCGGCCTCCCAAAGTGCTGGGATTACAGGCATGAGCCACCGTGCCCGGCCAAAATTCTTTTAATCTCTTATACCTGACTTTAGCCTGGCCAAATGGCAAATACTTGTGTCTTTTGAGCTTTGCCAAAGGCAACCTCAAAGGTGAAGTCAATAAGTTTTAACTAAAGTTATGACTTAACCATGAGTGTACAAGGTATTTTTAGAAAAGTGATAAGCAATTTTTACAAAATTTAGAGTCCACAAAAGTAGCTCTGAGAAAGGAAAATTCAAGAAGAGAAATCAGGCTGGGCGCGGTGGCTCATGCTTGTAATCCCAGCACTTTGAGAGGCCAAGGCGGGCGGATCACGAGGTCAGGAGATCAAGACCATCCTGGCTAACATGGTGAAACCCCATATCTATTAAAAAATACAAAAAAATTAGCCAGGTGGGGTGGCGGGCTCCTGTAGTCCCAGCTACTCAGGAGGCTGAGGCAGGAGAATGGCATGAACCAGGGAGGCGGAGCTTGCAGTGAGCCGAGATCGCGCCACTGCACTCCAGCCTGGGCAACAGAGCAAGACTCCGTCACAAAAAAAAAAAAAAGAGAGAGAAATCAGAAGTTGTGCATGGAGGGGCAGGGAATACAGTGATTTTTACCATTTCTACAACCAGTTTGCACAGAGAGAGAAGCCAGAAGTCTGACTGGTAAGAAGTTTAATATTTTCTTTTGGAGGGAGGGGATGCCATTTGCCCCACCCAACAGGCTTAGCCCTGTCATCCTTTTTCTACTCTCCATTATAAAAGACTTAAGAGGCTAATCTGAGGACTTCCTGCATGGTGTACTGGGTTTCGAAGCTGAGTCTTGTAATTTCTTTCCAGTTTATTTTTAAGCCAAGAAGTTTAAGATTTGAGGAAATTAAACTTTTCCCAGTTTTGGAGAATGCATCCAAGGGGCATGTCCTGTGGTATGGAGATGCGATTACCCATCTGCCACTCATGAAGAGAACAAAGGACGGGAAAAAAAAGAAAAAAGAAGGCATCCCCCCTTTCTTCCTATTATTCTGGATGGGGCATCCCCCATCGTCCTGGGTTCCAGGCTTAATCAGTCTTACTGTATACCCTTGGTTCTTGGTTCCAGGCTTAACCAGTCTTACTGTGTACCCTTGGGCAGATCTAGAATTCTAACCCAGGTCCGTCTTAATACAAAGTCTGGTATGGAGTAAGTGCTCAACAAGGAGTTGTTAAATAAAAGAATACTCCTTCCAAAACACTTCTGAGAGCAGGAGTGATTCAAGCCTCCCTGTTTCTCTGCAGGCATTTCTGAAACAGAGCATGCTCTGCCTAGGACTTCCTGGGCCATCTCTTCACCTGACACAGCCCATGTGTATACAGGATTTGTTCCCTAACAGTAAGACATCTAGCCTCGTTCCAGGGCCAGGAGCCAAGGACATGAACAGTAGAGTTAACCTAGCATTAGAATGGCAGGATTATTACTCTGGATATATATAATGATTGTTTTCACAGTGATATTATGCATATTTCCATTTGATTCTCACACTATATAAAATGGGAATGGGGACTATATCTTTGCAGAGACGAAGAAGTTGTGGTCTTTAAGATTATTTGCCCAAAGTCACGCAGCTACTAAGAAGCATAGCACTCAGCTTCTAAATCCCAATCTTAGACCCTTTCCAGCGCACAGCGAGAGGAAGGGTACAGAGGGAGTACAAGGACAAAGCCACCAAGTGGGAGGAGCCCATGGCTTGGGCAAAGGGGTGGGACAGGGGTCAAGACAACGGAAGAACATCAGAAGTGGGTAAGATGGTAGGGACTCCTAGACCATGTAGCTGGAGGGGACCTCAGAGAGAGGGAGACAAGAGGTTGTGCAATTTCAGGTGGGTCCTTCCAAATTAATATGATTAAAACGACTCTTAGGAATAAAGAATAAAACATGCTAATGAAAGCAGAACGCTCTCTTAATATCTTTAAATGCTTGCCTTAAGGCAAAAGCCACAGCAAAGGGAGACTGCTGAACCATTAGGCAAAGGAACTGTCCTATGCATCATAAATGCATTCACAAAAGTGTTAGGATGCAAAGAGTGCCTTGCTACTGGAAGCAAAGACAGAAAAGATTTGACTTCTTGAAATCCAGGTACCAGGAAAGACATGAGCCAATTTATTTTTCCAGCGCTTAACAAGATAATACAAATGAGCTGCAACTGCTTCAACCATAATGGACATGGAATAAAAAGAGAAATTCATAGAAAGAATGCTTCAGAACAGAGACCCATGTAAACTACCCTTTCCAAATGTTAAAAATTAGCAGGGGTCATAAGATTCAGGGACATACCTTCAACTATCTCTGTGTTCTGCAGGCATGCCTGGATTCTTGCTTCTTGATCTGGATTTCCAACTCTGAGATGGCCCTAGGCATGGCCCAAAGCAAGCCAAAGTGAGCAAATGCGGCACTACAAGACAAAGGCTGAGAATATATGTATATATACTCACACGTGAACACACAGAGACTCACGAGCACACAGATACCCAGATTCACACACATCTATCCAGGGACTCCAATTTTAGTACTTTCATTGTGACAAAATAACATCTATGCCAAAAAGTACACAAAAACATTTGGATGGTTTACTCAGTTTTAAAATAGGCACATGTAGAACCATCATCCATGCTGAGAAACAGCCTGGGATCAATTACTTGAGACTGGGCCAGGCACGGTGGCTCATACCTATAATCCCAGCACTTTGGGAGGCCGAGGCAGAAAGATCACCTGAGGTCAGGAGTTCGAGGCCAGCCTGGCCAACGTGGCAAAACCCCATCTCTACTAAAAATACAAAAATTAGCTGGTCATGGTGGAGCACGCCTATAATCCCAGCTACTTGGGAGGCTGAGGCAAGAGAATCACTTGAACCCCTGGTGGGGAAGAGGTTGCAGTGAGCCAAGATCATGCCATTACACTCCAGCCTGGGCAACAGAGTGAGACTCTGTCTCAAAAAAAAAAAAAAATTACTTGAGACTAATACAGAGTAAATACTTGACACATACTTTTATTAGTACTGTTATCATTAATTAAAAGACATATACCATTTGCAGTGGTGCTCTGGGACTGCCATTCAGCAAGTATGTTTGAGCGGTCAGCTGTGTGCCAGGTGCTGTGCAAGGGCCGCACCTTTGACAGTGTTCCCCACCTCTTTTCATCATCAGGTAAGTAATGCCACAACCAATGACACAATTGCAGGGTGGTGGGTGCCCCCAGGGAGAAGTCAAGGACACCATAGCAGGGGGCTTGCTGGCTGAGGGGGCAGGTGGGCCCAGCTTCTCCTGAGGAAGTGACTGCTCTGCTGAAGGCTGAAGGTGCCCAGGACTCAGACAGGAACATGCTCTGTGGAACAGAAGCGTCTGGGGGAGAGTCAGGGCCTGAGGGAACCAGGATGATCAACTCACCCATTAGCCAGTGACCGTCCTGATTTTCAAACTAAAAATCCACATTCCAGCAAACCTCCCAGGCGCGGGCCAACCGCAGGGCTTGATTACCCAAGAAGGAATGGTGTAGTGATCAGGCTAGCAAATCTGAGGCCCCGACAGAAGCCAGTTGCCTCAGGCACAGAGGATGAGAAAGAAGTCACCAGCAGGAGGCTGGGAGCCGCAGAATCCAGATCACACAGGGCCTAATCGGCCTTGGCCAGTATGTGGGCCTCCATTCAAAAGGCAGCAGGAGACTGCTGATGGGTTCTAATTGGGCAGAACAACCTGATGTGATGTGGGTTTCTTGTAAATAACACTCTGGCAATGGAGTAGAGACTTCAGAGGGGACGGGCCTTGTGGAGACCACCATTGTGCTCCCTACCCCACTTTTCTCCCCTGGCCTCAGTTCCTCCTCTCCTTACTCTCCATCCTCTGTGTCCTGTGCTGTGTCCAGGCTCCCGAGCCCTGGAGGCTGGAGACACCAAGCTCAGCCTTCCTGAACTTCTGTCTTGGGGCAGGCATGAGCCTTTCTGGGAGGGCTCAGGAGGCCTCACTGGTACATCTACAATTCTGTGATGAACCTTCCTGGACAGGTGTCATCAGTACACCAACTCACAACCCTCACTTTCCAAGTTCTCAGACGTTTTCTCCAACACCAAGGTGTGGATTGAAAGTTGATTTTATGTCTGTGGAATTAATATTTGCTATGCCTACCGTAGAATAGGTTCTCAGTGAATGCTTGCTGAAGGTTGAATAATTTTTTTAGAACTGGTCTCTTCTCTAAATCCAACATCATTTCCCTGAGTGTATTAGTCCGTTTTCACACTGCTGATAAAGACATACCTGAGACTGGGTAATTTATACAGGAAAAAGGGTTTAATGGACTTAAAGTTCCACGTGGCTGTGGAGGCCTCACAATCATGGTGGAAGGCAAGGAGGAACAAGTCATGTCTTACATGGATGGCAGCAAGCAAAAAGAGCTTGTACAGGGAAACTCCCATTTTTAAAACCATCAGATCTCATGAGACTTATTCACTATCACAAGAACAGCAAAGGAAAGACCCTATCCCATGATTCAATCACCTCCCACAGGGTTCCTCCCATGACATGTGGGAATTGTGGGAGTTATAATTCAAGGTGAGATTTGGGTAGGGACACAACCAAACCATATCACTGAGTAGGAATGGCTTTCAGCCTGGCAAGCAGCTCTGATGAGTCAGAGTGGGCAATTTGTGATTTTCCTCAGGTTTGCTTGCACCTGTGTCCACAAAGTTCTGACACAGGAGCCTGATATTGTTATTTGAGCATCCCTTGGGATTAAAGCTAAGCTTCTGGGACTCCTTCAGGTGCTTTATCCAAAATAAGTCCAATAACTCTTTCCCCTGGACTTTCTCCTCCTCATGCTCAGGCCCAGCCTCTGAAGCCAGCAGGGCTTGAGGAGGCCTGGCCCTGGCTCTTATTTTGGGAAGGCAAGGGCAGGAGCAGAGCTACAATGACAGGGCAGGCCTTCTTGTTCTAGCTTTCCTTGCACAAACGAAGGGAAAAACTTTCCACTAATATCCTTGGCTGAATTCAGGTACATGGTGTCCAGCTGGTCAGGATTCCTTAGATGGGCTCGGCCTCCACACCATGAATGTTTGCTGGAAGCATGTAAAAGGCCTCTGCCAGTCTGGGCCAGGACTATTCCAGACTCCCTCTGCCTCTCTGCTCCAATTGCAGCTCCTCTAAATAACATACACACACACACACACACACACACACACACACACACACACACACACACACACACACAGAGCCCACATATCCCATTTGACTCCCTGTCCAGGCTCCTGCTACTCATGTCAAGCAGCACATTTGGGCTGTTTCAGCCAACCTCAGCCCTGCAGCCTGCAATGGGGTCCTGCCACTCACCAGCCAGCCTCTTGGATAAGAGACTCCCAGCTGAACTCCCTGCATTGGCCTCTCAAGACCAAAGTCCCTCATAGCCTGTTCTCCACTGACCTTCCCACCAGAAGAGGCCATTTCCTCACAACCCAACCCCAAAACACATTTTCACTCCGTTTTTAATCTGAGTCAACAAAGATAAAACCAAGGTGTTTTTTTTTTCTAACCACCACCATCATCAAGGACCTAATGGTACAGGGTGAGAGCTTTGTAAGGTTTAAATGCATAGTTAGGTATAAATACCTTAAAACATAAAGCAGTCATCTGGAACACACAGCCTCGCTAAGGGGAAGGGGCAGCGGGGATGATTTTGTCCTGAATTACCCTGCCAAGATATTGAAAAGAGCAGCAGTGAATCATTTGAACTACTTCTAGAAGACTAGCTGCTGTGACAAATAACCCTCACCCTTCAACGCCCCCAAAAAGCTTATTCCTCACTCAGGTGACAGGTCAGAAGTTGCTGGTTGAAGAGGTGGCTTTTCTTGTGCAGTGATTCAGAGCCCTGTGTTCCTTTCATTCTCCAGCTCCACTGTCCCCTAGGAGACTTGCTTCTGAAAGACTGGCCTGTGTGCCAGCAGCTTGGACATCCCTGAAAGCTTGTTAGAAATGCAGGATCTCAGGCCCCACCCTAGACCTACAGTTTCAGAGCCGTATTTTAAGAAGATGCCCATGGCCAGGTGACTCATATACAGATGCTCCTCTACTTGTGATGGGGTTACATCCCACTAAACCCATTGTAAGTTGAAAAATATCATAAGTAGAAAATGCATTTACTATACCTAACCTACCAAACATCATAGCTTAGCCTCGCTTACCTTAAAATGCTCAGAACACTTATATTAGTCTATAGTTGGGCAAAATCATCTAACACAAAGCCTACTGTGGAATAAAGTGTTGAGGGCCGGGTGTGGTGGCTCATGCCTCTAATCCCAAAACTTTGGGAGGCATATGGATCCTTGAGTCCAGGAGTTCGAGACCAGCCTGGGCAACATGATGAAACCCAATCTCTACCAAAAAAAAGAAAAATACAAAAATTAGCTAGGTGCGGTGGCACAAGCCTGTAGTCCTAGCTACTCAGGAGGTTGAGGTGGGAGGATCGTCTGAGACCAGGGAGGTCAAAGTGGCAGTGAGCTGTGATTGCACCACTGCACACCAGCCTGGGCAACATAGTGAGATCCTGTCTCAAAATAAATAAATAATAAAGTGTTGAATACCTCATGTAATTTATTGAATACTGTACTAAAAGTAAAAAACAGAATGGCTCTATGGGTACTTGAAGGATGGTTTCTACTGTATCACTTTCACACCATCATAACATCAAAAAATTGTAAGTCTAACCATCATTAAGTTAGGGACCACCTATACATAGAAGTTTGAGAAGCCCTGCCCTAGCGCCCCAGAGTCCTCTGGAACCAGATAGCAGAAGGGGAAAGAAGGTCTGGAGCAATTACAGCCCCTTCTTTGCTTCCTCAAGCGACCGGTCACACTCATTCATATTCCCTTAATGAGAACTAGTCACGTGGCCACAACTGGACACAAGGGAGCTGGGAAATGTAGTCCCTGACTGGGCAGCTGTCTGGCAGACACCACTCCACACTATGGAATTGGGAGGACAGATTTTGGTAGACAGACATTTCTCATTCACACACAGTACTTTGTGTATGTTTTCTTTTTCCTTTTTGTTTTTTTTGACTTGCTCTGTCACCCAGGCTGGAGTGCAGTGGTGCAATCAGGGTTCACTGAAGCCTCCGCCTCCGAGTTTCAAGTGATTCTCCTGCCTCAGCCTCCCGAATAGCTGGGATTGAGGCACCCACTACCACACCCGGCTACTTTTTTTATTTTTAGTAGACATGGGGTTTTGCCATGTTGGCCAGGCTGGTCTTGAACTCCTGACCTCAGATGATCCGCCTGCTTCGGCCTCCCAAAGTGCTGGGATTACAGGTATGAGCTACCACACTCAGCCTTCATTTTTTCATTAGAAGAAAGAATATTTCCTCCTCTCCTCTAGAAACTGCCTTGGGGGATGGCATCATGGGAATTTTTCCAGGTTTCTGTGTGAAGGTGGTGCCAACTGGACTAATATTTCAGACAAGAAGATAAAACATCTTCTTCACCACAAGCCATCATGTTCATAAGAGTCTGTGATCCCATGTGGTTCCCAGCAGTGCCTGCTTCCCCTCACCCCTAACACAGAGGGTATCCCCAGATGACCTTCTCCTCCGAACACATCTGAGGCATCTGACCACAGAACAGCAAACGTTTTTGTAAAGTGTTGGATAATAAATATTTTAGGCTTTGCAGGCCATGTTGTGTCTGTTACAATCACTCAGCTCTGCCTCTGAAGCATGAAAGCCGCCATAGATAAAATATAAATGAATTCACATTATATAAACAGAGCATAGGAGAACTGACCATCATTCATTTTGCAAATCTTTCTTGAGCACTTATTAAGCAATGTAATGTCTCTGAACCCAGTCAAAATGTAAACTCCATGAAGGCAAGTATTATATCTATCTTGTTCCTTACTCTAGTCCTTGAACATAGCACTGTGACTGGCACATTTATAGAATGAAAGAATGAATGGTCAAATGAACATCAAGCAAGGGAAAATTTACAGATTGGAAGAACTACAGCAAGCTATTTGAGGTCCATCCTGGCCAAGAGATCCACATAGTCAAGGTGGCCAGGAAGCCTACGATCAGAATAAGACAAAAGGAAGTCATCCACCAGGTCATAACCTTTGGTAACTTGGCCCAGGAAGGGCCCTTACAGAACAGCAAGGCCTGATGACCCATTCTCTTCAGTGAGCAGGTGGCCACCATCTTGAAAGCAAAGGCCCAATAGCAGGACAAGCAATGCTTGTACATGCAGAAGAGAGACAAGCAGGGACCTACTAATAGAGGACTCGTCAGAGTGGGGCTCAAAACCTAATATGGAGGCCCTAGACAAGTACAGAGGCCATACTGAAGGGATTGCTAAGAGAAAACTTGGTCAAGGTCAGGAGCAGTCACAAATAATGAGGAAATAGCATTAAATCATCATGAGCCATGTGCCCTGACATTTACATATGGCATCCAGTGTTATCCTCACAGCAGTCTTGCATGTTCATAATATTCTCCTTGCACCTCCAAAACTGCTTTTGTTAGGTCACATGACTTCACTCCAGGACTCTTCTGTAAAGCCACATAGAGTTTCTCAGCCTTAGCTTTAGGCCAGATAATTCTTTGTTGTGGGAGGCTGTCCTGTGCATTGCAGGATATTTATTTACAGCCCTGACCTCTACCCATCAATTATAATGACCAAAAATATCTCCAGACATTGCCTAATATCCTCAGAGGTAGAGGAGATTTGAGGGCCACTGAGCTACAGGAATCCAGACAGTGAGGCATTGGCAAATGATAGGCACATACGTCAATGGAACAGAACAGAGAGTCCAGAAACAGACCCATACATATACCGTCAATTAAATTTCAACAAAGGTACAATGGCAATGCAACGGAGAGCGAATAGTCTCAACAACTGAATATCCATATATATAAGAAAGATGTGCCTTGATGCATATGTCATACTATATACAAAATTAAACTTAAAATGGATCAGAGGCCTAAATATGAAAATCTGAATATGTGATCAATTTGACTTAAATACAAATTTAAAACTTCTAATCTTCAAAAGATAGTTAAGAAAATGAAAAAAAAAAGTCACAGATTGGTAGAAAATATTTGCAAAACAAAAATCTGACAAAGGAGTTGTATCCTCAATATTTCTTTTTAAGTCTCAAAATTCAATAATAAAACAAAACAACTCAATTCTTTAAAAGAGTGGACCAGGCACAGTGGCTCATGCCTTCAATCCCAACACTTTGGGAGGCTGAGGCAGGGGGATCACTTGAGGCCAGGAGCTCAAGACCAGCCTGGGCAACAGAACAAGACCTCCATCTCTACAAAAAAAAAAAAAAAAAAAAAAGTCAGGCATGCTGGCACATGCCTGTTGTCCCAGCTACCTGGGAGGCCAAGGCAGGAGGATCACTTGAGCCCAGGAATTCAAGTTTACAGTCAGATGTATCATGCCACTGCACTCCAGCCTTGACAACAGAGCAAGACCGTCTCAAAAAAATCAACCAATTGATGAAAAATTAAAAAAAAAAAGAAAGTTGTAAAAAGGCACTTCAACAAAGAAAATATACAGAAGACAACTGCATAATAACATGCTCAACATTATTTGTCATTAGGGAAATGCCAATTAAGACCACCAGGTGATATCAATTACACACCTACTAGAATGGCTAAAATTTAAAAACTGACATACGTTGTTAGTAGATACAATCATCTTGGAAAATATTTGGCAGTTCCTTTTCTCTGTTTTTTTGAGACAGGGTCTTACTCTGTCACCCAGGCTGGAGGGTAATGGCTTGATAATGGCTGGCTGCAGCCTCGACCTCCCTGAGCTCAGGAAATCCTCCCACCTCAGCCTCCCAAGTAGCTGGGACTACAGGCACATGCCACCACACCCAGCTAATTTTTGTATGGTTTGTAGAGATGGGGTCTCACCTTGTTGGCCAGGCTGGTCTCAAACTCCTGGGCTCAAGTGATCCCCCCATCTCAGCCTCCCAAAGTGCTGGGATTACAAGGATGAGCCACCATACCCAGCCTGCAGTTTCTTATAGAGTTGAAATAGGCTTACGTATTTATTTATTTATTTTTATGTTAAGTTCCAGGGTGTTATATGCAGGATGTGCAGGTTTGTACATAGATAAACCTGTGCCATGGTGGTTTGCTGCAGCTGTCACCCCATCACCTCGGTATTGAGCCCATCATGTATTAGCTTTTTCCTGATGCTCTCCCTCCTCTCCCTGCCCTCCCTCAACAGGCCCCAGTGTGTGTTGTTCCCCTCCCTGTGTCCATGTGTTCTCATTGTTCAGCTCCCATTTATAACTGAGAACATGCAGTGTTTCGTTTTCTGTTTCTGCATTAGTTTGCTGAGGATAATGACTTCCAGTTTCATCCATGTTCCCGCAAAGGACATGATCTCATTCCTTTTTATGGCTGCATAGTATTCCATGGTATATATGTACCACATTTTCTTTATCCAGTCTATCATTGCCAGCTTATGATATTTTGTTATAGCAGCCCAACTGGACTAAGATAGACTTCCTCTTTGACCCACGTGTTATTTAGAAATGCATATCTCCAAATGTTTTGGGATTTTCCAGCTATCTTTCTGTTGTTGATTTCTAGTTTAATTCCATGTGGTCTGACAGCATTCTTTGTATGACTCCTATTCTTTTGAAATTGTTAAGGTATGGTTTATGCCTAGAATGTGTTGTATCTTGGCGAATCTTCATGTGAGTGTGCAAAAAATGTGTGTGCTGGTGTTGTTGGATAAAGTCATCTATAGATGCCCATTATATCTTGTTGATTGATGGTGGTGCTGTTCAGTTCAGCTATATCCTTACTGATTTTCTGCTTGATGGATCTGACTTATCTCAAATTCCATGGTCAATCACTCTACTCACTCCCTTACACACACTCTCAAATCCCTTGCCCCTCTTTGCTTCTGTGCATAAACCACAATTGTGGTCCAAGCCAACTCTCTGCATGTACCTTGCCTATCTTCCCATACATGTTGGAGAAAAACATTCACCATGCTGACTGGTATCTCTATAATTCATAACCACTAACCTCAAGTGGTCCATGTATGCTGCTGGGCAAACAGGCTGACACTCCTTGGTCCTTTCCAGGGATAGACCCATTCCATCCACCTCTCGTGGATGACTATTTCGTACCTTCTCATTTCCCTTCAAATTGCCAACACCTCCTCCTTAATCCTTGCTCTCAGCAGATGACCTTGCTTCCTAGGTCACATTAAGAAATTAGAAGAATTTTCTATCACCATATCTACACCTGTATTTGTGCCCTATACTCTGCCTCCAGGCCTTTCACTCTCAAGTACTTGCCTATGCCACTAGCAAATGTCAACCCCTGCCCTTCTGGGCTAGACTGAGCTCGCCTGCTCAGGGGCCATACTGCAGCAATTCTCCTCTCTTGCTCCTGCGTCATTCATTTGTCCCTCTCTCTTTGATCTTCCTCATCAGTACACAGGCTATGTTTTTCTTTGGGGGGCTTCTTCATTCCTTTTTTCCTCTAGGGAAGTTGCTCTTCCCCATGATAGCCACATGGCTCTCTCCCTCTCCTTCGCAGGTCCTTACCAAATGACACCTCTCAGGGATGCCTTCCCTGCCAAAGCTTGCAACCCCCCTGTGGCGGGCATACCCTCAGGTGACCTCAATGAGCCCTTGAAGAGTCCCTCTCCCCTTGAGTGAGGACAGAACCTGTTCCTACTTGCTTCTAACTAATAAGATATAGCAAAGGTAATGGGGTGTCACTTCCTTGAATAGGTTACATTATATTATACATTATATATATACAAGATGATGGGCTGTCACTGTCATGGTTACGTTACATTATTGAAAGCTCCATCTTAGCAAACTGAAGAAAGAGATTGTCCTCGCTGGCTTGAGGAAGTAAGCTGCCATGTTGTGAGAGGGTCCAGGGAACTAGGAGGCCTCTAGGATCTGAAGGTGGCCTCCAGCAGACAGCTGTCAAAAAGCAGGGGCCCTCAGTCATCTGAAAATCTGAATACGTAACTTGGACTTAAATCAAAATTTAAAACCTCTAATCTTAATTTAAAACCTCAGTCACACAACCATAAAGAAATAAATTTTGGACTGGGCATGGTGGCTCATGCCTGTAATCCCAGCATGTTGGGAGGCTGAGGCGGGTGGATCATTTGAGGTCAAGAGTTCAAGACCAGCCTGACCAACATGGTGAAACCCCATCTTTACTAAAATACAAAAAATAGCTGAGCATGATGGTGGCAAGCCTGCAATCCCAGCTACTCAGGAGGCCAAGGCACAACAATCCCTTGAACCCGAGAGGTGGAGGTTGCAATGAGCCAAGAGATCGCACCACTGTGCTCCAGCCTGGGCAACAGAGTGAGACAAAGAAAGAAAAGAAAGAAACAAAAGAAAAGAAAGAAAGAAGGGAGGGAGGGAAGGAATTCTGCTGACACCGTGAATGAGCTTGGAAGAGGACTCTTCTCCAGTCCTTTTTTCAAATGAGAATGCATCTGCTGACACCTTGATCACAGCCTTGTGAGGCCCTGGAGAGAAGACCTGGTGAAGCCACGTTCAGACTCCTGGACCCACAAAAACTGTGAGACAATAAGTGTGTGTGTTGTTTTAACCTGCTGTATGTAGTAATTTGTTATGCAGAAAAATAGAAATCCAATATACCCTAGGCTGGGCACGGTGGCTCAAACCTGTAATCCCAGCACTCTGGGAGGCCTAGGCGGGTGGATCACGAGGTCAAGACCATCCTGGCCAACATGGTGAAACCCTGTCTCTACTAAAAATACAAAAATTAGCTGGGTGTGGTGGAGCGCACCTGTTGTCCCAGCTACTAGGGAGGCTGAGGCAGGAGAATCGCTCGAACCCAGGAGGCAGAGGTTGCAGTGAGCTGAGATCGCACCACCACATTCCAGCCTGGTGACAGAGCGAGAAGACTCCGTCTCAAAAAAAATAAAATAAAATAAAAGCTAATACAGCCCAAACGCTGCTCCCTGGGACCCTTTTCTATTATTTATCTTTTCACCTTAGCACTTACCACTTTCTGACATATTTTCTATTTCACCAATTTCCCTTGCTGATGTCCTATGCTTCCCCCATGACTCCCACACAAAAGTTCCACTAAGACAGGGATTTTTATCTTTTTTTTTTTCTCTGCCATTATAGTCTCAGCACCTTCAACAGTCTCAGTAAATGTTTGTTGAGTGAATGAATACATGAATGGATGCTAAATCCTATTACCTGAGCAGAGAAATTCATCAAACTTATATATACCTCAGGGAGGTAAGACAGAAAAGATAACAGGTTTGTTTCATTTTCAACTTGTTGTTAAGGAAATGTTTAAGCATTGATTCTACAGCTCATGAGCAGCAGGGGGAAAAAAGCATTGATTCAAGACCACTGTGATGTTTCCAAGTAATCACTTCTTACAAGTGTGGCTTATTCCAGGGGTAAATTATAAATTTCTAATTTTTAATTTTTATTTTGTTTTTCGTCATCCAATATATAATCGTGACTGTCTCCAGTATATAATTTCTTAGAGCATCATTCTTTGAGGTCTTTTAACTTGACTCACATTTTAAAAATACATTTCTCATCAACCCTCAGTACACACTGATACCCACATACATAACTGAAAAGTATCACAAAGTAGTACTTATTCTTTTAATGTGCTCTGATTGTTTCCCATTCTGTTGCATTCTGTTGTATTTCATTTTTTAAAACTGGCAAGACCCGCCAGTAGGATTGACAAGACCAATCCTCAGTTTTCAAGCTTCTCCCAGGTTTGGATTGCTATGGGTTTGACATTATTCTTCCTGGTGTCTGTGGTAAGGCCCCCTCTTCTGTGCTGCATGGAAAATAGAAATACCTGCCCTAGCAGCTAGGGGAGCTGGGGGCAGCACTGGCGTTTTCTTGTGAAACTGACATGGAGTGAGCCTGAATTGAGAGCCGCCCACCTCTACTGCAGCTGACACAGAGAAACACCAAGCCCCGGATGCTCATCGTCATTAGTTTGTGTGAGTGTTTCTATATTTCAAAGACTCTATAATATCCAAATAACTATCGCAACTAATCTTTAATCATGGTCATGTCTCAGATGTCTTAATGGTCCCTGAGTCACCAGCAGTTGGCCTTTGAATCTCTTATTGTAAAGTGTTTAAAAGAATCCCTGAAACATTAGCCACCTTACATGATTCCAAATGGCATAACTTGTGAAGATAATGAAAAATTATGGTAAAGCACTTTTCATACAGCATGAACTAATCAGTGAGCCCAGAAAAGCCGATGTTGATGAAGTGCCATCAAGTTATGGCATGAAATGCCACCTGCGGGTAAATCTGGGTCTAATTTGCCTTTGCAAGTAGTTTTCTATTTATTTGAATGTGAAATGAATCTTAAGGATGGCAGATGATAAAGATGCTGCCCCTTCAACACTGATTTGATTGGAAGTGCATTTGTCCTTTCTTTGAGCCTGCAGTTTCAGAGACTTTTTCAAATCTTCCTTTGTAAGTGTTAGCCCAGCAGTGCAGGCAGAGGGGGAGATGCCCCGGCACCTTCCTCCCTCGCTGGCTTCACCCCACCATCCTGCCTGAAGGCCGAGGTGCCAGGGCAAGGAGGGGAGATGCAGAAAGCCGGAACTCACTCAGAGAGAAGTCAGGAGCCAGTGAGGCTGAGCGTGCTTCTTCTCACGCTTTTTGGCTCCCCTCACCATTTTGGCCCCCATTTTCCTTCCCTTTTGGCTTTGTCCCTGTTATTGTGATTCTCAGCGTCAGATGGCCTCAGCTCTCCTGTTTAATGGATGTCTCTGCTAATGTAACATTCTCTTATCATCATGTAGAAGCAATGGCCAAATCCACAATACGGGCGATTCTACAGGACAAGTAGACCAGTTTCTTCACGACATGAATAATCAGGTGGAGGTGAAGGGGAGGAACGGCTATAACATAAGAGATGAAAGACATTAGTCAGATTCAGTCTTGTCTCAAAGTAGAGACAGGAGTATAGTGGATTCCCAATTGTGCATCACTCACCATCAATGTTTATCAATATTTTGTTCTTCTTGCTTCAATTATTCATTCCAACAGGTGTGTGCGTGCGTGTGTGTGTGTGTGTGTGTGTGTGTGTGTGTGTGTGTGTCTGTGTTGTGTATAGTAGCTATGGTCTCAACGTGTCCCCCTAAATTCATGTGTCGGAAACATAATCTCCCCAATGCAACAGTGTTAGGAGGTAAGGCCTTTCAGGAGGTAAGTCGCAAGGGCTCTGCCTTTGCAACTGGATTAATGCCACTATGGAAAGGGCTTGGGGAGTGAGTTCTCTGTCTTTCCCTCTTCCGCTGTTCTGCACGTGAGAACACAGTCCTCCTCCTCTCTCACCCTTCCACCTTCCATCATGTGAGGCCACAGCAAGAAGTCCCTAATCAGATGCTAATGCCTTAATCTTGGACTTCCCAGCTTCCAGAATTTGAGAGAATACATTTCTGTTCTTTATAAATTACCTAGTCTCAGGTTTCTGTCATAGCAACACAAAACAGACTAAAACAACAATATTTTAAAGTAAATCCTAGAGTTTCTATTGTTTCATCCGTAAGTACTTTAATGTATGGCACTTACAAGTACACTTCGGCAAAATGTTTTCAGCCTTTGACAAGGGGCTCTACTGGAAGCAACCCTGTGCCTTTTTTTTTTTTTTTTTTTCCCTAAGAGTCCAGGTCTCATTGTGTTACCCAAGCTGGAGTGCAGTGGCACTCCACTGAAGTTTGAGTGCATTACAGCTGCAAACTCCTGGGCTCAAGTGATCCTCCTATATAAGCCTCTTAAGGAGCTAGGACTACAGGCATGTGCCACCATGCCTGGCTGTTTTCATTTTTTGTACAGAAAGTGTCTCGCTATGTTTCCCAGGCTAGTCTCAAACTCCTGGTCTCAAGTGATCTACCTCAGGCTCCCAAAGTGCTGGGATTACAGGAGTGGGAGCCACTTTGCCCAGCCCCGTGTGTCTCTAAATGATGGTTTACTCTAAGGACAGCGCTGACTTTTATAAAAACACACTGTTTCTCTCCCCAGATCCTCAGGATAAAATTCCTCCTGGACTGTGCTTAGGAGAAACTTCACAATTTCTCACCAAAACACTAAAGCTTGAGTACCTAATCAAATGTTCTTTATACAAGATCTGCTAGGAAGCTTAGATACAAAATCTGTGGCCAACCATGTCATATAGCTGCACACAAGGAGATGAAATTTTCTATTACTGTTATTTCCTATTCTAATATGTTCCTCTTCTTTTCGTTCCTTTTTCTTTCTCATCCACTTCAAATTTGTGTTATCTTATTTATCTTTATATCTCTGTAAGCAGAGGTATGCTGGTGTTTCACAACTAGTTCTCTGAAAAAAATGCCTATACATGTATACATTTATTATACATTTTGCTGCTATAAATGATGTATATCCCACAATAAGCAAATAACAGTAAACTACATAATACTCTGTATTGTAAATTCCATGCAGCCAATTGATTCTCACATATGCTTTCATTGAGCTTTGTCAAATCCTTTATCCATAGCTAACATACAGTTGCAATTGACACCTCTAGAAACCTCTTCTCAGGGAAGAGGAAGACTCTGCCCTTTGGCTTCCAGATTCATGCGTTTTAAGATCTCCTGAGCTATGTTGGCTCTGTTCAATTCTCCCTTCCCTAGCTGCCTCCCCGAGGGCTTTGTCTAGTTGCAACAAAATCATGACATGTTTCTCTATGGACAGTCAAGGCCTCTGAAGCACAGTAATGACGAAGTGCATGGCCCTGGACAGACAGTTGAGGGGCTGAGTCCTCGATTGCCAATCCCTGCCCTACCCCTTGTAGACTGTGTAAACCCAGGACACGTTATCTCTGCATTTCTTTCCCTCATGGTGCAAATGAGAAGGTTAAATTAGATAATCGTCAAGGTCCCTTATAGCTCTAATATCCTTTGGTTAGGATCTTATTAAATATGCATCAGACACATTCGGCTGCAAGCTTTATTTTCTGATAACACTAAACTGCCCTTGTGTGCACAGCCCTTATAACTTGCTGCTTGTATAATATGTTCCTTTGCTCACAAAACACAATAGCAATATTCCCTCTAACAGCAACCTTCTATTCAGTGACTGCCTTTCTCAATATTACTTTTCTTCCTTTTTTTTTTTTTTTTTTTTGAGATGGAGTCTCACTCTGTCACCTAGGCTGGAGTGCACAGGCACGATCTCAGCTCACTACAACATCTGCCTCCTGGGTTCAAGTGATCCTCCTGCCTCAGCCTCCTGAGTAGCTGGGTCTGCAGGCACCCACAACCATGCCCAGCTAATTTTTGTATTTTTAGTAGAGATGAGGTTTTGCCATGTTGGCCAGGCTCGAACAGGTCTCAAACTCCTGACCTCAAGTGATCTGCCCGCCTTGGCCTCCCAAAGTGCTGGGATTGCAGGCGTGAGCCACTGCGCCTGGCCTCAATATTACTTTTCTAAGACTTATTGGGAGGCGATCATGAAAAAATAAAATAACACTGGCCTCAATATTACTTTTCTAAGACTTATTGGGAGGCGATCATGAAAAAATAAAATAATTTTTTAAAAGTAAAAAAAAAAAAAACCCCACAAAACCACAGCAACTCCCTTCAACTCCCTTCACTCCCATCTCCTTTTGCCTTTTCTCACGTATTCAGGTGCATCAGGCTTATGGAGTTGGCTTAGATCCTAAGTCCTCCACTCTGGGGAACGAATGGACTTTTATCTGCCTGGATTTAGAAGCCAGGTCCTATTGACAACATGCTATTAAGAGTTCCAAATAACCTTTAAGTAGCTAAATGAAATGATCGTTGTCTACCCTGATCCTACGTGATTTAAGTGTTGTTTGTGAGGAGATGAATCACAGGGCAGTGCTTCACTAACTGTTCTCATTAAACTTTCAAGGTTCTGGACTCCAGGCTGTGGCGTGTTTATTTCTGTCTACACCTTCCCCTCAGACAGGTTTAGTGCCCATCTTTCTCATGCAGAGGGCATCCCAGAGCCTAGTGCTCCCAGTCTTTCTCCTTTACTTATTACCTTTCAGGCTCAAACTCATCCACCTGTTTCAACAGAACAACAGCTGAGAAATAGAGCAGGTCTCCTCCTTCACAGACCGCTTAACTCCTGCCTCGCCTCTGCCTTCTGTACAGGCTTGATAGTCAGGTGCATGGTCCAGAGGCCTCCACGTGCAGAAAACAAGACCAGGCTGCCAGCCTCTTCCCCAAAGCATCCTGGGTTTCTTCTCTGAGAGTGCCACAGCATTCTCTCTCCTTTAAGGCCTTGGGTGTGTTCACAGAGTCTCATCGCAGGCTGCTGCCCACTGGCACCTCATGTAATCTCAGTGAGACCATTCACGTTCTGGGCATCCAGGACCATGAGGATAACCCTATAGCCACTTCATATTACTGTGCCAAGCACATTACCTCACTTAATTCTCACTTAACTCACTTAATTTAACCCCAAGAGGGCTGATATTCAGATGGTTGGCACCGGTAAGTCCTAATGAATTATTTATAATCCACTTCTATTCTCAGTGGCCTGGGACATACCAGTTGTGAAAGGTATTAAATATGACCTGGAGGTAGATGTCACTTACAGTTTTCAAAGGAGGAGATGGAGGCCCTGAGTTATCCTGGAAGAGCGGGAGGGCGCAAGGCATTTCTCAAAAGAAGACACACAGAAACTACAACAGGGATCACCACGGCAGACAGGAGGCAGAACCAGATTGCAGCTCCGACTTGGACAGACAGAGCAGCATACGGAGGCTCACATCATGAATTTTAGCTCCAGAACAACTGCAGGAATAAACCAGGAATGCCGAGAGGACCCACAGACCCTCTTGAAGGAAGCAGACTGCTCCTGCAGGACCCAGGAGACACCCCAAATCCTGTGAGTGCCCCAACTGTGGAAGTGGGAAAAGGAGACCCTCCGCCCCCGAACACACACCCCCACTGGGGAAACTGAAGGCCTAGTTTGCGAAAGAAGTTTCCGACCTTACCTGGAGCTGAGTCAATTTAGAGAGCCGAGTGAACTACAAGGGTAAAGGAAGCAGTGGGAAAGGCCCTGGGAGCTCGCTGGGACCCCAAGCAGGCCATTCTTACCTGGCACCACCAGGATCCTTCAGGAGGGCAGCTAGAGGTGTGGGGAAAATGCCACAGGGAGAAGGAAGTCTCCAGCTGAACTTCATAACAATTTGAACCAGGCAAGAAGCCTCCTGGCCAGAACTCTGGGGAGAACGGGAATCCAGCATGCAGACTCCACAGGTGGGGGAAGAACTGAGCCCTTTTCCTTTGCAGCTGGGAGGTGGGTAGTCTGGGGCAATTCTCAGCCCTGCTTGCCCACTGCCTGGAAACAGATTTGGTGCTGTTAGGGGAGGCACTGTGGGAGTGAGACCAGCCCTTTGGATTGCGTGGGAGCTGGGTGAGGCCTGTGACTGCTGGCTTTCCCCCACTTCCCTGACAACCCGCATGACTCAGCAAAGGCAGCCATAATCCTCCTAGGTACACAACACTATTGACCCAGGAACCTCATCCCCATTCCTGACAGCAGCCGCAGCAAGACCTGCCCAACCAAGGAGAGTCTGAGTTGAGACACACCTAGCCCTGGTCCTTCCCTACCCACGCTGGCAACTGAAGACAAAGGGTATATATTCTTGGGAGTTCTAGGGCCCTGCCCACTGCCAGTTCCTCCTCATACTACCACAGCTGATGCTCTCTGGAAAGCGCCACCTCCTGGCAGGAAGCCAATCAGCACAAAAATAGAGCATTAAACCACCAAAGCTAAGAACCCTCAAAGAGTCCATTATACAACCCTGCCACTTCCACCAGAACAGATGCTGGTATCCATGGCTGAAAGACCCATAGATGGTTCACATCACAGGACTCTGCAGACAACTCCCAGTACCAGCCCAAAGTCTGGTATGCTTGCTGGGTGGCTAGACCCAGAAGAGAGATAACAATCACTGCAGCTTGGTTCTCAGGAAGCCATATCCATAGGACAAGGGGGAGAATACTACATCAAGGGAACACCCCATGGGACAAAAGAATCTGAACAGCAAGCAGCCTTCAGCCCTAGACCTTCCCTTTGACAGAGCCTACCCAAATGAGAAGGAACCAGAAAACCAACTCAAGTAATATGACAAAATAAGGCTCTTTAACACCCCCAAAAATTTCACTAGCTCAACAGCAATGGATCCAAACAAAGAAGAAATCCCTGATTTACCTGAAAAAGAATTCAAGAGGTTAATTATGAAGCTAATCAGGGATGCACCAGAGAAAGGTGAAGCCCAATGCAAGGAAATCCAAAAAACGATACAAGAAGTGAAGGGAGAAATATTCAAGAAAATAGATAGCATGAAGAAAAAACAATCAAAACTTCAGGAAACATTGGACACATTTATAGACAAATGCTCTGGAAAGTCTCAATAGTAGGGTTGAACAAGCAGAAGAAAGAAATTCAGAGCTTTGTAGGATTAACCTAATCCTACAAAGACAAAGAAAAAAGAATGAAAAAATATTAACAAAGCCCCCATGAAGTCTGAGATTATATTAAATGACCAAACCTAAGAATAATCAGTGTTCCTGAGGATGAAGAGAAATCTAAAATTTGGAAGATATATTTGGGGAAATAATCAAGGAAAACATCCCCAGCCTTGCTAGAGACCTAGACATCCAAATACAAGAAGCACAAAGAACACCTGGGAAATTCATCACAAAAAAAATCATTGCCTAGGCACACTGTCATCAGGTTATCTAAAGTTAAGATGAAGGAAAGAATCTTAAGAGCTGTGAAATAAAAGCACCAGGTAACCTATAAAGGAAAACGTTTCAGATTAACAGCAGATTTCTCAGCAGAAACCCTGCAAGCTAGAAGGGATTAGGGCCCTATCTTCATCCTCCTCAAACAAAACAATTATCAGCCAAGAGTTTTGTAACCAGCAAAACTAAGCATCATATTTGAAGGAAAGATACAGTCTTTTTCAGACAAACAAATGCTGAGAGAATTCGCCACTACCAAGCTACCACAACAAGAACTGCTAAAAGGGCTGTAAATCTTGGAACAAATCCTGGAAACACATCAAAACAGAACCTCTTTAAAGCATAAATCTCACAGGACCTATAAAACAAAAATACGATTTAAAAAGCAAGAACAAAAAACCAAGGTACACAGGCAACAAATAGCATGATGAATGGAATGGTACATCACATCTCAATACTAACATTGACTGTAAATGGCCTAAGTGCTCCACTTAAAAGATACAGAACTGCAGAATGGATAAGAACTCACCAACCAACTATCTGCTGCCTTCAGGAGACTCACCTAACACATAAGGACTCACATAAACTTCAAGTAAAGGAGTGGAAAAAGTCATTTCATGCAAATGGATACCAAAAGCAAGCAGAGGTAGCTATTCTTACATCAGACAAAAAAATCTTTAAAGCAATAGCAGTTAAAAAAGACAAAGAGGGACATTATATAATGGTAAAAGGCCTTGTCCAACAGGGAAGTATCACAATCCTAAACATATATGCACCTAACACTGGAACTCCCAAATTTATAAAACAGTTACTAGTAGACCTAAGAAATGAGATAGACAGCAACACAATAATAGTGGGGGACTTCAATACTCCACTGACAGCACTAGACAGGTCATCAAGACAGAAAGTCAACAAAGAAACAATGGATTTAAACTATACCTTGGAAGAAATGGACTTAACAGATACATACAGGACATTTCATCCAACAACCACAGAATACACATTCTATTCAACAGCACATGGAACTTTCTCCAAGATAGACCATATGATAGGCCACAAAATGAGCCTCAATAAATTTAAGAAAATTGAAATTATATCAAGCACTCTCTCAGACCACAGTGGACTAAAACTGGAAATCAACTCCTGCTGGTTCCCCAATTTTGCAGTTGTGAATTGTGCTGTTATAAACATGTGTGTGCCAGTATCTTTTTCATATAATGACTTCTTTTCCTCTGGGTAGATACCCAGTAGTGGGATTGCTGGATCAAATGGTAGCTCTACTTTTAGTTTTTTAGGGGATCTCCACACTGTTTTCCATAGTGGCTATAAAAACCCTTCCAGACATTGGCTTAGGCAAGGGTTTCATGACCAAGAACTCAAAACCAAATGCAATAAAAACAAAGATAAATAGCTGGGACTTAATTAAACTACAGAGCTTTTGCATGGCAAAAGGAACAGTCAGCAGAGTAAACAGACAACTCACAGAGTGGAAGAGAATCTTCACAATCTATACATCTGACAAAGGACTAATATACAGAATCTACAATGAACTCAAACAAATCAGCAAGAAAAAAACAAACAATCCCATCAAAAAGTGGGCTAAGGACATGAACAGACAATTCTCAAAAGAAGATATACAAATGGCCAACAAACATATGAAAAAGTGCTCAACATCACTAATGATCAGGGAAATGCAAATCAAAACCACAATGCGATACCACCTTACTCCTGCAAGAATGGACATAACCAAAAAATCAAAAACCAGTAGATGTTGGCATGGATGCGGTGATCAGGGAACACTTCTACACTGCTGGTGGGAACCTTTAGGTTTTCCAGGATGTATATGGGTGCTCTCCTTGATGGAGTTTGGGAAAGATACCTCTTTATTCAGTCATCTCCTCCACAACTTAAGTGTTTGGGAATTGAGGAAGCCTGCACCTTAAGAGCTAAACAGGTTCTTCTTGGTGGATTTCTTGGTCTCTCTCTATATATATATACATTTTTTTTCTTTTGCTTTTTTTTTTTTTTTTTTTTTTTTGAGATGGAGTCTTGCTCTGTCGCCCAGGCTGGAGTGCAGTGGCGCAATCTCTGCTCACTGCAACCTCTGCCTCCCGGGTTCAAGTGATTCTCTGGCCTAAGCCTCCCAATTAGCTGGGACTACGGGTGCCCATGTTCAGCTAATTTTATATTTTTAGTAGAGACAGGGTTTCACCGTGTTGGCCAGGCTGGTCTCAAGCTCCTGATCAAGTGATCTGCCCGCCTCAGCCTCCCAAAGTGCTGGGATTACAGACATGAGTCACCATGCTCGGCCCCCTTACTGACAATTTTAACCCAGGTGCAGCTGAGACAACACATTGACGGAGCAGAGAGACGATCATCAGAAATGTGAAGCACATTTGTCATCAACACTAAGCACAGCTAACTTTATTACTTCTGGTTTTTTCCCTTCCTTTTCAGTGATGAAATAAGTCCCAGTCCCAGCAAATGGCAAATCTCTATGTTTAAAGTGCACTTGGATTTTACTAATTTACTTTTCTCATGCATAATTCAAAGGGGGATTTTATTTCAGTACTTTATTTGTGCCTTCTAGTTATTATTCCTTCTGAAAATGGCTCCTCATATATTCGAGCTAAAGCTTTACTGAAGGTTTTGTGTGTGTGTGTGTGTGTGTGTGTGTGTGTGTGTGTAACTTCATTTTCTTAAGCCTACAAAATGGAAGAGTCGGTTTGGGCGATTGCTTCATGGTGGTGTTGAATTTGTAGGTCAATATGAATTCCAGTGAGGAGTGGGGGCAGAATGAGGAATGAAATGTCACAGTACCAGAATATGGGCTTATAGTTTCTCGGAAGAGATCTTGTTTGAGCCAAAAGTCTCTAATTGCAGAGGAAATGGCTTGATTCAGAAGTTAACAGGCAGCCTCTCTTGAATGCCAGGAACTATATTCCCCAGGGCCCAAATACTGTGACTTTAAAAAAAAAAAAAAAAGAAAGAAAGAAATCCACTTTACCCCAGCACTGTGATGTAGGACATTCTCTATGTTGGGGATTGGGGTGGGGGGACACAACAAGAATCTCACTGACTTAAAAAAAAATACAAAATAAAAACAAAAAAGAAGAAAGAACCTCACTGACTTAAGAGATAAGCACTGAAAACCCCCAAGGGAAGCAGGCCAAGAAGAGAGCTCCCGGCACCCTGTCTCCCTGTCCCAGGCTGCCTCCTGTCAAGTTCGGTGCAAATCTTGTGCTGCCAGAGTTTCCTGCATCTCTGTGGGAGTAGTGACAGCCCATAAGGAAGATGAATAACTTCAGGGACCACTTTGTAAGGCCCAGGAACCTTAAGTGTGAGGTCTTGTGCCCGTGTGAAGACAGAAGTCCTTGGCACCATGACACAGTTGCTCAGTCCAAACCTCCTCGCAGGGGAGGCTGACCCAGGGTTCAGCTTGCGGCCCAACAGTGACCTCTGGAGAGACCATAGCATCATAGACGGACGGGGGCTTGGAGACCACCCAGTCCAACAGCCTCGGTGAGGAAACTGAGACCAAGCCCTTACCTCCAATGCTCTGACTCCTGACACAGCCAAAATCCACTGCACCGTGGTGGGGGTGTGCTCCCTCGGGCTTTAACTTGCATGGTCATTGGCTATGAATCAGTCTGAACCTGAATGTATTAAGACGTAATGGTTTTACTAGCCTCAAAATAGAAACCCAATTTCTCTCCTGACATTTTCCATCTACATTTTCTCCGCTAAGTTTTTTCTTAGCTTCTGCTAGGAAAAGTCTCTTGCTGAACAACTCTGCCTGTTATATTCCTGGAGAACATGCCGTAACTGCCTGGGGTGAACTGATTAATATAAGCCTAAGTTTGGAGTCCTTCTGCGATGGTTCTAAAAAAAAAAAAAATCTGTTATTATCCCAAGATTTGTTAGGAACAAGTACTCACGAAGGTAAGAGTGAGACAAAATGACATTTTCATTTACAAATCCTTTGAATGCTTTAAGACCCAGCCGTTTCTCCTGGTGATGGCTGTCTTGATCTGCCTAATGACTGAGCCCTTGTTTTGTTTAATCACTTCAAGAAACACAAACTAGGCCGGGCGCGGTGGCTCACGCCTGTAATCCCAGCACTTTGGGAGGCCGAGGCGGGCGGATCACGAGGTCAGGAGATCGAGACCATCCTGGCTAACACGGTGAAACCCCGTCTCTACTAAAAATACAAAAAATTAGCCGGGCGTGGTAGCGGGAGCCTGTAGTCCCAGCTACTCGGGAGGCTGAGGCAGGAGAATGGCGTGAACCCGGGAGGCGGAGCTTGCAGTGAGCCGAGATCGCGCCACTGCACTCCAGCCTGGGCGACAGAGCGAGACTCCGTCTCAAAAAAAAAAAACAAACTAGTTTCATTTCATTAGTGCTTAAAACGTCATTATGATTAGGGCATTGAGCGGTGAATGGCATATTTGTGTTGCTTAAAGTGGAGCATCTATTTTAATTGTGATTAGTGTTCTCAAAGTAGTCAACTAATACCTTTAAATATTAATCGGAGGGGGACAGGAAGGATGTTAAAATGGGCTCATCAAACATAGAAGGACATACCATCTTTTGTTAATTCCAAGACTCACTTTTTCACATTTAATATCTCGCGATCAATGGCAGTGCTTTTTCTTTCTTAGTAATACATAAAACAATGATGTATTTTATAATATATGGCACCTTAGATTCAATAAAACACTATTGCAAGCTACTTGTTCATATGAACTTATTGGTTGATTTACAATCTTGGGGAAAAATAAATTGTAGCCATTTCCTTATTTTAACATTTACATGTGGCAAATAAGATTATCCATAGTGTCTATGACGTAATGAAAATTCCAGGCTTCCTAATGAAACTTTCCTTTGCTTCACTCCACGGCAGCCCACTTTAGTTAGCTTCTGGTAAGACCAGTCGCTCTAAGCCTTCCGTTATCTCCACATGTGTTGCTCCAGTATAGAAACAGACTGATTTGGTGATCATGTCTTCATCAAAAGTGGTCTTATTAACCAAAAAAGAGTAAAATATGAAAGTTAATCTAGCTATAGAAAAGTATGCAAACTTCAACTATAGGATCAGTAGGCTCAGTAGGGTTGGTTCTTCTTTTCTTTCTTCTTTAAAACAAACAAACAAACAAACAGGCTGGGCACAGTGGTTCATGTCTATAACCCCAGCACTTTGGCAGGAGGATCGCCTGAGCCCAGGAGTCTGAGACCACCCTGGACAATAAGGTGAGACCCTGTCTCTCCAAAAAAAAAAAAAAAAGCCAGGGATGGTAGTATACACCTGTGGTCTCAGCTACTGGGGAGGCTGAGGTGGGAGGATCACTGGAGCCACCTCAAGCCACTAAAGGCTGCAGTGAGGTCAAGGCCACAGTGAGCTGTGATCGCACCACTACACTCCAGCTTGGGCAACGGAGCAAGACCCTGTCAAGAAAGAAAGAAAGAAAAGAGAGAAAGAGAAAAAGAAGGGAAAGAGGGAGGGATGGAGGGAGGCAGGCAGGAAGGGAAGGAGGGAAGGAGGGAGGGAGGAAGGGAGAGAGGCAGGAAGGGAAGGAGGGAGGGAGGGAGGCAGGAAGGGAAGGAGGGAAGGAGGGAAGGAGGGAGGGAGGGAGAGAAGGAAGAGAAAGAGAAAGAAAGAAAGAGAGACAGAGGGAGGGAGGGAGGGAAGGAAGGAAGGAAGGAAAGAAAGAAAGAGAAAGAAAGAAAGAAAGAGAGAAAAAAGAAAAAGAAAGAAAACTATACTCCGATATGTTTAAATTTCAACACTAGTGATAATGATCTGCCCCAATATTAGCACATCCTATGACTAAGCATGCTTAAGTCTCTCAAGGTGATAAAAGTCATCCTGAGAATCCAAAAGATGACGCCAAGTCATTTTCAGCTCGTGTGTGGTCGCTGAGGCATCATAAGGACAATTAATAGCTGATTCAGAGATAAGCAACAAACTCTTGCTGGTCTTATAAACAGGCTCGATGGAAAACTTAAAGAACAGGTTTTGAGCCAGATGAAAATGGCTGGGGGAGGGCACAGGGAGGAGAGGGTTGAGAATGAAGCATCTGCTTTCAGGGCAGGGGCCTGAGGCTCCTAAGAAGGGTGGCACACCTGTGGCTGCCCCTTCTCACCGACATGGACACGCTCCCATCCCCACCCCAGCCCTCACTCCTGTAAGTTGGGGAAAATTCCCTTCTTCTTGGTTCAGTCTGAAACCTTGGGCACTGGAGACCTTACTTACACTCCAGAGTCTCCTCTGGGCTTGTCCTAAGAGACCTTCTGGTGCTCATGGCCTAATGGCACGGCAAAGGGTCTGATGTGGGTACCCAGTCCAGCTCTTCCAGGACCCTTTCTCCAGACTCAGGACAGAATGTCACGAGTGGGGTTCAAGCCGAGGCATTTGCTGGCTGCCAGCCAGTCTCATTCAGTAGGTAGATCTTGCTTAAACAAACTTTGGTATAGACCAACCACTTTTATTAGGTTTCTAATAAAGTAATCGCAGTTTCCACCATATTTTAATGATGAAAACTGCGATTATTACACCAACCTAATATAATTGAATATAGACGTAATTTCTTTCCATTATTTTTATCGTGAAAGTAGTATGCGCTCATTGCAGAAAATTTGCATAGAAGAGTAGAAAAAATAAAATCAATATTGCATGTATTCCAGAGACAACTTCTGGTAACATTTTGGCATGTTTCTTAACAGGAGCCCACCCATTTAATGGCACATAACAAGTGAACACTAGCTTCTTGCTCCTCACTGAACTGTCACTCAGCTGGGTCTGTGGAAGGTCAAGACCCTTGTATTTTAATTCTAAGAAAGTAAAGGAATCAAGAATGGCTACTCCATAGGTGAAGCAGCCCCTTATATGTTAATCCTAAATGCAAATTTATTTGCTTGAGTATCCTAGAATATAATAGCCACCTGACATGTTGCCTTTGCATTTTGATAGCACCATTTTAACATAACATGTAAGTGATAAGTACATTCTGAAACTATAATGATACTATAGACCTTATTTTCCTGAGTAAAGAGATGCAGACTCTACATTTTTGTTCAGTTCTCTGAAAAAAAAAAAAGGAGAAAAACACAGGAAGAAGATTCAAAGGTGAATTAGTACAGCGAGCTTTTTACTAAGGGCAGCTACCTTGAGGAGAGGAGACTACGTCTTGCATACCAAGTATTTCTGGCACAGTGAGTAAACCCTTTACCTATGTGTTCACTGTCCTTTGCACTCCCAAGGAGACTGGATGTGATTAGTCAACTAAAAATTAAATCTGATGAGCACATCATATCAAGAAATCACCCTCTTCGCATTTTCTTTTTTTTTTCCCTTGAGACAGTGTCTTGCTCTGTTGCTCAGGCTGGAGTGCAGTGGTACGATCTCGGCTCACTGCTACATCTGCCTCCTGGGTTCAAGCAATTCTCCTGCCTTAGCTTCCCGAATAGCTGGGATTACAGGCGTGCGCCACCACACCCTGCTAATTTTTGTATTTTTAGTAGAGATGGGGTTTCACTATCTTGGCCAGGCTGGTGTTGAACTCCCGGCCTCTAGTGATCGGCCCGCCTCAACCTCCCAAAGTGCTGGGTTTACAGGCATGAGCCACTGCGCTCAGCCTTCCTCTTCGCTTTTTTATTGACTTGTTGTCTTTTTTATGTTGACTCTGACTCTACATCTCTGTTATACATCAGAATTAAAGAAAAACTTTTCTTTGGGTAGAAAACACTTAGACTGGAAAGGAAGCATGAATGTGTTGGCAGGGACTGGAGTCACTGCCTGCAAATGCTGTAGATACCGCTGACTCTATTCTTGACATAACAGAAGTTGGTAAAAGGCCTTGGAGCAAAAAATGAAATCTTACCCAAGCAGATGAAATACCTGAAAATCAACAGAAAAAGATGAAACTGTTCCTAAGAAGAGATTGGGGGAACTCAGAAGAAAATGTCAAACTCCCAACAATGATATTGTGGCCACGTGGTTGTGTTTCTTTTAAAAATCTTCGATACAGACACAGTTTGCTTCAGTTCACACCTCAAGGGTGCAGGTTACCATTGTCCAGCACCCCTCTGTTTTCTAAATTGCCCCCCACTTCCTGCTCATTCCATGTGGTTCTGGTAGGACCACCAATTCCAATTCCTCTTCCACCCCCTGCCTAAGGAGTGGGCACATGACCCAGTCTGGCCCATCTTGGCACTCCATAGCTATGGCTAAGGTCATTGGTTCAAAGGATGGGTGTACAACCAAGTAAAGCCAATAAAATCATCTTTATGGTATTGGAACTGGATGCTGGGAGGCAGTGCATCTGTCTCTATCTCTGGGATCATAAACTCAAAGGTACATAAGAGCTTGGAGCTTCTGGGGGCTATTTTGCAGTTGAATGGAGAAAACTTGGCTGAATGGGAAAGAAAAGAAGGAGGAAAGAAAAACCAGAGTGAGGTCATGATGGCAATATTTGAACGCCTGGATCCAATTATGCCAGAGCCAGCACTAGCCTAACTTGATTTCCAGTTACAGGAGTCAATACATGCTCTTTTGTCCTTAGGCTAATTTGATGTAGGTTTCTGTCACTTGGAGACAAAGACCTACAAAGTCTTCTGACCCTCATTTTGTAAATGTGGAGAAAGTAAACCCTGGAGAGTGTTGGCCAAGATTAGACAATGCCAACGGATTAACCAGTGTACTAAAAATAACCCCAGAATCACAGGGTTGGGGAGCCCTTTTCCACACCCCAGCCATGTGATCTTCTATCCCTGTCTGATCAGCATGAACAGTGTCAGTCTTTGTCAGAGCACTGGAATCTCTGGATGCCAAAATGATCCTGGACTCTCCAAACACTAATATCTTCCTTTCAAGTCTACCACTGCGCTTTACTTTCTCCCTTTTGTATTTTTTTTTCTCTTTAAGGAAAAAATATGGAATTTTATTTTTAAGATTATCTCAAAGATCCCAAGGGCAGGAAGTATAACTGGGCCACCCAAATGTCACCCAAATGTCTAGACAGCCATTGGAAAATTAGGAATCTGTATTATGCTCTGTGTCTCTTGGGGGCTACATGGCTTCTTAACTTTTGCTTTTCTCTGTTCTTCTTCCTTCTTCTCCCTGTCTATGGGCCTTCTCATCTTTGATACTCATGTCTTCCCCAGCACCTGGGTTACCCAACTGCCCAGTTCATGCATCCTTAAGGAGAGAAAATACAATAAATTTCTCAACCCTTAAAAGTTTACAGCTGAGAAAAACTTTATGTTACTAAAGACAGATTAACAAGAGAAAAGCAAGTTTTACTTTAACGCTTGCAGTGCACATCGCACAGGAGGAACCTCGGATCAGGGGTATCTTTCAAGGCAATGGCTTGCAGTTCGGCCTCAAATCGTATTTCAACAAAGAGCCGTAACTCTTAGAGGAGTGACAAGACAAAGGAGAGTCTCTCAAAGGTGGGAAAACTGTGGGAAGGTAGCATAGTTTGCTCCCAGATTTCCCTGGCCCTGTGGTGCCGTCTCTGGGCTGATGAGCCAGTGAGAATTTACATCTCTGTCTTTAGGCAGGAAAGGGGCAGAGGAGGTGGGGAGGACTTTCATCTTTGTGAGTCATTGTACTATCATCAGGCAAGCAGAAGGAAGGGCAGGGTGTCCCCCCGCATTTTAACTTCGTTCAGCTCAACAATCCTCAGTATTTTAAAGAAAAATATTTTAGTTTCCTTCAATCCAAACAGAAATCCCATCAGTTCATTTAGATCAGTTGTTCTCGGACATTTTGCTCTCAGGAGTCCTTTATGGTCAGAAATTGTTGAGGAACCCAAAGACCTTTTGTTTACATAGTTATTTTTATCAAGATTTACCATATTCAGAATTAAACCTAAAAATGTTTTAAAGATTTATTTGTTAATTTATTTGATGATAGCAATAAGCCAATTACATGAAACAAAATTTTTTTTTTTGAGATTTTTTTTTTTTTTCTCACTCTGTCGCCCAGGTTGGAATGCAGTGGCGCAATCTCAGCTCACTACAGCCTCCACTTCCTGGGTTCAAGTGATTCTCCTGCCTCAGCCTCCCAAGCAGCTGGGACTACAGGCGCCTGCCACCACGCCCAGCTAATTTTTTTGTATTTTTAGTAGAGACGGGGTTTCACCGTGTTGGCCAGGCTGGTCTTGAACTTCTCATCTCAGGTGATCTGCCCGCCTTGGCCTCCCAAAGCGCTGGGATTATAGGCGTGAGCCACGGCGCCCAGCCAACATGTTAACAGAAATATTTTTATGAAAATAATGATATTTTCCAAAACAAATGACTTAAAGAATAGAATTGTTTTAAATCTTTGCAAGTATCTTTAACATAGAACTTACTAAAAGATGGCTTTAAAATAAGATAGAATAACAAGAACTGGATTTACCCTCCTGCTTGAAACAGCTAAGAAATTGGACAAAATGGGCCAGGCATGGTGGCTCACGCCTGTAATCCTAGCACTGAGAGGCCGAGGTGGGCGGATCACAAGGTCAGGAGTTTGAGACCAGCCTGGCCAACATGGTGAAACCCAGTCTCTACTAAAAAAAAAAAAAAAAATTAGCTGGGTGTGGTGCCGGGCGCCTGTAATCCCAGCTACTCCGGAGGCTGAGACAGGAGAATCACTTGAAACCAGAAGGCAGAGGTTGCAATGAGCCGAGATCATGCCATTGCACTCCAGCCTGGGCAACCACAGGGAAACTCTCTGTCTCAAAAAAAAAGAAAAAGAAAAAGAAAAAGAAAAGAAAAGAAACTGGGCAAAATATATGAAATAATAGTTCTTAAGACATTAGGAAATGAAGGATAGTGATTTCTGGAGAGATGGAGAACGAGATGAACTGTACAATTGCCTTGAGAGAGTTCCCAGGCAGCAGTGCCAGGAGAGAAACGTAGTAAAGCTCTGTGGTCTCCCCGAGTTGAGGAGATAAAGCTGGGCGTGGAGGTGGGTCAAATTGGATAGAGAACCTGCGAAGAATACCAAAAAAGGAGAGCACTCAACAGACAGAAAATTCCCAAGATCTTAGAGGACACCTCTCAAATATTCAGGTGAGAACTGGTCAGTGAATGCATGAAAATAAACTAACCAAAGTTAATGAAAGAATAACCTGAAAAGATTAGGAAGGGCACACAATGTTGAAAATAGTGTCTATTTCCACCAGCCAGAATGGAAAACCTCATAATGGAAGAGCAGGTAGAGTATTCAGAAGAGAGTGTCTCAATTGTGGAGAAAAAATTAACACAAAACTAACCTAAACATCCTCTGGTCCTGCTTTAAAAAGCTTACAAAGCAAGACCCCAAAAGATCAAACTGTTTCCAAGTAATTTAATTATTTCCCAGAACAAAGTTTAAGGATATTTATAGGAATACAAAAATACCCCACACAGGGCCAGGTGCAGTGACTCACACCTATAATCCCAGCACTTTGGGAGGCCAAGGTGGGAGGATTGCTTGAGCCAAGAGTTCAAGACTAGCCTGGGCAACATAGCAAGACCCCCGTTTCTAGTAAAAAAATTTTTAAAAAACTAGCCAGACATAGTGGCGTGTTCCTGTAGTCCCAGCTAGTGGGAAGGCTGAGGCAGAAAGATGACTTGCTCCCAGTAGGTTGAGGCTGCAGTGAGCCATGATCATGCCACTGCACTCCAGCCTGGGCAACAGAGAGAGACCCTGTCTAAAAAAAAAAAAAAAAAAAAAAAAAATTACAACACCTAACAAAATAAAACTCACAATGTCTGAAATCCAGTAAATAATCACCAATACAAAAAAGCAGAAAAATATAACATAAAATGAGGAGGAAAATCAGTCAATTGAAACTGAACCAGAAATGACAGATAATAGAATTTATAGAAAAGAACACTAAAATGGTTTATTCTTTTTTTTTTTTTTTTTTTTTGAGATGGAGTCTCACTCCTATCTTGCAGGCTGGAGTGCAGTAGTGCGATCTCAGCTCACTGCAACCTCCATCTCCCAGGTTCAGGCAATTCTCCTGCCTCAGCCTCCTGAGTAGCTGGGATTACAGGCGCGCACCACCGCTACAGGCCCGGCTAATTTTTGTATTTTTAGTAGAGATGGGATTTTGCCATGTTGGCCAGGTTTGTCTCGAACTCCTGACCTCAGGTGATCCACCCTCCTTGGCCTCCCGAAGTGTTAGGATTACAGGCGTGAGCCACCACGCCCGGCCTAAAATAGTCTATTCTAACTGTATTCCATATATTCAAGGAGCAAGCTAAAAGATTGAGCAGGTTAAGTAGAGACATAGTTTTATAAAGAAGACTGAACTTGAAATTCTAGAGATGAAAACTACAATGGAAATACACTAACTGGGGATTAGCAGCAAATTAGACACTGAAGAAGAAAAGACTAGTAAACTTGAAGATATCGCCATCGAAGCCATACCAAATGAAACACACAGAGATAAAAAGAATGAAAAGAAGCAAACAGAACATCAGAGTGAGATGCAGAAGAGCTTTGAGCAGCCTAATACAAATGCCTTTGGAGTCCCTGAAGCAGGTAAGTGACAGAAAAAAAATTTTAAATAAATGATGGTCAAGATTTTAATAAAATCAAATTTGGTAAAAACTATAAACTCATATATCTAAGAATCTCAATGAATCCCAAGCACAGGAAACATAAAGAAAACTGTGGAGTCTTGATAAGATAAGTAAGCAACAATGAGGAAGGGGCCCCAGGTGGGGGAGAACAGTTATTCTGAGAGATGGCTTACCACAAACAACCTGTTGGCACAGCATCCTATTTCCAAATACCTCGCTCTGCAAGTAGCCCCTTCAGCACAACCCTATAAAACTTCCCTCCTGCCCCTGCCTCTTTGTAGACAGCCCCTTCTCTGCTGTGCTGCCCATTGCATTCTTACAATGTATCTTTGTACTTTCTCTAATAAATCTGCCTTTCTTTACCCACTACTGTCTTGGTAAGTTCTTTTACTATCCATGATGCCAGCCCCAGCCAGTCACACCTGTGACAAAAACTACCCCAACTGACTTCATATTCAAATAGCTTAAAACCAGTTTTAAAGAAAAAAAAAAAAACTTAAAAGTAACCGAGGGGAAAAAAACCCCACATTATACATAGAGGAACAAAAAGAAGCATGGCAGTGGACTTTTTTTTTCTTTTTTTCTTTTTGAAACAGGTCTTGCTCTGTCACCCAGGCTGGAGTGCAGTGGTGCAGTCACAGCTTACTGCAGCCTTGACCTCCCAGGCTAAAGCCATCCTCCCACCTGAGCTTCCTGAGTAGCTGGGACTACAAGTGTATGCCACCATGCCTGGCTAATCTTTTTTTAAATCTTTTGTAGAGACAGAGTCTAACTGTGTTGCCCAGGTTGGACTCAAACTCCTGGGCTCAAGCAATTAATCCTCCTGCCTCAGCCTCCCAAAGTGTTGGGATTATAGGCATGAGCCATGGTACCCAGACTGACAGTGGATTTCTTGTCATGAACAGTGCAAGGTAAAAGAAAAATGGGACTGAAAAAAAAAAACCCTACCAAACCACGTCTTTTTTTTTTTTTTTTTTGAGACAGAGTCTTACTCTGTCACCCAGGCTGAAGTGCAATGGCATGATCTCTGCTCACTGCAACCTCTGTCTCCCAGGTTCAAGTGATTCTCATGCCTCAGCTTCTTGAATAGCTGGGGTTACACATGCGCGCCACACCTGGCCAATTTTTGTATTTTTATTTTTATTTTTTTTTATTTTTTGAGACAGAGTCTCGCTCTGTCCCCCAGGCTGGAGTGCAGTGGCGTGATCTCGGCTCACTACAAGCTCCGCCTCCCGGGTTCACGCCATTCTCCTGCCTCAGCCTCCCGAGTAGCTGGGACTACAGGCGCCCGCCACCACCATGCCTGGCTAATTTTTTGTATTTTTAGTAGAGACGGGGTTTCACCGCGTTAGCCAGGATGGTCTCGATCTCCTGACCTCATGATCCGCCCACCTTGGCCTCCCAAAGTGCTGGGATTACAGGCTTGAGCCACCGCACCCGGCCCAATTTTTGTATTTTCAGTAGAGACAGGGTTTTGCCATGTTGCCCAGTTGTCCAGGCAGGTCTTGAACTCCTGGCTTCAAGTGATCCGTCCACCTCGGCCTCCCAAGTGCTGGAATTACAGCCGTGAGCCACTGCACCCAGCCTCCAAACTGTAAGTCTTAGTTCATTAAAAAATCTACCAAAAGTAAGAGCGAAATAAAATAAAGACTTTTTCAGATAGACAAAAGCTGAAAGAATTTGTCACCAGCAGATCTGCATTAAAAGAAACACTAAAGAAAGTGCTTCAAGCAAAATCAAAAGAACAATAGCTAGAAATCTAGAGCTACACAAATGGATGAAGCAGGCCAGACTGGTAATTATGTCAATCAATATAGTTTTTTTAAATCATTTAAATGTCTTGAAACAATAACAAATTATTTAAAGATAATTACAGTGCACCGTGGCATTTATAACATATGTGGAAGCAATACGCATGACAATAGCACAAATGCTCAGAGGCTAGAAATGCAAGTGTATTATAAAATTATTTTACTATATGTGAAGTGGTATAACATCAATAGAAAGCAGACTATGGTAAGTTTAAGGTGTATTATATAAATCCTAAAGAAATCACTAAAACAAAACAAAATAAAACAAATAGCTATAGCTAATAAGCCAACAAAAATGATAAAAGGGAATTATAAAAATGTTCAATCCAAAAGCAGACAGCAAAAAGATAAAAGGGAACAAATAACTGATGAAACAAATACAAAACAAATACCAACAATGTATTAAATCCAGCCACGTCAATAATCACATTTCAAACCCAACCATATCAGTATTCACATTTTGGCCAGATGAAGTGGCAGGTGGATCATTTGAGGCCAAGAGTTTGAGACCACCCTGGGCAATATGGTGAAACTCTGTCTCTACTAAAAATATAAAAACTAGCCAAGTGTAGTGGTAAGCACCTGTAATCACAGCGACTGGGAGGCTGAGCTGGGAGGATCACTTGAGCCCAGGAGGCAGAGGTTGTTGCAGTGAGCTGAGTTCAGGCCATTGCACTCCAGCCTGGGCAACAGAGTGAAACTCTGCCTCAAAAAAAAAAAAAATCACATTTTATATAAATCATCTAAATGTTTCAGTTAAACGGCAGAGATTGAGAGACTGAATTTAAAAAACAAGACCAAACTATATCCTGGCTACAAAAATCACACTTTAAATACGAAGATACAAGTTCACTGAAAGTGAAAGGGTGGAATAATATATGCCATGATAACACTAATCAAAAGAGCTGGAGTGGCTACATTAATATTAGACAAAGCTGATTTCAGACTAGAGAATACTATCAGGGATACAGAGGGTCATTTCATAATGAAAAAGACATCGACTCCTCAAGAGTTCATAACAATACTAAACATATATGTACCTAATAAGGATCTCAAAATAAATAAAGTAAAAATTTATAGAACTAAAAAGAAAAATAGACACATCCACAAATATAGTTGGATATTTCAATATCCTTTCCTTAACAATTGATGAGAAAAGTAGACAGATAATTAGTAAGTATACAGAAAACTTAAATAACACTGTCAACCAACTTGACCTGATTGACATTTATTTTATACTTCACCAAATTATTTTATACATTCTTTCTAAGTGTACATGGATCATTTACCAAGATAGGCCATATTCATGGACATAAAACAATTCTCAATAAATTTAAAAGGATTTGACTCACACAAAACATGTTCTCTGACCACAGTGAAATTGAGCTAGAAATCAACAACAGAAAGATTATCTCAAATGTTTGGAAATCCCAAAGTACTTGGAAATTAAAGCCGGGTGCAGTCGCTCACGTCTGTAATCCCAGCACTTTGGGAGGCCAGGGCGGGCAGATCACTTGAGGTCAGGAGTTTGAGACCAGCCTGGATAACACCGTGAAACCCTGTCTCCACTAAAAATACAAAAATTAGCCGGACGCGGTGGTGCGCATCTGTCGTCCCAGCTACTCAGGAGGCTGAGGCAGGCGGATCACTTGAAATCAGGAGGCAGAGGTTGTAGTGAGCTGAGATCACGCCACCACACTCCAACCTCCAGCCTGGGTGACAGAGCAAGACACCAACTAAAAAAAAAAAAAAAAAAACAAAAAAACACCATATTTGTAAATAACTGATGTGTCAGATAATAAAAGGGAAATTAGTATTTTGCATTAAATGAAATTAAAAACAAATATATGTAAATTTGTGCGATGAAGCTAAAGCAGTGTTTAGTAAATATTTTTAGCATTATATGCCTATATTAGGAAAAAAGAAAGGTTTCAACTCACTGACCTCAGCTGCCACTTTACAAAACTTGAGGGGAAAAAGCAGAAGAGCAGAATCAAATATGAGAATGTTAATCAATGAAATAGACAATAAAAAACAACAGAGGAAATTCAGTAAAATCAAAAGCTAGTTTTTGGAAAATTACAATGAAATTTATAAAATTTTAGCCAGACTAAACAGGGCAATGAGAATATATAAATTTCCAGTATCGGGTATGAGGGAGGTGACATCACTATAGATTCCACAGATAATAGAAAGACAATCAGTGTGCTGGGCATGATGGCTCACAACTGTAACCCACCATTTGGGGAGGCTGAATGGGAGGATCACTTGAGGCCAGGAGTTTGAGACCAGCCTGGGCAACATAGCAAGACCCTATCTCTATAAAAAATAAACCAGGCATGGTGTTGTGCACCTGTAGTCCCAGCTACTCAGAAGATGGCTTGAGCCCAGGAATTTGAGGCTGCAGTGAGCTATGATAGCATCACTGCATTCCAGTCTGGGCAACAGAGTGAGGCCCTGCCTCTTTGAAAAAAAATTAAAGAAGAAAGATAATAAGGGAAATTTAAAAAAATTTTATGCCAATTATTAATGCCAATAAAACTTTAAAAAATTTGGTGGTTTGTCTTTCAAACCACCAAAGCTTACTCAAGGAGAAATTCCTTGAAAGTCACAAGCTCCCCAAAATCACTTTCATTAAATACATTGAATTTGTAGCTACAAAACTTTCCTACAAGGACTCAAAGCCCAGATGGTTTCACTGGGGAATTCTGCCAAACATTTAAGGAAGAAATAATATGATTCTACACAAGTCCCCTCAAGAAAAAATGAAGAGGTGGGAAAACTTCCCAACTCATTTTATGAAACCAGCATGCCAAAACTAGATGAGTTATAATGGGAAAAGAAAACTACAATCTAATATTTCTCATGAGCATGCAGACATGAAAATTCTTGACAAAATGTTAACAAATTGAATACATCAATATAAACAAAAGGATAATACACAACCAAGTGGGGTTTATCCCAAGACTGCAAGGTTGGTTTTAACATTCAAGATTCAAACAATGTAATTCTCCATATTAATGAACTAAAAAAAAAATCCACACAACCATCTCAATAAATGCAAACTTTTTTTGTATAAAATCCAACATCAATTCTTGATAAATACTCAGCAAATGAGAAATAGATAGCAACTTCCTCATTCTGATAAAGTCCATCCATAAAAAACTTACAGCTAATGTTGTATTTAATGGTGAAAAAGAATATTTTCCCTCTAATGTCAGAAACAAGGTGGCTGTTCTCACCACTTCTATGCACTTCTATGTGACATTGTACTGGAGGTTCTAGTCAGTGTAATAAAGAAAGAAAAAGAAACAAAAGACATACAGGTTGAAAAGGAAGAAGAAAAACTATCTTTAATCACAAACAACATGTTTGCTCTGTAGAAAATCCAGTGGAATCTACAACAACAGAAAAGCATTTATAATTAAGTGAGTTTAGCCAGGTTGCCAAATACATGACTAATAAACAGAAATCAATTGTATTTTTAAGTACTAGCAACAAATATTTGAAAATTGGAAACCGAAACTTTTACCATGCCATTTACAATAGCATCCAAAAATGAAATATGTAAGGATAAATCTGACAAAAAATGTGCAAGACCTGCCTGTATATTAAAACTATTAAAACATTGCTGAAAGAAATTAAAGAACTAAATGAATTAAGAGATAGTGTTTACAGATTGAATGACTCAATATTGTACAGATATCAATTCTACCCAAATTGATCTATAGAGTCAGAATCCTAATGGGGTTTTTGTTGTAGAAATTGACAAGTTGATTTCAAAATTTGTAGAGAAATGCAAAAGACTTGGAATAGGCAACAACTGTGAAAAAAAAACAAACTTGGAGGACTTTAACTACCTGAGTTCAAGAACTATTATAAAGCTACGGTAATCAATAGAGTATGGCATTGACATAAAGATAAACAGAGCAACAGGACAGAAGAGAGAATCCTGAAACAGACCCACCACACATGGACAACTAATTTTTGACAAAAGAGCAAAGGCAATTTGGTGGAGAAAGGGTTACTTTTTCAACCATGGTGCATGCCTGTAATTCCTGCACTTTGAGAGGCCAAGGCAGGAGGATCACTTGAGCCCAGGGTTTGAAACCAGCCTGGGCAAGCAGGTGAGACGCAGTCTCTACAAAACAATTTTAAAAATTAGCCGGGTATAGTGGCATGCACCTGTGGTCCTAGTTACTTGGGAGGCTGAGGCAGGAGGATTGCTTGAGCCAGGGAAGTCGAGGCTACTGTGAGTCACGATCACGTCACTGCACTCCAGCCTGGGTGACAGAGCAAAACCCTGTCTCAAAAATAAAATAATAAAATAAAATAAAATAAAATAAAGAGGTTGGCCACACCAAGCACTAGTGAACATATGGAGCAACTGGAGGCCTCATACACTGATGCTGGGAATGTAAAATGGCATCACCATTTTAGAAAACAGTTTAATAGTTCCTCAAAAAATTAAACAGACACTTACTGTATGGCCATTTTACCGCTAAGTATTTAGCAAGAGAAATAAAAGCTTATGTCTATACAAAGTCTTATATATGAATGTTCATAACAGCTTTATTTGTAATAGCCCCAGTGAGAAATGTAAATGTTTATGAAAAGGTGAATGAATAAACCAAATGTGATATATATCAAAATATATGTGTTTCACCCAGGCTGGAGTGCAATGGTGCAATCATAGCTCACTGTAACTCTGATTTCTGGATTCAAAAGATCCTCCTACCTCAGCCTCCCAAGTAGCTGGGACTATAGGGGCATGCCGCCACATCTATCTAATTTTATTTTTTTGTAGAGCAGGGTATTGCTATATTGCCCAGCCTGATCTTGAACTCCTGGCCTCAAGCAATCCTCCTGCCTTGGCCTTCTAAAGTGTTGGGATACAGGCATGAGCCACACCTCCTGGCCTGATATATTAATACAATGGAATATTGTGCACTAATATACTAGGAATGGAATATTGATATATGCTACAATGTGGATGAATGCCAGAATAATTAGCTGAATGTAAAAATCCTGACAAACATGAATACAACTTAATATATATAAACTTCTAAACTAATTTATGACAGAAAGCAGATTAGTATTTGTCTGGATATGGGAGGATGTCCAGAGGTACAGCAGCGAGTGGATACAAAGGGGCATAGGGAAACCTATGGAGATGATGTTGAGGTTTTATTGCATATATATGTCAACATTTACCAAATCGTACACTTTAAATATGTGCAGTTTATGTTCATTATACTGTGCTTCAATAAAGATATTAGCAAATAAAGAAGATAGCTATGTTCTTATTGTGCTTCCTCATTCAGTTTGTTTTGATCTGTTATTTGAAAGTACATGAAGAAAACCCAGCCTTACACAGATATGTTGTTGGAAAAGAAAAATATTTTATTAGCCCCTTCCGATAACTGTGTGTGTTCTTTTATGCTATACCAAAACTTGACATGTGGTAGGTTAAGTCATTGAGTAGAATCCAAAACCATACAATATACTTTTCATTCTGTTACATTAAAACCCATTGTTTCTTACTACACTTTGATGGGTCTTTTACCTACATGTGATTTTAACCTTGCAGACCCCTGAAAGAGTCTTGAAAAACCCCCGGAGATCCCTGAACCACATTTTGACAATCGCTGGTGTGGATTGTTCGTTTTTTTAAAGTTTTCTCTTCTAAGGATTAAATTATCAAGCCGGGTGCGGTGGCTCACACCTGTAATCCCAGCACTTTGGGAGGCCGAGGTGGGCCAAATCATGAGGTCAGGAGATCGAGACCATCCTGGCCAACATGGTGAAACCCCGTCCCTACTAAAAATACAAAAATTAGCTGGGCGTGGTGGCTGGCACCTGTAATCCCATCTACTCAAGAGGCTGAGGCAAGAGAATCGCTTGAACCTGGGAGTCAGAGGTTGCAGTGAGCCGAGATCACACCACTGCACTCCAGCCTGGGTGAGAGTGAGACTCTGCCTCAAAAATAAATAAGTAAATAAATGAATAATCAACTGAAGTGTAGGCAGCTCTCTTCACTGAGCTCAGACCATACAGAAGTGAGGAAGGGAGGAAGGCAGGCTTTGTGCTGATTTAAGGACTAGATACGCTGGGTAGTTTGGATCACTTCCATTTCTGCACCAACTGTTACTTTCTTCTTTAACACCCTCTTGAAACAAAGTTCCTAAAAGACTTGCTGCTGTAACTGTTTGCCACATATGAGCACTCAGGGGAACGGGGTTAAATGTCACTGACACCACTCAGCTGACATATTCTGTTGGAACAAATCATCTATCTTAAGTCCCTGAGGAAGGAACAGCATTATTTACATTTACTGTCAGCATATAACTAGGATCACCAGTGTATTAGTCCGTTTTCACACTGCTATAAAGATGCTAGCCAAGACTGGGTAATTTATAAAGGAAAGAGGTTTAATTGACTCACAGTTCTGCATGGCTGGGGAGGTCTCAGGAAACTTACAATCATGGCGGAATGGTAGCAGGCCCATCTTACATGATAGGAGGTGAGACAGAGCGAAAAGCCCAGGGGAAACTGCCATTTATAAACCATCAGATCTCGTGAGAACTCCCTCACCATCAGGAGGACAGCACGGGGGAAGCACCCCCATGACCCAGTCACTTCCCACCAGGTCTCTCCCTCAACACCTTGGGATTATAATTCAAGATGAGAGTTGGGTGGGGACACAAAGCCTAACTATATCAACCAGGGTCTCTGGGCCTAAGAAGTGTCAAAAGGAAAATACTGCCACATTATTTAGGGCACAAAACTTTTAAGATGTCAACATAACGGAAACATTTGTCCCAGCCTCCTCAATCATTGTACCCACTCACAATGTCTTCATCATTTGTCCAAAAATGTTTTTGATCAGTGTTTTAATAATGACAATTCTGGCTCACCAAGAATAGCTTTGGGGCTTAAAAAAAAAAAGTCTTCTCAGACAAATTGAATTGGAATCTCTGGGGGTGGGGCAGAGTTGTTAGTATGGTTTTAAAGATAATCTAAGTCATTCTGAAAGGCAGCCAGTGTTAAGACCATTATGAAGATATCATATTCTAAGCAAACCTCTCATCTCTTTCTAATGCTCTCCCTTACCCTCCACTCAATGAGTAGCTATGTTCAAAGACCTACACTACATGTTTTGGAACATGTAAAAATGGGCCTGGCACAATGGCTCACACCTATAATCCCAACAGTTTGGGAGGCCAAGGCAGGACGATCACTTGAGCCCAGGAGTTCGAGACCAGCCTGGGAAACATAGGGAGGCCCGTCTCTACAGAAAATTAAAAAATTAGCCAGGCATGGTGGCACACACCTGTGGTCCCAGCTCCTTGGAAGGCTGAGGTGGGAGAACAGCTTGAGCCTGAGAGGTGGAGGCTACAGTGAGCCATGATCACACCACTGCAGTCCAGCCTGGGCAACACAGAGAGACCCTGTCTCAAAAATAAAAAAATAAATAAAATAAAATAAATAACAAAAATAAAAATGGTAAGACATAGACTTTGATGAGCATCTTACAACCTTGCTACATAAATGTTATGCACCATTAGAGTGGCAAAGTTAGGCTGGCTTAAATGATATGTCCACCTAGCGATTTTATAAGACGCGTGAAGAGGATAAAAAGAGTAAATTGGAAAGAGAAGGCCAAGCTAAACAATACGCAAAGAGCCAAAGGCAGAGGTTTTGTCACCAGATCTCAGGGTGGCAATCAGAGTCTAGTACCTGGTGGGGACTGGAGCACAGACGGAAAAATGAAATGAAAATTAGTCAAGGGTCCTGCGTCCCAATCCTGGGATTCACTATTTAGAATAAGACAAATAACTGCCACCAAGAGCTACATTTTAGAGATGGGTAGAAGATCAATGGGAGAAGAAACTTCTGTTCCCAGAGTTTTAAAACAAGGGCCTACTAATGAGATGCAGTCTGATTAACTCCTGGTAAAATGGCTGAATTAAGACAGGCTGATTTCAAGGAATTAAGAAAACCTGAAACTGAAGAGGGTCACGCCTGAACACCAAGGCCCTGCTTAAAAGCATGATTGCTTAATCCTACCAACCCAAAACAAGTGAAAATTCACTCAGGAAGCAGTGAAAAAGCCTAATTTGCTAAAGTGATGGGGCATGGTAAGAAACAAAAGTGTCTTAAATTACCTGCCCCACAAAAAAATAGACTTCCTCAAATTAGGACAACTGATGAAAACACTCTGCTAGAATAATGGGGTAGCTGAAGTCCTCCACAAGACAGCTTTTTAATTTCCTTTTAGAAACAAAATTTAAAATACAAAACAACTGGTCGGGTATGGTGGCGGGCGCCTGTAGTTCCAGCTACTCTGGAGGCTGAGGCAGGAGAATCGCTTGAACACGGAGGCAGAAGTTGCAGTGAGCCGAGATTGTGCCATTGCACTCCAGCCTGGGCAACGAGCGAGATTCTGTTTCCAAAAAAAGAAAAAAAAATTTAAATTAAATATTTACATTAGGAAATTATGACCACAGTCTACTTTCTGAGAATAAAAGAATTCTTAATTCTACTGCTTATTAGCAATAGAGAAAGAATATTTGAAGGAAAAATATCTCTGAGTGTTAAAGCAGAATGAGGATTAAATCAAGTAATTCTAATTCTGTCCCATCTTTATTCAGATGGGATAAATGGCTACTCCAGGTCACCAGGAAATCTGTCTGAATGCAAAGGTACAAACCTAGGTTCTTGATATTTACAGCAGGACCTTCCTTCTATGCATAGTCAACTGACATGAAAAATATACCATTGTAAAAAATATGATTTTCAGGATCACCTGCTATGTGGAAAAGCATATGTAGAATCACAATGTTGAGTAGGACCTGAATGCATCCACTAAGCCAATCTTCTTTGCAAGAAGGTGAACTTCAAAACTGCCCAAGGCATCATTAGGGTTGGAGAATCCACAGCTTCTATTAACACTTCACGTTGGCAGTGGCTCACGCCTGTAATCCCAGCACTTTGGGAGGCCGAGGCAGGCGGATCACGAGGTCAGGAGATTGAGATCATCGTGGCCAACATGGTGAAACCCCGTCTCTACTGAAAATACAAAAATTAGCTGAGTGTGGTGGCATGTGCCTGTAATCCCAGCTACTTGGGAAGTTGAGGCACGAGAATCGCTGGAATCCAGGAGGTGGAGGTTGCAGTGAGCCGAGATCATACCACTGTACTCCAGCCTGGTGACAGAGCGAGACTCCGTCTCAAAAAACAAAAACAAAAACAAAAAACACTCCATGTTGAGGGAATAATTGATAGTTTTTTTTCTGAATGGCTAGCCCAGATCTAACGATACAAGTCAAATGACTATGTGTTATTTTAAATCCTAGGGTTGATGAAGAATGATCAGGTCTTTGCCATAAATTGTCATATGCTTAAACACAAAGGTAGGCTTTCCATTTTAAAAATTTTCCATATCAAGTAATCCAAGTGTTTTCTCCCAAAGCCTTTATATTTCATCCTTTTAACAACTTAGATTTCTTTCTTCAGATAGCTTTGGTTTCTCCAAGTTCATTTTCTAGTTGGTCTTATTTACTGAAATCACTTTCAATTCTTGCCTATTGTCCAAAGGGGAGCCAAATAAAAATGATAGTATTAATAGTTAATACTTTCTGAGAGTTGTAGGATTACTATGTGTCAAACTCTGAACTAAGCATTTCTCTAAATGGCATGATAATTTGCTATTGGAAGAGACTCAAAAGAATGGGCAATATCTTTCTTTCCCCTATTCCAAGACGACCAGAAGATAGTCATACAATCCTATTTTGAGACTAATTCCCTCCCCTCTAAGGGTATTATTGCCTTTGGAGTTTCTAGGCTGAAAACAGAAGTTGTCAAGTCCCCCGAGGACAACTACTCACCCAGGCTTTGGTTTGAAAGTCTGGTGAATTGAGAAGAGGCGGTGGAGACTGAGGAGGTGGGAGTTGCTGGTAGAGGCGCTCCTGCCCAAGACAGGTTGCAGGTGTGCCTAATGGCGCACGGCTAGGAGGTATGTGTGGAAGGATTCTGGGATCTGAGGCCTTGTAGCAGAGGTGAGGATCTTGAGGCTGAGCCTGGGTTCAGCAGGGAGGACCTCTGTGAGGAGCACTGCTGAGCGGGCTGCAGTATCCACACCCAGCAGGCGCAGGGGGAGTTGGCTGGGCACCAGAAAGCACCAAGATGGAAGTACAGATGCCACCAGAGAACAAAGAGCAACCCAATTCCATGTTTTTCAGGCATTAGCTGAAGCCCCTGGGCTTTTGTGCCAATCTAGGAAGGAGGGGCTCCTCCACACATAACAGGTTGATTCATTTTTTTGATTCTTTTTTTTTTTTTTTTTTTATGACAGGGTCTTGCTCTTTTGCCCAGGCTGGAGTGCAGTGGCATAATCGTATCTCACTGCTACCTCAAACTCCTGGGCTCAATCGACCCTCCCATCTCCACCTCCCATGTAGCTGGGACCACAGGCATATGCCATGCCACCATACCTGGCTAATTTTTACATTTTTTCATAGGGACAGGGTCTTGCTATGTTACCCAGGTTGGTCTCCAACTCCCGGCCTCCCAAAGTGCTGGGACTACAGATGTGAGCCACTGTGCCCAGCCTGACCTGATACCTTTTGAATAGGTACTCAAAGCCAGATTTAGGGAGTGTTGTGGAACAAGTCCCTGCCCATTACACAGATATCTCTCAATTTCACACTCACAAGAACCACATGAGGCTCCAGTATTAGTTGCTTCCTATCTCATTTTACAGATGAGGATTATGGAGGTTAAATAACTTGCCCAAGGCCATATACATGCTTCAAGTCAGTCCCAGCTCTGCCTGATTCCAGAGCCTGTGATCTTCACCATAGTGCAAGATTAACTTGAGCTATTCTGTAAATTTTTTAAAAATGGTGTCACTTTGCTAATAATTAGAAATCAACTGTATCATTCAAAGGTGAAGAAAGGCCAGGCACAGTGACTCGCACCTGTAATCCCAGCACTCTGGGAGGCCAGGGCAGGAGGGTGGATCATTTGAGCTCAGGAGTTCAAGACCAGCCTCGGCAACAGGGGAAATCTCGTTTCTGCAAAAAATACAAAAATTAGCCGGGCGTGGTGGCCTGTGCCTGTGGTCCCAGCTACTCAGGAGGCTGAGGTGGGAGGATCACTTGTGTCTGGGAGGCTTCAGTGAGCCATAATCGCACCCCTGCACTCCAGCCTAGGCAACAGAACGAGACCCTCTCTCAAAAGACAAACAAAAACAACAACAAAGGTGGAGAAAGAAACTGAGGTCAACTTAATTATACATACCCTGTGCTATCGTTTGTGTGACCCCTCCAAATCTCATGTTGAAATTTGACTCCCAATGTTGGAGATGGGGCCAATGAGGGGTGTTTGGGTCACAGGACAAATCATGAATGTCTTACTCATGATTTACTCATCTCCGCCTAAATGTCTTGGTGCCATCCTCCTAGCAATGAGTTCTCACTCTATTAGTTCCCATGATAACTGGTTGTTAAAAAGAGCGTGGCACCTCTCTCCCCACACTTGCTTCCTCTCTCCCCATGTGATTTCTGTGCATGCTGGCTCTTCCCTTCCCTGATGAGTGCAAGCTGTCAGAGACCCTCAGTAGAAGCAGATGCTGGTGCCAGGCTTCTTTTACAGCCTGCAGAACCATGAGCCAAATATATCTTTTAAAAATAAATTACCCAGTCTGAGGTATTCCTAGATAGCAACACTAAATGGACTGAGACACCCTTGGATACAAACTTGTACCATGTCAATATTTTAGTTACATAAAAAATTCTAGCATAGTGAATAGAACCCTTAATATATACTAAATTTTAAATAAAAAAAATGACCAGCCCTGAAAACTAGTGAGACCCCGTCTCTACATAAAAATAAAAAATGAGCTGAGTGTGGTGGTACACACCTGTAGTCCCAGCTGGTTGGGAGGCTGAAGTGGGAGGATCACTTCAGTCTAGGAGGTTGAGGCTGCAGTGAGCCGTGATTGCACCACTGCACTCCAGCCTGGGCAACAGAGCAAGGCCCTGCCTCAAAATATCAATCAATCAATCAATCTCAGTCTGGAGCTGTTTACTAAGTATCCTAGTGAAGATGGTGACATCTCTGTTGTACTCACCAAGCAACTAGGAAATCAGGCACTGTGCTAGGCAGTCTTCATCTTGAAGATAAAATTCAAATTTCTTGGCTCCACAAAGTCATCTTCCAGCATTATCTTCTACTGTTGCCTACACATCATTTTCCCCAGCCATACTAAACTGTTCACATGTGATACAGTAAACTGAGTACCTTCCCTACTTTGTATCAGCTGCAAAGAAAGTAGGTCCAACTGGAAAAGGCAGTTGGGTTTTATTCAGTGGCCAGAGAATAGAGAAGGGGAGCTCTTGCTCTAAAGTCACCTTCTCCTGGAGCAATAGGAGTCAGGGGATTGCAAAGAGTTAGATGAGAGGCAGGGGAGGTATATAACATGCTCAGGGTGGAGTTCCACACAGGTGCAGTCCCCACACATGCTTCTTCATACATTGTATGTATACAACATGGTGGCCATCTTCATTTAGGGGCAGGGATTTTAGCATTGTAATGATATGTTAAAGGTCTAAAAGTTACTACCCAAGCTATTGCTCGGTTTCTCTGCTCCTGCCAGTTTTGGGCAGTTTCTGTTACTTTCTTCTCCTTTCTCCACTATCACTACCTCCTTTTTACTTTATGGCTTTGCTCAATTCATGGTTTCTCCTGGGTTTCTGCTTTTCTAGCAACTCCTCCTGCTAACACTGTGTCCTAAATTCAAATTTGCAGTAAGAGAGAATCACACTGAGTTAGCAAGTCACCATCAAGGATACAGTGCATCTACTGGGCAAAGCTCTCATGCCAAAACCAACCCTACAGGCTACTTGCAGGCACATAAAATGGCTGGCTGCTTTAGAGCAAGGCACCAATCGCTGACCACTGAGTTACGGCCCACAGAGAAAAGTGATACAGTCCAGCAGGGCTTGGTGAACATGCAGAAACACTTTCTGCTCTGTTCAGATGAAGGCTGACAGTGTGGCAAGCCCTCACAGTACCATCTAGTATATACAAGGGTTCCACCCAACCTGTAAACCTTAAATAGTTCTCCCATACTCTAGGTACGATTATCTCTCATCGAAATCTAAATAACTTATAACATAAAATCAGGAAAGGAAAAGATTAAAGGTGGACAGGGACAGAATCCTGGGGACTGAGGGAGAGTTGGGCTCAGAGAGCAACATCTTTTTGACAGAGCTGTAGTGGGGAGAAGATGGTAGAATTCATGCTTAATGAATTCTATCTTTTCAGTAAAGTTAGAGGAAACAGATACAGATGAGAGAAACTTGAGGGTGATAAAGGAGGTTCAAAAGAGCCATTGTAGGCAGCATATAAATGGACATGAAATGGATTAAAAGGCACGTTGCCAAATATAGAGCTGAGAGATTTCAGCTACATCTTGATAAGCATGATTTCTAGAAAGTCAAGTTCAATGCTCTCCCAGCAACTCCAAGTATGAACAGTGAGCAGACAACTTAAAGTTGAGAAGCAGGTTGAAAATGAAAGGACTCTAGGGTACTGTTAGTGAGAGTATCCACATATAAATGAGCCAGAGATAAAAAAATGAAGAGATATGAATGGAATATGCATCTGAGAATTTAGCAAAATTGCTCATAATTGGATATACAGTAACACATAGGCTTGCAAAAGGATGAGACTTTCCTCCCACATTTTAGTGTGCCTGCTTAGGAAGAAAGGGAATTAAATGTCAACTTCTTGTAAAAGAATTTTTCACATACAGAAGAATGATAGTTTATAAGAAGGATGATTCTTAATAGTTCTCACATTTGGTGGGGATGCATATGATATCTTATGTAATATGAATGATTTAGCTTGGAAATTTTTGTTAATTGCCCTAGGCCGTTACTTGTTTTTCTTGGTAAGAAAGGTGAAGAGAACCAATTTTCCTGCATAACTAACACATCAGTTCCTTGCTAGGTGCTTTACATATGTTATCTCATTAATCCTCCTAATAGCCCTGTAAGATAGGTATTACTGTTAGTAATTTACAGCTGAGAAAACCAAAGCTCACAGAGGTTAAGTAATTTGCTCAAGATTGTAAAAGAAGCCTGATGCCAAAGCATATGTTCTTTCCACTAGGGCACACTGCAGAGAGTTGAACAGGGAGATGTCAAGATGAATTCTGACGTTTTCCTATTGCCAAGGTTTATTAGTTTGTATATGACCTCACTAAAAAAATGGACAGATAATTTATCAATATATTTGTTCTTCCCAGGGTATTCTTCCTATGATGAACAATTTTGATCAGTCAAGAGGTGCCAAATGCTTACACAAAGATACGATTATAGAATGTATACCTGCAAAGGGGATACGGAGAGTTTGGATTCTATCATTGAGTAGTTGTGCAACCTTGGACAAGCTTCTTAACCTCTTTTGGGTCCTATTTTTTTCATGTGGTAAAATGGGGACTTTGGAATGAGTGGTGTCGAAGGTCCTATTCGACTCAAGTCACACATTAGGTAAATATATTGTGATATTTCTGTGTATCAGGCACTGTTCCAGGTGCTGAGAATAGTGGTAAATACAGTTAATATCTCATGGAATTTACATTTGTCAACCTAAAATAATCAAAAGGGTTAGAATCCAGTAAATTGGCCAGGTGCAGTGGCTCACGCCTATAATCTCAGCACATAGGCCAAGGCGGGCAGATCACCTAAGGTCAGGAGTTCAAGACCAGCCTGGCCAACATGGTGAAACCCCCATCTCTATTAAAAATACAAAAATTAACCAGGCATGGTGGTACATGCCTGTAATCCCAGCTATTTGGGAAGCTGAGGCATGAGCATCACTTGAACCTGGGAGGTGGAGGTTGCAGTGAGCTGAGATCGTGCCACTGAACTCCAGCCTATGCGATACAGTGAGACTCCATCTCAAGGAAAAAAAAAAAAAAAAAAAAAAAAATCTAAGTTTGAGTAAGTTTACCCAAGCACGAAGTTTGACAACAGTCCCCGGAGAAGAACATATTCCAAAGGATGGAAGTCAGTGTTCTGAAGTCTAGAAGTTTGGGATCATTTATATAGACAAAGTTTAGGGGAGCTTAACAGAATTTCTACATCTTTCTATAGAAGGTTTAATGCATAATTCAATGATCTAATTAGCTGAGGTGGTCTTTCTTTCTCTTAAAAGGTATATTTAATATTCCACACTGAAGATGTAACAGTCATGGGGGTGTTTTGCTCCACCTGGTCTGATTTAGGTATAGGACAATAAAAGAGGCAGTTAACCTATAACGAAGATTAGGGACTAGAAGAGGCAGAAGTCTGGTCTCTGGTCTTTCCTAGTCATTTACAGAACAAGAACAATAAGGAAGAAAGTTAATCTATAATCTAAGAAGCAGAAGGGGCAAATATGCTACGTTACTCTGTCTCTAGGACTTAACTTCCCCTGGGCATAGTAAGTTTGGAGGGTCCTTAAATTTTATTTTCTTTTACACATTCTACAAAATTTTGTATCTTAAGCCAATAATTCTCAGGGTGGTGACAAATGGTTAAGTGGAACAAATTTTACAAGTCACTTGGGGAATACTTTCTTGAAAGTGTATCTGTACCACCTCTCTGAAATTATATATATACACAGGTCTCTGCCCCCAGTCGCTGGCACAGAGCTCCTAAAGCTCTTGTAATTTCCTGAATGACAAGGGTGCTAGGAGAATCTTTTCTTCTAATATTTGGTCTTTGACTCTAGTTCCTGTCACGCAGTTCCTAATAGCTTTGTAAATTCCAGGTAATAGGAATGTCTTTTACTGCAAGGAGGCAAATCTTGGTGGGCTCCTAAATGAGCGCCAGTCACCAGAAGAACCAAACCATGATTATAAACTTGGAACTTTCAGTTCCACCTTCCCTCCAGAGAGGCTGGAAGTGGAGTTTATTAATCATGCCTATGTGATTTGAAGTCTCCATAAAAATCCCTCAACCATGGGATTTGGAGGGTTTCTGGGTTGCACAACACATGGAGCCTCCTGGAGTGTGGCACACTCTGGACAGGGCATGAAAGCTCCACACTCTTTCGCCCATACCTTGCCTATGCATCTCCTCCATCATCTGTATCCTTTATAATAAACCTGTAAAAGTTAAATGTTTCTCTAGCAAATTAACTGAACCCAAGAAGAGGGTCGTAGGAACCCTGATGGGGAGGCAGATCACAACCTGGGTCTTGTGCCTGGCATCTGAAGTGGGGGCAGTCTGGTGGGAATGAGCCCTCAACCTGTGGGATCTGACATTCTTTTGGGTGTAGTGTTAGAGCTGAGTTAAATTCTAAAACACCCAGTTGGTGTCTGCCAGAGAATCTGGTATCAGAAGTGTTATGCTGAATGGTGTGAGAGTAGAAAAAAACACTTGGGTTTTTCCCATCCCTAATGGCCTTTTAGATTCCCCAGGCAGTAAGTACTTTGGGGAGCCAGTGCTACTGTTAAGCATTTGTGGTGTCTTTTTGTATAGGCTTGGCAGAAAAAAAGTTGAGAATTATGTTCTAAGTGATACAGCAAACAATTAAGAAGTGCCAGTCATATTGCTATTTTGAAGTATGAAGGGAGATTCATTAAAAGAGCCATTTGTAAGCTTAAAGTAAGTTTGAAAGTGCACTTGAATTAATAGTCCTAGATTAATTTAAGCCCAGTGAACACTTGGACCAATCAGATAACAGAAATATTAGAATGTTTAACCATCCTACTGTTGATCATAATCTCTCATGCTAAATTCATGTGGCAAAATCATTTGTTTAAAAACACCACTATCGGCTGGGCACAGTGGCTCACGCCTATAAGCCCAGCACTTTGGGAGGCCGAGGCAGGCAGATCATGAGATCAGGAGTTTGAGACCAGTCTGGCCAACATAGAGAAACCCCATCTCTACTAAAAACACAAAAAATTAGCAGGGCGTGGTGGTGGGCGCCTGTAATCCCAGCTACTCAGGAGGCTGAGGCAGGAGAATGGTGTGAACCTGGGAGGCAGAGGTTGCAGTAAGCCAAGATTGTGCCATTGCACTCCAGCCCAGGTGACAGTGTGAGACTCCGTCTCAAAACAAACAAACAAACCAAAAAAACCACTATCTTTTCACAATGAGCTTTAATATTTCAGGCCACAGCCAGTTTGCTGTATTCAAAAACAAAGAAGCAAACAAACATTAATGATATAATATCATTTTGGTGATGAAAAACCTGTGTATTATTCTTTCATGTTCTAAGAATCATAACAAAATCTAAAATGTTGGAAAGTTATAAAAAATTTATTTTCACTCCCCCCAAATCTAACTAAATTTTATGTTAAGTAAACACAAAATTACCATAGAAATGTATATGACCTGAAAATTAAAAAAAAAAACACCGTCAGTCACAGAATGTTTTATTTTAAACTTACTGTAAAACTTTCAAATACAACACATGTGGCAAAGAAACAACAGTTCACACACAACATCTGCCACAATTCTCTTTGAACTGCCATTTCTATATTATGTGATATTTTACAATTTCTTTCAATTTCTTACATTCATGGTATTCTTAAAGGCAGCAATGTCAATTTTTCTGCTTTGAAAATAGTTCAGTTAATGTTCTGAAATTGCTTAACATGACATTTTCCTTTTAGTATTCTACTGCTGCCCACACTGACATAATTCAACATATTATTTATAAACTGTTGAGAGGTATACTGTACTTAATAAATCAACTCCCAACTCTAAGTTAACCTCAATCTAAAACAAGCATTTTCTTAAACCAGTATACTCAGCTACTTTTCTCAAAAATATTTCCATTCTGAAATAAGATTTTTTGTGAGATACAATAGTTTCATCTTTTATTCCTAACAGAACTCATGCCGTACTTTTTTTCTCAAAATATATTTGATATATTCTGTGCAAAATGTTAAGTTCTGTATAGGCATGTACCTTATATTGAAAAAGTTTATAAAACATAATTCCTAAAAACAACCTCAACATTAGACAATAGAGGAAGGAAAAACATCAGACAAAGCCTAAGTTTTCACATGAGAAACTAAGTATGTTCTTAAAGCTCCAGTATTACATTCCTTGAAAAAACTCAGAATGCACTTTGGTCATTATTAAACATATTTGAACATAGGCAAATAAAATGAAATGCTTTCTGTTGTTTTTCATAGAAAGAAAAAACATACTACACAATGAGGCTGAATTGAGGCTGATCAAAAGGAATGGTAAGAGCAAAGTGATATGACATGGCTCTGTTCTCCACACATTCCTGATTTTAAGATTATGATTTAGGGATTAGAACTGCACCAATCAAATAAATTATTTACAATTAATCGTCTTAAAGTTCTTAAAATATGGTAAAAATATGAGGATATTCCACATGATACACTTTGCACCAAGAAAATTCTAGATTGTTTCAAATAAATTTTTAGAAACCAGATGCCCAGTTTAAAAAAAATTGCAAAAACTGTTTCATGTTTCATGTAATTTCTAAAATACTCGATTGTACAAATATAACAACTTAAAATCAAGGCCCAATGTAAGACACTATCATATTTGCCCGATTTACCTAACACACCAACATGATAAGTTCTCATTGGACACTTGGCAAATTATTTGTTGGGGAGGTTAAAAGCATCTAAAATAGCCCTTATATAATGGGGGTGGGGTGGGGAGAATGCACCAGATAAGTTTAGAGGATAGAATTTGCAAGCTGAAGCTGTCTTTTCTGAAAATTTGGATACAGTTTTACAACTAGCAATTAGAGAAATATTTTATTGGTTCTTAGCCTTATTCTTCAGTTGTTCATTTCAGTGTGGTATGAATAGCCTACACTAGAGTGTACCATGGGGAGAAAATTATTTACTTGAGTAAACATAATGTACTTTAGTAATATCAGTAGGCACTTCACTTGTGAGATGAGTATATACCTCACTCAAAAGGATACCATATCATGCCCTAGTATACTATAACAGATCCCATATAAAGATACGCATTAAAAGTAACAATTTTAAAAAGTGCACATTTTGAGCATGCACAGTTGGAGCTGTGCAAACAGCCCAGTGTTTCAAATAAATACAAGTATTACTAGTTAATTTTTATCAAAATATCTTACAGTATGGTAACCATTTACAATTATTGCTCTATTACAAGTTTTATCATCAAAGAGCACTTGTTGACCTGTTATATAATACCGTATATATTAATACTGAAGGGTGCTTAAACTGTAACTTAATCAGTTTGGATCCTGGCATTGTTCCAAAATAATTCAAGAGAAACCCTGACTGGATCTTGATTTACCAAAGAAAATGTTTTATGTGTATAGCTGAGTTCAATGCAATATTCCAAAGTTAAAGAATTTTTCCTCAAGTAAGGCAAGTTCACGGCATTGATGGAGAAACGGTGCTGAGCAATGGCTTCTATTTTCACAATTTGTTATTTTGCCAATTATTTATGACCAATTACCAGGATCTCAAGTATCTGGATATCAGTTTCATCACCCTTTCAACAACTAAGTACATCAATGCTTAAAAATAAAAATATAAAGACTAAAATAAATGTAAAAAAAAGTGAACCAGTAAAATAAATATAAGAATTGCACAAGACAGTCTGATGTAAACACTTCAACTCCCTAGCTGAGACTCCTGAAGCAAAGAATCAGTGACAAGCTTTCAGGCAGCTTAGTCAGTACTCTTATTCTGGAAAAGAGGCTACATCTTCTTTTCTTTGAATTGTCATGACTTAATCTTCCATAGCTAGAAAAAAAAAAATAGAAGTGGTGACAAGCCAGTTTTAATATCAAAGCTTAAATTATATCATATAACACCATTTTTAAATTCAAATTTCATTCACAAACAAGTGCAGTTTCTAATATTTTAACTCCTTTATCCTTTTAAGAAGAACTCACCTTAAACACAAACAAAAATGTGAAAATCAGATTTCTATTGCTTTCTCTTGAGAAGTGGCTATATATATATATATATATATATATATATATATACACAGTACTTGTTTAATATGATTATCTTACACCTTCCTAACAGTTAGTTGTGCATATATTGGAAGATGTATGCATTGCTATACAGATAAATAATACAACTTTTGGCCAAAAATAGAAATAAGGCTTTTTTCTTTTTTATCACCTAAATTAAAGCTTTATTAGTAAAAATAAATACTTCTTGCTAGGCGCGGTGGCTCACACCTGCAATCCCAGCACTCTGGGAGGCCAAGGTGGGTGTATCACTTGAGGTCAGGAGTTCGAGACCAGCCTGGCTAACATGGTGAAACACTGTCTCTACTAAAAATACAAAAATTGGCCAGGCGTGGTGGTGCACACCTGTAGTCCCAGCTACTTGGGAGGCTGAGGCAGGAGAAATCCTTGAACCCGGGAGGCAGAGGTTGCAGTGAGCCAAGGTCGCGCAACTGCACACCAGCCTGGGCAACAGAGCAGACTCCATCTCAAAATAAAAAATAAAAAAAACCAAATACTTCTACTTATCCTACACAAGACTTCTATTTATAATAAATACTGTTCCAAGTTAGAAATTCCTGCAGTATTATAAAACATAAATACATATAATTCTTTGAAATTAAATGTGAAATGTTCAATAATTGCAATCTTACCAAAATGACCGCATTACTGTGCATGTGAGGGTAAAATGGGCGCAACAAAAATGCAACAGGAAACTAAGAAATAAAAAGTACTTGCAACCTCTTACCTTTAAATTAAATCCAAGCAAGTCACTGATAACACCAGAAACAGCTGACAGGATAACAACCTGGGTGATGTTATAAAGCAGCGGATTCATTGTAAGCCCATATAATCTAAAAGGACTGTCCAACTCCTAGCAGAAGAGAAAAAAAAGTCAGTCCCAGATTCAAAAAGAATTACTAAGCTAATTCAGAACAATATACAATGAGAATTAAAAAACACTTTCAAAAAAGTTACCAATTATGGATGCTTTTAGAAAGGATAAACTTGGTTAAACTTGAAAGAAGTAAATTTCAATAATAGTTTTAATGGTTTTAAAGGAAAAAGGAACTTCCTTTAAAAGAACTCTGTGACTAAATATGTAACTCCAATTTCTGTCCCTTAAGCTATTATAAAGAGGCTAGAGAACATTTTTTAATATAAGAACTAGACTAGAAACCGAAAGAGAACAATACCTTTCGGTAGAACAATTAGAAATTGGCCAAATTTTCTGACAAGATTATAACATGTAAAAACTCCTCTTTGAGTCAATTCATTTTCAAATACATGTATTAATTAATTGGTTAATTCAAACATTTAAAGTTCTATCATATGCCAAGCCCTGTGCTAGGCTCTGGGAAGTTAAGATTCAGTCCCTGAACTGAAGGACCTTACAGTTTAGTAGACATGCAACAAATAATTAAAATATGAAAGTCCCATTTCAAAGGTACATATAAAAAGCAAATAATGGGGCCATAGAGGAAGGTGCTCCTGAAACTTTGTGGATGGTGGGGAGTAAATATTCTAAAAGACACATGAGAACATGACACATCTGAATTGCTACAGGTTGCTCAGCATTGTTAGGGCCCAAGTACAAGGAAGAAAGATCATTGGGCCAGCAATGTAGAAGAAAGACTAGGGAGCAATGAGATCAGAAGCAAGAATATCTGTAAGGAGTTCAGTGTATCAAAAGCATAAGTGAGAGACAAGGATCTCACATAGGGCCGTACTAATAGAGAAGAGGATGAATTGGAAGATATTTAAAAGACTGAATCAGCGGACTTGAGAATTTCTTGGCTGTAAAGAGAGAGAGAAAGAAGGTACGATCTATGTTAAGTCCCAGATTTCTGACTAGGAGACTATGTATGATCAAAAAGAATCATACTATTATGCTTTGTTATTCTAGTCATTTTTATACTTTGCTCTGAGATTGTGGCTGCTCATTGAGTCTCACCTTTGTAGCCCCTTCCTACACAGTGCCTACACTCTGAAGATAGGCAATATACATGTGTCAAGCAAACACAAAACTATTAATTCAAGATATTTTTTTCCCATTGAGCATTTTGGTCAAAAATGGAGTTTGCCTCTATTATCTTGCTTGTTATTTAAATGTCATCATCTTCCTCAGGATAATTAAAGGGATTTGAAAAAGAAAGCAATCTGTAATTGCTTTTTATTATCCCCCCACCCACTTCTTCTGAACCCTTCAATACTATGTGGTGCATAGTCTATACCCAATTCACACTGTTTAGTTGACTGAAGAATTAACTATAACACTGAAACACAACTAATTTCATACCATTCTCTGAAAACATAAATAACTCTAACAATTATATTCAATTGGTTATAGAAGTTGAAATTTTAAAAAATATTTTCCTTTTAAGAACTAAAAACATAATGAATATTGTAAGCAGTGATAAAAAATGTTTTATTAAATTACCCCCAAAGAGTTACTATGAGATAAAATACATCAAAATTGTATTCCTTTTTGTTATCAAAAATTAAATGTTTATTTATGACACATATTTATTATGATAATTATGTATTATTACTTTTTAAGCTAACTCAGGCCAACCAGAAGACTTCTCTGAGAAATACAAAATAAAAAACTTCCCAAGTAAACAACAAATTTTCTTTTTTGATATCTATTTTAAGGTGTAGGAGGCATACATTTCCAAAGATGCCAACCTCTACAATACTCCAGACATATTATTATTAATATACAATTTCCAAAGAAATTATTTGGATTAGTTCAAGCACTTTTGCAATGAGAAGTAAAATATAAATTGTATGTATGTGCACAAGTATAATTTGGAAACAACTTGGATAATCATGAAAACCACATACAAAGTAATATCTATAAACAAAAAAATAAAATTATGTCAGAACAGCATATTTGACATTATAACCATTTTCAGTTCTATTCTTACCTTTAGCAGTTTAGTAGCCAGTTTTAAAACATTATTCACTAGTGTCAGTTCCTCCTTTTTGTTAGGTTTTTTCTCCATTTTCAAGTAGAGGTTTATCTTTTATAAAAAGAATAGAAATGCTTCAAATTATAATAAATACACATTTTTAAAGGACTTGAAAGATATTCACTCAAGTATCTGGTTATTGAGATTATAGGTGATTTTAATAGTCTTTATACTATATATTCCAAATTTCCTATACTTATTTTATAATAGGAAAATAATAACTGTTTCTCAAACACTTTTGAAATGTAATCAAAAGCCAAAATAAAAAAGACTGGATGGCATTATTTAAAAGGTGAGACACTTTATTATCGGAGCCAAATCAACCTAAAAAATAAATAATAATTAGAATAAACTAAACCAATAGTTTATAATTTTTCTTTCTTTCTTTTTTACTAGAGATGGGGTCTTGCTATGTTGCCCAGGCTGGTATTGAAATCCTGGATTCAAGTGATCCTCTCATCTCAGCCTCCCAAAGTGTTGGGATTATAGGCAGTCACAATGCCTTGTTGTTTTATGATTTATTTGAAAGTCACTCAAAAATATTTGTGTATTTTTATTATCCACTCTATAATAGATAATTTTGGGGTATCCACAGTTCCTTTCTTTGAAAAATGCTCTAACCCCAAGCCAGTGGAAGAAGCAAGCCTAGGCAACTGTGCTTATCCCCATTTGATCTCACCTTTACCCCCAATCTGGCAGCCATCGCTGATTAGGCTGGAATGTACACCCAAACCAAAGCTAGTCAATATACTGACTGGTGAGACTAACATGATATATCTATCAGATATTGTAGGAACATGAACTGAAAAGTTAGTAAAAGTCTAAGCCAGAACTCGTGCTAAGCCAAACCAAAACCGTGTGTAAACCAAAATCATAGGGTAACAAGTCTACAGAAAGGCCACAGAAAGAAAGGTGATTAGAAGGGTGGAAATGAGAAACCATTAGCCTCAGAGCGAGTTGGAGGAAGTGGTTGATTTTGTCCAATTTCATAAGGCTCAAGTATACTTTTTTTTGAGTTGGAGTCTCACTCTGTTGCCTAGGCTGGAGTGCAGTGGCACAATCTCAGCTCACTGCAACCTCCGGGGTTCAAACGATTCTCCTGCCTCAGCCTAACAAGTAGCTGGGATTACAGGCACGCACCACCATACCTGGCTAATTTTTGTATTTTTTGTAGGGATGGGGTTTCACCTTGTTGGCCAGGCTGGTCTTGAACTCCTGACCTCAAGTAATCCACCTGCCTTACCCTCCCAAAGTGCTGAGATTACAGGTATGAGCCACCGTGCCTGGCGGGCTCAAGTATACTTTCTCAGGGATCTTTATCTTTGTGGGTTACTCTCCTGTTTGAGCTCATTTGACAGGTTTATTGATTGTTTAAAATCAAACTATCCCTAACTAAAATATTCATGAGAATAAGTTTCTTTACAAAATTCCTATAAAGTGGCGGGAGGAAAATATTTAACAAATTCATACAAAATAAAATTAACCAATTATACTTTATTCTTTCTACTGAGTAAAAATGTATACTTACTCAAATGCGGCTCTGCTACACTGCAAAGCAAACATGTCCCATTCATAGTTTAAAATACATTAATTTAACAAATGGTACTTCCTTCTTGTCAAATAAAAATGGGACATTAAAAAAGCAGATTGGATTTGAAATATGAGTCAAGGCAGGAACACTGAAGAAAGGCTTGTGTCCTATTAAATTTTACATTTTGCTTTATAGCACAAATGACCTTAATCAAATAGAACACATTCTTGAAAAACATAAAGGAAATGAAAACATTTTAACTTATAGACATTAATTTGTAGCATAATAAGTAGGCACACTCACCTGTTCAGTAAGTAATATTGAGGTATTACTATATTTTTTACTTGTTTCTGATCCAAGGGTAACAAATCTTAGGAGAAAAAGTGTTAACGAGATGCACCAGATTACCAATTCCCAATTGTAGTGACAATCAAGGAAGATCTCGTGTACATGAAGTAGCTAAAAGTATGAAAAAGGTAACATAAAGCAGCAATGTGATTCAAACAATTTCTTTTCAAAAGAAATAAACATAGATTGTTCATAAATTTAGTATTACATTTTAGAAACATTCTACATTAATTATGAAATATTTTAAGCATATCAAAAGTATAGAGTATAAGGTAATTAATATCCATGGGGCCTCTACCCAGTTTTGTCAAATCTTAATATTTTGCAACATCTCTTTCAGATTAAAAAATAATATTACAGATTCAGTTGAAATCACTTTAAACTTTGCCATCTCATTTTTCTTCCCCTTCCCACCCCAGAAGTAATGAATTTTATGTTTATCTTTTCCATAATGGTTTTTATAGTTTAGCTACATATACATCCTTGAACTATATAATTTTTTGTATATTTTAAAATTTATTTTCTAAGCACTTGGGAGTTGGAAAAAAAAAGGAAAAAGTTTATATAAATGTTACATTATCTACATCATTCTTTAATTTCTTTTTATTCCACTGAATGTTGTTTTCAAGGTTGATTCATGATGATAGATTTAGCTCTAAATTTATTCATTCTAACTCCTATGTTAAAGTAAAAAAATCAGCCACAATTTATTGGCCAGTAAAACAATCAACCACAACTTATTGGTCAACCCTATCATTAATATTTTGTTGCCAATTTCCATTATTACAAGCAATGCTGCAATACACATTCTTGTATGTGTTTCCTTGTACGCACATGCAAAACTTTCTCCAGAAGTTAATATCTGGGAGCCAAATCACTGGGTTCTTGGATATTACATCTTCAACTATATTAGATATTGTAAGTTAGTCTCTGAAATAGTTGCACCAATTTATACTCTCAGCAGTGTATCAGAGTTCCCTTTGCCATCATTTTCATTCATACTTGTTATTATCTAACTTCCTAATACCTGCTAATCTAATGGGCGTGACGTGTTCTCTCATTGCCTTAATTTTACTTTTCCTGATATTTAGGGAGGATCAGTATGTTTCATATGCTTATTGGTAATTGAATTTCCTCCTGTGAGTTATCTTTTTATATTCTACATCCACTTTTTTTCTAGTATGTTGTTCGTTTTTCCTATTGATTTGTAGAACTTAGTTCTATAATGTGACTAACAATCCTATTTAAGTCATTTTGCCACTATCTTTCCCAGATTCTGGTTTGTTGTTTATGGTGTCTTTGCAGGACACAAAATTTTAATTTTCATTTGTGATCATATTAAAAATTTTTTCATATTTAGATCTTTAATCCACCTAGAATTTATTTTTATGTATAGCATGAAGTCATTTGGTTTTGCTCCATTTTTACCTCATATTTCCATTATGTAAAGCCTTCCCACATTGATATATAATGCCATCTGATCATATATTAGGTTTCTACATATATATGGCTATTTACAACTCTATTTCATCCCATTGGTCATTCTATACCTGGGCAAAAATCATAAAGTCTTTCTGTAATTTTAAAATAAGTCTCTCATCTGAAGGTTCTAAGAGAAATTTAAAAAAGAAAAACAAAAAGAAAAATTAGGCCAGGCATAGTGGCTCACGCCTGTAATCCCAGCAATTTGGGAGGCCAAGGCAGGTGCACTACCTGAGGTCAGGAGTTCAAGACCAGCCTGGCCAACATGGTGAAACCCCCGTCTCTACTAAAAATACAAAAATTAGCCGGGCGTGGTGGCACACTCCTGTAATCCCAGCTACTCAGGAGGCTGAGGCAGGAGAATTGCTTGAGCCGGGGAGGCAGAGGCTACAGTGAGCTGAGATCGTGCCACTGCACTCCAGCCTGGCCGACAGAGCAAAGACTCTGTCTCAAAAAAAAAAAAAAAAAAGAAAGAAAAAAGAAAAAAGAAAATAAATCTTCATATTTCTGGTACAGCAACTTGTTCTTCAAAATTATCTGGACTACTCTTGTCTTTCTGTGCTTCCAGATGAGTTTTAGGGAGCTTGATGAGTTACTTATTTTTTTAAATAAACAAAGCATTCTGTTTAATTACAAGGGATTCCAACAATTCCCCCAGGAGAATCAATATGAAATTGAAATTGAGCCTTCCCACCTATTAACATTGTGACTAACATTGTATACCTTCTTTTTTTAATTTTTTTTGAGACTGAGTCTCACTCTGTCGCCCAGGCTGGAGTGCAGTGGCGTTATCTTGGCTCACCGCAACCTCTGCCTCCCGAGTTCAAGTGGTTCTCCTGCCTCAGCCTCCCAAGTAGCTGGGATTACAGGCATGGACCACCGCGACGGGCTAATTTTTGTATTTTTCAGTAGAGATAGGGTTTTGCCATGGTGGCCAGGCTGGTCTTGAACTCCTGACCTCAGGTGATCCGCCCACGTAGGCCTCCCAAAGTGCTGGGATTATAGGCGTGAGCCACCGCGCTCAGCCTCATTGTGTACCTTCTTTTAAAATTTTCAATAAAGTTTTATCCTGTTTCTCCATAAGGTCCTACATATCTTTTGTTAGAATTATTCTCGGGAATCTTTTGTTGTTGTTGTTGTTGTTGCTATTGAAAATAACATATGCGTTTGTTGTTGTTGTTTTTAAAGACAGGGTCTCACTCTGTTACTCCAGGCTGGAGTGCAGTGGCACAATCATGGCTTACTGCAGCCTTGACCTCCCAAGGCTCGGGTGATCTTCTCACCTCAGCTTCCCAAGTAGCTGGGATCACAGGCATGTGTCACCATGTCTGGCTTTTTTTTTTTTTTTGTAGAGACCAGGTCTCACCATGTTGCCCAGGCTGGTCTTGAACTCCTGGGCTCAAGGGATCCATCCACCTTGGCCTTCCAAAGTGCTAAGATTATAACCATGAGTCACTGTCCCTGGCCAGTATTTACAGTTTTCAATTATCTATTTCTGTATATAACAGATGTCAACAAATTATGGTCCACTGGCCAAATCTAGCTTTAGGCCTCTGTCTGTCTCGCCCCATAGCTAAAGGAAATTTTTATATTACTTCAAAGGAAGAAGAAAAAGAATGTATTTCAGAGATTGTATGTGTCAGGCAAAAGTCTAAAATATTTATCTGGCCCTTTACAGAGGAAGTTTGCTGATCTCTGGTTTATAGAAACAAAATTAATTTTTAAAATGTTGTTGTATCTATTTTTGTTAATCTTCATATAACAAATCTATTTTAAATAATGTGTCTGTAAAGTCGCTTGGATATTCTATATAAACAATCATATAGTTTACGATTGTTTTTCCCCAAACTTTAGACCACTTTTTTTTCCATCTTTGCTGATTAATACCCTCCATCAAATGCTGACTAGAAGTGGTAAAGCAGATAACTGTCTTATTCCCAATTTTAAAGTAAATAACTCTTAAGGTGATATCATTATGTATAATGCTTGCTCCAAATTTTAAAAGATATACTTTATCAGATTAAGGACAATACTTCCTAGTCCTTGTATCATGAATGCCCACTGAAAATTTACAAATTGTTTTCTGCATCTATTGATATGATTGCATGTTTTCTGCCTTTAATCAGCTTAAATTGCATTAATGGATTTTCTAAAGTTGAAATCTGCATTCCAGGCACAAACTATCATAGTCATGGCCTATTTACTGTAATTCACTTTCTGGCTTCATCTTCTTAGTATTTTGTTGAGGAATTTTGTATCTAATAAATGAAACCAGCTCAGTTTCCCATTTTCATACTAGCTCTATGGTACTGGCATCAAGGTTATATTAGCCTCACAAAATGAGTTGAAGAATATCCCCTTTTCCTATTGACTAGATCTTTTGTGTAAGTTTAGGATTATCTATTTAAATATTTGACAAAATTCATCTGTAAAACCATACGGGTATGGAGGATTTTTGTTGGTGGCATATTTTAAACTACTAAAATTTTAAACTACTTACAGTTACAGATCTCTTCAGGTTTTCAATTACTTTTTGAGTCCGTTTTAATAGATTATGCATTTCTATAAAATTGGCCACTGATGCCTTCAACTTTAATGACATAAAGCACTTCATACTAGTATCTTAAAAAAAATTCTCAATTGTGCCAGTATTAAACTGTTTACAGTTTAATAGTGTGCTCTTTCTTTTAAAGAATGTATTATTTGTATGGTTTTAAATCTCCAAATATATAAGATTTTTTTGTTGCTATCATTCTTTTCTACTTTGACTATACGACAGCCAGATATTGTGGTCTGTATAGTATCAGACATTTGGTATTAGTTTTTACTTTATTGCCTAATACATGGGAAAGTTTTATAAACTTCCTTGTATCTGAAAAAAAAAGTCATCAATTCAGAAAAATTCTTAGCCATTATTTCTCCAAATGTTGTTTTTCAGCATTCTTTCTTCCTGGAATTCTTTTTCCTTTTGGAGACAGTCTCTTTCTGTTGCCCAGGCTGAAGTACAGTGGCGTGACCTTGGCTCACTGCAACTTCTGCCTCCCAGGTTCAAGCGATTCTCCTGCCTCATCCTCCCGAGCAGCTGCGATTACAGGCGCGAGCCACCATGCCCAGTTAATTTTGTATTTTCAGTAGAGAGAGGTTTCACCATATTGGCCAGGCTGCTTGCGAACTCCTGACCTCAAGTGCTCTGACTGCCTCAGCCTCCCAAAATGCTGGGATTACAGGCGTGGGCCACCACACCCAGCCTCCTCCTGTAATTCTTATTAGACCTATGTTGGATCTCCCACGATGTCTAAATATCCATTTTGCATTTTCTGTCTCTTTATCTCTGTCCTGTATTTTAGTCATTTCTTTCACCTCCCAGTTCACTATGTCTTTAGCTTTCTTTAATTTGCTATTTATTCTGTTCATTGTGTTTTAAAAGTCAGTGACTTTGTTCCAGCAGTGAAAAGCAAAAAACAAGTCAAAAGTCAATAACTGTATTTTTCATTTGTCTGAAGTTCTTTTTCAAACTTATCTGTTCTTTTTTCACAGTGTTATCTATGTCTTTCATCACTGTAAACAAACTTAGTTTCCACCTGATCAAACTGAAATAGCTGGAGATCTAATCCTGCTATGGGTTTATCTGTTGACTCCTTCATGTTAGACTGTTTCTTCCTATGTTTTGATACCGGAAGGAGCTTTATCTGTGGTTCCCGTGAGGTCTAGGCTGAAGTCGCATGCCTCCAAACAGCCTTGGTTTTGCTTCTGTCAGGTATCCAGGGGCCTAGGACCACTTTTTATATTAACTTTTTGACATGAGGGTTACAGGACAAGATGTATAATGTCAATATGAACCCTAAACCTGTAGTAAGGGAAGAGTTATAATTATATATTCTTAGAAGAGACTTTTCCCCCGTCCTTGTCATCCAGAGTCAGATAAGCTTCCTTCTTGTCGTCCAGTGCTGGTGAGCAGACTGTTTTTCTTATCCAACTTTTCACTGAGGCTGTAGATCTTTGAGGGTTTGACTTCATGGTGTGAGTAGGGAGGTACACAGGTCAAGGCCTCATCTCCTGTCCTACGTGGGCATAAAATTTCAAGTCTCTGGGATACAATACTAATACTGGCAATGTACTTCACTCTCTTATTCTCATGCTGCCATAGCATTAATGCTTATTCTTAAATGCTCTGGTTTTCAGTTTTGTCTTCATTTTTGGCCCTTTATTATCTTATGAACTCAGATATGTACACAATATGTACATTCAAAAGCTGAGGGTTCCCCCGAGCATTGTTTGATTTTTTTTTTTATTTGTTTGTTTTTGGAGACAGAGTCTTGCTGTATCCCCCAGGCTGGAGTGCAGTGGTGCAATCTCCGCCTTCTGGGTTCAAGCAATTCTCATGCCTCAGCCTCCTGAATAGCTGGGATTACAGGCGCCTACCACCATGCCCGGCTAATTTTTGTATTTTTAATAGAGACGAGGTTTTACCATGTTGGTCGGGCTGGTCTCGAACTCCTGACCTCAGGTGATCCGCACTCCTTGGCCTCCCAAAGGGCTGGGATTACAGGTGTGAGCCACTGTGCCCGGCCTGTTTGATGTTTTAAAGTAGAAGAATTTTCAGATAATCTAGTACATCATACTACTTGGAATGGAGGTTTGCATATATTTTATTATTTTTGTTTTTAAAATTTTAATACGTTTAAACTTATTTTTTAATATTACACGGCCCATGACACAACCCTCAGGAGACCCTGAGAACATGTTCCCCTGCATTATAGCAGTGCATATCCTGAGATACTTTTGTACTCCCTAACTAAGCTGGGTCACTAAAAATTCTTTTTCAGAGTATGCAGCAGTTAAGTCACAGTAACAATTCAGGTATAAAAAATGAAAGAATAGGTCGGGCGCTGTGGCTCACGCCTGTAATCCCAGCACTTTGGGAGGCCGAGGCGGGCAGATCACGAGGTCAGGAGATTGAGACCATCCTGGCTAACACGGTGAAACCCCGTCTCTACTAAAAAAAATACAAAAAATAAATTAGCCGGGTGTGGTGGTGGGCACCTGTAGTCCCAGCTACTCAGGAGGCTGAGGCAGGAGAATGGCGTGAACCCGGGAGGCGGAGGTTGCAGTGAGCCGAGATCGCGCCACTGCACTCCGCCTGCGCGACAGAGCGAGACTCCATCTCAAAAAAAAGAAAGAAAGAAAGAAAGAAAAGAATAGTAAACATGAATAAATTGGATATTCATGGGACAATTTCATAACTCATACGTTTCTTTTGGGAAGTAAAGATAATGAGAAGGATTCTAGGCAAAAATTAATTAATCTGTGTTCATTCAACAGACATTTGAGCATACATGCTCACTGTTCATGGCACAGAGATAAGATGCACTTATTTATTCTACCAAAAAAACTGCAAAAAGGTAACTTCAAAACTTACTTTCTAACTAGGCTTACTTATATTATTATTTGATTATTTATTAATCTGAAAGTTAATATTTATATATCTGGTTAATTTCTACATGGAGCGAGTTAACTCACCTGGGCACAACAGATAAATACAACTGAGATAGTCAATAAGAAAGCAGATGAAACTATTACATCAACTGATCGCTGAGGACCTCGACGCTGCAGGGTGTGGGTGGAAGGGAGAAAAGGAAACATTTTAAAATATATTTACTAATCAGCAGATAATTTCCATGGTTTCAATAAAGGTGTTGACTCATCACCATCAGTTGATCACAGCCCACAATGTTGAATATACCTAATTTGTTAGGCAAATTTTAATGATAGTGTTATGATTTCCTGAGGAATTGCAACAGAGTTAAAAGGGTATCTATATTTATATAGCATAAAATTATTGGTATAACTTTCAAATACTTCATTTTGTCAAACACAAGTCATTTATTCGACAAATATTTCTTAAGCACCTGCTTAGCACTAGATACTGTGCTGGGTGCTACAAATACAACAGAGAACAACACATGGTCCCTCTACCTTCACAGGAACTAGGAGGGGAGTGAGACATCAAGTTAATAATCACAGATATATGTGATAAATTGTGATGAGTGCTAAAAGGGAAAGACATAGGATGCTTTGAGATACTTGGCAGGGAGACTTCATTTAGATTTGAGGGTTAGGAGTGCGGGCCTGTGAAGATCTCCCTAAGGAAGTGATATTTACACCAAACTAAGGGGGAGGGGCAGGGGCATGATGGCACACAGCAGTGTTCTAGGTAGAAGGAAGGGCATGTGCAAGAACATAAAGCAGGACAGATCACAGCTCATGTAAAGAACGGAAGCAGTCTAAAATGGTTGGAATGTAGTGGACTAGGAAGGAGAGTGTTTCAAAATGAAACAAAAGACAGGTGAATAAGGGAGAACTTAGATCATAAAGGGCATTATAAACCTTGTTAAGATTTTGTGCTTTATCTTAAGAGAAATGAAGAACCTCCAAAAAGTTTTAAGAATATAGGGCCAAATATACATTTTTAAATGATCACTGGTGGCAGACTGAAGAAAGGAATGAAAAGAAGAAATGTGAATGCTGGAATGCCAGGTAAGAGGTAACTGAAGTAGCATGAGGTAGAAGATGATTGATGGTTTCAATGAGGGTGGCAGAAATGGAACAAAGAGAAGCAAATGGATTCAAGATATATTTTGGGAGCAGAAAAGATAGGAATTGGTGATAAATTGGAGACTAGAGATTAAACTAGGATAATTCCTAGGTCTGGGCTTACATTCCCTCACTGAAGTATAAGCTTACGTATGAGGGTAGGGGCTTTCATCTCATCAACAATGAATGGCACATGGTTAACATAAATAAGTGTTTACGGAATAAAATAATCAATGTACAAAAGAATGTAACACCTGCTTAGGGTTGACAATGGAGGAAATTTTGGACGAATTCAAGCGATCAGATTCATCCCTCCATACAACAGATATGTCATAGGAAAAAAATATCCATGCCAATTTGCAGCAGTGACACTAAGTAAGCTAAATTTAACAAGTTAAATTAATAAACAGAACAATGAATTTTTTAAATATAAGAGTAGAGAAATAGGGCATTATTATTATTAGGGCTTCTTTGATTATTATTTCAAAATATAAAGCATTAAAGATCTAGGTATGTCAGAGGATGATTGGTCTTCAGGTCAACTTTACTAAGATACAGACAGTGCTGTGAATAAATATCATTGGAATTTGCATGATTACTCCATATATAATGACATTCTACTGCTACTTAATGCAATAACAAGAAGTAATCCTCAGAAAAAAAGTGTTTTCCTAAAACCAATTTAGATGTTTCCCTCTTCCCTCCAGAGTTTTTATATCATACTTCCATAATTAGGAAAATTACTCAAAAGATTAAAGGAAAATAATGACATGAAAAGAATGACACTGAATTGCAAACTAATATTTTAAAATAGTAATAGGTCACTTCTGTGAGGAAACTCATTGGTTATTTTTTTTAAATTCTTTTTTAAGTAGTGGGCTCCCTCTGCTGGCTTGTGACAACCAGGCTAGTAGAAACAAAATCCCTAATCCAGTTTTTGAATGAGTAAAAGCTGGTTACTATACATCTAGAGACAAATATATATTGATAAAGAAACTGGAACTATCAGAAAGGGCCAGCATGTTAAAGCTACTTTTATCACTCCCATTCTACCTTAAGATAGGAACGGAGAGATAGCCACATTTTTATATTCTGTACTTTCTTCAACCGGAAATGAGGAACCTCAGATTTTCGAGCCCTCCTTGCAGATGTTAAATGTCCAAAGAGTTTTGCAAAAAGTAATCGCTAAAAAAGATTAAGATGAGGATTAATTTTCAAGTAGATTACCACAGAAAAACAAAATTAACAAAATATGAATTGTTAAGATTTTATTTGGTTAGGTACTATAAAAGCAAAATAAAAAATAATTAGGTAAAAATGATATAATGAAATAATAAAGTACTTCAGGAATACTTTTAATATTATGAAAACGATAAAATATTCTTATTCGGAAGTCTACATTATACCCACCTGTTTATAAGTTCTTTCTGCTACACAGAGCAAAAAAAAGAAAATCCACACAAGAGACACGCGAACCACAAAACTTATTATAACCATAGAAAGAACTATGACATCTTCATTAGAACCAAATGCAATCACATAAAGTTCTGAAGCAGAATGTGCTGTGAGTTGTTCCAAGTCTGTAGCTTGAGAAAGTCGGAAAACAAATGGAGTTAAACCCAGTATGAGAGAGACTGCATTTCCAAAAATCTGGTATCCTATTCCTGGTATATGGCTGTTCACCTTGAGGGAGCCAGGGGAAGAGAGAGAAAAGAAAAATAAAATTATACCATAAATTTTATCTACAGTAGAATTATTTATAGCAATATGAAATCATTTGTTAAAATATACTCATTCTGAGTAATTTGAATCCCATTCAAGTTTGAGAGCCTACTACATATAAAATGTCATTAATTCTTCAGATCTTAAAAACAATTATCAGATCGCTAATTTACTAAGTAGATGGCAAAAGGACTGTCATCCAGATCTTGAAAAAAATTTATGTATTTCATTATTTCAAGTTAGAAATATTCATAAATACTGCAATATTAAAGAGAATGAGATCTCATATCCACTGAAATTCAGTTCATTGAAGAAAAAACTCAGCATTACACTTATTTCATACGTTTGTACATTTGTAACTTGAGGTTTTCTTTCTGTTTTCTTTTTTTTTTTTTTTTTTTGAGACAGGGTCTCACTCTATTGCCCAGGCTGGAGTACAGTGGCACAATAATGGGCTCAAGTGATCCCTCCCAACTCAGCATTCCTAGTAGCTGGGACTACAGGTATACACCACCGCCCCCAGCTAATTTTTTGGGTTTTGTAGAGATGTAAAGACAGGGTTTCACTATGTTGCTCAGGCTGGTCTTTAACTCCTGGGCTCAAGCGATCATCCCTCCTCTAGCTCCCAAAGTGTTGAGATTACAGGCATAAGCCAACACACCCAGCCGCTTACATTTCTCTTTGAATAGTCCAATATATAAATAAGTGTCTCCTTAAACTCTAAAAGCATTTTAGAAGAGAGATGATAGAAGGAAGAAGAAATTAAACAGAAAGGGAAAAAGGTGAGGGAATTATTTTAAAAAAGGAAATTAGATAATGGGACAATATAAAAGCTTCCAGTATGCTAGACTGGCAGAACTAAAAGAGATCTTAACTATCATGTAGCCAACTTTTTATAATATATATTAGATAAATGAGACCATTGTAAGTTAAGTGATCTGCCAATTCACAGGTAATTAAGTTACAGAGCACAAACTAGATCCAAGATTCCAGAGACTTCCCCGTCAACTGCTTTTAATTGCTCACACTGAGATATGTTATAGGGAGTATTATCAATTTCTAGACCCAGTTATTATAATTCCTGTCTTACACAAAGTGTGGAGAAGAGTTCAAGCACAATAATGCACCAAAGAAATTTAGAAATTGCAAGTTAAAAACAAGTCCAGAGAAATCAACACATTTTATTTTATTTTATTTTTATTTATTTATTTTTTGAGACGGAGTCTCGCTCTGTCGCCCAGGCTGGAGTGCAGTGGCGTGATCTTGGCTCACTGCAAGCTCCGCCTCCCAGGTTAATGCCATTCTCCTGCCTCAGCCTCCCGAGTAGCTGGGACTACAGGCGCCCGCCACCACGCCCGGCTAATTTTTTGTATTTTTAGTAGAGACAGGGTTTCACCACGCCTGGCTAATTTTTTTGTATTTTTAGTAGAGACGGGGTTTCACCATGTTAGCCAGGATGGTCTCGATCTCCTGACCTTGTGATCCGCCCGCCTCAGCCTCCCAAAGTGCTGGGATTACAGGCGTGAGCCACCGCGCCCGGCCAATCAACACATTTTAAAAATCAGTAATTATCTGAAAAAAGAAATAATAGAAAATAAAATTTTAATCCACAGTATTTCAATTAGACTTCTTTGAACTACTCAAGACTTTTACCACTATCTGCATTACTTCTATATATTTAAGTAGGTAAGCAAGTATGAATGCAAATTTACTAGTTTGATTTTTTCATGTCTTAAGTCCTATTAAACAAATGAACCAGTAAGAATGATACAGAAAAATAAGTCTTTTTAATTATTTTTTTATTTTTAAAGTTCTTGTAACAACAATCTCTAGTCCAAAGAAAAGTCTTTATTAACACCTGTATATATCTAACAAGCTCCTGAATTTCAAAAGAAAGAAAAAGATAAAAGAGAAAAATTATAGACCGTATCATCTATTCTTGGTCAGATAAGTGAAAACACTAGAAGATGAGAGTGGTTTGGTGACAAATCACTGTTTAAATTACAGACAGAAACAAATACACACATGTAACTTTTTTTTCAGGGTGAAGAAATGAGGTCAGAAGGTTACTAATATAATATTCCAGTAATTATCTTATATATAATTACTAAGTCTTACCCTTGAACTACAAGAATAAAATTTAAAAACTCACTCTGTTCATTATCATTCCACTGATTTCAAGTACAGACATGTCTGCTTTCTTACAATCATTACCTTCCCATACTATAGCACTTATTTTTTCTAATCCTGGGTGGGAACTATGGAGCCAGGGCAAATGACTCTATAAAAAAAAAAAAAATTAGTAAATATATAGATCACATTTAATAAATAAAATGTGTGTATATAAAGTTGTATATATATCTCTATATACACACACAATTTTAATGACACTAAAAATAAAAATTGGTGAATATATTTATCATGTTTTATAAATGGAATATATAGATCTGTGCACAGCTAATATATTTATACACACAACTCTAAGACACTAAAATTCTATCTTAAAATTAGTTAGCATATACACTGAACAGATATCATAAGAAGTTACATGGTTATGAAACTGTACAAGTTGAGAACTTTCTGTAACAAGTATTAGTCAACCTATGTTCAAAAATATACTAAAACATGTCAGCAAAAGTACTTAGTTGTCAGTCTACACAGCTGCAATATACTAATGCTAAAAGACAAATGGATATCAACTTGTTCATAGTAATCATTGTCCAACTTATGATCATTAAAAAAGAATATGACAGCTGAGATTTGAATCTCTTTGAAAGACCATATAGTGCTAGTCTTATCCCAAAAAAGACTCTTCCTTACATATTTAACGTTTAATATCTGATTTAGTTACTTTTCTGATATTTTAATCCAGCATTTCTCCAAAGGACCCATTTAACTTTTTTTTTTTTTCCAGATAAAGCAAATATTACAAAACTGAAGCACTCAGCCTCCTGAGTAGCTCGGACTACAGGCACCTGCCACCATGCCTGGCTAATTTTTTTATTTTTAGTAGAGACGGGGTTTCACCATGTTGGCCAGGCTGGTCTCTAACTCCTGACCTCAGGTGATCCACCGGCCTCTACCTCCCAAAGTGCTGGGATTACAGGTGTGAACCACTGCGCCCAGCCCCAAAACAGAACAGTTGAGTTAATGATGGCAACAAAATTAATGAAACACTAAACCTTTATATAATCAGACTTCAAGAGGAGAAGTAACACTAAAAGATTAAACCCAGATAGAGATCAGTTTGCTTGTTTATATTGCAGTATTTCTAGTGTATTTTTAAGGACTCATATACTTCCCACATTTTGTTTTTTGAGACGGAGTCTTGCTCTGTTACTCAGGCTGGAGTGCAATGGTGCGATCTCAGCTCACTGCAACCTCCGCCTCCCAGGTTCAAGTGATTCTCCTGCCTCAGCCTCCCAAGTAGCTGGGACTATAGGCGCCCACCACCACGCCCAGCTAATCTTTAAATTTTTGTAGAGACGGGGTTTCACCATGTTGACCAGGTTGGTCTCGAACTCCTGAACTTGTGATCTGCCCACCTAAGCCTCCCAAAGTGCTGGGATTACAGGCGTGAGCCACGGTGTCTGGCCACTTCCCACATTTTCTAAAAACAATAGTTTTGGCATTCGTAGCAACCTCAAATTTTATAAAATATTTCATTAAATATAACTTCTAACAATGAACAGAAGAATCTACTCTAGGTACATTTATTCTTTAGAGGACAAAAATGTGATTAAAATATGGTAAAAAAAATGTTTCTTGTAAACTTTTAACACTTTCCTCTAGGGGGAGTAAAGTTGCATTGATTAATTTCAACTAAAGTTGAATAATAATAATTCAATAATGTAAAAAAAAAGAGGTGGGAAATTTTTATCTTTTCTAGAGATGAAGGATTTTAATATACTTTAACTTTCATGGTATACATTTCACTACTTGAGGTCCTGAAGAGTGCTAAGATACTAGTTATTAACTACCAACTTAATTTCTCAAATGTTATTTCCTCATTTATCTCCAAACAAAATATTCTGTTTTGGGAAAGAAATAATCTGTACCAAAATATGTATCAAACTTTCACTAGAAATTTTACAATTGTTAAGCGTAAGGAAACCAAAAAGCCAGAAACAGGAAGTGCAAGAAGCTAAAAGGAAAGAAGTTTAAGCTTGAGAGCCAACAGATTTCAACCACTGATTTACAGACATTTTTAAACTCTCAGTCTGGAATAGTGAATTAAGGTCTTCCTAATTACATGAAGAAAGGAATATCAATACCAAGAAAGCCCATCTAGAGACAGAAATAGGAAATCAGGACATTCTCATTGTCCTCCCAAAAGCACTCCTTTTACATCTAGCTACCTTGCCAATTACTCTATCCAGCATCTGATATTACATTATTTCTAGAATGCCAAAAGGCAAAAGAGAAGACAGCAACTAGAAACTGGTGAATTTTAAAAGAGTTAATTACGCCGGGCGCGGTGGCTCACGCCTGTAATCCCAGCACTTTGGGAGGCTGAGGTGGGCGGATCACGAGGTCAGGAGATAGTAGCCATCCTGGCTAACACGGTGAAACCCCGTCTCTACTAAAAATACAAAAAGAAATCAGCCAGGCATGGTGGCTGGTGCCTGTAGTCCCAGGTACTGGGGAGGCTGAGGCAAGAGAATGGCGTGAACCCGGGAGGCAGAGCTTGAAGTGAGCCGAGATCGCGCCACTGCACTCCAGCCTGGGCGACAGAGTGGGACTCCGTCTGAAAAAAAAAAAAAAAAAAAAAAAAAAGGGTAAATTACATGTTCAATGTTGTGTGTAGAAACTTGAAAAAATAAATAAAAAAGACTGCTATATTCCTCTGTGTGTGTGTGTGGGGGGGGGGAATGTACACTGAAAAACAGTCTTGTTGAATCATGTCTGCAGTGTGGAGAACAGCATCACATGAAATTTTTTTTAAAAGGTTCAGGGAAAACATCAGAGCAAATAATTTCATTTTATAATTTTATCACATAGGTTACTCTAAATACATTTTCTTTTTTCTTTTTTTTTTTGAGACTGTGTTGGGCTCCACTGCCCAGGCTGGAGTGTGGTTCTTGGCTAACTGAAACCTTCGCCTCCCGGGTTCAAGCAATGCTCATGCCTCAGCCTCCTGAGCAGCTGGGATTACAGGTGCCTGCCACCGTGCCCACCACCATGCCCGACTAATTTTTGTATTTTTAATAGAGATGGAGTTTCACCATGTTGCCAGGCTGGTCTCGAACTCCTGACCTCAAGTAATCCACCCGCCTTGGCCTCCCAAGCTGGGATTAGAGGCGTGAGCCACCATGCCCGGCCGCTATATATGTTTTCAAACTAAAATTTAGAACTTAAAATTTTTTTTTACCTTTGAAGACAGCATCACAGATCCAAAAATTTAGAACTTCTAAAATGATTATACTTTATCCTCACTTAAAATCTCAACTGCTTTGCTCCTTATTCATTCAAAACTACCTGAAAACCTTATTGCTTAAATGGTGGCATGTTTTATTTCAAATAAATTCACCATGCCAACCACATACTCGTGTTTCCAACTGTGGGAATGCAGCCATTTAAAGCTTTACACTTACTAAAAACTGAATTTCAGCTGAATATAGCTTTATATTTTAGTATATATTCAGCTATAGAGGAGGGCTATAGGAGAAAAATTTTCTTCTGTGGAAATGTTTCAATTACTATTTACAAACAAAATAAAACAATGAAATAAAGATACACATTTGGGAATATTCTGATTAGAACATACTAATTCAAATGCTCAGTGTTTTTTCATGAGAAGGGATTTTTCCATCTGTATAGCAGACAGAAAAAGGTCTTCCAAACCTAACAGACTGGTTAAACAAGAAAAAAAACTAGTAGCTTTTTAGTAAAAGGGAGCTAATTTCCATTACTTAGCTACTAGTAAAACTAAAAGCATGAGCTTATTTTTTGAAACCTGAGAATTAAAAATCTGTTTAAGATCAAGTCTTTAATCTAAAAGCAAAACCAATATAAGCCTAGGATACCATAATTAGATATACAGAGTAGAGCATTAACAAATTTTATCTTACCAAAAAGGTAGCCGACTGGTGTGACAGACTTAGGAGCAATTTACTCTGCACAGACATCATAAAACAATTTTTTAAATCATTTAAGAAAGGCCTAATTGGCATGTTTTGAAAAAATTTAATTTTGTTTCAGGCATTCAATATTTATTAAATACCTACTGTGTACCTCACGCTGTGTGATACAACACTGAGCAAAAAAAAAAAAAAAAAACACATGGTCCCTGCTTTTATGCTGCTTATAGTTATCTCTGGGAAAATAGCTCACAGGCATTTCCCTCAATCTTAACTCCAGTTGTTAGTCTCAGTGACTTAGATGAATATGCAGATGACTCATTCAACACCCTATGCTTTCATGGATTGTTCACTTTTTCATTTCTTCAATCCCAAGGACGCTACTCCCACAGCCACACCCTAGACCTTGTCACCATACGGAACTGCTCTACTTCTGAAAGGAATCTACTACAACTTCCCATCTTACCTGGTCTCTCAAAGCTTCAATTCTGAAACACTTGTTCCCTTGAACACACCTATCCTTAAATTTATCAGTCCCTTCCTGATTTCATTTCCTTCTCAATCTAACAATTTAATGACTAGACTGCCACCAGATCCACCATTTCAATCATCCCCTCTCCTGTCCCTTGAAGAGCAACTATTTATTTATTTATTTTATTATTATTATTTTTTTGAGACGGAGTCTCGCTCTGTTGCCCAGGCTGGAGTGCAGTGGTGCCATCTCGGCTCACTGCAAGCTCTACCTCCTGGGTTCACGCCATTCTCCTGCCTCAGCCTCCTGAGTAACTGGGATTACAGGCACCCGCCACCACGCCCGGCTAATTTTTTGTATTTTTAGTAGAGATGGGGTTTCACCGTGTTAGCCAGGATGATCTCGATCTCCTAACCTTGTGATCCACCCGCCTCGGCCTCCCAAAGTGCTGGGATTACAGGCGTGGCAACTATTTATTGAACACTTACTCTGTGTGACTTTGGGCACATTACTCAACTCTGAGCAATGTAAAATGAAAATAAACTACATTACCACAGGTTGTAAAGGTTAAATACATGAGATAATGCAACTAGATTACTTTGCACAGTGTGTGGCATAAGTAAATGCTTATTAAATGTCAGATATAGTAACAACTACATTCCAGAAAACATCACATAGCTGTGTAGAATAGGCAACTACAAATTCATGGTTTCAGATTCCAGCTGGACCCTCAACAATGTGGCAAGGCAGTATGATTGTTTTGATGTGTTCATTGGCTTGAACACACACACACACACACACACACACACACACACACTCTCTCTCTCTCTCTCTCTTTCTCTCTCTCTCTCTTCCTCTTTCTCTCTCTCCCTCTCTCTGTCCCCTTTCTCCATTCTCCACAAATGGTAACTTAAAGCCTTCACCACCATCCAAAAGCCTCCTCTTGTATCATCTCGCTTATTGCCAGTAGATCCCTTGGACTCTTGCACTTCACGGAAAAAAGATCATCAGGCAATAACTCTCTTACCATCTTGCTTGCTGCATGCACTCATCCTTATCCTCCTATCTCAGCAGAGGATGTTTTCCTCTTCCTGTCAAATGCTAAGCTTCCTGATTATGATTCCCCTCCAGAATCCTAAGAAATCATTCCACCAGTCAACATTTTCTTCCGTATCTCTTTGATTCTTCCCTACCTGTTTTCTCCTGTATATATCAATGTTTTCAAATATCTCATATATTAGGGAGTCAACACCAAAACACTCCAGCTCAATTTCCCTAATTACCACTTTGTTTTTTCTAAACATTCATAGCCATCCTTTTTATTTTTTATTTTATTTTTGAGACAGAGTCCGCTCTGTCGCTCAGGCTGGAGTGCAATAGCGCCATCTCAGCTCACTGCTAAGCCCTGCCTCCCAGGTTCAAGTGATTCTTATGCCTCAGCTTCCAGAGTAGCTGGGATTACAGGTGCCTGTCACCACGCCTGGCTAATTTTTGTATTTTCAGTAGAGACAGGGTTATTTAAAGTAAAGGCAGCTTGCCTTTTTCATTCAAAATTATATTCAAAAACTTATTCATGTTGATACATGCAGCCGAGTTCATTCAATTTCACTGCTGTATACTGTTTTATCATACAACATTATTTATTAATTCCACTATTATTGGCTATTATATTTTCAACTTTCACTATCATGCACAATGCAATGATAGTGCCTATCTTCTAAAGTTTCATTCTAAATTGGAATGAAAGGGTCCTAGAATATATAGAACTTCAACTTTACTATATAATGACAAACTGCTCTTCAAAGTAGCTGTACAAACAAACATCAGTATTAAAGAGTTCTCTCTTCACATTCTTGCCAACATTGAAATTTATCAGGTTTTAAATTTTGACAATTTGATCAATATTAAGTAGTATCTAATTGTTCTAATTTACATTTCCCTAACTAATAGCAAGGCTGACCATCTTCACTTATATTTTATTAGCCATCAGGGGACCTGTTCACATCCTTTTATTTTTCTATTGAGTCATTTGTCTTTTACTTATTCATCTGTAGGAGTTCTTTATGTCCTGTATGTAGTAACACTGTGATAGTTAATGTATTGGAAATATCTTCTCCCAGCCTGTGGCTCATCTTTTAACACGCCCAAAGTTTTAAATCTTAAGATATTCAAATTTATCTCTCCATTTTTGTTTGTGCTTTTTATATCTTGTTTTTAAAAATTCTTCTCTAACCTGAAGTAATAAAGATTTTTCTCCTGTATTTTCTTCTAAATGCTTTAAAGTTTCGCTTTTCACCTTTAGAAACTATTTGGAATAAATTTTCAAGTGTATAATCATTTGACTCACAACCATATAGTCCGTTCTTTTTCTACTGACTTGTAATGCCACTTATTGTCATGTATTAGTGATCCATTATAAACAAATGTCTATTTCTGAGTTTTCTATTCTGTTCCATCGGTATATATGTTTATATGTCTATACTATACTATCTTGAGTATTAAATTGAAAGTAAATTTTTATATCCAGTAGGGAAAGATCCCTGTTGTTCTTCAAAATTGTTTTTGCTATTCTTGATATTTTGCTCTTTAATATGGACTTTAAATCAGCCTAACTCCAACCAAAACCAGACAGAGGTAAAGAGACCAGAGCTCCCTTATTTCCACCGTGTAAGGATACAAGGATAAGATAGCTGTTGTAAACCAGGAAGAGAACCTTTACCAAGAACCAATCATGCTGGCACCCTGATCTTGGACTTCCAGGCCTCAGAACTGTGAGAAATAAATGTTTGTTGTTTAAGCCACCCAGCCTCTGGGATTGTTATAGCAGAAGGTTCTTTGATAGCTATGCATCACCCTTTTATCAGATTGAAAGTTCTCTTTTTTTTCTCGAGTTTTCTGACTTTACTTGGTTTGACAGGATTAGATAAGGAGTTGGATAAGAGAGAGAAGGTGAAGAAGAGGGGAATTTTAAATGACCACCAAGTTTCTGGACTAGTGAGTAGATGAATGGAGATGTCATTCACCAAAATTTTGAATGGAATAAGAAAAACAGATTTATGAGGGAGGACTGGTTAAATTTGAGGTATTGGTGGGACATTCAAATAAAGATATCCTATAAAATCGTGCTGTCCAATATAGTACCCTCCTCACATGTGGCTATTCAGCATTTGAAATGTGGCTAGTCCGACTGGGCAGGGTGGCTTATGCCTGTAATCCCAGCACTTTGGGAGGCTGAGGTGGGAGAATCACTTGAGGTCAGGAGTTCGAGACCAGCCTGGCCAACATGGTGAAAGCCTGTCTCTACTAATAACATAAAAATTAGCCGGGTGTGGTGGCGGGCGCCTGTAATCCCTACTACTCAGAAGGCTGAGGCAGGAGAATCGCTGGAACCTGGGAGGCGAAGGTTGCAGTGAGTCAAGATCGTGCCATTGTACTCCAGCCTGGGTGACAAGAGGGACAGACTCCATCTCAAAAAAAAAAAAAAAAAAAAATGTGGCTAGTCCAAAATGAGATGTGCTCTAAGTGTTTACACCAGATTTTGAAGATTTAGTATTAAAAATGTAAAATATTTCATTAATTTTTTCATATTAGTTATATGTTAAAGTGATATTATGAATATAATGGTCTAAATAAAACATATTTGAATTTCCCCTTTAAAAAATATTTAATGAGGCTACCAGAAAATTAAAAATTATACATCTGACTCTCATAATATTTCCATTGGATAGCATTACTATGGGCACTTGGAGCTACAAATTTGATATTCATGAGATGTAGATTTGTGAATATAATCTTATAGGTGGAGTTTAGACCAAGGTGTACATGCATCTGGCCACAAAGTATGTTCAGTAAGAAAGTACTATTGCACCTAACACACGATTTGACTTACGAAACTCCAGTTACCAATAACTTTTCAGGAACATACATAACCACAATATAAGTACTGAGATTCTATGTTTTGATGAAGCCAGACCACAGCTCACATAAAAAGAAAAAAAATTATAGAAATATAAGCTTGAATGTAAGCTTTTTCTTCACCTCTGTAACATTTGAACATAAATTCAAAGGAGCTTGACTCATAGCTCCACATAAGCCAAAACCATAAACCAACCTGATGAAAAGGGTCATCTCTATATTCTTTTTTCACACATGGATTAATCTGATGATTTTCCACATCTGTCTCACTGGTACAAGATGAATGGCATTCTGCACAATGTAACAAGTCTTCCCATAACACATCTTCTGTTTCAGATTCTGGCCTTGCACTCTCAGAATCCTGTCTGGAACTTGAACAGCGAGAGCTGCAACTAGTACCCGATTTAGGGGCGTCCTGAAATCAAGATATTCTTTGACATTAATACAATTTATGTACTCTTTCCAACTCAAAGGATACTATCAGAACCCATATATTGATACTTTTTGCTAAAACAACAAATACACCCTCAAAAGATAGTGAGACAGCAAAACATTACAAAATATATTAGCTTTTATTCAGTAACAAAATACCTTCACATCAAAATTTATTTGATTTCATATTTCAGCTCAGATATTACTTTGCATACAAAGGTTGTATCTATTTTCTCTTAAATTTTATATGAAGTTCACAACTCAGGTAGGCAGAGAGAGTAGTCTAAGTAGTCTAAGTTCATACGGTCTGCACGGTGAACATTAACTGACTTTAATTGATGTTATTAATGGCAATACCATTGGCCTCCCATATCCATGCATTCCACATCTGCAGATAGAAAATACAATATTCCTGAGATGCAGAACCCACAGTTTTGGAGAAATGGAGGGCGAGGGCTGACTTATGTGTCATCAGGTTCCACAGGGCTGACTGTGAGATTTGAGAATCCTTGGATTTTGGTATTTATAGAAGGGCCGGATATCTACCAATCTCACGTGGATACCCAGGAATGACTGTATTTTCTTATTCTAGTCTTTTTTTTTTTAAGCAAGAGTGGATTTATCTACTGTTTTTGTTTCACAAATGGAAGTGAAATCAACATAAAATTGATATTTAAACCAAGAAGGTAACTGCCAACTCATGTTCTTGAGATAATCTGTGGTATAAAAGTAAAAAATTAAAACAAGTTAAGTAATTTCTAATCAGTTTACTTTATCCTGGGAGTTTGCAATGTACAAAATAAAGATGAGTAAAATTTTGATTTAAATTAATTAAAAAACTTTTACTGAATAAATCATGGTCATAGTCATCCTTATGGCCAGGTATCTTCAATTTTTTTTTTTTTGGCTGTCCTCTGTGACTAGATTTGTCATGTACCTTTAAAATGCATTATATTTATCCTTTTGTCTTTCCTTTGCTATCACCGACTTCAGACTTTATCATTTATACCTTCATTGCTATAAGCACCTCCTAATTGATCTTTGCCTAAAAGGCCTTCCTCTTCTTTCCAGATTAACCTTCCTAAAGCACAGCTGTTCTTTGACTCCTCTAGTCAAAATCTTTCCTTGGCTTCTCACTGCTCTCCTGGATAAAGTTCCGATTCCTTCACCTAGCATGCTCATCTTCATATGTGCTACTTTTTGACCTTGTCTTCCACTACATACCGTAACCTTTTACTCCAGTGACAGTAGGCTACTTCTGAGCCCCTAAGCATGGCTTGTTCTTTGCTTTGATTATGTTCCACCCTAGGCCTTAATTATGCTCCTACCTCTTATCATTAATCCTGCACTCCTTTAAAAAGCTGTTAAAAATTAAATGAGCATGGGAACTTTGAATACAAACCTGGCACAAAGCAGGGGCTCAACAAATGCTACCTTAAAGCCACCTACCTAGAGTGATCACTTTGTTCCTGAAGTGAGTTATTACTATTTTTTGAGATGGAGGCTCACTCTGTCGCCCAGGCTGGAGTGCAGTGGCACGTGATCTTCACTCACCACAACTTCCACCTCCCAGGTTCAAGTGATTCTCCTGCCTCAGCCTCCCGAGTAGCTGGGGTTACAGACACATGCCACTGCGACTGGCTAATTTTTGTATTTTTAGTAGAGATGGGGTTTCACCATGTTGGCCAGGCTGGTCTTGAACTCCTGACCTCAGGTGATCCACCCACCTTGGCCTCTGAAAGTACAGGGATTACAGGCGTGAGCCACCAAGCCCGGCCTGAAGTGAGTTATTATTTATATTCATTTGATAATAAATTTTGTACTGCTTTCCACAATCAATCTCTCTCTTTATGTGTATGTGTGTGTTTGTGTGTGTGTGTGTGTGTGTGTGTATGTATATATATATATATATATTTTTTTTTTTTTTTTTTTTTGAGATGGAGTCTCACTCTGTCACCCAGGCTGGAGTGCAGCAGCACTATCTCAGCTCACTGCAACCTCCACCTCCTGGGTTCAAGCAATTCTCCTGCCTCAGCCTCCTGAGTAGCTAGGACTACAGGAGCCCGCCACCACACCGGGCTAATTTTTATATTTTCAGTAGAGATGGGGTTTTATCATATTGGCCAGATTGGTCTGGAATTCGCAACCTCAAGTGATCAGCCCACCTCAGCCTCCCAAAGTGCAGGGATTACAGGGGTGAGCCATGGCCCTGGCCTCTTTTTTTTGAAGCAGGACTACATGCGTGTACCACCATGCCTGGCTAAATTTTGTACTTTGTTTTTTTTTTGAGAGATGGAGTTTCGCCATGTTGCACAGGCGGGTCTCTAACTTCTGAGCTCAAGGGATCCGCCCACCTCAGCCTCCCAAAGTGCTGGGATTACAGGCGTGAGCCACTGAATGTGCGGCCAATATTGTCTGTCTCAATTAAATATTCATGTGTTTAATATTCTCAAATAGATTGTAAATCTAAATATACTACGAGTCCACAAAAGACAGATTTTTTTTTTTTGGCCATCTCCTTACCACAGGTAACAAAATACCTTGAGTGAATGAGGTACATTATTAATAATTAATCTACTGATATTAGAATGGGGACTGTGAATCTACAGTGTGTTAATAGAGTGTTTGTGGGAGGAGGGCTGTTTATTTAGAAAGAAGTAAAAAGAAAAACTTTCAAAAGAGAAGAAAATGATTAATAAGTAAAAACAAATATACAAAGAAAAAGAGGACAAAAATCACTCTGCTCTGTTTTATGAACAGCACTCCAAAAATATTTCAGGTTCTCTAATGTCACCAGTTTTCATTAGCAAGGCACAGAACACATTAAGCTTTTAATAATTGCTAATTTAAAACTTGTGATAAAGATAGTTTATTATATATAACGTCTGTTGCAGACTTGTTAATCAGGATTAAAGGCCTGATGACTTTAACGGAAACTAATTAATGATTTCAGGATTAAGAAAATATCTATAATTCTTTAGAAGTGTTTTTTGCCAAATGCAGATTAGTAAGTGGGTTTTTGTTTTTGTTTTTTTTTTGAGATGGAGTCTCACTCTGTCACCACGCTGGATGCAGTGGCGTGATCTCGGCTCACTGCAACCTCTGCTTCTTGGGTTCAAGTGATTCTCCTGCCACAGCCTCCCAAGTGGCTGGGACTACAGGCACGTGCCACAACAGCCAGCTAATTTTTGTATTTTTCGTAGAGACGGGGTTTCACCATGTTGGCCAGGATGGTCTTGATCTCTTGACCTCGTGATCTGCCCGCCTCAGCCTCCCAAAGTGCTGCGATTACAAGCATGAGCACCGCACCCGGCCAAGTGGGTCATTTTATACATTTAAAACTCTGGCTGGGAGTGGTGGCTCACGCCTATAATCCCAGCACTTTGGGAGGTCCAGGTGGGTGCATCAAGACCAGCCTAGCCAACAGGGCGAAACCCCATCTCTATTAAAATACAAAAATTAGCTGAGGCAGGAGAATCACTTGAACCCGGGAGGCGGAGGTTGCAGTGAGCCGAGATGGCGCCACTGCACTCCAGCCTGGGCAAGGAGAGTGAAACTCTGTCTCAAAAAAAAAAAAAAAAAAAAAAAAAAAAAAACCCTAAAAACTATTGCCTATAATTGCCTAAATTTCAAATAGAATTTTACCTACAATATTTGTGTGATTAATAGTGAATATCACTAAAAATTACCAAATAAAGTCTAAAAAAAGAAAATTTTAGAATTGAACAGTTCAAGTTAAAACACATTTGTTTTGGTTTCTACTGCTAGTCATGTCAAATCTTTAGACGCCTAAAACTGAACATATAATGAGATTTAGAGAACACATAGTATTTATTTGAAGGGAATATGGACTTATAAATGCTTTCTTGGGGGGTGGAAGGAAAATTGTTTTAAAAAACTCAGAAGTTAAATAATTTTCCCAAGGTCATTTTAATAATCTAACTCCAAGCCCATGGTTTCTTCATTACGCTTCTCATCAAATGTTACCTTTCTGGGATGAAAAGCTAACCTACAATTGGGAGTAAAAATTGAACAATATTTGTAGAGCTGAACAAAGCAGGACAGAGTAGGTAACAGAAGAAACACTTAAAAGAAGCTGTCAGTTCCCTAGGACGCCTCCTGCATCCCAGATAACCAAGTAATTCCTCCCAACAGAACACTGGAAGAAGTCAACCAGATACAGTAGATAGTAGAAAAAGGCAAAAACCGGGGATTAAATGAAAGTCTACACATTAAATGACAAAATCCCCATCTCATCCCCAGTTCCCTTGGTGCCAAACACCAGAGCAGCCTGTTTTATTATCTACTACCCCCATCCCACCAGAAGACTGGATAAGTCTTCCCTAAAAAATAGATGCCCCTAAAAAGTTTATCTACAGATATTGCCATCTGGGAAGCTTACAACAAATGGCTAGGTTCCTGACCCATTATCTTACAATAAAACCCACCAATCCCATCCATGCACAAAATACTTCCCCAAAGAATTTTCCTTTTCATTTATCATTGGAATACTTTTATCAAGAAAAATTAAAGTTCAAACTATTCTATCTTTGGCTCCCAAGTCTTTCTGAAAAGACCTTGGTAGTCTTTGATAGCTTCCTTGCCCTCTATCATATTATAAGAGGTTCCACAGTCATTTTGTATATTTCCTGCAACAAACGACAATCAGGAATCAGCCACTTCTTCAAGAAGTTGTTTTGTTTTTGTTTTTTTTGGTTTTGGTTATTTAGTGATAAATGGCACAATCTAGGTACTAGAGATGCTTGCTCATTGTGTTTGAGTGGGTCCAAATGATTTTTTCATGCCTCACTCTTAAAGAAAAAACATTACTAGCAATTGGAGAGAGTACAGTAATTTATAAAATAAATTTAAATTTATAAATAAAAACGCAAAAGAGCACTACAAATCTTCTGTTTCCATTTTATTTATTCAAAGGAGGCTTTATTTTGCTTTTTTTTAGAAACGCCCTTTAAAGCTGGTTTAAGAGTAAAAATTTTTGAGAACTGAATGCAGCTTTTAAAATATCACCTAGTCTACATTCTTCACTTTATAGACGAAGAATTTTATAGCCATATTTTATATTTATGTAATTTCTTATATCATTAAAAAAGATGTAAATCAATGCTTACTATCAGCCTTACTTAGCTGGAAATCAAGATTTTAAACAACCTTTTAATTTAAAAGTTAATAGGTAGAATAATGTTCTGCGCTTCAAGAAACTCAATCGTTTAAAATACAGTTGCAAACCAACAAAAGCCAAGATCATGGAGTGAGAAAAATACTGCTACTGCTAAATAATTTATTCTGGGAGAGGGGTCAAACAGCCCTCCGTCTCCCTTCCAGCACCAACTGACTTCTAACAGTACATACAGTAAGACAAAATTTTACAAGCTTGGTTATCTGGCTTAGGAACAAGAAACACTACATCAAATGACATGGGTGAAGAGGCAATAGAGCAGACACACTGGCATTAGTGTCTGTATGGCAACCACTGGGAAAAGAAACAAAACCACAATCACCAGAAAGATTAACCAGAGACACAACCACAAAGAAGAGTGTGCAAAGAATAGTAACTCTTCTAATCTTAATACTCTGAAGGCAATCATATTCCAGCACAGCGTAACATGTGTTTGTTTTACAAGTTTAACCCAAAACCATCAAGGAAAAAATTACTAACATAGCTCAAAAAGAGTAGAAGGTAATGTTTATAAAAAAGTGATAAACAGTGTAATTTATTTGCCTTAAAGCCAAATGTTCTACCCTTAGATTAGAAACTGAAAATACAATTGAATGAAATTCTTTATTTAAACAATTTGAAGCTCAAGAGATATGATATAGTTGAAAAGGGTTTAGAGAAAATAAAGATTAATAAGGAAAAATAGAAACAAAGAAAAAAGAACTGAATTTTGAAGTATGGGGACTTAATAACTGGTGACAGCAATATGAAGGAAGTTACTTAAAATAACTTTGCTATGATCAAATGTATAAAGCCTTTCAAATTGTGGAAAAAGTGAACACAGGAGTTTGCAGATTCTCTCTCCAGAATGTTCTTCTTTAAAAGCAAACAACAAACAATGTATGAGTCTTCAAAGATAATGCATAAAATGAGCTCAAATGTGTGGCTATCTATCAATACATGTGCAATACGTAAACCTAAAACTGCTATTTTATAAATCCAGATCATACAACAATAATAAATATTGATAATAATGTGAAATATTTATTTCAACAATTTTTAATTGTTGAAAGAAGTTATAAATTAGTAACATATAAAATAGATACGTATGTATACACTTAAGGACAAAGTATATACCTCATTAGGGTAATGTTTCTTATAATGGTGTGACTTTCTATTCCGAAGAACACCTTCAGAAGTCCTGTCCACATGACGACGTAATGAGTATCCTGTTTCAGGACCTTCCTCACTGGAGACTTCATCAGAGACATTTGTTATTGTCCTTTGGGTATCCTAAGTTGGGAGTACACAAAGAGGATTATAGGTAATTTCTAACCAACCTTTTAGCTTTTAAACTATGAAATTTGAAATTACACATACATATATACACACAACTTCAAAATATCCTCAACTACCACAAAGTAACTAATTAGTATTACCTGATTTTCTGAAAAAATATCTTAAATCAGTGACTATACTTTTAAGGCATTTTTACTTTTAAAAGTACTTCAACAGCCATTTGTCAAATATTATCCTGTAATATTTCTGTTCAGAAAAGGATTTGAAACAGCATCCAAAAATAAGAAATATGCCAGGCACAGTGGCTCAAGCCTGTAATCTCAGCACTTTGGGAGGCTGAAGTGGGAAGACTGTTTGAGGCCAGGGGTTCGAGACCAGCCTGGGCAACATAGCAAAACTCAGTCTCTTAAAAAATAAAAATAAAAAATCAGCCAGGCATAGCAGTGCACACCTGTACTCCTAGCTATTCAGGAGAGTGAGGTGAGAGGATCACTTGAGCACAGGAGTTTTAGGCTGCAGTGAGCTATAATCGCACCACTGAACTCTGGCCTGGGCAACATAGTGAGACCATGTCTCAAAAAAAAAAAAAAAAAAAAAAAGGAATATAAACAGGAGAAAAGCAGAACAGAGACCACTTAAAAGAAGGTGAAAGAACATATTATACTATTTTTTCAAACTGAAAAAGCCATCAATTGTAAGACCCACCACTAATTTAATAATGGTTTACAGGATAAGAGGAAGTAAATAGCAACTGCATGTGCGCACGTCAGACAACATTCTACACACATCAATTTGTAAAAGATATCCAGAGTTTAGAAATTACGAAATTAAATGACTCTAGAGCATACGTTTTATTGATATTTTCATGTTCCTCATACAACTTTACTAGGTAATATTAATACAAGCCTGAAAACGTGTTTGAAAGCATATGACTGAAAATTTATCTGCTGAATAACAGTGATGAGAGGCTCACATTATCAGAGCTAAATGCTGAAAAAAATCTAAAATCAGAGTAAGGGACTACATTCATTGCAGGCCCATGCTCTTCTATGGCTACTGGTACTGAAAATACATGAACGTTCAAGTAGTAACATATACTTTACCCAAAATTAGAGAATCCTCTTTTCTTTATTTTCCTTAACACAATATGTTCATGCTCACATTCCCAAATGTAAGAGAGGTAACATCTTTTAATTTGACTCTCTCTCTATTTTTTTACTGTAACAGCTTCTAAAGAATAAACTGTTCAACCAAAAAAAATTCAGTGAAGCAAAGAAATAGAAGACATCACATTAAGCTTTGTTACAATAAAACCAGAGTCTCTCTATTTTGGAAAAGTAAAGAAATAATTGTTCTCTTTAACAAATATGTCCCCAGTAAGATTTTTTCCAGATTAAAAACAAAACAAAAGAAAACAAAACAGGTATGTTGACACCACAGGTAATGAATGCAGGAAAAACAAGATATCTTCTTATAGAGAACATGAATGGAAAACTGGTTTCCCTGTTCAGCTTCCTGAATTATTCGCATGTTCCACTTAGTGCAAATTCTTACACACACAGAAATAGGGAAAGAAAAAGTAAGGCTTAACAAACAACAACTGTAAATTATAAAGTGCTTTTAACATTTTGGGGCTAGCCACAGTGGCTCATGCCTGTAATCCTAGAACTTTAGAAGGCTGAGGTGGGTGGACTGCTTGAGTCCAGAAGTTCGAGACCAGCGTGGGCAACATGGCTAAGCCCTGTCTCTACAAAAAACAAAAAAAAAATTAGCCGGGCATGGTGGCGCATGCCTGTAGTTCTAGCTACTCAGGAGGCTGAGGTGGGAAGATCGTTTGTGCCTGGGAGGCTGAGGATGCTGTGAGCCAAGATCGCACCACCTCACTCCAGCCTGGATAACAGAGTAAGACCCCGTCTCAAAAAAAGCATTTTGGAAAAACTGAAGCCATCAATTCAGAAGGTGTCAGATTATATTGTCAATCAAGTTTAATCACAACACTTTATCTCATTTACAGTTTCATCAGTGTTATAAACGCTCACAGAATTAATTCTGGAGAAAATACTTAGTTCAAGGGCAACTACTATATCTAAGTCACTTTACATTGGCTAATATAAAATCACATAGGCAAACTATTTTAAAAATCACACGTACTTTGCTAGGACCATTCCTCAGTGTTCCTGTGTTCCAGGCTGTCTCTTCTGGTCGAATAGTTTCACACTGAGGTTCATGGTTTTGTATTCCATCTTCACCGCTTTTAACAGTCTTCTTCCCATCAAGGGATACATAGCCATTGTCAGTTTCAGTTGATTTATCAATTGAATTCTTTGCTTTCTTTGATCTAAAAATTAAAATATGCAGAAGAATGTTTGGACTTAGCTTATTTTGGATAGGTTACTGATAGAAATTATAATCTGTTAATAATTACATCAGATAGCTATTTCTCTAAATTTTAATGACCACCCTATTTGTATAATAATTTAGAAATATATCTAACAGCTAAAATAAACATGTAAATTAATGTCCTATTTCAGCTTAAAGGTTTTGAGGTCTTACAGATAACAATTCTAGGAGACATGCCCTAACTTATCAAAAAATTCTTAGTAAATCATCTGGTCTTTGAACAAAATCTAGAAACAAAATTTTGCCCATTTTATTATGGTTAAAAATATATTTTGAAGTTTTATTTAAGAAATGATCTAATTGTCAGGTTAAGTTGCAATTCATGGTTTAACTTAGTTTGATAAATTCCTTTTAGTATACAACTCATTTTAATATACAGTGAAGACACAGGTCTTTTGCAACATAAAAAGATATAAAAAAACGAAAATTTTAAATAAGTTTCTAAATAATGGAAGAAGTGAAAAAGAACAACACAAAGAAAATAAAGAAGTAACCTCTTTCACCCACTGAAATAATCTCTGGAAAAGATATTAGCAATCATGCAGCTTATAAATATCTAAAGGGCTAGAATTGAGGAATTTATAAGAATAAATTTTTTTTTCAACACATAAAATACAACATGGGAAATAAGATGTTTTTTACTAACAGGCAAACACTTGAGGAGTCCTCTTCAAAGACTACAGTGGATGAAAGAACAGTTATCCAAAGGAAACGGTTAGTAGAAATATAAAGTTAGTCCCACACAAAATTAAAATGTGCTCAATGCAGATTATCTATCATAAAACATTTTTAAAGCAATTATATTTAAATAAATTCCCTTGAATTTTTGTTAGAGGTATCAATTTTGCAAGTAAGGAAAAATAAAAATAGTATATTGCCTTCAGTTAGGTCAAAAACCAAAAGTTTTTTAAAAATGCACACATACCAAAAAACCCCACATTAGTTTTAACACTAAGTTACTCAGTTCTATTGGAATCTGTATTTTAGAACTGAGCAGGACCTTAAAACTCACCTATTCTACATGCTCATTTTGGAAACAAGGACGAAGAACCAGTCTAAGTGACTTATTTAAGGTCATGCAGTCAGTTAGAAGCAAAGCTCGCACTAGAGTACAGACCTTCTGACTATTAAGTTAATTATATTCTCCATACTACCTCAAACTGCCTACTCTCTGGGAAACTGCCTGTTAGGATTTTTTAACACACTCATCAACCTAGAAAGTTTCTGTCTTATGCAAACAGGCCCCTTTCCTTCCTTGTCCTTCTTCTCCAAGGTTCCTAAAGGGGCAGAAAGACCATTATTTCCCATATGCTCTACAGAGCTCCAGTGCTTTTTAGTCATTCAGAGCACATCTCCACAGAGTTGCAAGACTGAAAAGCCAAATCTCCAGATCCTTTACTTTCTGTATGATCCTCAGAAGCATGGAGAGACCAAGGGAACAATAAGCCATAGGATAAAGAGGATGGAGAGAGGGAGGAACATGAATTATAGGATAGAGGAAAATGGGCAAAAAATAGAAAATAAAAGACGCAGAGGAAACTTGTTACTTCCTCTGTCTGGGAAAGAAAGTGATAGAAACATTAGTTATTAATTGTCTCCTTTACCTCTCCCTTGAACACTGTGCAACCTGCAGATGTGGAAAAAGACCAAGTGAAGTTGTTACTTGATATCCTGAAAATGTCAGAAACTCAAAGATAAGGAAGAGAGAATGTACTGGAAAGGTATTTATAAAGGTTCATGAAAATCAGACTGGGCTGAGAAGGGAGAGGAAAAGGGGGATAAATTAGGTGAAAGAAGATGGAAAAGTTGGTAGAACCATTAATCAGACAGTATATGCAAGAAGAGAAATTTATTTAGGAAGAAAGATGGAACACTCTGAGAAATGTTAGTAGGCAACTGAAAACATGAGCCTGGAGGCCAGCAGTCAAAGTAGAAATAGTGGCTGAAAATTTGGGAATGTGTAGAATGAACCAGACTCTATAGGGTTAAAAAAAAGGGTGGTGGTAGGGGGGTGAGGGTAGGCCAGTAAAAGGGTCTTTGAGTCTGTAATAACTGCTGCTTTAACCATTTTTCTAAGGAGAATGTATTCTTTCCTTAACAGGGCAGGGTAAATACTACGTGAAAGCAGGGGAAAGAGTACTGGTAGCATTCATCCCATATGATACCTTTCAGCTATCTCTCACTTCCTCCTGTCCTTACCTCTGCTTCCCTCCAATCTTCTCTGGGTTGTTTCTCTCCCCACTATCTCCTCAAAGTTCATGCTACACTCTCAGCAGACAAGAACAGTAATTTACTAAGCTGTAGTAGGTATTTGATGCTTCTCATGAACCCTATGAAGGTAAGTTGCAAACTAAACTGCAGTGGCAAAAGAAAAATGCTAAATGTAAGTATTACTCTCAGAGTTTACAAACAAAGGCAGCCTGCCAGTAGCTGGTAATGAAAGCACTTGCAAGAATATCAGTGGAGTGGGACAGCAAAAGCAGCCCAGTGATAGTCAATAATGGAAGCCCATTTAGGGACAATATTAGAGAAAAGTACCAGGTGCAGCCTGGCAGGGTTAGAAGTTGATCTATATAAAGGTGACTAATGGAATAAGTAAACATATTGAGGATAATGGGAATCAGATTTTTCTCACTGACACAGAAAGAAGATATAAATATAAAAAGAAGAGATAGAATGAACCCCGCAGGATTGTATTTGAATTGGAGCTATCAATGCAAATTGATGGTGTATAATATACCTGGATAGCTATAGAAATAAATGTAATTGTAAAGGACCAAATACACATTTTCTAGCTGTGCTCACTGAAAAGGACTGGGGTTAACAACACCCCAATCGCAACAAGTGTATCTTGAACTCAGATTTTGGTTTCTATATACTACTCTTCTTGAAACAATAGTTGATTCTAGGCTGGGACAGAGGAAATACAAGTTGAACCCAAAACATTTTGTTGTGCCAGAAAGTAAGGAAATGCTCAAAGACTGATACAGATATGTCGGATAGCAAGGTTAATTGCTCAAAGGGGTTCCATGGCCAAAATTAGGTTGATCTGATCATCAAAATAAATGACAATAAAAAATTGAATAAAATAGAAATATATGAGTAAATAAATAAAGGAAAACTTCTCCTTAAAGCAGAATGCCGACTAATAAATGTAGAAGGAATGATGGAGTTAGAAAAATAACCACTTGGGAATCATAACAATAATTAGGGCAAGAATAATCTATAGATGCTAAAGCTAGAAGGTGAAAGCAGGATAATAAGTGGGTCACGACCAGGCCTCCATATCCACAGGTTCCATATTTGTGGATTCAACCAACCTCAAATTGAAAATGCAGTTAGGCTTACTATGCTTGCACCTGTACTGAACATGTACAGACGTATTTTTCTTGTCATTATTCCCTAAGCAATACAGTATAATAATGATTTACATAACATTTATACCATTATTAGGTATTAAAAGAGGATTTAAAGTAAATGAGAGGATATGCATGTGTTATATGCAAATATTATACCATTTATACACGAGACTTGAGCATCCTCAGAGGTTGGTATCCTGGGTGGGGGGGTGGTTGGGAGTGGTGGTGGGTGGAGGTATCCCAGAACCAATCTCCCATGGATACCAAGAAACAACTGTGGTTTTGTTTTGTTTTGTTTTTAAGAGAGACAGGGTCTCACTCTGTCTCCCAAGCTGGAGTGTAAATGGTAGGAGAGCTAAATTCCAATTATTGCAGGTAAAGAGGGTCAAAAACGTGGTTGCTCCAGGCAGGTTTAGTTTTACCACTGATTGCTATATGACTCATGTTGGCATTAATAAACAAAAGTAACTACCTCAAAGGGACAGTATTGGTAAAATTAATTTATTAAAAGGAACACAGGTTACTGAGACTTAGATGTTTAAATAATTCCTCCTGTTGCCTTGTTTTAGGGAATAAAAATACAGTAAAGGCAGTGGGGATGAGAGACTTATTTAAAAAACAAATATTGTAAAATTCTACTTACATTTTTAAAAGGGAAGTTAATTCTATTTTGTCAACTTCAAAACATGCACAAAAATAAACAGAATGCAAGATAAAAAGCATTTTGATTTTAAAATAAACATATATACTGAAATCACCATTCCTCAGCAAAAATGGAAAGCAGAAAGAAGCTGATATTAGGAATTAAAGTATTACCGTATAGGAAGAAATTATACTTTTTAGTATTACACACACACACACACACACACACACACACAGACACACAAATCTACCTTCTGATATTTACAATTCATGCATGTAATATTCATTTCATAAAACCAGAGTTAATGCTATTTTCTTAGATCAACCCAAACACCATGAATCACAGGCACCTGGACAGCAAGGCTAGTAGTTTCTTGAAAACAGGAGACATATATCTCTATACACGCTTTTATTTATTCCATGATAGAAGCAGTATTTCCTGGACATGCACAGTGCACCCTTAGCAACACCCTTGGCAAGGAAAAAACCCTAGAAGCTTGGAGCGGTTGAAAAGAACTCTGGCCCGAGAGTGGTGGCCTCCCGGCTCTGCTGTTATTAGTGACTGCAGTGTTATGAAGAATAAATTAAGATGAAATCAGTGAAAATGTTTTTTTGTAAATTGCAAATATTGTAGTAATTTATTACCTTACTCCTAGATTTTGAAAAGCTTTTTACCAAATTGAGCATAAAAATAATGAGAAAACAAGCCGGGCATGGTGGCTCATGCCTGTAATCCTAGCACTCTGGGAGGACGAGGTGGGCGGATCGTGAGGTCAAGAGATTGAGACCATCCTGGCCAACATGGTGAAACCCCTTCTCTACTAAAAAATACAAAAATTAGCTGGGCGTGGGACCTGTAGTCCCAGCTACTTGGGAGGCTGAGGCAGAAGAATCACTTGAACCCGGGAGGCGGAGGTTGCAGTGAGCCGAGATTGCACCACTGCACTCCAGCCTGGCAACAGAGTGAGACGCCATCTCAAAAACAATAAAAAATAAAAAATAATAATGGCCAGGAGCGGTGACTCACGCCTGTAATCCCAGCACTTTGGGAGGCCAAAGCAGGAGGATCACGAAGTCAAGGATCAAGACCATCCCAGCCAACACGGTGAAACCCCACCTCTACTAAAAACACAAAAATGAGCTGGGCATGGTGGTGCGTGCCTGTAGTCCCAGCTACTCGGGAGGCTGAGGGAGAAGAATCACTTGAACCCGGGAGGCGGAGGTTGCAGTGAGCCGAGATCGTGCCACTGCACTCCAGCCTGGCAACAGAGCGAGACTCCATCCTCCACCCCAAAAAAACTAATAATAATAATAACAATAATAATGAGGAAACAGCTTATATTTAGAAGACAGCTCAGTCAGAATCTCAGTTTAATGTGGATCCGATATAACTCTAGCACAAACCAAGGAAAGCTGTGATTTAATACTACCAGAAAATGTCAAATTTCTGGTAGGTTTTTCAGAATATTGAAAATTGATTACAGACTTTCATTTCCCATTTTGAGAATCCCTAAGATTCTGAGGGATGTTAGAGACAACAAAACTGTGATTTTCAGTATCTTTTCTGACTCTATCATTCCATGATTCTCTGAGAAAAAAAATCTCAGATTTAATTCTGGTCTGGGTGTTAAAGAAGCTTGTAGGGACAACTAGGGGCTTTTCCTAGGAATATCTTTCCAAGCTGAGGGGGAAGGACCTCGAAGAAGGCCCAGCAATCCAGACTTAGTCATTCAGCCAGTCAGTGAACCATCATAAGGTTGCCGCTCTCCTCCTCCACTGTGCCTTAGCTGCTCACTCTCCTATTCTTAGCTTCTTGAGTTTAGCTTAGTTTCTATGACCTTATCAGATTTCTGAGAACTACTCTTCTTGTAAAAATATTGCATATCCAACTCCTTGTTTAAATTCACTTCAAGACCCAATCGAAATGTGAAGCCTTCCTGACTCTCCTTGGCAGAGATCATTGTACCCTCCTTTGTTCTCCTAGGATATTTTGTTTGCATTTCTAACACTGTATTTCAGTGGGTTTATATGTGATTTTCCCCCACTAGCTTATGAGCTTCAGCATTGTACTCCCAGCATGTGACTCAATGCCTGGCTTAGGATGGTACTTATTAGATATTTCTTTTTTTTTTCCTTTTTTTTTTTTTTTTGAGACAGAGTCCAGCTCTGTCGCCCAGGCTGGAGTGCAGTGGTGCCATCTCAGCTCACTGCAACCTCTGCCACCCAGGTTCAAGTGATTCTCCTGCCTCAGCCTCTCAAGTAGCTGGGATTACAGGCACGTGCCACTATGCCTGGCTAATTTTTTTGTATTTTAATTTGACCTGGTGATTTAGAGACAGATAATCAGAATAAAACCAGATCACATGTTAACTAATATGCCTGACTGATCTACCTTTAAGATTCCTGTCACTTTTAGCCTTAGTATTTACTGTTTTTAACACTAAAGTGAAAGTTAAAGATTTAATAAAGCTGGGTGTAGTGGCTCACACCTGTAATCTCAACACTTTGGGAGGTTAAGGTGGGAGAATTGCTTGAGCCCACGAGTTTGAGACCAGCCTTGGCAACATAGTGAGAGCTGTAATTCCTGTTTGCTGTTTTTCAGTGATATTGTCACGGTGAAATGAATCTTAGAGGACATGAAAGAAAACTTAGGATCCATGTGACTTCTGAAGTAAGTACTATGCTGAACGACACACAATCAAGATGTAATTCATCCTATTCAATCTCTTTAATAGAAACTATAATTACATTAATTAAAAATTAATTGAAATTAAAGTACTAAATCCTTAGGAAATATAATTGATTTCTATCTTTTTTTTTTTTTTTTTCAGACAGAGTCTCGCTCTGTCACCCAGGCTGGAATGCAGTGGCACAATCTTGACTCACTACAACCTCCATTGCCTGGGTTCAAGCAATTCTCCTGCCCTAGCCTCTCAAATAGCTGGGATTATAGGCACCCACTATCACGCCCAGCTAATTTTTGTATTTTTAGTACAGGTGGGGTTTCACCATGTTGGCCAGACTGGTCTTGAACTCCTGACCTCAGGTGATCCACCCGCCTTGGCCTCATAAAGTGCTGGGATTACAGGCATGAGCCACCGTGCCCAGCCTCTATCTCTTTTTAAATTGACATTTTCTTAGACTTTGTTTTCTCAGGTTCATAAAGGTTTATTAAAGTAATTCCCAATTTTTCAAATGAAAAATACTATGTCTTGTTTCAAAAATAATAGTTTTATCTTGAGAATAAAATGTACTTAGAGATGACAAACAGTACCTTTCCAACTTATAAATACAGGGTTTTAAAATAGTGGTTCTCTTAGCTGGGCATGGTGGCAAATGCCTATAGTCCCAGCTACTTGAGAGTCTGAAGTGGGAGAATCACCTGAGCCTGGGAGGTTGAGGCTTCAGGGAGCCATGATCACGCCACTGCGCTCCACCAAGGACTACAGCAGTGAGACCCTGTCTCAAAAAAAAAAAAAAAAAAAAAAAAAAAAAAAAAAAAAAAGGTGGTTCTCTCAGTGTGCAGTGAGATAGGTTAAAAATATATATATATACAAAAATAGAATAGTGGTTCTCAACCTAACATCTAGAAAACCATCAACATACCATACACAAAGCTTAGGTATCTGTGTGGTTATTAATTTATTTTCCTATCAGTTATGTTAACAGAGATAACTTAACGGAAGTATCCAGCTTTTCAATTTATCACCAGAAACAATTTTGTTAAGTCTTAGTTGATAAGTTGATAAGTGCTTAGTTGATAAGTGCTTAGTTTAAGCACTTCCTGTCTTAACAAAGCCTGAAAGAAGAAAATATCATCAAGATCTCTGAACTCAGCTTAGGACTTCTAAAATTAACACTTCTCTTAAGATCTACTTGTACCTAATAAAAGTCTCATTCATATGCTAGCAAACCAGCCCCAAAATGAGATAAACACAGTACATCTTTTAAAATATTTAGATGTACAGCTGTCATGATTAAAGAGAATAAATCCAGAGTGAGTTCGCCACTATAATGGACAGCCACTGCAATGGCAGTCATGATCATGGTCATGCTGCTGCCCAACAGGAGGAATATTTAAGTCTCTATCTCATTTGATAAGAGAAACATAGTAAACTTCCAAAGGTATCAACCCTGCTAGTTTTAGGGGGACTCTGAATACTACACATAATATCAGTTGTAGACAACCAAAACAAAAGAATGATTCCCAAAAAGTGAAATATATCCATTACGCTATTTATAACTGCTTATCTGGAAATGCTCAAGAAACTGACTTTGCAGTGACTAAATTGTTGCATGCCAAAGTTAGAAAGGAGAGCTATATTACATCCAAGTTAGTTATGTGCAAAACATTTTTTTTAAAAGACTAAAGAAGAGAGAGATATAGACAGAATTCAACCCAAGTTTAAAAACGAAAACAAAACATATTGTCCCTGGAGGAAGAATAGGTGATTGGAATAGAAAGGATTTTCACTTAATGCCATGTTACTGTAAACTATTAAAATCTGGAAAACTTTCCCCAAAATTACAATCAACGAAAATATGCCCTGGATATAACTGCTTAGTTCTGTAATGCATGATAAACTTTATCCTAAGAGCACAATCACAAATTGATGAAATATGGTATTAGTGGAGTTAACAAAGTGACAGAATAGTTATTTGCAATATCCCTTTTCTTGATTAAGTACCTTTCATCAGTTACACTCAATATTTTGATCATAGCCTTTTAACTTTTTTCACATTTATTATAGGTATATATAAACTAGTAATACAACCCTTAAGTGTTCTGAATATTCAAAATAATAATAATAATAATACAAGCTTGAGTTAGGTTTTTTTTAATGTTTGCTGTAATTATATTTTCCTATTTGGTAAGTCTTCATTGATGGTACAACTATACAAACTATACAAGAAGCCATTTTTGTATAGTTGTATGCAAAAAGCCATTTTTGTATAGTTGTATGCAAAAAGCCATTTTTGTATAGTTGTATGCAAAAAGCCATTTTTGTATAGTTGTATGCAAAAAGCCATTTTTGTATAGTACACAAATGCTCATGGTACATTGTACAAAAGTAGAATCACATACTATAATATACATTTTATTCACTTAAGTAACAATGCCTATATGTTTTATTTCAGATAATTTTGGATAATTGAGGCAAGAACTTAGAAGAAAAAAATTATACAATTCACATGACATTTTAATACAGCCAATTTTGACCCAAAACGGTGATAAAAATAAATTAACCAATTAACACAAGTAAAATAGTACTTCAGAAATATAAAAGAAACCAAAATCAAGAAATCCTGGCCGGGTTCGGTGGCTCACACCTGTAATCACAGCACTTTAGGAGGCCGAGGTCTGGCCAATATGGTAAAACCCCATCTCTACTAAAAATACAAAAAATTAGCCAGGTGTGGTGGCACGTGCCTGTAAGCCCAGCTACTCGGGTGGCTGAGGCAGGAGAATCACTTGAACCCAGAAGGTAGAGGATGCAGTGAGCCGAGATCGTGCCACTGCACTCCAGCCTGGGCAACAGAGCCAGACTCTGTCCCAAAAAAAAAAGGAAATCCTAGCTAAATATGCTTTGATATATTCATTCTCGTATAGATGTATGTACACATGAGCCAAATAAAGTTTACAGTGTCTATTTTTCCATTATCTATACTATTATAATTTATCAAAACAAAATCCATAATGAGGCTGTCACATTTAAAGTAATTAATATTCATTACCTGAGACTGAAGTGCCAGAAAAAGGATAGTGCCATCTCTATGCCATATAAAACCTTAAATAAATACAAACCCTGATAAAAAGAAAGCAGCATGCCAGAGATCTCTGAAGACAGTGCCAACGCTGTGAGAGGTGCTTGTACCGTGGTTCTGAACTGCTCCCTCTTGTGTGTTATCTGTGGTACTAGAACCATCTCCTTCCCTATGTACTTCCAAATGGGCTGCTTTTCTTAATTTCCTTCATCAGAAGAGATTAAGAATGGAAGGCAGCTTTAATATTTTAATAACCACTTTCTCAGTAGTACAATCAAAATTTTGGAAAACATAAACACAGGAACTTTACTTAACACATAATAAAATTTAGATTTACTAGATAAAATTTAATCCAAATATCATGATGCATATTCAAGACCAATTTCTAGAAATGTTAAGGTATTGGTCCTTGCTTATAGTGGCAGGTCAGTGGACAGAAGATTGAAAGGATTGCATTGGATGGATATTTACAAAAGCATTTCTTCCCTATTTGAATGCCACTTATCTGCAGATGAAGAAAGAAGAAAATTTAGATTGGAGAGAATTATAATCTAATTTATGGACATTGCTATTTATCTAATGTATTATCTTTTAAAAATGAGATGGGCTTAAATCTCAGCACCAAAAAACTACAAATGTCACAATCTCTTAGCAATGATATTCAAAAGAGGACCTGCTCCAAAAGAACCTTAAAACAAACTCCAGTGTGCTGATTGGCCAGTGAGATATGCTATATTTACTGAATCAAGGGTAATATTAAACAGATTCAAACAGAATTTAGTGGCCAGGTGTGGTGGCTCATGCCTGTAATCCCAGCACTTTGGGAGGCCGAGGTGGGAGGATCGCTTGAGCCCAGGAATTCAAGACTAGCCTGGACAATAAAGTGAGACCCCATCTCTACAAAAAATAAAAAATAAAAAAACTAGTCAGGTGGGGTGGCATACACCTGTATTCCCAGCTACTCAGGAGGATGAGGTGAGAGGATCACTTGAGCCCAGGAGGTCCAGGCCACAGTGAGCTGGACTCCAGCCTGGGTGACGGAGACAGTGAGACCCTGTCTCAAAAAAAATACAAAAAAAAAAACAAAACAAAACCAAATAGCATTTAGTAAATACAGTTTAGCTGAAATTTTTTCTAGGTTTTTGTTTTTGCCAAAGCATCTTCTATTAGAAATACAAGATTTTTATAAGTAGTAGGAATTATTAACAATCTAGCTAACATATATTGTCTACATTGATATTAGGTGACTATAAATGAGCTTCAAGGAAAAAAAAAAAAAAGAAACAAAAACACAGGCATGTGGTCTTAAAATGGCCTTGAAGCAAATATGGAAACTAAATCATCTGGTAATTGATTCTGAAGCTCAGTGTTTTTTTGAAACAGCAACCTTACAAGATAAGATTTTAGTCTATGAAGGTAAGAGGAGTCAAGAACAATCGTAGATTCAAATTACATAAATGTACAAAAAGATTACTTTTTAAAAAACAGTACCTTCTTCTTTTACCCCCTGTACTTAGAGGAGGTTTGGGTGTTCTTGTGGAAACAATCTGGCAATGCACAGTTCCCAGGAGCAGCATCAGCCATATCGGCCCAATCACCTCTGTCAGAGGTATGCTGTGTGGGCTAGAAGTGGAGCAGAATAATACTATTGCAGCAACTATAAAAAGGGAAAGAAAATATGCTTAATTATAGATCTGATAGTCACCTCTTCAAAACTTTTAAAATTGTTTTTACATTATTTTTTGCCAAAATATTTTTCTAAATTTAAATGAGTTTAAAATATTACTATAGAGACAAGCTCTCTCAGACTGTTTTATTGTCTGCCGCAGCCTAACCATGGTATTTAGTAATAAACTCTCGGAACAAGACAACACCCAACATAGTCTCTAAACTACACCTCAACGCTGCAACGTAAATTAGATGCATATGAATCAAAGGACATTTCTAAGTAACATCACAGACAATCAAAGAACTACCCTAACCTCAAGTACATTATTTCTTTGTTTTACAAATAAAGAAATCTTATGATAAGTGTATCATACAGATACAAAGAGCTTCTTATTAATAGAGGTCTATCTCCTTAGAATTAATAACAAATTTACTTAGGCATAGTTTCCAGAGAAACCACTAAACATCCATCAATGCTAACTATTACTACATGAAGGGAAATCTTGTTTTGCCTACACAGCATCCCTTAGACTTTCTGGACATAAACTCTCTTTACCTTCGTCTCCCTCCTTTATCCATCAATCATACATTCTTATTTCTCCCACCTCAGGGATAGACATGTAACCTAGGCTTGTCACAGTCTTAGTAAGTCTGAATACAAAAGCTTATAAAAAGATGGGCAAGTGACCTAAGCAGGGCCAATCAGTCTTTTTCAGGGACTAATATAGGTGCTTCAAGACCTTTCTCCTAGATCACAAACACTAAAGACTATGAAAAAATGAAATTGCTAGGGGCCACCTTAGCCACCACCTAGAAAGAGCCAACCTAAGAATGTGACCAGCAAGACCAAAGTCTACAGCAAAAAGAAGTGAAGATATTATCCGAGCCTCTCAATCCAGCCATGCCTGAATCCAGGGCCAAGGAGTACCTAAAATAAAATGTAAATATTATAAGATTTTTGGTCATTTTGTTAAGTGTTATCACTGTAATGTGGTTATATGTGCTTATTTTGAAGAGACATATATTGATGTATTCAGGGGTAAAATGTCTCAATGTATATAATTTACTTAACAAAACAGATTAAGTAAACATCCCAAAACGTTAATCATTGTTAAAGAGATGGGTATTTAGGTGTTTAGGGTGACCATGTAATTTACCATCTAAACCAAGACACTTTTGAGAGTGAAAGGCACCAGGACAACATGAGTAAACTTGGGTTGGACAATCCCAGGCAAACTGGGACATATGGCCACCCCAGCTGTTGTACTATTCTATCTAGTTTCCTGGGTTTTTTTTGTTTAGCTTTTATGATAAACAGTAAAATTAACGACCAAAAAAACCAACTTCTTGTAAAAGCTAGTTTGCATTTAGTTTCTGCCACCTGCAACTCAAAGAATCCTGGTCCAATATACCAAACGCTTAAAACATCACTTAATCTGCTAATACACTTTAATATACTTAAAGAGTATCATGAAAACAAATTTCAGCTGTATGTAACTGTAAGTAATAAGAAAAAAAAATTTAAAATGCCAATCATCGTTATGAATTACCCTGGAATTTAACCCAAATTCTCTAGTTATTCCATAACAGTCTGGAATTTTGAAAAGCAGAGAGTCTTTTTTGTTTTTAATATGAATTCTAATGTGACTTTTATCAAGTTCTTTAATGTTTTTGAGCCTTGGTTTAATCTTCTGTGTATCTACATAGTACACAGCATACATACAGTACATAGGCACTATAATAGGTTTTAGGTGAGGTAGTGCATGTAAAACATTTTGAAAAGCTGCTTATACACCGTAAATGTATACTTAACATTGGTGAATAGTAGCTTTTTTTTTTTTTTTTTTAGCTACCATTAACTCTTAATTTTTCTTGAGACGGAGTCTCGCTCTGCTGCCCAGGCTGGAGTGCAGTGGTGCGATCTCGGCTCACTGCAAGCTCCGCCTCCCAGGTTCACGCCATTCTCCTGCCTCAGGCTCCCGAGTGGCTGGGACTACAGGTGCCCGCCACCACGCTTGGCTAATTTTTTGTATTTTTAGTAGAGATGGGGTTTCACCGTGCCATTAACTCTAATTTTAAAAGGGGCAAGTACAAATGCTTACTTAAGAAGTTCAGAGTTTCAGACACAAAGGAGAACATCTTTTAAAACTTTAGGTTTTATATAACCTGTTGCTGGTTATTTATCTGAACTCTTTCAGCCCTGTGATCACCATTCTCTGTAATCCTAGGGCTGGGAGCATACAAATTATATTTTCTGTATATCTTAACAGGAAGTTATTACATACTGTGAAATTCTGACGACAAGGCATTAGAAAAAGGAGGAGGAGCCACTTTCTTCCTCTCTTTTTCCTTCTTTCTTCTGACTGTATCTTTCTAAAAGTGATCATGTCCCTCCCATGGTCTCAGTTCCTGAGACAGTAGCTTTTCCTCCGTAACTCTGGTATCACTTCCCCTTTTTGTTTTCCTCTCAAGTTAAGGTTTAGAAGATATATGGAGAGCCGGGCGTGGTAGCTCCTGCCTGTAATCTCAGCACTTTGGAAGGCTGAGGCCGGCAGAACACGAGGTCAGGAGTTTGAGACCAGCCTGGCCAATATGGAGAAACCCCATCTCTGCTAAAAATACAAAAATTAGCTGGGCTTAGTGGCACACGCCTGTAGTCCCAGCTACTCGGGAGGCTGAGGCAGAAGAACTGCTTGAACCTGGGAGGTGGAGGTTGCAGTGAACCGAGATCATGCTGAGATCATGCACTCCAGCCTGGGCAACAGAGCGAGACTCCGTCTCAAAAAAAAAGAAGATATATAGAGAAAACATTCACTTATTTTATATAATGCTGAGTTATACTTTTTGAGCATTTAATGAAGTCCTACGAACTAGACAGTGCTGCTAGAGATTTCTGCTGGAGATCAACTAAGACAGAATGTTGTTGGGCACAAATATTTCAAAGGCAGGACTTCACGTACTGGGCAAGGGGAACTCTAGGAGTAGGCTGGATGCAATGGCTCACACCTGTAATCCCAGCACTCTGACAGGCTGAGGCGGGTGGACTGCTTTAGCCCAGGAGTTTGACACCAGCCTGGGCAACAAGGCGAAACCCTGCCTCTACAAAAAAATTTCAAAAATTAGCTGGGAATGGCAGTGCATGCCTGTAGTTCCAGCTATGGAGGTAGAGGTAGGAGGAATGATTGAGCCTTGGAGGTTGAGGCTGCAGCGAGCCATGACTGCACCACCGCACTCCAGCCTGAGCAACAGAGAGAAACTGTGGTGGCTGACAACTGTAATCCCAGCACTTTAAGAGGGTGAAGTGGGAGGATTACTTGAGGTCAAGAGTTCAAGACCAGCCTGGGCAACATATTAAGACCCCATCTCTACAAAAATAAAAATAAAAATAATTAGCTGGGCATGGTGGCGTGCTCCTATAGTCCTAGCTAGTTGGGAGGCTGAGGCTGGAGGATTGTTTGTGCCCGGGAGTTCAAGGCTGCAGTGAACTATGATCGCACCACTGCACTCCAGCCTGAGCAACAAAGCAAAACCCTATGTCTAAAAAACAGAATAGAATAGAATGGAATATTATCTTCCATTTTTAGGACTGTTAATCTTTAAGATTCAGTGGCAATTAGGCAATGCAGAAAAAAAGACAAGACACAGTCTCCGCTCCCTATCCCTTGGTTTAGACCAGGGGTATCCAATCTTTTGGCTTCCCTGGGCCTCACTGCAAGAAGAAATGTCTGGGGCCACACATAAAATACACTAACACTAACGATAGCTGATAAGCTTTAAAAAAATTAAAAAAAATCTCATAAGGTTTTAAGAAAGTTTATGAACCTGGGTTGGGCCACATTCAAAGCCATCCTGGGCTGCATGTGGCCTATGGGCCATGGGTTGGACAAGCTTGGTTTACAGGAAAGAAGAGACATATAAAGAAACAATGAAAATACCTGTTATGAACTAAACTGTGCTCCTTTCATCCTCCCCACACAAATGCATATGCTGAATGAAGCCCTAACCCACAATGTGACTACGTTTGGAGACAGGGCCTATAAGGAGGTAGTAAAGGTTAAACAGATTCGTAAGTGTAAGGCCTTAAACTGATACGACTCTTGTCTTTATATGAAGAGGCAGAGATACCAGAGTACTCTCTCTCTCCACTCACACACACAAGAAAGGCCCTGTGAAGACACAGCAAGAAGGTGGACATCTACAAGTCAGAGAAGCCTCATCAGACACCAACTCTGACATTGCCTCACTCTTGCACTTCCACCCCTCAGAATGGTGAAAAAATAAATTTTGTTGTATAAGCCACCCAATCTGTGGTATTTTGTTATGGTAGCCCAAGGTGACTAATATAACACTTATGATTAACTGCTATAATATACATAAGAAAGATATGTAACTACATTGGGGAGTTACGAAAGGATTCTTCAAGAAAGTGATGTCTGATGTCTAATCTAAATTTGAGAGAACATAGAGGATTGACTAAACAAAAGGGAAAAGGGCTACCCCACGCAAAGGGAGTTGCATGTCCAAAGACACATAGGCAAAAAAGCATGGAATGTTTAAGAAACAGCAAAGAGCTAGTTTAGCCTGGTTAAGGTGGGATAGAAATTCAAGGAGGGATTTGAAAACTCAGATTGCATCTTGAAAGCAATGATAACTAGTGAAGAAATTTAGATCTTAAGCAGCTGGTTTGAATTTGTCATTTAATAGGTAAATGGACAGAAAGTAGAAGATGATATGAGGTTTCCTGGCAGTAATCTTGGCAAGAAACTAGGCAACCAAGACATGCAGAAATGGGGATAGAGCTGAGAATACATAGCTGAGATACTTAAAAAGCATGTAATTGAAATAAAAAAAACTATACATAGTTATATAAAACCAAATCTGACTGCATTTGATTCTTTCTGCCTTTCAAGAAGTGCGAACAAGAATGAGGACATAACTCAGAGCACTGCAGCACCCTGCTTTTCCACAGGGTGCTGCAATGGAGACAGACATACAGTGGTTTTCAAAGGTAATGGCAGCCTGCCGAGGGTCATCAGAGTCACATCATGACTTTGGCACTAGCTGTGTGACTTTAAGAAGGTTAAGTCATTTCTCTAACTAAGCTTTACTAGGAGAATGTTTAGTGTTCATCATAAGGGCCTTATGATTAAACTTGGATTCTGAACTTAAAAATATCTCATTTAATGCCCAATCTAACCCGTGTTCCCTATTTAACTTAGAGGAACCAGTAAGTAAATTTCAGACACAATATAATTATACAATGTCAGTGAACTTTTAGTTACATTGGAAACTTGTTTGTCGTGGAATACTAGAAAGCAGCAATATCTTAAAAAGCACAATGCACTGTGATGTACAATCAATGGTACTGAATTACTCTAATAAACTATTGCAATTTCTGACCACATTCAAATAAAGTTTTCTCATCTAGGTAAGCCAGAAAACCTTTGAAGATAACTATACTTAAATTAAGCTCTCTTAAGTCCTTTTGAGAAGAAAACAAGAAAATGATAAAAATTATGATCACTATAACTAGAAAATACTGATAAGCAAATATGATCACTTCAGCAGTAATTATAATAGCAAAAAATAGCAATCAGCTTAACTGCCCAATATTGAAGTAGGACAAGATATTTTCTAGTAACTTAGAAGTTATATTTACAAAGACTTTGATATTATGACATTAGGTAAAAAAAAATGTAGCTGTTCATATAAAATAATCTCAACTATTTAAAAAGTATTATAAATTTAAAGGCAAGATGATGGGTAGTTCTTTTTTTCTTTAGCTTTTTCTACATTTTCCAAATTTCCTGCCATGAAAATATTATTATATCTTTAATCAGAAAACACATACACACATTCTAATAACAACAAACCACAAAATTATCATAGTCCACACCCTTTTATGTATATAAGATGTAACCTGGCTTAGAAGAAACAACTTTATCTAAATAACAGTCTGCAGTTTTTATTATATTTTCATTTATTTAAAAAGTATCTCTTAGAATCTGTTGATAAAACAAATTTAAATAATCATTCAGGATTGTAATCATGGTTTTTTTTTTTAATCACATATTAAAAAGACTGAAAGGACATGAACCAAATGAAAATAACGGCTTTGTTCACGTGATGGAATATGAATAGTTTCTTCTTTAGTTTCTAAATGCTCTACAATGTTATACATGTTGTGTTATATACTGCTGCTAAGACTATGCACTAGAATGTTGTTTTAGGAGGCACCATAAGAGCGGTTAAGTGTGTGGTTCTGGGATCAGAATGCTTAGAATTGAATCTGGGCTCTACCATACTTGATGACTATGTGGCGTTGGGCACTCAGGTCTTTCAGGTCCCACGTCTATAAGCGAAGCATAGTAACAGTCCCTGTACTTCATCAGGTTGATGTGAGAATGAAATGAGAATCTAGAAAGCACCTAGCAGAGTGCACGGTATACAGAATTTTGATAAAGTATAAGGACAGCTCACATCACGGTGGTAAAAGGCACAGAAAAAAGAAACTATACCTATGGCAGGAATAATAAACTTGTATAGGTTGTATTTTTAAAAGACTGGTATGTATGTATGTGTGGAAGATGCATTTTGATGAGGTTTTTTTTCTAATTTTAAAAAATCTTCTCGATTTCTATTTTTCTTTAGCCATCTATAGATTCAAATATTCATAAAATTATACTGAAAAATAACTGCTTTGTTTTCTCAAATATTTTTAATACCAAATCAATTATGTGCCTTTATTAACATACTTATACATCATACTCAGTAGTAGTTAGCATATGTTTAAAACAAAGACTTATTAAACCTAACAATGTAACATTCTGAAAAGTAAAAGCAAAAATCACTTAATTATACCTTGAAGAAGATAAAGGACAAGAAGCCAGAAAAAGATGACCTTTGATGTTACTTGTAACCACCACCGGAAGAAAAAGGGGAAAAATACAACTCGAACAATTCCCTTTCTGGTCAGAGAAGTCCAAGGACTTTCAGGCTTTGCCTTTGCAAATGCAGACCCTGAAAAAAGTAAAATAGGACAACAGAGTATATTTATATATTATTCTTTAATTTCTTTAAAGAAAAAAATTTCAATGTTTGAAAAACATCACCACATAATTTTATTCTGTATTATACTATGAGTGAGAAATGTCCAATTTATAGATACTTTAAATATTTTGAAAAAAACATTTTTTGAAATAACAGAATTTCTCCCACATATTTTATAAATATAGAACAATATTCAAATGTCAGTTCTAGTTAGGAATTACAAATCACCACTTTAATTGTTTTTTGGTTTTGTTTGTTTGTTTGTTTGTTTGTTGAGATAGGATCTCACTCTGCTGCCCAGGGTGGTGTCAAACTCCTGGGTTCAAGAGATCCTTCTGCCTTCAGCTTCCCAAAGTGCTGGGATTATAGGTGTGAGCCATTGTACCTGGTCCCATTCTCTCTTTTTAATACTATTCTTGTCTTCATCAAGGTTCACAATGTTTTTATTTCTAAAAAGATAGACAGACAGATAGATATCTGATATAGTTTGGAATATCAGTCCCCATTCAAATCTGATATTGAATTGTAATCTCCAATGCTGGAGGCAGGGCCTCATGGGAGGTATACGGGCCATAAGGGTGAAGCCCTCATGGCTTGAGGCTGTCCTTGAGATAGTGAGTGAGTTCTCAGGAGATCTGGTGATTTAAAAGTGTGTGGCACCTCCCCACTACCACTCTCTGGCTCCTGCTCTGGCCATGTGATGTGCCTGGTCCCGCTTGCCTTCTGCCATGGGTAAAGCTTCCTACCCCAGAAGCAGGTGCTGGTGCTGTGATTTCTGTACAGCCTGCAGAACCATGAACCAATTAAGCCTCTTTTCTTATAAATTACCCAATCTCAAGTATTTCTTTATAGCAATGCAAAACAGCCTAATACAATATTTAAACCTATTTTGAATTCTGTTTCTTCCAGAACAATGTCTACTTGTATTAAGCATTTATTTATCAGACTCACCTCTTACAAGATCAACATCTATGAGGTCTGGTTTCACATGTGCTGTTTTCTTTGGTTTATTCCTTAGCCCCTATAATATATCAAAAGAAGCATTGGAATTGTATATATACTTAAATCTAGAACAGGAGAAAATCAATTTCTAAAGCTTTCAATTTAAAATAAAATTGTTAATAGTACCAACAAAATGTAACACATTATGCATTTGTTACAAACAGAACACAATTACAGTATTGTAATAAATTTTATTATTGTTCAAAAAGATATATTTAGAGATGTGTGTAACATGCCAGGCCGGTTTATTACCAACAGTAAAATTCTACTACAAATACTATTACTACCAAGCAAATTTAGGTGTACAGCTTTAGGTGTAGAGGGAACTATATTGGCCCCATATTGGCATTTGGAGAGCGTTGAGGCTAGCTAGGGGAGCAGCAGCCCTGAAGGAACCTCAAGGTGTGGTGCTGGAGGCATTATTTCAGAAAGCAGTAAATCACACAGCTGAGGACCAGAAAGGATGCAGACTTCTCAGCAGACGCCAATCAGCTGAGACCCAGGGAGGACAATGCACTACTCAAGGATGATGGTTGCCATTATGTTCACATGTCAACCCCTCATCAGACCATAAATGCCACCTCATCACCTCAAAACTTAGACACCATAACCAGGAAGGGGAGGAGGGAGAGGCAGTTGTCATAAACTGAATTCATTTAAACTTGAAATTATTGAACACTGAGTAAAATTAAGTTTCTGCTATCAGTATACAGAGTGGAGTGGGGGGTGTAGATCAAAACTAGTGAAAAAAAAACCTATAACAAAGTAAATTATTACTTAAGACTAGAATGTTAAGAATTGGAAGAGCTAACAAAAATAAAAATAAAAAAGAGAAAACAAACAAAAAGAACTGCAAGAGCTTAAGCTAAACTCTTCAGGAGCCAATTACTGCGAGATGACACAAGTGTTTAGATGATTTGGTTTTTATTCATTCAATTAAGCAAGTAACTGTGCAGTAAATCCTGTCTTTGGTCCTAATCCAAGTAACAATGACACCCCCCATCAAAGTAAAAATCTGATTAAGTATTCTGTTTGAATCTAAAACAAAGAAGAGAACCATATTTGAGGTCAGAATTAACTGAGGTGTCTAAACCAAAAATGCGCCCTGAAACCAATATGCAATTAATCTTTGAATCCCTTCAAATAGTTCTGGCTGAAGTTGCAAACCACCCAGAGATGCAAAAACAAAAATGAAGGAGACAGGGTAAAAGTTAAAGAAATAGCAATGATAATTTTATATATAGTCGATCCTCATATTCTCAGATTCCATAATTGCAAACACACCTACTTGGTAAAATTTCTTTGTACCCCCAAATCAACGTTCACGGTGCTTTTGCCCTAATTTGCAGACACGCATGGAGTGAAAAAAAAAAAATTGAGTCACCCAACGTGCATGTTCTCAGCTGAGGTCGAACAAGGTGATGCTTTAACCTTCCTGTTTCAGCTCTGATTACTGTAAACAGTGTCCTTTATTTGTTATGTTTTTCACATTTTTGTGCTTTTTGTTGGCAATCCTGTTGTTCAAGATGGCCCTCAAGTATAGTGCTTAAAACAGTGTCTCGTGTTCCTAAGTGCAAGAATGCTGTGATGTGTCTTACAGAGAAAATGTGTTAGATAACCTCTGTTCACCCAGGCACAGTGGCTCACGCCTTTAATCCCAGCACTTTGCGGGGGCCAAGGTGGGCGGATCACTTGAGGCCAGGAGTTTGAGAACAGCCTGGCCAACATGGTGAAACCCCGTCTCTACTAAAAATACAAAAAATTAGCTGGGCATGGTGGCACTCGCCTGTAATCCCAGCAACTTGGGGAGGCTGAAGCAAGGAGAACTGTTTGAACCCAGGGGTTGGAGGTTGCCATAAACCAAGGTCACACCATTGCACTCCAGCCTGGCGACAAAGTAAGACTCTGTCCCAAACAATATAAAATAAAATAAATAAATAAATAAATAAAGATAACCTCTGTTCAGATATGATTTACAGTGCTGTTGGCCATGAATTGTTAATGAATCAAAAATATATATTAAATAAGGTGTCTTTAAACAGAAACACACATAAAACAAGGTACTTCCCCAGGCAGCAATGGTTCAGTATGCACTAATTCAGTGTTCATGGGTGACTTTATAGAACATAGCTACCCCAAATAATGAGTATGGGCTGTATCTGTACATTATTTCTGATTTTAATGTCACTATAAAGCGGCTGATGGATTAGAAATCATTCCCAAGATTTTGCAAATTGGAGAAGCAACTGTAATAATACATATATTTAAACAAAACTTCATTAATAAAGCACTATTTGGATTTAGTATTGTTTATTACAGTAAGATTTTACCTTTATTACTGTAAAAATATTTGAAAACAGTAACACATTTTAATTTACTTGTTTTTTATAAATTGCTTCCCTAACAACTTGAAAGTAACCTTATTGCCAATGTCTTCTGACTAATCTGAATCCTAATTTATTGCTGTATACCTAAAATTTTTATCAAGATTGTTTTAAGAATCAAAAGTCCCTACAGGAGAAACAGTAAGTTGTCTTGATATGTGCAACTACTGTTTTTCAACATGCTTCTTCTAATCGACCTTGTTTATTTGGGGTTCATTTCCAATTTTATATTCTATTAAAATATATTTATTTTGAGCTATATTGTAGAGCCACACCCTAATAGCCAGTTTCAATAAAATTTTCCCTCTAAGGTAGCCTATCAAGATAATTTAAAGGTTTAAAAAGAAAAAAAAAAAAAACAGAAGGCCAGGTAAGGTGGTTCACGCCTGTAATCTCAGCACTTTGAGAGGCTGAGGTGGGCAGGATCACCTGAGGTCAGGAGTTCAAGACCAGCCTAGCCAACATGGTGAAACTCCATCTCTATTAAAAATACAAAAATTAGTCAGGCGTGGTAGCGGGCGCCTGTAATACCAGCTACTTGGGAGGCTGAGGCAGGAGAATCGCTTGAACCTGGGAGGCAGAGGATGCAGTGAGTTGCGATCAAATCTATAATTATTTTATTCACAAAAATAAAAGAAAGCATCAAGATATAACATTCATAACATCTGATTTTAATTAAGTAGCTATTTTACACTGGAAAATTTTCAATTGGCTTGGGGTAAACCACATTCACACAAAGTAGCATAGCTTTCAGTACTATCAAGAACTGTTAAACAGTTTAAATGAACAAATAAAAAATGAAAAGTAACATTTTCTTTAAAAAATGAGATTTTTAAAACTACTAATTTATGCACAAACTAGAAAGTAGAAACAAGCACCACAAATGCAATTAATATCCAATAATAAAAATATTTTATTTATTAAATATAATTTAAACTCTTATAGTATGTTCCTATAGTGAAATGACTCAAACACAGTAGTATAAAGTTTTTTATTTAAAAAAAACTCTCTAAGTACACAGATAATGTTGGGCCAAAAAAAAAAAAAAAAAATGAAATGGGCTGTTTAAGTTTAGAAAGTGCTTCTGTTCAGTTATCTAGACTTCTGTGTATTGTTAATATCTAGACTCCATCAAAGTACATAAACAGTTTCATTTTCTAGAAATCTTGTTTAGTTCCCCCACCCCCTTTTTCTCTGTAATGACTTTATAAGCTTTTTAAGTCTAGTCTTTTAAGAAGCTTTAAAAGTCTAGGAGACAGTAAAACAGGAAAAACTTCCAAATTTACTTTTAAATTTTGGTCACGGTAATCAGAAAAAATCAAAGTTTTTAGTTATAATTTCTAAAATGGTTATGGAAAAATAATTCGCAACTTACAAAAGGTTTTACGCTTTAGCAATATCAACTCTGGGTCTTTAATTGAAAAATAAACATTTCCAAAAAATATATTTTCATGTCTTTGATTTCTCTAGTAGCTGCTCACTGCTTTGACAACTAATGAAAGAATCAATTACATTGGACAAACTCAATACATTTGGTACACTGTTCTCTAAACAACAGGTAGAGTGTTTTTTTCTTAATCAAATATTAACATTAATACACCACAGTTACGTACCTCTCTAACTTCCTTAGAATAAATACGGAATTATTTTACACCATAATTTGCCTCCACTAGAATGTTTAGTAAAAATGAAATGTGCTTTTAGGCTTGTTAACAAATTGATCCTTTTAATTAAAAATAACAAGAGTAGGGAGGATGATAAGTTTATTATTTATGTATGTATGTATTTTTTAGAGACAAAGTCTCACTCTGTTGCCCAGGCTGGAGTGCAGTGGTGTGATCATGGCTCACTACAGCCTCGAACTCCTGGGCTCAAGTGATCCTCCTGGTTCAGCCTCTCAAGTAGGTGGGACTGCAGGTATGTCCCAGCTAATTAAGAAAAATAATTTTTTTTTTAGAGATAGTGTCTCACTTTGTTGCCCAAGCTGGTCTTAACTCCTGGACTAAAGCAATCCTCCCACCTGGGCCTCCTAAAGTGTTGGGATTTCAGGTGTGAGCCAGATAAATTGATTAATGGGTAGTGTGTACATTATTCATGTGATGGATACCCCAAAAGCTCTGACTTGACTGCTACGCAAGCTATGCATGCAACAAAATTGCACATGTACCCCATGACTTTGTACAAACAAAAAGGAAACAATAAAAATCTATAATTCAGTGGTTCTAAGTACATCCACAATATTGTGCAATCATTACCACTATCTAGTTTTAGAAATTTTTTTATCACCCCAAAAGGAAAAAAAAATAATGAGAACAACTTTTCTTTAATTTTGTCTCATTTTTATCTTTATTTTTAAAGACTAGTCAAGTGCAATAGTGGGAAAGAAGGAAAGAGTGAAACAAGGACTTCATCTGATCTATAACTGTCTGTGAACGATCGAGATAACTTGCTACCTTCAGACCTACCAAAAGAGCAAGTTTTTATGTTTTTAATTCTTCAATTACTATTACAAGGTATCATCTTTAAAGGGAGACACACTTCAGAAAGAAGTTGTAGGTCCTAACTTTCCCTAAGATCATCCTGTTAGTAGCACCAAGTAGTAACTAATATAATCCTTCCTCACCCTAACATACATTTAGGATTTAAAAGAGTTCTTTTAAAAAAGAGGAGGTTACATAAGTAATGTAGTAATTTGTGAATACAAATAGTAATTTGTGAATAGCTTCCAAAAACTAAAAAAATTATTTATATATATTTTTTCTGAGGCTTTTAAATTCCAAATGTGTCAACCTGATAACATAACCTCTCAAGGTACTTATATCTCCTGTCTAATGAGTTAAAGGCTTTCTAACTGTCAAAGAGGATAAAAGGTATTATGGCATCTTACTAGACCTCTCTGCTGCTCTTTATTTGCTTGACTATCCCAACTCTTCTTCATACTCTCTCCATACTATTTTCTCATGGATCTCCTACTTCTCTTTCCTTCTTTACTTGCATCTCTTTATTTACCTACCCATTAAATGTTAGTTATTTCCCAATGCTCTGTTCTCAGTCCTTTTATTTCATCATTCAACAGAAATCTACTCATTCCTATAGCTATATCTATATAATGTTTTATATATGTATGTATGTATCACATACAAACACATACCTATACATATTCACACTTTATAAACTGAGAACTCTCAAATGTCCCTCCCAAGTACCAAATAGATATTTCTATAACAGAATTCTAAATGTGCTCTTCTTCCAGTATTTCCTATCATCCTTAGTGCTGCCTGTGTACATTTGTCAAAATATAATCTTCTGCTTAAAATCTTCCAATATCTCCCCTGTTGTTTTCCAGATTATGTCTAAATTCTTTGGCAAGGCATTCAAGCCCCTTCATAATCTGACTTCCATTTTCCTTTCTAGTTTTACTCCTAATGACACTAGTCTCCTTCCTCTATCCAACCTATTATCAAATCAAACTCCTTGGGGAGTCCTGCCTCAATCATGTTTCTTCCATCCTTTACATATATTTCCATCTGCTCTTCATCTGTCTGAAATGTCTTCCTTGAGTTAATGAACCACTTCCTCTATGAAATCTTTCCCAACCTCCCCAGGCTTGTCTCCCCTCTCGCTCTTCTATAGAGTTTTAGACATGCCTCTCTTAAAGGAATTTATCTCATGTGTAATTATGCATCTCCCCTACAAAACTATAATCTATTTTATCTTTCTGTCCCAGGACTTAATCCTATATTTAACGCATACCACAACTTTGTTAAATGTATTAATCCTTCCTCAAAAGTTTAGAGATTATAATTGCCAAATGGGAAAGAATCTTGCTCTTTATTACAAGTGACTAAGTAGTCTAAACATTAACAAATTTTTGGACTGATCTTTAGTAACTATAGACACTGGTTTTCAATCTAATGAAAACTTTTCTATACAAAATAGAAAATGTCAAGTAACTAAGGTAATACTGTCTGTGCCCAGATTAAATTTAGCTCGTGCAAAAACACACTGATTAGTATCTATGCAAATGAAAAAATATAAATCTTATTACCAATAAAGAGTGCTGGGAAACAATAAATTCAGTTGAAAAACAGTTTTCATGCTAGCAAGGTAATCTATGAGAATATTTTATCAGCATAAGAGATATGATTACATGTTCAGGAAGAAAATGCCTACTACAAAAACATTTTAATTAGTGCTTTACTGTCCTAACTTCTTTTTTAAAATGACCAACTTTTCAGTGACTCTTTTCGAGTCCAAGTCAATCTGTTAGTAGCACCAAAAAGCAGATCTCAATTAAGCAGACCAGCATTTGCACAGGATCACTCAGGCGGGAAAAATCCTGAAACACTTACCAGTTTAATAAACTGTACAGAGCAATGACAGCATCAAAAGGGAGAAAAAGCAAACTAGAAGTATAAGGTGACAAGTGAAAGGGGAAAAAAGCTGACAAAAAAATAGTCATTAGAAATTCAATTTTAAAAGAACAGAAAGATGATAAAAAGAAAAAACCAACATCAGGAGTAAACGTGACTATGGTAAATAAAGTTTACTTCTTTCTTTAAAAGCTTCAATAGAATAGTAATTTATATCTTAAAAGTATATTAAAAAACACTACAGAAAATGTAATTAATAATTCATAGAACTATGTTTCAAAATAAACAAAATGAAATAAACTCCTTACCTTGATTTCTCTCTGTTCAACAGATTTTTCCCATATTTGTTGATCATATGCTCCAATCTATGAAAAGAAGACACTACATTAAATGGTCATTGCTGGTACCCATCAAATAGGTATAACTCTGCTTGAAATACAAGCAACTCAGTATTCATTCAGCACAGATTAGATTTAGCCCTATCTCAGACTTCTCAGATCAGTATCATATTATTGCAGTGGTTCTCAAAGTATGATTTCAGGACCAGTAGTACTAGCGTCACCTTGGAATTTGTTAGAAATGCAAACTCTCAGGCCCCACTCCAGAGTTACAGAATCAGAAATACAAGAGTGAGGCCCCAAAACCTATGTTTTAAAAATCCCTCTTGAACAGAGAGGAGAACAACAGACACTAGGGCCTACTTGAGGGAGGAGGTTCAAAGGAGGGAGAGGTTCAGAAAAAAAACAAAAAACTATCAGGTACTATGCTTAGTACCCAGGTGATGAAATAACCTATACACCAAACCCCCAAGTCATGAGTTTACCTATATAACAAACCTGGACATGTATCCCTGAACCTAAAATAAAAATTAAAAAACTTTTTAAAATCCCTCTTGATGATTCTGATGTTGAAAACCACTGCCCTAGGGAATCCTTAATTGTAAATAAACACAATTGCTACAGCTCTGTTATATTTGGGGAAAAACTTCCAAGTGACAAATTCTTTATGGCATTATTTTTAAAGAAGACAAGTACTAATATGCTATACAATTAAAAATTTATAAACATGCAGACTGCAATTACCACTTAAAGTTTAAATTGGAAAACAAAGTTGTGAAATGATTGAAGACACAGGAAAATAATTATGAAGCAGAATTTCTTACAGCTTCTATTTTTATTATTCTTAGATGCTGGAAAGTTCTCTGAACTATACCTTCACCAGGGCAGGATGAACAAATCATTCTTTATTGTTCCCACCCAAGTTATTTGCTATTAGCTCCTGCTGTCTCCAGTTTCCACTTAATTCCCCATATCCAAAAGGACACTGAAATGGGTCAACACCATATAACTGTGACTAGGAATTTTCATTATTTGCATTAATTTAAAATTAGAAGCCTAAGAAATTAAAAATATTTCAGATAACTACACTTAAGAGACTAGAGACAGAAAATGACCAGAGATAGGCAATGATATTATAAGAAAATACAGGAGGAAAGAGTATTTTCTGACTCACAACATAATTTACCCTAAAGTCCTTTAATCTACACATTATTTTTTATATCTCAATTTCAAGAACTGAGAAACTGAGAATACCAAAATGGGTTAAAAGTAGACACAAAGGAGGTAGAATAAAATAACTTAAGTGACTTGATAAGAACCTTTAATGTCTGTTATTCTTTTTTTTGAGATAGAGTCTCGCTCTGTTGCCCAGGCTGGAGTACAGTGGTGCAATCTCGGCTCACTGCAACCTCCGCCTCCTGGGTTCAAGTGATTCTTCTGCCTCAGCCTCCTGAGCAGCTGGGGCTACAGGCGCGTGCCACCACGCCTGGTTAACACGCCTGGCTAATTTTTTGTATTTTTAGTACAGACGGTGTTTCACCGCATTAGCCAGGATGGTCTCGATCTCCTGACCTCGTGATCCACCCACCTCAGCCTCCCATAGTGCTGGGATTACAGGCGTGAGCCAACGCACCCGGCTATTCTCTCTTATACGTTATCTTGCTCGTATTAATTCTTCTGGTCCTGTAAATCCTATTCTCTTTTTCACCACTTTCCTGTGACTCTTTTATTTTAAAAATCATATTATGGCTGAGTGCAGAGTGGCTCTTGCCTGCAATCTCAGTACTTTGGGAGGTTGAGGTGGGAGAATCGCTTGAGCCCAGGAGTTTGGTACCAATCTTGGCAATGTAGTGAGACCTGTCTCTACAAAAAATTAAAAAATTAGCTAGGTGTGGTGGCACATGCTTGTAGTCCTAGCTACTCAGGGGACTGAGGTGGGAGGATTGCATGAGCCTGGGAGGTTGAGGCTGCAGTGAGCCATGATCATGCCACTGCACTCCAGCCAGGGCAGCAGAGTATTCTGCCTCAAACAAAAAACAAACAACAACAACAAAAAAAAACCATATTATACCCCCAAAATTAAAATATTGTAACACCTAGACCAAGCTACCTAGACCAAACAACATACTTATATGTAACTAAAACTGCCATGAGTCTCTATGAAGCAGGATTAAGAAACTCTAGGTAAACAACAACCAACTGGTTAGTCCTAATGGTAGAGGTGACCTGCGGTGACTAGTTGCCCCTCATCCTCTTAAATTATAAATTCAATCAATCAGTCATCTTCCTTAAAATCAGAAAAGGTAAGTATGGGAACATAGATTCCACATGAATAATTCTGCTCTAATAGAATAATTCAGAATAACTGGGCTTAAATGCAAATAAAAATTTATTTTTTAGGCCAGGTGCAGTAATTTATTTTTTTAGGCTGGGTATGGTGGCTCATGCCTGTAATCCTAGCACTTTGGGAGGCCAAGGCAGGCAAATTGCTTGAGCCCAGGAGTTTGAGACAAGCCTGAACAACATGGCAAAACCCTGTCTCTTCAAAAAACACAATAAATTAGCTGGGCATGGTAGTGTGCCCTTGTAGTCCCAGCTACTCAGGAGGCTGAGGTGGGAGGATCACTGGAGCCCAGGAGGTCAAGGTTGCAGTGGGCCATGATCATGCCACTGTACTCTGCCTGGGTGACAGAGTGAGATGCTGTCTCAAAAAAAAAAAAAAAAAAAAAAGGCCGGGTGCGGTGGCTCACGCCTGTAATCCCAGCACTTTGGGAGGCCGAGGCAGGCAGATCACAAGGTCAGGAGATCGAGACCATCCTAGCTAACACAGTGAAACCCCGTCTCTACTAAAAATACAAAAAATTAGCTGGGTGTGGTGGCGGGCATCTGTAGTCCCAGTTACTTGGGAGGCTGAGGCAGGAGAATGGCGTGAACCCGGGAGGCGGAGCTTGCGGTGAGCCGAGATTGCGCCACTGCACTCCAGCCTGGGCGACAGAGCAAGACTCCATCTCAAAAAAAAAAAAAAAAAAAAAAAAGTGTAACTATTTCAATGCACCACATACTTTTTAGTAAAATAATAATTAAAACTAATAAAGAATAGGCACCAATATGTTTTAATAACTATTTTGGCAGTATTTTGTTTTCATACACAAAAGGGTGCCTAACTTGTCTACAAAGTAACTATTTTTATTTCTAGGCGACTCAAGAAAGTGAATGTGTAGATACATGTCCTATAATCCTAAAATCAGGAAAAATAAAATAATCCTATTCGATAGACCAAATCAGAAATGGATGTCAATCCTTGGCATAACTAGGTTCAGTGCAACTCCAGCATGGTACTTAATAGGCCCGAGGTTAGAAAGGTACAGAAAGCCTAAGAAACTCCACAGTGAAGCAGTAGGTAAAAGTGGAAATGCTTCTTGAAAGCTGACATATTTCACTGTAAATAGCAGAATGCAATCCTAAAGGTGGGTGGATAGACATTCCTATTAAAAAAGCCACAGGATAAAATGATTTGTTTTACTGGAAAGACACATTTATTCAAAGATTTGATAGGTGAGAGGAAGGGCAACTTTTACTGTTAATAGAATGTCTCATGGTGGTGGGGGGGGGCGCGTCTTAATTTTTTTAAACTAGATAAATTTCATTCTCAATTACAGCAATTAAATGTCTGTAAGTGCAGGAATCAGTTCTCCTTTGCAGCAGACTTCTTCTGTTTTGGAAATACTACCAGATAGGCCAGGCATGGTGGCTCACGCCTGTAATCCCAGCACTTTGGGAGGCCGAGGCAGGCGGATCATGAAGTCAGGAGATGGAGACCATCCTGGCCAACACAGTGAAACCCTGTCTCTACTAAAACACACACACACAAAAAAAATTAGCCAGGCGTAGTCGTGCAGACCTGTAGTCCCCACTACTCAGGAGGCTGAGGCAGGGGAATTGCTTGAACCTAGAAGGTGGAGGTTGCAGTGAGCCGAGATCACACCACTGCACTCCAGCCTAGTGACAGAGCAAGACTCCGTCTCAAAAAAAAAAAAAAAGGAAAAAAAAAAAAAAAGAAAATACTACCAGAATGAACATTTTAGTTACTTAAGCAAACAGACTACTTTTTTGGAGAGGTAGTTTTTTTGTGAGGACGCTGGTTAACCTAAATGCAGGTGTCTCAGAAGGAGATGTTCAGGGTTTTGCTTAATAACGTGTATGCCTTTAACAAATTACCCTTACATATGAATTCAGACTGAATTATCTCTGAAATTGTTTGTTTCTTGGGATATGTGTGTAGTACACCAGTGGCATCATGAAATCAGAGTGGTAGCCAGATCCTAGAAGTGAGAGTGAAGGGATTCTAAAGATCTCTTCCAGCCTTTAGTCTCACTTTATTCCCAGCTGGCAGGATAGTAGATCAGACCCCCTGTGGCTGGAGTCAAGCTCTTCCCTGAATGAAACATAATTCTACTGTCAATCATTATAGGGCAAGAAAAGAAGTGACACTTAGGACTAGGAAAGAGAATAACCATCTTCTCAAGACTTAGGGTCATGGATAAAGAATAATTTGCAGAGCTGTGCTACCAAAGTTAAAAAATAACGGGACAGGTTTTCCAACTATTTTACCTCTAACACACAAATATACCCAAACCATTTCCAACATTTATATTTTACCCCTAACAGATATTTCCATTAACACACATTTTCCATTTTACCTCTAAACACGAATAATGCACTTTCCCCTTCTGCTTTATATTATTGTTACTGTATCCCTCTTATTTTTTTTTTTAATTTGTTGAGACAGGGTCTCAGTCTGTTGCTCAGAGAGACTTGGCAGACTTGATTGAGTCACATAAGTTTGACAGGTGGTTTTTAACAAATTTCTTCTACATAAAATTAAATCGCAAGGCCAAGTTCAATTATAGTTCTCTGTGAAAGAAAACTCAGGAAGAAAATAACTACTTTTTTAAAAATGGCATACAAAAGATTAAAAGAAGATCAGTGGTAACATTTGTCTAATGGTACAGTGATTTTAATAAGATGGTATGTCTTCAATTGAGAAATAAATACTATGTAATATTTTGACGACTTCGAAATTTTTGATACCTCCTAACTGTTCTTTTTCTCCTCCCTCCCCCAATGCCTCCAGTGTTTGTGTGTTTAGAAAAGGGCCTATTCAACATAATCCATAGGTTCACAGAAAAGAGGTTTCTTTAAAAGTACCTAACATTCTAGGCCGGGCGCAGCGGCTCATGCCCGTAATCCCAGCACTTTGGGATGCAGAGGTGGGTAGATCACTTGAGGTCAGACCATTCAGACCAGCCTGGCCAACATGGTGAAACCCCGTCTCTACTAAAAATACAAAAAATTAGCTGGGCGTGGTGGCGCACGCCTGTAATCCCAGCTACTTGGGAGGCTGAGGCAGGAGAATCACTTGAACCCGGGAGGAGGAAGTTGCGGTAAGCCAAGATGCACCATTGCACTCCAGCCTGGGCTACAAGAGTGAAACTCCGTCTCAAAAAAAAAAGTACCTAACATTTTGAAAGGATATATACTCAAATAATGTTTTGTTGATAGATACACAGAGAGAGATATACCAAGGTAATTAACGTACAAGTAATGGTATAGATATCCAACCATATTCTTCATAAGTAATGATCTGTTTCAAGGAGGGAAAAACATTGTTCCATCATGTAAGAGGAGACTCTGAAATCCTGATTTATATTCTGTAGCCAATAGTTTTGTATATTGTGAGAATGTGAAGTCCTTTCTCTGGTGCTTGGCTATGGTAAGCAACTTTATCAAGGTTCTTGTTATTACTCCCAGAGACGCCCTGAATAGCTTAAGCCTCTGGTGCACTCATTCCCAGAGCTGACCTACAGTCAGCTTTTCCATTCCTGGTTCCAGATGACCAAGCACTTTGTCATCTACAAACTCATCCTGTATCTTTGGTAACATGTCTGGCAATCCTATACCAATGCCTTAGAATAACTCCTTCTTCTTAATGACAACAAGGTCAATTAAAGATTTTCTTCCCACAAGCTTTAATTCCTAATTACTGTGACCATCACCATTCCTGGAAGAATGTCTAGCCAGTTACTACTTCCCTGAGAAGACTGAAGTCTTAAGATACAAACATCATTTTCTGTCATCTCCACTTCTAGTATGTTTTCTCATCTAAAGTTTGAGCCATTACAGAGGTCAAAACTGATTTAAAAAAAAACAACAACAATAATTATGGAACAGCAACCTGAAAGCAGTAAGAAGGGTAAGAGTCAAAAGGAAAAAAAAAAAGAAATTGAGATACTGGAATTTAGTAATATCAAACAGATGAAAATTCAACTAAATGAATATTCTTTAGATGCTTTCTGACCTACTGAAGACTGTTCTAACAGGAAAATGAACACTTTATACATGCTGTAAAAACTGAAATTAACATAGCTAATATGCTATATTAAATATATGTAAATATATACACCAGATATTTAGAAGGATACATGAAAATCATTAATAATGATTACCTCTGAGAAGTACCAAAGACAACAGCACTTTTCCTTTCTGCCTTATATTCATTGTTACTGTATCACTTTTTTTTTTTTTTTTAAAGACAGGGTCTCACTCTGTCACCCAGACTGGAGTGTAGTAGCATGATCTTGGCTCACTGCAACCTTGATCTCCCAGGCTCAATCAATCCTCCCACCTCAGCCTCCTGAGCACCTGGGACCACAGGTGCACCCCCACCTTGCTCAGCTAAATTTTTATGTCTTGTAGAGGTGACAGCTCCTTATGTTGCTCCCTATGTGGCCTTGAACTCTTGGGCTCAAGCAATCCACCCACCTCAGCCTCCCAAAGTGCTGGGATTACGGGTGTGAGCCACTGCGCCCAGCCACTGTATCACTTCCTCCCCTGCCCCTCACCACAATGGAGATGTACTACTTTTATAAACCAGGATTCGAACCCAGGTCTATTGGATTCCAAAGTAATTTGAACTAGCTATCTTAGAAACTAATATATTCCATAGTAACTAGTAAAGTTACTATCACTGAATAGGAACTTTATAGAGAATCATGTACCTCCTCCTACCATTACTCTAATTTTATATGTTTCTATACACTGAGACAAACAAAATGGGAAACAGGAAGAAAAGGGAAAGGGGGAAATGGAGGAAGGGAAAACTGGGAAGGAAAGAAAAGCGTAAAGAAACGGGAGGATTGGTAGGTAGAGAAAAAGACTGCCTTTGTCTAGGTATCTGCCAAGGTCAGCTCTGGCTCCTATGAAACAACTTTCTTATGAATATGATGGTATCAAAAATACAAATGTTAAAACCTAGATAATTAGATGGTGAAATGAGAAACGTATCACTTAGGAATTTTAGAAAAGAAGTATCTTTGAAAAACAATTTGAAAAGCTACTCTTCGGCTATCTAATTACCCCTAGGTTATCACATTCAGAACAGCAGTGGCTCAGGTATCAAGAGGCCAAAGACAAGGTGTCTTGCTTCAAAAAGGTAGTTATCAATAGTTTAATTAGACTGAGTGCTTAGATAAAAGATTAAGAATTCTCAAATAAAAATAAGCAAGGCAAAAAGAGACCCAGATTTGCAAACATATTTAAAGCACCTAGTTTCCTTAACTAATGAACAGATACATCATAATACTGTATGTCAAAGCCCTAATTTTTCCTACCACCATGTTTAGTTTCTTTTCTCTGAATCTCATTTAAGAAACTCTGAAAAGCAAGCTATTAATTCTCACAAACACTAAATGCCATACAAAAAAGAAAACACAGAGCCCAAATTTATTCCTAGATGAACCCCATGCAACAAACATCAGAGGCCAATCATGTGCCAGGATAAATGCTGTCTAATTTTGTCAGCAAGAGTATCTGTTAAAAGTATAACAATAAGGCTAGGCACAGTGGCTCACATCTGTAATCCTAGCACTTTGGGAGGCCGAGGCAGGCAGATCACCTGAGGTCAGGAGCTCCAGACTAGCCTGGCCAACATGGTGAAACCCTATCTCTACTAAGAATACAAAAAATAGCTGGGTGTGGTGGTGGGCGCCTGTAGTTCCAGCTACTCAGGAGGCTGAGGCAGGAGAATCACTTGAACCTGGGAGGCGGAGGTTGCAGTGAGCCAAGATCCCACCACCGCACTCTAGCCTGGGTGACAGAGCAAGACTCCATGTCAAAAAAAAAAGTATAACAATAATACCCTCAAGGCAAGAGATTACAGAATGTCTTGAGATAGGGCTGGGCTTGGTGGCTCATGCCTATAATATGAGCACCTTGCAAGGCAAGGCCAAGGCAGGAGGATCACTTGAGACCAGGAGTTCAAGACTGGCCTGGACAACACAGTGAGACCCTCATCTCTATTTAAAAAAATTAAAAATCAGCCAGGTACAGCAGCATGTGTCTGTAGTCCTAGCTACTTGGGAGGCTGAGGGGCAAGGATTTATTGAGCCCAGGAGTTCGAGGCTACGGTAAGCTATGATTGCACCATTGCACTCCAGCCTAGGTAACAACAACAACAAAATCTCGAGATAACCTCTTTAAAACAAAAAAAAATTTTAAAAAAAGTAGATGCACAAGCCCTTGGTGACTCTTTCCATCTCTAAATTGATATTCTAAAAACATTACTTTTTTTGGTGTATGCATCATCAATCATAAGATGTTAATAGGCAAAGTTTATGTTGCTTTTATACCTAATGCAAACATCCCATATTTTTATTTATTTATTTATTTATTTATTTTGAGACGAAGTCTCGCTTTGTCACCCAGGCTGGAGTGCAGTGGCACGATCTTGGCTCACTGCAATCTCTGCCTCCCAGGTTCAAGCGATTCTCCTGCCTCAGCCTCCCGAGTAACTGGGACTACAGGTGCCCACCACCACATCCGGCTAATTTTTTAACATTTTTGGTAAAGACGGGGTTTGACCATATTGGTCAGGCTGGTCTCGAACTCCTGACCTCAAGTGATCCACCTGCCTCGGCCTACCAGAGTGCTGAAATTACAGGGGTAAGCCACTGCGCCCAGCCCAACATTCCATATTTTAATAGTGATTTAATAGCTGTACAACCAAAGATAATTTTTTGAGTCTTTTTAAAAAAATAAATGTTATCAGTCAGAAAATACACTTTGTCAACTCAGGAATGGAAAATCAAATACCATAAGTTCTCACTTATAAGTGGGAGCTAAGCTATGGGTAGTACACAAAGGCATAGAGAGTGATATAATGGACTATGGAGACTCAGAAGGGGTAGGGTGGGAAGGGGAGATGAGGGATAAAAAACTACATACTGGGTACAAGGTACACTACTCAGGTAACAGGTACAATGAAATCTCAGACTTCATCACTATATAATTCATCATGTAACCAAAAACCACTTGTGCCCCAAAAGCTACTGAAAATTTTCTTTTTTAATTTTAAAAAGACAAATTCTCAGAGAAAACAAGGAAAAGAAAATACACTTTGTCATATTTGGAGTGCTGGATTTTAACACTTTGTTTTCCCCAGCTTTTAATATTTGCTGATACAAATGGAAAAGACCCTGGACTGTTTAAGATACCTGGATTTTTATCCTACCTCCACCATAACTAGAGCCTCATGGACATGGACAAGGTACTTGACCTCTCAACCTCCGTATAATGGGGACAATAAAACACATTTCACAGAACTGAAATGTAAAAAGATAGTCTTGTATATAGTTGGTGCACTGTAAAAATATTAGTTCTTTTCTTTCTTGGCAAATCTTAATCTCTCTAGGCTTCAATTATTTCACTTTTAAATTGCTAAAGCTGAACAATATTTAATTATGACAATATTTATGCTCACTAATGATTTGGATGGCTACAGAGAGACAAAAGATTCAATGCTATAACATCAGATAGAAGCAATAAGAGTAGTTAGAAAGGTGTGGGGAGAAGGTACAAAGAAGAAAGCCAAAACGGGTGTGCAGATAAAAGTCTTTTTCCTAATTAATTGACAGTGTAATATTTTTGTTAACTGCTTACAGTTTATAGATAAAATGGAGCTGCTAATAAAATCATTTTGTTGACAGGATCACATTTGCCAAGATACAATATACTAATAAAAGCTAAAAATATATGGTTTGCATTGCCATAATTATCTACCTATAAATTTGGTAAAAAAGAGAAAACCGAGAGGGCTAAGTGATATAACAAAGTTAAGTTACTGAACAAAATAGTGAATGTGAGAATAAAACACTAATCACCAATGAAAGAAAATTATATCTATAATCCCCAAAATTATGTGGTCATGATGAACATTTGACAATTATTCTCAGTACTTCTGTTCATATTGCAAAAAATAAGAGACATCTGGGCCACTTCAAATCATTAGAATGATGAATAACCTTCAGACAAATCTCATCCAGAAATAGTGGAAACTAATTATTTTGACATTCTTTAAGACTTCTAATTCAAAAGTAAAGTTCTCAATCCTTTGGATATCAAATAGGTTTTCACTGATTTTGCTCATAACTACTACTTCTCGAACAAATTTGTCTCTTGAACCACCTAGAAATATCTCTGAATCCTGAAATTGCTCCTAATAGGACTTATTTCTAACCTACTACTCAATTTATGTGCTACCCCATTCTTTTTTTGTTTTTACAACATTCTATTTTAATCTACATATTGTTCAATGTTTCTAGTTGTCCATTACACACATGTGCAATGGACAATTACACACACATGCACACACACCTCTAAAGAAGTTTGTATAAGTCAGATACTCAGGTGACTTTAATGATGAGGATCAAATGAGGAAGATGAATCATTTAATTACACAATATAAACTATGATGATAATGTCACACAGAAAGCTGTGGTCTGAGAAAATGTCCAAAGCTAGCAACTCTTTCAAATGCATAACAACTACCAAATTATTTTACCAAATCTCTAACTTTTCTGAATCAATCTTTTTTTAAAACTCTAAAAACATAATGAAAGGCCAAACCATAGAAGACCTTTAACCCAATCATTAAAAATACTGCCCTACAATTCTAGTGTTATTTCGGGAAGACCTTAAATGGGTAAGTATTCAAATTTAAGATATCCTAATTGGGAAAAGAAGTCTAAACCATGGAATAAATATTATTGACTATAAGCAAAGAGTTTGCTCTGCAACCACTTGCAAATCTCTTTGCTTTAACCAATCATTTATTTATTTTTCTATAAATCATTATCGGAATATAATTAAAAAGTGTTACTAAAAAAAGTAAAGCTACTTGAGTAGAAGGCAAATTTTAAAAGAAATAAATTTTTTTTTTTTTAAGATTTGAAATCTTTTGGTTGGGGGACAATGTGACTTTTCAAGGAAGAAAACAGATTTCTAGAATTCGGTCAATTTATATATCTAGCTAGCCATTTGGATCAAAACACCAAACACATTCTCATCTGCAGATACTAAAAGCTAGCTAGTTATCAAAGATTCCATTCATTATGAGTAATAAAAGCTAAAGCTAATTAAAATATTCCCAACATCATCTAAAATGACACGATTCTCTGCATGAATCCCCAAAAAAGGATACTACAGACCACATACCTATCATCAAATCACGAATCCTGATCAAGCTCCTATTGCCAAGGAAAGCCAGTTAATGACATAGTAAAACACTGACTCAAGTTTAGAAAAAAGTCTTGAAGGTATTTTTTATTTCAATGAAGAGAAGTGATTATGGTAGAATCTGCCTCTCAGAAGTTATAAATCCAAAGAAAAAAATATTCAAAGAGTCATAATTCAAAGCAGAATCAAGTAAGTACTGTTGCATACCGCTGAAAGATGGTCTGAAAGGACCAATGTTTGTAAGATAAAATGTACAAGAGTAGGAAACTCACTGGATATGGATGCATGAGAAAGAAATAAAGATGACAGTTTCTGGCTTAAGTACCTGGGATTGCACTGCTACTATTAACCATGACATCCTGGAATAAAAGCAGGTTTGAAAAAAGGCCATTTGGCTGGGTGCAGTGGCTCACATCTATAATCCCAGCACTTTGGGAGGCCGAGGTGAGCAGATTATTTGAGTCTAGGAGTTCAAGACCAACGTGGGCAACATGGCGAAAGCCTATCTCTACAAAAAAAGAAAAAAGAAGTAAAAAAAAAAAACAAAACCAGCCATTGGAGCCATAAGACAGCCAAGAATTATGGCTAGAGATCAGGAGAGTTGGGAAGGTACAAAATCTGGACCTCAGCAGCATAAACTGGGTGTTTGGATGTTATGTGGTCAATTTGATCACCTAAGGAAATTGAATACATTAAGGAGACCAAGAACAAAATATTAAGAAGGATAAACATATATATGGAGGGGAGAAGAATCAAAAGCAGGTAATGAGACTTACAAAAATTGGATAGGTAGGAAGACGACTGGGACAATATACTAATTAAGGCTAAACAAGGAAAGAGTTTCAAGAAAAGGTAAAGCAAGAAGAGCTAAAAATACTGAAATATTTTGAAGTGGTTATGGCAGTTAAATACATTAATGTCAATGACCTTAATCTCGTTTAAACAGGAGGCAGTCATTAGATGAGATTTGGAAGCTGGGGAGTTTGGGGAATGGGGACAATAAAAAAGGTAAAAAAACAACCACTTGGAGAGACAGAATATATTGTCCACTAGAGAGAGTGATTGGAGGGATACCAGATAGAGCATAAGCAGCTGAGTTGGTATTAGAAGCAGTCAAGTAGGTTATGTTTGTATTTTTCCTTTTACCACCAAGGTTCAAAAGTCCAGGATCAGGAGCGGAATTTAAATATCCACACATACTCTACCACCAAACACCTACAAGTATGCCAGGCATGATAATATGCACTTGCAAGTTTCCTCATTTAATCTTTATAGTTTCCTTTCTCTTTTCCCTCTGCTTCTCCTGAACAATTCAGCACTGAAGCCATTAGATGGGGCAGAACCATGGGGGCCTAAAGCACGGTGCCAGAGCTACAGTGGAGAGAGCCTGATGCACGTGTGTAGCCAGGCATGGGGTATCAATCCAAGCGGGATGTGAAGGAGGACGTTGTGGGGGTGAGGAGAGTCAGAGCCTGAGCAGGGCGAGAAGGATGACCACATGTGGGGATGACCAAGCACAGGGTACAGAAACTCAAGCAGGGTAAGGAGGGCATCCACTTGTAAGACATCTTGGTGTGAGGTGTTGGAGCCCAAGAAAGACAAAGAAGGTCTAGAATAAAGATCTTGAGAGAGATGAACAGGGTATCTACATACAGGATGGGATGGCAGCTAAGATGGGAGAATGATTTTATATGTGGGGACTGATGTCTTAAAAGCCTGAAAATGTTCCTATTTACTGAGTTACTGAGAAATCTCTACCTCTAGAAAGCTCATAAACAAATAAAAGATTAGTTTGACAACTTAACGAATGCTATTTGTAAACAGGGGAATGGCTTAATAAATACATTATGGCATACTCAGAGAATAAAATGTTATGGTCATAAAATTATGTTTTTAAAATTTAGTAATGTGAGAACATACTTTTGGTTATGTTACATGAAAACAGGAAAATAAAAAATACGATGCTAATATTGTTGGGAAAAAGTCATAATGTCAACAGTAGAGCAACTGTGTGATTCTAACTTTCATTATACTTAACCTGCATTTTCCACTTTTCCTATGATAAATATGTATCACTTTAACATTTATAATAAAAACCAATATTTTACAAATCAAGAGGAAAAGGGAGCTAATACCCTCAACTAACAATCAAGTGTTAGGTGTTAGGCTAGATGCTTTTGTATACATTTCTCATGGAAAAGTACTGTGAGTAGAAGAGGGCAAGTTATTAAGAAAGCAACTGCCACTGCTCAAAATCAATTTATGAAAATAAATTTGGCTTTTCCTATAAGATACATAAGAGAAACTTTCAGCTAAAGAGATATTTTAACAACAAAACCATAAGAAATTTTAGTAGTATAAAAAGGCAGATAGATGATAGATAATTGACTATGTCAATTATCCATCCATTCTTGGACATCAGGAAAAAAAATGAGTTAAAGAGCCAAAATGCTAAAATATGCCAATTACCCAGGAAAACAAAAACATTCCATCTTTGTGACAGAAGAGTAACTTAAATTGCATTAGGTGGTTGTGGAAATAATTCAACTGGTTCATACAGGAAAGGGAGGGAATGGAAGAAAGGGAGCCCGGCAAACAGCTTTGTGGTAGAGCTGGGAGAATTCCAACTTCTGGAAGAAGCCAAGGAGAGAAGGCCATCACGAGTTCTTTAGGCCTCTGCAGCCATGAGGGGTTGGCCATATGAGAAGCAGCAGCAGCCATGGACCATCTCATCTGACTCCTCCCCAGCTATGGTCCTTCAGTCCTCAAAAAATATTAAAAAGATTAGCCCTCAATGCTAGTAACACTATGATTACGGTAGAATCTGCCTCTAAGAAGTTATAAATACAAAGAAAAAATATTCAAAAAGTCAAATTCAAAGCCGAATCAAGTTAAGTACTATTGCATACCACTAAGAGATGGTCTGAAAGGACCAATGTCTGTAAGATAAAATGTACAGGAATAGGAAACTCACTGGATATGGTTGCATAAGAAATAAAGATGACAGTTTCTGGCTTAAGTACCTGGGACTGCACTGCTACTACTAACCACGGCATCACAGAATAAAAGCAGGTTTGAAAAAAGGCCATTCGGCCAGGTGAACTAGATAACATCCACCTACCTAGCTAGATCTAGATAGATCTATCTAGATACAGTGTCACTTCAGGGGTCCCTCAATAACCCTCAAATGCCAAGCCACCCTTTTTAATACTTAAAGAAATAAATCTTTAATTTAGAGATTAAAAATACACATCTAGTTGATTCAATACCCATCTCTCATTTATACTTACGTAAAATCAGTAAATCAATCACTGAAACTGCTTTGCAAAATTATGACAGTAGGAGAAATCTGACATAGCTGACTCCATCTTGCTTCTAACCTCCAAGCTGTGCTTGTTCATTCCTGGGAGTAGCCAAGCTAACTTTGGAAGGAATTTAGTTTATAGTTTAAAGGAAGGATGATAACAGCCCTTCCCAAAACTACAGCCTCCTTTGAAACCACCTTTGTAAAACTAACAAATTAGCCATGAGACTAGAAATTATGGCTCAGGAGTCATGTAGCCAGAGGTCACAAGATTCATAACCTCCCCAGTTGCTCCTACTCCCCAGTTGCTCCTACAGATAACATCACTATTGTAAAACTAAAATTGGTGTTTGAGGTATTTTTCGGACCCTGCATTCTAATGGACAAGCTGGCGCCACCCAGACCCATAAAATGGCTCAACTGGTCTTGTAATCCCACCCAGGGACTGACAGTGCAAGAAGACAGCTTTAACACCCTATGATTTCATCCCTGATCCAACCAATCAGCATTTCCTATTCCCTAGCCCACTGCTTGCCAAATTATCCTAAAACAAAACAAAACCCAGTCTCCAAAATTTCATAGACCAATTTGAATAATAATAACCTCTCTTGTTCTGTTTGCCTGGCCCTGCGATTTTTCAACTCTCTGCTGCAAAAACCTGCTGTTCTCAGTGCATTGGTTTTTCCGGGCAGTAGGCAAGATGAATTAATTGGGCAACTACATCACTAAGCATAAAGTACTGAAGTCTTGCTATACTCTGAGAGGGACTACCAACCTCCACATCTGTGTTATTTGATCCTGCACATCCCCTTCCCCCAACAGTGATTCAAAGCCAGACACACAACTCAAGTGGAGCCAGACTTTCCATTCTAGACATCACATGAATAGGAGAAACAGAGACAGACGGCTGAGACAGAGGAATAAAATTAACATTAACTACAGATCCTAAGAGAGAAGTTTCCAGAAATCCTGATGCTAAGGGGCCCTACACAGCCTTGGTTTCCTTTCCTTCCCATGTCTTAGCTGGCTGATGTTGGCACAGTTTACGCATGTGGTGAAAAGTAGAAGCAGAACACCATGGTGGTTTTTCCTGGCCCAAGTTTAATGAGAACATTGCTGTTAATGCATGCAAACCAATACCATTCTGCATAATTTATGAAGACTGTTCATTTTCCAACTTGCTGGTACATGGCAGTATGTTCTGAGTGGATTTATTTATCAAGCTACTATGTGATTAATAACCTTTTCCAAAAAGTCATTTTAGCAAAGATAATTTAACTTCTGCTTTTCTACTTAACCTAACCTTGGATGATGAACTGTGAAGACCCTGCTAGTGAGGAAAGAAAAGATCATTATTGGCCAGGCGTGGTGGCTCACGCCTGTAATCCCAGGACTTTGGGAGGCCGAGAGCGGGGATCATGAGGTCAGGAGTTCGAGACCAGCCTGACCGACACAGTGAAACCCTGTCTCTACTGAAAATACAAAAATTAGCCAGGCATGGTGGCACGTGCAGCAACTCAGGAGGCTGAAGCAGGAGAATCGCTTGAACCCAGGAGGTGGAGGTTGCAGTGAGCCAAGATTGTGCCACTGCACTCCAGCCTGGGTGACAGAGCGAAACTCTGTCTCAAAAAAAAAAAAAAAAAAGAGAGAGAAAAGATCATTACTGACTTCCATTAATCATGGGAAAATAATTCAAATATATCTTATTTAAATCAAACAGAGGGTGAAAATACTTTAAGGGTAAATACCCAAGTTCTATTTAACAAACCTATAATTCCCAAGTGTTAAAGCTTTTAGAGCCAAACCCACACAATTTAACATTACTCAATTCAAAATTATTTGGAATTTTTGATAAGTGTTATCTGAATTATTATAGAGTGGAAATCATTGAAAATTATTTAAAACACACTCTTAAATTATGCAGTGGTGCAATCACAGTGATCCTCCCATCTCAGCCTCCTGCGTAGCTGCAACTGCAGGTGTGTACCACCATGCCTGGATAATTTATTTTATTTTATTTTATTTATTTTGTAGAGACAGGATCTCACTTTGTTGCCCAGGCTGGTCTTGAACTCCTGGGCGCAAGTGATCCTTCCTCTTTGCCCTCCCAAAGTGCTGCGATTACAGATGTAAGCCACCAAGCCCAGCTGACTTCTTTAGCTTCTAAATCAAAGAAACACAGTGAAAGATGGGATATAAACATTATCTTCATTTTACCACTAATAAAAGTGTTGCTCATATTTTATATATCAAACTTAAAAGAGAAAAAAACTTCAAAAGACATGAACTTCATCTTCCCACCTAATCTAAGACATTAATCAACACTGGTCATAATTCTTTTGGCCACAGACGCATTTATAAAAATTGAATTTACTCAGTTAAATAACACTGACCAAAATCGACCTAGTCAGTAAATGTACAAGACTTCTAATAGACTAAAAACACTTAAAAAGTGATAGTTGTATTAATAATCAGTAACTGCTGCTACCATTTATTAAGCATTTGCTGGTCCTTGATGGCAGTCCAGGCAGGGAATGAGACACAGATGACAAATTTAATGCCATTTCTCTCAACCACCTAAGAACCCAAAGCCAGGTAAGAAAAAAGTAAAAGAAATAGGCTAGATTTGGTTGTAAAGTGGGGAGTGGAATCACTGTTAAGTAAAGAGTGCAGATACTATGGCCCAGACCAACTAGATTTGAATTCTAGCTCAGGCACACAGGCACTGTGTGACCTTAAGAAAACTACTAGACTTCTCTAAACCGTAGTTGCCTCAGTTATAAAATCAGGATAATAGCAGTAATATATATTTAATAGGCTTTTTGTGATGATGAAATGTATATAAAGTACTTTCAGACATTGTGTGGCACACATGAAGTGTTCAATAAATATTACCTGTTATTGGCCCAGCACGGTTTCTCACGCCTGTAATCCCAGCACTTTGGGAGACTGAGGCAGGCAGATCACGAGGTCAGGAGATCAAGACCATCCCGGCTAACGCACTGAAACCCCGTCTCTACTAAAAATACAAAAAATTAGCCAGGCGTGGTGGCAGGCGCCTGTAGTCCCAGCTACTCGGGAGGCTGAGGCAGGAGAATGGTGTGAACCCAGGAGACGGAGCTTGCAGTGAGCCAAGATGGTGCCACCGCACTCCAGCCTGGGCAACACAGCGAGACTCCATGTCAAAAAAATAATAATAATAATAAATAAATAAATAAATAAATAAATATTACCTGTTATTATTAGTCAACAAATATAACAACCATGATATAGGAGGCTCTGGGCCAACTACTTTACTTAAACAATGTTGTTTAATCCTTATAACAAGCCTGGAAATAGACAGAGTTATTCCAATTTTAAAGAAGATGACTGTTTTCTTTAAACACACACATACACACACACAGGAATAGATTTTTTAAAAATTAAACTATTTTTTTAAAAAACCTAGGAATAAATCTAACCAGGGAGGTGGAAGATCTATGTAAGAAAACTACAAAACACTGATGAAAGAAATCAAAGAGGTCACAAAAAAATGAAGACATCCCACGCTCATGGACTAGAAGAATGTTGTGAAAATGACCATACTACCAAAGATAATCTACTGAGTCAATGCAACCCCTACACAGAAATAGAAAAAAACAATCCTACAATTCATACAGCACTAGCCAAAGTGACTGGAAGCAAAAAGAACAAAGCTGAAGGCAGCACACCACCTGATTTCAAAATATATTACAAACCTATAGTAACCAAAAGACCATGGGCCTGGCATAAAATAGACACAGAGACCAATGGAACAGAATAGAGGACTCTGAAATAAATCCACCTATTTATAACCACCTGATTTTTGACAAAGGCACCAAGAACGTTTATTGGGGAAAAGACAGTCTCTTCAATAAATGGTGCTGGGAAAACTGATATCCATATACAGAAGAATGAAACTAGACCCCTATATTTTACCACATATGTGATGGTTAATACTGACTGTCAACTTGACTGGATTGAAGGATACAAAGTATTGATCCTGGGTGTGTCTGTGAGGGTGCTGCCAAAGGAGATTAACATTTGAGTCAGTGGGCTGGGAAAAGCAGACACACCTTTAATTTGGGTGGGCACAATCTAATCAGCTGCCAGTGTAGCTAGAATATAAGCAGGCAGAAAAATATGAATAGAGAGACTGGCCTAGCTTCCCAGCCTATATCTTTTTCATGTGCTGAATGCTTCCTGCCCTGGAACAGCGGATTCCAAGTTCTTCAGTTTTGGAACTTGGACTGGCTCTCCTTGCTCCTCAGCTTGCAGACGGTCTATTGTGAGACCTTGTAATCATGAGTTAATACTTAATAAACTCTCCTTTATATATATAGTTATTCCATTAGTTCTGTCCCTCTAGAGAACCTTGACCAACAGATTTTGGTACCAGGAGTGGTTCTAGAGGAACAGAATATTAAGGATGGAGTTCTTTTGTTGGTTTTGGGGTTTCTGGAGTTGGCTGCTTAATGTGATTAGACCCAAAAATGCTAAGGACTCTATTTCTAATAGTATGGAGAACACTGTTAGTCCTTGGCATGAACTGTTTGGAGAGTTTTGCAAAATAAATGCATTTGACACTCCTGATTCATCACTCATGAGAGGCAAGGAGTTTAGTGACTCAACACAATACCTTTGACCATATGTGGAGAACCAAGGAACATAATGAAGTTGGTTGGTTGCTCCTAAGTTCAGTGGACAAAGTGATGAAAGAAAATTATGAACTCAGGGATTCTATCTCCTGGCTTCAGAAGCAGATACTGAGCCTCAAATCTGCTAAGATTGCCCTGGGTGAGAGTCTTATCTCCCCTAGAGAAATAGCTGAAATTGTAGAAAAACAGACACAAGCTATTATCACGCAAGTGGCTGACCTTCACTGAAAGGTACATGCACAGCGTCGCCAGGTGTCTACTGTTAAAGTGAGGGCATTGATAGAAAAGAATGCGACCCTGAAACTTGGAATGGAGACGTGTGGGAGGACCCTGATGAGGCAGGACACTGAGTTTGTAAATTCTGATGAATCTTTTTTTGCCAGAAGGAACAGCTTCCTCATCCCCAGTAGTGGCAACATCCCCTCCCCGACCCATGCTGCCATCAGCCTTTCCACCTTTGTCTGAAGAGATAAACCTTGTGCTGCCTGAGGCAACAGTGATGGCCTCCCCTGAGGCAGCTGTGAGGCAAGATAACACTGATTCTCCTCAGGTGCCACCTCTCACACCCCTGTTTGCTTCTAGAACTATAACTAGACTAAAGTCCCAGCCGGCCCCTAGAGATGGGGGGGTTGATAGTGTGACTGATGAGGAGGTGCACTAAACTCAAAAAGAACTGCTTGAGTTTTCTAATTTATATAAATAGAAATCTGCAGAACAGGCATGGGAATGGATGTTAAGGGTGTGGGATAACGGCGGAAGGAACACAGAGTTGGATCAAGCTGAATTTATGGATTTGGGCCCACTAAGTAGGGACTCTGCATTTAATGCTGCAGCTCCGGGAGTTAAAAAAGGTTCTAGGCCGAGCACAGTGGCTCACGCCTGTAATCCCAGCACTATGGGAGACTGAGGCAGGGGGATCACGAGGTCAGGAGATCGAGACCACCTTGGCCAACATTGTGAAACCCCGTCTCTACTAAAATACAAAAAATTAGCCAGGCATAGTGGCACATGCCTGTAATCCCAGCTACTTGGAGGCTGAGGCAGGGGACTCGCTTGAACCCGGGAGGCAGAGGTTGCAGTGAGCTGAGATCGTGCCACTGCACTCTAGTCTGGTGACAGAGCAAGACTCTGTCTCCAAAAAAAAAAAGGTTCTAATAGTTTATTTGCTTGGTTTGCTGAAATCCGGATTAAAAGATGGCCCACTCTGAGTGAGCTAGAAATGTCTGATCTCCCTTGGTTTAATGTAGAGGAAGGGATCTAAAGGCTTAGGGAGACTGGGATGGTGGAGCGGATTAGTCACTTTAGACCTACTGACCTCCCCAGCTAGAAGGGTCCAGAAGAGGTACTCTTGACCAATGCCTTGTGAACTAGATTTGTGAGGGCAGCACCTGCATCTCTGAAGAGCCCTGTAATTGCTCTTTCAGGTATGTCAGGTCTAACAGTGGGAAGTGCAGTCACTCAACTACAAAATTTAAATTACAATGGGAATAACTGGATCCTGAGGTGGCAGGGGCCAAGTGGCAGCAATCAACCATCAAAGGCAAGGTGGGTGTGGCTACCATAATGGACAGCAGAGGCAAAGCGGCAATCAGAATAGTCTGACTCATGTAGAGCTCTGGCATTGGCTAATTAATCACAGTGTTCCTAGAAGTAAAACTGATAGGAAGCCTATTGCATTCCTACTTAGTTTATACAAATCTGGGGAAGAGGTATGTGGATGGACCTCTCTGAGTGGTCAAAAACTGTGAAGGTATTTGTACCCCATGTGAGTGCTCACCAGTGGGTGACCTCAGCAGAGCAGGATTTTAACAATCAAGTGGAGAGGATGACACCACTCAGTCTCTTTCCCCAGCCACCCCATCATCGTCCAATGGGCCCATGAACAAAGTGGCCATGGTGGCAGGGATGGAGGTTACGCATGGGCTCAGCAACATGGACTTCCACTCACCAAGGCTGATCTGGCTGCAGCCATTGCTGAGTGCCCAATTTGCCAGCAGCAGAGACCAACACTGAGCCCTCCATATGGCACCATTCCTCGGGGTGATCAGCCAGTTACCTGGTGGCAGATTGATTATATTGAACCTTTTCCATCACGGAAAGGGCAGAGGTTTGTCCTCACTGGAATAAACCCTTACTCCAGATATGGGTTTACCTATCCTGCATGCAAGCTTCTGCCAAGACTACCATCATGGACTCATGGAATGCCTTATCCAACATCATGGTATTCCACACAGCATTGCCTTTGACCAAGGCACTCACTTTACAGCTACAGAAGTGTGGCAGTGGGCTCATGCTTATGGAATTCACTGGTCTTACCATGCTCCCCATCATTCTGAAGCAGCTGGATTGACACAACAGTGGAATACCCTTTCGAAGTCACAATTACAACGGCAACTAGGTGACAATACTTTGCAGGGCTGGGGCAAAGTGTATGCTCTGAATCAGCATCCAATATATGGTACTGTTTCTCCAATAGCCAGGATTCACAGGTTCAGGAATCAAGGGGTAGAATTGGAAGTAGCACCACTTACCATCACCCCTAGTGATACACTAGTAAAATTTTTGCTTCCTGTTCCTGAGACATTACGTTCTCCTGGCCTGGAGGTCTTAGTTCCAGAGGGAGGAACACTGCCAAGAGGAGACACAACTCCATTAAACTGGAAGTTAAGATTGCCACCTGGACACTTTGGGCTCCCCCTACCTTTAAGTCAACAGGCTAAGAAGGGAGTTACAGTGATTGGCCTGGACTATCAAGATGAAATCAGTCTACTACTCCACAACGGAGGTAAGGAAGAGTATTCATGGAATACACAAGATCCATTAAGGCGTCTCTTAATATCACCATGCCGTGTGATTAAGGTCAATGGGAAACTACAACAGCCCAATTCAGGCAGGACTACAAATGACCCCGAGACCATTCAGGAATGAAGGTTTGGGTCACTCCACCAGAGAAAACACCATGACTTGCTGAGGTGCTTGCTGAAGGCCAAGGGAATACAGAATGGGTAGTAGAAGAAGGTAGTCATCAATACCAGCTACGACCACACGATCAGCTGCAGAAACAAGGACTGTAACTGTCATGAGTGTTTCCTCCTTCTTTTGTTAAAAATGTTTGTGCATGTATACACTTATACTAAGAAAATATCTTCATTTTTATTTCCTTTCTCCTTTATCATGTGATATAAAGATTTATTGACTTCACATCAGCATTTAAGTATTGTTAACTTTATGTAATAGTATTTGGAATGGGGATTGGTGCATTTCTGGTTGTACAAAGGATAGCTGTGTTATGTTAGGCTTATTATTGTCTTTATTTGAAGATTATATATGATCTCAGGAGATGTGTATGGGTTCAGGTTGACAAGGGGTGGACTTGTGATGCTTAATACTGAGTGCAAACTTGACTGGACTGAAGGATACAAAGTTTTGATCCTGGGTGTGTCTGTGAGGGTGTTGCCAAAGGAGATAAACATTTGAGTCAGTGGGCTGGGAAAAGCAGACCCACCCTTAATCTAGGTGGGCACAAGCTAATCAGCTGCCAGTGTGGCTAGCATACAAGCAGGCAGAAAAATGTGAAAAGAGAGACTGGCCTGGCCTAGCCTCCCAGCCTATATCTTTCTCCTGTGCTGGATGCTTCCTGCCCTTGAACAGCGGATTCCAAGTTCTTCAGTTTTGGAACTCGGATTGGCTCTCCTTGCTCCTCAGCCTGCAGATGGCCTATTGTGAGACCTTGTGATAGTGTGAGTTAATACTTAATAAACTCATATATATAATTTTTTTCCATTAGTTCTGTCCCTCTAGAGAACCCTAATACAACATACCAAAAAAAAAAAAAACAAAATGGATTAAAGATTTAAAAGTAATACCTAACACTATAAAACTACTAGAAGAAAACATTGGAGAAACACTTCAGGACACTGATCTAGGCAAAGAATTTTGGGGTAGGACCCCAAAAGCACAGGCAACAAAAGCAAAAATAGACAAATGGAATTACATGAAACTAAAAAGCTTCTGCACAGCAAAGAAAACAACAGAGTGAAGAGACAACCTGCAGAATGGGAGAAAATATTTACAAACTATCCAACAAAGGATTAATAACCAGAATATATAAGGAACTCAAACAACTCAACAGCAAAAAAACAAATAATCCAATTCAAATATATGGGTAAAAGATCGCCATAGATATTTCTCAAAAGAAGACAAACCAAGTGGCCAACAGGTATGTTAAAAAATCAAAACAAAAACAGCAACAACAAAAAAACTCAACATCACTAATCATCGGGGAAATACAAATCAAAACCACAATGAGATATCATCTCACTCTAGTTAAAATGGCTACTATTGAAAAGACAAAAAATAACATATGCTGGTGAGATCTAGAGAAAGAGGAATGCTAATACACTGTTGGTAAGAATGTAAATTAGTACAGCCACCATGGTAAACAGTATGAAGGTTCCTTAAAAAACTAAAAATTGAACTACCATATGATCTAGCAATATAAAAGAAGGAAGTCCTGCCATTTGCAGCAACGTGGATGGAACTGAAGGTCATTATGTTAAATGAAATAAGCCAGTCATAGAAAGACAAATATTGCTATGTTCTCATATATGGGAGCTATAAAAGTTGATCTCATGGAGGTAGAGAGTAATACAGGAGACTGGGAAGTGAGGAGGATAAAGAAAGTTTGGTTAATGGGTGCAAAACACACATAGAAAGAATTAAGTTCTAGTGTTTGATAGCACAGGAGGGTAACAATAATTTATTATATATTTCAATATAGCTGGAAGAGTAGTTTTAAAATGTTCCCAACACAAAGAAATGATAAATGTTTGAGGTAATGGATATCCTAATTACCCTGATCTAATCATTACCCATTGTATGTATCAAAATATTACATGTATCCCATAAGATGTATAATTAATTACGTATCAATTAAAAATTTAAAAACTGAAAAAATGAAACAGATGTAAAGACCTTCAATAACTTGCTCAAAGTCAAAAGAGAACCAATGACAGAACCAGACTGAAAGACAGGATGTTCTATTCCAAAGATCTTTTTTGTTTTTTTGCTTTTTCCTGCTTGATTTTTAAGTCACTAAGATTAATAAAGTACGAATAGGATCTATATTTATGTGTGGTACAAATTCAAGTTGTTCAAGCCAAAATGAAAGGGAATATTTATTTTAAAATTTCTCAGATACTGTGCTAGAACTTTCTCAAAAATCATTTAAAAGTCAACATTATCATTCCCCTTTTAAACGTGAGGAAACTGAGTCTCAGAGATGTTAGCCCAAGGCCAGATAGTTTTTAAAACACAGAAGTTGGATTCCATCTGCAAGCATAAAAGCCCATAGGCTTTCCATTATCTAATGCTACCTTCCTAGGATAAATCTGATTTGTCTTTTCTCAAAATAATAGCAATTTGTGGAAATTGCTATTCTTAGTAGCAGAAACCGTTTCAAATTACTTGTTTAGATGAGAATTAAGTAAATGTGCTACCCATTTCAGGTATATCCATTCTTTGACTTACTGAAATTTGTTTTTAATTAATCAGAATATGAAGAATAGCTTTCACTTTTTCTTTGTATTCATGATTGTAATAAAAAGTTCAATTTTGGCTGGGCGAGTTGGCACATGCCTGTAGTCCCAGCACTCTGGAAGGCTGAGGTAGGAGGATTGCTTGAAGCCGGGAGTTCAAGACCAGCCTGGGCAACAAAGCAAGACTCTGTTCTGCAAAAAAAAAAAAAAAAAAAAAAAAAAAATTTTTTTTTAATTAGCCACTTGCGAGGTGGTGCATGCCTGTAGCTCCAGCTACTTGGGAGGCTAAGGCAGGAAGACTGCTTGAGCTCAGGAGTTGGAGGCTGCATTGAGCTATGATAGTGCAGGATACTACTCTAGCCTGGCAACAAAGTGAGACCCTGTCTCAAAAAAAAAAACAAAAGATCCAATTTTATTACTTCTTTCACATATAAAAGGCTAAATGCCATCCAAGGAGACTGGGAAGTTTCCACCAAGGTACTTTATATAGAATGGGGGGAAAAAAGGAAATGTTTCTTAACATTAATGGGTATATTTATGATATCCTCTCATCTGTATTAACTACTTTATAAAAGGTACTGGGCATGATTTGCCCCCTAGAATACAACTTGCTTTAAAGTTCTGCCAACTTTGTAAATTCCTTAAACAGGGATTCATCAATCTACTAAAACAAAAGATCGTATGTAAAGGAGAACTGCACAGATGTTTTACAGCATCAAGCTGTAGATTAAGTATTTACTTTATTACACTGTCTATCACCCAATCTAAGATGATGTCAGGAGAAAAAAATGAAAGCTCTCACATACTCTTGTCAACTGCTATCTACTATTAGATAATTTTTTCCTATGATACACCAGAACTCCTTAGCTGCGCCCTTTCCCCCACCTTGGATAGAAAGTCCAACCACAGTTACTGAAGTATACTAATGTCTCTGCTTTTTACTCCTCAAATGCCAGTTGAGGCAGTTAATGTTCACAATATTACAATAACAGCAATAATAAGTAGTCAGCATTTATCAAGTGCTGATACCCCTTCCACGTATTAACTTATTTAATTCTCACAGCACTATTAAGTAGGTATTACAGCTATCTCTATGTTTACAGTATAAAGACTTAGGCTGTACAAGGTTAAATAGTAGCAATAAACAGGAATTCAAACACAGACAACCTGGCTCCATAGCTGTGCTCTTACCCACCAGTAATTTCATTAATATCCATCCACAAAAACGACCCTACGTTCACTTGCCTTGGTTCTGATCACTAAGAGATGTCTGGGAAGGGTTACATTTAATCCCTAATCATTGTCATATACTTCTCCCTGTATTACCTTCTGTGGGCTATCTTGCCAGCAGGCAAGCTGTCAGGGCTTATTTAAAAAGCAAATAAAAATACACAAAACTCTTCAAGAAGTCCAACTTAGCCTTAACAACATGTAAAATAATTAGTATTATTAATCAAAGGGTAATTATAAGGACTAAATGTACTAATATGTATGGAGCAAACAACAGGAACAGACATGCAAAAGCTCAATAATTAACCATTATGTCATCTGGCTATTACCTAATGCTTCCTTTTCCTTCATATTGCAGCATGTGACAAGGAAAGAATGTATATGCCTATTTGCATTCTTTTACTACTCATCATAGCATATACTCTGGTTTATCATTCTAAAACATAACCCTGACTAAATCATGTGTACAAAATATAAATCAAGGCTACAGCACCATCCTTGTTTACATATTTCTAATAGTTTACTATAACAAGAAAAGCTATGTCATATTTTAAGGCAATTTAAATGCCAAAAATATTAACATAACTTGGTTACTTATTTTAAAAATACCTAACATATTATTGCTATTCATTCATTTGAAATCAAATAAGAGACCATTAAAGAGAACAATCTTATGCTGTACAGACCAGTATTAACTTTTTTTTTTTACTGACGAGACAATTGAGGCTTTAAGAGACGTCAGGTTTTACAGATGGTAAAACCCAGCTTCTGACTTCCAATTCCATGCCCTTTCCACTGCACCACACTCTTTTACGTAACTTGTTAACCACAGGCCAGTATTTTCCTAAGTATGTTCAACAGATACTCAGGGGAAAAAATTAAGTCAAATAAATTGAGAAATGATATTTTCTCTGTCTGCCTCTTAGACAGTCAACTGCACATTATTTGCACTGGAAAATCCTGAAATCATATAACTTGTTTGCCTGTGTCTCACTCAATATTTCCCAAACTGATTTGACTACAAAATCCTTTTATTCTCCTAATACTTATTAACATCATGTAGAGCACACTTCAGGAAATGTTACTACAGAATAAACTATTACGTTTAATAATTTTTTTTTTTTTTTTTTTTGGAGAGGTAGTCTCGCTCTGTCATCCAGGCAGGAGTGTGGTGGTGTGATCTTGACTCACTGCAACCTCTGCCTCCCAAGTTCAAGTGATTCTCCTGCCTCGGCCTCCCAAATAGCTGGGACTACAGGTGTGCACCACCATGCCTGACTAATTTTTGTATTTTTAGTAGAGACATGGTTTCACCATATTGGCCAGGCTGGTCTTGAACTCCTGACCTCAAGAGATCTGCCCGCCTTCGCCTCCCAAAGTACTGGGATTACAGGCATGAGCCACCGAGCCCAGCCTAATACTTAATGTAATAATCAGTATAAAGAGCCTATTTCACAGATTTGACAACTCAAATCAAGTCCCTTGAAATAAGTGCCTGGCTTGATACATGGCACATCAAAGGTACTTAATTTAAGAATAAAAAACTATATAAATTAGAAGTTTAATATAAATACTGTCTCCTGACAGCACTGTTATCAAAGCAGTAAACATTTACCAAGTACCAAGTATACAGTAAGACCCTGAAATAATGGCGATATAAAGATAATGATTCTTACTCTCATGGATTAGCAGGGGAGATTAATTATCAAGTCAGGCTGTAATAAGCAGTAGAATAAACAAAATACCACTGTAATACAGAAGTAGAATAATAATTGATATTATAAAAGAGATTGGCTGGGTGACATGGCTCACATCTATAATGCCAGCACTTTAGGAGGCTGCGCTGGGTGGAACATGAGGTCAGGAGTTTGAGACCAAGCCTGACTAACATGGTGAAACCCCGTCTCTACTAAAAATACAAAAATTAGCCAGGCATGGTGACGCATGCCTGTAGTCCCAGCTACTCAGGGGGCTGAGGCAGGAGAATCGCTTGAACCCGGGAAGCAGAGGTTGCAGTGAGCTGAGATCGTGCCACTGCACTCCAGCCTGGGCAACAGAGCGAGACTCTGTCTAAAAAAAAAAAGAAAAAAGAGGAGATTCCCAGGTAATTATTGTTAAATGGAGCAGAATGAATTTAGCTTATATGGAACATCTCAGAATGTTTATATCTAGGATGGTAAAAGAGGATCAAGATCTCTCTGTAGCTTTCCCTGTCTCCATGCAGAAACAATTGCTCCCATTTCAAATTTTTTTCCTCAGTGAATACTATCATACTACTAGGGTCATGTCAAAAAGATTCAGAAGCCAACCTAAATAAGCTCCTATTATTAAGACAGAACAATCTGTCTGACAATGGGAAAGACATTATTATGGACAATAACTCCAACAGGTGGAAACATATGAAATATCTTTAAAGCCATAAGTTCATAATGATAATTAAACAAACAAGCAACACAGTGGTGACCTTTGGAGGATGCTAGGTAACTACAATATTACTCTGTAAACTGTAAAGAGAAAGAATCAAGAAAAAAAAAAAGCGCTATACCACTGCCACAAAAAGAACACACACAACTTTCCCATAGGAGCACTAGCAGGAGGAGATACCTAATCCAGTTTTCAGGGGATTATGAAAGATATCCGTGAGGGGAAGATGCCAGCTTTGAGTTTTAAGGAGCAACTTCAGTTAAAAAAAAAAAAAATTAAAAGCATAAGTGGGCAGTCTAAACACTAAGGTGAAAAATAGCATGGGAAGACTTCAAACAGTTTTATTTGGAGGGATGGTGTTAGAAGGTAAGAAAAGTTGAAGGCTGAAAGGGGTAGGCAATGAGGCTACAAAGCTAACTGGAATTAGACCAGAAAAATCGTTATAGGCCTTGCAAAGAGTTTATACCACATATGAAAGAAAGGCTTTGACGAGTGTTAAAAAGATAAGTGACAAGGTCAAATTTTTGTTTAAGATAAATCACTCTGGTGGATGTGAGAAAAAATATTTAACTGGCACAAGAATGAAAGAGTAATGAAGGTAGGGAGATCACAACAGATTTGAGAAATATTTAGAAGACAAAAGCAGTAACAGAATGGTGACTAGAGGAAAAAATTTACAGGGAACTTTATGTGAGTTCCTGTAACACTTTCAAGGTAATTCTACTGTAGCATTTACCATAAAGCATAATAGTTACTTGTTTACATCTTGGCTCCCCCATGATGCAGAGTTTCCTAAAGATAAGAACTCCGTGGGGCTGGGTAAGGTGGTTCACACCTGTAATCCCAACACTCTAGGAGGCAGAGGCTGGAGGATAACTTGAGCTCAGGAGTTTGAGCCCAGCCTGGGCAACATGGAGAAACTCCATCCCTACAGAAAATTTTTTTAAAACTAAGCGGGGATGGTGGCTCACTCCTGTAGTCCCCAGCTACTTGGAAGGCTGAGGTAGGAGCCCAGGATGTTGAAGCTGCAGTGAGCCATGATCGTGCCACTGCACTCCAGCTTGGGCGACAGAGTAAGAACCTATCTTCCAAAAAAAAAAAAAAACAAAACAAAACAGGGAACTCAGTGCCTGATACATAGTAGGCACATCATAAATGTTATTTAAACATAAATGCGTGTAAATCCTATCAGGACATGATTTTTTGGAAAGAGAAAGTCTTGGTTAAAAAAAAAAAAGTCTTTAATAATCCATGTGTAATAAACTTTAGCTTTAGAACTACACTGAGACCAGGTGAGGTGGACAGGGAAGAAAAAAAAAATCTTTAATCCTAAAAATCAATCTCTATAGGTAAAACTAAATGTACTGAATTTTCCTTATATGAAATCAATGTAAGGAGGTTCTACCTAGTAATTTACTCCTTGGTTTTCTACCAGTAAATAAAAATGAACCATATAATAAAGTGTCACAGTGGACAAAACAGCAGTAATTAGAAATACACCCTGCTGCCTACCATTTTGAGATTGGAAAAATAAGACGTCATTCCTCTGATTCCCCAAAGCTGTAAAAGAAGTACATTTTAATAAGGCTACCTTACTAACTAGCTCTTTATATACCATCCTACTTCATTAGAGATTACACTATCCCCCTTCTCCACAAACTAGGTAAACCAGAACTCTTTGTAATTCGAATCCATCACAGGGGTAGAGAAAAAGACACCAAAAACAGAAAGCAAACTAAAGCAAGACTTCACTTAAAATGGCCAGGCAAATATATGCCAATAAGGATATTGATTCAGGGCAAAAGTTCAAATGGGAAACTTTTAGGTTGTATATCTTCAGCATTTTATTCTCTGTGAATCAATCCTTGGTGCTGAATCTACAGCTTTTATTTGAATAAACTCTATGGTCCATTAGGCAAAGAGCAATTTAGCTTCTAAGTTTACCTGTTAAATGGCATTTATGTCATTCTTTGTAGAACTGTAAACATACAGCAGGTTAACTACAGTGTTTTAGTCACTCCCAGGCCTTTCAAAGTTGGTACATTTGCCTAATTTTAGGCTGCCAACAGTAATCTACTACTTTATTTCACCATCATGTCTGTTGCTATGGTTAAAAATAAACTGACTGCAAGACACTTGGAATATAACCGGCAAATATTATATCATTGATGAACATCTCTGTTTTAAACCTATTCATCAAAAAATGAAAAAGATTCCAGGCTAGTTTTCCAGTAAGTCATAAAATATTTTTCTTTCCAATACCCCACAGGTATAAGAAGCTTTATTCAATAAAGAACTTCAGCTCTATTCAAATAGCATCATTTCTTGGATCTCCTCATACCTGTGTAAACTACTACTTTAATTTTTAGGTGCTGTATCTGGCAACCGCTACAGGCCAATGATTGCTTCCTTTTAACGGAAAAACTATTCCTTTTATCCAAAAAAAGTCATAAGCAAATGACTGCAGTATTTCAAATAAATTATATACTATATAGAAATTCCTAGTCTTGATGTACCAAGGTATTTGCAAAACAAAAACCAAAAACATTCTATTATGAAACACTTAACTTCTAAAGAGAACAAATATAAAATAAATGTTAAAAATGTAGAAATGTATGTATTATAGTGCCTTAACACTGTAAAAAAGACATTTCAAAAACCTTAAAGAATTTTCTACTGATAATGTTTTTATGAACTCAGTACTTTTATACTAAGGAGAACTATAGATGGATCCCCTTGGAGTCTATAAACATTACTGTGTAGAAGCCTAAAAAGGTACTGCTAGGGAAGAGTGAAAGGTATTTTTTTCTATTTTTCCTTCTTTTTTTTTTTTTTGAGATGGAGTTTCGCTCTTGTTGCCCAGGCTGGAGTGCAATGGCACGATCTTGGCTCACTGCAACCTCCGCTTTCCAGGTTCAAGCGATTCTCCTGCCTCAGCCTCCTGAATAGCTGGGATTACAGGCATGCGCTACCACACCCAGCTAATTTTGTATTTTTAGTGGAGACGGGGTTTCTCCATGTTGGTCAGGCTGGCCTTGAACTCTCAACCTCAGGTGATGCACCTGCCATGGCCTCCCAAAGTGCTGGGATTACAGGCATGCACCACCACAGCTGGCTAATTTTTGTATTTTTAGTAGAGACGAGGTTTCACCATGTTGGCCAGGCTCTTCTCAAACTTCCGGCCTCAAGTGATCTGCCCACCTTGGCCTCCCAAAGTGCTGGAATTACAGGCATGAGCCACTGTGCCTGGCCTATTTACCTACAATTCTGCAAACTGATTAAACAACAAATCAAGATAAGGCTAAACTGAGAACTCACAATAAAGGACAGATCTATCACAATGTATTATAACCAAAGTCATAATAGACAATAACCACCACAAATCAGGAAAATATTAGAAAATGGTCATTTCTACTCTATTTGCAGTGTTAAAGGAAAGAGTCAAAAGTAAAAGAAAATTTGATCATTTAAAAAAAAATACCCAGAAAATTCACCACGTAGGATAGTGCATTCCTCAAAATTACCATGTAGAATTAAGTGTAAGATATAACTGAAACTATATCTGCCTTTATAGCTATCTATTCTATCCACTTTTTAATGCATCATTTGTTTTGTTCCTTCCTAAAACACCCCTCTTTACCATGAAAACAAAGTACTTCAAAGGATCCCAGATAAAGAATGACACACCCTAAGGAAAAAATTGTGTTAGAAATTAAAGCAAACAATAAAAATAAATAAATAAAAATAAAAAAAGAAATTAAAGAATAAGGGAGAGAGCAATTAAATGTAAGTACATAATTTTCAAAAATACAAAGGAAAACTGACCACTTCTAATGGTGTTTTTCCATTTTAACTGATATAGAAATGTCCAATTTAAGAGAACAATTAAGGCCAGGTAAGGTGGCTCATGACTGTAATCCTAACAATTTGGGAGGCCGAGGTGGGAGGATAACGTGAGCCCAGGAGTTCGAGACCAGCCTGGGCAGCAGAGTGAGACCCCATCACTACAATACACAAAACAAAAAATTAACAGGGCATGATGGCACGTCCCTATATGGGAGGCTGGGGTGGGAGGATTGCTTGAGCCGAGGAGGTCAAGGCTGCAGTGAACCGTGATTGTGCCACTGCACTCCAGCCTGGGTAACAGAGTGAGAGCCTGCCTCAAAAAAAAAGAGCAATTAACAAAAACCTTTAATTTAACATTTGATTAATAACAACAGTCTATATTTAGCAAAAGTGAACAGAAGGGAGAGGAAGTGCTATAGCAGTATTTATTGAATACCTACTATACACCAAGCACTGTACTTGGTGTTTATATATGTTGTGTCATTTAATCATCACAGCAATTTTAAAAGGATTCTTATCTCAATATTACAGATAAAGAAACCAAGGCTTAGGAAAGTTAAGAAACTCACCCAAAGTTGCTAAATAAAAATAAAACCAGCTAACCTAGGACAGCCAAATATGTCCTCTAGTACATAATCACTTTAAATTGTTGTGTATAATTAGCCCCAAATACAAAATCCTGTAGCCTCAAAGACAGGAATGGCTTTTCGGTAGCCTGTAGCAGTTATAGAAAAAATAATATTCTCATACATTTGATTTCAATAAGAGTATAAATTTTTTAAACTGCACATGTCGACTCAACTGCTCCAATTTTATAACAAAAACAACAGATTAATATTTTATACACATCTAAATGTAAACTTTTATATTCAATGTTTTTTGGTCCCAATAGAGACAATCAGCATTTTAAGAGACAATCAATAATTTATCACAAAGTAGGTTTGACAATCCTCCAAGATTAGGACATTGAGAAATATACACTCTGGTTTAACTTACATGCAGTTTTTTAAAAGTGAAAGAATGTTATTATTATTTATAATAAGTAAGAAAGGAAACCTCATAACTGTTAGGTTAAACAACCCAAATATCTATTTAATAAGAACTGAAAGCAGAAAATTGTGCTTAATTTTGCATAAACGTATTCCTTAACACTTCATATAAGAGGAGCTAGGTACCAGGCATGGTGGCTCACACTTGTAATTCCAGCACTTTGGGAGGCCAAAGCAGGAGGATTGCTTCAGCCCAAGAGTTCAAGGCCAGCCTGAGCAACACAGTGAGACAGGGTCTCATTGTAAATTAAAATAAAAAAATTAGCCAGGTGTGTTAGTGCATGCCTATAGTCATAGCCTCAGCTACTCCAGAGGCTGAGGCGGGAAGATCGCTTAGGCCTGGGAGGTTGCGGCTGCAGTAAGCTGTGATTGTGCCACTGTACTCCAACACAGGTAACACAGAGAGACCCTGCTTCAAAAAAAAAAAAAAAAAGAAGAAAGAAAGAAAAGAAATTCTCACTTCCTGTTTTGCAAGGTATCTTTAAGGAATGAAAAATTTTTTTTAAAAAAAGAGGACCTAGGTGTTCGACAATCGTAACTTTTAAGAACATGAAGAAAATATTTGGGATCCTGACCTTCTCTTACTCAGTTCTTCACTGGTGGTCTACGATACAGCTACACAGATGGAAATAAAGCTACACATCTCCACACGAAATCCATTAAAACCAGTAAATATACTTCAGTTATCCTTCAGTAGTAGGTTGAATAGTGTCCCACAAATATTCACATGCACCGGAACCTCAGAATAGTTCCTTATTTGGAAATAAGGTCTTTGCAGATGTAATTAGTTAAGGATCTCAAGATAAGATCTTAACTTAGATGAGACTTAAATCCAATGACTACTGTCCTCATAAGAAAAGGAGAGAACACAGAAAGAGTGTGAAGAAGGCAATGTGAAGATTGAGGTGAAGATTGGAATGATGAATCTACAGGCCAGGGAACAACAAGGATTGTTCACTAGAAGTTAGGAGAAAGCAGAGAACAGTTTTTCCCTCACAGTCTCTCTCCAGAAGGAACCCATCCTTGCTGACACCTTGATTTTGGACTTCTGGACTCATGAATGGTGAAAAAAATAAACTTCTATTGTTTTAAGTCACCCAGTTTGTGGTCATTTGTTATGAAAGACATAGAAAACCAATATAACTTCTTATATCTTGTTATAACCACTGAGTTAATTTATTTCATTATCACAATAAATTAAACCATGAGACTATATACAGAAGCACTCTTGGGAAAAATGCTATTTAAATGTATGGTGGTACTCTAACATCATCATCATTCCTGTCATTGTTAAATCAACACATATGTATCTGTAATACTAACCCTATCTTTAAAAAAAAAAAAAAAAGTGTATACTTCTCCAAAGACAGAGACATCAGAGGTCACCTAAAAACAAACAAACAAACAAAAAAAACCTCTCAAATTAAACAAATGAGTTACATCAAAGTCTCTTCGGTCTGTTTCTCAAAGAAACTTTAGGACAGGAAGACCAGTGGCCTAAAAGTCAGCAGACCTTAGTTTTGGTTTTAATCACTAATTCATGATCAAGTTATTAACTTCTAAGGGTGTCCGATTTCTTGCCTATAAAGCAAAAAGTTTAACAGGAACTAGATAACCTCTAAAGTCAAACCCTCAACTATCACATAGTATAGTTTCTTTTTTCCTTGTAAACAAATAAAACTAAAACCCAAATTATTTAGGCTACAGATACCCAAACTGGAGACAGTGTGTAGGAGGAAAATTAAGAACTTCATAACCAAAATAGGGAAGAAAAATCCTAAGTGAAAAGGCAAATGTTACAGCAACTAAACTAACCTATCTATTTCTGCTAGGATAAGTCTTATTTTTGGCAAGTAAGTGACATTAAAGAGGAAGAGATGGAAAACATGATCAGTGACTGAAGCAAGCAAAATTGAGGTTTATAAGTGCTATTTAATCATGATTTTGCTGTATGCATGTTAGACAACAAACACCAACTAAATACCCACTTTTCTACCTTTGGATATTAGAAGTCTAGTATTTCAGATTTTTCATTTACAAGAAATTTTAAGCCTCATGAGAATTTTTTTAATCCATGAAATAAAGTACTCTGATAAGTTTAAGGAATATAAAGCAATAACTCTGGGTTGACAGCTGACCCATGTAACAATAATTAATCCTTAAATAAATATAAAAGACAGTGTTATCCCTTTATATACATGAACAAAGTGGAATTCAGAGAAATTAGGCAACTTATCCAAAGTTATACAGACTCTCAAGAACAAGGATTCAAATCTCTGCTTTCTAAAACCCAAAACCTGTGTTCTTGTTAACTACTAAGATACACTGCCTCATATGGTGGTTACCATCAGATGGTTGTGACGGAAGGTTTTTGATCTGAGCCATATTTTACACAGGTGTTCAGCTGGTAAAAATTCATCAGGCTGATTTATATTTCATGTGATTTTCTGAATATATACTGTTACTTCTTTAAAAATTAATACGTGTTTGTATATACATACTCCTTCCATGTTTTAGTCAGGGCTCTTAAAAAAAATCCAATTCAAACTAGCTTCAACAAAGGGAGAATTCCTTAGCGGATAATGGCTGAACTACTCAAAGCTTGGGGCAAAGCTAATCTCAGGGTAGAGAGAATCCAAAGACCAGAGTACCATGATGGCCTGTGGTTGTCTCTTTTTCCTATTCATGACCTCTGGGGCTATCTCATTTCCTCCTTCTTTCCACAACTTTCTCCAATACAGTAACACATCTAGAGGTAGCTCCAGACTTTCATCCTTGTTAACTCCCCCATGAAAGAAGCAAGAGTCTTTCCTATCAGCTCTAATTTTTGAAAAGTTTATGAAAGGACAGCTTAGGTCACTGCGCATACCTGGACTGATCACTGTGGCCAAGGGGATGAAGAACCATCTCTGGCCTTGCCTTAACCACATACCCACCAGTTTGGCCAGATCAAAGGAAGAGTATTAGTAGCAAAAACATGGTCATTAGAGATATTCTTAAGTACTGAAAGATACTCTAATTTGTCATCTGTTATATTGCAAGTCATAAGATAATTACTATTATTATTTTTAAGAGTGATAAAGTCATCCCTCAGTATCTGTGGGGGATTAGTGCCAGGAACACTTGCAGATATCAAAATCCATGAATGCTCAAGTCCCTTATAGAAGATGGTGTAATATGTGCATATAACATATGCACATCCTCTCATATACTTTATATAATCTCTAGATTATTTATAATACCTAATACATTATAACTGTTCTGTAAATAGTTGTTATACTGTATTGTTTAGGGAATAACGGCAAGGAAAAAAAAGTCTGCACATGCTCAGTACAAACAAAACCACCCATTTTTAAAAAATACTTTTAAGCCAGGTATGGTAGCTCACACCTGTAATCCCAGGACTTCGAGCCTAGGAGTTCAAGACCAGCCTGGGGAATATAGCAAGACCCCATCTTTACAAAAAATTAAAAAATGATCTGGGTGTGGTGGTGCGTGCCTGTAGTCCCAGCTACTTGGGAGGCTGATGTGGGAGGATCATTTGAGTCCAGAAGTTCTAGGTTACAGTGAGATATGAGCACACCACTGTACTCTAGCCTGGGAGACAGAGCAAGGCACTGTCTCTAAAAATAAATAAATAAATAAGTAAAAATTTTTAAAAATTTATTTTTGATTCACAGTTGCTTGAATCCACAGATGTGGAGCCCACAGACCTGGAGGGCTGACTGTACTTCATATTTATTGACAATTTATAAACCACTTAAACATTTATTTTTATTTTTTAGAGATGAGGGTCTTGTTATGCTGCCCAACCTGGACTCAAAATGTTGGACTCAATCAATGCCTCAGCTTTGTAAGTAGCTGGGTGTGCACACTATAGGTGTGCAACATCACACCTGGTAAAAAAAACTTTCAAGAAATCATATTTAGGTTATTGGAGCAAGATGGTCAAATACAAACCTCTAGCAATCATGCTACCAGAAGAAACACCAAATTGAACAAACTACACAAGAAAGCACCTCTATAAAAACCAAAAATCAGGTGAGTAAACAAAGTACTTTGTTTTAACCCTTATCAAGGAAAGACACACTGAAAAGGGTAGGAAAGACAGTCTTGAATTGTCAACACCACCCCTCCCACATTCCCAGCAGCAGCCACGTGGTGTGGACAGAGTATATCAACGTGCTTGGGGGACAGAAAGTGTAGTGATTATGAGACTTTGCATTGGAACTCGGTGCTGCCCTGTCACAGTGGAAAGCAACATGGGGCAGAATTCAGCTGGTGCCCCTGGAGGGAGCATTTAGACCAGTCCTAGGCAGAGGGGTATCATCCAGCCAAGCAGTCAGAAACTGCGTTCCGGCTAGCCCTACCACCACAGGTTACCGCCTTCTGTGGCCCTAAATAAACTTGAAAGGCACTCTAGGCCACAAGGACTGCAATTCTTAGGCAAGTCCTGGTACTGTGCTGGGCTCAGAGCCAGTGGACTTGGCGTGCATGCAACCCAGTGAGATAGCAGCTGGGGCAGCCAAGAGAATGCTTGCACCACTCCTTCTCCAACTCCAGGGAGTGCAGCTCACAGCTCTGGGAGAGACTCCTTCCTTCCATTTGGGGAGAGGAGAGTGAAGAGTAAGGAGGACTAAGAAGACTTTGTCTTGGAACTTGGATAGCAGGTGAGCCACAACAGAATAGGGCACTGGGCAGAGTCCTGAAGTGCCCATTCGAGGCTGTAGCTCTCAGACAACACTTCTAGACACCCTGGGACAGAAGGGAACCCACTGCCTTGAAGAGAAGGACGCAGCCATGGCATGATTCATCACCTGCTGACTAAAGACCCCTTGGGTCTTGAATACACATAAGTGGTACCCAGGCGGTACTCACTGCAGGTCTTGGGTGAGACCCAGGGTCCTGCTGGCTTTGGGTGTGACCCAGCACATTCTCAGCTGTGATGGCTACAAAGAGTGATTCCTTCTGCTTAAGGAAGAGAAAGGGGGACTTCGTCTTGCAGCTTGGGCACCAGCTCAGCCACAGTAGGGTAGAACACCAGGCAGGCTCCTGGGTTCCTTGATTCCAGGCCTTGGGTCCTGGTCAGCATTTCTGGACCCAGCATGGGCCAGAGCAAAGCCTGCTGCCCTGAACAGAGAGAACAGGCCTGGCATTACTCACCAAACACTGAATGAAGAGCCCTTGGTCCTTGAGTGAACACTGGCAGTAGCCAGGCAGTACTTGCTGTGGGCCTGGGGCGGTGGTGGCCACAGAGAGAAACTCCTACATGAGCAAAGGAGAAAGAAGAGTGCAAAAAACTTTGTCTTGTGGCTTGGGTGCCAACACAACTGCAGCAGAATACAGCATGGAGTAGATTTCTAAGATTCCTGACTCCAGGCTCTGGCTCCTGGATGGCATTTCTGTACCTGCCCTGGGCTGGGGTTGGGGGGTACGGGGAGTAGGGCAGGGGAGCTTGATGCTCTGGAGGGAAGGACGCAAGCCTAGCTGGATTTACTACCTGCTGACTGAAGAGCTCTTGGGCCTTGAGTGAATGTTACTGATAGCCCAGGTAGTAGTCGCTGTAGGCCTTGGGCAAGACACAGTGCCATATTGGCTTCAGGTCTAACCTGCACAGTCCTAGTAGTGGTAGCCAAAGGGGTGCATGCATCACCCTTCCCCCAGCTCCAGGCAGCTCAGCAGACAGAGAGACTCCATTTGTTTGGTGAAAACTAAAGGAAAGGAAGAGACTCTCCCTGACAATCCAGGGAGTCTTCCCAGTTCTTACTGAAGACAACCAAAGCAGTACCTGCACAAGTTTGCAAGAGTCACAGCATTACCAAGCTTGGGTTGCCCCCTGATGCAGACATGGCTGCAGTGACCAAAGATTTAGATCACAAAACTAAATTCCCTTTGAATACTTGGAAATCCTTCCCAAGAAGGATAGGTACAAACAAACCCAGGATACAAAGAATACAATAAATACCTAACTCTTCAATGTCCAAACATCAATGAACACCCACAAACATCAAGACCATCCAGGAAAACATGACCTCACCAAATGAACTAAATAAGGCACCAGTGACCAATTCCCGAGTAACAAAGGTATGAGACCATGAAGACAGATAATTCAAAATAGCTATTTTGAGGAAGCTCAATGAAATTCAAGATAAAAGAGAGAAGGAATTTGGAATCCTATTAGAAAAATTTAACAATAAGATTGAAATAATTTTAAAATGTTAATCAAATTCTGGGGCTTCAAGATATACTGGTTGACTTTAAAAAAAAGAAAGAGAGAGAGAGAAAAAAAAATCTAGAGCTGAGTGGCCAGGCACGGTGGCTCATACCTGTAATCCCAACACTTTGGGAGGCCGAGGTAGGCGAATTGCTTGAGCTCAGAAGTTTGAGACCAGCCGGGGCAACATGTTGAAACCCTGTCTCTACTAAAATACAAAAAATTAGCTGGGCATGGTGGTGCACACCTGTAGTCCCAGCTACTCAAGAGGCTGAGGCACGAGAATTGCTTGAACCAAGGAGGCAGAGGCTGCAATGAGCTGAGATCACACCACTGCACTCCAGCCTGGGCAACAGAGCAAGACTCTGTCTCAAAAAAAAAAAAATTCCAGAGCTGAAAAATTCAACTGACATACTGAAGAAAACATCAAAGTCTGTCAACAGCAGAACTGATCAAGCAGAAAAAAGAATTAGTGAGCACACTATTTGAAAATACAGTCAGAAGAGACAAAAGAAAAAAGAATAAAAAAGAATGAAGCATGGCTATAAGATCTAGAAAATACCCTCAAAAAGGCAAATCTAAGAGTTACTGACTTTAAAAAGGAGGCAGAGAGAGAGATATTGGGGTAAAAAGTTTACTCAAAGAGATAATAACAAATCTAGAGAAAGATATCAATATTCAAGTATAAGAAGGTCGTAGAACAACAAGCAGATGTAACCCAAAGAAGACTACCTCAAGGCATTTAATAATCAAACTCCTGAAGGTCAAGAATAAAGAAAGGAGCCTAAAACTGGCAAAAGAAAAGAAACAACATGCAATGGAGCTCCAATACATCTGGCAGCAGACTTCTCAGTGGAAACCTTACAGGCCAGGAGAGAGTGGCATGACATATTTAAAGTGCTGACGGAAAAAAACTTTTATCCTTTAATAGTATATCCAGGAAAAATATCTTTCAAACATGAAGGAAAAATACTTTCCTAGACAAACAAAAGGTGAGAGATTTCATCAACACCAGATCTGTCCTTCAAGAAATGCTAAAGGGAGTTCTTCAATCTGAAAGGAGGTTAAAAAGCAATAAGAAACATCTGAAGGTACAAAACACACTGGTAATAGTTAAGTACACAGACAAACACAGAATATTGTAACACTGTATTTGTGATATATAAACCACTCACATATTGAGTAGAAAGACTAAAAGATGAACGTATTAAAACTAACAACTACAACAACTTTTTAAGATAAAGACAGTATAAAAAGATATAAATAGAAACAACAAAAAGTTAAAAAGCAAGGGGCATTTGCTTGTTAGTTTTTGCAATCGGTATTAAGTTGTCATCAGTTTAAAACAATGGGTTATGAGATGTTACTCACAAGCCTCATGATAACCTCAAATCAAAAAACCTACAACAGATACACAAAAAATAAAAAGCAAGAAATCTAATTTTTCTATTTTTAGTAGAGATGGGGTTTCACCATGTTGGCCAGGCTGGTCTTAAACTCCTGACCTCAAGTGATCTGCCTGCCTCAGCCTCCGAAAGTGCTGGGAATACAGGCGGGAGCCACCATGCCCAGTCAAAAATAACTTTAAAAAATTAGCCAGGTGGGTGGCACATGCCTGTGGTCCCAGCTACTCAAGAGGCTGAGGCAGGAGGATTGCTTGAGCCCAGGAATTCAAGGCTGCAGTGAGTTATGATTGTGCCACTGCACTGCAGCCTGGGCAACAAAGCAAGGCTATCTCACACACACACACAAAAAAACCTTTGGAAACTACACAAACACATGGAAATTAAACAATATGCTCCTGAATTACCAGTGAATCAATGAAGAAATGAAGAAGAAAATTTAAAAAATTATTGAAACAAATAAAATAGAAATACAACATACTAAAACTTATGAGATACAGTGAAAGCAGTACTAAGAGGAAAGTTTAATCCTCTTTAATCCAATCAGCCCCTATATCAAAAAAGTTGAAAAACTCAAACAACCTAACAGTGCATCGTAAATAACTAGAAAATAAAAGCAAATCAAACCCAGAATCAGTAGTAGAAGAAAATAAATAATAAAAGTTCAGAGCAGTAATCCCAGCACTTTGGGAGGCCAAGGCAGCCAGATCACTTGAGCTCAGTAGTTCAAGACCAGCCTGCATAACACAGTGAGATCTGTCTCCAAAAAAAAAAAAAAAAATCAGAGCAGAAATAAATGAAATCGAAACCAAAAAATACAAAAGATCAATGAAATAAGTTTGTTTTTTGAAAAAATAATCAACAAACCTTTAGCCACACTAAGAAAAAAAGAAGACACAAATAAATATAATTAGAGATGAAAACGGACATATTATAATGGACTCTACAGAAATTCAAAGGATTATTAGAGACTGCTATGAGCAACTATATGCCAATAAATTGGAAAACCTAGAAGAAATGGACAAATTCCTAAACACAGACAAGCTACCAAAACTGCACCATGAAGAAATCCAAAATCTGAACAGACCAATAATAAGTAATGAGATCAAAGCTGTAATAAAAAGTCCCCCAGCAAAGAAAAGCCCAGGACCCAATGGCTTCACTGCTATACTTTACCAAACATTTAAAGAACTAATACCAATCCTTCTCAAACTATTCTGAAAAGTAGAAAAAGAGGGAATACTTTCAAATTCATTTTATGAGGCCAGTATTACTCTGATACCCAAACCAGACAAAGACATATCAAAAAAAGAAAACTATGGGCCAGTATCCCTGATAAAGACAAAAATCCTCAACACAATAGCAAACCGAATACAATAACACATTAAAAAGATCATTCATCATGACCAAGTAGGATTTATCTATGGATGCATGATGGTTCAACATATGCAAATGAATCAATGTCATACATCATATCAACAAAATGAAGGACAAAATCAATCAACATCCCTTCATAATAAAAACACTAAAAAAACTGGGTATAGAAGGAACATACCTCAACACAATAAAAGCCATATATGATGGATGCATTGCTGGTATCAAACTGATTAGGGAAAAGCTGAAAGACTTTCCTCAAAGATCTAAAACACAACAAGGATGACCATTTTGTTTTTTTCCCCCCAAAGCCCCCACATTCTGGGAAGAAAACAGATCACTTTTCTTTTTTTTTTTTTTTTTTTGAGACAGGGTCTCACTCTGTGAACTAGGTTGGTGTGCAGTGGCACAATCATGGCCCACTGCAGCCTCAATCTCCTGGGCTCAAGTGATTCTCCTGCCTCTACCTCCCAAGTAGTTGCAACTACAGGTGTATGCCACCATGCCTGGCTTATTTTTTCTCTATTTTTTTTAGAGACGAGGTCCCACTATGTTGCCTGGCTGCTCTTGAACTCCTGGGTTCAAGAGACCCTCCTGCCTTAGGGTGTGAGCCATCGTGCCTTTTTTTTTTTTTTTTTTTTTTTTTGAGACAAGGTCTTGCTTTGTCTTTCAGGCTAGAGTGCAGTGGTGGCACAAACATGGCTCACTGCAGCCTCAATTCTAGGGCTCAAGTGATCCTCCCACCTCAGCTTCCCAAGTAGCTAGAAATAAAGGGGCATGCCACCACACCTGGATTTTTTTTTTTTTTTTTTAAATTTTGTAGAGACAGGGTTGAGCCATGTTCCCCAGGCTGACATTGAACTCCTGGCTTCAAGCAATTCTCCCACCTCAGCCTCCCGAAGTTCTGGGATTGCAGGCATGATCCACCATGCCCAGCCACTGCCCACTTTCACCAATGTTATTCAACACGGCAATGGAAGTCCTAGCTAGGGCAATCAGACAAGAAGGAAATACAAGGTATCCAAATTGGAAAGGAAGAAGTCCAATTATCCTTGTTTACAGATGATATGATCTTTTACTTGGAAAAACCTAAAGACTGCACCAAAAATCTATTACAACTGATGAACAAATTCAGTCAAGTTGCAGAATGCAATCAACATAAAAAAATCAGTAGCATTTCTATATGCCAACAGTGAACAATCTGAAAGAGAAATCAAGAAAGTAATCCCATTTACAATAGCTGCAGATAAAATAAGATACCTAGGAATAAACTTAATCATGCAAATGAAATGTCTCCACAATGAAAACTACAAAACACTGATGCAAAGAATTAATATTGTTAAAACGTGCATACTACCCAAAGCAATCTACAGATTCAATGTAGCACTATCAAAATGCCAATGACATTCTTCAGAGAAATAGAAAAAATAATCCTAGAATTTAATTTATTTGGAACCACAAAAGACCAAGAATAGTCAGACATTCTGAGTGAAAACAACAAAACTGGAGGAATCACATTGCATGACTTCAAATTATACTACAGAGCTATTATAACAAAAACAGCACAGTGGCTGGGCACAGTGGCTCACGCCTGTAATCCTAGCAACTTAGGAGGCCGAGGTGAGTGATCACCTGAGGTCAGTTCAAGACCAGCCTGGCCAACTGATGAAACCCCGTCTCTACTAAAATAAATAAATAAATATATATATATATAAATTAGCCAGGCATGGTGGCGCATGCCTGTAATCCCAGCTACTCTGGAGGCTGAGGCAGGAGAATCACTTGAACCCAGGAGGCAGAGGTTGCAGTAAGCCGGGATCACGCCACTACATTCCAGCCTGGGCGACAGAGGGAGACTCCATCTCAAAAAAGCAAAAACAAAACAAAAAAAACTCCAGCATGGTACTAGCATAAAAACAGACATGAAGATCAGTGGAACACAATAGAAGCCCAGAAACAAATCCATATATCTACAGTAAGCTCATTTTCAACAAAGGTACCAAGAACATCACGATGGATGTTCTCTTCAACAAATGGTGAAAGTAGTCTCTTCAATAAATGATGCTGGGAAAACTGGATATCCCTATGCAGAAGAATGAAACTAGACTCCTATCTCTCATCATATACAAAAATCAAATCAAAATTGATTAAATATTTAAATCTAAGACTTTAAACTATGAAACTACTACAAGAAAACATTGGGGAAACTCTCCAAGATAATGGACTGGGCAAAGGTTTCTTGAGTAATACTACCAAAGCACAGGCAACCAAAGTAAAAATGGACAAATGCAATTACACCAAGTTAAAAAGCTTCTGCAGAGCAAAGGAAAATATCAACAAAGAGACAACCTACAGAATGATAGAAAATATTTGCAAACTACCCATCTGACAATGAATTAACAACCAGAATATACAAGGAGCTCAAACAACTCTATAGGAAAAAAATCTAATAATCCATTTTAAAAATGGGCAAAAGGTCTGAATAGACATTTCTCAAAAGAAGACACACAAATGGCAAACAGGTATATGAAAAGGTGCTTCACATCATGGATCATCAGAGAAATGCAAATCAAAACTACAGTGAGATATCATCTTACCTCAGTCAAAATGGCTTTTCTCCAGAAGACAGGCAACAACAAATGCCGGCAAGGATGTGGAGAAATGGGAATCCCTGTACATCGTTGACAGGAATGCAAATTAGTACAGCCACTATGGAGAACAGTACGGAGGTTCCTTGAAAAACTAAAAATAGAACTACCATATGATCCAGCAAGCCCACTCCTAGGTATATACCCCAAAATAGGAAATTAGTATACTGAAGAGATATCTGCACTCCCATGTTCACTGCAGCAATATTCATGATAACCAAGATTTGGAACCAACCTAAGTGTCCATCAATGAATGAATGGATAAAGAAAATTGGTACATATACACAATGGAGTAGTATTCCGTCGTAAGAAAGAATGAGATCCCGACATGTGCAACAACATGAATGGAACTGGAGGACATTATATTAAGTGAAATAAGCCAGGCACAGAGAGACAAACTTCACAGGTTCTCACTAATTTGTGGGAGCTAAAAATTAAAAGAATTGAACTCATGAAAATGTAGAGTAGAGTGATCATTACCAGAGGCTGGGAAGGGTAGTAGGGATGGGAAACAGAGATGGTTAATGGGTGCAAAACCACAGTTAGATAGAATGAATAAGATCCAGTACTTGATAGCATAACAGGGTGACTACAGTCAACAATAATTTACTCTACAATTTAAAATAACTAAAAGGGTATAATTAGAATGTTTGGAACACAAAGAAATGATAAATGCTTGAAGTGATGGATACTCCATTTACAGTGATGTGATTATATGTTTGTATCAAAATATCTCATGTACCCCACAAATATTTAAACCTACTATGTACCTATAAACATGAACATAGATTTAAAAATCATATTTAAAGTTGACTTATTCTGTCACAACCTGTGTGATTCATCCAAGGGAAGCATTACTATCTGCAGCTTACAAAAGAAAAAACTAAGGCTCAGAAAAATTAAATAACATGTTCAATATCATAAGCTGGTAAATGTCACAAAATCAAATAGAGGTCGCGATGCTATACACAGTGCTCTTTTAACCTTATCATACTATAAAGCATGGTAGTTTAAAATTACATTCAAGAAAAGGACATAAAAGTGAAAATGTAATAAGCGCATTTGTCTATGGTTCAGTACTTCTTTTTGGTAGATCTTAATTTTCTCTCTACTACTATAACCAGCCAAGGCAAGAGGACTGTATAGAAAGCCATACCCCATCAGAAAGCACTTCTGTGTATCACTTAGGATGCTTTCAGAAACAAGAAACTAAAAAACCCAACTTCAAATGACTGAAAAAATACAGAGATTTATTCTCTCATACAGTAAGAAATCCCAAATTAGGTCACTTTCAGAACTGATTAATTTTATGGTTCATAAAGTCCTAAAAAGCTCAAGTTTTCTTTCCATCTTTCATTTCTGACATCCTCAGCCTATTAGAAAGCTCCTTTCATGGGAACTAAGTCACTATAAAAGCTTCAGGCTTGCAGGCTCATGCCTGCAATGTCGACACTTTGGGAGGCTGAGGCAAAAGGATCACTTGAAGCCAGGAGTTCAAGACCAACTTGGGCAACAGAGCAAGACCCAGCCTCTACAAAAAAGGAAGAAAACTACCTGGGCATGATAGTGCAAGTCTGTAGTCCCAGCTACTCGGAAGGCTGAGCAAGAGGACTGCTTAAGCCCAGGAGTTGGAGACTGCAGTAAGCCATGACTGTGTCACTGCACAACAGCCTGAGTGACAGAGCGAGATAGGCAGGAAGAGAAGGGAACGGAAGGGAAGGGGAGGGGAGGGGAGGGAAGGGGAAGGGAGGGGAAGGGAGGCGAGGGGAGGCGAGGGGAGGCGAGGGGAGGCGAGGGGAGGGGAGGGGAGGGAAGGGAAGGGAAACTAATTTCAGGCAACAGTGCCTCACCCACCAATGTCCCAAGACAGGAAGGCAACCCTCTATTTCATATCATTATACTGTGTTATTTAATATATGTAAAGCATTGAAAAAGTGGCACATAATAAGCATCACATAAGGTTTGCTATTATTATTATTGGTTGTTTTTAGGATGTGAGAGACTTTTCCCAGAAGGCTTCATTTCTCATTAGCCATAATTGGAATACATGCCCCATTCTATGCCAGTCACTGGCAAGGGAAACAGAATGCCATGATTGGGTTAGACTTATCAGGATTCACCCCCTCTGAGACTTCGGATACACATTCTTTGGCTGTAAGACCTGTGGAGAGGAATGAATTCCTTAACAAAATAGAGGCTCTTCCACCAGGAAAAAAGGTCAGGAATAATTTTGGGTAGGAAACCCCCATATGGCGGTCCTCCACACATCCTTTCTTCTCAAGGAGCTAAAAGAGAAGGGGTATGGAGGGACCTTGGGGCTTATTCTCACAACATGGAGAAAGGCATCTGTGATGGGAAGGAATAAGCCAACTCTAGAAAAGCAATAGGAAAAAAAGAGGCAGACGGACACATCTGATGGTGCTCTGGTCTTGGGATTAAGTAAACCCTGAGAAAAGCTTCACTACTCAGCACGGTTTAGCTTGAAAGCCAATAAATTTCCCCTTTAAGATAGTTTGAGTTAGATTTGTCTTACCTGCGAAAGAATCCAGGAGACTGATGGAGGAAGGATAATATTAAATGACTGCACATGGTTTTGGAGTTGAAAGCTGAGACTTAATACTTTTGAGCCATCTGTGCAATCTTAGGCAAGTTAGTACTCTGAAATGCCCTACACATACTTAAGTACACACACATACACACACACACGTGTGCATGCCCACACACACATTAACATGGCTGAACTTTACCAAAAAGGTGGAAAATTTAAAGTTCCCAACTATTTACAATTGATAGCAGTTACCAGTCAAGTTCATGTTACTCAGGCTAGTTTCTCATTTAAATTACTAAATGAATCCCAAAGCTGGCTCATATTTAAAGGCCATTAAACATATTCATTAGTTTTCTCATTGGCAACTGACTCCTTAAAGACAATGACCAAGATCTGTATCATACAGTTCTTCCTCAGCCCTATAAGCTAAATTCACTGTTTTACTATGACTATACAATGTTGCCAGTGCTTTTTTTCCCTTTTAAATTTGGGGAGTTTTTCTAAGCCACTCTTCTCTTATATATTTACCTAGTGAAAATAGAACCTCATTCTCTCATAATTTTATCTGCACAGTCACAGTGGAATCTTACAGGTCACTATATTGTTTAAAGGAATACTTAGTGTGTCAATTATCTTTCAATACATGTAATTTCAGGTCCCTATTTCAAATAACTTCCAAAAGATAAGTAACTCCATTCCCTCTCCTTGGAAATGAGAAACTAGATATATGAAAGCAGAGTATTTTGCCACAAAACACATTCAACAGCTCATTATTAACTAAAAACTATTCTGGTTTCTCCCCTGTTGTCATTCTTGTTGCATTAACAGTTCCTCCAAGTTAATAACTGAAAATTACTCTGGACCAACAGGAATTTTAAAATTATTCATAACTATGAAGGCTACAATAGGATAAAATGAAGTTTAAAATTGGATATTAAAGGACTTTTAAAATGTCAAAATAAACCATGCATAGAATAATTTATTTAGGCCGGGTGCAATGGCTCATGCCTGTAATCCCAGCACTTTAGGAGGCTACGGTGGGCAAATCGCATGAGGTCAAGATTTCGAGACCAGCCTGGCCAACACAGCAAAACCTCATCACTACTAAAAATACAAAAATTAGCTGGCCGTAGTAGCACCTGCCTGTAATCCCAGCTACTGGGGAGGCTGAGGCAGGAGAATTGCTTGAACCCAAGAGGCAGAGGTTGCTGTGAGCCAAGATCGTACCACTGACTCCAGCCAGGGTGAAAGAGTGAAACTCTGTCTCAACAAAAAAACAAAACAAAAGAATAACTTATTCAAAAATACTTGATAATTAAGTAGAATTTCTGTACGCATTTATAATAATTTCAAAGTTTGTTTTCATTTTCTCCTGGAAATTTCACATCTGATATTAGAGCTCATGTTCAAAAGAGTCTACAAATCAAGTGATGGTTTTTGGCCATTCAGTATTCAAATCATAAATATAAAAACGTCACAATTTTCTAGTGGAGAAAGGTGACTCTAAAGTGAGTTATGGTTGGGCACAGTGGCTCAGGCCTGCAATCCCAGCACTTCGGGAGTCCAAGGCAGGAGGATCGCTTGAGGCCAGAAGTTTGAGACCAGCCTGGGAAACATGGTGAAATCCCGTCAAAAAAATACAAAAGTTAGGTGGGTGTGGTGGCATGAGCCTGTAGTTCCAGCTACTTGGGGGGCTGAGGCAGGAGGATCGTTTGAGCCCAGGAGGTCGAGGCTGCAGTGAGCCGTGTTCACACCACTGCACTTCAGCCTGGGTGACAAAGTGAGACCCTCCCTCAAAAATAAAAAGAAGTGAGTTACTAACCAAACAAATATTCAAGAAAATGAAGATAAATGTTTTTGGTTTTTATTTACAAGGATACTACTCAGTATAAGCTGGATACTATTGAATGATAGTCACAAAATCAAAGAACATTATAATATTAAAACTTTTAAAAATCATATAATCCAGGACTTCTTAACCTGGGTTTTAAGACAGATGTGTTATTTTCTGTATATGTATATTGTATACATTTTTCTCAAAATATGATCCTTGGCTTTCAACACAAAGGGGTCCATGATTGAAAAGAGGCTGAGAACCATTAGCTAGTCAATGTAGAAAAGTGGAAATTGAGACTCAAAGAAATAAAGTTATTCACCTGTGGTTAAATAATCAGTAAGTACAGCTGCAGTTCTCCTGCCTTCATTTCACTGAAGTACAAATGCCTCTAAAAATTTTTTTTAGTAAGCATATATTTAAGAGAAAAACAGATCTGTGTGACCTAAGCCAGTGAGGGGAACCCTCAGGCTAATGATAAAAGAAAATACTAAGATGGCAGCCGGGAGACATGACTTAAGAACAATCTATTCAGTATGGACTAGATGAACAGAGAATTCTAGGAGAGTCAGTTCCAAGAAAGGAAAAAGGGAAGAGATAAACCTGAATATGACTGACTGCAATAAGAGAAGTGTTACAATTTCATCAGAGACTTAGAAAAAGAATTCGTAAAACCAAGCAAAGGGGAAAAAAAGTTACACAGATTGGAAATATTACAACATAACATATCTTTAAATGATACATACACAAACATAATAATGTAAGCACCAAATACTGATTTTACCAAAATTTGGAGTCACTGGGATGATAGAGGGGGGAAACTTAGGGGAAGCTTATAAAAAAGCTAAATCCTAATCATATAGTCAGAAGTCAACAAGTAACATCTACAATAAAATGACCAAGAAAAAACAAGGCAGGCATGCTTCAAAACATGAAATATCATTTTTAAAAATGGTGTTATTCAACAAAGGCTGTCTTAGAGTGTGGGTCAGCAAATCAAGGCCTACAGGTCAAATCTAGACCCTTGCCTGCTTTTGTAAATTAAGTTTTACTGGAACACAGCCATGCTCATTAATTTTATATAGTGTCTATGGCTGCTTTTGTGCTACAATGGCAAGGCAAGGTTGAGTGGTTGCAGCAGAGACCTATGACTCAAAACCTAAATTATTTACTATCTGGCCCTTTAAAGAAAAAGTCAGTCAATCCAATCCTAGTTTAGAATGTTGTACGACATTTTGTATCTCTGACTCCCACCCATAAATGCCAGTATTCCATCAAAAGTTATTAGGATGAGGAGTGGGAGAACTTTGGTTTCAGAACCAATGAGCTATAAAGACTTTAAAATGATTGCCTCTGGGGGAGCAAAACTCAAAGGTTAGGTAAGGATAGGGATGGATAGTATTGCAGGCTGCTTTTTTTTTGCAATAATCCTTGAAACACTAATCTTTCAAAGTATCACATGTATTTCTTCAATAAAATTAAATTTAAAAGCAAAAGGAAAAAAATAGAGCAAATCAAATCCAGTTAATGGTTCTGGCAACTCCCTAATTTATGTGATAAGCCTGGGCAACATGGCAAAACCCCGTCTCTACTAAAAATACAAGATCTAGCTGGGCATAGTGGCACATGCCTGTAGTCCCAGCTACTTGGGAGGCTGAGGTGAGAGGTTCACTTGAACCCAGGAGGTCAAGGCTGCGGTGAGCCGTGATTGTGCCACAGCACTCCAGACTGTGTTAACAGAGTGAGACCCTGTCTCAAAAATAAATAAATATATATATAATAGAATATGTGATTACATTTGCTAGTATATTTTATGACATTTCCTATAGTTGCTCTGGAGAATATTTTGGTTGCATGTATCCAAAGCTGTCAGGTAAATGACCCTTGGATAAGAGGGTCATTTCAATTACAGGGCTAACTTCAGTTACAGGGCTAACTGAATCTGAGTATAATATTTCAAACCCTCTGATCCCAAGAAAGGTCAATCAAGTATGTTCTATAAATGATCTTCAGTAAAGTCTAAAGTGTTTAATGTAAAAAGCCAAACAGAGAAAATGTTTATTACTCCCGTAGATAGAAATTAGGAAAGAGAAAAACTTTCAAAGATATAGACAGGAAAATTTTTAAAGTTTGTTTTGTTTTGTTTTCCTTAACTTACAATTTTCTTTAGCTCTTTAGCTAAGCAGACTGATTTTTAACTTGATTGGAAGTTTAAAAGTTTAAAAGGAGGCACTAACAAACACAAAAGACAATTAATAGTATATCAATATCAATACTTCCAATAAAGTACCTCATATGAAAAATATAATTGTATACCTATGGCATGTTCTACCCAGAAAACAAATAACACATCTAAAAACAGACCATAATCCCATGCCATCTACTAAGGGAGGTTTAGGTAGGAGGACCACATGAGCCCAAGAGGTTAAGGTTGCAGTGAGCCATGAGTGTGCAACTGCACTCAAGCCTGGGCAACAGAGTGAGATCCTGTCTCAAAAAATATTTTTAAAAAGGCCATATTCTTAGTTTGTCTAACTTTTAAAGTGTTTTAATTATCACTTATTTTCAATTGAACAAAACTTAAAAATCATCTGTTTGGCTGGGCGCGGTGGCTCAAGCCTGTAATCCTAGCACTTTGGGAGGCTGAGGCGGGCGGATCACCTGAGGTTAGGAGTTCAAGATCAGCCTGACCAACACGGCGAAACCCTGTCTCTACTAAATATACAAAAATTAGCCAGGCATGGTAGCATATGCCTGTAATCCCAGCTACTTGGGAGGCTGAGACAAGAGAATCGCTTGAACCCAGGAGGCAGAGGTTGCAGTGAGCCGAGATCGCGCCACTACACTCCAGTCTGGGTGACAGAGAGAGAGATTCCATCTCAAAAAAAAAAAAAAAAAAAAGTCTGTTTTTTCTCCTATATAAGAAAAGCTTTAAATGTATCATTATATTTTGTTAATAGAGACCTGAAGAATAAGGTATAAAAATGTTTTAAAATGTGAACACAAATATAATCCACTATGTACACAAAAGATCTAAGGTATTACACAAAACAACATAAATTTTAAAGAATATAAACAACACTCATTAGGAGCAAACAGTTTATTGTATTGTCAAAAAATGCCTATATTCTTTTGGACTTTATAAAGAAAAACATTACATTGGTAAAGCTTATTCTGAAATATATAAGATGATACAGCTATTTAAAGTAGGTACGACAATCCTAAAACATCAAAATAAACACTTTAATATTTCAGTTTGTAAAATAGAGTTCCCAAAACTTTATTTTACTGAAACATTCAGCTATTGAATTGTAACTTACAAGAAACAAATTAAAAACTATTGATATAAGTTATGTAACAGCTCTGCTAATCTTTCTTTTAAAAAATTAAACTAAGGAAAGTGTTAATGTTTTTATAAAATGCTAATTTTATCCACTCCTGGAGATTTGCTTTCTATTATAATTAATCTAGCTACTTTGCTATTGTAGAGTAAAAAGTAGAGAAAAAATATGTTTAAGCATCATCTTTCCAATTTATTTAGAAGTAAAATAAGTACAAGAAAAATAAAAATAATCTTCCTTTCCCACTCAAAATCCTAACATCTATAGCATGAAATAAACATGTATTTTTGAAATTCAAACATTTAGAAAGCTAAAAGTTTTGACTATCAACTTACCTTCTTTTGATACCAGACTATAGCATCTGTGACTTTGGACGCCATTTATTCCACTGAAATCACACATTGGTCATTTTAGGCTGTGCAAGAGAGAAAAACATACAAATGACTTTATTTCCCACCTTCCAAAAGGAGACTGAACAGCATGCAGACATAGCACTCTGGTTACTTGCAGAGCAAGGGGTGTATGACGAGACTTATATTACACTCTTCCTCATTACTATTTTAGCAACAGGTTCTCTTAAGTAAACAAAAATCAGTTGCCACAATAATAGAAAGTTCTATTTGCATGAATAAATAACACTTGTTTTCTTACAAAATAGATTGAATTTTTTTTAATCTTTTAAAGAAATTTCAGAATTTCCTAGGTTATACCAGAAATTGTTCATCTAAAAATCCACATACAAGAAACCAATTCATTCAATCAGTAATGTAGTTTGTTTCTAAAAACCAGTGTCAGTTACCATTGCTAAAGGATGGCTTAACAGAGATGACAGAATTTATAATGATATTTAATTTTCCCTGACACTCAGTAAACACAAAACTGAATTAAAATAACCCAAGAGCCAAAAAGTATTTATGTTAAATACTAAGCCAATATTAGAGTTAATACACAGGAATAATTAACACTAAAGACTTCCCAGATATCACAGTTTGCTAACTGTCATTTAAGTAGTTATGACAATTAATCCTCAAAGATCAAAAAAACTCTTTAATATTTCAGTTTATAAAATACAGTCCCTAAAAGTTTATTTTATTGAAAAAAATTAAGCTACTGAATTGTAACTTACAAGAAACAGATTAAAACTGCTGATATGTTCTATAACTCTGCAAATCTCTTTTAAAAATAATCAAACTAAGACAAATACCAAAAACCATTTCATAAGCATCTTTTCTGTGTTTGTCTAAAACAGGATAGGTACTAAACTTAATGATTCCTTAACCCTAGAGGTTATTTGAGACTGATTCCCATCAACTCCAGAATACTATTTTAGTCACAAGATGACACTGGCATAGAGGTTACCTCTGGTCTAGTGTTAAGGATGAGCCTAAAACAGGTTCAAAAGCAGTTATTGGCTGCAGAACTCATTACAAACCAAAATCATCCAAGGACACACAGGATGATCTCAGGGAAATCCTGGGGGTAAAGCACCCTGCTGAGCCAATCCTAGCACATACAGATCTGCAACTGTAGAAACGCTACCACTAGTTTGCCTCAGTAAACAAAGTACCGGAGGTTTTATATACCACTCTTGGGAGCATGCATGATGAGTGGGAGCATGCATGAGTGGGAGCATGCATGCTTTTTGAGCATATTAAGATTCAGATACAATAAAAATTATCAACAAGTTCAAATGTTTAGACGATAAACCTCTAAAATTTAAAGCAGAATTTATTCAATGCCTGTATTTTTGACTGTTATAAACCAAATTATTTTATAACCTTTCCTAAGATATTAGTGACTCTAACTGATCAAATTCAAGCAAACTATGTTTTGAAATTCCTGACAAACAGCCTAACATAATGGAAAGAAAAGAAGGTTAGAGTCAAAATACCTGAATTCAAATATTAGCTCTACTATCTATTATGTAATATTGAATAAGTCACGGAATTTCTCTCAACCTGTTTCTTTCACTTATAAACTAGAAATAACTGTACCTCCCCACCCCTTATAGGATCTTTGTAACCAATAAATAATATATATAAGATGCCTGCCACAGTCCAGGACATACAGTAGGTTTTCAATTATAATTATTTTTAACATCAATTTTCATATAAAAAATTCCCCAATCTAGGAACTAGAAGTATTTATATTTCCTTTTTTAAACATAGCAGTTTAAGGAGAAATACATGCAATCAGTTTTTGTTCACATTGAAAATAAAAATAGCTATCCAATTATCATAAGGTCACAATGTCAATTCTCAATTACATACACATGGATTATTTACAGATTTCAAAGTTCACCTCCACTTAATTTCTCAGTCAGGTGTGGCTATCTTCATTTCTCTCACGAGGGTTTTTTGAGGAAGCTTTCCCTTACTGACTTAAAATCTCCCATTTTTGTTTTTCTGTCCTGGAAGCCTTTGAGTATGATTTATTAACTTCAACCACCTTGTATCCCAGAGGTTTGCCCCACTGATTTTGCTAGGGGACTATTCAATACACACTACACCTTCATTGTATTTGTTTGTCATGACAACTGTGAATGCTTTCCAGATTGGTTATAACCTATCCCCTCAAGCAAACTATGAAAAATGGTACAAAAATATGAGAATATCAACTTTTCACTTTACCCTCTTTTCACTTTACCCAATCTTTATTGACAAATATTCCAGATTATCTAACAAAATAAAGATCCTCTTTCCTAACCCCCAACAATGTAAATAATATACATTTCATACACAAAACGTGAAAGGATTTTATCACTCTATTAAACATATCAGATATTTAATATATTTAGGGAATATTTAAATGTTCACATATAAATAATAGTATTTTTTAAAAGAAAAAGCTCAAATGAAAGTTTGAAAAACACTGCCTGCCTCACAAGAAAATAATCGCAAAGACTTTATATATTTGTTTACCAAGCTACACTTAGATAAATACCAAAAATCTAACAGTATTCTAGTTATATAAAGTGTTCTAAATATTTTAAACTGTATTTATTTGGGTCTATAGAAATAAAAATTCAACGAATTTTCTGTTTAAAATAAAAAAACCTTTCTTCAGTAATGGTGATTTTCTGTGCAAACTCATTTAATAGTTTTTCCATTGTGTCAACAACCTTTCAGTCACACTGAATGGCTCATACCTATTTTTAAAACAGGTTTTACAGCATGCTAAGATAGATTTCTGAACCAGCTATCTGACAAAGCACTCAAAGATACCCAATTACACGTGGGTATAATCAACAAGGATTAACAAGTCAAATTATTTCAGGAATAATGAAGATTATTTCTAAAGCCTTTCCAACTTCTTTGATTCTATGACAGTCCAGGAATACAGGTTCATAGACTGTATTGTCATGATAGCTCAGGTTTAATGTTAAATGATCATATTAAAGTTTATTTACAGAAAAAAGCATAAAAAACCTACTGGGGACCTTTAATAGAGGATCTTAATCTTTTTTGATCAACTGATCTGATACAAGGATGGGTATTATGATGCATAATCTTTATTTATTTAGAAATAATCCAATCCTAAAACCATAGGGCTAACTGCAGGCATAACATTAGGCAGTTAACTCTAAGCTAACACTATCCTTGACATAGATTTAATTGTCACACCTTAACAAAATATCTGAAATTCTTTTTTTTTTTTTTTTGCTTTTTTTATTATACTTTAAGTTTTGGGGTACATGTGCAGAATGTGCAGGTTTGTTACATAGGTATACACGTGCAATGGTGGTTTGCTGCACCCATCAACCTGTCATCTACATTAGGTATTTCTCCTAACGCTATCCTTCCCCAAGCCCCCCACCCCGACCGGCCCTGGTGTATGATGTTTCCCTCCCTGTCTCCATGTGTTCTTACTGTTCAACTCCCACTTATGAGTGAGAACATGCAGCATTTGGTTTTCTGTTCTTGTGTTAGTTTGCTGAGAATGATGGTTTCCAGCATCATCCATGTCCCTGCAAAGGACATCCTTTTTTATGGCTGCATAGTATTCCATGTTGTACCTGTGCCACATTTTCTTTATCCAGTCTATCACTGATGGGCATTTGGGTTGGTTCCAAGTCCTTGCTATTGTGAACAGTGCCACAATAAACATATGTGTGCATGTGTCTTTATTTGCTGTATTGATTTCCACACAAAATGCCAAAGACCAGGGTGGTGGGAAAAGATGAGTACAGAAGAGATGGTATGTTAAGTCTGCCTTTACGGAATCTCAATCAAATACAGTTGAACAACATGGTGGGTAAGCTGCGCTGGTCCGCTTACATGTGGATTTTTTCAATAAAAGTTATACCAAGTGTGCCTGATACTCCTGCCTCCCCTTTCACCTCCTTTACCTCTTCTGCCTCTGCTATCCAGGAAGGGAAAACCAACCCCTCCTCTTCTTCAACCTATTCAGTGTGAAGATGACAAGGATGAAGACCTTTATCATGATCCACTTCCACTTAAAGAATAGTAAATGTATTTTCTCTTCTTCTTCCTCTTCTTTTTTTTTTTTTTTTTTTGAGATGGAGTTTTCGCTCTTGTTACCCAGGCTGGAGTGCAATGGCGTGATCTCAGCTCACCGCAACCTCTGCCTCCAGGGTTCAAGCGATTCTCCTGCCTCAACCTCCCGAGTAGCTGGGAATACAGGAATGCGCCACTACACCCGGCTAATTTGTAATTTTAGTAGAGACAGGGTTTCTCCATGTTGGTCAGGTTGGTCTCAAACTCCGGACCTCAGGTGATCCTCCCGTCTCAGCCTCCCAAAGTGCTGGTATTACAGGTGTGAGCCACTGTGCCCGGCCTATTTTCTCTTCTTTACAATTTAATAACACTTTTTCTCTAGCTTACTTTATTGTAATTATACAGTATATAAACATATAACATATAAAATATGTGTTATCTGTTTATGTTATTAGTAAGACTTCCTGTCAACAGTAGGCTATTAGTAGTTAAATTTTGGGGGATTCAAAAGTTACAGCCAAATTTTCCACAGCACAGGGGTCAGTATCCCTAACCCCAATTGTTCAAGGGTCAACAGTATAATAATGCCTATGAGTATTCTTTGTACAAATATGGTCTCCCACATTGTCAGATTTTTAACCAATCCCCATGTTACAGAAATTCTATCAAATACTACATAAATGTTACCATGTACATCTCTCATTATTCTGAAACAAATTTGTCTGTTCTGGCATGACTCTCACTAGGCTCAGAAAACAATGTATTTCCACCCCTGACACTTTGCGTGTGTTATTATTATTCCTATTCCATTCTTTTCTCCACTCATACATCCTTCTAAATCAGCTCAAATCCTACTTCCTCCAAGATGAAGCTTTCTTTTTTTTTTCTTGTTTTTTTTTTTTTTGAGACGGAGTTTTGCTCTTGTTGCCCAGGCTGGAGTGCAATGGTGTGATCTCGGCTCACTGCAACCTCCGCCTCCCAGGTTCAAGCAATTCTCCTGTCTCAGCCTCCTCAGTAGCTAGGACTACAGGCGCCCACCACCACGCCTGGCTAATTTTTGGTATTTTTAGTAGAGACAGGGTTTCACCCTGTTGGCCAGGCTGGTCTCGAACTCCTGACCTCAGGTGATCCGCCCGCCTCGGCCTCCAAAAGTGCTGGAATTACAGGCATGAGCCACCGCACCCGGCCAGCTTTCCTTTGGACTAAAAAATGCTGAAGCTTAATGTCTCTCTTCTAGCACCAACATATGCTCAAAAATCTGTAATTTAAATAGAAATGTAAAGCAGTATGTGGCCACACAGGTCACTTGGTCATATGTAAACACTCTTAAGGAAAAAATGTGGCAACATTCTTTGTCTCTAAGTACTCAGTACACTGTAATATATGGTACAGGAAGTACAGCAGATAAAAAGCAATGACTAAGCATCAAGATAATTGGGTTCTAGATCCAAGTTCTGATACTAAGAGCTGTGTGCTCTTGAATAAGTTACTGAGTTCTCTGGACCTCAGTTTTCCCCAAGTGCCATCTAGCCAGATATTCCACAACTCAATAAAGGTTAAATAACAATTGTGTGAAAAGAAAAAGAGCTCCGAGCAGTCTGAGCCATGTGAGGTAGGCAAGCACAGACACGTGAGTATAGGACTTGAGTCAAGCCCCTACACCCAAGCCTGGGGGCAACTGTTTAAAGTCATTTTCTTCCTGACTAGCTGCCTCACTCATTTATCTTCATGTTTCTGGAATTTGTGATACAAAGAACAATGTATAGCCAATCAACAGTTTATGTTATTTTAACATAAATTCTCAGTAAACAACTCAGGAACTGCTTCTTCCTTCCGTTTAAAATTTTTTTTTTTTTTTTTTTTTTTGAGACAAGGTCTCACTCAGTTGCCCGGGCTGGAGTGCAGTGGCACGATCAGGGCTCACGGCAGCTTCGACTTCCCAGCTCAAGTGATCCTTCTGCCTCAGCCCCCAAAATAGCTGTGACTATAGGCATGTACCATGATGCCTGGCTAATTTTTTTTAATTTTAGCAGACACGAGGTCTGGCTATGTTGTCCAGGCTGGAAAAATGCACTTTTAACTGCTGCTAATCAGAGGGTATATTCAGAGCAACTCAAATCTGTGCTCCCAGTTGCAATCCTCAAGCTTGATTCAAATAAACCCTCTAATTGTATTAATTTTGCTCCAGCTTCTTCCTTTCAGGTCACCAATTCCAATAATGTACAGAAGTTTCTCTGAATTCTAACACACCCAAAAACATTAATATTACTACTTAAATTAGTGTTACATATATGGAATTTAACATAGTAGAAACTGTTAAACTAAATAAAAAATATCTTATTTAATTTATTTTTAGAGATAGGGTCTCACTGTCACCCAGACTGAAGTGCAGTGGCTTGATCATAGCTCACTGTAACATCAAACTCCTGGGCTCAGGTGACTGTCCTGCCTTAGCTTCCCAAGTAGCTAGACTCAGCAACAAAAGGGCACATAACATATCCTCATGCACATCCTGCTGAGAAGTATATCACACAAAAAGTTGCATGCCACCAAACTAGGCTATTTTTTAAATCTTTTGTAGAGAGAGATGGAGTCTCATTATGCTGCCCAGGCTGGTCTTGAACTGCTGTCTTCAGCAATCTTCTTACCTCAGCCTCCCCAAGTGCTGGGATTACAGGTGTGAGCCACTGCGCTTGGCCCTAAAGAGCTTTTAATTTTTTAAAGGTAGTTTTTATAAATCTCCTCAGACTCTCATATTATTATTCCATTCCAACAACCTTGTATCATTCTCTGCTGCTTACAAAATAAAATCCACAAGTATTTAGACTCTCTACAATCTGACCTTAATTGTCCAACATTATTGCTCATCATCTTCTCATATGTCTTGTTTCAACCATCCCATACTTTCAACATTTTTCTACCTCTGTGCCAAAATTAACACTTCTCTTTCTAAAACAAGGAAGATTTTGACAAGACTTCCAAAATTCCACTTTCTCCATAAGTTTCTCCCAAATTCTTCCATTTAATATTTCTCATCCTGTTCTGTGTTCCCCTTAGAGTAGCACTCCCTTTATCCAAGGCTTTGCTTTCCACATTTCAGTTACTGCAGTAACTGCAGTACAGTAAAATATTTGGAGACAGAGACCAAATTCCATAACTTTTCATTAGAGTATACTGTTACGATTGTCCTATTTTATTATTAGTTATTATCTATCTCTTACTTGCAGCAGTCCCCAACCTTTTTTAGCACCAGGGACTGGTTTTGTGGAAGACAATTTTTCCATGGCCAGGGTAGGGGGGATGGTTTTGGGATGATTCGAGAGCATTACATTTATTGTATACTTTATTTCTATTATTATTACATTATAATATATAATGAAATAATTATACAACTCACCATAACATAGAATCAGTGGGAGCCCTGAGCTTGTTTTCCTGCAACTAGATGGTCCCATCTGGGGATGATGGAAGACAGTGACACCCAAAGTGTATTGTTTATGTCCAGTCTATTCCATAATCTCATTTTGGTTGCTGTTAACTATACTACAGAAAACCCTGCTTCACAAAGATACGATGTTAGAAATGGAAACAGACTTTTCAGTGTTTTGTGGCAATCTCAGGATAGTCCGCCTTGACTTTAATCCAGAATGTATGGAGATTTGAAGTTGTCTCAAACATACTTTTAAGGCCACCATCATTTGTGACCTTAAGCAGTTGATCCTCTTCTAGCACGGACAAAGTCGATACAGCTGGCTTATTCACAAACAGCTTGTGGATCCATTACTTCCCAGTTCGGGGGTCTTCTGTGGTTGGGAAGTAATGCTCAAACTCTTTTGAAAGCTGAGATAGGTGATCATGCACCAGCTGGGAGAAAGAAGGTCCTGGCTGAGTCTCTTTAAAAATCTCTGTTAATGTTTGAAGCATGTCAAAAAAAATCCCTCAATGTTCACTCAATTCCAGTTTGGCTTTGAATGCAGCCACTTTATCTACTGACTCGAACACATTTGTCATTCTCCCCTGAAGTGACAAGCTGAGTTCTTTGAGCAGGTTGAATATGTCACACAAGTAAGCAAGTTTTGTGACCCATTCTGCATCACTGAAATGTGCTACCAGTGATAACTATTTTTCTAAAAAAAAAAAAAAAATCTCTGGAGAGACCTTGTAACTCAAAACCTCTGGCCAGTGATCTACCTTAGAAAGCCATCTTACTTCTGCATATAAGAGAAGCTGTGTGTGCTCTGCATCCATTTCCTCACAGAGCTGCACAGACAGACATAAACTAAGGGCACGTACTTTAATGTGGATAATTTTAATCACATCCTGCAAAATGTTGGTTAAGTTTCGGTGACATTTTGTGCCTAGCCAGCATTTCTCTACGGATGACACAGTGCGTAGACTCGCATTCAGAAGCAACCTCTTTGACCCAAGTAGTGAAACCAGAAAGCTGTCCAGTCATGGCAGCCGTGCTCTGTTCATGCATATACCAACACAAAATTACCAAATCAGTTCTACAGCTGTGGTATTGGTTGGCAACAAAAGGGCACATAACATACCCTCATGCACGTCCTCCTGAGAAGTGTATCACACAAAAACAAGCATTACTGCCTTGTTGTCAACGTCAGTAGACTTGTCAACCTGGATTACACACCATGGTGACTCATTAATCCTAACAATTGTGCCTCAATATCCTCTATTTCATCAAATAATCTAGTTATGGTACTAGCTGAAAAAAGAACATGTGCCACCTTCTGAACTGCAGCCTCTCCTAAAAGTTCGTAACAAATGTCCTTAACAGCAAGCAGGCAGGATCAACTCTTCACCAATAGTAAACGGCTTCTTAGCTTTAGCAATGCTTTAGCCGCTAAGAATAATACTCTCAGTGCAGACACACTTGATGAAGTGGTGGCCTTCCATAATTGCTTCTGTTCTTCATGTTCACGTTTTTTTCTTTTGAAAAACTCCAAAGCCTTGTCTTTCAATGCAGGATAAGTGGTCTCCACGTGACAAAGCACTTTTGAAGGTTTCATGGCTTGTTGGATAGCCAGTCACCACATACACAAAGCAGGCCTAGAGAATGTGAATCACCTGTTGCAATGAACCCATAATTTAAGTGGGACTCTTGGTGTTTTCTTTTAAATGCAGCTTTCTTTTTGTTGGCAGTCTTAAGAGTCTTCTGCTGTCTCATCATTGGGTCTTCCCCCTTTACAAAGAAGCTCTCTAGTAATGTTTTGTTATTTACTCATTTTGGCTAAGGTTAGCTTGTGGGCTTAACCAAATCTGTGACTGAGGTAAGTGCCCAGTGTGACAAAGAAATGTGGACGGATAAGGTAAGTAAAATAATGGGCGGGTCATGCATGGACTAAAATTAAGTGTTGGATTCTGACTTAAAGCCTGTCACCAGATGCAGCTGTACAAATGAAGCACTCAACTCACTGACAGGGTTTTGATATGGGTCTGCAAGCAATTTATTTATTATGATCTCTGTGCAGTCAAACCTCTCTGCTAACGTTAATCTGTATTCGCAGCTGCTCCCCAGCGCAAGCATCACTGCCTCAACTCCACCTCAGACAATCAGGCATTAGACTCTCATAAGAAGCATGCAACCGAGATCTCTCACATACACAGCTGAGAATAGGGTTCGCACTCTTATGAGAATCTAATGCCGCTGCTGATCTGACAGGAGGCAGAGCTCAGATGGTAATGGAAGTGATGGGAGGCAGCTGTAAATACAGATGAAGCTTCGCTCACTTGCCCACTGGCTCACCTCCCGTAGTGCAGCCCACGGTTCCTACCAGGCCGCAGACCAACTGGTTGGGGACCCTGTCTTACTGTACCTAATTTATAATATAAACTTTATCATAAGTATGTATATACAGGAAAAAAACACAGCAAATATAGGTTTGGTACTATCTGTGGCTTCAGGTTTCCATTGGGGATCTTGGAATATAACCCTCACAGATAAGGGGGACTGCTGTGTACTTACTATATTGTTTTATATAGACTTTAGTGTACTTATCTGTATGTGCCCCCACCTCCCACCCACACGTTCTTTGAGAGCAGTCCAATGTCTTTATTATCTCTGAATTTTCCTAAAACTTTTCGCCTATATTAAACACAAATGTTTACACACCATATTAAAAAGTTGCCAAAGTACCACCACAGATGAATTTGAGGGCTAGAATTGAAAACTCTACCTGTCCAACTCCTGTACTCCCCCAACATGCACATAAACAAACATACTTTTTCATAACATTAAAGGGTACAAAGATATCATGAAGTATAATAAACATGGTTCATTTATTTACTGACATGTCACTCAGTCACCAATACATTAAGATTTAAAAGGTTTTACATATTGCAGATCTAAAAGGTCTAATGAAAATAAGTTAAAGTCTAGTCTAACACCATTCCTAAATGCTAAAGTTAAATATAACTCAGTTGCCTTCACCACAACCAAAACAAGAAATTTTTAGACCTTGAAAACTGGGAACAAAGTTGCTCTGCCCTTAAAGGGTAATAAATGTTAAGGTTCAAATCACATCTTTCATAATGATACAAAAGCTAAACAAAAAGAATGAAATCTTCTACTAGTTTCAGGGTTCCTACTTTGTAATCATGTGATCTATAAATTATTACAACTTATAAGAACAATTTTAATTCTTCATCTGGAAGGAGGATAATATTTCATGGAAATATTTGAAAGAATAAACACCACACGTTTTATGGTCAAAGTTGTAATTTTAAACAAAATGCAAAATAAGGTCTAATAAACAGCTATACATTTTCTATTATACCAGTCATAAAAAGAATATTTGTAATTTTTATTTTCCTTAATGGAACCAATGCATAGTCTGTGTACTTTGGGCTAGAAGATGATACATAATCTAAGAAGAAAAAACTACAGGCAAGTAACATCTCTCTATACCCGTACTAAATAAAAGTGTTTTGTGCTGTTACAAAATCTAAGTGAATCCCTATAGCTATAATCTCTTTGTTAGGAGACAGGGTCTCACTCTGCCACCTAGGCTGGAGTTCAATGGTGAAATCATATTTCACTGTAGCCTCAAACTCCTGGGCTCAAGTGTTCCTCCACCTCAGCCTCTCGAGTAGCTGGGACTACAGGTGGACACCATCGCACCTGGCTAATATTTTTTATTTTTTAACTTCTTGTGGGGCCGGGTCTCACTTTGTTGTCCAGGCTGGTCTCAAACTCCTGACTTCAAGCAATCTTCCTGCCTTGGCATCCCAAAGTACTAGGATTATAGGTGTGAGTCACCACGACCAGCCTAGAGTTATAATTTTATTTTTTTTGAGATGGAGTCTCGCCCTGTCACCCAGGCCGGTGTGCAGTGGTGCAATCTCGGCTCACTGAAACTGCCGCCTCCTGGGTTCAAGCAATTCTTGTGCCTCAGCCTCCCGAGTAGCTGGGATTACAGGTGCGCACCACCACGCCCAGCTAATTTTTGTATTTTTAGCAGATAGTACCAAACATATATGTTGCTATCTTTTTCCTATATAAATTTTGTATTTTGAATTTTTAGGGTTTCACCATGTTGGCCAAGCTGGTCTTGAACTCTTGACCTCAAGTGATCTGCCTGCCTCAGCCTCCCAAAGTGCTGGAATTACAGATGTAAGCCACTGCGCCCAGCCTAGAGTTATAATCTTGATACTAACCACAAAGCCCTCTGCAGAATTTCCTGATGGGCACAATCAACCCACCTGATATGTCTTTTAAAGCAACTTTTTAAATTTCAGGGTTCCTTAACTTCAATATTACTATTACCAACCAAAGTACCACCACAGATGAATTAATTTACTCTACCATTCCTTGAGCATTCTTTGGGTTTTTTGTTTTGTTAAGTACTTAAAGGTCCTTTAAATAGCTAATTATAATGTATTGGCTTTTTGTTTTATTTGACTGCTGTGCTGCTTAGAAAAATCAGTAATGAAATATGATCCATTTAAATGGTTTAACTTCCTCATTTACTCACAGGAAAGTTTTACCACCAACCTATCAGGCTCAATTCAAACATGGACATGTTATTACTGGTCTTCAGCAGAAACGTTCTAAATTAGTGTTCCAAGTACTCTTTATCAAAATAGTAATGGACTAAATGATATCTAAATGGCTTAAAGAGTTAACTAAACGGCTTAAAGAGTTAACAGACCTTAAAAATGACTTAATTTAGAGATTAAAATTTGCTAACAATACCTCATCATCAAAAATACTATTGAGGCTGGGCTCCGTGGCTCGCACCTGTAATCCCAGCACTTTGGGAGGCTAAGTCAGGTGGATCACTTAAGGTCAGGAGTTTGAGATCAGCCTGACCAACATGGTGAAACTCAGTTTCTACTAAAAACTAATACAAAAATTAGCCAGGCATGGTGGCTGGCACCTGTAATCCCAGCTACTTGGGATCCTGAGGCAGGAGAATCGCTTGAACCTGGGAGGAGCAGACAGTGAGCTGCGGTCACACCAGTGCACTCTGGCTTGGGTGAAACAGCGAAACTCCATCTCAAAAAAAAAGGCTGCACGCAGTGGCTCACACCTGTAATCCCAGCACTCTGGGAGTCCAAGGCAGGTAGATCATGAAGTCAGGAGTTCAAGACCAGCCTGGCCAAGATGGTGAAACCCCATCTCTACTAAAAATACAAAAACTAGCCGGGCGTGGTGGCAGGTGCCTGTAATCCCAGCTACTCAGGAGGATGAAGCAAATAACTGCCTGAACCCGGGAGGCAGAGGTCACGATGAGCCGAGACTGCACCACCACACTCTAGCCTGGGTGACAGAGTGAGACTCCGTCTCAAAAAGAATAAATAAATAAAAATAAAATATTAATTTAATTTTCCACGAATTCTAAGAAAAGAAAATGAAAACTGGAAGAACTCATGAACTTCAGATGTCTTGCCACACGAGTTATTTAGGTCTTAAAAGTTCCTCCTAACATTTAGAAAAAAGTTTCCTTAGCTTATAGAGCCATCAAAACAAAAGAAAAAAGTGACAAAAATCATTCTTTAATAAATCCACAGTGATTTTAACTTTTATCTACATGTTCAACTTTACATGGTATCCATGACTTCCTGCTATGAAAGCAGACATAATCAACATGCTTATACTTCTCCAAAGATCTAACATTTAGATTTTATTCCACAGCCACCATTCTCAAAGTTGTTCCATTTTCTTCTGTATTTAAATGGATCTGATGATCACCCCCGATTCTTTTAAGATGGCTTTGCCATACCTGAAGTCATCACTATTTAATTTTGTTTCATTTGAGGTTGACTTGATTTAATCATCAAGCAGTATTTTTCAAGAAAGGAGTGCTATATTCTCTGTGCTCTTACATGTTAGAGAACATCTGCTTGCTTCCTGTGTATTTGATTAACCACTTGGTTGGCATGGCAGAGACTGCTAATTGACACCCATTATTCCATCATCCTCTTTGAAAATTGTGCTGGCACCCTGTTGCCCAAAATAAAGACCTTTCCTAACCTTTCTTGCAGTTAGATGTGGCCAAGACTAAGTTCTGCTCCAAACACCACCAAAAGTGTTGGGTAGTACTTGTAGTTGGGAAAAGCACTTTTTTTCTTTCTCTTCTCCCTTTTCCTGATCCTTTCAATGTTATTTTAATGACGACAGCTCCAGCAGCCACCATGGACAGTGACATTGAGACTAGAAACCAGGTGTGTTCATAGATAGGAAAGATCCTGGGTTGCCTTGGGTGAAGCCACCATACTAGTTCTAGACTGACTATTTCCATACTTTTTGTACCCAAGGTTATAAATCCTTATAGTTTAAGCCACTGTTATTAGCAGCCAAAAGAAATCTAACTGATACTGTTGGGTATAATACTTCTGGTTGACAACTTCCTACCGTCAAAACTTTGTAAACATTTTTCCATTGTCTTCTGGAATTGACAATAATTGAGAAATTAAAATTCAGCCATCTTGAATTTTTTTCTCTTTGTATAGGTCATGTTTTTCTCTTTTTGGCCAGGATAACAAAATAATTCTCCATCTTGAATTTTTTTCTCTTTGTATATAGGTCATGTTTTTCTCTTTTTGGCCAGGATACCAAAATAATTCTCTCCTTAGTTTTGAAGTTAAAAACTACTAGGATATGGTCAATTTTAATCATTTCATATTTTTTTCCTAGCATTTAGTGTGCCTGTCAATCTGCAAATACACATTTCATTTCAAAAGCTTTTGTCTGGATTTTATTTCTCAATACTTTTTCTGTTCCATTTGTTGAAGTCTCTATTTTAGGGATATCAGCTATTCTTACCTAGGACAGTCTTTTCAGAGTTACTTCTTTCGTTTATTTTTCTCCTATATTTGTAGAGTTGCCATGCTATTTTTTTTATCACGTTTAATACAGAAACTGCTATCCTCAGCTCCTATTCACTCTGATATCCAAGATTCTGCTCGGCCACCCCTAACACCTTTCTCATCTTAGTTGGGGCCATTTTTATTTTTGTGTACACGTCTTTATGCATACACACACAAACTTCAGTTTGAGAATCAGGAACTACTCTTAATCTACTTTTCTATAATCCAACGACACAGAAAAGGAAGAGCTAAAATTGGACTGAGCACAGGCATTGCTGAGGTGTCCTTAAATGTCCTGTACCAAGACTGATCTCCCTAGTTAGGGATCTAGCCTACCTTCATGGGCTTTGGCTCTTGCCCTTAACTCAGAGTACCATTCAAAATGCCAGTGCTTGTTGCCTCTGCTGAGGCTCAGCGCTGGTATGTAGGGTCTTCTCAAGGATTTTTCCTTGACTTTTTGCTTCCTATTCACCTCCTAGGTCTACTTCTCTAAAAGTATGAATGAGATATCGCAATATTTTGTAGGCTTCCTCTTTCCTTTGTCTTGTTTCTGGGATACGGGGCTGGGATTAGAAGCCTTGTCATATACAACTAGTATCTTCTCATTCTTTCTTTACCTTCCACTTTTTGAAGTATTTGGTATAAAGCTACAGATACCCCTTTTTTGTCTGCTTCTTTCCATTTCTGCCCTCTTTCTTCAACCCACCATCTACTCTTTCCTTAATTTGGTTTTAGTGAAGAAAAAATCTGTGACCCCACTTCATTTTTACTCAGAAATCTCTCATTTATATTATTGTTGTTGTTGTTATTTAGAGACAGAGGCTCGCTCTGTCACCCAGGCTGGAATGCAGTGGCACAATCATGGCTCACTTCAACCTCAAACTCCTGGGGTCTCAAGTGTTCCTCCCTTTCTCAGCCTCCCAAGTAGCTAAGACTACAGGTGTGTGCCACCACACTCGGCTAACGTTTTTTTTTTTTTGGTAGAGGTGGGGTCTTGCTATGTTGTCCAGGCTGGCCTTGAACTCCTGGTCTCAAACAATCTTCCCACCTTGGCAGCCCAAAATGTTAGGATTACAGGAGTAAGCCACTGTGCTTGCCATTTTACTTCTTTTAACATTTAAGTACTTAATCTTTTACATTACTGACTCAATTAAAAAGTTAAATTTATTTGGGAGGCCAAGGCGGGCAGATCACGAAGTCAGGAGTTCAAGACCAGCCTGGCCATCATGGTGAAACATCTCTACTAAAATACAAAAATTAGCCAGGCATGGTGGTGCACACCTGTAATCCCAGCTTCTCAGGAGGCTGAGGCAGGAGAATTGCCTGAACCCAGGAAGTGGAGGTTGCAGTGAGCCGAGATTGCACCACTGCACTCCAGCCTAAAAGTAAAATTTAAATATTCTAAGATGAGATTCTAAACTAACAACAGCTGCACTTTTACTTCTGCTATTTCTAACAAAAGGAAGTAAAGGGAGGATACCCAGTTTCAATTCTTTTTATAAACTCAAGATACTAAGCAAAAAACACAAGATCATAAACTAAGCTCTTCCGTGAATTTGTTACAACTACCTCCAAGAAAAAAAAAAAAAACAAACCAGGATGTATTTTCCCTCCTCAAATCTTATCTTTTACTATCTGCTCAATTTTCCAACAAAGAACCCTAGAATCTTTCTTGTTTCCTCCCCTTTCCCACCTCCCACCACTATCAATTCTATACCTGGCACACAGAAACCACTCAATAATTATGAAGGAATAAATTAATATAACGTATTTGTCATACCTCCAAACTTCTCTCATATGATCCCTCTCCAGCCCCACTACCATACACCTGGTACAAGCTGATATCTAATACCAGGACTACACTAACAATCTATTATTGTTGCTTTACTTTCACTACTTATCTTTTTAAAATACTGACCTCATCACTTAAAAATCTCTAGTCTCCCACTGCCAAAGAAAAGAGTTTAATCAACACTGTATTCAAAACCCTTCTTTTACAATTTGACCATAGATTTATTATTTCTCCAGTCAGTAGCATCTATCGTCTCTACTTTGTTTCACACAGTTTCAATTACCCGCCCTCCCCAACCTCCCATCCATACATTCTAGCTACACATACCTTACATTCTAGCTACACAGGTTCACAAATATACCATATACTTTCATGCCTGCCTTCTACTCCAGGTAATATTCCTTGTCTAAAATAACTTTCTCCTTGTTCTGATCTATTTGAAAAGTTACCTCAATTCCTTCTAAGGAAATTAAATTGTGAGAACATATAAGCCATGGTGTTCAAATAACTCCACTACTTAAAGAGTAATTTAAGATTCAGGCCAGGCACGGTGGCTCAGGCCTGTAATCCCAACACTTTGGTAGGCCAAGATGGGTGGATCACGAGGTCAAGACATCGAGACCATCCTGGCCAACATGGTGAAACCCTATCTCTACTAAAAATACAAAAATTAGCTGGGTGTGGTGGCGTGTGCCTGTAGTCCCAACTACTCGGGAGGCTGAGGCAGAAGAATCCCTTGAACCCGGGAGGCAGAGGTTGCAGAGAGCCAAGATCATGCTACTGCACTCCAGCCTGGCGACAGAGCGAGACTCCGTCTCCAAAAAAAAAGAGAGTAATTTAAGATTTAAATATTTGGCCGGGCGCGGTGGCTCACGCCTGTAATCCCAGCACTTTGGGAGGCCGAGGCGGGTGGATCACGAGGTCAGGAGATTGAGACCATCCTGGCTAACACGGTGAAACCCCGTCTCTACTAAAAATAGAAAAAATTAGCCGGGCGTGGTAGCGGGCGCCTGTAGTCCCAGCTACTCGGGAGGCTGAGGCAGGAGAATGGCGTGAACCCGGGAGGCGGAGCTTGCGGTGAGCCGAGATCGCGCCACTGCACTCCAGCCTGGGCGACAGAGCGAGACTCCGTCTCAAAAAAAAAAAAAAAAAAGATTTAAATATTTTTAATTTCAGAGGGTGACATCAATAAGATGACTGACTAGAGACACCCAGCACTCATCCCCCCAATAAGAAAGAACCTAGGCATCACATAAACAGCTAAGATTCAGCTTGAGTGTCAATGGGAGAGTACTAGGGTGCAGCGAGAAACTGGAGATGCACGTGATGAGATTGGAGGGCAGCATGGAAGTACCTGGCCACTGCAGCCCTGTCTCCCCAACCCAGACTGGATCAGCCCAGAGTCAGGAGGGACTTCCCATTTCAGGGAAAAGGTAAGCAGAAGATCCCTACCAGCCCCCACTGCCACTGCAAACACCTACAATCCTTACTACAGGAGAATCCCACAGTCCTTGCAAGCCCCAAGCCCAGTCTGGAGAGCTGCCAGGAATTCATGCAGCTGCGCTGCCCCAGATTAGGAGCACAGGGTGCACACTCCCCTCCCCCACCCAACCACTCCCTGTGAGAAAAGCTGCTGCAGCATGGTGCCATCTTGAGACCAGAGCCACCTCTGGAGTGCACCCTGCTCTGGAGGTTAGTAGCCAGTGAACTTCTCTAGCACTGGGGCTCCATCTTCATTCCATCACACTCACATGGGTGGCTGAAAACCACAACCCCAACTATGCAAAGCCTGGGCCCAGGATCGGCTGTGACTCCAGTCCTGCACAGCAGGGAAACCAACCTCCCTTCCCCTCTGCTCCCCAACACTCTGCTGCCACTGCCACACTTCCAGTCAGAGGAACAGTCTGGCACTCCCACCTAAGGCAAACCTGCCCTTGAGCCAGAGAAAACTGCTATATGCCCTCCAAGTGGAAGAGTGCCCCCCACGTCTCTAAGCAGCTGATACATCCCTCGGGCTGGCAGAGAGGCTACACATCTGCACTCAGGTCCTGAGACACAGCCCTACAGCACTCCCCCACTGCAGACATGCCCTCAGCTCTCCACCTGCAATCAAGGTCTAAGAAACAGTCCTGTCCCTGGGCACAGCAGGCTGCTCCTGGTAGGCATACCCTCAGCCCATCCAAGCAGCCATGAGCCCATGACTGGACCTGAGTAACATCCCTGTGGGCCACCTCTAGCAAACATATCACTTGTGGGCCTATGGAGGGCTCACTCCTGAGCCACACCCCTGAGCCAGCCAAGCAGCCTTGCATCTGCATCCCAAACCTGAGAAAGTCCTGTGGGCCCCCCCGGTAGACAGATTCATTCCCAGGCTGGCTGAGCAGCCCTGTGCCTGCTCCTGGGCCTATAAACAGCTCCATGTGGGGCATGTCCCACACCAGCCAAGAAGTTGTGAAGCCATGTCAAGGGCCTGAGAAACAGCTCTGAGGGCCATCTATGGTGGACACACTCCTGAGCTCCCCGAGCAGCCTTGTACCCATGTCCCAAACCTGAGAAACAGCCCCACGGGCCATCTACAGCAGATACATACATCCACAGGCCAGCCAAGCAGAAGAGAAGGGAAAAGGTAAGGAAACATATTTAATGAAATAACAGCTGCAAATTTCCCAAATATTGGGAGAGAGATGGACATCTAGGTCCGGGAAGCTCAATGAACCTCAAATAGACGCAACCCAAATAGATCCTCTCCAAGGCAAAATATATTCAAATTGTCAAAAGACAAACACAAAGAAATTCTAAAACCAAGAGAAAACATCAAGTCACATACAATGGAATTCCCATTAGACTAATAACAGATTTCTCAGTAGAAGCCTTACAGGCCAGCAGAGAATGAGATGATATATTCAAAATATTGAAAAGAAAAAAAAAAAACTGCCATCCAAGAATATTATATCCAGCAAAGCTATCTTTCAGAAATGAAGGAGAAATAAAACCTTTCATAGACAGGCAAAAACTCAGTAAATTCATCACCACTAAGCCAGCCTTATAAGAAATGCTCAAGGGAGTCTCACAGTTGGAAGTAAAAGGATGATAACCACCATCATAAAAACATGTGAAACTATAAAACTCACCAGTAGAGTTGATAAAGAAGAAAGAGAAAAGAACCAAATCTTATTACAGAAAACTACCCAACCACAAAAATAAACAATAAGAGAGGAAAAAAGGAAATAGAAAACAAGAAGAAAACAATCAATAAAATGACAGGAGAAGGCCTCACTTATCAATAATCACCTTGAATGTAAACGGATTAAATTCCCCATTTAATCAAAAAGGAGACTTTTCAACAGATACCACAGAAATGCTGAACTATGAACAACTTGGGATGAGTGCAGTGGCTCATGCTTGTAATCCCACTGCTTTGGGAGACTGGGGAGGAAGGATCACTTGATTCCAGGAGTTCAAGACCAGCCTGGGCAACAAAGCAAAACTCTATCTCTAATATACGTATACACAAACACACACACACGCACACACACACATTAGCTGGGAATGGTGGTGCACACCTATAGTCCTAGCCACTCAGAAGGCTGGAGCAGGAGGATTGCTTGAACCCAGAAGTTTGAGGTTACAGTGAGCTATGATCACGCCTGTGCACTCTGGCCTGGGAGACAGTGAGACCCTGTCTAAAAAAACAAAACAGAATAAAACAAAAAAACATACAACTATACACAAATAAATTTGAACACCTAGAGAAACTAGATAAGTTCCTGGACACGTAACACCTACCAAGATTGAACCAGGAAGAAACAGAAAACCTGAACAGACCAATAACAAGTAACCAGATTGAATCAGTAATAAAATGTCTCCCAAGCCGGGTGCGGTGGCTCACGCCTGTAATCCCAGCACTTTGGGAGGCCGAGGAGGGCAGATCATCTGAGGTCGAGAGTTTGAGACCAGCCTGACCAACATGGCGAAACCCAGTCTCTACTAAAAATACAAAATTAGCCGGGTGTGGTGGTGCATGCCTGTAATTCCAGCTACTGAGGAGGCTGAGGCAGGAGAATCACTTGAACCTGGGAGGCGGAAGTTGCAGTGAGTCGAGATCACACCATTGCACTCCAGCCTGGGCCAACAAGAGCAAAACACCATCTCAAAACAAAACAAAACAAAAAGTCTCCCATAAAAGAAAAGTTCAGGACTGGATGGCTTCACAGCTGAATTTTACTGAACCTTTAGGGAAGAATTAATATCAATTTTTCTCAAATTATTCCAAAAAATTGAAGCAGACTGATTCTTCCTAACTCATTCTATGAGGCCTGGATAACCCTGAAACCAAAACTAGACAAGAAGACAACAAAAAGAAGAAAACTGCAGGCTAATATATTCGATGCACATACACATAAAAATTCTCAACAAAATATTAGCAAGCCAAATCTAACAACACATCAAAAAGATAATACATCATGATTCAGGGGAATTTATCTGAGGAACGCAAGGACGGTTCAACAAATACAAATCAATAAACATCATACATCACACCAATAGAATAAAAGACAAAAACCATATGGTCATCTTGATAGATACAGAAAAAGCATTTGATAAAAGTCAACATTCTTTCATGATTAAAACCTCTCAAATTAGGGATAGAAGGAAAATATCTCAACATAATAAAGGCCATATATGGCAAAGCCAAAGCTAACATCATACTGACTAGGAAAAAGCCAAAAGTGTTTCCTCTGACTACTAGAACAAGACAAGGATGCCTACTTTCACAACTCTTATTCAATATACTACTGAAAGTCCTAGTTGGAGCAATTAGTCAAGAGAAAGAAATAATAGGCAACCAAGTTGAAAAGGAGGAAGTCAAAATGTCTATTTGCAGATGACACAATCTTATATATAGAAAAACTTAAAGACTATACCAAAAACTCTTAGAACTGATAGATGAAATCAGTATAATTGCAAGATACAGTATCAATATTCACAAATCAGTAGCATTTCTAAACACAAACAATCAACTAGCTGAAAATGAAATAAAAAAGGCAATCTTATTTACTACAGCAACAACAAAAGAATACCTAGGAATAAATTTAAACAAGGAGGTGAAAGACCTCTATAGGAAAACTATAAAATGCTGATTAAAGAAACTGAAGAGGATACAAACAAATGAAAGACATCTCATGCATATGGATCAGAAGAATATTATTAAAGTGACCCCACAACCCAAAGAAATCTACAGAGTCAATGCACATGTCAAAATAACAATTACTTTCTTCACAGAAACAGAAAAAACAATCCCAAAATACATATGGAACTACAAAAGCCTCTGAATAGCTGAAGCAATCCTGAGCACAAAGAGGAGGCATCACACCACCAGACTTTCAAATATACTACAAAGCCGTAGTAACCAAAACAGCATAGTACTGGCATAAAAACAGACACATAGATCAGTGGAACAGAATAGAGAACCCAGAAATTAATCAATCCATGTATCTACAGTTAACTGATTTTTGACAAAGGTGTCAGGAACACTCATTGAGGAAAGGATAGCCTCTTCAATAAATACTTCTGGGAAAACTGGATATGCAGAAGAATGAAACTAGATGCCCATCTCTCATCCTATACAAAAATCAACCCCAAAATGAATCAAAGACCTAAATGTAAAACCCAGAACTACAAAACTATTAAAAGAAAACAGCAGAAATGCTTCAGGGCATTGGTTTCTGGGAAAAGATTTTATGAATAAGTCCTCAAAAACATAGGCAACAAAAGCAAAAATAAATGAGATTATATAAAAACAAAAAGCTTTTGCATAGCAAAGGAAACAATCAACAGAGTAAAAAGATAACCTATAGACTAGGAGAAAATATTTGCAAACTATTCATGGGACAGGGAATTAATAGCCAGAATATACAAGGAACTCAAACTGTTGTTTTTTTTTTTTTTTGAGACGGAGTTTTGCTCTCATTGCCCAGACTAGAGTACAGTAGTGCAATCTCGGCTCACTGCAACTTCCACCTTCCAGTTTGAAGAGATTCTCCTGCCTCAGCCTCCCAAGTAGCTGGGATTACAGGCGCCCGCCACCATGCCCGGCTAATTTTTTTGTATTTTTAGTAGAGATGGGGGTTCACCATGTTGGTCAGGCTGGTCTCGACCTGCTGACTTCGTGATCCACCCACCTTGGCCTCCCAAAGTGCTGGGATTACAGGCATGAGCCACCGCACCCGGCCCGGAACTCAAACTTTTTAACATCAAAAAACAAACAATCCAATTTAAAGATGGGCAAAAAATCTAAAGACATTTCTCAAAAGAAGACATACATGTAGCGAATAAACATATTTAAAAATGCCCAACATCACTAATTGATATGGTTTGGCTCTGTGTTCCCACCCAAATCTCATCTTAAATTGTAGTTTCCACAATCCCCGTGTGTCATGGGAAGGACCTGGTGGGAGGTAACTGAATCATTGGGGTGGTTTCCCTCATGCTATTCTTGTGATAGTAAGTTCTCACAAGATCTGATGGTTTCATAAAGGGCTTCACCCTTTGCTTGGTTCTCATTCTTCTCTCTCCTGCTGCCATGTGAAGAAGGATGTGTTTGCTTCCCCTTCCATCATGATTTTAAGTTTCCTGATGCCTCCCCAGCCATGCTCAACTGTGAGTCAATTAAACCTCTTTCCTTTATAAATTACCCAGGCTCAGGTATGTCTTTATTAGCAGCGTGAGAACGAACTAATACACTAATCATCAGGGAAATGCAAATCAAAACCATAATGAGATACCATCTCATCAACTTAAAATGGCTACTGTCAAAAAAACAAGAAAATAACAAATGCTGATGAGAATGCAGAGAAAAAGGAACTCTTACACATTTGGTAGGAATGTAAACTAGTACAGCTACTATGGAGAAGAGCATGGAGATTCCTCAAAAAACTACTAATAGAACTACCATATGATCCAGCAATCCCACCACTGGGAATTTTATCCAAAGGAAAGAAAATCAGTATATTGATGAGACATCTGTACCCCATGTTTATTGCAGCACTATTCACAATAGTCAAGATATGGAATCAACCTACATGCCCAACAACAGATGAATGGATAAAGAAAATGGGGTCTACAGACAGTGGAATACTGTTTTGCCATAAAAAGAATCAAATCCTGTCATTCGCAGCAACATGGATGGAACTGGAGGACATCATGTTAAGCGAAAAAAGCCAGGAACAGAAAGTTAAACCCTGCATGTTCTCACTCATAAGTAGAAGCTAAAAAGCTGATCTCATAGAAGTAAAAAGTAGAATGGAGGATACCAGAGACTGGGAGGGGCATAAGGAAGAGAGAGATCAGAAGAGATTTGTGAAAGGTTACAAAATCACAGTTAGATAGGAAGAATAAGTTCTAGTGTTCTATACCACTGTTGGATGACTATAGTTAACAATAATATATAGTTGCAAATAGCTACAAGAAATAATGTTTGAAATAATGTATACGTCAATTACTCTGATCTGATCACTATACATTACATGTACTGAAACATCATTATGTACCCCTCAAATATGTACATTATGTGTCAATTAATAAAAGTAGTTTTTTAAAATAATGTAATTGAATTGAGCAAAATGAAACATGTATCTGTCCTGGACCCATGTACTATAAACAGGCAAACTATTAAAAGTTATTTCATGTCAGGCATGGTGGCTCACTCTTGAAATCCCAGCACTTTGGGAGGCCGAGGCAGGCAGATCACTTGAGGTCAGGAGTTTGAGACCAGCCTGGCCAACATGGTGAAACCCCATCTCTACTAAAAATACAAAAATTAGCCAGGCATTGTGGTACGCACCTGTAATCCCAGCTACTTGAGAGACTGAGGCACGAGAATCACTTGAACCTAGGAGGCAGAGATTGCAGCCAGCCAAGATTGCACCATTGCATTTCAGCCTGGGCGACAGATCATGACTCTTGTCTCAAAGAAAAAAAAAAAGTTATTCCAATATATAAAAAGAATAACCAAATTTCCAAGAGAATACAAAAAGCCAGACTAAACACAAGCATCTAACTTTACTACCTTACAATATCTAACTGAAATGACAGCAAACGCATACATACATGAGAACAGAGAGAACGGAAAAAAACAACAAAAATGAAGCTTGAAAGAAGATATGTGACTTGTAACTGACCTAGCAGATCCGAGACAGCAGACAGCAATAGTAGAGAAAGGAGAATATTAACCCAATTTATGCAATAAAACAAAGTTTCAGGGATTCATGGTTTAAGCATCCCCTGGAAACGGGAATAAAGTTAGTCCCATCTTTAGGCAGACTAGTTGAAAGCTGTTAAAATAAAAGATCCATTTTCTCTCACACCATGCCAATGAGTGACTATTTCTCTATGACCCTGCAGATGACTGGAAGTCAAACATGTATCATTATGAATGGTAAATAAAATATCAATTGAAAGAGCTGAACCTGTTTGTCCCTGGGAAACAGAAACTGTGGAAAAGGGGCTCTATGGCCGCTATTTTCCTAAATTTTGTATAACTATCTCTGAAAACATCTATCTGCAGAACTTTGATAAAAACTACAAATTGAAACCAGTTTTAAATTTCAATTTCCAAATAGTTATAGCTTCAGTAAACTGGAATTCTTACCATCATAAATATGATGGAATTATGCAATATATTCCAACATTTCCATTTAACATATTGGACAGCCACTTTCATAGATTTCGTATGCAAATCTGCCTGCTTGCTAAAATCAATACTCCTGGTACTTTTGCAGTCATTTACAGATATGCACAAAGCAGAGAAAAATCTGAGGTTCCCAACACGCATGTTCCCAGCAAAGGCTGAACAAGATGACACTATCTTCTTAAATAAGACAGCTATTATACCATAAACAAGGGTCCTTTTTGTGGTGTAGTGTCCTGTTTTTGGCTTTTTTTTTCTTTTTGTTGGGATTTTGCTGTTTTATTTTATTTTATTTTTGAGACAGAGTGTAGCTGTTGCCCAGGCTGGACTGCAGGGGCGTGATATCAGCTCACTGCATCCTCCACCTCCCGGATTCAAATGATCATCCTGTCTCAGCCTCCTGAGCAGCTGCAATGACAGGTGCACGCCACCAAGTCTGGCTAATTTTTTGGTATTTTTAGTAGAGAAAAGGTTTCACCAAGTTGGCCAGGCTGGTCATGAACTTCCAACCTCCAGTAATCCACCTGCCTCAGCCTCCCAAAGTGCTGGAATTACAGGCCTAAGCCACCGCACCCGGCCTAGATGTTGTTTAAAAATGCCCCCCCAGACCGGGCGCGGTGGCTCACGAGGTCAGGAGATTGAGACCATTCTGGCCAACATGGCGATACCCCATCTCTACTAAAAATACAAAAATTAGCTGGGCGCGGTGGCGCGTGCCTGTAATCCCAGCTACTTGGGAGGCTGAGGCAGAAGAATCGCTTGAACCAGGGAGTTAGAAGTTGCAATGAGCTGAGATTGCGCCACTGCACTCCAGCCTGGCGACAGAGTAAGACTCTGTCTCAAAAAAAAAAAAAAAAATGCCCCCCAAGTGTAGTGCTGAAGTGCGGCCTAGTGCTCCTAAGTGCAAGAACGATTTAATGTGTCTTACAGAGAAAATACTGTGTTAGGTAAGTTTCATTCAGACATGAATTATAGTGCTGTTGGTTGTGAGTTCAATGTTAACAAAATAAACAATAAAATTAAATAAGGTGTCTTTAAATAGAAACACATATGAAACAAGGTTATGTATTGATCACTGATGACAAAAATGTTGTGACCAGTGGCTCACAGGAACTCAACTCTGTATTTCCTCTAAGAGCAACACTTCACTATTGGCTAATTCAGTGTTAGCAGCGACCTTATATTAACACAGCTGTGAACAATGAGAATTTGCTGTAATTGGATTTACAGCCTGGGCTTGCAATTAGCTACAAGAAGGTAGATGGAAAGTTAATGAAGTAGAAATGAGGACTGAATTGTGTTTCCTGAGTTTTCTCCTCCTATGGTTACAGAGGCCAATTTAAAATTAGGGTATGTGGCTTTAAATATTATTCTTGATACCAGGTCATTTTAAAAATGAGGAACATATGACTGGACACCAAATCTTACGATTTTATGTAACATCATTATCAACATGTCCAGATCATCAATTCATGATTGATAAAACTACTAAGCCAACTGGTCTAAACCACCTAGAAACTGGAGAATGCAATACAATTTAACAGCCACTACCTCTAACATTCTTTTAATCTGAAGAAATTTTCTGTAAGTCAGGAAACCAATGTTTCAATCTGTAGTCTATTCAACTCCACATCACAGAGAAAAGTACTTAATAAACATACTGCAACTACTATTTAAGCCAGAATGATGAGCTAAGTAAGCTATGTATAGCTCATACATTTCATTATTGCTTAAATATTTTCAGCAATATAACACACAGAAGGTGCTGAATAAATACAATGCCTTTCTCTTCTCCCAAGGTGCTCATTAAATACAGTACCTTTCTCTTCTCCCTTTCACAGTGCAAAACACTGCTATCTACTCCCACTTCTCCATCTCCTCTCTTTAATCCAATCATCTTTTGCTCACAATACTCCACTGAAAGTTCTCTTTGAGGACACCAGTGACTTCCAGTCGCTAAATGCAATGGTCAGGTCTCAGTTGCTTATCTTATACAATCTACGGGTAGTATAAAGCACAGCTGATTATGTTCTCTTCTCCTGGAACACTTTATTCACTTAGCTTCTGGGAAACCACTCTCTTCAGTTTGTTCCTCTTTATTCACTCCTTCTCAGTTTCTTTGCTAGTTTTCCTCTTCTCCCTGAGCTCAGTTTTTGCACATCTCTTATCTTCACACAGTCCCTTGGTGATCACATCTAATATCTTGGTTTAAATACCATGTATAAATCAGTGTAATTGGATTGTAACTCAAAGGATAAAATGCTTGAAGGCCTGGTTTAAAATTAAATAAATAAATAAATACCATGCATCTATAGATGACTACTGTATGACTACTATTAGATTATACCTATAACCTCACCTGTTCCTATATCCACTACATTAGAAAAAGTCAAACAAGTTTCCTTACTTGAGGACTTGTTAGAGCCTTTTAACACGTTACTCTGCATTATAAATATCCAATAGAAGATTATGTACACATTATTGGCTGGGTGCTGTGGCTCACACCTGTAATCCCAGCACTTTGGGAGGCCAAGGTGGGCAAATCACGAGGTCAGGAGATCGAGACCATCCTGGCTAACACAGTGAAACCCCATCTCTACTAAAAACACAAAAAATCAGCTGGGCGTGGTGGCGTGCGCCTGTAGTCCCAGCTACTTGGGAGGCTGAGGCAGGAGAATGGTGTGAACCTGGGAGGTGGAGCTTGCAGTGAGCCAAGATTGTGCCACTGCACTCCAGCCTGGGTGACAGAGCGAGGCTCTGTCTCAAAAAAAAAAAAAAGTAAAAAAAGAAGATTATGTACACATTATTTCTTACATTTATTTAGAACAGAATCCTTTCCTTGTGATTCATCTTGTGAAGCATACTACTGACTAAGCCACTAAATATAGCATACTTAGACATCTCTCAAGTAGTTCTAACTTCTTACAGTACACACAAATTATGTAAAAATAAGCAAGCTTCTCCTGATTAGAGATAATAATTGGGTTTGAGGTATTCAAGTCATTTTACTGCATTAGAGGAAAACTTGCCTCAAAATTATCCTTATGCAGAGTTAAATTTATATCTCTCTTCAAATACATTCATCTGTATTAATTACATACTCTAAGTGAACACAGAATAAATGTGTGTCATTTCTTCTGCCTCAAACAACTTAATATAATCAGCATATGTTGTCATTAATCTTTTTCCAGACTAAATGTTCTCAGCTCCTTCACCTGTTCTTCATATAACATGATTTCCAGGCCCCTCACCATCCAGGTTCTTTTTCTCATCAGATAAGATCTAAGTAATTCCTGGAATCCAGTTAGTCAACAAAATAATGTATTTGAAGAATGCAAAACATTGGAGCTATAATTTCTTGTGATAAGGATATGATCACATGGTCATGTAGCCTATGCCTATATTCACTTTTTTATTTTTAGCAGCCATGACACTAGTTAATATTCTTTCTGAAAATAAAGCTGTATTACACACACCCACCACATATATACTCATCCGTATACATATATACTTTACGTCCACTGAGAGGGCCTAGAAACAAAGACTCCTCAGTAGCAATAAGCACATCTAACACCTAGATCTCTAAATACCACTTCATAGTAAAAGAAATCAACACTGCTTAGAGAAATGTCTTATGCTAGGGCTGGCACAGAGATAGTACCAGATGATTATGGAATATCTTGTTGGATCAGAAAGTAAGAAAATGCTCAAAGAATCATAGAGACATTGGCAAAATGATAAAACAAGAATTCATGAGTCCATACTGATATGAATAAGTAAGTGAATAAAGAGGTAGAAGCTTTTCTTTATCACAGAAGTCAGCTAATAAATATAAAAGAAATTACAAAATTATAAAAATCACCATTTGGCACCCATCTTAATAATGGATTCACACAAGAATCATCAATAGATGTTAAAATTAATGGGTAAGTTTGAGAGTAGTAGGATACTAACATAATTTAAAAGTATCTAGCCACAGTATGTATTAATTACAGAGAATAAAAGAGTGACTTTACCTTGTAGAAACCTGGCAGATACCTCCTTAACTAAATTATAAAAGTTATCATCACCAGTAACAGGAGAAATAACAGTATTTGCCTCCTCATATAATGCACTGGAAAGTACACAACATCATGTCTGTGGTATTCCTGCCTAAAGTACGTAACCCAGGGCCAGGTGCAGTGGCTCACGCCTGTAATCCCAACACTTTGGGAGGCTGAGGCAGGTGGATCACTTGAGGTCAGGAGTTTGAGACCAGCCTGGCCAACATGGTGAAACCCTGTATCTACTAAAAATACAAAAATTAGCTGGGCATGGTGGTGGGAGTCTGGTCCCAGCTACTTGGGAGGCTGAGGCAGGAGAATCGCCTGAACCTAGGAGGCGGAGGTTGCAGTGAGCCAAGCTGGCGCCATTGCATTCCAGCCTGGGCCACAGGAGCAAAACTCTATCCCAAAAATAAAAAATAAAAATAAATTACATAACCCAAATCTAATTATGAGGAAAAAATCAACCAATCTCAAATTGAAGGTCATTCAGCTGGGTGGGGTGGCTCATGCCTTTAATCCCAGAACTTTGGGAGGCCAAGGTGGGTGGATCACCTGAGGTCAGGAGTTTGAGACCAGCCTGGCTAATATGGCAAAACCCCATCTCTACTAAAAATACAAATATTAGCCAGGTGCAGTGGTACGTGCCTGTAGTCCCAACTACCTGGGAGGCTGAGGCAGGAGAATCACTTGAACCAGGGAGGTGGAAGTTGCAGTGAGCCAAGATTGTGCCACTGCACTCCAGCCTGGACGACAGAGCAAGACTTCGTCTCAAAAAAAGAAAAAAAATGGGAGGTCACTCTACAAAATAACCAGCCTCAACAGTTTTTAAAATGTCAATTTCATGAAATAAAACATAGGTTCAAGTGTTTCTGTGTAAAAGAAACTAGAGAGATGTGACAACTAAACACAGAATGTGATCCTGAATTTTCTTCTGCAATAAAGTACAGTATTGTGGTAACTGGTAAAATGTGAGTACCTGTAGATTAGAAAACAGTACTATAAATGTTAATTTCCTGATTTTGATAATTGTGCTGTCTTTATGAAGAAGAATAATCTTATATTTAGGAAATAAAAACTCAGTAGCGGTAAAGGAGTATCATGACTCAAATGAGTCAAGAAAAAAGTAATACATATGTACCTATATATATATCGAGAAAGAAAATGATAAAGCAAATATAGTGAAATGTTAAAATACAGGTAATCTGGGTGAAGGGTATACAGGAATTCCTTATTATTGTACTTTTTTAAAATCTAAAATTACATCAAAATAAAAAGAACATAAATGATAAGCTTAACTCAATTTTAAAATACCTCCTTTATCACGTTAATTTCCTATATACCAACTATTGACTTAATACACATACAACCTTCCTCTCATAATTTCATTTAGTGTGGTTGCAATGGGTGGGAATAAGAAAACTAGCCCGGTGCTTCAATTTTACCAATTCATATAATCTGCTTCCATCAGAAGAAAAGCTAAAGGTCATTCCAGTTGCCTATCATCAATGAAGAGACAGGTTAAGCCCATCTCAAGTCCATTTCACCTACAGAGATTTTCAACAGTCCTTAATATCTACTATGTCCAAGGTTAAGTTAAATTACCATTCAATATATGATCATAGTAGTATTTTCAGTCAATGTTGCAAATATTTTCCAAAGACGATAAAAACTGAATTATTATACCCTTAAGGAAATAAACACTTCTCATTAATCTATTAATCTCCCTTAGAAATTATACAGACATATTTTGCGCACACACACACACACAAAGTTTTGTTGTCAATAAGAATTGGGTTTATGGCTGAGCCCAGTGGCTCATGCCTATAATCCCAGCACTTCGGGAGGCTGAGGTGGGTGGATCACCTAAACTCAGGAATTCGTGACGAGCCTGGTCAACATGGTGAAACCCCATCTCTACTAAAAATACAAAAATTACCCAGGCATGTTGGCAGGTTCCTGTAATCCCAGCTATTTGGGAGGCTGAGGCAGGAGAATCATTTGAAGCCGGGAGGCGGAGGTTGCAGTGAGCCAAGATCGCTCCACTGTACTCCAGCCTGGGTGACAAAGAGAGACTCCATCTCAAAAAAAAAAAAAAAAAAAACAACGAACTGGGTTTATATAGGAAAATGCAATTATTTGCTTACCTTTTAACTCATCATACATGCCTACATTTCTTTCAAGGGAACAATGAACCTAAACACATTCAGCCAATCAAACCTATAGTCTACTCTGGTTCTGGCTATACAATGCTTATGCACCCTAAACACAAATTTGGGATTTAAAAATAATAAAAATCAAAATGGTACTTTTTATATTTTCCATTTAAATTATTACTTCAAAACTCAATATACAAGAGTTCCCACTTCTAGACATGATGGGAGTAATGAGAACCAGATTATTCCTCTCCATTTAAAAACTAAAAAGTTAGAAAAAAAAGTGAAACATTTTCAGATATTGGGTAACTGATAGCACATCCCCGAAAGAGTGGAAACAAAAAGTGAGCCCTATGATTGTCCAAGTGTGCTGTCTGCAAAGTTTCCAGGATGCAGTGCTAGAAGGGGAAAACCAAAGACCAGAAGTACCCCTACACTGAGAAGCCAGATTTGAGTATTGAGATACCAAGGTGGCTAGAATTACTAGAGCAAAGTATCCAAAGAGGAGAGAGCTGCACAAAGAGAGTGCTGTAGCTCTGTAGAGGATTCCCCTTAAGTCTTCAGTTGAATATTGATTGGCATATGCAATGTAGGAAAAACTACCTGAAGCAAGGGAAAGAATCACCAAAAGGAGCAGGAAGACCAATTACAGCTTCAAACAACATAAAATACAAAATGTCTGGCATTCAAACAAAAATTAGCAGGCATATAAATAAACAGGAAAATATAATTCATGATGAGGAGACAGAATCAGACCCACAAATGACAAAGATGACAGGACTTGTAAACAAGCACATTGAAACATCTATTATTAAAAACACTGCTAAAAGAAATTAAAGACCCAAAAAGAAATCCCATGTTCATGGATTGAAAAACTTAATATTGTTAAAATTTCCATACTACCCAAAGCAATCTACAGATTCAATGCAATCCCTATCAAAATCCCAAGAGCATTTTTGGCAGAAATAGAAAAACTCATACTAAAATATATATTGAATCTTAAGGGACCCCAAATAGCCAAAGCAATTTTTAAAAAGAACAACAAATTTGGAGGACTCACACTTCCTGATTTCAAAACATATTACAAAGCAGTAATCATAACAGTGTGATATTGGTATAAAGATAAATCAACAAATGTAATAAAGACCCTAGAAATAAACCCTCATATATGTGGTCAAATAATCTTCAACAAGGGTACCAAGACCACTCAACAGGAAAAGAACAATCTCTTCAAAAAATGGTACTGGGAAAATGGGATACAACAAAAAATGAAGGTGGACCTTTATCTTACACCCTCTACAAAACTTAACTCAAAATGGATTAAATACCTAAACATAAGAAATAAAACTAAAAAAGTCCTAGAAGAAAACACAGGAGAAAGCTTCATAACATCTGACTTGGCAATTATTTCTTGGCTGTAACACCAAAAGTATAGGCAACAAAAGCAAACATAGACAAATGGGACTACATCAAACTTAAAACCTTTTGTTCATCAAAAGACACAAAAGGCATATATTTTTCTCCCCTGCAGAATGAGAGAAAATATTTGCAAATCAGAAATCTGGTAAGGGGTTGATATTCAGAATATATAGATGACTCCTACAACTCAGTAACAAAAAATCAAATAACCTGATTTTAAAATGGGCAAAGGATTTGAATGGGCATGTGCCCAAAGATGATATACAAATGGCCAACTAGCACACAAAAAGATGCTCAACATCACTAATTATCAGAAAAGTACAAATCAAAACCACAAGATATCACCTTACATCCATTAGGATGGCTATCATAAAAAAAAAACAGAAAATAAATATTGATGAAGATGTGGAACAACTGGAGCCTTTGTGCACTGTTGGTGCAACTGTAAAATGGTACAAAAAGATTAAAAATAGAACTATCATAAGATTCAACAATCACATTTCTGTGTATATATCCAAAACAATTGAAAGCAGAGTCTCAAAGAGATATTTACACACTCATATTCATAGCAGCACTATTCACAATGTGCAAGAGGTGGAAGCAGCCCAAATGTCCATCAATGGATGAACAAAACAGTACATACATATGACAGGATATTATTCAACCTTAAAAGGGGCAAATCTAAGAGTCTTTAAAAAATTATATGTATATAAAATGTATGTGTGTGTATGTGTGTTTAAATCTCTTTAAAAGAGAACTGACTAAAGCCAAAAGATCAACAATATTGTTTGGGATTTATAATATACAGCACAAATAACAGCACAAAGTTTCAGAAAGGGGAAACAGAGTATACTGTTAAAAGGTTCTCATAAAATATATGAAGTAGTTTTTTTACTCAAAAGTAGACTGTGATGATGTATACTAGCTACTACAAACAAAACTACAAGAAAAAAGAGCTATAGGCAAGTCAAAAAAGGTTATAAAGTCATAAAAATACTCAAAGAATCCAAAAAAGGTAAAAAGAACAGATGAAACAAAAAACAAATAGCAAGACGATAGACTTAAACCCAATAATATCAATAATCACATTAAATATAAATGGTCTAAATTAAAAGGCAGAGATTAGGAAACTGGATATTAAAAAGCAAGACCCAAGACCCAAAAGCAAGACCTATTTTTACGTGTATCTGTCAGAAACTCACTTAAATATAAACATAAAAAGGTAGAAAGTAAAAAGATGGAAAAAAATATCATGTTAACACTAATGAAAAGAAAGTCTGAATGGCTATACAAAGTAGATTTCAGAGCAAAACATATTACTAGGATTAAAGAGGTCCATTTCACAATGATAAAGGGATCCAATTGACCAAGTAATTATAACAATCATAAATATGCATGCACCTAGCAATAGAACTTCAAAATACATAATGCAAAAATTTAAAGAATCGCAAGGAGAAATCAGCAAGTCCACATTTATAGAGATTCAATACCATTTTTTCAAAAATTGATAAAACGAGTAGACAAAATCAACAAGGATATATAGAAGAACAATTCTATCAACCAACTTGACTTGACTTTTTTTTTTTTTTGAGATGGAGTCACCCAGGCTAGAGTGCAATGGTGCGATCTCACTGCAACCTCCACCTCCCCTCCCAGGTTCAAAGGATTCTTCTGCCTCAGGCTCCTGAGTAGCTAGGACTACAGGCACGCACCACCATGCTCTGCCACTTTTTGTATTTTTAGTAGAGACGAGGTTTCAACATGTTGGCCAGGCTGGTCTCGAACTCCTGATCTCAAATGACCCGCCTGCCTCGGCCTCCCAAAGTGCTGGGATTACAGGCGTAAGCCACTCCACCCAACCTTGTTTGACATTTATAAATTATTCCATCCAATATTCTTTTCAAGTGTGAATGAATCATTTGCCAAAGCAGACCATAATCTGGGCCATAAAACAAGTCTCAATAAATTAAAAATGATTCAAAATACACAATGTATGTTCTTTGACCAGAGCGAAATCAAGTTAGAACTAAGGAAAAAATATCTGAAAAATCCCCAAATATTTGGAAACTCATCTACATACTTCTAAATAACCAGTGGAGTCAAAGAAATCACAAAGGAATTTATCAAGGATTCTGAACTTCAATGAAAATGAAAACATATCAAAATTCGTGAGATGTAGTCAAAACACTATTTTGGGGAGAATTTTATAGAATTAAACACTCATTTTCCAGAAGAATAAATGTTTCAAATTATGAGCTAAGCTTCCAACTTAAGATTCTAGCAAATCAAGAGCAAATAAAATGCAAAATAAACAGTAGAAACAAAAATAATAAAGACGAATAGAAACCAGTCAAATTGAGGATAGAAAATCAACATAGAAAACGAAAAACTGGTTCTTTGAGAGGATCAATAAAATAGATCAATAAACCTCTAGCCAGGAGAATAGGAGAGAAAAGAGAAAAGACATCAGAGTCAGAAAGAGAGAGAGGACAGCACTATATGTCTTACAGATATTAAAAAGATTAATAAGAAAATGTCATGAGTAACTTTATGCCAATGAATTTAACAACTTTACATTAAACGAACAGATTCCTAGGAAAATACAAACTATCAATGCTAATTCAAGAAGAAATAAACTGAGTTAAGTCTTTATCTACTAAAGAAATTGAATTTGCAGTTAAAATCCTCCCCACAAAGAAAAACTAGAGCCTACCAAGCCTACATGTGCAAGTCACTTAGTATTGTCTGAAGTTTAAGATACATGGAAGGATCAAATATTTATTAATTATCATGTGCAGACACTGAGGATATAATTTTGATATCAGTATGTTGGTATTTCAACAAAATTATTCTGAAGGAAGCTGTGGGAAGAACTGATTCGTATAAGGCTAAATTAAAAGGAAATAAATGACAATAATTTGGGGACAATAATGAGGGTTTGAACTAAGTGCCAATGGTTGTTTTGTTTTTTCTTAATTGTGGGTGTTGGGACGAGGCATGATTGAAAGATAGATATTAGTAGATAGAGGACCAGATGAAGTGATTGAATGGCAATTAAAGATATGGAGAGGAACAGAGTAAGGACACCACATGACTCTTGGCTTGAACACTAAAAGAACCCTCATTAAGGTTGGGCATAGTGGCTCACGCCTGTAATCCCAGCAGTTTGGGAGGCCAAGGTGGGTGGATCACCTGAGGTCAGGAGTTCAAGACCAGCCTGGCCAACAAGGTGAAACCTCATCTCTACTAAAAATACAAAAATTAGCCGGGCACGGTGACAGGCACCTGTAATCCCAGCTACTCGCAAGGCTGAGGCAGGAGAATTGCTTAAACCCAGGAGAAGGAGGTTGCAATGAGCCAAGATCGCACCACTGCACTCCCGCCTGGGCAACAAGAGCAAAACTCCGTATCAAACAAACAAACAAACAAAAAACCCCTCATTAAGACAGAGACTACAAGAGTAAAATAGATTTAGGAACAAGAAGATAGGTTTATTTTTCAACAAATGATATATTCATACATTCAGCACCCAAAAGACACACAATAGACAATGGGATATATGGAATGAACACACAAGAAATCTGTGTAGATAAATCAGCTTGCTCTATCCCCCAGGATTACTTGCCATTAAAGCATTCCCATAACTATACAATTAATAGCTTTTCCTTGTCAAAGAATTTTAGAAATAAGTAAGAAAGTAGTCAAGAGATTTGAGAAAACAAGTTCCTCTCCCTATACACTTAATTCACAGCACTGAAATCCTACTTCATTTATTTTTTTCATTGTCATTTCCAATAGCAAAACCTTATTTATGCATTCCATCTGGTTTAATGAGTTTGATGTACTTTCTTCAGAAAAAAGTTGATAATGTGAAGCTCTCTTCCTATATTTTCCCTTCTTTTGTGTGGGTAAAATGATTATTCAACTCTGCCGGTTGAATCCTATTGCCTCCCTTTAAGGTTTTATTTGCTTGTTTGCCATTTTCTGGCTTCTCTTATTCTATCTGGAAATTGTTATTTTAAAACCTACACACACACACACACACACACACACACACACACACACGCCTGTTCAACTCAGTCAAATAACTGCAACAACCACTTTTTGAGCTAGTCTTAGAAATCAAGAATATGTCAAGTGCTTTACATACATTATCTCATTTAATTCTTAAAATCTCGCAAAGTAGGTAACTCCATTTAAAGAATAAATAAAACTGAACCTCAAAAATATTACATAATGAGTCCAATGTCACACAACCAGTGATGGCAGTATCAGGACTTGAACCTAGGTCTACAGAGCACCAAAACTTGTGCCACCTAATTTTCATAAATTTTCTGGTATCTGTAACAAATCCTATACAAAAGGTCTTACAAAAGTACTTTCATTCATGCAACAAATATGAATGCCTACATGTCTTTAAAATTTCTGTAGATATACTTTTAACAGCCCCTTTCTTGTACTGTTTTTGCAACTGGAAAGCTGCATACTATGCACTTTTCCCTTTACTTCCTCTCATTAAATGTCAAATTTAATCATGTTATGATTATTATCAGGTAGTGGTTCAGCCACAGCTATTTCCTGCCCCAGTTCCTGTTCAGTACCCAGAATAAAATCCAGCATATTTTCATTCCTAGTGCTCTAAAACTACCTGTTCCAGGAAGCAATCAGTTGTTCTCATCTGAAAACTCACTTCTATATTTTGTGTCACATTAGCAATTTTCATGAGAATAACAAAGTGGACTAAAAATGCAGTTTTCCTAAATGTCACTTAATATTTTCCACTTAGTCATATGATTCTGGTCATCAAGTGATGTTTCAGATTTGTAAATTTAACGTATTTATGGTTTGGTATTAATCTGAGAAGAAGATAGAAGCACGAGACTTTCTCAGATTTTCAAGGGCAGTCCCAATTTAAAACACACTGGCCAGGAGTGGTGGCTTATATCTGTAATCCCAGGACTTTGGTAGGCCAAGATGGGAAAATCACTTGAGGTCTCTAGCCTGGCCAACATAGCAAGACCCTGTATGTACAAAAAAATAAAAATTAAAACATTAGCTGGACACAGTGGTGCATGCCTGCAGGTCTAGCTACTCAGGAGGCTAAGGCAACAGGATTGCCTGAGCCTGGGAGTTCAAGGTTACAGTAATTACACTACTGTACTCCAACCTGGAAGACAGAATGAGACCCTGTCTCAAAATAAAAAAACTCTGTCCCACTATCATGTATCAAGTAGGGATTAAGAAAAGACAGTCAAAATATATGCAAAGGGGAGTTCACAATAATGACTCCATGTGGCTACAGGCTAGGTAAAGGGGTTAAGGGATGGCAACCATCATTTTGGAATTCTTCTTTGAGTCTTAATTTGAACTGGGAAAGTAAGTATTGGAAGGTGAATATTAAATAAACATGTAATAATGGACAAACTGCTGAGGTTTTCCTATAATTTTAGTATCTAAGTATGCAATTTCCAATTATCAAAATTGGGTAGTACTCACTTTGCCCAACCACATTTACATACCATTATCATTTAAAGCTGGCCTTCACACATACATTTTATACAAAGCTACAATTACTTACCATTCCCTAAACAATCCATATTTCTGTTCTGAGACTCTGCCTCTTCCTGTTCTGCATGGAATGCCCTCTTTCTCCACCTACAAACACCACCTTCAGACCTTTAAGGCTTCAGTGGTAGCTCCCCTGAAACCCAACTAGTTCTCTCTTAAAATTATTTATTGTTTCTTTTGTATTCACTGCTTTCTATGTGCCCGTACTTTATATATTTTATTTAAGGCTTAATGTCTTCTTTGAAGTATTGCCCTTTCCATTAAACAGATAAGGAAACTGATGCTAAAAGAGGTTTGGTGTTATGTTCAAAGTCACAAAGCCTGATAGGAATTCAAATCCAGACTGTCTATACTTTAACTGAATTCTTGTCTCAAGAATTATTGGGACCACAAGCATTTTGGATTTTGGATTTTGTAATATTTGCATATACATAAAGAGATATCTTAGAGATGGGACTCAAGTCTAAACACAAAATTCATTTATGTTTCATTTACACCTTATACAAATAGCCCAAAGGTAATTTTATATAACATTTTAAAATAATTCTGTGCATGAAGCTAAGTTTTGACTGTTTTTTTGTTTTGTTTTGTTTTTGTTTTTGAGACGGTGTCTTGCTCTGTCACCCAGGCCAAGTGCAGTGGTGCGATCTCGGCTCACTGCAACCTCCACCTCCTGGGTTCAAGCGATTCTCCTGTATCAGCCTCCCGAGTAGCTGGGACTACAGGTGCATACCACCACGCCCGGCTAATTTTTTTTGTATTTTTAGTAGAGACGGGGTTTCATATTGGTCAGGCTGGTCTTGAACTCCTGACCTCAGGTGATCCACCCGCCTTGGCCTCCCAAAGTGCTGGGATTACGGGCGTGAGCCACCGCACCCAGCTTGACTGTAACCTGTCACATGAAGTCAAGTGTCTTGTGGCATCATCTTGGCACTCAAAAGGTTCCAGATTTTAGAGCATTTCAGATTTTCAGTTTACAGATGCTCAATCTGTATATATTGTATTATCGTCATTTGTTCAAATATCTATTTCTCCCATCAAATGAATGCTCCTCAAACACAGAGAAGGTGACTCCATCCCTTTATCTTCAGCAAAATCCAACAGTGCCTATTATACAATGATCTCAAAGTGTTACTGTGTACAATAGTGGATTCAATTTACGGTTTTGCAGTGTTATTTTCCACTGAGTAGTCTCCTACTATAAAGTCTCCAAGAAGCCAATTTTATTGTGGTAATAAAGTATAATGGCTTGGAATGTAGGCTTTGGAATCAGACTGCTTAGGTGTGAATCTCACCTCTACTGACTCATTTGTGAAGAAATCTTGAACAAATTAGTTAAACTAAGTCTTGGTTTGCTCATCTATAAAATGACAGTAATCAGTACCCATCTCACAGGACTAAAATGATTAAATAATATACAAGTAGTCCAACTATTTTCGAGTTTCATTTTATCCACATGACACCCTAAATTCTCTTCAGTTTAGTGAAGGTTTTTTTCATTACATATTCCTTGCAATTTTGCATTAAATGGACCAGCCAAAAAAAGTTCATGGTTTAAAAATTGGGTGGGCCACCTTCTTCATTTTTAGGGCCAACTGTCCAGTGCCAGTTTGGGCTCAAAAAAAGTTTACTCTTGGAGGCTTGACTATCTATGCAAGAGTGCCCCCATTGTATACTATACTTGTTTACTCACCACATTTTCATGCTCCACCAGAAAGTGGTCAAAATTGGAACACGAAAACTCTCCACCTCACTAACACCTAACTTAAAACTATCAGATGCATTCAGACAGCCAGTCTGTGTGGGAGGCAGGCTATTTCTGGGGCAAAAATATTTCCTGGAACCACTGTTTCTGGCCCCAGACATGGCTCATTCTCCGCAGACCTCCAGATTCCTCTCCTCTACGTTATGGAGGTGGAGCCACTACAACTGATAACGCATATCCATTTCCTTCTCTTAAAATTTGCAGTCCATACACCATATCCAAGTTAGGATTTCAAATTGTTATACTGTTTTGTGACTCTTTAGGCTAAAGTGTGCAGTTTCCAGACTTTCAGAATTCCCCTTCCAATATTAAAAATATGGTGAAAAAAGCCCAGTTTGAAAGAAAATAAACTTTACAAAAATACCTGAAAACAAGATCAAATACTAAGTCTCTTGCCAAAGTCTTGGAGAAAAAAAAAATGAAAGAAACGTTTAAAAATGGCAAAAGCTAACCAAAAACCTTAAGATTAAAGTATCACACCTGAAAAGTAGTCTCAAAGCAAGGAGGATATACTATTAACAAAGAAAGCAACCGAAAACTACAAAATATTTAATATTCACCATGAATTTCAAAATTACTTGGCATGTAAAGTACACACTGAGATTAATAAATTGTTCCAGATTCTGCACTGCCCAGGTTAGTATAAGGCAGTTCCTTGTTTTCGCCACGCTAAAAATAAGAAGGGTGACAGATTAGTGACAGAATGATCCCTGAAGTTACACAAGGAGGTGCTGAGTTAGAAAGCCATGACTCGAAGGACAATACCAGAATGCTGGCTGTCAACACTGGGCAGATAAAAATAAGAAAAGCTGAAGCATGCTGATGGAGCACGGTATTGTTTCCAGACGGGAACTATCCCTTAAGGCCCATGCCTTAAGCACCCACTCCGCCGTGTTGGGATCAGAAAACTCGACTGCCGCCTGCTCAGAGGGGGCAGGGCAGCGACCCTCCTTCCACCTCCTCCAGCGCGCGAGCCGCCGCCCCCTCCCGAGCCCGCTCCTCCGGCCGCTAGCTGACATCTCCCCGCCAGCCGGGCTAGCCACCCGAGACCCCTGAACGCCCTTCCAGGACCCGACGACCCCTCAGCACAGCGCCAAGGGAAGGAAGCAAAGGACAGGGGCCTGGAAGCGGGGCCCGAGGGGCGGGTGGCGCGCTGGGCTTCGGCCCGTCACCATCAAGACTTGAGGACCGCGCGAGCTCGGGAGGAAGGCGGCTGAGCCTCCGCCACCGGCCGACTGATGAGAAGGGGTCGCGGCTGACCCCGGCCCTCAGGTACGGGAGACTGCCGGGAAAGTCGCCGGCGACGGAGGGCGACGCGTTGGCCCCGGAGCCCCCACCTCCATCCCGACGACCGCTCTCCTCCCTCGTCCCGATCCATCCTCGAAATTCTGTCAGAACTCGACGACCTCCACACTGCCCACCCGAGCGCGGAGGTGATGCCGCTCTTACCGTAGGAGCGAGCGCCGCGCCGCTAGGAGGCGGCTGAGGTGCGCGCGGGAGACTCCGAAGCTAGCGCCGCCGCCAACAGAGCCCAAGGAGCCACAACGAGGCTGCCCGCGGGCGCGCTGCCTCCAGAGGGTTGCCCCACCCCCTCTCCCGCAGGATTTTGCGCCGGAGCCTGCAGTCACTGCGCGCGGGCAGGGAGGATGGGAGGAGGGGCGGGGCGTCCCGAGAGGGCGGAGCTGAGCGCCGGCTGCTCTGATTAACATCTGTGGGCCCAATGGGAGCACGGAAACTCCAGGCTGATCTTGGACTGACTTCCCTACTAACCCGTGACAGTAGAGAGGCGGGACCAATGGGTCTTTTTATTGCCGCCTTTCTGTCGAACCCGAAAGTAAGGAAAGGTCGGTTGGTTTGCACTGGCGGACAAATGGTCCAATTACCGCGGAAAAGGGACCTCTGAATCCAGATTGGCGTCCTCTCTACCTATAGGGTAGGCTCAGGGGCGGTGAGAACCAGCCCCGGATGTGGGCGCGGCACTGAGGTAGAACTGAGAGATCCTCTACCGCAGTCGTTTGAGGAGGCGGAACTGAAGTTTTTTCTTAATTATCATGTGACGGGTTCTGGATTTAATGGGGGGAAAAGGGCGGAAAAGGACAAGGATCCAAACTGGCGAATTTGCTGATCTTCGCGTCCCTCTCCGCTTTCCGGCCGGCAGCGCTGCCAGGTGAGTCTGGGGCTCTGCCCTAGCCCGCACCGTACGCCGGCGCTGGTCTCCTGATGCTTCCGTGGGCTGTGCGGCCGACCCTCAACCCATCACACAGCCAGCCCCAAACGCGCACACGCCTGCTTGGCTCCAGGGCTTCTGTGCGCATCCAGCAGGAACCGTGTTAAACTCCAGCATGTGCTGGGCTTACAGCCCATGAAAGGGGAGCGTCCCGGTGGGGCGCCGCGAGCCGACTGTCGGTGTTTGCAGAAGGGCAAGTATAGTTTAGGAGCGTCCTGAAGTTCCAGGGGCAAATAGGCCCCCAGATGAGCTAAGTTGTAAGCAGAACGCTGTTCCTTTGGCCAAGGCTGTTGCTGCACGGGCTTTTCAAAAGCGACTCATTATGAAGAAGAATAAATATGTGGGCTCATGAAGCAAAATTATCTTTGGGATGAGGCAGGTTCACTTGGTAGACTACTGGCAGTGGCGAGAGAAGGGAAATGGGGGCTGATACCCAGCCGTGGGCTATGTGGGTGGGGCTCTATATATGTCCATACAGGGGTAACTCCGAAGGTTTTAAAAATGAGTAAGGAATCATTAACAAATATTTAACTGTCTTCCTAGTGCCAGAAATAACCACCTTAAATGGGAAACATTTTAGTTGAGCACATTTTTGGAGTACGCACCTCCCCCTTTCTTGTGGAGAGAATAGTAGGAAACATAACGACTGCTCAAATTGATGAAGACGTAAATGTAAAACTGGGATCGTATGTCATCGTTGTAGCTCAGCATACAGGCGTACAATCCTTCAATCGTCATTTAAGTATCAGCAGTGCTTCCCCATTGAGGGTATTTCCGTGCAAGAACATAACAGAATTTTGTTGCATCCCACATTATAAATCTTGTAGGCACAATAAGATTGTTACTTGCATCCTTTCACCTCCAGCCCTAAAGCACCTGTGGTAAGTACAGCCAAATGTAAGAAAAAAATGAAGCTTGTCTTATCCGATAGCAGATGGAACAGTTAGGTTTAAGCAAGTGTATAATCATAAACCGTTTTTCAGAGGTTCACAAAAACGGCCTGATAGATTGGAGGTGGGGATTGTGCAATTTACGGGATGAAATCCATCCATGGTTATTAATCAACACACACCCCTCCAACCCTGCTTCCAAATTCAGTCCCACATCCCACTCTATGGCAGCCTCTGGCCGGGAAAGGAAACCAACACAGAAAAATGCCTCCTTAGAAGCAAAATTACTGCAGTATGAAGCCTTTGCCAATTAAGTAAACAAGTTTAAGTGCCACTAGATGGGTATAAGGGAAAAGAGGTGAGTTAGGAGACTAATACTTAACTGTTGAAATAGAACAGATGTGTCCTCTTGCACTGTGATAGCCACCCACTATTTAAAGTAGTAGAGATGTTGCACAGTACATCAAAGTTAGTTCTAAAATATAATTGAGCACGCTAATCTAGGGTATTTGGCTCAATTAGCCAGTTCCTTCACCTTTTCCCTGTTATCTTCCTGCATCTTTCCTCCTACCACGCATGCTTTTGTTCCTATCCCTAGCACCTTCTGATCTTTTTCTCTTTCCATCAAGTATCCTCTCTCATCTTCAGTGTCATTCCCCATTGGCTTATTTCTGTTTATAGTCATAAATTCTTCCTTTCCTGAAAATTTCTTCTTTCAGTTTCATATACCCTATCTTTCATTTTTCTCTTCTCCAAATGCCTCAAAGGAATAAAATGTTCTCAATTGTTTCCATTTCTTGGTCTTCTGTTAACTCCTTACCCAGCTGCATGCAGTCTGGCTTCTGATTTCCCATTCTACTTATCCTTTTTCCAAGTGGCCATAAAGGTTGGTATAAAAAACTTAAGTAGAGGAACATATCATAAACCTATATGTGAAGATTAAATATAATAAATGCTATCCCAAGCTAAGTTTTATGCATTCATAATCAAAATTCTAGGTTTTCAAGAATCAGCAAATTTAGCATTGAAAAACTGTAAGGGCAAAATAGAAAATATTCTAGAAAAGAGGCCGGCGTGGTGGCTCAAACCTGTAATCCCAACACTTTGGGAGGCTGAGGTGGGTGGATCACTTGAGGTCAGGAGTTCGAGATCAGCCTGGCCAACATGGTGAAACCCCATCTCTACTAAAAATACAAAAACTAGCTGGGCGTGGTGGCGCACACTTGTAATCCCAGCTACTTGGGAAACTTAAGTGGGAGGATCACTTGAACCCGAGAGGCAGAGGCTGCAGTGACCTGAGATCGTGCCACTGCACTCCAACCTGAGTGACAAGAGTGAGACTCCGTCTCAAAAAAAAAAAAAATTCTAGAAAAGAGAACAACGAGTAGATACTAGGCCTTCCAGATATTAATACATTCCTAGAGCAACACTAAGTCATATAGTATTAGTGCAAAAGAGAAACATATAGATCAATGAGGCAGAATAGTGATATAAGAAATAGCCCCCAAAATTTAGCATCTAATAATCACAAAACATCAAAAGTTTATTAGGTGGTCCTGATTATTGAATGGATAACAAGTAGCTTAAAAAAATACATATATACACCACCAATCAGTGAGACTATTGTTAAAAGGAAAAAAACTATTATACCAAGAAAGATATTTGTAAGAATTTTTATGAGAAAATAAGTGAGAATTTAAGAATATGTTTCAAATTATATGAAAATCCAGTGTTATCAGTGCCTTTTATATTATATAGCCCAACAACCTCTTTACAATCTTTTTTTTTTAGACAGTGGTCTCACTCCCATCGCCCAGGTTGGAGTGCAGTGTGCAACGGCTCACTGCAGCCTCAACTTCCCGGGTTCAGGTGATTCTCCCACTTCAGCCTCGCGAGTAGCAGGGAATACAGGCACGTGCTACTGCACCTAAATTTTTTGTATTTTTAGTAGAGACGGGGTTTCGCCATGTTGCCCAGACTAGTCTTGAACTCCTGGGCTCAAGAGATGCACCTGCCTTAGAGTCCCAAAGTGTTGGGACTGTGGGTGTGAGCCACTGCACCCAGCCACTAAAATATTAATTCTACTTTATATTCTTGTGATTTTTATTAACCATTCCCTCCTTTTATTGATGGATTGACTGATTGAGACAGCATCTCACTCTTTTGCCCAGGCTGGAGTGTAGTGGCATGATCTCACGGGGCACTCACTGCGGCCTCGACCTCCTGGACTCAAGCAATCCTCCCACTTTAGCCTCTCAGTAGCTGCGACTACAAGGTGCATACCACCACGCCTTGCCAATTTTTTTATTTTTTGTAGAGGCAGGGTTTCACTCTTGCCCTGGCTGGTCTGGAGCTCTTGGGCTCAAATGATATGCCTGCCTTCTCCTCCCCAAATACTGGGATTACTGGCATGAGCCACGCACCCTTCCCATTCCCTTCTTTTAAAACTCTCTCTCTTCTCAGCTTGATACCCACCTTTCACTTTTTCACTACTTTGAATGCTTTTTTCTTTGTACCCCTTGAAATTGAATTAAAAATTAGATTTGCAAATGTATAGGAAGATTAAGAACATCTTTGAGGTGCAGGAATAAAGTTGTAAGTGCCTGGACTCGAGTGATAGCACTGAAAAGGAATCACCTGACATTTTGAATAGAGCTTATACAGTAGATATAATAAAAATTGTATTTTGTCATGGGCTGTAAGGAATGGTGGATATAATGTCAATGATCACTAAGTTTTAGAGGATTTGAAAGGAAGAATAGTAGAATGTTTTCAAAATTAGGAAGTCAGTTGGGAAAGAACCAGTTTTGTTCATTAGGAATGGAAGTGATACTTTTTTTCTGGTATCAAAACAATCTTGACTTTTTCTCCTTCTCTTAGGGTATATTTCCTTTTTTCCGATCCTGCAACAGCCTCTTTAAACTGTTTAAATGAGAATGTCCTTGGCTCAGAGAGTACTACTCACCTGGCTTTTCACACTACTCTTCTTGATCATGTTGGTGTTGAAACTGGATGAGAAAGCACCTTGGAACTGGTTCCTCATATTCATTCCAGTCTGGATATTTGATACTATCCTTCTTGTCCTGCTGATTGTGAAAATGGCTGGGCGGTGTAAGTCTGGCTTTGACCCTCGACATGGATCACACAATATTAAAAAAAAAGCCTGGTACCTCATTGCAATGTTACTTAAATTAGCCTTCTGCCTCGCACTCTGTGCTAAACTGGAACAGTTTACTACCATGAATCTATCCTATGTCTTCATTCCTTTATGGGCCTTGCTGGCTGGGGCTTTAACAGAACTCGGATATAATGTCTTTTTTGTGAGAGACTGACTTCTAAGTACATCATCTCCTTTCTATTGCTGTTCAACAAGTTACCATTAAAGTGTTCTGAATCTGTCAAGCTTCAAGAATACCAGAGAACTGAGGGAAAATACCAAATGTAGTTTTATACTACTTCCATAAAACAGGATTGGTGAATCACGGACTTCTAGTCAACCTACAGCTTAATTATTCAGCATTTGAGTTATTGAGATCCTTATTATCTCTATGTAAATAAAGTTTGTTTTGGACCTCATTTTTCTACATGACTCTTGAATAATCTGTTGTATGTGGTCAATATCTAAAGTAACTAAATATAAAACCTTTAACCTACATGTTTGGGCCAGGCGAGGTGGCTCACACCTGTTATCCCAGCACTTTGGGAGGCTGAGGCGGGTGGATCACTTGAGGTCAGGAGTTCAGGACCAGCCTGGCCAACATGGTGAAACCCTGTCTCTACTAAAAGTACAAAAATTAGCCAGGCATGGTAGCGGGCGCCTGTAATCCCAGCTACTTGAGAGGCTGAGACAGGAGAATCACTTGAACCCGGGAGGTGGAGGTTGCAGTGAGCCAAAATCACACCACTGCACTCCAGCCTGGGCAATAGGACTAGACTCCGTCTCAAAAACAAAACAAAACCTACATTTTTTAATAGAAGTTTAATATACCATGGCTGTATTATGACCAAAGTAAATGGCCATTTGTGTTTCTAAATTATGAAGGAAAAAAAACCTGAAACAGGGATGCCACTTCGTATTTACATTTAGAAAGAATCTGAGTTTGACAGATTTTTATCTAGGCTAAATTCACTATTACCTCTACCTTCTGGTTGGGACAAATAATTTAGAGGTGGCATGTTAAAACAGAGCAGAAAAGCCAGGCGCACTGGCTCACGCCTGTAATCCCAGCACTTTGGGAGGCCAAGGCGGGCAGATCACAAGGTCAAAAGATCAAGACCATCCTGGCCAACATGGTGAAACCCCATCTCTACTAAAAATACAAGAATTAGCTGGGTATGGTGGTGGGCGCCTGTAGTCCCAGCTACTCAGGAGGCTGAGGCAGGAGAATCGCTTGAACCCCAGAGGCGGAGGTTGCAATGAGCTGAGATCACACCACTGCACCCCAGCCTGGCAAAAGAGTGAGACTCCATCTCAAAAAAAAAAAAAACAAAAACAAAAACAAACAGCAGAAGCCTGCCACTTCCTAAAGTTAGGGAGACCCTATAATCCTGATTCTGTCAGGACAGGCCCAGTTTATATACCTATTGTCCTGGGGTCTCAAGGAATTAGTGCCCCCTCACAATTAGAAGTGTCTTGAATTGAGAAAGCATATTATCACCCTCCCAAGGTACTAATCAATTCCAATGAAGCAGAGGTGACAGTACTTATAAAAATTCCAAAGAGGTTGAAGTGTCTTATAACCCTGAAGCACGATGATTGTTCTTACCCTATGCAACCCTCACTTTTAGCTTTAAGAGAAACCTCAAGTGATTTTTTCTCCGTTTTAAAAAAATCAAACAAAAAAGTGATTTCTGGCTACTGATACAGAAGGTCTAGTTCTCCCTTGTAATGACAGATAACATAAGTTTCACAATACAACAGATTAATACAGCTTAACTCATTAGGCATTTGAAACTAGAGAGCTAGGCTAAATAAATAAAAACTAATCAACTGCAAAGTTTTCATCTTATAATTGACAATAATTAGGATTTTCAGTATGTAAAAATAGGATTGAGAACAGTTAGTACTGGGAACGGAATGTTCCAGGCTTGATCAGATACCTCTAACTCAATTGAGAGATGCATACTTTGGTTTATGGGATCTATCGTTAAATAAATTCAAAGTAGAAGAAAGCTTACATCTCTCTAAGAAACCAGCCAAGAGGATTTTGGAGTACAGGGAAAAGGAAAAGAAGGGATGGCACCACAGCAAACAATCAGCTAGGCCAGGAGTCAGCAAAATTTCTCTGTAAAGGGCTTCTCAGTAAATATTTAGGCTTTTAGGTGATGTGGTTTCTTTTGCAACTACTGAACTCAGTCCTTATGGCAGAGAAAGCAGCCACAGACCATGGCTATATCCCAATAAAACCTTATTTATGGACATGAAATTTAAATTTCAAATGATTTTCACATCACAAAATATTTTTACTTTTGTTTCAACCATTTAATGGCATAAAAACCATTCTTGCCTCACACACAATAGAAAAACTGGTGGTAGGTTAGATATGGCCTACAGGAGGTAATTTGCTGACCCCTGTGCTAGGCAATAAAAGCATAATGGAATTCTGTATGAGACGTTAAGAGGAAAGGTAGAACAGGTCTCTTGCTCCCCCAAACAGTTCTACGAGGAAGGAAGAGAGAGATTAAGTAAGAATTGTATGTAAACTGCAACACAATAACCGACCTGTTTACACAAGCGTCAATGAATTTTAACAGCATCTGAAGGATTCCCAGAAAGTAGAACTGCCGCACTAAATAAACACTTGAAGCAGCACAATAAATTATCATGGATATGTGCAATACACACATCAGTGTGTTACATTAAAACATTACGTAATGAAAGACATTAAAGATAGAAATCATGCTTACAGGTAGAAAAATCAAAACAAATGGACTAATATGTAAACAATTAGTATTGTACAAAAATACCTTCCTAGGTTTTAGTTATAGGATTCTTCCTTTGTATTACAGAGATATTTACCAATGACGTTTTTTAAGATTAAACACACAATGCCTCATGAAAGAAACTTAAACATCAGAGGTTCTTACCAAAGCCGATTTTTTCTAGGTTAGCATGGATGTAACTCACTCTGGTTTGGGCAAAAGATTTGTCATCAACAATCTGAGTAAAAGCAACCTGTGCACAAAATAACTTTTTATAAGACTTGAAACTATGACAAGGGGCCGAGTGCAGTGGCTCACGCCTGTGGTCCCAGCTACATGGAAGGCTGAGGTGGGAGGATCGCTTGAACCCAGGAATTCAAGATTACAGTAAGCTATGATCATGCCACTGCACTCCAGCATGGGTGACAAAGTGAGACTCTGTCTCAAAAAAAAAAAAAAAAAAATGGCTGAGTGCGGTGGCCCACACCCATACCTGTAATCCCAGCACTTTGGGAGGCCAAGGCGGGTGGATCATCTGAGATCAGGAGTTCGAGACTAGCCTGGCCAACAAGGTAAAACCCTGTCTCTACTAAAAATAGAAAAAATTAGCCGGGTGTGGTGGCAGGCACCTGTAGTACCAGCTCAGGAGGCTGAGGCAGGAGAATCACTTGAACCTGGGAAGCAGCGGTTGCAGTGAGCCGAGATCACACCATGGCACTCCAGCCTGGACAACAAGAGTGAAACTCCCTCTCAAAAAATAAAATAATAATTTAAAAAAACATTCAAATGATCCAAAACTTAGTAACATTTCATGAACATAGGGACCAGATATGGTAGCCTCAACCAAACATGTAAAACATGAACACAAATCTGCCAACAAAGAGCCTTCAAGCACCAAGAAAAATACTTGTATAAACCTTCAAGAAGTAGAGATCTATCCTTGGGTTCAAGCTTACTGCAATTTTAAAAGTGATTAACCTGCGGGACGTGGTGGCTCATGCCTGTAATCCCAGCACTTTGGGAGGCCAAGCCAGGTGGATCACGAGGGTCAGGAGTTTGAGACCAGCCTGGCCAACATGGTGAAACCTCGTCTCTACTAAAAATACAAAAATTAGCTGGTTGTGGTGGCCGGCACCTATAATCCCAGCTACTCAGGAGGCTGAGGCAGGAGAATTGCTTGAACCCGGGAGGTGGAGATTGCAGTGAGGAGAGCTCGCACCACTGTACTCCAGCCTGGGTAGCAGAGCAAGAGTCCGTCTCAGAAAAAGAAAAAAAGTTATTAACCTTATAAATTTGGTCATCTGGTTTCCACTTTGCTTTTTCACAGTGTAGCAAATAAGAGGGAACTATTGACTAATGAATAGAAGTGATAGCCAAAGGAGAGGAAACCATAGAATCATCTTTATACCAGGGCAGGCATATCACTATGCACCTGAGTCATCAGGAAAATCAATTAATTTCTCTTTATTGAGAGGAAAATTATCAGAGTCCTTTCGGTGTTATATAAACAAGCCACAAACTACCAAAGGAGTTTTCCTTAATGTTGATTGGTCATGTTTGCCCAGTAAACATCACTATGAGCACAAAGTATTATTGGTGTCCTTATACTTAGTGGCATAAATATTAAAAGATGCCGAGGGTTGGGTTTGGTGGCTCTCACTTACAGTCCCAGCACTCTGGGAGGCCAAGGTGGGAGAATCACTTCAGACCAGGAGTTCCAGACCAACCTGAGCAACATGATGTAACTTGAGGTCAGGAGTTCGAAACCAGCCTGGCCAACGTGGTGAAACCCTGTCTCTACTAAAAATACAAAAATTAGCCGGTGTCATGGCACACACCTGTAATCCCAGCTACTCGGAAGGCTGAGGCAGGAGACTCGCTTGAACCCAGGAGGTGGTAGGGTTGCAGTAAACTGAGATCATGCCACTGCACTCCAGCCTGGGTGACAGAGTAAGACTCTGTCTCAAAAAAGAAAAAAAAAAGTTACACAATTTTAGAACAGGGTGGAAAAGGATAGCACATCTCTTCATTGTAATGATGGAGAAACTAAAGCCCAGATAAATAATTTTAGCCCATGGTCACAGATAAGTGGAGGAGTGGGACTCCAAATGCTATTTCCACAAATATGTCTCCTGTTAAAGGAAAAAATAAAAAACATCAATGGAAGATACCAGTTATCAAACCCTGAAGATACCACTGGGTTACAAGCTTTTCTGAGGGAACTGCCTTACACTTCATGTTTCTCATTTTGCATTGCCCTGTATTCAAGTCAGCCTGTCATACTGTATTACACCATAAGGCAATTGTCATCCGTCTATCCTTTTGCCTGTCCACCACTATCACCTATACATGACCGTCACAAATTTATAATTCAAGTATATCAAGAACAGGCAGTCTGTGATAAGACATGATTTTGAAATGCCAGCTTGGGAAAAACAGTGAACTAGGAAGATTGTTTCTGATGTTCACCTGCCTTCACCATACCTTGCCTTGACCCCCTCATGAAACTCCTCCTCACTCCTCCTCATGCCTATCCTCTGCCCCAAATTAGAATAATACAAAGAAGAGATAATTAGTGAGGAAGGTGTGAAATGACTGGAGTGACCCAGCACAGAACTCTTTTAACTATTCTTTTGACTATTTTAATTCCAGAAGCAGAAGCTAACATGTAAAGTAGGTAGAGTAAGCCAGGCAATGTGCTAAGTAAACATTTGGCATGTTCTGTCACTTATCTTTCACCACAAATTAACAGAACACATAAGTAATTTTCTCAAAGTTATTCAAGTGTGGTTTTGGTGGGGTTTTTGTTTTTGTTTGAGACAGGGTCTCGCTTTCACTTGGGCTGGAGTGCAGTGGCCTGATCATAGCTCACTGCAGCCTCGAGCTCCTGGGCTCAAGCCATCTCCCCACCTCAGCCTCTGGAGTGGCTAGGACTACAGGTGTGTGCCACAATGACTGGCTGTTTTTATTATTATTATTATTTAGAGATGGGAGTCTTGCTGTGTGGCTCACATTGGTCTCAAACTTCTGGGCTCAAGTGATCCTCCCACCTGGGCCTCCCAATGTGCTGGGATTACAGGTGTGAGCCACCATGCCCAGTCTTATTCCCTTTTAATGAACCTCAGCTATATTGCTACAAATGCCCGCAGTCAAATATCGTGGCTGGGAGCAGTGGCTCATGCCTGTAATCCCAGCACTTTGGGAGGCTAAGGTGAGGAATGCTTGAGCCCAGGAGTTCAAGACCAGTCTGGGAAACATGGTGAAACACCATCTCTACAAAAAATTTAAAAATTAGCGGGGCATGGTGGTGCACACCTGTAGTCCCAGCTACTCGGGAGACTGAGGAGTGGGAGGGTCACATGAGCCCAGGGAAGTCAAGGTTGCAGTGAGCCTGGGCAACAAAGTGGGACCCTGTTCCTAAATAATAAAGTGGCTTTACAGATTTTACAGAAGGACTAACTGTATGAAAATGTGCGACCTTTATGTCCTCCTTCCATTCCTGCAGTGGAATGGATATAGACTGAAAAAAACTAGGGCAGGTTGTCATCTTCAGTATTTTCAATTTTTGAATTTTTTTAACATGAGTAGGGAAAACCACAAAAGCTTAAACAGAATACCTGTCTGATAACCAGACTTTATCTATCAATTAAGACTTAAAAATGTGAAATTCTGCCTCAGACTCTGAGATATCAAAGTGCTTCTTATGTAGCCAGGCATGGTGGCTCACGCCTGTCATCCCAGCACTCTGGGAAGCTGAGGCGGGAGGAATGCTTGAGCCCAGGAGTTCAAGATCAGTCTGGGCAACATGGTGAAACACCATCTCTACAAAACATACAAAAATTAGCTGAGCATAGTGGCGTGCACCTGTAGTTCCAGCTACTCAGGAGGCTGAGCTGGGCAGATCACCTGAACCTGGGAGGTTGAGGCTGCAGTGAGCTGAGATCGTGCCACTGCACTCCTGCCTGAGGCTCTGTCCCAAAAAGATAAATAAAGTGACTCAAGCCAAAGAGGGAGAATCTGTCTCAAAAATTAAAAAAAAAAAGTGCTTCTTATATTTGCCATTTTAATCATTTTAGGAATAGTTAAAATGTATCTTTAGTTTGCAATAATTTTCAGTGTATCTCCAGAAAAACCAGTTGAAGGAAAACTGTTGGGTAAGTTTCACGGGTTTTACAGGTTTATTTCTACAATACTGACTCTCTCCAAGCTGCCCAACAGGCCTGGATATCTAATAGTTACCTTCTTAAACTTTATCCATAAGAGTTTTGGTTAGACTGCAGTACAAAACAAGAAACTTGGTTTCTTTATAGTATCTTCTCATCTAACTTGTCTCCATTTTTCTTTCTGTTGCAATCCTAGAATTACATTTGAAGTCAGACTGACTTTAAATTATACAAACCTACAGAGGTGGGAGGATCACTTGAGGCCAGGAGTTTAAAGTTCAGCCTGGGCAACATAGCAAGACCCTGTTTCTACAAAATAAAAATTTAAATTTAGCCAAGCATGGTGGTGGGTCCTGTAGTCCTAACTACTCAAGAGGATGAGGCAGGAGAATCACCTGAGCCCAAGAGTTTGAGGCTGTACTGAGCCATGATTGTGCCACTGCACTCCAGCCTGAGTGACAGAGCAAGACTGTCTTTAAAAAGAAAGGAAACCTACCTAACTTTCCCCCACCCCTAGTGTACAATATGTTCCTTCAAGTATTTATGGAACACCAAGTATACAACATATTAGGTGTTGGGGATGCAAAGTGATAAAATTCCTAACTTCTAGCTCATAGTTTAGCTACAGTCCAACATGTACTTAATATGTATATTTAATGCTCTGAGCAGAGGGCAGCAGACAGATTTGGGTCTATACCAACTTCTGGGTGAGGGGACAGTTGGAGATGTGCCCTGTAAAGCCTATAAAACCCTGTACTGTAAAGCAGGGGTCCCCAACCCCCTGGGCCATAGACTGGTCCCAGCCCGTGGCCTATTAGGAACCAAGCAACATAGCAGGAGGTGAGTGGGGTGCAAGTGGGCATTACCACCTGAGCTCCACCTCCTGTCAGATCAGTGGCATCATTAGATTCTCATAGGAGCGCAAACCCTACTGTGAACTGCACATGCAGTTCAGATCTAGGTTGCATGCTCCTGAAAATCTAATGCCTGATGATGTGAGGTGGAAACCATCCCCCACCCAACCCCTGTCCGTGGAAAAATTGTCTTCCACAAAACTGGTCCCTGGTGCCATAAAGGTTGGGGACCACTGCTGTAAAGACAGTACAGGAGATGATGTCTGAGTTTTGAAAAGAGAAATAAGATTTCACTGTGTTGTATTCCACATATTTACTTCCCCAGCAAAGTAAAAGAATTTTAAAAGTTCACAAAGGAAATGGCAATGACTGCCATCTGGTAAAGTGGAAAACTGGTCACATCAAATAGAAGAAATTGTGTTACATGAAGCTGGAAAAGGAGGGCCAATAATAAAGGCTCTTCAGTGCTATGCTAAGCATTTGACCTTTATTCTTTAGCAAAGGAGAAGCCAAGGAGTACTTCTACAAAGAATAATAATTCTATATTTTAGAAAGGTTAAATCTGTTGGTAACACAAAGAATGGAATGGAATAAAGAGGGAAAGGGCACAGGACTAGAACACTTTAGGGTATTTTGAATCCAGGTGAGATGAACATCTACTATAACTGTGATGTGACAAGAGAGCAATAGATGAATTTTAAGTATTTCTGGGATTGACTCAATCTCATAACAAATTGGACACAGGAACCAGGCACAGTGGCTTATGCCTGTAATCTCGACACTTGGGGAGGCTGAGGCGGGCAGATCACTTGAGGTCAGGAGTTCGAAACCAGCCTGGCCAATATGACAAACCGCATCTCTACTAAAAATACAAAAATCAGCCAGGTGTGGTGGTGCATACCTGTAATGTCAGCTACTCAGGAGGCTGAGGCACAAGAATCGCTTTAACCCAGGAGGCAGGGGTTGCAGTGAGCCAAGATCATGTCACTGCACTCTAGCCTGGGCAACAGAGACTCTGTCTCAAAAAACAAAACAAAAGGACACAGGAAAAGAGAAAAATCAAATTACTATAAGGTGATTATGAAGGAAGACAGTGATGACAATAACCAAATTGGGAGGAAAGAAACAGCTAATGCTTGAGGGCAAGGCGAAAAAGAATTTAGATTTGACCATATGGATCATTAGAACTAAAGTGAAAAACCAGGCTGACTGAAGTTGTGGGATCCTGAAGGTAGCTCAGGGACAGACTGTAGAGGCCTAAAGGAAAGACCGTGGAGACTGCCTTAAATAGTGGCAGACAGGCAAAGAATCCTTCCAAAGAAACTGAAAAACAACATGAAAAAAACAGGTCATAAAGAGTTTTAGGAGTAAAATGATAGTGCTGCAAGGGTCAAGCAGAAATACTAAGAAGTACAGCCACTGAATTTGGCAGTCAAAAGGTAACCTTTGAGAAAACCATTTCAGCATACATGTGAGGATTTACATGAAACTGTAGTGAAATGAGGAATAAATGGAAGATGAGGAAGTGAAGGCAGACAGAAATTTCCAAGAACTTAGGAAGAAACACAGCACAAGAGCATTAACAAATGCCAGACTTAAGATAAAGGTATTTTTAAAAACGACAGATTTGAGATGTTTCAGGTAAAAATCTGGCTTAGTTGACAAAATTTCAAGAAAAAACTTTGGGTTGGCGGGGCAGAAGGATCAAACTGTCTGTCCAAGTTAAGTTTATCAACACTGTATTACACAACATTTGTGACTATAATATTGTTTGTTTGAGACTGAGTCTTGCTCTGTCACCCAGGCTGGAGTGCAATAGCACAATCTCGGCTCACTGCAACCTCCACCTCCCGGGTTCAAGCGATTCTCCTGCCTCAGCCTCTCCAGTAGCTGCGATTACAGGTGCGTGTCACCACGCCCGTCCGATTTTATTTTTAGTAGAGACGGGGTTTTGCCACGTTGGCCAGGTTGTGCGACTGTAATATTAATTTGCCTCTGAGTCTGCACACTTAGTAGTCCTTTTTTTTTTTTTTTTTTTTTTTTTTTGAGACAGAGTCTCTGTCACCCAGGCTGGAGTGCAGTGGCACGATATCTGCTCATTGCAAGCTCTGCCTCCTGGGTTCAGGCCGTTCTCCTGCCTCAGTCTCCCGAGTAGCTGGGACTACAGGCACCCGCCACCACACCCGGCTAATTTTTTGTATTTTTTAGTAGAGACGGGGTTTCACCATGTTAGCCAGGATGGTCTCGATCTCCTGACCTCGTGATCCACCCGCCTTGGCCTCCCAAAGTGCTGGGATTACAGGCGTGACCACTGCGCCCGGCCAAGTAGTCTTAAGTAGTACAACAGCAATGAACTTTACAGAAAAGTGTAGATTTAACATTCTAACAACATAGATGCGTAAGTTCTGAATTTCAAAATGTACAGAAGGATCGAGTTCTCACATGTTCACAGTGCAGTTCTTAGTAGGCAGATCATAGTAATAAAACACACAAGTTATAAATTTTAATTTCTAGTTAACATAAATTCTACTCGCCCAGACCATATTTTGTTCTCAGCTCATTCATATTCTCTGATTGGGTCTGAAGTCCAAGAAGAGCTGGAAGTGAAGATAACCTGAAATGCAGGATGTTTTCCCCTCCTTTCCCTGCTCTCTCAACAGAGATATGACTGCTATACAACGCCTATAAAGCTACAAGGAAAAGACATTTTTGTTTTTAGGCTGTGTGTGCTTGATGTTCTAAAAAGCAATCATTTCCATCTGTAGTATGTACTGGGTTACAGAAAGAAAAGAAAAGCCAGGACAGAAGACAAAAGGACTTACAAGCTCTCCTGAGTTGTCCTCTTAATTATCATATCTGAAGTGTACTGTCAGTGCCAAACCTCAAACATAACTCTTTGATAAAACAGGCAATGCATTCTAAAACCAGTAAAATTTTGTTTACATATAAATGTAGTTACATCAAGTAAGAGAAAGAGTGAGATCTATTCTACCACACCTAAAACCCATCATGTTTTAGCAGCCTAAAAGTATTTTGAAAAGAATGGCACTTTTGTCTTCCCTTCCTGGGACAGAAATCATTATGTCTAGTAGGACAAGAGAGGTATTTATCATACCATTCCCAGCACCCATACCTAGTTTAGTGACCTTGTTTAAGATAATCCTCAATATCTGTCTCTGTTGGCGTAAGTCAACTTTTGATAATTAGCTTTAGAGTAAAAAAAAAATTCAAATTGGAGTCAATTCAAGATTTTACGGTTTCTACTGAAGACAGAAAAGAACTTTTAAAGTTGACAAGATTAAAATGTCAATTTTAAGAAAATAATTACAAAAGTAAAAAGACTGTGGTTATCAATTTTAGTATTTATTGAATGATGGAAGACAAGGAAAATATCTCTCAAACTCCAAAAACAAATGTTGCACCTTTGCTAAATGTAAAATGAATTTTGAGATATTTGTTTTACATGACAATGAACCTGTCCAAAAAATAATGCAAATTTACCCAAACGGTGCTAGTTTATTATTTACAAAAATGCTCTTATCTGCCATAAGTATTTGGGAAAAAACTGTTTTACACTCAGGAACACTAATGAAATACCTTAACGACAACTTAAAAAATAAAATCTTCCCTACCCTCAATGACCACCACTCGAGAAAAGTTACAGAATGCATTAAAAATGAATATATGCGGAAACAAACATAATTATTTCCCACAAACATACACACACAAAAACAGGCACATGCACACACACAAATACAGTGTTGTGCAAAATCAACTTAATGTTTATTTAAGGTCAACAGCCTTGGTGACAAGGAAGATAATGAATATGGCTTCAGTAAAGTTTGCAAGTAAATATCACAAATGTTAATTCTTTTGCTAGCTAACCAGCTATCCTGAGTATGGAATACGTATTATTTAGATAGCTAAAAGGTTATAAACAAAATGGAGGGGTAGGGAGGGGGAAGCACTGTAGCAGATTCCACTGAGGTACCTTAGTTTTTATGTAAAGGTCTGTATACTCATTTAATAATTTACATAACAATTCTTTATTCTATATAGTATATGACCATATAGAAACGATGTCTTATGTATTTTATTGTTCTGGTCCAAGAAACTGGAAATAAAAGCAAAACGCTTGTATTCAGATAAAGAACTGGAATGTACTATGAAACCATTAATATAATGCAATATTAAAATAGAAAATTTTTGCATGTAACAAAGGTAGTCAACAAGTTCTCAGATTGTATCTGAAGAGGATGTGAAAATTATAACCCATAAGACAAGGAACGTAAGCATTATTGAAGGCATTAACAAGGCTGTACCTGCAAATCTTGAGCCCACTGATTTATACTTTACCTTCAGAGATGTATGCTTTTTTTTTTTTTTTTTTTTGAGACTGTCGCCCAGGCTGGAGGGCAGTGGGGCGATCTCGGCTCACTGCAACCTTCTCCTCCCGGGTTCAAGCAATTCCCCTGCCTCAGCCTCCCAAGTAGCTGGGATTACAGGCGCACGCCACCACGCCCAACTAATTTTTTTGTATTTTTAGTAGAGACGGGGTTTCACCATGTTGGCCAGACTGGTCTCAAACTTCTGACCTCGTGATCCGCCCGCCTCGGCCTCCCTAAGTGCTGGGATTACAGGCGTGAGCCACTGCACCCGGCCGATGTATGCATTTTTAAAACAATTAAATTTTCATATTATAGATAAGTCTGACTATAGGTTATATAGGAAACTATACCTAAAAGCAACCACTATGGTTTTTAGATATGCCTTCCTTTAAGTTAAAAAGTTTAAGGCTCCTATTTTGGAGGGATACCCTAAAGACATTTTCTCACAGTATGACCTCAATGCATCTACATATATGCTACTGGAAAACTGGAAATAAAACACAACTCTTGTTAAATATATCATTCTTCAACTTTAAAGAGAAACAGAAAACCATTTTAACTACATCCCTTCTTATTTCTCAATACTGGTTTGTTAAGAACTTCTGCCACTCAAAAAGGTAGGTGCAAATCCATAAATTTAGCTTAAAACAGAAGATTAAATAGGTGGGGAGCATGGTAAGACAATGACATATAAAACAAAACCCTTACTATCTTGATTTATACCTTCCCTATCCCATGAAACTTCCTACGTTGCAAACACTGATTTCCTACAAACCATGAAGATTTCCTATGATATTTGCCTATCCTTTTATTAAACTAGGGGCCAAAACTGACATCATTGCTGCAATTAACTTTTACTTGTTCTGGTGAAATGCTTCTTCCTAAATGGCTTCGCCCTAACCAGAAATATAAGCAGTTTTGATGGTTACCATAAATTAAGCCAGAAATGGAAATACCAACAGTAACCCAAAAGGCAGCACAAAGAACCCCAATTGAAAGTCATCAACCAAAGTATGTGCCCAGAATAATACCAAAAACAAACAAAATAGATTTGCAATGAGCAGAGTTTCTTACAGCAACGCATACATCAAAGACTTCTGATTTTTAATTACAATAGTAGAAGCAGTGTCAAATAGTGAGTCTATCATTAAAGAGGTCTGTTTTACTCATCTTTAGTTAGGCACTGTCAATCCGTCTCCTACCTCAATTTAATTTCTAGAACTTCTTTCGAAAAGGAAGTACTCCAAGTTGTTTGCCTTGCTAGGGTAGGGAGGAGATCCTGAGAGATAAGAGGTACCACAAAGTATTTTGTTAATTATATCTCTATATGGCAGTTGAGTCATTGTCATTGCCCTTATTTTACAGTTTTGTATTTGCCATATTTTTCTCCCATTCTGCAAGAAAAATGTAAAAGGATTTTAATTGCTCACAAGCTTTCTGTAACTAAAGATTTTATACTTAGCTATTACTTAGTAAAGGTACTTACTAGTAAGAAAATTCTCTAAACTTCTTATCATCCCATACACAATAAAAAAAATCTATGGTAGGCTATGTAATCTGGCCACGTAACTATTAGTTAGAAGCCTTTGTTATCATTAACATACCTTGTTTCTCCCAACTTTCTAAAACTGTTTCTATTACCTAAACTGCTTTCTTAATAGTTTAATATAAAACTTTTTTCAATGTATTTTGGGGAGAAGGGCTAAGGAATTTCACATATTGATCTTATTCAGCAATTTAAGAAAATTATGCAAAATATGATATATATATACATATATATACACATTCACACACACGCAGATGCACACTTTCTTAACTGAGTCTTGGTTGTTAAAAATGCCTGCATAGGCTGGGCGCTGTGGCTCACCCCTGCAATCCCAGCACTTTGGGAGGCCAAGGTGGGCGGATCACAAGGTCAAGAGATCAAGACCATCCTGGCCAACATGATGAAACCCCATCTCTACTAAAAATACAAAAATTAGCTGGGTGTTGTGGTGCGTGCCTGTAGTCCCAGCTACTCAGGAGGCTGAGGCAGGAGAATAATCACTTGAACCCGAGAGGCAGAGGTTGCAGTGAGCCGAGATCGCACCACTGAACTCCAGCCTGGTGACAGAATGAAACTCCGTATCAAAAAAAAGAAAAAAAGAAAAAAAAAAAAAAGCCTGCACAGTGTGAGGAACTTAAATATTTACTAGATTTGAATTACGTACATTTGCACTACAATACCACACTAAATAGATATACCAGCAGAGAATCATTATCAAATGACTTAAATGAATTGTCAGTTTGTCTTTACAGACTCAACAGAAAACATATTTATTAATATGAACATATGAACCTTTATTAAGTGGCTCACATTTCAGTATAAATCACACTAAAAAGATATTTAAAAGCTATTTACACTACAGTGCTGACACATTTAAAATGAAAAAAAAGGATATAAATAAGCTCTATGGAAAAGCTTTAAATTGTTGAAAAAGAATTCTGGCTCATATTACAAAATATATATATATATTTATATATATATATATATGTTAATGTCAGCTCTATTCTAAAACCTAAAATTCCAACGTAAATGATTTTTTTTTAAAGACTCCTTTATGTTTAAACCTGCAATGTTTACAGTGCATCTGGCCCTAAGTGCTTAATACTTCACAGTTATGGACAGGCACTGAGGAATGTTACAAAGCTACATAAACTATGTTTTGTAACAGACATAGGAGCAAGTCCTTGGCTTGCTTTCAGAATTCATGAATCTTTATTACATTAAATTTTTTTAAAAAAGGATTTTAGATGGTATATGCAAATTTAGCACAAAATGTCATCGTCTTTTTTATCTTGATTTGAATGTGCTGAACTGTGTTGCCTTGTATCAACTAGACTTAGATTTCCAGGGCACAATTCTTCCTTTAAATCTTTGTTGCTATTTTCAAATTTAGAATCCATGTCAATCTTAAATTCTGCAAATTGAACATGATCCAATTTTGCTTTAACATTCTTGCCATCCATATTATTCAGTGCTGTAGTCTTTTCAGGAATATTAACATTCACAGGTTCTTCCTTGATTCTTACAGATGCAATAGGTTCATGTTTAATCTGCTGTAATTCATATTTAGAATGAAGTTTATCTGAAAAAACAGAATCCAAGGAGGCTTTGCTTACAGCACAAATCATGTTGTCAGTGTGAGGTCCAAGAACAGATGATGTGGAATCTGATGATGTGCCTGTTTCATGAGTAGCTGTATTCTGAGAAGTGTCCTCCTCTGAGTGATATAATTTGAGCCGAATATGCCATGCTAAACTGCATACAGCTGAAACTGTCTTGAACTGATGAACAACATTCCTTGGAATAAAATAAATGTCATTATCATATAGCTGAATCCTGGCATAGCGAATGCCTTCCCTCCTCAGTTGATTCAGTTTTGCATCATCAACCCATTGGACACACTAAAAAATAATAAAACAAGAAATACAAATAACTCTCTTCATAATAAAAACTAAACCAAAGACAGTAAGTGTATTAAAAATACCTGGGACAGTGGAGGTTCATGTAAATCTAACTGCATTCGTTGAACTACTTCTAAGAAATCTTCAGCATGAAAACAAATTACATCTTTGGTTATACGGGGTTGATCAGGCCTAAAAAAGAAAACGAGATAACAAGAATCTGCCATAAATGCTTCACTCTTTTGAGTCCTTATTAAACTCAAAGCAAAAATACTTTATGGTCAATACCATAGTACTGTCTTACAAATAAAGTTAAACTGTTAATTGGAAAGCCATTTCACATATTTAAAGAAAGGGCCAACACCATGACTTTCAACCTAGACACAGATTAAAAACTGACTTCGTTTTTATATAAACATTTGTCACAAGAGTTTGGAAAATTGAAATGATCTGAATTGGTAAATTATACAAACCAAGAAAATTAAGTGTTCTATTTGAAGAATAAGATCAATGCTTCATAAATTTAAGTGCTAAAGTTGAAAACACTACATAAAAATTAGAAGTAAATATGAGGAAAAGGGAGTATTTTATTTCCATAGAAGATACATATAACTATACTGATGCATAAAACTCTTAAATAACTTTATAAATTAAGAGACTTCATTGGAAAAGTACTAATACAATAAACTTGGTATTTGCTGAGGTTACTCATGCCTTTAAATATAATTCTAAAAAACTCTCAAATTCTTCAATTAATTAGGAATATATAAATACATTTTTAAAGAGATGCTAAAAAATGGATTTTGGAATAAAATTCCAAACAACATAAAGAAAATCATATGAAGGCAAATCATAACTAAATTTCTAAAAACCAGTGATAAAAGAGAAAATCTGAGAATCATGTAATACATTATATACAGAGAAAGAAGGATAAGACTGACCATAGACTTATCAAAGACAATGCAAGCCTGAAGAGAATGGACTACTTTTAAAGTATTAGAAGAAAAAGTCAATCTAGAATTCTATATCCACCAAAAAATATCCTCCAAAAAATGTGAAATAAAAACATGTTCAAATAAACAAAAGCTGAATCTGTCACCGAGAAAACAGCATAACAAAGACTGCTAAAGGAATTTCTTCAGGCTGAAGGAAAATGATACTTAAATGAAAATGTAGATCTATGAAAAGGAATGTACAGCACACCTAATGATAAATATGAAAGAGGTTTTATTCTCTTTAAATTTAAAGAAATCTCTTTAGAAATGATTCTTTAAAGCAAAATAACATACATCATGGGGTTTATGGCATATGTAAAGTAAAATACATGACAATTAGCACAAAGGCCAGAAATGTGAGGGGGGAGGGAATAAATGGAAGTATACTATTGAAAGGTTCTTACACATTACATAAAGAAGTCTCATATTATTTGAAGGTAGATTGTGGTAAGTTGACAATACTGAAATAAAAAAAAAACCCACAGAGCTACAAGCTACTAACCAAATCATGGAGGTAAAATGGAATGCTTAAAAATGACAAGAAAAGGGGAAACAAAAGAATAAAGAATAAAGAAGCAAATTGGAAAAAGCAAAATGGTAAATTTAAAACCAAATTTACTAATATTTCTATTAAATATAAATAATCTAAATACTCCAATTAAAAGACAGAGATTGTCACTGGATTAAAAAAAAGGTAAGACCCAACTATATGATATCTATCTACATGTAACAATAATATAGACATACAGATAAGTTAAAAGAAAAAGAATGGGAAAAGATAGAGCATGTAAATACAAATAAGAAGAAGGCTGAATTGGCTATATTAACAAAGTTTCAGGACAAGGAATATTACCAAGGATAAAAAGGGCACTTTATAATGAAAAAAGGGGCCAATTCATCAAGAATAACAATTCTAAATGTGTACTTGCCTAAGAACACAGCTTCAAACTATATGGAATAACCTTCAAAACACTACGCTAAGTGAAAGAAGCTAATCACAAAAGACCACGTTATTTGATTCCATTTATATTAGATGTTAAGAATAGACATATACCTACAGACAGAAAGTAAATTAGTGCTTGCCTAGGGCTGGCAGGATGGAAGATGGAGAATTGGGGAGGTGATGTCTAAAAGGTGTAGTTCCTTTCTGAGGTGATGAAAATGTTCTATCGTTTTGGTGGTGGTTGCATAACTCTGTGAATATACTAAAAACTATTCAACTGTACACTTTAAATGGGTGAACTGTATGATACGTGATCATAGCTTGATAAAGCTGTCACAAAAATAGAGCAAAACCTAGAAAAACTGACAGGAAAAACAGGCAAATCCAATATTAAAGTTGCAAATTAACAAGCAGACAAAAATAAGTGAGAATATAAAAAAAGTGAACCACATTCACTATCAACAAAGTTGACTTAATTGCTCTTAATTTATAGAGCACTATATCCCTAACAACAGCAAAATACACTTTTTTTTTTGAGACGGAGTCTCACGTCAATCGCCCAGGCTGGAGTGCAGTGGTGCCATCTAAGCTCACTGCAACCTTCACCTCCTAGGTTCAAGCGATTCTTGTGCCTCAGCCTAGCGAGGAGCTGGGATTACAGGTGTGTGCCACCACGCCCAGCTAATTTTTGTATTTTTAGTACATATGGGGTTTCACCATGTTGCCCAGGCTGGTCTGGAACTCCTGACCTCAGGTGATCCGCCCGCCTTGGCCTCCCAAAATGCTGAGATTACAGTTGTGAGCCACCGCGCCTAGCCAAAATACACATTTTTTAAAGTGGACATATAAAAATTCATCAAGATGGTCCATAAAACAAACCCCAAGAAATTTAGAAGCACTAAAATCATACAGAATATGTTCTCTGACCACAAGAAATTAAATTAGAAATGAAAAACACCAAAACAAAAATCTGGAAAAAAATCCTCAAATATTGGAAACTAAACAACACTTCTTGATAACCCATGGGTTAAAAAAGAAATCAAACAGGAATTAGAGATATCCTGAACTGAAATGAAAATGCAATAGAAAAATTTGTGAAACACAGCACGATCTCGGCTCACTGCAACCTCCACCTCCCAGGTTCAAGCAATTCTTGTGCCTCAGCCTCCCAAATAGCTGGCGTTATAGGCATGCATGCCCAGCTAATTTTTGTATTTTTAGGAGAGGCAAGGTTTCACCATGTTGGCCAGGCTGGTCTTGAACTCCTAACTTCAAGTGATCTACCCACCTCGGCCTCCAAAAGTGCTGGGATTACTAGCATGAGCCACTGCACCTGGCCTGTTTCTCCTTTTTTTAAAAAATTAAACTGCTCTAATAAGGCCAGGTGCAGTGTTTCGCACCTGTAATCCTAGCACTTTGAGCTCCCAGCCTGGGCAACAGAGCAAGACCGTGTCTCTACAAAAAATTTTAAAATAGGCCAACTCTGGACATACTGCCTATGAGTTAGTCCTGCTCTGCAAGGAACAGTAATACAAATAAACAGAATGTAAAAATAAATAAATATTCACTGGATGTGGTGGTGTGTGACTGTAGTCCTAGCTACTCAGGAGGCTGAGGCAGGAGGCTTGCTTGAAGATGGGTGGTCAAGGCTGCTGTGAGCCATGACAGCACCACTGAACTATAGCCTGGGCAACAGAGTGAGGCCCTATCTCTTAAAGAAAAAAAAAATTTTTAATGGCTCTAATAAGCAAAATAGCATATTCCAACTCACATTTCATACCCAAACAATACTCAATTTTGGAAAACAAAAATCTAAGCAAGCAAAATTATCTTTTTTTGTTGTTGTTGGTGGTGGGACGGAGTTTTGCTCTTGTCGCCCCAGGCTGAAGTGCAGTGGCACGATCTTGGCTCACTGCAACCTCTGCCTCCTGGGTTCAAGCACTTCTCCTGCCTCAGCCTCCTGAGTAGCTGGGATTACAGGCACGTGCCACCACGGCCAGCTAATTTTTGTGTATGTGTGTATTTTTAGTAGAGATGGGGTTTTACCATGTTGGTCAGGCTGGTGTTGAACTCCTGACCTCATGATCTGCCCACCTCAGCCTCCGAAAGTGCTGGGATTACAGTTGTGAGCCACCGCACCTGGCCCCAGCTAATTTTTGTATTTTTAATAGAGATGAGGTTTCACCATGTTGTCCAGGCTGGTCTCGAACTCCTGACCTCAGGTGATCCCACCCACCTCGGCCTCCCAAAGTGCTGGAATTACAGGCGTGAGCCATCACACCTGGCCGCAAAATTACAATAACTTTGCTTTATATGTTTTATCAATTTAATAAATGGAAAGGTATTTAATGTATGAGATGACACCTCAAGTATATTAAAAAGAATAATCTATTTTTTAATCTGTCAAAATATTCAAAGTGAAACTTGTAAGCAAAGCTGGAAAAAAAAGAATACAGAAAAGCAAATACATAACAAAGAGAAACCAAACCTCAGAAAGGGTACAGCAAAGCAGGAGGAAGAGAAAACAGAAGAGTATGGAATCAGATTGAAATCAGTCTCAGCTCTACCATTTATTAACTATATGACTGTAAAAAAAATTATTTGACAGCCCTGAGCCTCAGTTTCCTTATGTGATAAATACGGAGCAAAAAGCAGTTGAGAAAAATTAAATGACATTTGTAAACAGGCATACAGTATGCACCAGGTAAGCCTTAGCTTTCCTTTTAATTTTTTTTACATCTAGTCACTTAGAACATGAAATTAATTATTTCAGTTAACCCAAATGATGAAACCTAGATTTTAGCAATTTATTTGTTTTTGTTTTTGTTCGAGATGGAGTCTTGCTCTGTCACCCAGGCTGGAGTGCAGTGGCGCGATCTCGGCTCACTGCACCCTCAGCCTCCCGGGTTCAAGCAATTCTCCTGCCTCAGGCTCCTGAATAGCTAGGACTACAGGCGTGCGCCACCACGCCCGGCTAACTTTTGTATTTTTAGTACAGACGGGGTTTCCCCATATTGGCTAGGCTGGTCTTGATCTCCTGACCTTGTGATCCACCCACCTCGGCCTCCCAAAGTGCTGCGATTACAGGTGTGAGCCACCCCACCCAGCCAGATTCTAGCAATTTAAAATCTTTAGTACAATTATACAATTAAGATATCCAAATACGGGTAAAAAATGAAACTTTTTTCCCACAGTAAGGAGGAATTACTAAGATTTTCCAAGAAAAATTGTAGAAGCCAAGAAATTCTTTCATTAAAATAGCGGTAGTTATATATACCACTCTCCACAGTGCACAGCCTTCAGCACTCCAACAGCAGCTGTAGTCTGTCGTTCAAAACCTTGTCCTATATGATCTGCATGAGCTCTTGTCCTGTCTTCAAAGAGCATCTCACGGGGCTCACTTGTTCGAGGTAGGTACTGAAGATTTTTTATTTCATTGGTAGTTCTGTTTTTTAAAAAAAGAAAATTACATTTATATAGTGACACTTAATTGCTATCAAACATTCAATAATCACATAATTCAGACAAAAATATATGAAATTTGCTCTCAAATCAAATTCTATCTTTAAAATGAACACGAACAAACAAAAACACAAATACGATACCCTCATTTTTCTAATATACCTTCACAACAGGAACAGTTGTAAGGAAACACATGGATAAAAAATTAAATTACAAATGGTGTTGTTTACCCAAGTTTCCCTATACACAGAATCTTTACCTGGGGTTTGGGTACCATGCCCCCACTCAGATCTCTTGGGTAACACAAGATAGATATATATCTGAAACAAATGGGTAACTTTTAAAAATGCATTAATTCAATATTGATAGGACACATACTATGTGCTAGGTACTATCTAAGAACTGGGGCCAGTGAATGAGACAATAGCAAATAAGACAGAAGAGGACCCCACTCTCGTGGGAGTTTATAGTCTGTCTAGTGAGGGAAGAATCAAAAAACAGATTTAGCAGTAAACACCCAGCAGTAAGTGCTTCCACAAAACATGCATGCTTTATTGGAGGTAGAAAGGAAAACCTTAGCTCTGTCTTGGAAGACAGCTATTTCCCACTGGCCCTCTCCTCCACCACTTTCCTTCTAGAATGCATATACACGCAGAAGTTGCTGCCTACTTAGCCTCACTCATTGCAGAAACCTCTCCAGTTTTGCTGTAGGCAAGGAAAAGGGTAAGAATTTCTTTGGCAGAGAGTCATCATTTTATCTTCCTCTACGGTTTTTGTTTCTTCCAGATGCAACTCTGTATTACCCCCATAATTGTCTCCTCTCATCCTTGTCTATCTTCCCAGGGATCACTCTTCCTTACTGGTTCTCTACTTTCCCACCCTTAATCTCTATTATTTAACTACTCTTTGTGCACCCCTGCATTACAGTCTTATTACACATATACATAATAATTTTTTTTTGGTTCTTTGTGAATAATGTTCTACATGTGTCACAATGCCAGATGGTGTTGCTTCCTCTGGAAACCTAACAGGTTCTCAAACCCACAAATTTAGCTGCATAAATACCACATTCTAATGAATTAAGACTGTACAGCACTTGACACAATGCCTGACACTGTTTTTGTTAGACTATTATTATCATATATACCATGGGTTGTATACCCTGAAGTGAATGGAAGTTCCTCAAGGTAGTGGTGAACCCCCTTAAAGTACATCTAAAAGTTTGTATTTATCTGTATTGTTCTGAGAAGAGACTTTCAGATTCTCAAAATGATCCATACATTCTAAAAAAAAGAAAAAAAAATTAAGAATCACTGAGGAGGCCGGGCACAGTGGCTCACGCTTGTAATCCTAGCACTTTGGGAGGCCAAGGCAGGTGGATCACCTGAGGTCAGGAGTTTGAGACCAGCCTGGCCAAAACGGCGAAATCCCGTCTCTCTTAAAAATACAAAAATGAGCTGGGAATGGTGGTTCACGCCTTTAATCCCAGCTACTGAGGAGGCTGAGGCAGGAGAATCACTTGAACCCAGGAGGCAGAGGTTGCAGTGAGCCGAGATTGTGCCACTGCACTCCAGCCTGGGTGACAGAGCTAGACTCTATCTCAAAAAAAAAAAAAAAAGAGTCGCTGAGGAACACATCAATTTTACCATTTACTACTAACTTACAAATTAACCTGTAAAATTTTATTCATCCAATATTAAGCACCAGACACTGTGTTTAGGTGCTAGAGAAACATTAGTAACAAACCCAACAAAGTCCCTGCCATCATGCAACCCAGAGTTTACTCAATGACTTTTTCCCTGTTTTCTTTTTAACTTAATAATCACCGTAACCAGTAAACTTAATAATCACTGTAACAGCTAAAACCGTCTTTAGGTAATCTAAAAAGCTATAATCAGGACGGGCACAGTGGCTCATGCCTAGGCACTTTGGGTGGCCGAGGCAGGAGGATCACGAGATCAAGAGATCAAGACCATCCTGGCCAACATGGTGAAACACCATCTCTACTGAAAATACAAAAATTAGCCGGGTGTGGTGGCGTGCGCCTGTAGTCCCAGCTACTCGGGAGGCTGAGGCAGGAGAATCGCTTGAAACCGGGAGGTGGAGGTTGCAGTGAGCCGAGATTGCACCACTGCACTCCAGCCTGGCGACAGAGCAAGACTCAGTCTCAAAAACAAACAAACAAAACAAAACAAAAGGCTATAATCTCTCCTAGCATCATCTCCATCCATTCCAATCCACGTTAACCTAATGTACATTTTCTCCACACTTTTCTCTGTGCTCACATAAGTACACAATCACACATAGTAGGGTTTTGTTATTTCTTTGGATAAAAACAAAATCATATTAGATACATTACTCTACATTTGGCTGTTTTCAAATGTCATGAATATCCATCCAGATCAAGACATTTTTTAAAACTTTAACTATTTCACCATTTTTTTTTTAAGAGATAGGTTCTGGTTCTGTCACCCAGGCTGGAGTGCAGTGATGTACTCATAGCTTACTGCAGCCTCAAACTCCTGGGCTCAAGCAGCCCTTGACTCAGCCTTCCGAGTAGCTAGGGCTACGGGCATGTACCACCACATTGGCTAAATTTTTAAATTTATTTTGTAGAGGCGGCATCTCACTATGTTGCTCAGGCTGCTCCTGAACTCTTGGGATTCAAGTTATCCTCCCACCTCGGCCACCCAAAGTGCTAGGATTACATGAAAGAGCCACTGCACCTGGCGTATTTCACTATACTCTTTTTTTTGAAACAGAGTCTCGCTCTATCGGCCAGGCTGGAGTGCAGTGAAGCGATCTGGGTTCACTGCAACCTCTATCTCCCAGGCTCAAGCAATTCTCCTGCCTCAGCCTCCTGAATAGCTGGGATTACAGTCATGTCCCACCACGCTGGGCTAATTTGTTCTATTTTTAGTAGAGACGGGGTTTCCTCATGTTGGCCAGGCTGATCTTCAAACTCCTGACTTCAGGTAATCCACCCGCCTCAGCCTCCCAAAGTGCTGGGATTACAGGCGTGAGCCACTGCACCCGGCCTAACTATACTCTTCAATAAGAATGTATGAAATCTATTCAACCATTCCCCTACTGACAGGCATTCAGACCATTTTAAAATGTTTTTCTTACCACAAATTTATTTACCTTTCGTGTTTTTATTCCTTGGGATTCCCAAAAGTAGGAGTGCTAGATCAAAGAGTTTTATGTTAAATTTTATGATCTACTGCCAGATTACTTTCACAAAATTACAGCAGCTCATCCTCCAGTCAACAATATATAAAAAATTGTTTCTTCACATACCTACCAGCCTATAATATTAATGCTATATTCATAATTTTTGCCAATATAATGAATAAAAATATCTCATAGTTCTTTTAAAATAAACTTAACTACCTGAGGTTATTTTTCTACTGGGTTGTTTACACTTGAGAATGCTCTTTGTACATTAACTTTGGTGTGTCATGAGTTCCAAATGTCTTAGTCCAGTCTATCATAATTTTGAACCTCATTGTTGATGTCGCTTCCCCCCCAAATACTATTGCCACTGCATTGTTTGGTCTTGCTTAGGAAGGTCTCCTCCAGGCTTAAACAATTTTATTCTAATATTTTAACTGTTTTATCTGTGATGCTTAATTCTCTAATTTACTTCTTGTATGAGGTAGGGGCTCTGCCTTTGTTTTTATGAGAGCCAAATATGCCAGCATTATTCATTAAATACATCTTCCTCTTCCCACCTATCTCATATATTAAGTTCCCAATATACTTAGATCTATTTCTGGACTCTTATTCCAATGATCTATTTGAACTTTATAGTAATTTTTAATATCCTGTATCATAAGCTGCCTCTCACTAATCTTCTCTTTCACTGAAAAGTTTACTTCCTTATGAATTTTAAAATAATTTTATCCAGGACTGGAAGTGTTAGTCCAATTGAAATGCAGAAAATTTTAAAGAACTATCATTTTTATCCAATCCAGAACACAGCAGGGCTTTCCATTTGTTCTGATCTTACTTTATATCCTCCACAAAACATTTTAGTCTTCTTAGTATAGGTTCTGAATATTACATTTATTCTAAAATAGTTTATATCTTATGACATTTTTTCCATCCATCATTACAATTTCTTGTCATTTGCCTACATTTCTCATGCTTTATTTACATTTTAGGTTTTATAACAAATTGTATTAGCATGTATCGCTATTTTTAAATTTATATTCCAATTATGCTCTAAACTTTGCATTCCTCCTTCCTCCAATTTTCAACTAACATACACACCCCAACATACAAACACTCATCCCCTCCAATAAAAATGTGTATACAACATACCTTTTCCTTTTGAAAGGTGACTTTGGCATATCAGCCACAGGGATCATTTGTTCTCCTGGACGAACCCACATGATGGGACCATCATCACTATCTTTTCGACTCTGTAATTTTAGACTAGATAGCGTCCCCCATGGCAGTGTACACTGGAGATAAATAATTATGCAGATTGCAATTATTTTCAAAATGTATCTTCAAGTGTATGTTAATAATAATATTGTTCCCCTGACAAACACACTTTCATACACAGCTTTATACTTAAGCATCTGAAATACATAATATTGAATATATCCCTATATATTGATATACTTTGCTTCAAAAAACTGTTTCAAACACACCAAGAAAATAATTATGCTTGGATGGTTCTGTCCCTATACCCTGCTAGAGGTATGATTCACTATATTCATCATTTGTTATTCTTCCTTCTACCATATAGATCATATGATGTTAACGGACTAAATAAGCAAGTGCTCTCATAAGAATCTATAAAAATGAACAATTAAATTTAAGTTTAAAAACTGGATACCTCTTTGATTAATGATAATTAAAAACAAAACAAAACAAAATCAAAACATATTTCTGTTCAGCAGTTTCTTGAAGAGGTTGTTGGCTTAAACCAGAGACTAAAGTATTTTAAAATGAAAGAACAAGGCTGGGCGCGCAGTGGCTCACGCCTGTAATCCGAGCACTTTGGGAGGCCGAGGCGGGCGGATCACAAGGTCAAGATATCAAGATATCGAGACCGTCCTGGCCAGCACGGTGAAACCCCGTCTCTACAAAATACAAAAATTAGCTGGGCATGGTGGCGCGCACCTGTAGTCCCAGCTACTCAGGAGGTTGAGGCAGGAGAATCGCTTGAACCTCGGAGGCGGAGGTTGCAGTGAGCCGAAATCACGCCACTGCACTCCAGCCTGGTGACAGAACGAGACTCCAAAGAATGAAAGGAGAGGGAGGGGGGAGGGAGAAGGGGGGAGGGAGAAGGGGGGAGGGGGCAGAGGAAGGGAAGGGGGAGGGAGAAGGGGGAGGGGGGAGAGGAGGGGAAGGGGGAGGGAAAAAGGGGGGAGGGGAGGGGAGGGGAGGCGAGGCGAGAGACAGAGGTGAAGGGGAAGGGGAAGAGAAAAGAGAAGACGGTGGCCGGGCACGGTGGCTCAGGCCTGTAATCCCAACACTTCAGGAGGCTGAGGCAGGCAGATCACCTGAGCTCAGGAGTTTGAGACCAGACTGGGCAACATGGAGAAACCTCATCTCTACTAAAGATACAAAAAATTAGCCTAGCATGGTAGTGTGTGTCTGTAATCCCAGCTACTCGAAAGGCTGAGGCATGAGAATTGCTTGAACCTGAGAGGCAGAGGTTGCAGTGAGCCGAGATCGCACCACTGCCCTCCAGCCTGGATGACACAGCGAGACTCCATCTGAAACCAAAAACAAACAAACAAAAAAAGACAGAGAGAGGGAAGAAGGAAACTGAGGGCCACTGTCCATGGAATGTTGAGAACAAAATTAAAAAAAAAAAAAATTTCACCACACACCCCCTTTTCAAAAAGGCTTGTCAAATTTCTTTAGAAACAATGCATTTAGGTTGGGTGTGGGTGGCTCACGTCTGTAATCACAGCACTTTGGGAGGCTGAAGCAGGAGGACTGCTTGAGCCCAGGACTTCAAAGCTAGCCTGGGCAACATAGCAGGACCCCATCGAAAGAAAGGAAGGGAAAGGGAAAGGGAAGGGGAAGGGGAAGGGAAGGGGAAAGGGAAGGGGAAGGGGAAGGGAAGGGGAAAGGGAAGGGGAAGGGGAAGGAAAGGAAAGGAGAAATAATGCATTTAGTTCATGTGCTTTGAAAATTAAACTTGAAGCAACCATTTAAGTAATATTTGGTAATTTTTAAATATAGTCCAATAATAAATGCAACCTAATTCCATGATGTAACTACTAGAGAGAAGTAGAAAAGGAACAAAAAGTTTAAAAGGAAAAGAGAAAAAGGAATGGAACAAGGTTAAAGAGAAAGGGAAGAAAAAGATATATGTACATATAGGGTAAAAACACCAAGCAAACAGAAGTAATAAAAGAAGAGATGTCCTATAGATTATGTGGTATCAGAAATCTTGTCACATTCCACAGCTTACCTGGACCCTGAATTTCAGTGTAGGTTTGCAGCATTGACCTTTGAGTTACTGATTAAATAATTAACCTAACCACACAGCTCAGAGATTCCTCTCTCAGTGGGATAGCCCTAGCACCTCACAATAAGAAATACTTTTTGAAAATCAAGAGGCTTTAAAAAAAAAAAAAAGGAATCTGGCTACAAACTATTTAAAGGGGCCTGTGGTGGTGGGCACAGTGGCTCACACCTGTAATCCCAGCACTTTGGAAGGCCAAGACAGGAGGATCACTTGAGTCCAAGAGTTCAAGACCAGCCTGAGCAACATGGTGAAACCCCATTTCCACAAAAAATACAAAAGTTAGCTGGGCATGATGGCATGTGCCTGTAATCCGAGGTACTTGGGAGGCTGACGTGGGAGGATCATCCAAGCCCACGGAGGTCAGGGCTCCACATTACACCACTACACTCCAGCCTGGGCAGAGAGTGAGGCTGTCTCAAAAAAATAAATTAAATAGAGGGGCCTTTGGCTACATTGTCTAAACATGTTATTTTATGGATGATGAAACTGAAGCCCAGAAAGTTTAAAGGGCTTGCCCAACCCAGATAAGTACAGCCATGGCTAAAATATGGGTGTGTAATTTCCCAGGCGAGTTTTCCTGGAATTTAGTTTAGGAATGCTAAACTGCCATTCCTTTGTCTTAAACATTTGTAGTAGAATCCTTCCTGTACTTCTTAAGTCCTTTAGTACTTAGTTTACAAAGAGCTGATAAACACATGGAACCTAATTTCCTAAAGTGTTAAGAGGTGTTATTTCATGGCCCACCACTTAGCTTTGCCATTACAATTAGAACCTGAGATGTCGCATGTACACACTACACAAGAATTATGTCAGTTTCCCATCTCTTGCTCTCCTTCCCTCCAGTTCAAATAAAACCAAAACGTTTCTATTTCTGAAACAGCCATTCATTTATATTGCATGTAGCATGAAAGAAACAATCACAATTTAGATTACTCATATTGGTTTTTCTTCCCTTTTTTAAAAAAAAAACTCTAATCCCATGACAGATTGTCTCTTACTTTTAAAAATGGTGACTCTTCCAACATGTCAAGGAACTCAGGGAAATAATCTCCTACTTCTTCATCAACTGCTCCCACCAAGCTTATTTGTCTCATTGGGCCAGCTCTGTAAGTACCATGAGAATACGTTCTTTTTACCTGAAGAAACATGGATTTAATTAAAAGTTAAATACGTTCTTTTTACCTGAAGAATATGGATTTAATTAAAAGTTACACATAAGATAATGCTTGCTATCATTTTGTAGCAATAAATTATTATCTCAGAATATTATATCATAATGAGGCAAGCAAAACAAAACTTTACTAACAGTAACAGATAAGGCATTTTAAAAATAAAACTTGCACTAAATCAAGCTATTTTACTTTCTCTAACTATTCCTACACACTGCTTATGAAAACAGAGTTAAGACAAATAAGCATTAATTCTAGACAACTAACATCTCCTTAGAACAGAGGAACTCATTATCTGAGTATTCAAAAGTTGGTGTACCTGCATTTTTCTAAAGTGAAATGAAGTTCATATCTTTTCATCAACATTTTCAAAATTAGACCCTCTGAAAACATTTAACCATCAACAGTGGCTTATATGACTAAAAGGCCACCAGGGATGCTCTTCTTTTTTGATCTTACCATATTAACTAGAAACCAGTTTATATACCTATTATTAACTCTCATGAGAAACTACTAGAAATTAAGAATCACAGCCGGGCGCAGTGGCTCACACCTGTAATCCCAGCACTTTGGGAGGCCAAGGCAGGCGGATCATGAGGTCAGGAGATCAAGACCATCCTGGCCAACATGGTGAAACCCCGTCTCTACTAATAATACAAAAAAATCAGCCGAGTGTGGTGGCCGGCGCGCGCCTGTAGTCCCAGCTACTTGGGAGGCTGAGGCAGGAGAATGGCGTGAACCTGGGTGGCGGAGCTTGCAATGAGCCGAGATTGTGCCACTGCACTCCAGCCTGGGCGACAGAGCGAGACTATGTCTCAAAAAAAAAAAAAGAAAGAAAGAAATTAAGAATCAGGAATCCTAAAATCCAAATCTGCCTTTGCTATCTACCAGTTACATGACCTTCAGAAATCATTTGCGTTCCTTGAGCTGTGGTTTCCTTAACTGGAATGTTTTACAGCAGATTGCTGAAGAAAATTTGATAATGATATAAACTCACCTGCCATAATGCTAGCAAATGGGTGGCATTCAAAGAGCCAAAACAAAGCCATGTGCACCTCAAGATTGATTGGTAACTACATTTCTTGCCAGCATATTTAAATCCTGACAAAGAAACCTATGTGTTTTCATATACTAACACTAGTAAACAAGCTGAGTCTGTCTTCAAGCGAAACAACTCGTTTTGATAACCAAATTATAAGCAAAACTGTAATTGTCTCTTTCTCTGGATTAGCCTTTGTGGACAACAAATTTAGGAGACCAATTTGTCCCAGTTTGCCCAGGACTATCAGTCTTAAAACTGAAAGTCTTGTATTTCAGGCAAACATGGATGGTCAACTTTTATCACATCACAGACACAGATTATAAAAGATAGTCACATCAAAAGTTGAATCCTTACAATCATAGCTGGTAAGAGTATCACAACGTAACAAAGTAAACCCCAACCCACATGTTTTCATACAAAATCATTTAAGGAAGAGAATCTCATTTGTTATTATAATCAGCAAAGCAGTTTAATAATGACATTAATTCTTTAATAAATTCACCAGATTTCTAAGCCTAAATTTTCCTAAACTGTTACAAATTGACTTCTCAGAACCACAAACCATTCCTACAAGTTAGAAAATTAAGGGCCTGTAAGCCCAGCACTTTGAGAAGTGGGAGGATATCTCCAGCCTGGCAGGTCCAGGCTGCAGTGAGCTGTCATCAGGCCACTGCACTCCAGCCTGGGCAACAGAGCGAGATCCTGTCTCAAAAAAACAAACAAATATAAGAACAGCTGGGGCTTATGCCCCCATTGTATGCTCATTGTCTCATCTTTTTCCTGTCGCCTAAAAATTCCTATCATCTCCAATATCAAGAGAGCTAACAGTTAAAGCCTAACTCTACAACAGTCTTCAGGCTCTAGATGCATTAATAGCAGCACAGTAAGAAATTCAGTCTATGCACCTCTGTAATGCAGTCTATCAAAGAAGCTAAGGGTATCAATCTCAACTCTAGCACATTTACCAGAATAGAACACATCAAGTCTGTTAAGTGATTCTGAGATTCTGAGTTTTGTGTCTGCAAATGACCATAAGGGGTTTTGAGAGACGATAACCATTTAGAAAGTGAAATCAAACAACTGATATTGTAAAACACAAATTTTCCAAGTGCTTTGAAATATATCTAAAAAGTCAAATTAGAGTTAGGGGTGGTGACACGAAACTGTAATCCCAGCTACCCAGAAGGCAGAGGCAAGAGGATCACTTGAGCCCAGGAGTTCAAGATCTGCCTGAGCAACACAGCGAGACCAAAAAAAAAAAAAAAAAAAAGTCAAATTATATATATTTCCACCTCATACAAATAAGTACATTTTCTGTGCATAAATTTCCTTATCTTGTTTAAATTAGATACCTACAACATTTAGTTCTAACAAAGCCATAATCAAGTCCTTGCCACTGAGTTGGTTCATTCTATGACATCACAGTACCAACAATGATCACCTAAATAATTTGGGCAGTTTATCTTGTGCGGAGGGGATGACTGTTAGGAAAGAATTTTCATTAAGTGAATTCTTCTAAAATACGAAGCACAACTAAACTTTCAATTTATCTAGTAGTTTTAAAAAGTCATATTATACATGAAATAAAACCAAAAAACTATAACATTATTAAATTATAGAGAGTAGGAGATAATATAATAATCAGAAAACCGGAACCAATTGTTAACACAGTCCTTGTAGAGTAAAATTTATGTATTTAAATGTGAGTAAAAACATGTATCATTGAGTAACAGGAAAAAATTGGGTAAAACTTGGGTGGTAATATTACAGACACATCATATGTTGTGTCATGACTCAAGAACTTTATTTACTAATTTTGCTTTGACCAGATGTTGCTATTTCAGGTTAGAATAATTATTTCATTGACTGAAGAAGTATTACTGACCTAGCCATCTCATTTCTTTCAAATTATACATTTACATTAATTTCCAAGTTTACAAATAATGCTTTTTATTTCAAAATAAAACAAAACACGTCTAAATTAGTATAGACCTAAACATTAAAATGTTTAACATAATAGACTGAATAAATCAAAAACCGATTTTTCCCCCATTCTCTGTCTAGTTTGGGCACTACCTAAGAAGAGGCTTTATCTTTTGCTGATTATTTTTAAGTATGGTCCTATTAAAATTCATAACTATTTCAAAGGATTTTTTAGAGACCCTGAATTTTTAAAGTAAAGTAATACAGACTCTACTCCGATTATATTGCTAAATATCTTAATTGAATTTTTAGTTAGTTCTTCCCACCTCATGCCAAAATACATATAAAACATATAGATATGTAAAATTCACTTTCACACATAACTTATTATAACAAAAGTATAAGTCTCTCCCTTGTAACCAGAATGTACAGGTAGATGCCATTTGCCCACTAATAAAACCAAAAATAAATCCTATTAGGAAATTGGCCTTTATAAAAACTGCTTAGCTCTCACATGTTTAAAACAAAACGGCAATGATCTTCCAAAACCTTTATTCTCCAACAGTAAAGATAAAATGATGATCACCCACCTGAATAAACATATTTAAACTTAGACCAAATTTAAAAAATTAAATTGAAGTCATCAAAATCTTAATCTGTAAAAGTATTAAATTTTAAAATATATTGTAATATAACCTTTAACTATATATCATTTCATACAAATTTCTAGTTTAATAACACAATATTTCAAATCCATCAGTTGTAACCATTAACTTAAATGTTATAAACATGGCAAGTTACACACAACAATGTTTCCAATTTAAAAAGTATATACTGCTTGATAAAATACATGATGGTACTTAAGTTGTTAAAATAAAATGTAAGAATAAAATCCACACGCTTTTCACAAAAATGTAAATACTTCTTGATTTTGGTGACACCTCTTTTGTTGCAAAACTATATACCAAATATGCAGAATTCACCTATTACAAAAAAATCAAGCCTCATTTCTCTAAAAATCACCTATCCAGACTATGCCAGACTGCGAAGAACTCAAGGGCGGTGAGGTGGAAGAGGTAACAGATAAGGATTAAAAGAATCTCTAAATAATCACAGTAAATGTCACAAAGACCATGGCTCATAAAAGTTCTTCTTCTTACCTATCAGTTCCTATATTAGGCACAATCGTAACTACTCTCTAAAATCATAAAGGACAAGAAACCACATATTTAGAAGGGGAAGGAAGGAAAAAGGGTAAGCACAGCTGCAGCTGCCCTAAGGCATCAGTATTGTATCATAATGACAAACCAATACTGAAAATAAAGTGACATTATGTTGCATATGTTCAGCAATGAAGATATTTTTATAAAATCTTAATACTTAAAACTACGTTTCCATTAACTAAAAAAATAGCCTATCTGGAAAACCTCACATCCTGATGACGCTCAATGTGAGCTTACTATATTTGCTTTTATTCACTCCAGTAAACATTAATCAAACCAGTTTTCTGGTGTAGTTAAAAAATTAACCTGAAAAAAAGTCAAAACATGTCACTGCTTTAAAATATACGCCAGGCGTCACGCCTGTAATCCCAGCATTTTGGGAGGCCAAGGCGGGAGGATCATTTGAGATCAAGAGTTTGATACCAGCCTGGCCAACATGACAAAACCCCGTCTCTACTAAAAATACAAAAATTAGCCAGGCATGGTGGCAGGTGCCTGTAATCCCAGCTACTCAGGAGGCTGAGTGAGGCACGAGAATGCTTGAACCCAGGAGGCGGAGGTTGCAGCCAGCGAGATCGCACCACTGCACTCCAGCCTGGGTGATAAAAGTGAAACTCAGTCTCAAAAAATAAGTTAACTAAATAAAAAATAATAATAGAATATACTTGCTTTCTAAAAAAAGAAATGCACTGAATTACAAAGATTATACATATAGTTCCTCTTGATTTAGGTATATAGATGTGTCAGAACACAATAAAAGACAGGCATGATAATTATGTATTTGTGGAAAAGCTTATATTTAAATAGTGGCCTTCAGAAGAAATATAACATATTTAATCTAAATCTCCTCCCCCTCCCCACAAAACCCCATGACCATCATGGCCACATTTTCACTTTTCCCCTTGTATATTCTCTATAAATATTATGAAGGGAAAAAAGAAAGCAGAAGTAGGAGACCTATTGTACCCATTGCCAGTAAGTGTCAATACCAAAATCTGAGAAGCTTTGGTTAACATAAAATGAAATAATTGTTTAAACTAATATTCGACTTATATAATGTAATCTTTAAAAAAAACACTTTAGGATTCTGAGGTGGGCTTGCTACAAAGGGAAAAAAGTAGCCTATTCTTAACAGGAAATATGTTGCCAAAAACAAATCTATAAGATTTTTTACTTATTGCTGTTTTCTCTTATGTAATTACGAAAACTGCTGCAAGGGGGAAAAGGCAAATATAGTAATAACAAGTAATTTTTTAAAAAACCCCAAAGAACGACTCACTTGAAACAACCTGCTGTTTCCCAAAACATGTTCCCTGAAGAGAGAGCTCTACAGTCCACTAAGTTTGGAAAACCCTTCTTGTTTAGGAGGCTCACCACGCACACTGGCTATTAAAGTTTCTGAGGAGTCTCACTGCAAACAAATATTACTTATTTGGTCCAGCATTACACTATTTTGGACTTCAAAACCTGTTTTTTTTGTACTTGTTTTAGTATACCTATCAACATTCCAAGATATTAAAAGTTCCTCAGAATACCTTCATAGTGATCCACCATAAATATGGAGATACAGATATTTTTAGCTTGTATCAGCACCAATGTGAAGAAAATACAAAAACAGGATCATTATTAGAGCCAAAGAATTGAGGGGGGTGGGAGCAGAAGCTGTTGATTCAATTCTGCTGAGGTTTTTTTTAGCGGGTGGGGAGGAGAGTCCCTTATTTTTAAAAACAAGGCCTGCTCAGGACATTCTGAGGCAATCTAAACATGTCATAAATGACTGTGCCACAAGGGGGAGCCATTATCCATCACTTCTGGCAGATGGTTTCTAATCAAAATAGGCAATATTTAACCAACATTTTATTTCAAAAATACCCATATAACGGCAACTAAAATAAGAACGAAAGTATTATCCATTTTAAAATTAGTAAAATAAAGGGGGAAAGCTTTTTGATTATTATTAGAGCATCTGGTCCCTGACACGATATTTTGTATAGATCAGTTCTTAAGTATTTGGGGAGCATGGGGCAGGCACAATTGGTCAAAATGAAAATTTAGTACAAAGGCAAGCAATGTTTCAAAGATGAAACATCAAATTGCTTTTAGTAGCCTAACACAGTGAATGGCCCCAGCACAAATTCAACAAATGCTAGTGTTCTGCCCCAACTCTACAGTGAAGCAGGTCTAACAGTCAGATCAGATTTAATAAGTTTCATTATTAAAATAATAGACTTTTAATCATCAGTTAACACTTTGACATAAGTTACCTGAGAAATAACTTAGAACCACAATACAATAAAAATAAGATTTAGAGTTTGGAAGTGGAGGAAGGGTGGTTAGAAAACAACTACTCCAGTTTTCACATTCTCACAGTTCTTAGTACAGGGTTCCAGAGTATGTACACTGATTAAACATAGTGACAAGACAGAAATCTAATTTATTTCTTGACAGAGAAAATTCCTATTTTATTTGCCTTTTTCTATCCCTACGGTAGAACACAGGAGCACAATAAATGTCTGAGTGAATATTTGAATGAAATACAGATGCTAGAAAACCTAAAACGAACGTGGTCAACTGCAAATGGCCCCAAATTCTTCCCAGGCCTGTATGCTCACTCCTGTGCAATGTGATTTTGCCACTCCTGTCATCAAGAAGTGGAGTCTATTAATGCGCACACACAAAAAAAGAAAGAATGAATAAAGCCTACGATTTCACTGCACAACAGGGTGACTATAGTCAGTAATAATTGCACATTTTAACTAAAAGAGTGTTGTTAACTGGATTGTTTGTAACTCAAAGGATAAATGCTTGTGGAGATGGACACCTCATTCTCCATGATGCACTTATTTCATATTGCATGCTTGTATCAAGACATCTTATGTACCCCATAAATATATACATCTACTATGTACCCACAAATATTAAAAATTTAAAGGATTTTTTAAATAGGCCGAGCACTTTGGGAGGCCAAGGTGGCACATGCCTAATCCCAGCTATTTGGGTGACTGAGGCACAAGAATCACTTGAACCTGGGAAGTTGCAGTGAGCCGAGATCGCACCACTGCACTCCATCCTGGACAATGACCTGTTAAAATATATATAATTCACAACTTCTACCATCATATAAGAAAATACAAAACACATATAACATTACTATATATACTCTTTTATCGATTAAAAACAGTGCTACTTAATTACCTAGAGGATAGCATTATCATGAATTTCTTTCTTTTTTTTTGAGATGGAGTCTCACTCTGTCGTCCAGGCTGGAGTACAGTGAGACTCTGTCACAAGAAAAAAAATTAAAGTAAAATGAATAAATAACCTAAAAGAAGTGGAGTCTATTTTTCCACACGAATCTGGGTTTCACCATGTGACTTCCCTTTGTCAATGGGACATTAGCAAACACAACACAAGCAGAAGCTTGTACACTGGGGCTTACCCTCTTTCTACTCAATGGAACCCTGTAACCACCACCATGCAAATGAGCCCAGGCTAACCTGTGGGATGATGAGAAAAATGTGGCCATCAACCCAGCTAACATACATCAACCACCAACCATATAAGTGAGGTGTCCCAAGACCCAACTGGTCTGCCAATCATCAGACATAAGAATGAAGCCATATAGCCCCAGCTAAGTTAGCAGAGACCACAAGAACTGTCCAGCAAGCCCAAAGAACTGTGATAAATGAAACCTTTTTTCAAGTCACTAAGTTTTGAGGCTTTTGTTTATACATTTAATACAGCAAAAGCTAACAGATATGGACAGGTTACAAACTTTGGGAAAAGTCCATGCATATGTTTCTATCCTCAAACGGACTTTCATGATACAGTTTCCTAATATATCACTAACCTCAGGGCCACAGCATTAGAGAAATGACATGACCTGTTAAAATATATATAATACCACATGGTCTTCAAACCTTTCAGGCAACCTGCAAGGATACAGATGAAGATGGAAAACAGAATTATACAAGTAAAAAGAATTCCAAAACCGAAGACAAAAGAACAGGGATGTTTTAATCCTTTGTCAGTGTTGTGTATATGTGTTTAATAAAGTTGAACAGATGTAAAAATGAGTATTTGTGAAAGCTACAAGATACTATTACAGAGATAAACACTATCACTACAAAAATCATAGAAACAGCTACATAATTTGTCATCTTTTAGTTTCTACAGAATTTAAAGCAAATTATTTTGGTTGCCCTGATTGTAATTTAAGAACAATAACAAAAACAGAAAACTAGGCTCATGAGGATACAAATTCATCATGAACTTGGTTTGGGTTCCACAGCTATTGGTGGTCAGTACCATCAGGTTGCACAACCTAGGGACTGCCATTCACATCACTGAATGGCTGCAGTGCGCAGCTTCTATCATTATATAAGAAAATACAAAACACATATAGCATTACTATATATACTCTTTTATCGATTAAAAATGGTGCTACTTAATTACCTAGAGGATGGCATTACCATGAATTTCTTCCTTTTCTTTTGAGACGGAGTCTCACTCTGTCGTCCAGGCTGGAAGTACAGTGGCGCAATCTCGGCTCACTGCACCCTCCGCCTCCTGGATTCAAGCGATTCTCCTGCCTCAGCCTCCCGAGTAGCTGGGACTACAGGCGCCCACCACCATGCCCAGCTAATTTTTGTATTTTTTTTATTAGAAACGGAGTTTCACCATATTGGCCAGGCTGGTCTGGAACTCCTGACCTTGTGATCCGCCCAGCTCAGCCTCCCAAAGTGCTGGGATTACAGGCATGAGCCACCACACCCAGCTATAAATGTCTTTAATGCTGCTAAATGTATTTTCCAAACTATATTATATTCTAAAAAATAAAGGTCAGGCCGGGGTGGCTCATGCCTGTAAACCCAAGACTTTGGGAGGCCGAGGCAGGTAGATCACCTGAAGTCAGGAGTTCAAGACCAGCCTGGGCAACATGGTGAAACCCCATCTCTACTGAAAACACAAAAAATTAGCCAGGTGTGGTGGTACGCGTCTGCAGTCCCAGCTACTCAGGAAGTTGAGGCAGGAGAACCGCTTGAACCCGGGAGACAGAGGTTTCAGTGAACTGAGATCATGCCACTACACTCCAGCCTGGATGACAGAGCTAGACTCTGTCTCAAAAAAAAAATAAAAAAATAAAAGTCAGATTTGCACCATTTTTCTCTATCATCTTCACTCTACTCTGTCTTCCCACATTTTTCTAGATCTTTTGAATACTGCTTTTGGACTAGTTTTAACTAGATCAAAGATTTTTCAGAATATAAAAGGCAGAAAAGGGAATTGAAGGATAGTTACTGAATTACAAAGATGTCAGGTACAGAACTTTTCTCTACAGTTCTGCTTTCCTCTGCTCTGTAGAAAGCATTATCATCTCATAACAAGAGCAGGTTCTACTGAACTGAACCTAGTGAACTTAGTCAAGATGGTCCCCAACTCAGAAGGTTCAACTCATAATTTTTTGACTTTATTACGGGTTTATCAGGTTGAAACTTCATAGTTAGGTCAAGCGGCATCAGGACTTAAGATGGTTCAGCTTACTTACAATTTTTTTTTTCAGTGGGCTTATCAGAGGTTGTTTGTTTTTTGTTTTTGTTTTGTTTTTGAGACAAGTCTCACTCTGTCACCCAAGCTAGAGTGCAATGGCGCGATCTCGGTTCACTGCAACCTCCGCCTCCAGGGCTCAAGTGATTCTTCCTGCCTCAGCCTCCCGAGAAGCTGGGATTACAGGTGCCCACCACCATGCCCAGCTAATTTTTGTATTTTTAGTAGAGACGGAGTTTCACCATGTTAGCCAGGCTGGTCTCTTAACTCCTGACCTCAGGTGATCCGACTGCCTCGGCCTCCCACAGTGCTGAGATTACAGGGGTGAGCCACCACGCCCAGCTGCTTATCAGAGTTTTAAATGCATTTTCAACTTAAAAATATTTTTGACTTACAGGTTTATTAGGATGCAGCCCTAGCGTAAGTTGAGGAGCAGCTGAAGTTACTGAGGAATCATCATGACCAAATCAACAAGTTTGATTCCTGAGCAAACACTTTAACATTAATTTGGCTTTATTATCCACAATTTGTTTTTGCTGTGGTTTATATTAAGTAAAACTACATTCCAATATTGGTACCTCTGCTCTTCCTTCCCCTAGAATACTGACTCACATTAGCTCAATTAATGTCGTCTCAACCAATTCTTTTGGTGAAAGCAATTTCACACAGCAGTATGTAGGCTGATCCACTTGACACCACCAAAATATACAGTTTCACTATATTTTGTGAATATATATATAGTGAATAGATATTCACTATATTCTAATAACAAGCATTCATTAATGGAAAACTAGTTTTTTCTAAATTTCATAAAACCTAATTACTAAACTTTTGTTTTTGTTTTTTGGGGTTTTCTTTGAGACAGGATCTCACTCTGCTGCCCAGGCTGGAGTGCAGTGCTGTGATTTTCTTCATTTTCAAAGAGACATGGGCCTTGCTATGTTGCTCAGGCTGGGCTCAAACTCCTGGGTCCTAGTGATCCTCTTGCCTCAGCCTCCTGAATAGTGCCATGGCTAATTACTAAACTTCTGACATTCCAAATAACTAGCATATGCATGACAGTACCACAGATAAGGGAAAGGGGGATGTTGGAAGATAAATGGAGTACAAAATACTGTTTCAGTTTCTCAGGATGAATGTTAATGTCATATTCTAAGAAGTGCTGAAAACTTCCATGTTCTCAAAAAGGGTGATTAACAACATGAGGTCTTGAATATACAGGAATAAATCTTAAAAATCTGCAAGACCTCTATGCTGAAAACCAAAAAATATTACTGACAGAAAATAAAAAGACAAATGAAGGGGAATACCATGATCACAGATCGGAAGACTCAATGTTGTAAAGGCATCGATTCTACCCTAACTTATCTATAGCCTTAATGTAATACTAAGCAATATTCTAGCAGATAACTCTTTGAAACTTGAAAAGCTGATTCGAAAGTTTATGTGGAAATGTAAAGAGCCAAGGAAATCTTGAAGAACAAAGCTGGCAAACCGATTCTAGATTATTGAGATTAATGATAAAGCTAGGCACAGTGGCTCACACCTGTAGTCCCAGCTACCCAGGAAGCTGAGGTGGGAGGATCACTTGAGGCCAGGAATCTGAGACTACAAAGCACTATGATCGTACCATTGCACTCTAGCCTGGCTGATAGAACAAGACCCTGTATCTATCAATCAATCAATAGAAAGAGTTATTATAAAGCTGTAACAATTAGACAAACAAAACAATGGAATCAAAGGGAGCCCAGAAACAGACCCACACACATATGATTAGCTGGTTTAAGGTGACACTACAATACAATGAGGAAGGGGTATCTTTTCCATAAATGATGCTGGGTCTTTTGGATATATTTATATGGAAAAACATAAACCCTGATCTTTACCTCATGCCATATACAAAGATCAATTCCAGATGAACTACAGATTATTTTTCCAATACTTTTAGCTGCTGTTTTATTAACTATAGATTTAACCATGAAAGGTAAAACAATAAAAGTTTCCAGAAGAAAACTTCACAGAATATATTAATGACTTTGTGGTAGGCAAAGATTTCTAAAACAGAATGTAAGAAACAGTTATCATAAATGGATTATAAATTATAAATTAGATTACATTAAACTTAGGAACTTCTAGTTACCAAAAACATCTATGAGTGAAAAGGTAAGACACCAAGTGAGAGGAAATATTTGCAATACAGTTAGCTGACAAAAGATTCTTATCTACATATATAATAGTCCAACAAATCAACTAGAAAAAAAGCAAATAAGAAATTGACAGAGTGGACAGGTACTTTACAAAAGAGGATATTCAACTGGATAATAATCATATAAAAAGGTACTTGACATCCTTAGTCATCAGGGAAATACAAATTAAACCACAGGGAGCTACCACTACATAGTCACCAGAATGACTTAAATGAAAAAGACACTACTAACCGTGGCAAAGGATGTGAAACACTGCCACTGGGAATGTAAATAGGCACATTTAACTTTGGAACACTGGCAGTACCTAGCAAAACTGAATAGGTGCATATGTTTTGATCCTGAAATCCTAATCTTAGGTATATACTCAAAAGAAACACATACATATGCTCATCAAGACATGTGAAAAATATTCATAGCATCCGTGTTCTACCAGCCTCAAACTGGAAACAACTCAAATGTCCATCCATATGGTAACAAGATCAACAAACTGTGGTATATTAACACTGGTATACTAACACAGTGGAATACCATACAGCAGTACCACTACACACAAGATGGATGAATCTCACAAACGTTATACTACAGAAAAGAGACCAGACACAACAATGTACGTACTATCTGATTCCACCTAAGTTCAAAAAGAAGCAAAATATATCAGTGATGTTCAAAGTCAGGACAGTGATCACCTGGGTATTTGTTCATGTGGTGGGACTGGGGGGTTGGCACAGTACTGATAAAGAAGGGTTCGGGGATGGTTTCTGGCTATTAACAATATTTGGCTTTTTAAAATCATGGGTGTGTTCCCTGTGAAGATTCATCAAGTTATACATTTATAATATGTATACTATGTCATACATTACACTTCAATAAAAAGTTTACTAAATAAAATCAACTCCTGGAGGGACACTTCAATGTAGGCTGAGAGAGCTTTAACTGGGAGGACTCCAGGGATGAGAAATAGAACTGTGCAAGAAGAAGCATGCTCATTTTTCTCCTACTGCTCTCTCTTCTGGATCCCATTCAGTTTCATAAAGCCAGTGCCTAAGGACAAATCAAAGGCTACCTCCCCAATCTGCACACAACAACTTCCCCACTCACAGGAATAAGATCTGAAGAATCTTGTGATAAAAGGAATACGGGCCTTGCACATGTACTTTCCTGCCTTTAAGTCTAAAGCTAAAGAAGCAAAAGTAGTCCCTGCAGCTGACATGCTTAGGTCACCAGGGTAGCAGATCACACAGATATGGGGCCAGAACCACAACTGGTAAAAAACAGGATCCATCTGCCTGGAGTTTCCTCTTTGCAATATATATTACCCAAGAAGCCCGAAGACATGGTGACAACCAGAGGAGGTGGCTCATCAAGGACTTGAGATCCACATCCCAGGCACACACTGCCATGATTAACAAGTCCAGCATCTCATTTTATTTAGTAACAAAAGCAGTTTTCATGGTGTACATATTAGATAGTTTAGATGAAAATTTTTATCATTTAGTATAAAATAATTCCTAAACTTATTTGAAAAACCATCTGAAAAGCATGTAATGTGATGCACATCAATGTACTGTCACATTTAAAAGGTTACTGAAGCAAACTTGCATAGTATCAAAGCAAGAAAGTTTGTGGTATTGTGGAAATAACCGGGAATGGGAGCCAAGAGGCCCAATAGAAAACCGGACATTTAGGAGACATGCAATAAACGACAAATGAATGATAAGGTGATAAGGCACTTTGAACATGTTATCTCTTCTCTCACTGGATCTGTTTCTTCACTGCTAAAGTAAGATTATAATGAGGATTAAATGAGTTACTACATATAAAATACTCAGAACAACTAGTCCTTGGCACAGTCAGTACTCAATAAATAGTAAACACTATTATTAGATGCCAGTCCTGATTCTGCCATTATATTCAGGTGTAACCTCAGACAAGTAACTCACCATTTTGGGTTTCTATAAAATGACAGGGCTAGTAATGGATGCTCTATAGCTCCCTATCTAGTTTAGAAAATATTTAATTTTCAATTCTCAAACATGTTAGAGAATAATTCCCACATACGCACATTAAAAATTATTTTCCAGGCCGGGCGAGGTGGCTCACGCCTGTAATCCCCACACTTTGGGAGGCCAAGGCAGGCAGGTCACTTGAGGTCAGGAGTTCGAGACCACCCTGGCCAACATAGCGAAACCCTGTCTCTACCAAAAATACAAAAATTAGCCAGGCATGGTGGTGCATGTCTGTAATTCCAGCTACTTGGGAGGCTGAATCAGGAGAATCGCTTGAACCCGGAAGGCAGAGGTTGCAGTGAGCCAAGGTCGCACCACTGCACTCCAGTCTGACTCCATCTCAAAAAACAAAAAACAAAAAAACACCACATTATTTTCCAGACTACAATCTACTACAGAATATACACCAAACATACTCATACTATTGGGGGCGGGGTACATGTGGATGTGACTGAACATCCAGACTACCATTTAAAGTGGAAACTATAACTTGAGCACCCATCCAAAAAGGAACATATTCAGAATAAGGAAAGGAGCCCTGGATGAAGATTAAGATTTTGTTCTAATCCTGACACTGCTGACAATGTTAAACAATACCTTACTCCTCTCTCTCTACGTCTGTTTACTTATTTGTAAATTGAGAGGTGTTGGGATAAATAATCACTAAGATCCATTTGAGACTTCCTTTACTTTTTCCCTCCTTCCAAACTAGAATGTTGTCCTAGAAACCAAAAACCGTTCCTAGAAAACCAAAAACTACAGCATCAATAAATGTGAGAACTGGCCAATCTCCAGACTAAACAGTCCCAATCTGAGGATGGGTGATAATGGCACCAGCCTTTCAGATGGGCCCACACTGATGTTCAAGACCCAGCAGACTCTATTCTGTCTGCTTTCCAGAATAATATATATTCTCCACCATAGAGAAGGGTAGGAAATGAAAATTAGCTCAATATACTGATTGCTACTTTTAACACATCATTACACAGTAACTGATGATTCCTTCATACCACAATATTTTTAATGGCCAACATTTCTTCAGTACCTACCATGTGATGGGCCTGGTGCTAAGTACCTTAAAGCATCCTAAAGCTAGAAGACAATTTTAGGTGATTTCCAGGTAAGAAAACTATTTAAGGACTGGAAAATACATGGCTAAATTCATTTCCTTAGGTTCAAGACCACTCCTTGCAAAAAAAAAAAAAAAAAAAAAAAAACACAGAATCTTAATTATTTCATTAATTGTCTTTAAAAAAAAACATACATAAGTGAAAATTGAATTTTAAATTCTGATGCTCACATCAAGAAAGTAATTTACTCTTAATACTCCCAAATGGTTTCATTATATTCTTACCTTTTTATTTCAGCCCTATAATTAGGAACAAAAAACAGAAACTCATCTAAAAATATATAATTAAAAGTTATTTTATAAAACTAAAAACCTCTTACCTGAGCATGAAAATTGGACATAGTCGTTGTCTCTATATCTTTCTTTCCCAATATCTCCATTTTCACTGGTGAATTGGGAAAATTAAATGAAAAATAGTCTAAAAAGTCAGGTAAATAAGTAGCTGCCCCATGAACAATACCCATCACGTAGAAAGCTGCAGAGTTTTCATTTTCACTGAACACTAGACCCACAAACTCTTCTGCAAACCTCTCCATCTCCATAGGAGACAGGTGGGAGAGTTCGTTACTGTAGGCATGGATAACCGATGCACCTCCATTAGGCTGGTGCTCTATATGAATGAGTTGTTTAAATTCCAAAGTGTCCAACCTTTTGAGGTTATTCTGAACTCGTGGCTCCTTTAATGAGACAAATGGAAACTCACTGTTCTCTGGAATTTTGGAATCATAGTTCTTGGTATCCAAATTCTTCCCAACGTAATCTTTTATGTTATCATTTAGGATGCCTTTGGCTGCTTGATCTTCAACATCAGTTAGCAATCCTGAGCAGATGGTCTGAATAGATTTGCTATACATTTTCGGACGCTTCCGTTTTTCATTCTCTTTGTGTTTCTTTTTCTTTTTCTTCTTTACCTTTTTAATTTGTAAGTCTTCTATATTTGTTTTTGGTTTCTCCTTCCCACCTGTTGGAAAAAATGTTTTTTGAAACTCCATATTTTAATTACTTTAAAAACCATGCTTTAGGAACAGTTTTGTCTAAGTAAGAAGTTTACTTCTGAAAATTTACTCAGAATTATATATTTAGGACTCATTTTTTACAGAATTGATAATCAATATTTAGTCAGCCTTTTTTGAGACAGAGTCTTGCTCTGTCGCCCAGGCTGGAATCCAGTGCCACAATCCTGTCTCACTGCAAACTCCACCTCCTGGGTTCAAGCAATTCTCCTGCCTCAGTCTCCCAAGTAGCTGGGATTACAGGAGCGCGTCACCATGCCCAGCTAATTCTTGTGTTTTTAGAAGAGACAAGGTTTCACCATGTTGGCCAGGCTGGTCTCAAACTCCTGACCTCGTGATCTGCCCGCTTCGGCCTCCCGAAGTGCTGGGATTACAGGCGTGAGCCACCACACCCAGCCAGCCAGTCTCTTCATGTACACAGCGAGAGAGAGACAGAGAGAGAGAGAGAAAGAGAGAGACAGACAGACAGACAGACGGGCATAGAGCAAAGTTACATCTACAGTGTGTGCTACCATTCTGACATATAGCAAATGCTCACAGTTTACAGAAATAAGGAGATGAATGAATATTTTAGAAAACAATCTTCAGGCCAGGCGCAGTGGCTCATGCCTGTAATCCCAGCACTTTGGGAGGCCGAGGTGAGTGGATTGCTTGAGGTCAGGAGTTCGAGACCACCCCGCCCAAGAGAGCAAAACCCCATCTCTACTAAAAACACAAAAATTAGCTGGGCATGGTGGTGAGCACCTGTAATCCCAGCTACCCGGGAGGCTGAGGCAGGAGAATTGCTTGAACTGAGAGGCAGATTGCAGTGAGCCAAGATCGTGCCACTGCACTCCAGCCTGGGTGACACAGCGAAACCCTATCCCAAAAAGAAAAAAATAAAGAAAAAAAGAATCATCTATGCCTAGTGTCTTTCCTTTACCACCTTATCATTCTTACTGCTTAAATTCTGGTTCTGTTTTCAATCTGTTTAAATTTGCTTTCCCAGAATGTTGAAATATCAAATCCAGTCATATTTACTCAAGTCATTTTTTCTGGTGTCTCCGTGATTTGACAGAATTATCCAGCTCATCCTTGATTACTTCTGAATTCCTTGATGCCACTGTCTTAATTTTTGGTCTAACAGCTGCATAACTGTCTCTCATCCTGAATGCTACAGCCATATTAACCTTTCTATAATTTTTATGTATTCTTTTGATCATATTCATTCCTTAGCTAAACTGCTTTCAAGAGCTCTCAATGTCTACCTATAATCTCTTCAGTCTGGAATCCAAAGACAGTGCCCTCAAGTACCTCATACTCTGGTCAAACTGAACTATTTATTTACAATTTCTTATAAAACATAACTCTACTGGCAAAGGTATTTCCTCTCCTTAAAATACACTTCACTTGCTCATTATTTACAAATGAACTCTTTTCTATCCATTTGATGTGACTGAAAGTTTCCTGAGCTCCCCCCCGAGAAGCTGAGCAGATGCCAGCATCATGCTTCCTGTACAGCCTGTAGAACCATGAGCCAATTAAACCTCTTTTCTTTATAAATTACCCAGTCTGAAGTATTTCTTTATAGCAGTATAAGAATGGACTAATACAGAAAACTGGTACTGAGGAATGGGGCATTGCTATAAAGACATCTGACAATGTGGAAGTGACTGCCCTAGTAGAGAGGTTCTCCATGAGAGCTCCATTCCTTTAGCAGGCTTCTGCCTGAACATCCAGGTGTTTCCATACAGCCTCTGAAAACTAGGTGGAAGCTCCCAAGCCTCGAATCTTGCATTCTGTGTACTGGCAGGCTTAATACCACATAGAGCCACCAAGACTTATGGCTGGCACCCTTGAAGTAGTGGCTCAAGCTATACCTGGGCACCTTTGAGCCACAGCTGGAGCTGGGATGGCTGGGGAGCAGGGAGCAGTATCCTGAGGCTGTGCAGAGCAGCAGGGCCCTGGGCCTGGCCCAGGAAACCACTCAGTCCTACTAGGCCTCCAGGCCTGTGATGGGAGGAGCTGCCACAACGTTCTCTGAAATGCCTTCTAGGACTTTCCCCCATTGTCTAGTCTATTAGCAGTTGGCTCTTTCGTTTTATTTACACAAATTTCTGCAGTTATTTACACAAATTTCTGCAGCCTGCTTGAACTCTTCCCTGACAATAGGCTTTTCTTTTCTACCACATGGCCAGACTGCAAATTTTCCAAACCTTTATGGTTTGGAAAAGGTAATGTGGGGAAATGTGGGGTTGGAGCCCCCACACTGAGTCTCCACCAGGGTACTGCAGAGTGGGGCTATGAGAAGAGGGCCACTGTCCTCCAGACCCCAGAATGGTAGATCCACCAAAAGCTTGCACCACGCACTTGAAAAAGCCTCAAGCCCTCAATACCAGCCCTTGAGAGCAGCCACAGGGGCTGAACCCTACACAGCCACAGGGGTGGGGCTACCCAAGGCACTGGGAGCCCACCTCTTGCATGAGAGTGTCCTGGATGTGGGTCATGGAGTCAAAGGGGATTATTTTGGAGCTTTAAGGTTTAATGACTGCCCTGCTGGGTTTCGGACTTGCATGAGGTCTGTAGCTCCTTTTTTTGGCCAATTTCTCCCTTTTGGAACAGAAGTATTTACTCAATGCCTATACCCACCCCCCTCTATGTTGGAAGTAACTAACTTGTTTTATATTTTATACGCTCATAGGTGAAAGAGACTTGGCCTTGTCTCAAATGAGACTTTGGACTTTGAACTTTTGGGTTAATGCTGGAATGAGTTAAGATTTGGGGGGACTGTTGGCAAGGCATGACTGAATTTTGCAATGTGAGAAGGACATGATATTTGGGAGGGGCCAGGGGTGAAATGATATGGTTTGGATCTGTGTCCCCTCCCAAATCTCATGTCGAACTGTAATCCCCAATTACAATTGAAGGTGGGGCCTGGTAGGAGGTAACTGAAATCATGGGGGTGAATTTCCCCCTTGGTTCTGCATCACCATTGTGAGTGACATCTGGTTGTTTACAAGTGTGCAGCACCTCCCCCATCACCACCTCTCTCCTGCTCTGGCCATGTACGGCGTGCCTGCTTTCCCTTCACCTTCCACCATAATTGAAAGTTTCCTGAGGCCTCCCGAAAGCTGAGCAGATGCCAGCACCATGCTTCCTGTACAGCCTGCAGAACCATGAGCCAATTAAACCTCTTTTCTTTATAAATTACCCAGTCTCGGGTACTTCTTTATAGAAGTGCGAAAATGGACTAATACACTATCCTTTAATGCAGGCATCCCCAATCCCAGGGCAACAGACCGGTACTGGTCCATAGCCTGTCACAACTAGGCCACACAGCAGGAGGTGAGCAGTGGGCGAGCCAGCGAAGCTTCATCTGTATTACAGCCATTCCCCATTGCTCACATTACTGCCTGAGCTCCACTTCCTGTCAGTATTAGATTCTCATAGGAGGGTGAACCCTATTATGAACCATGCATGTGAGGAATCTAGGTTGCCTGCTCCTTATGGAGACTCTAATGCCTAACGATCTGAGATGATACTAGTGCTGGGAGCTGCTCCAAATACAGATTAACAAGCTCAGGGTTCCCACTGATTCTACATTATGGTGAGTTATATAATTATTTCATTACATATTATAATGTATAATAATAGAAATAAAGTGCACAATAAATGTAGTGTCCTTGAATCATCCCGAAACCATCCCATCTGTCCATGGAATCACTGTCTTCCGTGAAATCAGTCCCTGGTACCAATAAGGTTGGGGACCACTGCATTAAAGACAACTCTTATATCCTTTCCTTCATGTTGCTTTCCCTCATTTCTCAAATTAGAACTGAAATCACTTCACTCCTAAGTCATATGTTACAAAAGTTACATGTTTCTCTCATAGGATACCTGTATACTATATGTCAATCAACACTATGAGTGAAACAAATAACCTTTATATTAATTTAGAGTGAAATGATACCTCCTTTTCCATCATTATATCCCTCATAGTATCTGGCATATTGCTACATAAGAATATTTAATGAAAGTATGAATGAAAAAATCTGTCTCACTAACAGACTACCTGAGGCTTATAGTTTTTTCCCTTATCTTCCTTTCAGTCAACTTTTTTTTTTTTTTTTGAGACGGAGTTTTGCTTTTTGTTTCCCAGGCTGGAGTGCAATGGCATAATCTCGGCTCACTGCAACCTCCGCCTCCCGGGTTCAAGTGATTCTCCTGCCTCAGCATCCCAAGTAGCTGGGATTACAGGCATGCGCCAACATGACCAGCTAATTTTGTATTTTTAGTAGAGACAGGGTTTCACCATGTTGTTCAGGCTGGTCTTGAACTCTTGACCTCCAGTGATCCACCCGCCTCAGCCTCCCAAAGTGCTGGCATTACAGGCGTGAGCCACTGTGCCCAGCCTCAGTCAAGCTTTTGCACATATGAATACCACTAAATTCTAGCCCTGAAAACAACAAAAACTATTTTAAGTTGATAGCAATCCATAAAAGTGAAGTTTAATGTTAAGAAATTCTCTGTAAAAATTCACAGACGTGATAATTCATAAGTATCCAATGAAGAACTAGTATGAGAAGCAAAAACAGTAATCTGTCAACATTATTCATTACACAGGTGTATAAAGTCATAAAAGGCAAAGTGTTAATTCTCTAAAGAGTCTATCTGTGGCCAGGCGCAGTGGCTCACACCTGTAATCCCAGCACTTTGGGAGGCCGAGGCAGGTGAATCACCTGAGGTCAGGAGTTCGAGACCAGCCTGGCCAACATGGTGAAACCCCGTCTCTACTAAAAATATGAAAAATTAGCCGGGCGTGGTGGCAGGCACCTGTAATCCCAGCCGAAATTGCACCACCGCACTCCAAACTGGGTGACGAGAGTGAGACGTCTCCCCCTCAAAAAAAAAGTCTATCTCTAAGCAGCTAAGACACACACTTGAATAACGTTATCAAATTCAGACTTGCCACCTAGGTATGAACTATCAAAATATCATATTTAGGTTAATTAGTATCTTAAGGACAAAATTAATTTTTAAAAAAAAGTCAAACAGTAGGCCAGGCATGGTGGCTCACACCTGTAATCCCAGCATGTTGGGAGGGCAAGGCAGGAGGATCACTTGCACACAGCAGTTCCAGACCAGTGTAGGCAACATGGTGAGACCCTGTCTCTACAAAATCTTTTTTTTTTAATTAGCTGGGCATGTTGGTACATGCCCGTAGTCCCAGCTACTCAGGAGGCTGAGGCAGGAGGATGGCTTGAGCACAGTAGGTTGAGGATGCTGTGAGCCATGATCATGCCACTGCACCCCAGCCAAGGCAACAGAGAAAAAAATAAAATAAAAATAAATGTAAAAAGTAAAACAGTCCAGACATGGTGGCTGATGCCTGTAATCCCAACACTTTGGGAGGCCAAGGCAGGAGGATCACTTGAGGCCAGGAGTTCGAGATCAGCTTGGGGAACATAGAGAGACCTCATCTCTACAAAAAAAATGAAATAAAAATAAGTGAAACAGGGGACTAACCAAAATGAAAGATGAAACAATCAAAAAAAATCAGGGAAAGAAGGCAGTAATGCAATAAAAAATAGAATTTAACAAAGCTTAAAGGGCAAAGGTGTGATTAATGACATTCCTAAATACAACTGAAAATATATGTAGAACTGCATAAATTACGCAATTGTTGCCAAAATGAATAAAACTTCATTTGAGTGAAAGTATATTTAATATCCTACACTTATGCCTAACACCAAAAAAGGTTAAATCAGAAAATATTACCAGGAGAACACATTAGTTTGAAATAGAACAGAGACAACACTTAGTCTATTTCATAGGCATGAAGATAAACCAAAAGGTACTATAACAGGAACTGAAAAATGCAAACCAATAAGAAATCAGTTAAGAGATTCCTTTAGAAAAAAAAAAAAACAAAACCAACTTATTTATTTATTTTTTTAATAGAGACAAGGTCTCACTATGTTGCGCAGGCTGGTCTCAAACTCCTGACCTCAGATTATCCACCCGTCTCGGCCTCCCAAAGTGCTGGGATTACAGGCATGAGCCACTGCACCTGGCCAAGAGATTCTTAGACTGAGCATCAAGGAGTTAAATTCTCACAGCAGAGCAGCCTGGGAAACAAAGCAAGACACTGTCTCTACAAAAAATACAAAAATTAGCTGAGTGTGGTGGCAAATACCTGTATTCCCAGCTACTCAGGAGGCTGAGGCAGAAGGATCACCTGAGCCTGGGGAGGTAAAGGCTGCAGTGGCCTGTGATCACACCACTGTACTCCATACTGGCAACAGAGTAAGACCTTGTCTCGAAAAAAAAAAATTCCCATGGAAAACTATTCTGTAATTAAATACTGAAATGAGCACTGTATGCAGAAGAGATAATATGCCTGAGACTGTTATTCTCAGTCCTGTTTGCAAGGCTGACTCTCGGCTAGCATCTAGGAACTCTTATTTTTGGAGGGTTCCCCCCATTCCATAAGTAAGAGTCTTCACTGTGCCAAAACTGTGCAAACAATATAGTTCGTTGTTGTTGTTGTTGTTTAAGACAGGGTCTCACTCTGTCGCCCAGGGTGCAGTGCAATCGTGCAATCGGCTCACAGCAACTTCCGCCGCCTCCTGGGTTCAAGCGATTCTCCTGCCTCGGCCAACTGAGTAGCTGGAATTACAGGCATGCACCACCACGCCTGGCTAATTTTGTATTTTTAGTGGAATCGGGGTTTCACCACGTTGGCCAGGCTGGTCTCAAACTCCTGACCTCAAGTGATCTGCGTGCCTCGGCCTCCCAAAGTGCTGGGATTACAGGTGTGAGCCACCACACCAGGCCTAAACAACATGGTTTTGCTGAACACTTGTTTTCCTTCTGGGAGTCTGGAATTTTAGTTTGTGGTAGGCAAATGGTGCCTATATGACCAATGTCCAAGAAAAACCCTGGGCACTGAGTTTTTAATGAGCTTCTCTGGCAGACAAGATTTCACATGTGTTGTCACAATTCACCACTGCAAGAATTAAGCACATCACATGTGACAACATTGGGAAAGGACTCTCAGAAACTTGTGCCTAGTTTCTTTCAGAAATTGCACCAAGTGCTATTTTTCTTGTTGATTTTACTTTGTATCCTTTCACTGTGTGTCTGTATATTTTTTTAAAGATGGATTCTTGCCGTGTGTGTGTGTGTGTGTGTGTGTGTGTGTGTGTGTATTTTTTTTTTTTTTTTTAAAGATGGGTTCTTGCCACGTTGCCCAGGCTGGTCTCGTACTCCCAGGCTCAAGCAATCCTCCGGCCCCAGCTCCCCAAAATGCTGGGATAAGAGCTGTGAGCCACCATGCCTGTCCTCCTTCACTATAACAAATCATAGCCATAAGTACAACCATATGCTGAGTCCTGTGAATCCTTTCAGCAAATCACAGGCCCTGGGAGTAGCCTTAGGAATCCCAGTGGACACAGGCAAAATGCATTCTTTACATGAAACCAAACTGGGGTACTAGCATTCACCAGATAGATTAAGAGCTTTATGTAATCTCTCGCTCATTTCCTATCTCTACATATGAAATGCAGTAGATATGTATGCAGAAAATTTTAAAATAAGGAAAAAGGCCATTTTAAATACCAATTTGCTTCTCCTACACTAAAGAGTATTTAAAGTCCACATTAAATCTATAATTCTTTTCTTTTCTTTTTTTTTTTTTTTGAGACCGAGTCTTGCTCTGTCACTCAGGTTGGAGTGCAGTGGCACGATCTTGGCTCACTGCAAGCTCCACCTCCCGGGTTCACACCATTCTCCTGCCTCAGCCTCCCGAGTAGCTGGGACTACAGGTGCCTGCCACCACGCCCAGCTAATTTTTTTGTATTTTTAGTAGAGACAGGGTTTCACCACATTAACCAGGATGGTCTTGATCTCCTGACCTCATGATCCACCCATCTCAGCCTCCCAAAATGCTGGGATTACAGGCGTGAGCCACCACATCTGGCCTAAATCTATAATTCTGTAACAGAACCCAATAAAGGATCCTGACAGGTACCTATAACAGAAAGAATAGAACTGCTATCCAACTAATCTGCCCCTTCAAAAGTGTAAGATGAGAAGTAAAATGGTGGCCAGGTGCAGTGGCTCATGCCTGTAATCCCAGCACTTTGGGAGGCTGAGGCGGGTGGACTGCTTGAGGTCAGGAGTTCGAGACCAGCCTGGCCAACATGGTAAAACCCCATCTCTACTACAAACACAAAAATTAGCCAGGCGTGGTGGCGCACGCCTGTAGTTCCAGCTACTCGGTAGGCTGAGGCAGGAGAATCGCTTGAACCCGGGAAACAGAGGTTACAGTGAGCCCAGACTGTGCCATCGCACTCCAGACTGGGTATCACAGTGAAACTCCGTCTCAAAAAAAAAAAAAAAAAAAGAAAAGAAAAGAAAAATGTTGATGGGAGACCCTCCCCAAAGCCACATACAAATGCACAAAGCAGACCACACACACAAAGTACCACAGATACACACGTGTATAGAGTCAGAGCCAGAGAGAGTGTGCCAGACTGGGAGTGAGGGAATCAGAAACAGAGATGCAGGTATACTTAGAGCCAGAGAGAGACACTCACAGAGGCAGAAAGAAGCGCACACAGAAACAAAGACAGCATGTGTTGTTAATGGCTAATTATGAAAAGAAAAATAAAAAAAAACTTTTAAGATCACAAATTCATTGAGTTAATTCTACCACTAATTTTCGTATACTTTCTGTATTAATAAAGTGAAAAACAAAATTCAGAAAAATTTATAAAATTTATATCTATCTTTCTCTCTCCCCCATCCCATTATTACATATAGGAAAAAAGTACTAATTAGCTTAGTTATTCTCAACTTTTGGCCTCTGGGATTCGAATCTGCTTTTTTTGCACTGCAATGTTGTCACTCTTCCAGCCATGATTTACCTACCTGTGACCTTTAGTACACTACCAGTCACCTTGGACACTGGCTTCTTTCAACCCTCATTCTAACTGCTCACCAGCAAACTTATTTAAAATGCTATAATGACAAACATTTACTCTAAAAAATACTATAATCATAACACATGTTCTCACACTTTATCATTAATAAACAACATAAAAATGCCTGGAACATAATGCATACAATCAGAAAAAGCAGTTGGTGAACTTTAGTATAAAATAAGACCCACTAAATAAGCTTTGTTTCAAACTTATTTGTTCCTTTAAACTATTTTGAAAAGAGCAAATAATCCAACTTTCTTACCAAATAAACTTTTATAAGGTTTTCGCATTAATAAAACACTTTTTATCATATATATAATTTTGTGTGTATTTCCAGTCAGAAAAAACTTGACAGGCCGGACGCAGTGGCTCATGCCTATAATCCCAGCACTTTGGGAGGCCGGGTCAGGCAGGCTGCCTGACCTCAGGAGTTCGCCATCAGCCTGGGCAACATGGTGAAACCCTGTCTCTACTAAAATACAAAAAATTAGCCCTAGGCATGGCGGCGTGCGGCTGTAATCCCAGCTACTCAGGAGGCTGGGGCAGGAAAACTGCTTGAACCCAGGAGGCAGAGTTTGCAGTGAGCCGAGATCGCGCCACTGCACTCCAGCCTGGATGACAGAGCAAGACTCCTCTCAAAAAAAAAAAAAAAAAAAAAAAAAAAAAGACACATTTTTTTTTTTTTTTTTTTTTTCCTGAGACCAAGTCTTGCTCTGTCACCCAGGCTGGAGTGCAGTGGCACAATCTCGGCTGCAGCCTTTGCCTCCTGGGTTCAAGCAATTCTCCTGCCTCAGCCTCACGAGTAGCTGGGATTACAGACGAGCGCCACCACGCCCGGCTAATTTTTCTATTTTTAGTAGAGATGGGGTTTCACCAGGTTGGCCAAGCTGGTCTCAAACTCCTAGCTTCAAGTGGCCCACCCGCCTTGGCCTCCCAAAGTGCTGGGATTACAGGCGTGAGACACTGCGCCCAGCCTACCTGACACAATTTTTAAGAAAAACCTGGAGAAAATGAATTGGTGTGACATACTTGACATCTATTTTAGATTTTCAAATGCCATCATCCATCAACACCTGTGTATACCACAGCTTGCAACATTATCATTAACAGAAGAAAAAAATTACAAGGATAGAATAAAAGTTGGAGGCCACAAGGAAAAAAGTGGCACACAGTAGTAAATGAAAGTATATTTTCCCTCAGCAAAGTAAATGATTTGTTGTTCCAAGTCACCAACAACAAAAGATGCCTTTCCCTACCACCACCACAGGCTCACTTGGGAAATGGCCCCACATACTAAGCAAATTCTTTCTCGTAGATAGTAACAACAGATAACACTCAGTGCTTTCAATGCGACAAGCACTGTTTTCCCAATGAATCATGTGTTTATTCACTTAATTATCTATGTACTACACACTGAGGAGAGGAGATAGTTTGGTTTTATTGGTGTTTTTTGTTTTTTGTTTTTTTGAGATGGAGTCTCTCTCTGTTGCCCAGGCTGGAGTGCAGTGGCACCATCTTGGCTCACCGCAACCTCCGCCTCCTGGGTTCAAGCGATTCACATGCCTCAGCCTCCCGAGTTGCTGGGATTACAGGCACCCACCGTAATTTTTTGTATTTTTTAGTAGAGATGGGGTTTCACCAACTTGGCCAGGCTGGTCTTGAACTCTTGACCTCAGGTGATCCACCTGCCTCGGCCTCCCAAAATGCTGGGATTACAGGCTTCAGCCACTGTGCCTGGCCAATTTTGTTGCTTTTTAATCACAAAGTTAATCTCTCATACATACTTACAAGAAAGATTTCATAACTATTTACTACTCAGTAGTAAGTACCTGTGAGCCAGATTCTATACTTGGCACTTTCCTCATACTTTCCCTCATTTAATCTTGGTAACACTGTAAGGCAGTAATTAAATTATTACTTACCTCCACTGTGAATACATTTTCCCTAAATTTTTCCATGGACATCCCAGAAGTCACAAATTAATTTCCACATCTATCTCATTCTTTTACCTTAATCATCACTAGTTTCAGTTTAACTCGGTTCAAAATATCACCTAAATTTTTGTCTACTTCAAAGTTAATATCGTATATTTCATTTTTTAAAAATCTCAATTTTTAGGCTGTTTTAAATTTTATTTTCATGTGTAATCTCTGGATTCACATAATTCACATTATGTTAGGAATCCAGTATTCAATCAAGAACATATGAGGCTTTTATAAAGTATTTCTAAAACAGATTCCTTCTCAAGTAATAGAATTTACAGCATGATATTTTCAAATGAATAAGAAAACTATTTGATTAAATCAGAAAAAAAAATGGCTATTGGGCTAAACCAAGGGTAAAGTTAAGTAGACTTGACTTTTTCTTTTCTTTTTTTTTTTTTGAGACTGAATCTCACTCTATTGCCCAGGCTGGAGTACAGTGGGGTGATCTCAGCTCACTGCAACCTCTTGTCTCCCGGGTTCAGGCAATTCTCATGCCTCAGCCTCCCCAGTAGCTGGGATTACAGATGTCCACCATCATGCCCCACTAATTTTTCATTTTTAGTAGAGACGAGGTTTCACCACATCGGCCAGGCTGGTCTCAAACTCCTGACCTCAAGTGATCCACCCGCCTCGGCCTCCCAAATTGCTGGGATTACAGGCATGAGCGACCGAACCTGGCCTTAAGCAGACTTTTCAAGCATTCATCACTAGCTGCTATAAATAACTAGTGTGGTTATATTCAATTCCTGCCTCAAAGGCTTACAATCTAATTAGACAACACAGATAGAATATGCAGGCAAAAGAAACAGAACAAAAGGATCATGAGCATTAACTAATAAGCAGCCATCAACTTAAGCTCTGACGTATTTCTTCAAGGTTGAAAGAATATCGTAGAAAATGAAGTTCTGACATGTAGATAATAGAAAACGAATATCTGAAAACATGACAAAGAATGCAATGAAAATACAGAATCTAATACTCTTTATCTTAGATAATATAAACTACCAGTTATTTTGCTACATATGCAGTGTCGTGGTCTTTCCCCCTCAAGCAAATATAAAGCCTTATCAACAATTAAATTCAATATGAAGTTAATCAAGGTCAACATATTCTCATCATCAACTATCAACATGATAGCACTAGTAAATTTGCTAGCTAGTGAATTCGCTAGTTGTCTAGCAACCGAATGCCACGGATTCTTCTTACCTTGACATCTGAGTGAATTTAAGACTATCCTTACGTCTATTCTACCACAAATTCTCTCTTTACAAGTTCAGACTTATTGACAGGATTTGCAGTATACTTATTACCCAACCACCTACCCCCCAAATTCTTCTCTCCACCCCACCCTCATATATAAACAGCAAATGAATGCAACTGTAACAGAGAAAAAAAAGAATAAAACAAGGATATTCTTAAACATACAAGAAACATACCGCTTCTGATTTAGCTCAGAGTAAAATGTTCCCTCTAAATGCTAGACTATGGTATGGTGATGACAGTCAAATATTTTTAAGAAGATCACTTACTTCACCATCCCTATCATACTAAAACTTGCTTTGGCAATTTTTCTTAATTTCTTCCTTTTAGATTATCTAAATATGAGTAAGACTAGTAATGCAAACATAGAATTAACTTATTTTAAAATAATTTAAGAAATTAAGTTTAACGAAGCTTAACCTTTTAACTTTTTAATGGCTCACTAAATATACTATAAGACATGTTACCATACAGATTAGAACTCTCCGTTGTTACATTTACTTTTCATTTCCTCATCATTGTTCATTCTCCGCAAAATTCAGCACCAAATAACATTTCTTATTTTATTCACTTAGCCAATAAAGATACTGAACAGTATAATAAAGTAGAACTAAAATCACTGAATAAAACTTACTTTTCAGCAAAATCTTTACTTCTCCATTCTCTTTCTTGATCTCATTCATTACTTTATGTTTCTTTTTTTCTCTTTCTTTTTCTTTGTCTCTCTCTTTAATTTTGTCTTTGATTTTATCTGGAAGACAAAACAAAGGAAATATTTAAAATGAAAAAATTACAACTTCATTTATCTGCACAAACTATAGGTAAATTTCTGGAATTACAATACACAAAGAAAATCAGAATGAGGAACAAATAATGCCTTTTCTTTTTCCTCTCAGGTTTTGGGGAATATTTCTAAATTTCCCTTTTTATTGAATATGAAATACATATTGTCAAAATGTATCATTATACATTTTATTCTAAGTATTCTTCACTTCGTGTCAACCAAAATATTAAATTTATTTCAAATCACTTAAAATAACTAACTTTAGGTGAAGCAAAAGCTACGATGGAAAAGTGCCAGTGTTGAAATTGAGCATCTATGGATTAGCAGCATAACAGAAAAATTACTTGATCTCAGTTTCCTAATCTGTAAATGGTAATTGATACCTTCCTCATTATGGTTACTATAAGGACTAAATGAAAAAATATATAAAATGACTACATAGAGCCTGGCATACATAAGACTAGATGTTGGTTCCCTTACCCTTGGCTCCTTTTAAAAATAGTATGACTCAATCTGACTACTTGGTGATACTGTGATATTTAAATAAAGGGCATAATAACTCTAGGGATCATTCATTTGCATTCTAAAACTTCAAACAAAATATTTGATAGCCTATTAAATTCTTCTTTGTTCAAATGACTTCCTATGCACCCAGCAAAAGACAAAATACAGAGAAGGATATACAAATAGTGACATAAACCTTTGCCCTCAAAAAGCTTACGACTGATTACAAAACCATGATGGAAGTATACAAGAACTGTGAAATGTCCTGGAATATAGTAGAGATTATATAGTATACATGCATACTGCATAATCTCTTAAAAATCACTCCTTACTTTCCTTTCTATAAACACTACCATAACCCAGGTCCTAATCATGTAGTGATTAGATTACTGTCTATATAAGCACTGTCCAGATCTAGACAGTAATCTAAATCTGAATTGGTAAACAATTTTATTAATTTTAATGATATATTTTGCTTAACCCAATGGATCCAACACATTATAATTTCAACATGGAACTGATATTTTTAAATGATGAGATATTTTACATTTTTTCATAAGATTTCAAAATCTAACATATATTTTACATTTATGACACATCTCAATTTGAAACTAGTTTCACTTTAAGTGTTGAATAGTCACATAAAACTAGTGTCTACCATACTGAATAGCACAGGTCTAGACTACTTAAATAAATTTTCAAAAAATTAAATTCATGTGCTAATAAACATTTTTAAACTTCAATCATTAATAATATACAAATTAAAAGACATTACTTTCACCTATAACACTGACAAAGTGTTTTTTGTTTTTTTTTTTCAAGTGATAACACTCCAAGCATACGAAAGTACAGCAAACAGGAATTCACTGACTCAACAAATACACAGTCTGAGTACAAGAAAAAGATTAGGGATACAGGGGAGAATAAACGAGATAAAACTCCTTATCTGTTCACATATAACTTAACTTCTGAATTAGATTACAGTGTTCCCACACTTCTGATTGGTTTGCCACTCTTACTTTCTGATGTTAAAGTCCTTGAAATCCTGTCATAGGCTGCTGTCTAGCTATAAAATGTTACTCCAGGCCGGGCGCGGTGGCTCACGTCTATAATCCCAGCACTTTGGGAAGCCGAAGTGGGCGGATCACCCGAGGTCAGGAGTTCAAGACAAGCCTGGTCAATGTGACAAAACCCCATCTATACTAAAAATACAAAAATTAGCCGGATGTGGTGGTGCATGCCTGTAATCCCAGCTACTTGGGAGACTGAGGTAGAAGAATCGCTTGAACCCGGGAGGTGGAGGTTGCAGTGAGCCGAGATCATGCCACTGCACTCCAGGCTGGGTGGCAGAGTGAGATTACATCTTGGAAAAAAAAAAAATGTTACTCCAAGTAGCTGGAGCTTAGACACATTATATAATATTTCCTAAGTAACTAAACTTCTAACAAAATGAACTATTTATATATCACTTAAAATTACAACTGAAAAAAAGTCACCTAAAACGTCTCCACATTTCTTTTTCCAATAATTCAATTTAATCTTATCAACTTAAACGTATTATTTTAGTAACTATTAAATTTTATTAAAGTATAATATTAATGTAATAAAATGAAGATACTTGTGAAACGGCACCACAGAATCCTTCTGTGTTCCCTTCCAGTCTTTGTATAGCACCCCTAAAGGTACTCAGGATGCTGACTTGTAATCATACAGGTTAAAATAACCATAAACTTTTTTTTCTTTTTTTGAGACAAAGTCTTGCTCTGTGGCCCAGGCTGGAGTGCAGTGGCACGATCTCAGCTTCCTGCAACCTCCACCTCCCGGGTTGAAGCAATTCTCCTGCCTCAGCCACCAAGTAAATGGGATTACAGGCACACGCCATCGCACTCGGCTAATTTTTGTATTTTTAGTGGAGATGGGGTTTCGCCATGTTGGCCAGGCTGGTCTCGAACTCCTAACCTCAAGTGATCTGCACGCCTTGGCATCCCAAAGTGCTGGGATTACAGGCGTGAGCCACCACACCCAGCCAACAACTATAAACTTTTAATAGCATATATTCACTATATAAGCCTACCACAATCACAAAACATAAATATTTTTCAGAATAAAATTAAACTAGCTTCTAGGGAAATAAAACTATCATACACTATGACTCAATTATTTTTAAACTTTAGAAATATACATACATTCCAAAAACAAACTGAAAGATAACCCAAATTATTAAAAGCCATTATTTAAAATTATTTATTTAATTAAATATTTAACATATTGAATATATTTAATTTATTTAACATTTAAAATTCCACTATTTAAGGTGGAAAGTTTCTAAGTTTCTGCAATGGGCACATATTAATTTCATAACACAGGAAAAGGAATCTTAGAATATGCACTCGGGTATGATATTAAATAATTCAAGTACAGTTGAAGGTATGAAGTTATTATGTGAAAAACATCTATAGAAACAAAAACAATGGCAAAGCCAAGACAGGAGAGTTATAGACAACGTAATTGCAGTTACCCCTCCTGATATCAAAACATCCTCAGCAAACACAAATAATCCCATCTATACATAAACAAAGGGCATTTTTTTGTGACATCACTTCTGTCCTTAACCCACACATCTGTCTTGCTCTCACCTCTCAGCCTTTCAACCTACCTTTCACCCTTCTTACAATTTTTCCACTTTTTGGTAGAGCCTATCCTTTTTCAAAATCCAGTCTTTTATTCTTTATTTTTTCTTTAATAGAGACAGGGTCTCGCTATGTTGCTGAGGTTGGTCTCGAACTCCTGGGCTCAAGCAATCCTCCTGCCTCAGCCCCTCAAAATGCTCAGATTGCAGGCCTAAGCCACCACGCCCAGCCCAAAATCCAACCTTAAATGCCTCCATTAAACTTCCTGTAGTCATGTTACATGGCAGAGCTATGATAAAGTGGGATACCTACAAACTCAGGAGACCTAGGTTCAAGATTATGCTCTACAACCTAGATAACTGACAAACTTTCAGATCTCCAGTTGCAGCTGTAAAATGGAGTTTGTGTAAAGATTAAATAGAAAATACATACTGAGGCAGTTTGTAAAGATAAAAGCCTTCCAAATGTAGAATAATATCTATTTACCTATAATATTGGTATCCATAATCCCAAAGAAAGAAATTTTGGCCATAATTCAGACCACTGTATATAAAAATCAAATCTGCCACTAATGTATCGTAGTATGTTCCTTTTAAAAAGCCACTTCTAGGCTGGGTGTGGTGGCTCACGCCTGTAATCCCAGCACTTTGGGAGGGCAAGGCAGGTGGATTGTCTGATATCAGGAGTTCGAGACCAACCTGGCCAACACAGTGAAACCCCATCTCTACTAAAAATATAAAAAATTAGCTGGGCATGGTGGCGGGTGCCTTTAATCCCCACTACTTGGTAGGCTGAGGCAGGAGAATCACTGGAACCCAGGAGGCAGAGGTTGCAGTGAACTAAGATGGCGCCACTGCACTCCAGCCTGGGCAACAGAGTGAGACTCAGTCTCAAAGAAAAAATGAAAAAGAAAAAGCCACTTCTAGATCTTTACATACAGAAGTGATGGAAAACAGTGCCGTGGCATCACTGTTTACTATAATACATTACTCCTAACAAGACTAGAATTCTTATTCAGTTTTTATTCATTTATTTCTGTGACCAAGAATTTGTATGGTTTTATCCTTCACAGTTTAATCTCAGGCTTGGGAAAAATTCGTAACTGATCTTCTCATCATAATTCTCAGAATAAAAGTAAGAATTCTAACACCATAAAAGCAAGAAATTCTCTGAAAAGTCAAACTAAATATAAGGATTACACATTTTATTTAAAAATAAAAAGAGAAATCATGACAATGTATTATAGGCAAAAGAATACACAAACAGATCAATGGAACAAAATAGGGAGTCCAGAAACAGATCCACTTAAATACAATCAACTTATCTTGATGGAGATAGAAGTCTTTCCAACAAACGGTACTGGAACAACTGGATATCCACATACCAAAAAAAAAAAAGTCTAAACTAGGAGAAGTGGTATGTGCTAGAAAATAACACAGAAGAAAATCTAGATGACCAGGGATTTTGGCAATGACTTTTTAGATTCAGCACCAAAGGCACAATAGATTAAAAAAAAGAACTGATAAAGCTGGATTTCATTAAAATTAAAATTTTCTGTTCTGCAGAAGACACAGTCAAGGGACTAAAAAGAAGCCACAGACTATAAGAAAATACTTGGTAAAGATGTATCCAATAAAGGGTTATTATCCAAAAAAAGGTAACTCTTTAAACTCAATAATAAGAAAACAAACAATTAAAAATGGACCAGGCTGGGCACAGTAGCTCAAGCCTGTAATACCAGCATTTTGGAAGGCTGAGGCAGGCGGACTGCTAGAGCCCAGGAGTTCAAGACCAGCCTGGGCAACATGATGAAACCCTGTCTCTACTAAAAGTACAAAAATTAGCTGGGCACGGTGGTGCGTGCCTGTAGTCCCAGCTACTCGGGAGGTTGAGGTGGGAGTTTTAGGTGAGAGGTTGAGATGGATCACTTGAGTCCAGGAGACAGAGGTTGCAGGGAGCAGAGATCGTGCCACTGCACTCAAGCCTGGATGAACGAGTGAGACCCTGCCTCAAAAAAAACAAACAAACCAAAAAAAACACTAAAGACCTTAAGAGACACCTCACCAAAGAAGATATACAGATAGCAAATAAGCATAGGACAAGATACTCCACACCTGATGTCATCAAGGAAACACAAATAAAAACAAAAATGAGATACCACTACACACCTATTAGAATGACCAAAATCCAGAACACTGACAACACCAAATGCTGACAAAAATACAGAGCAAAAGGAACTCTCATCTGCTGCTGGTGCGAATGTAAAATGGTACAGCCACTCTGGAAGGCTGGTTAGCAGTTTATTACAAAACTAAATATACTCTTATCATATGTTCCAGCAATCACAGTCTATGGTATTTATCTAAAGGAGCTGAAAACTTATGTCTACACAAAAATCTGTACCACAACATTTACAGCAGGTTTACTCATAATTGGCAAAACTTGGGAACAACCATGATGTCCTTTAGGTAGCACATTCAGACAATGGAATATTCTTCAGCACTAAAAAGAAGTGAGCTATCAAGCCATGCAAAGACATGGAGGAAATGTAAATGCATACTAAGTAAAAGCAGTGTGAAAAGGCTACATAACGTATGCTTCTAACCATATGACGCTGTGGAAAAGGCAAAACTACGGAGACTTTAAATAAAAAGATCAGTGGTTGCCAGGGTATAGTGGGGAGGAGGGATGAATAGGCAGAGCACAAAGGATTTTTAAGACAATTAAAATACTCTGTGGTGTATGGTGGATACATGTCATTATACGTTTGTCCAAACCCATGAAAATTTATAACACCAAGAGTGACTCCTAATGTAAATGATAGACTTTGGGTGGTAATGATGTGTTAATGCAGGTTCATCAGTTGGAACAAATGTACCACTCTGATAGGGGATGTTAATAATGGGGAAGGCTATGCAAGTGTCGGGGGAGAGGATATATGAGAAGTCTGTAGCTTCTGCTCAATTTTGCTATGAACCAAAAGCTGCTCTAAAACATGAGGTCAACTTTTTAAGGCATAAATAAGTAAATACAAAGGGGAGTGGGAGAAACAGATGCAAACAGACCTATGATACAGTTTAAACCCAAACAGCCAAAGGAATCTAAGAACGGAAGAAAGAAGGAATGTATGACTAAGTTACTATCAACCCAGAACAAAAAAGAAATCATATATGTGGAAAAATGAACATGGGCTAAACACACACTTTTTAAACATATATAAAGTATGTGTTTAGCCCACACATAAAGATTAAGATATAAAAAAGAAACTCATTAAAATAATTGTTTTTTTGAGACAGGGTTTTGCTCTGTCACATGGACTGGAGTGCAGTGGCATGACCACAGCTCACTGCAGCCTTGACTTCCCAGGCTCAAGCGATCCTCCTACCTAAGCCCCTCAAGTAGCTGGGACCACAGGTGTACACCATCACACCCAGCTAATTTTTTAATTTTCTGTAGAGACAGGGTCTCACTATGTTGCCCAGGCTAGTCTCAAACTCCTGTGCTCAAACACTCCACCTACCCTCAGCCTCCCAAAGTGCTGGGATTACAGTGGTGAGCCACTGCACCCAGCCTAAAATAATTTTAAACAAAATACAAATGGGATCTTCAGAAATATGGTGAACTTATGATTTAGCAGTATAAGCCACATATGCTTCAGTGTAATATGTATCTCATTCACCCAATATACTTCTATTAAGCATGTATGGATTTAGGAAATAAAGATGAATACTGCACTAAGAATCTTACAGTCAACAAATGCCAGTTGATTCTTATTGTAACTACCACTTTGGAACACCTGTTCTTAGTAACAAAATAATCTCATCTGGTTTCAATAAAATTCACTAGTCTCCACTATTATTAAAGTCATGAGGGCTCCCAAGGTGAGTCAGTAGTGGACACTGCCTTCATTTCTGTTCTGACCTTGCAGCTATGGGGCCCCCAGAAACCTTGGAGAAATTCTTGTTCACCACCTCCTTCCAACTGCAGCCATACAGACCTCAAAATTAGGGCAGAAAATCAGACTCAAGAAAGTTAATAACTCTTACATGGAATAAATAAAAAGAATTCCACACATAAAAACACCACAATGGAAGCTGCAAAACAGCTAAAGACAAAGAGAAGACTATAAAAGAAGCGGAAGGAAAAAACAGACTACAGCCAAGAGTCTACTGACTTCTCAACAGCCATAAGCCAGCAAAATATTTTCAATATGTTAAAAAATAAATAAATAAGGACAGTGGCATCATCAAATGGCAGAGCAGAAGCCATCTGGCTTCACTCTTCCCCACAGAAAACCAAAAACAAATATCCAGGATCAAGACTATCGTTAGCAATATCCCAGAACTCAAACCTGAGGTACAGATAATCTCCAGGGTCACAGGGAAATTTAAAACTCCAAACAGATGGTAAGAGAAATCGACTTCTGTGATTCCCCTCCCCAAATATGCGAGGCACCCCATAGAAAAATCCCCCAAGACTAAAAGTTTTACATTAGAAAAAGTAAGAATGAGGCAGACAGCCAGCTTCTTCACCATCTTGTGTTCTCCTGCAGGAAAACAATTTCTGCCTTAATCCGCAAGAAGCACTGCAAGTGCCTTTAGGGAGAAAAAGCCCTGAAGGCAGCTAGAGACAGCCCAGGAAACTGCTGTTTATCTCTGCCAAAAATGATGCCAAATCAGGGTGGCTGTTGAGCAGCGCCACACCATAGGAGGCAAGCTCCACGGGTCTTCTGGGCGTGAACCTATAGCCAGCCCTCGTGACTTTTTAAAATGTACTAAAACCCTCTAGAGGAAAGTAAAAAATAAACAGATTACATAAAAGATCAGGTAACTATGGAAATGAACTCTTCAACAGTAACAGTACACAGATGCTAAAAAGCAATACAGCAATGCCTTCAAAATTGCGAATGAAAATAATTTTTAACATACAATTTTATAATCTGCCAAACTATCAATCAAGTATGCAGGAAGGCATATTCAGACAAGCAAAAATTTTTAAAAAATTACCACACATGCATGCTGTCACAGGAAGTTATTTGAGGGTGTGCTCAAGTAAACTAGGGAGTAGTAAACAAAGGAAGACAATGTGAGATCGGAGGACCCAGCATAAAAGAGCAGATGAGAATGTATTAAAATAAACACTGTGCAGATGGCTCAGCGGATAACTAGTTCAGGCTGAAGTACAAGAATGGAGCTCTTAAAAACAAGACCTCCAGAAACAAAGGGGGACCTGACAAATTTTCTCTTATCACAGAACACAGAGAATAGAGAGAAAATGAAGCAATGGATACATAAGTAAATGAAAAAGAGAGGCAATTTTTAACTACACAAAAATGAAGAAAGCCATATAAAAGGATCTCTCCCTGATCTGCATTAAACAGCATTTGCAGAGTCATTATAAGCACTGACTATTGTTTTAACTAAGGTATGTGGAATTATTAAAAAGGAAAGAAGCTAGGTTATAAAAGTGGTCATTCTGGCCAGGCTCAGCGGCTTACACCTGTAATCCAAACACTCTGGGAGGCTCAGGCACGAGGTGTACTTGATGCCAGGAGGGTAAGACCAGCCTGGGGAAGAAAGTGAGGCCTTGTCTCTACAGGGGAAAAAAAAAAAAAAAATTTGTTTTTTAATTAGCTGAGTAAGGTGGGACAGGCCTGTAGTCCCTGCTACTAACTGAGCCACTGCATTCTAACCTGGGTGACAAGCGAGTCTGTCTTGAAAAAAATACTAAAAATAAAAATAAATAATAAAAGTGACAATTCTTATCTAAACAAGAATGCACTATATGTCTAAAACTAACTAAAAAAAAGTAGTATGAGCATTTTATTCAGAAACTTGGAATTAAAAGCAGATGGGGGGCTGGGCGTGGTGGCTCACGCCTGTAATCCCAGCACTTCAGGAGGCCGAGACAGACAGATCACTGGAGGTCGGGAGTTCGAGACCAGCCTCACCAACATGGAGAAACCCCGTCTGTACTAAAAATATAAAACTAGTTGGGCGTGGTGGCACATGTGTGTAATCCCAGCTACTCAGGAGGCTGAGGCAGGAGAATCGCTTGAACCTAGGAGGCGGAGGATGCAGTGAGCCAAGAGAGTGCCACTGCACTCCAGCCTGGGCAACAAGAGCGAAACTCCATCTCAAAAAAAAAAAAAAAGCAGATGATGGCCAGGCACAGTGGCTCACACCTGTAATCCCAGCACTTTGGGAGGCCAAGGCGGGTGGATCACGAGGTCAAGAGATTGAGACCATCCTGGCCAACATGGTGAAACCCCATCCCTATTACAAATACAAAAATTAGGCCGGGCACAGTGACTCACACCTGTAATGCCAGCATTTTGGGAGGCCAAGGCGGGAGAATCACTTGAACCCAGGAATGTGGAGGTTGCAGTGAGCCGAGATCGCACCACTGCACTCCAGCCTGGGCAACAAGAGCGAGACTCTGCCTCAAAAAAAAAAAAAAAAAAAAATTAGCTGGGTGTGGTGGCACGCGCCTGTAGTCCCAGCTACTAGGGAAGCTGAGACAAGAGAATCGCTTGAACCCGAGAGGCAGAAGTTGCGGTGAACCTAGATTGCGCCACTGCACTCCAGCCTGGGTGACACAGCAACGTTCCGTCTCAAAAACAAAAAAAAGTAGATGGGATACTAAACGAGCTGAGGAACACGAAATCAGTAGGGAAAGCTAGGGACACTTCTTACTATAAATTTTTCGATATTTTTAAATTAAATTTTGTTTTTAAAATTTACAGTTATTGTCTTCCTCCCCAAAACCCTAAACTCCAGTCTAATCATGAGGACAACATCAGACAAATCCCAGTTGGGAGACGTTCCACAAAATACCTAACTGGTACACCTCAAACAATCAAGGTCATTAAAAGCGATGGAAGTCTGAGATACTGTCTCAGCCAAAAGGAATCTAACGAGACATGATGATTAAATGTAATACAGTATCCTGGATGGGATCCTTGAACAGAAAAAGGATATAAGACAAAATACTAAGGAAATTCTGAATAAAGTATGGACTTTAGTTAATAATAATGCATCACTACTGTTTCTTAACTATGATAAACGTGCTAGAAAAATGTAAGATGTTAATAATGGTGTATGGGAATTCTGTACTACCTTTGCAACTTTTCTGTAAATCTAAAACTACTCTGAAATGAAATGCTTACTAAAAAACTTATAAAGGCAAAACTTAATTAGAAATACAGACAGATACACATGTATATGTATGTGTATATAAATTTAACAATATATAACAGAAGCGCTACAAGACACACTGTTAACTAAAAAAAAAAGCAGGTTACAGAAAAAGGCATATATATAGTATATTTAGGTTTTTAAAAATAAACTAGATAATCTTAGCCAGGCGCAGTGGCTCTTGCCTGTAATCCCAGCACTTTGGGAGGCAGGCGGATGACCTGAGGTCAGGAGTTCCAGACCAACCTGACCAACATGGAGAAACCCTGTCTCTACTAAAAATACAAAATAAGCCGGGCATGGTGGCGCATGCCTGTAATCCAGCTACCTGGGAGGCTGAGGCAGGAGAACTGCTTGAACCCAGCCTGAGCAACAAGGGCGAAACTCCATCTCAAAAAATAAAATAAAATAAAATAGTAAACGATATAATCTCTTCTGTGAGTGTGTGTTTACATATGTACATATGTAAATGCACAGAACACTTAAAAGGGCTTACCCCTGGCCGGGCGCCATGGCTCATGCCTGTAATCCCAGCACTATGGGAGGCCGAGGCAGGTGGATCACCTGAGGTCAGGAGTTCGAGACCAGCCTCGCAAACATGGTGAAACCCCGTTCATACTAAAAATACAAAATAAGCCGGGCATGGTGGCGCATGCCTGTAATCCAGCTACCTGGGAGGCTGAGGCAGGAGAATCGATTGGACCCAGGAGGCAGAGGTTGCAGTGAGCAGAGATCGCACCACTGCACTCCAGCTTGGGCCACAAGAGCAAAATTCCATCTCAAAAAAAAAAAAAAAAAAAAAGTGGGGGGCTTATCCCTAGGGAAGAAAGAAAAAGAACTTCTGGTTTTTATTTCATTTACTTCCTAAATTATTTGAAACTTCTGCAAGAGAAAGGGATTTGTGGCCGGGCGCAGTGGCTCATGCCTGTAATCCCAGCATTTTGGAAAGCCAAGGCGGGTGGATCACCGGAGGTCAGGAGTTCAAGACCAGCCTGGCCAACATGGTGAAACCCCGTTTGTACTAAAAATACAAAAAATTAGCCAGGCATGGTGGTGTGTGCCTATAATCCCAGCTACTCGGGAGGCTGAGGCAGGAGAACCGACTGGACCCGGGAGGCGGAGGTTGCAGTGAACCGAGATTGCACCACTGCACTCCGGCTTGGGCCACAAAAGCGAAACTCCGTCTCAAAAAAAAAAAACAAAAAAGAAAAAGAAAAAAAATAGGGGGCTTACCCCTAGGGAAGAAAGACAAGGAACTTCTGGTTTTTATTTCATTTACTTCCTAAATTATTTGAAACTTCTACAATAGAAAGGGATTCATGGCCGGGCGCAGTGGCCCATGTCTGTAATCCCAGCACTTTGTGAGGGCAAGGCAGGTGGATCACCTGAAGTCGGGAGTTCGAGACCAGCCTGGCCAACAGGGTGAAACCCCATCTCTACTAAAAATACAAAAATTAGCTGGGCATGGTGATGCACGTCTGTAATCCCAGCTACTCAGGAGGCTGAGGCAGGAGAATCACTTGAACCCAGGAGGCACAGGTTGCAGTGAACCAAGAGCGCACCAGTGTACTCCCACCTGGACAACAGAGTGAGACTCTCAAAAAAAAAAAAAAAGAAAAAAGAAAAAGAAAGGGATTCATATATTATGTATTATTTGTACAATCAAGTTGGTAGCCTAACTCTCCTTCCCGAAAGAATTAATAATTATGTTCAGATACATACTTTTTTAAAGATTTAGAATCACTCAGTATATTAGAAGGAGATACAAGAAAAAAAAATTCAAAGTAAAACACTGAATATATAACATAATATGTACTCACATAAACACATTAAAAAAAGTTTCCAAAGGTCTCCCTCCATTAAAACTGTTCAAGTGCTGTTCTACCTCACTTGATATATATTATCTCGATGTTATGCTATAGTTAATCAAGAGGAGAAAAAAAGGAGAAAATTAGAAATAATTATAAGCTGGTGCAAAGGCTCATTCATGCCTGTAATCCTAGCACTTTGGGAGGCCAAGGTGGGAGGATAGCTTGAGCCCAGAAATTCAAGACCAGCCTGGGCAACACAGAGAGATCCTGTCCCTATTAAAAAAAAAAAAATTTTTTTTTTGAGACAGAGTTTCACTCTTGTGTCCCAGGCTGGAGTGCAGTGGCGTGATCTCAGCTCCCTGCAACCTCCGCCTCCCAGGTTAAAGCAGTTCTCTTGCCTCGGCCACCCGAGTAGCTGGGATTACAGGCATGCTCCACCATGTCCAGCTAATTTTTGTATTTTTAGTAGATACTGGGTTTCACCATGCTGGCCAGGCTGGTCTTGAACTCCTAACCTTGTGATCCTCCCACCTCGGCCTCCCAAAGTGCTAGGATTACAGGTGTGAGCCACCACGCCCAGCCAAAAAAATTCTTTTTAAATTAACTGGGCATGGTGGTACATGCCTGCAGTCCCAGCTACTTGGGTGGGTGAGGTGGGAGGATCGCTTAAACCCAGCAGGTCACGGCTGCAGTGAGCTGTGATCATGCCACTGCACTCCAGTCTGGGCAAAGAGTGAGACCCTATCTCAAAAAATTAAAATTAGAATTAAAAAATAAATTATATATGTATTCTGAATATGCATACACACATACATTATTTATTAGGCTTAACAGTTTTTAAGAAAAAGAAGCTATACTTTTACTCAACCACAGATTTTGATGTATAGGAAATTCTTTATATAGGTTCATTAATTTTTTTAAGAAATTACAGCATCATAAAAATCCACACTGGAAGTTCTTAAGAAATGTTGGCCGGGCGCAGTGGCTCACACCTGTAATCCCAGCACTTTGGGAGGCCAAGGCACGTGGATCACTTGAGGTCAGGAGTTTGAGCCCAGCCTGGCCAACATAGTGAAACCCCATCTCTACTAAAAATACAAAATTAGCCAGGCGAGGTGGCGCATGCCTGTAATCCCAGCTACTCGGAAGGCTGAGACACAAGAACCGATTGAACCAGGAGGCGGAGGTTGTGGTGAGCCGAGATTGCACCACTGTACTCCAGCCTGGGTAACAAAGCGAAACTCTGTCTCAAAAAAAAAAAAAAAAAGAAGAGAGAAAGAAATGTTAGAATTTCATACTACAGCTTTCAGTCACAATATATTGTTGCTGCACAAACATCAAACAAGCTTCACACCATCACAGTTTTGCCTGCCCTGAATATGAGCCATGAGCCATAATTCACACCATAATAACGCAGTCCATGAAATCAACTGAACTGAACGACAACAATGACATTCCCCACCTTCCCTCTCTTACATTATTCCTTCCAGGAATAATGTATGGCTAGAAATAGATGAGAGAACAAGCAGCGGCAGAAGAAGAGAAATGTAAAGAATTTGAAGCAGAAGGAAAAGCAGTTACATTACAAAATGATTACAATTACATACACTAAAATAAAAATTGAAGGAGATGAAGGATACAGTAAAAAGAAGAGAAAGGACTTCACAAACAGTAAATGGGAAAGAAGTGATTTATCACAGCCCCTCGCTAACACAGCTAATCAAAGCTAAAAAATCCAGTGGCTTCTCAGCCCTTTTTTCCGTGGACCTCACTGCAACATAACAGTATCAATTCCTTCTCAAAATTTCTCCCTAAGTTTCACTGAAACTGTACTATCCTACCTGACTCCTCCCTCATTCTCATAATCCCACCATCCAAACCTGCACATTTACCTAGGATCTCTCCTAGGCATTCCTCTCTCTTCTCTATATTGCCTCTAAAAATGCACTCACATGATGTAAACTATAACCCTGTGGCAAACTAATCTCCAAATTAATCTCCCAACCCAACCCCTCTGCCAAACTCCACATCTTCATCTCCATAATATTTAACACCAAAATATCATCTTTCTAATATAAAAAAGTTCAAGTTCTCCTTCCAATTCTCTATGTTAATGGCACATCCTCATCCAACATCCAAATACAAAAAATTTTCAGTAACACTAATAATACTTCTTTCTTCAATTTTCCCCTAACACTAAATCACTTGACCAGTTCAGTTTATACTTCGTTAAAATATTTCCATCTTTTTTTCCCTTTCCAGAGTCACCACCTAGTGTATTCTCACTAGCTTTTAAAAGAAAGGGTTTCCGTACCTATAGTTTCTTTCCTTTCCACCAAGTAAGCACAGTGACCAAAAAAGATTCCTTAAATGTATAGTTTACCATGTCACTATCTTCTGCTTAAAACGAATGAATAAACCAACTCAGCTTACCTCTGCCTATCTAAAAACAGAAAACTCCCATAATATGTCATTCAAGAATCTTCAGTTAAGACTCACCTTCTTTTAGCCTTTTCTTCAACTATTCACCCACATATATAACAAGATTCCGGATTACTTGATTCATCATTACTCAAATGTCTTACTCCAATATTTTTACTAATATATCCCTTAGCTAAAATGCGATTGCCCATCCCAATTCCTCCTGCCCAAATCCTACACATCCTGTAAGATTACGGTGAAATTTAGCTTCTTCCACTAAGCACTCCTTGATGCCCATGATCACAAATGATCATATCCTCCTCCTCCCTCTTCTATAATTTGAATTCTGATTTTTTGTATAACTGCTCAATCTGCCCTCCTGGTTTCTAAGCTCCTTTGCAATTATCATATCTTGCTCTTTGCTACCTTCTGTAGAACCTAGAATGGTGCTTTGCATATAAGTGATGCTCAATGTGAATGAAGTTTCCAGGAGGCAAAAGATTTAAGTAAAAAGAAGGAAATTACTATTGATAAGCATTTGAAGGCAATCATAGAAGACAAAAAAGCAATACACAGAAAAAAAAAAAACAAAATTACCAACAATGAGCAGTGTCTTTTACATTGCAGCTATTTATCTCTCCAATTAAATTAAAAATTATCTCAAGGCAAGAAACAGAAAGTTCTCCTCTTTGTATCTCCCTTTCTTCCACCACCACCCAAGCACAAAGCGGGCCATAAATAAGTGTTAAATCCACATAAGAAAAAAAGCAGTAGGCTGGGCACGGTGGCTCACCGCTGTAATCCCAGCACTTTGGCATGCCGAGGCAGGCAGATCACTTGAGGTCATATGACCAAAATGGTGAAACCCCATCTCTACTAAAAATACAAAATGTAGCCGGGCAAGGTCGCCCACGCCTGTAATTCCAGCTACTCAGGAGGCTGAGGGATGAGAACCTGGGAGGCTGATGCTGCAGTGAGCCAGGATCACACCACTGCACTCGAGCCTGGGTGACAGAGTGAGACTCTGTCTCAAAAAAAAAAAAAAAAAAAAGAAAAAGAAAATGAAAAAGAAAGAAACCCCAAATGTATTGTGATATAATAGAAATAATTCAGGCTTTGTAATTATACATATTAAGCTCAAATTCTAGCTCTGCCAATAACTGATCAAGTGACATGAAGCAAGTTACTTAACCGTGTTGTGCCTCAGTAATCTCATCTGTATAGATAATAACACTTGTCTTCTGCAATTTTTTTTTTAACGGAGTTTCGCTCTTGTTGCCCAGGCTGGAGTGCAATGGCACGATCTCAGCTCACCGCAACCTCTGCCTCCCGGGTTCAAGCGATTCTCTGCCTCAGCCTCCCGAGTAGCTGGGATTACGGGCATGCAGCACCACGCCCAGCTAATTTTGTATTTTTAGTAGACCCGGGGTTTCTCCATGTTGGTCAGTCTGGTCTTGAACTCCCAACCTCAGGTGATCCACCCACCTTGGCCTCCCAAAGTGCTAAGATTATAGGCACGAGCCACCACGCCCAGCCTTTTACAATTTTTATAACAAGGCAACATATGCATTATTTCCAACACTATGCACAATACCTAATTTTAAGCACTGGACAAATGTAGCTATTATTATTAAATATAAACAGAATTTTATTACAAAAGCACCCAGTAACAAAGAGTTACAAAAATACTACAATAACAATAGTCACAAGAACACACAAAGAGTAAGAGGAAAATAAAAAAGGACACATACAGCTGGGAACAGTGGCTCACACCTGCAATCCCAGCACTTTGGAGGACAAGGTGGGAGGATGGCTTGAGGCCAGGAGTTCAAGGCCAGCCTGGACAATATGGCGAGACCCTTTCTCTACGGAAAATACAATAATTAGCCAGGCACAGTGGTGCGCACCTATAGTACTGGCTACTCAGAAGGCTCAGTCAGATGGATCACTTGAGCCCAGGAGTCTGAGGCTGCAGTGAGCCATGATCACACCACTGCACTCCAACCTGAGCAACAGAGTGAGACCTTGTCTCTAAAAAAAATTTTTTTAAATACATATATACATAAAAACCATGCCAGGCATAACATGATAAAGTGGCCTGTGAAAAATTTTAGCTCAGGTTTTCCTCACTAAACTATCAGAAAAGATTGGTCTCCAGAGCAGAAATAAAAGCATTTCGTCTGTTCTCAACATATTATAAAACCAAGATATGAAGTACTAAGATATTGTAGGTGGTATCTGGTTACAGAATTAAATCACTTTAAATCACTGAATCGTGTGTCTATAGCTACTATATCAAACGTGATTGTTTCACATATATACAACCTGGGGCATTCTTAGACCTCTAAGTCCACATTATACAATTACATTATTTATTACAATTTAAATTATACTCTGTAATGCAAATGGTAAATCATATACATAGTTCTTAATGATAACAATATGTGTGGGCATATGTAACTATGGGAACCAGACTCTCGTTGTACTTGTTATATACTCTTAGTTACACTTTTTCACACAACCAATTAAAGTTCTACATTTTTTAAAAGTTGTATATTTAGCTAACATCATTAGATACACACCTACAGATGCTTTATCAATCTTAATTCAATTGGAATGTGCTCCAAGTGAAATTTTCCAAAACACACATACATTATGTGCCCTAATGTATGTGCAGTGAGAAATTGGTTCAGACTTCCAAAGCTAAGTCATAAGAAGACTTGCTGTTTCCACCTATGTCGCTGGGTGTCAAGACTCTTGGAGTCCTGAGCTGCCACGTAAGAAATCCAACTTCCTAATTAACAGACCATGTGGAATGGTCCTGAAACAACTTGGAGAAAGAGAAGGGTTCACTCAGTTCAGTATCTAGCCATACATAACACAGCAACAGGCACGTGAGTAAAGTCATCTTGGACCTTCCATACCAGACCAGCCACCAACTCAACACCAATGAGCAACTCCAGTCAACACTGCGTGAAGCAGAGGAAATCACCCAGCCAATCATGCCAGAATTTGTGATTCACAAAATCATCTGATATAATAAAATGGTTATTGTTTCAAACCACAAAATTTTAGGGCAGTTTGTTATGCATTAAGAGATAATTCAGCCTTCACAAAGTCTTATTATAGATAATGAAAAAGTTGTTTTGTTTAAGTATATACAAGACATGCACTGACTCTAGAAAAATGTTAAAGTAGAAAACTGTCTTACAAAATACACTGATGGGCCAGGTGCGGTGGCTCACACCTGTAATCTAGCACTTTGAGAGGCCGGGGCAGGCAGATTGCTTGAACCCAGGAGTTTGAGACCAGCCTGGCAAACATGATAAAACCTCATCTCTATAAAAAATACAAAAAAATTAGCCAGGTGTGGTCGTGCACTTGTAGTCCCAGTTACTCAGGAGACTGAGGTGGGAGGATCAACTGAGCCCAGAAGTTGAAGCCGTGATTGCACCAGTGCCTACCAGCCTAGGCAACAGTGAGACTCAGTCTCAAAAAACATAAAACAAAATACACTGATATATTAAAATCAAGAAGTGAAGGGCTAAAAGAAAAAAGGCTTAATATATAATGTCAGAGCTATAAACACAATCAAACGCCTTGAAATTATTTCCTCCCATAACTTCTGTGACATTGTAGAGCTCGCTTTTCCTATCTAGCTGCCATGAATATTAGTTCATATAATGTTCTCTCTCCCCACAACTCCTTTATCTCTTTGCTGAAATCCTACCATACTGCCCTTTCAAAGTTTCTCTCAAATATCTCCTCTCCTACATCTCTTCTCCCTTTCTTTTCTGAGACACAGTCTCGCTCTGTCGCCCCGACTGGAGTGCAGCAGCACGATCTCGGCTCACTGCAGCCTCCGCCTGCCAGGTTCCAGTGATTCTCCTGCCTCAGCCTCCCAAGTAGCTGAGATTACAGGCACACAGCACCACGCCCAGCTAATTTATATATTTTTTAGTAGAGACAGGGTTTCACCATGTTGGCCAGGCTGGTCTTGAACTCCTGACCTCAGGTGATCCGCCCACCTCAGCCTCCCAAAGTGCTCAGATTACAGGTGTGAGCAGCCACACCCGGGACCTTGTCCCTTTCTTAACTGCCTTAGTATCTGCCTGCCCTCACTCCACACCACAACTTTCTACTTATGGTATTTAACTTACTGCAGTATATATTATAAGTATCCTGCTACATTGTTTGGAGGCAGAAATTGTATTTATCGATTTTGCCATTTTTCTTAACACTTTGCCACAGCATTTAAGAACCAAAAATATTTATCTCTGCTAATCTCAGATTTCAAAGACAAAAACAATGCTTGAAGTACCACAAAGTATTTTACTATAATTCATTCTGTTTCTGATTACAATTGTATAGCTTCTCACTGTTATAACATTATATATCCAATTACCAATTATATGTAGAAAAACCAAAGTCTTTTTTATATACTAGTAATAATCTCACAAAAATATACTAGGAAAAACTCCCATCATAAAAATAAAAATACTAGAAGAAAACTTACAATCTGTATTAAATACCAATAAAAATCTCTAAGACGATATAAAATAATATAAGACTACGGCCAGGCACAGTGGCTGACGCCTGTAATCCCAACTTTGGGAGGTCAAGGAGAGAGGATTCCTTGAGTCCAGGCAACATGGCAAGACTATCTCTACAAAAAATAAAATAAAAAACAGCTGGGAGTGGTGTCGCTCACCTGTAGTCCTAGCTACTCAAGAGGCTAAGATGGGAAGATAGCTTAAGGCCAGCAGTTCCAGACTGCAATGAGCTATGATTACGCCACTGCACTCCAGCCTGGGCAACAGAGCAAGACCCTGTCTCCTTTGAAAAAAAAAAAAGAATGTAAGAATAGATAGGCCAGGCACAGTGGCTCATGCCTCATGCCTCATGCCTGTAATTTCAGCACTTTGGGAGGCCAAGGCAAGCAGATCACCTGAAGTCAGGAGTTCAAGACCACCTGGTCAACATGGTGAAACCCCGTCTCTACTAAAAATACAAAAAATAGCCTGGCGTGGTGGTGCACGCCTGTAATCCCAGCTACTCGGGAGGTTGAGGCAGGACAATCGCTTGAACACAGGAGGCGGAGACTGCAGTGAGCCAAGACTGAGCCACTGCACTCCAGCCTGGGTGACAGAGCAAGACACCGTCTAAAAAAAAAAAAAAAAAAAAAAAAAAGATGAAGATACACATGCAGCTTTTAAGTACAAAGATAATTCTGTCATGACTATAATTTCCTCCTAGTTTAATCAATAAATTTAATGAAAATATCTAGAGCGTGACAGTGGGTAGAAGAACTTTACAGAATAATTCTCAAGTTAATAAAAATGGTGAAAAAAAAAAAAAGGAGCCAGACAGCTGAGGCGGGAGGATCATCTGAGCCCAAGAGTTCAAGGCTGCAGTGAGCCATGATCGCACCACCACACTCCTGCAGCCTGGGTGACAAAAGTGAGAGACGGTGTCAAAAACAAAAACAAAAACAAAACAAAACAAAAAAAACAAAGAAAAAGACAAAGGGAATCTTGACCCAAACCTTACAGACGGAAGTTTTCAAAATGCATTGCGGACCTAAATGTGAAACCTAAACCTATAAAATGCCTAGAGAAATCTAAGAGAAAATCCTGTGATCTAGGGTTAGGAAAAGCTTTCGAAGTTAAGAAACAAAAGATGCAAACCATAAAAGAAATAAAAGTATAAAGTGGGCTTCATTAATTTATAAATTTCTGCTATGAAAAACTGTGAAAGTATTAAGAGAAAGAAAAGACAGAGAATGGTAGAAAACATTTGCAAAACATGTATCTGATAAAGGAGTTCTACCCAGAATATGTAAAGAACTTTCACAATTTGATAATAAGAAAACAACCCAATAACAGACACTTTGAACAGACAACTCATCAAAGAGATATATATAGAAAATAAGTACATGAAAAGATGCTCAACATCACTATTCATTAGGGTAATGTAAATTAAAACTACAATGAACTACTACTATGCAACTACTAGAATGGCTGAAGATTTTTAAACTGGCAATATCAAGTTAGGATTCTTTCTTGAGGGGAGGTCTGAATAAGGAAAAAACAGAGCTGGCAGAAATGAAAAATACAACCACTTTGGAAAACAGTTCAGCAGTTTCTTATGAACTTAAACACACTTAACAGGCCACTTACACTTAACAGCCCAACAATTCCACTGCTAGGGCCAGGCACAGTGTCGTGCCTGTAATTCTAGCACTTTGAGAGGCTACGGCAGGCGAATCACTTGAGGCCAGGAGTTCGAGACCTTCCTGGCCAACATGGTGAGCCCCCCATCTTGACTAAAAATTTTTAAAAAATTACCCGAGTGTGGTGGCGGGCATCTGTAATCCCAGCTACTTGGGAGGCTGAGGCACAAGAATCACCTAGCCGAGATCACACCACTACACTCCAGCCTGGGCGACAAAGTGAGACTCTGTCACACACACAAAATATCCCACTGCTAGGTATTTACCCAAGAAAAATGAAAACATACATCCACTCTAATCTTTCTTTCTTTTTGAGACAGAGTCTTACTCTGTTGCAGGTTGGACTGCAGTGGTGCAATCTCAGCTAACTGCAACCTCTGCCTCCCAGGTTCAAGCAATTCTCATGTCTCAGCCTCCCAAGTAGCTGGGATTACAGGCACATGCCACCACACCTGACTAATTTTTGTATTTTTAGTAGAGATAGGGTTTCACCATGCTGGTCAGGCTGGTCTTAAACTCCTGACCTCAGGTGACCTGCCCATATCAGCCTACCAAAGTACTGGGATTACAAGCATGAGTCACCACATCCAGCCCACTACAAGATTTTTTTTTTTTTTTTTTTTTGAGATGGAGTCTCTGTCACCCAGGCTGGAGTGCAGTAGTGCCATCTCAGCTCACTGCAAGCTCCGCCTCCCGGATTCACGCCATTCTCCTGCCTCAGCCTCCCGAGTAGCTGGGACTACAGGCGCCTGCCACCATGCCCAGCTAACTTTTTTGTATTTTTAGTAGAAACGGGGTTTCACCGTGTTAGCCAGGATGGTCTCAATCTCCTGACCTCGTGATCGGCCCGCCTCAGCCTCCCAAAGTGCTGGGATTACAGGTGTGAGCCACCGTGCCCGGCCACCCACTACAAGATTTCTATGTGAATGTTTAGGGCAGGCTTACCCACAATCTTCAAATACTAGAAACAACCCAAATGTCCATCAACTTGTAGCACCAAATTGTGCTATCTCCACAAAAGGAATTACTACTCAGAAATAAAAATAAATGAACTGATTCATGCAACTGTACTGATGGATCTCAAAAGTAATATAACAAGTGAAAAAAGCTAGACCGAAAAAGCTAGTGTATGATTCAACTTATATGACATTCTAAAAAAGGCAAAACTACTGAGACAGAAAACAGATCACCCTTGGATTAGAGATGATGGGAGAGCACTGAGTAGCAAGAGAGAACTTTCTGCGGTGATAAAAATCTGCTATGTCATTACTCTACTGGTGGCTATCAACTATTCATCAAAACTCATAAAACTATATACCTAAAAAGGGCAAATCTATTTTATGTAAATTATAATTCAATAATGTTTCAAAAAGCCAGGAAAATTCTGAATAAGAATATCGGGATTTTTGCCCTATAGATATCAAATCTATCCTAAAGATAGAGTAATGAGGGTGTTAGTTGAGCAGAAACAAACTTACAGAGGTAAATGTAAAAAAGTGCAAATCTAAAAACAGACCCAACTACACATGTGATTTTAGTATGATAAACATTAGCATTCTACATCTTTATGGAAAGGAAGGACTAGTCAATAAATGATGTTAAAACAACTAATTACTGGAACAAAATTAATTTGGATTCCTAATTTTGTGTCTAAATAAATTCTAAACAGAGCAAAGATTTTAATCAATAATGTCATATAAAATAACAATAGGCTATTTAAGAAAATATTGTTATGAACTAAAGGTAGAAATAACTTTTCTAAGAAATAAAAGCCAGAAGAGCCAGGCGAGGTGGCTCACACCTATAACTCCAACACAGGGAGGAGGCCAAGGCATGAGGACTGCTTGAGGCCAGGAATTTGAGATCAGCCTGGGCAACACAGCAAGACTGTGTCTCTATTTTTAAAAAAAAAAAAAAGGAAGAGAGAGGCCGGGCATGGTGGCTCACGCCTGTAATCCCAGCACTTTGGGAGGCCAAGGTGGGTGGATCATGAGGTCAGGAGATCGAGACCATCCTGGCTAACATGGTGAAACCCCGTCTCTACTAAAAATACAAAAAATTAGCCGGGCATGGTGGCGGGCGCCTGTAGTCCCAGCTACTCGGGAGGCTGAGGTAGGAGAATGGCGTGAACCTGGGAGGTGGAGCTTGCAGTGAGCTGATATCACACCACTGCACTCCAGCCTGGGCGACAGAGTGAGACTCTGTCTCAAAGGAAAAAAAAAAAGGAAGAGAGAGAAATAAAAGCCAAAAAATTAAATTACTGATGAATTTGAGTACATAAAAACAGAAAACTTCTGTATGAAAGACCAAGTACACCCCCTTAAATAATGTTTATGAACTAATGATAGTTTAGAGAGAAAAAAATTGCAACAGTAAAGGGCTAATATTCTAATATACAAAGTTTCACAAATCAATTTTTAAAAAAAGAAAAGGATAAGTCCCTTAGACTTGGCAAAGCACATGAACATATAAGTGAAATGTGAAAAAATGTTTAATCTTAATCATTAATAAATGCAAATAATAAAATCTTCAACAATCAAAACATGGAAGATTTTGAAATCTGAGAAAACTTAGCATTGGAAAGAATGTAAAAAATGGACAGTCTCATATATAATGCAAGTGAGACAGCAAATTGTTTATCTTTCACGAAAGCATTATTTATCAAAATTTAAAGTGTATGTATCTTTAACTTTCCCCTTACCCCCTATAATTCAACTTTTAGAACTTTATCCTAAGTTTTAAGTGAATAAACGCCTACACATTGTTTTATTTTAGCATCATTTACAACAGAAAAAAGAATCTAATGTCCCACAATACAGTATCAGTTAAATATATTATGGTTTATACATATAATGCAAACATGAATACTAGGTAAGCAATTAAAATTGATAATATAGTTCTACACATATTGACATGGAACAGTATTTCTAATATACTGCTAAATGAAAAAAGCAGGTTGCAGAACACATAAACAATGTTGTGTGCATTAAAAAATCACATATGTGGCCAGGCACAGTGGCTCACGCCTGTAATCTCAGGACTTTGGGAGGCTGAGGAGGGTGGATCACCTGAGGTCAGGAGTTTAAGACCAGCCTGGCCAACATCGTGAAACCCGTCTCCACAAATATACAAAAATTAGCCAGTCATGATGGCACGTGTCTATAATTCCAGCTACTCAGGAGGCAGAGGCAGGAAAATGGCTTGAACCTGGAGTGGAGGTTGCAGTGAGCCGAGACTGCACCACTGCACTCCAGCCTGGATAACAGAGCGAAACTCCGTCTCAAAAAAAAAAAAATCATGTATGTATATATAAGATTTGTACACATATAAAAAAGCATATGCATAAAAAATTATATACATGTATATACTAAGTGAAAATAATACACTAAGTGAAAATGTAATCATTAAAACAACAGTATTTCAGATGCTTTTCTTCCTAAAATTTGAATTATTTTTACAATGAACATATATTATTATAATTAGAAAATTTAATTAGGCAATTTTTATTATGATTACAAAAAAAACATACAATTATAAAATGTCAAACGAGCTTACAAAGAACTTTCAGTATTTGGTTCAAACCTCTTATTTTACAGATGAAGACCCTTACCCTCACACAGGTTTTACTCCTTTCCTTCAGATCACAAATGGGTGGTAGGGCAAGAATTTGCTCCTAAGGCCTCCTGATTCTCAGTCCTATGGTTTTTCCATTGTATATTACACAACATGTATGTTTTCACTCATAATTCTATATATATGGAAATATGCACAACAGGTAAAATTTTACTAAAAATTTACACTGTACTTAAACATGGTTACTTCTGAACACAGAACAATTACTCAAAATGCCACTATTCTAAAATAAGAAAAAGTATTCCCTCCTTTACTTCTATTTATTCATTCCCAAACTGTTGTTGGTTAACACAGCTTTAACAATACAGGCTGGGCACTTTGGCTCACACTTGTAATCCTAGTACTTTCAGAGGCTAAGACAGGAGGATTGCCGGAACGCAGGAGTTCAAGACCAGCCTGAGCAACACAGCAAGAAGCCATATCTATGAAAAACTTTTTTTAAATCAGCCAGGTGTAGTGGTGCTCACCTGTAGTCCTAGCTACTCAGGAGGCTGGGGCAAGGGGACCGCATGAGCCCAGGAGTTCGACGTTACAGTGGGCTATAATCAAGCCACTGCACTCCGGCCTGGGTGACAGCAAGACTATGTGCCAAAGAATAAAAATGGTAAAAAAAAAAAAAAAAAAAAATTAATATGCAAAATATCTTTTTTATACAATGTAGTGCTAAGTTTCAACTATGTGCAGTTAGAGTATACAAAATGGCAATTCTGATAACTCAATTTGTCAAATATAATTTGGTTATTATTTACCCACAGTTTATTTCCTTTCCACTTGACAATTTGCCTGTTGTCTATGAGCTGCTGGTCAACTTCTTATCCCATTATCACCCTTCTGCTGTTTTCAGTTTGAAATACCAGCCAATTGTTTTTCTAAATGATAATCGGGCATCTCTTCTGAGCAGGCAAAAAGGGCTGAAATATACTGCAAGTCATTCAGTTCCCAAATATGTATCCAGAAGTTGAAGGTCTGATCCAAAAGAAGATAATCACAGACCCAGCTTTCACAGAACTTGCAGTCTAGCAAAGATGACAAACGAGTTACTAAAATGAAGGAAAGAAGGCTGGGCACGGTGGCTTAAGCCTGTATAGCACTTTGGGAGGCTGAGGCGGGCGTATCACTTGAGGTCAGGAGTTTGAGACCAACCAGGCCAACATGGTGGAACTCCATCTCTACTAAAAATACAAAAATTAGCCAGGCATGATGGCAGGCGCCTGTAATCCCAGCTACTCGGGAGGCTGAGGCAGGAGAATCACCTGAATCCAGGAGGCAGAGTTTACGGTGAGCCAAGATCGCGCCACTACACTCCAACCTGAGCAACAGAGCGAGACTCTATCTCAAAAAAAACAAAAAACAAACAAGAAAATGAAGCAAAGAAAGTCAGGATAAGAGAAGAACAAAGTGAAGGGAACCTAACCTAGTCATAGAGGAGCACAGGCCTCCCTCTCAAGTTGAGACCTAGAGAGATGAGCAGACATTAGCTAGGTGTAGTAAAAGTGTGGAGCTGGGGATGGAAAGAAAACGGGTAGAGAAAGTTCTAGGCGGCGAGGAGCACTGAGGAGAACCTGAAGAACAAAACAAGAATATGATCATCCAGAGCTGTGGAAGACATTTCAAGGAATCTGAACTTCATCCCATAAACAGAAAAGTGAGATGATTAGACATGCATTTAGATGAGATACAGGGTTCAGGGTGGTATGTCTGTAGACTATATGCATTTAGATATCTGGTTATCACTCTGACTATATAGCATGAAGAATGAAGTGAAAGCACATGGATCTGAAATAGGGAGCCCACTAAGGAGGCAACTGTGCAATAATCCTGGCAAGAGATAATGGTAATTTGAACTAAAACTAGTAGAAAAGACAGAGCAAAAGTGGAAAGATATGAAAGACAGTGAGTGGTAACAAGATTTGGCCACAAGTTCAATGAGAGCAGAGGGTACAAATCCAGTTTCCAAGACGGAGCCACTAGGTATATGGTACTGAGACAAGGAACATACATAGCAAGACAAATCTGGATAAAGAAGACTAAAAGTTTTGAACACGTTAATTTTACAGTTTAAAAAATATCTAAGGACATATTAAATGTCAAGGAGGCAATTTATATAGATTTAAAAATGGACTAAGTTAAAATTTGAGGAGTGCTAACAATGGACACTAGAAAAATACCAGGGCAATTAGCAAAAGCCAGAAAGAAGAGTACAAAGGGCCCAAAACCAAACCAAATGCTGAAACTTAGTGGCAGAAGACAAATAAGGAAAATTAGGGGGTGGGGCTGGAAGACTCTGAACAGTTAATTGCTTACCTAGGAACTAAGAAGGATTCTAGATTATTTGCTCCTCATAAAAAAAAGTAACTATTGGTGGGGAACGGTGGCTCACGCTTGTAATCCCAGCACTTTGGGAGGCCAAGGTGGGTGGATCACCTGAGGTCAGGAGTTTGAGACCAGCCTGGCCATTATGGTGAAACCCCAGCTCTACTAAAAATACAAAAATTAGCCAGGCGTAGTGGTGGGTGCCTGTAATTCCAGCTAATTGGGAGGCTGAGGCAGGAGAATCACTTGAACCCAGGAGGTGGCGGTTGCAGTGAGCCAAGATTGTGCCACTGCACTCCAGCCTGGGTGACACAGGAAGACTCTGTCTCAAAAAAAAAGAAAAGAAAAAAATAACTACTGCTATCTGCCACTGTAAGGAGAGTTCTAAAAGGGTCCCCTCCACACAGGCAGGCAGACACACATACACATACACATACATACACACACACACACACACACACACACACACACACACACACACACAAACAGAATCCCTTCTATGTCGAGCAGTTATTTTTAACCCTTACCACTGACTCACCACTAATTTTGAGTTCTATCTGATAACAAAACTCTAATATAAGGTACCTGCCTACATTTCAAACTCAGTTCTGTGGGCCAACTCTCAATTCTTCAGTGATATGCTTATTCTCTTCATCTGAAGCCATGAAAATATCTATGAATCCTTCTTTCTTGCTACATATTCAATAATCAAGATGCTTTATCATATATTTCTCTCTAGGTTTTCCTTGCCATGTCCAAGTATACCAATCATTTTATCAGTAAAATCACTTCATTTAACTAATACAGTAGTCTTCAATATCTGTCTCCAATTCTTCCCTCAGCCAATCCATCCTACACAATGCCAAAGTTATGACTGCTAAAATACCAATTTGAATATATTATCACCCTCCTAAAAAACCATGTCTTGCTGTTGCCCACAAAATAGTCTGAACTCGGCTGGGCGCGGTGGCTCACGCCTGTAATCCCAGCACTTTGGAAGGTCGAGGCGGGTGGATCACAAGGTCAGGAGATCGAGACCATCCTGGCTAACACCGTGAAACCCCGTCTCTACTAAAAATACAAAAAAATGAGCCAGGCGCGGTGGCGGACGCCTGTAGTCCCAGCTACTCCGGAGGCTGAGGCAGGAGAATGGCATGAACCCAGGAGGCGGAGCTTGCAGTGAGCCGAGATCATGCCACTGCACTCCAGCCTGGGTGACAGAGCGAGACTTATCTCAAAAAAAAAAAAAAATAGTCTCATCCTGGCAAAAGGAAGGCACACTGTGGCCAACTTTCAACTGCCATGCCATCTTAACTTCCAATTCCGTACAAAAGCATCAATCTTAGCCAGTGGTTCTCTTCACACACCACCGAACACACCACGCACCCTCCTGCCTCTACAATCTTATTCACACCATCCCACCCCCTACCCCAAACAAGCCTGTCTCCATCATCTCCATTTACCTAAATTCTACTCTTCCTCCAAAACCCAGTTCATTCATTTGGTAGTCTCACAACGCAAAGTACGATTCTGGATGAAGGTGACTTAAAAACAAATTTAACAAAGTTTGCAAGGTATTTGAGAACTGGGGCTCTGAAATCAGACTATCTAAAGATCTGAAACCTAGATTTACAACTTATTTTATATTTAAATTTTCTGAACTTCCATACAGTATTTATGAAAGGCTAATATCTAATTAAACTTTAAAGGACTTGTGAAAATTATATAAAACCACAGTATATGTAAAGTGCTGAGTACAGGTCTATACATTTTAGCTATTATTATTATTGTTTCTGTCCTCAAAGAGCTCATATCCCAGCTCATGGTGCACCCAAGTACTCACTGCATAAGCTTATGACCTATCTCGAAAGTGCTTGATATAGATGCCAGTCATCTATAATTTAAAAAAAGAAAGAAGTGCTTGACAAAGTTTACAAATTTTGGTACTTTCATTATTATCAAATGAGAAAATTGAGTAATAGTGAACATTTACTCCTTTAAGATATAAAATTCATCACTAATTCAACCAGAATATTATCCCAGGACATCTGCTTTCTATACATTGCTCCAATGACAAACCAGTGAAAGTGGCTCTGAGTTAAATATCTACAGGAAATATATACTCTTCTATAAAAAAAGCTAACAAAAGTAGCTACTTAAATATGCAATGCAAAGATGGCTGATAAAATTAATTTCTTAATAAAAAGGTATTATATATTTTTTCTTCAGATTAATCATTGAGAGTAAAGGAAAGGTCATAAATGATCACTAAAACAATACCTGCTCTGAAGGACTTTATAAAATCTAGTTCAAGGCCAGACACGGTTGCTCAAGCCTATAATCCCAGCACTTTGGGAAGCCAAGGCAGATGGATCACTTGAGGTCGGGCATTCAAGACCAGTCTGGTCAACATGGTGGAACCCTGTCTCTACTAAAAATACAAAAATTAGCTGGGCGTGGTGGCACACAACTGTAAGTCCAGCTACTTGGGTGGCTGAGGCATGAGAATCACTTGAACCTGGGAGGCAGAGGTCGCAATGAGCCAAGATCGCGCCACTGCACTCCAGCCTGGGTGACAGAGTGAGACTCTGTTTCAAAAAAAAAAAAAAAAAAATCTAGTTTAATGGGAATTCATACGGGTATACAGTTAATTTACATTAGCCAAGAGAGGACATTATGGAATAGAGATTATAATTCTAAATTATACACAGTATCATTAATATATATTTGCTATATTTAAAAACTGGCAGGGCTTTTTTATTTTTGGCCATGTTGCCAATATTGTAATAGATTACCAACTGTAATTGCCCTACTACAATCAATCTTTATCTACAAGCACTGTGCAAGTGGCCTTCCAAAATTCAAACTATGGTGAATTAAGAATTCAATAAAAGAGTTTACCAAAAGATTCTGACCATACAGGTAACAATAAACTTACAGTATTTACTCTGGTATCTGAAATCAAAATAGATTGCCAAATTTTAAACTAGACATAGGAGGAGCAATTTATACTGAATTTCCCACCCCCCAGAATAATTCATTTTATATTTAGAAATCATTTGGCATCATTCTTTAACCCCCAATGAAATGGTTAGGCTGGGATAATTAACAATATAATACCATTAAGGCCAGGCCTAGTGGTTCACACCTGTAATCTCAGCACTTTGGGAGGTCGAGGCAGGCAGATCACTTGAGGTCAGGAGTTGGGAGACCAGTCTGGCCAACATGGTAAAACCCTGTTTCTATTAAAAATACAAAAGTTGCTGGGCGCGGTGGCTCAGGCCTGTAATCCCAGAGCTTTGGGAGGCCAAGGCAGGCAGATCATGAGGTCAGGAGCTCGAAACCAGCCTGGACAACATGGTGAAACCCCATCTCTACTAAAAATACAAAAAATTAGCCCAACGTAGTGGCAGGCGTCTGTAATCCCAGGTACTCAGGAGGCCGAGGCAGGAGAATCGCTTGAACCTGGGGGGCGGAGGTTGCAGTGAATCAAGATCGCACCATTGCACTCCACCATGGGCGACAAAAGCAAGATTCCGTCTCAAAAAAAAAAAAACATTAAATAAAAAAGTTAGGCGGGCATGGTGGCAGGCACCTGTAATCCCAGCTACTTGGGAGGCTGAGGCAGGAATCGCTTGAACCTGGGAGGTGGAGGTTACAGTGAACCAAGATCACATCACAGCACTCCAGCCTTGGCGACAAAGTGAGACTTCATCTCAGAAAAAAACAAAAAAGAAAATGTTATTAAGTAAAAGACAATTAGGGAATTGGATATTCACAAAGCATCACCCCACAGATTACAAGCTAAATGCAAATATAAAAATGAACCATTACAGGCCAGGCGTGGTGGCTCATGCCTGTAATCGTGAGACCGAGGCAGGCAGAACACCTGAGGTCAGGAGTTCAAGACCAGCCTGGTCAACATGGTGAAACCCTGTCTCTACTAAAAATACAAAAATTAGCTGGGCATGGTGGCATGCGCCCGTAATCCCAGCTACCCAGGAGGCTGAGACAGGAGAATCACTGGAACCCGGGAGGCAGAGGCTGCAGTGAGCCGAGATTGAGCCACTGCACTCCAGCCTGGGCAACAGAGCAAGACTCCATCACAAAAAAAAAAAAAAAAAAACCATTACAATGGAGAGACCTAGTGGTCACCTCAATCAAGTAATCAAATTTAGCATCATTAATAATGGGACAATCTAAAGACTGTATGCCTCCTGATCCAAACGTAATATGAGTACCTAGGAAACACTCTCACCAAAATTGTTTAACTCGAATTTAATCAAGTCTTTATAGTTAACTTTCAATTTACATGAAATACAAAGTAAATATCACCACAATAAGACAATTATTTTAAAAATTATGAATACAGGAAAATCTGCATGATAACAGGTATGCTGGACTGGTATCTTCAAAAAGTCAATGTCATATTAAAAAGTCAAGGTACATGTATTTTATCACAATTTTTAAAAATAATTTTTTAACAAGAGCTAATCTGGAAAATATAAAAGCGAATCTAGACTGGCAATATACCAAATTAATGATAGTATGGGGGTTAAGATATTGGAGATACATCAATTAATGATAGTTTGGGGTAGAGGAAGAATCTCACTCTTATATTTATACATTTACACACACACACACAACTTTTTTTTTTTTGAGACAGTTTCACTCTTGTTGCCTGTCGCCCAGGGTCAAGTGCAATGGTGCCATCTTGGCTCACTGCAACCTCCACCTCCCAGGTTCAAGTGATTCTCCTGCCTCAGCCTCCCAAGTAGCTGGGATAACAGGCGCCCGACACACCTAATTTTTGTATTTTTGGTAGAGACAGGGTTTTACCATGTTGGCCAGGCTAGTCTCGAACTCCTTGACCCCAGGTGATCCACCCACCTCAGCCTCCCAAAGTGCTGGGTTTACAGGCATGAGCCACCACGCCTGGCCACAATTTAAACTTTATAAGCACTATTAGTTACTTAATGGGAAAAAAAAATCAGCTCTAATTGTTTCTTAATGAAATTATTTATGTCTGGAATATGCTTTAAAATGCTAGAGCCAAAAATAAATAAATTAATGGAGGAGCGGAGGTGAAAAAAACTGTTGAAGTAGCATAATGGGTACACCCAGAATTCAATGTATACTGGTTTCTTTTGTATTAATTTAAAATCTTATGATTAAAAAGTTAAACTTTTCAATCTGTAATTCAAGAAAAAATAAAACATACAACATAAAGTTTAATGTATACTCAAAAATAAAAATGTTTTGAAGTTTTAAGTTTATCATTATTTTTCAATATCCTATTTTAGGTAGTTTATCCATTACTTGAAAAGTTTAATTCATTTGAGATTGGTGAAAAATTAATGAGATTTATTATAATCAACTTAAAACTTCTGAAATACAAACTTCTTTCAAAAAGTTAGTATTGTTCATTCTAACATATCAGATGGTCTCAGAAACCAGGACACCATGAGAAAATTAGACAAATTATACTTACTTGTGAATTCAGTGAAACTACATGTCTCCAATGCGTTAGGTATGAAAGAAAGGTCAGGAACTAGCATCCCTTATGAATGCCTAACAATATGCCAGGTTCTACAATATACCATGTTCACATAATTCTAACAATCACCCTGTGAAAATATCATCCCTTTATAACGGATGTATATCAGCTCAAAAAGAGTAAGTGTATCGGGGCGTGGTTGCACACCTGTAGTCCTAGCTACTGGGGAGGGTGAAGCAGGAGAATCCTTTGGGCTCAGGAGTTCAAGGTTACATTGAGCTATGATTGTGCCACTGCATTCCAACCTGGGCAACAGAGCAAGATTCCTGTCTCTTAAAAATATACCCAAATAGGCCGAGCGCGGTGGCTCACGCCTGTAATCCTAGCACTTTGGGAGGCCGAGGCAGGCAGATCACCTGAGGTTAGGAGTTCGAGACCAGCCTGGCCAACATAGTGAAACCCCTTCTCTACAAAAATACAAAAATTAGCTGGGCATGTTGGTGGGCACCTGTAGTTCCAGCTACTTGGGAGGCTGAGGCAGGAGAATCGCTTGAACTTGGGAGGCAGAGGTTGCAATGAGCAAGATTGTGCCACTGCACTCCAGCCTGGGTGAAATAGTGAGAGTCCTTCTCAAAAAAAAAAAAAAAAAAAAAAAAAAAAAACCCAAACAGTAGGAAAAAAGAGACACACACACACTCCACGTCTGACATAACTAGGAGATACTGTAACTATTACCTGAAATACAATGTATAAAGACAAAAAGCTGATGGTAGAATGGTAAATGCCTTAGCATAATGGGAGAGATAATGACAAACAATCCTCTTTATCCTGCAATACCCCAGAAAAGCTCAGAAATCAGAGGGCGCTAGGAAATAGGGCAGAATACCCACAAACACACACTCCTAAGGAAACAAGAGGTATGGTCCTCAGTAAAACTGAATCAGAGTGGCTCCAAGATGAGGGGTATCCCTCACAGAAAAGAGAAGTGAAATGCTGGTATGAAAACAGGGAGACTAGGTAAAAACTTATGAAATGAATGACAAGACTTGTAGCTTTCTTCCCCCATGAAGCGCTAGAACCCTGTCATACAAACTCATTACCTCTGCCAAGCCCTTCACTATGGACTGAATCATGCCTCCCCAAAATCCATATGTTGAAGCCTTAATGCCCAATGTGACTGTATCTGAAAATAAGGCTTTTCGGAGGTAACTAAGATTAAATGAGGTCAAAGGGCACAGTCCCAATCCAATAAAATTGGTAGCTTTATAAAGAGAAAAGGAAGAGATTTTTCTTTCCATTATAGGAAAAGTCATGTGAGCACACAGGAAGAAGGCAGTCACCTACAGACCAGGAAAAGAGCCCTTACCAGAACCTGGCCATGATGGCATGCTGACCTCACGCTTCCAGCCACCAGAATTATAAAAAAATTAATTTCTGTTAAGTCACCCATTCTATGGTATTTTATTATAGCAGCCCGAGTGACTAAGACACCCCTCCTCTCTCCATCATTCCACCCACAAAGAGACAGGAAAATTAAAGGACATCTATCTGAAGAAACTGAAAGCCTTCTTGCCCACCACCCAGAGAAAAGAAATGAAGATTAAAAACACAGCAGTCCATTAGTCATTAACCTTGCTCATGATCACAAAGATCTGAACAAAACCTCCAACTAAAAGAAAGCAACCAAAACAAACAGAAATAAGTAAGAAAAACCAAAAATAATAGGGAGAACAGAAGAACACCTCAAAGAAGCTGTAATTAATATCCTTGAAGAGGAAACAGAAAACGTTGCACCCATGAAAAAGGAACAAAATACTATAATACTGAAACAAAGGACAGGAGCTCTTAAAAATTCTTATTAAAGGCTTAAACTTTTCCAGGCGCAGTGGCTCACACCTGTAATACCAGCACTTTGGGAGGCCAAGGCGGGTGGATCATGAGGTCAGGAGTTGGAGACCAGCCTGGCCAACACAGTGAAACCCTATCTCTACTCAAAAATACAAAAAATTAGCTGGGTGTGGTGGTGTGCGCCTGTAGTCCCAGCTACTCAGGAGGCTGAGGCAGGAGAATCATGCGAACCTGGGAGGCAGAGGTTGCAGGGAGCCAAAACTGCATTGCACTCCAGCCTGGGCGACAGTACAAGACCGTCTCAAAAAAACAAAAGCTAAAACTTTAAAATTCAGTCAAGGCCAGCCACGGTGGCTCACGCCTATAACCCCAGCACTTTGGGAGGCCAAGGCAGACAGACCATCTGAGGCCAGGAGTTCCAGACCATCCCGGCCAACATGGAGGAACCCCATCTCTACTAAAAATACAAAAAATTAGCTGGGCGTGGTGGCGCACACCTGTAATACCAGCTACTTGGGAGGCTGAGGCAGGAGAATTGCTTGAACCCAGGAGGCAGAGACTGCAGTGAGCCAAGATCATGCCACTGCACTCCAGCCTAGGCAACAGAGCAAGACTCCATCTCAAAAAAAAAAAAAAAAGTAAAATTCAGTGAAAGTTCAGAAGGAAGAGTGAGATGTGAAGAAAAACACCAAAGAAAAAAATATATAAATTATAAAATTCAGTGAAAGGATTGACATTCCCCAGATAGTAGAATAGACAACTTTTTGGAGATCAGACGTCTTAACATCTACTTTGGGAACCAGGCAATAAGGGAACACCACCTTCAAACTTTTGAGGGAAAATTATTTCCAATGCAGAAATCTCTTAACTGCCAGTCAAGTAAAAGGATAAAAATGAAATCCAAAATGAAAATCCAAAATGAAGGAAGAAACCAAAAGGAAGGCATGAGATCCGGAAAAATAAAATTCAACAAAAGTTAAAGAAATTCCCAGAATGTCAACTAAGGAAAGTCCCAAGGTGACAGCTATGCAGCAGGCCTAAAGAGGAAACAACCCAGGCTAAAGCAGTAAGGACAGCTACAGAAGGGATGTCGTTTTTTTTTGTTGTTGTTGTTGTTGTTGTTTTTTTTTTTTTTTTTTTGAGCCAGAGTCTTGCTCTGTCGCCCAGGCTGGAGTACAGTGACGCCATCTCAGCTTACTGTAACCTCCGCCTCCTGGGTTCAAGCGATGCCTCAGCCTCCCAGGTAGCTGAGACTATAGGTGCGTGCCGCCACACCCGGCTAATTTTTTGTATTTTTAGTAGAGATGGGGTTTCACCGTGTTGCCCAGGCTAGTGTTGAACTCCTGAGCTCAGGCGATTCGCCAGCTTCAGCCTCCCGAAGTGCTGGGATTACAGGCGTGAGCCACCGCGCCCGGCCCCAGAAGGGATGTCTACAGGAACAAATGGAATGGGTAAGTTTATCTGACAGATTTGCCCATGTGGAAAATTGTACTGAGAAGCATTTTATGGAGCTACTGGAGGGTACAGAAAGACTCTGCCAGAGAAAACTAAGCAAATGAAAAAAATGAGACATGAAAAACAAAAGGTTACACAAGAAAATAAAATCATAGTAAATTATTCCCTCAGCAGAGACAAATATTTAGTCATATGATAAAAACTCTGAATATGAATTTAACCTAAAATTGTACAGTAACAATACTGGAGGAGAGTGTAGTTAGAAAAATCTTCAGACACCCATCCCTTTGACATCACTCACATTTATATACCTCAAATTATTTGATTCTAAGAAAAGCTGCTATTTTCATTAGAGTTAAATCCTGCAACTACACTTTCAAGGCAAAAATTCAGTGAAATGCTCTGGTTTTGTCTTGAAATACTTCACAGGGTCATTTTAAGGAAAAAAGTAAGTTAACAAATACAAAGCAAAAGTACTAACAAAAGTTAGAAGATCTATACAAATTTTGCTGGTTACTGGAGTCAGTGAAGGCACACTGACAGCTAATGAAATATTTGTTGTGGTTTGCCATAAAATAATTCTAAATTTTGGATACCCTTGGTATATGTCCACTTTTACTTTCCACACTTACCAATTCTACAATTTATTCAGTCTTACAGGAATATTGATTAACTCTCCAGTAAATTACCTCCGTAAGCACTAAAATCAGGTTATTTTCTGGTTTTAAAAATCTAAAATGTTGGCCAGGCACGGTGGCTCACGCCTGTAATCTCAGCACTTTGGGAGGCCAAGGCAGGCAGATCACAAGGTCAGGAGTTTGAGACCAGCCTGGCCAACATGGTGAAACCCCCTCTCTACTAAAAATACAAAAATTAGCCAGGCGTGTTGGCGAGTGCCTATAATTCCAGCCACTCGGGAGGCTGAGGCAGGAGAATTGCTTGAACCCGGGAGGCGGAGGTTGCAGCGAGCCGAGATCGCGCCACTGCACTCCAACCTGGCCAACAAGAGCGAGACTCTGTTTCCAAAAAAAAAAAAAAAATCTAAACTGTTTTGCACTTTTCCTTCTTATAAGAAATTTAACTTTTACTTGGTGAGTCAAGCTATCACGCAAGTCAGCTACAGTACTATGATTAGATGGCCTTAGAGATTGTGAGGCATCAGGCCCTGGTACTAAATGGGGCCATATTAGTATACTTTCATAATTCTCTTGTTCAGCATTCTTAACTTTCATATCTGTCAATGATCCTTCCTCTATCAGCATTCACCCATCTTTCAATTAGTTATAGGGTTAAAAAATTAATAACTATGCTTCAGACTCAAATAACATTTACTAAATACCCTGCTAGGCCCTTTCTTATACATGCTTTCATTTAACCCAAATACGTTCTGTTAGAATGGTCACCAATGTAAAAATAAAGCAGTTCTGACTTAGGACTTTTTAAAAGCCCTACTATTAATAAATACAGGAGCTTAATTGTTTAATCAAATTGGGGTGCAGGCTAGGTCTTTCGAGTGTGTGTGGTTCAGTTTTGTTTTGTTGAGGGAGAATCTCTTCCTTGTTTAGGTGTCTTTATAGCTAATGTCTGGTTCTGACTCAGACTGTTCAATCAGCCAGCTGTGGATAATTGAGGGGTTACTGAACCATGCACAGCCAACTTAGGGCAACACTAAAAAGAGGTATATACCTAAACAAACACTTGGTCACCCATTCACTAAGATTTTTACAAAAAGCACAGAGAAATGATCATTGTATTGCAAATCAGGACTTTCATATTTGCAATTATATCTATAATAAAGGCATATATGTATTCTTGCTATACCACTTGTTAATACCGCTATTTAAGAATCTTCTTAATTCGTTAAAACAGAACATCAATTCAGTTAAATCCAAACTTTAGAAAGATATAAGTATTCCCCAAGTTACGAGGGAAAAATTTTCACCATTAAATTTACCACCAAGACACTGGAAAGGAATCTTTTTCTCTGATAGTTTTTCCTCAACAAGATAGCATTTGTGTCTGAAAAAATGAAAATCTTACAGTAGTGTTAATATCTTGTCACTACTCCAAAAAACCCACATAGGTCATGGGAAAAGATCATTCCCACATCTTAATGTAAAACCTATCACTGTTTATATTCAGGATTAATAATATTAGTGTTAACCCTCAAAAGAAGAAGGATTCTAAATGTAATTGAAAAGACTATAAAAATTCCTCTTTAACAGCCATTTCACTTTAAGGACCATTTGTGTACTCCACATTTTAAGTTAGAATTGTTAAAGAATGCTTACTTATTTCTTCTCAAATATTCCATTACTCCAACTATGTAATACTCATATTCACTTCCTCTTTCAGAGAACTTACAGCAAATGTGCAGTTTACACACCACAAACACTAGTGATGATACCAAGCTGCATATGGACAAACTTCCAGGCACTTATCTCCTAAATTTTACATATAAATTGTTAAAACAAAATAGCTTTAAAATACTAATCACCTGGAATTCCTGACTAAAAGTACCAAAATCCCATCCTCAAAACCACTTTCCTAGAAACAACACTCCCAGAAGCTGAAAGATATTTACATTGCACCAGAGTCCCTGATGGCTATGCTTAGATGTTAAAGCTTTGCTACAGGCAAAAAATATCAAGGAAGAAGTGACACTATTGCTACATGCACATGCAGCATGTTTTAAGTTGTGAAAACAAACCATTATAATCCAAACAGAATTTTTCATGATCTGAGCTACTGTTAGATCAGCAATGCTGAAACTGCTTGACATTTCTTTTTCTAAAAAACAAAAAGAGTTATTTGACAACACTGTGTAGCAGTGCACATTTATAATAAAGATTATGCGCTTTAAGCTTGCGATCACATAAAGATTTGATTTTCAACTAGTCCGTATGTTGCACTATTGTCAGATCATTGTGTATCCGTAGCTGAAGTGGTGGAAACACCTGAAAAATTATACGACTAGCCTACATTTAAAAACAAAACTGACCCTGTCTGACAAGAACCCTTAAGAATTCGCCTTTTTCTAATGCTCAAACATTCTGCAGCCGCTTGATCTGGCGAAAAATCGTCAAAGCTCCTGGTTTTATCATTTGCTGCAGGGAAAAAAAGAATATGGCTGAAAATTCTTTCAGAAGGGTGGTATTTCAAACAGGACCACCCAAAACACTTAAGAATACGCAGCGGAGAGTAGGGTGCAGGGAGGGTACCTTACGAAACAGCGCACTTCGGGCCCTGCACGCTACCTCATTTCCCTAATAGGGATGAAAAGCTCAGGCCTCTGGTAGCTTCCAGCTGACGCCAGTGCTCTCTCCACACCCCTTTTTTGACAGGATTATCCGGGGTTGAACGCTGTGTCACAAATACGAATTCCCGCGACCACGTCTAAGTGGTCTAACAATCAATCAAGCATCTTTTACAAAACCAAACCCTTCCCCCATCCCGTTCCCTCCATCTCTCTCCCTAGCCAAACAAACCTAGGAGAGTCCTCAAGATGGATTTTCACAAATCCTGCAGCGCACTAACTGGGAGGAAGAAACGATACAGAAAATAAGAGTGTCGGCCATCCCCCTCTCTGCAACCGAAATTACAGGCTCCATTTCCTGTCCCCTTGGGAACTGCAAAATCCTCTGCTGAAAACCGGACGCCTCCCAGCCCCTCCAGGCCGGCGCACGCGGCCGCCGCGCTCCCCCTTCCCGGGCCCCGTGGGCGCCAGGGGGCGGCGGGGACCCACGGCGCCCTCCCCTCCCCCTCCCCGCACGGCACCCACCTCGGGGCAGCGGCTTCACCTCCCCGTTCTCCTCCCGGGAGGCCCCGCCGGCCTCTCGGGCCCCACCGAGACCGTGCCTCCTCCTCTCCTTCTCCCGCTTCTCCTTAGGTCTGCGCGACTTGGCGTTAGCCGAGGCAGCGGCGGCGGCGGCGGGCAGGAGGAGATGGTGAGGCTGAGCGTGCAGCAGCGTAGGAGGGACCAGCAGTTTGCGCGGCACCGGCTGAGACAAGGAAGCGGAGGCTGAGGAGGGAACGGCCGTGCCAGCGGAGAAAGAGAAACTGCTCCGAGAAGAGGACGGGGAGGGAGCAGCAGACAGAGGGGCAAAGCTCCAAGACGCGGGGCTGCCATAGCTCTGAGGCGAAGGTGCTGCCGGCGGCTGCAGCTGCCTGCTGTTCCCGCCGCTGCCCCCTTCTCCGTTCACTCTCCGCGGTGCCTTCTTCTCCTCAGTCCGGACCTTCTTGGCGGACAGAGAACCCGGAGGGTCCCGGGAGGAGAGTTGCAGCTTGCCAAACGGTTCTTTCTCCGAGACGGTGGCGGTGGGGGCCGCGGCAGCGACACAGTGCACGGGGCTCGGCGGTTCCGCCATTTTGCGCTCCTGTTGTATTTACTCTCCTCCGCTAGCCGGCGCGGGGCAGGGGGCGGGCCCTCCGCGAGGGGTAGGGAAGGGGCGGAGCGGCCAGGCCACCAGCCGGCATTGCTCCATTGGGCAAGCCACGCTGAGGGATCCACCTAAGAGCCAATCAAAGGCACAAACATCAGACGAAGGGGCGGGATCGCCACAGGGACCCTCTTCGGAGGTCAGAGCTCGGCGGGGTGCGGCTAGTGGCGGAGCGCGCTGCGAGGGGAGGGCTTTCCACTGTCGCTGGCGTGAACTCGCGTGCCCGGTGGGTATCAGGGAAGAACCCCCGCCCCGGACCCCCAGATCTGCCATGGCCGAGGTAGCGATCGTCTCTGCGGCCACGAAGACTGTTTTAACTTGTACCACTTTCCCTTCCATTTTTCCTGGGGTGCCTCTCACCCTGCATCTGCGCGTTCAGCAAGCTGGATTTCGGGAATGCTCAGTTCAGAAGAGAAAAAATTGCCGGGAATCAAGTCCTTCTTTTTGTTAGTCGGTAGTCGATTGATGGGAAGTGTTCAAAATCATTCGATGTGGTGACAAGGTACGTTATTATTGCTAGATCATGTGCTGTAATCCATTGAAGGAGATAACTTCCAGCAAATCTAGAACTTTAGTATTACTTACAAGCTTGAAGGTGAGAGTCTCCCTTTGGAGACTTTTGAACTGTTGTGACTAGACCCTTAAGATTTTTATTTTATTTATTTATTTATTTATTGGGACGGAGTTTTGCTCTGTTGTCGAGGCTGGAGTGCCGTGGCGCGATCTCGGCTCACCGCAACCTCCGCCTCCCAGATTCAAGCGATTCTCCTGCCTCAGCCTCCCCAGTAACAGGGACTACAGGCGTCCGGCACCATGCTTGGCTAATTTTTGTGTTTATTAGAGACGGGGTTTCACCATGTTGGCCAGGCTGGACTCGAACTCCTGATCTCAGGTGAGCGGCCCACCTCCGCTTCCCAAAGTGCTGGGATTACAGGCGTGAGCCACCATGTGCGGCCTTAAGATTTGAATTTTATAATAATTATTATAGCCGGGCGCGGTGGCTCACACCTGTAATCCCAGCACTTTGGGAGACCGGGGCGGGCGGATCACGAGGTCAGAAGTTCGAGACCAGCCTGACCAACATGGTGAAACCCCGTCTCTACTAAAAATGCAAAAATTAGCTGGGCATGGAAGCGCGCACCTGTAATCCCAGCTACTGGGGAGGCTGGGGCAGGAGAATCGCTTGAACCCAGGAGGCGGAGGTTGCAGTGAGCCGAGACTGCGCCACTGCACTCCAGCTTGGGCGACAGGGCAAGACTCCGTCTCAAAAAATAATAATAATAATAATAATATTATTATTATTATAACGTAGACTTGCCAGGAAAAATTCGTTGGCGATTATTTATGGATGTTTGAAAAGCAAGAATTGTTTTTTTAGGTTTCTGTATTTTAGCGTTTAGTAAGCACACTGCGTGTTCGATGTTTTGTAAGCATGTGCTTTGATTTTTGCTTCGAAAATAAGCAATTTGGGGAGATGGGTTTTAGCTTAAAAGATAAGGAATGTGGCCGGGCGCGGTGGCTCATACCTGTAATCCCAGCACTTTGGGAGGCCAAGGCGGGCAGATCACAATGTCAGGAGTTCGAGACCAGCCTGGCCAACATAGTGAAACCCTGCCTCTACTAAAAATACATAATTAGCTGGGCGTAGTGGCATGCGCCTGTAGTCCCAGCTACTCTGGAGGCTGAGGCAGAAGAATCCCTTGAATCTGTAAGGCAGAGGTTGCAGTAAGCTGAGTTCGTGCCATTGCACTCCACCCGGGGCGACAGTGCCTATTTACTCATTTTTTTAAGAATATTTTTAAGAATTTTTTTTTTTTCGGCCAAGAGTGGTGGGTGGCTCACGCATGTAATCCCAAGACTTTAGGAGGCGGTGATGGGTGGATCACCTGAGGTCAGGAGTTTGAAACCAGCCTGACTGACATGGTGCAACCCCGTCTCTACTAAAAATACAAAAAAAATTAGCCAGGCGTGGTGGTGCGTGCTTGTAGTCCCAGCTCCTCGGGAGGCTAAGACAAAAGACTCGCTTGACCCCTGGAGGTGGAGGTTGCAGTGAGCTGAGATCGTGCCACTGCACTCCAGCCTGGGTGACAGAGTAAGACTCCATCTCAAAAAAAAAAAAAAGAATGTTTTGGAGTCAAATTTAATATTGGTTTATGGACTTATTTTTATGTGCCTCAAATTTTTTAAAGTAATAACAGTATTTAATATGTAACATGAAAACTTTCTAATTGGAATTGACTGGCAGCAGATGTCTTCAAGAAAATTAGCATTGGTGGGAGAGTGGACTGAGTGGATTAGGCTGGAAATCATCTGCTAACGCACTAGTTTCGTGACCTTAGTCAGGCTGCTTCACTTGTTAGGACCTCCGTTTTCTTACCTGTTGAGTTAGCATATTTGATTACGTGATCACTAAGGTCCCTTCCACACTCAACTTATGCCATATTCAAGAAGCTTTTCAAAATCACACCGAAACCATTACAATTGAATTCATTTTTTAATTGTTGGCCCTCCTGATCTAGAAAAGTGTCTCTAACATACATTAATGTAGTGCCTGGAAACTTGCACCACTCATTCTCTAATCTCTAGCACACAGGTCTGGAAAATCGGACTTCTTAAGAGCCCAGTTAAACTACACCCTTGCCTGCATGAATTTGTTACTCCTTGCATTACATTATACTTTCATGCACTGTTATTAGGCCTGGCACTTAATTTGTAGAGCCTAAGCAAGAGTGTGGCTATAGAGGTCCACACACCATCTGTCTAAATATTTAAAAAATAAATCAAGATAACAAACTATTATATAAAATACATTCTATTCTACTACCTTGACAGATCCACTTTCATATGATCTGGAAGTCCATGTTTGAATTTAGAGTTCTTAGAGTCCCCACACTGACCCCATTCTCCTCCCATCCCCAAGTTCACCTGCCACACGGAAAGGCCATACATGCACCCAACATGTCCAGGTGTATGTCCACATCCCCCTACTCCGCAAATGGTGATGTACAATCGGCAGCTCACTCTGCCCTCAGATCTAGCCAGTCTAAAAGAGGAGGGCAGGCTCCAGGCAGACATGGCCCCTGACCTCATGGGCTCCTTGTTCTTTACAGCAAGAGGAGGGCCAAGTAAACAGAGGCCCCTTACCCAGATCTAAAGACAGGACTTGTCTGTTATTAAAACATGCGCAACTATCTCTTTTCTGTGCTGTGTAATTAGCCATTCCCTTTCAACTAGATTATTCTTGTCAACACTTAACTGGCAGAGGTTTTCTACCACTATCACCAATTTCTTTTAGCATAATCTCTTTATAATCTCATATAGGTTTTCCATTCTACAGCTAGAAAGCTCTTTTCAAAACCTTGGCCGGGTACAGTGGCTCATGCCTGTAATCCCAGCACTTTGGGAGGCCGAGGCAGGCAGATCACCTGAGGTCAGGAGTTTGAGACCAGCCTAGCCAACATGGTGAAACTTTGTCTCTACTAAAAATACAAAAATTAGCTGGGCATGGTGGCACGTCCTTGTAGTCCAGCTACTCGGGAGGCTGTGGTAGAGAATCGCTTGAATCTGGGAGACGGAGGTTGCAGCGAGCCAAGATCACGCCACTGCACTCCAGCCTGGGCGACAGAATGAGACTCTGTCTCAAAAAAAAAAAAAAAACGAAAACGAAAAAACCTGGATCTGACCATCTCTCTTGCCTTGCTTCAGACCTGAAGTCAATGGCTTTCATTGCTCTCGGGACAAAAAACAAAATCCTTAATGTGTCCTGTAAGACCTTTCATGAACTATCCCCTTCTTCTATTTCAAACTAACAGGTCTTTAATCTCCAGAACCCACCATGTTGTCTTTCAACATAGAAACATTGCATATGTGATTCTCTCTACTTGACGTGCTTTTTCCTTTGGCTGTTGCCTATGTGATGATTTGGATAATGAACATAAGGGAGGCAGATATCATGAATACCTTCTATATTTCTAACCAGCAAAACTTGGCAGTGGTACCATTCCCTGAGCCAAGAAACAGTGGAAGAGTGACAAGTTTCAGGTACTCTTGGACCTTGGACCTGTTGAACGCGACGTGCCTTTTCTCATCTCCATTCCTTTTTGCTTTTCAGTCGTTGGTGTTGTTGACTCACTGGTTATCTCTTGCTTCCTTTTCCATTTCATTCTCTGTAACAGCTCTACCGAAAGCATACTACCCTACCTACCCTACACCCTGCTTCTCCACCTTTTTTTTTTCTTTTTTCTTTTTTTTTTTTTTTTTTTTGAGGTCAGGTCTCAGCTCTATCACCCAGGCTACAGTGCAGTGGCAGCTTCACAGCTCGCTGCAGCCTTGACCTCCTGGGCTCAAGCATTCCCCCCACCTCAGCCTCCCGAGTAGCTGGGACTAAGGCATTTGCCACCATACCTAGCTAATTTTTGTATTTTTGTAGAGACAGGGTTTCGCCATGTTGTTGCCCAGGCTGGTCGAGAACTCCTGGGCTCAAACACTCTGACCACCACGGTCTCCCAAAGTGCTGGGATTACAGACATGAGCCAGCATAGCCAGCCGAAACTGGGTCTTTTATAAAGAACAGAAATTTATTTTGTCACAATTCTAGGGGCTGGGAGCCCAAGATCACGGCACTGGCAGGTTCATTTGTTTGATATGGGCCACATCCTCCTGAGGGGAGGAACATATTGGCCTCACATGGTAGAAGGCAGCAGGCTGAAGGCTTCATGAGGCCTCTATTATCTTATTTATTTTGAGACAGAATTTTTTTTTTTTTTTTTTTTTGGAGACGGAATCTGTCTCTGACGCCCAGGCTGGAGTGCAGTGGTGCGATCTCAGCTCACTGCAAGCTCCGCCTCCCGGGTTCACGCCATTCTCCTGCCTCAGCCTCCCGAGTAGCTGGGACTACAGGCGCCCGCCACTACGCCCGGCTAATTTTTGTATTTTTAGTAGAGACAGGGTTTCACCGTGTTAGCCAGGATGGTCTCGATCTCCTGACCTCGTGATCCGCCCACCTCGGCCTCCCAAAGTGCTGGGATTACAGGCGTGAGCCACCACGCCCGGCCTGACAGAATCTTGTTTTGTCGCCCAGGCTGGAGTGCAGTGGCGCAACTGCAGCCTCGACCTCCTGGACTAAAGTGATCCTACCACCTCAGCCTCCCAGGTAGCTAGGACTTCAGACACTCGCCATAACTCCCAGCTAATTTTTGCTTATGTTTTGTAGAGATGGGGCCTCACTGTGTTACCCAGGCTGGTCACAAACTCCTGGGCTCAAGCGATCCACTTGCCCATGAAGCCTCTTGTAATCCCATAAACCTCATTCACAAGAGAGCAACCCCTCTGGCCTAAACACGTCTTAAAGGCCCCACATCTTAATACCATTACATTGGCCATTAAGTTTCAACACCTGAATTTTGGAGGGGACACATTGAAACCATAGCAATGGGTAAAAAATAATAAGTCAGAGTCAGGTTGAATGTGAGATCACAGGAAGTGGAGGGTACTATAGAAAACTGGGAATATGATGTGTTTTCTACAATATACATTTGTGTTTCTCAGCTCTCGCTGCTCGTTCCCTTATGGAAATAGTGGTCCTACTTGCTAAATATATAGATTTTTTAATGGGAAGTTTCCTAAAACACCATGCAAGCCAAACAAACATCTGTGAGTCAGTTATAACCCACAGACTAGCAGGCTGACTTCTGATCTAGAAAGGAGTAGCTTCGTTTTGTTAAGATCGTTTTGAGAGTTTTGTTTATTTTAATTCACAACCCTGTCTTTGTCCGTTGCTGGAATAGATGCTAATCGAATATATTCAAACTTCCAGCCATAACAAATGTGTGTTCGCAGTGCTTAGAGCTGTCCTCTGTACAACCTAGAATCTGGTTTCTCTGCACGTGACATCCTTCTGCCTTTCTGAGCTGAACTGTATTTTCACTCTGCACATGTACTATCCCTCTGGCCTTGTCCAGGTTCCTGATCCCCTTGTATAAAGAAAGCAGTTATTTGACCCTTGTACTTTATGCAGCCATGTACTAACCTTAAAGACATTTCTGGCCAGGTGCAGTGGCTCACGCCTGTAATCCCAGCACTTTGGAAGGCCGAGGCAGGTAGATCATAAGGTCAGGAGTTTGAGACCAGCCTGGCCAACAAGGTGAAACCTCATCTCTCCTAAAAATATGAAAAAATTAGCCAGGCGTGGTGGCACATGCCTGTAGTCCCAACTACTCCAGAGGCTGAGGCAGGAGAATCGCTTGAACTTGGGAGGCGGAGGTTACAGCCAGGCAAGACTGTGCCATTGCACTCTAGCCTGGGTGACAGGGTGAGATTCCGTCTCAAAACAAACAAACAAAAAAGGACATTTCTTCTGTCCTTATGGCATAGATATCTCAAAGCTCTACCTCCACCACGTTGACCTGCTCATCTTTTTTTTTTTTTGAGACAGAATTTCACTCTTGTTGCCCAGGCTGGAGTGCGATGGCACGATCTCGGCTCACTGCAACCTCTGCCTCCCGGGTTCAACTGATTCTCCTGCGTCAGCCTCCCGAGTAGCTGGGATTACAGGCATGCGCCACCACACTCGGCTAATTTTTTGTATTTTTAGTAGAGACGGGGCTTCTCCATGTTGGTCAGTCAGGCTGGTCTCGAACTCCCGACCTCAGGTGATCTGCCCGCCTTGGCCTCCCAAAGTACTGGGATTACAGGCATGAGCCACCACGCCCAGCCGACCTGCTCATCTTTATGTGTCTTTCTCATTTGAATCAATCAATCACTGGCCAGTTATAAAGGCTGGTACTCTGCTTTCAGAAAACCTGAAACCTTTAAACTTTCATGCTGTCAGTTCCAGTGTAGTCCATACTCTAGTACAGGGGCCAGCAAACTTTTTCTGTAAACAGACGTATAGTAAATATTTTAGGCTTTGCAGACCTAAAATATTTGTAAATATTTTAGGCTTTGTGGTCTCTGTGGCAGCTGCTGCTCATAGCACAAAAGCAGCCATAGACAAGATATAAAGGAATGGGCATGGCTGTGTTCCAAAACAACTTTATGGAAACAGGAGACAGGATGGGTTTGGCCTGTAGGTCATAGTTTGCTGGCTCCTATGAATTTTGTGTTTTTTGTTTTTTGTTTTGTTTTGTTTTGTTTTTTGAGATGGAGTCTCACTCTGTCGCCCAGGCTGGAGTGCAGTGGTGCAGTCTCAGCTCACTGCAACCTCCGCCTCCCGGGTTCAAGCAATTCTCCTGCCTCAGCCTCCCAAGTAGCTGGGATTACAGGCACCCGCCACCATGCCCGGCTAATTTTTGTATTCAATAAATTGTTTTTCAGGCTAGGTGCAGTGGCTCACTCCTGTAATCCCAGCACTTTGGGAGGCTGAGGTGGGCAGACTGCCTGAGGTCAGGAGTTCGAGACCAGCCTGGCTAACATAGTGAAACCCCATCTCTACTAAAAATACAAAAAATTAGCCAGGTGTGGTGGTGTGCACCTGTAAACCCTGCTACTTGGGAGGCTGAGGCGGGGGAATCACATGAACCTGGGAGGTGGAGATTGCATTGAGCCATTGCACTCCAGCCTGGGCGACAGTGTGAGACTCCACCTCAAAAATAAATAAATAAATAATTTTTTTTTTTGTTAATGGCTCCCCAATTTATATCTCTAAACCTGACTGCTCCTCTGTGTTTGTGATCTAACTACTCCACATCTTCCACAGATATGTCAGCACTTAAAACTCAGCATATCTATGACAGAGACTGCTCATTTCCTGCCAAGTATCTGTTTCTCCCTTCTTCCTTATTACCTGATCCCTTAATTCATTGAGATTGCAAAGTATCTAGCTAAGAAAAAAAAAAGTTGCTTGCCCTTCTTTCTCTTAGGGATAGCAGTGACATGTCAGGGAAAGTCTTTGGGTGAGGTTTTCAGGGAAGTTCCTGGGTGAAGAGGAGAGGAAACCCCTTTCTCTCTTTCCTGAAATTTGGAGAAGGCGATGTGGGGCAGTAATTATGAAGATTGTAAGCTTTCAGCTCATATTTTGCTTATTCAACATTTCAGGTAATTCAGGTAAATTGAATTCTCAACTCTTTATTTTTCTGAGACCAAGTCTCACTCTGTTGCCCAGGCTAGAATGCAGTGGCGTGATTTCAGCTCACTGCAGCCTCTGCCTTCTGGGTTCAAGCAATTCTCCCACCTCAGCCTCCCAAGTAGCTGGGATTACAGGCATGCACCACCACGCCCAGCTAATTTTTGTATTTTTAGTACAGACGGGGTTTCACCATGTTGGCCAGTCTGGTCTCAAACTCCTGGCCTCAAGTGAGGCCTCCACCCACTTCAGCCTCCCAGAGTACTGGAATTACAGGCGTCAGCCACCATGCCCAGCCAAATTCTCACCTCTTAACCAGAAAATTGTCTCACTACAAATATAGCCTAACCACTTGCTCAACCACAGTCTTCTTTCCAGTTTGAATGTGTACTTAAGGAGAGCAAACTGGGGGAAAATAAAGTTGAAAATTGTAGTACAGGCATCAGCCACTGCTTAAAGGCTTCACTGAAGAGCCATTAGCAGCCACACAGCAGGAAGCAAAAGGTAGAGAGAGTAAAAGGGGCCAAATAGAGTAAATAGAAACTATCCATAAATGTCTCTCCTGGGGTTAATTATGCTGCCAGAATTTTCATATGGAAGAACATCAGCTCATTTTGATACTTATTTTAAGAAAGGGATAGGAGGCCTATAAAATGTGTATCAGGAGCCTTATTCAATAATATAAATCTCTGAAAAGAAAAGCTTAAGTTTTGTGGTTGTTTAAAAAAAAAAAAAAGGTTTGTGGTTCCAGTCAATTCTCCAGGAAGAGGAAGCTATTTTAGGTAAGAACTGGTAGGTAGAGAGTAAAGTGTATTTATCCACACCTTGAAGCCTAGGTCTGGCAAAGAAATGTAAGGAAAAATGATAGACTCATAGAATGTCTGAATTGCAAATGCAGCCCTGTACGTAATTTGTTAATTTTCTTTACTATCCTTTACTTTCTTTTTGAACAGTGAATAACCTCCAGAATAACCATTCTTGGCTTCATAGTTTGAGCCACACTGTCAGACCACTTGTGGTTAAGAGGATAGTGTTTACTGAGTGCCTTGTGTATCTCTTATGTTTGTGGGTGTTATGCATCATCCCAGTTCTACAAAGCTTTCCAAGGCATTTTTCAAAACTGAGCTGGAATTTCATGTTTATTCTGACTCTACACCAGTTTTCTTTCTAATATATCCTATTTTGCAAGAGGAAGCAGAAGTCTAAAGCATCAAAATGTTAAATCCAGACATTGGTCAGGGCTCTTTAGAAGTTTAAGTTAATTTAAGTTTTATGTTTAGAAAATAGGCATTCAAAAAAGATGCAGTGTTTCTTAGAGTGCTGGTAGATTCCAGTGCTTTTATCTCATAGAAAAGAACAGGTTTGAATGTGTCCCCGAAAGTTGTGTGTCCCCCAGAGTTCATGGGTTAGAAACTTAATCTCTAATGCAACAGTGTTCAGAGGTGGGACCTTTAAGAGGTGATTAGGTTATGAGGGCTCCGCCCTCATGAAAGGATTAATGCCATTATCCAGGAGTAGATTAGTTTTTACAGGATCGGGTTCCTGATAACTGATAACCCACAGTTAGAAGAGTGCAGTTTTGTACAAATACTGCACATGCCAGTAGAGCCAACAAAGTACAAAACTATGACTGTCACAAAGTTATTTCATAATTTTAATTTTGCAGATTCTGCTTTGAAAAGCTTGTCTGTATGATTTATGTGCCTTGAGGTAACAATATGATGCTATCCTAATACATATTTTGCCTCAGATTCAAGTGCTGGCTCTTCTTGATTCCCCTCAAATTAATAACTACTTCTATACCATTAGTTTGAAAATAGATGAATAATTAAAACAGCTAAAGACCCATCAAGGAAATAACCTCTCTCTCTTTTTTTTTTTTTTTTTTTTTTTTTTTTTTTGAGACGGAGTCTCGCTCTGTCGCCCAGGCTGGAGTGCAGTGGCGGGATCTCGGCTCACTGCAAGCTCCGCCTCCCGGGTTCACGCCATTCTCCTGCCTCAGCCTCCCCAGTAGCTGGGACTACAGGCACCCGCTGCCGCGCTCGGCTAATTTTTTTCGTATTTTTAGCAGAGACGGGGTTTCACCGTGTTAGCCAGGATGGTCTCGATCTCCTGACCTCGTGATCCACCCGCCTCGGCCTCCCAAAGTGCTGGGATTACAGGAATGAGCCACCGCGCCGGGCCTAACCACTCTTTTATTTAACTTTTAAAGCTAACCCAATAAGTCTACTTTTTCTTATTTTTCACGTATATTAAGTGTTTAGTCAGTAAATACTTAACACCTACCTGTTGCCAGGCACTAGGCTAAGTGCTAGAATATAGCAAGAGATATGGCAGACATGGTCTCTGTCCTCATGGAGTTAACTTTAATCACAAGATCTGTTTCCAAATAATCTGTTGTTTAAGACTATGTTGTTGGGGTGAGGTGGGAGGGAGAGCATTGGGAGATATACCTAATGCTAAATGACAAGTTAATGGGTGCAGCACACCAAGATGGCACATGTATACATATGTAACAAACCTGCACATTTTGCACATGTACCCTAAAACTTAAAGTATAATAAAAAAAAAGACTGTGTTGCTCTGTTGTTCAAGACTGTGATCCTATTTATTACTGATGACAGTCAAACAGTATTAAGTGTCTACAATGGGCCCAGCACTGTGTGACAATGTAATTAATAATATAATGAGATTAGTAAGCAAAGAACATGGGGAAAGACTTTCTAGGCTGAGGAACAAGCATTTGGAAAGAGATGAGAGTAATGACACACTCAATGTGGTATTGTTTATGAGAAGTTCATTGTGGTTCAAGGATAAGGGACACGAAGTGCCGTAAAAGGAGAGGGCTCTCTAAAATGGGTGAGAGCCAGATTGTGTAAAGTGTTGCTCTTGACTGCCTTGGCATGCTGAGGAGTCAGTAAATACCTTTTGTTAACTTAAGGGCTTTAATGAGGAAGAGTGAAAAATGTTTACGTAACCATTTTGACTTCCTGCTCATTCCTCACAGGCTTCACCAGGTACTGCCTTCTAACGAGCTGGCCATTTCCACATGTCAGATAGGACCAACTTGCCTTTTAACTACCCGTGTGATACTTAAACACTGTTGCCGGTATCACAGCTTTTCTTCAAAACAGGTAATATTAGGGACACTTGAAATTTGGGAATTAGATTTACCTTTGCTGTTACTAAATAATTGTTAGAATTTTAAATGTCATATTCATTTTACTCAACTAATCTCTTTAGCTTTCCTATTTATATTCCTACTTATGATTACGTGTAATTCTCATTGGAAGGATTAAAATATTTTGAAAGTAAGACAGTAAAATTGTGAAATACTTTGGTATTGGTTACAAAACAGTACTTAGGTACCTTCTTCCTGATTTTTCTGTATTTTTAAAAAATAAGGCCAGGCACAGTGGCAAATGCTTATATTCCCAACTGCCCAGTAAGCTGAAGCAAGAGAATTGCTTGAGCCCAACCTGGGCAACATAGTGAAACCCCAGTCACCAATTAAAAACAAACAAACAAAAAGAGTATATTTTTTGAAGATATTTTATCACATATACAGAAGCAAACAAAGAGGGGAAGGAATTGTTTAAAATAATGTTAAGCTAAATAAAGTCAAAGAAAATTTAAGTAATAGTTAATAGTTATTGTTATAGAAGACATCAATTTACTACCCCGTTCTCAAAAAGGAAAATCTGCAAGTAGACTGTAGTGCTAGAGTAAGCTTTTCCTTAATTTCAGAAAGCCTGTATTAAGCATTTACTTTATGCCAAACTCCATTTTAGGGACTGGAAATATAAAATAAATAAAACACAGTCCCTGCTCTCAGTGAACTTGTTGTCTAGGGAATGTTAAGTAGAACCACCTGAAATTGCATTGTTTTTGTAAGCCAGCTATCGGTTCCACCTGACATTATATGTGGAAACAGAAATTTGCAATAATAAAGATATGACCACGGTGCTACGGGGCACTGACAAAATGCTTCATGCTGCCCAGGGCAGTCAGTGAAGGCTCCCCAGGGGAGATGACGTTTGAGCCGAGTTTCAGAAGATGATTGGAGTTTACCACGTGTTCACAGGAAGCAACGAGAATGAGGGCATTCCAGTAGCAGGAGACAGCATGCATAGAGATGCTGATGAAGAAAGAGCCTAGCGCACGTGGGAAACTGCAAAAGTTCAGACTGGTTGGAATGCTGGAAATGTTGTGAATGACAGGAGATGAGGCTGGCGAGAAAACAGAGGTCAGATTGTGGAAGGCTGTCAAGCCAAAGACTTTGATTTTATTCTTGAGATTGATGAGATGTGTGTAATCCAGGAGTGTGCAAAACAATCTGTAAGGGTTCAGAAAACATACTGCTTCTATATATAGTTACCTTTGTCTTAACTTGAAAATTTCAAATTGTGTAGGAGTTACAATGTGTGTAATTGTTATTATAGTACTGGATCCAAATAATTTATAAATAAATAAATATAGACATAATATGGTGTATTACAGGTTAAATTGTGTACCTCAAAAATTCATGTTTAAGTTCTAACCCTCATTATCTCAAACTGTGACCTTATTTGGAAATACTATCATTGCAGATGCAATAGTTAATGAGGTCAAGTTAAGAAGCAATAGGAGGCCAGGCATGGTGGCTCACACCTGTAATCGCAGCACTCTGGGGAGGCCAAGGTGGGTGGATCACCTGAAGTCAGGAGATCAAGAGCAACCTGGGCAACATGGTGAAACTCCGTCTCTACTAAAAATACACAAATTAGGCTGGGCTTGATGTCTCACACCTGTAATCCCAGCACTTTGGGAGGCCAAGGCGGGCGGATCACCTGAGGTCAGGAGTTCGAGACCAGCCTGGCCAACATAGTGAAACCCCATCTCTACTAAAAATACAAAAATTATTTTGTATTTTGGTGGCGGACACCTGTAAGTAATCCCAGCTACTCGGGAGGGTGAGGCAGGAGAATCGCTTAAACCTGGGAGGTGGAGTTTGCAGTGAACCAAGATCACACCACTGCACTCCAGCTTAGGAGACAGGGCTAGACTCTGTCTCAAACAAACAAGCAAACAAACAAAAGAAAGAAGAAAAGAAGGAGCGAAAAGGTGGGCCCCCAATCCCTAATCCAGTATGACTAATGTCCTTCCAAGAACAGAAAATTTGAACAGAGACACACAAACGGGAAGAATACCTATGCCTTTTGAAGGTAAAGGCGGACATTGGGGTAATGCTTTTACAAGCCAAGGAACTCCGAAGGTAGCCAGCAAACTGTCAGAAGCTAGGCGAGGGTCCTGGGACAGATTCTCCTCACAGCCCTCAGAAGGAATCAGTCCCGCTGACACCTTGATCTTGGACTTGTAGCCTCAGGAACTGTGAGGCAAATGTCTGTTGTTTAAACTATCCAGTTTGTGATACTTTGTTACAGCAGCCCTAGCAAATTGAGCTACTTGGTCAAAAACTTCAGGCAACACTGATGAGATGATGTAAAGGCTTTAAAGAGTTGGTTTATGTTTAAGAGTCCAAATTATCAACGTCCTATCTTTACTCAGTCTCTGTATTCAAGAATTGACCTTAGGCCAGGTGCAGTAGTTCACGCCTGTAATCCCAATACTTTGGGATGCCAAGGTAGGAGGATTGCTTGAGGTCAGGAGTTTGAGATCAGCCCTTGTATATTAGTTCGTTCTCATGCTGCTGATAAAGACATACCCAAGACTGGGTAATTTATAAGGAAAAAGAGGTTTAATGGACTCACGGTTCCATGTGGCTGGAGAGGCCTCAATCATGGCGGAAGGTGAAAGGCATGTCTTAGGTGGCGGCAGACAAAAGAGAAATGAGAGCCAAGTGAGAAGGGAAACCCCTTATAAAATCATCAGATCTCGTGAGACTTATTCACTACCATGAGAACAGTATGGGGAAAGCGTCCCCATGATTCAGTTCCCACCGGGTCCCTCCCACCACATGTGGGAGTTCTGGGAGCTACAATTGAAGATGAGATTTGAGTGGGGACAAAGCCAAACCATATCACCTTTTCTCTACTAAAAATTAAAATTAATTAAAAAATTAAGCTGGCATGGTACTATATGTCTGTAGTCCTAGCTACTTGGGATGCCGAGGTGGGAGGATTGCTTGAGCCCACGAGGTTGAGGCTGCAGTGAGTCATGATCATGCCACTGCACTCCAGCCTGGACAACAGAGCAAGGCCCTGATGCAAAAAACAAAAAATAATAATTTAACTTAAAGTGATGTCTTGATTGCAGTGTTTATTCTACTTTTTAAAGCCATTGTGGTGGGAAAACAATTTGTTTACATTTGTAGTACAGTTTATGTTAAAGGTTGAAGAAATTGGGAAATATTTTATCTTTAACTCAAGACAGGATGGTGATATGCAACAGTTATAGGCAAAAAATATTTACATTTAAGAAAAAAAGTATCATTTAATCCCATTAGGCAGAAGTGGAGTCAAAAGCAAAAATATGGCTGGTTATGGATGTATGTTTCCCTTCCTGTTCATATGTTGAAACCTAATTCCCAATGTGATGGGTTTTGGAGATGGGGTCTTTGGGAGGTAATAGGTCATGAGAGTGGAACCCTCGTGGATGGGATTAGTGCCATATAAGAAGAGTCCATAGAGCTAGCTCACTCCCTTTCTGCCATGTGAGGATACAAGAAGTCGGCCTGGAAAAGAGCCCTCACCAGAACCCTACAATGGCACTCTGATCTTGGACATTCGGCCTCCGGAGCTGTGAGAAATAAATTGTCTTTAAGCTATCCAGTTTATGGTACTTTATTACACCAGCCCAAACTGACTGAAGATGGGGTCCTACCAAGCGAAATCATAGCTGTGAACAGTGTAATAGTATCTCATCAGCATGGGGAGGGCTATAGGCAAAACATGCACTAGTCTAGCTACTTAATCTTCAAGTATTAAGGACAACCTGTCCTTTTTATACAAGTCATACATTAGACATGTGCCTGAGATTACAAAACACTGTGATCGAGTTTTCAAGGCTAGGGATACACCTCAAACTCAGATGTACTTCTTTGGTGCCTATTTGTAAGTCAGCAAAATCCAGAACTCAGCAATATGTTAATTAATGTATTAATACAGAAAATATTTTTGTGCATTATATTTTCTGCATTTTAGATATTTGTGTGCCATGGAATATTTGATGATTTTTGGCTTTATTTAGGTTAAGTCAACCAAAGCATTTTGAAATGCTGCTTTTTTTTTAACACATGTATTTGTGGGTTTTTGTTTTGTTATTGTTGTTGTTTGAGACAGGGTCTTAACTCTGTCATGCAGGCTGAAGTGCAGTGTCACAATCACGGCTCACCGCAGCCTCAACCTCCCGGGCTCGGGTGATCCTCCCACGTCAGCCTCCTTAGCAGCTGGGATTACAGGTGCCCACCACCACGCCCGTCTCCTTTTTGTATTTTTAGTAGAGACGGAGTCTCACCATGTTGCCCAGGCTGGTCTCAAACTCCTGGGCTCAAGTGATCTGCCCTCCTCAACTTCCCAAAGTGCTAGGATTACAGGTGTGAGCCACCACACCTGGCCTAAATCCACATGTATTTGTAATAGTTTTGCCATTGTTTAGACAGGTAGTTTTAAGATTTTTTAAAGTAATAGAAGCCTTTCTTCAAATTAAATCTTATGTGGAAGTCCAGTATGCAGCAATTATGTTAGGTAGTCATAGAGGACTGGCCATTCGTAAAAAAAAATATACCCTTGTTTTAAATCTTTGTTTCTTGAATTTAGTCTTGAAGTTCCATGTTTTATGACTATGTATTCCATGTTTATTTTATAGTGTGTTAGCAAAATGAAAGGAATGTACATGGATGGGGATGATAAAGATGCTACTGACCTATTATTATAGGGCCTGTGCTTGGAGTTGCTTTTCAGTAATGGGATTGGATTTGTAAGAATCTGTCCATCAGGCTGGGTGCAGTGGCTGACGCCAGTAATCCCAGCACTTTGGGAGGCCGAGGCTCAAGTAGCTCAATTTGCTCAAAAAAAAAAAAAAAAAAAAAGAATCCATCTATCGTCTGGCCGGGCACGATGGCTCACGCCTGTAATCCCAGCACTTTGGGAGACTGAGGCGGGCGGATCACGAGGTCAAGAGATCGAGACCATCCTGGCCAACATGGTCAAACCCCGTGTCTACTAAAAATACAAAAATTAGATGGGCGTGGTGGTGGGCGCCTGTAATCCATCCCAGCTACTCAGGAGGCTGAGGCAGGAGAATCACTTGAACCCGGGAGGCGGACCACTGCACTCCAGCAGAGTGAGACTCCCTCCCAAAAAAAAAGAATCCATCTATCCTCTTTAATTTAGTCCCCTTTGTGGCCACACAGCAGTCTGTGTCCTACACCCTCTTGGTCAAGAATATAATGTCTACTACTCACAAAAATATATTTCTCAGTAAGTGACTCCCCTTCCTCTCATCATTGTTCTTTTAGCAATTTTTGTGCACTATTCATTTAACTATAACTTTGCCACCTTTGGACTCTAATAGACTCAAAAACCTGTTTGTCCAGTTTAGTGTATGTTTGTTTTATTCCCTCACCCATGACTTCCAGTCATATTACTGTAAGCTGATATTTGGAACTACATATATCTTTTGTATGTTTATTTTTTTAATTTTTTTTGCAAGTTTCAGGATCTATATTTTGTTGTTTGTTTGTTTGTTTGTTTGTTTTTGAGACAGAGTCTCATTCTGTCACCCAGGTTGGAGTGCAGTGACACGATCTCAGCTCACTGCAACCTCCGCCTCCTAGGTTCAAGCGATTCTCCTGCCTCAGTCTCCCGAGTAGCTGGGATTACAGGCACCCGCCACCACACCTGGCTAATTTTTGTATTTTTAGCGGAGATAGGGTTTCACATGTTGGCCACACTAGTCCCAAACTCCTGACTTCAGGTGATCTACCTGCCTTGGCCTCCCAAAGCGCTGGGATTACAGGCGTGAGCCACCGCGCCCAGCCTGTATATGTTTAAATTGTCATAAAAACTAACACCCTTTGGGAGGCCGAGGCAGGCAGATCATGAGGTCAGGAGATCGAGACCATCCTGGCTAACACAGTGAAACCCCATCTCTACTAAAAATATTTTTTTAAAAATTAGCCAGGCTTGGTGGCGGGCGCCTGTAGTCCCAACCCAGGAGGCTGAGGCAGGAGAATGGCATGAACCCAGGAGGCAGAGCTGGCAGTGAGCCAATATCACGCCACTGCACTCCAGCCTGGACGACAGAGAGAGACTCCATCTCAAAAAAAAAAAAAAAAAAAGAAAAAAGAAAACCAACACCATGTGGGGATGTTGGGAATAGCAGTTGAATGTTTCAGAATTAGGTTTTTTGTATTTGTGGTATTCTCAGATGGCCCATTTTTCCAAGATCACGTTATGTCATGTGGCTAGTTTGACAGCCCATAAGCCATAGTTCAGGGACATTTTTACCTTTTTCTAAAGGGTATATATAAAAAGATATAAAGAACAAACTATTCAGATAGTTTGGTATCAGTGAATCATTTCAATAAAAATATACTCTGAGTCTTCCTTCTTTCAGCAAATGTTTACTGAGCTCCTACTATATGCTAGCAGTCATTATGCTAAGTTTTAAGTATACAGCAGCAAACTAACTGAACATAATCCAGGCCTCACGGGATAGAGAAATTACACCAAAAAATTATATGCATAATACATTCATACATGTATAAAATCTTCATACCAATTACAAAGGAAATCAACAGGGCTCTACAGAGAGTTAAAGAAGCTACTCTAAAAAGAACAGAAAAGGAATGAGAAGTGAAAGGAATTCCAGCATTCTAGCTGGGTGCCGTGGCATGCACCTGTAGCCCCAGCTACTCAGGAGGCTGAGGCAGGAGGACCCCACGATCCCAGGAGTTCAAGTCTAGCCTAGGCAACATAGCGAGACTCTCATCTCAAAAAAAAAAGAAAAAGAAAAAAACTGTGTTATAGGCTGGGCACAGTGGTTCGCGCCTGTAATCCCAGCACTTTGGGAGGCTGAGGCGGGTGGATCACGAGGTCAGGATTTCAGGACCAGCCTGGCCAAGATGGTGAAACCCCATCTCTACTAAAAATACAGAAAAATAGGCCGGGCACAGTGGCTCACCCCTGTAATCCCAGCACTTTGGGAGGCCAAGGCGGGCGGATCACGAGGTCAAGAGATTGAAAACATCCTGGTCAACATGGCAAAACCCTGTCTCTACTAAAAATACAAAAATTAGCTGGGCATGGTGGCACACACCTGTAGTCCCAGCTACTCAGGAGGCTGAGGCAGGAGAATCACCAGGAGGTGGAGGTTGTAGTGAGCCGAGATTGTGCCACTGCACTCCAGCCCGGGCGACAGAGTGAGACTTTGTCTTAAAAAAAAAAAAAATGAGTAGGATTTGGGGGAGGAATGGCAGAGAAATGACCTGGTTATCTATTGCCAAAGCAAAAGCAAAGCAAGGAAAAATTGTTTTAAAAATACTTTAAAGAACAAGTGGAGGCCAGGTGTAGTGGCCCATGCCTATAATCCCAGAACTTTGAGAGGCGGAGTCGGGTGGATCACCTGAGTTCAGGAGTTCGAGACCAGCCTGACCAACATGACCAACATGGTGAATCCCTGTCTGTACTAAAAATACAAAAATTAGCTGAGCATGGTGGCTAACACCTGTAGTCCCAGCTGCTCGGGAGGCTGAGGCACAAGAATTGCTCGAACTCAAGAGGCAGAGGTTTCAGTGAGCCTAGATCATGCCACTGCACTTCACCCTGGGCAACAGAGTGAGACTCGGTCTAAAAAAAAAAAAAGAAAGTGGAATTTGAAAGTAAAAGCATAATACCATTTATATTAGCATGCCCCCAAAAATTAAATACTTAGGTATAAATCTAATAAATGTGTACAAGATCTGTAAGAGGAAAACTTTGAAAACCTGATGAAAGAAATCAAAGAACAATTAAACAAATATTGAGGTATTTCATGTTTTTGTTTAGGAAAACTCGATATTGTCATGATGTTCTTCCCAACTTCATCTATAGATTCAATGCAGTCCTTTTCAAAATGTCAGGAGATCATTCTGTAGATATAAACAAACCGATTCTAAAGTTTATATGGGCCAGGCGAAGTGGCTCACACCTATAGTCCCAGCACTTTGGGAGGCCAAGGCGGGCATATCACCTGTCAGGAGTTTGAGACCAGCCTGGCCAACATGACATGGTAAACCCCTGTCTCTACTAAAAATACAAAGATCAGCTGGGTATGGTTGTGGGCGCCTGTAATCCCAGCTACTCAGGAGGCTGAGGCAGGAGAATCCCTTGAGCCCAGGAGGGAGAGGTTGAAGTGAGCCGAGATCGTGCCACTGCACTCCAGCCTGGGTGATGGAGCAAGATTCTGTCTCACCAAAAAATAATAATAAAGTATATATGGAGGAGGGAAAAGACCAAGAATGAGCAACGCAATATTGAAGGAGAATAACAAAGTTAGAGGATGGCACTACCCAACTTCAAGACTTACTGGCCAGGCGTGGTGGCTCACACCTATAATCCCAGCACTTTGGGAGGCTGAGGCGGGTGGATTACCTGAGGTCAGGAGTTCGAGACCAGCCTGACCAACATGGTGAAACCCCGTCTCTACTACAAATACAAAAATTAGCCAGGCATGGTGGTGGGCGCCTGTAATCCCAGCTATTCCTCAGGAGGCTGAGGCATGAAAATTGCTTGAACCTGGGTGGTGGAGGTTGCAGTGAGCCGAGATCTCGCCATTGAACTCTAGCCTGGGCAACAGAGTGAGACTCCATCTCAAAAAAAAAAAAAAAAAGACTACTGTAAAGCTACAGTAAGTGGATGCCTGTAATCCCAGCTGCTCTGCAGGCTGAGGCAGAGAATTGCTTGAACCCGGTAGGCGGAGGTTGCAGTGAGCTGAGATCGCACCACTGCACTCCAGCCTGGACAACAGAGTGAGTCTCTGTCTCAAAAAAAAAAAATTGTCACATGTCTAAATATAAAATGCAATGCAAAAGCATGAAAACACCTAAAAGATAAGACAGAATTAAATCCAGATGACCTATGGCTTCGCGGTGACTTTTTAGGTACAACACCAAAGGCATGGTACATGAAAGAAAGAACCAATAAGTTGGACTTCCTTAAAATTGAAAATTTGTGCTCTGCAAAAGACACTGTCAAGTGGATAAAAAGAGAAGCCACAGATTGGGAGAAAATATTTGTAAGACATATCCGATACAAGACTATTATCTAAAATAGACAAAAAATTCTTTGAGAGGGAGTCTCGCTCTGTCCCCCAGGCTGGAGAGCAGTGGCGCGATCTCGCCTCACTGCAAGCTCTGCATCCCAGGTTCATGTCATTCTCCTGCCTCAGCCTTCCGAGTAGCTGGGACTACAGGCACCCACACCACGCCCGACTAATTTTTTTGTATTTTTAGTAGAGACGGGGTTTCACCGTGTTAGCCAGGATGGTCTCAATCTCCTGACCTTGTGATTCACCCGCCTCAGCCTCCCAAAGTGCTGGGATTACAGGCGTGAGCCAACGCCCCCGGCTGACAAAGAATCTTAAAACTCATCAATAAGAAAACACCCGATTAAAAAATGTACCAGGCTGTGCCTGGTGGCTCACGCCTGTAACCCCAGTACTTTGGGAGTCCGAGGCTGGTATATCACTGGAGCCCAGGAGTTTGAGACTAGCCTGGCCAACATGGTGAAACCCCGTCTCTACTAAAAATACAAAAATTAGCCAAGCATGGTGGCATGCCACTGTAGTCACAGCTACTCACTCTGGAGGCTGAGGTGGGAGGATCACTTGAGCCTGGGAGGCGGAGGCTGCAGTGAGCTGAGAATGCACCACTGCACTCCAGCCTGGGCAACAGTGAGACCACTATCTCAAAAAAAAAAAAAAAAAAAAAAAAAAAAAAAAAAAAGACCAAACACCTTGATAGACATCACACCGAAGAAGATATTCAGATGAGAAATAAGCATATGAAAAGATGCTTCTTGTGCAGGATCTGGATTTTTTCTAAGAAAGAAAAAAAGATGCTTCGCATCATATGTCATCAGTGAAATGCAAACACAATAATACCATACCTCAAAAAAAACTATGATGAGGATGATATGTTTTTTAAAGACAGAATCTCCTTCTGTTGCCAAGGCTGAAGTGCAGTAGTATGATCATAGCTCACTGCAGTCTCAACCTCCTGGCAGTCCTCCACCTCGGCCTTGCAAAGTATTGAGATTACAGGTATGAGTCACAGTGCCCATCCTACACACCTATTAGAATGACCAAAATCCAGAACACTGGCAACACCAAATGCTGGAGAGGATGTGTAGCAACAGGAACTCATTCGTTGCTAGTGGGAATGTAAGATGGAAGACTACTTTGTAAGGCAGTTTGGCAGTTTATTAAAAAACGAAACAGGCCAGGCACAGTGGCTCACGCCTGTAATCCCACCGAGATCACACCAGTGCACTCCAGCCTGAGTGACAGAGACTCCGTCTCAAAAAAATAAAAATAAAAATAAAATAAAATAAAATAAAAAATGAAACATACTCTTACCCCATGATCTAGCAATCACACTCCTTGGTATTTAACAAGGAAGCTTTGGCATTTACAAAAGAAGTTGAAAGTTTATGTCCACACAAAAGCCCACGTATGGATTTTGTTTGTTTTTGTTGTTTTTTGGTTTTTTGTTTGTTTTGAGACAGGGTCTCACTCTGTCACCCAGACTGAAGTGCAATGGTGCAATTATAGCTCATTGCAGCCTCAAACTCCAGGACTCAGGTGGTTCTCCTACCTCAGCCTCCCGAGTAGCTAGGACTATAGGCATGTGCCACCACACCAGGCTGGTAACTTCTATTAGATATCCTCTTGGAGCTATTGAGTTTTAAGTTGTATGAATGCATTGCATTACATTTCAAATTTAAAATACAATTTTAAAAATAAGAATGTTAACTAGATAATTATGTAACAACTTAAAAACTTTGCTTACCAGAATTTTATTAAAATGTTATTTGGCTTTCGATCATTTAAAAAATTCTTCATTTCTTAAAGATTTATCTAATTTCTCTACCAAGCATACACAGTAATAATAGCAACAAGAAAATTACCATCAGGGAGACATAAAAGCAGTATAATGAAGCTAGTTTAGCAAGAAGGGGTGCAAATAAGAAACGAATACTCAGAGGATCTCAGCTTTTTATTTAAAAAAATTGAAAGATTTTGAACATGCATATTAGATTTTATTAATTAAATATGTTACAGGACCATTCTGGAGAGAATTATATATCTCATGGCGGGGATTCCTGGGGAATCTTTAATGAGGGATAAACTCCAAGGGCCAGAGAAGCTGTTCACCACACTTTTTTTCCTACCCTTTCCCCCAAGCAATCCCCTACTCACAGAGGAACTGCCCTTATTCAGGAGCTGAAAGAGGATACCAGAGCTCCTCTCTGTTCTAGCTAGCCTAGGTCCCAAAGAAGACCCCCCAAATACACCGTTTTTTCTTAAAAACATCCTTCACACTTGGTCTGATGATTTTTACTTGTTAAATGCAATCCGTTGGCCGGGCACAGTGGCTCACACCTGTAATCCTAACACTTTGGGATGCTGAGGCAGGTGGATCACCTAAGGTCAGGAGTTCGAGACCAGCCTGGCCAAATGGTGAAACCTGGTCTCTATTAAAAATACAAAAATTAGCTGGGCGTGGTGGCAGGCGCCTATAACCCCAGCTACTTGGGAGGCTGAGGCAGGAGAATCGCTAGAACCCAGGAGGCAGAGGTTGCAGCAAGCCAAGATCATGCCATTGCTTTCCAGCCTGGGTCAAAGAGCGAAACTCTGTCTTAAAAAAAAAATGCAATCCATCAAAAACTTTTTCTTCTAAGTTATTTCTAATTAATTAAGTATAAAATTGAATTCAATTGTTTCAATAATAGTATATACAGAATTCTAAATTATAACTCCATCAGTTTCTTCAAAGCTTTTTAGTTTAACCTTTTCACAATATTTGGTCTCTACTTCCATTGCTATGCGGTTTGTTGAGGCAAGATGTCCCTCTGGAGTGCAGTAGTGCAATCACAGCTCACTACCCCCTCGACATCCTAGGCCCAAGTGACCATCTACTTCAACCTCTCAAGTAGCTGGGACCACAGGTGCGCACCACCATGACCAGTTAATTTTTCCTATTTTTTGTAGAAATAGGGTCTCGCTTTGTTGCCTAGGCTGGTCTCAAACTCCTGGGCTCAAGCAATCCTTCCACGTCGGCCTCCCAAAGTGCTGGGATTGTAGGTGTGAGCCACCACACCTGGCCTGTTTGTTTTTTTAATCCCATGATTTACCTTTCTGTTTCCCCTATACCTGAGACTTGGTAACCATCTCTTCACATACTTACAGTTAATTGTTCACCATTCATCACACCTGGATGTCCTGCATTTGACTGAACATGCCCAGTTCTTTTCACAATTTCTCATAGGTCTAATTTCACAAACCTTTCATCAGTTGCTGTTCTCTGAACAGTCTCCAAGTTTTTTCTCTTTATATAGTATGACATGTAAAATTAAATATAGTTTGTTCCAACTGAAGCCTGCCCAGTGCCAAATAAAGCAAAAATAATTGCTTCCCTCCTTTTTCATGCATATGCCTTAATACAATTCTATGAAGTATTTGTCTCTTATTTCAATTCATCCAACTTAACACCAACCATAATTGTTGGCTCTCCCTTGGCTGTTTCATCTACAGCTGTCTTTGCCAGTATTTCCGCATGTTTGCTGCAATTCAGTAGCATATTAAAAGTTACATGTTAAATTTCTAAGAGGAATTCTTTCACACATTTTTTATTTAAAAATTGCCCCATGAACAATGTGGATGTAGTGTTTGGGGCCTCAAGAACTAAGGCTTGAACAATTCCAAGTACTTTGGTGGTGGGAACTGGAAAGACAGATTTAGATGGAGAGGTACCAGAAGAGATTGCTGAAAACCGGAGAAAGATGGCTGCCTTTGGTTTTCTCTTTGTTTTTGTTTTTTGAGACAGAGTTTCGCTCTTGTGGCCCAGGCTAGAGTGCAGTGGTGCGATCTCGGCTCACTGCAACTTCCACCTCCTGGGTTCAAGCGATTCTCCTGCCTCAGCCTCCAGAGTATCTGGGACTACCGGCGCGTGCCACCATGCACAGCTAACTATGTATTTTTAGTAGAGACAGGGTTTCACCATGTTGGCCAGGCTGGGAGATCAAACTCCCGACCTCAGGTGATCCACCTGCCTCAGTCTCCCAGAGTGGTGGGATTACAGGTGTGAGCCACGGCGCCGGGCCAACTGCCTTTGTTTTCTGCTATCACAGTTCTTTGGTTGTAAGCAAGGGAAACCAATTTCAGCTAATGTAAGCAAAGGGGAATTTGTCAGAACTATATCAGAGGATTTTCAGCTGGCTGGAGAATCATGCTTAGAAACTGGCAAACACCAACAATGCTCCCAAAAGCAGCTATCTCAGGCATAGTTTATAGAAGAAGAGAGCTGGGTGTGGTGGTTCACAACTACAACTCAGTGCTTTGGGAGGCTGGAGGTGGGAGGATTGCTTGAGGCCAAGGGTTCAACATCATCCTGGGCAACATAGTGAAACCCTGTCTCTACAAAAAATAAGTTTAAAAAATAAGGCAGGTATAGTGGCACACTCCTCAGGAGACAGAGAGGAGGATTGCTTGAGCCCAGGAGTTCAAGGCTGCAGTGAGTTATGATTGCACCACTGCATTCCAGCCTGGGCATCAGTGTGAGACCATGTCTCTTTAAAAAAAAAAAAAAAAAAAAAAGCATTAGTGTCCATCTTTGGGGCCTCTTCCTTGGTTCTTCCCCAGTTCCAAATTCTAAACAAACCTGGACACTGGATGTGAGGCACTGTGGGGGATTCTAAGAGTAAAAATACACAACCAGTGCCCTTCGGGATGTTACAATCTAGGAAGGAGAGAAAGATACACAAATAGTGAAATATAAACCCAAGTGTTAAATATGCTCTAAGAAAAGTAAAATGTGGCCAGGCACACAGGCTCACACCTGTAATCCCAGCACCTTGGGAGACTGAAGCGGGAGGATCACTTGAGCCTAGGAGTTTGAGACCAGCCTGGAAAACATGGTGAGACCCCGTCTCTAGTAAAAAAAAAAAAAAAAAAAATTAATTAACTTAAAAAAAAAATAAAGTAAGCCCGGCTTGGTGGCATGAACCTGTAGTCCCAACTACTTGGGAGGCTGAGGCGGGAGAATTGCTTGAACCCGGAAGGCGGAAGTTGCAGTGAGCCGCTGGAGGTTGCAGTGAGCCAAGATCGTGCCACTGCACTCCAACCTGGTGACAGAACAAGACTCCGTCTCAAAAAAAAAAAAAAAAAAAAAAAGTAAAATGTGCTAAAAGCCAAGTTCCCAATTGTCTCCTGGTTACGGAGAAATAGATGTTCCCAATAACTCTCACGGTAACTATGGTTGGCATAAGGTGCATTTAGACTAGCTTTAACAATTATTTTCTCATTGAACTTCTTCACTCAGATACTGCAGTATTTCCAGACAGGTAAGTACCCTAACCTATGTAAAAGTCCCCTTAGCGCTTGTTTTACCTTCACCCTAGGAAATCTCACATTCAGAGGATACCTCATCAACATCATCTGCTCAGATGTCCTCTTGCTCAGCACTTGCAACATTAGTGAAATAACACATTGGTATGTCACTTTTTTGTTTCTTTTTTTTTTTTTTTTTTTTTTTTGAGACGGGGTTTCGCTCTTGTTGCCCAGGCTGTAGGGCAATGGTGCAATCTCACTGCAACCTCTGCCTCCTGGGTTCAAGCAGCCTCCCAGGTAGCTGGGATTACAGGCGTGTGCCACCATGCCCAGCTAATTTTGTATTTCTTTACTAGAGATGGGGTTTCACCATGTTGGTCAGGCTGGTCTTGAACTCCTGACCTCAAGTGATCCACCTGCCTTGGCCTCCCAAAGTGCCAGAATTACAGGCATCAGCCACTGTGGCTGGCACCCCACCTCCCATTTTATTTTTTCTTTAGCAGAGACGAGGTCTTGCTATGTTGCTCAGGCTGGTCTTAAACTCCTGAGTTCTCCCACCTCAGCCTCCAAAAGTGCTGGGATTACAGGCGTCAGCTACCATGCCTATCCACATTTTGTTTTTTTGTTTTGGTTTGGTTTGGGTATGTCACTTTTTGATATTAGGTGATCCAAAATAATTTATCTTGGTATGCAAGATGTTCAAGGAACAAACATCTACAATAAGGTACCAAAGTTTTGAATTATTTATCTGTGTATATGTATGTATACCCACACAGACCATTATGAGGCATTTTAGAAATCACTTTCTCACATGCATTCCAATATAATTTCCTGAGAGAGAAAGGAGTTCCATGCAGGGAGTTATACATAAACCACAGCCTACTTTTATGGCCATTTTGAATTACTTTTGTATTTCAAATTCACTTTTTAAAACTTCACCCATGGGGCGGGAGGATTGCTTGAGCCCAGGAGTTCGGGACAGCAGTGAGGTATGATCATGCCACTGCACTCCAGCATGGGCAACAAAGCAAGACCCCCATCTCTAAAAAAATCAATAAATAAAGGAAACTTCACCCATACCCACAGAAGAGAAAATTGTGAATGAGTGCATCAACATCTACAGTACACAAAAACAGTAGTCTCTGAACATTGTTAGTAGGGTCCTAACAGTTATGATAGCCAAGTGAAAACTCTCAAAGGAAAGTGAAAATATTCCTTATATCAATAACATGGAGGGAATCTACCAATTTTATGTTTTTAACAATAAATTTTATGCCTTTTCAAATAATGTGTACTTGTTTTATTGGTGTTGTGAGTAAAGGCTGGGGGAGAAATCATGATATTTAAAAATTAGATATGCTACATTTTGGCAATTCTTACATAACTGATTTCACTATTGTTGAATTCTTAACATTAAGTGAACATCTTTTGTTTTTCTTTTTGTTTTTTGTTTTGTTTGACAGGGTCTCACTCTGTCATCCTGGTTGAAGTGCATTGGTGCGAACACAGCTCACTGCAGCCACAGCTTTCTGGGCTCAAGTGATCCTCCCCCCCAACTTCAGCTTCCCAAGTAGCTGGGACTGCAGGTGTACGCCTGCCCAGCTAATTTTTTATGTTTTATAGAGGCAGTGTCTCGCTTGTTGCCTAGGCGGATCTTGAACTCCTGGGCTTAAGTGATCCTCCCACCTTAGCCTCTCATAGAGTTGGGATTATAGGTGTGAGCCACTGGACCCAAGGCTTTTCTTTTTTTGAAACAGTCTCACTCTGTTGCCCAGGCTGGAGTGCAGTGGCATTATCAGAGCTCACTGCAGCCAAGACTTCCCAGGTTCAAGCATCCTCCCGCCTGAGCCTCCCTAGTAGCTGGAACTACAAGCACTTACCATTACACCAGAATAATTTTTTTAATTTTTAATTTTTGTAGAGATGGGGTCTCACTATGTTGCCCAGGGTAGTCTCGAACTCATGGGCTCAAGTGATCCCCCTGCCTCGGCCTCCCAAAGTGCTGGGTTTATAGGCATGAGCCACCATGATGCCCAGCCTTAAGTGAATATTTAACAAAATGATTTTGTAGTATTATTTTCTTCATTTACTAATAAAATTGTTGCAGGGTGTTTTTTTTTTTTTCCTTTTTTCCCCAAATTTGAGTACATCCATGGAAATACATCATACAGATAAACATCATCCATTCTTTGTGATAATGTGGAAAAAAGATTAAGAAACTGCCCTTTAATACTATTTGTATTAAAGAGTATTATTTGGGGATATTTGGGGATAGTTGAGAAATCACTAACCGTTGATGGAAATTTGATTGGGTTTTTTGAGGATAGTCCAAAAGTCATCAAGTACCGATGGAACTTTATCATTCTAAATTCCTTAGAGACTTAAAATTATTTCTTGGAAACTTAAACTTCAGGCTAATGTTGTAATATCACAAGCATCCATGAACGTATCATTTTAAGTAAGAGGTGGTATCTTCTACTCTCCTCCTCTTCAGTCCAGGCCACTGTGATAATGTGCTTATAGATGTGGTAATGCCTCCTCTTGGTACCAAAGCCACATTCATTAGCTTTGTCAAAATAAATGATACCAGTGATACTAATTTCTTGCACTCTCAGTGATGGAACAGGATTTCAATGAAACAGTCCCTTTAGTTTTTACTTTTTTATCACAGCCCCCTTAAATTACAACCCCCTTAAATTAGAACTCTGGTGTGAATCTGTATGAGCTAGAATGGGTGAGAGGTTACCAGGACAGACCCTCGGAATTATCCTTTCACTCAAACACTGGCCTAGGCAGAGATCATTCTTCATGATCTCTGTGCATTTCTGCACATCTGGTGAGTGAAGCACTGACTGCCCTTCTTTCAGGACTCTCTCTTCAGGGATGTTTGTAGAGCAAACAGTCTTAGAGGATAGGAATAAGGTTTTCCAGAGCAAAGGGCAAGCAAGTTTATTGCCACTATAAAAGATTCAGGCTCCTGAAGCTGAAGGTTCCCCTTCTGTAAAGCAGCCCACTGCAAGGGCAGATGCCATCTGGCCTTCTTTGCCTCTCCCTATGGAAATTGGGACTTTGCTAACTAATGCCAAAAACAAACCACAAAACTGATACTCTGGCTATTGCTATGGCTATTGCTGTGAGTAAGAAACTCTTCATTCTGGCTCAGGACTATGATATCTTCTGCCAGCATCCATGTGCCAGGCGAACTTTTTAGCTTGTAAGTTGGGTGAAATCTGAGATTGTTTACGGTTTTTCACATTGCCTTAAACCAAATGCACGCGCTCTGACTCCCAAAAGGCTATTTTGTCCCTTATGTGAATATATCCTCCGGTGGACTAACTCCACCAGTGTTCCAGATGGACGCCCCCATGGCTGAGTCCTAGAGGGAACAGAGCTTAGACTTAAATCGGGACCCCTGCTACACAACTCTGCCAGTGTAAATTATTGTCATTATCCAAAGGCAGACTTCTCACTGTGCTCATTATGATGCCTATGTCACAACTAAGGAGGCCCTCCCCCTTGACATACACTCTGCCTCTGTCCTGCCGCTTTATATCCCATGGCTCCCATGAAGTCTTCCTCAGTTATTCCACCTGTGTTAGATCTTTTTCAGTTGCATGGAACAGAAACTCAACTTATAATTAAAGATTAAACGCTGGCTAATGACCAAAAACTAAAGTGATGAAGACATTCATTACTTGGTTTGTTTATCCTTGTATTCTCACAGTTAATTTCCTTGATTAAAAAAATATATATATATACTGACTGACGGGGCGTGGTGGCTCACATCTGTAATCCCAGCACTTTGGGAGGCCAAGGCAGGTGGATCACTTGAGGTCAGGAGTTCAAGACCAGCCTGGCCAACCTGGTGAAACCGTGTCTCTACTAGAAATACCAAAAAATGGCTGGGCACGGTGGCTCACAGCTGTAATCCCAGCACTTTGGGAGGCCGAGGTGGGTGGATCACGAGGTCAGGAGATCAAGACCATCCTGGTCAACGTGGTGAAACGCCATCTCTACTAAAAACACAAAAATTAGCCAGGCATGGTGGCACGTGCCTGTAATCCCAGCTACTCAGGAGGCCTAGGAAGGAGAATCGCTTGAACCAGGGAGTCAGAGATTGCAGTGAGCTGAGATCGAGCCACTGTACTCCAGCCTGGCGATAAAGTGAGAGTCTGTCTCAAAAAAATAAAAATAAAAAGAAGAAATATGGCCTGGTGCAGTGGCTCACGTCTATAATCCCAGCACTTTGGGAGGCCAAGGCGAGCAGATCACCTGAGGTCGGGAGTTCAAGAATAGACTGACCAACATGGAGAAACCCTGTCTCTACTAAAAAAACAAAATTAGCCGGGCTTGGTGGTGCATGCCTGTAATCCCAGTTACTTGGGAGGCTGAGGCAGGAGAATCACTTGAACTCGGGAGGAGGAGGTTGCAGTGAGTCGAGATCACACCACTGTACTGCAGCCTGGGCAACAGAGTAAGATTCTGTCTCAAAAAATAAAAATAAAATAAATAAAAGTGCTGACTGAGTTTATTTCTTGGTTTAAAATGGAAACTTATTAAGTTCAGGCATAAATGTAAAATGAAAACATCCTTTTACTAATAACCCTAATGGCATTCTTGTCTTTAGGATGAGGAACGTAAGCCTGTAACAGAAGGAGCCTAAGAGCCCATTTACATTTCTGGAGCTAAAGGCAATGTACCCCAGAGACCCATTTTATCCCCTTCATTTTCTTCTTACCAGAAGAACAATGCAGGATCCTTGCTTCTACACATTCCTGGGCATTTTCTTCTCCGTATCTTTTTTCCAAAAGATATCCTTTCCTTCTTACACAGAAAGGTGGAGAAAAAAAAGTCAAAGGATACAATTTCCACTTTCTTTAACCCATGCTGTGTGCCCAATTATGTCTCCCCAAAAATTCATATATTGAAGTCCTTAAATACCCAAGAATGTGAGTGTATTTGGACACAGGATCTTTAGAGAGGTAATTAGAGTAAAATGAGGTCATTAGAGCAGGCCTCCTTTTTCCCTTTTAATAATAGATCCCTGGCTGGGCGCAGGGAATCGCTTGAACCAAGGAGGCGAAGGTTGCAGTGAGCCGAGATCGCGCCACTGCACTCCAGCCTGGGCGACAAGAGCGAAACTCCATCTCAACAATAAAAATAAAAATAAAAATAAATAATAGATCCCCTCTTCACTCAAAATGATGGGTGGGCACATGACTTCCCAGCTGGAGACATTTCCCAGCTTCCCTTGTAAATCAGTGTGGCCATTTGAACTAGGTTTTGGTTAATGAGATATAAGTGGAAGTGATCAGCATTCTTCTGCTTTAATGACCTCAAGAATGAACTTGCCTACTCTCCACACATTGCCTTACTCAGGGCTGGAATATGGACAGGGTACTGGTGAGCTACTTCAACCCCATGTGGTTGAAGACAACTGCCTGTTACTCAGATATGGAATCTAAATGCAGAGGCAAGTAGAGACATGGCCAGCTGGGTCCCTGGATGAACTCATGTCTATCTTCACAACTGTTACAGGGGAGAAATAAACATTTCTTATTTAAAACAGTTATTTCAGCAAGTTAGCCTAAACATTAACTAATACAGCCAGCAGTAAACTAGTGCTTTTGTGTCAGGCAGTGTATTCAGCTTCTATATAGATTATCTGCTTTAACCCTCACAACAGCCCTGTGATCTTGATGCTGTTATTAACCCTGTTCTATCAATGAAGAAACTGAGGCACAGAGTGGCTCAAGTAATTTGACCAAGATAATGTAGCTAGCAGATGGTAGAGCTAGGAAGTATACTTAGGCAGTTGACTTCAAAAACTAGTTTTTAGGGAACACTTACACACTGTTGGTGGAAAGGTAAATTAGCAAAACCTCTATGGCAAACAGTTTGGAGATTTCTCAAAGAACTAAAAATAGAACTTCCATTTGATTGAGCAATCCCACTAGTGGGTATCTACCCAAAGGAAAAGCAATCACTATATAAAAAAGAAAAAAATGATACCTGCACTCATCTATTTATCACAGTACTATGCACAATAGCAAAGATATGGAATCAACTAAAGTGATGTCTATCAACAAATGATGGGATACAGAAAATGTGATGTGTGTGTGTGTATACATACATAATTATATACATTTTTTTCTTTTTTTTTTTTTTGAGACAAGGTCTGGGTCTATCACCCAGGGTAGAGTGCAGTGGCACGATCTTGGCTCACTGGAACCTCTGCCTCCTGGGCTCAAGCCATCCTCCCACCTCAGCCTTCCTAGTGGCTGGGACTAAAGGCGCGGGCCAACACACCCAGCTAATTTTTGTATTTTTTGTAGAAACAAGGTTTCAGGCCGGGCACAGTGGCTCACCACATGTAATCCCAGCACTTTGGGAGGCCGAGAGGCAAGCAGATCACCTGAGGTCAGGAGTTCGAGACCACCCTGGCCAACCTAGGGAAACCCCGTCTCTACTAAAAATACAAAAATTAGCTGGGCATGGTGGTGCGCGCCTGTAGTCCCAGCTACTCGGGAGGCTGAAGCAGGAGAATCACTTGAACCCAGTAGGTGTAAGTTGCAGTGAGCCGAGATTGCACCACTGCACTCCAGCCTGGGGTGACAGAGTGAGACTCCATGTCAAAAAAAAAAATTAGAAAAGAGGTTTCACCATGTTGCCCAGACTGTTCTCGAAATCATGAGCTGCAGCAATCCACCTGCCTCAGCCTCCTAAAGTGCTGGGATCACAGGCATGAGCCACCACACCTGGCCTGGTGTGCGGGTATATATATATCTCCTGCCTCAGCCTCCCGAGTAGCTGGGATTACAGGCATGCACCATCACTCTCGGCTAATTTTGTATTTTCAGTAGAGATGGGGTTTCTCCATGTTGGTCAGGCTGGAGTGACCTCAGGTGATCCACCCACCTCAGCCTCCCAAAGTGTTGGGATTACAGGTGTGAGCCACCACACCCGGCCCATATATACATATATATTACAATGGAATACTATTTAGCCATAAAAAAATGAAATCGTATCTTTTGTAGCAACATGGGTGGAACTGGAGGCCATTGTCTTAAATGAAACAACTCAGAAACAGAAAGTCAAATACCACATGTTCTCACTTACACATGGAAGTTAAATAATGTGTACAGATGGACATAGAGTGTGGACCAATAGACACTGGAGACTTGGAAGGGTGGGTGGGAGGGGTAGAGGAGTGAAAAATTATTTAATGGGTACAATATACATTATTTGGGTGAGTAAAAGCCCAGACTTCACCACTACAATATATTCACATCACAAAACTGCTCTTGTATCCCTTACATTTATACCAAAAAGCTACCTTTTACTGGTTAACTTTAGTACATCCCCTGAGAGAATTTGAGATGCTTTGCAAGGGCTAAAAATAGAGGCATTCCTGTTTTACCAGTCAATTTTGTTCAGTTTCCTGTCTGGTACCTGCATAAGAAAAATGAATTTTTAAAATAATTGGTGATTTTAATGTATTCATCTTTTGCGTTATAAAACTCTACTCTGGAAGATACTCTTTAGACATTCCAGATATTGGAATTTTATTACAGTAAAATTTCCAAAATAATTTTGGAGACTAACATGGACTTACTTTCTTCTTTCTTCCTCTTTTTTCTTTCTTTCTTTTTCTTTCTCTTTTTCTTTTCTTTCTTTTTCTTTCTTTCCTTCTTTCTTTCTCTCTCCCTCCTTCTTCTCTCCTTCTTTCCTCTCTCTCCTTCCTTCCTCTCTCTCCTTCTTTCCTCTCTCTGTCTCCTTCCTTCCCTCCTTCCTTCCTCTCTCTCCTTCTTCCCTCTCTCTGTCTCCTTCCTTCGTTCCTTCCTTCCTTCCTTCCTTCCTTCCTTTTTCTTTCTTTTCTTTCTTGACAGAGTCTCACTCTGTCACCCAGGTGGAAGTACAGTGGTGCACTCTCGGCTTGCTTCCCAGGCTCAAGTGATTCTCATGCCTCAGCCGCCCAACTACCTGGGACTACAGGCGTGCGCCACCATGCCTGGATAATTTTTGTATTTTTTAGTAGAGACGGGGTTTCACCATGTTGGCCAGGCTGTTCTCGAACTCCTGACCTCAGGTGCTAGGATTATAGGCGTGAGCCACCACGCCCGGACTAACATGGAGTTTTTTAACTTTTGTTTTTGCCAAGGTGAGTACCTTGAAATGTTAAAAACCTATTCATTCCCATCATTTACAAAAAGGACATTTTAACTCCAAGATAAATAGGAAAGTCAAAGACTGGGCCAAAAAAGGAATTTATTGTAATTAAACTGGATAAATTTTTCTTCCACTGTTTGGTGCTTGAAATCTATCACATTCCACCCAGTGGAAGTGAGCCTCTGATGATGAAAAAGGGTATTTTCTCTAAGTTTACTTAAACAACAGTCATCATTGGGCCATTTAAAATTCTTGGGCATGGTGCCTCACTCCTGTAATCCCAGCATTTTGGGAGGCCGAGGCGGGCGGATAATGAGGTCAGGAGTTCGAGACCAGCCTGGCCAACATGGTGAAACCCCATCTCTACAAATCCAAAAATTAGCTGGGCGCAGTGGTGTGCGCCTGTAGTCCCAGCTACTCAGGAGGCTGAGGCAGGAGAACCACTTGAACCTGGGAAGCGGAGGTTGCAGTGAGCCGAGATCACGCCCATTGCACTCCAGCCTGGGTGACAGAGTGAGAACCCGTCTTAAAAAAAAAAAAATTATTGGCGGGGCCTGGTGTCTACAAATCATACATTTCTTTAGTGTGAAGGCAGCACTAACTGTAGCAGGATATTGCTTCACACATCTAACCTCTTGTAGTTTATTTCACTAAACTGAGTTTTGCAACATGGAAATAGTATGTACCTTATTTCCTCACATACTTCCATCTCATAAAATTTATCCTAGAACCTATTTGGGGTATCAAATAAAAGGTGATTTTTATGGTTTTAAAGTCTCTCTGTTCTCCCTCTCCCTAGCTCCCCACCTAGATAGGCTGCCATTATGATCGCTAACAGGAAAACTGATAGATTTAAAATTACTGTTTATGTTATTATCTGTGCAGGAACAATCAAAAAATAATTTTTGTCTCATTCTGCTGTAGAGACAAAAAATTTCGTTCTTTCTTTTTTTTTGAAATGGAGTTTTGCTTGTTGCCCAGACTGGAGTGCAGTGTCGAGATCTCAGCTCACTGCAACCTCCGCCTTGCGGGTTCAAGAGATTCTCCTGCCTCAGCCTGTCGAGTAGCTGGGATATAGGTGCCCACAACCAAGCCCAGATAATTTTCTGGTAATTTTTAGTACAGACGGGGTTTCACCATGTTGACGACGCTGGTCTCAAACCCCTGACCTCAAATGAACTGCCCACCTCTGGTTCCCAAAGTGCTGGGATTATAGGCATGAGCCACCACGCCTGGCTGACAAAAATATTTTTAAAAATTCTCCTAATAGCTGTTTTGTTTTGTTTGTTTGTTTTTTATTTTAGGATCTTGCTCTGTCACCCAGGCTGGAGTACAGTAGCACCATCACTGCTCACTGTAGCCTCGACCTGCTGGGCTCAAGTGATCCTCCCATCTCAGCCTCCTGAGTAGGGGACTACACACAGGCACCACCATGATCCGGTAATTTTTAAATTTTTTGTAGAGACTGGGTCTTTTTTTTTTTTTTTTTTTTTTGAGATGAAGTCTCTCTCTGTCGTCCAGGCTGGAGTGCAGCGGCGCGATCTCGGCTCACAGTAACCTCTGCCTCCCAGATTCATTCAAGTGATTCTACTTCCTTAGCCTCCCAAGTAGCAGGGACTATAGGCGCCCGCCACCACGCCCGGCTAATTTTTGTTTCTTTTTTGGTTGTTGTTGTTGTTCGAGACAGAGTTTTGCTCTGTCTCCCAAGCTGGAGTGCAATGGCACGATATCAGCTCACTGCAACCTCTGCCTCCCGGGTTCAAGTGATTCTCGTGCCTCAGCCTTCCAAGTAGCTGGGATTATAGGTGCGCGCGACCACGTCCAGCTAATTTTTGTATTTTTAGCAGAGACAGAGTTTCACCACGTTGGCCAGGCTGGTTTCGAACTCCTGAGCTCACACGATCTGCCTGCTTTGCCCTCCCAAAGTGCTGGGATTATAGATGTGAGCCACTGCTCCCTGCCCTTTTTTTTTTTTTTTTTTTTTCAGAGTCTCACTCTGTTGCCCAGGCTGGAGTGCACTGGTGCAATCTCGGCTCACTGCAACCTATGCCTCCCGGGTTCAAGTGATTCTCCTGCCTCAGCCTCCGGAGTAGATGGGATTACAGGTGCCCGCCACCACACCCAGCTAATTTTTGTATTTTCAGTAGAGACAGGGTTTCACCATGTTGGCCAGGCTGGTCTCAAAGTCCTGACCTCAGGTGATCCACCACCTCAGCCTCCCAAAGTGCTGGGATTACAGATGTGAGCCCAGCCCCTGACTGCTGTTTGAGATATATGTTAGTTTCCTGAATTTGTGCTGAATATGGAGATGCTCTTCTAGGCCAAAGAAGTATTAAAGAAAATGATTACCTTAAAAAGCTAATTTGGGCCGGGTGCGGTGGCTCACGCCTGTAATCCCAGCACTTTGGGAGGCCGAGACACGCAGATCACAAGGTCAGGAGATCGAGACCATCCTGGCTAACACCGTGAAACCCCGTCTCTACCAAAAATACAAAAAATTAGCCGGGCACGGTGGCGGGCGCCTGTAGTCCCAGCTACTCGGGAGGCTGAGGCAGGAGAATGGCATGAACCCAGGAGGCAGAGCTTGCAGTGAGCCGAGGTCGCGCCACTGCACTCCAGCCTGGGTGACAGAGCGAGACTCCATCTCAAAAAAAAAAAAAAAAAAAAAAAAAAGCTAATTTAAAGGCTGCATGCAGTGGCTCATGCCTGTAATCCCAGTATTTGGGAGGCTGTGGTGGGAGGATTGCATGAGCCTAGGAGTTTGAGAACAGCCTGGGCAACAAAGCAAGACCCCATTTCTTAAAAAAATAAATAAAAAAATATTAGCTGGGCACAGTGGTGTGCACCTATAGTCCCAGCTACTTGGGAACCTGAGGTGGGAGGATCACTTGAGGCCAGGAGTTAGAGGCTGCAATGAGTCATGATGTCCCACTGCACTCCAGTCTGAGTGACAGAGCTAGACGCTGTCAAAAAAAAAAAAAAAAAAAGGCCCGGTGCTGTGTCTCACACCTGTAATATCAGCACTTTGGGAGGCTGAGGTGGGCGGATCACCTGCGGTCAGGAGCTCGAGACCAGCCTGACCAACATGGAGAAACCCCGTCTCTACTAAAAATACAAAAAATTAGACGGGCGTGGTGGGGGGCGCCTGTAATCCCAGCTACTCTGGAGGCTGAGGCAGGAGAATCGCTTGAACCCAGGAGGCGGAGGTTGCAGTGAGCTGAGATCGCGCCATCTAGCCCAGGCGACAGAGCAAGAGTCCGTCTCAAAAAAAAAAAAAAAAAGTTAATTAAAAAATTGCAATGTACTTGAATTTCCTCAGGTATCACCAGTCTGTGGGTACAAAAGGAGAGTAACATGAACGATTCAAATTCCACTGGCTCTTGTTCCCATGGATTCACAGAAGTTCAGCCCCATTTCAAAACTTCACATTTGCTTCTGGGAAGCCCATTCTGGAAAGTTTCTCTGTGGCCCTCTCCAGAAGGCAGCGCGACTTCCACCCAGCAACACAAGTCTCTGCAGCACCTGCCCCAGCAGCGCCAGCTGAGCCCCGGAAGCTGGGAAGGCTTAAGCTGACTCTTCTGCTGCACATAGCAAAAAATGGTCATTTCTGTAGTTGCAGCTCCAGATCTACAATAATCAATCTATATCCATATTTTATGGGGTTTTTTTGAGACAAAGTCTTGCTCTGTTACTCAGGCTGGAGTGCAGTGGCATTATCATCATTCACTTGTAGCCTTGACCTCCCTGGCTCAGGTGATCCTGTCACCTCAGCCTTCCAAGTAGCTGAGACCACAGGCATGCACCACTAAGCCTGGCTAATTTTTCAATTTTTATTTTTCGTAGAGACAGGGTCTCCCTGGGTTGCCCAAACTGGTCTTGAATTCCTGGGCTCAAGCAATCCTCCTGTCCCGGCACCCCGAAGTGTTGGGACTACAGGCATGAGCCACTGTGCACAGCCCTTTTTGTTTTTGTTTTTGTTTTTTTTTAAAGGTAATTTCCCAGTGGAATCCTCGAGATTTCTTCACGTTTTTGGAAAAATGAGTTACATTTTAGATTGTTTTCCTTTTTGGAATTTAATGGTATACATTATATTACATAGCTATGTTGAGCTCTATTTCTATTACACTAAAAAGTAGGCTAATTGTCTTAACTTTCATCAGTAATGACATTAAATGTGTGAAGATTATACTTGGAATAAAGCACTTGGATTCATTCATTTCTTCAGTAAATATTTATTGAGCACTAGTATGTTCCAACGAGTGTCTGTCTACATTCTGGGGACAAGTGATAACTAAATCCCTGTCCTCGTGGAGAGTTAACAATCAACAAACTAACAAACATTTAATTTATGTCATCAACTCATTTCCACAAATATAACAACATCTTGACTTCAAGTTTCCTGAGTTTCTGGTCTAAAGAATTGCTACCTTCAAGAGCTCAAATCATTTGTTGGGGAGAGAGGCCTGTGATATATTTTCTCCTTTACAATGAAAGTAGCTGTAAAAAGAGGAAGAGAAATTCTGAGGGTAAAGATAAAAAATGTTGAAATCTTCTTTCTGGATTTCAGATTGAGTCTCTTGCCCTAATTGATGCAATTTACACTCCATGCATCTCCTTCCCTGGACCTTCTCCAGTTCTTGGGGACTACAGATGAACTTACTTTTAATGCATTTTATGGCATTTGGAGGCCCTCCAGTGGACAAATACTATACCTGAAAAAAATCCTTTTGCTGTGCTAAAGTGTTCAGGTGTGAAGTGTACTCATGTTTGCAAATCACTTTGAAATATATAAACAAAAATGAATTAATGGATGAATAGAGTGATGCATAGATCATTAGACATGTGATAAAAATAACTGTTAATTGTAGAATCTAGATGATGAGTATATTATATGATATGGCCCACTGTATAATTCTTTCAACTTTTCTGTTTGAATGTTTGATAATAAAATATTGAATAAAAATCTTTTTGCTAAAGATTTATGCCTTGTAGTTCACATTATTGAAAATTTTGCTGAGATAACGTAAATTACCTTTCAAAAATCATCTTAAAAATTGTCTTAATAAACATGGATTAATTTTTATTTTTATTTTTGAGACAAGGTCTTACTCTGTCACCCAGGCTGGAATGCAGTGGCATGATCATGGCTCACTGCAGCCTTGAGCTTCCAAGCTCAAGAGATCCTCCCATCTCAGCCTTCTGAGTAGCTGGGACTAGAGACTAATTAAAAAATTAACCCAGCTAATTAAAAAACATTTTTTTTTTTTGAGATGGAGTCTCGTTCTGTTGCCCAGGCTGGAGTGGAGTGCAGTGGTGTGATCTTGGCTCACTGCAACCTCTACCTCCTGCCTCAGCCTCCTAGTAGCTGGGATTACAGATGTGCGCCACCACGCCTGGCTAACTTTTTTATTTTCTGTAAAGATGGGGTTTTGCCATGTTGGCCAGGCTGCCCTTGAACTCCTGACCTCAAGTGATTCACCTGCATCAGCCTCCCAGAGTGTTGGGAATCCAGGCATAAGCCACTGCACCAAGCCTTAAAAATGTTTTCGTAGAGACAGGGTCTCACTATCTTGCCAATGCTGGTCTTGAACTCCTGGGCTCAAGCAATCCTCTTGCCCCAGACTCCCAAAGTGCTGGGATTACAGGCACAAGCCCCTACACCCTGCCTGGATTAATTTTTAAATGTCTGAAAAACACTTATTTTTAGAAAGTTTAGACAATGTAAATGTGAAATAGCTCTATGAATTCTTTGTTTGAAAAAAGGCTTATCTTCCTGGAATATGTGTTTTATGAACTCAGGAAATTGTTAACAAGTTAACTGAATTTACTTTGCTTTTTAAATTAGAGAGGCGATTGTTTGAGAATTATTGACAATAATTTTTCTTAGAGGAGATGCATTGGTCTGGGTTCAACGCAGAGGTAAAATCTACCCTTAGCTGGTTTAAGCCAAAAGGGACTTATTACATGGTATATCATAAAATTTGTCAGATTAAAGAAACAGCGTATAAGCACTTTGGGAGGCCGAGGTGGGCAGATCACAAGGTCAGGAGTTTGAGACCAGCCTGGCCAATATGGTGAAACCCTGTCTCTACTAAAAATACAAAAATTAGCTGGGTGTGGTGGCCCTCGCCTGTAGTCCCAGCTACCCAGGAGGCTGAGGCAGGAGAATTGCTTGAACCCGGGAGGCGGAGGTTGCAGTGAGCCAAGATCGTGCCACTATACTCCTGCCTGGGCGGCAGAGAGAGACTCCATCTCAAAAAAAAAAAAAAAGAAAAAAGAAACAGTGTACAGGCTGAGCTTCAGGAGTGACTCACAAATCCACTTTATAGACCTGGGCTATCAAAACATGCTGTTGATGCCAGGATCCGGAAGCCAGCCCCTACAGCCGCTAGTTCCAGAGCCACATTACCTTTCCTATAAAACACTCCATCAGGAAGGATGCCTCATAATCTGTCTCTCTGCCACTCAATTATGAATTCTTCACTATATGCAAGTGCTTCTAGAAGTGGTTGGTTGGTTTGTTTTCAGACAGGGTCTCATTCTGTTGCTCAGGCTGGACTGCATTGCACAATCATGACGCCCTGCGGTCTTGACCTCCTGGGCTCAAGTGATTATTTTGCCTCAGCCTCCTGACTAGCTGGGACTACAGGTGCACGCCACCATGTCCCACTAATTTTTTTTTCTTTTTCAGAGATGGAGTCTCGCTATGTTGCCCAGGCTGGTCTTGAACTTCTGGGTTCAAGTGATCCTCCCACCTCAGCTGCCCAAAGTGTTGGAATTTAAAATTCATGTAACAGTCTGAAAAGGGTACCTTCTTCACTCTGACTGACGGCCACCTCCTTTCAGACAATTTCTTTGCAAGTTATGTGCATCTGGGTCCACCTGTAAGCAGAAAATCAGGTTAGGCCCTCAAGGAGCTTGCAAGCAAATGTGGAAGACATATTTTATAAACAGCTAATTTTAAATGATGTGGAAAAACTGCACAGAATACAAGAGCTAAGGAAGCCTGATGGAGAAAGCAGCTGATTCTGCCAGAGGTCAAGGGAGTGGTACATGGAGAAGTAGGAAGGCTTTATAAACAAAGTAAACTTGGTGGACTTTGAAAGGTATGTCACTCTACTTTTGCTTTTGGAGAAAGTGGTCAGGGTGGGGCCAAAGGAGCAAAGCACAGAGTTGGAAAATTCCAAGGTATATTTGGGGGCTAAATTTCTGGTTGAAGGTTAGGGTGGAGGAGCGGTGGGAGTGACAGATAAGGTAGAAAGCTTGGAGCTACATAATAGATGTCAAATGCTAAGGCCTTTATGCTCTCATGGTTAATTTCCTGGGAAGAATTACTTAAACAGAGCTGTTACTTCAATATATAATATCACCTAACTCCAGTCCCGCCTCCTCTCCCACATCCTTCATCTAGTATAGAGGGAACAAATCTTCCCTGCATTGTAACCTAGGACAAGTTACTTAACTTCTCTCTTTAACTTGATGTCCAAATCTATAAATGGAGATTGAAGATAGTGCCTATATGGTTAGTTAAATGATTTACTTAAAACAGTATGTGGACACAGTGAGCACCATATGGACGCTTGCTACATAAGTAAGTTGTAGGCAGTGGATACAGCATTGCCTATTAGAAATTCTCAAATAATTGTTTTGAGACATTTAAATAAAAAGGAGGCTGGGCACGGTGGCTCACACCTCTAATCCCAGCACTTTGGGATACCGAGGTGGGTGGATTATTTGAGGTCAGGAGTTTGAGACCAGCCTGGCCAAGATGGTGAAATCCTGTCTCTACAAAAAAAAAAAACAAAAAAATGAGCCAGGCATGGTGGCACGTGCCTGTAATCCCAGCTACTCGGGAGGCTGAGGCAGGAGAATCACTTGAACCCAGGAAGTGGAAGTTGCAGTGAGCCGAGACTGGGCCACTGCATGCCAGCCTGGGTGACAGAGTGAGACCCTGTCTCAAAAAAAAAAAAAAAAGAAGGATTTTTAGACTTGTGCTAACTCCCAATCATGGGCTTAAGACTTTCACAATAAAAATCATTATGTGTATATATCATTCTAGCCTTAAAAAACATAATTGCTAAAAGGACTATTAGAATGCCTTTCTATTTTACAGTCTGGGTAAATGCTTTCCCAGACTTAAGAGCTTCTTAGAGAGTTTTATCAAACATGCAGGCACATTTCTGATTATTTAAGGCTTAAGACTTTGGAAATTCTTTGGCATTTAGCTACAGCCTTTTGACATTTTTGCTGTTCATTACCAGTACCGTGCTGTGGAAAGGAAAAGAGAAGGGACACACAAGGTGATTTTATACACCTACAAACAGTGGAAAAGTGATAGTGGATAGGAAAAAAGTAGAATCTACATGAAATATTTGTAGATTTAACTTATGTTCTGTTCTCCATTATTGTAATTGTTTGTGTCATACATTGCTGCATAATAAACTACCGTAGGCCAGGTGCAGTGGCTCGTGCCTGTAATCCTAGCACGATGAGGGGGTGAAATGGGAACATTGCTTGAGGCCAGGAGTTCAAGACCGACCTGGGCAACATAGCAAGGCCCCATCTCTACATCTGAAAAAATAATAAATTAGAAACCTACTATAAAACATAACTTTAAAAGAACACTTAATGATTTCTCACCATTCTGCATGAGGGCGCTGCTGTATGACTTTCTTCCATGTGATGTGGGTTGGGACTTGTTGGGAATCTCCCCACGTGGTCTCTCATCCGTCCATGGCTTAGCCTGAGCTTCTTTACATGCCAGCAGGACCCCAAGAGACTGAAGCAGAAGGTCTCTTAAGGTCTCAGAACCAGCCCAGAAACACATCTGCTCATTTTATTGGTTAAAGCAAGGCACAAGGCCAGCTCAAATACTAGGGCTGGGAAAACAAACACTACCTTGATGGGAGGAGCTGCAAAATATTGTGGCTATGACTTCCAACACACCTCAGTAGCTGATCAAGTTGACTGTAAAATTAAATTGGACAAAATTGGTAAAAATTCCAGATTCTGACTTCTGCCAGACATTTATTCCATTTTGCATTTATCCCATTTGCATTTATTCCATTTGCAGATCTGCAGATTAGGAAGTAGACAGAAACAGTAAGAAAAAACACGTGGATAGTCTTAATCACTTTTCAAGTTTTTTTTTTTTGGAGATACAGGTTCTTGCTAGGATGCCCAGTTTGTAGTGCAGTGGCTATTGACAGATGATATACCACACTGTGGCCTCAAATTTCTGGGCGCAAATAATCCTCCCACTTCAGCCTCCTGAGTAGCTGGGACGATAGGCACATGCCACTGCGCCCAGCTTCAAGAAGTTTGTTTTTTTTTTTTTTTTGAGACATAGTCTTGCTCTCTTGCCCAGGCTGAAGTGCAATGCCGCGATCTCGTCTCACTGCAACCTCCGCATCCCGGGTTCAAGCGATTCTTTTGCCTCAGCCTCCCAAGTAGCTGGGATTACAGGGGACTGCCACCACACCCAGCTAATATTTGTATTTTTAGTAGAGATGGAATTTCACCATGTTAGCCAGGCTGGTCTTTAACTCCTGACTTCAGGTGATCCACCCGCCTCGGCCTGCCAAAATGCTGGGATTACAGGTGTGAGCCACCATGCCTGGCGAACTCATAGGCTTTAAAACATATGTCTTGGGGACTGGGCGTGGTGGCTCACACCTGTAATCCCAGGACTTTGGGAGGCCGAGGCAGGCGGATCACGAGGTTAAGATATCGAGACCATCCTGGCTAACATGGTGAAACTCCGTCTCTACTAAAAATACAAAAAAAAAAATTAGCTGGGCACGGTGGTGTGTGACTGTAGTCCCAGCTACGCAGGAGGCTGAGGCAGGAGAATCGCTTGAACCCGGGAGGGGGAGGTTGCAGTGAGCCGAGATTGCACCACTGCACTCCAGCCTGGCCATAAAGTCTCGTCTCAAAAAAAAAAATTACACACAATATATATATATATATACACACACACACATACATACATACACACGTGTGTGTGCGTGTGTGTGTGTGTGTGTCTTGGACTCACGCCTGTAATCCCAGCATTTTGGGAGGATGAAGCGGGTATATCACTTGAGGTGAGGAGTTGGAGACCAGCCTGGCCAACATGGTGAAACCCTGTCTCTACTAAAAATACAAAAATTAGCCGGGTATGGTGTCAGGCGTCTGTACTCCCAGCTACTTGGGAGGCTGAGACAGGAGAATCACTTGAACCTGGGAGGCAGAGGTTACAGTGACCACAGATCATGCCGCTGCACTCCAGCATGGGCGCCAGAGCAAGACTGTTTCAAATAAATAAATAAATCATAAAATAAAATAAAGCTTATCAGTGACCCTTGACTTAACTAGCCCCTTTTTCAACTGAGTTAACTAGCACATATGTTTCTTATCCATTAAAGCCTGTATTCCTATCTTCTCTGAAATGTAGAAGCATATAATAGGGTCAGTAGTTAAGAGTGAGGATTTTAGAATAGGAGCTAGATTTAAATTGTGGCTTTGTACTACTTTGTGTGACTTTATAAACATTATCTAAAGTCTGTATTTTTCAGATTCATTCATAAGACAGTCTACCTCATGAGGTTTTTGTGAAGTTTGAATAAATATGTATACAGAGATTAGCAGTGTCTAGCACACGGAAAGCATTCAACAAGGTCAATGATTTTTATTTGACAGGCCTCAGTCTGCAGGAACATATATTTAAGCTTTAAGATTTGCTCAAGCCTCTTGCAAAATGGTCTATGGGGCCTCTGGCAGTAGGGACTTCATATACACTCCCAAACACTGAAGCCACCCAAACAAGCTTTTGTACTAAGCTCTCTGAATTTCGAGTGACTTTTCTAAATTTTTTGACCCATAAATTTCCTCTTGGTTTGCTTTGCTGCCCTCTTCTGGTGGAATGGCAAAAGAGTTAGATGACATTTCCAATCCCTACTGCCACTCAAACTGCTAAAAGCTATCAATATTTTGAATCCTTAGTCAAAGAATCCAACTTGCAAAAATCTCTGGCCTTACATTCAAGTCAATTCAAATGAAAATAAAGTCTAAACGTAAAGCTTCTACCTATGAATTTCAATTTATTTCTATTACATGGAAAGTGATATTGGTAGGTAGAATAATTATTAAAATGGACTACTCATTTTAGGTTGAAAAGATCTAAGAATATTTTGTTATTCTGAATGGCAACAGAAAATTCCTTATAAACTGCATTTCACTTTTCTGAAACAGTGAAATGTGTACATATAGAGTCTTAATTTTAAAAAACTTTTTTCCTAGGCTGGGCACAGTGGCTTACGACTGTAATCCCAGCACTTTGGGAGGCCGAGGCGGGCGGATCACGAGGTCAGGAGTTTGAGACCACCCTGGCCAACAGAGTAAAACCCCATCTCTACTAAAAATACAAAAATCAGTCGGGCATGGTGGCACATGCCTGTAGTCCCAGCTACTTGGGAGACTGAGGCAGGAGAATCGCTTGAACTCGGGAGGCAGAGGTTGCAGTGAGCCTAGATCATGCCACTGCACTCCAGCCTGGGCAACAGAGCAAGACTACATCTCAACAAACAAACAAACAAACAAACAAAAACCAACCAACCAAACCAAAAAAACCCTTCTTTCCTAACGTTAACATCAGCTAATCTCTATATCTTCCAAACTATAATACCTATGTATTATCCTGGTATTTAAAAATTTTAGCATAGAAACTGCATGCAAAATGTTACTGTGTACTTCCTTCAAATACAATGAGAAAGGTAAATACTTAGCCTAATACAGAAAATTATTTAAATCACTTTAACAATTTTCACATTGTTTTGGAAGATATTGTAAACATTCTAGGCTAGGCATGGTGGCTTATGCCTGTTAATCCCAGCACTTTGGGAAGCCGAGGCAGGAGGATCGCTTGAGCCCAGTAGTTCGGTCTGGGCAACATGGCGAAACCCCATCTCTACTGAGAAATACAAAACTTAGCTGGGCGTGGTGGCATGCGCCTGTGGTCCCAGCTACTCGGGAAGCTGAGGTGGGAGGACTGCTTGAGCCTGGAAGGTCAAGGCTGCAGTGAGCCATGACTGCTCCACTGCACACTCCAGCCTGGGTGACAGAGTGAGACTCTGTCTCAAAAAGAAAAAGAAAAAGAAATATTCTAGGTTGTATATAGACAAAGCTAAAATTTAGAAGCAAATGTGCAGAAAGTTTGTACATTTGAATTTTCATTAAACTGCTAATCCTACTGTAGAATTTTGTGATCAGAAAAACATTTCCTTGGTCCTTGATTTTCAGAAAAACATATTTTAAGGAGAAATATACATTGTTTTCTTGTTTACTTCATATTGGCTGTTTGGGTATAAATCTGTAGAAGTTAAAAATATGTTCTTTTTGAAGTATTGGCAAGAGTTCTAAAGTTACAAATACTAGTACATTAAGTCATGATAACAGCACTTATGCCACGTTATCTCTACAAAATGTAAAATGACTGGAATCTTTGGAATTCCCTTCCCCCACTAATTCAACAAAGCTCAGATTTGTCGTACTTTAGAACAGAGAGACTATCTCCTTGAGCTACCCAAGCATTGCTGCTTTTACTGGTCAAATTATTTACGATCTGAATATTGGTCATTTGCATATTTTATAGGAATTATGCACCTTGGAGACAAGGGAACAGGTTGCAGCAAATCTGTTAAAAATACAGTTTATGTTCAAAACTAGATCTACTTTCCATGTTTAGCACAATATGCAAGGGTTGCTTATTGAGTGGAAATATGCCAAAATCTGGGTTAAAGCCTTTGCAGTTCTCTATTTGCCAGAATGAAAACATGAATTTCTGGCCTTTAAGGCTGTGTAACGAAGACCCAGAATTGAAGAATAAAGTACTAAAAAACTGAAATTAACTTTATACACCATTATTTAGAAAGTTATTAATATAATCTGAATTTTTGATACCTAGAATAGCCATTAAAAGCAGGCAATTAGGAGATACCTCTGTAAAAGGCCAAAAGCAACAAGAACTTTACTAAAACCAGCATAAAAGTGAGCTAATTCAATTTAGTATTGTATTTAATATTAAACCAAAATGATTTCATAGATTGCAATAGAGTACCAAATATAGGCCGGGTGCGGTGGTTCACACCTGTAATCCCAGCACTTTGGGAGGCCAAGACCACCAGATGGCTTGAGTCCAGGAGTTTGAAACCAGCCTGGGCAACATGGTGGAACCCCGTCTCTACAAAAAATACAAAAATTGTCCAGGCTTGCTAGTGCGCTCCTGTAGTCCCAGCTACCTGGGAGGCTGAGGTGGGAGGATCGCTTGACCCCAGGGAGTGGAGGTTGCAGTGAGCTGAGATGGTGCTACTCCATTCCAGCCTGGGTAACAGAGTGGGACCCTGTCTCAAAAAAAAAAAAAAAAAGTACTAAATATATATCAACAAAAATATTACAATCCAAAAACCGTTTTAAGGCTAAATATAAGGAAGATGCCGTTCTTCACTGGAATTTCTCTCAAAAGCTTCAGATTGCATTAATTCATTTTATTGCTCCCCTTTAAATTAGGCACAAAATTGTCTCTTTTTAGTTTAACTCTGAAAACATTTTTTTCTTTCCCCTTCCTTCCTTCCCTCCCTTCCTTCCTTCTCCCTTCCCTCCTTTCTTTCTCTTTCTTTTCTTCCCCTTTCCCTCCTTCTCTTTCTTCTCCTTCCCTTCCTTCTTTCCTTTCTTTCTTTCTTTTTCTTTCTTTCTCACTATAACCTTGAACTCTCAGGCTGAAGCAATCCTCCTGCCTTGGCCTCCCGAGTAGCTGGGACTACAGGTGAGCACCGCAATTTGCTACTTTTCTTTGTTTCTTTCTTTTTTTTGAGACGGAGTCTTGCTCTGTCACCCAGGCTGGAGTGCAGTGGCCTGATCTCAGCTCACTGCAACCTCCACCTCCCAGATTCAAGCGATTCTCCTGCTTCAGCCTCCCAAGTAGCTGGGACCACAGGCGCGTGCCACCACATCCTGCTAATTTTTTATATTTTTAATAGAGACAGGTTTTCACCGTGTTACCCAGGATGGTCTCATCTCCTGACCTCATGATCCAACTGCCTTGGCCTCCTAAAGTGTTGAGATTACAGGCATGAGCCACTGCACCCGGCCTTTTTTCTTTTCTTGAGACGGAGTCTCACTCTGTCACCTAGGCAGCAGTATAGCCGCACGGTCTTGGCTCATTGCAATCTCTGTCTCCCATGTTCAAGCAATTCTCCCCACCTTAGCCTCCTGAGTAGCTGGGATTTATAGGCACGTATCACCATGTCCAGCTAATTTTTGCATTTTTAGTAGAGACGGGGTTTCACCATGTTGGCCAGGCTGGTATTGAACTCCTGACCTCAAGTGGTCCACCCGCCTAGGCCTCCCAAAGTGCTGGGATTACAGGTGTGAGCCAACGCACCTGGCCTAATTTTCTTATTTTTGGTAGAGATGAGGTCTCACAATGTTGCCCAGGCTGGTCTCTTAACTTCTGGGCTCAAGCAATCCTCCTGCCTCAGCATCCCAAAATGCTGGGATTACAGGCCTGAGCCACTGCGCTAGGCCAAAAACTGTTCTTATATATGTAATTTTCAGAAAACATGTATAGATGTTTACAGAAAAGAGTCAAATATAAAGTTTGGAGACTATGGGTATATTCTTGGCAAATAATATTAGTAGATGATGTTTTGTTTTTTTTGAGATGGAGTCTTGCTCTTTCGCCCAGGCCGGACTGCAGTGGCACGATCTCGGCTCACCGCAAGCTCTGCCTCCTGTGTTCACGCCATTCTCCTGCCTCAGCCTCCTGAGTAGCTGGCTACAGGCGCCCGCCACCATGCCCGGCTAATTTTTTGTATTTTTAGTAGAGATGGGGTTTCACGGTGTTAGCCAGGATGGTCTCCATCTCCTGACCTCGTGATCCACCCGCCTCAGCCTCCCAAAATGCTGGAATTACAGGCGTGAGCCACCACGCCCGGCAGTAGATGTTGTTTTTAACCACTCTGCTTATGAACTGACTCCAGGAGCAGGGATAAGAGTGTAAACAACCTACATTAAGCTTTACTCCATGGGTATCTTTATGTAAGTGTTTTAAATAGATCAAGAGGTATTAAGTTTGAAAATAAAGATTTATTAATAGGAGTCTATTAATAGACTTCTACTGGGAATATAAATCAAAACCAGGTACGGACTAGCTACCTTAACATGTACTATGGTCTTGGATTTAAGTCATCTATTCAGTAGACATTTATTTATTTATTTGTTTGTTTGTTTGCCAGGCTGGAGTGCAGTGGTGCAATCTCGGCTCACTGCAACCTCCAACTCCTGGGTTCAAGTGATTCTTGTGCCTCAGCCTCCCAAGTAGCTGGGATTACAGCCACGTGCCATCACACCCAGCTAATTTTTGGATTGTTAGTAGACGCAGGGTTTCACCATGTTGGCCAGGATGATCTTGATCTCCTGACCTCGTGATCCGCCCGCCTCGGCCTCCCAAAGTGTTGGGATTACAGGCGTGAGCCACCACGAGTGGCCAATACTTTTTCTTTTACGGATGGAGTCTCACTTTGGGAAGTCGGGGCAGGAGGATCACCTGCATCCAAGAAACCAGCCTGGGTGATATGGCAAGACCCCATCTCTATAAAAAAATCAAAAATTAGTCATGCATGGTGGCATGCACCTGTAGTCCCAGCTACTCGGAGTCTGAGGTAGGAGGATCGCTTGAGCCTGGGAGGTCAAGGGGGCAGTGAGCTGTGATTGCACCACTGTACTCTAGCCTGGGTGAAAGAGAAAGACTGTGTCTCACAAAAAAAAAAAAAAAAAAAAAAAAAAAGAGGCAGGGCGCAGTGGCTCACGCCTGTAATCCTAGCACTTTGGGAGGTTGAAGCGGATGGTTCACGAGGTCAGGAGTTCAAGACCAGCCTGGCCAAGACGGTGAAACCCCATCTCTACTAAAAATACAAAAAAAATTAGCCAGGCATGATGGCAGACACCTGTAATCCCAGCGACTCAGGAGGCTGAGGCAGGGAATTGCTTGAATGCGGGAGGTGGAGGTTGCAGTGAGCTGAGATGGCGCCACTGCACTCCAGCCTGGGTGACGGAGCGAGACTCCATCTTAAAAAAAAAAAAAGGGATGGAGTTTCATTTTGCCCAGGCTGGAGTGCTGGGGTGTGATCATAGCTCACTGCAACCTTTAACTCCTGTCCTCAAGTGATCCTCCCGAAGTGTTGGGGTTACAGGTATGAGCCACCACACCTGGACTCAGGACCATATTTAAGAAAATACTTACATTCAGGCTACACCTGTAATCCCAGCACTTTGGGAAGCCGAGGTGGGCAGATCGCTTGAGGCCAGGAGTTCAAGACAAGCTTGGCCAACATGGCAAAACCCTGTCTCTACTAAAAAATTACAAAAAGTAGCCGGGTGTGGTGTGCATACCTGTAATCCCAGCTACTCGGGAGGCTGAGGCACAAGAATCGCTTCAACCTGGGAGCCAAAGGTTGCAGTGAGCCAAGATTGCGCCACGGCGCTCTAGCCTGGGCGACAGTGAAACTCTGCCTCAAAAAACAAAAACAAAAACAAAAACGCTGGGCGCAGTGGCTGATGCCTGTAATCCCAACACTTTGGGAGACCAAGGCGGGTGGATCACCTGAGATCGGAGTTCGAGACCAGCCTGGCCAACATAGCAAAACCTCGTCTCTACTGAAAAAAAAAAAAAAAAAAAAAAAAATTAGCCAGGCATGGTGGCGTGTGCCTGTAGTCCCAGCTACTCAGGAGGCTGAGGCAGGAGAATCGCTTGAACCCGGGAGGCAGAGGCTGCAGTGAGCTGAGATCGCACCACTGTACTCCAGCCTGGGTGACAGAGTGAGACTCCGTCTCAAAAAAATAATAATAAAAAAAAGGCCGGGCACAGTGACTCATGCCTGTAATCCCAGCAGTTTGGGAGGCCTAAGCAGGAGAATCACAAGGCCAGGAGATGGAGACCATCCTGGCCAACATGGTGAAACCCCATCTCTACTAAAAGAAAAGAAAAAAAATTAGCCAGGTGTGGTGACGCGTACCTGTAGTCCCAGCTACTCAGGAGGCTGAGGCAGGAGAATCGCTTGAACCCAGGAGGCGGAAGTTGCAGTGAGCCAAGATCGCGCCACTGCACTCCAGCCTGGCGACAGAGCAAGACTCCATCTCAAAAAACAAACAAACAAACAAAAAAGAAAATACTTATATTCAAAATTAGTCCTACTTTTCACACTTAGCTACCTGAGTCTATATATGCCAATATTTCCACTAAATTTCACGGTCATTTCTCTCAAAGAGGCTAGTTTAGTAGAGCAGAAAGTTTAAGTAAATGTACTTAAACAGTATAGGAACAAAGAGGAAATGGTTGATTTGACTTGTTGGGAGACAGGACAAGTTAAGTTTAATACAGGAAATGACACTTGAACTAATCTTGTTAGATGAGTAGGGCTCAACAGAACAGGACAAAGAACGATGTTCAAGAGGAAAGGTATAGGATGACTAAGGGCGTTGGGGGGCTCTGGAAACTATAAGTAGCTCATGGTTGGAGCACAGATGTGACCAGAGTAAAGGCCAGAGAGAATAGCAACAGGAAGATCTTGAACAGGTCTTGCATGATCTGCTCAGGAGTCTGGACTTGATCCTGTAGGTCTTGTTCTCCAATTTTATTACGCAACAGAATCACCTGTACTGCTTGTCTAAAATACGCATTCTTTGGCTCCACTCTAATTCAGGTCCAGAGTAGGATCTTGGAACCTGAATTTTAAGAACACTGCCTCAATTCTAGTGCAGGAGAATCTGGGCCAGGTTTTGATTTTTTTTTTTTTTTTTTTTTGGAGATGAAGTCTTGCTTTGTCTCCCAGGCTAGAGTGCAGTGGCGTGATTTTGGCTCACTGCAACCTCCGCCTCCTGAGTTCAAGCGATTCTCCTGCTGCAGCCTCCCAAGTAGCTGGGATTACAGGCACCTGCCACCATGACTGGCTAATTTTTGTATTTTTAGTAGAGACAGGGTTTCACCATGTTGGCCAGGCTGGTCTCGAACTCCTGACCTCAGGTGATCCACCTACCTCAGCCTCCCAAAGTGCAGGGATTACAGGCATGAGCCACCGCTCCCGGCCAGGTTTTGAATGTTTTGATGAAACATTACTACAGGCAATAAAGAACCATTAAATATTTCTTAGGGAGAAGTAACAATTACAAAGTCAAGAGCAGATCCAGGTTGGCCTTCTAGCAACATCAGCTTGATGGTAGTGAGGAAGGTGAATTGATTGATCAGAACCTAGAGTACAAAATGATTCAGATGACTGGCATGGGGATATTGCCCATGTTTAACCCAAATCATGTTTTGACAAATAGAAATGTAAAGATTTACCATGTAACTGCAAAAATTCATTTAAATATCAAATAGTTCATTTATTCTCCCTGGGGTTTTGTGCACTCATGGTTTCATTCATGTCTATATTAATGCCCTAATCTTGATCTTCAATGTGGACCCTTCTTCTGAACTTCAAATATATTTCTACCTGTGGACTGGATATCACTTCTTTGATGCTGAAGGTATTGTCTACCTAAAAGTCAACATATCCAAAGTTGACATTTTTTCCTTTCCAAGCCAGAATCTTGGGAACTAAGAGACCTGCCCATTCCCTCATAGCCATTTAATTATCTAAATAGAAGTAGGAATTCTGAACGTTCTATCTATAGTAAATTCAATTTCAGAACATAAAAAGGCAAACTGATATACAGTAAACTCTTTACATTCAATAATTTAACATTCATAGTTACTACTATTTTAAGTGGCCTCAAGGGTTTAGAACATAGAGTCACATCATTTTGCTCAGGCAAAAATCTGAACCACATATTCTATGAGGCTGTTACATGTAAGCAAGTCAGTTACCTAGTGACTGAGTCTAGCTCAGCACTTACATATAACTATGGCTTTATTGCTTTATCAATATATGTAGAAAATGTCCATAAAGTAAAAAATACTTTGCAAAAAATGGCTCCCAAAAGAAAGCTAACTGATAGTACTTACAGTGGAAAGAGATTTTTTTATTTTTTATTTTTTTTGAGATGGAGTTTCGCTATTGTTGCCCAGGCTGAAGTGCAATGGCGAGATCTCAGCTCACTGCAACCTCCGCCTCCTGGGTTCAAGTGATTCTCCCTCCTCAGCTTCCCAAGTAACTGGGATTTACAGGCATGCGAAACCACGCCTGGCTAATTTTGTATTTTTAGTAGAGGGTTTCTCCATGTTGGTCAGGTTGGTCTCGAACTACCGACCTCAGGTGATCTGCTCGCCTCGGCCCCCCAAAGTGCTGGGATTACAGGTATGTAAGAAAAAAACAGGTACAAAATTGCTAAATTTAGGGTATGTATTATATTCAGTTTTAGTTGATACTACCAAATAGTATCTGCTTCAGACTTGAACAGGTAGTTCACAGAAGAGGATATCCACATGGTCATATGCATGTGAAAAGCTGCTCAACCTCACTAATCATCAAAGAAATAGACATTCAGGTAAGGCAATACCACTACATACCCATTAGAATGGCTAAAATGAAAAGTATTGACCATATCAAGTGTTAGCAAGGATTTTAACAATTAGAAAAATCAATTTAGAAAACTAGCAGTATGTACTAAAACTGGAATATATATGCAAACTCTGTGATCTCAAAATTCCACTCCTTAATATATATCCAACAGATACATGTACATGTGTGTGACAAAAGATACATGCATGGCTGACACAGTGGCTCAGATCTGTAATTCTAGCACTTTGGGAGGCCGAGGCAGGAGAATCACTTAAGGCCAGGAGTTTAAGACTAATCTGGGCAATATAGTGAGACTTTTTTTTTTTTTTTTTTTTTTTGATTTGGAGTCTCACTCTGTCGCCCAGGCTGGAGTGCAGTGGTACAATCTCAGCTCACTGCAAGCTCTGCCTCCCAGGTTCAAGCGATTCTCCTGCCTCAGCCTCCCGAGTAGCTGGGACTACAGGTGCCCGCCACCAAGCTCGGCTAATTTTTTGGTATTTTTAGTAGAGACGGGGTTTCACCGTTTTAGCCAGCATAGTCTCGATCTCCTGACCTCGTGATCCGCCCACCTTGGCCTCCCAAAGTGATGGGATTACAGGCCTGAGCCACTGCGCCCGGCCCATAGTGAGACTTTTATTTTCTACAGAAAATAAACAAAATTAGCCAGGCATAGTGGTGTATGCTTGTACTCCCAGCTACTAGGGAGGCTGACGTGGGAGGATCACTTGAGCCCAGGTGGTCAAGGCTGCAGTAGGCTCACACCACTGAACTACAGCCTAGGTGACAGAATGAGACCCTGTCTCAAAAAACAAAGAACAAATAACTGCTACACATATGAAAATGAACAAATTTCAGAAGCCTAAGGGGGTGGCTTCTCAGTTGCAGATACTGTTCTACTGCTTGACCTAGGCAGCGGTCACACTCACATAGGTGATATTCTTTATGATGATTAATATGATTTTTTTTCTTTTGCTTTTGCTTTTGAGCTGGAGTTTTGCTCTTGTTGCCTAGGATGGATTGCAATGGCGTGATCTCGGCTCACCGCAACCTCCACCTCCCAGGTTCAAGCAATTCTCCTGCCTCAGCCTCCCGAGTAGTTGGGATTACAGGCAAGCCCCACTACGCCCGGCTAATTTTGTATTTTTAGTAGAGACGGGGTTTCTCCATGTTGAGGCTGGTCTCGAACTCCTGACCTCAGGTGATTCCCCCTGCCTCAGCCTCCCAAAGTGCTGGGATTACAGGCGTGAGCCACTGCACCTGGCAATTAATACGATTTTTGCATACTTCTGAATACATGTATACTTCAGTGAAGGTATTCCAAGAAACCCCACCCCAACCACAAAAATCCTTATGATTTTAGTAGTCTACGATAACTCATCAAGTGTGTGAAGGGGCTAAAAATTTTTTCAGTTATGCTTTTATTTCAGTTTACATTGTATTAGGAATAGATCTATTACAAGAGTGCCTGTGTCTTGAAAATGTCAAGCATCTACTGTATTACCACTTCCTTATTACCAAAGCATACAGAAAATTTTCAAATTCTAAGGGATTGGCCAGGTGTGGTGGCTCACGCCTGTAATCCCAGCACTTTCGGAGGCTGAGGCGGGCAGATCACCTGAGGTCAGGAGTTCAAGAACAGCCTGGTCAACATGGCAAAACACCGTCTCTACTAAAAATACAAAAATAATTAGTTGGGCTTTGTGGTGGGCACCTGGAAGCCCAGCTACTAAGGAGGCTGAGGCAGGAGAATTGCTTGAACCCAGGAGGCAGAGGTTGCAGTAAGCCGACATTGCGCCATTACACTCCAGCCTGGGCGACAAGAGCAAAGTTTCGTCTCAAAAAAAAAAAAAAAAAAAAAAAAAAAAAAAAAAAAAAAAAAAAAAAAAAAAAAATCCTAAGGGATCAACAGGGATCAACATGAAGACCAGTTAGCTTTAAAACAAATTTAACATGAAATTGTAGTATTACTTTCTCCTCCACAACAATCCCCCTTCTACTCATATAAGGTTTTCCATGTACTTTAGTTTTACAATTTCTTCAATCTTTTGTATGCAGATGGAAAATACAGATATCCAACAATTCCAATCTATGGTTGTGAAAATTCAGACTTAGTATTGAGGAATGGAATCTGTGCTCCAGTCATGGGATGACAAGAAACCAGTTCCCGTTCTCAACATCCCCTTGGTTTGGTTTTCTTTCTTTTTTTTTTTTTTGAGATGTAGTCTTGCTCTGTTGCCCAGGCTGGAGTGCAGTGGTGCGATCTCAGCTCACTGCAACCTCCATCTCCTTGGTTCAAGCAATTCTCCTGCCTCAGCCTCCTGAATACCTGGGATTCCAGGCATGTGCCACCATGCCCAGCTAATTTTTTTGTAATTTTAGTAGAGATGGGGTTTCACCATGTTGGCCAGACTGGTCTTGAACTCCTGACCTCAAGTGATCTGCCTGCCTTGGCCTCCCAAAGGGCTGGAATTACAGGCGTGAGCCACCCGGTCTGGCCCCCTCTGTTGGGTTTTCTACTAGGACTTTGGTAGGCTAATAATGATAAGGATGAGGAATGCCTAGGGGCAATAAGTATTTAGAATCCGCAGAACCATGTTTTTTGCAGAAGGTACTCTCTATTCCTTAATTAAGAGATTAGGCCTGGCATGGTGACTCATGCCTGTAATCCCAGCATTTGGAGAGGCCAAGGTAGGTGGACCACCTGAGTTCAGGAGTTTGAGACCAGCCTCGCCAACATGGTGAAACCATCTCTACTGAAAATACAAAAATTAGCCGGGCGTCGTGGCAGGCTACTTGGGAGGCTGAGACAGGAGAATCACTTGAACCTCAGAAGTGGAGGTTACAGTGAGCCAAGATGGTACCACTGTACTCCAGCCTGGGTGACAGAGCAATACTCTGTCTAAAAAAAGAAAAAAAAAAAGAAATTAAACCCCATTCACATTCATTTCATACCAAGACTGAGCCAGCAAAAAGGCTGATAGTTAAGTCCAATATCCTAGGAATGAGAAATGAAAAGCCAAGGCAACAAGTAGGCACTGTAAAACTGTTTGTTTTTTTTAATGACAGGTCAAATATCCTGAAACATACATGTATTTTGATAGTCTTCTAATCCCACTTGAGTTCAAATATTAAAGAAACACACACAAGCTAAGAGAATTCAATATTGTTCCAAGGCACTTACTGAATCTCTGACTAGATGAAAACAGGAACAATTAGGATGAACAATTAGACTGTATATAATATAAAAATAACTTTTTGCTTACAATTTACAAAATTATTATTACAATCTTTGATCTCTGATAACCTGCAAAGCTGGCTGCATGAATCCAGCAAGTTTAAAATTCAGAAACTATTTTCTAAAACTCCAGGGCAAATAATTTACAAATAAAGTACACAAAGATTTAGACCATGCAGAAATTTCTTACATCTTCTGTTAATAATATTTCAATTGCAACTTTATCAAATTATATACCTACTTGCCCTGTACATATACAAAATAATGCATACATGATAAAACAGAAAAAGAGTAGTCCTTAAACTCAATATATCATAAAGGTATTACTATATTAACATGTCTACAAGCAGCGTGTAACAGGGTTAAGAGACATTAAGGCAATAATACTTGAAGTTTCAAAATAAACCATATGTAATACTTTTTCCTAAGTGTAGTATAAGGCAGGTAGATGGTCCCAGCAAAAAATATTAAGGTAACAATCTACACTGCTGTTAGTCCCACATATTAAAGATGGAATACTATAAATCTGGCTTTCAGTGGCACCTGAATTTTCCAGTATAACTTAAAGTGTCTTCTAGCTCCCTGAATCATGTCCATTCTGAAGGTGGATCTCTTGGTCCTTTGGGTTTTCCACATCGATTACCAAAACCTACAGTGAAAACACCACAATAACTAGTCAGTGTTCAGAAATACTTTCAAACTACTAAAAACCATGTCCACAGACATTCTCATTTTCTGGAACAAATAAATTTCCACAAGGGAATTTAGAATTTAAGCCAAACAAAACTTGGTAAATGCAAAACAATTGTAAATTTATTTGGAATAACTGAAAATGATTGCTTCTTTTAAAAATCTTATGCTGGAAATAAAACCAATTTTATCACAATGTAAGAAAAATATCCATGATAATTTAGTCTTTCCAACACAAAAGATTTTTTATACTGCAGTTTTCTATTTTAGTTTTTAATCTCAATGTGAAATAGAATTAAGTATTTCATTTATTTCATGACTAGTCCAAGCAACTTTGGAAAATCATGTTTTATTCTTGGCAAGTGTCATTTCACAATGGCAAATGAGCTTTTCTCATTCCTGCCAGTGTTAACTACTTACTAAAAATTATTTATTAAACAAATTACCAATATCTGTGGCTTCTGTTGGATTTTCTGATATTTGTTCTCTCTTGTCACTGAAAGTAGGTGGACATTCTATGCACATTTCATAGTGAATACCTCCCGCTGGATGATCTAAGTAGCAACACAAAGCCTTTGTTAATCACCATCCTTTGTAGCATCATATATATATAACTCTTTAATTTTTTAAATGTTGGCAAGCATGAAAAGAGAAAACTTTCTCTCCTGGGCACCATAATTTTACAGGTCAAGAACAATATAAATACAAGTGTAGTGTGCACAGAAAATCATGTCAGGTATTATTGTGGTCACACAGAAATCTGCAGTGAGTACTTCTGCAATGTGAGGATTCTCGTTATTCTTACTTCATAAATCTAGGTCTTGACATATTACATTCCCTTAAGGTAGCTATACTATATGCCTATGTTCTAAGGGAATAGTTGCAACTGAAATGTCTTTGTATAGAAATCAACAAGGTCAGGCCAGGCGCGGTGGCTCATGCCTGTAATCCCAGCACTTTGGGAGGCCGAGGCGAGCCGATCATGAGGTCAGGATATCGAGATCATCCTGGCTAACATGGTGAAACCCCGTCTCTACTAAAAATACAAAAAAATTAGCCAGGCGTGGTGGCGGGCGCCTGTAGTCCCAGCTACTCAGGAGGCTGAGGCAGGAGAATGTTGTGAACCCAGGAGGTGGAGCTTGCAGTGAGCCGAGATCGCGCCACTGCACTCCAGCCTGGGCGACAGAGCAAGACCTCTGTCTCAAAAAAAAAAAAAAAAAAAAAAAAAAAAATTTTAAGAAATCAACAAGGTCAGGGTTAATTAATGCACTATTTGCACCTTGAAATAATAACTCTACTTGTTTTTTTTTTTTTTTTTTTGAGACGGAGTTTCCCTCTTGTTGCCCGGGTTGGAGTGCAATGGCGCAATCTCGGCGCACTGCAACCTCTGCCTCCGGGGTTCAAGGGATTCTCCTGCCTCAGTCTCCCTAGTAGCTGGGATTACAGGCAGATGGCATGACGCCTAGCTATTTTTTTTATTTTTAGTAGAGACGGGGTTTCACCATGTTGCTCAAGGCTGGTTTCGAACTCCTGACCTCAGGTGATTGCCTGCCTGGGTCTCCCAAAGTGCTGGGATTATAGGTGTGAGCCACCACGCCAGGCCTAATAACTCCACTTTTAAAGTTTTATGTTGTTTAGATTGTAGTTTACTCTTTAATTACCAGTGTTTAAGATTAGTAACAAAAGATGTTAACTACTAAAATTCATTCATTCTTTCACAATTTTATTGGTCTTCACAAATAAATGAAAAAGTACTAAAAGGAAGATTTCTAAAACAATAGGTTTCTACAGAAGCAATTCCATCATTTATTTAAGTCGGGATCTAACTTCTAGGTGTTTTTAAAAACAGAAAATAAAAAACAGAAAAATATTTTTAAAAAATCTCTTTCCCATTAGCCTGTAATTATTGATAGTAAATGCTCCCATGATTTTCCAGATCAATACTACTATCTGGTGGTAATAATTAATTTGGAAGAATTATAGTACAATATTAAGCTTCTACAAGAGTTGTCCTAGACATTTTCACATACAGAAATAACTATATAGCATGAACTATGAAGCATGTTATTTTGTAGAAATTAATCAATAAAATCTACAGTAAAAAGGAAAAAAAAAATCTAACAACTTACCACATTTCTCATTTTCAGAGGTTATCAAGCCCTACGAGGAAGACATTTAATACCTATTACAATACATTCATTTTATATACAAATAATAGAAAGCTGGGTCTGTTATGGGTATATATCCCAAGAAATCAAGGCCTATCATTTTCAGCATCAGAGGAAAAGCAAACAATTGTTTTTTAATTAGGCTTAAAATTTTAAAATGTTATGCTATTTCTCCTTGGAGTAAATGTTTCTGGATGAGCACTGAAAAGCATGGGCTACTGCATGAAGGAACATACAGCTGTGTTTTGCCAGCCACTATTACTAATTATATCATTATTGTATTTTATATGTCAATTAAACTACATCATGTCTTAAAATCAAATATAAGATGTAGCTAAATTTCAGAGATATTAAAGTATGGGAGAAAATACAAAAAGTATTAATGTTAATAAAAAATGTTATCTCCTATGGACAAATGTGTTGTTGCTGAGACAGGGTCTCACTCTGTCACTCAGGCTGGAGTGCAGTGGTGTGATCATGGCTCACTGCAGCCTTGACCTCTGGGGCCCAAGCAATCCTCCCATCTCAGCCTCCCAAAAAGCTGGGACCATAGACATGCGCCACCACGCCTGGCTAATTTTAAAAATTTTTGTAGAGATAAGGTCTCCCCATGTTGCCCAGGATGGTCTTGAACTCCTGGGCTCAAGTGATCCTTCTGCTTGGCCTCCCAAAGTGCTGTGATTACAGACATGAGCCACCATGCCACGCCCTCAAAATATTTAATTGCCAAAACATTTCTCGAATGTCAAAGAAATGCCAGGTAGCCAGAAAAAAACAAAAGAAGCGACTATGTGCCTAGTGTTATAATGGGAAGCATCTAGAAATGTAAGAAAGAATTAGGACCCTGAAAATAGTAACTCCTATTTCATTCATACCTTCAAAATTATTTGAAGCATAATTTACATATTTCAAAAACAGCTTGAGAAAACAATACTTTAAAGTGATAGTTGTATGTAGATCAGGTTACCCTTTTAAAAAATTTCAGAACCTACCTTTTATATGGGCTTTTCATCTGAAATCTTAGTATAAGAAATGCCGATCAAAAATTACAAACTATATTTAACGATCTTAAGATGACAGCTATTTCAACAACTGCAAGATTAGTTAACAAAAGAGTAGAAATGTTAAGCTATAACTGTTCCAATTCCAAAAGGACTTACTTCAGACTTTTTTTGTTCAGATCGTTCCTGACTTTGAAGTTCACTCCATTCCGATCTTACAGGTGTATCTGAGAAAAATGAAATCTTATTGTTATTAACACCTTGAATTTCTGAAATTTCTTTGCATTAAAGTAATACAAAAAACAGATCCTAAAGATTTTAGAAACTATCGCTTCCACAAAAATTTTGTAGTTTCTGGGTAAGCATATTTCTGAAGTTTCTAAAAAAAAAAAATTGTAGTTTCTATTAATTCGAGAACATTCTGTTTCCTTCCTTCAAAACCTAAGTAAATAAATTCAGTCATCAGTGTATTACAGTCTATAGATAATGTGACAGACAAGTGAAGTATACTGCTTAATCTACAGACAACGTGACAGACTTAGACAACTGAAGTATACCGTTTCATTGCTTTCAACATTCTTTTTAATTGTTGTTGAGACAGGGTCTCACTCTGTTGACCAGGCGCGATCTCGGCTCACTGGAGCCTCAACCTCCCAGGCTCAGGCAATCTTCCCATCTCAGCTTCTTGAGTAGCTGGGACTATAGGTGCATGCCACCTCGCCTGGCTAATTTTTGATTTTATACAGACAGGGTTTTGCCATGTTGCCCAGGCTGGTCTCAAACTCCTAGGGCAAATGGAACAGAGATCCACCTGCCTTGGTCTCCCAAAGTGCTGGGATCACAGGCATAAGCCATTGTGCTTGGCTCTTTAACATTTATCTTAAAATCAGTCAAAATTCACTTTGGGAGGCTGAGGCAGGCAGATCACTTGAGGTCAGGAGTTCAAGACCAGCCTGGCCAACATGGTGAGACCCTATCTCTAATAAAAAAATTAGTTGGGAGTGACGGTGTATGCCTCTAATCGCAGCTACTCAGGAGGCTGAGGCAGGAGAACAGCTTGAGCCCAGATCGTGCCACTGCACTCCAGCCTGAGTGACAGAGTGGAACTCCAACTCGAAATAAAACAAAACAAGGCCGGGCGTGGTGGCTCCCGCCTGTAATCCCAGCACTTTGGGAGGCTGAGGCGGGCGATCACGAGGTCAGGAGATGGAGACCATCCTGGCTAACATGGTGAAACCCTGTCTCTACTAAAAAAATACAAAAAAATTAGCCGGGCGTGGTGGCTCATGCCTGTAATCCCAGCACTTTGAGAGGCTGAGGTGGGCGGATCATGAGGTCAGGAGATGGACCATCCTGGCTAACACGGTGAAACCCTGTCTCTACTAAAAAAAATACAAAAAAATAAGCCGGGTGTGGTGGCAGGCACCTGTAGTCCCAGCTACATGGGAGGCTGAGGCAGGAGAATGGCATGAACCCAAGAGGTGGAGCTTGCAGTGAGCCGAGATCGTGCCACTGCACTCCAGCCGGGGCGACAGAATGAGACTCCATCTCAAAAAAATGAATAAATAAAAAATAAATAAATAAAAAGAAAACCAAATGAAACAAAACAAAAATCAGTCAAAATTAATATATTGGTAAAATGTACTTAGACAAGTGAGCACCTCCACTGAGCATGAGACACTGTAAATACAATCAAGCTGTTTCTGCACTCTTTTTTAGAGGATTAATAGGGAGAAGTATATTATCAATGTTTTAAAGTATCATCACTTTCTCCCAGTTCTGATACTCCAGTGGTCTTTTTTTTTTCTTCCACAGACGGGGTCTCACTGTTACCAAACTGGAGTACAGTGGTGCGATCATGGCTCACTGCAGCCTCCAACTACAGGGATCAAGCAATCCTTCTTCTTCAGCCTCCTGAGTAGCAAGGACTACAGGCACATGCCACCACACCTGGCTAATTTTTTGTTGTTATTATTATTTTTTGAGACAAAGTTTTTTGCTCTTGTTGCCCAGGCTGGAATGCAATGGCGTGGTCTCAGCTCGCTGCAACCTCTGCATCCTGGGTTCAAGCAATTCTCCTGCCTCAGCCTCCCAAGCAGCTGGGATTACAGGCGCCCACCACCACAACTGGACAGTTATTTTATTTTTAGAAGAGAGGAGGTATCACTGTGTTGCCCAGGCTGGTCTCAAACTCTTAGGCTCAAGCAATCCTCGCGCCTTGGACTCCCAAAGTGCTGCGATTACAGGTATGAGCCAATGTGCTCAGTCTACTCCAGTGGTGTTAAATGTCTTTCAGTTAACACCAATCCAGTGACGCCCACCCAACAGAAATGTTTACTGACCTAAATCTAAGGAAAGCAATTAATGTTTTCATAAATAAGTGCTACTTTTTTTTTTTTTGAGATGGAGTCTTGCTCTGTTGCCCAGGCTGGAGTGCAGTGGCATGGTCTCGGCTCACTCCAACCTCTGCCTCCGGGGTTCAAGCGATTCTCCTGCCTCAGCCTCCCGAGCAGCTGGGACTACTGGTGCATGCCACCACACACAGCTAATTTTTTGTATTTCTAGTAGAGACAGGGTTTCAGTGTGTTAGCCAGGATGGTCTTGATGTCCTGACCTCGTGATCTGCCCGCCTTGGTCTCCCAAAGTGGCAGGATTACAGGCATGAGTCAATAAGTGCTATTTTTAATGAATGAAAATACACCAGATTGCAAATACACTTATAATTGCATTTTTTTTTTAAGATGGAGTTTCGCTCTTGTTGCCCAGGTTGGAGTGCAATAGTGTGATCTCGGCTCACTGCAATATCCACCTCCCAGGTTCAAGCAATTCTCCTGCCTCAGTCTCCCAAGTAGGTGGGATTACAGGCATGCGCCACCACGCCTGGCTAATTTTGTATTTTTAGTAGAGACGGGGTTTCTCCATGTTGGTCACGCTGGTCTTGAACTCCTGACCTCAGGTGATCAGTGCATCTCAGCCTCCCAAGGTGCTGGGATTACAGGTATGAGCCACTGCACCTGGCTTTGTAATTGCATTTATTTATTTATTTACTTTTTGAGACGAAATCTTGCTCTTCGCCCAGGCTGGAATGCAATGGCGCAATCTCGGCTCACTGCAACCTCCAACTCCCGGGTTCAAGTCATTTTCCTGCCTCAGCCTCTCAAGTAGCTGAGATTATAGGTGTCCACCACCATGCCCAGCTAATTTTTATATTTTTAGTAGAGATGGAGTTTCACCATGTTGGCCAGGCTGGTCTCCAACTCCTGACCTCAGGTGATCCACCTGCCTAGGCCTCCCAAAGTGCTAGGATCACAGGCTTGAACCACCATGCCCAGCCTATAATTACATTTAAATGAATTGAATTCTGATATCTAACATAAATGCAGTAATTTCTATCGATCTTAGCAAGTAAAAAATATAATTTAAAAGCATTTTTCAAACAAAGAATTAAAAGCATGTCAACATCAATTTACTTGTTTTTGAATTTAATTATGTAGCACAATAGCTAATAGATTAAAATCAGGTATGTTTTTCGGAGTTTATTATTAGAATATGAAGTAAATGTAAAAGCAAAAGAGACACTCACTATGTTCACTTGCTAACACAAACGATTCAGGAGTTCTTTCAGGTAGGGGAGGAGGTGAATCTTCACTAACATCAACATCTAAATTAAACACATAAAAATTTAGACAAATTAACATGTCATCTAAACAAAATCAGAGAGCTTTCTTGACATTCTAAAAATTCCTGTCACAAATATCTAGATCAGTTTTTAAAAATGCAAAAAAATGCAAGAAACCTTTTCCACTCATTATCAAGAATTATGATGCTTATTGAGCAAAGATAATGTATACAGAAATGACTCTCTCCCATGACTTTCCTGTCACTCTACAGACATCATTCAGTTCTCCAAGCCTGAAGGGAATCTTCAGTAGAGAAGTCAGCTGGCAAGTGACTTCTCTACTGAGCTTACTGATGATGTTTTGTGTCCAAAAAGGAAAGCTTTGGTCATTTGCGTTATGAAACGCCTAAGCCAGTGTTTCCCAAACAGGATTCAATTGCTTAACACCTTTCATGATTTTTGCCATACTATGTAACATGTGTCCTATTCACTTTTAAAATCTGACTCATTTTAAACTTAACTGTGTACCTCAGTCATGTCTTAAACAGCAATAACTGAAATAACATTGGAAATACTAGTTATTTTTCCAAAACAGATAAAGATATAGCTATTAAAGTTTTTTAAAAAATCTTCATTTATTTATTGCTAAAGATTTTGTGTACAGTGGCACATGGCTGTACTTTGAGAATGCTGACTGAAGCTATATACAGGTTTTTCACTAGTAAAAACAAAATTAGCTCTTGGGAAAGAGAGTGCATTAAGTAAGCCTCATTGGTTAGCTTTATTATGGCTTAAGGTAAATGAGTGTATTTGATCTTTGAGTTTTCACTGGAGGAATAGAAAGAAAATATAAGAATACAATCCTGTGTGTGAACTCTCAGGTTGGGGAGGGTGGGATAAAGAAAAAGAAATGCGACGGTCCTGTATTATTTTGTCTTGAGCCTTGCCCATTGTTCTTAAATGAACACACAGTTCTGCCATGATACTCTGCTATTTTACCACACCTGATGGCTATGCATAGGTCTTGTCAATTTTCAACACGCATGAGGTGAGTATGATTGCTTTTGCCCCACCTACATTTATTTAGCTGGAGACGCAAGAAAATACAGCTTCTGGGTCCTCCTGAAAGAGGAGTTCCAGTCCAATACTTGATACATCTACCAAGAGTACCAGAACTCTCTCTTGCCACTAAAGAACTATCTACCTTATCCAGTAGTGGTAGTCTGAGTCATCACCATATGTCTCCTTGCCCTCTTGCTACTAACAGCGCACAGTGAAGAGATGGCTGTTGGAAGGAAGGGACACATAATCTTGGCATTCTGGTACCATTTCTTAAATTAAATGAACAAAACAAAAAGGGCAGTTCAGCCCTTTTTCTATCAGTTATCTTCCAGAAACTCTGTGCTTTTTCTCTCATGGCAGTTCTCACCCTTAAAAACTTTTATTTTCTAAGCGTGGCCCTTGCTTTGCAAATGCATGTTTCTCCCTGGAACTTTGGGCTGCCTTTCCTGTTAAAAACTTTTGTTTTAGAGGTTATCCAACCAGATATTGCGTATTTTATATAGGCTTTTGCAAATCATACACTGTATGGGGCCTTCTGTAGTTGAATCTGAGAAATCTTTCAGGAGGCCTAAGTCAAGACTGAAATTAGAATTGATAGCTAAGAATTTTTGTCAGGCAGTAACTTATGCAAAAGTTTTTTTTAGGTATCAATACAAAAGTATTCCATTATAGTCATGCACTACATAATGATGTTTTCATCAACAAGACCGCATAAACAACAGCGGTCCTGTAAGATTATGATACCATATTTTTACTGTACCTTTTCTATGTTTAGATACACAAATACTTACCATTGTGTTACAATTGTTGAGTATGGTAATATGCTATACAAGTTTGTAGCCTAGGAGCAAGAGGTTACATTGTATGGCCCAGATGTGTAGTATATACTATACCATCTAGGTTTGTGTAAATACATTCTATGACATTCACACAATGGCAAAACTGCCTAATGACATATTTTTCTTAGAACATATCCCTGCCATTAAGAAATGTGTGACTGTAATTCACTAACAAGTTCTAGGACCAAAAAACCCCCCAAAACTCTAATTCTGGTGCCAATGGCTCTATAAGATAATGATCTACAAAGGAAATAATAATCTATAAGGTAAATAAACAATCTATAAAGTAAATAATCCATATGGTAAATATTTGGCAACACATTAAAAATGAGACTACTTGTAGTTATGCTGCAACAAAGAACATTTACACACAGGAAAATCTTCGGTTAAAATCAAACCAATAACATAGTTAAGGTTGAGTAAAAAGAAACCAGAAATCACATGTATAGTGATTTTTGCTTTGAAATACAAAACCAAACAAACAGAAATGAGCTGGCACATAGTAGGGTGCTTTTAGCTATATCTTACTCTTTTTTTTTTTTTTTTTTTGAGACAGGGTCTCCCTCTGTTGCCCAGGCAGAGTGCCGGGACGCAATTATGGCTCACTGCAGCCTTGAGCTCCTAGGCTCAAGTGATCTTCCTACCTCAGCCTCCAGAGTAGCTGGGACCACAAGTGTGCACCACCATGCCCGGCTAGTTTTTTATCTTTTGTAGAGATTGGGTGTCACTATGTCACCCAGACTGGTTATGAACTCCTGGGCTCAAGTGAACTTCCTGCCTCAGCCTCCCAAAATGCTGGGATTACAGGCATGAGCCACCAACAGACTCGTCATGTAGTAGTAACTTTTAATAAGCATATCACATCATACATCTTTCTGGCCCTCACCAAATCCTATTTCCAGTAATGGTTTTTTGGTTTTTTTTAAAAAAAAAAGCAAAAGAACAAAACAACAACAAAAAAACAATAAAACTTCCTAGGTACAATACCACATGCTTGATATACTAAAAACTCAAAATGAAAATTTCTTATCTACATATTTTCTTATATAGTTACAGCTGGGCAGTTATATTTCAAATTCTGAAGCTGAGGAACAAAAGACATTAGCAATTTAAAATTATGGTAAACTGGTAAAGTAATATTATACTATTCATTATCTTCTAAAGATCCTTCAAATAAAACAAAGATAAATCAAGAAAAGATAATTCTGTAATTTAAGCAAATAGTTTAAGACTGTCACCTGGCTGGGCGTGGTGGCTCACGCCTGTAATCCCAGCCCTTTGGGAGGCCGAGGTGGGCGGATCACGAGGTCAGGAGATCCAGACCATCCTGGCTAACACAGTGAAACCCTGTCTCTACTAAAAATACAAAAAATTAGCCAGGCATGGTGGCGCATGCCTGTATTCCCAACTACTAGGGAGGATGAGGCAGGAGAATTCCTTGAACCCAGGAGGCGGAGGTTGCAGTGAGCCAAGATTGCGCCACTGCACTTCAGCCTGGGCAACAAGAGCAAAACTCTGTCTCAAAAAGACTGTCATCTAGTCTACCAAATACACTCTCTCAAGTTAAAAAATACAGTATGTGTGAGAGAAAATACAAGCACTACAGTATGGGTGGTATATAATGGGTCAGAAATAGAAAATAATCTTTCAAGGCCAGGTGTGGTAGCTCACGTCTGTAATCCCAGCACTTTGGGAGGCCTAGGTGGGCAGATCACTTGAGGCCAGGAATTTGAGACCAGCCTGGCAAACATATCGAAACCCTGTCTCTACTAAAAACATAAAAATTAGCTGGGTGTGGTAGTGGGTGCCTGTAATCCCAGCTACTTGGGAGGCTGAGCCGAGATCTTGCCACTGCACTCTAGCCTGGGTGACAGTGCAAGACTCAAAAAAAAAATCTTTTGAGTGCAAGTCTCAAAAAAAAAAAAAAATCTTTCAAGGTCACAGTACTTATTTTGCCTGCACGTTATAAATACCAGTCTGTATGTGTCACTACCAAAGTTCACTGATAGGTAAGTGACCACTGATAATCAATATATCAATAAACAGCTTTCAAATTTATATGTTTACTCTCAACCTTAGGGTCTGTTTAAGATGGTAGCCATCATTACTTTCAGCAGATCAAAGAGGAGTTTCAAGAAGCAATAATACACTTTGGGAACTGAGTGCATGCATTATCTTGAAATGCTAAGAGTGCTAAAAAAATAATAATTCTTTAAATAATAGCTTTGATGAGTAGGTATGCATATAGCCCACTCACTACTGAATTGAGCAGTTTGCAGTATTGTTCCTGGGTTAAACTCAGGGTTGGAAGCAGCCATATTTGGAAGCATTTGTGAAGACAGTAAAAACAAACAAACAAAAAAATGTAATCTGTAGTTAAAGGAACAGTAAAAAATGACTAAACATTTAGGAAAAACGAGTAACATTATATGGCCAATCAAGACATTCTACAGTATTTTTGCCACTGTTATTTTAAGTGATTCTTCCCTAAATTATTTCTAATTATTCAGTCAGATAAATTTTTGACCGATACAAAAACACTAAGATCTATAATACAGAAGAAAAAGAAAATAAGTTATCCAGTTATAACTACTAAAATAATTTAGAAACACAAAACCCAGTAATATAATGTGACCAAATTGTTAACAATACATTAAAAGCTTATATTAAAAAATTAGTATCTAAGACAGATTTTGCTGTAGGTTCTATGGTAGAGTGTGGAATAAAACATAATAAATCAATACAGCTAAAGTGCTTAAAACAGTGACTAGCACATAGGAAAGACATTTAAGTATTTGACACTATATTATTACCTTTTTCAGCACCTGAATGTGTTGTTCCTGCTATATTATGTCTAGCAATGGACATTGGCAATACTTTCCTAGTAGAAATGCTTTCAGTACTAGTGGCAGCAGAAACTGTGGCACTTGCTGTTGAAATATTAGTTTTATTCTGGGTCACAGCACCATCAGAGTTTCTTTCATCTGAGTCTGAGTCATCAGAGTGAAGTGGATTAGTAAAACTGAGGGGTGTTCTGAAGAGTGGTGAAGTGTTATCATGATCCACAAGATCAGGTGTTTCAACTTGTGTTGTAGGACTTGGTGTTAAACTCACAGTTTTCCTAGTTTGATAGTTGATATCTGAGGAATTGCCTTCAGATAAATCAGGTATGGGTATGGCATTTTCAGGTCCATGAAATGACCACGTTACATGTCCTTTCTCATCAAGAGGCAAGCGGTCTGGCCTTGGAGGTGTGTCTGAATTCTGGGATTCTTCTGGTGGAGTAACTGAAACTTTGTTTGATTGTGTTACACTGCAGTCCACACAAGAATTCTGGGAAGTATCACCGACATTTAGATCTGAACTTAATTCCTGTGGCTTAGAGATTTTATCAGCTATACAAGGTGAAGCAGATTTAATTTTAATTGCATGTCCCCTATTCAAAAGTGTGTTCCCATCAAAACTTTTTGGTCCCTCTTGGAGAGGGACCTTCTTAATCTCAAAACTTAAATTTCGTTCCAATTTTTTATCTATCTGTTCAATTGTTGATTCATTTTTCCCTGGAAGTTCTGTTGATTTACTATAGTTTCTGTTGAGGTCTGCTGAATGTTGTTCTGATGAAACCATATGCAACACTGGCTTTGGATGGTATCTATCATTGTCCTGCCACACAGTAGTGACTGTTGGAAAAGCTGAAGGGGGAGAAGGTGTCAAGATGGGTGGCACTGGATGAGGTTCCGGTGGCTGCAGTATTTCTTCTTTAGCATCCCCTTCAACAAGGCAACTGAAAAACAAACATTTAAAAAGGGCATTTTAAGACTGTTAAACAAGTTGATACCTGAGAATTATGTAGCTAAGAGTAGCATATTAAGAGCCATTACAATCTGGTTGCGAATAAAAACTGCAGTTTTTCAGACTAAGAAAATTTAATGTTCATCAAGGTAATACACATATACTGTTTAAAAAGTCAAATACAAGACTTTGAATGAAAAACATAGTCTCTGCCCCGCAGCCCTCCTGTTAGCCAGAGGCATCAACTTTCAACATTTTTTTATAGCTGCTTCTAAAATTTACACCTCTGTATTTCAGACTATTTCAAAAGTTATTTCTTGATCTTTGTTTCACACATTTTCTACTGACTTCCTACTGTGGAAGTGTCCTTCTCTATCTTTCCAATACTGTTATATTGTAATTTTTCATTACCTCAGTCGTATGACTGCAGATAGTATTCCCATCTATGACACCATGATTTCGTATCTTTTCTTCTATAGTGTCTTGTTTTCCCCTAATGACTGCCTTGGATTTCTGATGGCTTAGCTCTCTATGCATCATCAGTTACTCAGCTTTTCTTCTAACTTTCTTGCAGATTGGTATACCTCCTCTCAATAATGACAAGCACACATAGTAAGTATCAATACCACAGACATCCTTGTTAGTAACTTTTGGCCTCCTGCTCCAGTGTGGACTACTGGTTCCCTAGTCCATCACAGAGCTAATGTTCTCTCTGGTTTCAGATTCTCCTGTTTCCCAGGTCTCATTTTCCTCTTTCTGGGTATACTCCTTTGTTCGGGTGGGTTATACCCTCTAGTTGCCTTTATTTTTTTCCTTAAAGAAATAGGGGCCAGGCATGGTGGCTCACGCCTGTAATCCCAGCACTTTGGGAGGCCAAGGTGGGTGGATCAATTGAGCTCAGGAGTTTGAGACCAGCCTGAGCAACACAGTAAAACCCCATCTCTACTAATAATACAAAAATTTGCCAGGTGTGGTGGCACACACCTGCAGTCCCAGATACTTGGGAGGCTGAGGCAGGAGAATTGCTTGAGCCCAGGAGGTGGAGATGGCAGTGAGTTGAGATCACGCCACTGCACTCCAGTCTGGGCGACAGAGCAAGACTGTCTCCAAAAAAAAAAAAAAAAAAAAAAAGAGAGAGAGAGCGAGAGAGAGAGCGCGAGTGAGAGTGAGAGTGAGAGAGAGAGAGAGAGAGAGAGAGAGAGAGAGAGAGAGAGAGAGAGAGAGCGAGCAGCCTGGGCAATATGGCAAAACCCTGTGTCTTTAACAAATACAAAAAAATTAACTGGATGTGGCAATGCATGCTTGTAGTCCCAGCTACTAGGAAGGCTGAGGTAGGAGGATCACCTGAGCCTGGGGAGGTCAAGGCTGCAGGGAGCTCTGATCATGCCACTGCACTCCAGCCTGGGTGAAAGAATGAGATCCTGTCTCAAAAAAAAAAAAAAACCAAAGAAGAAGATAGGGTTTACTATGTTGCCCAGGCTTTGTTGCTTTTTAAGAACTTTATATGAAGCAAACTTCTTGAGGGCTTGTATATTTAAGTTTTTGTGTTCTGTTTTTCTTTTGAGATAGAGTCTTGTTCTGTCACCCAGGCTGGAGTGCAGTGGCACCATCTTGGCTCATTGGAACCTCTACCTCCTGGGTTCCAGCAATTCTTGTGCTTCAACCTCCTGAGTAGCTGGGACTACAGGCACATGCCACCACACCTGGCTAATTTTTGTATTTTTAGTAGAGATGGGGTTTTGCCATGTTGGCCAGGCTGGTCTCCAACTCCTGGCCTCAAGTGATTTGCCTGCCTCGGCCCCCGCAAAGTGCTGGGATTACAGGGGTGAGCCACTGGACCCCACCTCAGAGTTTTTGCTTTTTTTTCTCCCCCCAGGTGATCAACCTTTTTTTATCCAACCAGATAACTGGCAGTAATCACATGGTACACCAGGTTTCCCCTTAAAAGAGACTCTGTGGGCCAGGCATGGTGGCTCACGCCTGTAATCCTAGCACTTTGGGAGGCCAAGGCAGGCGGATCACAAGATCAGGAGTTTGAGACCAGCCTAACCAACATGGCAAAACCCCGTCTCTACTAAAAACACAAAACCCTAGTCAGGCATGGTAGCGTGCGCCTGTAATCCCAGCTACTCAGGAAGCTGAGTCAGGAGAATCACTTGAATTCGGGAGGCAGAGGTTGCAGTGAGCTGAGATCACGCCACTGCACTCCAGCCTAGGTGACAGAGCAAGACTCTGTCTCAAAATAAATAAAATAAATAAATAAAGACTCTGTGAAGTTCAGATTCTCTAGACACATTCCCACATTCCTAGGACATGAGAAGATAAATGAATATCTCCAGAATACTGATCATATTAAAATGACAGCAATACTCTCATAAGATATTCCTATATCTGTTCAAGTTTTACAAGTAGATTCTTTTTTTTTTTTTTGAGACAGGGTCCTGCTCTGCCACCTGGGCTGGAGTACAGTTGCACTATCTTGGCTCACTGCAACCTCTGCCTTCAGGGCTCAAGCCATCCTCCCAGTTTAGCCTCCCAAGCAGCTGGGACTACAGGTGTGCACTACCACACCTGGCTAAGTTTTGTATTTTTTGTAGAGATGTGGTTTTGCCATGTTCATGTTGCCCAGACTGATCTCAAACTCCTAAACTTAAGCAATTCACCTGCCATGTCCTCCCAAAGAGCTGGGATTACAGGTGTGAGGCATTGTACCTGGCCTACAAGTTGGTTCTTAATCTGAAAGAGTGGCTGTCAAATTTTTGCGATCTAAAACAAAAATAATTGCAGACACCTCCTACAATTTATAAAGCATATGCAAAGACCAATAGGTTATCCTAAGAACATATTATAATACAAATAGAAAATATGAGTTTTAAAAGGATGAGATAAAATTTTGATATAAATTGAGGTGTATTATTTTCCCTACGTGTACATGGTGAGACCACTTTTCCATAATCAGTATTTTATTTACATATTTTTTATTGAGACAGAGTCTCATTCTGTTACTCAGGCTGGAGTACAGTGGTGCAATCTCAGCTTACTGCAACCTCCGCCGCCTCCCAGGTTCAAGCGAATCTCCTGCCTCAGCCTCACAAGTAGCTGGGATTATAGGCACGCGCCATGACGCCCGGCTAATGTTTGTATTTTTAGTAGAGACAGGGTTTCGCCATGTTGGCCAGGCTGGTCTTAAACTTCTAACGTCAAGTGATCCGCCCTCCTCAGGCTCCCAAAATGCTGGGATTACAGGTGTGAAACACCATGCCCGGCCTCATGACCAGTATTTTACAGATTTACTTGATTAACAAACCCCATATATCCTTAACAGTACCTTTTTCACAGGGTAGTTAGGAGAATTAAATGAGTTAACATCTGAACAACAATTAGAACAGTGCTTGACAGATATCGAGTATGATATATGGGTTTGTTAATCGAGTATTTTCAAAGTTTTTAATTTAAAAAAACTTACTCCAAATTTCAGCATTATTTTTATCTTACTCTAAACCTAAGCAAGGTTCTTATGTTGGATGTTCTATAATTTCATAATGTAACTTAAAAAACTATATTTTTTAACAATTTTATTTTTATCCATCACATTTGGTGGTGTATATCAAGCTTGGTGTATACGCTCTATATAAAAATTTATGCCCTTTAATTCTAACACATTTTTTCTTCTTTTTTTTTTTTGCTAATTTCTTCTTCCCTACTCTCCTTTTAGACTATTATTAGTTCAGTGACAGATCTTCTAGTTTTGCTTTCTAATTTCCTTATCTTTTCTCTCCTACTTTTTCTTTATCCATTCATTTTCTTGAAATGAATGAATTTCTTTATTTTGGAAATTTTATTGGAAAATGGAGTTCCTTATTTTCCAAACTTCTGCTTAATTTTTAAATTTATAGTATTTTAATTTCTTTCTTTCTTTTTTTTTGAGACAAGAGTCTCATTCTGTTGCCCAGGCTGGAGAGCAGTGGCGCGATCTCGACTCACTGTAACTTCCGCCTCCCGGGTTCAAGCGATTCTCCTGCCTCAGCCTCCTGAGTAGCTGGGACTACAGGCACACACCACCACGCCCAGCTAATTTTTTTTGTATTTTTAGTAGAGACTGGGTTTCACCATATTGTCCAGGCTGGTCTCAAACTCCTGACCTTGTGATCTGCCCGCCTCAGCCTCCCAAAGTGCTGGGATTACAGGCATGAGCCACTGCGCCTGGCCTATATTCTTAATTTCTAAGAGCTTCTTACTTATTACCCACAGTTCTTATTTCGTGGTTGCAGCATTTCCCAATGACTGAGAAAAGTGGACTGTTGTTTCTTTTTTCCCCCATCTTTTTCATTTTACTCTGTATTGTCTCCATTTCCTCTGTTTTTTCATATTAGAGGCTTCTGTCAAATGCCCAGTCATTCCTAGTTCTGTTCACTTTTAAGAACTGGAAGAACTGGAATACTGGTGGGACATGGTGGCTCACGCCTGCAATCCCAGCACTTTGGGAGGCCAAAATGGGTGGATCCCTTGAGCCCAAGAGTTTAAAACTGGCCTAGGCAACAAGGAGAAAACCCATCTCTACAAAAAATACGGAAATTAGCCAGGCATGGTGGTGTGTGTCTATAGTTCCAGCTAGTTGGGAGTCTAGGGTGGGAGGTTCAATTGAGGTCGAGGCTGCAGTGAGCCATAATCACACCACTGCACTCCAGCCTGCGCAAAAGAGCAAGGCTCTGTCTGAAAACAAAACAAAATAAAACAGAAAGAATTGGAATATTAAAAATTACTGAAAGACATGTACAGTCATGTGACGTTTCAGTCAATGATGGGCCACACATAACATGGTGGCCCCACAAAGTTATAATGGAGCTGAAAAATTCCCATGAATTTGTAGCAAAATGCGTCATTCACGTTTGTTGTGATGCTGGTATAAACAAAGCTACTATGCTGTCAGTCATATAAAAGCACAGCACATGTAATTACGTACAGGACACAATCCTTGATAATAATGATAAAGAAAATAGTTATTGGCTTATGTACTTTTTTTTTTGAGATGGAGTCTCGCTCTGTCACACCCAGGCTGGAGTCCAGTGGTGCAATCTTGGCTCACTGCAACCTCCACTTCCCGGGTTCAAGCAATTCTTTTGCCTTAGCCTCCCAAGTAGCTGAGACTACAGGTGCCCGCCACAACGCCCAGCTAATTTTTGTATTTTTAGGAGACACAGGGTTTCGCTATGGTGGCCAGGCTGGTCTCGAACTCCCAACCTCAGGTGATCCACCCACCTTGGCCTCCCAAAATGCTGGGATTACAGGCGCCTGGCCACGTACTTACTTTTTGTTGTTAATTTTGAGTGTATTCCTTCTAATTGTTAAAAAATTAGTTAACTGTTAAACAGCTTCAGGCAGGTTCTTCAGGAGGTATTCTAGAAGAGGGCACTGTTATCATAGGGGATGACAGCTCCATGTGTGTTTCTGCCCGATACCTTCCAGCAGGACAAGATATGGAGGCAGAAGGCAGTGATATTGATGATCCTGACCCTGTGTATGCTTAGGCTACTGTGTGTGTGTGTCTTATTTTTAACAAAAACGTTTAAAAAGTAAATAAATAAATAAATAAATAAAAATGAAATATACACACAACACATATTTTTATATATATATATATATATGGATTCAAGCAATCCGCCCACCTTAGCCTCCCAAAATGTTGGGACTACAGGCGTGAGCCACTATGCCCAGCCAACATGTACTTTATTTTTGTTTTTTTATTTTTGAGACAAAGTCTCGCTTTTTCACCCAGGCTGGAGTGCAGTGGCATGAACTTGGCTCACTGGCACCTTCGCTTCCTGGGTTCAAGCGATTCTCCTGCCTCAGTCTCCCAAGTAGCTGGAACTGCAGGCGCGTGCCACCACGCCTGGCTAATTTTTCTATTTTTAGTAGAGACGGGGTTTCACCATATTGATCAGGCTGGTCTTAAACTCCTGACCTTGTGATCCGCCTGCCTTGGCCTACCAAAGTGCTGGGATTACAGGCGTGAGCCACCACGCCTGGCCCCATCATGTACTTTAAACAAACAATTAATGTGTTTACTGTAGCCATACTGAAAAACAAAATATACTATTTTACTTGTTATCAATCTTATGATTTTGTGATTTTATTTTCAGTTATGTTGGAACAATTTATAATAGTTCTAAAAATCATCCCAACTTAGAAGTCACAAGGTTCTCTTTGTCAAAAATAATGACATTCTGGCATTTGACTCCATTACATGAAGAAGAAAAAAGGTGACCTATGCATGTATTATAAAATCACACACAAAGAACTTTTAGAATGTATGCCTAATAAAAATCTGTCTTGAGTTGAATATTTTTTCTTAATATGCATTTGCTTTTTTCTTTATTATCTTTTTGTTTATTAGAGAGTAACAGAAGTAAAACTTTTCAACAGGTATAGGAAAAAGGCTTTAAATTCAGATATTCTATTCTTTTTTCCTGTAAAATTAAGAAGAGACTGCTGCTACATGTAGTTAGAGGTAGAAGAACATACAAATCATAAATATCAGTGTAGACTTTGAAAACCTCTATATTGGCTCAATCTCAAAAACCAAATTAAAACACAGGGCAGCAAAAATGTTCCTTAATTTTTTTAGGGCCAGTAGTTTCTTTTAGGATTCTAGGGCTCCTATATGGAACAGAGAAGTTAGAGAACTTAATATTTTATAGGTTTCAACTGGTTACCTTCCACAGACGGCTAAAATGCCAACCAGTTTTGGTGGATACCAAAGTGGAAATCGAACAGGAAAGAACTACTAAAAGTTCTGATAGCACACAGTTAACATCTCGAACATTTAAATGTTGAGACCTAACCTCATCTATATATAGGCTTCCTGAGGTTCCTAAGAGAAGTATGCAAAGGTATTCTAGAGACTATAACTACCACCACACTTAAAAAATCTGTTACTATAGGCCGGGCATGTAACTACATGCTTTATATACATTATCACTAATTTTTAAAAACGGAGAATACGAGTACTCTCACTACAATGAAGTAAAGTATTTTCAGAGAAGTGGCTTGTCAAAGTTCATTCAGTGGCAAATGCTAAAGTTAAAATTTGGAATGGGACCTATTTATGTAAAAAGCCTCTTTATACCAGAGTACACTGCCTCTTTCTGTACTCAGCAGCTTCCTTCCCAGGCAGTTAGAATCTTGCATGGTCAAAATGAGAATAAATTATTCCTGTGGTGTGCAGGGATTCTAACCAAACCTTCAGTTACTGAGGGAAGCTGCAGGCTTTTTCTTTTGTTCAGAGAGATGATTTCGTTAGAATGATCTCTTGGAATTAGCAACTCAATGCTAAGACATGACCCTGGCCGTCTGACCCAACTTTCCCCAAAGTTTTAAGATGGAAACAATTGGTGTATCCTGTATAAAAGAATTTATTTTGATGGGAAGTCGATCAGTTTTGGCAGATCTATGTGCAAGAAAGACACTATAAAATATTCTAATAGTTTTTTATTTAATCCTTAGGACAATATTTAAACAACTCCTTCTCCCCAGGATTAAGTAAATTAATCCTAGATCCCAGAGCTAAATGGCTAAAAAGGAGTTGAAACTATCTTCTTCTGCCTCTGTATTCTCTCCATACTACCATGTTACTGACTAAGCAGCTACCCTGAACAAGAAGGGAAGGAAAAGAAAGATATGAATATATATGATTTTAACTATTATAAATGAGCTTGGTAGAAAAGCAAGAAAAATTAAAGAAATAAACTCATCTTTGCTAGTAACGTTATTAAATATCCTCACACTTCAACATGCATGCAATTTTTGGCAAGCATATTTAGTCATCAGGAAAAAAATGGGAATCTTTAGAATAACTAAAATTTTAGTTATATCACATATCAAAACATAAACCATAGTCAATTCATGGTAGTATCCACATTCTGCTACAGTATATTATTGAAATTTTATCCAAAATGAAACCAAATTTTTAATAAACCAGTAACAAATCAGTTGTCATACGTATGTTACATCCTAACAAAATAATAATAAAAGTTATAAAAGTAATTTAGAAATATTCAGAATTTGTCATTTTAATTAACAGTGAGTAGAAACAAGTATGCTTTTAAAGAAAATGTTCGAAGACATACAATACCTGCGGGTCCTTGGTGGTTTTGGAGGAGGAGAATCTTGTTTTTCAGGCTCTATGGAGCTGACCATGTTTTCAGTGTTAATTTCATTCTGCCAAGGGAAAAAATACTTCACTAAGGTTAAGAGAAAAATAATTTTTCCTCTTCATGTTTCAACTAAATTGTTTCTGTGCTTTTCAATCCTTAAACAATGCCAATTTTGCCAAGTTAAAAAAAAAAAGTCTTATATTCTGGCTCTATATTTTAGCCTGAAGGACCAGACTTCAATGGAGAGATTGTATCAAAAAAACAGCGCATCACAGTTACTGGAAAGATCAAGGTGTACAGCAGCATTTCAACACATCTCAAATGCTACCGTAAAAAAACAGATTCCCCAAGATAATGTGGATTAAAGAACGTAGTATCCCCCCGCCCCGCCATCACTACCACTAGGAACTTAATATATGCAGAGACAAAAAAAAAGCCAACAAATAAGGCTTATACCATTTACCAAGTAATGGAGTATCTTTTTATGACTCCCCATTACTACCTAGTACTTTTAAACTGGTGGTCCTAGGATTCATTTTAACCATTTCTTGCCTCACTCTCACTCTGTCACTATGTGGAGTGCTCTAATCCATTAGGGAATATAGCTCCTATATCACTGGCTACCCAAATGGACCTCAAAAAGGCAGACAGAGCCCATCCCCAGAATATCCTTGGTTCTTGCTGGTCACAAGGACCAATAACATCATTAACATTGATGTTTCAGAGTCAATACAGGTATAAGAACCTTAGGTTTAGGACTGTGAATAGGGGAGCGGTGAAATGAAAATACGGCCTTGAATTAGTTTCACTGTCAACATATCTCATATTTATCTAGCTAGGGTATTTTAATTCTAGGGTATGTTATGTCCAGAAGAGAGGAATGATTTTCACCCTTGCCAACATCTCAGATAATTTTAGACAACAGCCATCGTTACACATACTATCAACTAAGGAACTCTGAAACCGTAGCTGCATTTTGTTTTGTTATCATTGTTTTTAATTAAAAGGCACTTCTACTATGTCCATCATGACAGCTTGTCCAACTGTTACTTCAATTACTTCCAACTAAACAACTAGAGATCTCAACTTCCTAGCAATTTTAAGTGCACCCTATCTCCTTATATATAATCTGATGAATTAATAGTTTTATACATATCACTTCCTGACAAGAACAACAGAGTTATGTCATAAAACTTAAAGCATTCTTCCTTAATTAAAGCCACCCACCAAAATCGAGGCATTTGGTGCAGAAATATCTGGCTATAGGTAGGGTGACCATATAATTTATTGTCTAAATCAGGGCTCTTTTGAGAATGAAAAAGAAGCATTATTAATTATTAAACCTAGACAACTAGTGTGAACTGGTGTGCCTCACGCAAATCAGGACTTTTGGTCGCCAAAGTTTCAGATCCTCAGGTACCACCAGAATTTAGAGACTCTGCATCAAAAAGGTACCCCCTAGGCTGGGCGCAGTGGCTCACACCTGTAATCCCAGAACTTTGGGAGGCTGAGACTGGTGGATCACTTGAGGTCTAGAGTTCGAGACCAGCCTTGGCCAACATAGTGAAACCCTGTCTCTACTACAATACAAAAATTAGCCAGGCGTGGTGGTGCACGTCTGTAATTCCAGTTACTTGGGAGGCTGAGGCAGGAGAATCACTTGAACCTGAGAGGCAGAGGTTGCAGTAAGCTGAGATCGTGTCTCTGCACTCCAGTGTGGGCGACAGAGCAAGACTCCGTCTCAAAAAAAAACAAAAAAGTACCCCCAACATATTATTGATCATCTGCTTATTATTTCCATTAATGATATAACCATAATTCTGTAACACTTGATATTTTGTACCAAAATGTGCATTAAGTAGGTTAAATAAAAATTAAAGGCAAACCATATGAAACTCCTTTTGAACTGTTTCTAACATACAAAACAGCATTTTTCTTTTGTAGCACACATAAACTCATGTCATGTCAATGAAATATTTTGTTGCCAAGTGAGTGTAATATTGAATTCACAAAAACAAAACAAAACTATGTTTTCTTTGGATTTTGGAACTGCAGGTAAGGCAATGTGGACATCTAGTGAAATGCACTGAATAAAGTCAGCAAAGCAGAGGATACTAAAATGTAAGAAGGACATGGTATTATCTTTAACTTCAAAATGTAGTCTGGTAAAATCCCCAGAAAAAAAGTAGAAGGGTAATACTACAGCCCCAAAGTGGCATAATCAGTACTATGAAGCTATGAAATCAGAAAAAAAAGCTATAGTTGAGAATATTAAGAATATAATTGAGAAAAAGTAAGTTGACAATATTAAGGTAAAATGCAGAATGGCATTGAGGGATTGGTAAGATTTTGACAAAAAATGAATGAGGATTGGAAGAAGGAAAACAGGTGGAAGGGTAAAGAGAAGAGATAGTAAGGACATTTTAGGCAAACACTACATGTGAGAAAGTAAAGGTTTCATGAAGGATTCCTCATTCTGGGTGAGTAAGAGCAGGATGAAGCCATTAACAGGAAGAACCAAAAGAGAGCTTCTGGGAGAGATTAGCTTTCAGAACATACTGAGTTTCCTCTGATGAAAGGAATCAATGTGACAATGCAGAACTGCAATTCGATAAAGAGCCACTACCTAAACAGCATGTACAAAACCTCCTGGTCACTGGACTTCACAATGTTCTTGGATTTCCTAGTTAATGTCTCCTACACACCCACATCTTCTGACTCTCTTTTATTACCTATAATTTTTGAGTCCACATTTGTCATGTATACAACTTGCTGAAGCAATCACCAACTTTTGAAATGGAAAAGAATTTTAGGAATTAAATAATCTAATGCAGTGGCATGATCATACCTCTGCAGCCTTGAACTCCTGGGCTCAAACAATCCTTCCATCTCAGCCTCCCAAGTAGCTAGGACTACAGGCACGTGCTACCATACCCAGGTAATTAAAAAAAAATTGTTTTGTATAGATGGGGTCTCGCTTTGTCGCCCTGGCAGGTCTCAAACTCCTGGTCTCAAGCAATTCTCCTGCCCTGGCATCCCAAAGAGCTGGGATTATAGGCATGAAATGAGCCACGGCGCCTAGCCTGTGTTCTCTTGTTTTAAACAGAACTTTCTAAAGTTATCTTGCGTACTGTTATTTTCCATATAACAGCTTTATGAAATGCTACAAAAACATTAAGAAACAAATTATCTAATATTTAAGAATATTATCAGCTGCAGAAGAAAATAAATTATAAATCAGGGTGCTTTAAAAATAAAAAAATTATATTTTAGGAAAAAAAATCCAGAATTCATTATCACATCTAAAATGTACTATACAAACACAATAAAAGGACGATAATACAAACTGTTATTGCTATTACTTAATCATTCTAGAACTGAAATACTGGTGTTGACAGTACTTGTAACGGTGTCCTTTACACACAAGATAAAAAGGCACACTGCACAACTTAACAGATGTTTGCTTATTAAGGTACCTCTAAATCCTCAGTCAATATGATACAGGCTTACAGAATAAATTTTCTCTTTAGATCTCTCACTCCAGGAAGTCACTGTAGTTATAAATATCTCTAAAAAACACTATTCATTTTAAAGTCTTAAACAACCAACTAGTATATCAAACTAAAATTTCTACAGAAATAATACTGGAACACAGAACATTTAAACAAAACTTTTACCGATTAAATTGTCAGAAAAGTAGTAAGTGGGGACTTATTTTTACTTCTCACAGCATAGCTTCTAAATAGTTAATACACCTTTCAAGTCATTTCATTCAACCACACAGTTCTAAGATGATTTTTCTCAATTTTTCAGATTCCACATTTTCTTTAAGATTTATGGTCTGCAACCACAGACAGCCATCCTATAAAAAGAGTCACCTATATTTACAAGTTTACAGAAAACATGATTTCTTAAGAAGAAAATACTAAAAAGTTATCTGGAATGATAATCCATCTTTTCTTCTGTTTTTTTTTACTATTTATCCATTCATCTATGGAGAGATTTCTCTCAAACATTTAGTTTATGTCTACTATGTACCATGCAATGAGGTACGAAAGTAGGTTTGAAGTTAACTACTTATCTGCTATGGGTATTATTTCATCTCATCTCCTACAAAGTATGACTTTTTTATTATATTCCCGTAAAGCTCTGACCTATTAGACAGAAAGAGCCTATGATAGAATTATAATCCTAGTATAGATTTCAGGATATTAAAAAAGGATTGATTCAATGGAATAAAACCTTACAAAGATCAGACTTTGATCTAATTAGAAAAAGATGAAAAGGTGATGCGGTATTTATCACATATTTTCTGGAGATTATTTAAATATAGTTAAAAGTTTTAAAAAATACAACAATAGCTGGGCACAATGGCTCATGCCTGTAATCTCAGTGCTTTGGGAGGCTGAGGTGGGGGAGGACTGTTGGAGCCCAGGAGCTCAAGACCAACCTGGCAACATCTCTACAAAAAAAAATTTTTTTTTAATTAGCTAGGTGTGGTATATGTGCCTATAGTCTCAGCTACTTGGGAGGCTGAGGCAGGAGGAAAGCTTGAGTCCGGGAGGTTGAGGGCGCAGTGAGCCCTGATTGTTCCACTGCACTCTGGCCTGGGTGAAATAGCAAGACCTCGTCTCAAACAAAACAAAACAAAACCCAAACACTGAATATTGCAATAAAAGAACTTTAGCCTATAATTCCTGCACTTTGGGAGGCTGAGGCGGATGGATTGCTTGAGTCCAAGGATTTGAGACCAGGCTGGGCAACACAGTAAAACCTCATCTCTATAAAAAAAATAAACTCGGCAAGGTGATGTACCCGTGAGTCTGGGAGGCTAATCTTTTTTGTATTTTTGGTAGAGACGGGGTTTTGCCATGTTGCCCAGGCTGGTCTTCAACTCTTGGCCTCAGGTGATCCTGCCTGCTTCGGCCTCCCAAAGTGCTGGGATTCCAGGCATGAGCCACTGCATCCAGCCTAAAAACCTGTATTTCCAGATATAAAAACTTTAGCTTTGAAATTAATCTTGAATTCATGGAATAAAACAGAAATGCTTTTCAATTAAAGTTTAAAGATGCTGGGTGCAGTAGCTTATGCCTGTAATCCTGGCACTTTGGGAGGCTGAGGTGGGTGGATCACTTGAGGTCAGGAGTTTAAGACCAGCCTGGCCAACATGGTGAAACCCTGTCTCTACTAAAAATACAAAAATTAGCTGAGCATGGTGGTGGGCGCCTGTAATCTCAGCTACTTGGGAGGCTGAGGCAGGAAAATCACATGAACCCGGGAGGCAGAGGTTGCAGTGAGCCGAGACTGTGCTACTGCACTCCATTCTGGGCAACAGAGCGAGACTCCATCTCAAAAAAAAAAAAAAAAAAAAAAAAACCCAAAAATTAAAGAAAACTGTTTATAGCCTACTCAGCTTTTCGAAATATTAAATATCTCAACTTAGATTAAATTATACAAAATAATACAAATGTTTGGCCGGGTGCAGTGGCTCACACCTATAATCCTAGCACTTTGGGAGGCTGAGGCAGGGGGATCGCCTGAGGTCAGGAGTTTGAGACTAGCCTGGCCAACATGCAAAACCCCATCTCTACTAAAAATACAAAAATTAGCTGGATGTGGTGATACATGCCTGTAATCCCAGCTATTCAGGAGGCTGAGGCAGGAGAATCGCTTGAACCCGGGAGGCAGAGGTTGCGCCACTGCACTCCAGCCTAAGTGACAGAGTGAGACTTCGTCATCAAAAAAAAAACCAAAAACCAAAAAACAAAAAAAACCAATCAAACAAAACAAACAAAAAACACATTCGAGGCCGGGCGCGGTGGCTCATGCCTGTAATCCTAGCACTTGGGAGGCTGAGGCAGGCGGATCACCTGAGGTTGGGAGTTCGAGACCAGCCTGACCAACATGGACAAACTCCGTCTCTATTAAAAATACAAAATTAGCCAGGTGTGGTGGCACATGCTTGTGATCCCAGCTACTAGGGAGGCTGAGGCAGGAGAATCGCTTGAACCTGGGAGGCGGAGGTTACGGTGAGCCAAGATTGCACCATTGCACTCCAGCCTGGGCAACAATAGTGAAACTCCATTTCAAAAAACAAAATAAAACAAAACAAAAACACATTTGATTCTACATTATAAAATATTTGGCTAGATTCAGAGCATGTCATAATAGGATTTAATTAAGCTAAAGGCATTGTAGGAGGATTTCCTTGCACAATAATTCCTATGTTAATAAAGGAATAAGAACGATGTCACATAAAACTTAAAAACGTGAAATTGTCACTTGGCTAATAAAAGAAATGCATATTTCCTAAAACTCATGGACCGATATTAGATTATCCTAACAAACTGAGATCAGCATTTGGTAATAAATCTGTCATTTGGAAAACCAAGAAAATTCAAACAAATATTCTGGGAACTGACAAAACCATTTAAAGGGAGAAAAGGAAAATGAAGGTTATAAATTTTGCAACTTATTTTCTCATACTTGGTTTAACAATGTAATAGTTATCATAGACTCAATGACAAAGATGTAAACAAATTCTACAAAAAAAAAAAAAAAATCTCAGCACCTTCAGGGACAAGGTGGTTATATATAGAATTGAAGCAAGACAATTGGTTAGAAAACAAAGGCAGAAATGAGAATACTAAGAGAATACAGTGTTTTTGTCAGGTCTAGAAGTTGAATATCCAGTAAGATGTTACAAGGCTAAAATAACACTGAATTATAACACAACAAAAGGGAGTTAACTGTGGCTCTTTAATTCTGCTTAACTGAAAAGCATATACACAAGGCCAGGAGTGTTGGCTCATGCCTGTAATCCCAGCACATTGCACACTGGGAGGCCAAGGCGGGCAGACCACCTGAGGTCAGGAGTTCGAGACCAGCCTGGTCAACATGGCGAAACTCCGTCTCTACTAAAAATACAAAAACTAGCTGGGCACAGTGGCGTGCGCCTGTAATCCCAGCTACTCAGGAGGCTGAGGCAGGAAAATCACTTGAACTTGGGAGGTAGAGGTTGCAGTGAGCTGAGACTGTGCCATTGCACTCCAGCCTGGGCAACAAGAGTGAAACTCTGTCTCAAAAAAAAGAAAAGAAAAGAAAAGCATATACACAAATAACTAAAACACTTTATACAAAATGAAATTCAAGTAGAATCAATGCAGAATTACTTGGGTGGGGGTGGAAGGGAAGAGTAAAGAGAACAATGCAATTATTTTTTAAAAAAGTAAAACATTAACGAATTATATGATTTTTGACATGAGATCTTTCCTAACTTTATTTCATTTAGAACATAATTTACCTTATATCGGAGTCATTAAATAGCCATCATAATACAGATACGAATAAGAAGGAAATGAGTTTAAGTAAAAATGTTAAGTGTCCTGGATATTCTTCTCATGTTAGACAAAACACAAGACAACAAAAAAAAGGCTAAATATTACATCTTAACAAAGAGTAAAAGTTTCCTAAAATTAATAGACCAAGAACACCTACCACTCCATCAGCAATTTTCTGAGCTCCATGAATTTCATATAGTTGTAGCTGTTTTTCAAACAGTTGGGCAATAGCTCTATGAACAAGTTCATATTGCTCCTATGAAGGAGAAAAATGATTAAAAAACAAAATGAAAACAACATTTTAAAAAAGAAGAAAGCATTTATAAAATAGCAGTTTATAAAGGGAAACAAACAACTATACCTTTGTTTGTACTGCAGAATGCCTTTGTGTTCTCATTTCTTGTATTAAATTAAATACATTAAATTCCTCTGGTATTTTCTAAAACAGAAAATTTAATACATCAACTTTGTGTATCTATTCAGAAAATAGTAAAATCTTCTTCAGCTTTTCACATAAAACTTAAATACCTGCTGGTTTACTGCAAACATTTATTGAACACCACTTAATGCATCTCAGACACTGTGCTTGGCACTGTGGAAACAAAACTGTTCTTGACCCTCAGCATTCAAGATGGGGAGACAGTTATGTCCAGCCAAAGTATGACTGCAGTATACAGGGAATAAAGAGGCTATGGCTAACTGTTGAGTGTGTGCAGCTACAACATAGTTGGATATCAAAAGAAGGTTATCCCATAAAAAGTGAAGGAAATATACATAAGCACAGCAGATTCAATGTATAATCTATGTGGGGAATTGAGAAGTTTGATGTAAACAAAGCCTAAGACTAAAAGAAGGAGAAGGTACTCAAAGGAGGAGAGAAGATAAGGATATTTAGGATCAGACTGTGAACATAATAAAGAGACTGAATTTATTCTATTGGCCAGTATCTCCTGGATTGGCTATATAAGGACCAGCTAAAAGACCTAGGTAAAAATATAGATCCTTTGGCTCCAAGTTGGGGAACTAATTATGAAACGACCTAGACAATTCTTTTGTGTATATGGAATTGCGACTACTGCAATAGGCAATGTTGACATGAGAAGATCTGATATTCACACAATTTTTGTATCAAGGAAGAGGACAGTCTGAAAGAGTGAGAAACTGGCGGAGGTTTACAGAAGCAGAAATATCATAACTGTTATCAACAAGAATATTTTGGAGTGATTAAGATGGAAGGGTTAAAAATGATTTCCAGGTTTGCTGCTTGGAAGTCCTTATATACATCATAAGATTTTTGGGTTTTTTTTTTGTTGTTTTTTTTTTGAGACGGAGTCTCGCTCTGTCGCCCAGGCTGGAGTACGGTGGCGTGATATCCGCTCACTGCAAGCTCCGCCTCCCGGGTTCACGCCATTCTCCTGCCTCAGCCTCCGGAGTAGCTGGGACTACAGGCCCCCGCCACTACGCCTGGCGATTTTTTTTATATTTTTAGTAGAGACAGGGTTTCACCGTGTTAGCCAGGGTGGTCTCAATCTGCTGACCTCGTGATCCGCCCGCCTCGGCTTCCCGAAGTGCTGGGATTACAGGCGTGAGCCACCGCGCCCAGCCAAGATTTTTACATGAAGACTTAACAACTAGGCCGGGTGCAGTGGCTCATGTCTGTAATCCCAGCACTTTGAGAGGCCAAGGCAGGCGGATCACCTGAGGTCAGGAGTTTGAGACCAGCCCGAAACACGGTGAAACCCCATCTCTACTAAAAATACAAAAATTAGCCAGGCATGGTGCCGCGTGCATGTAATCCCAGCTACTCGGGAGACTAAGGCAGGAGAATCGCTTGAACCTGAGAGTCAGAGGTTGCAGTGAGCCGAGATTACACCACTGCCCTCCAGCCTAGGCAACAGAGTGAGACTCCATCTCAAAAAAAAAAAAAAAAGAGAGAGAGAGAACTATGTTCAAAATACACAACTTTTATTTTATTTTATTTTTTGAGACGGAGTCTTGCTCTGTCACCCAGTTTGCAGTGCAATGGCACAATCTCGGCTCACTGCAACCTCTGCCTTCCAGGTTCAAGCAATTCTCCTGCCTCAGCCTGACAAGTAACTGGGATTACAGGCGCCGGCCACCACGCCTGGCTAATTTTTGTATTTTTAGTAGAAATGGGGTTTCACCATGTTGGCCAGGTTGGTCTCAAACTCCTGACCTCAGGTGATCCGCCCACCTCAGCCTTCAAAAGTGCTGGAATTATGGCATAAGCCATGGCACCTATCCAAAATACACAACTTTTAAAATGACCAAATGTTTGTTTTGTTTGCTAGCATTCATTTATGTGTCCCTTCTCATTCCAATTTTAATCTTTGACTTTTATGTTAAAATGTGATCGAATTCCAGTTAAATTTTGTTCACTTAAGCATTTTCATTTGAGAATTAGATGATTATAGTTTTTGAGGAAAAAAATATTTAACCCCAGAGGGCTTTTTAAGGAACTGTTTAACATGTAAATATTTCCTTGCAACAATAAAAAATGGAGAGATGGCAGGGAAAAAAGAGAAATAAGGGGAAGAAGGAAGAAAAAGAAAAAATAAACATTTTATTAATTCTACTCTGTACAAGACAAAGATGAACAATTCATGGAAACTATAAAGCTATGAAGGATTAAAGGCGCCTCTCTAGAAATGAACACATTATGGAACCAGCAAAAGAATCAAATGTATACATAATGAAGAGACTTGTTTTTCAAATCTATAATGAAGGCTGTATCTTATTTATCTCTGTATCATCCACAGTATCAAACACTATTTCTTGGAAAAAGCAGTAGTAGGAACAACAATCACAACAGCAACAGTAATCAACACTAACAATAAACTGAGTACTTACAATTTACCACATAGTTCTGAAGAACTTCACAAAAGTTATTTAATTCTTATGCATTACTACTACTATGACCCCTATTTTCTGATAAAGAAATAGAGGCACTATGGGATTAGTATTTTGACCAAGATCCCACAGCTAGTAAATGAGAAAGCCAGAATTATAATCTGGGCAATTTGGCTCGAGTCAGCATTCATAGACTACAATACTATAATGTCTCCAGCAGGCATAAATACATACTGAGTGAAATACACTTATACCTAGAGTAAACATAAAAGGCAATGGGCCAGGCACCGTAGCTCACGCCTACAATCCCGGCACTTTGGAAGGCCGAGATGAGTGGATCACCTGAGGTCAGAAGTTCGAGACCAGCCTGGCCAACATGGTGAAACCCTGTCTGTACCAAAAATATAAAACATTAGCTGGGCGTGATGGCAGGCACCTGTAATCCCAGCTGCTAGGGAGGCTGAAGCAGGAGAATGGCTTCAACCCAGGAGGTGGAGGTTGCAGTGAGCTGAGATCGCACCATCGCACTCCAGCCTGGGCAACAAGAGTGAAACTCTATCTCGGAAAAAAAAGAAAAAAAAAAAAAGGCAATGAAAATTTAGTATTGGAAAAGTCAGTAACAGTTTATATCCTAATGCAAGTATTCACTCACCTAGAACACTGTCACATTGTTCCCCAATGCATCCTATCAAAGGCAATATGCAGCAATTATACCTTTTCTCCACCTTTATTTTTTATAATCATTTTATTTTTTAATTATTTTTAGAGACGGGGGTCTCCCTATGTTCCCCAGGCTGGTCTCGAGCCCCAGGGCTCAAGCGATCCTCCCACCTTGGCCTCCCAAAGTGCTAGGATTACAGGCGTAAGCCACTGTGCCCGGCCTTCACTACCTTTATTTCTTACTTAATAAAACTACTTTGGAAAAAATAACATGTATAATAAAATATACACTATAATTTACTGCAATTATAATTAAGTTTGAAAATCATAATAGATCAATTGAACATAATGCTACAAAAAATTATTCTTACCCCAGCTTTTAGTAAATTCCACGTATAATCTATGGCACAAATGGCACCTGTTCTTCCACAGCCTGCACTAAGGATATAAAGTTTGAAAAACAATTGATTTTTGTGATAAAACAACTATAAAATAAATGTGGATAGACATGTTAATATTCAGAAACAAAAAATCATTTAAGAAGTTTGACAAAATTCTACTTAGTAATAAACAAAATACAACTTACAGTGTGTTCATGGCAACATCTGTTACACAGAATACATATACATATACACTATGATTTTTCCTATATGTACATACCTATGATAAAGTTTAATTTATAAATCAGGCACAACAAGAGATTAACAACAATAACTAATAATACATTAGAACAATTATAACAATCTATCACTAGTCACTACCTCACTACTGTTGAGGTTTGGGCCATTATAAGTAAAATAAGGGTCATGTGAACATAACCACTGGGACACCATGACAGTCCATCTGGTAACTGCAGTATCTACTATGTGACTAATGGGCTGGTAGAGTCTACAGTGTGTACACACTGGACCATGGGATGATTTATCTTGCAAGCAGGACATACTTCCCCATGCTTCTCAGAATGGTGCAGCATTTAAAACTTACAAAGTGTTTACTTCTGAAATTTTCCATTTGATATTTTTGAACTATGAGTAACTGAAACTGAGGACAGTGAAGTCTTGAATAAGGAAGGCCTATTGTCTTCTATCTTTTAAACATTTCATTTTTAAGGGGTTGGGCGCAGTGGCTCATGCCTGTTGTCCCAGCACTTTGGGAGGCCAAGGCAGAAGGATTGCTTGAGCCTGGGAGGTCGAGGCTGCAGTAAGCCATGATGGCACCAATGCATTCCAGCCTGGGTAACAGAGTGTGACTTCATCTCAAAAAGAAAAACAAAAATTAATTTAAGGAACTTCCAAGAGTAAGTGACACAGAGAATAGCTACTAAGTTGTCACTCTGGAAGTCTAATGCTACATCAGAAAATGTGACTAGCTAACAACGTCTTACAGAGACATTTATTCTATGTTCAAGATGGCTCTTGTGGCTGGGCGCAGGGGCTCATGCCTGTAATCTCAGCACTTTGGGAGCCTGAGGCCGGTGGATCACTTGAGGTCAGGAGTTTGAGACCACCCTGGCCAACACGGTGAAACCCCATCTCTACTGAAAACACATAATTAGCTGGGCGTGCTGGCAGACACACGCAATCCCAGCTATTCAGGAGGCTGAGGCAGGAGAATCACTTGAACCGGGGAAGTGGAGGTTGCAGTGACCCAAGATCGTGCCATTGCACTCCAGCTTGGGCAGCAAGAGTAAAACTCCAACTCAAAAAAAAAAAAAAAAAAAAAAAAAAGATGGCTCTTGTTTTAGAGTACAGGAGGAAATGGTACATCATTTCAATCTATAGAAGGTATAGGAAAGGTGAAGAATGCTATAAGCCCTAGAAAACGGATTGAGCAACAGCAGTGATTTCCACAAAAGAACAAGACAATGATATGCTCTCATATCCCAAAAAACTAATGGGAGCTGGGGACTTTAGAGTAACATACCATAGGTTTTTTTATTTTAAAACATGACAGGCTGGGCTCAGTGGCTCACGCCTGTAATCCCAACACAATGGGAGGCCAAGGAGGGCGGATCACCTGAGGTCAGGAGACAAGCCTGGCCAACGTGGTGAAACCCCGTCTCTACTGCAAATACAAAAAAAAAAAATTAGCCGGGCGTGGTAGTGGGCGCCTGTAATCCCAGCTACTTGGGAGGCTGAGGCAGGAGAATCACTTGAACCTGGGAGGCGGAGGTTGCAGTGAGCTGAGATCACGCCATTGCACTCCAGCTTGGGCGACAGAGCGAGACTCCGTCTCAAAAAAAAAAAAAAAAAAAAAAAAAAAACTCATGACAAAAGTATTTTAAAGTAACTGCTTCTCAACTAGAGAAAGGCTTATGCATCTTAGAATTGAAAATCACTATGAGTAATTATAAGATGTTACTGACATCACCAGAATAATCTTTGGCAAAAACCCCCACAAAGTTGTGTAACATTTTAATGCATATTTTGAAATGTATACCTATCAGCAGTTTGTTAAACATGTAACCTAAAATTCCTGATAAAAGTACACTATAAACAACCTAGAAAGATTTTTTAAAACTCTTAATAAACATAATCAATTATATTAATTTTTAGTTGATACATTTGTGAATTCTGTGCATCAAAACATTTATAGAATTTTAGTTGAGTTACTGGGATAAATTATATATATCTAAAATTTGATAGTTAAAAGTATAACATAAAGATACAGATAACCAGATCAATGAAACACAATAGAAAGTTCAGGAACAGATCTGAGTACATGTAACATTTCTTACATAACAGTGAATTCTCCAGAGATCAGACCGTTCAGTAAGTGGCAAAGGAGAAGTTAGCTATCAATGAAGAGCAAAAAATTAAATTCTGATCACATACCTTAACCATAAAAAATCCAGGTGGATAAAAATATATATATATATATGATATAAACATATTGGATATTTATCCAATGATAAATGTTAAAAAGTAAATCTATGAAAGTACTAAAAATATATGCAAAATATATACACTATTGTGTTAGGGAAAGACTTTCTATGTACAAATATCTCAATGGACAAAAACCATTCAAAAATCTGACATGACAAAATGAAACTTATGTATTGCAAACAGGCAGAAGACAGGAAAAACCATGGTACTTACAACATGAATAAAAGTTAATGTCCTCAATATATAAAGCACTTGTATAACTATTAAAAGATGAGGCTGGGCGCAGTGGTTCACGCCTGTAATCCCAGCACTTTGGGAGGCCGAGGCAGGTGATCACCTGAGGTCAGGAGTTCAAGACCAGCCTGACAAACATGGAGAATCCCCAACTCTACTAAAAATATAAAATTAACCGGGTGTGGTGGTGCATGCCTATAATCCCAGCTACTCGGGAGGCTGAGGCAGGAGAATCACTTGAACCCAGGAGGCAGAGGTTGCAGCAAGCCAAGATCGCACCATTGCACTCCAGCCCAGGCGACAGCCCAAGACTCCGTCTCAAAAAAAAAAAAAAAAAAAAAAAAGGAAGAAAAAAATGCAAACAAAGGCTGGGAACCGTGGCTCACACCTGTAATCCCAGCACTTTGGGAGGTGGAGGCGGGCAGATCATGAGGTCAGGAGTTCAAGACCAGTCTGGCCAACATAGTGAAACCCCGTCTCTACTAAAAAATACCCAAAATTAGCTGGGTGTAGTGGTGTGTGCCTGTAATCCCAGTACTCGGGAGGCTGAGGCAGGAGAATCGCATGAACCCAGGAGGCAGAGGTTGCAGTGAGCTGAGATCGTGCCATTGCACTCCAGCCCGGGCGACAGTGCAAGACTCTGTCTCAAAAAAAAAAAAAAAAAAAAAAAGCAAACAAAAAGATAACACACAGTATTGGGGAAGGTATAGGGAAATAGGTACTCTCACATACTGCCAGTGGCAGAATTAAGTAGCATCAATTTTCTGGATAACACATTAAAAAATACTCATTAAAATACTTTAAAAGTTTATGTCCTTGACCAACAAATCTCACTTCTGGATATTTATCCAATAATAACTTTGTCCTAATAACTGCAGATGTGCTCAAAGATTTAACAATAAGATGGCCATTAAAGTAAATTAAAAACAAAAAAACAGAGTGGCCACTAAGCATTTAAACTGCTGTTTAAAATAGTTGAGGCGGAGGTTGCAGTGAGCCGAGATTGTGCCACTGCACTCCAGCCTGGGCAACAAGAGCAAAACTCCGTCAAACAAAATAAAACAAAACAATACTGTATGTACACATACACACACTGAAAGGACACATTCTCGAGTTTTAACAATGGTTATCTCCAGTGGAACTAGTGGAAAGCAAAAGAATTTTCTTGCTTTTATGGATGTGTTTTCTAAGTCCTTACAGTTAACGTACTGTTTTGATTGTCTAAAAATATTTAACGGTCAATTTAGTTTTTGATGAAAAGCCTTCCTATACAAATGGATTTATGATTGAACAGGAAATTATTTTAACTAACTTATAAGAAGTCAAAGTGAAAGCAATTTCTTTATCTTTTAATTCTATAATTAAACATATTGTTTATTTTTAACTGGTCAATCCTACTTAATTAAATGGTCAACTAACCACTGAATTAACCACAGAAAAAAATAGTTTTAATGAACCAAGTTGTTAACTGATTCCCACATCTCCACCAGCAAGTTACTTTCCTGGCCCATGAATAAAAAGTAGCCCTTTTACTTCGTTAATTATGAGCATTACGGTCAAACCAAGTGAATAAGAAAACTATCTTCAATGCTTCAACTCCACTGAAAAAATATTTTAACTATGTAAATAATAAAAAATAAATCTCTTAAGTTTGAAAAATCTCATTTACTTTTTATAACAAATGTGAATGCAGATAACAAGTCCCTTAGAGGAATAAATTGATAGCAGTCTTATGAAGTAAGTACTATGACTGTAAGGCCTTTAGAAGAATCTAATGTAAACTAAAAATTCAGAGTAGAAAAACTGTCTAAGGATTCAAGTAGCTTCTACTATGTAGAAACCCATACCTATATAATGAAATTCCAAAAATTAGGTTTCAAAATATCCTGTATCACCCATATTATAATGATACCTATATTCTTTTTTTTTTTTTAAAAGATAGGGTCTACTATGTCACCCAGGCTGGAGTGCAGTAGTGTAATTGGTGTCTACTGCAGCCTCAAAGTTCTGGGCTCAAGCAATCATCCTGCCTCGGCCTCCCAAAGCACTGAGCCACTATACCCGGTCATGACACTTATTGCAAACATTTATTATTTTCTTGACTAATTCAGTTTTGTGCTTTTCCTCTTAAAGGGGTATTTTCCATTACACTCCTAAATCCATAATACAAATTTAGCTTTGTTTTATGTATTACATATAATGTATACATATACATATATGTGCATATGTATTATGTATATTTAGCTTTGTATTATTTGTATGAGAATGACCAGATGACAGAAATAAGCCAAAATGTTAGATTAAGAAAAGTTGGTTATCTTAAACTGATTTCTCTTAGCTAAAATATATTATACATTAACCCCCCTTCTAGAATACAAAATTAACTGCCCCCCAAGAATAAACAAATCTCATGTTCATTCCCCCAAAGTCAAAGGAAGAGTTTACATGATTTCTTAACACATCCAAACGAGTAATTTTGCAAAACCTAACTGAACTTCAAATATTATTTGAATAAATGAAAAGATTTATATTGTGCAATTTAAAGTAGGTGCACCTATACTTGTCCTTTCACATTCAGAGGTAGCTTAACTAGGTCAGTAATCATTGAATTTTATGTAATCCTTATAATGAAGTAATCTACTATAAAACATAATAAAAATGTCTAGTAAATGTGTATCAATAGTTTTTATTACTTTACTACAAGAATGCTTGCTTCCGGCTTTAAATTTTTCAGTAGCTATAAATTATAAAATTTCATGATATGACAGGAAGTGGTGCAAACGTGGAAACTGATGTTCCCCAAGAATAAAAACAGCATTTAGTTTTTCATCAAACTAAAACACACTTTTTCATCTCAATGTAACAGCTCTGAGATTGGTATGTATCTTACCACCAATGGCTTCTTACAAATGACATTGTCCCCTTATAATTGGCAGTGATTTTTTTACTGTTAATATATATAATAATGGTGTGTCTTAGAATTGATGATATCTTAGATCAATAAGACCTACGTATGTACATCTTACATATATTAAAAAAAGAAAGTCATGTTGCCAGGCGTAGTGGCTCACGCCTGTAAGCCCAAGACTCTGGGAGAGCAAAGTGGGAGAATCACTTGAGGACAGGAGTTCGGATCAGCCTGGGCAACAGAGCAAGACTTGGTCTCTTAAAAAAAATTTTTTTTAATTAAAAAAAATTAGTTCAGTGTGGTAGCACATGCCTGTAGTCCTAGCTACTTGGGAAGCTGAGGCAGAAGGATCACGTCAGGCCAGGAGTTTGAGTTTACAGTAAGCTATGATTGTGCCACTGCACTCCAACCTGGGCATCAGAGCAATATCCTGTTTTTAAAAATCTCATGTCAGTGTTTATCAGGAATGAAAATTGCTTGGTCATTGTTTCAGGGAAATTGATTAAAAGAAAATACTACCATACTGACTTTAGAAAGTAGAGTATGATGAGGATCTGAGATTATATGCTCTAATCAGTGAACAGTAAAAAGAGTATGTTCTATAGCTTCCCACCATGTGAATACTATTTTCAAATAGATGATCCTGTGTTTTAATGCAACAATACTCTAAACGGTCTGTCAACCAAATGAGACCACATCAACTTACAAGGCCCTAGTCCCAAACATTGTATCAAGGCTAGGAGAAATTCAAGATTACTAACATATTAATGCAGAAATAAAACCTTGTGTAACATCAAACTTAAATAATGTATTTATAAACTTGGGAAATTCTTTTGTACCTGCAATGAATACAAATAGGAACATCTTCATGTTCTTGATATTTCCTCATTAAGCTTATCATGTCCAGAATAGAATCAAATGATGAAGGAACATCATGGTCTGGCCAGTTCACATAATGAAACTGATACAGCCTACGAGATTCCTTCAAGAAAAACAGAAAGTCAACAATTATGAAAATACTTTGCAAAGTTTAAAGTTGCACAGCTCATTTAAACTGCCATTTCTAAGAAATTTGTGTGGCATTTAGCACTGCTTTTAAAAAAACCCAAATAAATAATAGCCAACACTTATTGACTGTTAAACACATGCCAAATACCTAAGGGCTTCACATGTAACAATTTAATTTCCATGAGGAAAGTACTGTTAATACCATCCTCATTTTATAACTGAGATATACAGATAAAATAACTTGCCCAAACTTTCCTAAGAAGTGACAAGTGTGGGCTCTAAACCAGGCAGTTCTACTTCCAGAGCATGTACTGTAAACATAACACTATATATACTATTTAACTAATCTACACTATTAAATGGATGAGCAATATACCGTAAGCACCATGTTAGAGTAGGTTAGAGTAGTATTCATTGTAATCAGAAGACTAACAGAACATTAAACTGAAAAAGAATGGAGAGATGAATTTGTCCAATGCCAAACTCACTAGTCTTCTTACAGATTAGTGGTTCTCAATATACGGTCTGGGTACCCCCTCCCCTCAACCCTTTTGAGGGAGTCTATGAGCTTTAAATAATTCTCAGAATAATACTAAAATGTTACGTGCCTTATTCTTTAACAGCCAATACAATATATGCTTATGTATTCATGTTTTTTAAAAATTTCTCAGTTTTAATTTCAAATATAGTATATACTGAAAGATACAACCCCCAGAAACAAAAACTTTGGGATCCTCAATAACTTTGAAGAATGTAAAGGAGTACTGATGTCAAATGTTTTGAGAATGGTTATTGCAGGTGTTTAACAGAAAGAGCAATACTCGGAATCTAAGCAAACCATACTCAAATTCCTACTTTGGCCATTTCCTAAATAACTTCAGGTAAGCTATTTAACTTCTTAAAGCTTCTGTATCTTCATCTATGTGCAACAGACGTAACAGTATCTGGATATGATGCAGTTAGCAGAATTAAGATGCCTGATCTACCACAGAAATTCATTAAGGTACTTATTATTATTACCGTAGATTAAAAAATTAGCAACCAGTCCAGATTCAGTGGCTCACATCTGTAATCCCAACACTTTGGGTGGCCAATGCAAAAGGCAAGATCACTCAAGGCCAGGAATTTGACAGCAGCCTGAGCAACATGGCAAGACTTCATCTCTATAAACTATAAAAAATTTAGCTGGGTTTGGTGGCTCATCCCTATAGTCTCAGATACTAGGAAGGTGGAGATGGGAGGACTGCTTGAGCTCAGGAGTTTGAGTCCAGCCTGGGCAATATATAGTGAGACCCTGTTGCCAAAAAAAAAAAAAAAAAAGTCGGGGCGCTGTGGGGGGTTTCAACTAAAAACAATATATATCTAAATGAAGACTTAGCTTTGATAGTGACTTTTCTTTAACAAATTGTAAACCAGTAAAACAGGGTAATAATTATATAAACAATGCAATAACCTGCTTACTGCAATAGAATAAAAATATTTGCTGCAAAGAAGGTATAACTATTCCAAATTTAACAAATTTAGGGTATGTTATAATTAATATTACTTTTTATGTAATGTGATAAGCATAAATGTCAAGACTAAATATTACACTCTCATTTCATCTTCGTAACTAAAAAATTACCAAATTTCATTAATTATGTTAAATAACATAGTATACTATTTATATAGCTTGTTTTATTTTTTTAGTAGCTAAAAGTTGATTAGTTTGCAAAGACAAAAACTAACTTCACATGCTTTAAAAATAAAAATTGCTGTTACTTTTTTTACTTACAAAAAACTATAAAGCAGATATAAAGCAAAATAATAATATATATTATATATATTATTTGCATTTTGCAGATATAAAGCAAAATAATTTTCTAGCAAACCCATTTTACCAAATAAAACATTTAGGTAGTAGTATTATATTTTCTATTTTTAAAACATTTATTTTATTTTTTATTTTATTTTTTGAGACAGAGTCTTGCTCTGTTGCCCAGGCTAGAGTGCAGTGGCACCATCTCGGCTTATTGCAACCTCTGTCTCCCAGGCTCAAGCAATTCAAGTGCCTCAGCCTCCTGAGTAGCTGGGATTATAGGTGTGCACCACCATGCCCAGCTAATTTTAGTATTTTTTAGTAGAGATGGGGCTTCGCCGTGTTGGCCAGGCTGGTCTTGAACTCCTGGCCTCAAGTGACCAACCCACCTCAGCCACCCAAAGTGTTGGGGATTACAGGAGTGAGCCACCATACCTGGCCTCAACTTTTATTTTGGATTAAGGGGTACATGTGCAGCTTACATGGGTGTATTGTATAATGCTGAGGTCTGGAATACAAATGATCCTTACCAAAGGAGTGAGCATACTACCCAATAGGTGGTTTTTCAGCCCACGCTCCCCTCCCTCTCTATGTCTTCTCTTTGAAAACTATTCTCTATTCTCAAAACCATTTTTGAGAGTCTCCCTCTGTTGCCCAGGCTGGAGTGCAGTGGCACAATCATGGCTCACTGCAGCCTCAACCTCCCGGGCTCAGCCTTCTGAGTGAGTGGGACTATGGGCACATGCCACCATGCCCGGCTAACTTTTTTCTTTTTGTAGACACAAGATCTCACTATGTTGCCCAGGCTAGTCTTGAACCCCTGGACTCAAGTCACCCTCCCACTTCAGCCTCCCAAAGTGTTGGGATTACAGGCATGAGCCACTGCACCCAGCCTGAAAACTATTCTTACAGATAGTCTATAAATGGTAAGTACCTACATTTTGAAATTCAAGTAAGAGTGTCCTGATGAAGTAGTCTGTTCTTGCTTGTTCATCCTCCTAAATAAAGAGAAACATTTCTAAGTCAGTGAAAACGTTAAAACAAAAAGACACATCAAAACAAATAAAATACTTGTATCAAAGTCCACAATATAAAATTAATCTTTAAAATTCCAGATGTACCTGATAATTATAAAAAAATTCTAAAAGTCATCAAACATTTGAAATGTTTGAAGTGATAGACATGCTAATTATCCTGATTTAGTCACTCCACATTTTAAATTACACATACATGTACCAAAATCACATGTACCCCATTAATAAGTATAGATACTATGTGTCAATTAAAAATAATAAAAGGAAAAAAAGAGCTAGTAAGCCATGAAAAGACATGGATGAACCCTAAATGCACATTACTAAGTGAAATAAGCCAATCTGAAAAGGCTACATACTGTATGATTCAAACTATATGACTTCTGAGCTGGGAGCAGTGGCTCATGCCTGTAATTCCAGCACTTCAGGAGGCTGAGGCAGGTGGATCACTTGAGGTCAGGAGTTCGAGACCAGCCTGGCCAACATGGTAAAACCCCATCTCTACGAAAATACAAAACTTAGCTGTGTGTGGTGGCGCGCACCTGTAATCCCAGCTACTCAGGAGGTTGAGGCAGTAGAATTGCTTGAACCCAGGAGGCAGAGGTTATAGTGAGCTGAGATAGTGCCACCGCACTCCAGCCTGGGCGACAGAGCAAGACTCCGTCTCAAAACAAACAAACAAACAAACAAAAACAAACTATATGACTTCTGAAAAAGGCAAAACTATGGAGACAGTAAAAATAATGACTACCTAGGGTTGGGAAGGGGGTGAGATGAATGAATAGGTGGAGCACAGGACTTTTAGAGCAATGACACTATTCTGTATGATACCACAATGGTGGATACACGTCATCATATATTTCTTCAAACCCACAGAATGTATAGCACCAAGAATGAACCCTAATGTAAAATGTGAACTCTTGGTGATAATGACTTGTCAATGTAGGTTTGTGAATTGTAACAAAGAGACTGCTCTGGTAGGGAATGTTGATAATGAGGGCTACATGTGTGGGGACAGGGTGTATATAAGAAATCTCTGTACCTTCCTCTCAATTTTGCTGTAAACCTAAAACTGCTCTAAAAAAAATAGTCTTGAAAAAGTTAGGCAGTGGCTCACACCTGTAATGCCAGTAGTTTGAGAGGCTGAGGTGGACGGATCGCTTTAGCCTAGGGGTTCAAGACCAGCCTGAACAATATAGCAGAACCCTGTCTCTACAAAAAAATACAAAAACTAGCTGGACATTGAGGCGTAAGCCTGTGCTCTCAGCTACTTGGGAGGCTGAGGTAGGTGGATCACTAAGCCCAGCAGTGAGGCCAAGGCTATATAGTGAGCTGCGATCACGTCGCTGCATTCCAGTCTGGGTGACACAGTGAGACCCTGTCTCAAAACAAAAAACACTAAAAAAAAAATTTTTTTAAAAACCTTAAAATGAAGTCTCCTATCAGATAAAGTCTCCTAACAGATAGACCCAAACAATATGTACAAATAAGAGAAGTGAATTTGGGAATCAAGTTACCTACTAAACTAAGAAACTTGAAGAAAAAAAATTCATTAAAAAAATTTGTATAGACAGTAAAGAAAAAAACATCAATTTGCTTTTGTAAGTTTTACTTATACCTAAAAAAAAGTGTCTAAACGAATTACTTAAGCATCTACCACCCAATAAAATATCTGCAAAGTAGTAACCACCCCCAGAATCATGTAAATATACATAGAATGTCATTCCTCAGTACCAACCACCATATCCTATCTTCAACCATTTTACCTTTCCATAACACATGATTTTCCCTAACATTCAAGTTTCAATTAACTGGATAGCAACTGAAGAAGGAAGAGGGAAGAACACCCCAAATTATTATTATTATTGTGGTTGTTGATAACATAACCACTTTAAAGGTCTCTTACTGTGATTTAGTCAAAGTGTTAATCTACATCAGTCTATCACTAAGCAAATTATTCTTTTTGCCTTATTGGTTAAAACTACAGATAGTTTAGAACAAGGATTATGAAGAACAACAGTGTATGTTGTTTTATTAATAAAAATAATACTATTATACCTGCTTTAATTTTTAAAATTACAGTAATTTACTTTGAACTTTTCAAATAATATTTGAACTTTTTCAAATATTTCTGTAAAGGACCAGATAGTAAATATTTTTGGCTTTTTGGGCCACAAAGTCTTTGTCTACACAACTTTGCTATTGTGATAGACAAATTCATAAATTAATGCATATAGATGTGTTCTAACAAAACTTTATTTACGAAACAGGCAGTGGGCTAGATCTGAGCCATGGGTAGTGTGCTGACATCCAGTCTAAGTGCTTACATGTGGCAACATGTGATTGAGCTCCTGCTAACCAGTCTTCACCCTTTCACCACCACTTTACCCTTGTCCTCATCCCACATCGAGAGAGAGCTCTAGAAAAGACAGTCATTTCTCAGTCTCAAACTCTGACTGCCAAGTAGTCAAATGACTTACTACGAATATTTTTACCAACATGCTATTTATAAATTTGATTTTTCTTTGCAGTTAAGTCAATGATAACAAATCCCGAGTTGTCTGAACCAATTATAAGACAAACAAATTACCTTCCATTTTAAAATTATCAAAGAAAATATTTCTTCAGCATGGATCAATCCTGACGCTGACAAATTAAACCAAGTCGTTACTAATCAAATCAAACCAAACCACTTATCTAGAGACCTTTCAAGTTATCTGTTTTCTTTTTAATAAATCTTTCTCCATGTTTTGTTTTTTCTTTGTGAACCATTTATAGAGATATACCTTTTAGTTTAATTGAAAAACCATCCCCCAAGAATCAATTCATTTTCTACATTATAAACTATTGCATTCTGCCTTATATCCATTATTGTAAATTGTTTACTATTCCTGACTCTCAAATGTTCAAAAATTTCAAGTTGGTTTGTTGTTGATGTTAAGCACTGTATTTTCTCTTGAATTATAATATTCACTATAGTTATCTTATTACATCTAAATTTACAAATGTTTGGCCGGGTGTGGTGGCCTGTAGTCCTAGTACTTTGGGAGGCCAAGGCGGGCAAACTGCTTGAGCTCAGGAGTTTAAAATCAGCCTGGGCAACACAGGGAGACCTCGTCTCTACAAAAAGACAAAAATTAGTAGTGGCCCATGCCAGCAGCCCCGACTACTTGGGAAGCTGAGGTGAGAGAATCACTTGAGCCTGGGGGATTGAGGCTGCAGTGGGCCATGATCAGACCACTGCACTCCAACCTGGCTGACAGGGCAAAATCCTGTCTCAAAAAGATATATACAAATAAAACTTTAAAAATAAATTTACAAATGTCCAAAACAACCATACTACACAGAACTAGGTTTCTACACTGTCGAGGAATCTAATATTACAGATTTCTTTCTGGATTGGTGAAGGAGGGTTGGTATTTCCCCACTGAAGTAGACAGTGTGGTGTGTATTGGGTATTATTCAAGCCAAATAAAAGGAAATGCAGTGGGATTTTTAACGTTTTTAAAAATGTTAATAATGTCTCACTATTTTGCCCGGGCTTGTCTCAAACTCCTGGGCTCAAGCAATCCTCCCCACCTCAGCCTCCCAAAGTGCTGGGATGACAGGTGTGAGCCACTGCACCTGGCCTAAAATTTTTACATTTACCCCACAAATAGTTAATTCTAATCAGCACCTTAAGAATATTGACTAAATACTACATCCAAAAAGTTCAATGGTGAGTTATAGTTAACATTATAAAAACAACATTGATTTATAAAGTAGACAGCATAATACAGATACAGTCCTGTCCTTTTTTATGTCAACCTAGAAAGCACTAAACTTTGGGTATGTATGAGAGGAATTCAGAAGTCATGAGTATAACTAAGTCATAAAATTATGGAGTTCAAGAACTCAGCAATGACAAGTAAAACCACAGAAATTATATTTCGTTTAATCATGGAAAACAAAGTCAAAAACAAGAAACTCTGAATAAGGAATGTGATATTTAATTTTATCTGTCAACTTGGCTGGGCCACAGTGTGCCCAGAATATTTGGTCAAACATTATTCTAGTTATTTCTGTGACACTGTTTTTGGAGAAGATTAACATTTAAACTGGTAGTCTCTGAGTAAAGCAAACTGTCCTCCATAATGTTGTTGGGCCTCATCCAATCTGTTGAAGGCCTGAATACAACAAAAGGACCAGCCTCCTGAAGCAAGACAGAATTCTCCAGCAGGCTGCCTTCATCTGCAACATTGGCTCATCCTGATTCTACAACAGACTTTTCCAACTAGAACTGAACATCAGCTCTCCTGGGTCTCCAGCTTATCAGCATTCAGACTGAAACTGCAGCATTGGCTCTCCAGGATCTCCAGCCTACCCTGCAGATTTTGGACTGGCCAGCCTCCATAACTGCCTGAGCCAATTCCTCGTAATAAATCTCCTTAAATGTATACACATGCACACAGACGCATGCACACACACTCTTATTCTATTGGTTCTGCTTCTCTGGAGAACCCTAATATAGGCAAATTCATTAATTTTTTTTTTTTTTTTGAGATGGAGTTTCACCCTTGTCGCCCAGACTGGAGTGCAGTGGTGCAATTTCAGCTCACTGCAACCTCCACCTCCCAGATTCAAGCAATTCTCGTGCCTCAGCCTCCCAAGTAGCTGGGATTACAGGTGCCCACCACCATACCCAGCTAATTTTTGTATTTTTAGTAGAAAAGGAGTTTTGCCATGTTGTCCAGGCTGGTCTCGAACTCCTGACCTCAAGTGATCCACTCGCCTTGGCCTCTCAAAGTGGTAGGATACAGGCATGAGCTACTGTGCCTGGCCTAAATTAATTGATTTTTAGGTTATGTTCAATTACAGTCTTTTTATGGCACCTAAAGAAAACTTGGTTCTATTTTAAAATTCACTTATATTTTCCTTCTTTTTGTCCATGCCTTTCTTTTTCCTACTCCTATTTCCTTCACTGTTTTCATTTTTTTATTCATTTTCTCAGATTTTTGCTGTGTTAGCTTTTGAGCTTGAATTTAATTCATTTCCAGAGGTCATTACATATTAAGAAAACATTTTAAGTTTCATATCAAATAATCTGCCAGACAGGACCAATCTTTACTTCCAGTATGGTAGGTCTTAAACTTATCTTTATATATAATTATAACAATTTTTGAGAGCACAATTAGATATGAAGGGTTAATATGATACACTGTACTCCAGTTACCAAGTCTTTCCCATTTAATCAATTTGAAATGAATACACGATTTCCAAATATTAAAAGCACAGTTACTTCATTTACATGTAAACACCTACTATCAATTGATATACAAAGACTAACACACAATCAATATAGTAAGATACAAGGAAAATATGCATTTATGAAGTCAACCCAAAAGCTTCCAAATTTAAAAGCAGTATATAAACAAAATTTTTTTAAATGTAAGCATAGGTTTGTGAGTCCTTGGCGTCTATAAGCCTGGGTTCATACCACATTATAATTTAATTATTCATCAGTATAGCATGCCAATTTTCTGAAAAAAGTGTTTACAAAAATGGATACTTACACAAGAAATTTTAAATGGTGCAAACGTTATGGGGTCTTCTCCATACAAAGGCCAATAGCGCTCACATTTTTTCTGTCATCCAAAAAAAAAAATTAGTAAGTAATTCATGTAAGTTTTTCTTAAACTGTTATAAATATTTTGTGTCCTGAGGTTCTGCTTACTTCTACTTCCCCAAAACAGAAAAACCCACATTAGCAGGCATGGAGCTGAGAGAGCTTAGATTTACCCAGTTGTTTTAAAAAATAGGCTACTGTGTCTTCTCCAAGAATAGTCATAAGAACCTTACTGACTTAAGTGCATAACTGTTCATTGCTATCTGCCAGGTCTACAGAGTAGACCAAAGATCCTCCTCTAGACAAGAAAAACTAATTTTAAAAAAGTGTCTGGTACAAGGAGGTATTTGGTATAAAGGTTGCTAGGTAAGTTGTATTGCTTGTAACATGACAATCTCTACAAATATCTGGCTGAATTCTCATTAAATGTAAAATATGTGATGAAGTGGAAAGAATATTCTACTTGGAATCAGAAGAATTTTGCAAGTACTAATTCTACTCCTTTATTGACCTTTAGTTTCTTTATCTGTAAAAATAGGAATAATAATCCTTATCTTACAGAGTTGTTGCATGTTTGTTAAATAACAGTGTATTTCAAATGTACCACAGATGGTAAAAGCCCTACACAAACATGATGTATTAACTATTCAATTTTATTAGAGATTACAGAAAGTGTAGTCAAATAATTTCTCCTCTTACCTTCCTATTTTAAACAGGTATAGAAAAAGAATGATAAATTTTCATCAGTTTCTAATATCAAGCACCTCATCATTTTAGAAAATCAGTTAAGTGAATGAAAAGCCTAACTTTATGGAAAATAGAATGATTCAGGTATTAAGAAATGATGCAATTTGTATCAAGGCCCAATAAAATCAAAGTCTCTAAGTGACCATCTAGCTTAAATAAACCTTTTAAGCAGTGGGAAATGCATTGGTTAATGAATTCCTAATTAAATCTTCACAGTTCCAAATACAGTAAATGGAGTTATTACCTATAGGCTGAATGAACTATAAGTTGACAGTAATGCTCACAGAGAAACAAAGTAGAACTGTCTGGTATGTTGGGTTAGCTAACATTTTAGAGGCTTAAAAACACAGGTAACTTCCAAATCTCATTTTCCAAGAGATGTTTACAGAAAATGATTAAATTAAATTCTCTCTTTTTTTAGATAGGGTCTCACTTTGTCACCCAGGCTGGAGTGTGCAGTGGTGCAATCACGGCTCACTGCAGCCTCTACCTTCTGGGCTCAAGTGATCTTCCCACCTCAGCCTCCTGAGTAGCTGGGACCACAGGCGTGTGCCACCACAACCGGCTAATTTTTTTTTTTTTTAATAGATGGAGGCCGGGCGTGGTGGCTCATGCCTATAATCCCAGCACTTTGGAAGGCCAACGTGGGTGGATGACTTAAGGCAAGGAGTTCAAGACCAGACTGGCCAACATGGCAAAACCTTGTCTCTACTCAAAAATACAAAAAAATTAGCCAGGCATGGTGGCACATGCCTTTAATCCCAGCTACTCAGGAGGCTGAGACATGAGAATCGTTTGAACCTGGGAGATGCAGGTTGCAAAGAGCTGAGATTGTGCCACTGCACTCAAGCCTGGGCGACAGAGCGAGACTGTCTCTCCCCACAAAAAAAAAAAAAAGATTTAAAAAAAATAGAGATGGGGTCTTGCCATGTTGCCAAAGCTGGTCTCAAACTCCTGGGCTCAAGCAATTCTCCCACCCTAGCCTCCCAAGTAGCTGGGATTACAGGTGTGAGCCACTATACTTACACTTGGACCTTAAATTATTTTTGAGAGTTTAAAAAACATTTTTTTAATCTTTTACCTGACAAAACTTTAATACTTTGAAACAGATAGAAAACAAGTTGTAAGAGATTAATTTAGTTAAGAATAGAAAGCGGTGTGACTAACAATGCCCCTCATTCAGATGAGCAGTAATAAGATTATATTGGTACTTATATTCCTGGTATAAAACTAATAATGATATCAAAAACTATGTGTTAAATATCATACATACATAATCTCTAACACTGCAAGGTGGGTATTATTTCCTTTCAAATGTGAGGAAACTGAAGCTCAGAGTGAACTGTACTGCACCATGGTCAAAATGCTTGTAAAAGGTAGGTTTGTCTGATTTAATTATCTATGCTTTTTCCACCAGGTCACATTCAAAGTCAAGATCAAAGTCAAGGTTATCAGATAATTTCATAGTTCCTAACTTGCTCATAATCTATTACTAATAAGACACAGTGAATCACAAAAACCTTTCGCTTCAAAAAATTATGTACTCAATGCTACTTGATTTTTCATCAATAACTTGATACATACTATGAGCTTACTAATATAATGAAAAGAGAAATACATCCTAAACCTTAACAGTAACTTAAAACATTAGGAGAATGACATTTAAATTCTCTTAGACAATTGATTAATAATATTAATGTATATATTGACAACCCTTAAATAGATAACTTGATTACTTAATAATTTCTCAGTTTTTATATTTTCTCATTTTATTCACTTTCTGTCCAACATTACTTAATACTGACATAGGAAATAGTTGGGAGTAATGGAATAAATTAAGGCTTCCCAATTATTTATGTAATATAACTGAAAGATGTATCTTTTGCAATATATTGCTTACTGAAAAAATTAACATATTTACAAACTAAAGATAATTTTAAATATATTAACTACATTAGTATTAAAAAACTTCAAATAAAATCACTATGTAATTTGTAAGTTTGATTTGTATGCCATATTTATAGAAGACCACACTTTATAAGTTTTATTTAAATATGAATTATCTGTAAATATATCATTACCTCCTACAGTGAGGACAGAATATGATGCTGTAGGATACCAGAATAGCTTTGAAATAAATTTTACTTCGACATAGCATAAAAATACCAATGTTAGAAAATCAGGGTAAGAAATTATCTTCTCTCAGTTTTGAAGATAGGAAACAAACAAAACATACTGTGGTATTAACAAACAGACTAATCAAGATATTCAGGCCTGGTGCGGTGGATTACATGGGATTATATGCCTGTAATCCCAGCACTTTGGGAGACAAAGGCGGTCGGATCACCTGAGGTCAGGAGTTCGAGACCAGCCTGGCCAACACAGTGAAACCCCATCTCTACTAAAAATACAAAAATGAGCTGAGCCATGGTGGTAGGCGCCTGTAGTCCCAGCTACTCGGGAGGCTGAGACAGGAAATATACCTGAACCCGGGAGATGGAGGTTGCAGTGAGCCGAGATCGCGCCACTGCACTCCAGCCTGACTGACACAGCAGGATTCTGTCTCACAGTCTCAAAACAAACAAACAAACAAAAATTCAAACCATATATTAATGATAACCAGATTTTTAAAATGTATTTCCACTTGTTCAATTTTATTCCTATTTAAAAATACCTCTCTATTTCAGTCCATAGATAGCATTCTAGTTACAACACCACTGAATATTTGAAGTTTACTAAGTAACAATACCTAATTAATTATTGTTAAGTACAGGCATACCTCATTTTACTGTGTTTCTCAGACACTGCATATTTTACAAATTGAAGTTTTGTGGCAACCCTGCACCAAGCAAGTATATCGGTATCATTTTTTCAACAGCATATGCTCACTTCAGGTCTGTGTCACATTTTGGAAACTCTTGCAGTATTCCAAACTTTTTCATTATGATGATATCTGTTATTGTAATCTGATCAGTGATGTTTGAAGTTACTACTCTGTTTTGGGGTGCTACAAACTGCTCCCATATAAAATGGCAAACTTAATCAACAGATGTTGTGAGCATTCTCACTGTTCCATTGACAAGTTTTTGTACAGTCTCTCTTCCTCTCCTTGGGCTTTCCTATTTCCTGAGACACAATATTGAAATTAGACTAACTAATAACCCTACAATGGCCTCAAAGTATTCAAGTGAAAAGGGTCACAAACTTTTCACTTTAAATAAAAAAGCTAAAAATGATTAAGCTTAGTAAAGAAGGCATGTTGAAAACTGAGATAGGCAGAAAGGTAGGCCTCTTGTACTAATCAGCCAAGTTTAGAACAAAAAGGAAAAGTTTTTGGAGGACATTAAAAGAGCTACTCCAGGAAACACACAAAAATTAAGTAGGTCAAACAGCCTTATTGCTTACATGGAGAAAGTTTTAGTGGTCTAGATAGAAGATCAAACCAGCTGCAACATTTCTACAAGCCAAAGCCTAATCCAGAGCAAGGCACTAACTCCCTTCATTTCTATAAAGTGTGAGGAAGCTGCAGAAGGAAAGTTAGAAGCTAGCAAAGGCTGGTTCACGAAGTTTAAGGAAAGAAGCTGTCCCCATAACATAAAAGTGCGAGATGAAGCACCAAATTCTGATTTAGAGGCTGCAGCAAGTTATCCAAAGATCTAAGCTAAGAGCACTGATGAAACAAGCTATACTAAATGACATATTTTCAGTATGGATGAAACATCCTTATATTGGAAGAAGATGCCATCTAGGATTTTCAGAACTAGAGAAAAGAAGTCAACGTCTAGCTTCAAAGCTTCAAAGGACATGCTGACTCTCTTGTTAGGGGTTAATGCAGCTGGTGACATTAAGTTGAAGCCAATGCTCATTTACCATTCTGAAAATCCTAAGGGCTCTAAAAATCATGCCAAATGTACTCTGTCTGTCCTCTATAAATGGAGTAAGGCCTGGATGTCAGCACATCTGTTTACAGCATGTTTTTGTTTTTTCAACCCCACCCCCAGCCCATCCCTATTGCATGGTTTAATGAATATTTTAAGCTCACTACTGGGGACTACTGGTTGGAAAAAAAAATTCCTTTCAAAATATTTCCGTTTACAACGCACCTGGTCACCCAAAAGCTCTGATGGACATGTACAAGGAGATTAATATGTTTTCATGCCTGCTAATACAACATCCATTCTGCAGCCCATGGATCAAGGAGTAATTTTGAGTTTCAAGTCTTATTATTTAAGAAACATATTTTGTAAAGCTAAAGCTGCCATAAATCATGATTACTCTGATGGGTCTAGGGAAAGTGAACTGAAAACCTTCTGGAAAGGATTCAGCATTCTAGATGCAATTAATTACATTCATGATTCGTGGGAGGAGGTCGAAATATCAAGATTAACACGAGTTTGGAAAAAGTTAATTCCAACCCTCGTGATAACTTTGAGAGGTTCAAGACTTCAGTAGAGGAAGTAACTGCAAATGTGGTGGAAACAACAAAGAGAATCAGAAGTGGAGCTTGAAGATGGAAATGAATTGCCACAATCTCATGATAAAACCTGGAATGGATGAGGAGTTGCTTCTTACGGATAAGAAAATAAAGTGGTTTCTTGAGATGGAATCTACTTTCTTGAGATGGAATATACTTTTGGTGAAGATGCTGTGAGCACTTGAAATGACAACAAAGGATTTAGGACATTAAATCAACTTAGTTGATAAAGCAGTGGAAGGGTTTGAAAGGACTGACTCCAATTTGCCAAGTAGTTCTACTGTGGGTAGAACAGCAACTGCTGTTGCTATCAAACAGCATGGCATGCTACAGAGCAATCTTTCATGAAAGGAAGAGACAATCAATGTGGCAAACTTCACTGTTTCTTATTTTATGTTTTTATAGGTGGAGTCTCCCTCTGCCCAGGCTGGAGTACAGTAGCATAATCATAGCTCACCGCAGCCTCAACCTTCTGGGCTCAAGTGATCCTCCCACCTCCACCTCCCAAAGTGCTGGGATTCAAATGTGAACTACCGTTCCTGGTCCTGTCTTGTATTTTATCAAAAATTGCCACAGCTACCCCAACCTTTAGCAAATACCAACTTGATCAGTCGGCAGCCATCAACGTCAACAAAACCCTTTACCAGCATAAAGATTACAACTAGCTGAAGGCTCAGATGATCATTAACATTTTTTAGCAATAAATTATTTTTAAATTAAGGCATGGAAGGCCAGGCGCAGTGGCTCACGTCTATAATCCTAGCACTTTGGGAGGCCGAGGTGGGCAGAACACCTGAGGTCAGGAGTTCGAAACCAGCCTGGCCAACATGGTGAAACCCCATCTTTACTAAAACTACAAAAATTAGCCAGTTGTGGTGGCACATGCCTATAATCCCAGCTACTCAGAAGGCTAAGGCAGGAGAGTCGCTTGAACCTGGGAGGCGGAGGTTGCAGTGAGCCAAGATTGTACCACTGCACTCCAGCCTGGGCAACAGAGCGAGACTCTGTCTAGAAAAAATAAAAAAATAAAATAAGGCATGAAGTGTTTTATAGGTATAATGCTACTGAACATTTAACAGACTATAATACAGTATAAATATGACTTTTATATGCACTAAGAAAACAAAAAATTTGTTTGAATTGCGCTATTGTGGTGGTCTGGAACTGAACCTATAATATCTCTGAGGTATGCCTGTGTGTGATAAAACATACTTACAAAATATAAAAGAAAACAACATGCTTGAGAGATTATTTTGTCCCTTGTATGAAATAAAAGCAACAGCAGTACCCCAAAATAAAAGAAGTATCTACATTAACCGCTTATGTTAAGACTATAATAATAAAAGACTAAGAATATTTATCCGTAAAAATGAAATAGTAAGAGGAATAGATTATACATACCCTTCCCATCTCAAATTCTCGGCAGGCCATTACAATGATCTAAAAAGTGATGGTGGGGAGTGAGATAAAGAACGTATCAGTTAAACACAATTTTACTTTTTAATAAAATACAGATTTCAAGAATTTTGCACCGAGAAGTATAATTGGCTTGCCTAAAAAAGTAGTTTCAATATTAAATGTGTAAGTTAAAGAAATTATCAAAATTAGACTTTCCAAACAAGGGCTAACTATACAGCAACAAATTAAATTGGTTCCAATTAACATGATGTTTTTGGTTTGAATTAAATCATGTAAATCTTACAGATTTACTTTGTGACTTCTGAAATTATATTAAAATATCACTTTTAGGATATTTACCTAATTATAAATAGCACTATTAATTAAAAATATATTTATAATTATTTAAATATTGAATGCGTTTAACACCATTTTAAAAGTTGATCACACCTGCTTTTTCCCATTTTATAATGTAAACTTTCCAACACACAGCATAGTTGAGAATTTTACAGTAAACATTGTATAGCCATCACCTATATTCTATCATTAACATTTCACCATGTTTTATCACATAGCTATCCCTCTATCAATCCATCTTATTTTAAAAATGCATTTCAAAGTAAGTTGTGAACATCAGTACACTCTCCCCAAAATACTTCAGCATGCATATTATTATCTAGAACACAATAAATTTTTTTTTTTTTTTTTGAGACGGAGTCTCGCTCTGTCGCCCAGGCTGGAGTGCAGTGGCGCTATCTCAGCTCACTGCAAGCGCTGCCTCCCGGGTTCACGCCATTCTCCTGCCTTAGCCTGCTGAGTAGCTGGGACTACAGGCGCCCGCCACCACGTCCAGCTAATTTTTTGTATTTTTAGTAGAGACAGGGTTTCACCGTGTTAGCCAGGATGGTCTCGATCTCCTGACCTCGTGATCTGCCCACCTCGGCCTCCCAAAGTGCTGGGATTACAGGCATGAGCCACCCCACGCGGCCAATCTAGAACATAATTTTTATATTGTTTCCAGTATTTTTCCCTTGAGGCAAATTTTACATATAATGAAATGCACAAATCCTAAAGTGAACATTCTCCGAGTTTGGACAAATACACACATCTGTGCAACACAAATCTTATCAAGATACAGGATGTTCCCATCATCCAGAAAGTTTCTTCATGCTCTTTCTCAATCCCCAAGCACATCTAGTTTTTAAAGTGAAGTACAGCAAATATAAATAACTGGAAAATTTCCCCCCTTTTATTAATCTTTCAAAGACCAGAGCATGTCAATGCTTTAGAATCATTACAATTCCATTAAAAAGCCGTAAGACAAAAATGAAAGTTTCACATTACTGATTTTCCACATCCACACAATGAAAAGTATCAATGCACATGGTTAGGTTTCAAGAATACTACAGAGCAGTATAGGGTAGCTCTTCGCAGTATTCTAATTTCTCTGCTTCTAAATCTAAGGGCATATTATTTCCCTTCATCCAAAAGAACAAGAGGGCACTGAATGAACTCCAGGGATAGATGAAATTCTCTTATACTGCATATTTATAGTCTATTTATAGTTATGTGTTTATATATATTTTCCTGAGAAGAGGGACTCAAATGAGTATAACTGTACTATCAAGTATTTTACTGACCTATTAGAGCACTAATCCTTTTCTGCTTTTTATAAGTTGTTTGATAGCTGTATCATTACTTACTGACTTAGGACAAGATTTAAATTATTATCACACCTTCTTAAAATATTTAGCCTAGTTTGTAAAAATTTAATGAGACATCCTAAAAATGGGTCCATCTTTTTAGTAAACATCAGCAATAAGTAAACATAATTATGGATTTTTTAAAAATCCCCTCATTCCTTATTCAGTAAAATAGCCTATGTTATTACATAAGTATTTCTCAAAATTTATTGTGAAAAGTAAATTACTTACCACAACATTATACTCCCATATCATCCTCCAAAAATCTATTACTGTATTTGCTAAAGGTCCTTGAGTTGCTACATATGCTTTTGGCCCATAGACGCCCTAAAAATGGTTAAAAGCAAATTTCACATTTATTTTGATTACCAAAAATATTTCATTACCCAAAATATAAGGTTTCAAATTGTATTAGTAATATTGTTGTTTTAACTTAAACCATTTCCAAATAATGTGTCTTTCATAGTATATTAAAGCATGGCAAAATATATTCAATTCACTTAAGCTTTTGATGACTGCTATTACTTTGTGTTTACTGGATATGGTGCACAGAATAGGTATTTAAGAACCGCCTTATGCTAATTAAAAATTATTACTTATCTAGGCATTAATAACAAAAGCCCTAATACCTACTCAACAAAGCTAACTGGCAGAAATACAGAGCATGCTCTGATTCTAAAACAATACTAAAACTAGTGAAGAGCTCTTTCTTAGTTTCTTCCATAGCTACCTTCCATTATCTATTCAACTCAAAAGTTTATCAAGCATCTACTATACAGGTTTTTAATAATGAACATGAGAATATAAACCAAACAATGTCACTGACTAAAATACTAAACTGGTACATAACTGACTCATACAATGAATCAGTGTCATTAAGCATAAGTAAAAACTATAACTTTTAACAAACAGCCTTAAAAAAAGAATATGAACATTGACAACATCTGAAATAGCAAACTATCAATTTATTAGTTTTTATTTAATGTATTCATTTTGGTTTTTAACTTTGTTAAAAAAAGAAATTTTTATTTAAAACCATGACTGCTGAATATTGACATAGATAATAATTTTACCACATAAACTTTTTTTTTTTTTTTTGAGACGGAGTCTTGCTCTGTCACCCAGACTGGAGTGCATTGGCACGATCTCGGCTTACTGCAACTTCCACCTCCTGGGTTCAGGCGATTCTCCTGCCTCAGTCTCCCGAGAAGCTGGTATTACAGGCATGCACCACCATGACCGGCTAATTTTTGTATTTTTAGTAGAGACTGGGTTTCCCCATGTTGGCCAGGCTGGTCTCGAACTCCTGATCTCAGGTGATCCACCCGCCTAGGTCTCCCAAAGTGCTGGGATTACGGACATGAGCCACCGTGCCCGGCCTGGCATAAACTTTTATCAGTTAACATTTTTATCAACAAAAACATGAAAATATGTATAAACACCATATATAAAATAAATGAAAATTATACTATCATATCACTTGAAAGATTAAAAATCACAGATTAGCTGATGGAAAAAAAGCCTTTTATTTAAACTGAATCAAGTAGCACTTTGCATCTATCTCTACTGCTACCATAAAGAACTTGACGCTGGGCGCAGTGGCTCACGCCTATAATCCTAGCACTTTGGGAGGCAGAGGCGGGTGGATCACAGGTCAGGAGATCGAGACCAAGGCAGGAGAATGGCGTGAACCCGGGAAGCAGAGCTTGCAGTGAGCCGAGATAGCGCCACTGCACTCCAGACTGGGAGACAGAGCGAGACTCCGTCTCAAAAAAAAAAAAAAAAAAAAAAAAAAAAGAACTTGACTGCTTTTCATCAAAGGGTATCCAAACAAAGGTTATAAAAGAGACTATTTAATCTTGGATTTTGGGTTGCCACCTGAAACAGTGACAACTGCCAAAAGTTTTACATTTAAAGCTATGTTCTAGAATTTTAAATCAGTATTATCCAGTAATCCCACCCCTAGTAATTTATCCTAAGAAATTATTCAAAACAACAAAGATGTTTACTGCAATATTATCATTTTAAAAATTTGGAAACAACCTATATGGGTCAACAACGGGGATTGATGATGTTCATTTGTGTCCAAAGGGATAACTGAGAAAATAATTTAGTAATAGGTAAGACTTCCATGGGAAAGAAGAAATAAAAAAGAAAATGTTATCTCTGCTATCACAAAACTAAGTAGAAACTATTTATCTATATGAATAAGAAGGCTAGAAGGAAAGCATATAAAAACATTGTGCCAGGGCAGTGGCTTTATTTTTATTTCTTTTGCTGTTGGTATCATGTTTGAGCAATTCAAAAAGTTTTTACAAAACTAGTATGTAGAAAGACATTAATATGGCAGAGAAACACCATTTAAAGTTAGTACATACCTTTATAAAATTTGCATTGATATAGTCTGAATCTTGTGAAGGAGTCTTTAATGTCAATTTAACTCGGCTGTGATCAACTACGAGAAAAAAATTCATAAAATATGTATGGTTGACACACAGGTATTTTCTAATGAAGCGTAAGTAAGGTTAAATAGACAGCTTAAGAACATTTATTTTAAAAAACAATGGATGAAAATGGACTCTAGGTACCAGCAGGGTAATTTCTAACATTAAACTGAAAGGAAATGAAATAAATTTTCAGACAACCACCACCTGGCAGGCACCTGTAATCCCAGCTACTCGGGAGGCTGTGGCAGGAGAACCACTTGAAACTGGCTGGGAGGCAGAGGTTGCAGTGAGCCAAGATTGCGCCACTGCACTCTAGCCTGGGCGACAGAGTGAAGATTCTGTCTTAAAACAAAACAACAACAGCAAAAAAACAAAACAAAACAAAACAAAACAAAAAAACACCACCACCAGTGACGTAAAGCAGTGTATTAAAGTTGCAATAAGAATCATCTCTGGAACTCTTTTAAAATTCAAATTCCAGGACATTATCTCTGATTTACTAGAGCAGAGTCTAGGGTTTCAGCCTCTGCAGCTTTTAACAAACATACCAAGTGGCTGATGAATACTAACCAGTGATACACAAGCCCATATGCTAAAATTCTTATTTAAAAAATGTAACTTTCATATTTCACAAGAAACTATAAAAAGCAAATTATAACAAATTAATGAATTGAGATTATATATAAAAAGTGTTCAACACTGCTCTTGGCTAATAATAGTTATTATTAGGTAATAGAGTAAAAAAATCTTTAAAAAATTTTATGAAGTATATTTTTCTTTTAAGTTTTTATTGATTTCTTTTAAAGGAATATGTATATAATTTTTAAAAATTAGACCTTAAAGAAAGGTATAAAGTGAAAAGTAAGCCTCCCCTGCCCTTCAATTCCAGGGCTCTCTCCCATCAAGATACTATATTAAAGTTACTTTTCCCATTCCAAGTGTACTTATTACACATATAGTTATATACTTTGAAAAACTACTACACAAATGCAAGCATCCTATACATGCTGTTCTGTATCATTACTTTTCAGTTTATAGTATATCCTGGAACTCTTCCCAAAGCACAGAAAGATTTACTTTATTATTTTTACTATTATTTTAAAATACAGAGACAAGGTCTCACTCTGTCACTCAGGCTGAAGTGCAGTGCTGCAATCATAGCTCATTCGAACCTAAAACTCCTGGACTACAGATCTTCCTGGCTCAGGCTCCCAAGTGTTTGGATTACAGGTGTGAACCATTGCACTCAGCTTGCACTAGGCTATCTCACTCTTTTTAGTGTAACAGAGAATTCCATCATGTGAATGTTTCATTCTTTATTTAGCTACTCTACTGATGGGCCATTTTTTTCCTATTAAAAACATTACTACAATGAACACTAATGTATATATAGCTGTTACCAGCATTGCTGTAGGGTAAATTCCTAACAGAGGAATTGCTACTTGCCTTCTAAAAGGTATGAAACAATTTATACAGGGTTATGTAATAAGGGTGACTGGGTATTACCAAACTTTTCATCACTGACAAACCAAAAAGTAAAAATATCTTGTTTTAATTTCCATTTCTTGAATTATGCAAAGGATTGTATGTTTTAATCTATTTATTGGTTCTGTGTACTTCTTTTTCCATAAACCACTTGTTTATATCCTTTGCCCATTTTTCCACGTCTGTTTTGTCCTACTGATTTTTATGAGATCTATGTAAAAAGAAAAAATCAGCCCTCTGTCACAGGAAGTGCAAATAGTTTTTTCCAGTTTGTGCTGATGTTTAAAACTTTTTATTTAGAACTAATTTTAGATTTATAGAAAAACTGTAAAAATAGTACAGAGAATTCCCATGCCTCTCACTGAACTTCCTCTAATAGTAACATCTTATATAACCATAAGACAATGATCAATAATACCACAAAATTAACACTTATAAAACTATTAATTAAACAAGACTATACAAGTCAGTGTTTTCTAATCTTTTTTCTCTTTCGAGGATCTCATATTAAATTTAATTTTTAGTGGCCAGGCATAGTGGCTCACCCCTGTAATCCCAGCATTTTGGGAGGCCAAGGTGGGCGGATCACATGAGGTTAAGAGTTTGAGACCAGCCTGGCCCACATGGCGAAACCCCATCTCTACTAAAAATACAAAAAAAATTGGCAGGGCATCGTGGCGCATGCCTGTAATCTCAGCTACTCGGGAGGCTGAGGCAGGAGAATCACTTGAACCCAGGAAGCGGAGGTTGTGGTAAGCCGAGATCGCGCCACTGCACTCCAGCCTGGGTGACAGAGTGGGACTCCATCTCAAGATAATAATAATAATAATTTTTATTTCTCCTTAGTCTCCTTCAATCTAAAAAAGTTTCTCTGATTGATTTTTTTTAAATGACTGGAACGAAGTTATGAATTTTTGGTAATACCACAGAACGATATTGTGTCCTTCTCAGCACAACACATCAGAGGATACATGATATACATATGCTTTAGTACTTGTGATGTTAACCTTGGTCACTTGGTTAATATGGTATTGCTTGGTTACCAAAAGGGAAAGTTACTGCCTTTCCCTTTTATAGTTAGTAAGTATTTGAGGTTAGACGCTTTCAGATTATGAAATCCTAAAGTAGAATTGCCTAGTATTCATTGTTTCTGGATTAGAAGGGACCATAACATATAACATGTAAAATGCCATTATTATTATCAAATTATAATCCCTTCTAATCCATGAATGAGTATCAAAGGCAGTAAAAATACAAAAGGAAATACGGAAATGTTAACAGACATGAATAAACTTCTTAGCAAAGTATTAAAGAACAACTAATAGTAACTAATTTATTTTTCATTGGCTCAAATTTTATACATAGCACTAAAGGCCCAGTTCTGCTAATTTAATTGATAAATTTACTTTTAAAAAAGTCTTCTTTAGAAATTTGTAGAAGACACATATAAGGAAGATATACTTGCTTCTGGTGAAAATTATTCATCTCCTCACTGTATTCTAAGAAACAGAATGTTTAAAATATGTTTGTCAATGCTCTGTCATTTATTTCACGCCACCCTACATGTCCCATCCCCCTTTTTATATGCCATTTGGGATAGGAAATACACATACAAAAAAAAGCTATGACTCTGGAAAATGAGAATAGAATATTCAGTGGTTAGGATAATGATGGCTGAATAACTACAGGAAGCTTCCTCTTACCATGTTTGCCAGTAATAAGGGGTCTCAGTTAATTACCCTTATTCATATGACATATTAGCCTCTATTCAAAGTATCTCAAAGGCAGAATACAATAGCTGGTTTACCACTGGGTCCTCAGTAAAGTTTCTGGTGACTGTAAATCCAAATGAGAATAGTGGCTCCCAAATGATAGTTAGGACTGGTGCCAGGCTGGCTACATGCAGGCTGGTAATTTCTTTTTTTAAAAAATTTTCTAAGATGGAAAATTTTAAGCATACACCAAAATAGAACAGTATAATGAATCTTTGTATATCCATTACCCAGCTTCATTATCAACATTTTGCCAATCTTATTTCATCTATCCCCAATCATTCAACAGCTGGGGAAAGCAAATTAAAATCCAAGATTTCTGGAGTACTACATCTTGTAGTAAGTTCAATTCAGTAAATTAAAAATGGGGCACAGAAATACCCTTTTTAAAACTCCCCATTTAAATTCTAAAACACAGGCAAATTTGGTAGTCACTGCTTTCTACTATGTACCCACAGCACATTAGATTTAAAAATCAACATTATGCTACTTATACAGCATATCATGTGTATTTTGATTTTGGCATTTTAAATGTGAATTTTAGTATCATTCATCCAATAAATATTTATTGCATGTAATAAGCACAATAATGTTGTTCATATATCCATAGTAAAGTAGTAGCAAGGAAAGGGAGTAAGGAACATCTTGAGGATATCAGCAGTCTTCAGAGGTGTGACAAGCTGGGTCTCAGGGAATGAGAAGTTTGCCAATGATTAAAAAGAAAAAAAAAATAGGGCATTATAGGTAGCATAATAGGTTCAAAAGTATAGAATTAATAAAAAATAGCTACCATGGAATGAACGTTTCCTCTAAGCACATAATTTTATCCTCACCACACACCCATGGAGATAGAAGTTAATATCGCTATGCACAGACAGAGGTATGCCCAAATCACAAAACTGAGATGGCAGTGACACATTTGAAACTGGGGCTGCCTGATTTAAAAGCCAAGGCTCTGGGTCTAAATAATACATGTACTGAAGAGATATGAAGCAACATGGGACTACTGGAAGGAAGCGGTGAGCAACAAGGCTGAAAATGTAGCCGCCTGTTCTCACTCACTTGACCATAGAGCAAAGAAGGGGTGGGCTGGAATTGGAGTATGGAACAAATGCATGATTTCAAATAAATGAGTGTATATCCACCCCAGTTCTGTCCACTGAAAAGGCCTAAAAGCAATGACACACCAAACCCTGTTCAATTGTGGGGTCAGCCAGGCCTTCCAGGATTGCTCCCCGCCCTCCCAGCTGGCTTTTCTGCCACATTCCACTGCCACAGCAGACTGGGTGTCCTTCACCTGCCTGCATCTTCTGCAGTTTGTTAAGTGGCACCCTTAGCTCCTGTGACACCTTAGGGAGAAAGCCACAGCACCCATGATTTTGGGCCACCATTAACACCCGGCAAAGCGCCGGGAACTAGAAGTAGCGAGAAAGAACTTGGGTGGCTGTTTTAATATTCTTCATTGGTGCTCTTTTTTTTTTGAGACAGTGTCTGGCTCTGTCACCCAGGTTGGAGTGCAGTGGCACCATCTTGGCTCACTGCAACCTCTGCCTCCCAGGTTCAAGTGATTCTCGTGCCTCAGCCTCTCAAGTAGCTGGGACTACAGGCACGTGCCATCATGCCTAGCTAATTTTTGTATTTTTAGTAGAGGCGGGGTTTCACCGTATTGGCCAGGCTGGTCTTGATCTGATCTCAAGTGATCTGCCCGCTTCGGCCTCCCAAAGTCCTGGGATTACAGACATGAGTCACCTCGCCCTGCCAGATTGGTGCTCTTATTAAGCATATTTAGAAATAATCTAAATATCAAAAAAATGAAAACAATTATTCCTCTCCATGGTTTTGCTAGCTATCCAACCAAGAGAAACAAAACCATAGGTCCACACAGAGAGTTGTATGACATGTTCATAGCAGCATTATTCAATATGTTCATCATTCATACAATGGAATATTATTCAACAACAAAAAGGAATGAACTATCGATGCATGCTACATCGTGAATGAATCTTTAAAATGTGTTAACAAGAGGCTGGGCACAGTGGCTCAAGCCTGTAATCCCAGCACTTTGGGAGGCCGAGGCAGGCGGATCACGAGGTCAGGAGTTCGAGACCAGTCTGGCCAACATAGTGAAACCCTGTATCTACTAAAAATAACACAAAAAATTAGCCAGGCATGGTGATGTGCGCCTATAATCCCAGCTACTCAGGAGGCTGAGACAGGAGAATCTCATGAACCTGGGAGGCGGAGGTCGCAGTGAGCCGAGATCATGCCACTGCACTCCAGCCTGGGCAACAGAATGAGACTTCATCTCAAAAAAAAACTGTTAAAAGAGCTAGACACAAAAGACTATATATTGTATGATTACATTTATATTAAATTCACAGAAAAGGAAAATCTATACAGACAGAAAGCTGATTAACAGCTGCCCAGGGCTGAAGACTCAGATCTTTTAGGGGTGATGGAAATGTCCTAAAACTAGATTGTATTAATTGTTGCAAAACTCTATAAATTTACTTTAAAAAAATCATTGAATTGCACAATTAAAATGGATAAATTTCATGGGTATGTAAATTATACCTCAAACCTGTTTTAAAAATTCTATTTCTGCAAGCACTGCACATGTTAAAACATGCAAAGGAAGTTAGTGAATTAAATTCTTCTCCATCTTATTTTTTGAGACAGTCTCGCTCTGTTACCCAGGCTGGAGTGCAGTGGTGCAATCATAGTTCACTGCAGCCTTGACCTCCTGGTCTCAAGTGATCCTCCCACATCAGCCTACTGAGTAGCTGGGACCACAAGTGTACACACGAGAGAGAGAAAGAGAGAGTATGTGTGTGTGCGTGCGTGCGTGCGTGTGTGTGTTGAGTTTTGCTATGTTGCCCAGGCTGGTCTTGAACTCCTGAGCTCAAATAATCTGCCCAGCTTGGCCTCCTAAAGTGCTGGGATTACATGCATGAGCCACTGTGCCCGGGCAATGAATTAAATAGTTATCTAACAGTAAATAAGCACATATCTCTCAGTACAATTACTTTCAATATAAATTTCCAGGCCAGGTGCAGTGGCTCACACCAGTAATCCTAGTACTTTGGGAGGCTGAAGCGGGTGGATCACCTGAGGTCAGGAGTTTGAGACCAGCCTGGCCGACATGGTGAAACCCTGTCTCTACTAAAAATACCAAAAAATTAGCTGGGCATGGTGGCAGGTGCTTGTAATCCCAGCTACTTGGGAGGCTGAGGCACGAGAATTGCTTAAACCCGGGAGATAGAGGTTGCAGTGAGCCGAGATCCCACACTGCACTCCAGCCAGGGCGACAAGAGTGAGATTCTGTCTCAAAAAAAAGAAAAAAAAATCCCAAGTCAAAATAACTAGAAATTTACTGGAGACCTACTTATCAAACTTTAAATAACTTAAAGGAAAAAAGGCACTGTCAATCTGATTACTGCACAGTAATTAAGAACTCAAGCTCTTGGACAAGGTCTCTCAACGCTGACACTCATATATTTTGGCGAGAAGTCTTTGTTTGGGGAAGGGGGCTGCATCCTATGCACTGCAGGATGTGTAGCAGTATTCCTAGCCTCTACTTGTTAGATGCCATTAGCAGCCTGTCCACTCCCATACCCCAGTTGTGACAACCAAATCTCTCCAGACATTGCTAAGTGTCCCTTGAGAGGCAAAATCACCCTAGTGAAGGCTTTAAAACCGCCTGTGTTTAAATTCTTACCCCACAATATTTAACTGTGTGACAAGCTTTTTAACCTCTCTGTCTCAGTTTCCTGTTTGCAAAATGGCACATAACAGTACTTACCTCAGAGTTTTGCTGTGATGATTATGGTAAATAATCCATTTATCACAGAAATCAGCAAACAATACAAATCAGAACTTTCAGAGGACCAGTTTAACACTACACCACTAACCTTTCCCACTACCCCAGCCAAAACTGTAAACTTACCCTTCTATTCTCTGCTTTCTCCCTATCCCTCATTCGAACCACACTCTCAATAACACTAATTACCACCACATGACAGACCATATATGTTAATATGTATCGTCCATCACCTTGACTAACATATAAGCTCCACAAGGGCAGGGATTTTTGCCAGTTTGTTTTTTGTTGCATTCCCAGCATACAGTACACCCTCAGAAGCTTTCTGTAAAATGAGTAAATGCCAAGGGAGGCGGATGACCTGACGTTAGGAGTTCGAGAGCAGCCTGGCCAACATGGTGAAACCACGTCTCTACTAACAATACAAAAATTAGCCGGATGTGGCAGCGGGTGCCTGTAATCCCAGCTACTTGGGAGGCTGAGGCAGGAAAATAGCTTGAAGCTGGTAGGCAGAGGTTATAGTGTGCGGAGATCGCACCACTGCACTCCAGCCTGGGCAACAGAGCAAGACACCGTTTCAAAAACAAAGAAGAAAATGAAACATCATATGAAAAGAGAAACCTACGGCTAGACGACAGAAAAAGAAAGTGGACAGGCTAACTCTTTGAATGTGTGCATGAATAATTCCAGAGCAATGTAGGATCACCTTAAAATTATCTTGCTTAATACGAAGTATCCAGAAAGCCATGTCATCCCCTATTCTGAGGCAGACTGGTGCTATGGTCTGAATATTTGTGTCCTTCCCAAATTCATAAGTTAAAACATAAATTCCAATGCAACAGTATTAAGTGGTAGGGCCTTTAGGAGATGATTAGATTATGCCTTGTGAATGGGATTACCAGCTTTTACTAAAGAGGCCCGAGAGAGCTTGTTTGCCCCTTCCACCATGTGAAGTGCAGTGAGAAGGCACCATCTATGAGCCAGAGTGACCCTTCACTAGACAGCATATCTGCTGGTGCCTTCATCTTGGACTTCCCAGTCTCTAGAATTTGAAGATACAAATGTCTGTTATTAATAAGCAACCCTGTTTATGGTATTTCTGTAATAGCCTGAACAGACTAAGACAACAGGTGAGAAAAGTGGAGTGTATTTTGCAAAAGCTTAATGATTGGTTACTATGTGCTAGGTATACTGGTTATTTTGCAAAAGCTTAATGATTGGTTACTATGTGCTAGGTACACTGGTTTTTTTTGTTTTTTTGTTTTTTTTTTTTTTGAGATAGAGTCTTACTCTGTCGCCCAGGCTGGAATGCAATGGCGCAATCTCGGCTCATGGCAACCTCCACCTCCTGGGTTCAGGCAATTCTCCTGCCTCAGCCTCCTGAGTAGCTGGAATTACAGGCACGTGCCACCACATCTGGCTAATTTTTGTATTTTTGATAGAGATGGGGTTTCACCATGTTGGTCAGGCTGGTCGCGAACTCCTGACCTCGTGATCCACCAGTCTCGGCCTCCCAAAGTGCTGGGATTATAGGCGTGAGCCACCGCGCCTGGCCACTGGGTACACTTTTAAGCATTTAATATTAACCTATTGTGCAAATAATCCTAAAAAGTATTATTATAATCTCCATTTTAAGGATGACAAAACCAAGGCACAGAGAGGATCAGTCCAAGGTCATATAGCTAGCAACTGGTGGAGTCAGGATTTCAACTTCCAGAATCAGAACACTATACCATTATGTTATGTTGCCACTTGTTAATTCTGCCAACACAGGCTATCCACATATCCCACAGCTGATAATAATGTAGAACAACAAAAGGATGAAGGATTAAATTGAGGCAAAGAAGTTAGTGGAGAAAAGAGGGAAAGAGATGAGAGGGAAGAGGTGTTTTAAAAGAGTTATCATGGAAGAAGAAAATTTCAAAAATAGGGATTGATCAATGGCATCAAAATAGTTCAACATTCTTGAATAATCAATATTCTTCCTGTTAGAATAAACAGTAAAAAAAGACCACCAAATCTGGCAATTAAAAAGCCACTGGGCCCTGGGCAACATGGTGAAACCCTGTCTCTACTAAAATACAAAAAATTAGCTGGGTATGGTGGCAGGCACCTGTATTAGAGCTGTCCCAGCTCTCAGGAGGCTAAGGTACAAGAGTCGCTTGAACCTGGGAGGCAGAGGTTGCAGTGAGCCAAGATCCCACCACCGCACTCCAGCCTGGGCTACAGAGCAAGACTGTCACAAAAAAAAAAAAAAAAGTCACCAAGAACTTTAAAGGCATTTTAGAGAGAACAACCTTTAAGACTGAATAAGAATTGAGGAAATGATGTGATGGAATGTAGATATTTCAAAATACTTATGAAGAAAGAAAAACGACGGCAGCTTTAAAAGATAGCAAGTATGACGTATAGCTTTTACTGGATAAAGTGATGGCACACCTTAAGTATACTTTCAGAGTTAAAGTTATCTTGCCAGAAAACTGTGCTATTTAAGAATACAGACAGGGCGCAGTGGCTCACACCTGTAATCACAACACTTGGGGAGGCTGAGGTGGGAGGATCGTATGAGCTCAGGAGTTTGAGACCAGCCTGGGGAACACAGTGAGAACCCCCACCTCTAAACAAACAAACAAACAAATAAATAAATAAATAAATAAATAAAATATCATTAGAATGTAATGCAATCAGTCTAAGACATATACTTAGAGGCACATATTCAGACTGCTGAGAATAGTAGACACACAGATGTTTGAGTCATCCTATGCTTCATTTTCTCATGCATAATTAATCAATTAAGGTTCTTATGTATAGATATATGAAAAATCAACATTGTTAGCATTTTATAAAATGTATTCAGTTGTCTATTATTTTAATGAAATAACATCTTTGAACAGAGAGTTGACAGAAGATATTTTCACTTGGATTTACAGTATTTAAAAGTAATTTAGTATTAGAGCAACTGTGATACTTACAGGAAAAAAATTAAACAAAAATTAGGATCAGAAGGAAAAACAAAAAGCACAATTATGAATTATTATCTTTCCATGTACTTTGAAAGATAGGTTAATTACTACTTCCTTAACAGTGAAACTCAGGAAGAATAAAACTAGTTAGGTTACAAAAGGCTAATTAGCATTTCTATGTATTTTATCAAGGGCATTTCCAACTTACATGGCAGTATGTCCTTGTATCTGTTCTTTTTAACATTTTCTTCTTTTTCTCCAGTGGCTGTGGGATATATCTTTTCTGTTCTATATTTGGTAGACAATCTTCTTAACCGCTTAAAATACAACAAATAAAAATTAAAGTTTAGAGAAACAGTGATATTTTCAAATTTTTAATGAAATCTGGTGACCCCAATTCCTCACAACTCATTTTCCTGTCTCTTAGCTCTTAATTTCCCCATCCCTTAATAATTAACCCCAAGGATAATTTCTTTTATAGCATAAGTGCAAACATAAGATTCATATTTATTTCACATGAGCAGCAAAGAGGGAAAACAGAATAAAAGTAATATAATTTAAAGATATCATTAATAAGCTGAGTCAGAATATTTAACTCAGTCTTTAACATATTCGAGTAATTTCAGTGTTTTAACTAAGGGTCACAATAACCAAGTTTTAAAAACATGCCTAAAAGAATTTTCTTCTCTCAATAAACCATGAGCACGCACCCATGATGTGCCAGGCTTTCTCCCAAGGCATAAGCTAATAATTACTTACAAGACACTGCAAAACAAAGTTCTTTCATATTGAATTGGAAATGTCCAACAAAGACCAATTCTGCTTATTCACTGCATTACAGAACTAGTTTGTGGGTTAGTGACAAATTCTTACCACATATGGCAGTAGGGATGTTCTTTGGGCTGGAATATTTCTGCGTGTCAGTAATACACTTCCTGCTTTCAGAAGCACTGAAAGTCAGTATTGTGAATTGTTCAAATTCTACACAACTACATTGCTGAAATTTAATTTCAAAGGAACTTTCTTTCAGGCCTCAAGACATATTAAAAGCATTCTGGTTTTACCATTCAACAAATTATTAAATACAAATAAAATGAAAAATAAATCTGATAAAATTTAACTTTCTCATTAATTTTTGCTACTTGTGATACTGATATTTAAGGAACTAAAACTGCCTATAAACCTTTCTTTTTCTTTGAAAAACGACTAAATTTTATCATCACAATACTAGAGACCTACAACAGGAATACATTTTTTTCTTTATGATAAAGATTTACTAGAATCTTATTCTGCACTGGCACAATGTCAAAGTAAAATTCCCCACATTTATGATGCTATTTCTTGTGATTTCCTGTGGTAATAGAGTTCTCCAAATATATACATGTGTCAGAGGAAAAACTGTATTCAAAAGCAAGTGGGGGCCGAGCATGGTGGCTCACACTTGTAATCCTAGCACTTTGGGAGGACTGCTTGAAGCCAGGAGTTCAAGACCAGCCTGCTTAACAATGCAAGACCCTGTCTCTGAATTGTACTTCTACAACTTTGTCCTCCAGATAAAAATGGGACACACATGAAATGATTTATATTCAAAGTTACATACCACAGCACTTTGTTTGTTTGTTTTGAGACAGGATCTCACTCTGTTGCCCAGGCTGGAGTGCAGTGGTGCGATCTCGGCCCACTGCAACCTCGGCTTCCCAGGTTCAAGCAATTCTTGTGCCTCAGCCTCCTGAGTAGCTGGAATTACAGATGCGTGCCACCAGGTCCAGCTAATTTTCATATTTTTAGTAGAGACAGCGTTTCACTATGTTATCCAGGCTGGTCTTGAACTCCTGACCTTAGGTGATCCACCCGCCTCAGCCTTCCAAAGTGCTGAGATTACAGGTGTGAGCCACGCGCCCAACCACTGCAGCATTGTTAGTAACAGCAAAAAACTACAATCAAAGAAACCTCTTAATACAAAACTGGCTAAATTTGTTTTATTCATACCATCAAATATGAGAGAGCTGAAAAACAAATGAGTTAGCTTTTTATATATAGTAAGATGACAGTATCTGAAAAATACATATTAAGTATAAATGTAAAAAGCAGGAAACAATAGTGTACATTATATACACAGTGCAGTATGTATATATGTAATATATTACTACTGGTGTTAAAAAGAAATAAAAACATTTGCATTTGCTTGTACATATGCATATATCATCTCTGGAAGAAAAACTATTAACAAAGTATGTGTCTGTGGGGAAGGGAAATGGGTACCTAAGGGAAACGGATGAGAATGAGACATTACTATTATGTCTTTTCATATCTTTTGGATTGTATGACTGTATTGCCTGTTCAAAAAATTGAACGTAAATAAAAAAGGACAGTAGAAAAGATTGTTTATGATGTCGTTACTCCATATTAACAAAGATCCTCATGGTTACTTATATACGCATCTTGCACATTTAATTAGAATGTTTGTATTTTCTCTGCTCAAAGATTAAGCATCTGAAAAGATGTATTTTTAGATACTTATAGTATCAGTGCATTTCAAAATATTATTTTGAATCTGACTTAGAGAAGGATATCAACTTAAATAGTTGCAGAAACACAGAGGGGAAAGGAATATATCTTAGGTCAATGTCAGCGAGAAAAAATTTAGTACAAAGAGTGGTTGAGTTTAATTATAAAATGTGAATGTACCTCAGGAATGCCTGGTACAATCACTCTAAGCTTTTTCTTTTTCATTCATTCATTCACTCATTCACAGACGGAGTCTCACTCTGTTGTCTAAACTGGAATGCAGTGGCATGATCATGGCTCACCATAGCTTCAAACTCCCATGTTCAAATGATCCTCCTGCCTCAGCCTCCAAAGTGGCTGGAACCACAGGCTCATGTCACCATGCCCAGCTAATTATTATTACTATTTTTTGTAGGGCTGGGGTCTCCCCATGTATGTTGCGGAGGCTGGTCTCGAACTCCTGGGCTCCAGCAATCCTCCTGCCTCAACATTCCAAAGTGCTGGGGAATACAAGTGTAAGCCACCATGCCTGGCCCACTCCAGACTTTTCTTCTTTTACATGACAAATTACATTATTGAGAAATGTGCAAAACAAAGCTTTTATGTGAAATGACTACATTTCTCATAATGAACCTTGAGAACTTTTGCGTCCAAATATTTATCTTATTTAAGTTTGGATTTTCATTTATCCAGTTTTCTTAAAGCCTAGCATGCCATTTCTTAAAATGCTTTCTATAATTAAAGTTTAAAATGGAGAATGCTCTATTAAAATAAAAATCTACAATAGTGTTCTTAGCAATTTTCATGCCCATCAGAGATACAAAAGTGGTCCATAAAACAAGTAAAAACTTTGTTTTGTACTTTAAAAAGGTATCTACAAGTTGGAACTTATTTCCCACCAAAAAATGTCAGCTTTATAGTAAGCTACATAAATTAAAATTCTGGATCTGGTACTTTCTTAGCTGTGTGACAATTAACATATTTAACCTCTCTGTGTCTCATCTATAAAACTGAGATAATAACCTTTACTCAGCAAAAGGTCTAGTACATAAAATGGCTCAATAAATGTTAACTATTATTATTGAACTAATTACTGGAACTCTTTAAATGTTGTTACTTCAGATTTATTTCTTTAAAACCTTTCCTAGATCAAAGATCAGAAAGAGTTGCATATTCCAGGTCAATTTATCTGCCTGAAATTGCAAAGCAGTTTGTCAAATTTGAGTGTGCTTCAGAATCACCTGGAGGGCCACATTGCTGGGCCTCATCCCAGTAGTTTCTGATTCAGTAGGTCTGAGGTGGTAATTGCCTGATAATTTGTCTTTTTAAAAGTTGCTAAGATTCTACTTTAAAAAAAATCCCATGATAATCATTTTTCTGTGTCTTTGTGTATGCTTTTTCTTTGCTTGTTGGTGGTCTCCCCACTTGCACACCTCCAAAGCTTACTTATCTTTTAATTTTAAGCCCTAGCTCCTACAGAGTTTCTGATGCCCTTCCTCCAGACATAATCTTCCCCTCTGAATTGTTTTACCTTTATATGTACTTTTAGAACACTTACATTTCTTACTCTTATGATAAATATATAAAGAGAATACATCTAATTTGCCCTGTTAAACAATAAACTCTGTGGGTACAAAATTACCACCAGATTAAGATCTGATTTGGCCTAGAGCAGGTTTTTTTTTTTTTTTAACACATCAACATTAATGTCTAAATAGTTCCTGAATAGAAGTAGCACCAAAGTTCATTTAAACTCTATGAAACAGAATTATCTACACATATAATTTCATTTTAACTTCCCGACCACTATTCTATTGTCTCTGATGAAGCTATTACTAAGAAAGAAACAAAAAAATTCTGTATTATTGAGAAACATAATATACTAAGAAACCTTATTCATAGACTGTATGAGAATAGCACTAAACATTAATAAAATAATTCATTTATTATATAATTTAATTATTTCATATAATCCTAAAGCAAGAAAGAATTTTTAATCATTTACTGTATTAACTGGGCAAAAATATAGCTAAATGATGTCCGTATTAAGTTATAGGTACCCACCACACCCTTTATCGTGTGACTTTTTAAAAAAAAGCTAAGAAAACAAACAAATCCTTTAAGAAAGCATTTGCAATTAAGTCTACCCTAAAGATCTTTATTGAGACAGGGACTCACTCTGTTGCCCAGGCTGGAATGCAGTGGTGCAATCACAGCTCACTGCAGTCTTAAACTCCTGGGCTCAGGTGATTCTCCCACCTCAGCGTCCCTTAGCGAGTAGCTGGGACTATAGGCACGCACCGCCACGCCTGGCTAATTGTATTTTTTGTAGAGATGGGGTTTCGCCACGTTGTCCAGGCTGGTCTCGAACTCCTGGACTGAAGCCATCTGCCCACCTTAGCCTCCCAAAGTGATGGGATTACAGCCATAAGCCACTGCACCAGCCTACCCCAGAAGTCTTTAAAAAGTCACATAAATGAATTCCAAAAATAACTGCACTCCTTTATTACTGTTCTAAAAAGTCAAGTCTGACCATTTTACTCCCACATTTAAAAACTCTCCTATGTGTCTATCACCTCTAACATAAACTACCAAATCTTTAATTATAAGATATGTTGAATGTTGCCTGTCCAATTTTCTAGCCTCTTTTTATAATGCTCTTATTAGAGTTTGATGCTTTAGTCATATAGAATTACTCACCACCACTATGACTAGCAGTAACCCTCCATTTCTTAAATATCAAAGTTGCACAATTTTTGCTCTTACTGGTGAGTAGGGCTCTGGCTAAAGTGTTATTTCCTTTTTGAAGGCTTTCTTGAACCTTCCCTCCTTTACTGCTCCTCAGCCTTCTGCAATGAGTCCATAACACATTGTTCTATTGCCACTTGTGAAAAGTATTTCTTAAGTATTTCAGTACTTGTCTGTCTCGTCCACTAATCTATAAAACTGAAGGCAGAGATTAGACTATCTTACTGGACTTTATAGACCAATAGCTAATGCAAAGCAAAACTCTCATTACAAATTGAAGAATTATTTACTGAGCCTTCTCAGACAAGTCAGAGAAACATTTTTAATACTTAGAATTTTTGATACAAACAAAATTCGAGTTTAATATTCACTTTGCTTTAAACAATTTCCTAAAACACTAAATTTGTATTCCCCTAATCCTAAATCAATAAATGGATTCTCAAAAGCCTCCAAAATCACATGCAATGTGACTTTAAGATACCCACTTGTGTGTCAAGATTCAAGTTCTTAAAAGAGTGGAACAGTTCATTGTTCATCTAAGCTCCTGAGAATGTTTAAAGTTTGTTAAATCTCTCCAGAGTCAAAGAGCTGTCTATTGGCCTGTCCACTGGATGTGTAATGGGCATCACAAACATGCCCAAATAGCACCACCATTCAACAGCAGTTCAAGCCAAAAACCACCACCATTCAACAGTAGTTCAAGCCAAAAACCTAACACTCATCCTTGATTTGTTCCTTTATCTCGCTCTTCTCCCCATCAGCAAATCTTGTTAGCAAAAATATAGCTAATTGTCTTCATATTCACTGAAGAGACTTTGAAGTGAAAATACATTTAGACAGACAAGCGTTAAATTAATTTGTTGGCTGGATTTTAAATCAGCACAATTAAGAAAACAATAAATTAACACAAAAAGAAACAGCACTAAAATGGAAATTAAGCTAACTGAAATTCCTTTCGGAATAAGATGGGATATATAGAAATTAAGTATCAAAGCTGAAGCTCTCTCATGCTCTGTTATTAGACCACACACCACTGCCTCAAATTCCTCAATGTTATAACACTTAAAACACAGTACGAGTTTCAGCTGGGTGCGGTGGCTCATGCCTCTAATCCCAGCACTTTGGGAGGCCAAGGCTGGTAGATCACGAAGTCAGGAGATCGAGACCATCCTGGCCAACATGGTGAAACCCCATCTCTACTAAAAATACAAAAATTAGCTGGGCATGGTGGCGCATGCCTGTAATCCAAGCTACTCGGAAGGCTGAGGTAGGAGAATCACTTAAACCAGTAAGGCGGAGGTTGCAGTGAGCTGAGATCGTGCCACTGCACTCCAGCCTGGCACAAGGGCGAGATTCCGTCTCAAAAAAAAAAAAAAAAAAAAAAAAAAAAAACACGACAACAAAAAACAACAACAAAACACAGTATGAGTTTCATAAGGCACAACTTTTAGTAAATATGCATATAAGAATATACAAATATTAAAACTATACTTTGTATAGTAAATAAAAATGGAAATTACTTTAAGCTTAAGAGTTATACTGTGGCAAAATATTAAGGCTACCTAACCCATAAAATCATACTCCTTTTACCTAATTGCTCCGGAAAATTTCTGAGGCAATTACTGGAGAATTCATCTGAATTTTAAACGGTAGCAGGTTTGGGACATAGTTCACATTCAATAACCATTGTTAAATAAATAAATTCATCTGGCTTTATATTTGAAAATTTTAACTGTCCTCAGTAAGAAAAACCACACCATCTTAATAGTATTAATTTAACCCTACAAACTGCATGATAACCAAACCAAAATTTCTTAAAACCCCAAATATAAATTAATAGCAGCATACAGTAAAATTAGAGTACCAGCCAAAGTAACACTATACTATCTCAAAGTAACACTGTATTATCACTATTTTATCTCTAACTTTACAAACATACTTACATAAAAATATGTATATGGGCTGGGCACGGTGGCTTGTGCCTGTAATCCCAGCACTTTAGGAGGCCAAGGTGGGCAGATCACTTGAGGTCAGGAGCTCAAGACCAGCCTGGCCAACATGGTGAAACCCAATCTCTACCAAAAAATACAAAAATTAGCCAAGCCTCGTGGTGTGTGCCCGTAGTCCCAGCTACTCAGGAGGCTGAGGTTGCAGTGAGCCGAGATCACACCACTGCACTCCAGCCTGGGCGACAGAGCTCCATCTCAAAAAAAAAGAAAAAATGCACATCACTAACGATAATGGTTATAAGCAGCTAAAATAACCAAAGGGTCTTTCAACTATACAACTGCAATGTCTACCTTTAGTTGCAAAATATGCAACTCTGCCTATCAAAATTCATCTTCCTATCTTTGCTCACTGTTCACCCACTGCTGCCTAACAGACTAATTCTCTCCCTTTTTTTTCAGAAATGCATGGCTATGCCTCCTCATTTGAAGCCAACTCAGGATTGATAATAAAGAAAGTAACTTTGAAGTAAACAGGGCCAGTCTTATGAGTCTTGGAGTAATAAAATGATTCTGTGCTTTGCTCATGTCAAAATGTATGCTTCACTTATTCCCCTAATTGTCTGCCAAGAAACTCCCTGCTTTTTACTAGCCCAATACAGAAATCATCTTCATGAAATTTTTCCTGATAGTAGTACTGGCATACAGGCCCATCATCCACTTCCTCATCTCTATCTACTTTATATACACCTCTTATCTAGAACATATCCCAGTGTACAGTAATTATTTAGATATGCACATATGCCATCCCTGATAGAACACGAATTCCCTGATTTAGACCGTATCTTCTATTAGTAATAGCTACTATCAGCATAATCCCATAACAAATAGTAGGGAGTAAATAAACTGTTAGGTCTTCTATGTAAATCAGAATTGACCAGTATACTTAAGAATATATTGCTTACACTTCATTTCTACTTCACAATAGGGCAGCTTTAAGTCAGAGAAGCTGGGGTTCAATTCCTAGGTTTCATCAATTACTAGCGAAGGAGATCTCTCCAATATAGCTAGATAATCTTCCCTGAATGCATGTAGTAATAGTCCTTGATTTTGAGAATGTTTTTAAATAAAACCTTGTACTACAGACTTCATGTTTTAAAATAATAAATATGGCAAATCATAAACTAAATGAAAAAATGTAATAAAAAAACAAGGCTGTTCTTTTTTTTTTTTTGCATAGCCTAGACAATAAGCAAATGATTTTTTTCTTCTCTCCTGTCCCTTCGTGAGAAAATACAAACTTATAATGCAAGTTTACCCTTTCCCTATCCTGAAAGTATATTTTTATGGAAATAAAAGTAGAATACCACTTGAACTAGGAGGACAATAAAATTTTGTCATATACATTAATTTTATTGAAATGAAGATATCTAATACAATAAATGGAAAGTGTTCCAGGTTTGATTATTTTTGTTTCAACTCACAAGGCCCTCACTTTCTTTTACCCATTTCCTCATCATCCATTATCTAATGTCCCTGTATATATTTAACTTAGCAATCGCTGGTTCCACTGATGTTCCGCCAATCCCAATTTCAAATACTTTGTCCCTATAGTAAATCACCCTAAAATTCCAAAATCTAGATATTAAAACTATGGCTCCCGACTATGTCTTCCTTCATCTGGTTATGCATCCTGATTCTGATTTAAGAAAACACAATCATTATAGTCCCACTTAGTCTTCATAGGGGCACACTCTGCCAAACCCAGACTCCCAAAGTATTACAAAGCAATCCATCACTAATCTCATTATCTCATAGTATATAATAAAAACATACAGCAGGCCGGAAGCAGTGGCTCACTCCTGTAATCCCAGCACTTTGGGGCCGAGGTGGGTGGATCACCTGAGGTTGGGAGTTTGAGACCAGCTTGGCCAAGGTGGTGAAACCCCATCTCTACTAAAAAATACAAAAATTAGCTGGGCGTGGTGGCATGCGCCTGTAATGCCAGCTACTCGGGAGGCTGGGGCAGGAGAATCGCTTGAACCCAGGAGGCAGAGGTTGCAGTGAGCCGAGACTGCACCACTGCACTCCAGCCTGGGCAACAGAGTGAGACTCTGTCTCAAAAAATAAATAAATACACTTTGGTAGGCCGAGGCGGGCAGATCATGAGGTCAGGAGACCGAGACCATCCTGGCTAACACGGTGAAACCCCGTCTCTACTAAAAATACAAAAATTAGTTGGGCGTGGTGATGGGCACTTGTAGTCCCAGCTACTTGGGAGGCTGAGGCAGGAGAATGGCATGAACCCAGGAGGCGGAGCTTGCAGTGAGCCGAGATCGTGCCACTGCATTCCAGCCTGGGCGACAGAGCAAGACTCTGTCTCAAAAATAAATAAATAAATAAATAAAATTAATTAATTAATTAATTAATTAAAAACATACAGTAAAATTGAGAATATTAAGTTCTAGTATTAACATATTAAGCCACAATTACATCAATTCTCTTTACCTCCGATTACAAATATAAAACAAAGACTCCCAAATTAGTAGCAGAGATTCAGAATTCACACTTCTCTCTGCAAAAACAAATATAGCACAGGAAGAGTCACTTGTGTAGTTTAAGAGACCTCAATACTTATTGACCGCTATATGGAAAAAAGTTATTTTTGCAAGGCCGGAGACTGCCACAGTGCTGTGGTCAGCTGACCAAACTTTCTAAAGAGAAACTACACTTCCTGGTGAACCACTAACTCCTACACCCTCTGAAAATTTCATTTTTCCCTTTATTACCCTACTAAAATTACTTTTAGCAAGTCACCAATAATCTCCAACAGGCATCAAAATCTTAATAGCTTCAATTCCTATGAAGTATTTCATATAGATGATTCAACAGACACAATTTTACATCCCTGTATGACTTAGCAATCCACTCGAACCATTGTGATGGCTACTATCAAAAAACCAAAATAGGCTGGGCACAGTGGCTCATAACTATAACCCAAGCACTTTGGGAGGCCAAGGCAGGAGGATCGCTTGTGCCACTTGAGGAGTTCAAGACCAGTCTGGGCAACACAGCAAAACCTCAACTCTATAAAAAACAAAAAACAAAAAACAAAACAAAACAAGCCAGAATAACAGGTATTGGCAAGGATATGGAGAAACTGGAACCCTTGTGCTCTGTTGTGAAATGTAAAATGATACAGTTACTATAGGAAACAGTACGGTGGTTCCTCAAAAAGTAAAAGTAGAATTATCATATCATTCAGCAATTCCATTTTTGGGTATATACCCCAAAGAACGGAAAGCAGGGTCTCGAACAGATATTTGTACAACCATGTTCACAGCAGGAGCATTCACAATAGCCAAAAGGTGGAAGCAACCTAAGTGTCATGCTATGGGCAAATAGATAAACAAAATGTAGTATATACATACAATGCAGTATTTTTCAACCCTTTAAAAAGGAAGATTTTGACACATACTACAACATGGATGAACCCTGAGGACATTATGCTAACTGAAATACACCAGTCACAAAAAGACAATATTTTATAATCCTAATTATATGAGGCACCTAGAATTGTCAAATCCATACAGACAGAAAGTGTAATAGAATGGTGCTACAGGTTGGAGGAAGGAGGAGAATGAGTTTGGAATAAAGAGGGTGGTTTAATGGGAACAGAGTTTTAGCTTTCTAAGATGAGAAGAGTTCTAGAGATTGGTTATACAACAATGTGAATGTACTTAACGCTATTGAACTGTACATTTAAAAATGGCTTAGATGATAGGTTTTCATGTTACATGTATTTTACCACAATTAAAAAAAATTTTTTAAGGGAAAGAAACCCTTAGTAGTTGTTTGTACAGAATTAAATGTCCTATCCAGTATCAAAAAGAACAGCTAGTTGCAGGCAAGCGCCATTAAAGTGTCTCAGATTACCAGGTCACATAATATTCATACAACATTAGAAAGTTCTGACCTATTCATGAATTAACTGTTATGATATTCCCAAAAAATATTTTTAAGTTTGCTGACATACTGGATTCAGAGATTTATAATAAAAAGAACTTCCTCTTCAAACTCAATTATCACTTTTATGACGACGACTGGCTTCACATTAACTCCACCTAACCTATCCTATGCCCAGGGACTGTTTTAGGTGCTAGTGATAAGAGATGAACAGGACAAAATCCCTGCTCTAATGAGGCATATATTCCAAAAACATGTCCTAGTCATATAGTACTTGTCATTCTTGCCTTTAATATCCATCATGTTTACACATTTTATCCCATCACTACCAATGCCGCCATCACCCAAGATTATAATTCACTGCCTCACAGATAATAACCTATTTCTTTTTCTTCCCCCACAGAGCCTAGTGTCTTCCAAATACACATTCAACAAAGCAGGGCAAGTCTGCTAGACGTAATAGACATTGATAACCCATTCGGAACATCACATAGTCAGTGAATTGGCACCCTATTTTCACATTTAGTTCAGTAAGTTTATGTAATATGATTTATAAAACTAGAGAGCAAAACTTAAAATGCTATTTGAAATTTAACATCTGTGGTTTAGCATCCTATTGACATATGAAGGTAATAAAAACTGGAAGTGTAATTTAAAATAATTTACCTAAAGTAGTATCTCCTTGTCCTAAATAACATACCTAAAGACACTCACTTTTTGATTCACTTCTTTATTATATCACCTACAATGTTACCAAGGAAAGCTTTCACTGTTTTACCATCAAGGGAAAATGTGCACAATAAAGGGGTTAGATAATACACACATGTAAAAAACTCAGCATATCAACTGATCCAACATATCACTGAATATAACCATACTCAGAGCTATAATTTATCACAGCTAAAAGATACAAAGTAAAAGCAGCAAAGAAAAAGGCACAAGAGGCAAAGTCCAGAAGAAACTAGGCACAAGCTTTCAAAAATCCTCTTCTAATGAAATTACACACGATCCTCTAATTCCTGCAGAAATAAGTTGTGACAACATGTGTGAAACGTTGTCCACAAGGGAAGCGCATTAGAAATAAAGTGCCCAAGGCTTTTATTGGAGGCTGGTTACACAGGCACTCTGCCTAAGAATATACCAAAATTCCAGACTCCCAGAAAAAAAGTAGATGTTCAACATAAACCATATTATTTTTTATTTTTGTTTTTCAGAGAGAGAGTCTTGTTCTGCTACCCATGCTGGAGTGCAGTGGCATGATTAAGGCTCACTGCAACTTTGAACTACTGGACTCAAGTTATCTGCCTGCCTCAGCTTCCCAAAGTAGCTAAGACTACACAGGTGCACACCATGACATCTGGCTAATTTTTAAAAATGTTTTGTAGAGATGAGGTCTTACTATGTGGCCCAAGCTGGCCTCAAGGAATCCTCCTGCCTCGGCCTCCCAAAGCACTGAGATTACACAATTGAGCCACTGGGCCCAGCTCATAAACCACATTGTTTGTACAGTTTGGGCACAGTGAACCACTCTTATCAGGGGATAATGGAAATTCTCCCAAAAGTCTAAGTTCCCAGACACCAGCCAAGGGATAACATTGTAAGCAGGCCTTTCTAAGGATAGTAGTCTTAGGCCTGCTATGTTACTCTTTTCTGCATACAGGTATAAAATGAAAAAGCCAAACTCTCTCCCCTCCACATCTGTTTCCTTTTAGGTAACCAGTTATGCAAAGTCTCCTTACTAATAGCTATTTTAGGTTGTTTCACAAAAATTGTTGCATACTTGGACATACTATTTTATGCACATATGCAAGTATTTTTACGGAAAGATCCCTAAAGTTGACATGCTGGATCAAAGAGTATGTACATTTATCAATTCTATTAGAAGTGGCCAAACTGCCTTCCAAAACAGGCTTCACCAGTTTACCCTCCCCTTAATGGACCTAGAAACACTAGTTTTCTATATCCTTACCATTTTCTTTTTCTTTCTTTTTTCTTTTTCTTTTTTTTTTTTTTTTTGAGATGGAGTCTTGCTCTATTGCCCAGGCTGGAGTGCAGTGGCGTGATCTTGGCTGACTGCAACCTCCACCTCATGGGTTCAAGCGATTCTCCTGCCTCAGCCTCCCGAATAGCTGGGATTACACGCGCCCACCACCAGGCCCAGCTAATTTTTCTATTTTTAGTAGAGATGGGGTTTCGCCATGTTGGCCAGGCTGGTCTCGAACTTCTGAGCTCACGTGATCTGCCCGCCTCAGCCTCCCAAAGTGCTAGAATTACAGGTGTGAGCCACCACGCCCGGCCGCTATTCTCAATTTCTGAATTATTACGAATTTTTGAGTTTTTATCAAATTTGGTAGCTACTCCCCCAACAGTTAATGATGATTAACTTCAATTTTTCTGATTATTGGAGAGGTTGATTATTTTTTTCCTGTGTTCAGCACTTATTTGCATTTGTCTTCTGGTAATTATCATACCATACGCCCATGTTTCTACTGAAATGTTCTTTTAATTGATATATAGAAGCTCATCTTAAAAATCCTTTCTATAAAGCCTTGTATGACCCTTCTAACAGTATGTGACTTTTTCCTTTTAAGAGTCCTAATTGCACAGTGTGAATGTATCTAATGCCACAGAACTGTACACTTAAATGATAAATGTTTTGTATTAATACATTTTATCACAATAAAAAAATGCAAAAAAAAATCTGTCACTCAATCTTAAGAGCAAGTAAAAAGCTAAACAAACTGAAAAATCAACAACTTTTCTTAGATCTGTAAGAGAAGTTAAGTCACAGGTCAAACAGCTGCCCCCAAACTGGAGAGACAGAAGGTGAATACGGAGAATCACGAGTAATCAGAGCAGAAACACTCACACAGCAAACTTCCATAAGAAACCTGAACTGTAATTGATGAACTGCTAGAGGCTCAGTGTGAACAACTATGAGGGTTAAAATCTCCAGGGGAGGCTGGATGCAGTGGCTCATACTTGTAATCCAAGTACTCTGGGAGGTGGAAGCGGGAGGACCTCTTGAGCCCAGGGGTTCGAGACCAGCCTAGGCAAACACAGTGAGACCCCACCTCTACAAAAAATTTAAAAATAGATAAGTGTGGTTGCATACATCTGTAGTCCCAGCTACTAGGGAGGCTGAGGTGGGAGGATCACATGAGGCCACGAGGTTGAGGCTGCAGTGTGCCAAGGCTGTGCCGTTGCACTCCAGCCTGGACAACAGCGAGACCGCTCTAAAAAAAAAACAAACAAAAACAAACAAACAAACAAAAACTCCTGGTGTACCCAATCCAAAGGGGACCCCACATTTTTGTTTTACCTCCAGGAGCTCTACCAGGTTCTCATAGTAAGTATTAGAGAAAATCCCTTTTTTTGTATTTTTATTTTTTATTTTTGAGATGGAGTCTTGCTCTGTCACCAGGCTGGAGTGCAGTGGTGCGGTCTCGGATCACTGCAACCTCCACCTCCCGGGTTCAAGTGATTCTCCTGCCTCAGCCTCCCGAGTAGCTGGGACTACAGGAACACTCAGCTAATTTTTATTAGAGACGGGGTTTCACCATGTTGGCCAGGATGGTCTCTATCTCTTGACCTTGTGATCCACCAGCCTCAGCCTCCCAAAGTGCTGGGATTACAGGTGTGAGCCACTGTGCCTGGCCGAATATTCCATTCTTCTTAACAAGGTCTGCCCTGCGGAGAAATGATTTAACCTGAGCCTAACCTGCTGGGGTTTTAACAGAGCCTTATTTACATGAGGTAAGGGAAATACCCAACTACAGGTCATTCAAGCCATCCTGGGGGTGAGGCGCTGAGAAACAGGATATAGTTCAAAATCCATAAACAAGCTCACTAAAAGACTGAGACCTTGGCTCTGGGTGGCTCATGCCTGTAATCCCAGCACTTTGGGAGGCAGAGGTAGGCAGGTCTCTTCAGCCCAGGAGTTCGAGACCAGCCTGGGCAACATGACGAAACCCCTTCTCTACAAAAAAATATGAAAACTTAGCCAGGCATGTTCACACATGCCTGTGATCCCAGCTACTGGGGAGGCTGAGGTGGGAGGATTGCTTGAGCCCAGGAGGCGGAGGTTGCAGTTAGCTATGATTGTATCACTGCACTCCAGCCTGGGAGACAAAGCAAAACCCTGTTTCACACAAACAAACAAACAAACAAACAAACACCCTATGATTAATATCCTAAGAACTCTAACAGATAAAGTAGACAGTATGCCAGAATAGATGGGCAATCAATATAAGCAAAGAGACAGAAATTCAAAGAAATAACCAAAAAGAAACACTAGAGATTTTTTTTTTTTGAGACGGAGTCTCGCCCTGTCGCCCAGGCTGGAGTGCAATGGTGTGATCTCGGCTCACTGCAAGCTCCGCCTCCTGGGTTCACGACATTCTCCTGCCTCAGCCTCCCCAGTAGCTGGGACTACAGGCGCCCACCACCACGCCCAGCTAATTTTTTTGTATTTTTAGTAGAGATGGGGTTTCACCGTGTTAGCCAGGATGGTCTCGATCTCATGACCTCACGATCCACCCACCTCTGCCTCCCAAAGTCCTGGGATTACAGGCGTGAGCCACCGTGCCCGGCCTAAGAAACGCTAGAGATTTTTTTAAAAAACTGTAACAAAAATGAAGAATGTTGTTGGTGGGCTTACTAGTAGACTAGACATGGCTGAGGAAAGAATCTCTCAACTTGAGGATATCTCAATAAAAGCTTCCAAAACTGAAAAGAGATTAAAAAGACTAGAAAAAAACTGAAACAACAGAATGGAATATGCAAAAACTGTGGGGACAACTACAAGAGATGTAAATATGCATAAGGGTAATAACAGAAAGAGAAGAAGGGAACAGAAGAAATATTTGAAATAATGATTGAAAATTTCCCCAAATTAATGTCAGAAACCAAACCACAGATCCAAGCAGCTCAGAGAACACTGATCAGAATAAATGCCAGAAATAACTTATGTAGGCATATCACTTTCAAACTACAAAAAAAAAAAAAAGATAAACAAATCGTTTAAAAAGCCAGAGGAAAAAAAATCATCTTACCTAAAGAGGAGCAAGTATAATAAGAATTACATCTGACTCTGTTTCAGAAACTAGGCAAGCAAGAAGAGAGTGACAAAATATCATATTGAGAAGAAAAAACCCACCAACTTAGAATCCTGAACCTTGCAAAATTATCCTTCAAAAACCAAAGAGAAATAAAAACTTTCTCAACAAACAAAAATTAAGGCTGGGCAAGGTGGTTCATGCCTGTAGTCCTAATGCTTTGGGAGGCTGAGGTGGGTGGATGGTTTGAGCCCAGGAGTTCAAGACCAACCTGGGCAACACAGTGAGACCTCGTTTCTACAAAAACAGAAACAAAAAAAAACTTAAGTGAGTATGGCGGTGCATGCCTGTAGTCTCTGCTACTCCGGAGGCTAGGGCAAAAGGACTGGTTGAGCCCAGCAGGTCAAGGCTGCAGTGTGCCATGATCATGCCACCGCATTATAGCCTGGATGACAGACAGAGCAAGACCCTGTCCCCCAGAAAAGATTAAGAGAATCTGTTGCCACAGACCTACCTTGTGAGAAATGTTAAAATAAATTTTTTAGAGAGAAGACAAATTATTCTAGTCTGGAATTCACATCTACATAAAGAAAGGAAGAAGAAATGAGAGAAAGAATAAATGAAAGTAAAATTAAAACTTTTATTTTTCTTATTAATTGATCTGATACGTTTATTCAGAATAGCAGCAAACATGTATTTGGTTATATATGCTTGTGTGTGTATGTTTATTTGTAAGTGAGATAATGCCAGCAATGATACAAGGGATAGAATTAGGGTTACTTTGTCATTATAAAGTAATCTCACCATCCATAAAGTGGTACAGTGTTACCTGAAAATGGACTTGGATTTGCTGGAAATATACATTGCAAATGCCAGAGCAACCACTTAAAAAAGTGAAAACACCCAGCTGGGCACAGTGGCTCATGCCTATAATCCCAATACTTTGGGAAGCCAAGGCAGGAGGATTGCTTGAGGCCAGGAGTTTGACAGCCTGGGCAACATGGTAAGACCTTCTCTCTACAAAAAATAAAAAACATTACTTGAGGGTTGGTGGCACACACTTGTAGTCCTAGCTACTCAGGAGGCTGAGGCAGGAGGATCACGTGAGCCCAGAAGTTTGAGGTTACAGTGAGCTATGACATGCCACTGCATTCCAGCCTAAGCAACTAAGCGACACCTTGTCTCTTTAGAAAAGACCAAAAACAAAAAAAGTAAAAAAAAAAAGAAGTAAAACTGACATGCTAAGAAAGGACAGTCATATGATATTTTGAATTAAAACTGCAAAAGGCAGAAAAACAGTGGAAGACAAAAAAAAAAATAGGAACAAAGAACAATGACAACAGAAAATAGTGGCAAATATGGTAGACATTAATCCAATGCTATCAGTAATCACTCTGAACGTGAATGGTCTAAATGTACCAATTAAAAGATTGTCAGAGTGGATTAAAAACCAAGACCTAACTATATGCTGTCTACAAGAGATCCACTTTAAATATACAAACACACACAGATTAAAAGCAAATGGATGGAAAAAAATATATCAGCTAACACAAAAATAAAATGAGACTAGTTATTAATTTCAGATAAAGCAGATTTCATGGCAAGTAAAGTTATCAGGGATAGGGTGGCTTTACATCATGATAAAGGGGTCAGTTCTCCAAGAAGACAGCATAATCCTTAATCCATATGTGTCTAACAATTGTGCATAAAAATATGTGAGCCAAAACTGATAGAACTGCAAGGAGAAATATTTGAATCCACTATTATAGTTGAAGACTTCCGTACTCCTCTATCAGAAATGGACAGATCAAGCAAGCAGGAAATGAGTAAGGACACAGATGAACTTAACAGCATCATCAATCAACTGGATATATAATGCACGTCTATAGACTACCTAAGACAACAACTACAGAATACACATTCTTCTCAAGTTTACATGAAACATTCAACAAGACAGACCAAATTCTGGGCCATTAAACACACCTCAACAAATTTAAAACAGCAATCATACACAATGTCTGCTCTCAGACCATAATGGCACTCAAAAAATTTTGGATGTAGGGGCATTTTAAACTTCAGATTAGGGATGCTCAGCTCTGTATTTTCAGATAATTAAATATACTATACACATTCTTTCTGTCTCTGTCACCAAAAAGGTCCAAAAGAGAAAAAGAGCAAGGGGTGGCCTTTTTCCCCTCCTATTTATTTAACTTCTCACTTAATGCCCTAATCATGCTTCCTTCTGACACATCTGACACTGTGTCCTTTATTCTTACTAATTCAAACATTACAAACTATTTCTGTTTTAACGATAAAGAAGCTAAGATTGAGAGTGGTTCAAATCATGTACTCAACATTACATAGTAAGTAATGGCCAGGTCTAATACCTATATAACTGTTGTAAACCATATCATTGGACTGTCCACTATAATGCTAGACACTCAAATTCCTAACAAAGATATGTTACTTCCATCAGGTCTTTTCTTCCCTGCCTATTTTTACTTTTGTACATTCCTTCGTTTACACCCTCTTTAAATAATTTAAAGATTCCTGCCCAGTAGTATCACCAGATTACCTTTCCCTCTTTTATCTATAACCTGTTTTAAAGGCAAAATAATAATTTATAGATCTAATCCAACCTACATCCTATTTTAAAAAATGATAAAACCTCTATACCTTCTTTAACAACTAGAGAAATAAATGATGAGGTCATTTTAGAACATATTTGAAAATATCATACATATGATGCTGAGACCTTATAAACAATACAAAAACAGCATCTAATAAAGCAATGACAAGAAATTAAATGTATTGGTTAAATATTCATCCTGTACTTCTAGTTTAAGTTGCATTTTCAAAAAAAAAAAAACATACTTTAAAAGTAATCCACCAGGGAGCAGTGGCTCATGCCTGTAGTCCTATCTACTTAGGAGGCTAAGGCAGGCGGATCTGTTGAGTCCAGGAGTTTGAGGCTACAGTGAGCTGTGATTGTGCCACTGCACTCAAGCTTGAGCAACAGAGACAGACTCTGTTTCTTAAAAATGAATTTTAATAATCTTCTATCTAAATTATAAAGTAATTTTAAAATAAACTTTTTACTTTTGTGCACCATCTAATAATGTCAGTGAATGGGTGTGGAGATAAATATCTGAACATGTTTAATTATTTCAGTTGCAAAATCCTATTACTAATAACCACCCACCCTATGTTTCTCCTTGGCATTCATACAAGGGGTCTTCAGAAAGTTCATGGAAAATATGTACCATGGAAAAAACTATGCATGGATTTCAATTTTGTTTTGCACCAAAATAAACTCATACTAACTTCTTATAACATGTCTGATGAACAGGATCTCATTTGAAGCACTAAGAAGTATAAGATATCAGTTTGAAAAGAGCCCCTATCAGAACAACATGAATTCTGCTAAAAAACTGAAGCAAGAACAAAACATCAAATTTATGGCAAAGCTTGGATGGAAGAATGGTGAAGCAAAGTTTATGGGGACAATGCCCCAAATATCAGCAGCTTACAAATGGATGCCTCTTTTTAAGAAAGGACAACGTGATGTTGAAGAAACCTGTAGCAGCAGACCATCCACATTGATTTTTGAGAAAAAAATTCATCTTGTCACTTGCCCTAACTGAAGAGAACCTGCAATTAACAGCATAAACAATAGCCAACACCACAGACATCTTAAGTTGCTCAGCTTACACAATTCTGACTGAAAAATTAAAGCTGAACAAATTGCCACTCAGTTGGTGCCAAAATGATTGCACCCAGATAGCTACAGACAAGAGCAGAGCTTTCAATGGAAATGTTAAACTGTCATGCCTGTAATCTCAGCACTTTGGGAGGCCAAGGCGGGTGGATTACCTGAGGTAAGGAGTCCAAGACCAGCCTGGACAACATGGCAAAACCTTGTCTATACTAAAAATACAAAAATTAGCTGGGTGTGGTGGCGCACACCTGTAATCCCAGCTACTTGGGAGGCTGAGGCTGGAGAATCGCTTGAACCCAGGAGGCGGAGACTGCAGTGAGCAGAGATCATGCCCCTGCACCCCAGCCTGGGTGACAGAGCGAGACTCCATCTCAAAAACAAAATGAAAAATAATAAATAAATAAATAAATAAACAAGTGGGATCAAGATCCTGAAGCATTTCTTAAAAGGACTGTAATAGGAGATGAAACATGGCTTTACCAGTATGATCCTGAAGACAAAGTCAATCAAAGCAATCTACCAAGAGGTGGCAGTGGTCCAGTCAAGGCAAAAGTGGACCAGTCAAGAGCAAAGCTCATGGCAACAGTTTCTGGGGATGCTCAAGGCATTATGCATGTTGATTTTTCTGGAGGGCCAAGGAAAGACAACATCTGCTTATTATGAGAGTGTTTCGAGAAAGTCAGCCAAATCTTTAGCAGAAAAACATCCAAGAAAGCGTCACCAGAGTCCTTTTCTACCCACAAAAATGCCTCTTGCTCATTCCTCTCATCAAACAAGGGCAATTTTGTGAGAGTTCAGATGGGAAGCCATTAGGCATCCACCTTACAGTCCTGATTTGGCTCCTTCTGCCTTCGTTTTGTTTCCTAATCTCAAAAAAATCTTTAAAGGGCATTCATTACTCTTCAGTTAATAATGTAAAAAAACTGCATTGAAATGGTTAAATTTCTAGGACCCTCAGTTCTTAGGGATAAACAAAATGGTTGGTGTATCATCACTTATAAAAGTAAACTGATGGAGTTTATGTTCAGAAATTAACTTTATATTTTAATTTTAGTCTATTTATAAATTTATTAATAAATAACATTTATTTACTTAATTCCATTTTTCCATGAGCTTTTTGAAGTCCCCTTGTATAATCTATTTACCGTATTAGATGAATTACAAACAACTAGGTGTAAATTACAGACATTTCTAAACTACAAAGTACCTTCCAGTCTATCTCTACTACCCACACGTTAACACACATTAATAAATCTTGGGCACAGACAACCAACTGACTGAGTAGGTAGAGAAAGGTGAGTAGGCAAATAGAATTTCAAAGGGAGGCACAAAGGCAGGCAGGCAGACACACAGGCACAAAGACAGGCACACTAATAGCCAGGCAAACACAATGAATATAGTAACACATAAATTTTAGATGATTCATGAACTAAAAGAACTATAGTTAGGATAATTTTAACAATGCAAAACCTATTGTGAAGAAAATATGTTAGTTTTTCAGATAGTGATATATTTCTGACATATGATCAGGGAGTAAATCATAGTGACTACTTTGATAAAAGTGATCCTTAGGGCCAGGCACAGTCGCTCACACCTATAATCCCAGCACTTGGGGAGCCAAGATGGAAGGATTGCTTTAGGCCAGGAGTCTGAGACCAGCTGGGCAACATAGTAAGACCTCGTCTCTACAAAAAAGGTAAAAAAATTAGTAGGACATGGTGGCAACATGCTTGTAGTCCTAGCTACTCAGGAGTGAGGTGAGAGGATCACTTGAGCCCAGGAGGTCAGGGCTGCAGTGAGCTATGATTACACCACTGCACTCCAGCCTGTGTGACAAAGCAGGACCCTATCTCTTAAAAAAAAAAAAAACAAACAAACAAAAACCCAAACTTTAAAACAGGATTTCCTTGCAAGAAGGTTCCATATTTTAATGTTGAAAAATTATAATTTAAATTTAGGTACCATAAATAAGCAGCTTATAGATAATCTTAATTTTAGTTTGCTACACAGAAACCTTAAAATTTTGCCTGATGTTTAATGTCTAACTGTAAATGTGAAATAATGCTCTGCCAGAGCCAACAAATTGTTCTCTCAAGTCACAAGGACTCTTTGTGCTTTTTCCATCTCTGAAAGAAGGTGGGTGGAGTTCATATGGAGCTGAAACCTTAAAATAGTAAATTTTTTTTCAATTTTGCTTCAAGGATTCTCTACTAGACACTCTTTGGACTGCCCGCCTAGTTATCAAGCCATCCCTTCCTTTCTCTAAAAAAAGTTCCTTCCTTCCATACACATATGAATAAGCTCACCACCTTATACAACACCCATCTCACTGGCAAGTTGGTTATTTTCTTCAGGAAATTGAAAACAAGATGTAGCAATTCTAGTCATTCTGAGCTCTTTCCATAATTTGAGATAAAAGTGAATGAGACAGGTTAGATTACCATAAGGGATGTCTTTATTCAGCACATGCAGGCCAAAACAGTGAAAGTCAAAATGCAGAGAGAGGTAATAGTAAAGCAGGTGTGCAGAGAAGCAAAGAGAAGTATCCAAGCAGCCCCAGAGACATGGAAACTTGAAAACCATAGAAAGACAAAGAGGCTGGCATGGAGAGAGGAGTCACCCAGGCTCTCTATTTCTTGGTTCTGATGCTTCAACCTGCTCAAGGGCAGTATTCCATTGCAATAAATTCTTTCTTCACTTAAGCTACTTTTTGGAAGTAGGCTGCAACCAAAAATCTATACTGACAGAAAACTTTTTTTGTAATTTTGAGGATATTTATGCTCTACTCTAGGGGGGTAGGAAGTGGGGCTTTATTGACTTTTTCCCTAAGACTGAAAATGTTGGCCTAAGCAGCATCATGTCATATAAAAAGCATCTGCTTTCCTAACTTGGGTCTAACCCAGTTCCACCACCTTTCTATGGCAAGACCTGTAACAAGCTCCTTAATTTCTAAACAGTTTTTATGTTCCTTCTAACACTAAAGAGTTTATGACGTCAGGAGTAAAACCAACATACACAATGGGGAAGAAGGTGTCTAGAGAAGTTATTCTTCATGGTTTTGTAGCATGTGACCTAGAACTCCCTTCCTTTCTCACGTTGGTTCTGGTCACAAATGCAGTCTCAAAACCTCTTCAGAGTCATCTTATGGAAAACTCAATTCGCTGAGGAATCCAAACTAAGCAAGAGACCCACCATTATAAATAAGCTGCCTTAGTCCTGAAGGCTTTTTAAATGTAATTTCTTTCTACAGGGCACTTTAAACATATCTGATAGATGCCAATGAGAAACACTAATCTAGTCATCTAAGAACTGTGTAAACAGAGAGAGTACTACTTTATATACCTGAGATAAAGTAAAATTACCAGATTTAAGAACATTTACCATGTGACAAGGACTCAATTTTTAAAAGGTCCTACTGTAAGATCAAACAACTATGCCATAATAATGGAACATCAAAACACTCCTCATCAAAACACTCAGGAACACAGGCCAATTTCATAATAGCATTTAAGCTGATATTCCTTTGGAAATCCTATTATTTGGGTACATAAGATTTTCTTATTTTATACACACTGACCCTGTTCTTCCCATCTAAAACCCACAGTTCTATCTCTGTTTATCTCCAAGTCTTTGAAAGTGTTGTTGCCTTTTACTCACCTAGTTCACCTGACAAACTCTTCCTTCAAAAACCAGCTCAAATGTAGCATCTTTGTGGAAACTGTCCATGATCTATTCAGACAGATTTAGGCTCTCCTGTCTCTCTGGCTTATATTCCGAATATACTTCCACTGGAGCAGTATGTCATCTCAAATTCCTTTGACTACCTTCTATATACTATGTTAGAAACTTTACATATATTATCTTGTTCTTTCCAGGTAGGTATTAGAGCCCCAACTTCTCTAGATAATCTGCTCAGAATCACAGCAGGGCCAGGATAGAAATTAATGACTGTATAGCTCCTAAACTCCTTATCTTTCCACTAGTCTAAGGGACCCAAACTCCTTGAGAAACTAAGAGCTATGAACTTTCTTCCCCCTAAAATGGGCTTACACACAAAAAATATTATATATAATTTAAAAGGGTTCAAAGATTCCCCTGAAGCCCACCCACTGCCCCCAGGAAAAGTCCCGCTGCTTCTCACAGGTCTGTTCAGTTAGTAAACTTCCTGAACAGAGTACTGCCATGTTTTCAACTGTCAATTCAAAAACACAGTACCTAGGGCATAGTGGGCACTCAGGTATCTCCATAAATACCTTCTGTATGAATGGATAAATGATAGAGACCATGGATGGATGACAGAGACCATGGATGGATGACAGAGACAAATCTTTGCATTCCTTCAGAGCCTATCAGGACAGTCACTCAAATGTTGTTAAAATAGCTTTTTAAATGCCGATTAGATATAAAAGTTATTACAGGAAATGTAGATATTAGCACACTTCCCAAAGCCTCTGAGATTATCATGGTCCACGATATGACTAGGCTTTGTGTCCCCACCAAATCTCATCTTGAATTATAATCCCTATGTAATTATAATCCCCCATGCTATTCTCCTGATAGTGAGTTCTCACAAGATCTGATGGTTTTACAAATGTTTGGTAGTTCCTCCCATGTTCATTCTCCTTCCTGCCACCTTGTGAAGAAGGTGCCTTGCTTCCCCTTCACCTTCCACCACAATCGTAAGTTTCCTGAGGCCTCCCCAGCCATGCTGAACTGTGAGTCAATTAAACCTCTTTCCTTTATAAATTACCCAGTCTCGGGCAGTTCTTCATAGCAGTGTGAAAATGGACTAATACAGTCCACACTCCACTTTCTCCAAAAAAAACTTTTAGGGAGCAACTACTGTTTGCTTCTTATATCTGCCATAGGCCAGCTACAGACCCTACAATACTGTACAAATGCAAACAAGATTTTTGTGTGATTTCAGAAGGAAGGAGATAATTGTCAAGGTTTGACTGCATGAATCTAAAGAAACTTAAATACTACAGGAAATATAAAATGCTGGAAGAGGAGTTCAACTCATATTTGGAAAAGACTAGTGGTTTAGAAATTGCATATCACCTGATTTACCTTATCAAGTTTTCAACTCAAATCTAATGAAAGGCTTTTTTTCTTGTGATATTAAAGATCAAACTTTACAAAGGAGAAAAAGTGCTTTAAGATTAACTGTGCTAAAATATTTATTCTAGAAGGTGAGAATTAATCACATTTTTGCTTCTGAGTTTTTGGTGAACATGGTGAAGTCATTTTAAATTTTTAGCTTTCTCATCTTCCAAGTACTGGTTTATAAAATAAAAGGGGAGACCATCCTGGCCAACATGGTGAAACCCCATCTCTACTAAAAATAAAAAAAGTAGCTGTGTGTGGTCACGGGCGCCCGTAATCCCAGCTACTCAGGAGACCGAGGCAGCAGAATTGCTTGAACCCAGGAGGCGGAGGTTGCAGTGAGCTGAGATGGTGCCACTGCACTCCAGCCTGGCAACAAAGCAAGACTTTGTCTCAAAAAAATAAAATAAAATAAAATAAAAGGGAAGCTTTCTGAGGGAAAAAGTATGTTCAACAGTACAACCACAGATAAGCAAGATTTCATTCATTTAGTAGGTATGCTCAAGGACCAGGAATAGCTTCCTTCAAAAAGAAGAGAGGATACATACCAGAGTATAGAAGTTTAACACTGGAAAGGTACTGTGACATTATGTTAAGAAGGTTCTGGAATGCCAGGCTAAGAAGTACAGACTTTATCCTATAGGCCTGTGATTCTCAACTAGGACCAAAGTTACAAAATTGGATGAAAACTTCCAGGTGAAGTATTTTTTTTTAATTATTAAAAAAAACTATATATATATATTTAAAATTGGAGGGAGCTGAGAAGGGAAAAATCAGGGAATCAAATCTCTCTGGAAAGAGAGACAGACATAATTACAGTTTGAAAAAGGAGCAGCACTTGGATCATATGTTTTGAATTGACTTTCAAAATACACATTTAAAATTTCCAATAATTGTAATGGTCATCAAAGGGAGCAATGAGTTTTTTTAACTTATATTTTTAATAATAAAAATTAAACCATGCTTCCAGTGCAGCCCACATCTCCTGATTGTACAACCAGTATGGTTTCCATTAGCCTACAGATGCTGCCACTTGAAAGTGAGTATGATGTGTTGAATGGACTGGATGAGGAAAGAAACTAGAGGCAAGTAGAGAACAACAGATATCACTTGTAATCACTCTCTAAATACCCACAAATTCACTATTTTTGAAGAGATACCGATGACATGATATCTTGATTTTATTAAGTCCAAAGCCAAAAGTTTAAAAGACATTTTATTAATACTCTAAGACAATGTCAACAAAGTATGATCCATTGGGTGTGGGATGCACAAATACAGAAGTTACCTTAAGAAACTGCAGCTAATAAAATCATATTTATTTAAAATATTTGAATTCAATGTAGCTCTTATCTTGTATTTTCTTTTTCAGTGGATACTGAAAATACAACGAGTTATGTGAGCACATCTGTGTAGGAGGGGAAGAAGCAGTTCTCATGATCGTCTAGAAGACAAACCCTTGGACCACTGAAGAATTCACCTGAAGAATAAATCTGTCTTACAGCATTAAGTTTGTCTACAATGTCTGCACATGCAATGGACATTAGTGCCTATTAAATGCCAAGCACTATATTAAGCAATGGGGATACAGGGATAATTAAGTCCCAGTCTCTAGCCTGGGAGGCGTTCAGTCTGGGGAAGACAGAAATGTAAATATTTATGAATCTAATGAACTCAGTGCTACAGAAACACAGAAGTATTTAACATATGAACAAAAAACCTACAGCCACCTAAATGTTAATGTCTTACTTTCAGTTTCATCCTTTAAAAATCCTTTTTCCAAGTTAAATATCAAATATTGATGGAAAAAAGTTAATATATTTTGAAAGTAAATAAAGTAAAACATTCTTGAGAATGCTTAAAGTAAATTTTTAGTTTACTGTCTCAGTGAACCATGTCTGGAGAGTTACTTAAAAGTTCACTTCCACTTCTGAAGTTAGTTGATGTAAATATGTTTAGGTGAATACTCATCAAAGGATGGATAAGAAAACCATAACTAAACCAGTGGCACTGGGTAAGCACTAAGATTAGCTCAAATGCAAGGACTGGAAAATATTTCCTATCACTCTAGCTTTGAAAGACAAATTAAGACACACAAAATCTTACAAGCTAACCACAAGAAGATACCACTTCACACCCAGTAGGATGCCTATAATCAAAAAGACAGCAACAAGTATCGGTGAAGATGTAGAGGAACTGGAACCCTCATATATTCCTGATTGGAATGTAATATGTGCAGCAGCTTTGGATAACAGTCTGGCAGTTCCGCAAAATGTTAAACATAGTGTTACCACGTGACTGAGCAATTCCACACTTAGATATATACCCAAGAGACCTGAAAATGTGTCCACACAGAAACTTGTACACAAATGTTCATAGCTGCATTATTCACATTAGCCAAAAAGTGGAAACAATTCAAATACCCATCAACACGATGAATGGATAAACAAAATGTGGTATCTATACAATAGAATATTATTCAGCCATAAAAAGGCCAAAAGTACTACGGATCAATACTATAACATGGATGAAACTTGAAATCATCATGTTAGGTGGAGTCAGTCACAAAACACCACATATTGTATGATTCCATTTATATAAAATGTCCAGAATACTTAAATCTATGGAAACAGAAGGTAGATTTGTGGTTGCCTGGGGCTTATGGGAAGGCGGGGAGTGACTGCTAATGGGTACAGAAAGTGAAGAAAATGTCCTAAAATTGATTATGGTTATTGTTGCATAACTTCATCAATGTAATAAAAAACTAGTGAATCATAGACTTTAAATGAATAAATCTTATGGTAGGTACTTATATCTCAATAAAGCTATTATTAGTTTTTTTAAACCTATAAGCTACAACACTGAATAAACAAATGATTAAAATTTTTATATTTATCAAGACTGCAACATAAGATCTTCCCAGGCTAAAGAGGATATACACATAGACAAGAAATAATAAGAAAAATATTCTCTAGTTCTCTCTTTAAAAAAAAAAAAAAAAGGCAGTGGAAGGGGCACACTCTCCTTCAACCAATCTTCCTCTAGCTCCTACCATCTACTTTCAAAATGTTAAAAAAAATGGAAAGACACTAAACCCACCCTTCACCCTATAATCTAGCTTCTTCCCATACCCCAACCCAAACTGTTTTTTCTAGTCACCAAAGCACTCCTATGTGCCAAATGGAATAGGTACTTTCTCAACCTCACCTTACCGGTCCTCCCAGCATTATTTGACTCTGGTAATAACTCCTTTCTTGAAACTCTCCCTGGCTTTTCTGACATCTCTGGTTCTCCTCCCTCCTCCTTGACCACACCTTCTCAGGAACAATCACTAGTATATCCTTCTTTTGGCTGTTATTTTAAGACTGATGTTCTTCAACCTAAAGCTGGTCACTCTATAAGTTTGTTGGAATAAGCTCATTCACTCCCATGCTGTCGACTATCTCCTACATGCTTATATTATGATGCCTACATCTTTAACTCCGTCCTGTCAGAAATCTTGAGCTCTACATTTCTACTGGATGTCTCAGAGGCACCGCAGTTTTAACATGTTGAAAATTAAATTTATCCTCTTCTCCCCCTGAAACTTCCTCCTACAATGTTGTTTGGTCTCCTCTACTTGTTTCTCCTCCCTCACTCCTTACTCTACCAAATGGTATTCTCTAGCTTGGGTGACAGATACCAAGCTAGATATTTTGCGAGTCATAACACTATACTCTTTTCTTCTTTACTACCTACATCTAATGAATCATTGAGACTCCTTTCTTAATTCTTATCAGATGTGTTGTATACACTCTATTTCCCCATCTCAGTTCACTTCAGGCCCTCACATCTCACTTCTTATATTTCAACAGCTTCCAAAATGCCACCCTTCATACTGCTATCAGATTCAACTTTGTAAAACACAAATGACTGTTTACCTTTCTTAAAAGACTCAGTAGTGCTCCAGAAACCCAGACTAATGATTCTCACCTTTTCTACCAGAACCTATCTAAGTAAGTGAAGGTTCAGAGTACAACTCAAGGAGCAGGCTGGAGAAGGTGAGATGGGGGAATGACGCTGGAGTGGACCAGCATGTCTATTTTCTTAACACCTCCCTACTTTCTCCATGTCTCTAGGAGTTACAATGCAGACTGTCCAGAATTGCTATTATCGGTCTGTAGAATAAAATCTAAGTATAGCATAGATGTAAGATCCTTCACAAAAAGACCTCTACCTAACTTTCCCAGCATTACCTTTATCATTTACCATGTATTAGCTCACTGGTTCTCAAAGTATGGTCCAGGACCACCTCCCCAACCCCCAGCCATCAGAGGGAGTCTGTGTGGAGTTAAAACCTAGGTCTGTCAAACATGAATGTGCACCACCCTACTTTATACATTTATCTCTCATTTTGTAAATATTAAAAGTAGAGATAATTGAGATCAAATTCTGGATCAGCCACAAATTAGCTATTTGCTAATTTATTAGCAAAATTAGCATGTTTTCAACATGCAAATAACCATCTAGGCAACATAGTTCTGCACAGTCTGGGTACCTTAGCTGTCTCCTCTTTAACAGTATGGGGCACAACCAAGGCCAGGAATAGACACTCATAGAATAGTAATGACAGGTGGAAAATTTCTATCCTCAATAGTAATCAAGAAATTCAAGTTAAAACAAGATATCAGTTTTCAACCATCAAATAAAGATCAAGAAAATTATAATATGAACACTCATACATTATGACAGTTGTATAAACTGACAAAACTTTTTCAAGTTTATGAACATGTATTAAATGTTTATATACGTCTACCTAGTACTCCTGGGAAGCTATCTTATGCAACAGTGAAAAATGTCAGTTTCAGCAAAAATGTTAATCACAGAATTACTATATGTAACAGCAGAAAGTAGAATGACCTAAATACTCAAACATAAAGAAACAAAATTAAGATATAAGATAGTTACCAAGTAGTAGGCCGGCTACGGTGGCTCACACCTGTAACCCCAGCACTTTGAGGCTGAGGCAGGTGGATTGCTTGAGCCCAGGAGTTTGAGACCAGCCTGGGCAACATGGGGAAACCCTGTCTCTACAAAAAATACAAAAATCAGCAGGGCTTGGTGGGGTGGGCCCATAGCCCCAGCTACTCTGGAGGCTGAAGTGGGAGGATCACCTGAGCCCAGGGAGACCGACGCTGCCGTGAGCCAGGATCGCAACCATGCACTCCAGCCTGGGTGACAGAGTGAGACCCTGTCTCAAAAACAGAACAAAACAACAAAACAAAACAAAACCAAAAAATATTAACAGAGGTAGCCTTTAAATGACAGGACTGTAGGACAGCTGGATAGAGCGAAAAGAGCATCATCACCAGTCAGGCAAGTGGAGTGTTCATTTGAACTGTGGTCTAAGTGTAAGGCATTATTATTATTCTATTAATTTCCAAATTTGGAATAAACATTATTTTATGATGGAACAGTTATATCAGCTACATTATCTCTAAGGCTCAGTCATAAAATGTTAAGAATTTAAAATGCATTTTTAATCGACATCAGAATTTAAAAATAATAGAATCTATAAGCTAATCTTTTTTTTCTCTTTCCATGCCAGGAGAACATAGTTCCTCTCCAGCCTTCCAGTCAGGGGAAAAAGCAGCACCAACTACCGGCTGTCTTAATTACAGCTATTGCTTATCAAGTCAGGAAATTAAAAAAAAAAAAAGCCCTATAAAAGAATAGCCTTAGTCATCAAATCTCTAATGTAGAATCACCTAGCTATACCTAGGTATCATGGAAGAAAAAGGAAACTCATTTACTCTTGGAGAAATGAACTCTCGGTGGCTCATGCCTGTAATCCTAGCACTTTGGGAGGCTGAGGCGGGCAGATCACAAAGTCAGTCAGATGAAAGTTCAAGACCAGTCTGGCCAATATGGTGAAATCCCATCTCTACTAAAAATACAAAAATTAGCCAGGCGTGGTGGCATGCGCCTGTAATCTCAGCTACTCAGGAGGCTGAGGCAGGAGAATCGCTTGAACCTGGGAGGTGGAGGATGCAGTGAGCCGAGATTGAGCCACTGCACTCCAACCTGGGCGACACAGCGAGGTGTTACATCTCAAAAAAAAAAGAAAGAAAGAAAGAAAGAAAGAAATGAACTCTCCAATAGGAATCCCTGACTCATCCCCAAAGCATGAACCCTAAGGCCACTTCTCCAGTACAGGAGTTCAGAGGCTGGGCAACCTGTCCTGATGGCCCGCATCACCAAACAATGCTCCTTCCTGACGGTATATGCCTAGGGATAACAAGGTGACTAGCATGCAAACAAGAAATGACCAGGGACCACACCATCTCTTCTTCCATAACCAAAGTAAGACGGTAAAAAACTAGTTTTAGGCCGGGCATGGTGGCTCACGCCTGTAATCCCAGCACTTTGGGAGGCCAAAGCAGATGGATCACTTGAGATGAGGAGTTCGAGAGCAGCCTGCAAATATGGCGAAACCCCATCTCTACTAAAAATACAAAATTAGCAGGGCGTGGTAGCTTGCGCCTGTAGTCCCGGCTACTTCGGACAAAAATTAGCCGGGCGTGGTGGCACGTGCCTATAATCTCAGCTACTCAGGAGGCTGAGGCAGGAGCATCGCTTGAATCTGGGAGGCAGAGGTTGCAGTGAGCTGAGATTGCGCCGCTGCACTCCAGCCGGGGCGACAGAGCGTAGAGCGAGACTCCGTCTCAAAAAAAAAACCAACCAACCAACCAACCAAACAACAAAACCCAAAAAAACTAGTTTTAAACATCTTAAATATTCAAAGTATTTTCTTCTACTTTTGCTAGAAAGTAGTAAAAAAGGGACTCCATCCAATTGCTGTAAATGACACCATTCAAAAGATACCAAGACAATAAAAACTCTCAATAGTAAAAAGGGAAAATGCCGTTTTCCTTAACCCTTTCAGATCAAAAAGTAATTTTTCAAAAATACATAGGCTAAATATCAAGAGCAAATGTTTAAATATAAGCAATATTTTTATTTTTAATAAGGAATAAGTTAGATTATTTAACTTATATTTTCAATCTTCAAAAGATACTGAGAAAACTTTACTTCCGTCCTCTATTATTGGTCTGGGGAGGCGGGAATCACAAAGCTCAACGATGCTAGTATAATACTGTGTATGGTCAAGGGCCTATTTTATAAGCTGTTAAAAATTTAACGCTAAAGCTTTACTAGACCAGTCTCTTTAAAACGTGAAAAAGTATTCACTACTAAGTCATATCACCTCCACCATAAAAACTACTGTACTTTTTAAACAAAAAATAAAAACTAGCCAATGTTTGCTGCCCATTCATTTTACAGGCATTAACTGTGTATCCTTCTCATAATCAGATTTCAGAATTAAGTGATTATTCTTCGAGGTGTACCTTACCCAAGATAAAAATTTTCCCCAGCTTATTTCCCATTCCCAACCCCCGCCAAGACTAAGGAGCAACCACTTCCCAAAGTCCCACTTCCTTTTTCATTCCCCAGACCTACAGGGTTTCCAACGCCCCAGTCTTGCGCAATATCCGTAGGAGCAGCAGCCGCAACCACCGCCTCCTAAGCCGGGAAACAACCCTAGAGGGAACATTGTCCAGCAGAAAAATAAAAAGGGCGGGGGTTGGGGGGGTGGGTAACGTAGGAAGTCGACTTCTGGTCTCACGCCTTCGGATCTGACCCCCTCACAGTGTGCTAAAGCAATAGTGTATCTAGAGCAATTTCATGAACAAGACTTTTAACCTTCACCTCCTCTCAAGACTGCCTGCACAAGCAGAGGGCGGAAAGTAGGGGGTGGCGGAGGCGGGGGGGCGCTGGGAAGGTTATCTCCCAGTTCAGGGCTTCGGCCCGTAGCGTCGCCTCCGCCCCACCAGGACTATTGTTCCCAAGTTCCCCACCCCCACCCCGGATAGGAAGTGATAGTCACATCCCCTCCGCCTTCGGCAATATCCCCTGGGGAGTCCGAAGTCGGCTGGCTTCCTTCAGGATAATTCCCCCACCCACACTTATCCCCTGAACCTATAGTCACACGGACCCCAAGACCACCTCAAACCTGGGCCTCAGGAGAGGAGAAGCGGGACGCGGGTAAATGGAAATTAGGTAAACCCATGAGATTCCTTATGGGCAATCCTTTCCCAAGCGTTGGAGATCATGACTGCGACCCCAGAAACGGCCTAAGTCCTACCCTGCCCGCTTTGAGACCAGCTAGAGCAAAGGGATCCCAGGAGTTAGTGCCAACCTCAATACCCCCGTTCCTCTGTCAGCCACGATCTGCACTCCTCCCGGTCACAGCCAGATACCTTGCCTCGACCCTCCTGGGAGGAGCGAACTGCGCGGGGAGGTGTGGAAACGCGAGCCCCCCCCCCCGGCCTGCACCTCACTTGCCTACGGCTCCCGGCCCGGTAAACAATAGGTGGTCGCGAGCCACGGTGCAGGCTGCGGGCTCGGCCGCGCGGCCGCTCCCTTCGCGTCCCGGGAACCCGCGCGGGGGTCGCGAACATGGGAGAAGAAAGGAGGCCACGGGGGGAGGCGCTCTCGCCTCCCGCTGGCCTCCGAGACCACCCGGCTCACCCGGCTGGTGCGCGCCCCCTCCGCCCCTCTCCTCACAGAGGTACACAAAGCACTGGCGGCCCGGCCGGGAGAGGCGGCGATGGGCTCCGGCGCCGGCAAGAAAACGCGACAGCGAGGGGAGAGACTCACCATGAAGTCCCGGGCGAAGTTGTCCTCCCCATTGTGGTCAGGACTCTTCATGGCCTGGACCCTCTGGATGAATTTCCTCAGGATCTCCACTTGCTCCATCCTCCCGCGTCCCCCCGGCTGCGGTCGCTGGCCCCCCCGCCGCCCGCCCGCCCGGCACAGAGCCCGCTCCGTCTTCCCCAGCTCGTTCCCCCAGCACGTCCCTCCCTCCCGACCCCGCCAAGCCCCGCGGCTCCCTCCTCCTCCCCACCGCCCTAGGCGGCGGCTGCGGCGGCACCGGCTGGGCTCCCGACACCACAACTTCCAGGAGCAGCCGCCGCTCTCCCACAGTACCAGGCGAGCCGCTGCGCTAGCGCCAACCCCAACCCCCAGCTTGCTCCATCCTCCTTCCCCGCCCTCCTCCTCCGTCGGAGACGCCGCCGCCGCCGCCGCCGCCGCCGCCGCCTCAGGAACACAGCTAGCTCTCCGCTCGCCCTGCCCCCCCTTCCCGGTTCCTCCTCCCCCCCACCCCCCGCCAGCAGCCGCAGCCGCAGCCGCAGCCGCCTCTCCCCACGGGCGCGTCCCCGCCGCCACCCAGATGCGCGGCCTCGCGCTGCGGCTCCGCCCCAAGCGCTGCGCCCGCAGATGCATCCCCGCCCGCCTCCCGGCCACGCCCCCAAGCCCGCCCCGCCGGCCCCAGCCCCGCTTGGAGTGGCTGGAAGGCACTTCAGCGGGCGGCCTGGAGACCTGACTCCATTTCCGGGGCGTGGCCCCGCCCGGGGTGCTCAGAGGTCGGAGTATCGCTGGGAGGAGAGTTGGTTCATTTGGAGGAGGGAATGCGACTCTGAGCGGGCCAAGCCCTAGTGGGTCAGAGTAGGATTCTGATGGAATTTGCGGTCTCACCGCCTACTAGGGAGGAAAAGCAGTTTTCAGGAGTCCCGCACCGCCGCCAGCCGTGGGCTGGGACTACAAGTCACGGTCTGTGGAGTCCAGGAGTGGGGGCGGGCGGGAGGCAGGCTGGGAGCTGTAGTAGTGTCACCGCCACGTTCGCAGCAGGTAGATGCTCATCTTGCTAACGGATTGGTGAGAGTGGACAGCAATTAGGCTTTGGCACCTTGGAGCGTGGCTCCAGCTAAGGGAAGCGAAACGCTTCCTGGGTGAGAGGACTTTTATTCTTTGCTCATCCTCTTAAACCTGGCGAGTGAGCGCCTGAGGTTCGGAGTGCCTTCTTCACAGACGACGCGAATGTGGGGTCTTCGTGTTTGCCGAACTGAAGGGAATTTGCCTTCCTGCCTTTAGGTTCGCAGCAGTTCATAACTGAATAAGAGACTTTCCTCCATAGAATGGACTTTATAAATCTATTAATTTTTTTTTTTTTTTTTTTTTAGAGCTAAGGTCTTGCTCTATCTCCCATGCCAAAGTGCAGTGCTATGATCACGGCTCGCTGCAGCCTTGAACTCCTGGGCTCAAGGCATCCTCCTGCCTCACTACGTCACCAAGCCCAGCTAATACATTTTAAAAATTTATTATTTATTTATTTATTTATTTTTGGTAGAGAAGGGGGTCTCACCAGGTTGCCCAGGCTGATCTCGAATTCCTGTGCACTAGGGATCCTCAGCTTCCGAAAGTGTTGGGATTTTAGGCGTGAGCCACCGCGCCTAGCCTATAAATCTTTATTCATCTTTGTAAACTTCTATCAGAGAATATATTCTGGTCTAACTCATCATTTTACAAATAAAGCGACTTCCTGACATCCCCCAGCGTATTCTTAGCAGAGCCGTAACTAGAAGTTATTTTACTTTCACAACAGTGGCCTCTCACAATGTGACAGAACTGAAGGATTTGATCCATGAACTGACTTTCGTCATTTATACCCACAAACCTTTTTTTACAGAGCAGATTGGTCAGCGAATTTGGTTATAATAGGAAATATCAGTGGTAGAATACTTTCTCAGATGAAAGTTAGGAGCACTATGGAATTTAGTGAAAAACTCATTGAAGAAAATAGGTGTAGGCCGGGCGCGGTGGCTCACGCCTGTAATCCCAGCACTTTGGGAGGCCGAGATGGGAGGATCACCTGAACCCGGGAGGCGGAGGTTGCAGTGAGCTGTGATCACACCATTGCACCCCAACCTGGGCGACGGGAGTGAGGCCCTGTCTCAAAAAAAAAAAAAAGAAAAGAAAATAGGTGTAACAGGATATAGTTTATTTACTTCTTCAAAAAAAGGAAAATATTTCTGTTAAAATAATCCAACTAATACATCCACTCCAGAAATATGCACTTCAGACCAGGTGCAGTGGCTCACACCTGTAATCCTAGCACTTCGGGAGGCCGAGTTGGGTGGATCACTTGAGGTCAGGAGTTCGAGACCAACCTGGCCGATATGGTGAAACCCTGTCTCTGCTAAAAATACAAAGCCGGGTGTGGTGGTGCACGCCTGTAGTCCCAGGTACTCCAGAGGCTGAGGCAGAAGAATCGCCTGAACCTGAGAGGCGGAGATTGCAGTGAGCCGAGGTCGTGCCACCACACTCCAGCCTGGGTGAAAGAGCGAGAGTCTGTCTCAAAAAATAAAAATAAAAAGGCCAGGCGCGATGGTTCACACCTGTAATCCCAACCCTTTGGGAGGCCGAGGCGGGCGGATCACCTGAGGTCAGGAGTTCAAGACCAGCCTGGCCAATATGGTGAAACCAACCCCGTCTTTACTAAAAATACAAAAAATTAGCCGGGCGTGGTGACGCATGCCTGTAATCCCAGCTAGTCAGGAGGCTGAGGCAGGAGAATTGCTTGAACCCAGGAGGCGGAGGTTGCATTGAGCGAGATCACGCCATTGCACTCCAGCCTGGGCAACAAGAGCGAAACTCTGTCTCTAAAAAAAAAAAAGAGCCTCCCTGCCTGATTCTCCTGCCTCCGCCTGCGGAGTGCCTGCAATTGCAGGCGCGCGCCGCCACGCCTGACTGGTTTTCGTATTTTTTTGGTGGAAACGGGGTTTCGCTGTGTTGGCCGGGCTGGTCTCCAGCTCCTAACCGCGAGTGATCCGCCAGCCTCGGCCTCCCGAGGTGCCGGGATTGCAGACGGAGTCTGGTTCACTCAGTGCTCAATGGTGCCCAGGCTGGAGTGCAGTGGCGTGATCTCGGCTCGCTACAACCTCCACCTTCCAGCCGCCTGCCTTGGCCTCCCAAAGTGCCGAGATTGCAGCCTCTGCCCGGCCGCCACCCCGTCTGGGAAGTGAGGAGCGTCTCTGCCTGGCCGCCATCACATCTAGGAAGTGAGGAGCCTCTCTGCCCGGCCGCCATCCCATCTGGGAAGTGAGGAGCGCCTCTTCCGGCCGCCATCACATCTAGGAAGTGAGGAGCGTCTCTGCCCGGCCGCCCATCGTCTGGGATGTGGGGAGCGCCTCTGCCCCGCCGCCCCGTCTGGGATGTGAGGAGCGCCCCTGCCCGGCTGCCACCCCGTCTGGGAGGTGAGGAGCGTCTCTGCCCGGCTGCCCCGTCTGAGAAGTGAGGAGACCCTCCGCCCGGCAGCCACCCCGTCTGGGAAGTGAGGAGCGTCTCCGCCTGGCAGCCACCCTGTCCCGGAGGGAGGTGGGGGGGGTCAGCCCCCCGCCAGGCCAGCCGCCCCGTCCGGGAGGGAGGTGGGGGGGTCAGCCGCCGGCCAGGCCAGTCGCCCCGTCCGGAGGGAGGTGGGGGGGTCAGACCCGCCCGGCCAGTCGCCCCGTCCGGGAGGGAGGTGGGGGGGTCAGCCCCCCGCCCGCCAGCCGCCCCGTCCAGGAGGTGAGGGGCGCCTCTGCCCGGCCGCCCCTACTGGGAAGTGAGGAGTCCCTCTGCCCGGCCAGCCGCCCCGTCCGGGAGGGAGGTGGGGGGGTCAGCCCCCCGCCCGGCCAGCCGCCCAGTCCGGGAGGGAGGTGGGGGGGGTCAGCCCCCCGCCCGGCCAGCCGCCCAGTCCGGGAGGGAGGTGGGGGGGTCAGCCCCCTGCCCGGCCAGCCGCCCCGTCCGGGAGGGAGGTGGGGGGGTCAGCCCCCCGCCCGGCCAGCCGTCCCGTCCGGGAGGTGAGGGGCGCCTCTGCCCGGCCGCCCCTACTGGGAGGTGGGGAGCCCCTCTGCCTGGCCAGCCGCCCCGTCCGGGTGGGAGGTGGGGGGGTCGGCCCCCCGCCCGGCCAGCCGTCCCTTCCGGGAGGTGAGGGGCGCCTCTGCCCGGCCGCCCCTACTGGGAAGTGAGGAGCCCCTCTGCCCGGCCACCACCCCGTCTGGGAGGTGTGCCCAGCAGCTCATTGAGAACGGCCAGGATGACAATGGCGGCTTTGTGGAATAGAAAGGGGGGAAAGGTGGGGAAAAGATTGAGAAGTCGGATGGTTGCCGTGTCTGTGTAGAAGTAGACATGGGAGACTTTTCATTTTGTTCTGTACTAAGAAAAATTCTTCTGCCTTGGGATCCTGTTGATCTGTGACCTTACCCCCAACCCTGTGCTCTCTGAAACATGTGCTGTGTCCACTCAGAGTTAAATGGATGAAGGGCGGTGCAAGATGTGCTTTGTTAAACAGATGCTTGAAGGCAGCATGCTCATTAAGAGTCATCACCACTCCCTAATCTCAAGTACCCAGGGACACAAACGCTGCGGAAGGCCGCAGGGTCCTCTGCCTAGGAAAACCAAAGACCTTTGTTCACTTGTTTATCTGCTGACCTTCCCTCCACTATTGTCCTATGACCCTGCCAAATCCCCCTCTGTGAGAAACACCCAAGAATGATCAATAAAAAACAAAACAAAACAAAACAAAAACAAAAAAACAAAAAAAAGAAAAAAGAAAAAAATGCACTTCAAGTTATGCCCTTCCAAATTTTTTCCTATGCATTTATATATGTGTGTGCATGCAAAGAGATACAGTTTTGCTCTGTATTTCAAAAATTCACTTAGAGGAATAGTTTAATTTCTAAGGTAAACTTTATTTGAAAAAAGGGCCCGCAGTATTTTACTTTAACCAGATACTGAGACTGAGTTTCACGGGATGTGAGGAAATGCCAGAATCAGGGCTTGATCATGCTTATTGTAGATGGCCCTTTCCCCTCAGAAATGGGAGAGAAATTCGACTGTAGGAAGAGAAATGGAAGGATGATCAGAAGTGCCTCTGCTTTTGATGGTTCAAAAGAATGTACCAACCAGACAATGATCGGTAAAGAAGATATGCTGAACAAGTTGTGTAACAGTCTAGTACGGTTTGGTATAGTGTTGGGTAAGAAGTGTTACTTGTTTAAGGTATTGAGTCCCATTTTGGCTGGTGTTTTTAGTCTTTTTTAAAATGTTTCGTCTTATTGGCAAGCTTCTCTCTCTTTCTTGCAACACTTGAGAGTTTCTTGAGTTCTCAGCGGCTACCTTTGGCATCTACTGCTAGGTTTGGGAAAATTTATGTAAACTATCTCCAAGGATTTCAATTCTTTTTTTTCTTTTTTTTTCTTTTTTGAGATGGAGTCTTCCTTAGTCGCACAGGCTGGAGTGCAGTGGCGCGATCTCGGCTCACTGCAACCTGAGCCTCCTGGTTCAAGTGATTCTCCTGCCTCAGCCTCCCAGTAGCTGGGCTTACAGGTGCCTGCCACCACGCCCGGCTAATTTTTTTGAATTTTTAGTAGAGATGGGGTTTCACAACGTTGGCCAGGCTAGTCTCGAACCCCTGACCTCAAATGATTAACCCACCTCGGCCTCCCAAAGTGCTGGGATTACAGGCGTGAACCACCAAGCCCCGCCAGGATTTCAGTTCTTTGGAAAGGCTTAGCAGTGCTTTCCTTGGTACCTTGCTAGCTTTTTCTTCTTCTTCTTCTTCTTCTTCTTTTTTTTTTTTTTTTTGAGACAAAGTCTCACTCTGTCGCCCAGGCTGGAGTGCAGTGGCGTGATCTCGGCTCACTGCAAGCTCCACCTCCCGGGTTCCATGCCATTCTCCTGCCTCAGCCTCCCGAGTAGCTTGGACTACAGGCGCCCGCCCCCATGCCTGACTAATTTTTTTGTATTTTTAGTAGAGACAGGGTTTCACCATGTTAGCCAGGATGGTCTCGATCTCCTGACCTCGTGATCCACCCACCTCGGCCTCTCAAAGTGGCTTTTTCTTCTTTTCAATACATTTAGGTCTTGTTTCAATCTACATATGGCTTTTTAACATATCAACATATGAGGGTTTATGCTGTGTGTGTCAGATACAAAAATGTTATAGAGATGGCTCCTACTCCTAAGGAATGAATATCTTAGTTCAGGAGACAGGAAAAACAATAAACTCTTAGTTACTTTAAGTTAATAAATGTGAAAGAGTGATACAGATAATAAGTGATTTAACAGTTCTGAGGAGAGAGAATTGTGGACCGGGCTGTCAGCATGGGGTGGTCACAGAGGTAGACCTTAAAGGGTAAGTTAAATTAGGTTTGAACAGGAAGTAGAACGCCCAGGCAAGAGAAGTGATAAGCATGAAGACAGCAAAGCAGAAGTTTGAAGTAGAACATTTGTATAGATGTGAAAGCTCCAAAGTAGACTAGGCTCTGGAGAATGTTGATACTGTAGGCATGGGAGCCACAAGAGGTTTCTGAGGATAGAAGCAAAATTATGGAAATGAGGAAAATAGTAATCTGGTACTTTTCTGATAAATTGTGAATGAGAGAGAAGGGAATGAGAGATATTAGGAGCCAATACATGAAACAACAAAAATAAAAGTAAGAAGTGGCCGGGCACGGTGGCTCACGCATGTAATCCCAGCACTTTGGGAGGCCAAGGCGGGCAGATCACGAGGTCAGGAGATCGAGACCATCCTGGCTAACACGGTGAAACCCCGTCTCTACTTAAAAAAAAAAAATACGAATAATTAGCCGGGCGTGGTGGCTGGAGCCTGTAGTCCCAGCTACTCCGGAGGCTGAGGCAGGAGAATGGCGTGAACCCAGGAGGCAGAGCTTGCAGTGAGCTGAGATCACGCCACTGCACTCCAGCCTGAGTGACAGAGCAAGACTCCGTCTCAAAAAAAATAAAATAAAAAGTAAGAAATGCAGGCTGGGTGCCCTGGCTCACGCCTGTAATCCCAACACTTTGGGAGGCCAAGGCGGGCAGATCACTTGAGGTCAGGAGTTCGAGACCAGCCTGGCCAACACGATGAAACCCTGTCTCTACTAAAAATACAAAAATTACCCAGGCGTGGTGATGTGTGCCTGTAATCCCAGCTAGTCGGGAGGCTGAGGCAGGAGGATTGCTTAAGCCCCGGAGTTCCAAGCTGGAGTGAGCCATGATTGTACCGCTGCACTCTAGCTTGGGCAACAGAGCAAGACCCTGTCTCAGAAAAAAAAGCTGGGTGGAAGGAGGCAGATCTTGTTTGGGAGATTTTTAAAAATGGCACATGGTAGGTCCAGCTTTAGAAAGCTCACCTACCTATACTATAGTCTCAGGGAAATTTACTGCTCTGCCTATCCTCTGTCACAGCCACGTGTTTGGGCAGTTGAGAAGTTAATCAGCCCATACAGACTGGCCAGCAACCTATGTCCTGGTATAAGAAGATGGTCTGGGCCAATCAGTTCTCACTCTTAGGAATCTGAATTTGGAAACCTAGAAAGAGTAAGTCATTATGCAGCAAGGGCAGAAGCTGAATGTATGCCATGGGGTAGAATTAGCGATTTGAAGCCTTGAGAGAGAGTAGAAAGTATAAAGAATCTGATTAGGAAGAGAACATTAGGATGCACTCAGTGGCTCACGCCTGTAAGCCCAGCATTTCGGGAGGCTGAGGCGAGCACATCACTTGAGGCCAGGAGTTCGAGACCAGCCTGGCCAACATGGCGAAACCCCGTATCTATAAAGTAAAATAAAATAAACTTTTAAAGGAAAGAAAAGAACATTAAGCAGACATGCAGCAATATGTGGGTATGTCACAACATAACCCATATGGCCATGGGGGAGATGGGGAGAATCTCCAGAGTAACCTGACTTCCGATAAACTTTTAGGAGAGGTTCAGTTGACATTTATTCCATAAGTAAATTTTGCTTTTCTTGAAACAGAATAGGGCAGTAATAAAGAGCGTGGGCTCTGAAGTCAGAGAAATGAAGGTTCAAAAACCTGTTCCATTTCTTGTTCAGGGTAAGTCACTTAAGCTGTCTAAGCATCAGTTTCCTCTTTTAGGAAAGCCACCTGGTGCTGGCTTAATGAGATAATGTTTCAGCAGTGGTGTACTATATACTTACTCATAGAAAACACAAAATAGGCCAGGCGCAACGGCTCACACCTGCAATCCCAGCACTGTGGGAGGCTGAGACAGGAGAATTGCTTGAGCCCAGGAGTTTGAGAACAGCCTAGGCAACACAGTGAGACCCAGTCTCTACAAAAAAAATTTTTAAATTACCCAGGCGTGGTGGTGCATACCTGTAGTCCCAGCTACTTGGGAGGCTGAGGTGGGAGGATTGCTTGAACCTCGGAGGTTGAGGTTGAGGCTGCAGTGAACTCTGATGCCACTGAATTCCACCCTAGGCAACAAAGCAAGACTCTGTCTCAAAAAGAAAAGAAAAACAAAACACAAAATAATAACTGGTTAAAGACCGTTAATGATTTCTGGGTCTTGTGCTTTTTTACCTCCTTCCTCATCTCTTTAGGCCCTTTTCCTACTCACTAGCTACATCACTCTGGGTAAATACAGGAGGAATGAGAAGAAAGCTAAATTTCATTTTTAAAAAAATCTCTCTTCTTACTACTTTTGTGAAGGTCTGAGTGGGAAGGAATTTAAAACTAATAATCCAAAAGAGGTTTCAGGATGATCTACTTGTTTCATGTTCATATTACCTTTTTTTTCCCTTAGCTCAGGTAAAATTAATGCTTTAAATGTGTGGAAATTTTAACTTTTGGGGTGTTTTCACATCTATACTCATACAAGCTACCTTTGTTATGGCTTTCACAGCATTTTATAGCTCTTTGTGAGTTCTGTTCTTTTTTTTTTTTTTACAACCCTGGGAAGTAATTTCATATCATTTTCTTCATTAATAGATAAAAGCTAAATGAAGCACAGTGAGTGAACATGATTAGCTTACTTGTGGAAAACAAATGTCAGACACATGGCCAAAGCTTACAGGTCCTGAGTTTCCAGATTGTTGCATAAACCACTGAGTCACAATGATTCTATACCTGGTGTGATTTAAGTGAAACTGCAGGTGAAGGTTGAAATCATTCCTGAGAGTCTCCCACAATGGCATTTCTAATATTAACCTGTCATTTCATTCTGCATTCCTCAGTCCTCTCCATACTCTGAAACTATATTTAAGATAGACTTTTGGGTGGGAGGTTATGAGAGAGTGAATGAGAAGCTAGGGAAATTCTTGTTTATCCTGGTATCCTATTTATTCCTTCTTTCTAGCCATAGTCACAGCAAATGTTGACCATTTTTTAATCTGAGTTTTTTGTTGAAATGTGTCATCTAATAAATAGGAAACTGGCAGTAAGGGAGCATAACTTTTTAGTTTCCTACGGTAACATAAAATTTTCAGAAGACACATAAAAATGAAGAGAAGTTTGGAAGGGATGAAATCTCTCTAATATTCAATGTGTATTTCAAAGCTTAATATGTCAGAGCTTTTTCATATATCACATCCTGTTTATCCTTATAACTCTACCCTTAAGTAGGTAGGTCAGGTATTATTTTATATATATATATATATATATTTTTTTTTTTTTTTTTTTGAGAAGGAGTCTCTCTTTGTCCCCAGGCTGGAGTACAGTAGTATAATCTTGGCTCACTGTAACCTCCACCTCCAGGGTTCAAGTGATTCTCCTGCCTCAGCCTCCCAAGTAGCTGGGATTATAGGTGTGCACTGCCATGCCTGGCTAATTTTTTTTTCTTTTCTTTTTTTGGTAGAGACGGGGTTTCAGCATGTTGGCCAGGCTGGTCTCTAACTCCTGACCTTAGGTGATCCACCTGCCTCAACTTCCCGAAGTGTTGGGATTACAGGCATGAGCCACCGCACCCGACCCTATATTCTTTATATATGCATTAGAATACTAGTAAGGATAATAATGCATAACTTTAGAGAAATTAAATTATTTGCCCAAGATCACATAGATGGCAGAACTAGAACTAAAACCCAGATAATTCTCCACTCAATGAAAACTTAAGAGTGTTACACAACAAAGGCTACATACAGTAATAATTAATGCTAACTGCAAGAGAATACAGTCATTAAATCCACCCTGTTCTCTGACCTTTCTATCTCATACTTCTTATGCTGTTTCATTTAACATTCAAAGAAAAATTAAAATTTTATAAATAACTTCAAAGTCAAATACTACCTGACCATCTAATTAGTCGTTTTTCAACATGATGACATTTGGTTTCTGTATTCAAGAATGGATCATTAACAAGGCTTATGAAATATAATTGTGCCATATAAAATTCATTCACTTTATTGATTGAGGTCAGGCCAAACTATCAGCAAAACAAAACAAGCAAAAAATCCCTTTTCTTCAGTGACCACTAATAATTTTAGATTAAAAAAAATGTGCTTCCACTTATTTGAGGTATCTAAAGTAGTTAAACTCATAGAAACAAAATAGAATGGTGGTTACCAGGGGTTGGGGGCAGAAGGGAAAAGGGGAGTTTAATGGGCATAGATTTTCAGATTTGCAAGATAAAAACGTTCTGGAGATCTGTTTCACAACAATGTGAATCAATACAGGTATACTTAATACTAGTAAACTATACACTTAAAAATGGTTAAGATGGCAAATGTATGTGTTTTTCACCACAATATAAATAAATAAAATATATAGTTTGAGATGATAAAAAATGGTTAGTGGTGATGGTTGCACAACAATGTGAATGTACTTAATGTTACTGAGCTATACACTTAAAAATGGTTAAAATGATAAATTTTATGTTAGATATATTGTACTGCAGTTAAAAAAGTATATTTAAAGTTCCATGATTTTATATTTTTATCATATTCACTATTCTGTGAAAATCTTGCACTTCATGTTTCTGTGTTGGCAACTAGAAAGCAGAGATTTCTTTCAACTCTGTTATTTAGCCTATAGTCAAACAAATAATTGGTGTCGTTAGCAGCTATACAAGTCTAAACTAAAATCTATAGAGGGAAATTTCATTTCCAAGAATTGCTGTAATATTATGCAAAAATCTTCTAATGCCCATAGAATTCTAGAAGGCACCTAATGTGCATATTATATGTCATCATTTGATGGTTACCTTACCTTGTCAGTGAATATCACATTTCTTTTATTTATTTATTTATTTTGAGATGGAGTCTCACTCTGTCACCCAGGCTGGAGTGCAGTGGCATGATCTCGGCTCACTGCAAGCTCTGCCTCCCGGGTTCACGCCATTCTCCTGCCTCAGCCTCCCGAGTAGCTGGGACTACAGGCGCCTGCCGATTTTTTAGTTATATTCAAGTTCATTCAGTAGTTGAAACTTTGGTTTTTGTTTTGTTTTAAGACAGGGTCTCTCACTCTGTCACCCAGGTTGGAATGCAGTGACACAGTCATGGCTCACTGCAGCCTTGACCTCTGGGACTCAAGTGATCCACCCACCTCAGCCTCCCGAGTATCCAAGACCACAGGCACACGCCACCACACCCAGCTAATTTTTGTATTTTTTGTAGAGAGTTTCGCCACGTTGCCTAGGCTGGCTTCAAACTCCTGAGCTCAAGCAATCTGCCTGCCTTGGCCTCCCAAAGTGCTGAGATGACAGGCATGAGCCACTGCACCTGGCTCAGTAGTTGAAAATTTGTTAAAAGGTATTTACTGTTAATAGCTAGTTACGATTAGTCTTAGTTTTCAATTAGCAAGCATTTTATGGTTTTAAAATTGTTTTTAATTTCCATTTAATATGCTCTACCAGTTACTTTTTAAAAGTATACTTTTAAAATAGTTTATTTTAAACTTTAGGGCATATCCTTTTTTTTTTTTTTTTCAAAGAAATTAACTATGTAATTTATCAAGGCAATCATCAACTGCCCTTTCCTTGTCAATTTTTAAATAGTTCCATTATTTCAAAATTCTGGTGAAATATTTATTTATATCTTTCTTCAGTAGTAAGTTGTCTCCTAGAGATATTTCATTTCTTTTTCTAGCTGAATGTTTGGTATTTAATATTTCTTCAGTAGATTTCAATTTGCTATCTTTCTGTAGTTCTCACTGAGTGATCTTTCTGTTGTGTTACATGAATACTATTTTTAAGTATATTCATAATATTTCACAAATCCAGTATCATGTGTCATACAGATGAGTCTAGGCAGTGGTTTTATTTCTAATGAGCAATTTGTGAGACATACTATTAATCATGCAATACCTTTAACAGTTGAACTTTTTAATTGTGGGTTTGTGTGTGCGAGGGAGATATTTATGATTTCTACTAAAGCCCTCAAAGCTGCTCAGACAGCCCTTTTGTCCATTTTTGGTCAGCTCCCATGGCTTTATCACTCGCTTCAAGCCCTACACCCTGCTTCTTCATTCTTAGAAAAATGGAGTTATCAAGTTTTAACTCAGTTTCTCCTTTCCAAGTGAAATTGGGAAATCACAAATTTACCCCTATAACTTACTCATTTCTCTCCACTATTAGGATTCTGTTGACCCTCTCTACCCTTTTATGTCTCTTCCTACTCTTGCTGTACAAATATCTCCTCTCCTTTATTGTCAGTCTTTTCCCCTTCAGTGACTCTCCTTATCCTACAAAATGCTCAAGACTCCCACAAACTACTGCCCATCTCATGCAACCCACAACAGTCTGACTACTGGCACATATCTCCTAAAGGACTTCCTACTTGCCAAATCTCATGACCTCTTAGTGTACATCCTTCTTAACCCTTGTGCAGCATTTGACCCTTTTCAGTGAATACCATTCCTTCTTGAAATTCTCCCTTTCCTTAGTTTGTTTTAATTGAAGTGAAATTTATATAATATGTAATTAATCATTTTAAAGTTAACAATTCAGTGGCATTTAGTACATTCACAATATTGTGCAACTACCACATCTATCTAGTTCTAAGACATTTTCGTGTCCCCAAAAGAAAGCCCTATTCCCATTAAACAGTTACTCCCTACTCCTTCCTCCCCTAACATCCTGGCAATCACCAATCTGCATTCTGTCTATATGGATTTACCTATTCTGTATATTTCATATAAAAATGGAATCATATATAATAGTATGTGGCCTCTTGTGTCTGGCTTCTTTCACTTGCATAATGTTTTGTTTCAAATCTTAATATTTTCATATTTGCCTCAGATTTTCAGTAAGAAAACAGTATGGATAGAGTTGAGATGCCTATAGAGTCCTTCCTTTCTCTCCCCAGAAATAACCATTATCTTGTATTTAGAATTTTTATTGTTCCAGTGCATGTATAACTTTATGCTGAGTAGTATCTTGCCTTTAAAAAAATTCTGGTAAAATCACATAACAAAATTTACTATCTTAACCATTTTTAAGTGTTCATTAGTGTTAAATATATTTGCATTGTTGTGCAACAGATCTCCAGAAACTTTTCATCTTGCAAAACTGAATATGTATACTCATTAAACAATGTTCCTTGATTTCCCTGTCCTTCTAGCTCCCAGTAACTACCATTCTACTTTGTTTCTATGAATATAACTATTTTAGATACCTCATACAGGTGGGCTCACATTTATTTGTCTTTTTGTGACTGGCTAATTTCATTTAGTGTAATGTCTTGAAGGTTCATCCATGTTATAGCGTATGAAAGGATTTTCTGCCTTTTTAAAGCTGAATAATATTGCATTATAAGTATATACTACATTTTGTTTATTCTTTCATCCATTGATGGACTTTTGGGCAGTGTTCACTTTTGAGGAGTTGTGAATAGTGTTCCTATGATCATGGTTTTCTGTGGAGAACCAAACTGTTTTCTACAGAAGCTGCATTTTACATTCTCACCAGAAATTGTACAAGGGTTCTAATTTATTCTCATCCTTGCCAACACTTGTTATTTTCCTTTAAAAAATTTTTGGCCATCCTACTGGGTACGAAGTGGTACCTCATTATGGTTTTGATATGCATTTTCCTAATGATTAATGATGTTGAGCATCTTTTGATGTGCTTCTTGGCTATTTGTATATCTTTGGAGGAATGTCTACTCAGCCCTTTGCCTATTTCTCTCTTTCTTTCCTCCTGTAACACTTTATACATTTAACACAATATTTTAGTCCTTACATTGCCTTATACTGGTTTGTTTATATATCTAGGTTATGAGCTCCTTAATGTAGAGATCTATCCCTGTAGCTAATAAATCTCTCCCAAGTTCATAGTAAAAGTCTGGTACATAGTAATACTCAAAAAATACTAAATCTCAGAACTTGCATTTAATTTTTTTTTTTTTTTTTTTTTTTGAGACAGGGTCATACTCTGCCAGCCAGGCTGGAGTGCAGTAATGCGATCTTGGCTCACCTCAGCCTCAACCTCCCAAGCTCAGGCAATCCTCCAGCCTCAACCTCCCAAGTAGTTGAGACTATAGGCACATGCCACCAAGCCCAGCTAATTTTTTGTGTATTTTTGTAGAGACAGGGTTTCATCATGTTGCCCAGGCTGGCCTCGAACTCCTAGGCTCAAGTAATCCAACTGCCTCAGCCTCCCAAAGTGCTGGGATTACAAGTGTGAGCCACTGTGCCTGGCCACAATTTCTACATATATTTTCAGTGAACAAAATAGCTAAAGTAAAATACACTAATTATAAAAAAAAAAAGAAAAAGAAAAACTTTTAAAGAATGTGAAGGCCAGGCATGGTGGCTCACGCCTGTAATTTCAGCACTTTGGGAGGCTGAGGCATGCGGATCGCTTGAGTCTAGGAGTTCGAGACCAGCCTGGGCAACATGGTGAAACCCCATATCTACAAAAAATTAGCTGGGCTTGGTGGCATGCGCCCATAGTCCAGCTACTTGGGAGGCTGCGGTAGGAGGATCGCCTGAGCCTGGGGAGGTTGAGTCTGTGGTGAGCCTTGATCACGCCACTGCACTCCAGCCTGGGCAACAGAGTGAGACCCTGTCTCAAAACAACAACAACAACAACAACAACAAAACAAAACTTTTTGTTATGGAAAATGTCAAATGTGTAAAAGTAAAGAGAATCGTAAAATGAACACCCTTTGATAATTATCGATACAGCATCAATCTGGTTTCATCTAAATCCCTTCCACTCTCTCCCCGCTGGATTATTTTAAAGCAAACCTCAGAAATCATTTTATACATACATAAATACTTTTGACATTTTTAAAGGAAGGATTTGAAGTACTAAACATAGAACTTTAGTTCACCTGAGGTTAACTAACTGAAACCCTCAATTAACTATCCTCCAATTTTAAGAGAACAGGACAAATTGGAAGAAATTATCTGCCATCTCGGAGCTTAAAAAAATTCAACGTAATAGGTTCTAGTCTTAAAACAAATCCAGCATAATTTTCTGAACTTCTACACTTTGAAAAACTCAAATGAGGAACTGATATTCATTACACTGAACTCAAGGTATTGCAAGAGCTAAATTATCACAGAAACAGCCAAGATGAAGTGTTTCACCAGAACCTTCCTATGTTGCAACCCTGCTTATTAAATTTAAATTTTAGTGTGGGAAGTATACTTTTCTATGGTAACTTTTTTTTTTTTTTTGAGACAGAGTTTCACTATTGTCACCCAGGCTGGAGTGCAGTGGTGCGATCTCGGCTCACTGCAAGCTCCACCTCCAGGGTTAAAGTGATTCTTCTGCCTCGGCCTCCCAAGTAGCTGGGATTACAGGCGCTCACCCCCATGCCCAGCTAATTTTTGTATTTTCAGTAGAGACAGGGTTTCACCATGTTGGTCTCAAACTCCTGACCTCAGGTGATCCACCCACCTTGGCCTCCCAAAGTTCTGGGATTACAGGCGTGAGCCACCATGCCCGGCCTATGGTAACATTTTTCAAAAGGACATTTTTGCTGAATCTCATTTTTCCAGAAAATAACGTTTCATTATATTTGGATGTAAAATGACACAGCTAGAATCCCAAAGTGTTTTTTAATTTCATTTAATTTCATTTAATAATGAAGTAGTGTTACGTGAGGATTGTTGAGAATCTTGAAAATTACTGCTATTTACTTCTTGTAATCTAATACACATTTTTTGAACTCTTTCTGTTTCCAACATGTCTTTTGGGACTCGAAACTTCTGAAGTTCTTTTCTGATATGTCTCATGATGACCACTGCAACTGCCTTTGTCCAAGCCAATATCATCTCTCACCTGCCTTTCATGATAGCCTTCTGATTGGTCTCTCTGCATCAGCCCTTTCCTGCCTCTGCCTGAAAGAGTTAAAGCAGTCCTTTTAAAACATGTCAGGTCACCTCACTTCTTGGCTCAGAACCCTCCAGTTGGCTTCCCATCTCACTAAGACATGGCGTGCAATATTCTCAGTAGAAGTGGTATTGCTAAGGTATGTTTTGGAAATTTGTGGGAGTATTTTTGGTTGTACCATAATTAAGTGGTAGCATTGAGTATGTGGGGGTCTGGGCTGCTAGACCATTATACATACTCCCTCACTATAAAGAATTGTCCCTCATCCTCCCGTATGAGTTTTTTAAAAAATCCATTTTTGGCCAGGCGTGGTGGCTCACACTGTAATCCCAGCACTTTGGGAGGCCAAGGCGGGCAGATCACCTGAGGTCAAGAGTTCGAGACAAGCCTGGCCAACGTGGTGAACCCTCGTCTCTACTAAAAATACAAAAAAAAATTAAATGGGCGTGGTGGTGCGTGCCTGTAGTCCCAGCTACTCGGGGAGGCTGAGGCAGGAGAGAATCGCTTGAACCCAGGAGGTGGAGGTTGCAGTGAGCCGAGATCATGCCATTGCATTCCAGCCTGGACAACAAGAGCAAAACTCTGTCTCAAAAAATAATGATAATAATAATAATCCATTTTTGAGGTATGGTTTATCAAAAGTAAAATGTACCCATTTTAAGTGTACAATTTGATGTTTGACACATTTATATATCTGTGTAACCACCACAATAATCAAGGCATAAAACATTCCCATCACCACAAAAAGTTCTCTCATGTGCCTTCTGCATGACCTTTGAATAGCCCGTTGGATATTCTTGAAGGTGAAAAACCTGTTTATAAATATCTGAGCCTAGAAACTAATTACATATATATAAACACAAAATATTTTTAGCATAGTTTTAATGTACACTTGATTTTCCAGAAATGTAACTGTGATGTAAGTTGAGAACAAAATGGTATTTTGTTCAGAATTTTGTCAGAGGTTTGCTATTCTGGAAAAACATGTCAGAGACAGCATCAGCTTCACTATTCATGGCATTTGAGACAAGAAGTCAACATTCCTCTATCAGTCTGCATTTGTAGCTACCACATTTATGTGATTCTACATAAAGGTGTAAACACCTATTTCATTATATCTTTTATGGTGTTCATGTCTGCACATTTACATATTAAAATATATATTATTATAAATTGCTTTCATGCATTTCTCATTTATATTACAGGTTTAGCATTATATTAGTTATTTTGAAGTTAGTTTTGTATATAGTTATAATATCCATAAATTTAATTTCAGCATATGAAGGGAAAAGTATAAAATATTTATTATATAAAAGGGGCACTGGGTCTGTTAGCCTAGAGAAACACTACCCTACATATTCTGACCCAGCCACTTTCTTTTCCTAGATTTCCTCAGTAATTGAATCTACTGTTGGCTGTTCTGCTCTCCACTCCCTTGCTCTGCCCACTAACCACTGGCTTCCCTGCTTTTCCATGCAAGCTCCAGCATATGCCCACCCCTGGACCTCTGTCTGCATTTGCTGTTTGTTTTCTCTGTGGAATGCTCTTCCATCAGGTATCCACATGCTCATTTCCTCCCCTCCTTCGGCTCTTTGCTTAAATGCCACCTGCTCAGTGAGGCTTTGCCTTATCACCCAATTTAAAATTGTACCTCTGTCCCCCGGTACTCCTAATATCTCTTCCCTGTCTTATTTTTCTTAGGGGACTCACTGATCCCTGGACAACTACTTATTTTTTGGTTGCCTGCTGACCTGCCCTTTACCTCACCCCTACAGACACACTGAAATTTAAACTTCATGAGCAGGGCCGCCACATATGGGTTGGTACTGGTGAAAAAAAAATTGTCCAATTCCTCAGCAAAATGACATTTGTTTTGACATGCTACATAATCAGCCCTGGGCTCCCTTTCATGTTTTCCAGGCTGGTATATTGTACTCGCTTCCCTCATCCCCTCGGCCTGTTTAGAAAGGCAGCAGCATCCCTAGAGTTTAAAACAGTGCCAGCACATATTAGGTTCTCTCTCTCTCTCTCTATATATATATATATATAATTTTTATATTTTTTATTATTTATTTATTTATTTATTTATTTATTTTTGAGAAGAAGTCTCGCTCTGTCGCCCAGGCTGGGATGCAATGGCGCGATCTCAGCTCACTGCAACCTCTGCCTCCTGGGTTAGCGATTCTCCTGCTTCAGCCTCCTGAGTAGCTGGGATTACGGGCACCTGCCACCATACCCTGCTAATTTTTGTATTTTTAGTAGAGATGGGGTTTCAGCATTTTGGCCAGGCTGGTCTCAAACTCCTGAACTCAGGCGATCCACCCGCCTCAGCCTCCCAAAGTGCTGGGATTACAGGTGTGAGCCATTGTGCCCAGCCAAGTTCTGTTGTATTCTTTTCTTCATTAAGAGAATTGACAGCTCTGACCTAGTGTTATTTATAAGCCATACCCATAAGTCACACTGATATGTCTCCTACATATGGTATAATAGCCTAAATTATAAAATTATTTATCAATCATATTGCCCCCAGGTATTAGGGGCAATATGTGATATCTTTCTTAAGAATAAAACTGGTAAGGCCGGGCATGGTGGCTCACGCCTATAATCCCAGCACTTTGGGAGGCTGAGGCCGGCAGATCACAAGGTCAGGAGATCGAGATCATCCTGGCTAACATGGTGAAACCCCGTCTCTACTAAAAATACAAAAAATTAGCCGGGCGTGGCAGTGTGTGCCTGTAGTCCCAGCTACTCCCGAGACTGAGGCAGGAGAATGGTGTGAACCCGGGAGGTGGAGCTTGCAGTGAGCCGAGATCGTGCCACTGCACTCCAGCCTGGGCGACAGAGCAATACTCCATCTCAAAAAAAAAAAAAAAAGAATAAAACTGGTGAAACATTGTTAACACAAATAAAATATATGTCATCGATCTGAACTCCTACTGTTTCAAAAATTGAGTTAATTTGCTTGAACTGAGCTAAAATGTTTACCCTTGCATAATCCCTGAGTAAAAGCAGATCCGTGATATAGTATAAACATGATTACAGAAAGATGATCAACCTATTTAAGACAACAACTGACTTGTAAGTAATCATTTGAAGTAATCCTTAATTCGTTCAGGCAATATTTATTAAGCAGCTATATGCGCTAAGCATGGATCTAGAAATATAAGGATATATAAGGGATAGCCACTACTTTTAAGGAATTTGCCTTCTAATAGAAAGGAATACAAACAAGTAACAAGTAGATACAATAATATGTTATAGTCGCCAGGATAGCAGTCTTAGAGGGGACGGGGGTCGGGGTCGGGGATGGAGGTGGGAGTGTAATGGTCTTTTTACCTATGAGATTGGGAATGAGGTAGAAAAGTCTTTAAAGAGAAAGTAACACTTGAACCAAATCTCTGAAGTTAAGAATGTGGTTGTGTGGGCCAAGTGGGTGGTAGGTAGCATTAAGATATTTTTTAAGGCATAAAGAGCAACATGATTCAGAGATTTGAAATAATCCACCTGGTTAGCAGAATTGTTTGGCAGGGGTAAAGCATAGACTACCTACTGTGGGAATGAAGTGAGATAAGGCTGGAGTGGTGGGCAGGGGTCAGGGCATGGATGGCCTGGTACCATGTACTAGAGGAATTTGAACTTTATCTTGTAGGTAGTAGAGAACCAGTGAAGGCCTTTAGGCAGGATAATAACATCACTTCATTTTACTGGTTTATAAGCAATGGATTAATGACGGAGCTAGAAGTAGACTGTTACATACTCCATATAAGCAAAGTCAAGATCCTGAACTAAGAACGTAGCAATCAAGATGAAGAGGAGGAAGACAGATTAGAGAAGTGCTAGAATCTGTAGGGCTTCCTAATCAATTGTAGAGGGAGCTATGGTGAGAGGTATGAGTAAGGAGAGAAGTCACAATCTGAGATATATTCAAGAGCCAGGCAAGTGTATATAAATGAATGAAAGGAGCTTCAGCATCCTTTATGGTCACTGTGAAGACTACATGAACCAGGAGCTCATCTGCTGCTCATCTCCAGCCAGTTGTTCCATGCAGGTAGGATGAAGTGTTGCCTCATCATCTTCTGTTTTTTAAAGAGAAGCCTAAACCTGTATTCTTATGTGAAATCTCCCAAATCTTAAATATTGGCCCAAAGTTTTTAAAAGTACTTCCTGGACCAAATAAAAACAAGTTTAGTAAATAAGCAGGTTGCACCTCTGTTCTGGGGTGATTCCTGGTTTCTACCTTAAATGATTAGAAGCATGGTGCCTGCTAAGAGAGTAGATCTCTCCATATGCTTATATGGATATGTTAATTAGCTTGATTGTGGAAATTATTTCACAATGTATACATATATCAAAACATCACATTGTACACTTTGAATATATACAATTTTTGTCAATTATATCTCTATAAAGCTGGGGGAAAAAACAAGCAAATAAAACCATCAGGTTAAAAAATAAGAAGTATTGTGCTATTCAGATATGAATTAAAGGAGGAGAAGCAGTTCGAGAGGTGGCGTGGAGAACCTGAAGGAGCATTCAGGGTTTGAGGTAGCTTAATTAACAGGAAACTACAAATGCAGGTCTGGAACACAAGAAAAGTATGGACTGGAAAATAAAGATCTTGGAGTTGTCAGTAAATAGATGGTAGATGGAACTGCTGGGAGTGAGTTTTGCCCAAGGAAAACAATATAGAATGGGATCAAAAGAGAACAAGGAACAGAATCTTAGAGAACACTATCATTTAAGAGGCAGGTAGAGAAAGAGAAGCTAGCAAAGGACAATAAGAAGTTGTCAGAGAAGTAGGGAAAGAACTAGAGATAGGTCTTGTAAGTCCAGGGAGATAAATATATTTTAAGTGTCGGATACCTTAAAGAAGTCAAATAAGAATGCAATAAAAGAGGAGGAAGCATGGAGGTGTGCGTGTGTGGGAGAGAGATTATGAGATTATTGTTGATGCGCAAGGCTTAAATGTTGACTAGTTGCTGAAGATGATAGGGACAAGAGGCAGAGTTGCATTATGTTAGAGAATACAATGCCAACTGAGATCCCCTTGGTTCTGTTTTGTTTGTTTTTAGCAAACTTTAACCTTTGCTCTGCTCTCTCAAGTAGACTGTTACTGACAAGTGTTTCCAGTGTTTATGAAGAAAACAATCCCAGGCAGTTAATAGGGAGAATTAGCCAGCTTCCTATATGGCAAGCTCCTGATAGAATCATAGATGGTTGAAGTAGCAAGAAGGTCTTGAATTTGCATAAAGCATTGGATCTCAGTCTTGGTTACGTATTAGAATCAACTATGGGGCTTAAAAAAATACTGATGCCCAGGCCCTGCTCCAAATCAGTTAAATCGGAAGCTCCATGGCCCTGCTCCAAATCAATTAAATCAGAAGCTATTCCCAGTTGATTCTATTATATTTGCAAGATTGAGAATTACTGACCTAGTGGAACTGGAGTCACCCTGAACCACTTGGGAAAAATGATGCAACAATACAGTTACTCCTTCATTTATAATAATAATGATAATTGCTACTATTATTCATAAACTAAAATGTGCAATAAGTACTACATTACTTTCTCTAATTGTTTAAATTCTGTTTTGTGCCTATAATCCCACCTGACTGACAAAAAAAAGAGCAATCCTTTATGCCTCTGTCCTCCCCCAGTTATTCTAGGTTCTGGTCCCTTACACCTGGCCAAGCTGTCAGGTATTATTATGGCATCTTGTTCAGCTAATTAAGCAGTACAACTGAGACAATTGCCACCCCATTTGTCATGTGTGGTGCCTTCCAAGATAGCCCCCAGTGATTCTCACCTCCTGATATTCACACCCTTGTGTTGTGTCCTCCCATGTCATACCAAGGTTGGTCTTTGTGATAAAATTCAGGGAAGTGATGGTGTGTGACTTGTGACACTAGATCCGAAAAGACACGGTGATGTCTGACTTGTTCTCTTGGATGTCTCTCCCTGAGTGAAGCCAGCTACTTTTCATGAGGATACTCAAGCATTCCTATGGAGAGATCCACATGGTGAGAAACTGAAGCCTCCTACCAAGAGCCAGCACCAACTTGCCAGCTATGTGAATGAGCCATCTTAGAAGTGGGTTCTCTAGCCCTAGTCAGGCCTTCATATGACTGCAGCCAGGGCTGATATTTTGACTACAACCTCATGAGAGACTGAGCCACAACAACCTAGCTAAGAAGCTCCTGAATTCCCTACCAACAGAAACTATGTGAGATAATGTTTGTTGTTTTAACTAAGTTTTCAAGTGGTAATTTGTTATACAGAATATGTAACTAATAAAGCATGGCTCCTTTAGGTCTAAATGTTGTCTTTTGCTTACATGATACCCCAGAAGCACAGGAATCCTGCTGTTTCATGAAGCACTTGAGTATGGAAATTCTTGTGAGGTTGCCTCTGTCCCTGTTTGCCCCAACACACCATGTAGTTATTCCTTCACTGGACTTGCACCTTTCTACCAGTCTCTGCTCAGGAAGCAAAGCCTAAGTTTCCTCTTTTCCTAGAAATACAGACCTATTTGTAGACCTCCTGTTCTTCATCTTCAGCCTGCAGATATTTTGTTTTTATCTTGGGGAAATTCTCCTCATTTTTGGCCATGATACTTTGTACTTGAATCTTCTCAACCTCTCCAGGACTTTCGGAAATAAAAGGCAGAAAACTTACAAGCTTGTCTTCTTTCTACCATGTTGTAATGCCTCCCCTGAGACAGTGAACAAAAGGCTAGCTCTTTGAATTTTGTGAGATGTAGAAAGAAAGGGGAAAATGAAGGGAGAAAAAATGTGAATATCTCAAAATACCATCCTACCAGAATTATCAATATGTGATGAGTGCTTACTGTGTGCCAGATACTATACCAAATGCTTTACATATTTTTTCTCATTAAGTACTATTATCAAGCTTATTTTACAAACAAGATGATCAGATTTAGAGAGATTAAGTAAGTTGCCTGAAGTTTCACTGTTTCTAGATGGTAATGCTGAAATTCTACCAGGAATCTCTGACTCCCAGCTCCAACTTTTGACCATTAGCATGCAAGTTCTTTCCATGTGGTTGGGGAGGGAAGAAGGTTGGTCTAAGGGTGCTTTCCTTTGGCTTCATTTCTTCACATAAATGAGGATGCCAATCATACCTAAGACTTGTCTGTCATTAATACATTTCTGACAGTGGCTTCCACTTGGCAACACTTTGTAGGCGAGTGGACCTACTCTGTACACTTGAAATGTTGAAAACTGCACTTCTTCTAAAATACTGTTTGGATCAATCATTTCATTTAGTTAAGCAGGCCATCTGTCTATCCAGCATGTTTTCCAAGTGCCTGTGCGTAGGTACCACGTAAAATGCTGGGGACATCAAGATGAATTCAACACTCACCATGAGCTATGTGTGTGGTGTTTAGATGAAACAGACATAAAAGCTAATTACAGCAGTGAGATAAGTTGTATATCTAAACAGCATATGAATATGTGTTCTGGAATGCAGAAGAAAAGTACTAATTTCAGCTTAGGTATATCAAGGAAAACTTCTCAGAGGTAATAAGCCTTCAAGAATGAGTAGAAATTCACCAGTAGGACATTCTGGACAGAGGAAGAGGCATGGGCAAAAATGCTTGGCAATTTCAGAGAGGAGCACACAACTGAGAATAATTGGAGAGGATGATGTATGTTTATAGGAGCCAGATAATGAAGATACTTGTTCTACTATGCTAACAAGTTAAAATAATTAAAACTCTCACCCCACAGGAGGAATCTTGCCCACAAATATTCTTTGTTTGATGTAGGTTTTTTTTTCTTGAATTTGAATGTCTTTAAAAAGACGTACATTCTCTAGTCTTCTGTCTCCTCAGGCTCACCCCTCCATATTTAGGTTACCTAGCTATCCCTGCAGACATTTGAGCTTACTCCCCCTGCTGCAGCAATGGGGAGTCACGGAAGATTATCTTTGTTTATAGGAGCCAGATAATGAAGATACTTGTTCTACTATGCTAACAAGTTAAAATAATTAAAACTCTCACCCCACAGGAGGAATCTTGCCCACAAATATTCTTTGTTTGATGTAGGTTTTTTTTTCTTGAATTTGAATGTCTTTAAAAAGACGTACATTCTCTAGTCTTCTGTCTCCTCAGGCTCACCCCTCCATATTTAGGTTACCTAGCTATCCCTGCAGACATTTGAGCTTACTCCCCCTGCTGCAGCAATGGGGAGTCATGGAAGATTATCTTAAGGTGGAGTTAACATGAACGTATTTGCTCTTTCAGAGACCATTCTGGCTTACTGTGGAGGATAAATGGTGAGGCCAATTGGGAAGGGATGGTACAAGATATAGAAATGTCTTAGCTCGGGCTGCCTTAACCAAATGCCATAGCCTGGGTGGCTTAAACTCAGACATTTATTTTTCATTATTCTGGAAGCTGGAAAGTCCAAGATCAAGGCACAAGCAGATTCAATTCTTGGTGAGGGCTTTCTTCCTGGCTTGTAGATGGCCACCTTCTTACTGTATCCTTAAAGAGAGAAGGAGCTCTGGTTTCCCTTCCTCTTCTTATAAGGGCACTAATCCTATCATGGGGCCTCCACCCTCATGACTTCATCTAAACCTAATTACTTGCCAAAGGCCCCACCTCCTCATACCATCACAATGGGGGTTGGAGTTTCAGCATATGAATTTTGAGGGGAATACAAACATTCAAGCTATAAAAAGCGACTTACTGGGTGAAGAGGCTGAGAGGGAGGACTCATGATTCTCAGTTTCCCACTGAATGAACGGTGGTTCCATTAACTCCAAATGGATAGCACAAGAGGTTTTATTCTATATGTTTATATGAAGTTGTAAAATTTCTTAGGAAGGATTGTGGAGCAATTGCTAAAATCCACTTAATGTCTATTGGAAGTACCTAGATGAAGTTCACCAGGAGACCTTTCAAAAGTGTCTCAAATGTTCCTATAAATATTGTGACATATTTATGTCATAAATCAGGATACATGGTAGGACATGTTGGGCATTAATAACAGACATAATATTTAAAATGGGAACTGTTCTGAAAAATCAGGAGTGTATGGTCACTGGATATAAAAATTACTTTGTTGTCTCATCTAGGTTCTCTTTTATCAAAGGTCCCTCTGAATAAAAATACTATCGTTAGAATGTACATGTTTAAATAAACACGTCTCAAGTACAGCTAATCGATCTATGGGTATTTCCTCATTTTCATCTTCAATAATAATTTCAAACTCCCTACCATACTTTTCTACAGAGCTATTAATAGGAAGCTTCCATCAGCTAACTTGAGTTTCCTCTCATTTTCCCAGCTGACATTCACTGGAGGTATTAATGGGAAATATAATGTCTAAAAGACATAGGTAGTCTTCAAATTGGATACTCAGGCACTGAATAATCTTAACTTCATGAAAATCAGCTCTTCATTCTGTAAAGTATCTAGCACACTCAAAATGTAGAGTACATATAGGAGGGAAAACCATAGCGTGGCAATGTCTTCCTGTTATTCCATACATATTAGTGTGTTCTATTTTTCACAATGCTTGCTAAACTGGTTTTATGCTTGAAATAATTGTCACAGAGTTTCACAAAACTTTGGAAACACAATTAACCCACCAATAAATTGAGTGGGATACTATGGAGAATGCAAAGATGTATAAGACATGATTTCCTTTAGGTGTTTAATACTTAATAGAGGAAATAAGACACATTCATGAAAAAGATAATAACATAAGCTACTATGTGATGTCAAACAATAGTTCTTTTTTTCATATCTATGAATTCATTAGAGACGAGAAAAAAATTTCACAAAAAGTTGGCATTTACAATGTAATGAAAGAAGCATGACCTCTAAAATACAAGCACGGAAAGCAATAAAAATAATTAAAGGAAATATTTCAAGACTTACAATGTAAGAGTAAATTTTTTTTCTTCAAACTTTTCTTTCAGGTGCAGGGGGTACACATGCAGGTTTGTTACATGGGTAAATTGTTTGTTGCTGGGGTTTAGGGTACAAATGATTTCATCACCCACGTGGTGAGCATAGTACCTGATAGTTTTTCACTTCTCACCCTCCTCCCATCCTTCACCCTCAAGTAAAACCCAGTGTCTTGTTTTTCCCCTCTTTGTGTCCATGTGTACTCATTGTTTAGCTCCCACCTATATATGAGAACATTTGGGGTTTGGTTTTCTGTTCCTGCATTAATTCGCTTAGGACAATGGCCTCCAGTTGCACCCATGCTGCAAAGAACATGATTTCATTCTTTTTTATGGCTCTGTAGTATTCCTCAGTGTATATGTACCACATTTTTTTAATCCAGTCCACTGTTGATGGACATCTAGGTTGATTCCATGTCTTTGCCATTGTGAAAATTGCTGCAAAGTATATGTGAGTACATGTGTCTTTTTTTTTTTTTTTTTGAGATAGGAAATGTGTCTTTATGGTAGAATAATTTATATTCCTTTGGATATATACCCAATAATGAGATTACTGGGTTGAATGGTAGTTCTGTTTTAAGTTCTTTGAGAAATCTCCAAACTAATTTCCATAGTGGCAGAACTAATTTACATTTCCACCAGCAGTGTATAAGCATTCTCTTTTCTTAACAACTTCACCAACATGTTATTTTTTCACTTTTTAAAAATAGCCATTTTGACTGGTGCGAGATGGTATCTCACCCTGGTTTTGATTTTGATTTGCATTTCTCTATTAACTGGTGATACTGAGTGTTTTTCATATGCTTGTTGGCCACATGTGTATATTCTTTTGAGAAGTCTCTGTTCATGTCCTTTGACCATTTTTTTTTTTAATTTATTTTTTTATTGATAATTCTTGGGTGTTTCTCACAGAGGGGGATTTGGCAGGGTCATGGGACAGTAGTGGAGGGAAGGTCAGCAGATAAACAAGTGAACAAAGGTCTCTGGTTTTCCTAGGCAGAGGACCCTGCGGCCTTCCGCAGTGTTTGTGTCCCTGATTACTTGAGATCAGGGATTGGTGATGACTCTTAACGAGCATGCTGCCTTCAAGCATCTGTTTAACAAAGCACATCTTGCACCGCCCTTAATCCATTTAACCCTGAGTGGACACAGCACATGTTTCAGAGAGCACAGGGTTGGGGGTAAGGTCACAGATCAACAGGATCCCAAGGCAGAAGAATTTTTCTTAGTGCAGAACAAAATGAAAAGTCTCCCATGTCTACTTCTTTCTACACAGACACGGCAACCATCCGATTTCTCAATCTTTTCCCCACCTTTCCCGCCTTTCTATTCCACAAAGCCGCCATTGTCATCCTGGCCCGTTCTCAATGAGCTGTTGGGCACACCTCCCAGACGGGGTGGTGGCCGGGCAGAGGGGCTCCTCACTTCCCAGTAGGGGCGGCCGGGCAGAGGCGCCCCTCGCCTCCCGGACGGGGCGGCCGGCCGGGCAGAGGGCTGACCCCCCCACCTCCCTCCCGGACGGGGCGGCTGGCCGGGCAGAGGGGCTCCTCACTTCCCAGTAGGGGCGGCCGGGCAGAGGCGCCCCTCACCTCCCAGACGGGGCGGCTGGCTGGGCGGAGGGCTGACCCCCCCACCTCCCTCCCGGACAGGGCGGCTGGCCGGGGGGGGGGCTGACCCCCCCACCTCCCTCCCAGACGGGGCGGCTGGCCGGGCAGAGGGGCTCCTCACTTCCCAGTAGGGGCGGCCGGGCAGAGGCGCCCCTCACCTCCCAGACGGGGCGGCTGGCCAGGCGGAGGGCTGACCCCCCCACCTCCCTCCCAGACGGGGCGGCTGGCCAGGCGGGGGGCTGACCCCCCCACCTCCCTCCCGGACGGGGCGGCTGGCCGGGTGGGGGGGCTGACCCCCCATCTCCCTCCTGGACGGGGTGGCTGGCCGGGCTGAGGGGCTCCTCACTTCCCAGTAGGGGTGGGCGGGCAGAGGCGCCCCTCACCTCCCGGACGGGGCGGCTGGCCGGGCAGGGGGCTGACCCCCCCACCTCCCTCCCGGACGGCACGGCTGGCCAGGCGGGGGGCTGACCCCCCCACCTCCCTCCCGGATGGCACGGCTGGCCGGGCGGGGGCTGACCCCCCACCTCCCTCCCGGATGGGGCAGCTGGCCGGGCGGGGGGCTGACCCCCCCCACCTCCCTCCCGGACAGGGTGGCTGCCGGGCGGAGAGGCTCCTCACCTCCCAGACGGGGCGGCTGCCGGGCAGAGGGGCTCCTCACTTTTCAGACGGGGTGGTTGCCAGGCAGAGGGTCTCCTCACTTCTCAGACGGGGCGGCCGGGCAGAGACGCTCCTCACCTCCCAGACGGGGTCTCGGCCGGGCAGAGGCGCTCCTCACATCCCAGATGGGGCGGCGGGGCAGAGGCGCTCCCCACATCTCAGACGATGGGCGGCCGGGCAGAGACGCTCCTCACTTCCTAGATGTGATGGCGGCTGGGAAGAGGCGCTCCTCACTTCCTAGATGGGATGGCGGCCGGGCGGAGACGCTCCTCACTTTCCAGACTGGGCAGCCAGGCAGAGGGGCTCCTCACATCCCAGACGATGGGCGGCCAGGCAGAGACACTCCTCACTTCCCAGACGGGGTGGCGGCCGGGCAGAGGCTGCAATCTCGGCACTCTGGGAGGCCAAGGCAGGCGGCTGGGAGGTGTAGGTTGTAGTGAGCCGAGACCACGCCACTGCACTCCAGCCTGGGCACCATTGAGCACTGAGTGAACGAGACTCCCTCTGCAATCCCGGCACCTCGGGAGGCCAAGGCGGGCGGATCACTCGCGGTTAGGGGCTGGAGACCGGCCCGGCCAACACAGCGAAACCCCGTCTCCACCAAAACCAGTCAGGCGTGGCGGCGCGTGCCTGCAATCACAGGCACTCGGCAGGATCTTCTATCTGTCCAAACTGGGACCGAGTCCTCGGCCTCGGAGGCTCCACGCTCCCTCTCTCACAGCCCGCACCTCGGCGGTCTCTCGGAGGAGGGAGGAACCCGAGGTACCTGGTAGTCGTAGCTGAGGAACTTACAGGCTTGTTGACCATCTCACCATGGAAACTCGACCATTTTTTAATGGGGTTGTTTTTTTGTTTTGTTTTTGTTTTTGTTTTGAGACGGAGTCTCACTCTGTCGCCCAGGCTGGAGTGCAGTGGCGTGATCTCAGCTCATTGCAAGCTCCGCCTCCCAGGCTCACGCCATTCTCCTGCCTCAGCCTCCTGAGTAGCTGGGACTACAGGTGCCCGCCACCACGCCTGGCTAATTTTTTGTATTTTTAGTAGAGACGGGGTTTCACCAATGTTAGCCAGGATGGTCTTGATCTCCTGACCTCGTGATCCGCCTGCCTCAGCCTCCCAAAGTGCTGGGATTACAGGCGTGAGCCACTGTGCCTGGCCAGGGTTGATATTTTGTTTTTTTGTTTGAGATGGAGTCTTGCTCTTGTCACCCAGGCTGGAGTGCAGTGGTGTGATCTCTGCTCACTGCAACCTCTGCCTCCTGGGTTCAAGTGATTCTCCTGCCTCAGCCTCACGAGTAGCTGGGATTACAGGCACCTGCCACCATGCCTGGCTGAGTTTTCGATCTTTTGTAGAGACGGGGTTTCACCATGTTGGCCAGGCTAGTCTCAAACTTCTGACCTTAGGTAATTCGCCCATCTTGGCCTTTTCATTCTGTTTTGTAGAATGGAGCCTAACCCCGCCCCCCCCCCCAAATAAAAATAAAACAAATTTTCAATTACAATGAGCAATGCACAAAGATATTGAGGTACATAAGGAAGTCTGGCCCTGTAAGCAAGATTCAAAGGAAACAGCAGATATTAGAAACAGATCCACAGACTATAAAACAACTATGTATGTCTGTAATTAAAAAAATAAAAAGACAACTTGAAAATATCTTCAGGTAACAGAAAACTATCAAGGGATATAGCATATTGAAAACAGACATTTTGACCAAATTGAGTAAATTTAACTAGTTTGTTTTTTCTCATGTTTAAACTTATTAATTAAATTAATTATTTTAGTCTTTCTAGTGTCATGTTTTAAAACCTAAATCAATGTACTATGGCCAAAAGTGTTAATCTCAACAGCCGTGGAGAATATAAGTGTCATTACTGTTATTATCATCATATATTAGAAAAGTCACAGTATCTCAGCAAATAGTCATCATCAAGTCATAGTATTTTACTTACAATGATACAGATTCATGATGTCCTTCCATTTGTACAAAGGTAATTAGTTCTGACTCTTAAGTCATTTATCTGACAATCTGTCCAGCTTAAAGATATGAAACCAACCTTAAACCCACTGAAAAAAGAACTTACCACTAGATTCCTGTATCAGTCAGGAATAGCTTCAGCTGTGAGTAAAAAAAAAAAAAAAAAAAAAAACAAAAAACAATGGCTTAGTCTAGAGCTGAGGTGGCCTGGTACTCTTGTAGCTTCCATTCCCAAGGTCACCTCTTGTTTCAGCTGGGCTACTCCAGCCATCACAACCATATTCCAGTCTGTCTGAAGGAAGAAAAGAATAATCGGGGGCAAAGGACCCATCAGCTCTCTTATAAAGACGGTTTCCATGAACTGCCATACTTTGCTTACCTATAAGAAAGAGAAAAGCATGGCCAGGTACAGTGGCTCACCATGCTTATCCCAGCACTTTGGGA